>NC_000001.11:168184587-170684587 GCF_000001405.40 Homo sapiens
ACATCAGTACATGACAAGTTAAATAATAAATGCAGAAAAACTGTAAGAAAAACCTTGTACTGGTGAATTATAACAAGTGTATATATTTAATAGGATATGTTATTATAGAATATAATTTGATGTGATATATAAATACAGATAATCTCTATTCTGCATCACTGAATCTGATCCTTCTCATTTTGGTATTTGAGGACGGAGGGTGAACACTCCAAAGAGGTTATTAAACCATATGATTGGACCTATACAACAGATTATAAGGGAACCTTACTTGGAGAATCTCTTAAGTTAAAGGTAAATCTTACTTTTTTCTTTCATGAGTCATTGATTGTCTTGGACAGTCTGAGCATTAGAACTTTCTAGTAACGGGTTATTTTTTGCAACTATTTTTATCGTCCTTGTTTTCTGTTGTGGCATTCCTCAGAACCTAATGTGAGGGGGTTTTGCTTGTTGACTTATCAGTAGAAAATAAAAGACGGCATTAGTGGAAAAATTTATTTTTAAAAGTGTAGTTGGTGGCAACGGCAGACGGCCTTGTTGTTATCATTATCACTATCAAGAAACATTAAAATGTGTTTCGGGCCTTGGTAATGTATTACATGATTTAGACAGAACCTGCTAGCTTGTAGCTCACAAGTTTATAGATGAACAAATATATGAGCAAAAAGAACTTCTGGTTAGACAAAGTAGGTTTATGCCCTGTCTGCCCTGAGTATGAACCTGAAATGACTTTAGGAAGTTACTTAATTTGAGTCTCAGTTTTATCAATAAATTGGGTAAACAGAAATATCTACCTCAAAGCAGAGTTTTGATGTGAAATAATTTATGGGAAGCTCTCAATAAATTCTAAAGCTCTATATTAGTATTAAGTCCTGTGTGTGTAAGCCCTGCTTGAGAAGAGATTGGGGCCAGGCGCAGTGGCTCACGCCTGTAATCCCAGCACTTTGAGAGGCCGAGGCAGGCAGATCACGAGGTCAGGAGCTCGAGACTAGCCTGACCAACATGGTGAAACCCCTTGTCTATTAAAAAAAAAAAATTAGCTGGGTGTGGTGGCGCACACCTGTAATACCAGCTACTCAGGAGGCTGAGGGAGGAGAATTGCTTGAACCCGGGAGGTGGAGGTTGCAGTGGGCCAAGATCGCGCCACTGCACTCCAGCCTGGGTGACAGAGTGAGACTCTGTCTCAAAAAAAAAAAAAAAGAAGAGATTCGGCCAGGTGCAGTGGCTCACGCCTGTAATCCCAGCACTTTGGGAGGCCAAAGTGGGTGGATCATGAAGTCAGGAGTTCAACACCAGCCTGGTCAACATGGTGAAACCCCATCTCTACTAAAAATACAAAATTTAGCCAGGCATGGTGGAGCATGCCTGTAGTCCCAGCTACTCGGGAGGCTGAGGCAGGAGAATTGCTTGAACCCGGGAGGCAGAGGTTGCAGTGAGCTGAGATCACACTACTGCACTCCAGCCTGGGCGACAGAGCGAGACTCCGTCTCAAAAAAAAAAAAAAAAAAAAAAAAAAAAAGAGAGAGATTCATGGTAAATAACGCTAGGAAGATGGAATTGGTAGGTCTTATATTGTGAAGTTAGCTGCATTTTGAAATCTTATAGTATGACTGAAAGGAAGCAAATCTGGGCTGGGCTCAATGGCTCACGCCTGTAATCCCAGCACTTTGCGAGGCCAAGGAGGGCAGATTACTTGAGGTCAGGAGTTCGAGACCAGCTTGGCCAACATAGTGAGACCGCACCTCTACTAAAAATGTAAAAATTAGCCAGGCCTGGTGGCGTGTGTCTGTAATCCCAGCTACTTGGGAGGTTGAGGCAGGAGAATCACTTGAACCCAGGAGGTAGAGGTTGCAGTGATCCGAGATCACGCCACTGCACTCTAGCCTGGGCAACAGAGAAAGGCTCTGTTTCAGAAAAACAATAAGTAAAATAAAATAAAGCAAATTTGGTTTAGGTTGAATGTCTCTAAATATCACAGACTATTATATAGAATGAATTTATTTCAGCGTAACCTGAAATATTTATATTAAAAGTAGCTATTGGAAACCCTATGTCATCCGGGCACAGTGGTTCACACCTGTAATCCCAGCACTTTGGGAGGCCGAGGCAGGCAGATCACCTGAGGTTAGGAGCTGGAGACTGGGGAGGCTGAGGCAGGAGAATTGCTTGAACCCAGGAGGCAGAGTTGCAGTGAGCCAAGATCACGCCACAGTGCTCCAACCTGGGCTTCAGAGTGAGACTCCATCTCAAAACAAGGAAACCTGATATCATATGTTGGTGCTTAGGCAGAAATGTTAAGAAGATAGTGTTGTGTCTGGGCCCCTTTTCTCTGCAGAAATTTTTAGAGTCTCATGAAGATAAAAGTTCATAGCAGGAACTTAATGATTGTTATCTTCAGTTTCTGCTATTATTACAGTCCAAGCTTTAACTATTTTTCTGTGCTTCCAGGAAAAAACTCATTCATTCATTCAACAGATATTTCTTGAGCTCTTGCTCTATGCCAGGCACTAATGCTAGGAGCCTTGGATACAGCAGAGCAGACAAAAATTCCTCCTTTACAGTCTAATGGGAGAGCAAGGTTATTTTAGTCCCTTATACTACTTCATAGATTAGTGTTCTCCTCCCTCCTCTCTTCTGATTGAAAAACTTTGTAGAGACCATTTAATATTTCATTGCCAGGAGTGAGGAAATGGGAACTTGTTTTAAACCCATACAATAATGATGATGACTTACTTTGTGGACTGACTTAGGAAAAGCCTCCTGGAGGTTATGAAGCAGCATTAGGTGTGACCAAGTGAGAACCACAGCTGTACAAACAAGGAGTGTGAGAGTAGTAGAAGGCAAAAAGCATTTGTTCAGTACTCTCCTATTGATACTTCAGCCTATAATGTGATTTGTTCTGAGGTGTTGCTGATAAATGTCAATGTGATTACCCACTCACTGGTGGTAATGAGCTCAGGCTTTGGCAAAACACAGATCTGGGTTCAAAATCCCAGCACCATCATTTGCCAGCTTGGAAAAGTAATTTAGTCTTACTTAGCCTTGTTTCAGTCACTTTGTTAAACTAGGGTAATACTAGTTGTGAAGTAGGAAATAAAATTATGTATGTAGGCTGGGTGTAGTGGCTCATGCCTGTAGTCCCAGCACTTTGGGAGGCTGAGATGGATCACTTGAGCTCAGGAGTTCAAGACCAGTCTGGGCAACATGGTGAAACCCCATCTCTACAAAAAATAGAAAAATTGGCGGGTCTGGTGGCACGTGTCTATAGTCCCAGCTACTCAGGAGGCTGAGGTGGGAGAATCAGTTGAGCCCAGGAAGGCGAGGCTGCAGTGAGCTGTGATTGTGCCACTGTACTCCAGCCTGGGTGACAGAGCGACACCCTATCTCAAAACAGTGTGTGTTTTGCAGTAAGATCTCAATAAATGGCAGCTGTTACTATGATAATATAGTATATCAAGTATTAGGGAACCTAAGTTAATATTGTAATACCTAGAATAAAAGTAGATATATTATCTATGGTATATTATTATATTAAATAGCAGCCCAAATGGACTAAGGCCTAATAATTTCAATCACCTCTGGAATCCCTAGTGTCTTTTATTTCAGTTGGTTCTGGGTTATGACATCTAGGCTTCTAATTTGCCTCTTTATTTTCATTTCAGTTCTAGGATGATGGTGTTTTCCTTCAGAGAGGATTTTTGTTTAGTTCTGACAGGCGCTCGAGAATATTCATAGTCAAGGACAGAGCTCTGCAAACTTCTTCTGTAAAGAGTCAGACGTAAATATTTTAGGCTTTGTGGGCCTTAGAGTCTCTGTTGCAGCAACTCAGCTGTGCTATCATAGTCTAAATCACTCATAGACAATATATAAATGAATGGGCATGGCTATGCTTTAATAAAACTTTATGGACAGTGAAATTTGAATTTCATGTAATTTTTATGTGTCATGAAATATTTTTCTTTTGATTTTTTTTCTCCAATTATTTAGCCATTATTAGCTTGCAGCCCATAAAAATAGGTAACAGGGCAGATGTGAGCTGCATGTCTTAGTTTGCCTGCCTTGGTCTAGGACCAGAGTTTGAGGTGTACTGGGCCTGCAGATAAGAAGCTCTGAGGCTGGGCACAGTGGCTCATACCTGAATCCCAATACTTTAGGAGGCCGAGGCAGGCGGAACACCTGAGGTCAGGAGTTCGAGACCAGCCTGGCCAACATGGCAAAACCCTGTATCTACTAAAAACACAAAAAAATTAGCCAAGCGTTGTGGCATGTGTGTGTAATCCTCGCTACTTGGGAGGCTGAGGCACAAGAATTGGTTGAACCCAGGAGCTGGAGGTTGCAGTGAACTGAAATGGTGCCACTGCATTCCAGCCTGGGCAACAGAGCGAGACTCTGTCTCAAGAAAAAAAAAAAAAAGTTCTGAAATCACTATAGCTCTTTAGGGTGTCATCTCTGATTTGGGAGGAAGCAGGAAATTCTCCAGGGTCCTTGTCCTTAGTGAGCACTGAGCAGTGATGGCACCAAAAGCTAGCAGAGCCCAGCTTCTTCTCTGGATCAGCCAGTGCTATGCCTCAGGGCAAAAGCCAGCCAAGTACAGACTTACTTTTCTCGGCTCCAGTCTTTCCAGATCTCAGCCCAGTAACTCCATACTGCCTTGGCCATTTGATGCTTTTAGGAAGTTTTTGGGTTTTTTTAGCCAGCTTTTTAAATTGTCTTCATCAAGAAGGTTTGTCTAGATTACTTATTCTGCCAATACTGTTCCATATGTTTTTTATTTTTTTGAGATAGAGTTTCATTCTTGTCGCCCAGGCTGGAGTGCAATGGTGTGATCTCAGCTCACTGCAACCTCTGCCCCGCGGGTTCAAGCGATTCTCCTGCCTCAGCCTCCTGAGTAGCTGGGATTACAGGTGCCTGCCACCACGATCAGCTAGTTTTTGTATTTTTAGTAGAGATGGGGTTTCACCATATTGGCTAGGCTGGTCTCAAACTCCTGACCTCAAGTGATCCGGCCGCCTTGCCTCCCAAAGTGCTGGGATTATAGGCATAAGCCACCGCGCCCAGCCCATATGTTTTATATTTAGCTGGTTATTTTTTTTTTGTTGTATTTTTTAGATCCCTGGGTTCAGAGAGAGATATGTGGAGTTGAGGAAGAGAGCTGAAAAGTATAAAGTTTTAGACATATTTAGCCTTGCAAATGGAGACAATAGCATAAATAAGTTAAATATGATATCTCTAACTCATGCTTTGTTTTTTGACTTTGTCTTTCATTTTATAAGAACAAGTACGTAAATGGAAAAACTGACAGATTCATTTTGACCAATCACTTACTGAAGGCATATGTGAAACATTAATGAAGCAATTTACTAATGAGAAAATTCAGATAATGATTAATTTTGGGGGATTCAGGAGTATCTATAAGGAGGATGTTAAAAATGTGTTCCTCTGAACTAAAATCAAATAAAAAGGACGAAATTTACAAGTGTGTGTATTTAACACTAATTTCAGTTGTGTAACCTTAGGCAGTCCTCGTTGGCAGACCAACTTTTGTTTAACTAGATCATAAACTTAATGTGTGATGCAGGGGACTGGTTATATGCCCTGCCCCTACACTCCAACTCCCTTCCCCTCCCAGTTTTCACCTCAAGAGTGGCCTTATACCTGCTCCGTACACAGTTGGAAGTAAAACTGCTTAGGGCTAAGTGTTATCTCTAAGTGACCATGGAAGAATTATGGACATTTTTTTACCTCCTGGAAATCATATACAAACTGCCACTTTCTTTTCATGGCATCTTTTCCCCCTACATTACTTAACGTTCCCTTAGATTTCCTCCCAAAATCTGTGCAGTCTTGTAAACAACATCCTTTGTAATTTTCTTCTGATTCTTATCTAGTTATCTCAAATTACTCTCCATCTGCTAATTTTGTCCATGAGTCAAAACAAATCACCTAATCATGACGCTTAAGTAAAGCTACATTTACTAAATATCTATGGTTTGACAAGCATTGTTGTGTTTGTTTATGGTAAACCTGTCAAGGAGTAAAACAGCTGAGCATTTTGTAGTGAAATTAGGTGTGGTAGAAAATAGTATCACAATTCATACTTGGGTGCTGCTCAGGAGACACTTGAGTTTAATGAGCTCCTGATATGATCTGCCTTGGGACTGTTGATGCTTTTGTTGGATTACGTGTGTGCATGTCTTAGAGCTACAAAATAATACCTTGAAAAATTGCCAACTTCATTCAAAGCTCTTTGCAATGCTAAGAGTTTCCCTCAGAATTTCTCTACAAGTTCTTGTTTACCTCATTATTTAAAGCACTTTATTTTGTTGTAGGTTTTGGGGAGTTAGGTTGAGCAAATATCTAACATTCTAATGGAAAAATATTTTTTAAGTTCCATATGAATGTCCTAAAAGTGGCTTTCACAGCACAAATGTTCTATGACCTTCTATGATAGCAGTCGTTCATCACACTGACTGATGTTTAGTTGATTAATTTTCTCATAGTCACAACAGAAGTTGATTTTAATATGACTTGCATGAAAAATGATAAATTTTTACTGCTTTTTTTGTGAAGCTATAATATTGGGCATCTGTAATGTCTTCAGTTTTCAGAATCAAGCCATATTCTGATCTTTTATATCTACTAATGACACCCAAATTTAGAACTGTGTGCTCTGGCTATGTAGAAAAGACTGATTGAAAAAGAAAAGAAAAGACTGCTTTCCTGTGTCTCTGTAGCTCCTCAACTTTTTTTTTAATGTGCTCCTCTTTAAAATTTTTTCTTTCAGGTTGTACCTACAACAGATCATATAGATACAGAAAAATTGAAAGCCAGAGAACAGATTAAGTTTTTTGAAGAAGTTCTCCTTTTTGAGGATGAACTTCATGATCATGGAGTTTCAAGCCTGAGTGTGAAGATTGTGAGTATTATTTTTATTTAAAATTAATATTTTTCTTGCATTCTTAACATCAGACAAAAATATGACTCACTTTGAATAACACTGAGCCTGGCCGGGCGCGGTGGCTCACGCCTGTAATCCCAGCACTTTGAGAGGCTGAGGCGGGCTGGATCGCCAGGTCAGGAGACCGAGACCATCCTGGCTAACACAGTGAAACCCCGTCTCTACTAAAAACACAAAAAGTTAGCTGGGCATGGTGGCGGGCGCCTGTAGTCCCAGCTACTCGGGAGGCTGAGGCAGGAGAGTAGCGTGAACCCAAGAGGCGGAGCTTGCAGTGAGCCAGGATCACGCCACTGCACTCCAGCCTGGGCGACAGAGCAAAAAAAAAAAAAAAAAAAAAAGAATAACACTGAGCTTTAACATGATGTCATGTACAATTTCACTTGAATCTAGAGTGTATCTTATTGAATATCCATTATAAAATTCACAAAATATTTGTGTATTCTTAAGGCTTTATTTTAGCAAAGCATTTTTAATAGACCTGCCTGGCCACCTTGTAGTTTATTTGTTTATTATTTAACTCTAATGAAGACTGTGGCTTAATTTTCACATTTTGGATTAAAAATGATGTTGATAGGATCTGCAGACGGCAAGGTGGATGTCATTTTTTAAAATGATCCATGTGTTATGATTTCAGTGCATCATTCAACTACCACTTCAATTTTCAGCCTGGTGGCGGGCACCTGTAGTCCCAGCTACTCGGGAGGCTGAGGCAGGAGAAGCGTGAACCCGGGAGGCGGAGCTTGCAGTGAGCTGAGATCGCACCACTGCACTCCAGCCCTCCAGCCTGGGCGACAGAGCAAGACTCCGTCTCAAAAAAAAAAAATAAAATAAAATAAAAGAAGTAGAAAACACACATAACAAGTATGGTTATTCATATTTCTTTACCACTGCATTATAATTGGGTCTCTAATACTTTCCAGAAATAACTCAACTGAAACTTTTTACTAAATGCCTCATTCTTTAAGACCCAAAGACCCAGCTAAAATACCACCTTTTCTACAAGGCCCTTCACAACTCCGTTACACAGAGTTAAATATCTCTTTTCTATACTCCTTTTTAAAAACCTCTCAATTAGGCCGGGCGCGGTGGCCCATGCCTGTAATCCCAGCACTTTGGGAGGCCGAGGCGGGCGGATCACGAGGTCAGGAGATCGAGACCATGGTGAAACCCCGTCTCTACTAAAAATACAAAAAATTAGCTGGGCGCAGTGGCGGGCGCCTGTAGTCCCAGCTACCCGGGAGGCTGAGGCAGGAGAATGGCGTGAACCCGGAAGGCAGAGCTTGCAGTGAGCCGAGATCGTGCCACTGCACTCCAGCCTGGGCAACAAGCGAGACTCCGTCTCAAAACAAACAAACAAACAAACAAAACAAACAAAAAACCTCTCAATTATAGCATTTGTCATGAGATCTGTCAAAGACAGAGACCCTAACATCAAACATTGTTCTTGGGGCATAATGATTGTGGATGCTGTGATTTAAAGAATGAAAATAATACAAAAGCAGCAACAGATTTGTTTTAAAGTCAAATTTTAGCTACTTGGGAGGCAGAAGCAGGAGGATTGCTTGAGCCCAGGAGGTCAAGGCTACAGTGAGCTATGATGGTGCCACTGCACCCCAGCTTGGGAGACAAAATAATTTTATTTTTAGATAAATAAAAAATTTTATTTTTCTTATCTAAAAATAAAATTAGTTTTTTCGGTGGAATCAAAGGATTTTGAAATTGTAGTGAATTTTTAGAGAATCATTTTTTGTAGCCTCCATATTTTATAGATAAGGCCTAAAAAGATAGCTTAAGGTCATGAAACTAATTGCAAAGTTTTCTTTGTATCATCTAATATATATCATTATTCTAGCATTAGATAGTTGTTTTCATAGGCTTTACTTCTTTGCTCACTTATAACTCTAAATTCACTTTTTTTTGTTTAGATTTATTCTCTCTTCAGTTCACCTAGTCTTGTATCTTTCCACTTGTCTACCACCTGTTGAATTGACTATGCTAAATGTTCATTATGAGTTTGCATACCTGGGTGTGCATTTGTATCCAAGGGGGTATATATATCATGTCTATAAGTGGGTCGGTATTTGGAAAGCACATGTGGTTTTGTGGATGGAGTTGCTTGAAAGGATATGTGTATAAATATGTGTGTACAAGAATACATAGTAAGTCTTAAACTGAAGAGCATTTTTTTAACCAACTACTTTAAGCTGAAGTATTAGTTCATAGATATTACTATCCTGTAGTGAAATTTGTAGATGATTTAATCCACCTACTTTGCAGCAATCAACATATTTTAACTATAAAATTAAAGGAAATTGGTTTAGAATAAAATATATTTTAATACTTAAATGCATAATATGACTGCACCAAAGACATAATGAAGCAGTCAGGTACTTATATTTGCATATTGAGTCACCGTAAATGTGACAGCAAAAAATGTAGGCTGACAGAGATGTAAGGTATCAATCAGTGACTCTTAACACAATTTTCCAAAATGATGAACAACTCTTAGTGAAGTTCTAAATAAGAAAAAGTATAATCTTTCCTTGATTTGGAAAATAGTTGACTTCCTGGATAATTGAGTGATTTTTTTTTTATTATCTATGTAAAATGGAAATAGTTTCTAAAGTCAGATCATTATAAGTAGGCTTTTTCACCTCTGTGAATGCCTGGTAAGATACTGCAAGTTTTGTGGAATGCAGGACTGGACTTTGTTGTATAGGATTGTCCTGTGCATCCCAGATCTGTCGTTCTGGTCCTTATTCACTAACTGTTGATATTGGTTGCTTATTGATGTGACAAGAAAAAGTACTCTCACAAATTCCCAAACGTCCCCTAGGAAAGAACTACTGCCCTAAAATATGCTATTGTATTGGCACTAGAGTTCTGGTCTCCTAATTCCTACTCTCTCCACTGTGCCATGCTAAAATGATATTTCAGTTTACTGCCTGTGTTGTGTCCAGTGTGACTGTTGGTAACTAATTTTGAAATTTGAAGAAATGTTGCAAGTCAGTTTTTCCATAAATTACACATATCACTGTGTAGTAATGTCAAATAATAATGATGTGCTTCTCAATTTGTTGTGACATCAAGTTGTCATAAGTCAGGTTATTTCTACAGCTTTCCTTTACTAAAAGTCTTTTTTTTAAGTCTGTTGCTGATAACCCCATCAGAATACACTTTGGCTCAGAGCCTTTTCTCCAGCAAAGGTATTAATACCTTCTAGCTTCAGTTTTATCCGGAAAATGGTTAATGAGCACCTGCTGTGTGCTAGGTACTTTTCTAAGCAATAGAGATGTGGTGATGAACAAAGCAGATATTTCCACCACCATGGAGCCTACAGTCAAGTGGAAACATAAATGAAGATAGTTACAAATCCGTTAATTCGTAATGGAGTGCTATGAGAGAGAATACCAAGATAAATCTATTGTGGTATGGAATGGTAAGAAAGGCCCCTCTGTGGAAGTGACATGTGTACTGAAATCTGAAGGACAAGTGAACATTAGCCGGGAGAATACTCCAGGTAAGGGAAGAGGGTGTGTAATGGTCCCAAGGCAGAAAAGAATTTGGCCTGTGGCTGGTGACTCTCCAGGCAGTTAAGTCACTGTCATTACTGGGTTATCCTGTTATTTCTTCTTTCATCATTAATGTAGCCCTGTGCTTATATGTAAGATTATAGGCAGTTCCCTGAATATATGTTATTATTTCATGTCTCAGTACTTTTTGTACATGCAGGTCCCCTTTCTGAAATTCTCCTTCCCATCTCTAGCTGTTCTTTCTGTGGTCAGCTCAAGCCTTGTCTTATCTGATGTTCTTCAGCAGACTTAGGTACTTCTTTCTCAAATGCTTATTGAGCCTTGTGCATACCCATTATAGCAGCTACCACATCTGTTTGACCTTTCCCTGGCTGATAACCTTTTTGAGCATTGGGATTCTATTTTTTCATTTATATAAATCCAAGACTTACTATAGTAAGAACTTGGTGTTAGTAGACAATAGGTATTTATTCAGCAAATGGCCAAGCATATTCATTTTAATTAATTAATTAATTTTGGGACAGGGTCTTGCTCTGTTGCCCAGGCTGGAGTGCAGTGTTACAATCATGGCTCACTGCAGCCTATCTCCCAGGCCCAAGCCATCCTCCCAGCTTAGCCTTCCACGTAGCTAGGACTACAGGCTTGTGCCACCGTGCTTTGCTAATTTTTTGTATTTTTTGTAGAGATGGGGTCTGACTCTGTTGCCCAGGCTGGTCTTGAACTCCTGGGCTCAAGTGATCTTTCCACCTCAACCTTCCAAACTGCTGTGATTATAGGTGTGAGCCACCATGCCAGCTAAACATATTCATTTTAAAGACCCAAATACCTCACATTCCATTCAACCGCTCTCTCCCCGCCACCAGGACCCACCTTCATACTTTCTCCACTGATTCTGCCTATCATTAGTAGTTATACTTGGAAAGCAGAGGAATTTGTAGATGTGCCACAGATGAAAGATGTTAAGAATGTGTTATAGTGTTCTGATAAACCAGGTCTTTAGCAATATGTAATAGTGCCTACAGGTTGCACTGAATTAGAGCATTCTGTGTAAGGTCTGTTGCTTTGTTTTATGTAAAGTGAATAGGTGAGTAGTGACAAAGAACTAGGTTGTTCTTTCATTTTGGTTTTATTGGTGTTGACATTTACTATCAGTACCTGCCATTTTTTGAAATAAACATTATAATTTTTACATTACTTGGGTATGTTTTTAAGTCTTTTAAACCTCAATATCTCCTCACCTAGAAAAAATATTTTAGGAAACCGAAACTATGATGTTAAATAGTTTGCACAAGGTTTTGAGGCTAGTTGGAGCTAGGACAAAGAGCTTCTAGTTGAGAGATTTTTATAAACTGTGAATTCAGCCTTATTCCAGGGTTTTTTTGTTTTTTGTTTTCAAATTTTTTCTTTCAGCAAAGTAATAAAATGTTTAATTTTTATTAAAATATTAATGTACCTTTTTTTTTTTTTCCAGAGAGTAATGCCTTCTAGCTTTTTCCTGCTGTTGCGGTTTTTCTTGAGAATTGATGGGGTGCTTATCAGAATGAATGACACGAGACTTTACCATGAGGTATTTATTGTTGTTTAATGAATATACTAATTGATACTGGGCTTGTTTGTGTTGTTTAATTGTCAATCTGAGAATTTGAAATTAAACAATCTATATTATATGGCAGTCTTTCTAACTGTTAAGTCTGAGTGTTTCACATTCACTGTTGACTGCAGGCTATCATCAAAACATTACATTTCCTTTTACAAAGGTTCTGGTGACTCAAAATGTTTTCTAAAAGACACTCCCTAATTGGGGAGGGGTCTTTTGAGACAATTTTGTATGTACTTAATCCATGTTTAAGAAAACTGTCCTTTAACTCTTACCTTTGTTTACAGTATATGTTGTTTATGTAATGTCCTGATGTACATTAATATACAGGAAGTACATTAATATATTAATCAGGCCAAGGCCGGGCGCCGTAGCTCACGCCTGTAATCCCGGCACTTTGGGAGGCCGAGGTGGGTAGATCACCTGAGATCAGGAGTTCGAGACCAGCCTGGCCAACATGGTGAAACCCTGTCTCTACTAAAAATACAAAAAATTAGCCAGGCATGGTGGCACGGACTTGTAGTCCTAGCTGCTACTTGGGAGGCTGAGGTGGGAGGATTGCTTGAGCTGGTGAAGGTTGAGGCTGCAGTGACAGAGCAAGACCCTGTCTCAAAGAAAAAAAAAAAAAAGAAACATACCTAAGTTATACAGTTAGTAGGTGGCAGAATTGGAATTTGAACCTAGTAGGATAGGATTGGATTGATGCTTTCTAAACCCTTCACTTAGGGATTTTTTCTTGAAATAACATGGTTATAGTGATAGACCTTTTTTCTTTTAAAAGTGGTGGCAAAGTACTAAACATAAGCTATATTTTTGTTCCCCAGAAAGAGAAATCTAAATTTTATTTTTATTTATTTATTTGAGATGGATGGAGTCTTGCTCTGTTGCCCAGGCTGGAATGCAGTGGCGCGATCTTGGCTCACTGCAACCTCTGCTTCCTGAGTTCAAGCAATTCTCATGTCTCAGCCTCCCTAGTAGCTGGGATTACAGGCGCCCACCACCACACCTGGCAATTTTGTTGTTGTTGTTTTTAATGGAGTGATGGGGTTTCACCATGTTGGCCAGGCCGGTCTTGAACTCCTGACCTCAAGTGATCCAATTGCCTCGGCCTCCCAAAGTGCTGGGATTATAGGCGTGAGCCACACCGCTCCTGGCCTAAATGTTAAAAATACTGTTTTAATTAAACAATATTGAATTTTAGGAATTTATCCTAAAAAGATTCTTTTATATAATAATCTACTAATATTAATTGGGCAATTACTCAGAGTTATACGTACATGAATATTCACAGTAGTATTGTTTATAATAGCAGAAAGGAAGGAAAGTAGGAACTTAATGCCCATTAAATGGCCATTAATTAAATTGTTTATATCCATATGGTATAAAATATATAATTATTAAAATTGGTTGCAGAGATTGATATTTAAGTAATTTTGAAAGATATTCATTTCAGTGTTGAACTTTCAAAAGCAAGTATGAATCTACTTACATAAGATTCTCTGTAGAGATTTCTAAGTATTAAAGATAGTGTTACCTATAAGCTGTGATCACTGATGATTTATACTTTTATATTATTTGATTTTTTTCCTACAGTGACTATTAATCTGTTTTTATTAATACAAGAGAGTGAAACCTTAAAGGCATATAATTTTGTGGCTTTTCTTTTATTGAAAAGTGTTTCAAGAAGTAAATTATAATAAGTTGCTGTTCTAAAACCTAACCAAAAATCTTAAATGGGAAAAATTGAAGTACAAAAAAGGTGATTTTAAGTAAGCTATTTGGTAAGAGCTTTATGGAATGGGAAAGAATAAAAATTTTAAAGCATGTTTTGCAACATAAAAGTAGCACAATTACGTAGGTAAATGATAAGATAGCTTAAGGGAAAGATGTTTCAAACTTGAAGTAATTTTAAAATCTCTTGCATATTTCATTTATACAAATTCATTATATACATTATTCATTTATATACATATTCTTTCAAAGTAAAATCTTTGCTATGTTTCTCTTACATGGTAATTATAAAATCTGTTTACATATGTGTATCATCATTATAATGTATAGAAATTGGAAATAATAATCCAATTTGAGTTAAATAGGAGTTATCTCAGTGTAGAACAAGATGTTCTCTTTAGACTGCATGCTGTTTTGACAACCTATCCTAAAATGTAGGCAGTCTGTTTTTAATACAAAGGATTTTGTAAATCAGTATAATTAAATTTATTGCAACTGTTTATTTTTAAATACAGGCTGACAAGACCTACATGTTACGAGAATATACGTCACGAGAAAGCAAAATTTCTAGTTTGATGGCAAGTACTTAAATTTCAGTTTTTAGAAGTTAATTTTAATGTTTCATTTTAATTTAAGTAGCATATACCCCTGACCCCAACCACCCAAGTTTACATCCCTAAACCCATTCATTCACCTAATGGGGCTCTATAGGATAAATTCTATGGGAGCATAACTTTTCTGACCTTACCTCAAATACAAGAACATTTAGAGCTGCTAGGTACTTAAGCCTCATCTAATCTAATTTTCACATTTTGTTCTAGAGAAATTGAAACCCAGAGGTGTGACTTACTCTGAGTCACATAGCTGGCTGGTGATGGATGTTCTTTACACTTACCACCCTGCCGCCTTATTTCTTTCTACATAGTCTCCTTTTCTCTTCCGAAAATGTGGTGATTCTGTACCATAATTTGTTTGTTTTGGCATCATTTTTCTTTATTTTTTACTCCCCGGGACCTGTGAAGCCTTCCTTAGAACTTAGGATTCTATAATGGGTTGCTTAAAAATTGGTACCTTCCTATAAACTTGATTTTATTTTTTCACGCTTAGTATGTACTTCTGTCTGGGTATAGAGTATACTTGGAACAGAAAAGTTACTACTTAGATTCTATTGTAGACTACATGCTGTGCTCTAACCGAAGACTAGTGTTTTCAAGTTACAAAAGCAGGAGATACATAGGGTTGGATTAAGATGTATTAAATTCTTAGGACATTTGTGGGAACATTATAGATTATATAACCCTGTGATCTTTGATGAAATCATTCAGTAACAAAGTTGAATGATTCCGTATCAAGAAATACCTATTATTTTTAGGAGCACATATGCATATATTGCACCTGATTTTAAAATTTCCATGCTTTATGAATGCTTGAACCAAAACATTTGTAAAAAATTTCAGTACAGTAACTGAATATGCTAATATGATTTATGTATTTCCTAGCATGTTCCACCTTCCCTCTTCACGGAACCTAATGAAATATCCCAGTATTTACCAATAAAGGAAGCAGTTTGTGAGAAGCTAATATTTCCAGAAAGAATTGATCCTAACCCAGCAGACTCACAAAAAAGTACACAAGTGGAATAAAATGTGATACAACATATACTCACTATGGAATCTGACTGGACACCTTGGCTATTTGTAAGGGGTTATTTTTATTATGAGAATTAATTGCCTTGTTTATGTACAGATTTTCTGTAGCCTTAAAGGAAAAAAAAATAAAGATCGTTACAGGCAGGTTTCACTCAACTGCTGTTTGTACTGTCTGTCTTCACATTCATATTCCAGATTTATATTTTCTGGAGTTAAATTTGGATGATTTCTAAATTATCACAAAGTGGGACCTCAGCAGTAGTGATGTGTGTGTCTCATGAGCAGTGAGCACAGTCTGCATTCATCATGAAACACTATCTTCTACCAGGAGGAGGTTAATGTAAATCACCAAATCCCAATGCCTTGTGACTTTCATAGGATTCCTGATCATGCATGTTGATGTACTGGCTCTTCACTTTGGGCTTTCTGATGTTTATTCACACCTTTGGAGAGTTGCAACTTGCCACATACGAAATTAGTCTCATAGTGTAGTGAACTTCAACCCCAAAATTTTAAAAATGTATTTCCCCCCAGTTTTAAATTGCCTTTGAAATTTAAAAAAAAAAAATTTAGACTTAGTACCAGAACCAAAAATACCTAGATTTTTGGAGAACTTATTACATACATAGAAACATGAATATGGTTTACCACTGTGTGTGTGTAGGATGTTAGAATTATCTGTCCTCCATCTTTAGGTGCTTTTTCTTAAATGTGGTTCTACTTATACTGATATTTTTAATTTCCATCTTCCATGCAACCTCAGAGTGAATAAACCCCTTAAATTTGGTGCTGGTTCGAAAAAGTCTAAAGGGTTTATTAGGGGTTGTTTTTCGCAAATATTACATCAATCCTTAAAGCAACAAGATTAATTTTCTGCTTAAAATATTTGGGAAGATAGGTAAGGAGGAGGGGGTTTTAAAATATAAAAGCAAGTTTTTCTATTTTAAGGTGCATATTTGTAACATTACAGGGGATGAAGTAAAATGTAATTAATTAGCACAAGACTTAGGGAGTACAGAAAATACACAGAAGTAAATTTCAAATCCATTTGATTGTTTTCATAGTGACCCCTTAGTCATTTTATATTCTTGTCTGCCTTTCTAGAAAAATGGTTGTCATAAAGTGGAAAGTGATTAAAAAGCATCAAATAAGAAATTATTTCAAGTGGATTTTTAAAAATATTTTTTTGAAGGGCAGGGGGAAAATTCACCCCTTTTCTGATTTGAAATATGTTGTACATATTTCCATTTGATGGATAAATCATTAAGTAAGAATATTTGATTTAAAGTATTAGCCAACCTCTTCAGGTATTAGCCTGAAGATAAATTTTAACAAAACATATACACTTGGGTATCCGTCATTGCTCAAACTCTATAGTGTATTGCTGGAGCCAATAGGCAGGGTATATTTTATTAGCTAAATTTGATATTTGTCTTCTGCCTTCTGTATCACCTCCAAGCTATAGGAAATCAGGATTTTGTTGGCTTTAAGAAAACACATGGTATGTTCACTGTATATTAAATATACCTGTATTTAATGTTTTCTCTTAGGACAGAAAAGTAGACACACACACACACACACACACACATGTTGTGTTCAGCTTTCTGTTTTATATTATTTGCCATTGAGATTAGAATAGAACAGGCTCTATTCATGCAAACTATATGAAATGAAAAACTTTTAAGACTCTTCATTAATTGGAGCTTCTGGGCAACATCGTGTGTGTGTGTGTGTGTGTGTGTGTGTGTGTGTGTATACAGACATTTTTTTTTTAACTTGTTGATTCAGATGTCTTGGTCCCTGAATAGTCCTAGATTACTTATTTTGAGAATTCATTGTTAAAAATTACAGGGAATTAAAATAATTGCCTTTTTTTTTTTTAGAGGGTAAGAGATGGGTAGAAGAGTATGCCTCTGAAAATTTTATTAGTTTATTCTTGTGGAGAATACCAAGAAAATGTGTATTTGCCCATTGCTAAATATGATATATGCCATTTTGTATTTATTTGTCCCAAGTGTCTTTTTGTAAGAGGAGAATAAACAATAAGGAATTACTGATCAAAGTTTTACTATTTCATTTATTTGAGTTTTTCTTAGAGCTTAATTAAAGAAGTGTGGTTTGGGGTATACTTTTCTTATTTGTGCTTTATGTTTTGAACTCAGTCAACACTGTAGACAGTCTCCAGGCAGGTTATAAATTAAAACCTAACTGATGGTTCAGAATACAATTTCCCAGTTTGCATTTGGGCTCTTGCCTCTCCTCTCCCTCTGTTCATCAATATTTCCATGGATGTTTTTTAACAGTATTTTCTGTATGTTGGGTTAATGTTTTTGGTTTTTGAAAATATGAATACCTGTCGTATGTATTAGTTTTGAGTACTATATGTACAATTATGGTGCTAGGTATAATAGATTACAACAATGAAGCGATGTAGTATATGTTTTTATAGGATTAAAGTCTAATGGAGGAGACAAAGTAAAAAAATTACTAATTTTAATATGTGCAGTGATGGAAATGATACTGACAAGAGAGTAACAGAAAATCAACTAACTTTAGTAGAGGTAGTCAGAGCTCTGCTTCTCAAGAAGATGTGGAAAACCTCAAGAGACTGTCATTCCCATTTTAACAAGGAGAAAAGGCTGGGTCATCTATAAAATTAAAGCTTTTTTTCTTGAACATATCAAAGAACTGAAATTACAAGGCAAACAAACCAAATCCCAAAGAGTGATAAGCCCTACAAGGAGAGATGGGACATACTGACTGTTTAACCTTAGGAAGAACCCAAGAGAAAGAGATGGCCTTTATATAAACAGGTAAAATATTGGCAAAAATTTTAAGAAATTCCTAAAGTGTACATGTGGGCTAGCATACCAGTTTGGAATAGCCAAGAATCTGAAATAAGGGAACTTCATACACACTCACAAGTTCTTTCCCAAGGGCCTACACCAGGACTTAAGAAAGACTGGAAGCAGGGTGTGGAACCAGAAAGTCTCAGTAGGTGGTTTAAGCAAACAGAAGGTAGTTGGCTGCCATGAAATTCTGCCTGCTTTCAAGCTCTTCTCTTGAATGATGCAAAAGCCTTAGGCTATTGTAGGGAGGAACAACAATCATTCCTAGGGCCCAGGCAGAAATTCATTGCTCTGGGGTAGGAATGTAGACAAAACCCATCTGCTTTTGAGAGAGAGGTAGGAAATGTTCTGCCTTCAGGACACAGGAAAACAATATTACTGCTGGAAGAGTAGAAGCAAAAATTGACCTTGGAGGATAGGCAGAAAATCTGGGCCCAGGAAGCCACATGGATAACATAAAGAGGTCTGCTCCCAGTGGGGAATGAGCATGAAATTGTTGCACAAGACCAACAATAGATTTGAAACAGATTTTGACTACTATTGAGAAATGGTGCAGGAATGTTGAGAAAGCCACATCCCTGAAGGCCAGGCACACAAAGCCTGCCTAAGACCGAGGCTAGCCAAGGACAAAAAACCCCCTGTCTCTGCTATAAGCCTAGCACTAAGTAACAAGGAAAACCAGTCTGTTGAGGAAGCAGCAAGGGTGTAAATATAGATCCTCTCTGTGGTGTAGGCATACAGGGATCCCTGAAAATTGAGGGTGGGACTCAGAAAAGTCCTCCTGTACTCCAGGTGCACTGTAAGCATAAGGTAACAGCAGTCAACCACTGGAAGAATTTGAAGCCTGTAGTATACTGAAGATAGTGACAGCATTAATCCAACCCAAACCCCTAAAAACTGGTGTCTACATTGACACAATTTCCAAACTAATGGTCTCTGTGTTAGTCCATTTTGCATTGCTACAAAGGAATACCTGAGGCTGGATAATTTATAGACAAGAGGTTTATTTTGGCTCATGGTTCTGCAGATTATACAAGAAACATGGTGCCAGCATTTGCTTCTGGTTAGGCCTCAGGAAGCTTTTACTTGCGGCAGAAGGAAAGGGGAGCTGATGTGTCACATGACAAGAGCAGGAGCAAGAGAGATGCCAAGTTCTTTTTATTTATTTATCTATTTTATTTATTTATTTATTTACTGAGATAGCATCTCAGCCTGTCGCCCAGGCTGGAGTGCAGTGGCACCATCTCAGCTCACTGCAGCCTCTGCCTCCTGGGTTCAAACGATTCTCCTGCCTCAGCCTCCTGAGTAGCTGGGATTACAGGCATGCGCCACCAAGCCCAGCTAATTTTTGTATTTTTAGTAGAGATGGGGTTTCACCATGTTGGCCAGGCTGGTCTCGAATGCCTAACCTCAAGTGATCCACCCACCTCGGCCTCCCAAAGTGCTGGGATTATAGGCATGAGCCACCGTGCCTGGCCCAAGCTCTTTTTAAAAAACCAGCTTTCACGTGAACTAATGAAGAACTCATTACCCCAAAGAGGGCACTAATCTGCTCATGAGGGATCCCTCCCATGACCCAAACACCTCTTACCAGGCCCTGCTTCCAACATTGAGAATCACATTTCAACATGAGATTTGGAAGGGACAGACATCCAAACTATATCAGTTTGACAGAAGTGTGTGCATTTCCAGGTGTAACACAATCTACCTTATTCCTTCTGTTATACACATGAGTCTGGCATTCAATCAAAAACCAACAAAATCCAATTCAGAAATGAAACAGAGGTTGGGACTAGCAGACCTTAAGACAATCAGTTAATATATTAACATATCTGGTGGAAAAGGTGGGAAATAACAAACAGATAGTGAATTTCAGCAGAGAAGTGGGTAAAAAAGGGCAAAATGGAAACACCAGATATATACACATAAAAAGCTTGGCCAGGCACTGTGGTTCACACCTGTAAGCCCAGCACTTTGGGAGGCCGAGGCAGGTAGATCACTTGAGACCAGGAGTTTGAGACCAGCCTGTCTAACATGGGGAAACCCCAGCTCTACTAGAAATACAAAAAATTAGCCAGGCGTGGTAGCACATACCTATAATCCCAGCTACTCGGGAGGCTGAGGCATGAGAATTGCTTGAACTCGGGAGGCAGAGGTTGCAGTGAGCTGAGATCGTGCCACTGCACTCCTGCCTGGGCAACAGAGCAAGACTCTGTGTCAAAAAAAAAAAAAAAGTCTACAATATCAGAGATAGCGGATTTCTTCAAACTTGATACAGCTGAAGAATTCATGAACTTGAAAAGAGGTCAATAGCAAGTATCTAAACAGACAAAGCAAAAGAGAGTAGTGGTGGGGAAACAGGACAGAGCATCCAAGAACTGTGGAGCAAGATCAAATAGTCTGATGTACAGGCAAACCTTGAAAATATTACAGTGTGGCTCCAGACCACTGCCATAAAACAAATAAAGCAAGTCACATGAATTTTTTTGTTAACGAGTGCATATGAAAGTTATGTTTACACTATACCATAGTCTATTAAGTGTGCAATAGCATTATGTCTAAAGAAAAACAACATACGTATCTTAATTTAAAAATGCTTTATTAAAACAAAATGCTAATAATCATCTGACCCTTCAGCAAGTAGCAGTATTTTTGCTGGTAGAGGACCTTGCTTTGAGTTGATGGCTGCTGACTGATGATGGCTGTGGCAATTTCTTAAAATAAGACATCAACGGCCAGGTGTGGTGGCTCACACCTGCAATCCCAGCATTTTGGGAGGCCGAGGTGGGCGGATCACCTGAGGTTGGGAGTTCAAGACCAGCCTGACCAACATGGAGAAACCCTGTCTCTACTAAAAATACAAAATTAGCTGGGTATGGTGGCACATGCCTGTAATCCCCGCTACTCGGGAGACTGAGGCAGGAGAATCATGTGAACCTGGGAGGCGGAGGTTGCGGTGAGCAGAGATCACACCATTGCACTCCAGTCTGGGCAACAGGAGTGAAACTCCGTCTCAAAAAAAAAAAAAAAAAAGACATTCAACCCTCTTAGATCCTGCCACTACTTTATCAGCTAAGTAACTAAGTATATGTAATATTCTAATCCTTTGTTGCCATTTCAACAATGCTTACGGTATCTTCAACAGTAGATTCCATCTCAAGAAACCACTTTCTTTGTTCATCCATAAGAAGCAACTCCTCATCCTGTTAAAGTTTTGTCATGAATTTGCAATAATTCTGTCACACCTTTAGGCTCTGCTTCTAATTCTAGTTCTCTTGCTATTTCCACCCCATCTGCAGTGACTTCCTCCACTGAAGTCCTGAACCTCTCAAAGTCATCCACAAGGGTTGGAATCAACTTCTTCCAAACTCCTGTTAAAATGTTGACATTTTGACCTCCTTCCATGAATCACAAATTGGCATCTGGAATGGTTAATCCTTTCCAGAAAGTTTTCAATTGACTTTGCCTGGTTCCATGAGAGGAATCACTATCTATGGCAGCTATAGCCTTATGAAATGTATTTCTTAAGAAATAAGACTTGAAAGTTGAAATGACTCTTTGATCCATGGGCTGCAGATTGTATATTGTGTCAGCAGGCATGAAAACACAGCATTCATCTCCTTGTACATCTCTATCACAGCTCTTGGTTGACCAGCTACATTGTCAATGAGCAGTGATATTTTGAAAAGAATCTTTTTTTCTGAACAGTAGGTCTCAATACTGGGCTTAAAATATTTAGTGAGCGAGGCTGTAAAGAGATGTGCTGTTATCCAGGCTTTGTTGTAGAGCACAGGTGGTAGCAACTGATCATAATTCTCAGCTCTAGGATTTTGAGAATGGTAAATGAAACTTTCTCAGTATCAGCAGTAAGGCTGTTTTGCTTTATTATCATTTATGTATTCACTGGAGTAGCACTTTTCATTTCCTTCAAGAGCTTTTCCTTTGCATTCACAACCTGGCTAACTCGTACAAGATGTCTGGCTTTCATCCTATCATGCCTTCCTTACTAAGCTTAAT
Organism: Homo sapiens; assembly: GCF_000001405.40. Taxonomy (NCBI): domain Eukaryota; kingdom Metazoa; phylum Chordata; class Mammalia; order Primates; family Hominidae; genus Homo; species Homo sapiens. The sequence goes on from NC_000001.11 coordinate 168,206,919, forward strand.
CATTTCTAGCCTTTGATTTAAAGTGAAAGACATGGGACTCTTCCTTTCACTTGAACACTTAGAGGTCATTGTAGGTTATTTTTTTTTTTAAGCATGGAAATAAATTTTTTTATTACTGAATTATTTCCCTTATTTGACTTTCATAAGGAAATACTCAAAAACCACTTCAAAATAACTCAATTCTCACTCATACACATAGCATTTTCAGGACACCATATTTTCTTTTTTATTATTTTATTTTATTTTATTTTATTTTATTTATTTTTTTATTGATCATTCTTGGGTGTTTCTCGCAGAGAGGGATTTGGCAGGGTCATAGGACAATAGTGGAGGGAAGGTCAGCAGATAAACAAGTGAACAAAGGTCTCTGGTTTTCCTAGGCAGAGGACCCTGCGGCCTTCCGCAGTGTTTGTGTCCCCGGGTAGTTGAGATTAGGGAGTGGTGATGACTCTTAATGAGCATGCTGCCTTCAAGCATCTGTTTAACAAAGCACATCTTGCACCGCCCTTAATCCATTTAACCCTGAGTGGACACAGCACATGTTTCAGAGAGCACTGGGTTGGGGGTAAGGTCATAGATCAACAGCATCCCAAGGCAGAAGATTTTTTCTTAGTACAGAACAAAATGGAGTCTCCTATGTCTACTTCTTTCTACACAGCCACAGCAACAATCTGATTTCTCTATCTTTTCCCCGCATTTCCCCCTTTTCTATTCGACAAAACTGCCATCGTCATCATGGCCCGTTCTCAATGAGCTGTTGGGTACACCTCCCAGACGGGGTGGCGGCCGGGCAGAGGGGCTCCTCACTTCCCAGAAGGGGCAGCCGGGCAGAGGCGCCCCCCACCTCCCGGACGGGGCGGCTGGCTGGGTGGGGACGCTCCTCACTTCCCAGACGGGCGGCTGCCGGGCGGAGGGGCTCCTCACTTCTCAGATGGGGCGGCTGCCGGGCGGAGGGGCTCCTCACTTCTCAGACGGGGCGGCTGCCGGGCGGAGGGGCTCCTCACTTCTCAGACGGGGCGGCTGCCCGGCGGAGGGGCTCCTCACATCCCAGACAGGGTCGTCGCCGGGCAGAGGTGCTCCTCACATCCCAGACGGGGCGGCGGGGCAGAGGCGCTCCCCACATCTCAGACGATGGGCGGCTGGGCAGAGACGCTCCTCACTTCCTAGACGAGATGGCGGCCAGGAAGAGGCGCTCCTCACTTCCCAGACTGGGCAGCCGGGCAGAGGGGCTCCTCACACCCCAGACGATGGGTGGCCAGGCAGAGATGCTCTTCACTTCCCAGATGGGGTGGCGGCCAGGCAGAGGCTGCAATCTCGGCACTTTGGGAGGCCAAGGCAGGCGGCTGAGAGGTGGAGGTTGTAGCGAGCCGAGATCACGCCACTGCACTCCAGCCTGGGCAACATTGAGCACTGAGTGAACGAGACTCCGTCTGCAATCCCGGCACCTCGGGAGGCCGAGGCTGGCAGATCACTCGTGGTTAGGAGCTGGAGACCAGCCCGGCCAACACAGCGAAACCCCGTCTCCACCAAAAAAATACGAAAACCAGTCAGGCGTGGCGGCGCGCGCCTGCAATCGCAGGCACTCGGCAGGCTGAGGCAGGAGAATCAGGCAGGGAGGTTGCAGTGAGCGGAGATGGCGGCAGTACAGTCCAGCTTCGGCTCGGCATCAGAGGGAGACCGTGGAAAGAGAGGGAGAGGGAGACCGTGGGGAGAGGGAGAGGGAGAGGGAGAGGGAGAGCCATTGTAGGTTATTAACTGGCCTAATTTCAATATTGTTGTGTCTCAGGGAACAGAAAGGCCTGAGGAGAGGGAGAGAGATGGGACAATGGAAGGTCAATGGACCAGTCACAGCACACACTACATTTATCGATTAAGCTCATTGTCTTATATAGGCAGAATTGTTGATATCCCCCAACAGTTAACAATAGTAACATCAAGGATCACTCATCACAGATCACCATACAGATATAATCAATGCAATATCTGTGAAGCACAATAAACCAAAGTACAAAAAAAGACATACACCCATATGTAATTAAAGTCCAAGAGAAAACAGAAATGGACTGCGGGATAAGAAATATCAGTAGAGGCCGGGCGCGGTGGCTCACGCCTGTAATCCCAGCACTTTGGGAGGCCGAGGCGGGCGGATCACGAGGTCAAGAGATCAAGACCATCCTGGCCAACATGGTGAAACCCCGTCTCTACTAAAAATACAAAAATTAGCCAGGCGTGGTGGCACGCACCTGTAGTCCCAGCTACTCGGGAGCCTGAGGCAGGAGAATTGCTTGAATCCGGGAGGCAGAGGTTGCAGTGAGCCGAGATTGCACCACTGCACTCCAGCCTGCCAATAGAGTGAGACTCCATCTCAAAAAAAAATAATAATAATAAAATAAAAAGAAAGAAAAAAATGTATCAGTAGAGATAATGGCCAAGAATTTTCCAAAGTTAATGAAGAACAGTAACTCACAGGTCCCAGAATTCCAGAAATTCCACATTGTAAGTCAAACTGCTGAAACCAAAGATAAGAGTTAATCTCTCAAAGACAGTTGGAGGAAAAAGAAACATTATATACAGAGAAAGAAACACATAAGAATTATAGCCAACTTCTGGTCAGGGAGTAAATGAGCAAGAAAATAATGAAGCGAAGGTCCATGTAAGGAGCTTGGAAGTCATCATTCCATCTTGACAATAAGGAAAATGCTGGACAAAGTGAAGACACAACTCTTCTTGGATCCCTCAGAAAAGTGACGTTACAGGGCAAAATGCTACTCCCAAAATTGAAGAGACAGGCAAATACAGAGAATTACAACTTAATGGAGCAGGAACTCAGAAGCAAAAACCTCCGTGGGCACTAGTGCCAGGGTAGGAAAATCTAAATTGTGCTTGACAAATAGCTGGAGGCTCAGTGTGGACAAGTTTGAGATTAAAAACTCCAAGGGGGCCAGATGTGGTGGCTCATGTCTGTAATCCCAGCACTTTGGAGCCCAAGACAGGCAGATCACCTGAATTCAGGAGTTCGAAACCAGCCTGGCCAACATGGCAAAACCCCATCTTTACTAAAAATACAAAAATTAGCCAGGTGTGGTAGCATGCGCCTGTAATTTCAGCTACTTGGGAGACTAAGGCATGAGAATCACTTGAACCCAGGAGGCAGAGGTTGCAGTGAGCCAAGGTCACACCATTGCACTCCAGCCTGGGCAACAGAGTGAGACTCCATCTCAAAAAATAAAATAAAACAAATAAATAAAAACTCCAGGGGGACCCAGTCATAGGGCAACCGCCACACTTCTCTGAGTTTTACCTCCAGGCACTCAATCAGGTTCTCACAGTAAAGACTGGCCAAAAATCCCTTTGGGATTTCATCAGGGGAAGGGGACAAATAACCATTTTCAAATATGCCAGAGCTTTCTCTTGTTAACAAGGCCTGCCCTTGAGAGAAACTGTTTTACTAGAGCCTAATCTAGTAAAGTTTTTTCAGAGTCTTACTGATTGGGGGAAGAGAAATATCCAACTCCAGTCAGCTCTAGCTATCCTGTTCCACCCAATGGTGGGGAGGGAGGTACGGAGAAGCACTTGTGAAGTTCACAGTCCAGAGGCACAGGCTCATTAAAAGACTGAGACTGAATCCTATTCGACCTTTGAACTCACAAAGACTTTCTTCTTCCTCTTTTGCTGATGTTGTTTACAGGCACTCAGAATGGTCCAGCATTTGATATACCATCGTAGGCTTTCCTACAATATAGCCTCTAACAAAACTAGGCTGTCCCAAACCCCAGGTAATAGAATTGTTTACTTTTATACCAAGAAGGTTGGGAAAGCACCAAAATCTGCATGTGGCATGTGCCCAGGCAGACTTTGAGGGGTTCGTGCTGTGAGACCTAAAGTTCTTATGAAATTGTCCAAAACAAAAAAACATGTCAGCAGGGAATATGGTGGTTCCATTTGTGCTAAATGTGTTCATGACAGGATCAAGCATGCTTTCCTTATCGAGGAGCAGAAAATTGTTGTGAAAGTGTTGAAGGCACAAGCACAGAGTCAAAAAGCTAAATAAAAAATGAAACTGTTGCTGGGAGTGGTGGCTCACACCTGTAATCCCAGCACTTTGGGAGGCCGAGGCGGGCAGATCATGAGGTCAGGAGTTCGAGACCAGCCTGACCAACATGGTGAAACCCTGTCTCTACTAAAAATACAAAAATTAGCTGGGCATGGTGGCATGCACCTGTAATCTCCGCTACTTGGGAGGCTGAGGCAGGAGAATCGCTTGAACACGGGAGGTAGAGGTTGCAATGAGCCCTGCATTCCAGCCTGGACGACAGAGCGAGACTCCTTCTCAAAAAAAAAAAGGAAAGAAAGAAACTTTTTTGAGCAATAAAAATGAAAAGACTTTAAAAAAAGACTGAGACCTAATCATAGGACTATAAAATACCTTTCCTTCCCACACATCTTCCCACACATTACTAAAGGCCTTTTTACTATAGCCCCTTTTACGTACATCACGTTCAGGTATCAAGAAAAAAAACTACAAGGCAGACTAAAAGGCAAAACAGAACAAAAACTCCACAGTTTTAAGAGACAGAGCAATCCTCAGAACCAGATTCATATATGACAGGGATGTTGAAATGGTCAGACCATGTACTTAAAACAACTGATTCATATGCTAAAGACTCTAGTGAATAAAGTAGACAGCCTGCAAGAACAGATGGGCAATGGGTGAACAGAGAGATGGAAATTCTAAGCATAAACATAATGCCAGAAATAAAAACACTGCAGCAGAAATGAAGAATGCTTTTGATGGGTCTATTAATAGATTGGACATGGCTGAGAAAACAATCTCTGAACTTGAGTGTATCTCAATAGAAACTTCCAAAATGGAAGAGCAAAAAGAAAAAAAAGATTGAAAAAAAAAAATCCCAACAGAAAATCCAAGAATGATGGGACAACTAGAATAAGTATTACATAAGTGGAATGAAAATATCACAAGGGCTAGGCACAGTGGCTCACACCTGTAATCCCAGCACTTTGGGAGGCTGAGGTGGGTGGATCACCTGATGTCAGGAGTTCGAGACCAGCCTGGCCAACATGGTGAAACCCTGTCTTTAATAAAAATACAAAAATTAGCCAGGTGTGGTGGCGGGTGCCTGTAATCTCAGCTACTCGGGAGGCTGAGGCAGGAGAATCGCTTGAGCCTGGGAGGCGGAGGTTGCAGTGAGCCAAGACCGTGCCACTGCACTCCAGCCTGGGCAACACAGTGAGACTCCATATCATAATAAAAATAAAAATAGAAAAGAAAATACCAGAAGGAGGCCAGGCGCGGTGGCTCACATCTGTAGGCAGAGGTTGCAGTGAGCCGAGATTATGCCACTGCACTCCAGTCTGGGCGACAGAGCGAGATTTCATCTCAAAAAAGAAAAGTAAAAAAGAAAATACCAGAAGGAGAAGAAATAAATAAAACAACAGAAGAAATACTTGAAGCAATAATGACTGAGAATTTTTGCAAATTAATGTCAGATATCAAATCACAGATTCAGGAAGCTCAGAGAACACCACACAGGATAAATGTCAAGACAACAATAACCACAATCATCACCACAAAAAAACATGACACCTAGGAATACCATATTTTAAAAGTCCTATATTTTAAAAGTCTTTAAAAAGTCAGAGGAAAAAGACACCTTACCTACAGGGGAAAAAAGATAAAAATTATACCCAACTTCTCCTCAGTAACATGCAAGCAAGGAGGTCAGTGAAATTTAGTGTTGAGAGAAAAAGATTACCAACCTAGAATTCTGTGTCCTGTGAAATGATTCTTCAGAGGTGAAGGAGAAGTACAGACTTTCTCAGACAAACAAAAACTGAAGAAGTTTGTTGCCAGTAGATCTGCCTTACAATAAATGTTAAAAGTTTCTCAGAGAAAAGAAAAATGATATAGGTCAGAAACTTGGAGCTACGTAAAGAAAGAAAGAGCAATCTATCTATCTATCTATCTACCATCTATTCTATCTATTCTATAATCTATTCTATTTATCTAATCTATAATCTATTCTATCATCTATTCTATCCAATCTATCCAATCTATTCTATCTATCTATCTATCTATCTATCTATCTATCTATCTATCTAATCTCTGTCTCTGTCTGCCTGCCTGCCTATATAACTACTTACCTACCTTTCTACCTATCTATCCAGTCACCCATCCATCTATCTAAATAGATTTATTGTAAAGAGTTAGATCATGTGATTATGGATGCTGAGAAGTTCCCAGACATGCAGTCGGCAAAGTGGAGATCTGGGAGAACCTGTGGTACAGTTCCAGTGCAAGTCTGAAGGCCTGAGAATCAGGAGAGCCAATGGTGTCAGTTCCAGTTCAAAAGCTAGCAGGCTTGAGACCCAAGAAGAGCCATTGTTTCAGTTCAAGTTCAAAGGAAGCAAAAGATTGATGTCCTTGCTCAAGGCAGTCAGGCGGGAGATGTTCCCTTTACTTGGCCTTTCTGATCTATTCAGGCATTCAGTGGATTGGACAAGACCCACCCACATCAGGGAGGGTAGTCTAATTTGTAGTCTTTACTCAGTTTACCAATGCAAATGTTAATCTCATTCAGAAACCCCCTCACAGATATACCCAGAATAGTGTTTGACCAAATATCTGGGCACCCTGTGGCCTAGTCAAGTTCACACATAAAATTCATCATCGCAATGACATTCTGGAAAGGCAAAATCATTGGCAGAAATCAGATCAATTGTTTCAAGAGGGGGGAAGTATTGAATATGAAAGGACCTGAGGGAAATTTTAGGTGTGATGGACTATGCTAAATTTTTATTGTGGTGGTACTTACTTGACCATATAGGTTTGTCAGAACTCATTGAATTGTATACCTAAAAAAGGCAAATTTCTTTATATGTAACTATACTTTAATAAACATGAATTTAAGAACAAAAAAGAATTTGAAGAACAATTGAAAGAAGAAGAAGAAGGCTGGGCACCATGCCTCATGCCCATAATCCCAGCACTTTGGGAGGCTGAGGTGGGAGGATCGCTTGAGCCCAGGAGTTTGAGACCAGCCTAGGAAACATAGGGAGACCTCATCTCTACAAAAGATAAAAAACAGTAGCCAGGAATGGTGGCACATGTCTGTTGTCCCAGATACTTGGGAGGCTGAGGTGGGAGATTGTTTGAGTCCTAGAGGTTGAGGCTTCAGTGAGCAGTGATCATGCCACTGCACTCGAGCCTGGGCAACAGAGTGAGTTCCCATCCTGAAATAATAATAATAATAAATAATAAGAGGTAGTCTGGGCACTATACTGAGGGCATGCTATTTAAGCTGAATCCTGAACATAAAAATAACTTAGTCATGGGATATATTTGGGGTGGGAAGAGTTTGTAAGAGAGGAAACAATGGAGAACAGTCAATGAAAAGATTGGCATATTTATGGAAGCGGAGAGAGGTGTATTGCTTGAGCACAAGATGAGACTGAAGAGACTGGCTAGGGTTAGATTATGCAGCATTTTGTAGTCCACATTTAAGAAGGATAGATTTTATTTTGATGCAATAAGAAATAATGAAAAGTTAAGCATAGGGGGCAAGAGATCTGACATTTTCAATTCATGTTAGCCGCTAGATGGGGAATGGATTGAAGGTATTTAGAGGAGTAGCAGTCAACTTAGGAGGCTGTTTCAGTAGGCAATGGGAGTGATGATGCTGTGTGATCTAGAGCTGTGGTAGTGGATATGAGGAAGAGTGACTCAAAGAATATTTTGAAGATTGAATTTATTGGATTTCCTTATGAATTCAACATTAGGAGTGAAGGAAATGGAAGAATGAAGGAGGATGTTTAAGTTTTGGTCTTGACCAATTAGGAGGCTATTGGTGCTACGTAATGTGTTGAAGACAGAAAGGAGGGACAAGTTTGGAGGAATTAAAACTCCTCTTGACCATGTTAAGTTTGGAATGCCTGAGACATCCAAATGAAAATGTTTAATGTGTAGTTTCTTTTTTTTTTCTTTTTTTCTTTTTCTTTTTTTTTTTTTTTTGAGACAGAGTCTCACTCTGTTGCCCAGGCTGGAGTGAAGTGGCACAATCTTGGCTCACTGCAACCTCTGCCTCCTGGGTTCAAGCCATTCTCCTGCCTCAGCCTCCTGAGTAGCTGGGACTACAGGTACACACCATCATGCCCAGCTAATTTTTGTATTTTCAGTAGAGGCAGGGTTTCACCATGTTGGCCAGGCTGGTCTTCAACTTCTGGCTTCACATGATCTGCCCGCCTTGGCCTCCCAAGTGCAGAGATTACAGGCGTGAGCCACCACACCCGGCCTAATGTGTAGTTCGATGGGTAACTGAATCTGTAGCTCAAGAGATACCTGAACTAAAGAAAGAAATTGAGGATTATCACCAATATAGGTAACTTTTAAAGTCATATAAATGAATGAAATCACTTAAAGAATGTTGACAAAGAAATGAAGAGTTTCTTTCCTTTCAAATGCTACAAACATGCTCCACCAGATCCTCGGTCAGACTAAGAAGCATCTGAGCTTGATCCCCTCTTTGTGTTTATTGGAGCTGAAGGTACTGGAGCAGCACTGTGTGTCTTGTGTCTGGCATTGTTCAATCCAGATGTTAGTTGAGACGGAAAGCATAACCCAGAACCCTGAAACAAACTGGGTCCCAATGATCCATACGAGTTCTACCCAGTGAATGTGGATTACAGCATACTGAGGAAAGAAGGTCCAGATTTCTAAATGTTTCCCTATAAAGCTGCTTTAGAATGAAGGTCTTCCAGAAGCCATCTGCACAATTTTCCACTTAATCAGGAAATATTTCTCCTCTAAATGCATGAAATCATGTTGATATATTGGATTGGAGATTATATTGATTAATTAGTATCTGAAACTTGAAAAAAACTAAAAAGAAAAAGAAGCAGGCTGGGCACAGTGGCTCATGCCTGTAATCCCAGCACTTTGGGAGGCCGAGGCGGGCGGATCTCGAGGTCAGGAGATTGAAACCATCCTGGCTAACACGGTGAAACCCTGTCTCTACTAAAAAATACAAAAAATTAGCCCGCTGTGGTGGTGGGCGCCTGTAGTCCCAGCAACTCATGAGGCTGAGGCAAGAGAATGGCGTGAACCCGGGAGGTGGAGCTTGCAGTGAGCCGAGATCGCGCCACTGCACTCCAGGCGTGGGTGACAGAGCGAGACTCCGTCTCAAAAAAAATAAAATAAAATAAAATAAAAATAAAAAATAAAAAAAAAAAAAAAGAAAAAGAAATAACGAAGGCCTTGGAGGGATTCCTGATCCCTGAACAACACTTGGAGATCAAGAGACAAGAAGGAATAGCCAATGTAGAAACCAGGAGAGTACAGTAACATAGAAGCCAAGGGAAGAGAAGAATGTTTCTAGGAAGGAGTTGGCATCTGAATTGAATGCTGTTAAGGGAACTATTAATAGTAAGATGACAGGAGTTTTTATTGGCAGCACAGAGATATTGCTGATTTTTTTTTCTTTTTGTTAAGGCGTGGCCTTGCTCTATTGCCCAGGCTGGAGTGTAGTGGCATGATCACAGCTCACTGCAGCCTCAACCTCCCCGGGCTCAAGTGATCCTCCCACCTCAGCCTCCTTGGTAGCTGGGACTACAGGCGCACACCCCCATGTCCAGTTAATTTTTTTGTATTTTTTGCAGCAACGGGTTTTCGCCATGTTGTCTAGGCTGGTTTTGAACTCCTGGGCTTAAATGATCTGTCCGCCTCAGCTTCCCAAAGTGCTGGGATTACAGGCGTGAGCCACCACTCCTAGCCTGATATTGCTAATTTTATACAGTTTTGGGGGAGTGATGACAGCAGAAGCCAGACTGGACTTTGAAAATGAAATATGAAGATAGATCTCTCAACAAAATTGCTTTAAAAGAAACAGGCTGGTAGCTAGGGATTTGTGGGGACAGTCATGTCTATGGGAATAGCCTAATAATCAGATTGGTGATTCAGGAGAGGGGATAACCAATGGAGCAATCAGTGTTATGCAAATAAGGCAAATTAAAGCCTCATTTTTAATAATTGTTTATTAGTCATTTCTCACATTAACATTTAAAGGATTGTTATTAAGACGATCAAAACAAGGTTACAGATAATGCCGCTTCCAGAAACTAGAAATAGTCTAGTTTTTTTCCTTATGTACTTAACCACATAGCTTCCCTCAGTGATTCACAAAATAGGAAAATCTTTCCCTAATTTTTCGTATCATCACAAACTTAGCAAACTTAGCTGTCTGGAGGACTTGATATTCTTTATAAATGTGAGGCATGAAGCCTGTTGTCTTAGGGCCTTCCTTTTTTTTTTTTTTTTTTTGAGATGGAGTCTCAGGCTGGAGTGCATTAGTGTGATCTCGGCTCAATGCAACCTCCATCTCCTGGGTTCAAGAGATTCTCCTGCCTCAGCCTCCTGAGTAGCTGGGATTACAGGCATGCGCCACCATGCCTGGCTAATTTTTGTATTTTTGGTAGAGACAGGGTTTCACTATGTTGGCCAGGCTGGTCTCAGACTCTTGACCTTAGGCAGTTTGCCCACCTCAGCCTCCTAAAGTGCTGGAATTATAGGCGTGAGCTGCCATGCCCAGCCTTTTTTTTTTTTTTTTGGAGACAAGGTCTCACTCTGTTGCCCAGACTGTAGTGCAGTGGCATGATCTCAGCTCACTGCAACCCCTACCTCCTGGGTTCAAGTGATCCTCCTGCCTCAGCCTCCCACGTAGCTGAGATTGCAGGCCCGTGCCACCATGCCTGGCTTATTTCTATTTTTATTTTTGTAGAGACAGTGTCTCCCTGTATTTCCCAGGCTGGTCTGGAACACCTGGGCTCAAGCAATCTGCCCGCCCCAGCCTCCTAAAGTGCTGGGATTACAGGCACGAGCCACTGTGCCAGGCCAGGGCCTTCTTGAGTTGCGTTATAAATAAAGGGTCAGGTAGTGCTTGTGGAAATCCTGCCTACAGGTGTCCTCTTGTGGAAATAAGTAATTCAAAGTCTAAGCTATTGGAATGCTAAATTATTCTGAGCCTTAAAGGAATGAGAATTTCAGGGCCTGAGTCATTGACAGGCTGTAGACTAGGCAGCTATAAGCTATAAGCTTTTGTTTAATAACAAATTAAGCCTTTTCCCTTACATGCATTGTTTCATAAAATGTAAATGGTTGAAGGGTGCCAGGGAGGACCCCCTTCCCTCTAACTGTAGACTTTCATTATACATTGACCCCCCTCTTACCTTTCTGACACAAAGATTTCTAGGCTATCATATGGCTTAAGATGGAATGTTAAATACACTCTTTAAAATTGGAAAGGAAATGAAAAACCAGTTATAAGGAAAAGAAAACAAGCTACATGGAAACAAACTGTAACTAATTAATTTGTTATAACTCATAAATCAGTTTTGTATAGAAAATGTTGTAATCTTGTTAAATTTGTCTTTTTCCTATATAAGAAAAAATTTAGCTTTTGACTTCAAAGCACTAAACTCATTTCTCTGAAGGGGCGCATCCAGGAATGGCTTTCAGCTTCTCTTGAATAAGCTCTTTAAAACTGGATCCTGATCCTTTTGATTATTTCAGATTGATACTCTTCAGTAAAAAATCTTTAGATAGAGCTAGGTACAGTGGCTTATACCTGTAATCCCCACCACTTGGGAAGTTGAGGTGAAAGGGTTGCTTGAGGCCAGGAGTTTGAGACTTGGCTGAGCAACATAGCAAGACCCTGTCTCTAAATAATAATAATAATAATAAAATCTTTAGATATGTGTGTTTTCCTACGTATGTTGTATTTATGGCATGTCATAGTCTGTTTTGTGCTCCTATAACAGAATACCGTAGACTGGGTAATTTAAAATGAACAGAAATTTATTGGCTCACAGTTCTGGAACTGGGAAGTTCAAGATCAATGGGCCAGTATCTGTCAAAGGCCTTTTAGCTGCGTCATTCCATGACAAAAGGCAGAGGGCAGGGGAGAGAAAAGGAGACTGAACTGGTCTTTCTATAAGGGATCCACTCCTGTGATAATAGCATTAATATATTCATGAGGGCAGAGTCCTCATGGCCTAATAATCTCATAAAGATCCCATCTCTTAATACTGTTGTATGGGGATTGAGTTTCTAACACGTGATTTTTGGGGGATATGACATATTCAAACCGTAGCAGGGCACTGGCAGAGAAAATGCCCATGTGGGTTTTAAGTCTGGATTAGTGTTACAGTGTGTGAACCTACAAACGTATCTGAGACAGGTCTCAATCAATTTAGAAAGTTTATTTTGCCAAGGTTAAGGATACGCCTGTGACACAGCCTCAAGAGGTCGTGATGGCATGTGCCCAAGGTGGCTGGGGCACAGCTTGCTTTTATATATTTTAGGGAGACATAATACAACAGTCAACACTTGTAACATTTACACTGGTTTGATCTGGAAGGGCAAGACAACTCGAAGTGGGGCTTCCAAGTCATAGGTAAATTTAAAAATTTTCTGATGGGCAATTGGTTGAAAGAGTTTTATCAATAGAAAGAAATGTCTGGTTTCCCTAAAGGGGTTATAGAGACCAAGACTTTATATTGCAGATGAAGCCTCCAAGTAGGAGGCTTCAGAGAGAATACATTGCAGATGTCTTTTATCAGACTTAAGGTCTGTATTGATGTTAATACTAGTCAGCTTTTCCTGAATTCCAAAAGGCAGGAGGGCATACTGAGGCATGTTCGACCCCACCATCCTGTTGTGGCCTGAACTAGATTTTCAGGTTAACTTTGGAATGCTCTGGGCCAAGAGGAGGGGCCCATTCTGATGGTTGGAGGGCCTTAGAATTTTATTTTTGGTTTACAAGTGCCAGGTTTTTCTGAGACCTGAATTTGTCTAAGATAGAAATAAAAGCCCATTACAGCAAATACTACCCCGTCTTGGTTTGGGTTTCCTTCAAAATGTACCCTGAGACAAGCATCGGGAGGCAGGCAGGCAGTTTGACAGGCAATCTCAGGAAGAACAGGTGAGAAAGTGGGAAAGGGAGACAGGAAGAAAAGGCAAAGAAGGCGTGGTCATGAATGTGGGGATTGCAGCTGTGGTCAAAAGGGGCTTAATCTTGCTGGAGACTTCTGCAGAACCTTGTGGAACGTGCCCCAGAGTGTCCCATTTATAGTCGCATCTCGTTGGTTGGGGTTTGGCTCCAGGTTGATGGCTGGATCCCCCTTCCCAATACTGAAACAGCTCTGATGACTGGAGTGTTCGAACACCAGGGTCCTTAGTCTCGCACCAATTTTGATAAAACAACATGGACACACGTGGAGTAGTTTTAAGGAGTGAAAAGTTCAACAGTCAAGAAAGATGGAAGGAAGGAGAAAACAGCTTCCCTGTACAGAGACAGAGGGAGGGGGGATTTCTCTCTGTAAGCCATTTTCTGCTATCCTCCCCGCGCTCCCCCCCGAAACCCCCACCCCTACACACACACACACACACACACACACACACACACACACACACACACACGGCAGGGCGTGAGGAGAGAAACGACTGTCTGTTTTCACACTGCTATAAAGAACCTCCTGAGACTGGGTAATTTTTGAAGAAAAAAGGCTTAATTGTAATTTACTTACAGTTCTGCACAGTTAGGGAGGCCTCAGGAAACTTACAATCATGATGGAAAGTGAACGGGAACCAAGGACCTTCTTCACATGGTGTCAGGGAGAAAGAGTGAAGGAGAAACTGCCACACACTTTTAAACCATCAGATCTCATGAGAACTCACTATCGTGAGAACAGTGTAAGGGAAACCACCCACGTGATGCAATCACCACCCACTAGGCCCTTCCCCTGACACGTGGGGATTATAATTCCAGATGACATTTGGGTGGGGACACAGAGCCAAAGCATATCAAACTTCATGTCTATTGCTGGTACACGGGGATTCATGTCTATTGCTGGTACACGGGCAAGCAGGTATGAGGTGGGGCATCAGAGCCCTCCTTACAACATTCATGTATTGCAAAGTTACTTCCCTGCAGTGATGACTGGGAGAGTCTTATTATCTGCAATTCTGAACACTCCTGGATTTAAATGGTTTCTTTCATCCCTGTCTATACAACAGTTCGTTTATCAGCCAGCTATATTGTAATTGATAAAGAAGCCATGGGGCCATGAGAATACTGACATCAAACAGTTACTTTTCAGCTTCCTTTCCTACCTTTAAATGGTCATGCCTCTCCCTCAAAGGGACTTTGGAAAAATCATTTAAACTCTTACTCCACCACTAAAATCAGGTGAACACACAAAGCAATCTAGGGCTTGGAGCGATACATAAGGCTGGTGGTGTGTATCTGAATGTTTTTCTCTAAACCTGGGGTTTTCAACCAAGGGCCCATAGTCATGGCAGAACGCCTGGCATATATGACACTGCTGGTAGTGTGGGCCACTTTTCCCCACAGGGGCAGGTGGGGAGAGGCTCCATGACAATCATACTCTCAAAAGGGTCTGTGATGCCAAAATAGAACAAGAGGCACTGTCCTGATTGGTTCAGCTAGGGTTTCTACTTCATTTATTTACTTCATGTGGAAGACTGAAGAAAAGGCAAGAATACCCACTGGAAGTAGAGGGGAGGCCTGGCTGCCCCTACAAATATCCACAGAATGGCACAACCCTAAGTGTCCTTCAAAGATCTGTCTCTTGGCTTCACGGCTTCAAGGTCTGAATTGTGACCATTCAGAAGACTGACATCTTCCTGGGAGCAGCAGATTTTATAATGGAGAAGCCTTCTTGGTATGTAAGAAATCAAAATAAAAGAATACGCTGGATGCGGTGGCTCATGCCCGTAATCCCAGCACTTTGGGAGGCCGAGGTGGGCGGATCACCTGAGGTCAGGAGTTCAAGACCAGCCTGGCCAACATATAGTGAAACCCCGTCTCTATTAAAAAAATACAAAAATTAGCTGGGTGTTGTAGTGCACACCTGTAGTTCCAGCTACTTGGGAAGCTGAGGCAGGAGAATCGCTTGAAGCTGGGAGGTGGAGGTTGGAGTGAGCCGAGATCGTGCCACTGCACTCCAGCCTGGGTGACAGAATGAGACTCCATCTCAAAAAAAAAAAAAAAGGAAGAAAGTTCAGGATTTGCATGGTGGCCTAGGCTCTTACAATTGTGATAAGGATAAACCTGCTTCATGTGGGACTCAGACACCAGAACTATGTCTGACCTGTGCTGTGCTTAAATGGGCTTTGCCAACACTGCCTTAGGAGTCTCCTTTTCCTAGCCCCTAGGATTAACCAGTTTGAGGAATGGCCTTCCTTTCCTTCTCCTTTTCCTATTCTAGATACATTAAGGTATTCAATCATGATTTTCTAAGGGCTTTTTCTTAATAACCAAGTAGGAATATGTCCACCCTGATGAATTCTGTGTTAATTTCATGCATTAATAATGCTCAGAGAACTGCCTTACTTCCTATTCCTTGGAAGCTAACTCCTTAGAGCTTCCTTGCACACACACTTCTAAGAGACTTTGTAAGAACTTTTTTTGTGTTTAGCTTTTGCTGAGAGGAGGGTGAAATTTAATAGAGCGCACATAAAATTTCATCTAAAGCTTCCTGTTTGTTCATCCTGGCAAAACAGAGGTACAGAAAGGCTGTGAGGGAGTACATCACTCAGCCTTGAGGACTTGTTTGCATCTGCATTGCACAGTGGGGAATGAGAATGTGACCAGTGACTAGAGTAGGTTATTTATTTATTCATTTATTTGAGACGGAGTTTCGCTCTTGTTGCCCAGGCTGGAGGGCAATGGGGCGATCTCGGCTCACTGCAACTCTGCCTCCCAGGTTCAAGTGATTCTCCTGCCTCAGCCTCCAGAGTATCTGGGATTATAGGCGACTGCCACCATGCCCGGCTAATTTTTTTGTATTTTTAGTAGAGACAGGGTTTCACCATGTTGGACAGGCTGGTCTCAAACTCCTGACCTCCTGATCCACCTGCCTCAGCCTCCCAAACTGCTGGGATTACAGGCATGAGCCACCGCGCCTGGCCAATGACTAGAGTAGGTTACTATTTATTTAGCACCTACTATACGTTCCAGGCACTGTGCTTGGCACTGGGGATGGAAAGACAAATAAGATCTATGCCCCATAGGGACCCTAATGTGAACAAATGGAGCATATTGTGCTAAGTGTTATGGTGGAGGTAAGAATAAGGTGACTTGAGAGAACTGTGTGTTAGGGGAAGGGAAAGGGACAAGGATGGAAAAGAGTAGGTGTTTTCCAGGACAAGGTAGGGAACACAATGAGTTCAGGAACTACAGTCTCCTATGCCTGGAGCCTGGAGTATGTGAGAGAAAGGAGAGAGATGAACCCAAAGAGGAAGGTATGTGTTGCTGAGAAGTCAGCAGCAATTTATCTGTAGGTGGTAGGGAACATGGGCATTAGTTTCCTGCAGCTGCTGTTACATATCAGAAATTTGGTGGCAACAGAAATGGATTCTCTCACAGTTCTGGAGGCCAGAAATGCTGAAAACAAGCTATTGGCAGGACTATGCTCCCTCTGGAGGCTCTAGGGGAGAATCCTTTCCTTGCCTCTTCCAGCTTCTAGTGGCTACTGGCATTCCTTGGCTTGTGGCTGCATCACTCCCATCTCTGCCTCTGTGGTCACAGTGCCTTCTCCTCTTCTGTTGGTGTCAAATCTCCCTCTGCTTCCCTCTTATAAGGATATACATGATTGCATTTATGGCTCACCTGGATAATTGTGCATAATCTATTTTAAGATCCTTAATTACCTGCACAAAATACCACCCCCACTCCACTTTTCACTGTCTAAGGTAACATGTACACTTTCCAGAGATTAGGACATGGGTATCTTTTGGGGAACATTTTTCAGTTTACCACACTGTGGGAGATGTTAAGCAGGGCAACAAATGAGTCAGACTTATGTTTACAAAGATCCTTCAAGGGATGGTGTGGCACAGTCAGAAAAAACCTTCTGAAGACATTGATTAAACCTTCCTCATTCTTCTGTGTTTAATGACTACTTAGTATTCTTGTGAATGAATGTACCATAATTTATTTAAGCACTTCCCTCATTTATGAACTTTTAAGTTGTTTCCAATTTTTTTCTATTACAAACAATGCTACAATGAATCACCTTGTAATGGGCCAATTGCACAATGTGCAAATATAAATGTAGGTAAATCAGGAGCCCATATTCTGGGTTCAGACTCAGACACATTGGAGAAAGATAAGAGTGGATGCCTGTTACATTTTACAATAGATAATATTAATGGATTGTGAAATATATACTGAGCACTGTTCTAAGCATTTTTGAAATGGCTTTATTGCAATAGAATTCATATGCCATACAGTTAATTCAAAGCATACAATTCAATGGTTTTTAGTATGTTCAGAGCTGTGCATGCAACCATTACCACAATCTAATTCCAGAACATTTAAATCACCCCATTAGTCTCTTACTACCATTTCCCCTCCTCCATCCCTAGGCAACCATTAGTCTACTTTCTGTTTCTATGGGTTTGCCTATTCTGGACATTTCCTATAAATGAAATCATACAATATATGGTCTATTGTGTCTAGCTTCTGTGAAAGGGAAATATCTTGGGCCCCCCCAAATTACTAAAGGGAAAATTCAAGCTGGGAACTGCTTAGAACAAATCTGCCTCTCATTCTATTCAAAGTTATCACTGTGTTCACTGAGATAAATGCACATCTGATTGCCTCCTTTGGAAAGGCTAATCAAAAACTCAAAGGAGTGCAACCATTTGTCTCTCACCTATCTGTGACTTGGAAGCCCCCTCCCCCCTTGAGTCTTCCTGCCTTTGCTTCGAGTTGTCCCGCCTTTCCAAACACAACCAATGTACTTCTTACACATATTGACGGATGCCTCATGTCTCCCTAAAATGTATAACACCAAGCTATGCCCCAACGACCTTGGGCACATGTCGTCAGGACTTCCTGAGTCTGTGTCACAGGTGCTGTTCCTCAACCTTGGCAAAATAAACTTCCTGGTTAACTGAGACCTGTCTCAAATTTTCGGGCTCCACACTTCTTTCACTTAATACAATGTTTTCGAGGTTCATCCACGTTGTAGCATGTGTCAGTACTCCATTCTTTTTTATTGCATGGGTATGTCACATTTTATTTACCATTAATCAGTTGGTGGCCATTTGTATTGTTTCCACTCTGTTGCCCAAGCTAGAGTGCAGTGGCTTACTGTACTGACAATCATGGCTTACTGCAGCCTTGACCTCCTGAGTCCAAGCCATTCTTCCTCCTCAGCCTCGCAAGTAGCTTGGATTACAGATGCCCGCCAGCATGCCTGGCTAATTTTTAAGAATGTTTTGAAGAGATGAGGTCTCCCTATGTTGCCCAGGCTGGTCTGGAACTCCCGGGCTCAAGCCATCTTCCCAAAGTGCTGGGAATACAGACATGAGCCACCATGCCCAGTCTACTTTTAGTTTTTTTAAGGTCAGAAAAAAAAACAATTGTACAAACACAAAACAATTTAACAATCTATTATTCCTTTCAACATTCCTTCAGTCACTTTTTTTTTTTTTTTTTTTGAGACAGAGTCTCGCTCTGTTGCCCATGCTGGAGTGCAGTATCCTGGTCATAGCTCATTACAGCCTGGAACTCCTTGGCTCAAGTGAGCCTCCTGCCTCAGCCTCCGGAGTAGCTGGGCTTCCAGGCACGCCCCACCACACCAGACTAAGGCCTTGAGTGATTAAAAAGAAAATCTTTTCCTGTGTAGGCACGATCGCAATATGGATGAACCACAGCCTTTGTTCCCGTCTGCACAAGGCTTCTCCCCCGTCTTTGTGTCTCCGGAGCCTTGCACGTGGTAGGTGCTCGGCATTCGTTGACTGGATCAAGTAGGGCGAGGGAGCGCGGCCCGTTCCGGTTTGAAACTGCTCTGGACGCCGAATTAGTGTTTGGCAGCGCCTGGTGGTCTTCAATCCCAGCCCCTCCGGCCCGCCGCGCCCCCCGGGACCAAAACAAGCGGAGGCGAGCGCGGGCGCGCGGGGCATGCCGGGAGCCCCCCGGTGGGCAGGTGCCTGGGCGGGGCGCGCCGCGGTTGGCGCCTGGGCGGCTGGGCGGCTGCCTAGCACCCGGAAGAGCCGTCAACTTAGCGAGCGCAACAGGCTGCCGCTGAGGAGCTGGAGCTGGTGGGGACTGGGCCGCAATGGACAAGCTGAAGAAGGTGCTGAGCGGGCAGGACACGGAGGACCGGAGCGGCCTGTCCGAGGTGAGTGAGCCCGGGGCCGTCGGCCCCCTCTCGCCGCGCTCCCGCCCTGCGTCCCCTGCCCGGGCCTGGGAAGCCTGCGGGGACTCCCTGGAGTTTCTGGACGGTAGCTCTGCCCCTTCTCCTCCTCTTCTTCTGCAGGGCTCCGCGAAGAGGTCTGGCACTACACGGGGCAGTGGCCGCGGCGTCCTTTTCTGCCCCGCGCCCCTTCAGCCCATCCTCCCTGACAAGGGGGCGGCGCAGGAGGAAATCCCCGGACTGAGCTGCGAGTGGGAGGGTGGGCGACTGGGCTGTCGGCCCCGGCCCCACCGGCCGGGGAATGCGCTTTAGGGCCGGGTAGGGCTGGGGGCCCCGAGGTCCAGGCGGAAGGAGCCTTTGCTGGGTGGGTCGGGGCCCCAGACCCGGACTGGGGTGTTGGGGTGGCGGTCCCTACCTCGCGACGGGGCTGGTGGCCGCGCCCCGAGCTCTGCCTTGGTTTTCTGTCCGGTTTAGGTTGTAGGGTGTGACACTCCCACCCGCCCCTGTACACATTGCCTTGTGATTGGGGGTGAGAAACTGCCCCCATCCCATGAGGACAGGGACCACATCTTGTGTCTCTGTCCACACTGCCCACAACTAGTCTCTAGACACCCAGCGCCTCAGGAGACTGCCTGCGTGTTGGTTTGTTTTATTAGAAAAGCTTTTTTTTCTTTTTTTCTGAGACAGAGTCTCACTCTGTCGCCCAGGCTGGAGTGCAGTGGCGCGATCTTGGCTCACTGCAGCCTCTGCCTCCTGGGTTCAAGCGATTCTCCCACCTCAGCCTCCCAAGTAGCTGGGATTACAGACACCCGCCATCAAACCCGGCTAATTTTTGTATTTTTACTAGAGACGAGGTTTCACCATCTTGGCCGGGCTGGTCTCGAACTCCTGACCTCAAGTGATCCGCCCACCTCTGCCTCCCAAAGTGCTGGGATTACAGGCATGAGCCACCGCGCCCGGCCTATTAGAAAAGTTTTGATCGTGCTGAAACCTGGCCACTAATGTCCTATGTTGTAGAACCACACAGAATGCTGCATTTCTATTTAGGGTGCTTTTAGCTTTTGTTTTCCTTTTTGGATGACAAAATAACGTTTCTCTTCGCTTTTTGGTGTATTCTTTAGCCTCCGTTCCCCATCTGTGAAATGAGGATGTTAAGATGATATGGCCAACTGGAAACTAATCAGTGTTTCTTCTGGTTTCTCAGCAAGTTCTTCTTTCTCAGCAAGCTGCTTTCACCCACGTTTGTGGTTGCTGATTTTATTCGGTTTTGTTTTGTGTGATACTGGGACTTAGCATGACATCTCCGAATGTAAGATTGCTCTCTGAATCTTCACCTTGAGGGAGTAATTCTATGGGATCGAATGTTGGAGTCACTGAAATTTAACTTTTTGATATTTCAAAACAAGTTGGTGGGTTCTTTTTAATTTGTTGCCTTTATTAATTGGTCAAGGCTCAGAGTAATTTCACGGGTTTTTTTTTCTTGATTTCTAGCCTCTATTATGAATCTCAAGTGGAACCTCAGACCGGGCCTAAGAAAGGTCTGACTCATAGGTAGCTGACCCTCGTTATTTAAAGCTTTATTTCCATAGACTGTCAACAAGCCTTTATGAACAATTGGTGCTTAAGAGGCAGACACTTTCTCTCCCTGCAGACTCTTGAGGGGTGGAGTGTTGACAGTGGGATGATGCAGATATTATTGTCTCGAAAATCATCACGAAGCAGTGGGCTGACCCTCAACAGTGGACGACTAGTAAAGTTTGCAAACATAAATGCTGAGCTTGTTTTTAACCTAAAATGGTGAACGTCTGTGTTGGATACTGTGAGAAGGGCTTTAATGTGTTATGCTGAGGCATCTGTTGGATCTAATTTAAAAAGAATAGGTGCTTCGTTCTTGTTTTAAAATACTTTGGTCAGTTGGTCAGTTTCCTCTTTCTGAGTGAGATTTCTGTTTATAACATCATTGTATGGCACTTCCAGAGTCTTGAATTCCTAGGAAATGTTTTGTTGCCGACTAACTTCATCTTGCAGGCTGTTTCAGCTTAGTGTTTACTGATTAGGTCAGAGCCTCCTTTAAAATATTGGTACTGATTTGATTGTCTCATATTTTTCATGGTTTGGGGGCTGGTAGAACTGGAGGATTCTGTGGGGAAATTGCTATTTTGTGTGGTAAGTTGAATTAGGCGCTCTTAAAATCTCTTTAAGAGGTCACTAGAAGAGAGTGCTTTTTAAAACCTTTATTCCTTTAATGCAAACCATAAAGGTGTGACTAGTTCTATTTCTCCTACCTCTCCTAGGTAGTTATAAAATTTGCATGGCAGTATCTAATTATAGCCTCACGTTGAATTTTGTGATTGATACCTCATCTTCATAAATACACCTTAAGTCTTTAGTTTCAATGGACTTCTTTCTGAAAGTATAGGTTTTATGTTTTTTATAAAGGATTCTGGGGACAAGAAAGGTATGAATAGTATCTAATTTTAAAGTGTGGAAATGAAGCAGTATTTCTTTCTTACCTTCTTCTGGTTACCAATCCTGTTTTTCTGAACAATTCTTAGTATTATTCTTGGCAAGAGCCCCTCTTCTCTCCACATCACAGAGTGAAAGGGACCTTTGTGAATAACTGCCAGTCAGACTGCCTGTGAGCGCATTGCCTACAAATTCCATCCAGGTACCATTTTAGCTACTCTAATTTCCAAAAACAATATGCTAGCACAGCTTCCAGCAGTCATGAATTTACAGACATTTTATGAGTTTGTTTTCATAATTTGGCAAAAAGAAGTGTTTTGCTTTCACTGAGTCCAGTTATGAGAAGTGGAACAACAGCTTCCTCCTTCCCTGACCAAGTGTGAATGTAAAAGAACTTGCAACCACATGTAATGGAAAAATACAGTGGTGAAATATGCCCCCCACCCCTTCCATTTTGGCAAACAGAGTAACATTTGGATGGATTCAGCTTGAGAGACTTGGATATGGAGTGTCACTTTCCTTTCTGAAGGTAGAAACCAGAAACACATTCTTGGCTGAACTGCTTCCTATTGTGGTTATTTTGATTTGTGTGAGGGCTGGAATCTCACTGAGACTGAGCGGAGTCTCGCTCTGTCGCCCAGGCTGGAGTGCAGTGGCTCGATCTCGGCTCACTGCAGGCTCCGCCTCCCGGGTTCAGGCCATTCTCTGGAATCTCACTGTTCTGTTGAGGTTATTTAGCAATCTAGATGTCAAAGCCAATTCAAATTTCATTCTTAACCTTATGGTTTATCCTCTTCAAATAGAAAGGTTGAATCTTTTAAAATTATCCGTGTTGATGCCATGTGGTGCTCAGGGAACCATCCAGTCCAATCTTACTACCACTTTTTTCTTGCTGCTGACAAGCCAGTCCAATCCTACTACCATGCTTCTTCCTGTGAACAAGCCAGGCCAATCCTACTACCGTTCTTCTTCCTACAGACAAGCCATGCCAATCCCACTACCACTCTTCTTCCTACGAACAAGCCAGGCCAATCCTACTACCGCTCTTTTCTTCCCACCTGCAGCTAGTTCTTTTCGCACCTTGGCAAGGTAAGTTCTTTGGTTTTTGCATGACTAGGAAGAGTGGTAGCTTCTCATTTTATTCTGTCCTTGGCGAGAGCTTAAATGCTTTAGTCCGAAGTAGCCTGACTAGATTGTCTGGGGCCTTGTAAAGCCTGCTACCAGAGCATCATCACATGGCTCATTTTGGAGTCCAAGGGGGTTTGGGAAACCAGACTCCTCCAGGAGAGGTTTACCTCAGCGTAAAACCAGGTGGCTCATCTGTCAGATCTTAACACTGGGCCCCTGCTGTCTGTTATCATCCCTAATTTGTGCCTTCTGTGCAGGGTCATGAGCCCAGTTCCATATATATGAATGTATAACCTGACCTAAATACCTTTCTCCTGAGTGGAGAGTAAGGTAGTCTTTGGCAATACGTGCCACACCTGAGGGGAGCCTCTCATCCTTCTTTTCAAGCTTCTGGTTTGACGGGAACTCTGGAGACAGGGTTGAAAACAGATCCCTGAGCTGGGGGTAGTCAAGGCTGACGGAGTTGCCAGTCTAATGACTCTTGACTTTCTGCCACTACCTACCTTCTTCCATCAGCTGGGTGGAAATATAGTAGGAAACTTTGACCACATTGCTAGATGGAGACTATGCTGGCCATACAAGGTGAGCCCTGTGTGAATATACATGGCCTAGCTGCCCTGTGTGGTGTTGGTCTCTTACGGCAGCTGTCTTTGTCCAGCTTGGAACAACTGTTCCCACTTGCATCAGGTGGACAGACTGGTAGGGTCACCAGTGCAAAAACTTTGATGTCATTTTTTTCCGAGACAGAGTTACACTCTTGTTGCCCAGGCTGGAGTACAATGTATGATCTCGGCTCACTGCAACCTCCACCTCCCAGGTTCAAGCAATTCTCCTGCCTCAGCCTTCCAAGTAGCAGGGATTACAGGCATGCACCACCACACCTGGCTAATTTTTTGTATTTTTAGTAGAGACAAGGTTTCGCCATGTTGGTCAGGCTGGTCTCGAACTCCTGACCTCAGGTGATGCGCCCACCTTGGTCTCCCAAGGTGCTGGGATTACAGGCATGAGCCACTGTGCCTGGCTGTTGTCATTTTTGACATGGGAAAAGAACCACTGGGAGCTACTCACAGGCTCTCCTGTTTCAGTAGTGTTTTTGGAACTCCTGGCTTCCCCTGAACTTTGCTCCAGGGAGGGATTAATCATGATGGCAAAGACTCAGGATGTAACAGGACAGTAATTAATTAACCAGGATCTGTCTCCCACTTGGATGAGTTGGCTGATGCCAGCATCCTGTAAGTACAATATCTGAACCAAGAGTGAATAATGTGGGTGAGAGTTGATGTAGGAGACGATGACCAGTGGAGCAGCTGCTTGAGTGCCGTCCCCTCATCTTTTCCTTATTTCCTGGGACCCTGCCTGGTGGAGGATCCCAGGTGGACTTGTGAGTCCCTGGTGGACGCATGCCTTTCCAGGTGTGGTCTTCATCCTGCCTGGGTTGTAGGAAGGCTCTGGGCTACTCTAGGATTGGCTGTCTTGCCTTCCTGTTCTTGAAATGGGTTGTGCTTGAGGCAAGGAGTTTCTACCTCTGAAGATGTTCAGCTGGAGGCACAGCTGTCAGCTGCTAGAGAGGAGATTCATGTCTGCATAATAACTTTACAGCTCTGATAAAGTCTGGATTTGATGACTTACATCGCCTGAGTGTGTAGGATTCTGTGCTCCTTGCCTTCCCTAATACAACTTAACACTTTCTAGATTTAGTTATGTGCTTGCTTTGTTTTTAGTAAATGTGTGTGTATATGTATTTTTTTTTTTTCAATTTTAGGTTGTTGAGGCATCTTCATTAAGCTGGAGTACCAGGATAAAAGGCTTCATTGCGTGTTTTGCTATAGGAATTCTCTGCTCACTGCTGGTAAGATTTCCCTTCCTCCTCTGTCTTTTCCTTCTACCTGTCTTTGCTATATATTCCCCCTTTTGTCCACCTCCTTTCCCCTTTTGCCCTTCACTAAAATGCATGGATGAGAGGAGAGGGGAATAAGGGAGGTGGGGAGGGAAACGGACTCCTCAGGGCTTCCTCTGGGAGCTCTGCTTGTGTGGCCGGGTGGGAGGGTTGCTCATGTGCAAACACTGTACTTTAAATTCCAGGGTACTGTTCTGCTGTGGGTGCCCAGGAAGGGACTACACCTCTTCGCAGTGTTTTATACCTTTGGTAATATCGCATCAATTGGGAGGTAACTGTTTTTTAAAAATCCAATTTTAGCCAATCATTAGATGGGAAAATGGATGTTGGTTGCCCTTGAGGGAGGTGAAAGAGGAGGCTCCAGTAGTTGTAAGGAATTTGGAGAGAAGTAGTTAGAATATCTCACATTCATATCTTATTATTTGAAAACATTTTATATCTTAGTTTGAAACACCTGGGAGAAAGCAGCAAATGTTTTGCCATCGTGATTTTACATGTACAGAAACTGCGACACAAAGCAGTTCAGTGATTTCTCCAGGGTTTACAACCCAGTCCTCCTGCTTGCTGTATTCTTACTGCTGTCAGAGATTGAGTTGATGGTTTTCAAAGGGCTCATCACTCCAGTGGCCATAAGGGAAACTGGTTTTTATTTAGTGTCAGACCTTCCCAGACCTGAGTAGCAGCTCATGTGGGCAGGGCATCTGAGCGCTTCCTGGAGGTGGGCAGCCCATTCTGCATGTTGTGGATGCACACATTTTCCAGGTCAAGCTCATTCACACTGATGCTTCAGTCACACTGGTGCCAACAACTCCACCCTCTCCAACTGGGAGCACTGGCCTGGCCTCTACCTGAATGACCTGCAGGAACCTGAGCTCAGTCATCTTGTTTCCCCCTTTTCCCTTCCCTTGTGTCTCTGTAAATGGCTTCAGAGTCCTGGGGGTCCAAGTCTCCCCTCCATGATTCCTCACCAGGGCTTGATGTAACCCTGTCTTACTGGCTCCTTCCTCTTTGTCCCCATGGCTGTTTGTGCTTCACTGACTGACTTGCATGCTCAATGGGTAAGCATTGATCACACTCTGTGCTGGGCTCAGAGGATACAAAGACAAGTCCAGTTTGGTCCCTGCCAGGCAGACAGACATATAACTCATGATATAACAAGATATGGAAAGAAATTCTCAAGGAGGGGCAGCCGACACGACCTGAGTCAGGGAGGGCTTCCTAGAGAAGGTGATATCTGAGCTGGCCTTAGCTTTGGCCTGTTATCACCCTTACCTGAGCAAGATGCATCTGCTTGGTCTCTCTGTCTCCTCCATTGCCCCTCTCAAGGCCATTTTCCACTGAGCTGTAGAGCCATTCGTTTATAGCCCTGCTTAGCCCCCTCAAGTGGCCCCCTGTTTTGTCTGTACAAATGAAGTCCAAATTCCTCAGCACGCATACAGTCAAGCGTCTTTGAGATCTGGCTTCACCGTTGTCCCATTCCCTATCCAGTGTGCTTCCCAGCCAGGCTGAACTTCTTGCATTTCCCAAAATGCCGTTGTGCCCTTGTTTGGTTGTTTTCTGTGCCTGGAATGCTGCCCTATCTGTACCTCCCCTGGTTTGGTAGATACTTGCTCATTTGTTAAGACCTGGCTCAAAAGCTACCTCTTCTATGAAGCTTTTCCTGATTACCTCCTCCTCTCCAGAATTGATGACCTCTTCCTTTGGACTCTCAGTATCACATCTATATTTATGTGCCAGTGCAGGTAGCATTTTATTACACTGACTTGTTAGATCTGTAAGCCACTTGATAAGGGCTGCACGTGTATCTTGTCCCCAGTTGTACCCAAACTTAGCTCTGTGTCTGGCTGGAAATGGGGGATGTTAATTAAATGATTGATTGCATGATTCTGGCTACCTGTGTAAAGCTTAATTTATTAGTGCTTATGACAGTAAAATGCTGACCCTTAGAGATGTCTCTTGTTGCCTGTAAAGCTTTCTCCAATACTAACTTTGGGTGGGGGGGTGTTTTGGGCAGACAGTGTAAGTTACATTGTATAGTCTAGACTGAGCATAAATATATGGGTGTGTTGCTTAGTCTAGAAGAGCTCTTTAGCAAATCCCTATGGGCTGGATTCTTCATAGACTGTGTAGGGAAATAATAAAGGGAGCAAATTGTTATTTTCAGGGTATTTGGGAGTTTGTGTCTTTGCCTGTAGTCTGTTATGGTTTTGTGTATATGCTATGTTTAATTTTTAGGACCAGCCTTGACTGTTGCTTCTTATTCGGTGTAGGTTAAAGAAGTGTTCTCTTAGTTGGGACACTTGAGAGTGAAGCCTTGCAACTTAATGGCACTTCAAAGAGAGGAAGACTTATTGGCCGGGTGTGGTGGCTCATGCCAAGTTGATGTGTTAGACATGACAGTCTGCTTCATTTGTGATTACTCTTGCTAGCCATCTCTCAAGTTCATTCATACAGAAAGCATGCTGGGGGCCAGGCGCAGTGGCTCACGCCTATAATTCCAGCACTTTGGGAGGCCGAGTTGGGCGGATCACGAGGTCAAGAGATCGAGACCATCCTGGCCAACATGGTGAAACTGTCTCTACTAAAAATACAAAAATTAGCTGGGTGTGGTGGCGTGTGCCTGTAGTCCCAGCTACTTGGGAGGCTGAGGCAGGAGAATCACTTGAACCCAGGAGGTGGAGGTTGCAATGAGCCGAGATTGCATCACTGCACTCCAGCCTGGCGACAGAGTGAGACTCCATGTCAAAAAAAAAAAAACAAACAAAAAAAACCCAGCATGCTGGGTCTGTCTTTTTAGAGCTTTGGAATCCAATAGCTATAGAGTCAAATGGTAGCTGTGTGATTTTCTCGTCTCTAAAATAAGTGTAATACATAACTCACAAAGTTGTTGAGGAGAAGAAATGAGGTAATATATGTAATATCTGGCATTTAGCAAACATTCAACAAATAACCCATGATGATATCATCATCATTAGAATTATTCCCTGAAGATTATGAAAGAAAATGAAATGCTCTACTTTTTAACATAAGCTACCTAAGCCTGTAAGGTATGGTTTTTCTTTAAACTTCCTGAGCCTTGTTTGTTTCCATGAGTAGTTATTGTCAGGGAGGCAAGGTAACACCTCTCAAGGAGAAGGCTTATCCAACCTAGTGGTATGATATGATTCTACAGTAACACCCACATGCATTTACAGCCTGGGTCTATCATTCCCTAGTTGGGTGGCCTTGGATAAAGTAACTCTGTGGGCTTTGGTGTGGTAATTGTTCCTACTTTATAGGTTGGTTGTTGATGGATTAAATGAGAAAAATGCACGAAAGGCCCTTCAGCACAGTCAGAATGAGAGCTTTTCAAATGTTAGCTACTATTGCCACAGGAAATCTTGGGGAGGCGACTCAGTGTGCCTAGTGCAGTTCTGTTCTGAACGGCTTGTGTGCGTGTGTTTGCCTTTTAGTACCATCTTCCTCATGGGACCAGTGAAACAGCTGAAGCGAATGTTTGAGCCTACTCGTTTGATTGCAACTATCATGGTGCTGGTAAGGTCTGCTTTTTAGCTGGACTTCTCAGATGGGAGTTTTTATTTCTATTGTATAGGATGTTTTTCTTTTTAAATCTAAAGACCTCTTCTCTTTTTCCGTTCAGCTTGACTTATTACCCTATTCCTATAACCATGTGGCAGAAGGGAACACTCTAAGTAATACTACGATCCCCTCCTCCCCTACTTTGTGTTTCAGTGGGTGTCAAGGTGCTACCAGTTCTGAAAAGCACCTCTAGAGGGCATTGCTTGTCAGATGAGCCACAGTGGTGTGGTGGTAGTAAGGGAGCTCAGACACCTTCCTGGTGACTGTGGAAGCCACACACAGGCAGGGCTTAGAGGGAATAACTCAGAAACACAGGACTCATTCTCTAGGGTGGGTGTCCTGTCTTATAGAATGGCCTCTTTATTCCTCATTATCTGACTTGGGGACTTATTACTGTTTTTCATCAGTCTCCCCAAAGTGGGAGTGGCCTCCTTATGGCCTGTCATCCTTGTACCCTGCTCTGACAACATTGTCTTTAGCTTTGTTGTATCTTCCTGTTCCATTGACCCTAAATGCCTCTCATTTTTGGCCTATTTTCTTCCCTGTGGTTGTCAAAATCA
This sequence comes from Homo sapiens, assembly GCF_000001405.40. NCBI lineage: Eukaryota > Metazoa > Chordata > Mammalia > Primates > Hominidae > Homo > Homo sapiens. The sequence continues at coordinate 168,235,788 of NC_000001.11, forward strand.
TTCCAGACCTACATTCTCTGGACTTTTATAGCTATTGCAACATTTGGAACTTGAAGAACATACTTTTATTTTTAGTTTCATTTATATAATCTCATTTGTTCAAATAGGTGAGTTATCAAAAGCTGTGACCACATTTCCTGTTTATTTTGTGTCCTTTTAGAGTATTGGGCACAATGCTGGACACAGAGAATATTTAGGACATATTTGAGTAGTTATTGTTATAGAAGGATGGCGAAGAAAGGCATGGCTGACTGCTCTAGCACCAGTTGTCCTTGGCCAGCCTCAGATGCCCACGGCCTGGACAAGTCTCTTGCAGAAAGAGCTTTCTAAGAATGGCCTTAGGGAAAGTGTTAGGTGATAGGTACACAAGTAACTGGCATGCTGACTGTGAGATTGATATCTCAGGTTAACCTTTGTCCTCACATGTGCTTTCTGCTGCAGAGACTAGCATTTGGTAGGAGTTAAAATAGAAAGATTTGTGTTAAGCTTACTTTAGTGCATTTGAATGAAAAGATGGATGGACGGATGAATGGGTGGGCCTGAAATGTGATTTGTTTGCTGGGCAGAGGTTCTGGGAAAACTTGAAAGTAAAAGAACATCTTATCTATGTGAATCTTTATTGGCTAGTTTGATTTCATGGAGATTTTTAACTATTCTGCCAAATATGGGTGCTCAGGTGGGTTAACTGCTTTGAGATGAAGGATGCATAAGTTTTGTGCATTTGTGAAGAATAACAAGTTTTGAGTTTTTTTTTTCCTGCCATGTTATTGTCATTAATTAATGTTTCCTTTCTTCCTTTAGTTGTGTTTTGCACTTACCCTGTGTTCTGCCTTTTGGGTAAATGTATATTTTAATTTTTCTTAACCATTTTGGCTTTTGCCCCTTGTCTCACACTCTCCTATAACCATATTATTATTTTTCCAGTGGCATAACAAGGGACTTGCACTTATCTTCTGCATTTTGCAGTCTTTGGCATTGACGTGGTAAGTAACCTTTTAAACAATCCCCTCCCACATAGCCCACTGAATAATGTAGCCAAAGGAGATAAAACTCACATATTGTGGGTGGGAGAATTAAGAAAACACAGAAGCTGTTTAATTTAAGGATTCGTAATGATGAAAGTGAAGTCAGGCTCCAGAGCAAATGCCTATCAACCCAGCCCACTGCCAATAGATGGCATTAGTGGTCTTGAGTGGTCACAGGAGGCTCCTTGTTTGCCTGCTGTGGCATTTTTGCTGAACTAATGGTTGATTTTTGAGATGTTACAAATATTATTAAGCCACTCATGTCCGGTAAGTGCAAGGACAACAAAAGTATTATAAGGGATGTTAAAAAGGCTTGTGAGTCCAATAGAGGTTAACAAAAAAGGAAAGTGGTAAGAAAAATAATGAATGTTACATTTGTGATAGAATGAATCATTTAACAGAAGGACAAAGAGTGAACTGTCAGCAGGAGATGAGGAACAGTCACTGACGAAATGGAAAAACGTGTGTCTGTGGGCTGTAGGATCAGCGTATGTGCTCAGAGGCTTGTTGGCTTTTGGTAATTCAGCTGAAGAGTAGGAAATTGTAACTCCAGAGCCAAGTATAGTAAAAGGGCCGCTGGAGACATTTTGGGAAACCATGAGTGGGGCTGTAGGTTCATGGTCCTTTCAAGCCTATACGACCTCAGAGTGAGAGGGGTGGTGGCATAGTTGGAATCTGTAGGTTCCAAGACATTTCTGTAGTTCTTTCAAAGTTTATCAAGGGATGGTATCTGCCAGAACAGTTTCAGTATAGATGTGACTCACCTATTTTTGAAAAAAATGTTTGCTACAGTGTAAAGAAAGGAGGATTGTGGACATTTTAAAGTTCTGAAGAATTGGTTAACTCCTATTTGGTAGAAATGAATCTTGAGACTGTAAGCTTAACTCCCATCCCTCCCTTTAGCAATTTTGGACTTTTGAATAAATATAGTTACAAATTGCCTTTTGGAATTTACTGTGTTGACAAGTAATTGAGCTTCTGTACATGTTAAGTATAAGATATGGAGAAGGATGCTGGTGTTTGTGTTTATGTGTGTGTGTGTGTGTATGTTTTTTTTTTTTTTAAATGACATGCACATTTGAGTGGTAGACTGTTTATATTTTGATTTTTCTTCCAGGGCAGAAATTGGTACCTATATACACACACCTTGCTTTGCTTATAGACTGATTTTGAATCCAGTTTCAGAGGTTCAGCATTCATATGGGTCCAGCTGAATGGTGATATTCCCTTCAACACTCATGTGTTCTGACTGTGTTTGCTTTTCTAAGGGCTAACTTACAGTCTGCCTGACACACAGTGCCTGGTTCTTTAGCATTATGGAGCCTGTTCCTTGTATATGGTTTCCTTCTAAGTGACAGGGCTGAGCTAACTGGAATTTACCAAGATACCTTTGGACGTACTACATTTTCACTCATAGAGTAGTTGGTAGCATTTTTTTCTTCTTCTTTTTTATTCTCTTTTCTCTTCTTTTAAAATTAATAGGAGCAGAGCAGAAAATTTATCCCAATTAGGTAGAAGTTAAATTCTGTTTAGAATTTATAAAATGTTAGGAGTTCAACTGTGCCAGGTATGGGTGGCTCACACTGTAATGCCAAGACTTTGGGAGGCTGAGGTGGGAGGATTGCTTGAAGCCAGGAGTTTGAGACTAGCCTGGACAGTGTAGCAAGACCGGGTCTCTGCAAAAAAACAAACAAACAAACAAAAAAAAACATTAAAAAATTAGCCGGGCATGGTGGCACATACTTGTAGTCCCAGCAATTCTGGAGGCTGAGGCAGGGGGATTGCTTGAGCTTCCTAGACTTGAGCCTAGAAATTCAAGGCTGCAGTGAGCTATGATTGAGCCACTATATTCCAGCAGCCTAGGTGACGAGCACGACCCTGTCTCAAAAAAAAAAATAAATAAATAAATAAAGGAGGGGGGTGCGGTTCAACTGTTCTGGGTTTTATTTGATATTTTTTCAGAATAGAGTTTCTGTGCCATCTGGGTATTTGAAATCTGACTGTTTAAGGTGATTGTTGCTAGTTCAAGGTTATAGCAGTACTGCATTGAGGCCGAGGTCATACGGGTTATCTCCACATGAACCTTTTGCCCTTCTTCTGTGGCTGCCTATCTGTACATGGCCATAGTGTGTGTGTTTGGGTACACGTGCATGCACATGCGTGGGCCTTTGTGTGCACATGCTCATCCCCCAGGCTGAGTATGGGAGAGGGTCTGGATAGATCACTGCAGGTATTCTTACAGCTCAGAAGCCCATTCTGCTGGATAATCTGCTACTCCCTTCATCTCATTTGACCCTTTGTTTTGTTTTTCATTATAGGTACAGCCTTTCCTTCATACCATTTGCAAGGTAAGACTGTGTATTTGGAAATAATGATTTCTGTCATTTTAATTCAGAGTCTGCTTTCAGAGAGTATAGCCTATTTTATTTATCTTTACTGAAGTCTTTTGAGTCAAGTAGACAAATACTATACATCTCATTTATAGATAAGTAAGTTAAAGGTCACCCCACCACCCACTCTAATTATACAACTAATGATGGATATTTACCCAGGTACACTGATTTCCAATGCTGTGAACATTCTACTCTTATATATGGTGCATATATGCACATTATTACTCTTTTAACCCGTAGCTTTGAGTAGGGTTTTTTTTTTTTTTTTTTTTATAAAGGTGAATGTCATTTCATATCACTGAGTAAGATATGGAGGGATCTCAATTCGTGCTTCTTGCAGTATCCCACTGCTGGGAAGGTTTCACAAGAGTTTATAAAGGGAGAGTAAGCAGTACCAGGGCTTCCTAATTAGCAGTGTGACCTCGAGCAGCTCTCTTGACCCCTCTGGCCTCAAAGCATCGATAAGTAGACTGAGTTGGTCTAGATCATCTCCAGAGGCCTCTTTTAGCTCTGAAATTCTAATACTCCATACCTCTTTAAGCACTTTCAGTGACGGACCTCTCAAAATTAGCCGCATGATCTTTGCCTCTGACTTTGTTCTAATGCAACTATTTAACTTCTGTTCTTTTTTTTTTTTTTTTATCATTACCTGTTAATTAAAAACAAGCTTTTTAAAAAAACTGTACTGGGCCAGGTGCAGTGGCTCACGCCTGTAATCCCAGCACTTTGGGAGGCCGAGGCGGGTGGATCCTGCTGTCAGGAGATCGAGACCATCCTGGCTAACACAGTGAAACCCCGTCTCTACTGAAAATACAAAATATTAGCTGGGCGTGGTGGCAGGCGCCTGTAGTCGAAGCTACTTGGGAGGCTGAGGCAGGAGAATGGCGTGAACCCAGGAGGCGGAGCTTGCAGTGAGTCGAGATGGCGCCACTGCACTCCAGCCTGGGCGACAGAGCGAGACTCTGTCTCAAAAAAAAAAAAAAAAAAAGTACTGAGGAAATGAAAAATTATGCATGACTTGGGAAGGAGGAAGAGCAATCTTATGTCTTAACAAATTCCAAGACTGTTGCTGACAGTGATTTGAAAGTATTGAGGAGTGATTGATTGGATGCGAAGTTAAGCCTTTCAAGTGAAAGGCAGCTGAGTGGCTTTGTTGATAGATTCTAGGAGGGTAACAGTTATGAAATACTCCATGCAGACCTGGCTGGTTTTGGGGCCTGGTGGCTTGTCTGAGAAGAATATGGGCAGGGATGTCCTGGGAAGCTAGATTTTTATGTGAAGTAAACCGGAGTTCATCATTACTGAGGATCCAATGAGATATTGATCAACCTGCCAACATATGAATATTTTTTGGTCCCTGAACCAGCTGCATAGTTTTCAGGGCCCAGTGCAAAATAAAAATGTGAGCTTCTTGTTCAAAAATCATAGGCCGGGCACGGTAGCTCAGCCTATAATCCCAGCACATTGGGAGGCTGAGGTGTGCGGATCACGAGGTCAGGAGTTCAAGACCAGCTTGACCAACGTGGTGAACTCCTGTCTTTACTAAAAATACCAAAATTAACCGAGCGTGGTGGCGTGCACCTGTAATCCCAGCTACTCAGGAGGCTGAGGCAGTAGAATCGCTTGAACCTGGGAGGCGGAGGTTGCACTGAGCCGAGATCACGCCATTGCCCTCCAGCCTGGGCAACAGAGGGAGACTCTGTCTCAAAAAAAAAGATTAAGAATTTCAAGATGGCAACATCAAATCAAGGCATTAAACCCAATGTGGACCCTTCTGAGTATGGGGCCAATGCAGTTGCACAGGTCTCATTCGTGAAACTTGCTTGGAGTCATTTGTCAGAGCTTCAGTCTTGATCTGGATTGGCATGTATAAAATTTATGTACAAGTGATTGATAGAATGAGGGAATTTTATTTGAGATAGTGAGTTTCATGTGCTGAGGAGACGAATTACTCCTCTAGTAGGGAGGGAATCACAGAGCTAGATCCCACCCTTCTATTCTTTTTTTTTTTTTTTTTTTTGAGATGGAGTCTCACTCTATGGCCCAGGCTGGAGTGCAGTGGCCCGATGTCAGCTCACCTCAGTCTCCAACCTCCTGGCTTCAAGCTGTTCTCCTGCCTCAGCCTCCATGTGCACGCCACCATGCCAGGCTCATTTTTTGTATTTTTAGTAGAGATGGGGTTTCACCGTGTTGGCCAGGCTGGTCTCGAACTCCTGACCTCAAGTGATTGGCCCACCTCGGCCTCCCAAAGTGCTGGGTTTACAGGTCCGAACCACCATGCCTGGCCCCACCCTTCTATTTGTAAGTTCCCCTGGAATAGCTTTTCCCACAGTGTTCCACAGAAATAGTGTTTCTGTGGAAGAAAAGAGTTCTATGATCAAGTAAGTTTGAGAAACAGGTTAAGCAAAATTAGGTAGGTTCCTCTTTGCCTGGCTTGCTAGATCCTTCCATATGCTATGTGTATTGTGAGCTGCCATGAGGGGGACTTATGTGGCCATAAAACCCTTCTTGTGCAGAGACTCTTCTGAGACTACAGTGCAGAGTATATCTCAAGAAATGCTGCCCTGGAACCATCTTGATATTAAAATGCAGTGCCTACTCATGGAAATGCATCCATTCACCTCTCCCTCCCTTATGTGACTCCCAATGTCCTTAGTGCAGCACAGTTGAGAACGTGGAACAGAGCTGGGGTATGAGAAGCCTAGTGCCACATTGCACAGTGTGGTGTGGTGGTGGAAATGGAAGTGCTTGCTTGGGTAGAATAGTAATTTCTTGAAGACCAACTCTTCCTTGCACCCTCTACACTGAATTCCAAGCAGTAAATACCTGTGATAAGGCCATTATAGCATATTAATAAGTGCTCAGGACCCATAGTGAGCTCCCTTCTGCTGCCTGCTTAGAATGAAGAAAGGTCCCAGTTAATATTTGATTTAATGCTGTCAGTGCATTCTGTGATTTTGACCGATATTAAAGTGCAGCAATCCTGACTGATTTCTTAGTTTCTGACAGTCTATGTTATCTTTTTCTCTGATTATGATGGCTAATCCCATAATCAGACTGTCGGGTAAGTGGGGACATCCCCTCTTACAGATGAGGAATTTGAAACTCAAACAGGACAAGGAACTTTCCCAGGATAGTACTACTAATAAATGTTGAAGCTGCAGTTTGATGCTGTGAAGGTCTGATCTTTCAGTCTAGGTGCTTTCTACTCTGCAGCTTCCACTCTGGGTGCCCTCTAAAGGAGTGCCTTTGGGGTGATGACGTTCCACTCATCTTTGTGTCTTTTCTTTCCTAGGGATGCTGTGAAGAAGTGTTTTGCCGTGTGTCTTGCATAATTCATGGCCAGTTTTATGAAGCTTTGGAAGGCACTATGGACAGAAGCTGGTGGACAGTTTTGTAACTATCTTCGAAACCTCTGTCTTACAGACATGTGCCTTTTATCTTGCAGCAATGTGTTGCTTGTGATTCGAACATTTGAGGGTTACTTTTGGAAGCAACAATACATTCTCGAACCTGAATGTCAGTAGCACAGGATGAGAAGTGGGTTCTGTATCTTGTGGAGTGGAATCTTCCTCATGTACCTGTTTCCTCTCTGGATGTTGTCCCACTGAATTCCCATGAATACAAACCTATTCAGCAACAGCACATAAGCCTTGGGTGCAAGTGATTCCCAGGTGGCAAAAGGCAGCCCCATCAGAGATCACGGGAGCAACAGTAAGGGACAGAGTTTTGGGGTCCACTTGTCCCTCAGCATGGAAGCCATCACCGTGGTCCTGCATAGAGTGAGTCTGCTTCTACTCTGGCATCTGAGAACAAGTGACTCTGCTTTAGACAAGCCCCTGGAGAGCCTGGCCATGGAGTGAGGTAGAAAAGAAGCACTTTTTGGTGGTATATGCTGTTTCTGAATTTGAATCTAAGCATTCTTGGTGTTCTGATTCTGCGCCTGACTGTGGAATGTATTTTCTGACATTAGGTGCAGACTCTTTTTCTCTTGGGTTTTATTTCCCATCCCTCCCTCCCTCTCCCTGCATATCTTTCTTTATGACCTCCTGGCACTAGATGGGGAAAGAACAGAGCAGCAGCAGAAAATGCTGCTGTTTTTTTTTTGGACGAGAGCCCATAGGAGTTGAAAAATCCTGCTGCTCTCAGCTATATTTTTTTCTCCATTATTTATAAATGTTTGCTTTTAAACTGATTTTATTTTCCATTCTCCCCTGGAGTTGGGCCAGGGGAGAGTGGGGTGGGAAGACAGATCCCTGCTGTGCAGCCAGCAGGAAGTAGGCACGCCTGCCCAGTGACCTTTAAATAGTCCCAGTGTTTGCACTTAGCCTGTGCTGGGGACACTGGGGATAAACTGCAGGTGGTCTCATGTCAGCCTGATGCCTAACCTACAAAGTGCTTTTGTGTCCACGATCTTACCTGGTTCTTATGGAGAGCCTTGTGAGGAAGCAGGGATTGTTATACCACTGTGCAGTCAAGGGAATCAAGGCCCACACTGGTTTTTGGATCCACCCAAAGCCACAGCTTCAGCCTCCTTCATGACCCCAGAGTTTCCTGGCCTGTTTCTGGTTGTGCCTCCTGTAACTGCCTGTGACTGTTTCCCTCGTTTTCATCAGCCAAGCCATCTCCTCCCTGGCCCTCCCTGCCCATCTCTTTTGGAAGCTTCTTCCTGGATCTGCAGGATGTTCACTGTCCCTTGTGTTCCCTTTCAGCTCCTCCTTGTTGCCTGACTACGATTAGTGCCCTGTCTTGTCAGCCAGCATTCCTGGCCCTCCAGGACCTCCAGAGTCATCCTACAAATGACGTTTATCTGGATTGCCTTTCTGTTCTTTGCACAGGGCCAACTGGTCCACTAGGGCTCCTCCTCTGTCACTGCTAAACCAAAGGAAGTGGCCTGCTGGTTGTCCCCTTTCTTGTGGCTAATTGCTGAACCTTTCTTTGTCCTACTGTGGCTAAGAACTCTGACTGGTTTTTTTTTTTTTTTCTTTTTGAGATGGAGTCTCACTCCGTCGCCCAGGCTGGAGTGCAGTGGCGTGATCTCTGCTCACTGCAACCTCCACCTCCCGGGTTCAAGCAATTCTCCTGCCTCAGCCTTCCAAGTAGCTGGGATTACAGGTGCCCGCCACCACGCCCGTGCTAATTTTTGTGTTTTTAGTGGAGACAGGGTTTCACCATGTTGGCCAAGCTGGTCTGGAACTCCTGACCTCAGGTAATCCGCCCACCTTGACCTCCCAAAGTGCTGGGATTACAGGTGTGAGCCACTGTGCCCTGCTGATCTTTTCTTCTGAGGCTGGGGAGGTGTGAACAAGCCTGACGGGGCCAGAGAGAGGAGCTAGTCTTCCCAGGTTCTTTCTAGGCTATTGATGACATCCAGTCATCTGCTCAGGTCACTAACCTGTCCTCAGCCAGGAAAGGAAATTTTATGCTACCCCTCTGGCTTTTGTGGGATTCTTTCACATCCCAGGTGCCTCTTGGAGACAGATCTCAGAAGGGCTGTGGTGTCAGAAGGGACATGGAGGAGGTCAGGAGGGCTCATGGTTCCTTTTCTTTAGAACTGATACGAGGCTTGGCTAGTCACTGTGAGCTCCAGCAGCTCCAGCAGCCTGGAATAAGACACCTAGAAGGCTCATCCCTCCATGTCCATGTCCTTTTTTTTTTTTTAGATTGAACAACCATGCTTTGTTTAAAAAATAATCTCAGCAAACTAGGGATACAAGAGAATTTCCTCAACCTGTCGAAGGGCATCTTTAAAATATCTACTGCTAACATCCTATGTAATGATGAAAGGCTGAATGTTTTCCCCTAAGATTGAGAATAAGACAGAGATGTCAACTCTTACCACTTCTATTCAACGTTGTACTGAAAATTCTAGCCACTGCAATCATGTTTTAATTGGGAGTAGGGGGAAAGAGGGAGGGAAGGAGAAAAATGAAAGGCCTTTAGATTGAAAAGAAATGAGTAAAACTGTCTATTCACAGATATTATCATCTATGTAGAAAACCAAATCAAATCCATTACTAAGTTACTGAAACCAGCAAGTGAGTTTCGCAACACAGCAGGATATATAATTGATATACACAAATCAATTGTGTTTCTCCATGTTAGAAGTAAAGAATTAGGAATTGAAAATTTAAAAATAATACCATTTACAATAGCATTAAAATATAAAATTCTTGGGAATAAACCCGACAAACTATGTGGATTATCTGTACACTGATAACTAAAAAGCATTGCTAAGAAAAATTAAGACCTAAGTAAATATCTTGTTGATAGGTTGAGAGACTCAACATTGTTGATGTTAATTCTTTCCCATATTAATCTATAGATATAATGCAGTCCCCATCCAAAGCCAAGCAGGCTTTTTTTTTTTTTTTTTTGTAGAAATTAAAAACTGGTTTTAAGATTCACATGGCATGCAGATGATCTAGAAGATCCACAGTAACTCTCCTGCTGTGCAGCTGGTTCCTAACAGGTCATGGACCTGTCCATGGCCTGTAGGTTGGGAACCTCTGCTACAGAGGATCCAGATTTAAATTCAGAAGAAGCTTCATCTATTTCTGTAGTTTCATTTTCTTGCAATAACTGCTGCATCAAACTTGAACTTCGCAGGATTTTCTGAAGCTGCTCAATTTGGCCATCTTGCTTTTTAATTGTATTTCTTAACACTAGAATTTTCTATTTCAAGTTTTTGTACGTGGCCTTGCGTCTCCTTAGTACATTTTATAGTCGCTGTAAGTTGATTCCATTTTTCTTGAAATTGAATTCTCATCTGACCTAATTTCTTCCTTGAATCCTACATCTCACTTTCTCAATGGACGCAGTGACGCAATGAAGCATCCAGCAAAGCTTTTGTTGTTGATTGTTTAGGACGTCACCCTGTTTTTGTTGAAGTTGTCTCACAACTACTTCTCTTTCTGCTTTCTCTCTTTCATATTGACATTGTTTTTCTTTCAAATGATTAACTTTATTGATCATCCTCTTGTTCTTCTAGCAAAAGACGGTGCTTTATGCACTCAGCTTGAAGATTTTGTGCTGTAGCATCACATTTGGCTTGACTATCAATTACTGTTTTTTCTTGATTGTCAGCTTTGTTGTGAACATCATCCAGTTGCTGTTGAAGCAACATATTTTGTCTTCGTAGTTGACATAATCTTACTTGCTTTTCTGTGCATTTTTCTACTTTATCTTGGCCACTTGTGTACATTTTTTCAATGTCCTTCATTTGACACCGTTTGGTTTAGCTCTCTTTGTATGTGTTCAAAAACCAAAGCGTTTTCTTTCAGAGCCTCTCTTGTGTTATGGAGCTCAGTTTTGAGGCACCTGGACTTACTCTCAGCTTTAGAAAGTTGCTGAGAAAGAATCAGAACATGAGAATTCAAATTTTCCTGTAAATGACGCAATTTATCTACTGTGCCCTGGAAATCAAGCTCTTGGTCTCTTTCTGTTGAGTGACTTTGATCATGATCATGTAGAGCAACATTCAGTCTACGATGGTATGATTCCATTTCGTCAGTCTTTGCCTGCTTTGTTTTTCCTTCTCCAGTTTAGAACGGAGCATTGTGTTCTCATCTGTCAGAGCAGTAAGCTGTCCACTATAATGGGCTATCGTTTTTGTTGATTTTTCCCCATTCTGTTTTAGAGCCTTTTGAAGGTCTTCATGCTTTCTTTTTATAATTTCAATGTCTTTTAAGTATTTCTTTTCCAGGATTTGATTTTTTATTGTGTGTATTTCCAGCCTGAGCCTGGCAATTTCATCTTGCATCAAATGGTTTTTATGCAACAGGTCTTCTTCTTTTTCATGACTATCAGAAATCTCAAACTGCAGAGTTCTTGTTCCCATTCAAGTTTTTGATATTCTGTGATATTTCTTTTTTTTCAGATAGTCTCTTTTGTAGTACACTAGTCTTTTTCATTTTTTAATTTTTACTGTAAGTCACTCAGTGATTATCTTTAAGTTCCACTGATCTTTTACATAAATAAACTGCATTTTTAATTTTCTTTTTTTATATGAGATTCTGGAAATACTTCTTTTTTTAAATTATACTTTAAGTTCTGGGGTACATGTGCAGAACATGCGGGTTTGTTACATAGGTATACATGTAATGTTATCCCTCCCCTAGCCCCCACCCCCGGACAGGCCCCGGTATGTGATGTTCCCCTCCCTTTTCCATGTGTTCTCATTGTTCAACTCCCACTTATGAGTGAGAACATGTGGTGTTTGGTTTTCTGTTCTTGTGTTAGTTTGCTGAGAATGATGGTTTCCAGCTTCATCCATGTCCCTACAAAGGACATGAACTCATCCTTTTTTTATGGCTGAATACTATTCCATGGGTGTATATATGCCACATTTTCTTTATCCAGTCTATAATTGATGGACATTTGGGTTGGTTCCAAGTCTTTGCTGTTGTGAACAATGCTGCAGTAAACATACATGTGCATGTGTCTTTATAGTAGAATGATTTATAACCCTTTGGGTATATACCCAGTAATGAGATTGCTGGGTTAAATGGTATTTCTAGTTCTAGATCCTTGAGGAATCGCCACACTGTCTTTCACAATGGTTGAACTAATTTACACTCCCACCAACAGTGTAAAAGTATTCCTATTTCTCCCTGTCCTTTCCAGCATCTGTGGCCACCATGCCACTTTTTAATGATTGCCATTCTAACTGGCATGAGATGGCATCTGATGGTGGTTTTGATTTGCATTTCCCTAATGACCAGTGATGATGAGCATTTTTTCATATGTTTGTTGGCTGCATAAATATCTTCTTTTGAGAAGTGTCTATCCTTCGCCCACTTTTCGATGGGGTTGTTTTGCTCTTATAAATTTGTTTAAGTTCTATGTAGATTCTGGATCTTAGCCCTTTGTCAGATGGATAGATTGCAAAAATTTTCTCCCATTCTGTAGGTTGCCTGTTCACTCTGATGATAGTTTCTTTTGCTGTGCAGAAGCTCTTTGGTTTAATTAGATCTCATTTTGTCTATTTTGGCTTTTGTTGCCATTGCTTTTGGTGTTTTAGTCGTGAAGTCTTTGCCTATGCCTATGTCCTGAATGGTATTGCCTAGGTTTTCTTCTAGGGTTTTTATGGTTTTGGGTCTTACGTTTAAGACTTCCTCTTTTCCTAATTGAATACCCTTTATTTCTTTCTCTTGCCTGATTGCCCTGGCCAGAACTTCCAGTACTATGTTGAGTAGGAATGGTGAGAGAGGGCATCCTTGTCTTGTGCTGGTTTTCCAAGGGAATGCCTCTAGTTTTTGCCCATTCAGTATGATATTGGCTGTGGGTTTGTCATAAATAGCTCTTCTTATTTTGAGATGCGTTCCATCAATACCTGGTTTATTGAGAGTTTTTAGCATGAAGGGCTGTTGAATTTTGTTGAATGCCTTTTCTGCATCTATTGAGTTAGGGAGGATTCCCTCTTTTTCTATTGTTTGGAATAGTTTCAGAAGGAATGGTACCAGCTCCCTTTTGTACCTCTGGTAGAATTCGGCTGTGAATCCATCTGGTCCTGGACTTTTTATGGTTGGTAGGCTATTAATTACTGCCTCAATTTCAGAACTTGTTATTGGTCTATTCAGGAACTCGACTTCTTCCTGGTTTAGTCTTGGGAGGGTGTATATGTCCAGGAATTTATCCATTTCTTCTAGATTTTCTACTTTATTTGCGTAGAGTTGTTTATAGTATTCTCTAATGGTAGTTTGTATTTCTGTGGTATCGGTGGTGATATCCCCTGTATCATTTTTTATTGCATTTATTTGATTCTTCTCTCTTTTCTTCTTTATTAGTCTGGCTAGCAGTCTATCTATTTTGTTGATCTTTTCAAAAAACCAGCTCCTGGATTCATTGTTTTTTTCGTGGTCTCTATCTCCTTCAGTCCTGCTCTAATCTTAGTTATTTCTTGTCTTCTGCTAGCTTTTGAATTTGTTTGCTCTTGCTTCTCTAGGTCTTTTAATTGTGATGTTAGGGTGTTGATTTTAGATCTTTCCTGCTTTCTCTTGTGGGCATTTAGTGCTATAAATTTCCCTCTACACACTGCTTTAATTTTGAAATGGAGTTTTGCTCAGTTTCCCAGGCTAGAGTGCGGTGGCATGATCTCAGCTCACTGCAACCTCTGCCTTCTGGGTTCAAGTGATTCTTGTGCCTCAGCCTCCCAAGAAACTGGGACTACAGGCATGTGCCACCACACCCGGCTAATTTTTGTATTTTTAGTAGAAACAGGGTTTCACCATGTTGGCCAGGCTGGTCTCGAACTCCTGACCTCAAGTGATCCTCCTGCCTCGGCCTCCCAAAGTGCTGGGATTACAGGCGTGAGCCACCATGCCCAGCCCCATGTCCTTTTTAATGCCTGGATTGACTTTGTGGGACATGAGGCCAAGGTACCTTTTAAGATGTCACCTGTATAGCATACTAGTAGTGAATGTAGGCTTTGAAGTCAGATGCATCTGGCTGTGAGCTGTGACTAGTCATATACTAGTTGTGTCATTTTGAACAGGTTACCTAACCTCTGGCTCCTCAGTTTGTTCATCTGTTTAAAAATTGTGGGAATAACAGTTCCTGCTGGGTCATTGCAAGATGTCAGTGAGACGTGTCAAGTGCTTAGAATAGGGCTTGGCATAAGTAGAGTCTCAGTAGGGTAGGTGTTATTTAATCCCAGAAATAACTGACAACTTTGGAAGATGAGAGTGAATGTCTCCGATCATTAATTTATTTAACAAATACTTATCTAGTACTATGTGCCCGGCGCTGTAGACACTGCCATGTTTTATCTCATTCAATATTCACAGTGACTGCCCAGTGAATGGTATTGCCTCCATCCTCTGAGAAGGTAAAGAGCCTATCCCAGACCCCACGAGTGGAGGCGTCAGGGAGGGGTTCTTGGCAGGAGATGGGTCTTGTAGAAAGGCTTCTGCTTTGCTTTCACTCACGGCCTGTGGCCAGTTTGCTCAGACAGCTCCCATCAGGACACCATTGGCAGCTTTTGCATGACCCTGCCTCCCAGGGTCTTCCTGCGTTTTTCCTTAAGTTGCCTTATTCTTTGGTTGTTTCCCTACTTGTTTTTGTTAGACTGTGGGAGGAAGAAATCCATTTCAAATCTGCTGAAACCTGTTACCAAGCAACAGCAGTGATTAAAAGCAACCTGATGAGTGAGTAAAGAATTAGGGTTTCAGACCTGTAGTTAATGATGGTCTCTGTCTCCCTGCTGCCCTGCATTCCCTTCCCTTCCGTTCACTGCTGGGTGAAGGAGGGCTTGCTGCATTTTGGAAGTTAAGGGAACCAATAAGGTGACTCTTTTGCAGATTGGAATATGGTGCTCAGCCAGCCATATGGAAGCACTGTCCTGGCGTGATCTGCCCTGGGCTGTTGGCTCTCTGAGTGCTGTCTTGGGAGGAGCACTGCCCTTCAGAACAGAAGAGATGGCTTCCAGTCCCCTCTCCCCCTTCTCCCAGTCTCTCTGAGGCTGCTTGTTGGGTATTGGGCGTGCTGTGTACTAACTCACTCCCGTCTCTTGTCTCATTATCTGAAATGCATCCCCTTTTGCAGAAAGGGCTCAAACGGAGCCTTCAGTTCTGCTCCTCTGCATAGCCGTAGCTCAGATCCTAGCTCAAGATGTCTTGTCTGGGAAGGGCAAAACATGGTCCCCAGTGTAGCATTTTCACTGGGTTGATTATCTCAGTGGTGGATCATCTATCACCCTTGTGTGGTGACTTTGTGAATTATCTGCCTGAGTGCCACTTCCCTTCCACCCTAATCACTGCAGGCTCAGGGAGCAAGAAATAAAATCATGAAATGCATTCCAAATAAAATTACCTTTTGGCTGGGTGCAGTGGCTCACACCTGTAATCTGAGCACTTTGGGAGGCTGAGGTGGGTGGATCGCTTGAGGTCAGGAGTTCAAGACCAGCCTGGCCAACATGGCAAAACCCCATCTCTACAAAAAATACAACAGCAAAAAAATCAGCCAGGCTAGCTGGTGTGCGCCTATAATCCCAGCTACTTGGGAGGGAGGCTGAGGCACAAGAATTGCTTGAACCCAGGAGGTGGAAGTTCAGTGAGCCGAGATCGCACCCCTGCACTCCAGCCTGAGCAACAGAGTGAGACTCTGTCTCAAAAATAAATAAAAAAAAAAATCACTTTTTGATACTTCTGTTAAAATAGATAATAAGGAACCATATCTTAAAGTGTGGAGGATCTGGCTTGGCTTCTGTTTTTGATAGCTCTATGAAAGTGACAGATTTGCATCATGAGACTTAGTGGAATGAATTGGGAAATTGAAGGGCAGCCCAGTGGCTATGGATTCTATTTTCTATGGGACTGTCTACGCCAGGCTTTATTTTCTCTTTGCTCAGATAACTTCTGACTAGAGTCGACGGTAGGATTATAAATGGTTTAAAATACGTATTCTCAAACCTCATTTTCAGCATATAAATTTTTAAGAATCAGTGTTTAAAGGTACGTGAAACCATTTGCTAGATTTTTGTCCTAGTTTTTTTTTTTTAATTTAAAAATCTTAAGTTTTTTTTAGTAAGCTTAAGATGTCCAGTAGTTTATTTGCAGACAGCATTTTTAAAAAGTGAATAGATGTTTAACTGAAGTTAAATACAAATTTATGTCTGTGTAACTCTTGGTAAGATATAACAAAACCTAGACATCTAAATTTTTTGGAAATTTTTATTTTAAAAGTTTGTTGGGAGGTAAAATTGTGTGACTTTACCTTCTGGTTAATAGTTTTATAGTTAAGAAGAAAGTCCAGCGAAGTTTACTTGATCTCAGTTGCACTCAAGAATAGGGGATTTAGTTCCACTTTGGTTATTTTCACTTCTACCCTAAATTCATAGTCCCTGATACTTAAGCTTTACCCTTGGCTTACCAGTTTTCATTGCAGCGAGTAAATGGGGAGTAGCAGAGCCTTTGTTAATGTAAATTGACAAAAAGTATGTCCTTTTCTAGCAGGAGCAGATAAACTGATAATGGTCTTAGAAATGTAGAAAATGATTTTTTGTAGACAGGATGATCTGTCTAGATTGTAGCAAATGATGGTACATATTCACAACAAAGTTGTGCCACTACATTTAATAAACAGCCACAAACAACAAAAGGACAACTGGTCCCCGATATAAATGGACTAGCTACCTGGACATAATATCCTTGTGAGGCATCCTTAAAGGACAAATTGCAGCTGGTATTTGGGTGAATGTTGTTGCTCTGTGCCTGTTGAATGTCCATGCTACAAGAAGTTATGAGCCTTGTTCTAAGTACAGATGAACCTTGTATTTGTGTAATCTCCCAAGGGAGAGCTATGGTTTACATTCAATTTTTTGGTCTTTCTGCTATGAAACGTGTTTATTTTGCCTCTGTCAATGTGTTTGCAACCTTAAGTAAGGAAAGGGAAAAAAAAAATAGCCCTCTGAACTCTGATCTTTTGCCGCTTCTGTAGATTTTGATTGTGAAGTTGGGAGTGAGGACATTCAAAAGCCCATGGTGAATGCATATGCCTTTAGAATATTGTGCCTGTTTTAAAATGTTTGAGCTTTTAAAATACGTTGTTAAAACATGAATCCATTTTTGTAATTGTATAAATACTCATAACTAATTTTGAATGCTACTGATTGTGTAACTGAATTTTTGTATCCAAAAATACATTCTTGAGTACTACTTTTCCTACCTTGAAAATCTATTTCATTTACTAAATATTGTTTTCTTTATGCTAACTTAACTTTAAAAGGAATGTTGCCAAGCTGTCTCTCCTCCCCCATCACAATTGTTAGTTTTTTTTGCTTTCTTTCTTCAATAAATGATAGCATTATGATCTTTAATAAATCTAGTGTTGTCTCTTACTCATGTCTGTATTTCCAGGAGTCTTTAAGCCAAAGGAAGACTGTAGAACTGTAAGAAAAAACCGTATCTTTAATTTGAATTCTCAGTGTGTAGCACACATTATAGGCACTTAAAGATGTTTTGGGGGACCTAACCTGACATGTAGTCCTCTCTTTTAAATGACTTAGGGTTTCACATGGGTCTAGGGACAGTTTGGAAGGTTTTTAAAAAGTAAGACATTTCCTTAAGTGTTTATTTTGGAAAAAAAATACACACACACATACATACATACATACATACATACAAACAAATAAATATATATATTTTTGAGATGGAGTCTCACTCTGCTGCCCAGGCTGGAATGCAGTGGTGTGTTCTTGGCTCACTGCAACCTCGGCCTCCCAGGTTCAAGTGATTCTTGTGCCTCAGCCTCCGAAGTAGCTGGGATTACAGTAGCGCACCACACCCAGCTAATTTTTGTATTTTTAGTAGAGACGAGGTTTCACCATGTTGGCCAGGCTGGTCCTGAACTCCTGACCTCAGGTGATCCACCTGCCTCAGCTTCCCAAAGTGCTGGGATTATAGACCTGAGCCACTGTGCCTGGCCTATTTTGGTATATTCCTACACACCTAGCTGGTTTAGTTATTTTGTGTAAAGTAGGTTGTCTAATTGGTGTAAAGTTGTTCATGATGTTTCCCTATTTTAATATTTGTAAGATTTCTACTTATGTCCTTTCTTTCATTGCTAATGTTGGTAATTTGAGCCTTCTCTTGCCTTGCTTAGTGTAGGTAGAAGGTTGGCAGCTTTTTTCATTGATCTTTTCAAAGGCAACTTGGTTAAGATTTGAACACACAAAGCCAGATATGTGAATGGCCAACAGATGTATCTAGTACCTATTGTGTTATCATATGAAGTTTAAGAAAATAGGTAAAATAACTCTGGACTTTCAAGTTCTTTGGTGCTTCCATTGGTGATAAAATAATGAAAAGCAAGGAAGTTATTTGCGTGAGTTAGAATAGTCATTACTTTGAGAGGGACAGAGAGAATAGGGATTGGGAGGGGAAATGATGTGAGGGTGCCTCTGGGTGCTGGTCATGGTCTTTTTTCAAAGACCATGTGGTAGTTCAATGGTATTTGATAAATCATTGTGCTATATATGTATTTTTTTGTTTGTGTACTTTTCTATTGTGTTATGTTTTACAATAAAAGAACCAGTATTTGGATTCATTGATTTTCAATGTTCATTGTCTATTATTTGATTTTTTCCTCTTATTTTCTTTCTTTTTTTTTTTTTTTGAGATGGAGTTTTGCTCTCGTTGCCCAGGCTGGAGTGCAATGGCATGATCTCGGCTCACTGCAACCTCTGCCTCCCGGGTTCGAGAGATTCTTCTGCTTCAGCCTCCTGAGTAGCTGGGATGATAGGCATGTGCCACCACACCTGGCTAATTTTGTATTTTTTTAGTAGAGATGGGTTTTTCCATGTTGGTCAGACTGGTCTCGAACTCCTGACCTCAGGTGATCCGTCTGCCTCATCCTCCCAAAGTGCTGGGATTACAGGCATGAGCCACCACACCCGGCCTATTTTCTTTCTTACACATACTTTGGGTTTAATTTGTTCTGTAGCTATTTAAAGTAGAAGCCTAAACCATTGATTTTTACGTCTTTTTTCTAATAGCATTTAAGCCATAAATTTCCTTTTCAGCACTGCATTAGCTGTATCTTACAAATTTTTATATACTGTGTTTTTAATTCAATTCAAAATATTTTCTTGTCTTCTGTGATTTCTTTTTTGACTCATTGATTACTTATAAGCATGTTAACTTCTAAACATTTGGGGATTTTGCAGATCTCTTGATTTCTAATTTAATTTCATTATAGTCAGAATATAGTCTCAATTATTTTAATCCTTTTCAATTTATTGTGACTTATTTTATGGCCTACCATCTTAGTCTAAATAAATAAATAAGCTTGATGTGGTGATGCGCTCCTATAGTCCAGCTACTGAGGAGGCTGAGGTGGGAGGCTCCCTTGAGCAAAGTAGTTTGAGGCTGTGGTGAGCTATGGTCGTGCCATTGCATTCCAGCCTAGATGACAGAGCGAGACCCTGTCTCTAGACAAAACAAACCCCTAGATCATCTAGGTTTTCTCCTATGTTATTATCTTGTAGGAGTTTTATAGTTTTTTACTTTACATTTAGCCTCTGTGATTCATTTTTTTTTTTCATGTCCAGGTCTAGCCTCATTTGTTAAAAAGATGATCTTTGTTCCATTGTATTTCCTTTGCTTCTTTGTCAAAGACCAGTTGATTATGTTTATGTGGGTCTATTTATGGGTTCTGAATTCTGTTCCTTTGATATGTTTGTCTATTCTTTCATCAATACCACACTGCCTTAATTACTGTAGCTTTGTAGTAAGTCTTGAAGTAAGGTAGTGTCAGTTCTCCAACTTAGTTTTTCTCCTTTAATATTGTGTTGGCTATTCAAGGTCTTTTTGCCTCTCCATATAAACTTTAGAATTCATTTTTAAAAATATTTATACAAAATAACTTGCCAGGTTTTTGACTGGGATTGCCATGAATCTATAGCTCATGTTGGGAAGAATTGATGTTATGAAAATATTAAGGTTTTGTTTTGTCTTTTTTCTGAGACAGGGTTTCACTCTATTGCCCAGGCTGGAGTGCAGTGGTGTGATCATGGCTCACTGCAGCCTTGATCCTTGACTCAAGTGATCCTCTGCCCCAGCTTGCTGAGTAGCTGGGACTACAGGAGCACACCACTATGCCTGGCAAATTTTTAAATTTTTTGGAGAGACAGAGTCTCACATGTTCCCCAGGCTGGTCTCGAATTCTTGGGCTCAAGTGATTCTCCTGCCTTGGCCTCCCGACATGCCGGGATTACAGGTGTTAGCCACCATGACTGGCCAAATATTAACTCTTCCTATTCATGAACATGGTATATCTCTCCATTTAGTTAGTTCTTTAACTTCTGTCATCAGAGCTTTTAAGGTTTCCTTATACAGATTTTGTACATATTTTGTTTGATTTATACCTAAGTATTTTATGTTTTCGGAGGCTAACATAAGTTGTATTGTGTTTTTAAATTCAAATTCCACTTGCTCATTGCTGGTATATAGGAAAGCAATTGACTTTTGTATATTAACCTTGTGTCCTGTAACCTTACTATAATTGCTTACTAGTTCCAGGATTTTTTTGTTGATTCTTTTGGATTTTTGACATAGACTACCCTGTCATGTATGAACAAAGTTTTATTTCTTCCTTCCCAGTCCGTATCCCTTTTATTTCCTTTTCTTGTCTTATTGCATTAGCTAGGACTTCCAGTATGATGATAAAAAGGAGTGGTGAGAGGGGACATCCTTGCCATTATGGTCTTAAACCTTAAGTTTCTTAACCTTAAGTTTCTCACCATGAAGTATAATGTTAGCTATAGGTTTTTAATGGATATTCTTGATCAAATTGAGGAAGTTCCCCTCTATTCCTAGTTTCCTGAGAGTTTTTATCATGGGTGGGTATTGGACTTCGTCAAAGGCTTTTTCTGCATCTATTGATACGATCATAGGCTGGGTGCAGTGGCTCATGCCTGTAATCTCAGCATTTTGGGAGGCTGAGGTGGGTGGATCACATGAGGCCAGGAGTTCAAGGCCAGCCTGGCCAACATGGCAAAATCTTGTCTCTACTAAAAATACGAAAAAAGTTAGCTGGGTGTGGTGGCCCACACCTGTAATCCCAGCAACCTGGGAGGCTGAGGCACAAGAATCACTTGAAACTGGGAGGCAGAGGTTGCAGTGAGCCAAGATTGTTCCACTACACTCCAGCCTAGGACAGAGTGAGACTCTGTCTAAAAAAACAAAAAACAAACAACAACAACAAAAAAGATAATCGTGTTATTTTTCTTCTTTAACCTGTTGATGTGATAGATTATGTTAATTGATTTCTGAATGTTGAACCAGCCTTGCATACTTGGGATAAATCTCATGGTTGTGATATATAATTCTTTTTTACATTCTTGGACTTAATATGTTAATATTTTGTAGAGGATTTTTGTATCTATGTTCATGAGAGATACTGGTCTGTAGTTTTCTTTTCTTGTAATGTCTTTGTTTGGTTTTGGTATTAGGTAATGCTGGCCTCATAGGATAAATCAGGAGGTATTTCCTCTGCTTCTATCTTCTGAAAGAGATCGTAGAGAATTGGTGTAATTTCTTCCTTAAATGGCTGACAGAATTCAACAGTGAACCTATTTAGGTCTGGAACTTTCTGTATTTTTAAGTTTATTAATTATTGATTCAACTTCTTTAATAAATATAGATCTATTTAGATTGTCATTTCTTGTGTGAGTTTTGGCAGATTTTATCTTTCAAGGAATTGATCAGTTTCATCTAGGTTATCAGATTTGTGATCATAGAGTTGTTCATGGAATTCTTTTATTATCCTTTTAAAGTCTATGACATCTGTAGTGACGTCTCCTCTGTCATTTCTGATATTAGTAATTTGCCCTCCCCACCACCACCCTGGCTTTTTAGTTAGCCTGGCTAGAGGCTCATTGATTTTATTGATTTTTTTTTCAAAGAACCAGCTTTTGGTTTTGTTGATTTTCTTTATTGATTTCCTTTTTTCAATTTCATTGATTTCTACTCTAATTGTTATTTCTTGTCTTCTGCTTACTTCAAGTTTAATGCTCTGCTTTTTCTTGTTTTCCAAGGTGGAAGATGATTGATTTTGGAGCTTTCCTGTTTACTAATATGTGCACACGATGCTGTAAATTTTCCCAGGCACTACTTTTGCTGCATCCCACAAAATTTGATGAGCTGTATTTTCATGTTCATTTAGTTCAAAATATTTTCAAATTTCTCTTGATTTTTTTTTTGACCCATGTGTAATTTAGAAGTGTGTTGATTAATCTCCAAGTAATTTGAGATTTTCCAGCTATCTTTCTGTTACCGTTCAGGCCAAAATAATGGAGCTTTCCCTCTGTGTTTTCTTCTTTCAGTTGTACTGTTTCAGGTTTTATATTTAAGTCCTTAATCCATTCTGAGTTGATTTTTATGTATGGTATAAGATAAGGATCCAATTTCATGATTTCTGTTTTTTAAAAAATTTGTTAAGGTGTTTTAAGAGCCCAGAATATGGTCTGTGTTGGTGAGTATTTCACATGAACTTGAGAATAATGTGTATCCTGCTGTTGTTGGATGAATTAGTCTATAAATACCCATTATATTTAGTTGATTGATGGTGGTGTTGAATTCAAGTGTGTTCTTACTGAATTTCTGCCTGCTGGATCTGTCAATTTCTGATAGAAGGGCTTTGAAGTGTCCGCTATAATAGTGGATTCTTCTATTTCTCTTTGCGTTTCTATTGGTTTTTGCCTCACATATTTTGATATTCTGTTGTTAGGCACATATACATTAAAGATTGTTATGCCTTTTTGGAGAATTGACCCCCTTAGCATTATGCAGTATCCCATCTTTATCTGTGATACCTTTCTTTTCCCTGAAGCTTGCTCTGCCTGAAATTAATTTAGCTTCTCTTGCTATCTTTTGATTAACATTAGCATGGTATATGCTTCTTCATCTATTTTTTTAAGTTTTATTTTTAAGTAAAATAAAACTTATTTTATTTTATAATGGCTCACACCTGTAATCCCAGGTGCAATGGCTCACACCTGTAATCCCAGCACTTTGGGAGGCCGAGGTGGGTGGATCACATGAGGTTAGGAGTTTGCGACCAGCCTGGCTAACATGGTGAAAACCTGTTTTTACTAAAAAATTAGGTGGGCACAGTGGCACACACCTGTAGTCTCAGCTATTTCGGAGGCTGAGGTGGGAGGATCACTTGAATCTGGGAGGCAGAGGTTGCAGTGAGTTGAGATTGCACCACTGCACTTCAGCCTGGGTGACAGAGTGAGACTCTGTCTCAAAAAAAAAAAAGTTTTAATTGACAATTATATATATTAATGGAGTATGGGGCACAATGTAATGTTTTGATATCTGTATTCACTGGAATGATTAGATCAAGCTAATTAACATTAAGATCAAGCTAATCAACATGTAAACATATGTATCACATACTTTACTTTTTTTATAACTGAGAACATTTAAAATCTATTCTTTTAGCAGTTTTGAAATATATAATACATTATTATTAACTATGGTCACCGTACTGTGCAATAGAGCTCAAAAATTTATTCTCCTATCTAACTGAAACTTTGTATTCTTTGGTCAGCATCCACTCTCTACTCCTGGTAACTCATTCCGTTTTTTACTTCTGTAAGTTTGACTATTTTAAATTGCACATATAAGTGAGATTGTGCAGTATTTGTCTTTCTGTGCATAGATTATTTCACACAGTCCACCAGGTTCATCTATATTGTCCCAGTGACAGAATTTCCTTCTTTTTAAAGGCTGACTAGTATTCTATTGTGTATATATACCACATTTTCTCTGTTAATGGACACCTAGCATGATACCGTATCTTGGCTGTGTGAACAATGCTGCAGTGAACATGGGAGTACAGATATCTCTTCAGTGTACTGAGTTCAATTTTTTTTTTCTGATTTCAATTCTTTCTAATATATACCCAGAAGTGGGGTTACTGGATCATATGGTATTCTAATTTTAGTTTTTTGAGGAACCTCCATACTGTTTTCCATAATGGCTGTACTAATTTACATTACAACAGTATACAAGCGGTCCTTTTTCTCCACATTCTTGCCAACACTTGTTATCTTTTGTCTTTTTGATGGCAGTCATTCTAACCTGTGTAAGATAATCTCTCATTGTGATTTGAATTTGCATTTCCTTGATTATTAGTGATGTTGAGCATTTTTAAATTAATCTGTTGGCTATTTGTATGTCTTCTTTTAAAAAATATCTATTCAAGTCCTTTGTCCATTTAAAAATCAGGTTATTTGTTTTCTTGCTATTAAGTTGAATTTCTTATATATTTGGGATATTAACCCCTTATCAGATGTGTGGTATACAGATATTTTCTCCTACTCTGTGAGTTCTCTTCACTCTATAAATGGTTTTCTTTGCTATGCAGAAGCTTGAGCTCTCCACATTTGTTCCTTTCCCACATTTGTTCCTTCTCATCATTATTAGAGACTACGTTGGGGATTTAGAGTGACATCTCATTATATACCTAGAAAATCAGTGCAGAATCATTTTAGGGTGTTGTTTCTGGTTAAAAATCAGATATTTGGGGGTCTGACAAATAGTAGGCTTGCAAAAACCTAACCTTTCAGTCATGGAAAGGGATGAACTGTTGGCATGGAAGGGTATCTTAAAGGGCTCTGATGACAGTGTATTGGAACTGACCCTGGAAACTAATGAAAGAGTAATCCTCCCTAAATCAACCCAAAGCTGGTAATCCCCAAGGCTGCATGTTGGTGATTAAAAAAGAAAGGTAGGAGCAGCTGTCTTTTTGTTCAGTTTAATTATGACCCAGTACCTGGGTGAGTGCTAATTTCCTGGTGGCACTGGAAGTGGGTGGGAAAAGGTGTTAGGTTTCTGCAGGCTGCGGGGACTAAATGTGCAGACGTGGATTCTGCCTGGTGTATGTCTAGGGATCCGGCCACAGTTCAGGGGAGCTCAAGCTTGTGAGGTCAGGTTGCATGGCTTTTAATTTCTGCCCTTTAAATTGGAGACATGGGCTGCTGTGTGCCAGAGGACACAGCAGTACTATCAGGTGTCAGCTAGACTGCACACCTTAATTAATAGCTCTTTTGCCCCCCCTCAACAACTAGCTACAGGGCAGCTGCTGAGCCTGTGAGATAGAACTTATGTTATTAAGCAGAAGAGAAACATTTAGCCCTCCGAATCATTTCAGCAGGGTTCCAGTCCAGAGGTCACAGCACTGGGCATCTCCTTTCCCTGGGTCCCCGTTCCCAGTATTCAAGTTGGTGTTCACGGGTGTGTTTATAGCCAGTCTGTGAACTACAGAATGTTCATCGAAATTAATGCCCCTGCTCATGGTGAACATGCAACATCATTCCTCCTGATTCTTCTTGTGTTCTCTGTCCTGGAGAATTGTCCTGCCGTTTGCCCCGTTGTCCAACTGGATAGCTGAACCATCATCCTGGATAGCTGAACCATCATCCTGGATACCTTCTCCCTTAATAGCCATATCCAGTGATGGCCAATTCCTATGGATTCTGCCTTCTAAATACCTCTGCTATGCCCTTTCCTGCATTGCACCTGCCTGTTCCTTGCGTGGTGCTGAGGTTTGAGGTATGATTGATCTGTCACCCAGGTAATGAGCATAGTAATTGATAGTTTTTCAACCTCTGCCTCGCCTTCCCTTCCTCCCTCCCCCTTTCATCTTCCATCTTTTGTGGTTTTCAAGTTTTACCACCACTATTACTTTACAGGCATTTCACACTACTCTCTGTTTAGTTTTACTCTTGTCCTAAGCAACATTCTCCTTAAAGGCATAGGTTTCAAATTCTAGTTGCATTTCTCTGCTATAACTATTATAGTAACAAATGTTAGTTCATGTGCCAACTAAAATTATTTCCTTGTGGGAAATATGGAACATTCCAAGCCCTTAATCATTTCCTCTCTAGTCTGATATTCCACTGGCTGAACTTGCTGCTATTTGAATACTCAATGCGTTAATGCCTCCTGAACTTTTCATGGAATAGTCTCCTTTTCCTGGAATGTAGTTCCTCCCTGGCCCAAGGCAAACATCTACTTCAAAACTGAGCTTGTATGTTCCCTCCTCTGTGAAGGCGTCCCTGGTTCCTGCAGAGAATTGCAAGCTTTCTCTGTTCTATGCTTCCTTCCAAACTTCCATTGCGGGAAATTTGTTGATCTCCTCACTGTAAGCTCCCTGAGGTCCAATATGCCTGGCACAAAGTAAACACTCAGTGGGTGAATGAATGGGTGAAATGATGCCAGGAAAGTCACTCCTATCCTTGTTACCATGAGCCCCATCTCTAAAATCAGAGGATGTTTGGGAGATCTCAGATTTCTTTTCAGCTCTTTCTAGTATGTGAAGAAAAAGGTATAGCAAAATTAATTGTCTGTGGACACAGGATTATTTGTGGCAGAATCCAGAACCCGCATTCTTTTACTGTTTCCTGTGGACTTCAACATTTCAGATTCCTTCTGATAAGGTGGCCCACATGGGGGAGGTGGGCACCTGCAGGCCCCAAGCTGAGGAGAAAGTCTCAAGTGAGTGGGGTTCCTGCCTGGGCTCCCGCATGACCCTTCCACTTGCAAGCTGGAGCACTCTGCGTAAGCAACTGAAAATGCATCTCAGATATTTTCATAAATAGCTAGACTTCTATAGGAATAAAACTCAGCTGTCTAACGTGAGACTCAGACATGCTTGTGCTGGGAGAAAAGCAGTTCTAGACCTCCTTGTGCCTGGCTGTTTGATTCACTCATGTTGATCATTCTTGGGGCCTTCCCAAGTGAAGATTTTCCTCTACTTCTCCTTCTTCTGCAATGTTTCATTCAAGCCACAATTTTAAGGTGCTCAGAGTTTTGCATGACATCTCAGGTCTTCCATCTCCATCCTAATATTAAATCACCAGGGCATAGCTTCTTCATAGTCTTCATAGACTGGGAATTGTCAGTATTATTTTTAATTGCATTGATTTTTTTGAGGGGGATGTCTGTGTATTTTGTTTTTAATTGATTGGACACTTTGTTGGAAGTGCAACATTCCCAGAGTCTGAGAAGAGGCATGTAACATTTGACTTAAAACATAATAGTTTTATTATTTGTTACTGAAAAATATTTTCTGATTTCTGGGTGGGAAGTTATCTTTTAATGTTTTCACATTTGGACTATCTCAAATACAGCAAAGATGTATAATTTTTTTTTTCAGAGATAGAATCTTGCTTTGTTGCTCAGGCTGGAGTATAGTGGTACAATTATGGCTCACTCTAACCTCCAACTACTGAGCTCAAGGGATCCTTTCCACTCAGCCTCTCGAGTAGCTGGGACTATAGGTATGCACCACTACAAATAGCTAATTTTTCTTTAATTTTTTTATAGAGACAAGGTCTCACTATGTTGCCCATGCTGGTGTTGAATTCCTCAAGTGATCCTCCCGCCTTGGCCTTCTGAAGTGTTTAGATTACAGGGGTGAGCCACCGTGCCTGGCCCCAAAATATTTAAAAATAAAAATGTTCTTGAAAAAAATCTTTATGAAATATCAGTTTTCTCTTAAAAATGCCTCGATAAATATTATGATGCCTCTAGATGCTATTAATTTTTTTCTTAACATCAGTTTTTGCCTCACTACACCTTGATAGATTAAATAATAAACCAAGCAATAATAATAAAGGACCTACTATGTGCCAGCTACTGGATCTTTTTTTTTTTTTTTTAATATGAAACACTTCATGAATTTGCATGTCATCCTTGTACAGGGACCATGTTAATCTTCTCTGTATCATTGCAGTTTTAGTAGATGTGCTGCCGAAGCAAGCACAGCTGTTGGGTCTTACGGTTAAAAGTAATATGGGCTCATTATATTGTAGGCAAAACAATTTAGTGATTTAATCCTAAGATGCAGATATGAGTCTCTATTTTCAAATATTGAAGATATATTGTATAGCACATTGTCTAAGATTTAACTTTGTATTTCACGGAAGTATTGTGCTGCAAAGACACCTGAAGAGAGAAGAAAATGAGTGACTTGTTCCCTAAGATGCTCGGCCAGGACCTACTTACAAAATATGCTAGGAACACAAATGTGAAGCTCTTAGAAAATAATTCAGAAAGCCAGTAACCCACTATAATAGAAAGCCAGAATATCATATCTGAGGAGGATGAGGCTTCCATGAAGTGTTATGAGCTTTTGTTTGTTGAGACTTTGAGAGAGGGTCTTGCTGTTTTACCCAGGCTAGAGTGCAGTAGTGTGATCATAGTTCACTATAGCCTCAAACTTCTGGGCTCAAGTGGTCCTCCTGCCTCAAACTCCCAAGAAGCTAGGACTACAGGCACATACCACCATGCCCATCTAATTTTTAATTTTTCTGTAGTGATGGGATCTTGCTATGTTGCCCAGGCTGATCTTGAACTCCAGGGCTCAAGTGATCCCTCACAGTCTCCCAAAGTGATGAGATTGTAGGTGTGACCCACCATGCCTTGCCCACTTAAAAAAAAAATATATATATATATATATATATATATACAATAATTCACCCCTCACTAATAAGTGAAATGGCAACAGTCATGTAGTACCATCTGTCAGGTTCCAACCTGAGCTGGGGTCTGAAGGGAGTTCGTGGATGGGTGGCAGGTAGCGGAAAGAACACTCAAGGGACCATAGGCGGTTGGGACATGGCTTTATTCTCTCCCCTCCTACAGAGTCAGCAGTGCAGTTATATTACAGATGATAATGGCTTAAAGCCTCATATGAGCTCACACAGGCAGGTTACATCAAATGGCTACATAAATATGATTATATAATGCACGGGGTTGTGCGCCTGTGCTTCAAACCTGCTGTGTCAGGCTGTACCAGATGTCTACCTCAGCCTACTCCTGATTGCAGCACAGCCATTTACCTTACACTCCACCCTCTAGGCCGAGGGAGTCCTTGTAGTGGGGAGACGTGCCCACAGGGTGGAACTTTGGACTCATAGGCCACAGCAGCAATATAGGGAGCAACAACTCACTACTAATATTCCCGCTATGCTGCCCGTAATTATTAGGGTCCAGCATAGGCCAGAGCCTAAAGATGCTCACCATGTCTGTAGGGGGTCATCAGTAAGGCTGTCAACTGCCTTGATTTCCTGGGAAACTCTTGCAAAGCTGCTGTTATGTTTTGTTCATTATCAGGGATGAAGGCACAACATTGCTTTCCCAAAAGAACACAGGTGCCATCTTGGACAGCAGTTAATATGTTGAGCACCACCCAGTTCTGCAGTACCACCTTCCTGGTTTGATCAACCTCATCTGTTAACAGAAGGAGGGCAACTCGGGTGTAATTCAAGGCTCAAGCTGTGTGCTCTGCAAGGGCCGTAACTTGCATTTCTACAAGGGCCGTAACTTGCATTTCTACAGATGACACCATTAACACGAGGGATGGTTAATGCTAAGGGGTAGAGCCACCAGGAGGTTCGTTGCACTCACAAAAGCTGGGAACGTAGTGCCTCCCAGTTATGTGGGCACCTAGGTAATGTGGGAATAACAGTGGCAGGCACATAAGGCCTCCCCTAGGTACAGCAGCCAGTCCAATTCACTCGCAAAGATGACCATCCTGTGTCTTCATATGTCTATAAATTTCCAGGGGGGCACTAAGTCCACTGGGGCCCAGCATTGATGAGGCAGCCAATTCCATTGCACCTTTGGTGTGGTGACATATGTTATATTTGTGCAGGCTATGGCAGGTAACCACCCCACGGTGACATTGCCCCAATGCTGCTCTATACATCATGGTACCTGTGGTAGGGGCACCACATGTTCTCCCACTAACCAGCCCCATCCATCATAGTCGCTATGGGTCACCCAGTGGGTGGGCATGCTATGGGTTTTGTGGCATCCCCTATCCAAAACTTGTCATGTTGCATTCTAAACGTTGGCCTTGGGACCCCAAATGTCTAACCATGTCCAGTTTTCCATAGAACCTAGATATATGTGCCAGGGCAAGCCATCCACAGCTGCTGCTGGAAGGGCAGTGCAGATTCAACAGTTGGAAACATTGGTCACCTCAGTGTAGGTGTGTGCCCAGTCCACAATGCTGTTGGAGCATGTCAGCCTATGGTCAAAACGATAAAGCAGTCACACCCCTCAGGCAAAATACAGGCCAACCTTTCATTCCTGAATAACAATGCAGCCACCAAGGGCTTCTGCCTAGGCAATGGCACCACATCTTCTCAGCTCCCCATGGTTCCTTTGGGTCCTGTATCTGTGCCAAAGTCACTGGGGAGCTCATAATAGGCCACACAGATAATACATATGGACCCCAGAGGAGGATTCCTTCCCTGGCCATTCCTCTATGAACGGTCAATCACGGAGGCCATATATTAAATACCTAAGGAGTGACATGTAAATCATACTGTTGGCCCTCCTCCTAGGGGCTACGATAGCTAACCATTGGCAATGGGGGGCTTGGAGGGTCCATGGCCAAAGCCAGGTTCTTTGTTCCCCTGACTTTAGGGGTGCTGGGGCAGGCAACAACAGGTTACTGTTTGTCCCCATACCTGGTCGGAGGAGGTCATCCCTGGTGCGTATCTGTAACTGGATGGGGGCAGCGGCCTGGTATAGCAGTGCCTCCACCAGGGCTGGGCCACCTTTCCGTGGCCGTTCATTCAAGATTTGGAGCACCAGGTCCAACCATGAACTCCAGCCCTGCAAAGATGGGGGAGTAACATGCAAGCATAACCCGTTTTTCAGGAGTCCATTATATCATTCAGTCATACCAGTAGCTTGTGGAACATGGAACCTCCACTTTATGTCCATCTGTTGTGCCCACTGTTGTACCTGCTGTCCAGTAAAATGTGTTCCCCTATTGCTTTCAATGATCAGGGGACAACCATATAGGGCACACAAGTGTTGCAGGGCCTAAATGGTGTGTTGTTGGTCAGTTATCCTGCAAGGGTAGGCAAATAACAGACTGGTGGCCATGTCTACAGCCGTCAGTACATGTGTATGCCCCTGTGACCTTGGAAGCGGCTCAATGTAGTCTATTTGCCATCTAGCCAAGGGCATCCACCCTACCATCACTTGTTGTGTAACCCTAGGCAGCTCCCTGTCTGGTGTATGTCCGTGTGCATGCTGGGCACTTCTGGCAGGCCTCCCAGATATCTTATGTTGGCAAGGATAGACCCCAGCGCTTACTGACCTGTTGCATTAGTTTATCCCTCGCATGGCCCAATTTTTGGTGCAGGCATAGGGCTATATCTTGTGTAGATGCTGACTCCAACCACTGGATCTTGGCCAAGGTATCTGCCTCATCATTGCCGGGGGCAGCCAAAAACACAGGGCCTGACACATGATAAATAGTTACATCCTTTTGGTGGCCCATTTCCCATAGGTTTTGCCACATGGCCTGGCCCCAAATGGGCAGGTGGCCAACTAGCCAATTCTGTAACTTCTAGGTAGTTAACCACAAGGTCAGGCCTCGATAAGCTGCCCAGCTGTCAGTGCAGATTACCACAGGTGTCTCCTCCTTGGTGATCACCATCCATACTGCCCTGAGTTCAGTCCATTGACTACTTTGTCTACACCCAGTATCAAACCATATGGTTTCAGTACTAGGCTGGACGACGACAGTTGTCCAGGCAGCAGTAGCACCCCAGCTGGACTCATCCATATACCATGCCCCATCAGGAATGGGGGGTGCCCTTCTTTAAACAGTGATGGCTCAGGGTTTAAGAGTGCCTCAGGCTGACCCATAGCCTTATCTTACGTTGGAACTACAGGTCCCAAGACTTCTTGTAATTCTGCTGCTAAGGGGCTTGTACTCAGTGTGCTCCACTATTCTAAGTAGGTGCCCCACTTTGCTAAGGTGGATGTCTGTGCCATCCCAGTCCAGGGGGTGGTTACCCATGAATGTACCCAACCCGCTATTGGGTAAGTCATTCAGTCGATGACTGTAGCCCTTCCTGTCACACTCACAAGCCTGAAGGGCAGCATATGCAGCTGCTAATTGCTTCTCTATCGAGAGATACCAGAAATCAGCTCCCTTCCAAAGTTGGGACCAAAAGCCTAGTGGTGTTCTAAAGTGCTCCATGCTCTGCCATAGGCCCCAGCCAAAACCATCTGCGGTCACATGCACATCAAGTTCAAATGAGCACCCTGGGTTAATTACTCGTAGGGCCTGTGCTTGCTGTATGGCCCACTTGGCTGCCAGAAAAACCATTTCAGCATCATTGTCCCAATCCCAGGTAGCTCCCTTTTTTGTCAACTGATACAATGGTTTTACCATCTGAGCTAAATGGGGGCAGGAATGCCCGCCAATATCCTAAGAGGCCCACAAAAGTCTGTAGCTGCTTCATCATTGTGGGCTGGGGATATGCTGAATTTTATCAACGGCCTCTGGTATGCCCTTCTTCTTACCTCAGCAGATAACTCCCAAGAATTTGGCAGACCCCTGGACCTTGGAATCCAGGCCCTTGGACCTTGGATTCGTTGATAGCCCAAATGCGTGCTGCCAAATGTTATTGCAAGAGGGGTGCCGCTGCTTCTAAATCTGCAAGAGAATCAGAGGTTAACATAATAGCATCAATATAATGGAATAGGTGGACCCCCTTTGGACATTTCTAGGTGGCTAAATCCATGGCAATGAGACAGTGGCGTATGCTGGGGCAATGCACATAGTCCCGCCTCAACACTGTGAGAGTCCCTTGTTGCCCTTTCCATGTGAAGGCAAACTGTTCCTGGCTCTCTGGAGCAATGTCAATTGAGAAGTATGTATTGGCAAGTCTACCACATAGCGGTACTGTCCCAATTCCGTCGTCAAGCGGCCCATCAAATCAGTGATAGACAGTACAGCTGCATGTAAAGGGAGTGTTACTTTATTTAGTTCTCAATAATCCACCATCATTCGCCAAGTTCCATCAGGCTTTCTGACTGGTCATACCAGAGCATTGTAGGGGCTGTGGGTGCCACGCACTATCTGCACCTCCTTTAACTTCTTAATAGTCTCAGTTTTCTCTGTATGCTCACCTGGAAAGCGGTATTGACGGGTGGAAGTAACTTGTCAGGGTTATGGCAGGACCTGGGGCTGGCGATGCGTATGTCCGCACAGTACCAGCTTAACCACAAGTACTTGGAGTCTGAATTCTCTGGCTGTGGTTTGTAAAGCCAAGCCATGTAAAATATCCACCCCCAGAATGTATTCAGGTATGGGAGAGACATATGCAATTATAAATGGAGAGCTAAGTGGCCGATGCCAAGGTGCAAAGATACAGGTTTCACTTTCACTGACCGGCCTCCATAGCCATCTGTATATGTAACCTTGCCCGGAAATTTATTCGGGTGCCCATAGACGAGGTACAATCTGCACTGGTGTCTACCAGTGCCAGCACCCACCATACGCTGGTGGGGGACCAGTGGATTGCCTATTTCACATGTGGCCTTTGGTTGTCTGGTATCCCCCCAAGCCGGGCACCTTGGCCAGTTCCCTAATCAAACACAAAAGGCTACCTCCGCCCGTCTGCAAGTAGTCCTTGAGCTGGAGCGTTGGGTGGGACTGGGTCCAGCAGCATCGTTCTTCTCCCTCTTGGACACTTTCTGGAATTGCTGCTTCGGGAACAATTGCCTCCACAAAGTTAACAGGACTTCATTGGATTGCCTATCAATTTTCTCTCGGTCAGCCCCAGCCAAAATCAAATCAATCCACATCTGCATGTGGGTCACCCATTGGGGTCCCATTTTGTCCCATGAGGTGGCCCCCTGTGGAACAGGTACCTTCTCCTTTTTTGTGGCACTGACTCCCTGGTCCCAAATGATGGTCCTCTGCTTCCCTAAGGAACGCCATGGTGGTAGTCACCTCATGTATGTGGTGCCCCACATACAGAGTGAGAACAACGGCCTGGGAGCTGAAGGCACTCGGGAGTGCAGAGCCTAACACAAGGTCCCTCATGTGGGAGGTAAAGTGTTCATCATCTGGCCCTCGGGTATTCAGATTGAACATAGCCTGCCACATACCCATCTCCTGAATTACTTGCACCAAATCTGTGTACAACTGCTATTTACTCATAGTTTCTGATATTTCTCTGGCATTGTTCCATGCCGATCAGCTATTCAATTAGAGTGTGGTTGCCTTGCCCCTATGCTAATTGTTCCATACCGTTCATATGGCTACCATCAGCTATTCAATTAGAGTGTGGTTGCCTTGCCCCTGTGCTAACTGCCTGCTTACCTGCAATCAGTGACGCAGGGAGAGATGGGTCATAATGGAGGTCTACTTTTCCATTTCAGAAGTGAAGCAGACGATACTGTTGGCTCCCTCATCCCAAAGGTGAAGCGTCCAGGCGGGTAGGGGTTCCCCCAAACGCTGCCAAAGCTGTTTACCTAATTCCCGCAACTCAGTTGGGGTATAGGAACTGCATGACGTGTGCTCCGTCATGGTAGGGGTCTCTGTGCCCGCCATTTGTGGGGCTCCAACAGGTGTTCATGCTCTATTTTCTGACAGACAACTGGGCGAGCCCGAAACAGGGGTTCTTCCTCCTAGGTATCAGAACAAGCGAGGGTCTCTGGCTGGGATGGTGGGCCCAGGCCCACACTAATGGCAGCTCCTAATTCTCATTCCAAGCTGTGTATCCGGGCCTCCTGGCACTCTGCTTGTTCCTGGAGGTGCCTTTACCTGTGTGCATCCCGCAGGGACTGAGTGTGTGCTTCCCGTAGTACAGTCAAAAACGCCCATCCAACTCTGCCGGCAAAAGCAGCTCCTTCTTGGTGCTCTGTCCTTCTGGGTGCTTCAGCCCCTTCTCCATGCTCATGGGAGACCTGTCCACCACCGCCCATGTTTCCACTGGGGCCCATCCTAGCATCACAGCTGCCACCAGGTACCATAACCCATGCTGGGGCCACATGGCCCCCCCGGGATCATCGGGGCCAAGGACTCACTCACTCACCTTGGGATCCTGCTGACTACGCCAATTGTCAGGTTCCAGCCCGAGCTGAGGTCCAAGCGGAGTTGGTGGATTGGTGGTGGGTAGCTGAAAGAACACTCAAGGGACCATAGGCAGTTGGGACATGGCTTTATTCTCTCCCCTCCTACAGAGTCAGCAGTGTAGTTATACTACTCACAGACAATAATGGCTCAAAGCCAGGTACCATCTCACACAAACTGGTTACATCAAATGGCTACATACATGTGATTATATAATGCATAGGATTGTGTCCCTGCACTCCAAACCCAGTGTGTCATGCTGTACTGGATGTCTACCTCAGCCTACTCCTGACTGAAGCACAGCCATTTTCCTTACACCATCAATACATATCAGAGGAAACGCTAGATTGTTAGAGTTGGGAAATACCTTAGACATTATTTAGTCCAGAGATTTGGAAACATTTTTAAAAACTTTTATATCTAATTTAAAAAATATGAAAACACTTTCTCACTTATTTTTTCTTCATAACAAAACCTTCCATGGCAGGCCAATATATAACAGGTAAAAAAGAATTTTTATGGTTAAGGGAAATACAGTGGGATGGAGGAGCTCCACCTGCTAGTTTTCTATTAACCCAGCCTGACAAGAGAATTGAGACCACTCATGAGAAAGTCTTTCTTGCTGGTTCCCTAAAAGTGACATGACTTGTACACCTTGGTACTCTGTGCTCAGATGGAGATTAATTGGCGGGGGGAGTCATTCATTTTTTTTTTTTGAGATGGAGTCTCGCTCTGGCACCCAGAATGGAGCGCAGCGGCATGATCTCGGCTCACTGCAAGCCTCCTGGGTTCAAGCTATTCTCCTCCCTCAACCTCCTGAGTAGCTGGGATTACAGGTGCCTGCCACGACGCCAGGCTAATTTTTTTTTGTATTTTTAGTAGAGACGGGGTTTTACCATGTTGGCCAGGCTGGCTTTGAACTCCTGATCTCAAGTGATCTACCTGCCTTGGCCTCCCAAAGTGTTAGGATTACAGGCGTGAGCCACCGTGCCTGGCTGAGTCATTCCTTTTCTAACTCTTCTCCTGGTTCATTGAATATTGGACAAGTCCTTTTTTCCTTTCTTACCTGTTTTTTTCATCTATATTATGGAGATAATTAGAATCTCCTGATTTTCTCATTGTGTCTCTGAATGAATGAATTCCTGGAAATCGAAGGGTTAAAATGAAGTCTACCTGTTTGGACTCCCTGGGCTTAAATACCTGCCTTAGTAGTCATTGTCTAGGTACTTGTGGTCAAGTTACTTAACCACTGTGACCTTCAAGTTTCTCACCTATAAAAGGGGTATAATTACACCACTTACCTTATAAGATTGTTATAAATGAGATGTAAATATGATCAGCATGTTTTATTATTGTCAACACTACTTCTAAAAAATACAGTGTAAGAAAACAATTATGGATGTTCCTAAATATTTATTACCTGGAATTTTAATTGTTTAAACTTATAAAAAAAAGTAAATACATAGGAATATTAGATTGGTTAAAAAATGGCTCATTTATAAGATGGGATAATTTGCAAGTGTCAAGATAATGTAGAAAATTATTTGGTGACATGGGAAAAATATTCTTTGTATGTTGTTAAATTTAAAAGATTAGATTATAAAATCTTGTTATTGTTTTATTTATTCATAGGGCTAAAGGGCAGTCATTTTCTTCACTTTAAAAAATTGTTTAAAAATATTTTATTTTTAGGCTGGGTGCAGTGGCTCATGCCTGTAATCCCAGCAGTTTGGGAGGCTGAGGCGGGTGGATCACTTGAGGAGAGGAGTTGGAGACCAGCCTGGCCAACATGGTCAAACCCTATTTCCACTAAAAATACAAAAATTAGCCAGGCACGGTGGTGAGCCCCTGTAATCCCAGCTACTCGAGAGGCTGAGGCAGGAGAATTGCTTGAACCTGGGAGGTGGAGGTTGTGGTGAGCCAAGATCATGCCACTGCACTCCAGCCTGGGTGACAGAGTAAGACTCTGTCTCAAAAAAAAAAAAAAAAAATTAATGTTATGGGTACCTAGTAGGTATATATATTTATGGGGCACATGAGATTTTGATATAGGCATACAATGCATAAAAATCAAAACAGGGTAAATGGGATATCCATCACCTCAATCAAGCATTTGTCATTTCTTTGTGGTTATAAACATTTCAATTATACTCTTTTAGTTATTTAAAAATATACAATAAATTATTATTGACTGTAGTCAACAATACAACTAGATTTTATTCATTCTATCTAATTATATTTTTGTACCCATTAACCATCTCTACTTCCTACTACTCTCCCACTACACTTCCCAGCCTTTGGTAAACAGCATTCTACTCTCTGAGTTCAATTGTTTTAATTTTTAGCTCTCATACATTAGTGAGAACATGCAAAATTTCTCTTTCTGTGCCTGGCTTAGTTCACTTAACATAATGACCTCCAGTTCCATTCATATTGTTGCAAATGACAGGCTTTTATTCTTTTTTTATGGCTGAATAGTACTCCATTGTGTATACGTACCAGATTTTCTTTATCCATTTGTCTGTTAATGGACACTTAGGTTGCTTCCAAATCTTGGCTATTGTGAAGAGTGCTGCAATAAACATGGGAGTGCAGGTATGTCTTAAAAAAACTGATTTCTTTTCTTTGGGGGTATATACCTAGAAGTGGGATTGCTGGATCGTATGGTTATTCTATTTTTAGTTTTTTGAGGAACCTCCATACTGTTCTCCATAGTGGTTGCACTGATTTATATTCACACCAACAGTGTGTATGGGTTCCCTTTTTTCCACATCCTCGCCAGCATTTGCTATTGCCTGTATTTTGGATAAAAGCCATTTTAACTGGGATGAAATGATATCTCATTGTAGTTTTCATTTTCATTTCTCTGATCATCAGTGGTGTCGAGCACTTCTCATTTGCCATTTGTATGTCTTCTTTTGAGAAATGTCTATTCAGATCTTTTGCCTATTTTAAAATCAGATTATTAGATTATTTTTCCAGTTGAGTTTTTTGAGCTCCTGATATATTGTGGCTATTAATCCCTTAATAATTCTGGTTTGCAAATATTTTCTCCTATTCTGTGGGTTGTCACTTCACTTTGTGGATTATTTCCTTTGCTGTGCAGAAGGTTTTTATTAATAACTTAATGTGATCTCATTTGTCTATTTTTGCTTTGGTTGTCTGTGGTTTTGTGGTATTACCGAAGAAATCTTTGCTCAGACCAATGTCCTGGAGAGTTTCCCCCATGTTTTCTGTTAGTATTAATAGTTTCATAGTTTGAGGTCTTAGATTTAAGTCTTTAATCCCTTTTGATTTTATTTTTGTATATGGGGAGAGATAGGGGTTTAGTTTAATTCTTCTGCATGTGGATATTCAGTTTTCTCAGCATTATGTATTTATTTATCATAACATTCTTTTCTGTTGACCCCAAATTTTTATTTTATTTAAAAATTTTTTTCTTTCCAACTTTTAGGCTCAAGGGGTACATGTGCAGGTTTATTACATGGGTAAATTGCATGTTTCAGGGTTTGGTGTACAGCTAATTTTGTGACCTAGGTAATTAGCATAATGCCTGATAGTAGTTTGTCAATCCTCACCCTCTTCCCACCCTCCAGCCTCAAGTAGGCCCCAGTATCTGTTGTTCTCTTCTTTGTATCTGTGTGTACTCAGTGTTTAGCTCCCTCTTATAAGTGAGAACATGTAGAATCTGATTTTCTGTTCTGTGTTAAATCACTTAGGATAATGACTGTCTATGTTGCTGCAAAAGACATGATCTCATTCTTATGGCTGTATAGTATTCCAAGGTGTATATGTACCACATTTTCTTTATCCAGTCCACCACTGGTGGGAATCCAGGTTGATTCCATGTCTTTGCTGTTGTGAATAGTGCTGTGATGAACATTCGTGTGCATGTGTCTTTATGGAGAATGGTTTATATTTCTTTTGGTATACACACAGTAATGAAATTGCTGGGTCTGATGGTAGTTCTATTTTAAGTTCTTTGAGAAATCTCTAGACTGCTTTCCACAGTGACTACACTAATTTACAAAATTCCCACCAGCAGTGTATAAGCATTCTCTTTTCTCCACAATCTCACTAGCATCTGTTACTTTTTGACTTTTTAGTAATAGCCATTCAGACTGGTGTGAGATTGTATCTAATTGTGGTTTTGATTTGGGTTTCTCTAATGATTAGTGATATTGAGCATTTTTTCATATGCTTGTTGGCTGCTTGTATGTCTTCTTTTGAGAAGTGTCTGTTCATGTCCTTTGCCCATTTTTTAATAAATATTTTTTTTGCTTGTTGATTTATTTAAATTCTTTATAGATGCTGGATATTAGACCTTTGTCAGAAGCATAGTTTGCAAATTATTTTCTCCCATTCTGTAGGTTGCCTGTTTATTCTATTGATAGTTTGTTTTGCTGTGCAGAAGCTCTTAAGTTTAATTAGGTCCCACTTTTAATCTTTTTTTTTTTTTTCTTTTTTTGAGACAGGGTCATGCTATCTCACCCAAGCTGGAGTGCAGTGGCATGACCTTGACTCACTGCAACTTCCACCTCCCAGGCTCAAGCGGTCCTCCCTCCTCAGCCTCCTGAGCAGCTGTGACTACAGACATGTACCACCATGCCCAGCTGAGTTTTGTATTTCTTGTAGAGATAGGGTTTTACCATGTTGGCCAGGCTGGTCTTGAATTCCTGGGCTCAGATGATCCACCTGCCTTGGCCTCTTAAATTTGTGAGATTACAGGTGTGAGCCACTGCACCTGGCCAATTTTTGTTTTGTTGCAATTGCTTTTGAAGTCTTCATCATGAAGCCTTTGACAGCACCAATGTCCAGAATGATATTTCCTGGGTTTTCATCTAGGGTTTTTGTAGTTTTAGGTTTTACATTTAAGTCTTTAATCCAACTTGAGTTGAATTTTATATTTGGTGATAAATAGTGGTCCAGTTTCAATCTTCTGCATATTGAGAAGATTGAGATAACTAGCCAATTATCTCAGTACCATTTATTGAAGAGGGAGTCCTTTCTTCATTGCTTGCTATTGTCAGCTTTGTTGAAGATCAGATGGTTGTAGGCGTATGGTTTCTTTTTTTGGGTTCTCTAACCTGTACCAGTGATCTCTGTGTCGACTTTTGTACCAATACCATGCTATTGTAATTACTGTTGTAGCCTTGTAGTACAGTTTGAAGTTGAGTGGTGTGATGCCTCAAGCTTAGTTCTTTTTGCTTAGAATTGCTTTGGCTATTTGGGCTCCTTTTTGGTCCCAATGAATTTTAAAATGATATTTTCAAAATCTGTGAAAAATGTTGGTAGTTTTACAGGAATAGCATTGAATCTGTAAATTGCTTTGGACAGTATGGCCATTTTAAAATATTGATTCTTCTTATTCATGAGTATAGACTGTTTTTCCATTTGTTTGGGTCATCTTTGATTTTTTTTTTTAAGCAGTGTTTTGTAATTCTTGTTGTGATCATTCACATCCCTGGTTAGCCATATTCCTAGGTGTTTTAGTTTTTGTTTTTTGTGGCTATTGTGAATGGTATTGCATTCATTATTTAGCTCTCAACTTGGACATTGTTGGTGTATAGCAATGCTAGTGACTTTTGTACACCGATTTTGTGTCCTGAAACTTTGCTGAATTTGTTTATCATATCTAGGAGCCTTTGGGCAGAGACTGTAGGGTTTTCTAGGTATAGAATCATATCGTCTGCAAAGAAGGATAGTTTGACTTCCTGTCTTCCTATTTGGATACCTTTTATTTTTCTTTTGCCTGATTGCCCCAGCTAGAACTTCCAGTACTGTGTTGAATAGGAGTGGTGAGAGTGGGCATCTTTGTCTTGTTCTGTTCTCAAGGGAAATGCTTTCAGCTTTTGCCTCTTCAGTATGATGTTGGCTGTGGGTTTGTCATAGATGGCTATTATTTTGAGATGTGTTCCTTTTTGATGCCTAGTTTGTTGAGGATTTTTAACATGAAGCAAGGTCGAATTTAATCAAGAGCCTTTTCTGCATCTATTGAGATGATCATGCAGATTTTGTTTTTAGTTCTATTTATTTGATGAATCACATTTATTGATTTATGTATGTTGAACCAACCTTGCATCCCAGGAATAAAGCTTTCTTGATTGTGGTGAATTGGATTTGGTTTGCTAGTATTTTGTTAAGGATTTTTGCATGTATGTTCATCAGGGATATTGGCCTGAAGATTTTTTTTTCTGCCAAGTTTTGGTATCAGAATGATGCTGGCCTCATAGAATGAGTTAGGGAGAGTTCCTCCTCCTCTATTTTTTGAAATAGTTTCAGTAGGATTGGTACCAGCTCTTTATATGTCTGGTAGAAATCAACTGTAAATCCATCTGGCCCAGGGCTTTTTCTGGTTGGTAATTTTTTTATTACTAATTCAATTTTGAAACTTGTTATTGATCTGTTCAGGCTTTCAATTTCTTCCTGGTTCAGTCTTGGGAGGTTGTATGTTTTCAGGAATTTGGTCATTTCTTTTAGGTTTACCAGTTCGTGTCAGCACCATCTATTGAAGAGACTGTCCTTTCTCCAATGTATGTTCTTGGCACCTCTGTCGGAAATGAATTCACTGTAGGATTTATTTCTGGGTTCTCTATTCTGTTCCATTGGTCTATGTGTCTGTTTTTATGCCAGTACCATGCTGTTTTGGTTACTATATCTCTTTAGTATAATTTGAAGTCAGGTAATATGATTCCTTCAGTTTTTTTTCTTCTTGCTCAGGATGGCTTTGGCTATTCTGCATCTTTTATGGTTCCATATGAATTTTTAGGATTTTTTTTTCTATTTCTGTGAAGAATGTCATTGATATTTTGATTGGGCTTGCATTGAATCTGTAGAGTGCTTTGTGTAGTATGGACATTTTAACAATATTGATTCTTCCAGTCCATGAACATGGTTTATCTCCCCACTTTTTAATGTACTCTTCTATTTCTTACATCAATGTTTTATAGTTTTCATTGTAGAGATCTTTCACTTCTTTGGTTAAGATTATTCCTAGATATTTTATTTTATTTGTAGCTGTTGTAAATGGGATTACTTTTTTGATATCTTTTTCAGATTGTTCACTGTTGGCCTATAGAAGTGCTATATTGATTTTTGTATGTTGATTTTGTATCCTGCAACTTTATTGAATTTGTTTATATATTCTAATAGTTTTTTGGCAGAGTCTTTAGTTTTTTCCAAATATAAGATCATATCATCTGCAAACAAGGATAATTTGACCTCCTGCTTTCCAGTTTGGATGTCTTTTACTTCTTTCTCTTGTCTGATTGCTGTAGCTAGAACTTCTAGTATTATGTTGAATAACAGTAGTGTAAGTGGTCATCCTTGTCATATTCCAGTCTTAGTTCTGTTTTTTCTTCATTTCTCCCTTACTGGTGCTTCAGAACACTTCACATTTCTGTATTGGAATTCCACAAGCGTGTCTTTCTGTCCCTTCTAGATTGTAAAACTATTTGAAGGAAAGATTTTTATCTTACTGGTAGACTGTTTGGGGAGACATTGTTCACTGTATCTCACAGCGTTTTCCTCATAAAGATTTATGGGGGAAATTTCTCACAGGTCAAGGCTTGCTTTTATTTTAGGGACACAGTTTAATGTATGCCAGATTATATTCCCCCACTTTGCATTGGCTGCTTGGAAGCTCAGAGCCACAATTGTGTCACAGTTCTAAGCAGCGCCTTCTCAAAATCTCCACTTATATACCTAATAGTCTTTGCATTAGTCTCCTATTGCTGCTGTACCAAATTACCACAAACTTAGTGGTTTAAAACAACATAAACCTATTATCTTACAGTTTGGGGAATCAGAAGCCCAAAATTAGTTTCACTGGACTAAAGCCAAGGTGTCAGCAGGACTATGTTCCTTCTGGAGGCTTTAGAGGATAATCT
Source organism: Homo sapiens (assembly GCF_000001405.40). NCBI lineage: Eukaryota > Metazoa > Chordata > Mammalia > Primates > Hominidae > Homo > Homo sapiens. The sequence continues at coordinate 168,278,505 of NC_000001.11, forward strand.
ATTTCCTTATCTTTCCCAGCTTCTAGAGACTTCTTACATTCCGTGTCTTCTGGCCCCTTTTTCCATCTTCAAAGCCAGGAGTGTAGCATCTTCTCTCCCCTCTGACTTCTGCATCTGTCCTTACATCTTCTTCCTCTGACTTTGATCCTCCTGCCTCCCTCTTATTTTTGCGATTGCACTGGGCTCACCAGATAACCCAGGTTAATCTCCCCATCTCAAGACCCTTAACTGAATCACATTTGAAAAGTCCCTTTTTCCCATGTGAGGTAATACACTCACAGGTTCTGGGGATTCGGAAATGGGTCTCTTTTGCAGGGGGTCCTTATTCAGCCTGCCACATTCTTTTCAGTGTTAGCTGTATGAAACTGAAATGTTTGAGTCTCCTAACCAAACTGTACCTCTGCCTACCCTTCCACCTCCCTCACCTTCCATATCTCAGTAAATGGCCCTGCCATCTAATAATTGTTCTGATCAGGCACATGGTTCTCTGCTCTCCCTCACCCCCATATCCAGTCTCTCATGTTGTTCTGTCATATAGACTTCTAAAGTGTATCTAGAACCTGTACACTTCATTTTTTGGCCACTGCCACTACCCTAGGCTAAGCCATCACCAGCTCTTGCCTGAATTGCTGTCATAGCCTCTAATTTGTTCTTTACTTCAGCTCTTGCCCTTTCCTAGTCTATTCTTCACAAATCGATTAGATTTTTTGCAAACACAAAGCCAATCATGCTGTTTTCCTACTTAATACTCTCCAATTGTTTCCTATCTCATGCTGAAGAACATTCAAATTCTTCATCATGACTTCTAAGGCCTCATGGTCTGGCCTGGCCCTCTCTCAAAGAACATCTCATTCTGCTCTCTTTACCACCACATTCTGGTCACACTGGCCTCCCTGGAGATTTCTACCTGGCTCAAGCCATGCTTCTCACATGTAATTCTTCTGCTTGGCACTCTGCCAACTCTTCCCCGACTACATCTTTGCTGAGCTTTTGGTCTCATCTGAAATGTCTCCTCCTCAAAGAAGCTGTTCTATACAACTCCATCTAACTGGAGTTCCCTACCCTGCTGTGCACAAATTTTTCTTGATCACTTCACCCTTTTAAGTAGCCTTCATAGACTTATCACTATTGATAATTACTTAGTTGTTGTTTACTTTATATCATTTATTTTCTCCATCATATTGTTAATTCTGTAAAGGCGCAGGCCATTTCTGTTTGTTCCTTGCTGTATGTGATGCTTCATAGGTATGTAGCATAGGAGATCCTGAATACATTTTCTGTCATCCTTACCCTGACTTTATCTTACCTTTTTGGGTTTGTTTTCCTTATGTTCTTGTTTTCTTACTTTGTATTGAAATGAGAGAAAAACTCACAACCCCCAGGCTCTACTCAAGGTTGGGGGCCAGAGGAGGTAGAGCTTCCTCTGCTCCTGTCTCTTCCACCCGCCATCCACTCACTCGCCATTAGTACTGTGTGTTGTGGGCAAAAGAAAAGCTTTCTACTAGTGTTTCTTCCCAGGGAATGTGGGATTCATCCTGGAATGCCAAAATAAGGATGAATTGTCTAAAGAGAAAACCAGAATGCCTTTCTGGACCAAAGATTGAAATTGCTCTGCCTAATAATGTAAACAGTTTATTTTCACTGACTGGGGGCAGAGTGTTCCTTAGCGAGATTAATATGATACTAGCTGCTTTTTTGTCTTCCTCTGGCAAAGGCTAGAGATAACAAAAATTGGGGTTCTAGACTCTAGGGAGGAAGGACAACATTCACAGCTCCATTTGTAGGAGGTGAGGAGGGCCCTTGAGAAAAGTGGGGTGTGAGCGAGTATAGGACATTCAGGAGAGAGATGATCAGTAGGGGACACCCTGGGAGAAAGAGATTCTGAGCTCTTTTCTTTTCTCCGGAGCCCTGACCCTTGAGCAGTGGCACACAGAGTGTCTTCCTTTATTCTCTGGTACAGTAGTCATGTTTCTTGGCACAGTGCCTTGGACCTTCCATACATGCTTTCTTCCCTCCAGAGCCTTCGTCTAAGATGCTGGAGAGTAGCTTATAGCCTGGGCATCAAGTTTGTCGATTCTCCCCAGGACCCTTTTCTTTATAGGTGCCACATGTCATGATTTATGCACAAACATGATTTGCCTGACAGTGCAGTCTGGGCCTGGAATAATTTTAATTAATGGGAAAATGGTCCTCAATACACCGATTAGACCTCTTCAGGTACAACAAGATAAAAGCCTGATAATTTGGATGGAGTACTCTTCTTAAATATCTACTCTGTGCACGGCAGCCAATGGGAAAGCCAGGCTCTCTCCCACCTGATCCAATGAGTAATTAAGAGAGGGCTTTTTCTTCCCTACCTCTCCCCTGCCTCCACCCCGCTCCCCAACTAAAGCTTAACAGGTTGGTGGCATAATGTGGAGACTTTTAAGGGGTGTCATCCTAGGAGCTTAGGCAAGAGCCAGGGTATCTTCTCTCCGCTCCCCAAGCACTGTTCAAGTGGGTTTGAAAAGCAGGCAAGTGAGGGAAGGAAGAAGCTAGAAGCAGGCAAGTTGGGTAACGGCTCTCGGCAAAGTTCGAGAAGTGCCTATGGCCATGAGTGAGCTGGGCACTCGGAAGCCCAGCGATGGCACTGTTTCTCATCTGCTCAATGTGGTGGAGAGTGAGCTTCAGGCAGGGAGGGAAAAAGGCGACCCTACGGAGAAGCAACTTCAGATCATCCTGGAGGATGCACCTCTCTGGCAGAGATTCAAGGAAGTCACTAATGAGATGATTGTGACCAAGAATGGCAGGTGAGTTTATCTGCCGCCCCGCGTGGGCTGGCAGGGCTTGGCAGGAGAGATGAGACCCCTTGAATATTGAAGAGGCTGCCGCTCTTCACTCAGAGGCGGCGGGATCTGATTAAACATGCTTACAGGAACGACTGTCTCCAATGGCTTTCCTCCAGCCAACTTAATTAATTTATCTGAGATCATCAGAGGATGAAGCCACCTGTCTTATGTGCATTTTAAATGGAGAAATTCTGGGGAAATTACCATAAAGTGGGGGGCATGCCCCATTGGGATGGGAAAATGGACTTAAATGTCAGAAAATAATATTAATTTGTGACTAGCTGCATACCCTATCGCAGACCTGAGCCCCAACTCCGTCCAGATAAGGTGAAAGACAACTTTATTTGGAAGCTGGATGATCTCCTCCTAAGTATAGCAAACTTGCCAGAAATGTTTGGCTAGTTGAAGATTGGAAGCAAAAGGGCAAATGTAAACTCATTGCCTATCACTTCATCTGCTTCCCCGTGTGTGTTTGTGGTGAGTGTTCATTTGAGATTGTGTGTGTTTGTGATGATATGAAAGCTGTTGCAGTAATAGTGGATGAAAACATATTATTCTGCTTTAGAGAAAAGAAGATGCCTTCTTTCTTATCAGTGCAACAAATTTAGGGATTAACTGAAACTGATCTCTGGTGGCATTTCTCAGATTCTATTAAACCTAGTCTGCTAAGGGGCTGTCCAGGTAATATTAGAAGATTTCACTTCGTAGAGGAGACGCAAATATTTTGAAACAAAATCTCACCGCTCGCAGCTTGGCCAAACTGGCTCCAACATTCAGCTGGTGTTCACATAGCTTTTCATACACATGGTCACAAAAGTACAAAATGCTGAAAGGCATTTTCAGTAGGCTTAGTTTTGGCTGAACTCTAATTATGACACCCTCGAGAGAATTCTGATAAAAGAGAAGAGCCGAGGCCATCTGAACTTCTTTCTGTCAGGCTTTTGTCCTTGTGCAAAGTGCTTCCGTTCCTGATGTCTCGGTTTTCTATATTTTAATAAAGCACAGTATAGAAAATGAACTATTTCTTGTCAATCTTGAAGAGTTATGAACTCGAGAGCTGTTACATGGCATTAAAATGCTTTCTAAAATGAAAGCCATACCTGAATTAGGGCATTTCAAGAAATTGCGATTATACCAGTAGCAGGAATATCAACCTTGCTTGATTTTTATATTTTCTTTCTCAAAATGGGTTCCACACTTATTTCATATAGATTTATTGCTTTTAATATTGTTACTGTAATTATAGTTCCTTCTCTTGACCTGTATTTACACATTATTTTTAGCTTCTTTCATAGAAGAAAACATAAAACATAGTTTTAATTTCACAGAATTACACCAAATTCTTAATTGGATTTAGTCTCTGACCCTTTAAAAATGGGCAAAGATGCAACTGTAAAAATTTTATTATATCTGATTATAGGTAGAACATTCTGCTTATTTTTCTTTGTATTATTGGATACTAATTACAGTAATACCTAGCCTTATGCTATTGATTGGGCTGTCAAATTGGCCATTTATTAAAGTAAAAATAAGTACAATTACCAAGTCAATATATGGTTCATCTATTTCAATAAGGAATAAATAATAAAAGTTTCTGAAACCATGATAAATTCCAATTTAATAATATGTTACATTGGAATGTACTTTTACCATTTAAGAAAAGTTTTATCTTGCCTTTTTATTGCCTATGTAATTTTCCCCTATATTTAAAATGTAATATTCTTCACATCAGCCCAGTGTGGTGGTGTGCTCCTGTTGTCCCAGCTACGCAGGAGGCTGAGGCAAGGGGTCCTTGAGCCCGGGATCAGTCTGGGCAACACGGTGAGACCCTGTCTTTAAAAAGCAAAATGAAATCCTTCATCTTTAACGTCATTTAATATTAGCTACATGAACAATATTCTTTGTAGAAAAAGTCTGATTGCGGTGAACTTGGCTGTTCTTATCTATGGATGTCCTGCTGTGTTTGCCGTCTTCCTATAGATGAAATCTTTTTCTTAAATTCTCCTAAGCTCTCGGAGCCCTTTAGGGTCAAGATTTTGCCAGGAGATAGAAAGTTTCCTTTATACTTTGATTAAAGAAGGGAAGACAAGTCCATAAGAAATTGATGTACTTAATAATGAATGAACTTGGTCTGAAATTACCCCCAACCTCTTAGTTTCTCAGATTAAACCATTAGTCACACTTTACCTTTGTTAATATAGACATCTTTCTTGCTTCATCTTCTTTACTCCCTTCTTCCTTCTCTCTTTTCTCCCTAACTATTTATTCCTCTATGCCTCCTTTCTACCCATTCTCCTATGTCTATAGACTCTTTGTGTCTCCTTCAAATCCTTGCCCTCCACATCAACTCCCGCACCTGGTGCAGGTAGATTTGTGGCCCTTCCCTGTGGAGAAGAATGTTCCTGGTATGATTACCCAGTCCTAGCCTTTTTCATTCATAATGTCACCTGGGCCCTTTTTCATTGACATTGTCACCTTGACTTTTTAAAAAAGCATCATTTGGGGTGGTAACTCCTATACACTTGAGGTCTCATTGTTCTGCACTAAAATAGCAAATCTTGAAATAGCGTAAGATGGGCCGATGAAAGAGTGAAAAGACTCATTGTCAAGTGGAGATCTACTTTCACATATATAAATAGGAAGCTTGCCTCTGACATTGATCAGAAGCTGTAAAGAGAAAGGCTTTTCTCTGAAAAACACGGAATTATCTCCAGAAACTGGGATCCTGATGTTGGCCTCTCTTCTTTCGTTCCTTCCTTTCTCTCTCTCTCTTCCTCCTTTTCTTTCTTTCTCTCCCCTCCCCCATTCTACTACTTCATTTCCCTTTCAGCCTTTTCTTCCTCCCTCTCTTTTTAAAATTGAAAACTTTCAGTTATTCATAGTTAATAGTCCTTTAGATATAACAGTAATAAGTATAATACCTCCTTAGAGCTCATTTGAGTCATCTCTAGTGTATCCAGCCAGTATTCCCTTTCATGTCCATCCTTTAAGCTGGAAACTTATACTTTAGTTTGCAGAAAGAATTCATTTCAGACTTCAGAGGTTAATAAATTAAATTGCTTGCTAGCATGGCAGCTCATGTCTGTGATCCCAGAACTTTGGGAGGCTGAAGTGGGAGGATTGCTTGAGCCCAGGAGTTTGAAACCAGACTGGGCAGTATAGGGAGACTTCTTCTCTACAAAAAATTTAAACAACTAGCCAGGAGGCCCAGGTAGGTTGATCACTTGAGCTCAGAAGTTTTAGAACAGCCTGGGCAACATGGAGAAACCCTGTCTCTCCAAAAAATACAAAAAATTAGCTGGGCATGGTGACACCTACCTGTAGTCCCAGCTACTTGGGAGGCTGAGGTGGGAGATCACCTGACCCTGGGGAGGTCAAGGTTGCAGTGATCACACCACTGCACACGAGCCTGGGCAACAGAGTGAGACCGTGTCTCAAAAAAAAAAAAAAAAAAAAAAAAATCAAATCTCTTGCTTTTGTTTTCTTTACTTGTAACATTTTCACCTAAGGGGAAAATGCCATATTTCTTGTCATCATAAAATAAGAGGTGGGAATTACTAAGTTTAAATTTGCCGATTAGTTTCGATGATTCACCAGTGCTTGATGATTAAGGGGTATTGGTGCAGTGCCACTGAGTTGCTGTTCATAGTCTCCAGTAAGGGCAGTACAAGAGAGGAGAAAAGTAAAGTTGCACATCAGGCCAATACATTTCCATGTCCCTACAGCCCATGGGTATTTTTCTCTGAAGTTTAAAATTACAGCTCAAGAAGATCATATGTATTTATGTAATCTGCCTTTAACCAGGCCACCTTGCTTCCCTAATGCTGTTGTTTTTTTCCCTTCGTTTATTTATCTTTAATTGACACCTGTTGCTATTCTTATGCCTGCTCACCTTCACATAAATGTCAGCATCCATGCACCATGTATGTCACACACACACACACACACACACACACACACACACACACCCCTCTAAAAGTTCTGATGAGTATTTGATAAATAGTAGAGTTTTGAGGAGAGATGGAGGAAAGTGTTTACAAGTTTAACTTTTTGAATTTGCTTTTAACTCTCTGCTGTTCCCTCACCTGTAAAATCTGCCTCATCTCTGCCCCTCTTTCTTCTTGCAAACCTCACTTCTCATAGCCTCCTCCAGCAGCACTGACTTCTGGAGATTCCCTGTCAGTGAAATAAAACTGGAAAGCTGGTCTCATAATAAAAGCCCAACAGTTTATGGGCAAAGCCCAACCACCTGTGGTTCTTCAGGTGTGGTTTTCTTGAGGAGTGCTTATTTACCCTGCCACATTTTCCTCTCTTTCTCTCCAAGGAGGCTTTCTCTCCAGGGTGGATTAAGTGAAATTATGCTGTTACTTAGGGACTGATTTACATATTTCTTATCCCTCACACTCTGGGTTTCTCTATGTTAGCTACATCTAGGAAAAAAATGGGGAAAAAAATCACCTTGATTGGAAGTGCAGTTAATTCCTGAAAATAAAGCCTGATCACGAGTGGTAATCACAGATCAATTAGTTACTGGATCCCTAGATAATGCATCCCTGTCATTGTGAGACAAAAGAGGGGAAAGTGGGGTGGGAGGAGGGGAACTTGGCTTGGAGGCAGGGTGAGTTCCATTCCCAGTTACAAGACCTTAGGCAAGTTGACTGACTTTTATTTATTCCTCATTGCCATAATAGGGAATGTATTAAAAAATGTATTAAAATAGGGAATGGATTAAAAAATAGTCATTTCTCAGTTTATTTACGTAGTGATAAAAACAAAAAATAATTATAAAGTTCTTGGCAAATGCAATACTAAAGAAAATAGAGCAATTAATCATTCTACCATTTCCCAGATATGTCCTCCTTCTAAGAGACAAGACACTGTGACTTCTTTGTTTTTATTAACAGCTTTGTGATGATATAATTCACATGCCATACAGCTCATCCATTTGAAGTGTATAGTTCAGTGGTTCTCAGTAATTCGCAGAGTTGTGCATCCATCTCCACAATTAATTTTAGAACATTTTTATTGCTTCAAAAGGAAGCCCTGCGCCCTTAGCAGTCACCTCCTCTGGCAACCACTAATCTACTTTCTGTTTCTATAGAGTTACCTATTTCATATCATGGACATTTGATATCCTGGGAATCATACAATATGTGGTCCTTTGTCAACAACTTCTTTTACTTAGCGTAATGTGGTCAAGGTTCATCAATGTTGTAGCATGTATCAGCACTTCATCTTTTTTATTGACAAATACTCCATTGTATGGATATAACACATTTTATTTATCCTTCATCAGTTCATGGACATTTGCATTTTTCTACATTTTAGCTATTATGCATAATGTTGCTATGTACCTCTGTGTACAAATGTTTGCATGGAGCTATGTTTTCATTTTTCTTGTGTATATACCTAGGAGTGGAATTGCTGGATTATTGAGAAACTGTATATTTAACCAAGTGAGGAACTGCCAGAGTATTTTCCAAAGTGGCTGCATCATTTTACATCCCTGCCAGCAATGTATGAGGATTCCAATTTCTCTACATCTTCACCAATGCTTTTTATTGTCTGCTTTTCATATTGCAGCCATCCTAGTGGCCATGAAGTGGCATCTCACTGTGGTTTGGATTTTGCATTTCTCTGATGGCTGATGAGGTTAAGCATCTTTTGATTGATCATGGCTTCTTTGAAACATCAGGTACAGCTCTGACCATAGCATGAAAGATGGAAAGCCATTACACATTTTCTTATTCTGGAACGAAAAGTCATGCTACACTCTTTATGAGACCTCACATAATATAGTTGAGAGAGTTAAGAGGAGGGCACTCTAACCTATTAGCAGTGAGGATAATAATTGGAATTTTCCCCTTACTTTGCCTCAGCCACTTTGGTCTTCTCTTTTAGTTTCTGAATAGAGTGGGGCTATTTAAATCTAAGGGCCATTGTACTTGCTATTTCCTTTGCCTCTAAGTGCACCTCCTCTAACATTTTGCATGAGTCATTCCTTCTCATTATTTAGGTCTTAGCTCAAATGTCACTTCCTGTTCAGATATGGCTAAAGTAGCTTCTCATCCTTTAGTCTCCTTCTGTGACATCATGCATTTTAGTTCCTTCATGTCACTCTTGCAATTTGAAATGATTTTTTTTTTAATAGAGATGGGGTCTCGCTAAATTGACCAGACTGGTCTCAAACTCTGGGCCTCAAGTGATCCTCCCATCTTGGCCTCTCAAAGTGCTGGGATTATTGGCATGAGCCACCACACCCAGCCCCAAATGATCTTACATGTTAAGAAACAACAAAGATTTATTGACATGTTTGTTGCCTGACTTCTTTGTTAGAATGTAAGCTTCATGAACAAGAAGATACTGGGTCTGCAATTTTTGTCATTGAATTCCCACCTAGAACAGTTCCTGGGATAGAGCAGGCACTAAAAAACCATTTGTCAAATGGGCAAATAAATCTCTAAGTAGGTATTAAGATTTGGGAAAACTTTGAGGGGGACTTTTCCTTTCACTGTGGCTCAACCATGTTAGCTTTGAGAAGCTAATAAGAAAGGAAAAGAGAGTAAAAAAAAAAAAAAGGAGTAGTGAATGAAATGTAATGTGTGCTTTCTGAGTCCCAGTTTCCTCATCTATAAAATTGGCATAATAACCTCCTTGTGGGTGAAGTAAGACTTAAGTTGTATTTCACTTAAGTGAAATATTCACCTACGCAAAGTCCTAGGTGCAGAGTAAAACTCAGTACAGCCATCCCTTGGCATCCGCAGAGGATTGTTTCCAGGCCCCTGCAAATATCAAAATCTGAGGATGCTGAAGTTCCTTATATAAAATGGACTAGAATATTTTGCATATAACCTATGCACATCCTCCCATATACTTAAGTTATTTCTGGATTATTTACAATACGTAATACAATGTTAATGCTATGTAAATAGTTATGCCATATTTTTTTTTTGTATTATTTTTTATTGTTGTATTATTTCTTTTCAAATTTTTCAATTTGCATTTGGTTGAATCTACAGATGCAGACCCTGGGAATGTGGAGGCCTGACTGTACATGATAACTATTATCATTAGAAAAACAATCTTGCGGTTAGGCACTGTGGCTTGCACCTGTAGTCCCAGCACTTTGGGAGGCTGAGGTAGGAGTTGAGCCCAGGAATTTGAAAGCAGCCTGGGCAACACAGTCACACACCTTTAAATAAAAATAAAACAAACAAAAGTGTCTCGCCTTAAGTCATTTCTTAAATCATAAGTCAGAACTTTATGAAACATCCTGACATTTCTTATCATGAAGACACCAGCCATGCTCTCATGCTTGAACAATTGCATCATTACTCTGGCAATTTAGTGCATGAGTAATATATTATATGTTTTATGAGTTTTTGTTCTTACTTTTATGTGTACTATATAGTCTTATTGAGAAAAGTTTTGGTACTTTTTTTTTTTGAGACACAGTCTCACTCTATCACCCAGCCTGGAGTACAGTGGTGTGATAATAGCTCACTACAGCCCCGACCTTCCATGCTCAAGTGATCCTCCTGCTTCAGCCTCCCCAATAGCTGGAACTACAGGTGTGCACCACCATGCCTGGCTAAATTTTGTATTTTTTATGGAGATGGGGTTTTGCCATGTTGCCCAGGCTGGACTTAAACTCCTTTGGTACTTTTTAACTTTAGTATGCAAAATGACAATTATACACATGCCACTCTTGTGTTTTCTTTAAAATAATATAAAAAGTAAACTTTAGTACTTCAGAAGAAACACTGGACCAGAACACAGAGACCATGTCTCCATATACCTCGTATAAACGGGTCTGACTCCTGGCTGTCAGAATAACCCTATATGATCCCTAGAATCATTTCTGATGCCCACTTTTATGATTCTTTGCAAACGGCATTTGTGTTCTCAGGATCCTTCTGTTTTCTACACTTGGCCAATATTATTAACATAATTGAAAACATTAAAATATATCGTAAAAGGGAATCGTTTAATCTGATAGTAGGAGAAAATAAAAGACAATAATCCTTCTATTGAAGAAAGAACAAAAGAAAATGCAACATGAAGATTTTACATCACACAGGCAGCCGCCCTAGAGGAGGTGTATCATTTTAGTTAATGTAAAAGTGCAATCATCTCACTAAGGGACGAGGAGTGTTGAGGTGGATAATGCAGTTCTCAGCGAAGACCTGGATTTGGAATGCATCGTCTGATGCATTTTTCTCCCTAGAAATTTTACTTAATTTATATACTTGTCCTAGCCTCCCATTTAAATTAATTTTCTCTCCTTGAACACACCAACACAGCCTCATAAAGTTGTTGTGAAGAACTCACTGAGTTAGTTCATGCAAAGTGCTTATTCCCATGCCTGGCACCTAGTGAGTGCTCTGTAAGTGTTGGCCGTATTACCATTACACCCAAGCCCTTCGGCTGGCCTGGCCTTGCTTTGGCTCCAAAATCTTACCTTAGGCAGTGACTTTGGAGTTGGAATCACAAAGGACATCAACTCTGCCTCTCTCCTGCCTAGCAGGCAGAAACTACTTCTCTGTGCTGTTTTTCTGGTGATATGAAGTCTAAATAGAGGCCAAGCATGGTGGCTCACACCTGTAATTTCAGCACTTTGGGAGTCTGAGGCAGGTGGATCGCCTGAGGTTGAGAGTTTGAGACCAGCCTGGCCAACATGGTGAAACCCTGTCTCTACTAAAAATCCAAAAATTAGCCAGGCGTGGTGGCACACATCTGTAATCCCAGCTACTCTCCTGGAGGCTGAGGCAGGAGAATCACTTGAACCCAGGAGGCAGAGACTCCATCTGAAAAAAAAAGAAGTCTAAATAGAATAGGGAGTAACTGCTAATGGCCGTGGGGTTTCTTTTCGGGATGATGAAAATGCTCTAGACTTATAAGCCAGCTACTTGGATAGTTTCTCCAAATATTTGTGAGAGTAAACTTGTTGTTATTATTCTAGCATGTAGAAGAAGGATCGATGAATCTAGATCTGCATGTCTCAAAGTGTGTTCTTTGGACACAAATTCTCATAAAATGCTTAGTTAAATGATAATCCCACTGTCACATACATTTAGGGTGTGCACGTCCCCACGCTTTCTTCAAAGAGTCCCATGGTGTACATGGGTATGTTAAAGGCCCTGCCTGAGGCATCCTGGAGGAAAGAACTGGTCTCACTTTGTACAGTTAAGAGTTCCTCTCACTGACTTAACATGTAACCCTGTTCTTGTTTTTTTGAGACAGGGTCTCACTCTGTCACCCAGGCTGGAGTGCAGTGGCACCATCACAGCTCACTGCAGCCTCTAACTCCTGTGCTCAAGCAATCCTCCCACCTCAGCCTCCCGAATAACTGGGATTACCATGCCCAGCTAATTTCTTTTTTTTTTGAGATGGGGGTGTCTCACTATGTTGCCCAGGCTGGCATGTTTTGCTATAAATGCTATTACTATTATTCAGAAATAGTGTTCTTTGTGAGGTTGGGAAGGGCTGGTCAGTGGCATCAGTGTGCCAGTGGGAAATCTTTGAAGAGAGCTTTCTGTGGGGATGTGGCATTTGATACATCTTGGGCTTCAGGTTCCTGTTGTGTCAAATGACTCCATCAGTGGTTTTCAGACTTTAAAACGGAGCATGTTTTAAAGTGAAACCCTAGTATTAAATTCATTTATAAAAAGAAGCTCCAGTAGAATTGGGGTTGTGGACTTGGGCCCTGTTTATTTGGCCTCCTCACAGGGCATTCCGTGGAAGGTCTCAGTATTGAGAGGCCCCTGGACAAGGTGAGAGTTCCTCTAACGTCCCTCCTGTGGCTAAGTTTCTGCCTTTCCTTTTAGACGGATGTTTCCAGTCCTAAAGATTAGTGTCACAGGGTTGGACCCCAATGCCATGTACTCCCTCCTGCTGGACTTTGTCCCTACGGACAGTCACCGCTGGAAGTACGTCAACGGGGAATGGGTGCCCGCTGGCAAGCCAGAGGTCTCCAGCCACAGCTGCGTCTACATTCACCCGGACTCCCCCAACTTTGGGGCCCACTGGATGAAAGCTCCCATCTCCTTCAGCAAAGTGAAGCTGACCAACAAGCTCAATGGAGGCGGGCAGGTACGAATGAGGCGGGCAGGCCTGGCCACCCGCTCCGGCCTCCCCACAACACCAATCAAGAAATATCAAGGGTGCATTTAGGCAATTAGAGGTGTCCTCACCAGCCTCTTCTCCCACAGAAGCCAATTATTCCCGGGAGTCCAAATGTAAACAAGAATAAACAGCTCTTAATTGGTGCTTTCAGTTTTTAATGGACTTCCTGATGTTAAGAGAGTGAGAGAGCAGTGGTTTACTTAATCACCGGGGCCCTTTTCATAGTTTCGTCTTGTGTGCTGTGCTTTTTACCCAGCTCTAGGAGGGAGATGTTTGTGGGTACCAGGGTTTTGTTAGTCCCTCTCCCCTTTTTTAGTATAAGTGGCATGCTGGCAATAGACAAATACCTTCATAAAAAGCTGCTTCTAAATGAAATAATTACTACCTCCACTTGGGCATTATGATAATTATCAATAGAATATTGAATCAGCTTTGGTTTTTCAGGAAAAAAAAATCCAAACAAACCTTCCTTAAACAAGGAAGGTTTTATTTCAGGTCTCCAATTAGAGTAAACAAGCATTTGGGGCTTTTTCCTCTTGTTTTCTGTGTTAGGATTGTGAATACTAGTCTGCTATAGAAGGTTGCTAGTTACTTTCTGTAATGTAGGCAGTTTCTGGGGATTGGAGACACAGATGGGAGTAAAGGGTCTGGATTCTTCTCTTTCCCACCTGCCTGTTTGGCTTTCCCTCAGCCTCCCACCCTGTGCCCATGTGCCCCTTCTCTGATCTCTGTGCTCAGATGGCAGGGACCATAGGAGTTCATGTGTCCAGAGGTAACACTACCCGAGTCTGTGATACTCAGAAGCTTCCAGTTCCTTATTAAAACGGGAAATTGAACAGTAAATTGTTACTGCCTACCAGATTTCACAGCAGGAGACTGTCATTACACCTTTCATTTGACTCAGAGAGAGTGTAGCCATCAGATGCCAGATTTTGCCATTCTTTAGTCACTTGGAAAATGCACCCATTGTCAGCATTTTGAGTTATTAGGATTCCTCAAATGAAAAAAAGGCAAACAATATATTTTGATGGATTGAAATCCACACTGTTGTGCTGAAAATAGGGGAAGGAAAAAAGGAAGCCAAGATTTTGGCAGAAAACTGAACACTCTTAAGAATAACTCCTCAGCCGGGCGCGGTGGCTCGCGCCTGTAATCCCAGCACTTTGGGAGGCCGAAGTGGGCGGATCACGAGGTCAGGAGATCGAGACCATCCTGGCTAATGTGGTGAAACCCCGTCTCTACTAAAAATACAAAAAATTAGCCGGGCGTGGTGGCGGGCGCCTGTAGTCCCAGCTACTCGGGAGGCTGAGGCAGGAGAATGGCGTGAACCCGGGAGGCGGAGCTTGCAGTGAGCTGAGATAGCGCCACTGCACTCCAGCCTGGGTGACAGAGCGAGACTCCGTCTCAAAAAAAAAAAAAAAAAAAAAAAAAGGAATAGCTCCTCTCTGACAACCCACCCCTCACCCTTGTAAAGGCTTCAATGTTATGCTTCCTGGAGCTTCTGGAAAATTCCCTTCATTTGTTTCTTAGAGGTGTGGTGGCAGCTCAGGTGGCCTAGGATTTGAAATGTGTGTCCCTAACCGGGGTGGTGCTAAGCTTGGGACCAACTGGAGATGCTGGCTCCTTTATCACCTGCGATACACGGGGCTTTGCTTTTCTCCTCTTTCTCTTCTCCTGCCTCGACAGATAATGTTGAATTCTCTGCATAAATATGAACCCCAGGTTCACATAGTGCGTGTTGGAAGTGCCCATCGAATGGTAACAAACTGCTCCTTCCCTGAAACCCAGTTCATAGCCGTGACTGCCTATCAGAATGAGGAGGTAAGAGTGTGTGTGTGTGTGTGTGTGTGTGTGTGTGTGTGTGTGTGTAACTGTCACCTGGGAGATCATGGCAGGATGGGCGGGGGGGGTCCTTTTAGATGAAAGGTAGGTTTTCCAGGATTTGGATACACTCAGCAGACATGAAGTTAAACAATGGAGTAGCTGCTCTCCCTCCCTCTTGGCTGTTTGCTAAAGGCTCACCAGCATGTGCTCTCCTGGTGCCAACAAGACACAGCTGTGCATTGTCATGAAACTCCTGAGTTCTGTTGAAACTCTGGAGTCTTTGTTGTCAGGACCCTATGTGTCCTTGGCCTGTGCAGAGCTGAGTGTGTCTTGAGTGGGTACAATTGGGCAGGAGCTGTCAGGTCTCCTGCTCTAGAAGCAAGTCTGTAGCAAGTGATCCAAACATGCACCCTCCCTTGGGTTTTATTATGCTATCATTACTGCTTGTTAATGTTCAATATCAGCACAGTTAGTCTGCTGCTGCCCAGTGACTTGAGCCGCCTGGCTGTGAGGGCTGAGTGGTTAGCGCCTGGCCTGTCTGTGAGCTGCTTTGGGTCCGTTCACATGATCTGCTGATAATCAGAAGAACCCAGGGAGGGTTGAATTCTTTTTGATTAAACTTTAAAAAAATTTTTTAAAGACAATATTTATTTATTTAAAAACACATAATAAACTGACAGTACAGAAGTATATAAAGTAAACATGAAGACTACAGGGTAAAGCTATACGGGTTTCTTCCGCTTTTGGAAACTCACTCCCCATGGACACGACGAAGAATAACTTAGAGTGTGTCTTTTTGACAAATTTTCTATGTATATGTAAATATATATGTGAATGTAGATTTCCTCACATAAATTGGCTCATGTTGTATATATTATTAATCTGCAAATTTCTTTTTCCTCAGTTTAAGGGTGTATTATGATTACCTTTCTATGTAATTATACCTAGGTATATCTCCTTTTCTGTAGTGCCTGCAGAATATTTCATTGTATGAATACACTATTTCACGTAATCAGCCCCCCACCAATGGACATTTAAGTTGTTTCCAACTGTTTTCTTTTTTTTTTTTGAGACAGAGTTTCACTCTTGTTGCGCAGGCTGGAGTGCAATGGTGTGATCTCAGCTCACTGCAACCTCTGCCTCCTAGGTTCAAGCGATTCTCCTGCCTCAGCCTTCCGAGTAGCTAGGATTACAGGCACCTGCCACCACGCCTGGCTAATTTTTTTTTGTTTTTTTTTGAGACAGAGTCTCACTCTGTCACCCAGGCTGGAGTGCAGTGGTGTGATCTCAGCTCACTGCAACCTCTGCCTCTGAGATTCAAGTGATTCTCCTGCCTCAGCCTCCCAAGTAGCTGGGACTACAGACATGCACCACCACTCCTGGGTAATTTTTGTATTTTTAGTAGAGACAGGGTTTCACTATGTTGGCCAGGCAGGTCTCGAACTCCTGACCTCAGGTGATCCATCCACCTCGGCTTCCCAAAGTGTTGGGATTACAGGTGTGAACCACCGTGCCCGGCCCTTTATTTTCTATTATAGATAATGCTGCAATGAATATCCTGGTGCATCTGTCATTTGCTTGCGTGGGTGAACACCTAGAAACAGATAGACATGGCCAAATTGCTTCCCTCAAAATGGCATCTCTATTTGTAGCCCCAACACCATGATCAACACTATTATCAATCTTTGTCATCTTTGACACTCTAATAGGTTAAAAAAAATAAGATCTTGGCCGGACGTGGTGGCTCACGTCTCTAATCCCAGCACTTTGGGAGGCCAAGGCGGGCAGATCATGAGGTCAGGAGTTCCAGACCAGCCTGGCCAACCTGGTGAAACCCCGTCTCCACTAAAAATACAAAAATTAGCTGGGTGCAGTGGCGGGTGCCTGTAATCCCAGCTACTCGGGAGGCTGAGGCAGGAGAATTGCTTGAACCTGGGAGGCGGAGGTTGCAGTGAGCCGAGATTGCGCCACTGCACTCCATCCTGGGTGAGAGAGCAAGACTTGGTCTCAGGAAAAAAAAAAAGATCTTGTTGTTGCTTCCATCTATATTTATTTGGAAGCTTTAAAGACAGATTTTGGGCTGCCACTCAGCCAACTGAGTCAGAATCTCCAAGGATGATGCTCAGATTCTGTAGATTTAAAAGTCTCCCCAGAGGATTCTATTGATCATCCAGGTTTGGAAGCTACTGTCTTGTGCCTACAGGTGAAATGAAGTTGCAGATTTAACTCACATCACAGATGTGCAGAGAAAATGTCATTTCTATAAGTAAACTGGCCTCTTGGCAGAGCCCCTGCAGCCAGTCAATGGAAACAGAAATGAACTAGCTAATAATGTAAACAGTCCCTCAGCTGGTGGCCAGTCTTTCGATGATAAAGTAATTCCATTTTGCAGATAGCCCTCTCTCCCAGCTTTTCTCCCTGGGCTGGAGTCTGGGTCTATGAGGGGAGGTATGGCCTTTGTAACTCTGGGAAACGGGGTGGTGGGGGGTGCATGTGGAATTGGAGACCATGTCCTAACCTCCTCTGGTCTCCCGGCAAGGCCCCTGCCCACTGGTGTGCTGTTGGTTTAGTTGGTGGTGTGCGGAACTTGTCATTTGGCTGCTGACTTGGTAAACCCTCAGAAGCTTTTCCTGGCTGCAGGTGCTGGACAGTTCTCTTTGAACCACCTGACTGGTCATTTTTGACCCATCCAGCAATCTCCCGGCCTGACTCGCTACTCCTGGGTCTTGAACATGCTCCATGGCAATCAAGCTCTGGAAAGCCTAGCCCCAGTGCCTCCCTCTGCCAACAAAGCTTCCCTGCCAAGTCCATGCAGATGCACCCCGAGTGGCGAGTGGGCGTGGGGGTGGGTGAAGGAGGCCAGTGTTTCCTTTGCACCCCCTGCTAGCTTCTTGTATGCTTTTCTACCTCTCCAGGTTTAAGCCAAGAGAAAGACCAGGTTGTACCTATCTGACCCCACACCTCTTTTTCCTCTTTCTCCTGATTTCTTCTCACAAGTTCTGAGCCAGAAGGAGTTGGGCTCTGTATTAGCCCATTTTCACGCTGCTAATAAAGACATACCTGAGACTGGGTAATTTATAAAGAAAAAGAAGTTTAATGGACTCACAGTTCCACATGGCTGGGGAGGCCTCAATCATGGTGGAAGGCAAAAGACACATCTTACATGGTGACAGGCAAAGAGAATGAGAGCCAAGAGAAAGGGGAAACCCCTTATAAAACCATCAGATCTCGTGAGACTTATTCACTACCACGAGAACAGTATGGGGGAAGCTGCCCTCATGATTCAGTTATCTCCCACCGGGACCGTCCCACAACACGTGGGAATTATGGGAGCTACAATTCAAGATGAAATTTGGGTAGGGACATAGCCAAACCATATCTGGGTCTTATTTTGCTTTCCTTCTTCCATCAAGTCTCAGATCCTTGCTGACATAAATATTCTGTGAGCTGGGTGTGGTGGCTCATGCCTGTAATCCCAGCACTTTGGGAGGCTGAGGCAGGAAAATCACTTGAACCCAGGTGGCAGAGGTTGAAGTGAGCCAAGATTGAGCTACTGTACTCCAGCCTGGGAGCAAGACTCCCGTCTCAAAAAAAATATATATATATGTGTGTGTATATATATATTCTGTAAATATTTATTTACTCAACAAATATTTGCTGGGCATTACTACATGCTGGATATTGTTCTAGATGCTGGAAATACTGCAATGAATAAAACAGATGAATACCCTGTCTTCAAGGCACTTACATCCCAGTGGGGAGAGATGAAAAATAAATATTTCTTTGTCTCTATCTATCTGTTTTATCTCTATCACGATCACTATCTATCTATACGTCAGATGTCTCTAATGAGAAATGAAGCAGGCTCAGGCTAAGGCAGATACAGAGAGTGACAGTGAATGGCAGTGATAGTTTGCTTTTTGCATTGACATGGCCCCATGTGTAAGTGATTATTTATGAATGAGGGACTCGATGCTAGATGGCACTCATCCAGAGGGGCAGGATCACACCTGTGCTGCTCTCCACTGTGTACCAAGTAACTAGAAAAGTAAATCACATGTAGTAGGGGATCAAGGATTGTTGAAAAAAATAAATACATGAGTAAAAAAATGAATGCTAGGTTTCGCACATCAGGGCTTTGCTCATTTCCAGTGTTTTGCCCTTTCTTTTCTCACTTTACATGGCATTAGCATTTTCACCACATGCAATGATAAAATGTCCTTTGCCAGAGACAGCGCAGTGGTGATTAAGTGCTGGAGTAAGCAAAGATGGAAAGGGCCTCTGCCTCTCAGAGTGCTGGGATTACAGGCATAAGCCATCGTGCCTGGTGGGAAAGGGAAGGAAAAGAGAGGGAATTAAACTGGTTTTACAGAAGACAAAGGGTTCTGTTTGCCCATGTGTATCCTACTTTTACTAACACTTCTTGTCTTTGTAAATGCAAGATAACGGCTCTCAAAATCAAGTACAATCCTTTTGCCAAAGCCTTCTTGGATGCCAAGGAAAGGTAAGTAAAGAAATTTTAGTGAAATCTTCTAATGAATGATTTATGCAAATACAAATGTGGAATTTATGATTATCTTGAAAGGAACTAGACTAGTAGCACTTTCATTACCTTTTATAGAAATAGGCTTTCGGCCAGGTGCGGTGGCTCATGCCTGTAATCCCAGCACTTTGGGAGGCCGAGGCGGGCAGATTACGAGATCAGGAGATCGAGACCATCCTGGCTAACATGGTGAAACCCCGTCTCTACTAAAAATGCAAAAAATTAGCCGGGTGTGGTGGCGGGCGCCTGTAGTCCCAGCTACTCGGGAGGCTGAGGCAGGAGAATGGCGTGAACCCGGGAGGCGGAGCTTGCAGTGAGCCGAGATGGCGCCACTGCATTCCAGCCTGGGCGACAGAGCGAGACTCCGTCTCAGAAAAAAAAGAAATAGGCTTTCAATATTCAATTCAATATTCAACAACATCTAGAAAATTCAAATCATAATTATCTATTCGTTATAATAGGGATCCGGGAGAACTGTTAACTAACAATTTTTTTTAAAGACCTGTTTTACTATGAATTCTTGAAAGTAGCACAATCACATTAAAAAAATTAAATGATTTAGATTTATAATAATTCACTCTGCCTTTTTCCTAATTACTTCTGAGTAGCATGGCATTAATAAATTGCTTTTTTAAAACTACATTTAGCCTAGGAAAAGTGAAAAATGGAGACAGGTTCACATTTCCTCTGCTGAGAAAAGAAGTCGGAGACTTCTGGGGGTATGAGTGATGATTCTGCTACTTCGGGGCAGCGACCTGCCATCTCTATATCTTTTCTTTCTTCCTTCCTTTCTCTCTTTTTTCCTTTCTTTCTTTCCCTTCTTTCCCTTTCCTTCTTTTCCTTCCTTCCTTCTTTTTCTTTCTTCCTTTCCTTCCTTCCTTTGCTTCCCTCCTTTCCTTCCTTTCCTTCCTAGCTTTCCTTCTTCCCTTCCCTTCCATTCCCTTCCCTTCCCTTCCCTCCCTCCTCTCCTCTCCTCCCCTCCCTCCCTCCCTCCCTTCCTTTCTTTCTTTCTTTCTTTCTTTCTTTCTTTCTTTCTTTCTTTCTTTCTTTCTTTCTTTCTTTCTTTCTTTCTTTCTCTCTCTCTCTCTTTCTTTCATTCTTCCTTCCTTCTTTCTTTTTTTTTTTTGAGACAGAGTCAGGCTGGAGTGGCACTATCTTGGCTCACTGCAACTTCTGCTTCCTGGGTGCAAGCGATTCTCATGTCTCAGCCTCCCTAGTAGCTGGGATTACAGGTGGCCACCACCATGCCCAGCTAATTTTTTATGTTTTATTTTTAGTGGAGACAGGGTTTTGCCATGTTGGCCAGGCTGGTCTTGAACTCCTGACCTCAGGTCATCCACTCGCCTCGGCCTCCCAAATTGCTGAGATGACAGGCTTGAGCCACCGTGCCCAGACTCTATGTCTTTTGCATCCCAGGAAAAAGAAGATGATGGTGCTTATCACTGACTTTTTAATTGACAAAGCCTACAGTATAATATGATTATCTTTTTAATGTTCAGATTTTATTGCTTGAGTTTCAAATCTTTTAAATAGTTTTTATAACTGTCTAATCTTTCCTGTTCACCTTAAAGGCTCTGATAAGGCTCTAGATTAATGGACAGATGTTCATAATGATGCATCACATGACCCTGTCCTGTCCAATATTTGAATATATTATTATTATTATTTTAGAGATGGGGTCTTGCTCTATCACGCGGACTGGAGTACAGTGGTGTGATATAGCTCATTGCAGCCTTAAATTCCTGGGCTCAAGCTATCCTCCTGCTTCAGCCTCCCAAGTAGTGGGGACTACAGGCATGTGCCACCATGCCTGGCTATGTGTTTTTTTTAAAGAGACAGGGGCTCTCAGTATGTTGCCCAGACAGTCTCAAACTCCTGGCCTCAAGTGATCCTCCTGCCTCCGCCTCCTTAGTTGCTGAGATTGCAGGAGTGAGCTACTGTGCCTAGCTCCAATATTGGAATAAATTATGATGATATACAAGACACACTTATAACGTTTTCAGTTAACAAAAGGCCTAAAGGATAAACTGATATGTGAGATGACACAATCTAGATTCAAAGTGACAGTAGCATGGTATAATACAAAGAATTTAGGACTTTGAGTAAGAGGTCCTGACTGAATCCTTGCTCTGTAATTTACTGGCTGTTTGTTCTTGCATAAGTCAGTTTACCTCCTCGAGATCCACTTTTCTAATCTACAAAATTAGAAAAATATGTTAATATTTCCCTCACAGGGTCATTGGTGGATCTAGCATATCACATATGTAATTGTGCCATGGAATTGTGCTGTTATTATTGCTTGAATCTTGTCAGTCAGGAGCAATATCCCCAAATTATTCAGATCAAAATAAACAGGGATAGCTGTAAATGTGGTAAAGAGGGGTAAACAGTAAAACTGCAACTCCAAGAGCAATTGCACAAGTAGAGACAGCACCCCGAAGGAAGGAGAATGGGGAAGGACAGGAGCTTAGGAAAAAGGTGTTTGGTTTTCTTATTCTAAGAAATTGATTGCTCTTCAAGGAGAATTTTGGGTATGCTTTATAGTGGACATACATAAAAAGTTGGACAGCCATGGTGCATTTTCTTTACTCTTTCAGAAATCACCTAAGAGACGTACCGGAGGCTATCTCTGAGAGCCAGCATGTGACCTATTCTCACTGTGAGTTGGGTGTACATGAGGCGGGAGGTGCGTGGGGCTGTACCTGGAGCCAGCTCCTTCCACACTCAGACTCTTTGCCTGTCAGGACTGCTTAAGGACTTCCAAATCAAAACCCAACACACAGTTTATTCTATTAAGGACAAATTTGTGCCCTTTCCAGAATTCCAGAGAGAGAGCCAATGGTCCTAGGCTTAAGAGACTTAAAAAAGTCTTAGGCAGGAGATAAGAATGAAAATGATGAATTTCTTAGACTCTGGTTTTCTTGTCAGTAAGGCTCTGAGCCCTCAACAGTGTGTTCTCGGCTTGCCTCCTAACGTTATGCTTGCCACTCTGGTCTCTCTGTTTTGGAGTTCTCCTGTTCTTAGTGTTTGCTAATTTTGGAGTTGGTTCCCATAGCAATGTGTCATGCAGGCTGTAGCCTCCATGGGGAAGAGTCTTTATTTGTGGGCTGGAAGGCTGTAGGAAGAGGTGGAGTAATATAGCTGGGATTCTGAAGGTAGTGTTGGATGTTCCCATCAGGGTGTTACCTTGTCCATGTCCCAGGATGGTGGAGGGAATCCTCTGCAGCTGCAATGCAACCCACGATCAGTGACATCAGAGTAGGAAAGTTAACCCTGATGTCTGAAACCCTCTTTAATTTGGATTATATTGGCTTGCAAAGATCCCTTATGCAGTTTGCCAGCTGCAGAGTTCTTTACTTCTTCCTTCCCTTCAATCTTACTGCACCTTCCATAACAGACCTGGGAGTATAGCCGCATAAAGAGAAGCAGCTCTCAGAAAAGCACTCTTTTTTTTTTGAGATGGAGTCTCGCTCTGTTGCCCAGGCTGGAGTGCAATGGCCCAGTCTTGGCTCACTGCAACCTCCGCCTCCCGGGTTCAAGTGACTCCTCTCCCTCAGCCTCTCGAGCAGCTGGGCCCACAGGCATGTGCCACCATGCCCGGCTAATTTTTGTATTTTTGGTAGAGATGGGGTTTCACCATATAGGCCAGGCTGGTCTTGAACTCCTGACCTTGTGATCCGCCTGCCTCGACCTCCCAAAGTGCCGGGATTACAGGCATGAGCCATTGCCCCCGGCCGAAAAGCACTCTTTAAAAATGACTGTCAACCTAAATGAAAAAACTGAGGCAACATTAATATAAGTAAAAAGTTTATTTGGGTCAAGTTTGAGGACTACAGCTTGGGAGCACAGATTCAAGTTCCCCTGAATATATACTTGGGTTAGCAGCAGTTACAAGTGGATTTTTAAAGGGAAAAATAAGAGGTGATTCATAAACTGTCTACTGTAACATGAGCTGCTGATTGGTTATATATTGTTCTTTGTATCACACATTCCAGGAACGTGAAGATAATGGGTGAGGCAGCTAGTCAGGAACAAAAATGCCTTTAAAGAATTGCCCCCAGGCATGGGTGCAGGGGGTGCCCTTGACTGAAGCTGCTCCTCACACTCACATCCCTCTGGGTCTGATAAATTTTGCATGCCTCACATAACTCAGACTGTTCTGAGCTGTTTTTCTTTTATCACTTCCCCCTCAGTTTTTTCCTTTAGGTGGAATGAACTGGAATAAAAACCTCGTTTTCTAGGTTAGGGCCATGTGCAGAACCATAGGAGTTCAAAGTTCATGTGTTGCAATCTTCTCAGCAAACTTCTTGAGGTGTGTACATTATATGTGGCAAAGTCTGGTTCTGAGGGGCCACTTGCCTGGTTTTGCCCGCTGGGTGCATGAATCTTGATTCTGTTAGTCAGATGGGGACCCCTTGGGCCATAAGTTTGTGCAACTCTGGGAAAATGAAGATGACAAAAGGATTTGTTGGGAATGATTGTAATATGAACTTTGTACAATTTGCTTACTTGTACTTAAAAAGTATTAAGCGAAGGCGGTGGGTTCTAATATCAAGCTCCATTTCCTCATTGCCGAAGCCCAGGTGACAATCCTTAGCCAATGTTCTTAAGGAACAGCTCTGTTTCTATCTGAATCCCCATCCACTGATCCCTTAGCTGAGGCATGGTCAGCGGGAGAACAAGCTTCTTGTTTTGGGGCCTGCAGTACTAAGTCTCAGTCTTTGCCCATAAACTCACTCGAAATAGTCTTCTGTTCAGAATCTTTCTACAAAACATTTTGCAGTCGTCCAAAATATTCTGCAAAATGCTTGCTGCCTGCCAGTAAATAAGTGGAATGAAAAAGAAGAAAAAAGGAAAAAAACCCCAAAACCAAAAAAAAACCCCAAAATGCTTGCTGTCAAGTTGTGCTAGGCCAGCTCTCCCTTTCTGTGCTGTCAGAATTCTCTTTGTGGGGTGGGGTTGGAAGGCATCATGATATCTCTTGCTTAGAGTGAGAACTGAAGGCACCTTCACACTCGGCAGAAATAGAGAGGCTTTCACTCTTCCTGCGTAACCACATTAATCATTCCCTACCTTCCCTGGTAGCTGAAGGTCCATGAGTTACATATACGTGTAATGCCTCCTAGACTGCCTTTTATTTTAATTAAGCCTGAAGCACCTTAACTTTGCATTTCTATTAACTTCTGCATTCAGATAGTATTTCTTTTTATTTATTTATTTATTTATTTTTGTTATACTTTAAGTTCTAGGGTACATGTTCACAACGTGCAGGTTTGTTACATATGTATACATGTGCCATGTTGGTGTGCTGTACCCATTAACTCGTCATTTACATTAGATATATCTCCTAATGCTATCCCTCCCCACTCCCACTACCCCACGACAGGTCCTGGTGTGTGATGTTCCCCTTCCTGTGTCCATGTGCTCTCATTGTTCAATTCCCACCTATGAGTGAGAACATGCGGTGTTTGGTTTTTTGTCCTTGCGATAGTTTGCTGAGAATGATGGTTTCCACCTTCATCCATGTCCCTACAAAGGACATGAACTCATCGTATTTCATATTGCTATATTCCAGTGTTGCTTTAGAGGTTTTCCACCCTTTGATAGAGTCCTTTGATAGGACTGTAACCACCTGATAGGTTCTTCCTGCTGGTTGCACAAAAAGATGTTACTGAGAAGGGGTCCTGATCCAGACCCCAACAAAGGGTTCTTGGACCTCATGCAAGAAAGAATTCAGGGCAAGTCCACAGAGTAAAGTGAAAGCAAGTTTATTTAGAAAGTAAAGGAATAAAAGAATGGCTACTTCATAGGCAGAACAGAGGCATGGGCTGCTCAACTGAGTATACTTATAGTTATTTCTTGATTATATGCTATACAGGGGGTGGATTATTCATAAGTTTTTCAGGAAAGGGGCGGGCAATTCCCACAGCTGAGGGTTGATTTCTCCCCTTTTTAGACCGCATAGGGTAACTTCCTGACATTGCCATGGCATTTGTAAACTATCATGGTGCTTGTTGAAGTGTCTTTTAGCATTCTAATGCATTATGATTCGCATATAACTAGCAGTGAGGATAACCAGAGGTCATTTTCATTGCCATCTTGGTTTTGGTGGGTTTTGGCCGGCTTATTTACTGCATCCTGTTTTATCAGCAAGGCCTTTGTTGTATGTTGTGCTCACCTCCTATCTTATCCTGTGACTAAGAATTCCTAACCACCTGGGAATGCAGCCCAGTAGGTCTCAGCCTCACTTTACCCGGCCCCTATTCAAGATGGAGTCACTCTGGTTCAAACACCTCTGACACAAAGACCACAGCGTTGCAATAAAGAAAGAGTTTAATAGACATGAATCTGGCCATGCCATTTTGGGGACAGAGCTCTTACTCAAATCAATCTCTTCAAAAACTTGTAGGTTAGGTTACCTTTTTCAGAGGCAATTTCAGGGAAGAAGTGGGGGTAGCTAGACAATAGGTGCTTGCTGCTGATTGGTTGGATCAGAGATGAAATCACAGGGAATTGAAGCTGTCCTCTGGTGCTGAGTCACTTCTGGGTGGGGCCACAGGTGGGGTTGGTGGGTCCAGGTGGAGCCACTGGTGTCAGATATGCCAAAAACCTGAAAAGATATCTCTAAAGGCCTATCTTAGGTTCTACAATAGTGATGTTATCTGCAGGAGTAATTGGGAAAGTTGCGTATATTGTAAAGTCTGGAATAATGGCTGGCAATCATTTGTGTCTACATCTTAGCAGAATTCAGGCTCCTCTATGCTCCTAGCCTGGTAGTCTTTCATTAGCTTTACAAAGGCAGTTGAGTTTTAGAGAAGGATTACTATTATTTAAACTATAAGCTAAATGTCTCCCAAAGCTAGCTTGGCAGCTTGAAGGCTAAAGGCAAGAGGGAGATTGGGTAGATCAGAAGTCTTCAACTGCCAAAATTTTCTCACTGATACAATTTTTGCAAAGGCAGTTTCAGGACTGGTCATGCATTTCCAGAGAAGCCAAGTTAGCTGCTCATGGGCAAGGGCAGTGGCAGCTAGGGGATGGTACCACCACACAGGCTGGCACCATCACACAGGCTGGCATCAGTGTCATTTACAAGAATTGTAGCTGTGTAAAGTAGCTGGTCACCTGATTTTTGGTGTGGGAGTTCACAGACTCAGTCTTGGTGTATTCCTCTTGTCTATTTTAGTGGGAGGCTGGATCTTTTCCAATCCAGATGGAGTGTGCACAGCAGGAAACTCCAATTACCAGTATGCCGCTCCTCTGCCTCTGCCTGCTCCCCACACCCACCATGGCTGTGAGCACTATTCGGGTCTCCGAGGACACCGGCAGGCTCCCTACCCTTCTGCGTACATGCACAGAAACCATTCTCCCTCAGGTCTGTGACTCTGCTGATTAAACCCTTGGGGTATGGGCTGGGGTGGGGGCAGTCAGGAGAAATGGATAAACAGCTAGGAAAAGGAGTAGCTAAAGATGGAACCCCGTCATCTAATATACATCTATGATATGATTGTTTTTGTGTTTTATTTTATTGTTATTTTATGTACAAATATTTGATTAACTAGGTATAACAATCTTAGTTTTTTTTAAAAAAATTATTTCATAAAACCCCCAGTCTCCTGGTTTCTAATGAGCGTGAAAGGCCAGGACACTGATATTCTGAGCAGTTCAGGCAGATCTCTAAAAGCCATGTCAAGTTGTGTGGGTCTGAAACACTCAGCTCATCACCTTCGCATGGCTCTTTTCTATAGTTGCATTCATGGCTCAGTTCAGGGAATACTGGGTCTAGCATTAGGGAATTATTAGGAAGGTCTCTGGGAAGCTGGATCCCTATATGTTCAGGCCTTAGTCTGATTCAGTTGGAGACATGCAAACCCAACCTTAGTATTTTAAAATAATTTTTGCTGTCTGTTTGTTTTAAGTTAGCAGTATTGTTTGTGTGCTTTTTTCTCATTGACTATTGCCTTTTCCACCTTTGCCTTATGTAGGCCCAGACCTTGCCTGATTATTAGATTTGTAGAAAGAAGGGAGAAATGAAAACAATGGTTACTTTTTCATTAAATTATTCATGCAACAAATATTTATTGAGGATCGACTATATGCCAGGCTCTGTTTCAAGCACAGGAATGAAATGGACAAATGCCCTGCCCTTACGGAGATTCTATACTAATATGAAAAGATTGACAATAAAACAAGTAAAGTTCATGGCATGGGAGACAGTGGAGAGTATTTGGATTCCAGCCTCCTTCCTTCCTCAGTGACACCCTGAGCTCTGCATTTGTAGAGGGTCCTCCTGGTCACCAGCTACCTGTCCCTGTGTCCCTTAGCCTGCTATTCTTGGCAACCTCAACAGTTGCTGCCAGGTGGGGAGATTATGTAGCTTACCAATAGCAGAAACTGAGCAGTGGCTCACTCTACTTCCTCATTCTTTCCTGCGGTCAGCATCAAATCACATCTTCTGAGCACCTACTGTGTACCGTGTTCTTCTAGGCAGTGGGATAGGAAAGTGATTAAGACATAGTTTCAGGGCCGGGAGCGGTGGTTCACGCCTGTAATCCCAGCACTTTGGGAGGCTGAGGCGGGCGGATCACAAGATCAGGAGTTCGAGAGTAGCCTGGCCAACATGGCGAAACCCCGTCTCTACTAAAAATACAAAAACTAGCCAGGCGTGGTCGTTGGCGCCTGTAATCCCAGCTACTTGGGAGGCTGAGGCAGGAGAATTGCTTGAATCCGGGAGGCAGAGGCTGCAGTGAGCCAAGATTGTGCCACTGCACTCTAGCCTGGGCAACAAGAGCAAGACGCCATCTCAAAAAAAAAAAAAAAAAAAAAAGATATAGCTTCTTCCCTGGAGGAGCTCGGGGTTACACAAATACGTAAATAATGAATCCTAATGTAATGCAGAAACATCACCTGGGAACTTGTTAGAAATGTAGACTTTCAGGCTCTACTCCTGAGTCAGGGTCTGCATTTTAACAAGATCACCAGGGGATTCATAAGCGCTCTAGAATTTGAGAAACAGTCTATAAAACACATAAGTCAGGGTGCCATGTGAATGAAGGAAAAAGAGCAGCTAGATATGCCTGGTGGAGGAGCAAAGGCTGCCCAGAGGGGTTAACATTTAAATGGAGCCTTGAAAGATGAATAGAAAAGGACAGAGTGGGAGTGGGCAGGGGTAAAAGGTGGAGGATGACATGTGCCAAAGGCAGAGGTGCAGGGCATTCCAGGTAGAGAGAGTGGGCTGAGCAAAGATACAGAAAGGGGAAAGACCCTAGGTTGTCTGGGAACAGCTTTGGAGCAGAGTGTAGGGGGAGTGGGGACAGATGGAAGATGTAAGAGTTAGGGCTGGAGAGCTTGGAAGTGCCAGATCGTAAAAAGAAGAGACATGGCCAGGTGTCTTAGTCCCCTTTGTGGCGCTATAACAAAATACTTGAGATTGGGTAATTTATAAGCAATAGACCTTTATTTTCTCATAGTCCTGGAGGCTGGGGAGTTTAAGATTAAGGTGCCAGCATATGGTAAGGGTTTTTTGGCTGTATCATAACATTGCGAAAGGCATCACATGGATGGTGGGGGAAAGAGGGGGAGAGGGCAGGAGGCTAAACCCATCCTTTTATCAGAAACCCATTCCTGCAATACTGACATTAGCCTATTCCTGAGGGTAGAGCCCCCATGGCCTAGTCACCTCTTAAAGGCCCCACCTCTCAACACTCTTGCATTGGGAATTAAGTTCCCAACACATGAACCTTGGGGGACACATTCAAACCATAGCACCAGAGATAGACGTTGGAATCTTCCTTCTCTCTCTCCCTTCTCCCCCTTTTCCCTTCCTTCCTCCCTCCCTCTGCCTTCTTCCTCTCTCTTATTTGTATACTATTTATGCAAATAGAGATTCAAAGAAATGGAAGACATTCTTCCCCCACCCCCATAAAAACTGTATATATTCAAGGTGTACAACATGACGTTTTGATATACATATGCATAGTGAAGTGATTACTGCTGTCAAGCAAATTAACATGTCCATCTCCTCACATAGTTACTTTTTTTCATGATGAGAGCACCTGAAATCTATTCTCTTAGCAAATTTCCAGTACACAGTACAATATTATTAACTATAGTCTTCAGATTGTAAGTTAGATCTCTAGACTTATTCATCCTACACAAGTGCAACTTTATATCCTTTGACCAATATCTCATTTCCCCAGCTTCCCACCCCTGGTAACCACTGTTGTACTCTCAGCTTCTATGTATTCAACTTTCTTAGAGTCCACATATAAGTGAGATCATATTATGTTCTTCTTTTTGTAAAAAGGTATGTTTTTTTCTTAATTTTTTTTTTTTTTAATTGTAGAGATGGTGTCTCTCTGTGTTGCCCAGAGAGGTCTCAAATTCCTGGGCTCAAGGGATTCCCCTGCCTTGGACTCCCAAAGTGCCAGGATTACAGGTGTGGGCACCATGCCGGGCCAAAAGGCACTGTGCTTGAGATATTTAAACCTACTCAGGGATGGCCGAGAAGAATAAGTTCCTGGACCTCAGAAATCTCATCTGGGGCACTGGTGGCCCTTAGGCTTAGCTTGAGGGGAGGCTGGTATGGTCCCTTCTTAAAAGAGAGTGACTGTGGTGAAATGAGTTAGACAGATCGGTGTTACCCAGGGCAAATCATTCTACCACCCTGAGGCGTATCTATAAGATGGAGTTAAGGAGTCACTGGTGTGAAGATTAAACTATGAATGACACCTGGCATATGGTTGACATTGAGGAAACCCACGTTTCTTTTTATTTTCTATTTCCCTGAGAAAGAACTAACAAACTGTTGGTGCCTGTAGTGCAAGCCATGGTTATATTTTGCCCTAGGATAATGTCACTGGTCACCATCTTTATGTCTTCTACATTTGCTATCAATTCAACTGTTGTTATTTCCCCAAGTGAATTTGATAGAAAGCTCAAGCAATAATCTGCAAGTTTTCTCGGGACCTGACAGCTGGACTTCCTTATCCTCCACACCCCATGCCAGCATCCTGTCTGTACCCCACACCAACGGACCAATCAATCCAGGGCCCAGGTAAGACCAACACCATCAACTCGCTCATTGGTCGTCTTGGGGGTTTACTTTAGCACTGGGGACTCAAGTTCATTCTTTTTCCTAGGGTGGCTTGGTCTAACCTATTGTCTTGACTTCTAAAACACTAAGAAGTCAAGGTGGCAACAGGGTGGAGTTCTTTCATAAGGGGAGAAACAGCTCAGTCATATACTGTTTCTTTTATTTAGAAGGATAGGCCGGGTGCAGTGGCTCACACCTGTAATCCCAGCACTTTGGGAGGCCAAGGCAGGTGGATCACCTGAGGTCAGCAGTTCCAGACCAGCCTGGCCAACATAGTGTAACCCCATGTCTACTAAAAATACAAAAATTAGCTGGGCATGGTGGCGCATGCCTGTAATCCTAGCTACTCAGGAGGCTGAGGCAGGAGAATCGCTTGAACCCAGGAGGCAGAGGTTGCAGTGAGCTGAGATTGCGCCATTGCACTCCAGCTTGGGCAACAAGAGTGAAACTCCGTCTCAAAAAATAAACAAATAAATAAATAAAAGGATAAAGACATTATGGCCTGGGATCATTTGTCTTAAACCAGTCAGAAATACTTTAAACTATGGTGGTAGCAAATAGATACTGACTGTAGAGGAATTGAAGAGGAAAAGTATAAATATACACTGAGAAGTCAAGACCCATGATTGTCCATTTTCCCATGAGTCACCCATCCTAAAAGGGGGACATATTGTGGATGCCTGGCCTCACGACCCTGGTAACAGAGTTAAGTGTAGCATGGGGGACCCCATGGTTTAATCCTCACACTAGCAACCTGCATTAAGTTCTGACTTCTAGAAATCTGAGTGGTGAAGTGGGAAGAGAAGGCCCCTTTGAGTCTGACAGGCAGGGGTTTGAGTCCCAGTTCTACCTCTTAGTAGTGATTTTGTGGCTTTGGGCAATTTTCTTAGCCTTACTGAGCTTCAGCTTTCTTATCGGTATCATGGAAATAATATGACCTACTTTGCAGAGTTACTGTGAGCATCAAATGCAGAAATGAGAAAATGCATTAACGTGCTTTGTAAGCAGTAACATTCTGTGTAAATGTCAGCTATTATGTTCAATATGGTTATGCAGAATTTTGAGAAGGTCCAAAGTGGATTCAAAATTAAAAGATGAGGCTTGGCGGGGTGCGGTGGCTAACACTTGTAATCTCAGCACTTTGGGAGGCCGAGGCAGGTAGATCCCCTCAAGTCAGGAGTTTGAAACCAGCCTGGCCAACATGGTGAAACCCCATCTCTACTAAAAATACAAAAATTAGCCAGGCGTGGTGGTGCATGCCTGTAATCCCAGCTACTTGGGAAGCTGAGGCAGGAGTATCACTTGAACTCAGGAGGCGGAGGTTGCAGTGAGCTGAGGCACTGCACTCCAGCCTGGGCAACAAGAGCGAAACTCTGCCTCCAAAAAAAAAAAAAGGATGGGATTTGGGAAGACATCAGATGACTTGTGATTTGTAAGTCCAGAAAAAGTTAGGAAAGGTTAGGAGAATGTAGTGGCTTAGAATCACCTGGGGTTGTTGTTAAAATGCAGAATCTGATTGGTAGGTTTGGGTGGGGGCCTGAGATTCTGCATTTCTACCAAGTTCCTGGGTGTTGCTGATATTGCTGTGGCCCACAAGGGTGTAGAGCTGTGCTGTCCAGTGCAGCAGCCACCAGCCACCTGTAGTTGTCAAACACTTGAAATGCAGCTAGTCCAAGTTGAGTGTAATACTCACATAGGATTTTGAAGATTTAGTGTGAAACAAAGAATAAAAATCCCAGTTTTTTATATATATATATAAAAAAATATAAAATATATATACCACTATATTACATATATTTTTATATTTTTAAATATAATATAGACTTATATATAAAATAGATAATATATATTTTAATATATATAATTTGTATAAAAATATATATTTTAATATCTATAAAATATATATTAAAAATATATAAATATATAAAAATATAACAGTATATGTAAATATAGATGTTATTATGTAAATATTATGATGTAAATATATACATATAAATATATATATTTACATCAAATGCATGTTGAAATAATATTTTGAATATTTTTGTTAAATAAAATATTAATAAATTAATTTTTTTCTAAATGTGGCTACTAGAAAATTTAAACTTACACATGTAGTTGGCATTTATGGTTTGCATTTTGACGCTGATCTAGAGGATCATTTGCATTTGACACTGATCTAGAGGATCTGAGGGAAAAACATTGATTTGGGCTGTGGTAGGAAGTGAGAAAGAGAGTGAAGATGAGGTTCCCTGAAGATATTAAACAATCATGTGCCAAGTTGTATACTAGATACTTACATATATATAAGTCATCCATATATAAGTCATCTGTAGTACTCAAAGACAACTATAAGGCAGGTATTAAAATTCCTATTTTGCTGATGAAGAAACTGAAGCTCAGAGGCCTTAAAAACTTCCTGAAGGTTCTGCAGTAAGCAGTACCTCTCAGAGCCCATGGTTCTCCCACTGGCCCAGGAGGCATCAGAAAGGGTCTGTAAGAGATAATGTAGAAGAGCATCTTCTGAAGATTGGGGCCAGAATCCCCATAAGCTGAGCTAGCTCAGAGAGAGCTCAGAGGATGGGCTGCTGAAGGTTTCATATGGTCCAAAGAGGCCTGTAGCATTGAAAAATGGCACCAGGTGAAGGATGGCATTGCCAACTCTGGCTTCCCTGTTGGTGTGTTTAACTCATTCCTGACTCCATAAATATTTTGTTAGAAACAAAACAAAACAAATGTATTCAATATTGCCATTGGATAATAAGCATATTATCAAGCAATACAGTGTTGGGCAATGCAGAAACTCTAAAATGTAAGAAACATAGTGATGACTACAGGCCGAAAACATTGGGTTCATTGCACCTGTTCCAACTGCATCTATATTAAGGTGCAAGCTTGGCTGTACATTACAGTCACCTGGGAAACTTAAAAAAATCCTCGTACTCAGGCTGCATGCCAGATCAGTTCAATCAGAATCTCTGGGGCAGGGGAGTGGGGTGAGAGTGGGATCCAGGCACCAATATTACTTTAAAAACCCCCCCTAGTGATTCCAATGTGCCGAATGTGCAATCAAGTGTGTGAACCTGTGCTACAGAACTAGAGAAGGCAAAGAAAATGTTGTAGCTCCCAGCCTTTCAGCCAGGCACCAGAGCTCACAGGCGGAGACCAGGAATGGAAGAATTAATGTTAACAACCACCATTTACTGAGTACTACATGCTAAGGACCATATACTCCTCTTATTTAATCCTTGTAGCAATCTCTGTAAGGTAGGTAAAATTATGAATCCACATCTTGAAGATGAGAAATTGACACTCAGAGATATTAAATAATCTAGCCAAGGCCACAGAGCTAATTAAGTGGTAGAGCTGGGATTTAAACTTAAGTCTTCTGACAGTGATGTTTCCTGGTTATTATGCCACATTGGCCAGGGAGAGATCATATGCAGAAATCATACAGTTTTAATACCTTTTTTTCTACTGCCCTGCCAATTTTACATAGGCTGCAAGGGAGCCCAGATAAATGAAATTCTGTGTCTAAAACCAAATAATTCGCTGGTGGCCGGGCCAGTACCAGAATACTTAATCTTATCATTATTCCACCATACTTTGCTGCTTCTCTTAGCTTTTCTGCAGAAACAGGACCAATCTGCGTCATAGCTAGAAATAAAGCCATGGCCAGAAGCCCTCCTGTAACCATGCCCTTCTCAGCACTGTGTACATGCTTGTCAGGTGGCACTCCTTCCTTGGAGTGCCAGTGAACATTCCCTTCCCCTCTTTCTCTGTCTCTGCAGCCCCTACCCGTGCCTGTGGACCATCAGCAATGGTGCCGGAGGCCCCAGTGGGCCAGGCCCGGAGGTGCACGCCAGCACCCCAGGAGCATTTCTCCTCGGAAACCCAGCTGTGACTTCACCCCCTTCTGTGCTCTCCACCCAAGCACCCACTTCGGCTGGTGTGGAGGTTCTGGGGGAGCCCTCGCTAACCAGCATTGCTGTGTCCACCTGGACAGCAGTGGCCTCGCATCCCTTCGCGGGCTGGGGTGGCCCAGGAGCGGGTGGGCACCATTCTCCTTCCTCACTGGATGGTTAAGCAGGATCCTAGGAGCCTCTTTGCACAGCGATCCTTCCATGTGTAGAGTGCTTAGAAACCCCATCAACTGATCTAGTGAGTCAGACTGTGGAATCTCCCTTCCCACTAGCTGGAGGTGGAGGTGGGTTATTACAGAAGTCATACTGGGAGAGGGTTCAGTTTGGATGATGCTAGTTAGATCATTTGCATCTCTCCACCATTTTCTTCTGCACTCCCATTTTCTCTGCAGCTTATTCTTGCCATGCTTAGGTGACAGAAGTTTGTTAAGTACCATCCTTGTGCCCTGCCTCTTATTCTCAAATCGTTCTGGAAAGCCTCACTTCCTTTTCTGTGGAGAAGGTGCAAAGCTGTTAAATGAGCTCAGAGTTTACCTAGCTAAGGCCACTGCTTCCTGCTTTGTGAAGCCTGGAAAGTATGTGTGGCCACAGGGCTCAGGTTCACACTTCTGCTTTGAGACCAGGATGGGGTGTAAGCCATAGAGTAAGGTTAACAAAAAGAATAAAGCTAATCATGTATTACAAACAGCAGTGTGCCCAGACTTGTGGAAATGAAGTCATGTCACTCCTCTGCTCAGAAACCTTCAATGGTTCACCATTACCAGTGGAATGAAGTCAATTCTCCTCACTATAACTGGGTGTGGTAGTTTAAGCCTATAATCTCAGCCCTTTTGGAGGCCAAGGTAAGAGGATCGCTTGAGGTCAGGAGTTCGAGACCAGCTTGTGCAACAAAGTGAGAGCCTGTCTCTACAAAAAATAGTCATGCACACAAAATTAGCTGGGCATGGTGGCCTGTGCCTATAGTCCCAACTACTTAGAGGAGGATCGCTTGATCTCAGGAGGTTGAGGCTGCAGTGAATTATGATTGTGGCATTGCACTCCAGCCTGGGTGGTAGATCAAGGCTTTGTTTCATTTGAAAAAAAAGAAAGAAAGAAAGAAAGAAAGAAATCCTACTACGAGCGATCACACCATCTGGCCTGAAACCACTTCCCCAGCTTAGGTCCCTCTGTTATCCTGTTGGCCTCCTATGTATTGGTCAAGGCAGGCATCTCTGTTCTCTGAACATTCATTGCACTTTCCCACCTCTATACCTTGCCTGTGCCTTAGTGTCCTCTTTTTTCCAGTTCACCTGTGCGAATCCGACCCACCTCCCAGAGCCTGGCTGAAACGTCACTCCCTGCATCCAACATCTGATCTGCTGAGATATGTCTGATCTATCTCTGCTCGCTGTTCTCCCGTTGTTTTTGCCTCTGCCATAGAGCTCACCTCATTTTGCCTTGTATTTTTGTTACCTGTGAGTGTGTCTCTCCCTATTAGACTGTAAGCCTCTCGAGGGTGAGGCCTAGCCTTCTTGTCTTTGTAACCCACAGCAGCTGGTACTGTGCCTTGCCTATTGTAGGTGCCCAATAAACATTTGCTGAACTGAATTGGTGTAATGTGCATGTGTGCTACAAGGACGGTGTGAAGTGGCTGGGGGGCAGATCTCAGAGACACATGCCCCATGACACATAGGTGCATCCGTGTGGGAGCCTAGGAACATGCTGGCTGTTAGTTACACGGGCTTCTCATCTGAGGCACCACCAATTGTCAGTGAATGACAATCATATATGGAGACAGGGTGTGTTAGAGTGGTTATTCCCAAATACTGGTTCTTGGATCCCCTAAGTCAGGATCACCTGGAACAGGGGACCCTTGCTAGACATACAGATTCGTGGGTATACCCCGTACCTGTTGGATCAGAATCTTTGGGGCTGGCGTTCAGGAATCTGCATTTCAAACAAGAGCTCCAGGCATTGGCCCTGGGCTAGGTTTGGAAACTCCTTGCCTAGAAGAGAGAAACAGGATGATAAATACTCCAGGAACCTTATTTCAGATGAGTTTTTACCTCTGCCCCAGCCAAGGTCATTGCTATAACCCGTGAGCAGAATCAGTTTCGTGAGTCTTCCTCCTCTTTTTCTACCTACTACTGGATGTGCTAATAACCTTGGGAGTGAGGTTTCCAGACCTGGGTGATGAGCAGTTCTCCAAACATTGACTTTAGACTGCACTGGCTGAGCAGCCCTTCTCAGGGCCGCCACTTGAGGAGTCTAAAGTTCCACTTGGAGCCTAGCATTGGCTCAGCTGCTTCCACCACTATTCCATCAGCTGAACCCGTGCAAACCCAGCCCACTCCAAGGCTTAGTCTGAGGGGTCCAAACATGGTACTATTGAGTCCTTGGCTCTTTCTATAGCGAAAGGTCCTTTAACATGCTATGGTGTCACAACTGGTGTCACTGCCCAATATTTCTGTGCTGTTCTGTTTTTTGGATCTCAGGAAACAATACTACTCCAGCTACGTGGTGTCCAGGGAAGACTCATTGCCTGACTTCAGGTTGCCTGGCCAGCGCTCTGGGCCACTAGTTGGCGTGTGAGTGGCCAAGGCACAATGGATCCATGCATTTGGAAAGCTGTCTGGTCAGCATGCCCCTAAGGCAGCATTGTTCCTGTTTCCCAGTCCCTTTACAATACCATTAGAGGTCACTAAGGTATTAATATATTAGTATCTCTGCAAGACAGTACTTTGGTAAGTTATAACAGATGGTCATTTCTCAATCTGCTAGAACTTTAGGCTACTGTGGCCTGTAATTGCCACAGCAGGTCTGACCAAGGCCTCTTTACTGGTCACTGCAGCAAGTCTTGGCACCAAGTCCTTCACATGTCCTGTACCAAGAGCTCAGCAAGTGTAATTAGGGAATAAAAACCCACCTTGAGTCTCACCCTTCCTGCACTTCCCCTAGCCTGGAGCAGACAGAAGACCTGGCCCAGGGACACAGAACAGAAAGAAGCTCGTAGCCTCCATTATATTTTCATTTATATTGCTCAGGTGAATGGGGTCCTCTGCAGCATGATAACATGAGCATTAGCTGAGTTTGGGGTGATCACGTCTCTCCGTCTTGTAGGATACTCAGCTTGGAACCTGCTGTGATTCTTAAACACACACACCATGATAGCTGGTTCCACAAATAGGATCTCTATTTGCTGTTAGCTATCTAGCCAGAGACACTTTCTATTTTTTTCTTTAAATAGTCTAGGGCTAATTTCTGATCAGAAGAAACAACACTAGTTACATAAGTCAGTTTAGTAAGTGACAGATTAGCTTCTGTAATGTGTTAGACAAACTTTGGAGTTTTGTATACCATTTCCTTGCTCATGTATCTTCTCTACTCAACTCACTATAAAACAAAAATGGTGCCTTTCAGGTTTTCTGGACTATTTCATGAAATTTAAGAGAAACTGAAATCCCACCTGAATAGAAGAGTTATGCAATACTTTTAGCCAGATGGTAGAGATTCTAACTCTCCCTGAAGCCTGGCCTATTGGAAAGTGTCCCCTACTGTGGGGCCTTTATTTGAGTCTGTGTGACCTCACCAGCCCTCCCTTCCCTGGATGAGCCAGCCTCATTACCAACCACCTCTGTCCACCATGCTTAGCTAGATGCTTATGGGAAACTGCTGATTCCCTTCGTGTCACTTGGTGGACACCCCCCAGAACTGGATGGTGGTCAAATTAGGGGAGGAATGTTTTCATCACCTAAGTTATTAAGAAAAAAACTCAATAAAGGATATTCGAAGCTTGGTAGGTCTTCACCACTTTCTTCAAGACTAGAATAGATTTGAGTGAATATCAGCAAGTTAAAATGTCACATTTGTGAAGAATATGAATTCTGTTTTACGGAAATTGTGGGTCAGCCAAAGTAGGGGATGGCAACTGGGGCATTCAAGTGGCCCTTCTTTCAACTCCTTCCTTTTTATTTTCTCCACCCATTCCCACTTTATTGAGCCACTTGTTGGCTACTGGCCAGGTTGGTGAACAGAGAGAGTACGGGCATCCTTGAGCCACTTGTTGGCTACTGGCCAGGTTGGTGAACAGAGAGAGTACGGGCATCCTGGAACAGAGGTTAAGGTAGGGATATGTGGTGCCACAAAAGATATAAAGGAACAGCCTCTGTGGTCTGAAGACACCAAAACTTTTCCATCATCATCATTATAGACACATCTATGGGGTAGTCTGTCCAACCCCCCAACCTTCTAGGAATAGAACCCCCCCAAACTCTTGGTGAAACTACCTTTTTGGAATAAGTAATGAGAGAAATCTAACGTGACTGACTCCATCTTGCTTCTAACCTCACAGGCTAAATTTCTTTTTTTTTTTGTAGACTGAAGCTGCGTTCATAAGACAAGGCTAAAATTGTGGTAGGGCCTTGGACTTTGCTGTAGAATAGGCATAGTTAAACCATGACCTGCCATCGCTTAGTTTGTTTTTCTATAAGTTGTTTACTGCCCCAGAATCACAAAACTGGGGGTCACATGATTTATAACTCCCCCATCTACTCCTATAGCTAACATCACTATTGTGAAACCTAAAGAACTGGTCTTTGAGATATCTTTCAGATTTAGCATTGTGACAAAACAAGAGATGCCACCTGGTCCTGAGGCCCTCTTCCAGGAACTGACTCAGCCACACGAAGACAGTTTTAGGTGTCCCTGTGATTTCATCTCCAGCCAATCGTTTCAGTTCTCCAGCCCCCTTCCTGCCAAAGTACCTAGGCTACTGAAATAAAACTGGCGTCTGGGAAACCCGGAGGCCAGAGCAACTGGTCAGGCCCAGGTGAGGACTTAGAATTCAACTAGTTGGGAGTGAGAAGTTGGTCAATCTCTCATTCTCAACATGGAAACATCGGAAATTCACATTTTCTGGTCATGACCACTCTTATTTGGAGCACTTTGTAGGAGTAACTGTGTGTGTTTATGTGTGTGTGTGTGTGTGTGTGTATGCACAAGTATGTCTATTTAGTGATGAGTTCCCTGTCCCTAGAGAATAAGTCAATAAACCTTTGGGGTAGATTCACTTTGTTCTGAAAGAACACTTTTTAGGGGGTGGAGTTTGGGGAGGAGTGTTAACAAGGAGTTTTGGGTTAACCAGGGCTGGTTCTGGAGGATGGAGCTGTGGTATCCCTCCTACATACTTATTAGATGGGGAGGGCTTGGAGCTTGGAGGTTGCTGAGGAGGAATCAGACATATTTTAGGTGGGAACGTAGTAATCTCTTAGAAGGAAAGACCTTTTCTATTTGTGGTTAAAATGTAGTGAAATATATTGGATGGCTTGGGTTAGCCCAGACCAAGGTTGGGCAGCAGGAAAAGTATATTTCCTCTAAGACAAAATTATATTACCACAATGGGAGGAGTAGTTTGAATGGATGACTGGTTTCCACACAAGAGCAACTGGAGGTAAGAGATGCTCCTGGACCCAATGTGGACTTATGCAGCCACCTGGACACTGCCATGCCTTGAGAAAAATGGCTGGTGTGTGGGTTAAAAGAGTGGATCCTCAAGCGTTAACACTTGGGGCCTGGGCTAAAGTTGCTAAGTGGGATATGTTGGGGGAAAATGTCCAGGGTTGTAATGACAGGAAGTCATGAGAGATTGAGGATACTCCATGGATTTCTGTTAACTTGAGCAGGTGGGTGTTGATGGTTACTAGAGTTAGAAATTTAAATTAGAGAAATGGCTAATTGTGTTATTACAGGGTGGATGACTGTCTTGGTTATACTTGAGGACAAAAACTGTCTTCCATTGCTGTACCTCCAACACCTTGCACATGTGCCTGGTAGGTACATGGTAGGCACCCCACAGGTATTAATCCAGAATTTTTAGAAATAATCCTTAGCAGTACTTGGAAATTTTAGGTGGGGAAACATGTTTGGTTTGATAAAAAGTTCTTTGTATATTTTTGTCAAAGTTGTGTCTTTATAAGATCGTATTTCTTTAGAAAAGTTTTTTTTTGTTGTTATTTGTTTGTTTGAGACAGAGTCTTGCTCTGTTGCCTAGGCTGGAGTGCAGCGGCACGATCTTGGCTCGCTGCAACCTCTGCCTGCTGGGTTCAAGCAATTCTCCTGCCTCAGCCTCCCGAGTAGGTGGGATTACAGGCGCTCACCGTCATGCTTGGCTAATTTTTTTGTATTTTTGTAGAGATAGGGTTTCACCATGTTGGTCAGGCTGGTCTCAAACTCCTGACCTCTGGTGATCCACGCGCCTCGGCCTCCCAAATTGCTGCGATTACAGGCATGAACCGCCGGGCCCAGACAGATTATTATTTTTAATAGCTTTATTGATATATAATTTACACAGCCTATTTAAAGGGGAAATTCATTGGACTTTTCTAGTATATTTACAGAGTTGTGTGCCCATAACCATAATCTAATTTTAGAACATTTTTGTCACCCTACAAAGAAAGCTTATACCCATTAATAGTCACTGCCCACTTCCTTCCTACTCACCTCCACCCCCTCCCCTAGGCAGCCACTTATCTCCTTTCTTTCTCTATAGATTTCCCATTCTGGACACTTCATTTGGCTGGAGTCATGTGATGTATGGTCTTTTGTGACTAGCTTCTTTCACTTAGAGGATCCTTGATGCTGTGGCGTATATCAGTACTGCATTCCTTTTTCTGCCAAGTAATATTCCATTGATAAATACAGCCACATCTTTTTTATCCATTCATCAGCTGATGGGCATTTGGGATGTTTCCACTTTTTGAACATTCATGTATGAGTTTTCGTATGGGATAGATACTATCTATCATTTTCCTCGTCTTACAGATGGAGGGAGCCAGCTCAGACAGCGTAGATGGGGTTTTCAGTGTAACACAACTAGTAGGGGCAGAATTCAGACCTACCTGACGATGAAGTTTTTGTTCCCATTCACAACCCAATGTCACCCTGTACTGAGGATTGTCCCAAGCAGGAGCAGTTACGTTACTCAGCTGGCACTTCCCCTTGGTTTCCTGTTACATTTACATCAGATTCCCAGGGCTGCGGTGGCGATTAGGGAAAAGAGTCTGTGTTCACAC
Source organism: Homo sapiens (assembly GCF_000001405.40). Taxonomy (NCBI): domain Eukaryota; kingdom Metazoa; phylum Chordata; class Mammalia; order Primates; family Hominidae; genus Homo; species Homo sapiens. The sequence goes on from NC_000001.11 coordinate 168,319,889, forward strand.
TTGGGAGGAGGCTGGGCGTAGGGCGTGGGAAAGCGGGAGACAGGGAGATCGTGGAATGAGCAGGGCTTCATGGGCCAGGGACCATCTGGGGCCTAGTGGCAGATTGCTGGTCTTCCAAGGACTGGATAGCATCTCTAGGGCATTTCCAGAAACCTTTTGGGGCAGATTCTGGTGAAAGTCTGAATTTCCTGGAGAAGGAGAATGTGGGTAAGAGCACATTATAATTTGATTAAGAGCAATGTGATCTCAAAATCTAATGAAGCCTGGCAAATATTGATTGGTATTGAGGTGATTGATTTTAGGATAGACATTTAAAAAAGTGCACTTATTGACAACAAAACAAAAATGTGTTGTAGCCAAAGCATTCAGAAATCCAAGACTTAACTTTGCAGTTTTAAAGTTCACAAATGTGATGAAAGGGAGAAGGACTTTGTAATCTTTATAATGATTGATTAGACTTTGAATTGGGAGCCCGTATGTGTAAGTTATGCTACTGTTTGGTCAGCCTGCTGCCAAGTCAGTTACCAGCAAGATGATGCCATAAATTTCTTGCTCTGCAGAGAGGATAAGATATAGGGACCATTGATACTTTCTTGTCAGTGCCTCAGACTGAGGGGCTTCCTGGGATATAGGCATTTCAATTTAAAATTTCAATTTAAATGGAATAAACTTTCCATTAATTTCCATTTATTTCCAATAAAATTTCCATTTCAATTTAAAATGGAGACAGCCTGGATTTTCCCAGGATGAGTTGGTCAACCTGTAACATTGGACGCGTACTTGTGGAGTCCAGAATCCTGCTGTGTTGACCACATGGGGAATGAATATTTTTCTGAAAAGAGATAGGGCAGAGATGAGCAGAGAGAGTAGAAAAGCTAACAGCTGGCCTTAAATTCCTACGGTTGCACTTTTCTTAGCATCTTGTAGGTGGGTCTATTGTTTAGCACAATTATTTACAGAAGGCAAACTGTTATGTAGAGCAGCTAGAAGCATTGGTTGCAGTAAAAGCAGCTGTTTTATTTCATCGTAGACAATCCTGTTTATCTCTCCCAGCCCAATCAAATGTACCCCGCCAAATACTTGGCTATGATCTGAGACCTAGGAAAATAGCATGTGATCTCTGTCTCTCACTTTTTTTTTTGGCATGTGATTTTAAGATTTTCATCTTTAAAGTTATTGTAAAACTCAAGGCCCAGAGCATGGCCCAGAACTAGTGGGAGTTCACAAAACAGATCAAGAATCAGAGTTGGTGAGTCATGCAGGCTCACAGCACTCTGAAACACAGGGATAGGGCTTACTCATCAGTTCAGACATTAGGCGTTCCAAAGGAGGTCCTGGGGGTGTGGTGATGACATTGCCCAGGATCAATTATTTAACTGTTGTTTAAGAGGTAGGAACCTCATCAATGGGTTTACATAGGGAGGAGATAGGAAGTAGAGAAAGCAAAGCGTTCTTCCAGTGCCCTGATCTCTTTCCATGTGGGCTAGTGCCTCATAAGTCCAGAGAGGTTACACTATACGTGGGATAAGGGTAGAATAAGGGCTTGGGGAGCACTTTTTTCTTTCTTTCTTTTTCTTTTTTTTTTTTGAGGCAGCCTGGGCTCTGTCACCCAGGCAGGAGTGCAGTGGTGTGATCTCAGCTCACTGCAACCTCTGCCTCCAGGGTTCAAGTGATTCTCCTGCCTCAGCCTCCCAAGTAGCTGGGATCACAGATGTGCTCTACCATGCCCGGCTAATTTTTTGTATTTTTAGTGGAGACTAAAAATACACCATGGGGTTTCACCATGTTGGCTAGGCTGGTCTCAAACTCCTGACTTCAGGTGATACACCTGCCTTGGCCTCCCACAGTGCTGGGATTACAAGTGTGAGCCAGGCAGCACTTTCTTGAATGTTCTCAGAGTTGTACATAAACCTGAGACATCAGCAACTTCATAAGTAAGGTCTTTGGTATACGCAGAATTTTATATACACTTAGGGTAATTTTTGGGAGGTGAAGAGAAAAAGTGAGGGGAAGGGATCCATAGCTTTTATTAGATTTCCAGTGGGATCCATCATCCCCCCAAAATTAAAATCTACTGCTCTATATGTTCTTCGAATGATATGCTCAGCTCATAACTCTAAGTTTCTATGTAAGTGCTAAGAGCTTATAAATATTCTCCAGCTAGACCTCTTCTCTTGATTCTGGATTCCATGTATACTACACTACCACCTACAGGACATTTCCACTCTGTGTCCTATGGGTGCCTCAATGTCAACACACCTAAAACTCAATAATGGCTTCTCTTTCTATATTACCCATTATAGATGATGGTAGATGAATGACATCACCATTTACCCAGGTACTTAAGTCTCTTTCTTTCATTTGCCACATTTGATTAGCCACTAAGCCTGGTCTCTGCTACCTCAGAAATACTTTTCAATTTAACCCTACCACTTCCTTCTCTCAGTCTCAACTGCTACATCCCTCCTGTAGCCAGAAATGAAAATCACAGTAATAAGCCTTGCACCCCAACTGAGAAAATACTTTAAGTCACAATAGCCTAAAGTTCTAGCAGATTGAGAAATGACCACCTCTTATAACTTACCAAAGTACTGTCTTGCAGAGATACTAATATATAATACCTTAAAATACCTTAGACAGCTGTTCACTTATGTCTAACAAAATAAGTTAGAATTTATTTTGAAATATAGGTGAATCTTTTGTGTATCCAAAGACCAACTTTAGGCTCCTTTGTGAGTTTTGGAGCCAAAGAGAGGAAGCCTGGAATGGAGGCTCCGTTGGCAAAAGGAAATAAGGTTCTAGAAATGCCACTGTGTAAGGGCCTGGGTGAGTAGAGATTTATTTATTTTTTAATTTTATTTTCTAAATGATGAATAATAATTGTACATATGTATGGGGTACACAGTGATGTTTTGATACGTACAAGGTAAAATGATCAAATCAGAATAATCAGTATATTCATCATCTCAGACATTTATCATTCCTTTGCGTTGGGAATGTTCAGTATCCTCTTTTTAGCTATTTGAAACTATATAATACTGTTAACTATAGTCAACAGTGCTCTAGTACTCTAGAACTCCTATCTAATATAACAGTGCCGCAATGAACATCCTTGTACATTTCTCTGGTGAACATACATGAGAGTTTCTGCAGGGTAGATACCTCCAAGTAGAATCCCAGACTTAGAATACGTGTAGCTCAACTTTTGCAGGTATTGTTCAATTGTTCTCTAAACTGGTTGCATCAATTTACAATGTAAGCAGTAATAAATAAGTTTCCAATCTTGCTATCACCCTGTGTTACAAAGCTACATCATGTGTCCCACCACGCCCAACTAATCTTTTTTATTTTTCGTAGAGATGAGGATCTCATGATGTTGACCAGGCTGGTCTCAAACTCCTGGGCTTAAGTAATTCTTTCACCTCGGCCTCCCAAAGTGCTGGGATTACAGATGTGAGCCACCATGTCTGGCAATACACCATACTTTATTTCTCTTTTTGATAGGCGTTCTAAAAATGTATGTATTAGAAGTCCTGTGTTTGTAAGGCAGAAACCCTTAGCAACACCATAAGCAGCAAATACACTTGTAATGTCTCGGATATAAAAGAAACTTAATACAAGTCTCCCTAAATTTGACAATTTTAGAAATATACATGAAATTAGCAACAACTGCTTGTGACATGGAAAGAAACCGTTCTAAAATATTAATACCCCCAAATCCCACCACGTTAAATCTTGATTAGTCATTTTAGAGATAGACTAAATTACTTTTCTAGTTTCTCTATGGAAAATAATATTACAAAAATCACTGTATGAAAAGGCAATCAGAGTATATAGCTAACAAACATTGGTACTAAATGAATGTAATTGTTATGTCATTTCTGGCAACATAGAATCAAGGCACCTCCCAGCCTCTCCTACAGATGTGTGTGCTATTTCCATGCCTTTTCCTGCCTTATGGTGGCTGCTGGCAATTTTGGCATTCCATGGCTTGTAGATGCCGTACTCCAATCTCTGCCTCCATTATCACCTGGTGTTCTCCCTGTGTGTCTGTCTGTTTCCTCTTTTTATAAAGACACTAGTCACTGGATTAAGGCCCATCTTAATCCAGTGTGATCTCATTTTAACTAATTATACCTGCAAATATGTTATTTCCAGAAAGGTCAAATTCTGAGTTTCTGGGTGGATATGAATTTTGAGGGACACTATTCAACCCAGTACAGAGTATAAGCAAACTGTCCGTGTAAATAATTCAGTGTAATCCACTTAAAATGTACCAGGGTAGAAAAGCATCTTCCCAGTTCTGTGCCTCCATGGGGTGATATTTACATTCTTGTTTTTATGCAAAGACCCAAGAGCATACAAATTCTATCCTTCCTCCCTCCCTCACATTTATCCTCTGTAGACATTGAAAGTCCTGTGAAAAAGCTGAAGCCACAAATAATGTGCTCCAATACGGTGTGACTTCCAGGAAGTGCTCTTAAAGGGAGGGTTGAGAACTTCTTAGCCTGGATTCCCTTTGCTTGTTGGCGGAATGCAGATGTAATAATTAGAACTTGAGCAGTTATCTTGAACCATGAGGTAGAAGCCACAATTTGAGAATCAAATTATCTTGAACTATGAGGTAGAAGCCACAAGATAGAAGGACTATGAGTTCACCATACTCTTTGAGTTATCATATCAGCCCTAGACTTCTTACTTCTGGGATTTGTTTTCATAGGACAAAATAACCTTCTATCTTAAAGTAAATTATTTTGGGTTTTGTGTTATTTGCAGCAGTGAAACTATTCCTAAGTTTTACAACTGCTTGTTGTTTTTTAAAAAATTTAAATAATTGTAAATATACTCATTTTATATGCTGGTCTGATTATCATACTATTATTCAAAGTTCTTGGGATCTAATTCTGCAGTTTATTGTGTCTATTGACTCACACTCATGAATGATTTCTTATTGTATATTTGTACTTTTGATGGGTAGCTCATCTTCGTTGGAGGATTTCTCTCTCTGTCTCTGTCTCTCTCATTGCCTGTGATTTGAGTCATGAGTGTTTTTTCAGAATGGCTTATATTTGCTTTCATTCTGTACCTCTGACGTATCACCATTTGTTCTAGCTGCTATTGCTGCATAACTAACCCCCTCAAGTGTAGTGACACAAAACCACCATTTAATTAGCTCATGGAGTCTACTGGACAAAACTTCAAAAAGGGCACAGTAGGGACGGCTGGTCTCTACTCCGTGGTACCTGGGACCCTAGCTGAGAAGAACCAAAGCCTGGGGGCTGAGTCATATAAAGCCTCCTTCACTCACATGTCTGGTGGTTGACACTGAATGTTATCTGGGACCTCAGCTAGAACTGTTGGCTGGAATGCCTACAGCCTACATGTGTCCTCTTGAAGTGACTGGGCTCATGGCATGGGGCTGGGTTCTAACAGTGAGCATCCAGAAGAGAGCCAGAAAAATCTGTCTTACCTTTTATTACCTAGCCTTGGAAGGCATAGGGTATCACTTCTGTCATGGTTGCAGCTCACCCAGATTCAAGGGTGAGGGAAAGTGGACTCCATCTTTTGATAGCAGATATGTCAAAGGGATTTCGTAAGAAGAGCATGTGGCATGGGAAATGTTCTTATGGCCATTTTTGAAAAAAACAAAACAAAACAAAACAATCTACCAGATCAGATCAGGACCAATTTTAATGTTAATTTCTTACCTTGGGGTTTTCTTGTCTCCACATGTTGAACCAGTGCTAAATCCAGTCTCAAGTTCAAGATTTTAAACTATCCACCCCTAAATTTGAGATCTCAGTTTGAGATTTTAAACTATCAAGGAACAATTTTTCTTCCTCCTAGAGCCTAGACAAAAATGGAGAACCTTCCACATAATTCTTCTTGTATCAGTTGGTGGTCTTTCCCAAGGTCAATTGACAATGTAGACATCTGAAGGTCTTGATTTTTGTAACTGCCTCAGTTTTATATTTTTAGGCATCTTTCTCCTTCACTGGCTGAAGCTCCCCAAGGACAGGCCCTGTGTCTCCTTCATCTTTGTATTTCTGGCAACTTACACAAATGCCCATTACATTGTAGAGGCTCAGTGAGTGTTTCTGAACTGAACTAAACTCTCTTTCCTTTATTCTGATATCATGTTTCTGACCTTTACAGAGTATCCAATTATTCCTGCTGACCTCATTATTTTATCTTTTTTTTTTTTTTAAAGAGTTATTTGTTGTTTGAAGACTTTCTGTGATTACTGGAGGTACAGGACCATAGATGTCCAATAAATTAATCATGTTATGAGTTTAGCATTTAGTTGATTCCTTTTATTTGCAATGCAACATGCATAAATATTTCAGTGTAATGCACTTAAAAGGTACCAGGGTAGAAAAGCATCTCCCCAGTACTGGGTCCCCATGGAGTGATGCTTACATTCTTGTTTTTATCCAAATACAAAAGCAAGTACAACTTTCATCTTCCCTCCCACCAATTTATGCTCTATAGACATTGCAAGTCCTGTGAAAAGGCTGTGCTATGCTTAGTCTCAATCCTGACTGAGTGCTATCAGTTATCACTTTAGCAAAGCTGGTGTGACTTGTGGATACAAAAAATGAAGAGTGGAAGATGAATGAAGTTAGGAGAAGTAAGCAACACAGAAATGCATTTTAAATAAAATTTTATGATCGCTAAAGATAAACTTACCATTATTCATGGGAGAATCTTCTTAATAACAATTCCCAGCATAATCTTTCTGTGTCTCTCTCCAATCCCTCATCAGATGTTTCCCATTGGTTCTGATATGATTGACTCTGAAGTTTCCATATTAATGGGGAGAGTGAGAGAATTTAAAAAATTGACAATTACAAATAATTCCCAAAACCCACTTTAATCATTAGTTTAATCTGTTGTCTCCCACCTCCAACTTTATTGAGGATTGCTTGTTTAAGCAGCAAACATTGGCTTGGAATTTCATCCCCTTCCTTTTCCTTTAATAATGTTAATGGTAATAAAAATAATAATTGATATTTATATTGTGCTTTAGAGCTTACAATACATTTTTCACATTATTTGGACAACTAAGCTGTGAGAGACCCATAAAAAACTGTCTCACAACACTGCTGTCATTCATGTTCTTATTCTCATATTTTTGGATTATGGCTATGGCTTCCCCTCTCTGTCTTTAGGCCATCTTACAATTGCTATGAGCATCATCTTCCTAAAGTTCCATGTGAGTTGCGTCACCACTCTGCTCAGAAACCTTCAATAACTCACTACTAGAAATATAAAAGCCAATTTTCTTAGCCTCCTGCGGAAAACCTTCTAAAATTGACCTCAACATGCCATTCCAGTTTAATTGCCCAGTATTCTTTTACATAAAACTTATGTTCTAGCCAATCTACTATTACCCTTTCCACATCTTAGTTTTGGCTCTTACTGTTTCTCCACGTGGAACTGCTTTCTTTAATGTTTTCCTATTAAACCGCATTTAACTTTTAAGGTCCAATACACAATCCGTCTAACTTATGAAGCTCTCATGGCTGACAAAACAGATCTTTCTCTCTTTAAGTTTCTTTACCACATTGTTCATATGATACTTATTTTTGATTAAAAAGAAATGGTTTATTTGGGCCGGGTGTGGTGGCTCACACCTGTAATCCCAGCACTTTGGGAGGCTGGGCGGATGGATCACAAGGTCGGGAGTTCAAGGCCAGCCTGAGCAATATGGTGAACCCCATCTCTACTAAAAATACAAAAATTAGCTGGGCATAGTGGTGCACACCTGTAGTCCCAGCTACTCAGGAGGCTGAGGCAGGAGAATCGCTTGAACCCGGGAGGTGGAGGTTGCAGTGAGCCAAGATCGCGCCATCGCACTCCAGCCTGGGTGACAGAGCGATACTCCATCTCAAAAAAACAAAATCAAAAACAAAAACACCCCCCAAAAAACCAAAAACCAAAAACAAACAATTATATAGGTATGTGTCTTTGTACAGGATCCTAGCTTCTGTGATAGATTAGAGCCCTGAATCTCAGTGAATTCACACAGTAAGACTTCAGTTTTTACTTATGTGACATTCTGACACGGCTTCTGGATTGAAGAAACCATTTCGTGGCTCTTCCATTTTTAACACAGGCTCTCAAGTTTCCCTTGGTGGTAGTGGTGGTGGATGTCTTCTCTCTTTTACCTCAGCCAGCAGGAGAAAGTACATAGACAAAGTGTATATGGATGATTCTTCTCAGCAAACACTGGAAACAATGCCTATTGCTTCCTTTCATATTCCATTAGAAATCCATCACAGGCCACGAGAGGGGGTGGGAAATGTCTAGGCCTGTGCCCACGAAGAAGAGGAAACGTGTTTGGTGACCAGCTGGGCCGTTTCTTTACAGATTGTGATAATTTGCCTCTTTTCCCATTGTTCCTTTATCAACCCTTAAAGAAAGACACTTTCTCTTTAGGAGATTCTGTCCCCTTGAAGAAGTTTTGGGGACAAAAAATTCTGCCACCTCTCCATTTCACCTGCTTTTTTCTATGGGAGAAGAAATAACATATAGGGAACCCAGTGACAATCAGATGCCCACTGGACCAGGTTAAGCAGAGATTAAGGGAGGGACCCAGGTCGTGTCGTGCCTTAAATTGAACAATTTTGGAAATGCAAAAATTATGACTATTGATTTGATAGTGTCCCCCTAACATCTTGGACAGATCTTTGCAAGTAAGAGCTCTGATACTTAAACCTCCTTAGCTTAGTAATAATCCTGTCTCTGGCTGCTACCACATTGGTAAAGCCACTGAATCCCCCGTCTATACTCTGCCACCCTCCAGTGTGTAAGGAGGCTGCACTCCCCTTTCTCTTGTTCTCTAGGTCAGATCAATTGCCACAGGCCTGCCCTAAGGTCTGAGTTGAGACAAGAGCTTCATTTTGATTTCAAGTCTTAGCTGTATTCTCTGATTCAATGTAGTAGCTTTGTCATGTGTGAATTTTGCTAGGCTGAACTGTATTTCCCAGAATCTTTTTCTTATATATTGCCACTTAGGGGATCCCCCAGAGAGAGTCTAATGGGAAGTGAAGCAGCATCCACGTTTCAGCTCATACAAGTTCTCGCTTATCCATTGGAGCGAGGCGGTGGCTCGGCCTGCAATTGCTCCAGCCTATCTGACTCCTCCTTCAGCTTCTCTGACTCCTGGGCCAGGTGTGTCTGTTTAGTTCCAGTGATGATGGGCCCTGGTTTCTGTAGGACACTCATACTATTCATGTTGAGGTAACAAGAACTGACACTAGTTATTTATCTGTGTGGGTTTTGGCTCATGCTTGTGGGTTCTAGCTTATTCTTGTTCTCCACTGTACACTCACTCCTTCCCCAACTGCTTGCCCTGAGGACTTCAAGTTCCAGCATCAGATATGAAGACAACAATTTTACAGAAACTGCTTAGCCAGCTCCCCCAGTTGCAGAAGGTCATATCCCTTTAATCTATCTAACTATCTATCTATCTATCTATCTATCTATCTATCTATCTATCTGTCTGTCTACCTATCTATCTATTTATCCATCAATCATCTATGTATTACTCATGTGTTTGTGGTGATGCTGGCATAAACAAACCTGTGTGCACTGCCAGCACGTAAAATTATAGCACATACAATCATGTATAGTACATAATCATAATAAATGACTATGGTTACTGGTTTATGTATTTACTGTACTATTTATCATTATTTTAAAGAGTACTCCTTACACTTTTTTTTTCTGAAGTTTTTTTTTTTTTTTTTTTGAGATGGAGTTTTGCTCTTGTCACCCAGGCTGGAGTGCAATGCCATGATCTTGGCTCACTGCAACCTCCGCCTCCTGGGTTCAAGCAATTCTTCTGCCTCAGCCTCCCGAGTAGCTGGGATTACAGGTGCCCACCACCACACCCGGCTAATGTTTTGTATTTTTAGTAGAGACGGGGTTTCACCATTTTGGGTAGGCTGGTCTCGAACTCCTGACCTCAGGTGATGCACCCGTCTCAGCCTCCCAAAGTGCTGGGATTACAGGCATGAGCCACTGCGCCCGGCACTCCTTATACTTAATAAGAAGAAGTTAATTGTGAGACAGCTTCAGGCAGGTCCATCAGCAGGTATTCCAGAAGGAGGCATTGTTATCATAGGAGATGACAGCTTCATGTGTGTTAATCCCCCTGAAGACCTTCCAGTGGGATAAGATGTGCAGGTGGAAGACAGTGATATTAATGATCCTGACCCTCTGTAGGCCTAGGTAAGTGTATGTTTGTGTTTTAGATTTTAACAAAAATGTGTAAAAAGTAAAAAATAAAATAAAAATTTTAAAATAGGAAAACTTGTAGAATATGGACATAAAGAAAATAATTCTGTGTAAATATACAAAGTGTTTGTGTCTTAAGCTGTTCTTACAAGAGTCAAAAAATTTGAAAACATTAAAAAGTTTATAATGTAAAAAAGTTACAGTAAGCTAAGATTAATTTATTATCAAAGAAAGAAAACTACTTTTTTTATGAATTTAGTGTAGGTTAAGTGTACAGTGTTGATAAAGTCTACAGGAGTGTACAGTAATGTCCTAGGCCTTCTCATTCACTCATACTCACTCACTGACTCGCCCAGAGCAACTTCCGGTCCTGCAAGCTCTATTCAAGGTAAATGTCATAAACAGGTGTACTACTTTTTATTTTTTATATGGTATTTTTACTACTTTTTCTATGGTTATATCTACCCATACACAACTACCATCGTGTTATAATTGCATACAGTATTCAGTACAGTATCATGCTGTAGGTTTGTAGCCTAGAAGCTGTAGGCTATACCATATTGGTTAGGTGTGTAGTAGGCTATAGCCTCTAGGTTTGTGTAAGTATCCTCTATGACGTTCACACAGCAAAGTCTCCTAAAAACACATTTCCAAGAATATATTCTTGTTCTCAGTGATGCATGACTGTACTTACACATAGTAAACACACTTCTAGGCACTTGACATATATTGGCTCGTTTACTCCTCACAACAAGCTTTGAAGTAAGGATTATTACGATATCCATTTTACAGATGAGAAAATGAAGAAACAGAGAAGTTAAATTATTTACATGGCAGAGCTGCACTTGAAATCCAGGCAGTCTGGCTCCAGAGCCTATGCTCCTTCCTACTGTGTTATATTCACCTCTCCATAACTTACGGGGAACTTAAGATCATTAACTCTGAGAGTTAGTGTAAGATCTAATGTCTGTTGAATATTTACTAATGTGCCAGGCATTAAATGCTGTACATGTATTATCTGTCTAGTTCTTACAACCATTCTATGACATAGGCTCCATTATTTTCTTATAGAGAAGGAAACAAGCTTAGAGAGGTTAAGAAACTTGTTTAAGGTCACACAGCTGGTAAGTAGCTGAGCCAAAAAGAGATGTTATAGGGGTGTGTGTGTGTGTGTGTGTGTGTGTGTGTGTGTGTGTGTGTGTATGTGTGTGTGTGTTCTAGGCCAACCCCTAACCCATGATAGGAATTATTTCTGTGACATCTTACAGTGTTAGACCTTATGAACTCTATGGTGGGCCCACTACTTTCTTGCAATGCAGACTTGAACAACTCTGTTAGAAAGTTCTGTTACATTTTTTTAAAGTTGGGAGGCTATTAAGCTGGAGTGGCTCCAGGGCTTTACATTCCTACTGAGCAAATCAAAGCCCGATGTAAACAGTAAGACAGAGCTAGCGAATTTAACAATCAGAAATTGCCAAAAACAAAAACAAAAAACATATATATTTATTTTATATAATACATATAATATATAAATATATATTTAACATATTTATATTGTATATATCTATAACATATAAAAATATATTTAACATTTACTATATTATTTATGATATATTACATATTATATATTAATATACTATAATATATTTAATATACTATATATTATATAAATATATTTATGTTTAATATTATATTAAAATATCAATTTCAATATTTGCATCAATATTTACATATATTCTATTATTAAATAGAGATGGGGTCTCACTACCTTGCCCAGACTGGTCTCAAACTCTTGGCCTCAAGTAATCCCCCAGCTTTGGCCTCCCAAAGTGCTGAGATTATGTGTGAACCACCACACCTTGCCAAATATATTTTCCTTGTCTTCCTTCTGTATTCATCCTATAAAAACTTTCTACCCATTGCTGCTGCCGTGGAGTTCTCTGAACTACTGGTTCTGAGTGCTGCTCAGTTCATGAATTGTTCTTTGCTTAAATAGACTTTCAAAAATTCATTTTGTCTAAAGTTTTTCTTTTAACAGTTTTGGTGTCAGAATTCGAATCTGAAGGAGTTTACCCCCACTCCCCGTGATGACTCCTGGGAGCAATGAGTAAACAGGCATAGGTACCTCATTGAAGCCTTTGTGCTCACTGCTTCTTGCTGTGCATTTGGAGATTACTCTTGTACACAAGCTCTGCAACTGGTGTCAAGTTCTCTGAGTTCATTTGAACATTTTAAATCTGGACTGGGTCTGGAAGTCATGATAAAAACCAAACTGGTTCCAGAAGAGAGGCCTCTAGTAGGTAAGATATGAGGAGACAGGGAATCATGGGTTCATCTGGATCCAAGGAGTCTAGAACTCCATCATCTGAAACTCTAGCCAATCTCATGTATGATGACTAGGGACCCAGGCCCTGTGCTTTTCTAGGGAAATGGGTAGACCTTACCAAAGACAACTTAAGAGTTACAATGGCCACAGTGAAGAATTTTTAACCTAGTTAAAATTGTTCGCTTGTGAGGTGCATTAGAAAATAAAGGACCCAAAATTCTTCAGAAACAATGGGAGGTATTTTTTTATTGGCATATGGAGGCTCCAAAAAGACAAAATGAATCAAAAATTGCCCCTCCAAAAAAATCCTTACAAAAGGCCAATGAAAAGCTTAAGCAACTAATTGATGAAACAGAAAAAATAATATCTCACTACTCTTATTTTCTTTTTATCCTTCTCTCCTACTCTGAATCTACAAATTTTTTCACTTAGATATCTTCCTACCCCATACATGAAAATAAAAGTAGATAAATGCCTTATAAAATTAGGCCCCCAGGGAAACCAGATTTGCTTCTTTAACTTCTTTGGTCAAAGACTTGAGTTCAGATCAATAGTAAATGGTTTCCCCCTTTCAAAGGAAAAACCTCAGAAAATTGTTTAGGAATTTAAAATTCTCACTGAAGTATATAATCTAAGACCCTTGATCTTTACCAATTTAGTCACATGATACTTGCACCTGGCAAAGCCCATAAATTAATAACTGGAGCCAAATGGCAGGTACTTGAGAAAGATATCAAATATGTGTTACAGGAAAAGGGTCCCAATCCAGACCCCAAGAGAGGGTTCTTGGATCTCGTGCAAGAAAGAATTCAGGGTGAGTCCGTACAATAAAGTGAAAGCAAGTTTATTAGGAAAGTAAAGGAATAAAAGAATGGTTACTCCTTAGACAGAGCCACCCATAGAGCTGCTGGTTGGCCATTTTTATGGTTAATTCTTGATGATATGTTAAACAAGGGGTGGATTATTCATGCCTCCCTTTTTAGACCATATAGGGTAACTTCCTGATGTTGCCATGGTATTTGTAAACTGTCAGTGGTTCTGGTGGGAGTGTAGCAGTGAGGGAGACCAGAGGTCACTCTTGTTGCCATCTTGGTTTTGGTGGGTTAGAGCTGGCTTCTTTACTGCAAACTGTTTTATCAGCAAGGTCTTTATGACCTGTATTTTATGCCAACCTCCTATCTCATCCTATGATTTACAATGCTTTAATCATCTGGGAATGCAGCCTAGTAGGTTTCAGCCCCATTTTACCCAGCTCCTATTCAAGATGGAGTTGCTCCCGCTCAAACGCCTTGGCAGATTCGACCACTCAATATTTCAGGAGTGGACCAATAAAAGGCTATGAAAATAGCAAATAATCTCCTAGAATCCATTCTTGAAATATTCCCTCAAAAAAAGTCCACTGCTCTGTCATTCCATCTTGTAAACAAACAAACAAAAAAGAATAAACCGGTCTCTGACTATAAGGCAAGATTAGAAGTACTATTTGTAAAACATTCTGGTCTCATGCTGAGTCCAGGCATAGAAAATGCCTTGTCTGCCCTATTCATTATGGGTTCTGCTCTAAACTCAGTAATATAGTTTGAAAAACACAGGCTGGGCTAGGAAGCTGCCTATTCAGCTAAATTAGTCTCAAAATATGCCTTTTCAGCGTAAGTACTACTTTCAGCTGATTATTTTGGGACTGTTTTGTAAGAAAAATGTACTTCCATAAAGGAAACCTTCATTTGTAAGGCCTCTCTGCATCAGAAAGAGAAGAAAGACGGCATCACTAAAAACTGTTACAATGGAAAAGGAACTGGCTTAAGGCTACTTAACAAGACTCACTTTTCTTTAAGGCGGCTTTCCCGGTCTTCTTGTCTTAACTGGTCCTTCACCTATATGCTTTTTTGTTTCTGCAAATGATGGTATTTAATCATAAAGTCTAAGCTCCATGTCTTTGAAATGTAAATTTTCTACCTTGTCATATCTTAGAGCACTTTGGAAATGCAAATTTAAGGGAAATGATTCATTGGAGGAAAACAAAAAAGGAGCTATGTGGAAACTAGCAAACACAAAATCTTTCAAGTCTTTTCTACAAATATTGGAAAAATGTTCTAGCCATCTGGGCAGATAATCTCATTCCATTGGTCAGAAATACAATTCTGAATCAGATATTCTTTTACAAACTGATGAGTTTTATATATTGTACCTGGTATGTGACTAAAACTAAAATGAAAGCTATAGGATCTCTGCATATGTCTATGTTTAAGTAAGTCTATTTATGTTATATATATGTAACCTTTTTCTGCCTCTGGATGGTATTGACAAAATTATAAAAGAGCTCTAATTGGCTTAGAGAAAAATGAGTGCTTATATAAATTAAGTATTCCTTAAACTCTTGGAAGTATAGAAACTAACCCAAATGCTTTTCAAGTTCACATGACTTAGGTACATCTTTGGAAAACAAAACAAGACTAGTTCAGTATTTTTGGTTTAATAAAAGTAGTTGTGTCTTTTGAGTTACCAGTTTTGAGGACAATATCAGCATAACATTTTAATTTTACTTGGGTTTACCAGTCAAATAAGTTTATGTTATCTTTACTG
This sequence comes from Homo sapiens, assembly GCF_000001405.40. Classification (NCBI taxonomy): domain Eukaryota; kingdom Metazoa; phylum Chordata; class Mammalia; order Primates; family Hominidae; genus Homo; species Homo sapiens. Next base: position 168,335,043 of record NC_000001.11, read on the forward strand.
CATGTTTCAGATTATAGATCTATGAGGTCAACCTAAGAATAAATGTACAAGTGGAAGTACAGTGTCCATTACTTCATGTATATCATATGTAGCAGAAAAATAGCAACAAAAATCACGTATTTAACATTTAGGATTCTTGCTTTCATGAAGACTGTCTGACCTGCACATGCCGTCAAAATAGCTAACAGAGAATAACTTGATGATGGCTAGCTTTGTTTTGTATTATAATGTGTCTATTTAAAAATAGTTTCCCAAATCTCTTTGGTAACTTACACCCTTGGAATTTCACTAAATGAAATTAAATGATGAATATTCATTTAAATATTTAGATCATTTCCAAATAAGATAAAATACTGAAACATTAATTTCTTTAAACTGATCTAATTTTGGCTTCTTATTACAGAAAAATTAAAGATATTTGGTCTGTTAGCAAACATGTCTTGTGCCACATTGAAAAATTGTACTATGAGAAAGTACATGCTTCTAAAAATTAAAGTTAATGAGAGTTAAGAATTCTGGCTGACATGTGATAATTAAAACTAGAAATAATAAGAGAAACAACTCGTATATGAGGTGTGTAAGACATGTTTTTGGTAAGTAAAACTATTAGGCATGAGGATTTTTGTTGTTGTTTTGTTGCTAAGGGAAAAAGAAAGTAATTTTTGTCTTAAAATTGAATGACTCATTATTCCACAGTAGGACAGGAGAAAGGTGTAGGACTAAACTGAATGGATATAAGAAAGTTGTAGAAGGTTTGTGGAAGAGAAATCTTGGAAAAGGAATTTTATGTGTGATCAAGTTGGCTAAGATTTATATGAATTTATGATGTTATTAAAAATTACAAGCTTCAGTGTCAAAAGAATGTGAGTACAAAGTTTTCTTGCAGTACTGGTCTGTTCTTGTTGTATTAGGGCTTCAATTACTTAAGAAAACTGAGTTCTCTCTATTAAAAGAGCTAAGGTTTTTCTGTAACTATGTAACTCTCTGTATTTGTCTTTGATGTTTCTTAACTTCATTTAAATATTGTTTCATAACTTTTTAAACATTTAGATCATTTCCAAATAAGATAAAATGCTGAAACATTACTGAACATAAGTTTAAGCTTATCTAATTTTGGCTTCTTATTACAGAAAAATTAAGGATTAATTTAAAATTATTAATTATTAATTTAAAATTATTAATTATTAATTTAAAATTAAAGGTTAATTTAATTTAGTTTAATTATTTTTTTTATTGAGGCAGGTTCTCACTCTGTTGCCCAGGCTGTCATGCAATGGCACTACCTTGGCTCACTGCAACCTCTGCCTCCTGGGTTTAAGCAATTCTCCTGCCTCAGCCTCCCGAGTAGCTGGAATTACAGGCACCCGCCATCATGCCTGGCTAACTTTTTTTTTTGTATATTTGTAGAGATGGGGTTTCACCATGTTGGACAAGCTGGTCTTGGACTTCTGACCTCAGGTGATCCACCCGCCTGGGCCTCCCAAAGTGCTGGGATTACAGGTGTGAGCCACCGAGCCCAGCCTTAAAGGTTAATTTTAAATTATCACTCTGGTTAAATGAATGACTATTGTTTCATAGTAACCTGGGATCCTATTTTGACAAAGTGTTTTAAACCTTTGATTTATTGGACAAACTTCTCAAAATCAAATTCTAAATTAAGTCTATTTTTTTTAAAAGACATATTCAAAACTGGGGAAAAAAAAAGGTTTAATTGGACTTAAGAGTTCCACATGGCTAGGGAGGCCTCAGAATCATGGCGGGAGGTGAAAAGCACTTCTTACGTGGTGGTGACAGTAAGAGAAAAATGAGGAAGAAGCAAAAGTTGAAAAGCAAAAGAGATCTGATAAGCCCATCAGATCTCGTGAGACTTATTTACTATCATGAGAATAGCATGGGAAAGACTGGCCCCCTTGATTCAATTACCTCCTCCTGGATCCCTCCCACAACATGTGGGAATTCTGGGAGATACAATTCAAGTTGAGATGTGGGTGGGGACACGGCCAAACCATATCATTCCGCCCCTGGCACCTCCAAATCTCATGTCCTCACATTTCAAAACCAATCATGCCTTCCCAACGGTCCTCCAAAGTCTTAACTCATTTCAGCATTAACCCAAAAGTCCACAGTCCAAAGTCTCATCTGAGACAAGGCAAGTCCCTTCTGCCTATGAGCCTGTAGAATCAAAAGCAAGTTAGTTACCTCCTAGATACAATGGGGGTACAGGTATTTGGTAAATACAGCCATTCCAAATGGGAGAAATTGGCCAAAACAAAGGGGTTACAGGGTCCACGCAAATCTGAAATCCAGCAGGGCAGTCAAATGTTAAAGCTCCAAAATGATCTCCTTTGATGCCAGGTCTCACATCCAGGTCACACTGATGCAAAAGGCGGGTTCCCATGGTCTTGGGCAGCTCCACCCCTGTGGCTTTTCAGGGTACAGCCACCCTCATGGCTGCTTTCCTGGTCTGGCATTGAGTGTTTGTGGCTTTTCCAGGCACATGGTGCAAACTACCAGTGGATCTACCATTCTGGGGCGTGAAGGATGGTGGCCTTCTTCTCACAGCTCCACTAGACAATGCCCCATTAGGGACTCTTTGTGGGGGTTCCAACCCCACATTTCCCTTCCCCACTGCCCTAGCAGAGGTTCTCCACGTGTGCCCCCCTCCACCTGCAGCAAACTTCTGCCAGGGCATGCAGGCAATTCTATACATCCTCTGAAATCTAGGTGGAGGTTCCCAAGCCTCAATTCTTGACTTCTGTGCACCCACAGGCTCAACACCATGTGGAAACTGCCAAGACTTGGGGCTTTCACCCTCTGAAACCACAGCCCGAGCTGTACATTGTCCCCTTTCAGCCACGGCTGGAGTGGCTGGGACACAGGGCACCAAGTCCCTAGGCTGCACACAGCAAGGAGACCCTGGGTCTGGTCCATAAAACCACTTTTTCCTCCTGGGCCTCTAAACCTGTGATGGGAGGGGCTGCTGTGAAGATCTCTGACATGGCCTGGAGACATTTTCCTGGTGGTCTTGGGGATTAACTTCTTGCTGCTTATGCAAATTTCTGAAGCCAGCTTGAATTTCTCCTAAAAAAAAATGGATTTTTCTTTTCTATTGCATTGTCAGGCTGCAAATTTTCTGAACTTTTATGCTCTGTTTGCCTTTTTAAATGGAATGCTTTTAACAGCACCCATGTCAGCTTTTGAATGCTTTGCTGCTTAGAAATTTCTTACATCAGATACCCTAAATAATCTCCCTCAAGTTCAAAGTTCCACAAATCTCTAGGGCAGGGGTAAAATGCCACCAGTCTCTTTGCTAAAACATAACAAGAGTTGCCGTTGCTCCAGTTCCCAACAAGTTCCTCATCTCCATCTGCTCCATCTGAGACCAACTCAGCCTGGACCTTATTGTTCATATCACTATCAGCATTTTTGTCAAAGCCATTTAACAAGCCTCTAGGAGGTTCCAAAGTTTCCCACATTCTCCTGTCTTCTTCTGAGCCCTCCAAACTGTTCCAACTCTTCCTGTTACCCAGTTCCAAAGTCACTCCCATATTTTCAGGTATCTTTTCAGCAACACCCCGCTGTACTGGTATCAATTTACTGTATTAGTTCGTTTTCATGCTGCTGATAAAGGCATACCCAAAACTGGGAACGAAAAGAGGTTTAATTGGACTTAGAGTTCTGCATGGCTGGGGAGGCCTCAGAAGCATGGTGGGAGGTGAAAGGCACTTCTTACATGGTGGTAGCAAGAGAAAAATGAGGAAGAAGCAAAAGCAGAAACCGCTGATAAGCCCGTCAGATATTGTGAGACTTATTTGCTATCATGAGAATAGCACGGGGAAGACCAGCCTCTATAATTCAATTACCTCCCCTGGGTCCCTCCCACAACAGGTGGGAATTCTGGGAGATACAATTCAAGTTGAGATTTGGGTGAAGACACAGCCAAACCATATCATCCTGGTATGATGTTATCTGTCATAGTTTTGATTATTGTGTTAAAATGTTGTATGCCACAGAAATAACCACATTTCCTTGTCAATTGCATCATTATTGTAGTGAACTCTCTTCGGATCTTTAACCATGACCATCTTAAGTCTTAAAATTAAGTTTCATCAACTATAATGCTAATGTGTTTAGTCTTTAAGGAGAGTCATAGAAAGGACTCTGACAAGTACTGGTTTCTAACTTTAATACTGCACCATTGAATTGGGTAAGAATTTTCAGAACTCTAATAAAGAAAATAATTGATTCATAAAACTGCTGACACAACATTGGTGATGGGCACATGTAATCCCAGCTACTCGGGAGGCTGAGGGAGGAGAATTGCTTGAACCTGGGAGGCAGAAGTTGCAGCGAGCGGAGGTCGCACCACTGTACTCCAGCCTGAGCAACATAGCGAGACTCCGTCTCAAAAAAACCAACCAACCAACAAACAAAAAAACCTGAAAAACCAAACCAAACCAAACCAAACCAAAACAAAACAAAACCTGCTAACACAACATCAGGCAGAAGAAGGATTAATTTCATGGGACTGAACAAACTGATGAAGAAGAATTATGGTTTTTCATGGTCTTTGCATTTGAAACATTGCTGATTCTTTGATGTTTTGTTTTTCAGATTTAAGGGAGCCTTTTTCTTCTCTCTTAAGCTAGCTATACATAGCAATTTGGTAAAGTTTACCTTTGTGAACAAAGTTGAAACATTCATTTTATCCCTACTGATCCCTTCAGAATTCAGAAACTATGAAAGAGCATTCTTATTTTCATGGCAATATAGTTATTCGCATAAGTTCAATAAGAATTGGTTTTTGTTATTACAGGACACAATTGGAAGCATTGGTTATATTACCAAGGCTTTGACTGGAATGTCATGCTTGAGAATGTAAATATACTCACATGGTCCAGACAGTTTTAAAGAACGAAGATTGACTTTTCAACACCAATAAAGCACCTTGTAGCAAACTGGCTTGGTACCTGTCTTGAAGGGTTCCCTGGTCTTATTAAAAGAAGACCTGGGAGCCTTAAAAATATTTTGAGAATCTTGAGAAGAGAGCAATTCACCAAAATTTACACATGGCAGGCAAAGTTTGATGGTGGGTCCTTGGCTTGGCCTCTTAGCATGGAGAGGCTTTTGAAAGTCCCCTTTTAGATTCCTTACTTCAAAGTCCCAACAAAGAAGGCTTAAAAGAGCTCATATGGTCAATCATTATTCTTGCTGCGCCTAGATAAATAATCAGGCCAAGTTTACTGGAGACTGGACATATTTTGCAACCAAATTGGTCTTATTGTGATCATCTTTGGTAGAAATGAGACCAGCTGTAGAGAGAAAAATTATATTTCACCAGAAAAATAGAGTGTAGCCTTGTGGATATCATATTCTAGCCTCACTCATTATCCTCAAGATTCTTTCATCTATAAACTCCTCTGTTCCTGAAGGCTACAAGCTATAGTTAAACAACTTGATCTAAATTCTAGAGGACAGCTCTCATGCCTATTGATGCATGCATGGACCATTCAGGGAATACACTGAAATGTCCAATGACATAATCAGAGACATTTAAATGACAAACCAGGAAAATACATTCTGAGTTTAAATCTAGAAATCTTCTCTACTGACTGCTCTCTGGACCCAGAGACTAAGTTGATAGCTTGTTCTACCCATTAACCTTTGTTTTTATTTTGTTCATTTTAGTTGATCTGGTTAATGGGGGCATTGGCTAAGGAGCATACTCCAGTGTCTTGGTATTATCCTCTTATAGTCCTCATTGCAATCTCCCTGGTCCTGGTGCATTGTATTCTTTCAAGGGTATTAAATGTATATCTGTAGCCATTAAAGGTATGAGAGAAGGTCTCACTGTGGTTAGGGTGACAAAAATGGGTGAACAACAAAAGGAATATTTCTTCCAGGAGCCTGATGTTGTGACTCAGGAGTTTTGTGCTGAGAAGAAGAAAAACCAGCCATGATCATGACAGGGAGTGGTGTTTATGGCCATGTTGTGGTCAATCTATCATAACAAGAGGCTGATAGGTGAGGAATTGCTAAAATATTTTTTTAAATTGGGAGGTCATGTATAATAATTAAAAAATATATATATAAATTGGGAGGTCATTAGGCTGGAATGGCTCCTGGGCTTTAAGTTCCCACTAAGCAAACCAAATCCCAGCATAAAACAGTGAAATGAAACTAGCGCCTTTATCAGTCAGAAACCACCAACAGAAGTTAGTTTGTGGTTGCTGACTGGTAAAGACTCTAGTCGATATTGAAATACGTTTTCTTTGCCTTCCTTCTGCATTTAGCCCATAAACTTGCTGTCCAAGCTGCTGCAGCAGTCTTCTGAACTGCTTCTGGTTCTGAGTGCTGCCCAACTCATGAGTTGTTCTTTGGACAAATAAACTCTGTTAAATTTATTTTGTCTAAAGTTTTTCTTTTAACAGCTCTAAGCCTTGTCCTCTTTTCCCATGACAACCCTTCACATGTTTGAATATAGCTCTTCAGTTTCTCCCTAGGCCTTCCATTCTTCTACTGCAAACATTGTCAGCAGCTTTGAATTTTCCTCATATGCCGTGATTTCTAAAACTTTCATCAGTTCCCTTTCCTTTTCTGCTGTGGCAGGCAGAATAGAATGGAGATCTGTAGACATGACCCCACCATGGCATATTCAGTAGAGCTCCCATCTTTCCTGCTCCCAACACTGCCTTTCTCTTTCAGCACTGCCTAAGACTGCTTTGTCATTTTTGGCAGCCACATTGGGTTACTAAAATGCCTGGGGCTTCCCACATGAACTGCTATTAAGCCAAGTTTCAACATCCTGTATTTGTATGGTTAACTTAAAAAAATATATATTTCCAGGACTTTAGTCTTAACTCATAATATAAGCCCGTTAAATTACTTTTGAATGACTTCTGCCATGTAACGCATTACCAAACCTTTCAAGCCTATATCTTCTAAAATTTGATAAGCATGTGTCAGAGTCTTCACATTGACAGAAATATTCCACAGACACAGATGAGCACTGAGAGCTGTAACTACCAAAAATCCTAGAAAAGAGGGATAACTTCCACATTAACTCTTAGTTAACTAGAAAATTGAATTAATCAGGCTGCCCAGTCCCCGATCCTTCTAATTAACTAAAGTTCACAGCATTATCATTATTAAAAGTGTGAAGAAGTCTTGTATGAATGTCCCCACTTTGGGCATACGTAATACATAGCAGGTGCTATTAGAGGTTCAAGCTTGCAGAGGAATCACAAACAGCCATCAGACGTAACTTTAGTTAAATAAGCTGAAGCTATTTTTCCTAAGTGTTTATTTCTAGTTGGTTCACAGGGTCCTCTCCATCCCTACTTACGGGAGGCCATTCACATCACTTTGATGGTTTGCATAACCTGGAGATTTCAGAGCTTGGATATTAAAACCTCTTTTTCTCCTTCAAGTCTTGGTTTTAGTCCTCAGAGCTCTCTGCAGGGGAATGAGGACCCCAGAGAAAGTCACATTGCTTACATTTTCCTGCTTCCCCCTCTGTCTCTCCATTTATTCCTTAGGGGAGAATATCGTATTGGGGGAGGAGCGCAGGAAAAGTCACCCAAAAGCCATGGGAAAGGTTGTGGAAATGGGGAGTGCTGGTCCCACCCCTTTCGTCCTGGTGATGGGGTGGGACGGCAGGCGCCAGCCTCCGTTTTTCTGCCCGTGGGTATGTGTGGTTGACCTCCTTAAATCAGAGCCAAGCGCGTGACCCAGAACTCTGCACAATCACCCACGCCCACGGCAAAGCAGATGAGGCTCTAGAGCTTGCAAGTCTTTATCTAGGGAACTGCGTCATCCTCCTCGGTCGGACACCAGGTGGCAGCAAAGCTCCAACTCATCAGTCACCCCACCCTCCGTCCAGGCCGTCTTCTGACGCAGAACTTAAAAAAGATACTGCAGATTTTCCTTCTAAGGAAGGAGCTACCCATACAAAACTAGCAGCTTTAGAGAGAGCCATAGCTAAAACTGAAACGTCGTCAGGATAAAAGCTGCCTTCTGAGTAGGACAGGCAAAACACCAAAAACAAAGTTCAAAACCAAATAATCATTTACGAAGCTTCTTGAGGAGGGTATAATGCAATTTTGGTCCTGGTGCAAAGAAATAAATTTGGTTCTGTAAGCAAAAAAATAAATTTTGGTATATAAATGTAGGGGATTCATTATTAACTGAATCTTATTCTTTAGTCGAAGAAGGTTTCCTGAAGAAGGAGGGGTGTCAGGCAATTTTTTAAATACCAGAAAGCTGAGCCTAAGATGCACTTATGAGGGTTAAGTGGTCCATTGAAATAAATATATTTGCTTACAGTATAAAGGATTTTATACTGCAGTTTTGGTAGAGTTGTCTGACCTGACACCTCGATATTAGAGGTGTATGAAAAGAGACAAAGCTTGTGGTTTTCTGAGGCCCCCCTGCTACCTGCTTGGCAGTGAAAATGTGAAGGTTTCATAATAAGTTGTTGGCTCTGGAGGAGATGGTTCTACATGTTTTACTGGTGTCCAAGGTCTACCGATGACTCTAGGGCCTGCAGTACTAATGAGCATCTCGTAGACAGTATATGGACCTCAGGCAGATGTTAAGATAGGGCCAGCCGAGGAGCTTTCTAATTGAGGAGGATTTACTCAGAAGGAAGAGTCCATCTGTGTTCTTTGAGCGTTTTGGAGAGTGGATGATCGAGCCCACTGTGTAACACAGCCCTGTTGTATTGCTGCCTCCTAGAGGAAGGACAAGGACAAGTGGGGGACAGAGGAGGCAGTGAAAACAGGAGTGGATCATTAGGGCCCAGAACACCTGAGTCCTGTCTCTCTAGGAAAAGCCAAGGTATCATGAGACCTCTGGTTGTTAGAATGTCGTAAGCCCACCCCACCATCCCTGCTCCCCACTCCCTCTCACATGCACTGCTGCTTCAAAAGGATTTTTTTTTGAGTGCTGCCAAAGTCCTTTAAGAAGCCAATCTATTTCATCTGAGACTGTTACGCTTGCAAAAGTGATCTTGCTGAAGATGAGCTTTTCAGCTTGCTTGTTAGCTACTTAGGTAGCTCTAGAGACCCCCAGGAGATGATACAAAAGGCCAAGGAGAGGAAGCCAGAATCAGAGCAAGCGTGAGAGCCCCCATGAGATACGTTGTCTTTTTCTGTCTGTCATCTAAGCAGCCCTGAATTCCAAGGGTAGTAGAGATTTGTAAGTATGTAGAGGATAAGAATCCTGATTTTGCCATCTGTGGGCTCTGAGTTGACATCCTCACGTTTCAGGGTCTTCATGTGACTCACAGTGAAACAGGGAACTTGGTCTATGTACTCAATGTCTTCTCATACCCCTCTTCTTCTCTTAGTAGCCTGGGTGATGGAATGAGACACATCTACTTGCTGTCCTGGGTCAATGGACTACTTACCCCTCATAAGTGCTTCTTAGGCTCAACTTTCTGGTATTTAAAAATTGCCTGACATCCCTCCTTCTTCAGGAAACCTTCTTTGACTAAAGAGTAAGATTCAGTTAATAATGAATCCCCTACATTTACGCACCAAAATTTATTTCTTTGCTTACAGTATAAATGATTTCCTGGTAAATCTGTGTGTTTATGCTAGGTTTGCTCATAGTTTGCATTTTCTCTATGCTTCCAAGTTTGCTGTGCTGTGTCCTAGATTTCTGTTTGCCAGAGGGCATGCAAATGAGGAGGTTGCCAGGATGAATGTTAAGTAAATCGATGTATAAAACATAATGTCCAAAAATATGGGCATGGTGCTTTATAGCTTACAGATATTTCACATATTTTACCGAATTTGACCTTTGCCCTATCACTGTTAGCCAAGATGATTATGCTCATGCTATAGATAGGAAACCGAGGCTGAGAAGTTAAGTAAGGGCACTGTCTTAGGGCAATCAGTTGGGAAGTGGCAGGAAGGTTTTTGTTACTGAAGTCCATGCTGTACTTGGGTATCTTAAACTGTTCCCAGTTTAACATAGTTAGGTGCTGGACACACATACCTGATGATAAGGGATGGAGTTGTTGTGACCTGAGTTAAGACAGATAAAAAACAAAATGAAAAGGTGCTGTATGTGGGTTAATTTGCCATAATGTTTTCCCTCTGTCTCACTGTCTCCTCTGTTTCCTGATTTCTTTTTTTAAGTGACAGAGTCTTGCCACCTTGCCCAGTCTGGAGTGAAGTGGCTATTCACAGGCATGATCACAGCACACTACAGCCTTAAAATCCTGGGCCCAAGGGACCCTCTTGCTTTAGCCTTCTGAGTAGCTGAGATTATAGGCTTGCACCTCTATGCCCAGCTTCTCTCTTGATTTTTAAAGGTAGTTTTATTCATTTTTTTCCCTGAGTATCAGTGTGGTTACTGTAGAAAAAGTAGAACTTTCTTTTTTTATTGAGACGGAGTCTAGCTCTGTCACCAGGCTGGAGTGCAATCTCGGCTCACTGCAACCTCCGCTTCCCGGGTTCAAGCGATTCTCCTGCCTCAGCCTCCTGAGTAGCTGGGATTACAGGCACACGCCACCATGCCCAGCTAATGTTTGTATTTTTAGTAGAGACAGGGTTTCACCATGTTGGCCAGGGTGGTCTCAATCTCCTGACATAGTGATCTGCCCACCTCAGCCTCCCAAAGTGCTGAGATTACAGGAGTGAGCCACTGCGCCAGGCCAGAATTTTCTTTATGAAAAGCCAGACAAATGCTCTCCAAATTCAAAGTAACCATGAAAGTGATGGTCAAAACTGGAAAAAAGAGAGAACTTGAGCCCAAATCAATGCTGTTTTTTTTTTTTTTTTTTTTTTTTTTATTCTTGAGGCTCTGAGCAGCTGGCCCCAAATAGCCAGATGCTGCTAAGGATCAAGGTCTTGCTTCCACTGCAGGTTTTTCTTGTTCTTGACTTTGTGGTAAAACAGAATGGGTGAGTGGAAAAGGCTCCATCATCTTGGGAGCTTGGCAGACCTAATTTGAAACATTGTCTCTGCATATCTGAGCTGAGATACTTGACAAAATTTTTAAAGCTTATTGAGCCTTAACTACCTCATGTGTAGGATGAGGCCCCATAATCCTTAGTTTGCAGTGCGGTTTTGAGATTAAGGCAGATAATACTTGTCAAATGCCTGGCACTTTGCAGGTAGCAGCTTTAAAACAGAAACAAGTGAACCTAAGCTCCTGTCTGATATCAAAGTAGTTGCTAGGATATTGTACAATTTCTTGGGCCTGAGACATTAAGTCAACTGACAAGTTTCAAGAAGGAAGAAATCTAGGTTGGGCATTGCTGTCTAAGTGTGATGCTTACAAGGTTGCCCACAAAGGCAGCCCTTTCTCTTGGATAGGGATCTGCTCTGGGCAATTTAACCTTCCAGGAGTCATGCAAAATGATTTTAAAATGACCATTTAAATTTTATCCCAAAGAGGTACAGCCATTATGGAAAATAGTATGGAAGTTCTTCAGAAAACCAAAAACAGAACTACCATATGATCCAGCCATCCCACTTCTGTGTACCTATCCAAAGGAACTGAAATCAGAATCCTGGAGAGATATTTGCACTCCCATGTTCACTGTGTTAATAGCATAACTTACATCCACCAAGATATGAATACTGCTTAAATGTCCACCAGTGGATGAATAGATAAAGAAAGTTTGGTATATACATAAGATGGAATATCAGTCAGCCTTAAAATAGAAGGAAACCTTGCCATATGCAACAACATGGATGGACCTGGAGGGCATTATGCTAAGTCAAATAAGACAGACACAGAAAGACAAATACTGTACGGACTCACTTATATGTGGAACCTACAATAGCCAAACTCATAGAAGCAGAGAGTAGAATGGTGGTTGCCAGGAGCTCAGGGGAAGGGGAAATGAGGAGGTGATGGTTGAAGGGTATAAGGTTTCAGTTATGCAAGATAAATAAGTTCTGGAGATGTACTACACAGTGTAGTGCCTATGGCTAACAATATTGTCTTCTATACATAAAATTTGCTAAGAGGATAGATGTTGTTAAGTGTTCTTGCCAAGCAAGAAATAATCACAACAGTAATGATATTAAAAGGGGCAGATGAAACTTAGAGAAGTGATGGATATGTTTATGGTCCTGATGGTGATGATGGTTTCATGGGTGTATGCTTATCTTCAGACTCATTGAGATGTATACATTGAATATATGCAGCTTTTTACATGCCAATCATACTGCAATAAAGTGGTTGAAAAAAATAAAAATAAAAATGAGAAATTCATGGAAAAAAATTTATCCTAAAGAATTTTACCATCTTTTGCCTTTATGGATGGTATATTTTTCTTTCTGTAAAAAGCACTTCTGAAGTGTCAAAGAAAATACAACACTATTCAAGAAAATCTAATAAACTTAAAAAATTGCTTTCACTTCTCTCACTTCGCAAAATTATTTTTTGTGCTCCAGTTTTTTTTTATTGTTTTTTGGTTTTTTTATATCTTCTTTGTTTAAAAAATAAATTTATGCTTTTATTGTAGATGCAGGGGATAAATGTGCAGGTTTGTTACATGGTATATTGCACCCAGGTAGTGAGCATAGTATCCAATAGGTAGTTTTTCAATCCATGTTGTCCTTCCTCCCTCCTCTAGTTGTCTACAGTGTGTAGTGTTCCCATGTTTATGTCCATGTGTGCTCAGTATTTAGCTCCCACTTATAAGTGAGAACATGCAATATTTGGTTTTCTATTCTGATGTTAATTCACTTAGGATTATGGCCTCCAGCTCCATCCATTTTGCTGCAAAGAACATAGTTTCATTCTTTTTCACGGTTGCATAGTATTTCATGGTGTATGTGTACCACATTTTCTTTATCCAACTCACCAATGATGGGTAGCTAGGTTAATTCCATGACTTTACTATTGTGAATAGCATGGTGATAAACAGGTAAGTGCATGTGTCTTTTTGGTATAAGGATCTATTTTTCTCTGGGTATATACCCAGTAATGGGATTGCTGGCATACATGGTAGCTATGTTTTTAAGTTATTTGAGAAATCTCTAAACAGCTTTCTACAGTGGCTGAACTAATTTACATTCCTATCAACAGTGTATAAGCATTCCCTTTTATCTGAAGCCTTGCGAGCATCTGTTGTTTTTTGACTTTTTAATAATAGCTATTCTGACTGGTGTGAGATGGTATCTAACTGTGGTTTTGACTTATATTTCTTTTATGCTTAGTGATGATGAGCATTTTTTCAGTTTGACACTTGTATGTCTTCTTTTGAGAAGTTTCTGTTCATGTCTTTTGCCTATTTTTTAATGGAGTTATTTGTTTTTGCCTGTTGATTTAAGTTTTTTTTTTTAATAGATTCTGGATATGAGACCTTTGTTGTATGCAGAGTTTTTGAATATTTTCTCCCATTCTGTAGGTTGTCTGTTTACTCTGTTGATAGTTTCTTTTTGCTTTTTTTTTTTGTGTGGCGGCAAGATTTATTAAAGCGAAAGCGAAAGTAAAACGAAAGAGAAAGTAAAGCTTCCACACGGTGGAAGGGGACCTGGAAGGGTTGCCGTTTCTGGCTTGGGTGTCTTATGCTTATATTCCCTTATGACTCTTCCCCTTTTCCTTTTTCTGTCCTATAGGATTAGCTTATTTTCTAGTCTGTTGATAGTTTCTTTCGCTGTGCAGAAGCGCTTTAGTTTAACTAGGTACCATTTGTCAATTTTCTTTTGTTCTTGCAATTGCCCTTGGGGACTTAGCCAAAAATTCTTTGCCAAGGCTGATGTTGAGAAGAGCACTTCCTAGGTTTTCTTCTAGAATTTTTATAGTTTGATGTCTTACATTTAAATCTGTAATCCATCTTGAGTTAATTATTATTATTATTTTTTTATTATACTTTAAGTTTTAGGGTACATGTGCACATTGTGCAGGTTAGTTACATATGTATACATGTGCCATGCTGGTGCGCTGCACCCACTAACTCGTCATCTAGCATTAGGTATATCTCCCAATGCTATCCCTCCCCCCCCCCCCCACCCCACAACAGTACCCAGAGTGTGATATTCCCCTTCCTGTGTCCATGTGATCTCATTGTTCAATTCCCACCTATGAGTGAGAATATGCGGTGTTTGGTTTTTTGTTCTTGCGATAGTTTACTGAGAATGATGATTTCCAATTTCATCCATGTCCCTACAAAGGACATGAACTCATCATTTTTTATGGCCGCATAGTATTCCATGGTGTATATGTGCCACATTTTCTTAATCCAGTCTATCATTGTTGGACATTTGGGTTGGTTCCAAGTCTTTGCTATTGTGAATAATGCCACAATAAACATACGTGTGCATGTGTCTTTATAGCAGCATGATTTATAGTCCTTTGGGTATATACCCAGTAATGGGATGGCTGGGTCAAATGGTATTTCTAGTTCTAGATCCCTGAGGAATCACCACACTGACTTCCACAATGGTTGAACTAGTTTACAGTCCCACCAACAGTGTAAAAGTGTTCCTATTTCTCCACATCCTCTCCAGCACCTGTTGTTTCCTGACTTTTTAATGATTGCCATTCTAACTGGTGTGAGATGGTATCTCATTGTGGTTTTGATTTGCATTTCTCTGATGGCCAGTGATGATGAGCATTTTTTCATGTGTTTTTTGGCTGCATAAATGTCTTCTTTTGAGAAGTGTTTGTTCATGTCCTTCGCCCACTTTTTGATGGGGTTGTTTGTTTTTTTCTTGTAAATTTGTTTGAGTTCATTGTAGATTCTGGATATTAGGCCTTTGTCAGATGAGTAGGTTGCAAAAATTTTCTCCCATTTTGTAGGTTGCCTGTTCACTCTGATGGTAGTTTCTTTTGCTGTGCAGAAGCTCTTTAGTTTAATTAGATCCCATTTGTCAATTTTGTCTTTTGTTGCCATTGCTTTTGGTGTTTTAGACATGAAGTCCTTGCCCATGCCTATGTCCTGAATGGTAATGCCTAGGTTTTCTTCTAGGGTTTTTAAGGTTTTAGGTCTAACATGTAAGTCTTTAATCCATCTTGAATTGATTTTTGTATAAGGTGTAAGGAAGGGATCCAGTTTCAGCTTTCTACATATGGCTAGCCAGTTTTCCCAGCACCATTTATTAAATAGGGAATCCTTTCCCCATTGCTTGTTTTTCTCAGGTTTGTCAAAGATCAGATAGTTGTAGATATGCGGCATTATTTCTGAGGGCTCTGTTCTGTTCCATTGATCTATATCTCTGTTTTGGTACCAGTACCATGCTGTTTTGGTTACTGTAGCCTTGTAGTATAGTTTGAAGTCAGGTAGTGTGATGCCTCAAGCTTTGTTCTTTTGGCTTAGGATTGACTTGGCGATGCGGGCTCTTTTTTGGTTCCATATGAACTTTAAAGTAATTTTTTCCAATTCTGTGAAGAAAGTCATTGGTAGCTTGATGGGGATGGCATTGAATCTGTAAATTACCTTGGGCAGTATGGCCATTTTCATGATATTGATTCTTCCTACCCATGAGCATGGAATTTTCTTCCATTTGTTTGTATCCTCTTTTATTTCCTTGAGCAGTGGTTTGTAGTTCTCCTTGAAGAGGTCCTTCACATCCCTTGTAAGTTGGATTCCTAGGTATTTTATTCTCTTTGAAGCAATTGTGAATGGAATTTCACTCATGATTTGGCTCTCTGTTTGTCTGTTGTTGGTGTATAAGAATGCTTGTGATTTTTGTACATTGATTTTGTATCCTGAGACGTTGCTGAAGTTGCTTACCAGCTTAAGGAGATTTTGGGCTGAGACAATGGGGTTTTCTAGATATACAATCATGTCGTCTGCAAACAGGGACAATTTGACTTCCTCTTTTCCTAATTGAATACCCTTTATTTCCTTCTTCTGCCTAATTGCCCTGGCCAGAACTTCCAACACTATGTTGAATAGGAGTGGTGAGAGAGGGCATCCCTGTCTTGTGCCAGTTTTCAAAGGGAATGCTTCCAGTTTTTGCCCATTCAGTATGATATTAGCTGTGGGTTTCTCATAGATAGCTCTTATTATTTTGACATACGTCCCATCAATACCTAATTTATTGAGAGTTTTTAGCATGAAGGGTTGTTGAATTCTGTCAAAGGCTTTTTCTGCATCTATTGAGATAATCATGTGGTTTTTGTCTTTGGCTCTGTTTATATGCTGGATTACATTTATTGATTTGCATATATTAAACCAGCCTTGCATCCCAGGGATGAAGCCCACTTGATCATGGTGGATAAGCTTTTTGATGTGCTGCTGGATTCGTTTTGCCAGTATTTTATTGAGGATTTTTGCATCAATGTTCATCAAGGATATTGGTCTAAAATTCTCTTTTTTGGTTGTGTCTCTGCCCAGCTTTGGTATCAGAATGATGCTGGCCTCATAAAATGAGTTAGGGAGGATTCCCTCTTTTTCTATTGATTGGAATAGTTTCAGAAGGAATGGTACCAGCTCCTCCTTATACCTCTGGTAGAATTCGGCTGTGAATCCATTTGGTCCTGGACTCTTTTTGGTTGGTAAGCTATTGATTATTGCCACAATTTCAGCTCTTGTTATTGGTCTATTCAGAGATTCAACTTCTTCCTGGTTTAGTCTTGGGAGAGTGTATGTGTCGAGGAGTTTATCCTTTTCTTCTAGATTTTCTAGTTTATTTGCGTAGAGGTGTTTGTAGTATTCTCTGATGGTAGTTTGTATTTCTGTGGGATCGGTGGTGATATCCCCTTTATCATTTTTTATTGCATCTATTTGATTCTTCTCTCTTTTTTTCTTTATTAGTCTTGCTAGTGGTCTATCAATTTTGTTGATCCTTTCAAAAAACCAGCTCCTGGATTCATTAATTTTTTGAAGGGTTTTTTGTGTCTCTATTTCCTTCAGTTCTGCTCTGATTTTAGTTATTTCTTGCCTTCTGCTAGCTTTTGAATGTGTTTGCTCTTGCTTTTCTAGTTCTTTTAATTGTGATGTTAGGGTGTCAATTTTGGATCTTTCCTGCTTTCTCTTGTGGGCATTTAGTGCTATAAATTTCCCTCTACACACTGCTTTGAATGCGTCCCAGAGATTCTGGTATGTTGTGTCTTTGTTCTCATTGGTTTCAAAGAACATCTTTATTTCTGCCTTCATTTCGTTATGTACCCAGTAGTCATTCAGGAGCAGGTTGTTCAGTTTCCATGTAGTTGAGCGGTTTTGAGTGAGATTCTTAATCCTGAGTTCTAGTTTGATTGCACTGTGGTCTGAGAGATAGTTTGTTATAATCTCTGTTCTTTTACATTTGCTGAGGAGAACTTTACTTCCAAGTATGTGGTCAGTTTTGGAATAGGTGTGGTGCGGTGCTGAAAAAAATGTATATTCTGTTGATTTGGGGTGGAGAGTTCTGTAGATGTGTATTAGGTCCGCTTGGTGCAGAGCTGAGTTCAATTCCTGGGTATCCTTGTTGACTTTCTGTCTCGTTGATCTGTCTAATGTTGACAGTGGGGTGTTAAAGTCTCCCATTATTAATGTGTGGGAGTCCAAGTCTCTTTGTAGGTCACTCAGGACTTGCTTTATGAATCTGGGTGCTCCTGTATTGGGTGCATATATATTTAGGATAGTTAGCTCTTCTTGTTGAATTGATCCCTTTACCATTATGTAATAGCCTTCTTTGTCTCTTTTGATCTTTGTTGGTTTAAAGTCTGTTTTATCAGAGACTAGGATTGCAACCCCTGCCTTTTTTTGTTTTCCATTTGCTTGGTAGATCTTCCTCCATCCTTTTATTTTGAGCCTATGTGTGTCTCTGCACATGAGATGGGTTTCCTGAATACAGCACACTGATGGGTCTTGACTCTTTATCCAATTTGCCAGTCTGTGTCTTTTAATTGGAGCATTTAGTCCATTTACATTTAAAGTTAATATTGTTATGTGTGAATTTGATCCTGTCATTATGATGTTAGCTGGTTCTTTTGCTGGTTAGTTGATGCAGTTTCTTCCTAGTCTCGATGGTCTTTACATTTTGGCATGATTTTGCAGCGGCTGGTACCGGTTGTTCCTTTCCATGTTTAGTGCTTCCTTCAGGAGCTCTTTTAGGGCAGGCCTGGTGGTGACAAAATCTCTCAGCATTTGCTTGTCTGTAAAGTATTTTATTTCTCCTTCACTTATGAAGCTTAGTTTGGCTGGATATGAAATTCTGGTTGAAAATTCTTTTCTTTAAGAATGGTGAATATTGGCCCCCACTCTCTTCTGGCTTGTAGGGTTTCTGCCGAGAGATCCGCTGTTAGTCTGATGGGCTTCCCTTTGAGGGTAACCCGACCTTTCTCTCTGGCTGCCCTTAACATTTTTTCCTTCATTTCAACTTTGGTGAATCTGACCATTATGTGTCTTGGAGTTGCTCTTCTCGAGGAGTATCTTTGTGGCATTCTCTGTATTTCCTGAATCTGAACGTTGGCCTGCCTTGCTAGATTGGGGAAGTTCTCCTGGATAATATCCTGCAGAGTGTTTTCCAACTTGGTTCCATTCTCCCCATCACTTTCAGGTACACCAATCAGATGTAGATTTGGTCTTTTCACATAGTCCCATATTTCTTGGAGGCTTTGCTCATTTCTTTTTATTCTTTTTTCTCTAAACTTCCCTTCTCGCTTCATTTCATTCATTTCATCTTCCATAGCTGATATTCTTTCTTCCAGTTGATCGCATCGGCTCCTGAGGCTTCTGCATTCTTCACGTAGTTCTCGAGCCTTGGTTTTCAGCTCCATCAGCTCCTTTAAGCACTTCTCTGTATTGGTTATTCTAGTTATACATTCTTCTAAATTTTTTTCAAAGTTTTCAACTTCTTTGCCTTTAGTTTGAATGTCCTCCCGTAGCTCAGAGTAATTTGATCGTCTGAAGCCTTCTTCTCTCAGCTCGTCAAAGTCATTCTCCATCCAGCTTTGTTCCGTTGCTGGTGAGGAACTGCGTTCCTTTGGAGGAGGAGAGGCGCTCTGCTTTTTAGAGTTTCCAGTTTTTCTGTTCTGTTTTTTCCCCATCTTTGTGGTTTTATCTACTTTTGGTCTTTGATGATGGTGATGTACAGATGGGTTTTTGGTGTGGATGTCCTTTCTGTTTGTTAGTTTTCCTTCTAACAGACAGGACCCTCAGCTGCAGGTCTGTTGGAGTACCCTGCCGTGTGAGGTGTCAGTGTGCCCCTGCTGGGGGATGCCTCCCAGTTAGGCTGCTCGGGGGTCAGGGACCCACTTGAGGAGGCAGTCTGCCCGTTCTCAGATCTCCAGCTGCATGCTGGGAGAACCACTGCTCTCTTCAAAGCTGTCAGACAGGGACGTTTAAGTCTGCAGAGGTTACTGCTGTCTTTTTGTTTGTCTGTGCCCTGCCCCCAGAGGTGGAGCCTACAGAGGCAGGCAGGCCTCCTTGAGCTGTGGTGGGCTCCACCCAGTTGGAGCTTCCCAGCTGCTTTGTTTACCTAAGCAAGCCTGGGCAATGGCGGGCGCCCCTGCCCCAGCCTCGCTGCCGCCTTGCAGTTTGATCTCAGACCGCTGTGCTAGCAATCAGCGAGACTCCGTGGGGGTAGGACCCTCCAAGCCAGGTGCGGGATATAATCTTGTGGTGCGCCGTTTTTTAAGCCGGTCGGAAAAGCGCAGTATTCGGGTGGGAGTGACCCGATTTTCCAGGTGCGTCCGTCACCCCTTTCTTTGACTCGGAAAGTGAACTCCCTGACCCCTTGCGCTTCCCAAGTGAGGCAATGCCTCGCCCTGCTTCGGCTCGCGCACGGTGCGCGCACCCACTGACCTGCGCCCACTGTCTGGCACTCCCTAGTGAGATGAACCCGGTACCTCAGATGGAAATGCAGAAATCACCCGTCTTCTGCGTCGCTCACGCTGGGAGCTGTAGACAGGAGCTGTTCCTATTCGGCCATCTTGGCTCGCCTTGAGTTAATTTTTGTATATGGTGAAAGGTAAGAGTCCAGTTTCATTCTTCTGCATATGAAAGGGAGTCCTTTCTCCATTGCTTGTTTTGTTGGCCTTGTGCAAGATTAGATTGCTGTAGGTGTGTGGCTTTATTTCTGAATTTTCTCTTCTGTTCCATTGGCCTATGTGTCTGTTTTTGTACCAGTACCATGCTGCTTTGGTTTCTGTAACCTTATATTACAGTTTCACGTCAGGTAGTGTGGTGCCTCCAGCTTTGTTCTTTTGGCTTAGGATTGCCTTGCCTATTCAGGCTCTTTTTTTATTCCATGTGAATTTTAGAATAGCTTTTTTCAAATTCCGTGAAGCATGGTGGTAGTTTGATAGGAATAGCATTGAATCTGTTAATTGCTTTGGGCAGTTTGGCCATCTTAAAGATATTGATTCTTTTAATCCCTGAGCATAGAATGTTTTTCCATTTATTTGTGTCATTCTGATTTCTTCCAGCAGTGTTTTGCAGTTCTCTTTATAGATATGTTTCACCTCCTTGGTTAGCTGTATTATTAGGTATTTCATTTTCTGTGTGGCTTTTGCAAATGGGATTGTGTTCTTGATTTGACTCTCAGCCTGAATGTTATTGGTATGTAGAAATGCTACTGATTTTTGTACATTGATACTGTATTCTGAAGCCTTACTAAAATCATTTATCAGTTCTAGTAGCCTTTTGGCAGAGTCTTTTAGGGTTTTCTAGGTATAGAATCATATTGTTGGCAAAGTTTGACTTCTTTTCTTATTTGGAAGCCTTTTATTTCTTTTTCTTGCCTGATTGCTCCAGTGAGGACTTCCAGTACTATGTTTAACAGGAGTTGTGAGAGTGGGCACCTTGTCTTGTTCCAGTTTTCAAGGGGAATGCTTCGAGCTTTTGCCTGTTAAATATGATTTTGGCTGTGGGTTTGTCATAGATGGCTTCTATAGTTTTGAGATATGTTCCTTCAATGTTTAGTCTGTTGAGGGTTTTTAATCATGAAGGGATATTTGATTTTATCAAGAGATTTTTCTGTGTCTATTGAGATGATCATATGTTTTGCTTTTAATTTTGTTTATGTAGTGAATCACATTTATTTATTTGCATATGTTGAACCAACCTTGCCTCTTAAGTATAAGGCCTACTCAATCATGGTGTATTAACTTTTGATGTGCTGCTAGATTTGGTTTGGTAGTATTTTGTTGATGATTTTTGCATCTATGTTCATCAGGTATATTGGCGCGAAGTTTTCTTTATTCATTGTGTTTCTGCTAGGTTTTGGTATTAGGCTGATGCTTGCTTCATAGAATGAGTTAGGGAGGAGACCCTCCTCCTTGATTTTTTTGGAATAGTTTCAATAGTGTTGGTACCAGTTCTTTGTATGTCTGGTAGAATTTGGCTGTGAATTCATTTCGTTCAGGCCTTTTATTTGGTTGGTAGACTTTGTATTACTGATTCAATTTCAGAGCTCAATAGTGGTCCATTCAGGGTTTCAATCTCTTGCTGATTCAATCTTGGGAGACTGTCTTTGTAGGAATTTATCCATTTCCTCCAGATTTTTAAAATTTATGTGCATAGAGTTGTTGATATTATTCTCTGAGGATCTTTTATACTTCTGTGAGATCAATTGTAATGTCATCTTTGTCATTTCTGAGTGTACTTATTTGGACCTTTCTTTTCTTTCCCTCCCTCCATCCCTCCCTCCCTCCCTCCCTCCCTCCCTTCCTTCCTTCTTTCCTTCTTCCCTCCCTTCCTTGAGACAGGGTCCCCCTATATTGCCCAGGCTGGTCTTGAACTTCTGGGCTCAAGGGATCTTCCTGCCACCTCCCAAAGTGTTAGGATTACAGATGTGAGCCACCACACTTTGTTAATCTAGCTAGTCGTCTATCAATCTCGTTTATTTTTTCAAAGAACCAATTTTTGGTCTCATTGATCTTTTGTATGAATTTTTGCATCTCAAGTTCATTCAGTTCTTCTCTAATTTTAGTTGTTTCCTTTCTTCTGCTAGCTTTGTAGCTGGTTTGTTCTTTTTTCCTGGTTCCTTTAGGTGCAAAGTTAGACAGTTAATCTGAGATCTTTCTAACTTCTTGATGAAGGTTTTTAGTGTTATAAAGCAGTGCTTAACACTGCTTTAGCTGCATCCCGGAAATTTTGGTAAGCTGCGTTCTTATTTTCATTAATTTCAGAAACTTTAAAAAATTTCTGCCTTCATTTTTCAGAACTATTTTTATTTCAGCATATCATTCTCCTTATGTATACACATTTATTTACAGTTGACCCTTGAACAATGTGAGCATGAACTGTGTGGGTCCACTTATATGTGGATTTTTTTTCAAAGGAATGTGGATCAAAATACAGTATTCATGGGATGCAAATCCTGGGTAAGCAGAGGGCTGATTTTTCATGTATGTAGGTACTTCAGCCCTATGGAACTTGAATATACATGGATTTTGGTATACTAGGGTATCGTGGAGACATGCCCCCACATATATTGAGGAATGACTGTAATTGCAATTAATTTGTATATTGTTTTGAAATGTGATACTTTTATTTAATTTTATACTATGCAATCTTCATATATACACATATATAAATATGCGTATATATAAATATATATGTGTATATATATATAAATATATATATACACATATACACATATACATGTGTGTATACACACATATACATGTGTGTATACACATATATGTGTGTGTGTATATATATGTGTATATACATGTGTATATATATATATATATATATATATATTTTTTTTTTTTTTTTTTTGAGGTGAAGTCTTGCTCTGTTGCCCAGGTTGGAGTGCAATGGTGGGATCCTGGCTCACTGCAACCTCTGCCTCCCAGGTTCAAGTGATTCTTGTGCCTCAGCCTCCCAAATAGCTGGGATTACAGGTGTGTGCCACCATGCCTGGCTAATTTTTGTATTTTTAGTAGAGACGGGGTTTCACCGTGTTGGCCAGGCTTGTCTCTTAACTCCTGATCTCATGTGATCTGCCCGCCTTGGCCTCCCAGAATGCTGGAATTACAGACGTGAGCCACCACGTCTGACCTCTTCTCCATATTTTAATAGACTTCCTATTATAATTTTAATTTTGGTATAATGTTTCATCTTATTAATGTACCAAAATTTGTTAAATCATTATTAGACTGTTGGACTTACTGAGTTTTCAGCAAATATTTTTGAGTGCATACCTGGGACTTCGCAAGGCTGAAAATTATGCTGTAATGAGTATCTCTGAGCCTGTATGTATAAGTATGTATGTGTGTATATAAAAATACACACACACACACACACACACACACTTCTCCTCCTCCTCCTCCTCTGCCTTCTTTTTTTTCTTCAATTATTTCTTCTGGGTAAGTTCCTTGGAGTGGGATGACTGAGTTGAAAGTTGTGAACTTCTTATTGACTCATGCGTTGCATTAACAATTCAAAATGATTGATCAATTTAATTTGTTACAAGCAATAAATGAGTGCACTGATTTTGCCATAAGCCTACTAGCATTAGGCATTATCATTTTTTAAATTATACTTTAAATGTTGGCATACATGTGCAGAACGTGCAGGTTTGTTACATAGGTATACACGTGCCATGGTGCTTTGCTGCACCCATCGACCCATCATCTACATTAGGTATTTCTCCTAATGCTGTCTCTCCCCTAGCCCCCCACCCCCCAACAGGCCCTGATGTGTGATGTTCCCCTCCCTGTATCCATGTGTTCTCGTTGTTCATCTCCCATTTATGAGTGAGAACATGCAGTATTTGGTTTTCTGTTCCTGTGTTACTTTGCTGAGAATGATAGTTTCCAGCGTCATCCATGTCCTTGCAAAGCACATGAACTCATTCTTTTTTTATGGCTGCATAGTATTCCATGGTGTATATGTGCCACATTTTCTTTATCCAGTCTATCATTGATGGACATTTGGGTTGGTTCCAAGTCTTTGCTATTGTGAATAGTGCTGCAGTAAACATATGTGTGCATGTATCTTTATAGTACAATGATTTATAACCATTTGGGTATATACCCAGTAATGGGATTGCTGGGTCAAATGGTATCTCTGGTTCTAGATCCTTGAGGAATTGCCACACTGTCTTCCACAATGGTTGAACTAATTTACACTTCCACCAACAGTGTAAAAGCGTTCTGATTGCTCCACATCCTCTCCAGCATCTGTTGTTTCCTGACTTTTTAATGATTGCCATTCTGACTGGTGTGAGATGGTATTTCATTGTGGTTTTTGTTTGCATTTCTCTAATGACCAGTGATGATGAGCTTTTTTTCATATGTTTGTTGGCTGCATAAATGTCTTCTTTTGAGAAGTGTCTGTTCATATCCTTTGCCCACTTTTTGATGGGGTTGTTTGTTTTTTTCTTGTAAATTTGTTTAAGTTCCTTGTAGATTCTGGATATTAGCCCTTTTTCAGATGGATAGATTGCAAAATTTTCTCCCATTCTGTAGGTTGCCTGTTCACTCTGATGATAGTTTCTTTTGCTGTGCAGAAGCTCTTTAGTTTAATTAGATCCCATTTGTCAATTTTGGCTTTTGTTGCCATTGCTTTTGGTGTTTTAGTCATGAAGTCCTTGCCCATGCCTATGTTCTGAATGGTATTGCCTAGGTTTTCTTCTAGGGTTTTTATGGTTTTAGGTCTAACATTTAAGTCTTTAATCCATCTTGAGTTAATTTTTGTATAAGGCGTAAGGAAGGGGTCCAGTTTCAGCTTTCTACATATGGCTAGCCAGTTTTCCCAACACCATTTATTAAATAGAGACTCCTTTCTCCATTGCTTGTTTTTGCCAGGTTTGTCAAAGATGAGATGGTTGTAGATGTGTGGCATTAGTTCTGAGGCCTCTGCTCTGTTCCATTGGTCTATATATCTGTTTTGGTACCAGTACCATGGTGTTTTGGTTACTGAAGCCTTATAGTATAGTTTGAAGTCAGGTAGTGTGATGCTTCCAGCTTTGTTCTTTTTGCTTAGGATTGTCTTGGCTATATGGGCTCTTTTTTGGATCCATGTGAAATTTAAAGTAGTTTTTTTCTAATTCTGTGAAGAAAGTCAATGGTAGCTTAATGGGGATAGCATTGAATCTATAAATTATTTTGGGCAATATGGCCAGCACTATCATTTTTTAAACCATTTTCCCAAATGCATCATTTCATTCCCTATAAAACCTTAAAATGGTTGGGAGAAAGCAGGGTTTACTGCCCTTAAGCAGTCTGTTGTCCGGTCATGCTTACATAATGGCAGTGAAGTGTTAATTAGGTAACTATACTGTGTTTTATTTTCTTCATTGTAGTGTGTATCATTTTTTCTCCTTTAACTTGAGGGGAAATGTTCAAGTGTTGATTCAGACTCGTACCATCTCATTGCTCTAATACCTCTACCAAGTTCCTTTAAGACAGACCATAGGAACGGAGTGGTGAGCTGGTGGTTGATTTGTGGGTGGTGTCATGAAGTCACACAATGACTCAAAACAGATCACACACCAAGTCAAGGAGAAGCTGGGTCTGGCCCCTGGAGTGAGCTTTCCCCTGCCCTGGAATCCAGGGTATCACTGGCAGAAGGAGTTTTGCAAGAAACGGAAAGGACATTAGACTTGATTTCTAGGAAAAAGCATGATTGGAAAAGTTGCCAGAAAGAAAGGCTTATAAAAACTGCTGAGCATAATAGAAAAGGCTTTTGAAATTTTGTTTTTATCCAGAAGTCTTCATTACATGAAGAAGTTGATTCAAGATAAAAAAATCTTCTCCTGTGATTCTCATATTGCATTTATTCATGCTTACTTATTTCCTAATGTGTTCCAAAAAGGGGTTGCTGCAAGTCCGCTTTTCTACAAAACGGAGAAGGGAGAATTTAAAAAGAGGCAGGCCACTCTCAACCCAGGCAAGGCAGTGGTGAGCTCTGCTGAAGAAATATGCAGATATGACTTCAGAGCTTTGCAGATAACAGCTGAGAAATCACAGAGAGCGACAGGCAGATAAGCAAGTTATGACACAGATAACATTCAAATACCCATTTCTTAAAGAGATTATGCATATTTGAAATAGACGGAGGGATAAATTCCTACAGGAAGAACATATAAGAAATTAACATCATTCTACTTTTTAAAACAGAGCAACTAATTTGTAAGCTGAGGGACATCTGTGGATACAATGTATTGTCATTTCTGCCTGACATTCAGGAATGTGCATTCTGGCTATCTTGGTGGAGAAGAGTGTATAATATATGACTGGATGCTATTGTTGTCAGATGTACCCAGATTTGTTGAAACAAACAACATCCATTCTCAGCCTGTGGGATGGTCTCTGGTTGAGGCAGAGGACTCTGTCCTGGACCTTGACTTTGTCCTGTTCAAGAATTTTATCCTTGACTCATATGAAGAAAGAATATAGAATGAGAACTGTTCGTGGGAAAAGATCTGGGAGCCAAAAGATACAGCAGCTACAGACAATGAGAGTTCAGAGGCAGGCAAGGTCTAGATTGAGTGTAAAGAACTTGCCTGTGTGCTGTTGGGTCTGAGTCTGGAGTCGGTGGCAGACTTACCATTTAAGGAAGACATTGAGAGTCAGGGCTGTGGTCAAAGCAGGTCTTCAAGGTGGTTACAACACTGGAAAGTGAGCATTGCACAAAATTATGGGGTGATTTATGGAAGGGTAGAGAAGAGAGAGTTTTATTCAGATCTTGGAAGATATTTTATATAGAAGTGTGACTGAGTAGTTCTGAGTGGCACCAAAGGCCAGAAATAGTTCTCCAAACCCACTCTTCTTCACTCTTCACTCTCTCAGTTTATAGCAACTCCATTCTAACAGGCCTTCCTCTGAGCATCCTACAAAAAGATCAGCCCATCACTCTTTTTTTCTCCTTACCCATCTCCCTACTGTGTTTTTCTTCATAGCACATGTTAGCACTAAATAACTCTGTGTACTTATTTTTAGGCAGCTTTTGAGAAGCAGTATAAGTTGGTGTATGATGCTAGGCTGTGGAGTCTGACTGCCTGGGTTCAAAGCCTAGTCCTGTTTCTTTCCTGTAACTTTAGGTACGTGTGTTAACCTCTCTGAACTCTATTTCCTCCTCTATGAAACAGGGGATAAGATAATAATTGTATCTACTTTGTAGGGTAGTGCAAGCACTAAATAAATTAATTCTTGCAAAGGACTTAGAAGAATTCCTCCCTAAGTACTCAGTAACCATAACTCAGGTGTTGACGAAGGGGCTGGTGGGTCCTTGATTGGGAGTGAGGTACAGTTTATCTCTGCTTTGGTTGGGATGTTGGACTGTCAAGATGCTCTGTAGTTTCTGAAGAGGGAAATGATCTTATAAAGTGACCAAGGTCATCACTGGGCAAGAAGTGCAACTGAGGAACTATTGAGTCCACTGACCTTATAAGGTGCCAGGTCAGACTCTTCTGGGTTTAAATAACAGAAATAGAATCTGGGGCTTGCAACTCCTTGGGAAGCTGAACAATCAGGCATGACAAGCATGCAGGAATTGTTACAGTAAGTAGCTAGTCAGGTGTGAGCAGGGCAGGAGGTGGATCTGCCTAATAATGTGGGGCAACCATCAGGTGATGATCAGGTGGTTTTCAACTGTCTCTCTAAAATAATAATTGGTCACAGCCAGTGCCAGGGAAAGGCAGTCTCCCTATAGATAGAAAAAACCTGAAACTGGTGATCAGTAGCTTCCTGATAAAATTTCAGGAGTTGGGCGAGTGAGCTCAAGCATGTGCATTAAGAGGCAAAATGGTGGAGTTTAACTTGTATATGACCTTCTGTGGGCATTGCACCGGAATGGGAAGAACGCCTCAAGTGAGCATGTGTAAAGACACTGACGTTCCCCTCCCAAGCACTAGCAGGCCATTACACATGCAGAAAACCCACCCCAAAGGAAGAAGCAGGGAGAAGGGATGCAAGACCCCAGAAGTATGCCAACATATAAAACTCCAAGCCAAAACATCAAATCCCACACTTGTCCTCCAAGACACTCGCTTAGCCCTCTTCCAAGTGTACTTTACTTTCTTTTCATTCCTGCTCTAAAGCTTTTTAATTAACTCTCACTCATGCTCTAAAATTTGCCTCAGTTTCTTCTTCTGCCTTATGTCCCTCAGTCAATTTTTTTCTTCTGAGGAGGCAAGAATTGAGGTTGCTTCAGACTTGTACACATTCGCTGCCGGTAACTCAGATACCCATCACTGAAAACAGAACCGGGTTGGCTCCTGTGGGTCATGAGGCAGGAAACCAAGGTGCTTTTTTTCATAACTCATAGCTTCATTGGACGACTACTCTCTAAGTCACTAGGTTGACTTATGGCTGAAAGAAATCTGTATCTGGCACCATCTGGTGTTTGAAGGAAAGGAAGTGCTGCTGTCAGCATTTGTTCCAACACTTCACCTTATCATGACACTAAGAAAACCTCAAGCTGGCAATGACATCCAAAGGGGTAGAAGCAGTTTTCTAAATGGTACTGGTATCCCTACTGGCATCTCTGGAAGAAAGAGTTCAGTTGGCTCCTGTAGTATGTAGGAGGCAGACTCTCTCTTACCAAGATTCACAAAAATGAGAAATTCTTCCAAATAGAATGTGGGTTTCTGTTATGGTTTGAATACGTCGCTTTCAAAATTCAAGTGGTGCCAATATGACAGTATTAGGCGATGGGAGCCTTTCAGAGGTGATTAGGCCATAAGGGCTCCTCTGTCATTCATGGGATCAAGGCACTTATTAAAGAGGCTTCTGCCAGCATTCAGTTGGCTTGCTAACCTGCTCTTCGGCTCTCTCTTGCCCTCCCACCTTCTGCCATGTGAGGTTGCAGCAAGAAGGTCCTCACCAGACCAAATACCAGGATTTTGATCTTGGACTTTCCAGTCTCCAGAACTGTGAGAAAATAAATTTCTGTTCTTTATAAATTACCAAGTCTCAGGTATTTAGTTTTAGCAGCACAAATGGACTAAGACAGTTAGTTGCTGGCCAGCTGGACAGTGTGGCAGAAGTCCCCTGTGTACTGCCCCACTTCCCCACCACATGAATGCTCATATTCCCATTGAGCTCCAGGTGTTGGGAGGACAGGCTTGCCCTGCAGATCTGGCTCATACTGTGGATTTGCGCTCAGTCCCCATTCAGCAGCTTCTCTTTTTGCTAGTTCTTCAACTCCCAGTTATGCTGGTTGGTGATATGTAATGTGTCACTTTGCTGGCACGAGATTATTTAGTTTTCATGGTAGCCTTAATAATCTTGTGACACCAATTACTGTTCTATAATGGTAAGAAAAATAATGGCTACCATGTTAAAAAATGTATCAGATACCAAGCATGGTACCTGGCTGTTTACATGTGATATTTCTTTTAATCTTCATTTCCTTGAGGAAGATATAATTTTTTCCATTTTGTAAGTGAGGAAACGGAGGTCAGTAATCATTAAGTAACTTTCCCAAGGTCCCAGAGCAAGGAAGAGTAGGAGCTTGGATTTCTAAGCCTTTGTCTGACTCCAGAGCCTGAGCTCTAAACACTGTACTATATTCTCCCATCATGCAGATGGGAAAAAGAAAGGTGAATTTCACCATTACCTTTGTAAAATGCCAATAGTAGATTCCTTAGGCTAGAGCTTGCTCTTCTCTAACTCACTGTAATGTTTACTTTTGAAGTAGAGAAACTCCGTAAGCATGAAACCAATGTAAGCTTGCCCTCCAGCACAGCCACATAGATACGCTCAAACCACACCAGGCAGACATAAGCCACCCAGTCAAGGTGGACTGTGAGAGGGGCAGGTGGCAGTGTCAGCTCTAATATCTTGTCCTGGCCACAGTCTTTCTTTCCCTACCTGGAAGAACATGCAATGCATTGCCCGCTTCCTTTCCCCTGTCTTGCTTGTCTTGGTTTTTCTCTTCTCCTCCCTTTCCCTCTCCCTCTCCTCTTCTCTCTTTTCTTCCCTTTTTTCTTCTCTCTCCCTCTTGCTTTCTTTCCTTTCTAGCTTAACAATATTCCCCACCTTATCCCCTGGAATTTTGCCCAGGTACTTTAGAAGAATCTCCCTCCTTTACTTCCTTTTCTTTTTTCCTCCTTTATCTCTTTTATTTGTTTAGTCCATTTGTAGACCATTTTTTAAATTATCATTGATAAATGCATGAATATTGCCATCAAAACATCAGTGGAAAGGAAAGTTCTATATCTGAGGGTGAAATTAGGCAACTGGTATAGTCAGGATCAAAAATCCTGGGAGTCATTTTAGAAAAGCCAGGTCTGGCGTGGTGCCTCACTCCTGTAAACCCAGCACTTTGGGAGGCTGAAGCGGGTGGGTCATTTGAGGTCAGGAGTTCGAGACCAGCCTGGCCAACACGGTGAAACTGAAAAAAAAAAAAACCAAAAAACAAAAATTAGCTGGGTGTGGTGGTGGGCTCCTGTAATCCTAGCTACTTGGGAGGCTGAGGCAGGAGAATCGTTTGAACCCAGGAGATGGAGAGTGCAGTGAGCTGAGATTGTGCCAGTGTACTCCAGCCTGGGTGACAGCGTGAGACTGTCTCAAATAAAAGAAAAAAAAAAAAGAAAATCCACACAAGTTTTTAGATACATCTGAATACAATTTTAATGAAAACTGCTTTTTTCTCAAGCACTGAAATGAGTAAAAACATTTAGTGATGGGCAGTCGGCTAAGACTGGGAAAGCAGAAAAATAATTAAATAAGAAAAAAATCATGCACTCAAAGAACTCCCTATCTAGTTTTACCCATTATTTAAAATCATCTTTGACATTCATTCCTAGTATCAGAGTTATTTGTCTCTCCCTACTAGGTGACTTTTCTTTCAACTACATTTTGGATGGGAATTTTTGCAGGTGGTTTTGGAACGCAGCCACCTTTTATAAAAACAATTCTATGGGAAAATGCATTTTTAAGTTCACAGAAATGGACTTGGACACGAGTGGAACACAATCCCTTTGTACATGAAGGCTGCTCTGTGAGCTTCATTGGACGACTACTCTCTGTCACTAGGTTGACTTACGGCTGAAAGAAATCTGTATCTGGCACCACCTGGTGTTTGAAGGAAAGGAAGTGCTGCTGTCAGCATTTGTCCCAACCTTTCACCTTATCATGACACTAAGAAAACTCCAAGCTGGCAATGACATCCACAGGGGTAGAAGCAGTTTTCTAAATGGGACTGGTATTTCTACCAGCCATTCAGTTTGATCTTTGGGTTTTAGCTTTATGTCTGTCCTCTTGTTACAGCCCTTCCCTGCCACCTTTCCTGGCTCCTGCCACTCTGTGACACTTTCCTCTACCACGAGTGGGTCACTTTATCCACAGAAATCATGTGGTGGCCTGGGAATGCTGTAGCTGTGGAGTGGCCGGCAGGGGAAGGGAGACGAGGGCCCCTGAGAATCTTGGTTGTGCACTGACAGCAATTGGAGCAGGGTGAAATAGATAAGGGCCATGAGAGGGCTGTGTCAGCTGTGGCTAGCACTGTTAGGATGGTAATGATGATGATGATGCCAGATGGAAAGCTTGGGCAGGGAAAGAATGGAGGAAAGGAAAGAGGGGAGCGTCAGATTCTTCTGTTACTGGAAGGCTCGTGAAAGAAACAGCAGTACTGGGTATTTCATAATACATGCCACTGGGTGAGAAAATGAGTTTCCTGAAATTATTATTTTAAAAATGGCAGTAAAGAGAGTCTACTTAAGTAAAATTAGTCATGAAAAGTATGGGGTCCACAAATCTGGAGGTAGATTTAAATCAGGCAGAGGGCCCAAAAGAGGATGGGGCAGTTTGATAGATTATTCTCTTTACATTTCCTCTAAGCTTTGATTTTTTTCAAAACATCAATGCTGTGACCATGGACTTATGGAGATGAGGTTGGGAGGTGGTAAGGAGAGGAGAGCTCAGAATGTGTAGATCTCTTAGCTGAAAGAGCTGCTGGTGTACAAGGGAGGTGACTGCATAGTTATTTATGAGACCATCGGCAAACTCGGAGGCATCTTGTTTTTTGAAAACTATCTTCAGGAAAACCAGGGCTCCCTAAATATTATGGCACATAGCACCATTTTCTGAACACTTATGAATGCTCGGAAGATATATAATTCTGTCAGAGAGTTACTTATTTAGCCAACCTGTGTTTACTCAATACAATTCTCTGGCTAACAGAATAGGAGGCAGGGGGTGAGAGAAAGGTGTAAAAATAAAGATAGGGCCCCTTTCTTGAGAAGCACATATTCCTTATGAAAAGACGATACTAATACGTAGGGATCAATGAAGGCAAGATTGGAGGCAATACATAAGGCAATATGGTACCATGTATAAAACCTGTAAATGGAGACCAACGGGGAAGGCCAAAGCCCCCTGGGTGGGCTGGCTGAGGAAAGTGGCATGAAGGAGTTGGGATTTGAGTTGGATCTTGAAAAGTGGGAGGATGTCAGGTTGGCAGAGGGGAAGGAAGTCACTGTCGGTAGAAGAATAACCAGCTGATGAGGGAATAGGGAATAGATGTACTGAATTGGCACAAAGGGCAAGATTTGAACTGAGTGGAAGTTGGGAGTTAGGGACAGGCCAAAGTGAGAGTACACAATCCTATTAGCCAGTGTTGTGTTGATTTTTTTTTGTTTTTTGAGACAGGGTGTTGCTCTGTCACCCAGGCTAGAGTGTGGTGGCATGACCATGGTTCACTGCAACATTGACCTCCTGGGCTTAAGTGATCCTCCCACCTCAGCCTCCTGAGCAGCTGGGACCACAGGCGCATGACACCATGCCTGGGTAATTAAAAAATTTTTGTGGAGAAGGGGTCCCACTACATTGCTTAGGCTATTCTTAAACTCCTGGACTCGAGCGATCCTCCCACCTTGGGCTCCCCAGGTGCTGAGATTACAGGAGTGAGCCACTGCTTCTGGCTGATTCTTGATTCCACAGGTGATGGGGAGCCACTGCAGATGTTTGGAAAGGAGGAATGACATGACTTGAATCATAGACACACTTCATTAGAGTTGGAAGAATCCTTAGAGAGCATAAAACTCAAATCCTTCATTGCATATGTGAGGAAACTGAGGCCCAGAGAGCAAAGATGATTTGTTGAAGGTTGTCCAGCAAGTTAGTGGCAAGGCCAGGTCTCTGATACCACCTAGCAGTCCAGAGGCCCTTCCCTAATGTTTCAGGGTCCTGTGCTCTTTGGCATATTCCAGTCTTGAGGACAGAGTCCAGGTCTGCTCATGGTTGCTGTCTTCTGCTGACCCAGACTCTGCCTCTGCCTCTTCCCTGCCACAGTCCCTGTTTTCTATCTAAGATTTGGACATCCTTGTGAGAGAAGCAGCTTCCTTTTGGTGCAGAGAGCTAATTCCAAACAATGATTGTATTCAGAATGACTGGGGAGTTGGAAATACGGCTGATGAGTAATCTATCATACAGCTTGGACATTTGTTCTTTCATCAAATATTTACTGAGCACCTAGTAGGTAACAGGCACTGTGCAACATGCTGAGAAGACAACTGGGTTTTTAGGCTAGTGGAAAAAAGAGAATGAGAACATAGCTTAGGAAGTGACATGGGTACAGAGAGCACTGACCCAGTGTGGAGCAGGGGTTGGGAAGGCAAGGAGCAGTTGGGCAGGCAAAGAGATAATGGGGAAGGAAGGAGGGAGAAAGAGAGAAAGGGAAGAGAGAGGGAGAGAGAGAGAGAGAGAGGTGATTTCAGGGTTTGCACGAGGCTCAGTGTGTCTGAAGCAGTGTGTGCTGGCTTGGGAGACTGGGAGATGGGGCTGGAAAGGTAAGTGGAACAGACTGTAAAGTCTTTTATCGACCATTTAAGAAGCTTGGATTTTAAATAGCAAAGAGTGGGGAACAACAAGTGTTTACAGATGTCTACTCTATCCCAGATATTGTCCTAAGCCTACTACTAACCTCAATCAGTTTTTAAAGCAACTCTAAGAGACTGGGGCTATTATTATTCCCCTTTTACAGATGAGAAACCTGTGCTAGAAATGAGAGTCAGGATTGAAACCAGGTAGTCCAGCTTCAGAGACCATGCTTTTTAGCACAGCCCCTGGCCTTTGTGGCCTCATTTAAGGGTTTCAGCAGAGAAAGGACATGGCCAGATAGAAATATTGGAATGGCAGAAGTAGCCGGAATCTCAGAAAGACTGACTGACTGACTCTGACAGGATCCGGGGCTGAAGGAAGGAGGCGGTGACCATGGAGTTAGGTGAGCTGCTCTACAACAAGTCTGAGTATATCAAGACGGCATCTGGGAACAAAGTCAGTCTCCAGTCAGTGTTGTGTGGAAGCCAGAACATACTTCTCAATCGCAAGACCATGTGGTGAATGACTGTATTATCTGAGGGGATCTGGAAAACATAAGAGATGGACTCCATTGTGTTGTGAAAAGTTGTAGTGTCATAAGGCCACCATTCAAGAAATTCAGCAAAGGTGTTGAATTCTTTCCTTTACATATTGGGGACCATGTCTTTATTGAGGAAGAGTGTGTGGTCAACGCAGCTCAGATTGGTTCTTGCATTCATGTTGGCAAGAACTGCGTGATTGGGTGCCGGTGTTTGTTGAAAGACTGCTGCAAAATTCTTGACAACACAGCATTACCTCCAGAAACTGTGGTCCCACCATTCACTGTCTTCTCAGGCTGCCCAGGATGCTTCTCAGGAGAGCTCGTGGAGTGCACTCAGGAGCTGACGATTGATGTCACCAAGAGCTATTATCAGAAGTTTTTGCCCCTGACACAAGTCTAGCATCTCTGCCTCATGTCTTGAATCTGCTTGAGCTCTAAGATGAACCTGGGGACAAAGTAAGCTAGTCAGCACCTACAAAGAGCTCTTGTGTCTTTGACATCTACCACCCTCCTTCTTTAAAAAAATTTCTTTAGAATTTCTCAATCCTCAAGGCTCTAAGCTCTTAAGAATTTACTAACAGATGGACCATCTGGAGGAGTTGTCTTCAAATGCTGTGCTTACACCTTATCTGTGACCAGTCACTTTGTACCATTATCCGTGGAACACAGAATCATCTGTTCCCAACGCTCCAGCCCCTTGGTCTTGTGCATGGCTGGATCCCACCGGAAACGGGCCTGCACAGCAGCAGCACCCTCCTGGTGTGGAGGTTATGTAGCTGGTGAGCTGCTCACAGCCATACACTGCCCATGCCGAGCACCTCCCACACAGGTAATGCCCAGCTTTTCTGCTGTTAACACATTTGGCCAGTTGTTGCAATTGCTCATAATCCTGGGAAAAGGTGTTTGTGACTTTTCAGAGCCCAGATTCCTGTTGGCTATTAAAACTTGAAGGGAGGGGTGATTAGTGTTTCTCTCTCTTCTTCCTAAAAGGACCTTAGCTGTCCTAGGGTAGTTAGTAAAAGGCTTTTTACCATTTTGACCTAGGGCCTTTGGCTTTCACTAAAAGTGGGGACCTCAGCATCCCAGATTTTACTTCTGCCAAGTGTTAGATTTGATTCTCTCATGTGGATGCGTTAGTCAGGTGGTTACTCCTTGCCTCAAGGTACTTACCTTATTTCATTGAAGACACCGCATTTGTGAACTCTTGCTCCCTGGCCTAGAAAAATTCAGCCTACCCTGTTTTTGCCATAAACTCCACAATTCACACCAAAATGTCTGTACTTAGAGACCATTTGCATCTATACATGAAGGACTCTTGAAATCAGTTTGTGGGCACAGAGCCCCAGGAGTAAATGAAGTTGCTAGGGCTATTCTGACCATCTCCTTCTGGCCAACAGCACAACCCTTCCTGGTTCTGCTCTGACCTCTTAGCTTAGAAGGAAGATTTAGAAGTGAGGGGCTGAGAAGGTTGGCCTTGCTTAATGCTCTGATCTGTAAGTGAATAGGGCAGAACGGTTCAGCCTTGAAGGTTAGAATTTAGCACGAGCTATCCTGACTTAACGTCCATTTGTGGGGTTTGCAAAATAGAACAGCTGTATGTAATCATTTCCACTATTTCCATGTAGAACTCCTTTCTAGTTTGTCAGTTTTTAAAAACATTTATACATTAAAACCACCAAAATATATAGCTCAGACAAGATGGAAGTTAATTTCTTTCTACCTTAACAGTGCAGAGATAGTCACCTGGTCCAGGCCAGGCAAGTGGCTGGCTCCATGATGGCATCAGGCACCCAGGTTTCTACTGTCTTGCCATGTGACCACAGTTACCAACAAGGGAGGCTGCAAATTTAGTTTCTACTTGGGCAGCCAAAACTCTGAGGAAGGAGATTCTGCTAGTAAAAAGGAGTGGGGGGAGAATGGCCACTGGGAGACGACAAGCAAACTCAACCAGGCCTCTGTGTTGGCTTCCTTTCCTCCTGCTGCACGTGAGCCTTCTCTGTGCCATTTGGGGCCATAACAGCTGACAGCTCCAGTCCTGCATCCTCCCAGCTTGAGGGTCCTGAATAAAAGGTTTCTTCCAGTCCAGTTCTAATTCGGAAACTCCCAAAGTTCTCAGTGGTTTGTTGTGAGTCCCCATGCCCTCTTGGATCAGTCACTGTGGCCATGCGTGTTTGGCCACGTGATTAATCCAATCTGGGTCATGACCTTTTCTCCTCCAAAACAAGGTGCTAGGAAGACAAAAACAATAGCTACTACGAACAGTAGGAGTTTATAATTATGTGCTGATGTATTTGAAGATGTTGATGGTCGTGAGTGTGTATCCTCGGAAAGGCCAGCTGGACTCTGTCTCCATGGTGGCTCTCACCCTAGGGACCTAGGAACAGTCCGTCACCACAAATTACTTTTATAACCCTAGAGAAGAAAGTCTCCTTGTCCTCAGAATACTTCCTGAAGAACAACCAGATGGGAAGGACCTTGATTGGGACTCTTTCCAGTGGGCTTGGGGCAGAGGGAATTTAATGGCTCACATAGCTGAAAAGGCAGGGCTAGATTGGGCTTTGGGCTGCATCCCAGAACTCCAAACAGGGATCTGTCTCTTCGGCTCTCAGCTCTGCTTTCCTTTGAGTTGGCTTTATTCTCGGGCTCCATGGTGTGGCCCCACAGCACCAGTTATTGGTAAAAAGAGCTCCCATTTGCTGACAGAACTGCTGGATTTAGTTCTCATTGGTCCACACGAGGAAGGTATCCAGCCTCAAGTCATCACTGTGGCCAAAAGATGGAATACACTGAGTGGACAGGCCTGGCATGTGTATCCACAGAGACTGAGAGTTGGTGCTGATGGTATGGTGGTGGATGAGATTACCAGAAGAAGGGACAAATGGGTGCTGGGCAGGAAAAAGCATCAGCTGCCCAGTTTAGGCCTCTCCTCTTTCCCTGGCGTCTTCACTTTTCCTCCCTATCCCTGCTGTTCCTTACCCTCTGCCCAGTCTCTCAGTACTCCTGGTCTTGGGAAGGTGCCTTCTGAGGATGCTCCTGGCACGGGTACCTGAGCCTGGATTAGAGGGCAGGGGGAGGATGTCGCCTAGCCAAAGTGGGTGTTCAATAAAGAACCATTTGGAGATGGTTAAAAAAAAAGAAATGTTAGAATGACCACTCTGGCCACAGTGAGGGAAGACCTGGGCCAGGTAAGGAAAATGAGCTGTGAAGAGCTGCCCTTGAAAAGGGTGGGGCTGTAAGAAGAAAATCATTATCTTCAGCAAACTGGAAGACGCTGCTATCTCTGATTCTGGAAGTGGCAGTTGCTTCCTTCACAGTGCGGTCAGGAGAGCCTTATGCACACTGAGGCTTTTTAGCTGCTGGAATAGATGCACATTTGTGGGTGTTTAGGAGAAAGTCACAGAGCTGACTGAGGAAATGGAGGAGGGACGATGACAGTCAGAATTATGTATGACTGAGCCAAGTGCCTCCCGAGGGCTACAGTGGAAAGCACTGGAAAAAGTCAGATGGACAGAAAGCAGGAGGGCGTGGGGCACAGGAGGAAGGTGCAGCACCAGTCTACACACCCTTGATGGCAGAGAACTCTGTCAGTATGCCCCATGCAGGAGCATCGTTCCCCTTAAGGCAGAATAGGGAAGAGAGGCAACATCTTGGGTGGACATTAGGAAACACCCCCAGCAGCAAGGGGATGCGGGGAGATGATGACCCCTGAGTGTCCAATCAGCTCCTCTGTCAGGCGTGAGTCAGCCTCAAAGAGGAGCTTCCCAAGCTCAGCTCTGGATTCTGGCCATACAGAGGTGGCCTGGCCCCTCACTCATGGCTCTGCTCCTGGGGCAGAGCCTCTAGGGAGAATAACGCAGAGAGGCAATGGGCTGGGAGAAGGAAGGAATTCTGCAACTGGGGATGACGTGCCAGTGTTCAGCTTTGCCTTTTCAGCGATAAGGCCTGTCTGTTGCTGAAGGGTGAGAAGATAAAGGAATAATGGCCACTGGGCCTGACCCAGGAAGATCCTGTTCTTCACCCTTCACAGCCTAAATTACTAACACCTAACACAAGGCTTAGCATGCAATTCATGCTCAAAATGCCTGCAGTGCACATCAGGAAGTCCTGCAAAATCAGATTGATAGCTGGAAATAGTGACGGCATGAGGGACCGACAGATAGGAGAGGTCAAAAGTGTATATAGAGTTTTGCGTTTTGCAAACCCAGACTGGGGAAGAGTTGAGTGGGCATCAGTCTCGCTCTGGAGTGGGACAGTGGCTTCTGAGACAGGACACTTCCTTTATAATAAGGAAGCCTCTGAGACACTCCTCTTTTGAAAACAGAGAGAAGGGACTTGCTTATTGGGTTAAAAGCTCATCTTGTTCCAAGTCTTTGCTATTGTGAATAGTGCCACAATAAACATACATGTGCATGTGTCTTTATAGCCATAAAAAATGATGAGTTCATGTCCTTTGTAGGGACATAGATGAAGCTGGAAACCATCATTCTCAGCAAACTATCGCAAGGACAAAAAACCAAACACCGCATGTTCTCATTCATAGGTGGGAATTGAACAATGGGAACACATGGACACAGGAAGGGGAACATCACAAACCGGGGACTGTTGTGGGATGGGGGGAGGGGGGAGGGATAGCATTAGGAGATATATCTAATGCTAAATGACGAGTTAATGGGTGCAGCACACCATCATGGCACATGTATACATATGTAACAAACCTGCACGTTGTGCACATGTACCCTAGAACTTAAAGTATAATTTTAAAAAAAAAAGCTCATCTTGTAAGAAAACCCAGGTTGGCTGTGGACTTTTCATGGGGAGGATGCTGCAGCCTGCCTCCCTCCTGCTGCAGGCTGACTCATTCCCTTCTAGACAGACAGATTGTGTCCTGCGTGGGAGTCGCGATGCAGAGCCCAAAGCTGTTCCCTGAGAGTTACAGGAATTACAACCTGCTGAAGGGAATAATTGTTCTAAATATGTTCTTTTTTAGTATATGTGTGCTGAAGCGAGCACTAAATATCTTCTTTTAATGAGACTTTATTTTTATTATTATTTTATTAATGGAGTCCTAAGAGGAAACAGCAAGAACCACTGTCTTTAGAAAACCATTTGCTTTTCTCTTTGGAGGTGTTTGGTCAATTGGCTCTGAATTCTAAACCCTCCAGTCAGGTCAGGCCTGACTTTTAGTGCCCCTGTGTTTGGAGAAAATCCTGGGCTAAAATCCCCCAATAAGGCTGCTGCCTTGGGATCAGAGTCTCTGGGTGATCTCCCCTGGTACATAGCATCACCTAGGGATCTAATGCTTAGCAAGGACCTGAAGAAGCATTACTGGTTCATTATGGTTAGGACCTGTCAGAACAGAGCTGACGGCTGTCAAGGCCTCCAGGGCAAAGAAAAGAGCACATATCATACATGTTATTTTTCCATGTGCCCAGGCAGAAAGCTCACCTCCCCAGGAGGAAGCTGGGCTGGCAGAGGTCCTCATTGCTTGTGTGTGGCACCTCCTAACGTCAGATGATTGCTTTTGGTTCTGTTCTGCTAGAGATGTGGCAAGAGCTAAATTTTTAAACATTCCTAGTTTGCAAAGCTTGGGTACTGTGCCTGGTGGTTGCTGATAATGCAGGAGACATCCAGGCCAATTTTTACTAAGTGAATATGAACAAGAGAGGGCCCTGAACAGCAAGATCTCCACTGGGGGTCATCAGGAGGTAGGCTGCACACAGTGCCCAGCTGGCTTGTTAATCCAGCGCAATTTAACAACTGTCTGCCGAGTGCCTGTTGAAGGCCTGGGGCGGGAAGGTGAAAGGTAGGCCCACCTCAAGTTGCTCGTGGATAGCAAATTCTTCTTTGATAAAAGTGCTGAGAACTCAGCTTTATCATGTATAAAATGGAAGTATAGAAACCTAATGGTGTCCTTGGGAGAATTTAAAGGTACAATGCATGTAAAGTATGTTATACATGCCTAGCCCATAGTAGGTGCACATTATTTGTTGAAGGGATAAATGAATGAAAGTGAATCAAAGGAACAAATATGAGTCAAGCATGCATATTGTGCTGATAGGTAGTAAGTCTGAGCTAGTATTTTAACCCACTTCCAGGTGGGGGAAGGTGCAGGTTAATTTGGGATGGGCTGACCTATTACATAAGTCAGAGAGTGTGAAGGCTGAGAGCTGATGATCAGAAATGGGTCTCAGAGTGTTGGGTTGAGTTGGAGGCACACAGCCAAAGTGTTATCGGACCAAGGGGGCTTTGGGAGATTCTTGGGAGCCAGGGCCCAGCATTAGTGGTGATCAGAAAGGCAGGGCCAGATCAAGGGTGTGCAGACAGAATGGGCAAATGAACAGTAAATTTGGAGGCCTGGGGCCCTCCCTGCTGCTGGAGAAGTGTTTGCACGGGTGGGCCTTGTCTTTGAAAGGAGGTGGAGAAAGGAAGCTCCTTCTATGAGGCACTTAGATTCATTTCTATCTTCCTAGCCTGAGCACAGAGAAGTATTATATTAATACATACTGGTTTAAAGGTTGTTTCTCTTTCCACTGCTTCCACCAGTTTACAGCTTAGCCTAAGAGATAAGGGTGTAGACTGCGAGCCAGGTTCCTCTGTCTACCTCTGCTCTGCCTCTTACTAGGTGTGCAGTCTTACTAGGCAACCTCCTTCTGTCTCAGTTTTCTCATTTGTTAAATATGAATAATACCTCATAGGGCTGTTATAAGGATTGGATGAGTTACCATAAGTCAAATGCTGAGAATAGTCACTCATGCATTGTAATTTCTCCAGCAACTCTTAGGCATTATCATTACCTTCACCACTGAAATAAAGATCCATAGAACTCTGGCAGGTAACCAAGCAAGAGAGTCCTGATTGGGAGGAAGGACCTTTGGATCTCATCCTACAATGTTGTATCCTAATGCCTAGAGCCTGGCGCACAGTAGGTACTCAATAAAAATTTGTTATTGTTGAATTGTATAGAGTGGGGTTGCTGGTGCAGGGTAGGGAAGGAAGGACAGGACCCAGGGTCCTTTAGGCAATTGCCTGACTTCGGGAAAATGAGGCAGAAAATTGGTGAGGGTCTCCGGACTTGGGACCCAGGCACAGCTGGGATTCTGGGGCCACAGACTTGGGGACTGATCAGTGTGGGGAGCAGGAGAGGCAAGGGAGAGGGAAGAGTGAGAATGACTCTGACTGTGGCCAGCTCCATTCTTGGATAGGCAGAAATCTCGTGTTGAGTCTGTAATCAGCTCTTTAACTTGCATAGGATAGGAGTGTTGGGTCAATATTTCTGGTTATCAGGAGTCTTTTATGTAAAATGGAAATGATAATACCAAAAATATGTCCTGCTTTTCTAAGTCATATGTTTGTTAGTAAGTATCAAATAAGGCTATACCTGTGAAAGTGCTTAATCAACTGTAAATTACCATGGAAATATTATGACCAGTATAATTTTCTATCTCATTGAAACCTTGATTCCTTAGCATGTCTTCAACTTTTCTGTCTCTGGGATATTTGCATTTTCAGAGAGAGTCTAGAAAAAAAGCCTTAATTATGTCAACGGAATGAATGGTGAAGACTGAAATATCAGAAAGGTGCTTCTGTGCCAGAGAACTTTCTAATCCTGCACACGAGTACTATGATCGCTGGGAGAGAAGAGCCAGGGAAGAAGGTTTAATAAAAGGGTGGCTGCAAAATGCTTCTAATTTCCATTACTGCTAACCTCCACAATTCTGTCTGTCCTTCTTTTTTAATCTCACTAAGTTGTAAAGTGTCACAGAGGGTCAGGATGGGAACTCTGTCCGTGAGGCTAAGGTGAAGGCAGGAATTGGCCTTGGGGGACTTCTGTCCCCAGAGAGTACAATGCCTGTTGCTTTTAAATATCTCTTATAAATAAATTGAAAATATCATGTTGCAGTAATATTGAATCCACTTGTACACATGCAAAAATACCTCCAATGAACCCTCCAGGGAAATATTCCCCTTCAACTTCTTTCCTTGTGCATGTAAACCTCTTTTTTCAATATTGATCAATCTACGTACAGCAAATCATGTATAGCAGGAAGCAACCCCTTCTTTTTTGAAAGAGGGAGTGTCATTCTCTTTCCATTTGGAAGATGATTGGGAGAGATAAGTTTGATTCTTATTTCCCACAGTTTAGTGAGGAATGAGTGGAACAAACTAAGGAAGGTTTTAGTTAGGGAAGTAACACAGTTCTGTAGAGAAATCACCACCTAGTTGCATTTAAGGAGCTGTCAGCCTTGAAAGTTAAAAGAGTGGACTGGGCGCCGTGGCTCATGCCTGTAATCCCAGCATTTCGGAGGCCAAAGTGGGAAGATCGCTTGAGCCCAGGAGTTCAAGACCAGCCTGGGCAACATAGCAATACCCTATCATAAAAAAAAAAAAAAAGTTAAAAGAGTGAGTGAATTTCAAGTGCTTCCTGGCAGGTGAGGTATCCGCTGTTTATCCTCACACAGAAATGTTTTCTACCCTCCTTTTCATTGACTATCAGAGCTACCTGACCAGAAGAATTGCCCTTATGCATAATTTCCCTCTCAGCTCTCTTTCTCATGGATGTTGATTAGTTAATGCGTACATTTGCTTAAAGATATTAATTGAGCAGTATTTGATTTTATAGTATGGCTTTTAATAGTAGCAAAGTGTGTGGGTTCTGCTAAAAATTTACCCCCAAATGCAAAGTCTCTTTTCTCTTTGCACTCAATTTTAAGGAATTCCATTCAAACATTGGTAAGAGAATACATTACTGCGAAGATGCAACGATGAGGACGGGGCAGCAGAATGGGGACAATGTGGCTGGGGCATGGGGTCAAGTCCAAATGAAGAGGTCAAGCTATTGAGAAAACAATTGAGGGCAAGATTGAGAGAAGTGTGAAGGAAACAAAAGAAGGGGTGAGTTCCAGTGCATGTGTAGAAATGAGGATACAGACTCAGATGATGCTGCACTCACAAATTCTTGGTAGGGAGGGCATCTTGAACCTAAGCACAGCTTGTCCTAGGGTCTAGACATGAAGAATGAGAGAAGGGCCTGCTGGGGATCTTTCAGCATGAGGACATGCTTCTCAACCTCCTCCTGTTCATGGTCTACATAGAGAATGATCGCCATGGTATGCCACATTGAGGTAAACTGAGGGGCTGCTGTCTGCACAGGGGGTCTGGCTCTGCAGCTTTTGACCTTCAGTGCCAGCCCAGCAACCCTGGAGACTTCAGGGGAAGGATATCTCCTGGCACACCAGTGATCTATCTGCAGCATGCTTGTTGGAAAGCTCTGGTTTGGGGAACCTACTTGTCTTCCCCAAGGGAGAGAGAACTGAGCTACACAAGCTTTTTTTGAAGAAGGCAGGTGAATCACGAGGTCAGGAGATCCAGACCATTTTGGCCAACATGGTGAAACCCCGTCTGTACTAAAATTACAAAAATTAGCTGGGTGTGGTGGCACGTGCCTGTAATCACAGCTATTCAGGAGGCCAAAGCAGGAGAATTACTTGAACCAGGGAGTGGGAGGTTGCAGTGAGCTGAGATCGTGCCACT
This sequence comes from Homo sapiens, assembly GCF_000001405.40. NCBI lineage: Eukaryota > Metazoa > Chordata > Mammalia > Primates > Hominidae > Homo > Homo sapiens. Next base: position 168,378,733 of record NC_000001.11, read on the forward strand.
GCACTCCAGCCTGGTGACAGAGCAAGATTCCATCTCAAAAAAAAAAAAAAAAAAAAAAAAAGAAAAATGACTTGGAGGTCAGAGATAAAGGACAATTTTGAGTGTAGCATTCATTCTGCAGGACTCCGTCTAGCCCAGGCCACTGCATGTTAAACAATGTTTATTGGGCTCCTGCAAGTGCCACACTGTGTGCAGTGAACAGAGTGCTCCACTGAATATTGAAGAAGAGGAAACTGTTTTCTGAAATCTCGGAGACAGCCCAGCCCAAAGTTGGGAGGGCTTCTACTGCATTATTGGTCAGACACTGTGGCCCTGGCTGTGGTGGGATGGGAGGCATTGGCACATTTGTAGCTCTGGCACCAGGAGCAGCTTCTTGGGGCTGGCACTGCAGATTCAGAGGAAACAACAGGAGGCTGTGGCCTTGGCCATGCTGAAGGCTTTTCTCCCATGGTGTCCATGGAGACTTTGTGCTTTGGCATCACCTTTGAGTTTCAGAGACCTCAGGCATTGCAGCAGGGGAGAAGAAAAATGGCTGAAGCCACGTGGTGGCCGAGAGTACACTTTGGTGAGCACATATGGAGACATATTTTGGGGATTTCCCCAGTAGATATGTTGACTTAGGAGGGAGGTTGGGATTCTCTAATGATGAGTAAGGGCAGTGTTAAGTAATGCTAAGGAATGAATGTTTGTGCCCTCCTTGTCCCCAAATTCAGATGCTGAAGCCCCAATTCTCAATACGATGGTATTTGGAAATGGGGCTTTTGAGAAGGAAGTATGGTTAGATAATGTTATGAGGGTGGGGCCTAGGTCTGATGGGATTAGTGGCGTTATAAGCAGAGACATCAGAGAACTCGTTCTCTCTCTCCCCACCCACAGGCACTGGGGAAGGGCCACATGACCACACAGTGAAAAGGTGGCTGCCTACAAGCTGAGAGATGAGGCCTCGGAATGAAACCTGCCTGGCTAGTGTTTTGATCTTGGATTTTCCTGCCTCCAGAACAGAAAATAAATTTCTGTTGTTTAAGTCCTGGTCTACGGAATTTTGCTATGGTAAGTAGCCCGAGGGGACTAATACTAATACTAATAATACTAGTAATGGCCAAACCTTGCCATCACTCTTATTTTAACTCCAAAGATGTGCAGCCCAGAGAAACATCTATACATGCTTGAAGGCAAAGCCCATTCTCTAGCAACGGGTATTCTTTAAGCCACAGTACTTATGGTGGGCAACGGGTGTGGGCAGAGCAGACCCTCACGGTACCTCAGCTGGACTCTCTGCTGGGTCCTTACAGATTGTGCTACTTACTTTTCATGACAGCCTACAGAGTGGGTATCATTATCTCCACTTTACAGATGAGGAAAGTGAGATTCAGAGAGTAATTTCCTAGCAAGGATGGTATCCAGATTTGGATGCCTGTCATTTGATTTACACTCAAGTTCCCATTCTCTTGAGCAGAGCTTAAGCTAGGGAGTAGAGAAGCTAGTATTGTATCCAAGAGCTATCTAAATTTGAATTTCATATTCTTTTCACTCTATCACTCTAATTCTCTATACTCTGGGAAGACAGTTTGTTTTTCAACTATTTTAAGTCTCCATTTCATTCTTAAAAGAATCATATTTTACTCTTAAAAATACATAGTTAAATGTTATTAGAAAGTAAGACCTACATTTTCAAGAATTGAGACAAAATGTCTTCCTTGCTTCTCTAATGAAAATTTGGTTTGGATAATTTGTTTTGTTTTGTTTTTTAAGACAGGGTCTTGCTCTGTCACCCAGGCTGGAGTGCAGTGGTGGGATCTTGTCTCACTGCAACCTCTAACTTCTTGGCTTAAACGAGCCTCCCACCTATGGCCTCCTGAGTAGGTACAGGTGTGCACCACCACACCCAGCTAATTTTTATATTTTTTTGTAGAGGGTTTTGCCACGTTGGTCAGGCTGGTCTTGAACTCCTGAGCTGAAGCAATCAGCCCAACTTGGCCTTCCAAAGTGTTGAGATTACAGGTGTGAGCCCTGCCTGGTTTGGATGATTTTTACATGAAAGAAAGGGTCTGGTCAAAGCATTGATATAAGTGGATTGGACTCCCCATTACTTCACTTCTGTCCAAGAAGCTTCCATTTCTTGAGGGCTAGAGAAGGCAAGTTTGGGAAAGCTAGAGGGGGAACTGAAAAACAAGTGACTATATTAAATGCATTTATTGGGCCTAATAGCTGGTGAATTTGGTTGAAATTGAATATAAAATAGAACAATTGTGAGTCAGAGGTTAAATGAAGCCATTTGAAGGGTGTTTCGGGGAGACCATCTTCATCATCATCATTATCAACACTGACAGTTATGTAGCATGCTAAGTACTTTCCATATATTACTGTATTTAATCTTCACAATGGCTCTAAAAGTAGGTACTGTTAATATCCCCATTTAACAGGTGAGGAAACTGAGACTTAGAGATATTGTTTCCCTAGGTCACTGGCTGGTTAACTGTGAAAAATAAGGGATTTTGGTATTGCTGAGTGTTGCCTACATGAGTGGGGGCAATCGTGGTGTTGTGCCATTTGGGGGTGGTTTGATTTTGATTCACTAAGCAGGAAGATGTTAGTGAAGTTTAGGGGCAGAAGGTGATGTGTTTAGAGCAGTGGTTTAGGACAATTAGCCAGCCCTATCCACGATGTATTGAAGCAGGAAGATTGGTGCTCTGAAGACCAGCTAGGAAGGTATTGTGTGATTCAGAGGAGAGGAGATGAGTATTTGAATTGGGTGGTGGCAGGAGGTCTGGTAATGAGGGGATAGATGCAAGAGGCTGTCAAAGGAAGAGGGCATGGTCTCTGGATGAATACTGAAGTTGAAGAAGGATGAAGGACTTGAAGCTGATTTCAGGATTTCAGACTTGAGCAATGAAGGAACTATGAGGCCTTCAGCAGAAGTGGGAAGTGAGCAGGTGGAGCTTGTTTGGTTGGAAGAAGAGGAGTAGAGTAGGTGCCTTGAGCTTTAGTAGAGAATCTCTGGATGGACTTATAGAGCAGGCTGGCAAGAGGTCAGTTTTAGGGGTAGAGATTTGGGCAATACCTGCAAGGTGGTGATAGTTGTAACCTTGGAAGTGTGTGCTTCCAGGCTGGGCTCCTAAAGCCATGGGGTCCAACCTTGAACCATCCCTTGGGGCTTGGCTTGCTCATCTCATCCCTCTATCAGGCCTGTCATCTAGTCCAGGTTGAAACCTAGTATGGGATAGAAAATAACATCCTTCCTCAAGATGCTTTTCTGATATCTTCCACAAGTTTGTCAAAATAACTATACAAATCTAAAATGATTATGAGAAAATGGTGCCCCCTGGAGTTGTGCAATATGCACAACAAGCACCAGCATAGTCATCCTGCATTAGCCCTTATGGTCCAGATATTTTGGCCTCCACATTCACCCCTCCTTCCAAGCTTTCCTGGCTGGGTTTGGCACATTGGCTCTGGACTGGGCACTTCTCAACCAAATCAATGCCACTGGGTTCTCCACTATTATGTGCCTCAGGTATCAGGTTCTGTAGCTGCTTCAGTGTTTCCCTAGCTCTCCCAGCCTCTCACTCTGTCCAAGGTCAAGAGAAAGGAAAGATTGAGATAGTAGAAAGATAGTCAATATCAGGACTTTAGGGATCACCACTCTTATAGGTGGAAGAGACAAAGTGACAAGAACGCAGAAGTTGAATGACTCAGAGCCCCAGTGTTTGGGCTCACAGTTCAGTACTTGTTCTACTGGCCTATGCTTCCTCCATTTTACAAGTCCCAGGCAGCAGTGCTTGATCTTAAAAGCAGCCTTAACATATTATAAAATGCAAAGGCTGTATGTGTGTGGATTTATTTATTTATTCTCTAATAACTATTGTATCACTCAACTTATGTCAAACTAAATTGCAATTTCTGAACTGAGTACTGTCCTCCAGGTCAGTTCTCTTTCTGCCATTCTATACTCAGATGTCTCTTTTGTATGCAAGTACAGATTTTTCTCTGCTTGATTGGTAGACATCTAGAGACCAAGTGCTGCATCTGATTAATTTGTTTTTTATAACACTTAGCATGATGAAGCAGGCAGATAAGTGCTAATAAGGGGTATTGGTGATTCTGTCATCTTCCTGGGAAGAGGTCTAGGTGGCTTCAAACATAGCTATTTGTTAACTTGTAGGTCAGTGGTAAGGATGGGAGCCAACAGGGTGATGGGAGGATAAGGAGTGGAGGGAGGTGGAAAGTTCTGTCTCAGAAAAAGCCATATTATCCACTCCTTTATAGTAGAAAAGCATTGGGAACATAATGGTTAATTTAATATTGGTATGTATGAACATACACATTGTGGCAAATTTCCAAAATTTTCTTTCTGTTAAACCTAACTTTGGTTCGTTACAAAATATCAGGAACACCAAAGACACCTTGAAAGCTAATCAAATTGGCAAGTAGCAAAGCTTTGTAAAAGCAAAAAAGTTGAGGCTAAATTGATTGCTGTTTTGGTAAAATAATAGTTGGTTGTGCTGGATGGGGAGAAGCCAGTATTCTGAGGATTTAGGAAACGAAGTAATAGCATTCCTCCTTCACTTGCTAAGTTTAATGTAATGCTGTCACAGCAAATCAGCTGCTTTTGACTGTTTACCTGGAAGTATTTGAGTAACAATTTGATGATTAAGGCAGATGGTGTAGTGAAACATCCTATGTTATGTTTTCTTATAGGTGATATTCTAAGCATTCAATTTGTCAGTTTCTGAGATTTTCTTTCCATCTTAGTTTTTTAGAAGTCAGAAAATGACTTTTCACATTCAGTTAGGGTATATAACAATGTTAACGTAAGTTTATGAGCTGAGTAGGTAGTTAATAAACATCCTTTTAAGTTGTAATGCTTTGAAATAGCATATTAAAGGGTTGCAAGGGAAAATTGGAACATCAGTGTGAGTTATTTTACAGTCATTTGTAGGTCTGTTTGTGACCTTGGCCTTTTCACACTTGTTTGTCTATCACCTTTAGTATATTACTCTTTGGCACAGGTTGTCTAATCACATTAATTTTTGCATCAAAAATCCCTTGGTTTAGTGATTCTTAATGATGTTTATTTTGGAAAGTCATGGACCTGAATTCTTTGAGTAGTTCATGAAAACCATATACCTTTCCCAGAGAAATGGGGTGCATATAATTTCAGGAAGTTCAAGGTAGGGAAAACAAGCTAAAAATCCCAACTTATTTCATCTCGAGAACTTAAATTGCCAGCTGTATTCTCCTTCTTCCCTTTCCTGAACCCCTTCATTTGCCCCTTCCTAAACCAGCAACTGCACAGAGTGGCGAGTAAGAACACAGCTTATAGTAGCAGATCAATCCGGAGTAAAACAGATACCCACTGACTCTGCTTCAAGAATACTGTGCTAATGAAGGCGAGATACTAAATTTGAACCAAGCCCACTTAAATCATGAATTCATATAACAAATAGCACTTGAGCACCCACTATATTCCCGGCTCTGAAACAGGTCTGAAAATGAACAGTGACTAAGATGTGACTCCCAAGGGGTTCAAGTCCAGTGCTGTAGATCAGCTTAGAAACAATTAGTAAAATACCAGGTCTTGGTTCCTTTACAAGGTCAGATAGCATCTTGAATCCTAACCAAGTCACCTCACAGATGCATAGTTTCTAATAAAAAGGACTGACAAAATTTCATGGGAAATACACCTAAAAAATGTACGTTTTATTAACCACAAGCACCTCTGTACAGATTTGTCTAGACATTTCCAGTGTTGGAATACTTCTGTTGTGTAAGTTCCTGGAAATGGACTTGCTAGATCAAAAGGTTTGAGTATTTAAATTTTTAATAGACAGAACCAAATTGGCTTTCAGAAAAGGTTGTGTCAATTTCCTATAAAATCCCTGTCATTTATGAATGGTAATTCTTGTTCAGTGATTAATTTGCCAAGAAATATTGATATTTCCTTACATGGGCCTCTGTGTAAGTTTTCTTTCACTTCTTTAAAGTCTTACTTGTCTTCTTCTTCTTTTTTTTTCTTTTTTTTTGAGATGGAGTCTCGCCCTGTCACCCAGGCTGGAGTGCAATGGCGCAATCTTGGCTCACTGCAACCTCCGCCTCCTGGGTCTAAACGATTCTCCTGCCTCAGCCTCCTGACTAGCTGGGATTACAGGTGCCCACCACCACGCCCAGCTAATTTTTGCATTGTTAGTAGAGACAGGGTTTCACCATGTTGGCCAGGCTGGTCTCGATATCCTAACCTTGTGATCCCCCCACCTCGGCCTCCCAAAATGCTGGGATTGTCTTACTTGTCTTCTGTGGGAGAATCCTGTCATACAAATGACCTCATCCTCTATTGCATCTCTGATGGATTGTTTTTGGAATCTCACTTGTCCTTGTCCTCCTTGTAGCCTTCCGCCAAATGCTCACCTCCCAGTTTCTCTCCCATCGGCTGTTCTGGGCCTGGTCTCCATTGCTGCTGGCCTGCTTTGTCCCTATTCTCGTCTCCAGCAGCACATCAGGGCCTCTAGGAGTGAAATTTATTGCGCCTTTCTCTAGACCTTTGAAACAAAGAGCATTCCTGTCTTTTCCCTTGCAGGAAGGGAAAGTGGATTTAGCTAAGCATGGATAAGATTCTGGGTTGAGGAGGAGAAAAGGGATAAGGAGGGAAGAGAGAGATAATGTATTTTTCATTTAGCAGTGGCATCAAGCTTTTCAATTTTACTTTGGTCATTAGAGAATTTTTTTCGTTGCGTGTGACTTTTTGTTGATGCTGGCTTGGAAGTGAGAACTCCGTGGCCTGGCCTTCAAGAATCACAAAGGTCAAGGCTACTACCAGCCCACTACCCTCATGCCAGGCATATAAAGTGCTACCATAGGTGCGAGGTTAGACACAAATGGCACCTCTGCATACATTTTTAAAAGCATCAGGTGGAGGCAGTCCTAAGCCTTTTCTTCAGGCGAACTCAACTCGAAGCCAGAATGCCTGGTTTGGTAAGAAAAAGGCAGGTTGTACTTCAGCCCCCACTTACATTCTTGGCTACATGTCTTTGTGCAGTAACCTATGAAACTGCACACAGCAGTCCTCACGGTAGTTTCCATACCTAGCTGCTGCTCTAAGGGTCTCTGTGTCAGTGGCTTCTAGTGTGCTCAGGGAGACACACATATGACCTGAGGACTGAGCAGAGGCCTCAGCCTCAACAAATTCATCTTCCTTCAAACTTCCCTGCCTCGACTGACTGCCCTGTCTGCCTCTTGCCTAATATCTCTCCCGTGCCCTGGAAGCAGCCACATTGAGGTGTTTTGCTGTAATATGTCTTGTTTTAGTTAGAGCAAGTTTTGTGTTCAGCTTTGGTTGATGGCCCAGCTGTGCTGGCACCTCTGAACCCAAGGCATGTGTCATTGGCTTAACCTTGCTGGTGATAAGGCTGTGTAAGTTAATGCTAGCTGCCGTAACAGAGACACTCTGAAATCCCAGCTGCCTACCACAAGAGAATTTTGTTTCTAACTTACAAAGCAACCCAATGGCTGTGTTCAATGGACAGTTGGCCCTCTGTATCATGGGTTCTGTATTTGTGGATTCAACCAACCATAGCTCAAAAATACTTGAAAAAAAAATGGAGAAGAACAATACAGTATAATAACTATTTACATAGCATTTACATTGTATTAGGTATTATAAGTAACCTAGAGATGATTTAACCTATATAGGAGGATATGCATAGGTTACACGCAAATACGATATCATTTTATAAAAGGAACTTGAGGATCCTTGGATTTTGGTATCTGTGGGGATTCTGGAAGCAACCCTTCCTGGATACTGAGGGACACCTGTAGTGATTTAGGGATCAAGGCTCCTTCTATCTCCCTGCTTTGCCATCTTAGCCTGAAGCAGCAGGAGAGAGAGAGGGTGGAGATGGCCTCATTTTGATTTGAGAATGACCTATATCACTTCTGCTCAGAGCCTATTGGTAGGAACTGGTCACATGGGGCCTGAGTGCAGAGGCTGCTGGGAATGCTTCTCCAAAACAGTTTTATAGCATGGAAGGGGATGGCTAAACTTTGGTGGCAGAAGGCTGTCTCCACCACAGGGGCTGAGCTGAAAACGGCATCAGGGTCTCTAGCTTCCTCTTCTCTGCCCAGTGGTTACCCTTTTCTTCCGTGGGGAGAAATCCTTATACTTATTGATTGACGGGCTTTGCCCAGAGATTAAGTTAATTGAGGCTTCAAGTAGGAAGAGAGAGGTGAGGAGAAAGAGGTTTTAACCTTTCTTGATCAGATTTGCCTCTGTTCCTGCCCCACAGAGTGAGCGCAAACCCCTTCCCAGTCTCCCGCTGCTATCCATTTTCTCATTCCTCGGATCCCAAAGCAAAGTCACAGATACATTCGCGTGGGGATCATTCGGGACCCCTCCCTGGTTCCCTGTCCTGGTTTTTTTTTTTTTTTTTTTTTTTGCTGATTTTGCCTTTTAATAAAGGCAGCTTCCTCCCTTCCTGTGTTTGCTGAGGTGGGTGGGAGTGGGAGGACAGCTCTTGGAGTTCTGGAGAAGCTCAGGGAATCAACCAAGTCTGACACAGGCCAGTGAAGCCCGCGGGAGGCGCGGCCGCGTGGCTGCGGAGGTGTGCTTGCTCAGTGACGTCAGGCGCGGCTGCCGTTGCCTCGGCAACCTCACCTGATCCGAATGCCGTGGGCACACACGCTGACTTCTGGGCTCTCTGCTTTAGTGACGAGGAGCTAAAAATGAATCGCACTATCCCGAAAAAGCAACTTAATCATCAGGAGATACTATCAAGTACTCATGCAACCTGTAGGTGGAGACTGCTCAGGGGAGTGGATGATGTTGGAATAACCTGAAGGACACGTGGGGGACCAGGAATTCTTTCTTTTCACATAAGATCTTTATGTCTTTCCAGTTTCCTTTTTCCAAAAGGAAACTGCTAGTTTGCCGTCTAACAGTGCTGTTCAGTTCCACCTGTTTCACATGTAAAGTCTCATTGAATTACGTGGCCCATTACCCGTGAGGGTTCTGGAAATATCACAGAGGTGGGCACCATTAGATGCCAACATGGTAGAGAAGGGGAAATGCCTCCACTCAAAGCCTACAGATCCTCAGCTACCCACGTTCAACAAATGTGTTCTTTTTCCTCTCATGCTTGTTTTTTGAGCCGCTGAGATGTTCGAATGTGCCAATTTGAATTACATGCAAGAAGCAGGTCACAAGAACTAGTGGTTGAGACAGAATTGCTTTAGTGGCCAAACACCTAGGCATTTGCATGACACTGACCCACTGGCTCTACCACTTCCTGGCTGTGTGATCTTGACCCAATTAATTAACATCACTGAGCTTCAGTCTCATTGTAAAATGATAGCAATAGCTACTCCATGGAGTTTTAAGGAATAAGTGACATAATGCATGTAAAGTGCTTCAATAGGTACTCAAATAAATGATGGTTATTTCTCCTCTTTAGAATACTTCTTAAAATGCTTCTGGTCTGGGGCTGACATTTGCACACACTGAGCCTTTGCACACATTAGAAAAAGTGCCTCAGCTGGCATACAAATTCAGCAAAGGTCCTTCCTCCTCCAGCCTAATGCAGGCCTGTGCAGGCTCCCAGAGGCTTTATGGTTTGGCAAAGAAAGAGTAACCTTCACATCAGCATGGAGCAGCCCTGGCTCTGAACTCCTACATCCCTAGTTTCTCTGTAATTTTCCTGGAAGGCAGCTTGGAAGAGTTAAGTCTAATAGAAACATTTAAAAGATTCAAAATACATAAGGGATGGGGAAGATGAAAGTTCTACATAGATCTAACCATCCGAAATCAGGTGTCAGTTCAGCATTGCTGGTTTCCTCTCTCCTCTCACCACAGGCCTGCTTACTCCCAATGGCTACCCTACCTGTTACAAGCTGCAGGCAGCATCAGCAGCTTGTTTTTTTTTTTTTCTTCCTTCTTGTTATTATTATATTTTAAGGTTGGCTTGTTGTGAGCTGGCACTGGATAAGGTGTGACCTTGTTACAGGTGGTGTAGAACTTAGGAGAATTTGATGCCGGCTCCGAAAGCCCCTGCTCAAAGCTGGCTCCTTGGGACTGTTTTCTCCATTGGGGTGCAGCTATGATGAGTATTAGAACCATTCACTCAATATGCATTTGCAGAGCAATATCATACACCACAGCCTGGTCTGAACTCTGGGATCTGACAGGTTGGACATAGTCCCTGTTCACAGGGGACTTGTATTCTAATGTGGGAGAAGAAAGAAAGTGGTCATTTGGTCTTGTATATATATGTACACCTGGGAATCCTTGATTGAATGCTTGGATTTTATATAAGAATAACATCCAGTTAGCATCTGGATGATTATAACTTTCTCCAAAGAGAATTTATCTCTGCTTCTGGCAGGCTGTTAAACTAGGGGTACATCACCTTAATCCTGTTTGGGATTGAGAAGATTCACAGCTGTGTTTCAGTTTTGTGTGAATTTTTCTATTTCTAAGTCACTTTTACTTCAAGGATGTGTCTGCTGAATAATGACTCCCCAAAGACATCCACATCCTAATGCTCAGAATCTGTGAATATGTTGGGATATACAGCGAAGGAAGAAAAGTTGCAGTTGGAGTTAAAGTTGCTAATCAGCTGGCCTTAATATAGAGAATATCCTAGATTTCCGGGGTGGCTCCAACATAATCACACGGGCCCTTAAAACTGGAAGAGGGAGGCGGAGGAGGAGGTCAGAATGATGGACTGTGACGAGAACTCCATCTGGGCTTGCTGGCTTTGAAGATGGAGGAAGAGGGCCACCAGCTGAGGAATACAAGTGGCTTCTGCAAATTGGAAAAGGCAAGGAAACAGATTCTCCCCTAGAGCCTCCAGAGGGAAAGCTGCCACCTTGACTGGAGCTCAGTGAGATTATCGTCAGACTTCTAACCTACAGAGCTATAGGTTAGCACCATACCTTTGTGTGGTTTTAAGCCATTACATTTGTGGTAATTTGTTGCAATAGGATACTAATGTAAGGGGTCCCTGCTGAAAGTCTTGAGTGTTTCTGAGAGCATCCTCTTGGTGGGTCCTGAACTCCAAGTTTTGTTTCCGTATCTCTGTGAGACTGCTAAAATCCTTCCCTTTTACCCAATGGTTTCTGCTTGCTGCTTACAAATCAGCAACTGCTTGGAGTGCAAGAGCTGTCCAGAATTCAGAATCACTTCTCTGCATTTCCTTTCTTTTAGGAATCAGTTCCCTCAGGTTTGGGCTGCCTTGGTAGCCCTGAATTCAAATATATGTCTCTCCAGCCATGTGGCACTTACCAGCTTCTCAGTGTGTAGCCTCAGGCTGCTTATGAATGAACAGATATATATGCAATAAATAATTGTGAGCTATTTGTTGCCGTTATCATTAATTGAGTTTAGGAAATCCTGGCTCAGCCTAATGGCTTTGGGCGAGTCATTGCCCTTCTCTGGGCTTCTTTTCGTTCATCTATATAATGAGGGTTTCAGATTAGATTATCTCCAGGTTCTTTTCCAGCTCTTGCTATCTGCAATTCTGGGGTGACCTCTATGTGCAGGAGAGCACTGTGTGGACTGGTTTTGTGAGGGTCTAAAAGGTGGAGTCCCTGTGGAGAAAAGGGAACTCTTGCAGACTGTTGGTAAGAATGTAGATTAGTATAGCTGTTATGGAAAACAGTATGAAAGTTTCAAAATAAATTAAGAATAGGAACTACCATACAACCTGGCAATCCCTCTGCTGGGCATACACCCAAGAAAAATGAAATCACCTTGTAAAGATATCTGCACTCTCATGTTCATCGAAGAATTATTCATAATAGCCAAGATATGGAAACAACCTGAGTGTCTGTTGATGGATGAATAGATAAAGAAACTGTGGTACATTATTACAATGGAGTGCTATTCAGTCCTAAAAAAGAATGAGATCTTGCCCGTTGCTACAAAATGGATGAGCTTGCAGGACATTATGCTAAATGAAATGAGCCAGATACAGGAAGAAAAATATTGCATGATCTCACTTATATGTGGATTCTAAAAAAATTTCTAATATACTGAGATAGAGAAAAAACAGAGGTTACTGGGGGTGGGATGGGGGGAGGAAACGGTGAAGTATAGGTCAGAGGATACAAAGTAGCAGATATTTAGGATGAACAAGTCTAAAGAGATACTATACAACATGAGGACTATAGGCAATAAAATTTCATTGTAAATAGGATTCACACTAAATGAGTAGATTTTAGCTGGCTCCCCCCAAAATAGGTAACTGAGATGATGAAAATGTTAATTTGCTTCACTATAGTAATCTTTTTACTATCTATACGTATTCCATAACATCATCTTATGTATCTTTTTTTTTTTTTGAGATGGAGTCTCGCTTTGTCACCCAGGCTAGAGTGCAGTGGTGCGATCTTGGCTCACCACAGCCTCCGCCTCCCTGGTTCAAGCGATTCTCCTGCTTCAGCCTCCCAAGTAGCTGTGATTACAGGCGTGCGCCACCACACTCAGCTAATTTTTGTATTTTTTTAGAAGAGATAGGGTTTCACCATGTTGGCCAAGCTGGTCTCGAACTCCTGACCTCAGGTGATCTGTTTGCCTTGGCCTCCCAAAGTGTTGGGATTACAGGCGTGAGCCACAGTGCCTGGCACTGTTATATATCTTAAATATACAAAATGAATTTTTTTCTTCCTGGGCCTTTTTACACAATGAAATTTACTTGAAAGTGAAAAAAATGGTGAAGTCCTTGCCCACAAGGTGATCCCAGTATCCTTATTATATTGATGAAATAGGCCTATTTATGCAGAAAAAAAATTAGAGAACCAAATAGCATATCATCAAATGATGAGACGATACAGAGCAGGCAGAGAGCAAGATTTCAATTTTGATCTAATGAAATGACACAGCCAAATATTATGAGCTCTTGTCTCTAGAAAAATAGCAACCATAAGCCTTAATACTTTCATGTCAGCACAGTTTGGTTAATTAATCCATGATTAATCAGGAAAGTTAATTGAATTCACAGAATTTAACGAACTAACATCATGATGGATTTAGGATCCCAATGGAGTTGCAAGCTTTCTAACATTGGTTATTTGCACAAGCTGTGATTTTGACCTGACGATTGAGGTTCTTGTAAGCAGTGTGGCAGTTAAATGGATGGCAGTGGGTTCCAGATTAAATAGGATGGCATTAGGTGGTATTTTGCAGGCTCTGCAGTTCAGTTTGCTTTCTGGGAAGGGAGTCAAGAAAAAACCAATAAAAGCCCTTGATTATGTAAGCATTAGACCAAAGCAAGGACTCCTCAGAGAGTTCTAATTCTTATCGTCTTTGCCTCCTCAGTGCCCTAGTGCATTGCTTGGCACATAGTAGATAATTAGCTAACTAACTGAATGAATGCATGCATGAATAAATAAACAAACGATTTCTCCATCCATCTCTGAAATACATATTCAATAAATTACCCTGTTCCAGGAACTAAGGTAGGTACTGTATCTAAAAGGTGACTAATAAGCCCTAGTCCCCGCCCTGGGAGAGTGCCCAGTTTCATCAGGGTAGCTGTCTTCCAACAAGTAATTGCATACAATTTGACGTAGTATCAGGTCAGTGACTAGAATGGGAAGGACAGAGAGAAGGATCTGAGGGAGGCTTTCACAGAGGAAGTCACACTTGATCTAGATCTTCATGTGCGAATAGATGTTTGCCAGAAAGAGAACTGGGGAAACCATAGTCCACAGAGAAGGATGGCGTTACTGTTAGGAGGTGCAAAAGCAGAGAGCCTTTGAGGAATGCTGAGTGGCTTTGTGCAGCAAGAACGTGGGAGGAAGCAGAGGGTGGAACCAGAAGGAGGATTGGAGCAAGTTTGAAAAAAGGAGCCGAGAATGCCAGTTTAGGGAGCCTCAACTTTATCTGGACCTAAAAGGGAGTCTTTGGAGGATTTTCAGTATGTGAGTGACATGGTCAGATTCATGTTGTAGGAAGGAATTCTTGTAAGTCGACTCAGGTGGGTTGGAGGAGAGAGAGACTCACTGCAGACTCTGGTTAACAGTTGGTATAGACAGGCACAGTAAGACGGCAGCAGGTTGGGTGGGGAGGATAGGTGGCCGTGGTGGGAGGAGGATAGAAGGGCACAAGCTCTGGTCAAGTTAATTTCTCTGAGCATCCTTTAATCTGTAAAATGGGAAAAAATAATTCCTGTCTCATAGGGTTGAGATTTTGATGAGAAATTGCATGCAAAACTCTAAGTATTTATTACCTGGCTTGTAATAAGAACTTAGTAGATATTAGCTGTTTATGATTCACCTGGAGAACAATTATAAGAGCCCCAACTAAGGCAGTAGCTATAGGGATGGAGCTCAGGGATGAAAATGAGAGACATTTAGGAGGTTGACTAGAATGCTGAGTCATGTTGTTGCCCCTGGAGCTGAAGGCAGTTTTATGCTGACATTTGCTGCTACACAGTCGGCTCTGCTGGCTTCATTATAAACTTCCCATGAGGCCCTGGGTCATTTGACCTTGGGCCATCCTGGGCTGTCAGGTAGAGCCCACAAAACTAAGTCAGCCTCCATCAAGAGAGGCCCCGCTCTGGTTGACAGCAGCTGTACCTGAGCATCATTGCTCCTGTCCTGGCAGGAGCCCAGGGCATGTCTTGCCTATGTGCTGTGATGCATGGTGATCAGCTTCACTCCTGAGCAGCAGAGCCACATGGGCCCTCCATGTGGAGCAGCAGACGTGATCTGCATTGAGAAGGAGGCTCAGGTGCAGATAGCAGCTTCTGTGAGCCCCAAGTAGGTGCTACTCACCGGGAGAGACTTGAGGGGTGCCGGGAAGGACCTCTGCCCACTGACTTTTCTCTTGGTCTGAAGCCCTGCTGTTAGGAACCTAATCGTTTGTATTTAAATGCTCTTTGTCTTCCACTGAATGCAAATACCCCAAGGAAAGGTAGTATATTCATTAAGGGAAGGGATAATAATGGTAACAGAAATAATAATAATATTGTGACATCAAATATTTATGGAGAACTGTTTAGTATCACTAAACACCATGATGGGCACCTTCTATGCATTGCCTCATTTGATTGTCTGACAGTCCTATTAGGTGAATATTATTACACATGCAGAAATGAGAACTGTGAGAAGTTAAGAAACTTGATTAAAAACACACAGCATGCCATGCATCATTGAGAGCACTGTGATAGAGAGACCGAGAACTAGGGCAAGAGTGAGAGTGAGAGCTGGAGAGAGGCAGATGTTGGGTATGGGATGTTGAGTAGGTGTCCCTGCAGGGGAGAAAAAAGGAGAATGGAAGGTAAAGGAGTAGCTAAATTCTGGCCAGGACTGGTTCTGCTTACTTCATAATCATTAAATTTACAGATTTGCTTCCCTCCATGCCACTGGTGCTATCTTAGTTTGGAGGCACAGAGATGATCACAGAGCTCCTAAGATGGGTTGGGTTAAAGACTCTAGAGAGGACTAGCTTGACTGTCTAAGAGATTCAACTTTCTCTAAGTCTGTCCAACCACAGTCAGAGAGAGCAAAAATCCCTCAAGATCCAGGACTGGGGATTAATAGTTTTTGCATTCCCTATGCAAGGCACAGGGCATGGCACTCAGTAGGTGCTCAATAGATGTTGACCTTAAAACATTACCTAAGGAGTCCCACCAGAACTCAGGTTTGTTCACCTCAGAACCCTGCACACCCCTCTGACTGCTCTCTCTGTTTCCAGTGATAAAGGAATCAGAGCTTCTTTACTTACGCATTCAGGAGGGACCACAGGAGAATCAAATGGAATTGAACTGCATTGTTTATTAATGATCGCTCATCTGAACTATTTAAAATTTTAATCCTAAATTCTAAGTTTTCAATCAGAAGTGGGCAGAGAAGACACCGATGGACAAGGCAACTAGCCTGTTCTTCAGGGTTGTGGTAACACATGTATCTCAGACACAGGGTCAGAATGGCTTGATGGTCTCCAAGAGGTATAGCATCCTAGCAGTAAACTGTATATAAACTGTAAAGGTAACATGGGCAGCTCCAAAATGACACTGGAGAGAGCACTGGAAGTTAGGAGGTCCTGGTTTTGCCACTAGTTGTGTGACCTTGGATATCATGTTCCCTCTTTGGGCCTCAATTTGCTCATTTGTAAAATTGGGATATTGGATTTGATGAGTAGTTTTCAAACTGCATTGAGATTTGGAGTTTTGATAGTTTTACAATCTATTCCAACTCAAACCTGTTACATTTGGCTTCTGCCCTCCCTATTGCACTGAAATGGAGTCACCAATGCTCTGCAAAATAAAGAGCACTTTTTATTCTCTGCATTCTTTCTGGGAACCATTTTCTTTTCCTTCCTTCCTTCCTTCCTCCCTTCCTTCTTTCCTTCCTTCCTTCCTCCCTTCCT
Organism: Homo sapiens; assembly: GCF_000001405.40. Classification (NCBI taxonomy): domain Eukaryota; kingdom Metazoa; phylum Chordata; class Mammalia; order Primates; family Hominidae; genus Homo; species Homo sapiens. The sequence goes on from NC_000001.11 coordinate 168,395,096, forward strand.
TCCTCTTTCTTTTCTTTTCTCTTTTCTTCTTTTCTTTTCTTTTCTTTCATCTTTTTCCTTTTTTTTTTTTGGCAAGGTCTTGCTCTGTCACCCAGGCTGGAGTGCAGTGGCATAACCACAGATCACTTTAGCCTTGAACTCCTGGACTCAAGCGATGTGATTCTCCCACCTCAGCCTCCAGAGTATTTCAGAACACAGGTGTGCACCACCACATCTGGCTAATTTTTAAAATTATCTGTAGAGACGAGGGTCTCCCTATGTTATCCAGGATGGTCTTGAACTCCTGGGCCCAAGTAATTGTCCCGCCTCTGCCTTCCAAAGTGCTGGAATTGCAGGCAAGAGTCACTGTGCCTGGCCCTGTGTAGACCATTTTCTTCCAGAAGTTCTTTTTCCTTTTGACTTCCCAGATCATCTTGAAGCCACTATCTTTAAAGTCCTAATATTTTAATGGTAATGAACTTAGGCCATTTATATTTAATAAAATTTGTAGTTTCCTTAGGAAAATGCCCATATAAATTAATCACATAAATGAATGGAAACACACATACAAAAATACGTGGGAGAATGTGTTTTATGTTACAAAAATGTGATTTATACTCAACTTTCTAAAGCACAATTATAAAGTAAGGAAAAGTGCATAGCTTTAAGGAAGTAAGCAAATTTATTAATAGATTTTAATATTGAAAAAATAAAGCAACTTGAGAATATTTTGCTCCTTCTTTAGGAGGTGCAAATGGTTGCCACTGGAAACCATTCTTGCACTGTTCACAGATTGGACAATGATGCATCTAATTAGAACAAGAGTGTAACGGAGAGTGTTTTCCAAATTGTGGGTCAGGTATAAATAATTAGAGGAGACGTTGGCAGGCTTATTATTTGTGTCTAGCTTAATTTTCTTCAGATACATGTTCATATGCAAGACTGCATTAAGATCAGACTTAATTTTCACTTAATCCATCAAATAATTTTTCTTAAGCTCAATCAAGCAATGGTACAGTGATTGAAAGAAGCAAATTGTTCATATACTCCAACATGGCTTCATGTATCATTATTACAATTGATGTCATGACTTATTCCTGGAAAAATATTAAATAGCTATCATCCTGGCCTCATAATTGAGGGGATGGGTGATTTAAAAAAATTTAAAAGATATCTGACTTGATTTGTAAGTAATTTTGACCCATAACATAATTAGGGGCCAAGCTATAAACCATGCATAAATACATGGAATACATTTTGGCGAAAACAAAATTAAGATTAAGATTGTCATTATGAATCTCTTAAGTGGAGAAAGAGAAAGTCATTAAAGATTCCACATAGTTTTCTCTTCCTGGTTGCTTAGTGTTAGCACTCAATCAGATTCATTGAAAAAAGTAGTCCTATGCTGAAATAAGAGTGTTGAAAGAATGTGTGGATGTATTTTAGTGCTGATACCCAGTTACTATTCTAGGTCTATCACTACGATAACTTTTAGCAGTTGTCATGTGTTCTTAGGCAAATCTGCTAACTTCTTTGAGCCCCAGTGTCTTCACCTGTAAAAGAAGAACAATACTAGCAATCACACCCACATCATAGGCCCACTGGAGGCGTAATGACTTTATATATGGAAAACTCCTACCACAGTGCCTGCAACTTGGTAGGTCCCCACTCAATCCAGCTCCCACAAATGTAAACAAGCAAACACATGTGGAAAACACATGGGCTCAGGCACAGAAGGACAAATATGACTTTCATGTAGGCATGAAGATTGTCTCATGGGTCATAGAGCAATGAAGACAACCTAAAGAAAAGGAATGGCTCAGGCAAGCAAGTGGACTATTTCGTAGAAACCACTTGAGGCAAAATTCTTCATTTTTGGTGATCATTACTATGCTCATTTTATATGCTTGTTGGTTGCTAGTCAGCCATGACATCTCATAAGAGTTTCTAAAAAGGAGTAGATTAAAATTTATAATATTGTTTCTTCCAATTACTCATCCCCACTTAGCCTGCAGGAATAGCTGATAAGGATCTTTTGTAAACTGGTTTCTCAGAATCACGTTCATAAAGCTATAATTTAAAGCCTTTTCATTCTGTGGAATGTGATCCAATGTTATTTCTTTGTGGAGTGGAAAGTGGTAGGTGGAGAGTGGTTGGAGACTGAGGGGATCAGGGCAAGGAGAGTGAGAGTAAAATTTGGTATAAATATATGTCACCATCTTCTAAATTAAGTATAACATTTGGTCTCTTTCTTAGATATACAAGTTGTCTCTGAAATATTGGAACATTTTCCTCTTATTGAAGGTTCTGAGAAAAGATTCCTGAGTTTCCCCAGGGCAGGATCTGCCTACAAGTAGCTGACAAGGTGGATGAGTGATTTGCCAGCTTGAGGCTTCCCGGGGACTGCTCTGAGAATTGGAGGGGGCCCAGAGCCAACTTAGGGTGTGGTTCTAGGCATGGGGCCATTCATACTGGGAGCACCCGGGATGCTCTTTTCTAGAGAGCATCTGGGTAAGAGTGGTGGTGGCATCTGAGCACCAGTGTGCAAGTCCTAGCTCTGACAAGTGAATGATTTCAGGGAAGTCACTTAACCTTTTTGTTTCTGATTTTCTGTGTCTGAAATGTGCAGATTATGGTATCTGTCCTGCTTATCAGAAAACACTGTTTTGAAGAGCAAATTGTATAATGTATATAAAGATACCTGGAAAACAAGAAAGCTTAGTACAAATACAAACCATTCCAGGCTAAAATGGAGATTCTGCGCTGCTTGAAGGAGGAAGGTGTGTTGGAAATGGTACCAACAGGGCTATCCTGATAAGTGGAGGGGTGTGGCAAACCGAGAGACAATATGGAGTGGTGGCTTTTAGCCACCTGAGGTTGAATCCTGATGCTACCACTTACGGCATGCACATCAGGATCATGTTATTTAACCTCTCTTAGTCTCAGTTTCATCATCTGTATAATGGGAATTATCAAATATTTACTACCTGGGTTGCTGTGAAAATGAAATGAGAAAATACATGTAACGTGCTTGCCATGTTGTAAGCCCTTAGTGAATATTAGCAACATATAAATAGACATAACAGCTCTTCTAGTTTTGTGCTATGGGCTGATTTCATGTATATGACACTTGTTTTTTTTTTTTTTTTACACAAGACCTTTCCCAAGTTCTTTGTGCCCTACATAGGGGAGGTAAAATGAGGGAAATCACAAAAATTGTGACAATTTCTAGATTAGACATAGTGTAGGTGTTGTCATGTCTGCAGTGTAGAAGTCACCTTGGAAAGAGTTTGCTCATATTTCTTAAACATTTTTTAGGGTTGTCTTAGAGATGATCCAAGAACATTTTCTTTCATTCATTCAACAAACTTTTACTGAGCACTCAGTGTGCGTAGGATGAGCTAGGCTAGGAGATAAGGATGCAGTGGTGAGTAGGATAAATAAAATTCCTCTGCTAAAGAAGCATATGCTCTAGTAGGGAAGACACAAAAAAGTGTATATTTAGCATGTAGTATGTAGCAACTAGAGCTAGGAGGAAAAGTAAGATAGGGGAAAGGGACAGCATTGTCTTTGGGAGGACCCAGGGTGGAGACAGTAGCCACTCTCCCCTGTTCAGAACCCAGGAGCACAGAGTGCAGGTCACAGCTCAAAGGGCATTGTATTTGGCTGTCCAATGTGGCTGTTCTTTTTTTTTTTTTTTTTAATACAAGCATCCATTTTTGTTTTAAGACATGAAATGAGGGAATGACCACATATCCTCTCTGTCTCTAATTGGAGACAGTGAGTTTGGGCAGTTAAGATCCTGGGATCATAACCAGGATAAGGCAGAGGTGACGATCTCCTCCTGCCTGGACCCCTGTCCTGGCCCATCACTACCCATAGGGTAGGGGTGTGTGTGTGTGTGTGTGTGTGTGTGTGTGTGTGTGTGTGGTCTGAGTGGGATGGGAAGGTGGATGGCTTGGTATACATAAGGTCTTTTTCAGAACACTTGAAATGCAGACCTTGTCTGATAATACTTCTGTGACTCGGGTATATTATCTTCACAGCTCACAGTTTCATGGGACATTTGTGCAGATGAAATTGATCAGCAGCAGGAGGAAAATAGTCGTTGCCTAGGCAACCAGTGGATGACTCATCCAGGCTTTGAAGCAGCCAAAGCCATGAGACTGCAGTAATTTTCCAGATGCTTAACTCGCCTTCCTCTTTCTCTTCTCTTTCGTTGTTTCCCACTCTCCATCCTTCATTTCTTTCTCCACACCCACTTCCCTGGATGCTGCTCACTAGATCCTGAGCTCTCTGGAGCAGGTATTGAGACCTTATCCCACCACTGCATATGTGGCTTGATCTGCTGCTGCTCCTCATTCTAGCAACCAGGGGATGGATGGCCAGGCTGCAAAAGTCTTATTGCTACAGAGCTCCAAGATGCTGCTTGTTGCCTTTAATCATAAAAAGTTTAAGTGAGTGTAGCACCTTTTCTCCTAATTGAATCTAACCTAAGCTTATCTGTTTGTCTTAGAGATCTGCAGAGCATTTCTTTGAGGAGAGGCAGTTAAACCTTGGGCTTCCCCAAGCAAAGTTGTGGAAATGATATTTAAAGGTGACAAAGCCCCTTTTGACAGCAGCTCTCTCTGCTGGGTCTTCTCATCCTCTTGGCTCACCTTTCCTCACTCATAGTCTGGGGTCTGATTTTCCAGGCTCTTCTTAATTATCCACCATATTCCCCTCTAAAAAGCAAAGTGATAGACGTTTAAACCATTCCCCTTTCCAAAGGCATTTTCATTTTAACAAAGAGCTTTCAAAGGCAAAGTATTTCAAGACCCCAAAGAAAAAAAAAATCTTTAATTAGCTTTTCAAATACAGATTTAGGCAGAGGGGCTTTGGTGGTGGTCTGTGCCTGGTAAAAAGGTTTTCCCCTGCACATCGTATGTGCAGTACCTTCTTTGCTGCTGATACTGACTTTAAAGACATTCATATTGGATACTTGTTGGTGCCTCAATTTTGTATCCCACCCCACCCCCCATACATGTGTATTCCATTCATATGTGTACACACACACACACCCTTGAGCAGCAGGAGCAACTGATGGGGAAAAAACAAACCCCAAGTGATAAACTTTAGTTCACTCGCTTTTACTAATTGGATGTATGTCAAGCATCTATTCAATGCAGAACATGGTGGCCATCATTGGGACTGGGATGTCTCAAAATGGCTTACAGTCAGAACAGATTAAAGGCAAGCAGACACACACTTCTGTGGGAATGAGTAATACAGTTTGGGGAGAGGGTGCTGCTTATGACTGCCTCTCAGAGTTTGCCCTCTGGGTCCCTTTACTGTTCTTGGTCTTAATTAATTCAGTTGGCTCAGGCCCATGAGAGCTTCCTCACTGGTGCTCCACCTGTCCCACCACAGTGTCACTCCACCTTGAGGTGACCTGCCTGCACAACCACCAGAGTCACAGACAGATGCTCGTTCCCTTCATCCTTTCCTGAAGACAGCTCTCCTTCTGGTTGCAGGGACCTTCACAGTCTGAAAAGACGCTGAACACATATCCTTCCAGTCTGTTTGTGCATTTACACATACAGAAACACACATGACTTCTGAGATAGGTGAGTCCTTAAAGGGTACACACTCCAGCCATCTGTCTAGTGCCGGCATCACTTTGAAAGCATCTCCAATGGTCATCGTTGTCATCTCACTGCACTTGAATGCCCCAGAATGAGCAGCTGCTTCTCACAAGAAAACTCCTTTGTTTTTGGACAAGTTTTAATGTGAATTTATTTGTGCACTTATTGAACAATTCCTTTACTCAACAAAAATGAATTGACCTGCCCATGGTTTTTAGACACTGGAGGTGCAATGGTGAGCAAAACCATCATTGCCAACATGGCTTATGGTCTTCAGGGGAGGCAAAATTAACTGAACAATCAAACAGAACTATATTACCGACAGGGAAGAGTCCTGGGAGGCAGCAGTGCCTGGGAGGGAGCAATGAGACCATAGGGTAGGGAACTCTGGGCCAGTGAAGATGGAAGGCAGGGGTCAGGGAAGTCCAGAAATGGCTTCCTTGGGAAAGTGATGCAGGGGCCAAAGAATGGAGTTAGCTGGGCAGAGCGGGGTTGGGTGGGAGGAAGAGCATTCCAGGCAGAAGGAATAGATTGTTAAGAGATTATCTTGAAGTGGCAGGAACCACAGCAGGTTTGAGAAAGGGAAAGGAGGCCAGTGTGGCTGGAGAGTCCAGAAATGGGCAGCAAACATGGCTTCCAGGACACTGTGGTGGAAGCCCCAGCTTACTCGCAGTGCAGTTCAGATGAGGGAGCGATAATGGTTTCTTGCTTTTTCTCTCCTTCTTCCTCTGCTCCATGTTGCCCTCCTCCTCTGACTTCTTCTGTTTTTTTTTTTTTTTTTTTTTGGGAGCTAGTGCTCTATAACTAATTTGGTCTTTCTCAGAAACCCCATCTGCTGAGGAGCAAAAATTTCAGTTTCAAAGCTTAGTGTGAAGTAAAAATATAAATACAGACAGTCCCTGAGTTATGGTGGCTCAACTTAATGATTTTTTGACATAATGATGGTGTAAAACTGTCACAAATTCTATGTAATGTACAGTATTCAATAAATTATTTGAGCTATTCAATGCTCTATTATAAAATAGGCTTCGTGTTAGGTGATTTTGCCCAAATGTAGGCTGAGGGAAGTGTCCTGATCACGTTTTAAGGTAGGCTAGCCTAAGCTACAATGTTCAGTGGGTTAGGCTGTAGTAAATGCATTTTCGACTTATAAGATACTTTCAACTTATGACACATTTATCAGGATGTAATCTCATTGTAAGTTGAGGAGCATCTGTCACCTTTTGTGAGTAAACATGCTCAGATGCAGCAACCCTGACCTGCAACTCTTCAAGATGGTTTTGAAGAGTAGGGTGGATTTTGGCTTACTTGGTACTTGTAACAGTAATGAAAAAAGAGACCTTGGAACCTTGCAGTGACTTGGACTGTCTTCTGCTTTTTTCAGTCTCTTCAGAAGTGTCCTTGTCTTCCTGGCCTCCAATTGCTCTGCTGATGTTGGTGGCTGTGGCCTGCTACTTGTGCATCTTGTAGCTGGGTTCTTTTTCCTTTTCTCTCTCAAATTGGTCAGAGCCCAGCATCTGCCCCCAGGATGATCTGATCTTGTCTCTGCTCTTGCTGTATTTTTGTCATGTTCTCCGATGGCTTTGTCCACATGTCCACCTGAAGTGTGTGGAGTAAAGTCTTCTGATTTCTGCTCCTATAAGTCCTGGTGCAGCAGGATAATTTAGGAATCAGAGAGACCAAAGGTCGAGGAGGATATATATTATTTATTATTTAGGTGCACCGGCCCAGTCAGATTAACATCCAAAAAGATTGAGCCCTGAACAAAGAGTCCGGTTACTTTTTAAGTATTTTGTGGGCCGGGGAGATCTGTGCAGGGGGAAGTATATTACAGAAGAGAGAAACAAAGACAGTTATTCAATTGAGACATGCATTACATTATTTCTTACTTTCCAAGGAAAAACACGTTTTATGACTTGAGTTTATCTGCCTAGTGACCTTGCAGCTGCACAGCTAGAGAAACAGGGTCTTCACAATGCCTGGGAAAGGTGGAGAGATAAGACTCACTAGCCACAGAAAAACAGGCAGTTAATTTTTAAAGGACTTCAGCTCTTCCTCTTCCTCAAGGGGAATTGGGTTTTCTTATATACAATGATATAATGAGTTTTTGCTTACACATTCTTTAATTTCTTTTAATTCCTGTTTCACTGGTAGGCTGTGGGCTCTCAGCTAGGAACTCACTGTATAAGGGGATGTGTGCAGGATGAGAAGTATGGACTAGATGTTTTGTTTTCTACCACAGAACAGCAAGGGGAACCTTCTGTGTTCTGTGGGGAACCCATGATTTCGGCAGCCAGACTTGATTCTGGATTAAGCTAAAAGAGAGGATAAAGGAATTCAGGAAATCTTTTCTTGCATGACTACTGGCTTGCTGCAAAATTCCATTTTAAAGTAAAAAATCAGAATATGAACTCTTCCTCCCAGCTTCTTTGCATTTTTCCTTTACAGTTTTCATCTTTCCCAGAGCAGATGGATGGCTCTGGCCATCTAGGGGATACATTTACTTTTTTGGGTTGGCAGAAGAGAAAAGTGTGTGGGGTGTGTCCATGTTTCAAAGTAGGATTTCTGTTACTATACTATTTTAAGGATTTTGGGTGCTTCTCCCTAGGATCACTGGGAAGTCACTGAAGCATTTTTAGCAAGGGAGTGACAGATTCAGATTTGCATTTTTATAAAGACCTTGCTGTCTACTGTAGAGAATAGATTGGATGGGGCAAGCTACATACAGGCAGATCAGTCGGCAGTTAGTGTGTGGTGGCAAAGGAGATAAACAGAGACAGAATTGAGGGATGTCTAGATGGTCAGACAATAGGATAGGGAGACGGATCAGATATAGGGTTGAAGGAGAAATAGGTATCAAGAAAGAACCTCAGTTTCTGCTTTATATGACTGGAGAAATCTGGGGACCATTTACTGAAAAAGGGAATAGAAGGAGATCCAGATTTAGAGAGTGGTGAAAAAATGATGTCCAGTAGGACATTTTGAGTTTAAAGTATCTCAGAGAAATGCAAATGGAGATGATCAGTAAGTGGTGGGATGTTTGAGTCTGAAGCCCAGGGCAGAGTCATTTATGTGTAAATGTCTTAGTCTGTTTGAGTGGCTTAACAAGATACCACAAACTGGGTAGTTTATAAACAATGGAAATTTATTTCTCACAGTTCTGGTGGCTGGAAATCCAAGATCAAAGTGTCAGCAGATTTGGTGTCTGGTGAGGGCCCACTTTCTGGTTCACAGATGGCTCCTGCTAGCTGTATCCTCATGTGGTAGAAGAGGCAAAGCAGCTTTCTGGGGCCTCTTTTATAGGGGCACTAATCCCATTCATGGGGGGTTCCATCCTCATGACCTAATCACCCCCTAAAGGCTCTATCTCCAAATACATCACATTAGTGACTCACTTTCAACACATGTGTTTGGGGGCACATACACATCAGACCATAGCTGTAAGTGAACATATGTGCAGTGGAAGCAAACAACCCAGGGAGGGAGCATGGAAGGAGAAGAGAAGTGGGTGTTGGATGATGAAAGAAAGCACAGAGGTCTGGTGGTAGATAGAGGTGACTTATATTAAAAGTATACAAAGAATTTATAGTAAGAGAGGCTTTTCTTGTTAAAGAGGGGAAAGCCTTGAGCACTTTTAAATACACAATCCTGAGATAGTGACAAAGTGAAGAGGAGAGAGTAGATGGATTTAGAGCACAGCTTCCCTATCTCCTTTCTCAGATAGGGAAAAAGAAACTTCCTCTATGACATAAAGGAGGGAGCAAGGGTTCACCTAGAGAAGATAGATTTGTAGTGGGGAGACCAGGACGTGAAGGCATTACCATCTGATGATCTCCGTTTTTGTTGTCATGTAGGATACAAGATCTCCTAGAAAGTGGATTGGCTTTTAAGGATGGAGTTTTGGTTGGGGATTTAAGGATGTGGTAAAGGTGTTGCTGTGAGGTAATGGGAGACAGGTGAACTGGGACAAATAGGGTAGATGATAGTATTTTGTTGTGTCATCTCCAGCCTTAACTTTATGTGTTTTTCCCACTCTGGCCTTTTCTTCTCTGACTCTTCCCAACCACTGGTTCTCAGGATCTATTGCCTTCTCCATTGGATTCTTTCCCCATCCCACCCCTAATTACTATCCTCAGACTGAGAAAATGATGCACCCATTGAGTTAACAAATCAAAGAATCACTCCATAAAGGTCAACCATTTGTTATTTGAATAAAACTTTAAAAACGAAACAAAACAAAACACCATTTCCCTTAATTCTCTGTAGCAAATTCTAAAAATTTACTTCCCTTCTTCCTTTTCCCCAAACTAGGTGTGCTAAGATTCCCTATGAGTTGCCCTTCTGCTAAAAGATTAAGAGAGGAGAATAAGTTCATGAGCATGGCAAGGCTGCCGGAAACTGCGAGATCCAATTAAGACCATTGTAAGCTTTGCTGCCATTAGAGGAAGAAAAGTTAATTGTATGAAATGAAGAAATATTTGAAAAACACAGTAATTTCAAAACATCTAAAAGCAATTATTTTGTTTTGGTCTGCGTGGAAAACATTAGAGTAAAAAACAGATTGAAAAATGAAGATGGCTAATGCTATTAATGACAACTTTATAATAAGAATACACGAAAAACAGTATGTATGACTGCCCTTCAAAACCGTAATATATTCTCAATATGTCAATATATGAACAATAAAAATATGCATAAAGATATAATGAATATATTGTACAATAAAAATATACATGAAGATATAATCAATATATTGAGAATATATTACCGATTTATTGGAGTGTAGCAGGATAGCATTAGCTACAGAATATAATTCTTCCTTTTAGAATTGTGATTGAAGTTCAAAGCTGAGCACAGAAGGTGCAAAGAGCATATATTCTACCTTCAGAGGACCATTGTGAGTTGCTGAGGCCAGTCTTCAGAGGACTGTACATAAAGAGGAGAACTGAAGAGAGAGGAAAAGGCTATCTTTTACAGGAATGCAGTGTTTGTGTTAAGGGATGATTCTTTTTCCTCCTCTTTGCCTCCTCCCCCTGTGGATATTGCAAGAGAGCTACCTATAACATTACAAATGGCTAAGGCAGGCCCTCTTGTAAGTTTCAAAACCACTGGGGCATCTGATTGTTGGTGGCTATTGGGGTATGGAGAAAGTCAAAGAAAGAAAGTGAGAGAGAGAATATAAATAAGGAGCTAGAATACATTTCCCCTGTTTGGTGTGATAAGAATGCTGTTGTTGAAATTAGATTTGGCTGCAGGTGACAGAAAACCTAACATAGCAGTATGACTTAAGTTAGATACTTATCTTGCTCTCTCATATAAACAAAGTCCATGGATCTGGGCAATCTAAAGGACTTCCAGTTCTGGTAATAATAGAGAGGCAATCTGGGCCAGCCACCGCTGCCAAAGGCAACAAAAAGCTGGGAAGAAAACCTCTCCTTAAAATCATCAAAGAGCTAGCAAGATAGTGAGACATACCAGGCTATGACCCAGAGAAATGAGTAGCACCAGGCCGCTTTTGTCCTGGGGGTACTTTTCAGTTCAAAGGAGACCAGAGAGACTGATTCGTACTTTCTGGTGGCTCCTGAAGAAGAGAGAAAAAGCAGTAATTGGTGGACCCTGGTGAATCACCTCTGCTTTATGCTGTGGCCCCAAGGGGCTGTACTTTAGGAGTGTAGATAAAACAGAAATTTATTTCCTTGCACAAAAGTCCAGTTTCTTTGTGTCATATGATGTTCCACAAATCCAAAGGCCTTCAACTTAGATTAAAGTGGTCTTCTACTGCTAATGTCTCTAGTGCTTGGTAGAAGCCAACAAAAATGCCCTAAGAAAATAATAATGTGTTAGGTCTCAAATTATTTCAGCAAATACTTTTGTTTCAAATAAAATATGGAGTACACCATCAAAGATAATGCAGCACATGAGGAAATAAGACATGATGAATAAGAACCAACAGAAAAAAAGACAGTTTAGGTACATAAGTGATAATAGATATTGGAATTATCAGACAGAGACTATAAAACAATTGTTTGCTCTCTTCGAGAAAATAAATACTTGAAAATTTTAGCAAAACCCAGAAATTCTAAAAAGTGACAGAATAGAGTTAAAAAGAGTATCAAATAGAAATCCTAGAACTAAAAAGCTCAATAAGAAAAGAACTCAGATGGAATTAACAGAAAATTAGATATAGTTGAAAAGAGAATTAGTAAATTGAATATTATTAGAAGAATCTATCCAGTATGGAGAGCCAAAAGGATAAAAAGACTGAAAAGAGGGTAAGAGACAGGGAGAGTACAGTGAGAATGTAGGACAATCATCTGACTCTTAGAAAGAGGGGAAGAAAATAGTGCATCTGTCAAATTTTTCTAATGGGGCAGAGGTGATATTTGAAGTGATAATGACAGAATTTTTCAAAACTGATTAAAGACATTACTCCATAATTCTAAGAAGTCTAATGTGTTCCAAACAATATATTTAAAAAGGATCCATGCTTAAACATATCATAGGAAGAAATATTAATACCAAAAAAATACCTTGGATTACCTTGAAAGTAGGAATAGTTTGGCCAACAGCTAACTTCTCAATAGGAGCAATGGGATTACAAATACAGAGCACTCAGCATTCTAAAAGCAGAAAACACCAAGTTAAAGCTCCATGTCTAAGGAGAATAAAGACATTTCCAGACAAAGCAAAACTGGGAGAATATGTCATCAGCAGATCAACAGAGAAGGAAATACTAAAGGATAAAGAAGAAGGAAAATGATGCCAAATGAGAGAATTTAAGATGAATGAGAATGTTAATATGCAGATAAATGGAACTAAATAATGCTGTATAAAGTAATCATCAGCATCATCATCATGTCCTTTGGAATTTAAAAAAAATCTACAGAATTAAATATAGGACAACAGTTGCCTACAATGGGTGGAGGAGGGGTCAGAGAATGGAGTTAAAATGTTCTAAGGTCTTTACATTGTCTAGGAGGAGTGAGGGTATCAATTATCATCAGAATTTGTTAAGTCATAAATACACATTATAATTTCAAGGGCAATTATTGAAACAATTCAAAAAAGTGTGTAATTTATGAACTAGTGGAGGGGAAGAAGTAAATGATTAAAATATAATCAAATACAGCAAGAAAGAAGAGAAAAAATGTAGAATAGGCATGTAGTAAATAACCGACTTAAGTGCTAACATGTCAAATTATGTTACATGTAAGTGGAGTTAAATACCCTAACCAAAGTTATCTGACTGTATTAGAAAGAAAGCATATACTCTTTACAAGAGAACAGCTTAAAGACTGCAAGTAAAATGTTAGAAAAAGATATACCATACAAACTGAAACCAAAACCAAAAGTCAAAGTACCTATTTTAAAATCAGATAAAATAGACTTTAAGAGAAAAAAAGCATTATTAGAAATAAACAATCTCTAGATAATGACAAAGGACAATTCCTCAGGTTATAAGTCACTTCTAAATTTCTGTACTCCAAGTAACATAATCCCAAAATACATAAAGTAAAAATTATCAAAACTTCAGGAATAAGTAGAGAAACTGACAACCATAGTGGATGATTTTACTACACTTCTGTCAGTAATGAATAGAGCAATCAGACAAAAATCAGTAAGAATTTAAAAGAGTTGAACAACACATTGAACAAACCTGAGAATATTTGGGGAACTGTTCTAGGTACTGGGGAAAGAGCAGTAGATAAAACAACAATCTTGGCTCTCATAGGGAAAGCTATGAAGAAACATCAAGCTTAGAAGGTAATACAGTGTACTAGGGGTTGAAGGGTGGTTTGCAAATTTTAGTGGGGTGGTCAAGGAACACCTGACTGAGAAGTTGACATTTGGGCAAAAATGTCAAGGTGGTGGGAGGAAAAGCATTCCAGGAAGAGCGAATAGCAAGGATACTCCTAATACCACATCCCAGCTCTCTCCCATTCCCGAGGGATGACCTCAAATATGAGGAAAGAAAGGGATTGCGTGAGAAAGGGAGTGGCAAAGTGGAGGGAACTTGACCTTGGAAAAGAAATCTAGAGGCAGAAATAAAATTTTGAACTTTGTCTCAAAAAAATTCTAGCTCTGGTCTTGGCTCAGAGGAAGAATAAAGTTGTAATGATGAATTTTTATTTTACAGGAATTTATCCATTTTTTATTCTATAGTCATTTATGCATTAAATAAAATTTCAAACCAAACACAGAGATCTCTAATCTCACCACCTTTGCAGGATTATTTTCATTAATTAGTTTGCCTTCTTGTCTTATCTATATGGATGCCTCTTTTTTTCAACTCATAAAACACCTTTATTGAGACCAGATATGAGTCACAGAGTTAGGTGACTCATCGCCCACAATTTCTTTGAGCCAGAATCTGAAGGTGAAAGGGTGATGATTTCCACGGATACCCTGTGAAGAATGGTTCTGGGGCATTCAACTGCACGAGTTGCTTGGTAGCTCCTGAGGGCATGATGGGTAATAGAGGATTAGAGCAGTTGAGTCAGAAGTCAGGGTCCTCAAAATAGGAAGGGCTGGGGCAAAAGCAGCACAAATAAGCCTAGTTTCTATTCTGTACACATGGGCAAAAAGGCAGCAAACAGCAGCATAAAAGGGAAGGAGGCCCAAATTAAAAAAAAAACTCACAAAACATAACACTTTATCAATAAGAAATCAATTTTCATCAGTCCACCCTGAGAGAAGCCATGGAAAAATTTAACCTCCTCAGCAGAAACTTATTCCTAAATTTCTAATGAATGTATACTCTTCACTGCAGATGTGGGTTGGTTCTGAATTTAGAATTATTTTGGAAAGTGATGGAGTCCCAAAACAGGAGGCTTGGGTGGATGGGCACTTTCTTGTCTTCAGAGTTGTGCTTTGCTGCTTTCCCCAGAAATTCCAGACCCCTCGGAAATCAAGTGGATGGGTTTCCTCTGCACTGCTGCTGTTGACTTGTTAGCCCATACAGTATGGCTTTAGCTGCTGCTTCTCTCTGGCTGGCTTTTACCCCAGCTTTCTAGGGCCCTATTGTATTTTTCTTTTTTAAGCTCTTAGCCAGAGTGGTGTTGAGTTTCATTCTTAGACTCCTTAATGCCAGGAACTGTAGACTCCATGTTTTGCACTTTCTTATCTGTCACATACTGGGGCCAATCATTGGGTCTTGTTGGTAGGAAATCCCACTGTCAGGTTGCTGGGAGCATTGCAAAGCAGACTGAAGGAATTCCCTGATGGGTAGGTGAGGAAGCCGTGAAGGCACCTCCCGACCCAGGCCATGCAATGTGAGGCTGAGGTGCCAGGTACTTCAATGGCGGGATCCTGGTGACCTGGTGCTGTCCAGGGCACTTCCTGTGCTCAGCTGTTAGTCTGGGCCCTCTAACAAGCCAGTGCCAAGATGGGATTAGGTGTGTGAGATTTTATTAAAGGACCATGAGAGGAAATGGGGAAGAGGCTGGGAACACTGGGAGAGCTATAAGACTGAAATGCAAATCTGACCCCAACGGAAGGAGGGAGGAAGGGGAAGGTAGGTGGAAGCATTTTAGACTTCTGTGTAGCCTAGGGAATGTTCAAGAAGGCCTTTGACAGTCCTGGAGCCTCAGAGTGCCATGTCTCACAGGAGCGGGTCAGCTGTAGCATCCTTGCTGCTCTCATCTATGACCAGAGCTTCTGGGGAAGCAGGGCCTCCATACAAACACCACAATGGGTTTCAGAGAGCAATGCATTTCACAGAGCAGGAGCTGGCACTACTGTCCATTATGCTCCAGGGTTGGAGTGGTGGTGGGAGGTGCTTGTGGGGGTTTGGAGGTTTGCAAGGTGCGTACCCATGGCTGCTATATAAAGTTCTAGAACTGTCTTACTAGACCGCAGATAGGTGTGAATCTTCACCTCAGTAGGTGCTAACTGTGAAGTGAAACCAATTATATTCACATGGAAAAAAAAAGTATCTCTCTAGTAGACGTGACCTCAAAGGAAGGAAGCAAAAGCAGCAGGAGGGAAAAGGGCTCCAGGTGGAGGGAGTTGAGCCTTTTATTTGGGCTGTGAACAGCGCCCTTCACCATTAGACTCCATCTTTACCGCGCTTCATTCTTCGCAGCCTCCTCCTAAGACACTAACTAGCAATTCCAAATATTTCATCTTCACTCACAGGTTATACTCCTTTATATGACCTCCGAAGGCTAGCTGATGTATTTTTCCCTTGAGGATTGAGGTAGGACAGAAAAAGAATAAACCATATATGTGGGCTGCTGCCTGCAAAAGTCTTTCCAGATCTCTAGTGAGTGACAGCCCAGGGTAGCGTTTGGTGTACCAGCAAGACCCTGCAACCCTCAGTCAAGAAACTCAAGTTCTAGTCATTTTTTTTTGTCCATCAGTTACTTCATGATCCAGGCAGTTTGTTTCCTTCTCTGAGGCTTTAATATCCTCAGCTGCAGAATGAGAGAGCAGGCAACTTTTTTCAAAGGATTGATATTCTATAATGTCTATATGTTATTTTATTTTAAAATTAATTAATTATTTATTTCAGAGCCAGTGTCTCACTCTGTCTCCTGGCTGGAGTCAGTGGCATGATCATAGCTGACTGCAGCCTTGAACTCCTGGGCTCAAGGGTTCCTCCAGCCTCGGTCTCCCGTGTAGTCCTCTATTTTAAAATGGCAGGTGTGTACGGGAGAGGCAGTGGGCTGGAAATCAAATGTCCTCAAGTTTTACCAAACACTTCTTTCTGCCATTTTTCTACTTCAATTATTGCATTTCTACAGTCCTGAATTGTCATTGTTTACTTACATGTCTGCCTTTAAACTGTGAATTTCTGGAGGGCGGGATCCATATCTCTCCTATGTTCCAGAGCCCCTTACACAATGCCTAGTACACAGCGAGTGTGCCGTGAATGCTGGTGGGATTGGCTAAAGAAACAGTGATGCGGCCGGGCGCCGTGGCTCACGCCTGTAATCCCAGCACTTTGGGAGGCCGAGGCGGGCGGATCACGAGGTCAGGAGATCGAGACCATCCTGGCTAACACAGTGAAACCCCGTCTCTACTAGAAATACAAAAAATTAGCCTGGCGTGGTGGTGGGCACCTGTAGTCCCAGCCACTCGGGAGGCTGAGGCAGGAGAAGGGCGTGAACCCGGGAGGCGGAGCTTGCAGTGAGCTGAGATCACGCCACTGCACTCCAGCCTGGGTGACAGAGCGAGACTCCGTTTAAAAAAAAAAAAAAAAAAAAAGAAAGAAACAGTGATGCAGTGGCTAGATGTGGTTAGCACTGTGAGAAACTGTGAGCTTGACATGCCTGGGTTCAAATCCTAGTTTTGCCACTTGCTAGTTGCGGTCCTTGGACAAGTTACTTTTTGAGCCTCCATTTCCTAATTTTAAAATGGCTGTAATAGTTCTTACCTGGCAAGGTTATTGTGAAAATTAAGTGAGATAATTCATGTCATGTGCTTCTCAGCACATGGCAGATGCTGTTTTGAAGACTTTGTCACTTTGGTCCTGTGACCATTATGCTAAAGGCTAGAAGTGAAGGTTGGGGAGATTAGTAATTCGATTGTTAATCCATAACAAAATATTTCAGGATATTTTGGTCTGCATTTTGCAGGAAATATCTTAATTCTAACCTGCATTTTATCATCTACCACAGACCTAAGTAGTCTTTTAATTGGCAGTAGCATTACTGTCTCTGTCTGTGAAAAATAGGCAGTTCTCCAAAGACCTTTCCATGTCTGTGCTGAAAGGTACAATGCAGAATTTTGCTGTAGTGAGTCTGCAGGCACTGTCTTGCTGAGGAAGCATCTTAGACTTCCCGAAGCTGGCTTTGTGAAGTTGCTGTTTCACATAATAATACATTTGGCCTAGAAAGGGCCTCAGGAACATCACTGTCTTTTATACTGTGAACCCGATTATATTAAAAAACTCCCAAAGAGCAAGTCAATCACTTTTCTCCTTGGGCCTCTTTGATGCCATTTAGAAAGGTATCTTGTCAGTGGAGTACTGGTACCTGTACCTCCCTGTGATCTATATGGTCTGGGGCAAGGTGCAAATCAAATGCCCCCTGCCTTCTGTTTGTAGAAGAAGAAAAGCAAAAGACAGGAAAATATATTCATATTTACTAACCTGGGACTTTCTGATTGGAGACTGATTATCACTTGCTGTTCAAGTTTAGATGGGTCAACAAAAAAATGTATCTCCATCCTCAGGAACGTCATTCCAGTTGAGTTTGATTTTATTTATTCATGTGCTTGTAACTAAAAGTTTCCTCTGGAAGGAATAAAGTTATAGGAAATTAAACAAAATTATTAACAGTTTCTCTGTCTTCTTAATGCCACAATTAAATATTGCTCCCACTAATTATAATAGTAGTTATCCTTCATTGAATAATTAGTATATGTTAACTATTGTGCTAAGTGCTTTACATGTTTCATCTCTTTTTCATTTTTAAAACAATTTGCAAGGAAAGAAGTATTTATTCCCTATTTTGCTGTAAAGGAAACTGAGACTCCACAAATGACAGATCTTTACCTAATTTCATTACAATGTCCTTCATTTAATACTCTGCTTACCTGACACGCAACTCTGCCTTCTGAGCCCTCGTGTCTACATTTGTAGGCCTTCAGTCTCTTCCCTCACTGTTGTTCCAAATGCAGTCTCAGCAGTGACCCTAGTATCTGAGTATCTGAGCATGGGCTGGCTGCAGTCCATCACTATTGGTTGTTCTGGGACCTTTTTGCTTTTTTGCTTATATTCTAGGTAGATGAGGATATCAGGTCACTACCAGAAAGGAGCTATGGTGCTGTGTTATTTTGTAAAACTGGTGGTAAATATATGGCATTTGATAAATCTTGAGATGGTATAGGCTCAAAGTAAAAGTGGGTTTTAGAAAGTATTTAGGCAGGCCGGACATGGTGGCTCACACCTGTAATCCCAGCACTTTGGGATGCTGATGGGGGTGGATCACTTGAGGTCAGGAGTTCAAGACCAGCCTAGCCAATGTGGTGAAACCCTGTCTCTACTAAAAACAAAACAAAACAAAAATTAGCTGGGTGTGGTGGCAGGCGCCTGAGGAGAAGGTAGCAATATTCAAACAATGTGATCATAGGAAACAGGGCAGCGCTTCGCAGCTAACCCAGTGAATTCAAGTCTATCTCTGACACCAGCAGGATGTTTCCTGCTACAGCTTAATGGTTTTCTCTGTTCTTAACATCCTAACTTCCAATTAAAATTGTCTCTTAAGAGACCTGTGGATCCAATGCCCTCATTTACAGATAAGAAAACGGGGCCGGGCGCCGTAATTCACGCCTGTAATCCCAGCATTCTGGGAGGCCAGAGGGGGAGGATCACGAGGTCAGGAGTTCCAGACGAACTGGGCGACAAAAAAAAAAAAAAAAAAAAAAAAAAAAAAGTAAAGAAAAAATCTATCTCAAAAAAAAAAATAAAGTATTTAGGTAAATGTATACAAGAGGTTTTACTACGAATATGCGGACTAAGATTCCTATGGCTATCACCTCTTCTTTTGTTCTGCTTCTCTTGGGAACATATGTTCCTCAAGTCCCAGCAGGCATCTTCATCAGTTCTACTGGACAATGTGTGGTGCCACCCAGCCCATCATTCTGGTACTCATTTCCACCAAGTGTGGATGGCGGGTTGGTGAGGGAGAGTGAAGAGGTGCCTGGTATCTGCAAGCCTGGTTTCTCTTCTCAACTGTACCACCCACCAGCTATGAGACTTTGGGGGAAGTCAATTAATCTCTCTGGGCTTCAGTTTTCTTTTTTTTTTTTTGAGACACAGTCTCGCTCTGTCACCCAGGCTGGAGTGCAGTGGCACGATCTTGGCTCACTGCAACCTCTGCCTCCCAGGTTCAAGTGATTCTCCTGCCTCAGCCTCCTGAATAGCTGGGATTACAGGCGTGTGTCACCACACCTGGCTAATTTTTGAATTTTTAGTAGAGACGGGGTTTCACCATGTTGGTCAGGCTGGTCTTGAACTCCTGACCTCATGGTCCGCCTGCCTCGGCCTCCCAAAGTGCTGGGATTACAGGCATGAGCCACCGCACCCGGCCCAGTTATTTTATCTATAAAACGAGGGCACTGGATCGACAGGTCTCTTAACAGACCATTTTAATGGGAAGTTAGCATATTGAGAACAGAGAAAACCATTAAGCTTTAGCAGGAAACATCCTGCTGGTGTCAGAGATAGACTGTTGAATTCATTGGGCATAGCTGCGAAGCGCTGTCCTATTTCCTATGCTCAAATCATTTGAATATTGCTACCTTCCCCTCAGATGTTGAAAGCATGTCTTCCTTTTTCAGATGAGAGATCCGAGGCTAATTTTGGCCATTGGTTGGCCATGGACTCTTAGTTATTGCTGATTACTTAATTTGCAGGGCAAATGCAATGTCAAGGAATGGCAGATGACTGGCAGCTGATGTGATGGTAGCCAGGAATAATTGCCAGTAAATGGAGAGGGCTGCCCTACTTTGCTTTACTAAAGTTAGCAGGCGCCTGCAGAGACTTGTATGGCTCCTAATGATTTTTGTTAAGTTTGGAGAACAGTTGGACTGTAGATTAATTTCACCATGTTTCTTCCTGACATTTTTCATTTAAAAGGTGCTAAAATTCTAAAATGAACAAAAATCAAGTGTCTTCTTTACTCAAGGGGAAAATTGCCTCTTTGCAGAAATGCTTTCTAAGGAATATTGACTTCTTGATTTGACTGAGACATTCATCTGTCATGAGCTTCCTCACTGACACTACTTACCTTTCTTCTTCCAAATATTTGTTTCTATGCACGTTTGTTCTTTCTTCTCTTTTGTCTGAGATAAAAAGATAGTGTTCTTCCTTTCTAAGTACCAACTCTTCCACCTGCACTCTGGAATTATCTTTCTGATTTCAAAAGTAATACATATTTATTGCAGAAAATTTGGAAATTGTGGAGATGTAAAAGAAGAAAATAATATCACTCATAATCCCACCACGTAGAGACAGTTGCTGTAAACATTTTGAGGTCTTTCTGATTTTTTTCTAAGCACACTTTTTAAAATAATAAAATTGGGATTCTATTGTACACTAATTTGAATGGCACTTAAAAAATTAATATACAAAGAGCATTTTCCATGCTATTAACTTTTTTTTGAGAACCTTGTTTTAATGACTGTATTGAATTTTATTGTGGGATTGTATGCTAATTTGCTAAACTGTTCCTTTCACCTGGCATTAAGGCTTGTCCCTGCACTTTTGATCCTGTCCTTTCTTAGCTCCCCTGAGAGTGCGCCCTTCCATCATGCCTCTGCTCTTCCTTCATCACCGTGGCATTTTCCGCTGATGCTTTCTTGCATCTTCAGGCACACAGGTGCATCTCTACTCTCATCTCTAATCTGCTGTGTCATTTTGGATGTTTCCCATTTCAGCCTCTGGTTTTTTCATGGTATCATAGTCTATGAACTGAATGTTTTGTCTCCTACAAATTAATATGTCGATATCCTAACCTCCAATGCGATGGTATTTGGAGGTGAGGCCTCTTGGAGGTCATTAGGCCAAGAGGGTGGAGCTCTTATAGATGGG
The DNA here is from genome assembly GCF_000001405.40 of Homo sapiens. Taxonomy (NCBI): domain Eukaryota; kingdom Metazoa; phylum Chordata; class Mammalia; order Primates; family Hominidae; genus Homo; species Homo sapiens. The sequence goes on from NC_000001.11 coordinate 168,416,237, forward strand.
ATTACCGCCCTTATAAGAAGAGGCTTGAAGGAGCTTACTTCTGTCTTCCACTGTTTGCCATGTGAGGATCAAGGCTCATTTTTCCTCCACATGCACCCCTTGATCTAATCTAATTGTATTGCACGTGTACACCCAGACATTCTGCTCATGACCTCCTTTCTGGCCGTCATGCTTAAGCATGATACATATTCATCGAAACTACTGACAAAAATGTCAAACCTCAGCCCTGTGGCTCAACATTAGGGACTTACAAGATGAAGCCAATCTACTTATCAACAGTCTTTAAGCAAAGATGATTTAGCCAATTGTTTATATAGAGAATGGTTGAACATTGCAGCCCATGTTTCTCCATTCTGCCTCCTGGAATATTGTTAGTGGTCCATTTGAAACTTTGGAGTAGGTCAGACATGCTGCACCTCCACATTTCCCTAATCATCACATCCAGCTTCTCAGAGCAAAAAGGGAGGAGACATTGTCAGGTTCTGATCTTCATGAGGCCATGCTGGCTCCTGGGGATTACTGCTGCCTCTTCTAAAGGTTCAGAAGATTTCTTATTAAGCCACTCCAAATTTGTGAATTTTTTTGCTCCCTGTTTGAAAAATTGAAACTATCTGTGTTGATTGTTTGTTGATATCCATAAGGTGACAGATGGAGGTTGCAGGCCATGTGCCTGGGGTGCACTTGAAATGGGTCCGTGGTCTTTGTAGGCATTTGTTGTGGGGAGGACTTAGTTCTCCTGCTTTCCCTCTGTTCCATGACCCTGAACTAAGGCCCACTGCCCCTTCTAATGCTGCAGCCACCAGCTGCACATAGTAGGGTGGTAGGCAGAATAACACTCCTGAAAGATGTGCATGTTCTAATCCCTGGAACATGTGAACAGGTTGTCTCACAGGGCAAAAGGGCTTTGCATATATGATTATATTAAAGATTTGAGATGGGGAGATTATCCTAGATTATCTGGGTGGGCACAATGCAATTACATAGGTCCTTAAAAGAGTTAAAAAAGGATTTGAGGATGGAGGAAGGAACTATGAGTCAAGGATGCAGGCAGCATCTGGAAGCTGGAAAAAACAAGGGAGCAGATTCCCCATAGAGCCTTCAGAAAGAACATAGCCCTGCTGACACCTTGATTTTAGCCCCGTGAAATCCATTTCAGATTGCTGATCTCCATAACTGTGAAATAATAAATCTGTGTTGTTTTAAGCCACCAGAGTTGTGGTGATTTATTATCACAGCAATAGGAAACGAATACAGTAGGTAACCAACAGACATTTTAAATTCTTGAGTTTTGAAAAAGGCCTTAATACCTGTCTACTGTGATCCTTATCCTGAATTCCCCTTTTTATGACTTCTGTCAAAGGGGAAGCCTGTGGTGGGAATTGGGATTGGAAAGAAGAGTACAGCCAAAGGAAAATGGGAGATGAGAAAGCATAGGTAAGTATGCTTTATTTTGGAGACATAATTCATGTAACATTTCACCCATTTAAAGTATAGAGTTCAGTAGATTTTAACATATTCAAAGAGTTGTGCGACCATCACCACAATTGATTTGGGAACATTTCATCATTCCAAAAGGAAATCTACCTATTAGCAGTCATTCTCTAATCCCTCTCACCCCCAATTCCTGGCAACCATTAATCTACTTTCTGTCTCTATAGATTGATCTATTGTAGACATTTTACACGCATGGAATCATACTGTATGTGGCATTTTATGTCAGGCTTCTTTCACTTGGTATAATATTTTCAGGGTTCATCCATGTTGCAGCATGCATCAGAACTTCATTCCTTTCTATTGCTGAGTAATATTCCATTGCATGGATAGGACCACATTTTGTTTAACAATTCATCAGTTGATGGACATTTGGGTCGTTCACACTTTTGGCTTTTATGAATGATGCTGCTATGAATAATTGTATGCAAATTTTTGTGTGGATATATACTTCCATTTCTCTTGGCCGTATACCTAGGAGTGGAATATCTAGGTCATTTGGTGACTTTATGTTTAAACCTTTGGGGAGCTACTAGTCTGTTTTCCGAAGGAGCTGCACCATTTTCTTATACCTTCCCACAAGCAATGCATGAGAAACCATCATCCACAGGAATTCTTGCTGGCCTCTGAAAGTTAGGTAAAGGACATAAAATGCAAAATGTGGATAAGAAAGAGTGGCCTGGATGTTTTCAGAAGTAAAACAGCATCAAAAGAAACTTGGGTGACCAGTTGGCCTGGAAACTCTTGAATGATACCTGGATTTTTTTTTTTTCTTTCTGAGAAACAGTTCATACTGGCTAAAATCTATCGGCAAATGGCTGCAATAAATTATTTTGATGATTTTAGTCTGTTTGGTTTCTTTGCATTTCATTTGATTAGTTTTTGAGAAATTCTGATGACTAATGCCTCTGAAGAGCTTCTTGAACCACAACACAATGGGGCAGGACTAAGTGCTCCATATGAATAAACACATACTATTATTCTTAGTTAAAAATAACATCATTTCAAGTTGAAAAGCATTGTGCATTTTGGAATTTTCATTAATTTGTTAGGGTTGACATAATAAAGTACCACAGACAAGGTGGCTTAAACAACAGAAATGTATTCTCTCATAATTCTGACGGCTGAGAGCTGAATCAAGGTATTGGCAGGTGTTGTTTCCTCGGAGGCCTCTCTCCTTGGCTTATAGGTGGCCATCTTCACCACCTATGGGTATGTCTTCACATGGCCTTCCCTTTATGTGTATCTGTGTCTTAATCTGCTCTTGTAAGGATATCAGTCATGAGGGCCCCCCTTGATAACTTCATTTACCTTAGTTACCTCTTTTTTTTTTTCTTTCTGAGACAGAGTCTCACTCTATCACCCAGGCTGCTGTGCAGTGGCACCATTTCAGCTCACTGCAACCTCCTCCTCCTGGGTTCAAGTGATTCTCTTGCCTCAGCCTCCTGAGTAGCTGAGATTACAGGTGTGTGACACCATGCCCGGCTAATTTTTGTATTTTTAGTAGAGACGGGGTTTTGCCATGTTGGTCAGGTTGGTCTCGAACCCCTGACCTTGTGATTTGCCTGCCTCGGCCTCCCAAAGTGCCTACCTTAGTTACCTCTTTAAAGACCTTACCTCCATATACTGGGGGTTAGGACTTCAACATAGGAATTTTTGGGGGATACAATTCAGCCCAAGACAAAGTTCAGTATCATAAAATCATACTTACTATACCAAAGGGGTCTGGGCTAGTGGAGAAAACAGACTTTAAAAATCTATATTATTTTTACTGTGTGTCTTTAGGTAAAAGCATAAGCCTCAAGTCCTTATTAAACATGGAAAGATGTTTATTCTTGGTGCAAGAATGAAGGGTACTGTGCGACTTAGAGCAGACTCGAGAAAAGGTTAAGTGGATGGATTCTTAATTGTTCTTCTACCTTCCCCTACGTTTCCCCCTCACTCATTACAGTTAGGTATCAATATCTTCTTGCTGTAACCCTTCCATTAAAACCTGTTCTCACTATCTGCAACTTATTCATGCTATAATATGAATGTCCGACAACCACTTCAGGAGTTTTTTTCTGCTTAATGTTTTATTTTTCCAGAGACCCGAGCCTTAAGCCAAAGGAGTCATGCCTTAAAGGAATTTCAGAGATCAGTTAGGGGATGAAGAAAGTATTTCCTGAAATCCTTTTCAGTACCCTGGATATCACCCCACCCAGATAATTGCTTACTCACCCTTTTACAATGTCAGCCTTGATGATAACTCAGACGAAAGATGTACTTAATTAAAAATAAAGCCCAACACCAGAGAAAGATGTCTTGTAGACAAATTTTCTAGCCCTAGTGTTACCCACCTGTGTTGCTAATGATGGTATACTTTTTAATGTGAGTCAACACGTGCTGGCTCCCATTTTCAGTGTTCCTAGATTTTTATCTGCCTGCCTTATTTTCAGAGGAACTGGCCTAACATCTCATGAGTGTTGATACTATTAGAACTGACCAATATTTGGGTTGGTTGGGGGGTGGGGTGGGCCTGGGAGGCTGGCTTTCCTGTTGGTCTCTAGCCTGTAGAACTGTTGTTGTCGATCATGTAGAATGAAAACTCCAACTTTAATGGTGCTCATTACATCATTCACTGTCTGAAGAGCATGCACACTGTAAGTTACCACAAGAAATGATAGCCGAGGATGGAAGCCTGAATATATTTGATCTTCATGATTTCAGTGTCTGGAGTGATGACTAGATATCTTTGTACCACTTTCCTTTCTAGTGGCTGAAAAGGTGTCTGATTCAACAGAAAAGTCCTTCAAAGTTTATACAAAACAATTTGTCTCAGAGCTTCTTGATTATGTAAAGGCCTCTTTAGCTTTGAAATGAGAAAATAATCGGAATCTTCCTATTACATTCTGGGAAACATACTCAGAGACATAACAATTCAGGAGGAAAAAAGGACAAAATGCCTTCCCGTCTCACCAAAATTGAATTAAATAAGTGGAGCCTGGCAAAGGGCAGGCTTTATGTAGAAGTGATTTCCCCCTAGATCTAGAGATGACCTGATAGCCAAAGGTTGAGATTCATTTGATTAAAGCCTAAACTTCCATCTTTTATGTTATGAGTCTCTTTGAGATTTATAATCCTCATTTATAAAATGGGATTAATATTTTTACTTGTTAGTGTTACAACAAAATAAGATAATATAAGGTTTGTAAAGCACCAAGCACACAAATATTAGATTACTTTTCCTTGCCTTGGTAGCAAAACTCTCTAAAAAACTCACTTATTATGAACATGTTGAATTTGTTTGAAAAGTAGAAAGAGAATAGTAAGATGAACACAACTTAAGATGAACACACCTAGATTTAACAATTGTTAACATTTTACCATATTTACTTAATCTCTTTTTAGTTATTTTCTGAAGAATTTGAAGTAAATTACAGACATAACTTTATTTTAACTTGAAATATTTAACATGTGCCTTGAAAAATGAACATATTCCCCTATAACTACAGTATCACTTTAGTCTAACAAAACTGATAATAATTTCTCAACATCAGCTGATACTTAGTCTATATTGAAAATTTCCGGTGGTTTCCAAATGTCTTTCAAAGCTGATTTATTCAAGCAAGATCCTGATATGAGCATCTCATCAGGGAACTCTATTTTATCTCATTGCTGCCCACTAAGGGGGCCAACCTTGTTCTGTTGTTTACTAGTCAGCAGATCTGAAATTCCTCCGTAAGTCAGGCTAGGAACATACTTTAAGCTAACTCAATACACAAACTTAAAAAGATAAATTGTGCACAACAGCAAATGACTCATATGTTTTCAGGGACTGTTTGAAGACTTGAAGTTGTGGTCTTCCTTTTGGTACATCTCAGCGTGCAAGCATAGGTGCTTGAATGACAGGAAGATGATTAGTGATAGTGGGTTTGGGGTGATGCAAACAGGAAGAAAAACTCATTTACATGGGGAATCTAAAATAATTAAATGTACAGAAGCAGAAAGTAAAGTGGAAGTAGGAAGGGAAACTAAAATTCGGGGATCCCAGTGGAGGAGGTGGCTTTGCATGAGGATGGAATGGACTCATCAGTACCCCACATAGGTTTAACTTACCACTTATCATGGCTCAGTGGAAAGGCACAGATCTGGGTCCAGATCCCAGCTCCACTCTTCTAGCTGCATGACCTTGGGAAAATTACTATACATTTCATACTTTAGTTTTGTTTTTTCTTCTGTGTTGTGCTAATACTTTTGTCTACTTTCCATAGATGTTGAAGAGATTATAGCAGGTGAACATAGAGTTCTAGTTATATAGTAACCGCACATAAAAAGTATCTATCTATCTATCTATCTATCTATCTATCTATCTATCTATCAATCATCTATCTTCATTATTATTATTATTACAATACTTTACCTCCTATGGTGGTTGGTGCTTCCAGCTCTATTGATGAATGCATCCCACACACAATTGTGCTCAAAATGTCATGACCTAAAGTGAAATAAATACAGGAGACATAGAGACTTATCATAGGATAGGGGTTTTTTGTCATATTTCAAGCAAAGCAGTTCTCCCCTGATCCCTGTCCATCTCCTAACCCTCTTGGTCCATATGGAGGTACTGCAGCTCAAGGTCACAAGGCTATCCATGGCTGAAGCCTCTCTCTAACTCCCAGATGCCAAGACCTTGCAAAGCTCTGCCTCCTGCTGGCCCTACTTCCCAAGGTCAGTCCTGGACCTAGCCCGGTGGCCAGAGGGTCTTATAAGCACCCTCAGCTCAGCTCCAAAGAGAAAACTATCTCTCCCAACTACCTTGGTGGCCAAATTATCCTTTTCTAAAGCAGCTTTATTCCTATAGAATTTAGAAAGCAAAATACTTTTGTTTTCCCAGGAGAGAGGTTTTCACAACAGTGTTTGGCAGGTACTTGTCATTGCTCAAGGGTTGCTAGGAGACAAATGAAGGCTGGCTTAAGACAGTTGCAAAGCATGGAATTCTACTCTCTAGAACTGCAGTCTTGATTTCAAATTTTAGCTTGCATCTGAATCACCTGGGGGTAGTTAAGATTCAGGTTCCTGGGTCTCTGGGTCTGGGATAGCTTGTGTTTCTAATAAACCTTCTAGTATAGATGACCCAGGGATCAGGATCACACTTGGAGAAACATGGAAGCAAGTCAACTTGCCTAACAGTGAGTCTGTGGAAGTACCTCTCTGGCAATTGGTTTTCAGTGAATTGATTAAGAGCTGGGAAACATTTTCCTAAAGAAAATAGGGTCTTTTCAGCATGATTTCAGGGATATAGATCTCCACAGTCATTTATCAGTGCTGGAGTGGTGTTCGGGATTCTTTGCCTTTATTATCAAAAGCTTCTGTAGCCTGTTATCATTGACCTGATCATTGACCAGGTAGCCAGGAGAGGGAAGGAGGAGCTTTCTAGGCCATGGAACGTCACGTGAAAGGCCTGTGAAGGGAAACATATGAAGAGCTGAAGGATCTGAAAGGTATTCAGCAGGTAAATTAATATGATTTGGTGCTAGATTGGCTTTGGGGAATAGCATGGAAAAGATGATGCCCATGATGGGTTCTGGTTTCTGCTTATCCACCTGGTTGGTATCATTCAGGAAGTTAGGAAACACTAGGAGAAGAGTCTTGTCTTTTTTTATTGTTTCTTTGTCTGGAGGATTGGGAGATGGAAATGAGGATTTGGTTTTGGACCTGATTAATCTGAGATGCTTTTGAGATATCTAACGGAGATGATAAGTAGGCAGCTGGGCTGATGGGCATGGGGCTGGAAGGCATCTGGGTTCGACACAGAAAACTATGGGTCATGTGGGAATTGGTGGTTATGGAAGCTGTGGGTATGGGTGAAAATTTCCAGGGATAGTGTAGAGGGAGAATCATTGAGTTCTAATGATTGACCCTGAGGAATCTTAACAAGTAAAGTACAGGGAGAAGGGGAGGAGCCAGCGAAAGGAAGCCTGAGGGAAGCTAATTTTTCTCAAGTGAAAAGTTTAGGCATTAAAAGTCAACTGGAGGGGCCGGGCACAGTGGCTTATGCCTATAATGCCAGCACTTTGGGAGGCAGAGGCGGGAGGATCGCTTGAGGCCAGGAGTTTGAGACCAGTCTGGGCAACATAGCAAGACCTCATCTCTATTAAAAAAAATTAACTGGAAGAAACCAGTTGTTAGAAGGAGGTTGAATGTACTAGAGAGAGAAAGATTCCACATGAGATGTACATAGAAAGGCAGGAAGGATGGGACCTACAGCCCTGTGTTCCAAAGAGGTTATGGTGACACTGTCACAAAATATTTTGCTGAATATCTGTCAGGACACAGGTATTCTGAGAGTGTCACAGGGTTTTTGATCTCTGAAGGGCTAGTGTGCTTTGGCTTTGGCTTTCACGTTGACTCCTCTGCCTGGGGAAGAGAAGTCTCTATGTACATGCAAGAGCTGTGCATTTTTACAGAGACTCAGGGCTGAGAAGGGTTTCTGTGTGGGAAAGTTTATCTCCAACATTGCCTTCAACCAGGCTGGTCATGCAGTGTCCATAGTGCTCTGTGCCCTGACTTGGCTTCAAAAGGAATGGCCTGGAGAGACCAATACTTGTTTATTCTTTTCTATTTTCCTCTACTGAATTATGCAGCCATACAGGATTCCTATTATAAATTCCATGAATCAGCTCTTCCTAATGAAAGATTTTTGCATTTTGGGGCAATTTTTGTGGAAATATTTTGCAAAATGTGAAGTGACAGCTGCCTCTTGTCAGACACCCTGATTCCAGCTGCACTAGCAATTTGGGTTCCAGAAAGTTCTCAGACAGGAAGGAGTCATGCTATAGACACAAAACAACCCATACATTTAATTCCACTGGAACTGCATTTAGATCCTACGGTCATGCTAGAGAAAGTTTGTAATTCTGGAATGGTTGCTGAGAAAGACTGTTTCCAGATTTTTACGCATCTATTTGTAATTTCTTGGTACCGATGATCAGTTTAATGAATGTCAACTGAGCACTTTGTCCAAGTCCCTGGGTGGGAGACAGATGAACAAGGCATGGTCCACATTACCAGAGTGCTGGGGATAGATGGATTCACAGACACAAAGTCATCATCTCTGCAATACAGAGGAAACAAAATGAAATGAAACAGTAACACAGAAGCAGAGAAGGTGAGGGAGGTGATGGAGTGTGTTTGTGTGTGTGTGTGTGTGTGTGTGTGTGTATTTAAGGGTGACACTGGCAGAGCTAGGACAAAGGCTGGAACTGGAAAATGCTCATAGAGCAGATGACAGTCAAGTTGGATCTTGAAACATGGGTGGGAGTTTGAGAGGCAAAGATGGAGGGTGAAGTGGGGAAGCCAAAGTCAAACACAAGGTCTGTTTGGTTATATTTGCTGAGCAGAGCTGTTACTTTGTACCTCTCTAGTCCACACACCTTTGATGAATTCCCACCACTTGCAAAATAAAGCCTAACCCTACAGCCAGTTTGGAGTAGGGAATGTCTGGCCATGCAGTTGATCTTCATTTTGCAGGTAGTGGAGAGTTATTGAAGGAGTTTGGCCTGGAGAGGTCCGAGGTAACAGCTCTGCTTAGCAAGGTCACCAAGGGGAGAAGCAGAGGAGTGAGTTGCGGGGCAGAGAGGCCTGTTGGGGGGCTGTGGCAAAATCCTAGGTGAGAATCCATGAACAAGAATGAGAATAGGAACAATGGGACTGAAAAAAAAAGATGGCAGCTATGAGGGAAGGACATAGAAAGGAAAGGGTGAAGTCAACAATGAATTGGAATCAACAGACGTATTTACTCAGCAGAGACAGTTAATGTTTCTCCCCTACCCCTAATATTTCCTCTCTTCCTCTTCTTTTGTTATGGAAATACTAGCTAGGTACGTGGTTACTCAGGATAAAGACTACATTTTTTTCCAGCCTCCTTGCAGCAAGGGGTCTCTAGGTATCAAGTTTTGGCTAACAGGATGCAATGGGACAGTTTCTGCATGCTCTCTCTTCCTTCTCCCCCTACCCCCATTTCAATTCTTGGATGTGGCTGGGATGGTTGAAGCCCCTTCCAGTCATTAACAAGGGCTCTGCAGGACTGGTCAACAAAAGAGAAGGAGTCTTTGTCCCTGACACCATGGACCAGCCTGGTAAGCACCCAGACTTTTATGGGAGGAAGTAATAACTACGGTCTTCGTTAAGCTACTGTTATTTTGGGTTTTCAGTCACTCACAGGTAAACCTAATTTGAGCTGATATAAATGGTGACTGATTTTGGCTTCTGCTGACAAACCCAGAGACTAAAGGTAGGAGCCTGGGCCCCAGGAGAGGGGATGTTGGAAGGAACATCCCATTCAGGAGAGCAGGGCAGGTTCTGAGCACAAGGTAGCAGGCTAATGCTAAGAAGAAAGATGATCAGGAAGAACCTCTGCCCATGTGCTGTCTTTCGGCCCTGGTAGAGTTTGTCACATGCTAGAGTCCTTAGTTAGCAATGTCTTAGGAAGTGAAGGGGGATGCCAGTGTCCAGGCTTGGCTTTACAGAGAACAGGATGAGCAGCTTGGGCAGCCAGGAGAAGCTGTTATGAGTTGGCCAGGGATAAAGGACAGAGAGGGGGTATCTGGAAGAGGCATAAGAGACATCTTGGACAACATAAGCACTTCTGGGCATCCTTAGATGTATTTGGGAGGGTACTGATAATTTTGTCTTGCATAATGGGGGAGCTCAGATGGTCATCTTCCAAATATCAAAGGGGACAATTTGCATTTGGCCTTAGGTTAGAGGTTGGCCTAGGTGACCTCTAAAGCTATTTTCAAGTCTAAGAATCTATGATTCCATAAAACAATCAAATCACTAGCTTGATTTCCTAGTAGACATCATTCTTGTTTCCCCTCAACTGACTCTAGGCCAGAATCTTTTCTGCCAAGAGTAATGTGTTCAGATGGTGTGCATGTACTGGCCGGTGGGGCTAGGATAGTAACATTGTGATTGGGTTTTCAGTCCACTAAGGTCCTGCTAGTGCTGACCCTGAAATGGGACCAGACTTGAGAATCACCTGGGAGGAGGGCCAGGATGCGGATGGAAATGGAAGTCCTGGAAAGGAACACTGGGGTGAGTGCCAGGCCATACGATACTTATTTTTAGAAGGTGTAATGATCAAAAACAAATTTTTGAGCAGGAAGCATTCCAGGACTGGATCTGGGGGCTGGGATCCCAGGAGAAGGGAAGCCAAAGGGACAGGTAAGGTCCAATCTGATGTGGCTGGTGGCAGAGAGGGTGGCTTCACTTGGGGAAGCCTCTGTCTGTTTATTTTTTAATGTGCAGAAATGCTGAATGAGAGAGATATGATTTAAACTAGGGAATTGGAACTAGCTGCAGAAACTCCATTTACATGTCAACCAGTACCAGGGGGCACTGTGGAATGTGCAATGATGTGCCTTTTGCTTAATCTGTGCATATATTGTATCCTGAGACTTTCTGACACTGTAGAATATGCTTTCTTATGGAGAACTGGGTAGGCAGCTGGGGAGGAAGTTCCTGATTCCGGAAGCAAAGCTTCTGAAAGAGAAATGCCTGCTGCCCTGGGTGGCAGCTCTGGAAAGTTAGCCAAGTGGTGGCAAAACCAGGAGGGAGATTTCATCATGAGGACCAGATCTGGGTATATTTTATCTCCAAATTAATTAATTTATTCTTTTGTCATCTTATACCATCTATATATTTATATCATTCATGTACATCTTATATTTATTTTATTTACCATCACATAGCACTAAATCCTATATACTGCTTGGCACAAAATTGAGTCTGTCTATCTACCTATCTATCTATCATCTATCTGTTTTTGGAGGGAGCTTAGTTGATCACTTTTTTTATTTTTTTGGGATGGAATCTCATTATGTCGCCAGGCTGGAGTGCAGTGGTGCGATCTTGGCTCACTGCAAGCTCTGTCTCCCGGGTTCACGCCATTCTCCTGCCTCAGCCATCCGAGTAGCTGGGATTACAGGCACGCGCCACCATGCCCAGCTAATTTTTGTATTTTTAGTAGAGACAGGGTTTCATCATGTTGGCCAGGATGGTCTCGATCTCCTGACCTTGTGATCTGCCTGCCTTGGCCTCCCAAAGTGCTGGGATTACAGGCGTGAGCCACCGCGCCCGGCCTAGTTGATCACCTTTTAAAGATCGTGAGAGGCATTTTATATTCTGCTCCAGGTTGGCTTAGATGATCTGTAAGGACATCTATCAATTGATCACTGCTCCCCCTCATCATCTATGTCTAAAGTGTTTTTAGAAATAATCCCTTCAGCAAATGCTTATTCTGTCGCCTCCTCAGTATATTAACCCTTTGGGACAACTTGCCCAGAAAAACATTTCCAGACATATCTTACTCAGTAAACAGAGGGTTATGTTCTACGGATAGAACACTGTGAGCCCAGGCAGCTCTGCAATTGCAAAGAAAAAAGCCCTAGTCCAGAATTATTTTTAGAATGCAAGAGAGGCCAAATACATTGCTGTACTATATCAGAAAAAGGAAAAGTGGAGAGGGAGGGACACTATGGAAAAGGCAATGAGCATAAGAATGAATTTCAGGGAACCAAATCAGCATACAAATGGTGAGAGGCAGCCCCACTGGAATCCTTCATCCTGACAGGTCCCAAGGCACAAGCTGGGCACCTTCTTGAGGAATGAATCATTTCAGCCTGCAGTGGGGGGAGCTGGACAGCCAAGATCTGCCAGAGACAGATGCTTCTCTGCAAGTGAAGAGTGAGGGCACTGCAGCCAAGTGTCCCCGGAGCACAGTGTGGCTTTGCAGAGGGGAGAAAAGGGCAGGAAGCAGCACTGAAGGACCCTTTCCCTGGGAACAGGCACTTCCACCCATCTGCTCCCCGAGGTCTCTGAACATCCCTCAGGGGCTCAGTGGACTGGTGTGAACTCAACTCTCTGTATTTTCTTGTGGTAGCCTTGAGGTCTCATGCCTTTTGAACTCGTGGGAGGCAGTATGAAGTTGGAAAAGCATTTTTTTTTTTTTAAATGAGATCAACTCAGTTTGAATGCTGGCTCAGCCTCTTAGATGTAAGATCTTGGACTAGCTACTTAACCCGTGTAGGCCTCAATTTCCTTGTCTGGAATGTTGGGATATCTCCTAAGACAGTTACAGAGACTAATTAGTAATAAACAACAATACTTTTAGTGTTTTTGATCTATAGAGGATTCTCAGTAAATGTTAATCCTCTTCCCCTGGGACCATGTTTTAGACCTGGCACCTGTGGAATTTGTATGATTTTGTAATTAATGGCTACCCCACCTAAGATGGCACCAGCAATATGCCTAATGTCACTGGACCCAGGTGAAAACTGACCAGCTGAGAATGCTTCACAGCCTTCACCAGAGAGGGGACAGAGCCACCCGCTTAGGAATCCCTGACCAGACAACACCAGCTGTTTAGAAAATGCCCACCCTGTACCCTGCTCTGTGCTAGGGACAGTGAAATAAGTATACATAGCTATTTAGAAGAAGACTTCTGCCCTGAAGGCTTTATAATCTGGATGGGAGAGGAACTCTGACACTTGATAGATTAGAAGCTCTGAAACTTAGAAACAGACGTACAACCCCAGACATGGTCTACATTGCAGAGTACCTGAGGGACTATGACGTTCTGGCCAAGAAATTCTCTTTTAATGCAGCAAAAGATGGCAGTGTCCCTAGGGCTGAAGCATCTCATGCTGAATTAAACAGATTGAGAAGGACTGATAAAAACAAATAAGAGCTAGTATTTCTTTAAGGGGTTTTTTGTTTTTTTTTTGTGTGTGTGTGTGCCAGGCCTTGTACTAGTCACTGTACTCGTTCATCTTTATTGCAGCCTGACAAGGATAAGTAATATTAACCACAGTTTAGAGGTGCAGGGCTGGATGCTCTGGGAGGCAACCCAGCGTCACAAGGGAAGGGCCAAGATTCAAACCTAGATCTTTCTGACCCTAAAACTCGATGTTCCTTTGACTATGATGTGCTGCCTCTCACAGAATTAGGCAGCACATCCCTAAGAACTGCTGAGTAGGTAGCATTTCCCCTAAGAACTCTCAGACATTCGTTTGGAGTGAGGACACCCAACCCTGGTAGAAATATAGCAAGTGGCTCATTACAGCATCACAGGTAGAGGGAGGGAGTTAGGAAGGTTGAGTTGAAAGCACCCCTACCAGTCTGCTCCTCTCTGCAGAGTGCAAACGCTCCCCACCACAGCCAGCTCTGGGTCACTTCCTTGGCTCTGAGGGGCAGAGGCTGCCTGGCAGGTGCTCTTACCTCTCCTGGGTCCCCAGAATGAGGTGCTTTCCTCAGGGAAGGACTATTGCAGCCAGGTGAGACAGATGGAAAAGGGGAGCACTTTAGTCCCGGGTCCTTGTTCTAAGTCTTCCCTTTCCTGACTGGTCACTGAACCATCCAGGCCTGAAAACTGGGTTAGTTTTACCATCTCCTTCCCAGGGTTTTGAGGGAGTAAGGTAAAGTCCTAGAGTGAGAGAGCTCTGTAAAGTGCTGCATCCATGCCGGGTAACATTTGACCATTTGACACATAGCACTGTGGTGGGTGAGGGGTAGCTTTTTTTTTTTTTTTTCTTAAAGTGTAGGTTCTTAAATTCTCACTGAAAATAGACTCGAAACTACATTCTTGGCAGAGTACGAGAGAAAGGCCTGACTGAAGCCATCAAACTTCTTTCAGGGAGCTGTTGGCTGCAAGGAGAGCCTCAGCTGAGGACAGTGTCTGAGAGAATAACCTCCTCAGGCCCCGCGGAGGGACGGATGCGTGCGGGTCACAGCCAGCCATTGCTCAGAGCAGCGTGGGCGGCCGGGAGGGCCCACACAGCACTTGACTGCTGCGCTGCAGCCATCATTCCCAGCAGGGCATCTTCTCACTCCACTTGTCTGGCATCGGCAGGGCTGCACAGAAGCCCAAAGATTGAGCCAACTGGGGTGGCAGAGAGGAGCAGTAAGAACGGAATGAAAAAAAAAAGAAAGAAAAAAAACAACCTCCAGCTAAATGCTATCCTACCATGAAATATCAGACTTTTCCCTCAAACCCTCGGTTCCCCTTTCACCAATCCCAAGCAAAATAATGGACAAGTCTGATTCTGTAGCTACAGCAGACACATGGTCTGGAAATGGGGGCTGTTACCTCCATTTCAGCCCTGGGTACCTGGAGGGTGGGGAGGGAGGCCGTGGACTGGATCACTGGGCTGCTCCTGTCCTTTACTCGGGGTGGAGTTTCTATCCGGGGTCTGGGTTGGCCCTGCCTTGGTTAGTCCTGGAGAACTGCAGCCTCCTCAGTCTTGCTGCAGATGTCAGGAGCATATTTTATAAAGATTGGATTCTCTTGCTTTGATCTCCTTGGGAGGGAGGATTGGTGGCCCCAAATCTGAGGATACTTCTCCTTTCAGAACTTGAAATCTGAAGGGATCAGAGGAGTTCCAGGGTATTCCATAAGGATTTGGATGGGCTTTGGGCTTCCGTTCCAGCAATTAACCAACCTAAGGAAACTGCTTAGGGTCTGGGCCTTTGCAGGAAAATCAGATTCCAGAATACGGAGGGTGAACAATCAGGACTCAGGCCACTACTCCCAATCATGAGCCTGTGGTAGTCAATGCCAGTCAACTATGATACTCTCTGAAACTGAGCCCAGTCTCCTTGGCATTAATCCCAGCACTTTGGGAGGCCGAGGTGGGTGGATCACAAGGTCACGAGTTTGAGACCAGCCTGGTCAACATGGTATAACCCCGTCTCTACCAAAAACAAACAACAACAACAACAAAAAAACTGGTCATGGTGGCTTGTGCCTGTAATTGCAGCTACTTGGGAGGCTAAGGCAGGAGAATCATTTGAACTCAGGAGGGAGGCGGAGGTTGCAGTGAGCTAAGATGGCACCATTGCACTCCAGCCTGGGCAACAGGGCGAGGCTCCGTCTCAAAAAAAAAAAAAAAAAAAAAAAGAAAAAAGAAGTCTTTTCAACAGAGAACTCTCTGAAAGTGTTACCATTTGTCAGGAGCTGTCACTTGAAATTCATTTTTTCATTCAATCGTGTGACAAATATTTACTGAGCTTTTACTTGATGTCAAATACGGCAGTAAGCATTGGAATAAAATTCTGGGTAAAATCAGAGAGTATTCCTGCTCTGCAGAGCATAAAGTTCAGTGGGAGAGCTCAAATATATCAACAAATGTAAAATTGCAATTGTGACAAGTATGTGTTAAGGGAGAAACATACAGTGCTCATAACCAAAAGATTTCACCTGGCTGGGGAAATCAGGGATGAAGGGATAGCTGAGCTGAGATCTGAAGGATGAGTAGGAGTTAACCAGGTTAGGTGGAGGTGTGGGTGGAGGAGCTGTGGGTGGAGGAGCACTTCAGGCACAGGGAGGAGCCTGTACACAGCCTGTGGTGGGAGGGAGGCTGCAGAGTGTGAGGGCTGAGCACAGATGAGGCTGGAGAGGCAGATGGAGCCTGTGGTCTGGGCTCTCTGAGCCAAGTTAAAGGGGTTTTGCTTTTATCCTGAGAGCAATGGGAGGTCACCAGGAAGGTTTATGTAGTGACAATGTGTGTTTTGAAAAGACCACTCTGGATAGAGTGAGTGTGCAGAATGAATTGGAGGAACTCATCAGGAATGTGGGTAGATCAAGGTTCTAGGTGACGATGTTACCTGCATTTTGTATGGTGGGTTGTGTTCAAAAGAATCTGGAAGTCACTGCTCCAGAGACTTCTAAGGAAATGGATCTGTTCTGGGGTTCTAAGCCAATAGGAAGGAACTCAGCACTGAATGGGGAGGGACTAATACCTATCAGATGATGACTGAATCATTAACTGCAGTCCTGGGGCCTTGGCCATGGGTGGCTGAAGGTTTTCCAGGGTGGTTTCACATTTCTGGGCTCAGAGACAAGTAAGCACCTCAAGCATCTAAGTCAATGCTGGAGCCAGGATTTAAATCCACATCTCCCAAATCCCAGGCTTGCTACCTGCAAAAAAGGGAAGAAGACACAAGTAGACAAATTTGCTTTTTTTTTTCTGGAGACAGACTCTTGCTCTGTCACCCAAACTGGAGTGCAGTGGTGTGATCTTGGCTCACTGCATCCTCTGCCTCCTGGGTTCAAGAGATTCTCCTGCCTCAGCCTCCCAAGTAGCTGGGATTACAGGCACGTGCCACCACACCTGGCTATTTTTTTTTTTTTTTTGTATTTTTAGTGGAGATGGGGTTTCACCATGTTAGCCAGGCTGGTCTCGAACTCCTGGCTTCAAGCTATCTGCCTGCCTTGGCCTCCCAAAGTGTTGGAATTGCAGGCGTGAGCCACTGTGCCCAGCCCAAATTTGCTTTTGAGGGCTCATGACTGCCACACGGGGCCCATCCCTGCAGAACATGTTCACTGCCTAAGCTGTCATGGGTTGGCAATGACTGCATCAGGTCCAAGGCTTCTTTTTGTCTCCATGAAGTTCTTTTCCAAAGTCTTATTGGACCAGTGACAGTCTGCCCCATTTCAAGAGATTTCTAGGAATGAAGGCTCCTGAATCCTGTCTTTTCTACATTTCCTGTGTTGGGCAAAGACTTTATTAAGATGCTCCCATCCTGCATCCTTGTACCTGTGGATCAAGCTCAGGATCAGGGGCTTCTGAGAGTATCAGAGCTCAGACATTTGGGATAACGACTGTGTTCCAGGCACCCTGTATTTAGAAATCTGACAAAGAGTGATGATATGAGCTGTGGAGAGCTGGTTCCTTGGGTTGCCACAGAAACCAAATCGAGCTGAATTTAGCATTAAATTACAGGGTACTCACAGAGATGGAGTCAAACATTTGTCTACTACTGCTTTTTTCTTTTCTTTTCAAATTGAACCTTCCTGGCAAGTGGCAAAACACCTGTTAAGTTAAATGGGGGCAGCAGGTTGTGCTGTGCTAAAGGTGTGGGTGTTCTGGAAGCTTGATAAGTGGCAGGGACTTAGCTTTTCACCCAAAGCAGGATTGTTGCCCAAGCATCTCCCTCCAGGTCTAGGCTCCTTCTGAGGAAGGAGTACCTCGAGAGGATAGCACAGATAATTGAACAGAGTCTGGAGCTATGGGTTCCAATACAGTTGTCACTAGCCACTTGTGGCCACTGAACACTTGCATTGTGACTAGTTCACACTGGGATGTGCTGTGAACATGAAACACAGGCCAGATGTCAAAGACCTTGCATGACAAGAACAATGTAAAGTGTCCATTAATTTACAAATATTGATTGCATGTTGAAATGATAACAGTTTGGATATATTGGGATAAATATGATTTGGTATTGAAATGAATTCCTCCTGTTTTTTTAATTATTTGTAATATTGTTACTAGAAAATTTAGCATTATATTTGTGACTCACATTGTATTCCTATTGGACAGTCCTGGTTCAGACACTGTTGTTCTGAGGCTGGATTGATTTTCCATGAACTGAAGAAGTTGTTTAACCTTGTGATACTTCAGATTCTTGATCTGCAAGATGGCAGTATTAATGCCATCCCTAGCTTCTTCATAGACTTGTGTTGGAGATTCGATGCTGATGTGGGCTCTGTAATGCACTTTCCTAATTTCCCTTTTAAGGACGAGGTACTCACTCCCCCAGCTGTCAAAGTGTTGGCTGCTGAGGACTCAGCCAAGTCCCTCTTCAGGCATTTACTGTGGCTGAAGAGAGCCACCCATGATGAGCTGGGCTCTTTTAGGTGAGTCTCTAAGATGCAAGTGGTTCATTCAGTATGAAGTACAAGCAGAGCCAGAGATCACCAGGAGCTATATGAGCAGGTGGCTCAGACCCCCACATCACCACTATTGTTTCCTCTCCCTCAGCAAGTACCCATGCCTATGGCTGCAGTGGAGGCTCCCTGATGAACAGCTGAGAGAGGAGAAAAAAGGTCAAGATGGATCACAGATGGGTTGGCTTTGTATGTGGGTTCCAGTTTCAAAATGGACTGCTATGAACTAAAGTTCCACTTGAGGGTGTCCCTGAAAGAGAGAGATGAGAGGAAATTCTCTCAATATGCAGAGCTTTGGAAGGTAGACCTAGTCATTCTTCTGTATGGAAAGAGAAGTGGATTAAAGTACAAATATATATTGGCTCATGAGGAACAGTGAATGGCTTGGCTGGTTGGTCAGGGGCCTGGAAAGAAAAAGATCAAATGGCCGGTGTCAGGGGCTGGGGAAGAGCATGGGGATGGGCAATGGGAGTGAGAACAAAGCACTGGAGTCTATGTATTGCATGTTAATGCCACCTGACAGCAGCTATTGTGGAAGAGGCACCAGATAACCACATAGACCGAATGACTTTGCCAGTTGACATCAGCCAGTCTTAGTCTTCAGCCATTCCAGTGTCTGAGCAATGGGTATGAAGGTAGAACAGCCATGGTATTAAGGATTCAGGTGACAATGTGGTATACCCTGTAAATCAACCACCACTGTAGGGGGCTGTGCTGCAAAGGGTGGAATTAATGGGTCCTGGAATTGAGGGGTGAATGTGGGAGTGGCCCTGCTTACCATCCCTCCCAGTGACTCACGGTGGATCCTGTTGCTCTCCATCCCCCCAGCAGACTCTGTGGGTCTAGAGGTGCTGGTTTCCAGAGGGAGAAGGCTTCCATCCAGGTATATGATAAGGGCCCATTATACTTTAAGCTGTCATTGCCATCTGTCTCTTCTAGCTCCTTGTACCAAGATATTCAGCAGGCAGGGAAAGGAATCTCCAAACCAGCAGGAGCCATTGGCCCTGATATCAGCAGGATATCAGTGCTGCTGTTATTTAAAGAGGGCGGGAGATAACCTGTTTGGCATTCAGGGGCTACATTGGGGTGTCTCTTGATACTCCCCTGCCCAATTTGAGGTAAATGTACAAATGTAGCAGCTACGGCCAGAGAACAGTGTGGTGACCAGGGGCTCAGTGTCCTCAGTGATGAGGGCTCGAGTCACCCCACCAGACATGTAGGCCAGCAGAAGCGTGGGCCAAGGGTGAGAGGACTCTGGAAAGGATAGTAGAGGAGGGGCAGCGTAAGACTCAGTGGCAGCCTCAAGATCAGAGCAGTAATGGCGATTGGTCCTATTAGTATCCCACTGAGAATTTCCCCAGGTGAAGAGAGCAGCCAGAATAACAGTGAAGTTGCTCCCAGAAAGGGCACACTTGGGCTGTGAAGCAAGTGAACTGGTGGTGCAAAGGGTGTGCTGTCCAGATTTCCCACACAGAACCGAGCTACTTGTCCCCTGACTGCTGGGAGTATTGATGGATGGCCAACGGCTCTCTTCTGAGTCCGTCTATAAAGATTACCCACAGTGGTTGGTGTGGAATACAAAGGCCTGGTTCCTTTGTCTTGATTCAGGACAACCTTGTGGCACATCCCAGCTCCCGGGCTTCCTGTAGGATTCATCTTCTCCTTCTGCCCAATCTTACTCCTCTCACTCCCTTAAAGATGTTATTTCTGAGAGTACTCCCCAGTAAACATCCTGCATACAAATCTCTGTCTCAGAATACGTTTCCTCGACCACCTAACCCAAGAATGATGTCCCAGTCACTGTATGGTGCAAAGCATGCTGAACTCGGCCTTGGAAGCTCTAGGTTCTGGTCAGGGCTCTGCCCTTTCATGGGTTGTCTGGCTGGCCCAGGTTCCCCATGTATGAGTTGGGGACAGCAAGGAAGGAGTTTGGACCAGGTGATCGAAGATCCCTTCCAGCTGTGACTTTTCATATGTGTGAAATGGACAGGGAAGGATGAGTTACATGAAAAGCTGGAATGATCTTTGCGAACCCTTCAGATGTCCTCTACATGTACAGAAACTAAGCATCGCAAGGGTGATGTGATTTTTTTCATGGCTTCCCTGCTAGAAAGCAGCAGAGCTGAGATTTGGACCCAGACTTCAGTCTGCCACGTTGTCTGGGTATATCCCCTTCACCATCTCTGAATCTGTAACATCACTGATTAGGGGCAAGGTGCAACAGTGGGTAGGACAGAATTTGAAGGTTGTTTAGAAGGTTCTGGTCAACCAGCTGCCCCTGCTGCATGTCTCTGGATTCTGTTACCCAGCAGGCAAGGCAAGCAGTCACTACACTGGCAGGGGTCATTCACCCTGAAAACAAGGAGGAAATTCTGCTATTTACTTACCTCAGATTGCTAGGATGTTATAGCCTTTGTCCTAGGACAGTGTTTCTCAAACTTCAACATGCAAATGAATAGCTGGGATCTTGTGAAAATATAGATTCTGATTCAGGAGGTTTGGGGTAGGGCCAGAGAGCTTGTATTTCTAACATGCTTCTAGGTATGGGTGCGGCTGGTCCTTTGACCACATTTTGAGTAGCCAGGGGCTAGAGTGCAGCTCGCAAACTCTGGGTGCCTCAGAAACCCCTGGGAACCTCTTAAAACTACTCATCATCATAGATTCAAATTCAATAGTATAGGATGAGCATCTCTAATTTTAACACACTCTCTAAGTAATTAAGGTAACTGCCAACACTTGACAACTATGGTTCTATAGCAGTGACCTTCACAGTTGCAGCCAACACTTGTGTTCCTGAATAAGCTGAACAGGTATCACACTACTGCTGCATGAGGAAGGAGACACAACTCTAGCCTGAATCACTGGGGACACAGGTGCTGAAATACACTGAGTGTTCAACATGGGCTAGGCACAGATGACCACAGAAAAAACCCCTGGGACTTGCCAAAATTACCCTAAGAGGGTTATAGTTTTATGAAAACAATCAAAATACAGAAATAAAATTTGTGATTACTTATAAAACTTATTTCCAAGGTAGTTGTAACCTGCATAACAAGGAGCTTTATGTCTATCTCAAGGTTGATGGGCAGTCGATGGGTTACTTGTGAGTTACACGTGAGGCCATTTCATGGTTTTTGCAACTCTGGCAAAATTGAGATTGAGATTGTAGACTTGGGATGCAGGAGCTGAGGGTCCTGCTTAAAAACACATTGCTTCATTCCCTGAGCTTCATTCTAGGGCTTGTCCAAGATGCCAATCTAGTTGGCATCAGCATTTTATACATGGCTTTCTTAGCCCATTTAGGGTGTGAATGGGTTCTTCGGTGACATTGGGTGGAGAAAAATAGACCTACCTTCCCTAACTGTCTCCAGGTGGCTCACCTGCTAACCTGCTTCTCAGAAAGACCCCCTTTTTCACCTCCCTGCTCACTACCAGCTGCCTGGCGAATGGACGTCCTCAATGCTTGGTAAGGGAGAAGGTTCTGCTGCCTCAGCACAGGGTGGGTTGGGCATGAGAGTGAGTAATGGAATGTCCCCAAGAAATCCACCCTCCCTGCCAAATGTGCGTGCCAACTTACACCTACGGAGAGTCTGGTTGCCTTTGCTTGTTCATCAGAAGAAAATAAGATGAACCCTGAAGGGAGATGCTGTTGGCAGGACAACCACCATGGCAGGCGTGGACTTCCCACAGGGCCTCTCAGTGCTAGGGGCTGGGGAGAGCAGTGCTGTCCTCAGGCAACCGACCTAGGACCTGCTACAGAAAGCCTCCTCTACTTGCTGGATTTACAACCCCAAGCAATTACTGCAAGTTGGGATAGCACAGGAGTGCAAGAGGCCTTCAGCACAGGCAGCCTGCAAGGAGAATGGAAGGCAAAGGGGTGGATTAATGGAGCCGAAGTCAGCCAGGACAGCAGGACTGGCCCCGTTCTCTAATGAGAGAGGTGGCCCAGATGCCTGTGGACAAAGCTCCGTGGATGGGACCTGGAAGCAGAATGGAAGGCCTGGGTTTTGCTTTATGGCCACCTTTTTTTTGAAGTGAAATGATGAGATCTCTGGACTCTTCTCTTTCTCTCCCCCCGCATCTTTTCAAGGCATCTTTCCTCCTGGTACTCACTGGCACATCCCCCACAGTATTACTCCTTATACTTCAGCTGAGCCCCTGCTACTTTCCTTGAAGATTTTTGTCCTTTATGTTCTATTCTCTTGTCATCAGGTTTGTTTTATGAAATAAATTACCTAATGAATTAAATAACCATCGACCATGGACTTAATTTTTGCTATATACCACTCTGGGGATTAAATGACCTCATTTAATCCTCAAATAAGGATTTTCCTATGAGTAAACACTTTTATTCTGGCCATTTTACAGATGAGGAGGATGAGGCAGACTGGTTATGTGACGGTCTGTGGCTGTGGAGCCTCCTCTGGTGGAAATCGTGGCACTGGTTTTCCTGTCCTTAGGCTGTAAAGTTGCAGCTCCACTCTCAAGTTTCTTTTTTTGGGGGTGGGATGAGAGCAAAGATAAGTAGAGTTCACAATTGAGTATTTTCTTTTGTTTCAGGAGATAATCATTCAGAAAAATCTCAGGAAACTTTGTCAATTGCAAAAACTGTTGTATTTGTTATCTCATCTGTTTGCTGGTAGTGATTAGAAATAAAACTTTTGAAATATTAAGGGCTGATGTAATTTTTTTGGGGGGGTGTTGAACAGGAAAGAAGATACTAAGCGAGAAACCAGAGAGCTTGTGTCCTTTTCAGTCATTCTTGGGGAAACAGGACCCCTAAGAGAGCAGTAGATGATGACAGCTTTAAAAAGACCAGGAGAGTGGATTTGATTTCTGAGGCCCTTGAGAAGAAATAGGGCATGGGGAGCTAAGTCCCCAGATGCTTAACTAGCAGGAAGTCCTCCAAAAGGCTGCAAGAATTAATCAGGTATTGGCCTCCTTTCAAGAGACTTGGGTTCTAATAGGGGAGCTAACATTTGAACATATACAGCTATACTACAAAGGATAATGTGGAAGAGAGAGGGGACTGTAGCTGGGATCATAGTGGGTGAGATCAGCAAAGCAGTAGTGAAGAAAACTCTGTTGCAAAATTTCTACTGCGGGCAAAGAGAAAGAAATCTGAAATGCATAAATTCGATCCAGCCTTTACTTGGCGTGGGAGAAGTCTGTGTTGGGTCTAGAACGGGGCCGCTGTGTGACCTTGAGCATGTCTCTTTACATTCAGATCCTCAGCTGAACGACAAGCCTCTAAGGCTTCCATCTGTTCTAAGCTGGAGGGGAGAAATGAAACTGTAAGAAAGGAGAAGGATGCGTGCTGCAGGGCTTGTCCAGGGTTTTCCTGGGAGAGTCACTGGTTCACAGTGTGACATGGGGTATCGGTACGAATTTCATAGGTGCCATTTTCTCCCCTCGCTGTGGAGAGCGGATCTCTTTAGGCACTGAGCCGCTTAGAACATCACTGCGGTTTTCAAAGAAATATGGTCTTGCAGTCCAGAGACAGGAGGTGGCGCTCTTTCTCCTGAAACAGATTGATGTCTGCAGCTTGGCTTGCAGACTGTGCGGGGGATGCAAACTGAATAAGATCTCTGCAGTCTGAAGGCATCCAAGGAGACCTGGGCAAAATGGCTGGTCAGGACTGCCTGCCAAGTATAACTATTCCCTCACTTGAATGCGCCCTAGAGGCGCCAGCTGTGCTTGGGCTGCAGCACCGACCAAGGTGAACACACACAGCCTCCTTTCCACAATTTTACCGTTAAGTTGCTGCATTTGCAAAGGAAAATCTTCATTGTCACAAATGATGACTGTATCTGTCTGGGCTTTAGATTGTGATAGGGAAGAGCCTCTCCATCTCTTTTGTATGATAAGTATACTTATCACTTATTACATGGGAAGGTGAGCGGTCCAGGGTCCTCCCTGCCATTTTAGGTGAGACAGCATCCCAGGAGAATGAAGAAAAAAAAAAAAAAGGAAAAAAAAAAAAGCAGGATCTGGGAGAATGTCTTACCTGGAGGACCTGGCTTTTACCTGGGAGATGTTGCAACTTCTCAGTGAGGAAAAACCTGACATTAGCTCTCCTTTGAAGACATTAAAGAAAAGCAAAAACAAAACAAAACAAAAACAAACGAACAAACAAGAAAACAAAACCAAACAATTTCATAATGAAGTGAAAAGATCACTGGATTGGAATTCAGGAGTCTAGTAAGGCCACTTACTGGCTGTGAGACTTAGTCAGGTCACTTACCTCTGGTCCTCAGTCTCACTTTGATTTTCAGTAGTTATTGATTACTACTGAAAATCAAAGTGAGAAAATTACTACTATTGATTCAGTAGTTATTGATTAATATCTCTTCCAGCACCACATTACATAGCATGTATATGTGTGTGTGTGTGTGTGTGTGTGTGTGTGTGAGAGAGAGAGAGAGAGAGTGAAGAGAGAGAGAAGAGAGGCAGGCTATCAAATAGAATAGCTTTTGGGGGGAAATTTGTATAAGGCAAGACAGAAACATACATTATTGGGGACTGAGGAAAGCCTTTCACTTTAATTTCCATTTCAATCATTGAAGCTCATAGTGACCATGCCCAGTGAAAAAGCCATGCCATTTTCTTCTTCTGGGAACTGAGATAGATCCCTCAGAAGTATCACAATCAATATATACATATGTACCTATGATCTCCATTCAGTTGCTAGAACGGCTGTGTGCCTTCCATCGAAGCCTCTCTTCTGGCTTCTGAGGTGGGGGGCAACTTCAACAAATCAGGTTCCAATGGGGAGAGAGAGGGAGCTCTTCCTTTGCTCCTGGGGCACTGGAAGCATGTGGTAGAGGTGAGGAGGGAGGAATCATGGTGGGGGCAGGAGGTGGTGTTCCAGGGACATGGGAGGAAACTGCAGTATTGCACTCCTACTTGATGGGCTTGGCCATTCATCAGCCATCACCAGCTGTCAACATGAACTGAGAACCTCCTGTGTGCAGGCTAGGCACTGGGGATGCCTCTGGAACCCCACGCAGTCTTTGCTGTCAAGGAGCTCACTGTCTCATCAAAAGAGAATAGATAGAGTCTGTTTTCCCTTTAGCCTGAACAAGCACATTTAGGCCCTAAGGGCTCAGAGGGCTCTCCTTCCCAATCTTCCTACCCCCTTGCCCAAGGTTTGGCTAGACACAGTCAGTAATAAAAAGGATGCTTTTCAGACCAATGGATGCAGCTTTGCATGTGCTTTGCCCAGTATGCAGATGGCTGCCAGGCCGCCCTATTGAGGATTCTGTTTGCGGGAATGTGCTCTGTTTCCTTAACTGTAGGCTTTGGGGACCAGAAGTGGCCAGGGGCTTAAAGGCAGCTGAAGTGAAGCAGCTCTTCTGCACACTCATCAGCATCAGGCTTCAAGCTGCAGTGAGGCATGGACCTGAGATAACTGCAGTGCCCCAGGTGGGATGCTGCAGTGTCCTTGGGAATACCCGTGGCTGCTGCAGGACACACTGAGCACAGTGGGCCACGGTTGGGTCTGAGCTGCCAGCTGCAGGGTGAGCTGCTGACTCACTGCTGCAGCCATGAGACCTTTAGCCACTGGAACAGCACGGGGAATTCTTTCTTACTTTAAAGGAGTATGTGATGGAGAGGAGGTCAATGGGATGATAAGTCAAAGTGTGAGCCTAAAAAGCAGCTATAAAAATTTTCATAGAATTCTTGGGCAGAAATGTTTTTATCAGCCTTGGAAGAATGCAGTCATATTGGGGAAGTTATTCAGTCAGTTGGTCAGCATGTATTAAACACCCATCGTGTGCCTAGCGTTTATTGTGTGCTTAGATTATAAGGGGTAAATGAGGAGTAGAAGATGTTCCTTGCCCCACTTGGGGATTATGATAAGACTGGCACTTAGAGAGCCTTATTCTGTGCCAGACACAGCATTTGACGTGCGCTAGTTTATGTAATCTCACAGTAACACCATAAAAATTATAGGTATTTTAATTTATTCTACTGTAAGTTGAGAAGTTAGGATTTGAACCATGTCAGTTCAAAGTCAGAGCTCTTTACCACCATGCAATTATGTTGTTCGAGAAGTGCACACAACTGGAGAACAATACAGGGGGATTCATGGTTAAGTGCTAAATCATATTTATAATACAAGCATTTATGATGAGTCCAGAATAAATCCCTATCAATCTGCAACCCTGGGTCAGCTGAAGTGTGTAGATTTGCTTATGTTTAAGCAAATATTGAGCCTGCAGAGCGAGTTTTTGAGAAGGTGGAGGGTCAGAATGAGCACTCGTAAGGTCAGGGAGTGGCAGCTGTGGGTACCATCAAAGGGATAGCATCAGGTGACCTGCTGTGAGTCTCAGGCCACTGCGTGCCCAGAATGGTCCTAATTGTTGGGGAAAACACAGAAAGATAATTACACATATTTTTGCCCTTTGAGAATTCAGTCTGGTTGGATTTACCTGATCAATTAATCAACTTAGGAACTATTAGCAAAATAAGAGGAGAATGAGGTTCATAAGGAGTTGAAGAGGGCCCATGACCATCCCATTCAGTCTTTAGTGGGTCAATATTTGTGTTAGCAAGGAGACCATGAGCCTTTTAACAGATGATACTGACAAAGACTCAAAAGCTCTTAAATGTTCCTGTGGAGATACTGACTATACATCTGTGGCAGAGCTGACCAGAGCTACCTAAGCCCTCTGGTTTCAAGGATGAGAGATAATCCTGGGCAGCTGTCAGAGAAAAATCTCTCATGAAACTGATGAAATGCCTTTGTCTTTTGGCTGGTAGAGCTGATTTTTCCCGGGACACAAATGTGCCAACTCTCTGACCCAAAGCCCAGTGTCTCATACACTTCTCGGGCACTCATTTGGGCTCATGGATTTAGGTTACAGTATCTCCTTGTCTCTCTTTCTCTAGTATTTAGCTAAGGTAGTGACTGATACTATTGACCTGATCCTACTTCTGCTTTGCCCATAGTTATTAATTTTTTTTGATCCCTTTCAGGGACTCTATAGACTTTAGCTGGCTGGCTGAGTTCTGATGGGGGTTTTAGAAGCTTAAACATTGTGAGGAAGATGAAGAAATGAATAAGATCAGGTAAAGATACCTTCCTGGACAATATCCTTTGGCGGAATGCCAGAAAAGTAACAGATGAGTTCAGGAAGACTTCAAGGGCAGCATCTGAGACCCAGACCAAATCAGGGTCCCGGAAACCATGGAGAAAGCAATTTCCGTGACAGCCAAGCAGAAGGAAACTTATCAGCTCATACCTGAAAGAAGTTGCTCTGGCACTGTTTTATGGGAATGGAATTATTAAGAAGGTGGGGGTGGGTGGTTATGGGCAATGAAGAATAGATCAAGCAAAAAAATTTGAGTTGAGGCAGGGATAACCAGAGAAGACTGATAACCATGTTGACTAGTCCCAAGCTAAAGAGAATGCTGAGGCTTAAATTACAATGATCAAGTTATGTTTCTTCTATTGAAAGGTCTCTATTCAGAGAAAATAAAGTTGTTTTTGAACTGGGAGTACCTGGCTGTACCTGTTCTGTACTGAAAGAGACCGAGCGAAGTGGATTAACACAGAAGAATAAAGGGGAGAAGCCAGGGCCCAATAACCTGTTATTTCAAAGTAAAACCACCGCCTTTGCGTGGTGGTGATGTAGGATTCTTTCTGTGTGGTTAGACTCACTGAGCAGCTTTCTCTTTGGGGCTCTCCTAGGCCTATTTCCTGGTGCAACCAGTGACTGAGTGAGACCCATATTCCGTGGTAGCTAAGAAATGGCTCTGGGCATGGGCTGGAAATAGAGATACTTAGAAAATTGTTAATTTCTCAGCTGGGGGTGGTGGCACATGCCTGTGATCCTAGCATTTTGGGAGACTGAGGTGGGCAGATTGCTTGAGGTCAGGAGCTCCAGCCAGCCTGGCCAACATGGTGAAACCCCATCTCTACTGAAAATACAGAAATTAGCCAAGTGTGGTGGTGCATGTCTGTAATCCCAGCTACATGGGAGGCTGAGGCAGGAGAATTGCTTGAACCCAGGAGGCGGAGGTTGCACTGAGCTGAGATCGCACCACTGCATTCCAGCCTGGGCGACAGAGTGAGAGTCTGTCTCAAAAAAAAAAAAAAAAAAAAAAAAAAAAAAGAAAGAACGAAAAAGAAAATTGTTAATTTCTTCAATGCAGGGTTGTGTCTCACTCATCTCTTTATCCTCGGCACCTAAGAAAGTTCCCAACACATCATAGTAAGCCAGTTATATATGTTTATTGAGCCATTTTAAATGATTTGTGCTTTGGGATTGGCTATGTGGAAGATAAAAGATCTAAAAGACAGTGTCCTGTTTCTGTTGCCTCAGAAGTATTTCTCAGATAATAAAATATTGGCAGATTTCTGATGATTCTCAAGAAAACTGGGAAATAGAGCTGAAAAACATGGAGGATAATAAGTTATCCCAGGAATAGAAGAAAAGAAAGTCCCTTCAAGAGAACTTATTGAGGTTTTGGTTTCTCCAAGGATAGTGTGGTATAAGGAGGCAAATTGTTGGAGCAATGTTTGCAGGAAATGTTTTCTCAACATATGAGGTGTTTGTCAGGTGGATGAGGACAGTGTGTGCAGGACGGATGTGGTACAAAAAAGCCCAGCCAGTGAACTTCCTGGGGTGGCTGTTGGTGGGTTGGTTGGGAGTTGGTGTAGCTGGGGCACAGGTGAAAGGTGGAGATGAGACTAAAAGGGCTACAGCTGTGGGTAGTATGATTCCATTTTCCTTCTAGAAAGATGACCCTGGTGGGGTGGCTCACGCCTGTAATCCCAGCACTTTGAGAGGCTGAGGCAGGCGGATCAGGAGGTCAAGAGAACTAGACCATCCTGGCCAACATGGTGAAACCCCGTCTCTACTAAAAATAGAAAAATTAGCTAGGCGTGGTGGCATGCGCCTGTAGTCCCAGCTACTTAGGAGGCTGAGGCAGGAGAATCACTTGAACCCAGGAGGTGGAGGTTGCAATGAGCCTAGATAGTGCCATTGCACTCCAGCTGGGGTGACAGAGTGAGACTCCGTCTCAAAAAAAAGAAAATACCAGAAGGAGGCCAGGCGTGGTGGCTCACATGGCTCACATCGGTAGGCAGAGGTTGCAGTGAGCCGAGATCGCACCACTGCACTCCAGCCTGGGCGACAGAGCGAGACTCCATCTCCAAACAAACAAACAAACAAACAAAAAAACAAAAAAAAAAAAAAGAAGAAAGAAAGACAACCCTGGGCATAGTGTAGAAGGAGAGGGGAAAGGAATGATGGGGAGGCAGCAGGTCCAGGTAGGATTCAACTGCAATAACCTGAGTGATAGCTGATAAGAACCTGAGCTGGCACAGTGTCAGCCGGCGGGAGAGGAGTCAAACTGGGAAATGAGAGGAGTTGCACCAGACTGAGCTTATCAGTTGTCTGGGGTTGGGGATGACAGAGCAGAAAGAGTCTGGGAAGGTGAACGTTCAGGGTTTGAGGTCCTGCTGCAAGGGACAACATTCTTTGAAATGTTTTTATCTTAAACATTCATGCAAATTTCTATTTTTTACTTAAAAATGTACCAATGTTTGCATTTCTATGAAAATAATATGTAAAACAAGTTTACAGACCGAACTTTCCTTTCCAAAGCTTCAGAGAAAATGGACATGTAAGAAAACTGCACCATGGTCGTGTGTGGTTTCTGATGCTCCCAGCAAATACCCCTTTTGAAAAGAGTGGAAGTCTTCCATGATCTGGCAACATCTCCCCTTGTAACCTTCGTTTTGGCCAAACTGATCTATTTACGGTTCCCTTAGCCTTCTCATGAATATTCTACTTCTCTGGTTTTGTATGTTTCAGATTTTCTGGTGCTTCTCCAGGCCATCTTCCAGGGCCAACTGAGATACTGCATCCTCCCTCCAGCCTTCCAGAACTATGAACCCCTTCTAGCTCCTTTCTCTGAAATTCAGCAGACTTTTTCTGCGCTGCTTTTATAATTTAACGGTAGATAAAATCATATGTAAAAAGAGCTAAAAAAAGTATTGTGACTATTATTATTATAGTGCTTCAAGGTTGTATGTTTTGTTTTTTTTCAAGCAGATTTTAAGTCCTAGAAGTCAGGGACTATGTCACTGATGTCTTTGTTGCTGCACTCAGCTCAACATATACTTTTTGGATAGATGCAGTCATTCTGTATATAGAAAACAAACTTATATTCAAGTAGAGGGAACAGATGGTAACTTTTTTCCCCCAGAATATATTTGTGACTTTAAGTTGAATGTTTATTCCCATTAAATGAACTATTTTATTTCCTCTGTAAAGCAAATTTAAATATCAGAAAATCAGGATATCTCCTCTCTTTATGTTTTCTCCTTTGATGTGACAAGTAAAAGGTAGGGCTTGGGTCACCTTAGGTGGCTGTGATTCTGATATTGTGCAAGTGCAAGCACTTTTTCTGTCAAGCCTGCCTGAGCCCAGTTCTTAGCTTTTAGGCAGACATTTCCCTGCTTGCAAAATCAAAAGCTAAGAGAAGTATGATGGGAAATTGCTTTCTAAAGACACCCATGCAGAAGCTTATGGCTTTCCCTGAAGGCCTCCTCTCCTTACACTAGGTTGGGTATTTCCACCATGTCACACTTTATTGTTAGTGTTGATGGCCTGGGCTCCCCAGTAGTGGAAGCTCCCTGGGGGGATGTCTGTGTCTTATAAGGCAAAATCTCATCAAAGAGTGTATTGGAGTTATTTCTTGAGAGAACATATGAAGAGAAAACTGGAAAATGTACCAGAAGGAGGTAGAAGGAGACAAAGATCATTTGATACTTTTTCAGTCCACTAAAGGTCTGAATCTGGTAATTATGGGTTGAGAAAATGGAGAGAAAAAATGCAGAGAATTTCTGGTGAAGCTGTTGATACAAATAGAAAGGCTGAATGAGGGAAGTCAAATAAAAAAAAGCAGAAAAGTATGGAACAAATGGATGAGGCTATGGTTTGGAGGAATCAAAACATAGTATATCGGTTAAGTGACTTTAGATTCAGAGAAGAAAATGGAGTCTTTTGAGTTCACTTCATCTCCTTTCATATCATCCTGGAACCACGTTCCAACTGGCAAGGCACTAGTTATCTACTGGATCTCTAAATCCTTTAGGAGGTGAATTTAACCTCCAAAATGTGCTTTGAATTGGTGGTTTCTTCACCATCATTATTATCGACGTCCTATGGCTGCCGTAACAATTTACCACACACTTAGTGGCTGAAAACAATACAAATGTATTATCTTATAGTTGTGTAGGCTAGAAGTCTGATATGGATCTCATTGGGCTAAAATGAAGGACTTGGTAGGGCTGCATTTCTTTCTGGAGGCTTAGGAGAGAGAATCTGCTTCTTTGCCTTTTCCAGTTTTCAAAGGCCATCTGCAGTCCTTGACTTGTGGCCCCTTCCCCTATCTCCACATCCAGCAATGTTACAGCTCTCTGCCTGGCTTTCATGATCACATTTCTTTCTCTGATCCTTTTTTTCTGCCTCCCTTTTCCACTCTTAAGGACCCTTTGATTACTTTAGGCCACCCAGATGGTCCAGAACAGTCTCCATATTTTAAGGTGAGTTAAAAGTTTCCATCTGCAACCTTAATCCCCTTTTGCCATGCAGCCTAATGTAGTCACAGGTGCTGGGAATTAGGGAGTGGACATCTTTGGTAGGCGAGGCTTTATTCTGCTTACCACAATCCTTGGTCACCATTATCCTGACCTGGATTGCTGCAAAGCCTGAGCTCTGCAGGCATCATACAGCCAGCAAAGAGCAGAGCCAGAATGTGAATGCAGGAGTCAGGCTGCCTGCATTCATTTTCTGGCTCTGCCATTTGCTGGCTGTATGATGGATGTTAGGAAGGCAAGCCTCTCTCAGCCTCAGTCTCCTGTTAAAGGAGGACACTAATTGCACCTACCTCATGGGTTGTTATTGTTGTGAGGATTAAATATATACCTGTCACGCAGGGAGCACTGTGTTGGCAATTGTTATTATTGTTACTGTTATTAGCTAGTTTCCTGGCCTCTACTCTCAACCCTCTCCACTCTATCCATACTGAAGCTAGAGTGATCTTTCTTAAACACAAGCTGATCACAGTCTTCCTTTTCATGCTATGAAAATCATTTATGCTATGGTGTTTGCTCCCCAACCTCTCTACATTGAGTCATATTAGGCTATTTGAAATCCGTTGAATGGGGCAGATATTTCACGTCTCTGTGTCTTTGTACACAGCACTCCTTTTGCCTGGACTTCCTTCCTCCCCTTGACTCTGTGTCCAACTTCATTCATACTTCAGAGCCAATTCTCTGAAATCCTGGGCAGAGCTGATTACCAACTGAACTCTTCTGCACCAGCTACGTATCTGTGCTCCACACCACTCACACCCGAGTGAGCCACACTGGCCTCATAGCTTCTGCCTGGAGTCTGGCACATACTAGATACTCAAGAAAAGAGTGTTGAGAGCACTGTGCTGGGAATTTATTCTTTGCAATTTATTGGAGTGTTTTCCTCATGAATTTTTTTCTGGTGTCTCCCTTCCCATGCTGCCAGAAGCATCCATTTGCCTCAAGGAGGAATAGGGTTTCTATAATAGGAATGCAAAATGAAAACTATCTAGCTTTTGATGCCCAGAGTAGGAATTATTTTAAAAAATCTTTTAGTTTTTTTTTTTAATTTAATAGTTTTGTGAAACCAGGACTTGCCAATTAGAAAGGGCTTTTCAAAACTTCTTTGGCCTTTTTAGTGTATTAAAAGCCAGCTTAGTCGAACTAGGTCTTAGAGATTCTTCTGTAGCATAGAGGGGACACCGTTTTCTGCAATTAACCTGGGCATGAAGTTTTGTTGCCCTGAGAAGAAGAAAGACAAGTGGCAGAAGAGCATTCCAGAGAGGAAAAGAAGTGAAAATCTCCCCCTTGAGTCCTGATGAATTTTGGGAAGGAGAGAAGACATGGGGTGGTGAGAATCTTGCATCACGCTTCTACCTGGTAGATATGGGAAAGCCAGAAGCAGAGGACATTTACATTTTCCTAGTTTCCTTTCAGGACTCTGGGAGGAAACTGCTTTGGAAGATATTCCTTGTGTCATATGGAACAGTCATGTTAGAGCAAAGAAAATGGCGAGCTACGGTTAAGCAGAGGGGGAATTTGAGCTCAGCTTCTAGAGGTCTTCCTCTGCTCTCAGGTAGAATGAGAAGAATCCAGAAATTTCTTCCTGCCCTACTGAGTGATGTGCCCTACTGAGTGATCATTGATGAACAATCATCCATGAATTCCTGAAGTTGAATAACAGGAAACTGTACTTGTTTTTCAAACCACTTGGCTACTGTAAGAAGCTGCTGGTCACAAAATGCATGTTCAAAAAACTGCAGTCCTACTGGCAACCCTTGGTTTGAGAGTGCAGCAGGGATACTCACTGCTGGCAATCCTGCCATATTTACAGCTTGTGTAAAAATATCATTCTGGGAACTTCGTGTTCTGTTGTCTACTTTGATGAACTCCGAATATGGTACTGCCTCACTTAAGATGGTGGGAGTTAGGAAGACGTCTGCTCCAGAGTTAAAAGCATTTGCAAAGTCATTAGCAATGAGACGTCGCACTTTTCTGTGCTTTGATGAAATAATTTTCCCAGTTTTCTTTTAATAAGAAAAAGTTTCCTGAGAGAATTCTTCCTCTCACCACATCATTGAACGCTTCTTGTCTAGTTGACGCATACATGGCTTCAACCATGGGTGGACACACTGAGTGGACACATCAGTGTCACATCTGTGACTACATTGTAGCCCATCAAGTCTTGCCATATTTAATGCCACTCCTGATGTGCACGATACATGATAGCAGACAATTGAATAACTGGTGTGAGGAATGGATACTTCAATTACTTTGGCCCCTTCAGACTCAAGGAGGTCAGCAGCTTTGGACCAAAAAGACTGTACTTCACTTAATAATTCTGGCACAAGATATTCCTTTGGAATTTCTATACATAGTTTGCTCACATCTGCCAAACCAAATAAATGGTTTAATAGGGTCCTATACTGTGGTACAATCATTGGTGTCATGTCCAGCCTGTACACTCAACACAATTGCTGCATCATCCACACATCTGGTTAAGATTCCTGGCACATCCATCAAGTTCACCAGGAGAATGAGACCATGATGGGAAACTAAACCATAGCTTGGTTTGAAACCAACAAGCCTGCAGTGAGCAGCAGGATTTCTGGTCGATCCTTCTGTAGCTGATCCTAAAGCCGACATAGCAGCCTCACTCCCACCTGAGCTTCCTCCAGTTATCAGCCAGTCTGAATCTTCATTCTTGCTGTGGGGATTCTGCTTCCTCTTTTCTCTATATTATTTTGAATAACTCAGGGGTTTTTAACTGGTCCAAACACACCATCTGTTCTTACAGATCCAATAGCAAACTCATCTAAATTTGTTTTTCCTATTAGTAGAGCTCCCTGATCCAACAACTTCGGAACTACTCTAGCGTTATAAGGTGGTACATAACCTTTCAGCATATTTGATGCACATGTTGTCTCAATGCCAGATGTGCTAAAGTTGTCTTTTACTGCAATAGGAATTCCATCTAAATCCCCAAGTGACTGTTCATGCTTATATCTCTTTTCTGATTCTTCAGCTTGTTTTAAGGCCACCTCTTCTGATGCAGTAATGTAGGCATGTAGAAACTTGGTCTTCTTGATAAGAGAGAGACATTTTTGACAGAGCTCTGTTGGCGTAATCTGGCCTTGTTTCAGTGCTGCAGAAACTTCTCAGAGGGTCCGGCCCAGCATGGTCCTCGTGCCCAGCCTGCCACCACAGGGGCCAGGCAAGGAGGAGAAAGAGGTCACCAGTTGCTAGTGACATTACATGGGCGCAGCCATCTTTAATCGTCACTGCGGGATTCTAAAAATTTTAAAAGCCACCTAAAGAGTGTTCCCAGTTTGCAGCAGGGTTATAATTCAAAATGTCACTTGCAAGTTGGTTATTTGGAATTCACAGGGGATATCTCTACATAGAAATAGTGTACTTACTAGTGACCAGGTTTCTAGCCCAAGTATAACTTAAAATGCAGCTGAAATAGAGCATATTTGAAATAAATAGTTGAAGATCATAATGGTACAATGCCAAAGTTTTTAAAAAAAATAACAAAAAAGAATTAAACTAAACCAGTTTATTTTGAATAGACTTTGAGGGAAAACACATTTAATTAAAAAGGGATAAGAGGTAAACGAAGATCCTAAAGAGGATGTCTCAGCCACTTTCAGGGTTTCACTGGCTCTTTGTAAATCTGATTTTCACTTGAATGTCTACAGATTCCCCTTTTCTTGTTATTGCTGTTTCTCAGGCATCAATCTTGTATATTGACTATGAAAATAGATTTCACATTTTTGGGTGGGAGGGGAGACTGGGGAGAATTCCTGTTATGTTCCAGGCCTGGAATCACTTGAGATACATCAAGGGACAAAACAAAGTTTCTGTTTCTGAGGAATTTTCTTTCTTCTGGAGATATTCAGACACCAAACTAATGAAAGATAGATATATCATAAAATATCAAGTAGTGATAAGTGCTTTGAAGAAAAAAATTGGCATAAGAGATGAGATTTTAGATACACTAACAAAGGCAAATCCCTTTGAAGGAGCTGCTGACAGAGTTCCTCAAAGAAGTAGGGAGTAATCAATGTGGCTCTGCAGGAGGAAGGATATTCTAGGCAGAGAGAAGTGAAGCTTAAAGCCCCATGCATAGGCAGTTTCCAGGAACAGCAGAAGACCAGTGTGAGTTGGGTGGTGTGGCAAGAAGACAGCATAAAATGTGGGGTCAGGGAGGTCGGACAGCCATGAAAGTACTCTGTGTCATACTCTAAGCGTGATTTTTTTTTCTATGTGTGAAGTTGTAAGTTTTTCCACGAGAATCATGAAAGACTTGTGTACAAGAGAAAGAGGTAATGGTAAAAGATGGATGAAAGAGGGAGAAAGCATTTTTTTTTGTCATATTTCTGAGTAAATAGATAATTTGAGATGTATTTACTCAGGGATAAATAGAAGGGGTAGAGCAGGGAACTAGTGAAGGTGGC
The DNA here is from genome assembly GCF_000001405.40 of Homo sapiens. Taxonomy (NCBI): domain Eukaryota; kingdom Metazoa; phylum Chordata; class Mammalia; order Primates; family Hominidae; genus Homo; species Homo sapiens. The sequence goes on from NC_000001.11 coordinate 168,452,493, forward strand.
AGGGGTCAGATAATTTCCAGAGCTGACCGCTAGATGGTGTATTTAGCCCAGGACAGCTTGGTTACTGTCCAGAGCAAGCCTGGGGTGGGGAGGAACAGAGCAAAACCACAAATTTACTTAGACTAAGAAAGTTTATGCTTCAGTGTAAAAACTTGTCACTTGCTGAAATCATGGGAAATAATTTTCCTAAGATAGAAGATAGTGAAAATTATGAGTAATTTACACAACCTTTATTGTTTTGATAACACTAATGTTCCTTCCTGCTTTCACATCTTTTTATAGGAATGAAGAGGGAGCTAAGACTTCCAGGTGCTCTAGATAATACCACCCCACCCCAGAACAACCACATGATTTACAGGAGAAGTGGAAGGGGGACTGAAAGTCTGTGTGCTCCTGCCAAGACTCCAGCCCCTTCTTCCTCAACATACACAGCCTCTCCATGACCATCAGACCACAAGGCCTGACATCATCTGGTTCTTGATCCCATTTTGCATGAGTTACTACAAGAATTCTGGGACTCTCAGGTCCTCCTCAGCCTTAGACTCTAACTCTCATAAGGGTCTCTGCAGGGTATGGCAATGGAGCCTCCCCATCCGCTTGCTCTGCTTTCTGATTCTCCATGGCACTTACGGCTCCTGCCATTTATATAGCTTATGTATGCTAGTGGGAGCTCTATGCAGGCAGAGGTTTGTGTCTGTTTTGTTTACTTCTGTATTCCCAGGGCATAGAACAGTGACAAACAGCATTTAATAAATATTTGTTGAAAGGTTAAATATTATTTACTTGGAAGAACAAGGCCGGATCTAAGCAGGCCTGTGCATGCATGAGAAGTGGAATACGGGATTTTCAAGAGCTTCTGCAGGCAAGGAGACTAAGTATTTCCTGCCACCTGCCAACTTTCTCTGTTTCCTTTGATCCCAAAGACCCTGTGGAGTTCTTATTGAAAGGATGGTTTAAATGACAACTTTCACATGATCTCTGAGAGCTGTGCAATAGTTGGCATTTGCCTGCAGGCTCTCCACCAAGGGAGGCTTGTTAGCCTAGAATGGGGTTACCACAGGGGATTGTACAATCTAATTTTCTGAGTGTCTTGGGATGTTGCTCCTCTCCCCACTCAGACAAGGAAGGCGTTATAATATAAGCCTTTGTATCATCTCTTTCACATCTTAATAATCAGTACAGGGAGTCCCCCTGCCCCTCAGGTGACATTAAAAGTGCTCAGTTTGTATAACTTGCATAAGGTCCATATGGCTTCTGCCCTTCCCACTACTCAGAGGCTACTTGAGAGGCTGCAGGGAAACACCCAGCTGTGGGAGTATGGCCTGCCCATGAACCCTTTAGCATGTTCCTTCCCCTTAAGTTTAGCTGCTTTATAGACTGTGAGCACCTTGAGGGCAGGTCTGGGTCTTGACCATCTTTGTAGCCCCGCAAACCAAGTTCAATCCCCCAAGCTCCCACTGCCAACCCAAGGTAGTTTTGTTGGTCTACAGCAAATGGTAAACTTGGCTGATATTGGCATGGTGATGACTTTCAGTTTTAATAGGGAGTGTCACATTTTGGCAGCAGGCATTGCAGTACCTAGGCCCCTGCCTGTGAGGACATTCCTTCTGCCTCTTGACTTGCTCCATTTGCTTTGTGTTGTGTCTAATGCATTGCCCTTAAGTCAGAACAGCTGGATGGATCTCTGTAGAATATTTTTTATTTAATGTTTTTTGAGAACCGGCAGGGAGAGTGCTGCTTGAAAGCACACAGGCCATGTCTATTTTCTTTCAACATCTACAACTTACAGAAAGAAGCTAGATCACAGGCACATGGAAGCTAAACTCTACCTTTTCTAATGTAAACAGGCCTTTTCATCTGCTTTCTCTCTTTGTGAACAGGGAGATCTGTAAGTGACATGGGTGAGTGATGGCAACAGTTGGCTCCCTAGGTGGTCTGATGGTGACAGTGACTCTGCTGGCACCTTGTGATAATTTTGATACTCTTTCCCAGTTTGTGAACATCCTCCTTTCTCCCTCCAGCAACTTGACCATTTCACTGCAGTTAGCACTTCCAGAAAGGGATAAACCAAGTAAGGGATGTGGACAGCAAATGAGTCAATTGTGCTGCAAGTTGGTCATTCCAAAAACATGTGCAACAAGAGGGAGAGGCTGAAATTAATGGCCAGGATAATGATTTGAGATTATTTATGGCACAGTGCTTCCCACTGAATTAGGTTGAATAATTCTTTTTTTTTTCATTAGCTCAGAGGGCCTTATATGTATATCTGTCAGAACAACAGTTCATTGAGGTGGGAGAAGAATGTTGTTTCTATCATTGCAGGAATGATGACAACCTCGTACATATCCCCTTTCTTTTTATGTAATATCCTCCAAAGTGGGGTACAAGCATTCCTTCTGTATGATAATTTCCTGGAGCACAGGAGTAAAATATTAGAGTTTCTATTTATTTGTATCTAAAATAAGAAAGAAATTAAGCTCTAAAAATATATACTATATGGGTTGACAGTAACTTACATATAAAATTTACAAGTAAATATATTTTGGGGGCACATGCTCAAAAGTTTTTACTCATGGGGTGGATGATCAAGAAACTTTGGACACAATGATATAAATAATCATGAGGAGAAAAACCCGTTGGAATATTAGAAGTTTCTCTGAATCAGGTAGTATTCAAAAGAGGAAAGATATGTTCATGTAAGTCATTATTATAACAACAAAATTTAAAATTGTAACTCAGGGATTCTCATCCCAGAAATATTACTGCATATTACCTTAAAGCTCATGTCAAGACAAGATGTCAAGACAGAAATTTAAACATGTCATGAAAAGGGCAAATAAAATTGACTCAAGTTGTGATTTGAATATGGAGAATGACAGAAGAGTTTCTGAGACACACTGTGGGGAAGGTGTAGCAAAATGGTCCCTAAAGGAGAGGTCTTAGTCTCATGTGCAGGCACCAGAGGTGTCTTGTGCAGGGAGCACTTGGTAAGTGAAGCATTGCTGTGCCATCCCTGCAATAGCACCAGCGATAGCCAGTCAGGATGGCCGTGCAAGAGCTGAGCCCCCTTTTCTCTTGCCCTTTCTCTTGTCAACCTTTTCTTCTTATTATTCTATTGAAAGGCACATTTTCTATTACTTGTTGGGGTATCTGCTGAGAGGAGATATGTACCTAAGAGATTAGACCAAATATATCATGAGATTCTTAACAGACTGAGAGTTCAGTGGGAATATTAAAAAGCAGGCCAGACACAAAGGCTGATTTTTCTATTACTGCCTTACTCCAAGACCATTCCATTCGGTTGAACTCTGCAAGTCAACTAATGCACAGCTCATCTCTCTGGCTGGAAAAGGGCTGCAGTTTCATCTTTTGGGCAATGCTAAAAAAAGTCTCACTCACTATTTTAAACTTGAGTTCTCCTAAGCAAGTGAAATAAGTCTTTGTTATAGATATTGAAGCTGGATGACTCCTCCCCATGGCCTGGTGTGGACTCCCTCTCTAGAAGGCATAACTATTGCTGGGTTAGCTGACTCAGAGGTTCATATACTCTCTGGCTGTGGGTCATTCTCTCTTCTGCTCTTTCAAGGGTCCTTAAGTAGGGAAGAATCAGAGTGGGAAACTGCTGGGTAGTGTTCCATCAAGGCAGCTATGGGAATGTTCGAGCCAAAGGAAGGTGGCTGAAGACATGGAGGGCAGGGGGCCAGTGTACAGGGAAGACCTAGTGGGGTCAGGACTGGTGTCAAGGCCAAGGTCAGTTATTGCACCCAGTCATGTATTCCTCATTGATGTCTTTATACAAAATGACAAATGTATACAAAATGACATGCTGGAAGCCAGCCAGCATTAGGATACAGGGACTTATGCCCCCTTTTCTGTGTTCTACTAGTTTGCTAGACTTTCATCTTTATTTTTGATATTTTTCCCCTCAAATTACTGGAGAGACTTTGAAATATGCAAGAGGTATCTCTTTTTTCAAATTCCATCTCTTGCCATCAGCATGAGGACCACTTTTGGCTTATGGACAGTCTGTAAGACATGTGGCATGTGCTGGTGACTTTCTTGTCCTTGCAAAGTCACAGGAATGTCACTGCCTGGATAGGCTTAGGAATCACAGCTCTGGCTTAATACCTGCTCTTTCTCTCCATCTATCTGGGGATGTTTGATGACTTTTCAGTGTAGAATGCAAACAAATGAAGATGTATCTAAGATGCCTTTGTTTAGCAACTGGCTGGCTATTTTATCATGGCTTTAAATTTAGCTTTTTACTAATGACTATGTGCATTTGGGAGGAAAGGCTGGCTTTGCAGGTAAGAAAGCAGCTGTGTGTGTCTTGTTTAATGCCTTTATCATATTGCCCTCTACAATCAAACTTCTTTTTCATTAGCTACAGAAATGTTTGAAATTAAGCCTATATTCAGGGCAAGACTGAGCACTTCAGAGGATTCAAAGAAGTAGGAGCCACAATTTCTTTTTTAGAAATTTCTTTCTTTTCTTTCCTTCCTTCCTTCCTTCCTTCCTTCCTTCCTTCCTTCCTTCCTTCCTTCCCTTCTTTCCTTCTTTTCTTTTCTCTTTCTTTCTTTCTTTCTTTCTTTCTTTCTTTCTTTCTTTCTTTCTTTCTTTCTTTCTTTCTTTCTTTTCTTTTTTTCTTTCTTTTCTTCTTTCTTTCCTTCTTTGACTTTCTGGAATGCCAGATAAGTAAGACACCCATGGGGAGCCATGGGCGGCTTCTGAGGAGAAAAGTCTCCTTATTGCCTTCATGGCTGTATGCCCCGAGAGCATAACGGCTCAGTGGCATGCCACAGGTTGCTCGGGGAAATAACACTGCCTTGAAGCAGTGGAGTATAATCAAACATCTTGGCTCCTCCTGAAACCTACTCCCACCCATTTCAGTCCCGATAAGTTAAAGATCTTAAGTAGTTTAGACACACGCCTTTGCTCGAGGAAATTCACAGAAACCACCACTGCTATACATCTTATTGAATGACTCACAAGTTCTCCTTCACTGATTAATCCTTTTCCTCATCCCTTCCTACCCTCCCATTTGCCCTAAGAACAAAGAGCTTGTAAACCAATAAATTGGGTGGAGGCTGAGAGCTCGGGGGTGTGAGCAAGCCTCCGAGGCTCTGGTCCTCTGGACCCACCTTTTAAACTCTTATTCTGTCTCTTTCTAAATCTTTTGTCTCTGCTGGACTCGGGGTACCCGCTGGGTGGTGTGGGGCTGTGGGGCTGGTTTCCCCAACTCTCTCTCTCTCTCTTTCTTTCTTTCTTTCCTTCTTTCTTTTCTTCTTTCTTTCTCTTTCTTTCTTTCTGTTTCTTTCTTTCTTTCTTTCTTTCTTTCTTTCTTTCTTTCTTTCTTTCTTTCTTTCTTTCTTCCTTCCTTCCTTCCTTCCTTCCTTCCTTCCTTCCTTCCTTCCTTCCTTCCTTTCTTTCCTCCCTCCCTCCCTCCTTTCTTTCTTTTCAAACGAAACTATTTCTTTTCAAACGAAACTATTCACTCTGATGATAGTTTCATTTGCTGTGCAGAAGCTCTTTAGTTTAATGAGATCCCATTTGTCAATTTTGCCTTTTGTTGCAATTGCTTTTGGTGTTTTTGTCATGAAGACTTGCCCATGCCTTTGTCCTGAATGGTATCGCCTAGGTTTTCTTCTAGGGTTTTTATGGTTTTGGGTTTTACATTTAAGTCGTTAATCCATCTTGAGTTAATTTTTGTATAAGGTGCAAGTAAGGGGTCCAGTTTCAGTTTTCTGCATATGGCTAGCTGGTTTTCCTGGAACCATTTTGTTGAATAGGAGATCCTTTCCCCATTACTTGTTTTTGTCAGGTCTGTCAAAGATCAGATGGTTGTAGATGTGTGGTGTTATTTCTCAAATCTCTTTTCTGCTCCATTGGTCTACATGTCTGTTTTGGTACCAGTACCATGTTGTTTTGGTTACTGTAGCCTTGCAATATAGTTTGAAGTCAGGTAACATAATGCCTCCAGCTTTGTTCTTTTTGCTTAGGATTGTCTTGGCTATACAGGGTCTCCTTTGATTCCATATGAAATTTAAAATTTTTTTTCTAATTCTGTGAAGAATGTCAATGGGAGTTTGATGGGAATAGCATTGAATCTATACATTACTTTGGGCCGTATGGCCATTTTCATGACATTGATTCTTCCTATCCATGAGGATGGAATGTTTTTCCATTTGTTTGTGTCCTCTCTTATTTCCTTGAGCAATGGTTTGTAGTTCTCCTTGAAGAGGTCCTTCACTTCCCTTGTTAGCTGTATTCCTAGGTATTTTATTCTGTTTGTAGCAATTGTGAGTGGGAGTTGATCTATGATTTGGCTCTCTGCTTGCATATTGTTGGTGTAAAGGAATGCTTGTGATTTTCTCACATTGATTTTATATCCCATGACTTTGCTGAAGTTGCTTATCAGTTCGAGAAGTTTTTGGGCTGAGATGATGGGGTTTTCTAAATATAAAATCATATTGTCTACACACAGAGACAACTTGACTTCCTTTCTTCTTATTTGAATATCATTTATTTCTTTCTCTTGCCTGATTGCCCTGGCCAGAACCTCCAATACTATGTTGAATAGGAGTGGTTAGAGAGGGAATCTTTGTCTTGCACTGGTTTTCAAAGGGAATGCTTCCAGCTTTTGCCCATTCAATATGATATTGGCTGTGGGTTTGTCATAAATATCTCTTATTATTTAGAGATATGTTCCATTACTACCTAGCTTATTGAGAGTTTTTTAACATGAATGGATGTTGAATTTTATCAAAGGCCTTTTCTGCATCTATTGAGATAATTTTGTGGTTTTTGTCTTTGGTTCTGTTTACGTGATGGATTACATTTATTGATTTGCATATGTTGAACCAGCCTTGCATCCCAGGGATGAAACCAATTTGATAATGTTGGATAAGTTTTTTGATGTGCTGCTGGATTCTGTTTGCCGGTATTTTAATGAGGATTTCACCTCAAGGTTCATCAGCGATATTGGACTGAAGATTTCTATTTTTCTGTTGTGCCGCTTCCTGGTTTTGGTATCAGGATAATGCTGGCTTCATAAAATAAGTTAGGGAGGTGTCCCTCCTTTTCAATTTTCTGGAGTAGTTTCAGAAGGAATGGTACCAGCTCTTCTTTGTATTTCTGGTAGAATTCAGCTGTGAATCCATCTGGTCCTGGGCTTTTTTTGGTTGGTAGGCTATTAATTACTGCCTCAATTTCAGAGCTTGTTATTAGTCTATTCAGGGATTCAACTTCTTCTGGTTTAGTTTTGGTAGAATGTATGCATCCAGGAATTTATCCATTTCTTCTAGATTTTCTAGTTTATTTGCATAGAAATGTTTATAATATTCTCTGATGGTAGTTCGTATTTCTTTGAGGTCAGTGGTGATATCCTCTGTATCATTTTTCATTGTGTCTATTTGACTCTTCTCTCTCTTCTTATTAGTCTAGCTAGAAGTCTATTTTGTTAATTTAAAAAAAAAACACAGCTCCTGGATTTGTTGATTTTTTTTTGGAGGGTTTTTCATGTCTCTATCTCCTTCAATTCTTCTCTGATCTTAGCTATTTCTTGTTTTCTGCTAGCTTTTGGATTAGTTTGCTCTTGCCTCTCTAGCTCTTTTAATTGTGACATTAGAGTGTCAATTTGAGATCTTTCTAGCTTTCTGATGTGGGCATTTAGTGCTATAAATTTCCCTCTAAGCACTGCTTTGCTGTGTCCCAGAGATTCTGGTATGTTGTCTCTTTGTTCTCATTGGTTTCAAAGAACTTATTGATTTCTGCCTCAATTTCATTATTTACCCAGGAGTCATTCAGGAGCAGGTTGTTCAATTTCCGTGAAATTCTGTGGTTTTGAGTGAGTTTCTTAATCCTGAATTCTAATTCTATTGCACTGTGGTCTGAGAGACTGTTTGTTATGATTTCCGTTCTTTTACATCTGCTGAGGAGTGTTTTACTTCCAATTATGTGGTCGATTTTAGAATAAGTGCCATGTAGCACTGAGAAAAATTTATATTCTGCTGATTTAGGGTAGAGAGTTCTGTAGATTTCTACTAGGTCCACTTGATCCAGAGCTAAGTTCAAGTCCTGAATATCCTTTTTAATTTTCTGTCTCATGGATTTTTCTAATACTGACAGTAGGGTGTTAAAGTCTCCCACTATTATTGTGAGGGAGTCTAAGCATCTTTGTAGGTCTCTGAGAAATTGTTTTATGAATCTGGGTGCTCCTGTATTGGGTGCATGTATATTCAGAATAGTTAGATTTTCTTGTTGAATTGTTCACTTTACTATTGTGTAATGTCCTTCTTTGTCTTTTTTCATCTTTGTTGGTTTAAAGTCTGTTTTGATGGAGACTAAGGTTACAACCCCTGCTTTTTTTTGCTTTCCATTTGCTTGGTAATTTTTCCTCCATGCCTTTATTTTGAGCCTGTGTGTGCCTTTGCATGTAAGATGGGTCTCCTGAGTACAGCACACTGATGGGTCTTAACTCCTTATCCAATTTGTCAGTCTATGTCTTTTAATTGAGGCATTTAGCCCATTTACATTTAAGGTTAATATTGTTATGTGTAAATCTGATCCTGTCATCATGATGCTATTTGGTTATTTTGCACACTAGTTGATTCATTTTCTTTGTGGTGTCATTGGTCTTTATATTTTGGTGTGTTTTTGCAATGGCTGATACCGGTTTTTCCTCTCCATATTTAGTGCTTCTTTCAGGAGCTCTTGCAGGGCAGGCCTGGTGGTAATGAAATTCTTCAGCACTTGCTTGTCTGGAAAGTATTTTTTTTCTCCTTCGCTTATGTGAAGCTTAGTTTGGCTGGATATAAAATTCTGGGTTGAAAATACTTTTTTTTTTTAGAATGTTGAATATTGGCCCCCAATCTCTTCTGACTTGTAGGGTTTCTGCTGAGAGGTCCACTGTTAGTCTGATGTGCTTCCCTTTGCAGGTGACCTGACCTTTCTCTCTGGCTGCCCTTAACAGTTTTTCCTTCATTTCTACCTTGGAGAATCTGATAATTACGTTTCTTGGGGTTGAACTTCTCGTGGAGTATCTTAACGGTGTTATCTGTATTTCCTGAATTTGCATGTTGGCCTGTCTTGCTAGGTTGGGGAAGTTCTCCTGGAAAATATCCTGAAGTGTGTTTTCCAGCTTGTTTCCATTCACCTCATCTCCTTTGGTACTCTAATCAATCATAGGTTTGGTCTTTTTATGAAGTCCCATATTTCCTGGAGGCTTTGTTCACATTTCATTCTTCATTCTTTTCATTCCTTTTTTCTCCATTGTCTGCATGTCTTATTTCAGTAAGGTGGTCTTCAAACTCTTATATCCTTTCTTCTGCTTGATTGATTTGGCTGTTGATACTTGTGCATGGTTCACTCGTGCTGTGTTTTTCAGCTCCATCAGGTCGTTTATGTTCCTCTCTAAACTGGTTATTCTAGCTAGCCATTTATCTAACCTTTTATCAAGATTCTTAGCTTCTTTGCATTGGGTTAGAACATGGTAGGAGCCACAGTTTCTATCCTCAGTGTGCTTACAGTTGGGGAAGTAAGACATTTTGGAGCAGGAGAAAGAGTGAGGGCTTTGAAGTCTGACAAACTTGAGTCTGTATTTTATAATCTGTAAAGTAGAAATAATAATTTATACCTTGCAAAGTGATTTTGTGATAAAGAAACACAAGATGTAAATGTTTGAATACTATTAAACATTATCATTATTAAAAACAGATGATCTTGCAAGCATATCTGTGAAATGCTGACCAACAGCACAAAGAAAGATCACAATCAGAGGGAGTTGGAAGCTGGTTGGTAAAGGCTCCATAAAAGAAGATTGTTGTATTGTCACTGATATTGTTAAGAGGAAGGACACCATGTGTGTCTTCATTCATTGCTTATCTCACACAGTGCTGCTGTTGCTAATGGACAGGTTGGATCCTGCTGTCCTTGAGAAATGGACTATGTCCAGTACGCCATATATGTCCCCCTGGGAGTTCATGAGGAGGTTCACCTGTGTAAGAGCAGGAGCGGAGCCACTCAGGCCTGTTGTAGGCATCACAGTTGGTAGAGAATAGAAAAGAGTCAGAGAAAGGGGGAAAGTGTGCAGAGAACTTCAGGTCTCTCAGACAACTGCCCAAGGGCAGGGGACGGGGAAAAGGGCCCAGGGGAGAGGGAGTGCAGTAGAGAGATGGCCTCTGCCGCCTTCTCACCAGACCACCTTTGCTGTGTTTCTGGGCCAAGGGTCTTGCCTTCATCTTCCTTTTCCATCCTTTTATCCGGGAGGATTGGGAGAAAATCCTTGTTAAGAAAAGGTCTCTTGGCCGGGTGTGGTGGCTCACGCCTGTAAACCCAGCACTTTGGGAGGCTGAGGTGGGTGGATCATGAGGAGATCGAGACCACCTTGGCCAACATGGTGGACCCTGTCTCTAAAATACAAAATTTAGCCGGGAATGGTGGTGTGTGTCTGTAGGCCCAGCTACTTGGGAGGCTGAGGCAGGGGAATTGCTTGAACCTGGGAGACGGAAGTTTCAGTGAGCCAAGATTGTGCCACTGAAATCCACCCTGACGACAGAGTGACACTCTGTCTCAAAAAAAAGAAAAGAAAAGAAAAGAAAAGAAAAAAAAAGGTCTGCTGAGGAACACTTTAGATAGCCCATATGCAGGAGGTAGTCCAGCATTCCTCATGTGTTGCCATTCTTTTTTCTTGTATTTTCATCCACTCATCCTTTCCTTTACCTCTTTCTACTCAGTTTTGTTCCTCTTCTCTCTCAGGGTCAAGGATAAGAGAGGAGAAAGAAGAGAAAGAGTGAAACGAGGGAAGGCAGCATAAGTGTGGTTATATCTAGTTTCCCTCTTGGGTGCTGGGCTGCTGGGAAAACTGGCACTTCCAGTGAATTCCTTCAGGGTTATGGAGACTGAATATCTTAATTAAGTGAGGTTGCCTTTTAAAAAGCCACTTGGATCCATTTTTATTGTGGTCTATAGTGCTTATTTCTTTGGTGTACAAATCTGATGGGAGAAGATCCATCAAAAGAAAGGGGAGGGGATAGAGGAGGAAAGAATGAGAGATGGGGCACTCTTGGTAGTGTGTCAACCAAGCCCTGGCTGCCTCAGGTACTGATTTGCACCCCTCCACTCCCTCCTCTGCCATCCAGCCTGGGGACCCCCATGCATGCCTTGTGCTTCTCAAATCTGCCTCTGCTTTCTTTCCAGGAGCCTTATTTCAACGCAACAACTTAGAGTTATTTCCTTCTCCTGTATTACTTTATTCCATCTTGACTTTCTCCCACTGTAGCAATGATCACACTGTAGTATATTAATTATCTTTTGGTTGCCTTTCCCGCTCAGTAGACCATAGTCTTGTTGGGTGGAGGGACTGTGCCTTTTTCTTGTTGCATGCATGTACTGGACACTCTAGTGATATTTGCTAAATGTTAAATGAGTGAGCAAATCCTGCCATGTGTAACCTGGCACTCATTTACCTTATTCCCCATCTCCTGAAACCTGGTTTTCCCATTTCACTAGCACAATCTTCTCTGGTGTCCAGTGTGAGAGTTGGCATAGAGTTCAGCTAGCACCTGCAGAGCCTTCCTGAGACTCCATTCTCAGAACAATCACAAAATGTGGTCATAATGAGCCAATGTCTTTTCTTTTTTTAATAGTTTAAACTTTAATTTTACATTCAGGGGTCCCATGTGCAGATTTGTTATATGGGGATTGTATTAGTCCGTTCTCATGCTGCTAATAAAGACATACCTGAGACTGGGTAATTTATAATTGAAAGAGGCTTAATTGACTCACAGTTCAGCATGGTTGAGGAGACCTCAGGAAACTTACAATCATGGCGGAAGGGGAAGCAAACACATTCTTCTTCACATGGCGGCAGCAAGGAGAAGTGCTGAGAAAAAGGGGGAAAAGCCCCTTATAAAACCATCAGATCTCATAAGAATTCACTCACTATCACGAGAACAGCATGGAGGTAACTGCCCCCATGATTCAATTACCTCCCACCAGGTCCCTCTCATGACATGTGGAGATTATAGGAAATACAATTCAAGATGAGATTTGGGTGGGTATATGTATATAGATATACCATATCAGGTATAGTGTGTGATGCGGAGGTTTGAGGTATGGTTAATCCTGTCACTCAGACAAGTGAGACAGAACCCAGTGGTTAGTTTTTCAAACCTTATTCCCCATTTCCTCCTCTCTCTAGTACTCTCCAGTGTCTATTGTGGCCATCTTTATGTCCAATGTTTAGCTCCCACATATAAGTGAGAACATGTAGTATTTGGTTTTCTGTTCCTGAGTTAATTTGCTTAAGATAATGGCTTCCAGCCACATCCAAGTTGCTGCAAAAGACATGGTGCATTTAGTGCTGCAATGAACATGCAAGTACATGTGTCCTATTTATTTTCTTTTGGATGTATACCCAGTAATGGAATTGCTGGGTTGAATGGTTAAGTTCTTTGAGAAATCTCCAAACTGCTTTCTACAATGGCTGAACTAATTTACGTTCCCACCAACAGTATATAAGCATCGCCTTCTCTCCACAGCCTTGACAGCATCTATTGTTTTTGACTTTTCATGTAATGACCCATAGGCTCAAAGTAAAGGGTCAGAGAAAGACCTATCATGCAAATGAAAAACAAAAAAGAGCAGGGGTTGCTATTCTTATGTCAGATAAAACAGGCTTTAAACGAATAACAGTAAAAAAGGACAAAAAAGGGCATTACATAATGATAAAGTTTCCAATTCAACAGGAAGACTTAGCTATCCTAAATATATATGCATCCAATATTGGAGCACCCAAACTCATAAAATAACTACTTCTAGACCTATGAAAGGACTTAGACAGCTACACAATAATAGTGGGGGACTTCAACACCCCACTGATAGTGTTAGAAAGATCACTGAGCAGAAAACTAACAAAGAAATTCTGGACTTAAACTTGACACTTGACCAATTGGACCTAATAGACACCTATAGAATACTTCATCCAGCACCCACAGAATACGCATTCTTCTCATCTGCACACAGACACAGAACATACTCCAAGATCAACCACATGCTTGGCCATAAAACACGCCTCAATAAATTAAAAAAAAATCAAAGTTATACTGACCATAATCTCAGACCACAGTGGAATAAAAACAAAAATCAATACCAAAAAGATCTCTTGAACAACACAATTCATGAAAATTAAATACCTTGCTCCTAAATGACTTTTGGGTAAACAACAAAATTAATGCAGAAATAAAAAAAATTCTTTGCAATAAGTGAAAACAGAGACACATCATACCAAAATCTCTGGGATGCAGCAAAAGCAGTGTTAAGAAGAAAGTTTATAGTGCTAAATGCGTACTTCAAAAAGTTAGAAAGATCTCAAATTAAACATCTAACATCACACCGAGAGGAACTAGGAAAACAAGGCCAGTGCCTTTACCTTGTAGCCCCAAAGAAGTCTGACCTCAAGAATTGGAATGTAGGATTTTTGAGGGAAACGGTGAGCCTGAAAGCAGTTAGGAAGTAACCTAATTCTCTAGCCACTCACAGAGGGTGCAAAATCTCAGACCAGCAAACAAGGCAGGGCAGAAAGGCACACACTATATATCAACAGGCCATGGATGGTCGTCACCATTCAGACTCTCCAATATTCCTTGTTAACAAGCTGAAATCAGATGATCCTCATTTTCACTTGAGCCCAGGGTTATAATTTCTTGGAAAGTGCAAAGGGAGGCAAACTATAATGGGAAGGAAGAGCAAGTCAACATGAATCTGAGGAAGGGGAATGCTTTTCATTCTGGTTTTTGAACAGGTGGTGGTCAGAGCTGGCAGAAAGCCCAGGATATGTCAGCAGTCCCGGAAAAGAGATGTTCTTGTTGTAAATCTCATGTTGATTCTTGCCCCTCCCTCTCCACCTCCCACTCTTACACATGCTCACGCTTCTTAGTAAGTACACTGGAGCTACCTCCCCCATGCCCCACAGCACATTGTACCTCTGCTAGCACAGGGATCACGTTCTGACTTACAGTGGTTGTGGGTGTCTCTGTCTCTTTCTCTCAAAACAAACATATTGGAGTTTCTCACTCATCGACATTTCTGCACCAGTGCCTGCAGACAGTTTTCCTCACTGTGAGGACTCTAAATACTTTCATTTACTGGAATTAGATTTACCCTTTTGGCTAAGGTGTCATATGGACAGGGGAATTACCAAGTCCAAGAGTAGTTTTGGCTTCCTGATGGGAAAGAGTTGTTGTATAACAGGAATCCTACCTAGGCCTCCTATTGCTCATTCCCAAGACAATTTCTTAGGCCCATCTTTGTCTTCCCAAATTGCCCTTATTTTTTGCCACTGCCAAGGCCCTATGGTCTCAGCTGGCTTCTCTCTCCTTTTAGGCCATTCTCCTTGCTTTGTCCCTTGGTACGCTTTAAACTTAACAGTTCCCTAAGACTGGTTCCAGAGCAAGGTCCTGCTTCCCTGCTATGTCTCATAGAGAAGTGAAACCTCTCTTGCTGCTTTTCACAGGGGAGAGAGACTGGGTCAAAAACAAAACAGAGAATCATACAAAGCTGTTCTTTAATTCCTGACTCCCTCATAAGACAGACTAGAAACTCTGGTGAAGTCTGTGATTTGCTCTTATCCATGAGGATGAGACTCTCTCAACTCCCTTCTTAAATACAGGCTGGAGGATAAAACTGAGGTCCTGCAGTTTGCATAATAGCTGACATCTATTGAGAATCTACTGACTACTAGGAACTATATAAGTTGTGTACATACTATTTTGTTTACTTTTTCAATTAACCACATGAGATAAATACTATTGTAGTTGCATTTTGTCAATACAGTAACTGAGCCTTAAAGAGATTAAGTTACATGTTCAAAATCCCCTAGCCATGAACTGATGGACTAGGGTTTATATCTTATTCGAAAAACAATAGTATTAACTAATGGTTACTCAAAAAGGATGTCTTTTAAATTCCAGTGAGAAGTTTGCATCTTTGAGAATGTTAGGATGGATAAACATCCATGTCACTGCTTCTCAATAAAAAGAACAATTATAGTATATTTTCTTATTGCTAGTCTAACCGGAAATAGTCTGGTTTATTACTTATAAACTAGTTCTTGGAACTAAGACCGTAAACCTTGACTTGGTGCAGGAAATGGTGTGGTTTTACATGCTCAGGAAACAATGACCAGAGTAAAATATTTGACAAATTTTATGCTCTGATTGAGAATTGGAGGCCTGGGGGAATACCTGAATGACTTGCATGCTGCTAAATATTTTTCCACAATATTTTTTTAATGGTTGCACGGTATTCCATTGTATGGTTGCAATATAATTTAGTTGCATGACATCTGGGCAATAGGGGAGTTTCTAAGAGCAGGAGGAATTTTAGAAAAGAGAAACTGAGTATTAGGTGTTCAGTAGCCAGCTTTTCCAGCTTTAGGAATTTTCTTGGGACTAGCTCTGTCCAAGGGGTAAACTATACATGCTGTATACTTTTCCAGGCAGGAAGGGGAAAGACCCATGCTTCTTAGTCTAGCTGCCTCCCAGAAACCTTTGCAAAGGTCATCCAACTCAATCTTGTAGTCTTGGAGAAGGCCAATTCAGATTCCAGTTCTCTTAAACCAGCTACAGAAAACATAACTTTTGTAACTCAGTAGGGTCAGGCTTATTTGTAACTTAGATTGGCTGAAGCCTTTATTAAGTGAAAAAAGATGGAAGCATAACAACATTCCTAACTGAATGCCATTCATGGAAAGAATGTCTGGAATGGAATCCTCTGTCTTGGCTAAATTTGAAAGAATAGCATATCCTGAAAAGAAGCATGAAGGAGATTATCTGATCTTACCTACTGGCTAAGGATCAAAATGTTAAGAAAAGCACACGAGATCATCTTTCTGAAGCAGGAAGAGTCTACGAATCAGACATACTGAATTAAGTCATGAACCAGAGTCATGTCCTAGAATTGTGTCCATGAACCTGGCCAAGACATTTCCTATTCCATTTCAGGTCCAAGATTCTCATAGTGCAGAGCTACCTTTCGAAACATTTAATCACAGATCTTCTTTCAGACTGGACAGTGATCATGGCATCTTTCAGGCAGAAAGAGGAGGGTTAACTTGGCTGGGAGAGGAGATAAGGAAATGTCTAACCAGTCTTCTCACCACCAAAAAACAAAACAAAACAATTCAAAACGAAACAAAACAAAAAAACTATTAGCACCTGGCACAGCACCTGTCATATAGTAATAGAAGCTTAATACATATTTTGTGAATAAATATAAAAATTAGAGGTTGAAGTAGAACTGCGGACTGTCCATTACCATGCTTGATACTTCAGTAGAATGTGTGCCAAAGAATATGGTCCCAGCTCCTCTCTGGGCTTAGGTCTGGTCTCTCCTCAGCTTCTCAGCTTTATAGGTCAGGAATTTCCCAAGCTATCATTTTACTTTGATCCTCTCAGGAACAGAAGTGAGAAAGAAGAGATGAGGTATAGCTAGAAATTTATGAGAAGGGATGGGAAGGAGAAAATAGTGCTGACTTGACCCTGTACTGACAGGGACACCTGCCCATCAGCAATGCTTTGAGCTGCAAGTAGAAGCTGGGGGGTCAGGGAGAGGCTATGTTGGTGGCTATAGAGTAACAGATGACCTGGTTGACCTTGATTATTGACCAACCTATTACAATGAAATGGTTGAGGGATTACAAGTACAGACACAAATAATTTTATATGTAATAAGTAAATTAATACTTTATATGTTTTTTTTTCTGGGAAGATGGAAAGCTGTTTGTTAGAGCAAAGAATTCTAATAGTGCCACATGTGTAATAAAAATCAGATTCATGACCATGACCTTCAGTTCCTGCTTTATGTTGGATTAGCCTTGGGCAAGTCAAATAAACTAGAGAAAAGAGTATTTCCATTTTCCTCTGTAAAACCAAGTTGGCCCAAACGTATATTCCTCCTTTTATATGATTAGTGTGAGCGTTCAAGCTGGGTGGAGGCAGGGCATCTCTTTTGTAATAAGTTGTCACCAGAAAGTCTCATTTTGTTGAGAAGAGAAACCCCTGCAATTGATGGGACTTGGAACAAACTTTCTGGGACACTAAATGGCAGGAGAGCCAGTGTTTTAAGAAGTCATTTCTGTCCTGGTTTGTTATTAAACTGTGGAGCTTCCTTTTCAAGATAGTAAAGATAGTAATAAGTCATGTAATACAAATTGATTCAAAAGGAGACTTAGGGGCTTACAGAATCCCAAGACAGACAAGCATTAAAAGTGCCTGCGGATCCGGCAGGAAGCCAATCCCCAGATGTTACTTTTGGCTGGGAAGGGTGAGGAGGAAGCGGTGGCCTTGCTCTGGCTTAATCTGCAGTGACAACCGTGGCGAGCATGAGTCACTCTGGGCCTCATCTGAACCCTATCTTGGCATCTTGCTTGTGGAGAGGCAGTGCTGTATAATGGTTCAGAGCAGGCTTTGGAACAGACTGCCTGGACAAGCTACTTAATTGCTCTGTTCCTTAGTTTCCTCATCTGCAAAGTAGGGGGAAATAGCAGCACCTACCTCGCTGGGTTGTTGTGAAGTTTAAATAAATTAATACATGTGAAGTACTTAGAACATTGCCTGGCACATTTGCTAGATGGTCAATAAATGTTGCATATTATTTTATATGGGCTATTTCTTCAGTTCAGTATTCTGAGTCTCTAATCTGAGAAACTTGGTGGCACAAATATTTCCTAGTTAGGCAAGCACTTTGTAATGTTTTTAATTTGTAATAGAAAACAAGGATAACTTAGCAAATGAATACCCACAAGCAAACACTGCACTTCATTTTAACCAGACAATCCAATATCTTTCCCTAGCACACTTTTGTTCTGAGAGGGAAATCAAAGAAACTAGAGCTTTCTTTCTTTCTCTTAATCCTGCATACCTTCCACTGTAGGTACCAACTGTCATTTAATAAAAGCTCTGCAGCAGAAGAGAAAACAGGCAGAGCAAACAGCCCTAATAATTTACTTATTTTTGATTCACATCCTAATAATAATGGTCACCATGGTTTAGAGTAATATTGAATTCCTATTACTTGCCACCTGTGCTGTAGTTAAAATGTCTTTTCTAACACTGATACCCCCTTATGTCCCATTTCCTCCACGATAAGAATTGTTATCTATATTTTTACCCATTTCAGCAAACATTTGTGGAATATCTTTCATGTGCCAGGTAAT
The DNA here is from genome assembly GCF_000001405.40 of Homo sapiens. NCBI lineage: Eukaryota > Metazoa > Chordata > Mammalia > Primates > Hominidae > Homo > Homo sapiens. Next base: position 168,470,707 of record NC_000001.11, read on the forward strand.
GTGCTAGACTTAAGTAGAATAATGTCCCTTCCTTCAAAAAGGAAGCAAAGGGGACATATGAGAAAAGGCAATGATCGGTAAAAGCACTAAATGTGAATATTTGGGAAATAAATTATTTAAATCACCATTTATTCCCCCTTGGAATAAATGATGATTTTCTTTAGCAGCGCATGTTGATAAAATTTTCATGTGTTTTAGCCACCCCCCCAAAAAAATCCCAAGTGCATTCAAGGTGAAATGACTCAGGAACCAAGCCTCATTTCAAGGCTCTAAGCAGCTTTCATACAGAACTGAGTCAATTACAAACATAAGACTGGCTTGGGAAGCTTAAAACAACAGGGACATGATGAGAATAAAATTTAAGCTTTGCATGGCTGACTTAAAGCTTTCCAATTAATTTCACAACATAATTGACTTCAGACTCCGTATTTTGTCCTGCTTTGGAGTAAATTATGCATATCATTTCACCACTGAGTGATCTCTGATGAATGAGTTTTCCTTCCCACCATAAGGAGGATGGCTCTAGCTTTCTTTTTCTCTGGGAGTATTGTTTTTCCCTTTTCTTCTGGTCTCATGGAGTTCCAGGGTCTAACCACTAAGGCAGAGCAAAACTAGAACTAGTTGGAAATCCCACTGATGAGTCAGAGCCCAGTGAATTAGTAACAGTGCTTGAGGCATTCCTCCTCCAGGGATCTTTTATGAAAGCTTTAACTCATGCTCCATTTTCAGAGAGAACTGGCAGGTACAACTCTCAAGCCCTAAATTTTCTCCAGAACTTGGACCCTACATATATATATATACTCATATATATACACACACACACACACACGCATATATACATATGTATATATATGTATATAGGTATATATGTGTGTGTGTATATATGTATGTGTGTGTATATATATAAAAAAATATAAATATATAAAAATATATAAAAGGCCGGGCGCGGTGGCTCACGCCTGTAATCCCAGCACTTTGGGAGGCTGAGGCGGGCGGATCACGAGGTCAGGAGATCGAGACCATCCTGGCTAACAAGGTGAAACCCCGTCTCTACTAAAAATACAAAAAATTAGCCGGGCGTGGTAGCGGGCGCCTGTAGTCCCAGCTACTCGGGAGGCTGAGGCAGGAGAATGGCGTGAACCCGGGAGGCGGAGCTTGCAGTGAGCCGAGATCGCGCCACTGCACTCCAGCCTGGGCGACAGAGCGAGACTCCGTCTCAAAAAAAAAAAAAAAAAAAAAAAAATTATAAAATATATAAATATATATATAAATATATATAAGTAAATATAAATATATATATAAATATATAAATATATAAATATATATATAAATATATAAATATATAAATATATATATAAATATATAAATATATATATAAATATATATAAATATATATATAAATATATAAATATATATAAATATATATATAAATAAATATAAATATATATAAATATATAAATATATATATAAATATATATAAATAAATATATATAAATTTATATAAATATATAAATATATATATAGTACTGCCTGCTGGAGAGTCCATTCTAGATAACCAACAAACCCTCAAACTTAGTTCACTATGTTTACTCCCCAAATCTGCTTCCCTTCTCATGTGATGCCAGAAAAGATATTAACATTCATCCCCTTGCCAAGGCTGGGAACTTCAGAATCATCGTTTTCTCACTCATCACCACCATCCAATATGTCACCAAGTTAGGCTGCATCTCTGAAGATCTCTTTAATCTGTCCCAGCCTCTTCATACAAAGTAACTGCCAATATCAAAGCCTGGTAGGAGGGGAGCATTGCCAGAAACCAGGGTTGGGGAGGAAGGATCGTCTCTTATTCTTGGAGCTGGCATTTCCATCCTCATTTTTTATTTGGATTAATGTAGCAGCTATAATCTTGTCTTCCTCCAATACATCCTCCAAATTGCTGCCTAAGTAATGTTTCTTTTCTATTTTTAAGGTAAAATATTTAATGGACAAATAAAGATTGTGTATATTCAGGGTGTACAACGTGATGATTTGATATAGGTATACATTATGTAATGATTACCACAATCAAATTAGTTAACACATCCATCACCACTCATGCTGTTCCTTAGATCTGCAGAACTTGCTCATTTTGTAACGAAAACTTTGTACTCTTGGACAAACACTGCCCCATTTTTGTCCTCCTGCCACGGACCCCCAACCCCTGGTAACCACTGTTGTACTCTCTGCTTCTGTAAGTTCAGCCCCTTTAGATTTCAAACGTAAGTGAGATCACATAGTATTTGTCTTTCTTTGTCAGGCTTATTTCACTTAGCATAATGTCCTTCAGGTTCATCCATGTTGTTGCAAATATCAGGATTTCCTTATTTTTTATGACTGAATAATATTTCACAAGTAATACTTCTAAAATGCATCTCTCTTACAAGAATTGTTAGGTATCTTTTGAAAAAAAAAGTAATGAAAGTGATATGTTTTGGCTGTGTCTCTCCACCCAAATCTAATGTTGAATTGTAATTTCCAATGTTGAGAGAGGGGCCTGGTGGTAGATGATTGGATCATAAGGGTGGATTTCCCCTTTGTTCTTGTGATAGTGAGTGAGTTCTCATGAGATATGATGATTTAAAAGTGTGTAGCACTTCCCCCTTCACTCTCTTACTCCTGCCCCACCATGATAAGATGTGCTTGCTTCCCTTTCACCTTGTGCCATAATTGTAAGTTTCCTGAGACCTCCCAGCCATGCTTCCTGTATAGCCTGAAAAACTGCAAGTCAATTAAATCTTTGTTCTTCATCAATTACCCAGTGTCAGGTAGTTCTTTATGACAGTGCAAGAACGAACTAATACAGAAAATTGGTACTGGGAGTGGGGCATTGCTATAAAGATACCTGAAAATGTGGAAGTGACTTTGGAACTGAGTAATGGGCAGAGGTTGGAACAGTTTGGAGGGCTCAGAAGAAGACAGGAAGATGAGGGAAAGTTTGGAACTTCCTAGAGACTTGTTGAATGGTTTTGATCAAAATGCTGATAGTGATATGGACAATGAAGTCCAGGCTGAGGAGGTTTCAGGTGGAGATAAGGAACTTACTGGGAACTGGAGTAAAGGTCATTCTTGTTATGCTTTAGCAAAGAGACTGGTGGCATTGTACCCCTGCTCTAGATATCTGTGGAACTTTGAACTTAAGAGAGATGATTTAGGGTATCTGGCAGAAGAAATGTCTAAGCAACAGAACACTCAAGAGGTGATCTAGCTATTTCTAAAAGCATGTGCTCATATACAAGAACAAAGAGATGATCTGAAGTTGGAACTTACATTTAAAAGAGAAGCAGAGCATAAAAGTTTGTGAAATTTGCAGCTTGACCATGCAATAGAAAAGAGAAACCTATTTTCCATGGGTAAATTCAAGCTGGCTGCAGACATTTGCATAAGTAAAGAGGAGCCCAGTGTTAATAGCCAAGACAATGGGGAAAATCTCTCCAGGGCATTTCAGAGACCTTTGCAGTAGCCCCTCTCATCACAGGCCTGGAGGCCTAGGAGGGAGAAATTGTTTTGTGGGCCAGGCTTAGGGCCCGGCTGCTCTGTGCAGCCTCAGGACATGGTGCCCTGTGTCCCAGCCACTCTAGCTCCAGCTGTGGCTAAAAGGGGCCAAAGTGCAGCTTGGGCCCTTGCTTCAAGGGGTGCAACATATGAGAAAGCCTCACTGACTTCCACATGGTATTGGGCCTGTGGGTGTACAGCAGGCTAGAGTTAAGGCTTGGAAACCCCTGACTAGATTTCAGAGGATGTATGGAAACTCCTGGATGTCTGGGCAGAAGTCTGCTGCAAGGGCAGAGCCCTCATGGAGAACTGCTACTAGGGCAGTGCCGAGGAAAACTGTAGGGTTGGAGCCCCCAGAGTCCCCACTGGGGCACTACCTGGTGGAGCTGTGAGGAGAGGGCCACTGTCCTCCAGATGCCAGAATAGTAGATCCACTGACAGCTTGCACTGTATGCCTGGAAAAACTACACACACTCAATGCCAACCCATGAAAGCAGCTGCAGGGGCTATAACCTGTAGAGCCACAGGGGAAGAGCTGCTCAAGGCTGTGGGAGCCCACCCTTTGCATCAGCATGCTCTAGATGTGAGACATGAAGTCAAAAGAGTATTTCTGAGCTTGGAGATTTAATAACTACCCTGCTGGATTCTGAACTTGCATGGGGCCTGTAGCCCCTTTGTTTTGGCCAATTTCTCCCTTTTGGAATGGGAACATTTACCCAATGACTCTACCACTGTTGTATCTTGGAAGTAACTGACTTGATTTTAATTCTACAGGCTCATAGGTGGAAGGGACTTGCCTTGTCTCAGATGAGACTTTGGACTTGGACTTTTGAGTTAATGCTGAAATGAGTTAAGGCTTTGAGGGACTGTTGGAAAGGCATGATTGTGTTTTGAAAAGTGAGAAAGATATGAGATTTTGGAGGAACCAGGGGTGAAGTTATATGGGTTGGCTTTGTGTCCTAACCCAAATCTCATGTTGAATTGCAATTTTTAATGTTGGGGGCATGACCTGGTAGGAGGTGATTGGATCATGGAGGCAGATTTCCCCCTTGCAGTTCTTGTGATAGTGAGTGAGTTCTCATGAGATCTGATGGTTTAAAAGCATGTGGCCCTTATCCCCACAGGCCCCTGCTCCATCATAGTAAGATGTGCTTACTTCCCTTTCACCTTCTGCCATGATTGTAAGTTTCCCGAGGCTTCCCAGCCATACTTCTTGCACAGCCTGTGGAACTGTGAGTCAATTAAACCTCTTTTCTCATAGATTAGCCAGTCTCAGGTAGTTCTTTATAGCAGTGTGAGAACAGACTAATACAGAAGGGTATGGGAGCACTTAGCCATAGCAGATAATAAAACATGAAAACAAAAGCAAACCAATGGAGCAAAAAAAAAAAGTCTAGAAATAAACCCAGAAATACATGGACATTATTCATAAAGAGATGGCATTTCAAATTGGTGGGGAGAAATATGGATAAGTAAATCCATAGCCGATGGGTGTGATGACTTATGCCTGTAATCCCAGCACTTTGGGAGGCCAAGGCAGGTGGATCACTTGAGGTTGAGAGTTTGAGACCAGCCTGGCCAACATGGTGTAACCCCGTCTATATTAAAAATAGAAAAATTAACCGGGCGTGGCAACAGGCGCCTGTAATCCCAGCTACTTGGGAGGTACTTGGGAGGCTCAAGCACCAGAATTGCTTGAACCCAGAAGGCAAAAGTTACAGCGAGCCAAGATTCTGTCACTGCACTTCAGCAACAGAGCGAGGGCAACAGAGCGAGACTGTCTAAAAAAGAAAAATAAAGAGAAAGAAAGAAAGAAAAAAAAAAAGGTAAATCCATTGTCCTTCTTGTCTCCTAGCTTTGACTGCAGAAAGGAGGTTCTTCTTTGTCTATTTATCCCCCTTGGTCACATTTGAAGTTGTGTATGAGAACATGAGCTCCCGGGGGCCTGCACGGTTTTCCTGGTCTGTTTTATGCTGCTGCTGATTTGATTTCAAGGTCCACATAACTTCTCCTTATAGTCCATTGGTCAGCTACATCTACCTGCAAGGGTGGTTGGAAATGTAGTTGCTAGATAAGTGACCATGTGCCCAGAAAGAAGGAAAAGTGGATTCGGGGGTGGGGGTGGGGGGTCGGGGGGGGCGTTAGCACTCTTTCCCCTTCATTCATTCCATAAATATTTCAACACCTAATGTGTGCCAAGGACATTCTAAGCATTATGGATACAATGAACAAAACAGATAAAAGATCCATGCTCTTATATTCACCCTTAGAGCAGCAATGGGGGAACACCAAAAACAATAAAAAATATCAGACAGCAATAAATGAAGTGGCCAAAATAAAGCAGACAAGCAGTGTGGGGAGTTCAGGGAAACGGGGTGGTGTGTTGCAATCTTAAATAGGGTGGTAAAGGAAGGTGCTCTGGGAAGGTAATATTTGAGGGAAGACCTGAAGGAGGTGAGGGAGTAAACGTGCAGATGCATGTGAGAGAAGAGGGATCCAGGCAGTGCTAAGAGGATGTGCAAACATCCCAGGCAGGATCATGCTTGCAGTGAGAGGAAGCTCGTAGTTGAGGAAGAACAAGGAGGTTATTATGAAGGGAGCAGAACAAGCCAGGGCGTGAGTAGTAGGAAAGGAAGTCAGATAGATAGCGGAAGGGATAGGGATGGGCTGGCAGATTGTGTGGAACTTTGAAGACTACTGTCAGAACTTTGGCTTTGACTCTGAGTGGGGCCACTGGAGAGTTTTGAGCCAAGGACTGTCATACTCTGACTTACATTTTTGAAAGGCTATTATTTTGCAACTAGATTATGAGGGGCAAGGACTGATAGGAGACGATTGTAAGGTAGGAGGCAGGGACTTGACTCCAGACCAGATTGAAGACTGGCTGAAACAAGGAGGAGGCACCGAAAGCACCTCTCCATAAAACACACCCACCAGTGCCATGACAGTTTACCATTGATTGCCATGGCAACACTCTAGAAGTTACCACCCCTTGCCATGGCAACACCTGGAAGTTACCACCCATTTTCTAGCTAATTCTGGATAACTCACCCATTAATTAGCATATCATTAAAAAGGGGTATAAATACAAATGCAGACCTTCCCCTGAGCTGCTACTCTCACACACTTTTTATGGGGTATCCCTGCTCTGCAGGAGCTGTCTCGAAGCTGTAACACTGCCTGGCTGACCAAGTAAAGCTGTTTTCTTCTACCTCAGGCTTGCTCTTGAATTCCTTCCTAGATGAGCAAAGAATCTGCCCTGCATCAATTGCAGTAGCCCAGGAGAGAGACAGTGTTGGCAAGAACCAGGGTGGTGGTGAGGGTATGGGAAGTGATTACAGTCTCTACATCCAAATATGTTTTCTAGTCAATTTGTGAAGAAGTCCTCTCCACCATGTACAGGTATTCTAAATAAATTAATGAATATATGAATGAATAAGCAAACACATTTACATTTATATCTGAATACGTAGCTCCTCTGTTTGAAGCACTCTGTTGTCTATTGGGTTTGACATAGTGAGACCTCCAAGATGTAGCCTTACTTATATTTGCAACCTCATTTTCTTTCATCTCCTCCTAGATTGAGTGCAAAACTGTCTCCTCTCTTCCTCTCTCAGCCTTTTCCCCTCTCCCCACAAGCCTCTCTATGTGAATCTCTTCTGCCACCTTCACAGGCAGAGACCATCTTCTTATAGTTTGCCCTGCATAATTCTCAGTTCCTGGCCTAGAGGAAGTATTTAGTAAAGTTTGCTAGACTGAACTAATTTCCTAACTCTTGGCATCCCCATCTATTTCCTCACTCCCTTATGTCATTTTTGTACTCTGTTTTCTTTTTAGTTTTTTTCCCTCTTTCAAAAATGAAGATGATACAAATGAGCTTATTTAGGACAGACACTAAAATTATCAACTGTTGAGAAGGTAAAACATTTATTTTTCTCAGTGTCTCTCTTTTTTTCCTTCTTTTCATCAGAGACACTTGAGTTAAAATTCTTACTTGCTAAGTTTATGACATTTGATAGGTTTCTTCACTTTGAGGTTTCTATCATTCTATCTGTAAAATGGGGACAACAGCGCTCACCTTTCAGATGTGGTTGCAGGTTGAGTAAGTAATATATACAAAGCATGCTGCTTTTATTTGAGTCTCATAAAAAGCTTTATAGAATTATAAAGTATTATATTCTCCCATCTTTACAGATGAGGTTCAAATTCACATGTCTTAAGTGAGAGAACCAGATAAGATTTCAGGTCTTTGTTTCCTAATTGTTTCCTATTTCACTGGCTCTTTCATTTGACTCCAGGGCTAGCAAAAACCAGTGTCCAAGCTGGGTGTGATGGCAATGCCTGTAGTCTCAGCTCTTTGAAAGGCTGAGGCACTTGAGCCCAGGAGTTGGAGGCTGACCTGGGTAACTTAATGAGACTCTGTCTCTAAAAACAAACACAAAAAACACACCAACAACAGGCAAGCAGAGAGTCAAATCATGAATGAACTCCCATTCACAATTGCTACAAAAAGAATAAAATACCTAGGAATACACTTAACAAGGGAAATGAAGGACCTCTTCAAGGAGAACTACAAACCACTGCTCCAAGAAATCAGAGAGGACACAAATAAATGGAAAAACATTCCATTCCATGCTCATCGAAAGGAAGAATCAATATTGTGAAAATGGCCATACTGCCCAAAGTAATGTATAGATTCAATGTTAAAACTCCCATTAAACTATGGTTGACATTCTTCACAGAATTACAACATATAATAAACTATTTTGAAATTCATATGGAACCAAAAAATGCCTGAACAGCCAAGAACATCCTATGCAAAAAGAACACAGCTCAAGGCATCACACTACCCAACTTCAAACTATACTACCAGGCTACAGTAATCAAAAAGCATGGTACTTGTACAAGAACAGGCACACAGACCAATGGAACAGAATAGAGAACTCAGAAATAACACCACATACCTATAACCATCTGATCTTTGACAAACCTGACAAAAACAAGCGATGGGGAAAGGATTCCTTATTTAATAAATGGTGCTGGGAGAACTGGCTAGCCATATGCAGAAAATTGAAACTAGACCCGTTTCTTACACAACATACAAAAATTAACTCAAGATGGATTAAAAACTTAAATATAAACCCCCAAACTATAAAAACCCTAGAAGAAAATCCAGGCAATACCATTCAGGACATAGGCATGGGCAAAGATTTCGTGATGAAGATGTCAAAAGCAATTGCAACAAAAGCAAAAATTGACAAATGGGATCTAATTAAACCAAAGAGCTTCTGCACAGCAAAACAAACTATCAACAGAGTGAACAGACAACCTTACAGAATGGGAGAAAATTTTTGCAATCTATCCATCTGACAAAGGTCAATATACAGAGTCTATAAGGAACTTAAGCAAATTTATGAGAGAAAAACAAACAATCCTATTAAAAAGTGGACAAAAGACATGAGCAGACACTTATCAAAAGAAGACATACATGCATCCAAGAAACATGAGAAAAAGCTCAACATCACTGATCATTAGAGAAATGCAAATCAAAACCTCAGTAAGATACCATCTCATGCCAGTCAGAAAGGCTGTTAATAAAAAGTCAAAAAACAACAGATGCCAGTGAGATTGTGGAGAAAAAGGAACACGTTTACACTGTTAGTGGGAGTGTAAATTAGGTCAACCACTGTGGAAGGCAGTGTGGCGATTCTTCAAAGACCTAGAGGAAGAAATACCATTTGACCCAGCAATCCCATTACAGGGGTATATACCCAAAGGAATATAAATCATTCTGTTATAAAGATACGTGCACGTATATGTTCATTGCAGCACTATTCACAATAGCAAAGACATGGAATCAACCCAAATGCTCATCAATGATACACTAAATAAAGAAAATGTGGTACATATACACCATGGAATGCTATGCAGTCATAAAAAGGAATGAGATCATGTCCTTTGCAGGGACATGGATGGAGTTGGAAGCCATTATCCTCAGCAAACTAATGCAGGAACCAAAATCCAAACACTGCATGTTCTCACTTATAAGTGGGAGCTGAATAATGAGAACACATGGACACATGGGTGGGAACTACACACTCTGGGGCCTGTCGGGGAGAGTGGGGGGAGGGAGAGCACCAGGAAGAATAACTAATGGATTCTGGGCTTAATACATAGGTGATGGGACATGGCACACGTTTACCTATGTAACAAACCTGCACATCCTGCGCATGTACCCCTGAGCTTAAAATAAAAGTTGAAGAAGAAACAAGCAAACCGCTAGTTGCAGAATTCTCAATATGGACTGGGCACTTCTGAGTGGGTAGTTTGGAATTTTCCTAAGTTGAATCCTAAAATGACCTCTGATCGATCAACATAATTAATGAGCTCCTTGCTGTGTGCCCAGCACTGCCAGTAGCTGCTTTAAGGGCCATAGATGTAAAATCACATTTCATGCTCTCATTGAGAAGGCAATCTAGCTGTGCTGACAATGCTGACTTCTGTGGAACAATAGTGGATATGACAAGCCAGAATATAACAAGATGTGGAGAAAGTGGTGTGCAAACTCTAAGACCTGCTGGACCAAAGAGCTGAATGAATGAGGAAAGGTGAGGCTGGGCTTTTCAAAGGCAAGATGTGAGAACTGTGTCCTAAGAAATGCATAGGATCTGGCTGGGGAAGCAGGAAATGGGGCATTTGGGGAGAGGAGATGGGGAGCAGCCTGTGGGGCAGCAGCAAAGCTGCCAAACTTCTGTTTTTCATGTACTCCATGTAAGTGTAGTTATCACAGTTTAAAAATATCTGAAGGACAGTGTCAGCAGCAATGGATTTCCACTAGATAGTTGGGTTACAGGATTAGAGCATGCAGGCTTACGCAGAGCCTGTTCCAATAGGTGACCTTGTCTGGGACTCCACATCAGCAGGGCTCATCCTGTCCTCTGTCCTGCTGTGCTCCGCTGTGGGGCCTGTTGCAGGCTGAGAATTGAAGGGGAAGAATCAAGTGCCAGGAGAGGGAGCTGGGGGAAGCCAGAGGCTGGCTCACCTGCAGAAGGGTGGGACACCTCCTAGCTGGAAGCTTGTCAAGCTTGGAGCTAAAGCTTAGTGTTGGCCACCTCTTGCTGAGAGGGAAAGGGAGGAAGTGAGAAGGGGGCACTTGTGTTCTCCCTGGGGCCTGGGATTGCTAATCTCTTTTAGGGAAGCAATGATTTGGGCTTCAGTGATAGTCTGACTCCAAACTATGGAGTTCTAAGGAAGCCAAAAGAGAAAAAGATTATCCCTGATTGAGGAGGAAGGACTCATGCTGCTCACACTCAAATAGCAACGTGAAATACAGTTTTCTTTAAACCACCCCTTAAGGAAATAACCACAAGGTTTAATATGACAGTTTTTGAGATAGTGAGAAAACTACAAACAAACTAAATGCTCAAGAATAGGGTCTTGATTAAATGAGTTATAGGGAGTTCCTATCAGGAGGTACAAAGCAAATATCAAAAGCGAGGCTGTAGAGCAGAAATCAGCGAACTGCGGCTCATGGGCCAATCTGGTGAGCTGCCTGATTTTTTTATGGCCCTTGAGCTAGGAATGATTTGACGTTTTAAATGGTTATCTAAGAGCTTACATAATAGCCTCAATTTTGCTTTGTAGCCTGCAAAACTTAAAACACTATGTAGCCCTTTAAGAAAAAGTTTGCTCACTATTGCTATAAAAGGAAATTTAATGAGATGCAAAATTTTTATTATTAATTAGGTGAGAATATAGTGTTAATTTGTGTCTAAGTTATCTGTTGCTGTGTAACTACCCTGGAATCTGGCATTTTAAGACACCTACCATTTTGCTTGCTCATTATTATGTGGGTCATGAATTTGGACAAAGCAGTGTAAGGATGTCTGGAGCCTTGGCCAGGATGATCTGAAGGATGAGGAGCTGGCTGGGATGGTTCTATGGGTAACACATGTGTAGGGATTTAATTGTCTCCATCTGTGACTGTATTCTTCTCCATGTGGTCTCTCCATGTGGCTAGCTTGGGCTTCCCTACTGCATGGCAGGCTGAGGGTAGATGGATTTCTTACATGGCAACTGGTTTCCCCAGTGCAAAAGCAGAAGCTGCCAGCCTCTTAAAGGCCAGGCATAGCTTCATTCTGCTGCATTTCACTGAATGTCCTAAAGAATTTCAAAGGTCACAAGGTCAGCCCAGATTCAAAAGAGGTGGAGAGATAAGCCTCCTCCTTTTTATGGGAGGAGCAACATATGTGCACAGAAGGCTGTGGGTGGAGCAATGTGGAGCTGTCTTTAGAGACCACCACTGTGGATAGTAAATATACACAGAAATGTACCTACATTCCACAATTTTAAGGGGATACAAAAATATAAAGGAATGGCCCTACCTATTCTATAAATTTGTGGTAGACATCTGTCATATTTACGCTTACCCGTCATCTTTGAATAACATTTTTAGATTTGAGTAAGTGAACCAATGTCTCACCTCCTTGCAGCTAGGATGCAAACATGTGAATATAATATTTTCAACAAAACAGAACAAAAAAAGTGTTAAGAAATCTTGAGCTTTGGAGCCAGACCATCTTAATTCAAATTTCAACTTTGCCACTGATTGTTCATGTGATCTCAGACTAGTTACATAATTTTATGTGCCTCAGTTCCTTCAGCTATAAAAAGGGATATTCATAGTACCAACCTTTTAGGGTTGTTTTGAGGCTTAAATGAGTTAATGTTTCAAAGAGCTTAGGATAGGCCTAGGCTCTGCCAATCAGACATAAACATGAAACTTTAATTCAAATATGAGACAGCAACTGACTCTGGATCTGTAAAGACATCCAACTTTTACCCTAGTCACAAGATCAAAATGGAATTGGTACTGGTGGGAGGAGTGGCTACAGAATAGTCTAGTTCCAGGGATTTATATGTTGTTTCCCCATTGAATTAGTTCTGTGTGATTTTGGGCATTATTCCTGAAAGCTTCAGTTCTAATCTGTTTTTCCAGCTAGTTCAATAATTCTGAGGGCAAATGTGTCTTTTAAAAACCTCCCCACCATCATTTTCCCTCTAAACTATATAGAGTGGATACAGTGGATTCTGTTGTTCCCAATTAAGAAGTGTGGCTGATATAAATGTGGTATGGTTTCAGGGATGCAAAGAAAGGCCTTTTGGACAATTTTTTATGTCTGGAATTGTAGCATCTGGGAATTTTCTCTAATGCTTTTATGTTGATATGCAAACCCTGGAAGGAAGGTGTCATATACAGAGTTTTTAATTATTTTTGTGTAAAGTGCTTTATTTGGAGCTGGAGTGGGGGCACACTAATTTGGATTCCTGTCTAAGCAGCTTGAGTCTGGAATGAGAAGTGAGATCTGTTCTGATTAATTTTTCTCCTTCCTTGTTCTCCAGAGTTGGGCAACATTACATTGTTTTGTCATCTCACATTTCCAAGGTTGCCTGATAATAACCAGAACTTGTTTTTGCCTTAAAATGTTTCACATTCTTTCCCCTGGGTGACACATAAGATTTACATAATTTCCATATTTGTCTGATTCACTTAGGCTAAATCATTCAGTAGATCCAAGAAATACCTTTGATGTCATGATTTGGAGCATACCCACATCCATCTGAAAAATGTTCAGTGGTCATTGGCAGGTACTGTCAAAAGATGCCAAGAACCTCGTGGAAGAAAATGTAAACATTTCTATACTAGAAGTGAAGCAAGAGCGGCAGCTAGGTTCACTTGAATATGTGTGTAATAGTTGTCATGAGAGGAGGGGTTGAAACTTAAAGAGGATTGTAAAAAATTTAAATGGAAGAGAAAATTTCTGGGTGGGTGGGGAGGGATTGCATAAATTGAGTGCACACCTTTAACCTATTGCAGGGACACCTTGCCAATACTCATAATGCTGCAAGAATCATGATAACAATGTTATTTCTTAAGATTCCATGAGGCAAACTACTATCATCTCTATATTACTCCATGGACACTCAGAATGGGTTATGGTGCCAGTCATTATGACCACTTTCAGGCAGATGAGTCCATCAGGCCTTCTTAGAGTGTTTGCTCTCTGCAAGATGGTGTTACCCCTGTGGATGGGGACAGAGAGACACATGGGCTAGGTAGACATGGTGAGGCACTCAGGCAACCCAGCATATCAGAGAATGGTGTTGGCTAAAGTATGGATGGGGGCAATAGAAATGGGTTGAGGGAGGGCAAAACAAAACACCACAGGTGATGAGAAGGGCCACTAAAAATAACATAAGAGCTTGTTGGAAACAGATTTCACACATGTATTTTACATTTTACTAAGAGGACACCTCTGCTTAAATGTTACAGAGGTCTGTGGCTTTTCTGTTTTTTTTGTTTGTTTGTTTGAATAGAGTATTTCTATGAAACTCTGCTTAAAAATGAGAAGCGCTGGGACCTAGAAATCAGAAGATTACACCTGGGTTCTTAGATTCATTTTTATGATCGGTGTGTCTTCAAGCCTGTTGGTTTACTTGGTTATGTCAAAAAGGTAACATCTGTAAAATGAGAAAGTAACATTCATGTTACTGTTGGTGGATATTTGATTATGAATTATAGACGAGATGATATTAGATAATTATTAATTTTTTAGGTATAATAAGGGAAAATGACATGTTGCTTGCAATTTACTAAGATACTTCAGTTTTTAAAAAAGACAGATGAATAGTGATTTGTTCATATTGTAAGTTTCAGGAGATGAATAACACCATTCTATCTACTTTTCTATCGGTTGGAAATTTTTCTTAATTAAAAGTTAGAAAAGAATACTCATCTTACTTATCTCACAGGATTGTTGTAAGTACCAAACAAGAAAATGGATGGAAAATGTTGTATAAACGGAAAAGCACTAAACAAATATGAGTAGTAGTTTTTTAAATTGTTCTTAAGAATAATACAAAAGATTACTGAGGCTTGAGTAGGCGGTTTTCCCCTCCCAGTGTTAAGGAAGCTGCCAGGAAGTTTGTACTGGGTGGAACTCACCGCAGTGCAGCAAAGCTATGGCCAGACTGCTTCTCTAGATTCCTCCTCACTGGGCAGGGCATCTCTGAAAGAAAGGCAGCAGCCCCAGTCAGGGCCTTGTAGATAAAACTCCCATCTCCCTGGGACAGTGTACCTGGGTTGGTGGGGTGGGGGTGGTGGGGGGCGGCGTGGGGGGGAGCTGTGGGCACAGCTTCAGCAGACTTGAAAGTTCCTGTCTGCTGGCTCTGAAGAGAGCAGTGGATCTCCCAGCACAGCATTCAAGCTCTGCTAAGGGACAGACTGCCTCCTAAAGTGGATCTCTGATCCCCATGCCTCCTGATTGGGAGATACCTCGTACAGGAGAGCTCTGGCTGGCATCAGGCGGGTGCCCCTTTGGGATGAAGCTTCCAGAGGAAGGAGCAGGCAGCAATCTTTGCTGCTCTGCAGCCTCTGCCGGTGATACCCAGGCAAACAGGGTCTGGAGTGGACCTCCAGCAAACTCCAGCAGACCTGAAGAAGAAGGGCCTGACTGTTAGAAGAAAAACTAAGAAACAAAAGCAATAACACCAACATCAACAAAAATGATGCCCACACAAAAACCCTATCTTTTCTTCACAGAATTAGAAAAAAACTACTTTAAATTTCATATGGAACCAAAAAGAGAGCCCTTATAGCCAAGACAATCCTTATCCAAAAAAAATAAATAAATAAAAAAGAAAGCTGGAGTCATCAAGCTACCTGATTTCAAACTATACTACAAGGCAAGAGTAACCAAAACAGCATGATACTGGTACCAAAACAGAGATATAGACCAATGGAACAGAACTGTGGCCTCAGAAATAAAACCACACATCTACAACCATCTGATCTTCGACAAACCTGACAAAAACAATCAATGGGGAAAGGATTCCCTGTTTAATAAATGGTACTGGGAAAACTGGCTAGCCACATGCAGAAAGCAGAAATTGGACCCCTTCCTTACACCTTATACAAAAATTAACTCACGATAGGTTAAAGACTTAAATGTAAAACGCCATAAAAACCCTAGAAGGAAACCTATGCCATACCATTCAGGACATAGGCGTGGGCAAAGACTTCATGACTAAAAGGCCAAAAGCAATTACAGCAAAAGCCAAAATTGACAAATGGGATCTAATTCAACCATAGAGCTTTTGCACAGCAAAACAAACTGTCATTAGAGTGAACAGGCAACCTGCAGAATGGGAGAAAATTTTTGCAATCTATCCATCTGACAAAGGGCTAAGATCCAGGATCTGCAAGGAACTTAAACAAATTTACAAGAAAAAAACAACCCTATCCAAAAGTGGGCAAAGATATGAACAGACACTTCTCAAAAAAAGACATTTATGTGGCCAAAAAACATATGAAGAAAAGCTCATCATCACTGGTCATTAGAGAAATGCAAATCAAAACCACAGTGAGATATCATCTCAAGCCAGTTAGAATGGGGATCATTAAAAAGTCAGGAAACAACAGATGCTGGAGAGGATGTGGATAAATAAGAACACTTTTACACAGTTGGTGGGAGTGTAAATTAGCTTAACCATTGTGGAAGACAGTGTGGCAATTCCTCAACGGTCTAGAACCAGAAATTCCATTTGACCCAGCAATCCCATTACTGGGTTTATACCCAAAAGACTATAAATTATTCTACTATAAAGGCACATGCACATGTGTGTGTATTGCAGCACTATTTACAATAGTAAAGACTTGGAACCAACCCAAATGCCCATCAATGATAGACAGGATAAGGAAAATGTGGCACATATACACCATGGAATAGTATGCAGCCATAAAAAAGAATGAGTTCATGTCCTTTGCAGGGACATGGATGAAGCTGGAAACCATCATTCTCAGCAAACTAACACAGGAACAGAAAACCAAACACCACATATTCTCACTCGTAAGTGGGAGTTGAACAATGAGAACACATGAACACAGGGTGGGGAACATCACACACCAGGGCCTGTTAGGGGGTGGGGAGCTAGGGGAGGGAGAACATTAGGAGAAATACCTAATGCATGCGGGGCTTAAAACCTAGATGATGGGTTGATAGATGCAGCAAACCACCATGGCACGTGTATACCTATGTAACAAAGCTGCACATTCTGCACATGTATTCCAGAACTTAAAGTGTAGTAAAAGAAGAAAAAAAAAAAAGAATAATACTAAGATTATCCCACTTTGCTCTTATCTAGGTGGATACTCTCAGTTTCTCTTCTTCTACTTTTAATACCTGGGTAATAAGAACAAAGAGGACCTATTCCAGACAGTTCAAGGGGAGGTTTTCTCCTAATGGTTTCTTACATTGTGCAGAATGGAGGCAACAAAGTCTACAGAGAATACTGGGGAAAACAGAGCGCTGGACTTCAGTCCTCTCTGTATATAGGGAATGGTCTCTAGATGCTCATGGTTTCAACGAATTTTAGTATACCACAGTACTCATTTCTACTCTCTAGCTCCCTGACTTCCAGAGAGAGCTACATGCTTGATTTCTAATAATGCTTTCAGTATAAGAGAGAAGAAAATAATGCAGGGTTAATTGCTGAGGTATTCTGGGATCACCTTTCAGTCATATATCTGGCATTTGCCCTAGAACCTTAAATCCTTGTGGAGAGAGAGTTTTTGGATAAACTGTACTAGCACAATGTCTATAGAAACATTTGTTCTCTTCTTGCATCTTCCTAAACTCTAAGGGTTATTCCTAAGAGTGGAATATAGCTACATTTTCTCCCTCATATTTTAATGAAAATATATTAATGATTAACCTGCTATACTTTGCTATTTTATTCACTTTTTATGTACAGTAGATTCAGGTTTTCCTAAGGGGTTGGAAGCACTCTGCTTGGTAAGAAAATATACTTTATATTTAGCTGTTTGCATATTAATGCTGCTGTACCAGCTCTTGTAGGGCTAATGCATTGGTGACACCAAATATTAAATTGCTTGTTCTCTTGTAGTTTGAATACAATGATGAATTGGAGAGCACAGATGTCCAGGCTGGCTGGAAGCCAGACCTCTCTTTCCTTCCAAACCACTAACACAGTGGAACCTTGGGTAACCTCGAAAAAGTCACTTTCCTTCTGCTACTTTCTCTACCTTTGTGAAATTAGGGCAATGATGTGTTCAACCCATTTCTTTCCTTAGGGGATATGAGTAAGGAAGAGGATGTTCATCAAGTACCCTGGCTACTTTAGAGGAGATGTTCTATTGAAGGCAGTAATAGGAAATCTTATAAATCATGAGACCTCTTGGGGGTGTGTTGCCTGGATACAAAATATTCATACTATTATTTTCTCTTTTGCAAATTATATCTATTGCACAATTGGGATTAAATTGGATGGGCATTTTTTTCATCCTCAGAAGTTATGTTGTTGTTTTGTTTTAAGAACCAAAAAGAATCCTCACTAAGTGATATAACGATAAGATTGACAAAATATATGAAATTCTTCTAGTGGCTTGGAGAGAAATATTTTACTAAAAAAAAAGCCCAGAGAAGCTATTCAGTTGATCATTCCTAGTAGAAAATCACTGTAAATAATTAAACATCAGGCACCCTTCTCAATGATTTCCACAGCCCTCTTATTAGGATAGAAACCTAAAATCATTATGAGAAAACCTCCAGACCCTTGTCACCAAAATGGAGTTCATTTCACAGCAAAAACTGACGTCTTAACATGAAAGAAAGCATAACCCTTGGTAACCTAGAATACTTCTTTTTTTTTTTTTTTTTTTTTTTGAGATGGAGTCTTGCTCTGTCGCCCAGGCTGGAGTGCAGTGGCGCGATCTCGGCTCCCTACAAGCTCTGCCTCCCGCGTTCACGCCATTCTCCTGCCTCAGCCTCCTCAGTAGCTGGGACTACAGGTGCCCGCCACCACTCCCGGCTAATTTTTTTTTTTTTTTGTATTTTTAGTAGAGACGAGGTTTCACCGTGTTAGCCAGGATGGTGTCGATCTCCTGACCTCGTGATCCGCCCGCCTCAGCCTCCCAAAGTGCTGGGATTACAGGCGTGAGCCACCACACCCAGCCTCTAGAATACTTCTATGTTTGGTTTCTGAGAAGAAGGGGCAAAAGAACAAATTGATATCCCATATTTATTTTGAGGAGACATTTCTAGGGCAAGTTCTTTAACTGTGGAAGACTAATTCTTCTTATTATTAGTCCTCCTCAATAGTCTTCAAAAGTCCTCTTGTAATTCTGTAGGATGAAGCTATTTGGCATGATAGTCCTGAACCACTACGAAGTCACAGAATCAAGAAGATTAGGGCTTCAAGGAACCTTAGAGACTACTAGACAAACCACTCTCCTTCACAGAAGAGGAAACCAGGGCCCACAGGAGGCCCTCATTGAAATGTATTTGATAGGCTGGGTGCAGTGGCTCACACCTGTAATCCAAGGACTTTGGAGGCTGAGGCAGGAGGATCACTTGAGGCCAAGAGTTCGAGACTAGCCTGGGCAACATAATGAGACCTTATATCTACAAAAAATTATCAAATTGGCTGGGTGTGGTAGCACACACCTGTAGTACTAGCTACTTGGGAGGCTGAGGTGGGAAGATCATTCGAGCCCAGGAGTTTGAGGCTGCAGTGGGCTAGAATTGTGCCTTGAACTTCAGCCTGGGGTCTAGGTGACAGAGCAAGAACCTGTCTCTAATATATATATATGTTGTCATGTGCAAAGTGTTTATTCATTAGTTCAACAAATATTCATAACACACCTGCTGTGTGTCAAGCAAACATTTATTGATTACCTCCTCTTTGACAGGTTCTTCAAAATACAATGGCGATGGATAATAATCCTCAAACAGAATAGGGTTTAATAGGAGAGGCCTCCTGCAAGCATATAATTACAGTGCAATAAAACATGTATGAAGGCAATGGGACGTAGAGAAATCCACTATTTCAAGAAATACCATAGAATAGCATTTCTTACAGTTTACCCTACAAACTACAATAATCTATAATATGAGGGGTATTGAGGAAACAATATTCTTGGCTATATAAGGTCAGGAAATGTTGAATACTTTTTTTGCTGGAGATGCACAGTGCCCATTAATGTATTAGAGAAGCATGTTAAAGAAGTTCTGCAATTTAAACATGCTTCTCAAATTTATTTGAGCATGGAAAATATCCCTCAACTCAACATTCTTTCCTGTCCCTCTTTCTCCTTTTCTTTCTCTTTCTGGTCCTCATCCTCTTTCTATTCTGGCAGAACATTTGTCTATATCTCTGCTCATGTTACATAGCAGAGAAGTTTTAAAAAGTGTTTTGGCCATCTCTCAGTTCATCAGAGAGCTCCATTAGCTAAGAGGTCATACTCTCAAAAGATTCAGCTAATGGAAGTTTACTGTAGTTCCAAGACATTGCTGGAATAAATGTCCCAATAGTAATAAATTAACATCCCCTCATCACATATGTAGAATGTTGAAGCAATAATGAATATAATTTGGGAAATTTGATTATTAACCAGAAGTGAAATAATTTGAAATGGAATATAACAAACAATTGCTTCTTGCTCTGCTACAATTAATCTAATATGCCTGAGATGAGAGATAATTCAGAAGGTATAAGATTTCAGAGCAAACACCTATTTGAAGAAATGCTATTAGCCACCAATAAATGCAGACTGGACCACATGTGTTAAAATACATCGGTTCTCTATTGCCAAACCTTTCTGACTGAAAGCAAACGTTTTTACAGTCATCTATTATACAAAGCCCTGAGTTATCTCCCCACACCTCCCCTCCCCACTCCCGCCGACCCTCGTGGTACTTCTCTGATTTTATGTTACTCTGTTCCCCACCTCACCCTGGAGTAGATTCCTCAAGCACAAGGTTATACACCCACCTCAAAGCTTTTTATCTGACTTTTTACTGTACCTGGAATCTTTACTGTACCTGGAAATCTTTTCTCCAGATATCTCCGTGGCTATACCCTGACCTTCTTCAAGTTTTTGCTCAAATATCACCTTTTCAGTGTCCACTCTATTTAATATCACGACTTCCCTCGACACCCAACGCTCCCCGCACTGCCCACATCCCTTTTCAACTTAGAACATAATGCACAATTTTCTTATAGGTTTATTTCCTATTATCTGTTTCTCCCTACTAGAATATAAGCTCTGGGAGGGTAAGAGTTTGTGTTTTCATTTACTATATATCCCTTATGCCAAGAACAGTGCCCTGATCATGGCATGTGCTCAATTAATAACTGTTGAATGAAGGAAGGAAAGACTGCTAAATTTTTACATTTTAATTGATGCTTTCTGCAGCACAGCACCACTGGGATTTGCAAAACAGGAGTTCAGGGCAGTCCATGTAATGTTTTTTCAGACTTGAAGATTATGCTGTGTTTATAATTTTAACAATTTTTAAGATAGTCTTTTAGTTTTTCCTTTTCTTTTTGGTTTGAAGGGTCATTGTATTGTCATGCTTTCCTCTGATTCCAGCTCTACACTTTATTTACAGTTCAGCTTTCTGGACCTCTCTTGTTTTTCACAAGAGTGAAAGTTTCTGGTGTGGCTGCCTGGTCATTTTTATAAAGCCTATGATTACTCTGATGTGTATATTAATCTCTCCAGCAATGCCCAGCAGTTTGGTGGAACTTTGTCCTCAGTTGCTTGAACTTAAAAAATGTCTAGAATCTGTTTGCCTAAGCTGTAGAGGCCTTTTTTGGATTGGACCTATTAATCTGTCAATACAGTTTGATTTATGTTCCTATTGCCTGTTTTTCTGCTTCTTTACATAGACAGAAAAGAATGCTCTGCAGTTTCTGTTGACTGATTTGACATTTTGCAATGAGGAGTACTTAGTGTTACTTGCTACTAGGAAATTTCATCGTGTACTCCCTCTTAGCATGTATAAAAAGTTTAACTAGCATGTTCCCTACATTCCCTGGCACAGATCTCCCAAAGATAAGCACTTTGCAGTTCTGCCACCTCAGAAACATTTGTCTATCCCTAGTATTTGCCTCCCATTTCCAAGGCTAGTTCCTTACACATGGCCTCCTATCCTGTATCCATTTGTTAAAAATATCTTTAGTGGTACAATTTTGAAAGTCATTGAGGCTTTAAATCAAGTGGCTTTGTAGGCTCTACTTAATTCTTATAACTATCCTTTCAAATAGCTTTTGTAGAATTTAAGCATGAAATAATAATAATAATAATGATAGGTAATTCATATATTTGAGTAGCCCTTTACAGTTTATAATGCTTAGTGGAAAGGGCATGAACATTGCAGACAGCCAAACCTGAATTGAAAACTCACTTGAACATTTATTAGCTTTGTAATGCTGAGCACCTTACCTCCCTCATCTTTCTAAGGGTGGCAGGAACACCTTGCAGGCTTACGGTATTGTTGGATGGGGGAATGGTGCTTGTACAGGGCCTAGTGTGTGCCTGATGCAGAGCGCTGGTTGGGTGCTCAGTTCAAGAGTGCTCCTCTATTTCTCCGCTCTTATACAGACTCTCTTGTTGTGACCTCCTGTTACCGCTACACCTGTTCTAGGTACTAGGATTTCTTATGAAAAAGAAAATCCTTACCCTGATGGAGCTTACCTTTTAGAAGTGGAGGCGGAAAATAAGAACAGAGAAAAACACACAAATATGTAATACTAGATAGTGATACGTGTTAAGGAGAGAAATAGGGTAGGGTGAGGGGGTAAGGATTAGGAAGAGGATGAGACGTGGGCAAGGGAGGCTAGTTTAGACAGTGGACCAGAGAATGTCCCGGAGTGAGTAGGAGAAAAAGTAGATGTGAATCTATGTATCTTGACTTTAATGGATTGTTTTCATTTAAGAGTTTGATAAAGCTGCCCTCACATTTTCTCCAGCTTGCCAGATGTGGAAGGAAGACACACTGGCCTCAAGTTTCCAGGTTCTTGTTTGGAGTTCTTAGGTGCAGAAGATACCTCAGTTGTCAGTTCTGAGTCACAGTGGCCATTTGCAAGGGCAGCAGTTCTTGATTTTTACTACCCAAATAATCCTATAGTTTTTGCCTCCAAAATCTCATTAGAGATGAGAACCTGTGTCTTATTTATATCTCTATCACCAACACTAAGATGCCATCATCTGTCCTATGGACCACTGCAAAAGCCTCCAACCTGGTCTGTGTGTATCAATTATCACCCCCTTCAATGTATCTTGAAGTTTGTCTGCAGCATCATTCTGGTGCTCAACCTTCTCGGAGAGAGTGCTCAGAGGAAGCAGCAGCAGGAATCACCAAGACCTATTTGCTGGCTTTGAGGGTCTGAGGGGCCATTGCTGGGGTAGCTTCAAGAGCCTGGCATCCCGATTCCTGAATCGCAGCCATTGGGATGAGTTCCTGAATGCAGCATTTCCATGGCCTAAAGGTCACAGTCACCCTAGAGAATCTGTTCAGTACCCTGAGAGTCATTTGTGGAACACCAGTGCACATGGTGCCCCTCCAGTCAGTCCAGTGACTATGCAAACCTTTCATTATATTCCGTCTTCTTGAATACCTAGAGTGCTTGCTATTTTCTTCATGGAATACTGACTGATGCTACTTGTTCTCTTCCATTTCAGTGCCTGGATATCCCTTTAAGGAAGGCTTGCTCTACCTTTTTCTCCTTTTAAAAAACAAAAACCAAACAACGATAACAACACTATTTTTGGGCTTAAATCACATGATTTAAGACCTCAAACTCACCACAATGGAGGAACCATATACTTGTATGCCTCTTTTCTATTTAACCCGACGGATTTCCAGATTCACTCTCCAAACACACCTTTTTTTATTATCCTCATTCATCTTTCAAATTCCCAGTTATTTCTATTATGTGCTTACCAATAAAGACTATTGTGAAATGAAGGATGAAGGGTCTTTGGAGAGATGAGGACTTGTTCTCCTTAATATTCTTCCATTCCTTTGACAACGAAATTATCCTGAAAATGAACTGTCATTATGATACCTGTGGAAGCAGAAAAGTCTAAAACAACACTCAAGATGGCTGTTTGGGAGAATATTCTTGATAAGCTATGCTAGAATATAGGTCAGATCAGCTATATAAATATCTAAGACAATGCTTTCAGGCACTAAATGCTACTCATAAAAAATTAAGTGGAATTTAGAGTGGTTTTAAAATTTATTACAAATGACAAATTGAAAAATAAGCCAAATGGGAATATAGATTTTATTTCTATATTTAGTGTAGGAAAGTCATAGGAATCCCTTGGCCAGTGATTGTGGAAAATTTAGTTTTGGAGCTGTAAGTGTTGAAATTCCCATGGTATTAAATTATTTTGATGAGTTCAAAAATATCCTAAATAATTAAAGGAAACATGTTATTAACTGTTTTTAACACTACTAGAGTAGGTGGTTTCAGATAATTTTTATGCTAATGGTTTTCTCTCCTAGATCTAATTTAATGGTCTGGAATGTTCTCCATTTGACCACCTGTCTCGATGGAATGAAGTCAACTAGTTTGCCTACTCCTGCTTTTTATCTTCCAGTGTAGATATGAAGAATAAGAAGAAGAGATTTTAAAATGTAGTGATGATTATACTAATATATTTAAGTGTATCTCCAAGTATTTTTAAGTATGTCTTTGGCTAAAAATGAGAACTTGTATTTTTAATTCAATGAAGGGGTCTATACTAATTAGAAAACCATTTTTTGGTGGGGAGAAAAGAGCAGTTATTACACATTTGCGCAATTTGTTATCTTCTAAATAAATTCATAATCTTATGTAGCATTCATACATTATTAATAAATTTCAGGACTTTTCAGCAGGAGTCATAAATTTTTAAAACTTATTGCATAATTTAAAAAATTAGGAGGGGAAACAAAATTTGGAATAGTGACATATTTTAAGAGAAAAATATATTCTCAAACTCTTGTTATGCTGATAACAATTTGCTAATTGCAAATCATCTCTATTTATTAAAGCAATTTCTCTAAGGACTAATAGATTACATGTTTTCAACCTCATATATTATTTTAGGTGTATGTGAAAATAGTGAAACTGTATTTCTTTAACAACATATTTTTTCTTTTTCTTTTTTTTTTTTTTGGGACAGAGTCTCACTCTGTCGCCCAGGCTGGAGTGCAGTGGCATGATTTTGGCTCACTGCAACCTCCGCCTCCTGGGTTCACGCCATTCTCCTGCCTCAGCCTCCTGAGTAGCTGGGACTACAGGTGCCCGCTCCCACGCCTGGCTAATTTTTGGTTATTTTTAGTAGAGTCAGGGTTTCACCGTGTTAGCCAGGATGGTCTCGATCTCCTGACCTCGTGATCCGCCCGCCTCAGCCTCCCAAAGTGCTGGGATTACAGGTGTGAGCCACCGCGCCTGGCCAACAACATATTTTTTCATTCAGACTTTTTACTTACCAGGTGGATCTTCTCCTGGTTTAGTGCATTCTGGAGATTAGATTATGGAGACTATTTCTGTTCATGAAAGTCACACTCTAAATCACTTAAGTTTCTGTGGTTTCCAGAAGAAGTTAAACATTTACGGGAAAAAGTCAACATCCTCGATAGCTCCAGTGTACTTTGGCATTTCCGTGGACATGGGAAAGAGAAACATGGTTCATAGCTCTCTCTGGCTTCTGCATAATGTTACACCAAATACCATATGCTCTGTCGGTGACAATTTTCTTCACTCATTGTGTCTTTTAACTCCAAATGTTCACATTTTAATAATTTGCTTGAGAAGAATGAAAAGTGACACACATATTACCTTTAAAAATCTATATTCCTTTTGGATATATCTTTTTGAAAACAGAATTCATATTTAGTGCTTTGGGTAAGGCAAAATTAAATTCAACCTTTTAGTTTATGTTCCTGAGAAAGGTAGTTTCAGAGGCATCAGAGAAACAATGAGTTCAGATTACATCATTTATTTAACATTTCCAAGTGATATGTTTTCAATTAAAGTTTTATCGGCCATGTATTGAATATAAATTCTTCTTTCTATTCAATATCTATTATAAAAGAATATGATTTCACCATGGTGTATGCCTATGTATTCAATTAAGAAAATTGCTTAGCTTAACTTCCTAAATTTTCCAATCAGAAAAGTTTTCCAACATTGAAATTAGCCTGCATCTCTGGGAAAAGGTAAGTGCCTTATGGCTATAGACACCAGACAGGTGCTGGAGGGCCGTCTCCTAAAGACACTGACAACGTTCCTTTTAGAGAGAAAGACTGAACTGGCAAGGGAGTATTGTCAGCAGCCATAAGGTTTTATATCCAGCTGCTGTGACTTGATACTGCTGATATAACTAAATCTGGAGAACATTTCTTTTAGTCTCTCCCTTTCAGGCAAGGGTTTTTGTCAGAAATACTATTCCCTGTTAGAGCAAGGACACTCTGTTGAGATGGGGGTTAGACATCTAGGTACTGTTCCTGTTCATCTACTAACTAGCTACACAATTGTGAGCACATTGCTTCTTTATCTGTTTCTCTAAGTCCTTCTTCATCAAAATAATTTGAATTTCCATTTTGCTGGGGTGAAACAGTAATTCCTAATATGGTGCTTCCCTTCCCCACATCCACTGGTTGTCTCAGAGCCTGCTCCCAAGACACATGTTGTCTTCAACTAACCTTGCTTAGGTTTGCAGGCAGGTAATTAGACAAGAGCGTCTTGGCATTTCATCTTCATCATGTCTATCTGTTTCACTAGAAGAATACAGTATTGAAGATTCTGTGTTATTGAAGTTTGGCGGGCATAATATTAATTGCATTATCTGATATATAATACAATTTTTCAAACACATAAATATTTTTTGAATACTTACAATGGGCAGTTAGCTAGATACCCAGTGCATGGGCTAGGGTTATTATATTAAAATAAAGGATTCAGGTCTTATTTCAAACTGCTTACAGTCTACTTGGAGATACAAGTCCTACAGAGAGAAATACACCTAACAACAGAAGGCTTGCTTTCTTACTTCATTTGGCTACAGCTCAATGTCACCCCCTTAGAGAGGCTACCATTGACCACTCTAAATCAAGTAATACCAAGACATACTCTCTGTTTCCTTACCCTGTTTTATTTTTTCTCCATAGAATTTATCACTAGTTGACCATTTATATTTTTATGTGTGTGTTCTCAAATTTGTTAGTTGCTTTTCTCCTTCACTCAATTTAGGTTGTATAAAGGTAAAGGCTTTATTTGGTAATTGTTAGATCACTAGTGTCAGCAGTAGTAGGTGGCACAATAAATACTTGTTGAATAAAGAAAGGAATGATGTATAAATTATATGCCCAGGGAGTAATAAACACAAAAGTGGACAATTCTGATAAGAAACTCTCAAGAAAATGGAATTATGATGGACACTTACTCATCTTTTAAGAATGAGTGAGAAATTCTAGACAAGCAGGGATAAGGGAACATTCCGAACTTGCTCTCTAGGCTGCTTAAGCAGGACTTGAGACGAGGCAGCAAAAGATACCTGGTTGAAACCACCAGTTAAATAGTTACCTATAACCTCAGCAATATACATTGGATAATCTGTCCACATAGGTTTAGAGAGGATCTAAGGGCAACGACCTACAAAACAAATAGTGGTTCAGAGGGAAAGGTGGAAGGGCTCATGTCAGCTGAGAGCAAGGGGGCAGAATTGATACCCTTCAGAAGGATACTCTCCAGCCCCACAAGGGTGCAAGACTCAGCACACAGGCCAGCACACTATTTTTCCTAGGATGAGGTGGGCAACTCAGTGATTCTTTGTATTCTGGGGCCATGCCACTGTACTTTAAAATGGGTTCTAAGACTGGATCTTTCCTGTATTTTCATACAGTTATGGATAAATACTAAATTTGCATATATTTGTTGAACTTAAAAAACTCATGTCATTTTCATAGTTGATAAAACCCAGAAACCATCAAATCTAGCACCTCAGTGAAACCAGAGCAGCATTCCCTTTTTGTCTGTGAGTCTTAAGCTGGTAAACCGGGGGTTGGTGAAGAAAGTAAACTCTGGGGTCTTTTGACCTCTTAATGTCCTTCACAGGCTGAGAGAAATCAAAGACTCTCGAGGAATTTTCCAGTGCTGTAGGATTGATGACTTTAGTCAAGTGTTGTAAAGAGACTGTCAGAAGATAAAAGCCAGTAGAGGTACAACATTAAACAGGGAGTGGGTTCACTTGAGTTTCTCTTAGCAAACTGCTCAAGCTTTCTTTCTTTGTCTTCAGATGAATGTGGTGTTTGATTTCACTTGTCACATGATCCAGCTGTTTCGGGAAAATACTTATGTTTTCCATTGAACAGTCCTGTTGCTATTTTTAGTTGATATTGTGCAGGCACTGCATCTTCTTGCAGGCATCATCTAACTCTCCAGCTGGCTGGTGTTAATAAGGCCAATATTGTGGGCTTGGTAGCTGGTTTTATGCCAATAACTTACAATGTGCATGTAGCTAGATACACTGGGCCCTCTCCCATGGGCAGCACCCTCAAGCTTCCTCAGGGCCTTCATGCTTTTGTGCTGTTGCTCCCTGTGCTGTTGCTTCTGGAATAAATATCTCCCAGAAGAGAAGATAGAGGCATCTTCTTCAGTCTGAAGGGCAGGGTATTAAATTATTATTGATTTGAATTAAAAATGGTTGCTTTAAGTGAGAGATCATGTATTTGTGGGAATGCTACCAGGCTAGAAGTTTGTAAGCCTGCCCTCTCTCTGGTTTGACCACTATTTGTCTGTGTGAATTTAGGCTATCACATAAACTCCAGGTCCTTGTTTGTTCATCTCTAAAATGAGAGAGATGGTCAGCGCTTCTCAATATTTTCAACAAAATTGTCTTCAATAGAAAAAAGTAAAAGCATATATATAAAATTGCCATGTTAGAGCATGCCAAGTAGTTCACAGTTCCCTTTTGCCTATAGGATAGTATAAACTCTTTCACTAAACATTCAAGGCCCTCTACAGCCTGGATCCAGTTTATCTTTCTGCCCTGCTGTGATATCACTCACTTCCATATATGCTGTCTGCCCGTGTGCCTTTGTTCATTCTTCCATCAGCGTGGAATGTCCTTTCTCCTTTCCCTCCCTCTTTATATCCAATGCATCTCTTAAGGCCTGCTTCAAATGTCATTTCCCATGCAAATTTTCTTTGATTCCTTCAGAAATAATCCCCTCCTTTTTAGTTTAACCATGCCTCTCTTGTTGTACACCCTTTCTGCTTTGCTTTTGAATTCATTTTCTTATCTCTTCTGCTGCTTTGTATGTTTCTTGGGGGTCATTATGGTTTCTGTTTCAACTTGGTATTCCTCTTACTTCCCTCCACTAGTTCGATATCTAGTACAGAATCTTATATGCTAGCACAGAAGCCTGTTTCCATTAAATTTTGTTGAAATAGTAAATTAGTCATAAAGAGGTTAAAGCAAGACAGTATTGCTGAAACAACAGCATCTATCTGCATTGCTGAAAAAAAATCCTTAAAGAAATTTTACTGTTGATTTTTCATCAATACCATAGCTTTTTAATTACATAATATTTAGTTAACCCTTCATTATTTATGGTCTTTTAAAAATATGTGATTACCTTTTATTTCTAAAACAGCCTTTGTAGGTATATAAACAGGCATACCTTGGAGATATTGCAGTTTCGGTTCCAGACCTCCCCAGTAAAGCAAATATTGCTATGAAATGAGTCACAGAATGGTTTTGGTTTCCCAGTGCATATAAAAGTTGTGTTTATGTTATACGTTAGCCTATTAAGTGTGCAATAGCATTATGTCTAAAAGATAGTGTACATACCTTAATTAAAAAAGATTTTATTGCTTAAGGAAACTGATGATCATCTGATCTTTCAGCAAGTTGTAATCTTTTTGCTGGTGAAGTGTCTTGCCTCAGTGTTCATGGCTGCTGACTGATCAGGGTGGTGGTGGCTGAAGGTTGTGATGCCTGTGGCAATTTCTTAAAATAAGACAACAGTGAAGAAGTTTGTCACATTGATTGACAATTCCTTTCATGAAAGATTTTTCTGTAGCATGTGATGCTGTTTGACAGCATTTTACCAACAGTAGAACGTCTTTCAAAATTGGAGGCAATTCTCTCAAACCCTGCTGTCACTTTATCAACTAAGTTTATAGAATAGTCTAAATATTTTGTTGTCATTTCAACAATGTTCACAGCATCTTCACCAGGGGTAGATTCCATATCAAGAAACTTTCCTTGCTCATTTATAAGAAGAAATGCCTCACCCATCCAAGTTTTATCAAGGAATTGCAGCAATTCAGTTACATCTTCAGGTTCCACTTCTAGTTCTAGTTCCACAGTTACTTCCTTTACTGATGTCTTAAACACCTCAAGTCATCCATGAGGGTTGGAATCAACTTCTTCTGAACTCCCATGAATGTTGATATTTTCACCTCCTCCCATAAATTACAAATGTTCTTAATGGCATCTAGAATAGTGAATCATTTCCAGAAGGTTTTCAAATAACTTTGCCCAGCTCCATCAGAGGAATCACTATCTATGCCAGCTAGAGCTTCGAAAAATGTGTTTCTCAAATAACAAGACTTGAAAGTTGAATTGATTCCTTAATTCATGGGCTGAAGAATGAATGTGCTAGCAGGCATGAAAACAACATGAATCTCTGTATATCTCTATCAGCGATAGGCTACGTGTGCTGGGTGACTACGTGCATTGTCAATGATCAGTAATATTTTGAAAGGAATTTTTTTTAATGTGCAGTAGGGTTCAACAGTGGGCTTAAAATATTCAGTAAACTATGCTGTAAACAGATGTGCTGTCATTAGGCTGTGTTGTTTCATTTATAGAGCACAGGCAGAGTAAATTTAGTATGATTTTTAAGGGCACTGAGATTTTCAGAATGGTAAGTGAGCATTGGTTTCCACATACAGTCTCCAGCTGCATTAACCCCTAACAAGAGAGTCTGCCTGTCTTTTGAAGCTTTGAAGCCAGATATTGACTTCTCCTCTCTAGCTACAAAAGTCTTAGATGGCATCTGCTTCCAATAGAAGACTGTTTCATTTACATTGAAAATTTGTTATTTAGTGTATCCACCTTCATCAATTATTTTAGCTAGATTTTTTGGATAACTTGCTGCAGCTTCTACACCAGCACTCACTGCTTCATCTTGCACTTTTATGTTATGGAGATAGCTTTGTTCCTTAAAAATTATAAACCACCTTCTGTTAGCTTCAGATGATTCTTTTGCAGCTTCCTCACCTCTGTCAGCCTTCATAAATTTGAAGAGAGTTAAGGTCTTGCTCTGGATTAGGCTTTGGCTTAAGGAAATGTTGTGGCTGATTTAATCTTCTATCCAGACCACTCGAACTTTCTCTGCATTAGCAATAAGTCTGTTTGGCTTTTTTATCATTCATGTGTTCACTGGTGTAGTACTTTTCATTTCCTTCAATAACTTTTTCTTTGCATTTACAACTTGGTTAACTGTCTGGCACAAAAGGCCTAGCTTTCAGCCTATCTCAGCTTTTGACATGCCTTCATCACTAAGCTTAATTATTTCTAGCTTTTTATTTAAAGTGAGAGATGTGCAAACATTCCTTTCACTTGAAAACTTAGAAGACATTGCAGGATTATTAATTGGCATAATTTAAAAATTGTTGTGTCTCAGGGAATAGGGAGGCTTAAGGAGAGAGAAAGAGATGAGGGAATGGTCAGTTGGAGCAGTCAGAACACATACAACGTTTATTAAGTTTGCTCTCTCATATGGGCATGGCCCAAAACAATTATAATAGTAATATCAAAGATCACTGATCAGAGATAGTCATAGCAGATAGAATAATAATGAAAAAGTTTGAAATATTGTGAGAATTACCAAAATATGACACAGAGACATGAAGTGAGTACATCCTGTTGGAAAAATGATGCTGATAGACTTGCTCAACATTGACTTACCACAAACCTTCAATTTGTAAAAAATGCAATATCAGTGAAGTGCAATAAAGTGAAGCTCAATAAAATGAGGTATGCCTAACTCCAATATAATGATGACATTAATCACCTGAAGTTAATGCAGACTCCACAACTTAAGGATGCAGTCCCCCACAAGACTACCCTCATTTTAGATGACAGACACAAAGTCAGGGGTTCCCCAGGCCACCTGCTATGATGAACTGGCTATGAATTTGGAGATTTCCATCATCTTCTCTGGTCTGATATTTGCTAGAATGACTTGCAGAACTCATGGAAGTGTTATAATTACAGTTATAATTATAAAGGATACCATTGAGGACCTGCTAAGTGAAGAGACTAACAGGGTGAGGTCTGGCAAGATTCCAAATGTAGAGCTTCCATTAACCCCTACCCTGTTGTCAGGATGCATATCTCTAGGTACGGTGATGTGTATTCCCCAAGCAGGAAGCTCCCCTGAACCTCACTGTTTCGAGTTTTTATTGAGGTTTCATCAGGTAGGTGTGATTGGTTAACTCACTGGCCACGTAATTAAGTTCAAGCTCCAGTTCCCTCCCCTCTCCAGGGGTCAGGAGTTTGTATTGTTAACATTTGGTTCAAACCCTTAACCTTGTAATCACACGGTTGGCCTTTCTGGCATGACCAGCCCCCATCCTAAGTTGTCTCCCTGGTGTAAACTAAGGTGTGGTCCAGGGTCCCACCATAAGTAACAAAGACACACTTGTCCCTTGGGAAATTCAAGGGGCATAGAACACATTTTTCCAGAAACCTGGGAAAAAGACCAGGCATATTCTTTATTATATAACAGTGGGAAAGAAATTATTACCCTCATTTTCAGATGGCACTGAGGAAGGCAAAGTGACTTGTTCAGTGTCACAAGGCTCAATAATAATGGAGCCAGAATACCAATCCTGGAGGTCTGACCCCAAGTCTCAGCCTCTATCACCGTGATAGATTCCCTACAGGGAGGCCAATTTCACATCATAATTGTCATTATATCTTTCAAACTTTTTTGAGTAGCTGGATCTGAGCTAAATGTTCCTTTGGGAACCATGATCACTGTTCCTGGTGGTTAGTAAGAGATCCTCCTCCTCTGGGCTGTGGCCCATTGATGCTGTGAGTGTGGGGTTGGCAGCCCTCTGATCAGGAGGTCCATTGTATGACAGGTACAAACAGTTCTGCAGACTTTGAAGGTGAGGCACAAGCCAGAGCTACCCTCTTTGTTGAACCATGAGGATAAGTGGATCAAAGGAGTCACAAATCCTCAATTTTAGTGTCCTTTTTTTCTGTAATTTCCACTTATGATAAGAGCATTTGTTATTGGCAAGCTATCTATCTATACGTTTACCATCTGTGTATCCAATCTATTCATCTAATCTATTTATGTGTCTGTCTGTCTATCTTTCATCTATTGACAAGCTTTCATCAGCCTTAAAGGCTGATTGTGGCTGTGGCCTGTTTCTTATAGTGGGGAAGGAAGTATAAGTAAGGTTGAAGGTCCCAGGCATGGCTAAAATACAAAATGATGATTTTTCTAATGTTGCTTCCTTCTCCCTTCTCCTCTCTTTCCTAATACCCCTCCCCCTCCAGTCTTTCCTACTCCCTTCTTCCTTTCCCAGCTTTCAGAATGCCTTTTTACTTCTCCTACATGGAAACATCATCTTGGTTGAACAATCATTCCTATGTGCCAGATATAATTCTATGAGCATTATGCCTATTAACACACACCATCCTCACTACTATTACCATCATTGTAAGTGTGAGAAAGCTGAAGCAAAGAGACGTTTAATGAACTTCCCAGAGTCTCCAGCTAGTTTGTAGCAGATCTGAGAGCTTCAAACCCTGGTAACCAGATGCCCGAGTCTGTACTCTTTACCACCTCACTAAACTGCCTTGATTAAATAAAAAGAATTTCAGCTTTGAAAGTTGGGTTAAGTTGCTGGCTTTTTTCCTTAAGACATATGTGACCTTAGTCATGTTGTAGAAGCTGCCCAAGCCTCAGTTCATTATCCTTTAAACAGGGTAAAGAAACCCTTCTTCAATATGATGCCACAAAGACAGAATGAGGAAATGTATTGAGTAATATACTCTCCACTCACTTCCGTTTTTCTCTTCTCCCTAGGACAGGGGCATGGAAGGACCTAGAGAAGGCGTTGATTCATGCTCTTCAAGACTCATGCTCAGCTTTGGGAGTGCAGTTGGGTTGCCTTTGCAGGAATGACCTTTTGAGACGTCACCCAGCTGCAAGCTGGCTCTGGCTCCTTATTGCCCCACCACAGCTATTGCCCAACTCACTGTAGGGAAAGAGTGGCTTGGTTTTTTTTCTTCAAAACTAAGACTTTCAGGAAAGTGAGCTGCAGTATCTGGAAAATCCAGATATGTTAAGTCACAGTATAAAAGTCTCTTTTACTCTTTCAGGACCATTTTTCCTTCTCTTCTGTGACACCTTCAGCCTTTGCAGAGAGATTGTGGGCAGGAGACCTGTGACATGGGTGTTTGCCTCTAGGAAGCACAGCAGAGACCAAAGCAGGGCACAGTCATTTCCACCCTGGCTTAGACTGTACTGCTCAGCACCGTGACTGGAGGTTACAAGGCCTTTGGCTGTAAGTTTACCTCTACAGGTTTTACTACTTAAGGAACTCCTGCCAATGGACTTTTCTTAAGCCTCAAGGTCAAGTTCAAGTTCCATGCTGGCTCTGTAGAGTTTTCTTGTCCTTTGCAACACAAATAATGGCCAGTCTCTTTAATTGATTCCCCTTAGTTCTGCTTGATTTTCAGTTTTTCACCTTACTCTCTCTAAGTATTAACAGTGACCTTCATGGGAACTGTGGTTGTTACCTTATTTCTTTCTTTGTTGAGTGCCTAGATCCTTGCCTGGAACTTGGCTGATGTCTAATAAATGACTGTTGAATTGAATGTTGACTGCCTGCCTTCCTTTCTGCCTTTTTATATATTACTATGGTTCCAGAACTTTCTACCATCTATCTCACAGATTCCTCATTAGACCCTTACATTGAGATTGTTCATTTCATTGGTCCTGAGGGATTCCCTTGACCTTTCCCCACTCTGTAAATACCAAGTTAGTCTAGCAGAGTGAAACAAAAAGTGAAGTTGGGACTAGACAGACTGGGCTTGGAATACTCATTTTTCAATTTACTTACTGCTCTGACCATGGGCAAGTGGTTCACCATCTCTGAGTCTTGCAAAATGGGGCGATAATGTCCAGAGCTGCTGCTGATAGCCCAAATAGCATCTTTGTGTGAATTAGAAAAGGGAATCTCCAGTGGCCTGTGGACCCTTCATGTGGCAAGCCGGGTGTGAGTTGGATTTTTAGCCTTTACTTGCTCCCTTGGCTGGTACATTCTGTAAAAATCATTCAAGGCAGCTCTTAAAGGACCTCTCTCCCAAGGCTGGCATGAAGGCTAAATGACACTGAGCAAGGGAAGAGCCTGGCAGAAAGCAGGGAATGAAAATGTTTTATTTTTTTGGTGCCCAAAATGAAAATAACACCATGTTACTTACAGTGTACATCCACTTTCCCTCCCATTAACTCCCACCTCTGCCAACCCAAAGTCCTCTATCTGTCCTGTACCATGGGAAAATCCTAGGCAATACTGAATTATCAGTGAAGTTAGCTACTGGAGTCTCACATCTCTTCTAAGGGTATTGTGTCCCCACCCCTACTCCAGCTTCATGAGCCCATTGCCTTCACTCTCTCTCTTTCCTCTTCTCCCTGCTCCAAACAAATTTTGTTTCTGGAAAGAAGCTGATCTCCGCAGTTTGAGCCTTTTCATCTTTCTAATTGTGTACTTACAGACTTTCTCTGCTTTTGGAGATAGCTCTGGCATTACTAAATACATGTGGGTCACAAAGTAATTACTTCTTCTGAGACATAAGGCAGATCTAAAAATGGACCCCTACAAGAGCTAGCATCTTATTGACTGAAACAGATCTCCCTAGATGCCCCAGTAGATACATGACATTTTGATAATTATATCTTTATCAGACACTAAAGTAAACTAATGCACTTTAAACCAAGCAATGTACACACCAACATTTCCTCTATATCTCTGACCCCATCCCATCATCAAGTCTTACAAAGGTCTGGTTGGTGTTTCTCCCCCTTTTTCTTTCTGATCTCTCCTGTGTACTGTAAGAGAGCAGTTAGGATTGCTCACATCTTTGTCCTTAAAGCTCCCAGTGGCAGAATATAGGAGGGAGAGTGGGAGGGGAGAAGATGCTAACTTCATCCTGCTCCTTGGTGTGCCCTGAATCCCAAACAGAAGTAGCCCTGAAGCACACTGGGACAGAGGTTTCAAGACTCTACAGTCTCCTAAACCTCACCCGAGTCTTGAGCTGGATGCTTGACAGGATTGCAGAACTCCTTTGCACAGTGACTCCGACCCAGTTTAGAGGGCTGAAATTTTAGATGTTGAACGTCCCAGGAAACCAAGCAAATCATGAATAAAGAAAAGGCTCACAAGCCATCGTTTTACATCTTGGTTAAGTTTTTGCTATGGTTTTTGTTGGTCTATTGTCAGTATAGCAGAGTGACTAAGTAATGGGTCATGAAGTGGATGATCTGGGTTTGAATCATCGCTTACACTTGTGTAGCTGTGCGAATGTGGACAAATAATATTTTGTGTCTCAAATTTCTTTTCAGCACAATGTGGATGATAATGGTACCTATGTAATTAGATTATTAGGAAGGGTAAATGAAATAGTGCTGATAAAGTGCCCAGTACAATACCTGGCACATTGGAAAAGTGCTCATAATCGCTAGCTGGTTATTCCTACCAGAGATAATAGTGACAACCAAAAGCATTCTCTTCTTTCCTGAGGAAGATTCATTTGAAATACATTTTTTGTTGTTGTTAAATATGCTAATTGGGATTTTGGAGAGCTTTCCCTAGCAAAGCAGGGAATGCTGCAGTGTGATGTTATGGAATGACCATCATTAGACTTGAATAGAAAGACCCAGCAAGGTATTAGTTCTGTTTCTGTCTTTATTAGACTATAATCTTGAACTCTTCACCCAAGAGGGCTTCACCTCAGTTTCCTAATCTGCAGAACAAAAGGATTGCATGAGATTAACTCTATGATCCTTTCCAGCTGCAAAGCCCTGTGATTCTTTGTTTATACTGAATATCTCTGGCTCAGGGAAGAGGCTGAGTCCGGACTCAGGTCCAAATGAAGGCTTGGCATATTGGTCAGTAGTTGGAAGGCCTGAGTTGTTGCCATTCTTGCCTTTGATCACTCACATTTGTTTCAGCAAACCGAACAGGTGAAGTCAGGGCTCTATCAGCTTGGACTTCCACATTCTTGCCTGAGCAGGTGGCCTTACAGCAACAGGCTTCCCAGGCAGACAGTTAAATGTTGGCAACTTATTCCACACAGAGACGCCAGAGGCCTGGGTGGTTCTTATTACTGCTGCCTAGTCTCTCTTGTTTCCTAGTTCTTGGGGAGGCCAAAATATTAAAAAGTGAATTCAGACATCTAATTAGACTCCAAAGCTGTGCTCTTGGGCAATCTGCTCTGCTGCATTAGTAATACTGAATCTTTATTATAAAAACTCTGGCAATTAGTCAATGGAGATGAATTAGTTGATGAGTAATTATCTATGTGAAAATTAGTCTATATGCAATAACAACTTCTTATAAAACAGAAATAAGACAGCATATGGGTAGGTTGGAACAGACATACAGACCATGAGGCCTTAGAGTCATTTGTGGCTAAAAAGTCCTCCACTCTTGGGGTCAAATGGCTGCTCTGTTACTGTTGGTCTGCTCTGATACTTGGCCATCCTCTCTCTCCCTCCCTCACAAAGAAGTCGTGGCCACACTTGGATATGTGGTGAAGGAACTAGCAATTGCTGGCTTTAATTTTAGGGCATAGAGGTTACTGGAGAGGAAAGCTATGCAGGTGACACAGATTTGTGCCACCCTGAATTCCCTCCCCAGGTAACTCCAGGAAATCTTGTCTACGTTTCCTCCAAGAAGGAAGTATGACAACTAGGCCACCCTGGCACTGTCACAGATGGATAGCACCAGAAGGGTCAAAGTGGACTGTGAGGATATTAGGGCTGATTTGTAACAGGTTCCCGTGTCACTAGAGCTCTTACGTGATCCCTTATAGGCACCCATAGAAGACTCAAACAGCACTGTGTACATTGGCTTTGGGGATCATGGGGCTAAAGGGTCTGAGGGGATGCAGTCTTCTTGTAATGCTGGATGGGAAAACACTTCCCATGAAGATATCATAGTTATTGTTTGCTCCTTAAATCTTAAGAGATACAAAAGAGTTTTCAGGTGGCTGCCCTAAAGAAATTGGCCAGTGGTTGCTCCCAGAGCATAAGAATAGATGGCTTCTCAGCGTGCTCATATATGCAACCCAGATGTTTGCTATGATTATTTGCCTTTTAAGGTTCAGATTTGACTCAACTGAAAATAATTTTACTTGGAAGCTCAATGCCTTTTCTTAGATTTCTGCAGTTTCACAAAGGGGCTTATGTTTCATAATTATCGTTAGTTCTGAGCCTCTGTGGCCATTGAATAGTTTAGCTTCTAGACCATTTTTTTTTTGTGTGTGTGTGTATAATTGTTGTTCTGCACTGGTCAGTGTGGCTAGGAAACTCAGCCCTGGTGTTTGATTACACGCACACACATACACACACACATACACACGTGTCATTTTTGTTGTGGGTCTAGCAGACTTTACCAAAGGACTGAAGGTTGGAAGAAAAGGCAAAGAAGTGTGGCATTTACTTCAAGCAATCAAGCAACTTAAAAATTTCAAATTTATTATGAAATACTTTTGTTAATAAAGGACCTTTGGATAGTCTACTCTGTTACTTGGCCATCCTCTTCCTCTCCTTCCTGCTTATTTTTTGGCTTGTTTACTCGATCTACTCATATACTTGGGGTTTCACCTTCCTCCCCAGTGATTCCCTAAAGATGGCTCAATCTCTAAGGAGATTCTGATGCCAGATGTTCACATAATACCTTCCTGCACATGCTACATATGTAGCATTGAGAGGAGTCTTAGGGCAGAGCTAATTTCTGATCTATGTTTATGTCTCAGCTGTGAAACAGTGGTCAGTCAAGCTGTACATGCTTCAGTCTGTTTCATCTCCAGGCCATTTTGTTTTATCCTTTCAAGAAACTGATTACCTTGTACAGACCATGTACCTTTATCACTGGAGTGAGTTACTTCAGGAATCTCACTAAATTCTTAGTCAATGATTGCTTACTCCTCTCTGATGTGTTAACTGGTGGCCCTTCTGGAATTCTGCCTTCTATCTATTCCCAAGACTGGGGCTCAGTAGTCACTTCCCCTTTGCTTTCTTCTTTGCGTCACTGAGAGAGAGCCCACACTGACCCCTTACTCTGGAATCTTCCTTCCTCTGGGCTCTATGCTAGCAAAGCCATTTGAAGATGTGTGTGCCCATAGTCTCAGGTGGATAGATGTATGTCTGAAGACTCTCAAGTCAGCCAATTGCCATTTTCCTAGGTCTCTCTTCCTCAGAGAAGTGCTCTTGAATGGTATTTTTTTCCATAGAAACTTCCTTTTAAGTCACCAATTAGTAGAAACTTGTTTAGAATCCACTACATTTTTGTGATCATGTATTAGTGCTGTGAATCATTATATTCTGCCCAATATTGAAGTTTTCATCATATTTTCATTCCTACTTTATATCTGATCTAATCAGGAACATATTGTGTTGGGTGAGTATAATTTAAATGCTCATTTCTGCTATGTGATACTTAGCCCCAAGCTTTTCTTTGGTCTTTGAAGGGCAATCTCATTCGTTTTACATTGCTCAGAACCCAGAATAGGCTGACTTGAATGCTTAAAATAGCCCAATGTCCCCATAAGCAGTGTGTAGTGGAGTCAAGTCACTGCAGGGGAAAGTCCACATCTCGGGTGTTATTGTGGTCAGAAGAAAGGTAAATGCCACAACTCCTTTCAGAGCTGCTCCTGAACGTCAGAGGGCTGCACCGTCTCTGCAGAGTTTGTGAGAGAGCTGGGCTGAATGACAGGGCCTGCTGTGTGACCTTACATGGCCTGCTGAGTCCTGGTTCCCAGGTCTGCCTTCCATCTTGCTGATGCAGAAAGAGACACATTTCCAAAATCTGTAATGAGACAGAACTGGGGTGGGAGTGCTCAGGAAATAACCCCTGATAGAGCCCAGAGGGAGAAACCACTGCAATCGAATGAAAGGACACTTCTTTCATGAGGCATCTGCATAGGGTTGAGAACAGGACTAAGGCATGTTGTGGGTGGCTAAAAAGCGGATGGGGTGAAAGTCCAAACTCACTGTCAAGAAGGTGATGTGTGAAGTGTGGGGGCTGAGGCTGAGGAAATGGGAGGACAGAGATCTGGGCTGGCAGAACCGAAGGAGGAGTGTTATCTGGGGGTAAGGGATGACTTGCTGGGGAGGAAGGTGACTTTCCATCTCTTCGCAGTGGTGCTGGGTGGTGGGAAGAGAGGAGGAAGCTGGGCTGGATGACGTAGTTTGAGCTGGGTGAGGAGCACATCATGACTTGTTATTATTTGTTGAAGATGTCTGATGCACGGCAAGATCATGGAGGAACCGCACATGTGGGATTGACTGACGTAACCAGCTGAATATACTCATCTGACCTGGAGAACCCTATAGGGGGAGAGTTAAATGTATTGACTTTCGCTCTAGACTTTAGTTCTGATGAACACAAAGTCATATGATTATTTAGATCCCAGCCTCACTGTTACTTCTTCAAGGGACTTTCCCTGATGCCTCACATTAAATTAAGTATCACAGACATATCCACACTATTAACAGCTGCAATTTTCCTTATTAGCACTTATTGGTATAATTAATCGATTCTACGTTCATCTGTTTAATGTCTTTCACCCTCTAGACCATTATGTTTCACAAATGCAGGAAGTGTTTGTGTCTCATTTATCATTGCATTTCAAAACCCAGCATGGTTTAATAATTTTTTGTTGAATGCATGAATACACACAAAAAAATGTTCACTGAGCACCAACTGTGTGCCAACTCTGAGGTGACTGCTTTGAGGAGATGGCATGAGAAGTCGGTGACAGACCTTCTTCACTGCATGGCTTGCAGGGCTGTGGTAGAGTCACACACACAACAACACAAGGCAAAGCACAGAACCAGCCATCAGAGAGGAGCAAAGGGGCTCACAGAGAAGACGGCAACTAGTAATGCCCTGTTTATAATTACCAGTTGCAAAGACTGTGAATGAAATAATCAATGAATCCTCACAATGAGACTGTGGGGAATGCAGGGTGGACATTATTATTTCTTTTTCACAGAGTGGAAATCAAGGATCAGAGGTGGTCTGAGATTTGCCCAGAGTGGTGGTGTTAAGTTTTTCCCTAGTACACCAATTTCTCATTCTTTTTGAAACAGATCTTGAAGATTGAGAATTCTTTTTTGTTGTCTTATACTGTGAGAGAAGATTGACAATCAGAAATTGACGGAAGGAATGGAGACAAAGCATTCAAGAAGGAGGGAACAATATTAGAAAAATCACAGATGTTGAACATTCTAGGATCTGGGAATCAAAGCTTCGAGTTCATTAGGGCTAGAGGAAATTTAGATCATTTAATCCAAGTCCTTTATTTTATAGATGCAGAAACAGACCCAGAGAGATGAAGTTACCCTGTCCACAGGCTCAGGGCTGGTTAATGTTAGAGGGATTAGCTGGGAGCAGGCCTTTGCTCATATCTACTTCACAGCATTCCTATAGCATCCTATGAAGTGGATTCTGGAATTGTCTCTAGTAGAGGAAATTGAGCCTTAGGAGATTAGGAAATTTAAATTTGCTGTGCTACTGACCAGGAAATCTAGGATTTAATCCTGTGTCTTAAATGATCCAAAGCCTGAGCTCTTCATTATGGTCTTCTCAAGTCTTTAGAAATAGTTTTGGAGGCTGTTGCTGGGACTCAGGGAAAGCATCACAGTGAGACGCTAACAGCAGGGTTGGAACTGGTGTCTACAGAGTTGAAAGGCAGGGCAGCTCTTTTCTACTACATTAAAGACTTAGTGTAATTTTAAGGATGTGGAGAAGGCTCTCCTTCCTAATAATAACTCTGTGTCATCATTCTGCTGATATCAGGAACTCTATTAACCTAAAGGATTTTTATTTCATGAGAGAATACTTAAACATAATTCCAAGTAAAGCCAATTCACTAGGTTGTGGATTTATTGGGGCTAACGGCAAACCCAAGGTGAGTTTTGAGCACACTGAGTTTGAGGTAAATAACGTGAAATAAAGTTAGCACTTATTAGTGATAATCATATCACTGAACTTGCATCTTGTGCTGCCCCAGCACCAAGCCCAGGGCATACAGGTTACCTTGTGTGACCTTTCAACCCCCATGTGGAGGACATTCTGCTTTCACTCCATTTTACAGATGAGGAAGGGGAGGCACAGAGAGGTGAGGACATTTGCGGAGAGTTACAAAGCCAGCAAATGGTGGATCCAAGATGTGAACTCAGGTAGGCCGTCCACTCTTTTAACTACCCCATGGGTCCAGAGCTCAGGATGAGTCATGGAAAGTTTTAATATGGTTGATCATCAGAGACATTACTAAGAAATGGAAATAGCCTATTAGGTTAGCAAGTTTTTGATATTACTCTGCTTCTACACCTGCCATGGGAAACTGTGGCATTGTTTGTTTTCAGGGAATTTTTCTGGTCTAGTTTAAGAAACTTAGAAAAGTGTGAGAAATCTTGCCACCGTATCTTAGACACCTGCTAAACCTCACATCACTTATCCTCAGGTTCAACCTGTCTTCCGGCTGTTACTTCTGTTAAATATTGCCTCCTGTCAGATACTCCATTGACAGAGTCGCAGATTTCTGGTATTCAGTTCCAATGATCCATCTGAAGGCTCCTGTGCTGTTTGCTGATGTCACCTGATGGACTGGCATTTTACTA
The DNA here is from genome assembly GCF_000001405.40 of Homo sapiens. NCBI lineage: Eukaryota > Metazoa > Chordata > Mammalia > Primates > Hominidae > Homo > Homo sapiens. The sequence continues at coordinate 168,513,045 of NC_000001.11, forward strand.
AAGTGCACACAGGCCCTTTGATGTTTCAGCATCATTTAGCAGTCATTTCCTATGTCCAAAAGGTTTCTGGGGAAACCTGAAAGGGAGGGATTGGGGGAGGGCAAGTGTCAAGAAAGGTTAAATGTCAAGGAGGAAACTAAAGATCACTGACACGGGAGTTAAGGCATCGGATAAGGGCTCCCAGCACCCTCCAAGGTTCTTGTGCTGCCTCGGGCTTTGAGGTGTCATAGAAAGTCCATGACGTTTTGCATGCCAGCAGTGTCCACTGAGCCTGAGGTGGAGTACTGGCTTTGACAGGCTGGACTGCTGAGGTGGGTCTGGCTTCAGTCAAAAATAGATGCGTTTTGTGATAGCTGTTGCGAGCAGACGGTGCTGCACTTACTTATGTTAAAAATAAAAGTGCTGCCAAATGCTAAGGGACTTCAAAGTCACAAAGAAGTGTACTTGGGGGAATCTGCCACTTCCTGTCGTGCATATGAGAGTTTAGAGAGAGACTGACCGCAGCGTGTGCAGCATGGAAGCCAATTTGATGTTCGTAATGTACAGGGAGAGTGGAGAGCATTGTAGCGTCCACTCCCTGATGCGACGGAGGGCTGGATACAGATTTATTCGCCTCAGAACTCTGATGTTTGTGCAGGGCACTTCCAGCACACCATGTAACCAAATCCTATCCATTTACAAAACAAACAAACAAACAAACAAAAATCAATTTACTGCCTCCTTGCTTTCTATTTCCCTCACTGCCTGTGGTCTCCTGAAGGCCAGGGCCTGTGTCTCACTCAGAATCTCCAGGGCATAGCACAGCGCGCCAGAGAATTCTCTTTTGAATAAAGAAGTCTCCGTCTAGAGCACTGTGTCCATCCCCTTCTTGCCTCATCAAGGATACCACTCCTTATTGTTTCTTCTCTTTTTGTGGCAGATAAATGATCCCGTTTCCACAAAGTTTGTCTTCAGTGGCCACTGCACATTCTACCCCAATGCCTTCCACTGTCCTACCATGCCCTGATGAGAGGGACTGCAGGGGGAGTCTTCTCCCTGCCACCTCTCTGTCCCTGGTGTGATGGGCAGGTGAACCTCATTGCCAGTGACTCTGTTGGTGTTATGGGTAGATGGGGGCACTTGTCCCAAAGGAGTCAAAAAAGTCGGAGTGGAAACAATGACTCAGCTTGTCTTGTTCCGAGTCCGTGATAAAGAAGTCTGCTTTCTATTTGGCTGGATCTTTGACTTGGCTTCCTAGAGTCATCAAGAGAATACAAACAATCAGAAGAGAACTTCCACCTGCTTCCGTCCCCACTTCTCTCAATCTACTTTTCCTCCAACGAATGAAACATCTCTGTTCCTACCCAAGCCAAACCTTCCTCCAGGGCCCTGGACCCCATGTCCTCCTACCCATCAAGGGCATCACTCCAGCTTTGTTTCTGCTCTCTGGCATCTCTCCCACCCCTGGATTTTCCAATCAGCATATAAATATGCAATGTTGTCCCATCTAAAATTAAATCTGTCTTGAATGTACATGTTCCTTGATCTATTAGCCTATTTCTCTGCTCCCCTTTTGAGCCATAAGCTGAACTCCTCAAAAGGGTTATCAGTACTAGCTGTCTCCACTTCCTTTTCTTTTGAACACATTACAGTCAAGTTTCTTTTTCCTTTTTTTTTAAGTTTCTTTTCTTTCATCACTGAAAAACCAAAACAAAACAGAAATCCCACCTGCTTTTGTCAAGGTCACCAGTGATTAGGATGGTGATTTGTCTTACTCTATTCGGATCAGTTCTGGCTTTACGCATGTTGTCCTGTCATGTTTTAATTATCAAGAGCTTCTTTCTTCACTCTGAAAAGTGTTCTGATTTAGGCAACAGATTATTATATGGCCACTTATATCTCAGTAAATGACAACTCCTTTTTTTTCACTTTCTCGGGCCCAAGTCCTGGAACCATCTTTGCCTCCTCTCTTTCTCTCACAGACCCATATAATTCATTAGCAAATATGACATCTTTAAATTCAAAATATATCCACAATAGCATTATTTTTTTCCATCTTCTCCAATATTCCTGTAGTCCAGGCTACTGTCATTTTTACCTACTTTTTTAGTCACCTGCTAACTGGTCTTTCTGCCTCCACCTTGCCCCTCACTCCACCTAGAGTCTGTTGGTTACACAATAGCCAGGATGATTCTTGAGGCTCTCCCTGACCTGGCCTGGTCATCTACCTCTCTGCCCTCTACGACTCACCTTCTCAACTCCAGCCACACCAGCCTCTTTGTTCTTCAAGCACACCAAGAATATTCCTATTTCATCTCAGTATCTTTGCATTTGCTGTTCCCTCTTCTGAAATTCTCTTCTGGGTTTCCCTGTGTCTCACTTCATCATGTCTGTTCAAATTTCAGCTTATCACCTTTCCAGACAGCCCTCTTTCTATACAGTAAGACCACTACCACCATTACCTCCTCACAAACACTCTCTGTTTCCCCTTATCCCTCTTAATTTTTCTCTGTTATAGTTAACAACCCATGACATATTCTTTCTGTCTCTTCTGCTATAAGATAAGCTCATGAAGACAGGGACTTTATTTTGTTCTAGGCTTTATCCCTAGCACCTAAAACAGTTCATGGCATGTAATAGGCACGTGATAAATATTTGTTAAGTGAAAGAATGTACAAATAGATTTCTAGCCTTAAAAATGAGATCAATGACACATTTTTCAAAAACTTAAAAGTTGGTATCCATTGTGTACTGCAAGAGATACACATAAGATATGAAAAAAACCCAAAACTACAAAGGCTGTTTGTTTTCCAGCTTTTTTGAGAATAATTTGACACACTTACTTATGTTATTTGTATATATTCATGGGGTACAAGTGCCATTTTGCTACACTGATAGATTGCATTGTAGTAAAGTACATTAATCACTGGAGGAACTAAAAGGTCTTTTTGATATAAAAAGGTGACAACCAAAATGTCCCCAAACAGAGAATTTTATTTAAATTATATTATACCCATATGGAGAATATTATATAACCATAGGAATGATCAATAAATAATGGCAAGTGCTTATAATATGATGCTAACACAAAAATGAAAAAAGAAAACTAACTGTAGAGTCTCAAATATGTAAACATATGAATGTGTCCTTGGGAAGAAAAACCATGGAAGAAAATGCTCCAAAACATGAATAGTGGTAATTTCTAGATGGTAGAACTACAGGAAATTTAAATAGTCTTTATTTTTTTCTACCTTTTCCAAAATTTTCATCACACATATATTTTGTTTTACCATCAGAAACAATAACTTATTATATATTTGGAAAGTGATGGCATTCTAAATTCACTGAGATAAGATGTTTTCTTTGAGTTTTTACAAGTGTGGTAAAGATTTTGATAGGTCCACACATTCTCTCCTGAATCTATTAAGGCTAACACTGTTCATTTGGAAGTCAGCTGGCTGAGTTGGTAGCCCATGACCTAGGAAAACACAGGTTCAAAATTCTTGGTAGCAATATTATCTTTACTCATTAAAACAAGCTTGTTGGGGTTAGTAGTTGTTAACACTGGGTTGCCATTATATAATGAATAGGGGGTTGTTAACATAATAATATTTAATTCAGTAGATCTCTGAGTAATACAGAGTACACAAGTAACTATTATTAATCTTATTTTGTGAGGCTTTATTTTAATCTTTCATTAAACTTCTTCTCTTCTTTGTGCAAAGAAGGTGACAACATTCTTCTTTTAATTATTAGAGATAATAGTTTAAGTCTAAATGCTTGTGAGAGTGCTAAAAGTATTTTATGAAGTTTTAATTTATTGCAGAGGAAGGGTTGGCCAAACATAACATAGGTCCACTATTCAAAAAATCTGAAAGTCAAAAATCAAATTAACTGTTAAGATCCATGGAGTCAAATTTAAAATTTCTGTTCTTATTCTTCTTTGCCATCTGACTCTCGTGATAGAAATATGGAGACTAAACTCATGAGAATCTCAGGTAAAGATATCATGAATATGCATGTGCTCATTTCCCTCCTCCTTTGAATAGCTGTCTAAGCTGGGACCCAAGTTTAAAAGGGTCATCCATTAAAAATTTATATTTTGGGGTGAGAAGGATTTGACAGAGTAATAGTGAGAATAGGCAGCATTGTGCTGCCGTTAGCCAGCTTGGGAACTAGCTTGTAAATTGTGGAGTCTCATCTTTGTCACCGATCATTAGAAAAAAATCTTAACAATAAGAGTACAATTTAAAGAATAACAAAATGAACAACTGTGTATGTAGCCACCATGTAGGTTAACAAAGAGACTACAATAAGTAAAATGTTCTCGTGAGTGTCTCCCCAGTCTTACTATCCCTCACCCCTGAGATAACCACCTTTCTGAATTTTGTGTTAATCACTCTTTTGCTTCGATTTATAGTGCAATTACATACATATTTCTACACAATATGTTGTTGATATTTTGCATATTTTGAGCTTTACATAAGTGGAATTATACTGGATATATTTTGCTAATGTACGTTTCTTATAATATTAATTGAGATTTTTTTCAAATCAATCCATGCATCTGGAGTTTATTCTTTTTGCACAATATTCCATTGTGTGGACATACCACAATTTATTAATCTATTCTACTTCTGATGGACATATGGGTTATATTCAGTCATTGCTATTACAAAGGCTGCTATAAATATTCTTTTAAAAAATATGTGAAGGTAGGTATCTATGTAGAATGAGAAAATAAATCACAATAGATTATGGGGGCGTCTCCCCTCTGAGGCAGTTTTCCAGGCAATTTACCAGGGGTCTTCTCTAGAAATGCTTTCTACTTGTAATGTGCCTTCCCATCTCCATATAGAATATTCTACAACTCTCAGCAAAAACTCTTGGCCCATTAAATGGGCCACTGCAAGAAAAAGCCTGAAGCTTAAGCTTCATGAGTTTTTGGTACATCCTCTTTGGCTGGGCTCCCATCTGGGTTTAGAATTGTGGGCAGAGTCGGATGTTGGATGGGCCAGACTCTCTTTCAGTGAGTGGAATGGTCCAGTCACAGGTAAGAGCCTGATGGGAGAGAGCTAGGTCTTGCTGAGTCCCTATCATGTGCCTGGCACTGTGCATGGCATATTCTAGGTACTTCTTTCCCCTTCCTCTGTTAGCTCCACTTCATTTGTGGAAATATGTAAGACTCAGAGAGGTGAAGAATCAACCTGGATATGTCTGATTCTGTCTTTTTCTCACTTGGTGCTGCTAACGCCTTCCTACTGGAAAAGTTTTCATCTTGGTGGAAGGAGATTTACCTGTTCTTGAGGACACATTGGGCTCAGAAAGCAACTTGTGTATCCATCCAATGTAGGAGTAAAACAGCATACACACACTCATGTTGAGCCATCTACGTATGCGTTCCTGGCTTGAGGAAGGAGTTTTTAAAAATCAGAAGGAAATGATTCTTATTTGTGGTCAAATGCAAGTGGTGTTGAGGCTTCACTGATGAGAAAATTACCACTGACATCAGTGGGGAGCTCTACTTTCATTCCAAAGAAGTCTGGTGTGTTGGTTTTTTTTTTTTTTTTTCTCAGAGCTACTTCTAACTCTTCTTAAACTTATGAACAAATTTTACTGTTTGGGCCGCATTTTTTCCATTTATAATCCAACAGTTCTCAGTCCTCTAGGGTCATTATGATGATTAATGTGAAAAGAGTTTAGCCTTTAATAGGCCTATTTGGATACAGATCACATACAGCTATGAAAAGCATTGGTATTAGTTTTATTGGTATTGAGAAAAACATTTGCAAATAACAGTAATTTAGTTCCAAAAAATTGATCTCCCTTTGATGGAAGTGAAAAATGTATTATTTTTCCTTTTTATTATGAATATTATATAAAGAGTTTATGTTCATTATGAGCATTCTTAATATATCTCCTAGAACACATGTTCAAGAGCTTCTCTAGGTATAAACCTGGGAGAAAAATTCTGAGTCACTGGATATGTGCATGTTTAGCTTTCCCGAGGGTGTGCCAAACTGCTTTCCAAAGTATTTATACAAATTTATAAACCTAGAAGCAGGGAATGAGAATTCTCCTTTCCTCTACATATTTGTCAACACTTGTTATTGTTTTACTTTCTTATTTTTAGTAATCTGGAAGGAGAGACTTGGCATTTCATTTAGTTTTATTCTTCTCCTAATTACTAATGAGGTTAAAGTTAAGCACGTTTTCATTTAATTTATGGGTTCTTTGTGTTTCCTCTTCTATGAAACACCTGTTCATAGATTTTGCCCATTTTCAAGATTTTTTTGGTCTTTTTTTTAAAAAAACTAATTGTAGGAAGTATTTTTTTCTGGATATAAATTTTTTTTTCTCATATGTGTAGCAAATATTTCTTCCTAATGGTGTCTTGTATTTTGCCCTGTTTATACATCTTTAAATGAGCAGAAGTTGTTAATTTAAATGTCATTAAATTTATCAATCTTTTTCTTTAGGGTTTTAGTTTTTGTGTGTTTGTTAGTCATAAAGATCTTCCATATTTTCTTCTACAAGTCTTTTATTTTTTTCCCCCACATTTCTTCATTGTTGTGAGATAGGGACCTTATTTCATTTCCCTCTGTGTGGTTGAACACTAGATCCAGAAGCACTTATTTAATTGTCTGTTCTTTCTCCACTGATCTACAATGCCTGGCCAGTTATAGATTAAGTGGGTCTGTGTCCACACTCTTTCTCTGCTCCATGGGTCAGTTTGCCTATTCCTTCCTGATAGCACACTGTCTTAATTACCTGCCTTTAAACCAAGTGTTAATCTCTACCTATCTTCTAGGGTATGACCTGTCCTTCTCCTCTCTCCATCTAACTCGGTAGAATTGTATACTCCTGACACTTTATTTTTAAGTAGAAAAGTATTTTAATCTGTCACTGGCCATACAGCCAAAAGTGAATGTGCCACCTCTCCCTTTTTTCAAGGACTCTTTATCTTACAGAGTTGTTTTGAAAATCACAGAAGACATAATGAATGGAAAGGGTACTAGAGAAAAAGAAAACAGTCTTCAGTAATTTCTAGGATTAGGGAATTTTCCTTTCTTTTAAATCATTCTCTTTACTCTTCAGGTTTATTTTTCTCATCAGCTCATTGTCTCAATACATGTAATATCTCAGCTGATCTGTGAAATGAATTCAAAACTTTCAGACTGAAAGTGTAGATGCAGGAATACACTTTAAAGGTGCAACTTCCTGTGGCTGCTCATTTTTATTCTCTGCTTCTTGGACAAAATAGGTTTGGTGATTACACACCAGGCCTTGGGGCTGGGAGACATGAATATCCTTGGAAAGGGTACAGGATGAGCCGAGCCTTTAGAGACAGAAATAAACCTCACCTGTGTGAGACCCTGCAGGTGCCCCCTGCCCTCCTGCACCTACCCTCTCGTGCAGTTCCTCCCCTTCACATGCCTCACAAGCTTGCCTGGGAGCAGGGGGCCCAGGTCACAGCTCCTCCTACTCTTTTCTCACTGCCGAGATCCATCCTTTAGTAGGCAGGGGGGAGTGACAGTTAAAGACTCTGTGGCTTTCTCTGCAGTCAGTTGTGGGTGTGACCAAGCGAACGGGTACTTATATATGTTAGTATATGTCATCATGGGGGAAAAGAACAATAATGCTCTACTATCACTGTGGTGGGTTTTCCTCTCACCCAACTCAGCTCTTCTATTTTAATCTATAATTGTCCCAGCCCTTGCGCCCCTTGCAAATGTCACTGCATTCTTTCCTGCCTCCCCCTCATTCTCTTCTGTGACTTTTTAAGACTTTCTATGGGGAGGGCTTTAATTTAAGGGGGCTGGATGAATGATGCAGGATGCCTCCTCGCTTCATGTTCAGGAGGGCTGAAAACCACGTTGCTCAAGTCCAGCATATTTGCCTAAAAGAAACATGTTCTGTCACAAAATATTCTACTTCCTAACTTACCATACGAAATGACATGGAAAAATTTCCCTTTTTTTGGTCCTCTCTTTCATGCTAATACCTGAAAAGGGGAAGTAGATGGAAGTAAAGCAAATTTACATGAGGCTGAGTGCACGTGATTGAGTTCATCACTCTCCACTGAGAACTCTTCCAATGTGCACTTAGACTCTGTCCCAGTATCAATCCCAAATATGGGTACAATGAGGTGAAGAAAAATATTCAGACTGATTCCTTTTGGAGAAGATGCTATATTTATTTGTTTGGAAGAAATACTTTGATAAATTGCTTGAGTTGAATTGTGAGATTCCAGGGCATGTGCAAGCAATAACACTTGCTCTTCTAATTGTAAGGGTGAGATAAAGAGTACAATGCATTTTGCTTTGAAAAGGAGGGGTGCTAAGAGAGAAAAAAGGGACCAAGAGTGACTTGATGGAAGACTGTGGGCTATATGACGTGATACCATCCTTTCATCCCCTACTTCCCTGAAAATCAGAAAAGTTACTATCTTCCAAGTTCTTGATGGGAATGAGATATATATATATTTGCAGAAATCTGAGGAGCTGAGTGTGTCTTGTCAGCACAGATATGGAGTTGAAACAGAAACAGTATATTTAGAGGTTGGAGATGGAGGCAGGAAATATGACAAGAAAGGAGGAGTCTCTAAGAATTTGCAGAAACTAGAGAGCTTGCAAAAACTAGAATTTGCAGAAACTAGGGAGGAATTTGCAGAAACTAGAGAGTTGCAGAAACCAGAGTTTGACTTTACAAAGGCTGTGGAATTTGAGGCTTTAACCTAAACCTGGAGGTCAGAGAGACAGGTTATGACCATGAGGTTGCAGGAGGAAGGTGATGTGGTTATCATAAAGAACTGCAAAGCCTCTTATCTGGTGCAATACAACTTAGCTACTTCACAGCAGCTTGATTAGGCCCATCTCCCTTTTCTGCCAACTCTTTTTGCTTGCTGACTGTTGTACTGAAACTCTGGACAACTTGCATTGTCAGTGCTTATATGTGCTAGACAAATACTGGGTGTTTAATCCTTTCAGACTCCAGGACTCAAGGAGTTCCTTGACCACAGAAAACCTTGTAAGTATGTGTGTAGCAGTGAATCTATACACAAGCCAAGGTCTTGTCTCTTGAAACCAGAACCAGTGGCCTTCATCAAATCAAGGTACTCTCTACTTATGAGAGAAGTCTATGTGCAAATTTAATTTTGAATATTATATAAATTGAATCACATTTTATATGTGCCATAAGCTAACTCTAACCTTGAGAAAACGTTTGGAATTAACAAATACTCTGAATCTGGATCTTTAAATTCTTAGATTCTGAAGAGATTTCATAAGAAACAAAGTATGAAAAAAATAAAACTCATCTATTAATAACTTGAAACAGCAGGTGACTCTAATCTGGTAATCAGAGAGAGGACCCACATCATAAGCAATATTCACATAGTTATTTTGTAGACATGGACTAACATTAATTCTATCCATTTTATAAGACTATTTTTAAATAACAAAAATAAAATAATAAAGTTAAGGATTTATGTATACATTAAATTTAAGAACAAATGTGTAGATCACTTCCAGTCAATACAGCAAATGAAACTGATGTATACAGATCCCCTCCATTTCAAGTACATTGAAGTGCTGAGTAAAATATAAGATAATACGATACAATGTGAAGTAATTAATTTCTGGATTCAAAACTAGGGAAAGGAAATCTGGAGGTGCTAGAATAGAGAGTGAACTTAAAGACTGAACAGTGTGCAGGAGCTGGAGCTGAATAGGGCACAGCACCCAGAGAAGCAGGTGTAGACCTTACAAGTGGGGTGAGGGCTGTGATTTTCATGGGTGGAGAGACAGCAGGAGGTCTCAGCCTCCTATAAAGTGAGAAGTTGAAAATGACCTCTTTGCACAAAGCCAGACAGAGCAAATGCCCCATCCACAAAATAGACTGGAAAATATCTGTTTGACAGTCTGGAACAAGCGTGCCAGTGGGTCACATATTTTGGGAAGTGTATTGAAAAAGGGTGACCTAAGAAAAATCAAAACGTTAAACCTCTGTTGGGAGAAGGTATACAAACCTAATTTATACTACCTGTATGGTGTTGAAACTGTAAGCAAAGAAACCAACAGTAACAACAACAAAAAATCTCCACAAATCAAAAAATAGTGAAACTAGTGGGATACCAGCAAAGGCCAATGTGACACTGTTCCATGAGGACCTCTTTACCACAGACAGCAAGAGAGGGCGCTCCTTCAGAAGAAAGCATAAGTCAGAAAGTTCACTTACTTACATAAAGTACACAATATAGATAGAACCCCATGACCAACAGGGAGAGAGAAACAGAGAGAGAGAGAGAGAGAGAGAGAGAGAGAGGAAGAGATGACAAACCCAGTAAATGAGAAAACAAAATGCGAGGAAATACAGAACATAGAAAATAGAGAAGTCTGCAGGGAGTTATTTTTAAAATAACAACAGTTAAAATATTAAAGTAAATGGGCTGGGCGTGGTGACTCATGCCTGTAATCCCAGCACTTTGGGAGGTCGAGGCGGGCAGATCACCTGAGGTCAGGAGTTTGAGACCAGCCTGGCCAACATGGTGAAACCTTGTCTCTACTAAAAATACAAAAAATTAGCTGGGCATGGTGGTGTGCCCTGTAGTCCCAGCTACTCAGAAGGCTGAAGCAGGAGAATCACTTGAGCCTGGGAGGTGGAGGTTACAGTGAGCCAAGATTGCACCAATGTGTTCCAGCCTGAATGGCAGAGCAAGACCCTGTCTAAAAAAAAGAAAAAAAATTTAAAAAAAATGAAGTAAAGGATATAAAGAAAAAAATTAGAAAGAGCTAAACAAACATATTGAGAATGATAATTTAAAGAAACCTCAACAGACAGATTAAACATTAACTAGACATATTTGAAAAGAAAATAGGCAAATAGGAATTTAGCTCTGAAGAAATTAGTTAGAATACAGAACAGGTAAGGAAAATGTGGAAAATGTAGAAGAGAGGTTAAGAAAGATGGAAGATAGAATGAGAAGGTCCAACATATTTCTAATAGGAGCTCCAGACAGAGAGACTAGATGCAATAAAGGAGAAGAAATATCAGTGATGATGGCTGAGAATTTAACAAAACTGATGAGAGATGAGTTTTCAGATTGAAGAAATGCATTCAGTTCCAAGCAGAATGAATTTAAAAATTTCTACACCCAGACATATTGTAGTAGAAGTGGAAAACATCAAAGACAGAGGGAAAATTCTTAAAAGCTACTAGAAAGAAAAGATACATTTCTTAGAAAATAACAAAAAATTTCACAAGCAACGATTTTTTATAAAAACAATAAACACTAGTTGATATCTGTATTAGGTAATTCTTGAAGCACTATAAAGAAATACCTGAGGCTGGGAAATTTATAAGAAAAGAGATCTAATTGGCAGGCTGTTCAGGAAGCACAGTGGCATCTGCTTCTAAGGGGGGCCTCAGGAAGCTTCCAATCATGGCAGAAGGCAAAGGGGGAGCAGGCACATAATGTGGCAAGAATGGAGAGAGAGAGAGAGAGAGAGAGAGAGAGTTTGTGAGAGAGTGTTTGTGGGGAGAGGTGCCACACACATTTAAACAATGAGATCTCACCAGAATTCACTATCATGAAGACAGCACCAAGCCATGAGGGATCTGCCCACATGATCCACACATCTCCAACCAGGCCCACCTTTGGCATTGGGGATTACAATTCAACTGAGATTTGGGCAGGTACAAACATCCAAACTATATCAATATTATAAAAAGATGTCTTCAAAATGAGAATAAAATGTTTATGTCAACCTGGAGTCACACGGTTACATAAGCATACAAATGTGAGGCAAATAGTGACATTTTCAGAGATACAAAAACTTAATTTCCTAGTTACTTCAGTGAAAGAACTAATAAATATTACTCCTGGAGAAAAAAAATTAAACCTGAAGGAGGGATTGGGATGTTAGGAACAACTGAGGCTAAAAAACTGGTGTTATGCAGGTAATTCCAAATTAAGTACAGATGTACAAAAGGGATTAATTATTTTTAAGACAAATGGTTAAAAACTAGGTAGAACTAAAATATTATACTGTGATGGCACAGAAGATGGAACTTTTAAGACTAGAAGTAAAAGTTCTAAAATTCTTGTCTTAGCAGGGAGGACTATAGAGGATTCACTAATATGTAGATTTTCTTAAGCCAATATGCTTGTTGAATAAAACAAATAAACAAAACAAGTGTCTCTCTCCCTCAATGGGTAAAAGATTTAAACAGCTACTTCACTAAGGAAGACATAACGATGACAAATAAGCACATGAAAAGGGGTGTGATCAGTAGCTATTAAGAAAATGCAAATTGATACCACAATGAAATACCACTACCTACCTAATAAGTGGCTAAAATTAAAAAGACTGACCACATCAAGTCTTGACAGGAATGTAGAAAAACTGGAACTCCGACACATTGATGGTGGTAATATAAATGGTACGACTTTGGAAAACAGACAATTTTTAAAAAGTTAAACATGCACCCACAATATAATTCAGTGATTCCACTTCTAGGTTTTTGCCCAAGAGAAAAAGAAAATATGTCAATATCAATACCTGTATATTTATAGCAGCTTTATTTTTAATAGTCTCAAAGTGGAAAATACACAGATTTCCATCAACAGATGAGTGGTTAAATAATTGTGGTTTATCCATACAACAGAATATTACTAAGCAATAAAAAGAAATGAACTAACAATGAGAAAACATGGACGCAGGGAGGGGAACATCACACACCAGGGTCTGTCGGGAAGTGGGGGTAAAGGAGACCGAGAGCATTAGGACAAACATCTAAGGCATGCGTAGCTTAAAACCTAGATGGCATGTTGATAGGTGCAGCAAACCATGGCACATGTATACTATGTAACAAACCTTCACGTTCAGCACATGTATCCCAGAACTTAAAGTAAAATTTAAAAGATAAAAAAAAAAAAGGAAAACAACCTGCAGAAACATTTTGATTACTAATAGGGGAATTTGAATAAAGACTTTTGTATTCAATAATGTTAAGAAATTACTATTAATTTTGTTATGGGTAACAGTATGATTGTGGTTGGGTGAAAATGTCCTTATTTGTTGTTATGGCAATATATACTAAAATAAAAAAAAAAAGAAATGAACTACAAATACATGCAACAATTCCATGCTCATAATAATATCAAGTGGGCCCAGTTTGGTGGCTCACACCTGTAATCCCAGCAATTTGGGAGGCCAAGGTGGGCGGATCACGAGGTCAGGAGATCGAGACCATCCTGGCTAACATGGTGAAACCCGTCTCTACTAAAAATACAAAAAAAAAAAAAAAAAAAAAAAAAAATTAGCTAGGCGTGGTGGCGGGCACCTGTAGTCCCAGCTACTCGGGAGGCTGAGGCAGGAGAATGGCGTGAATCTGGGAGGTGGAGCTTGCAGTGAGCCGAGATCGCGCCGCTGCACTCCAGCCTGGGCGACAGAGCGAGACTCCGTTTCAAAACAAACAAACAAACAAACAAAACACCTGAGTGAAAAAAGTCAGAAACAAGAGTGTATAAGGTATGAGTCAATTTATACTAAACTCTAGGAAATGCAAACTAATCTATACTTGCAGAAAGCAAATCATTTGTAGTTTGGGGACGTGGGGGCAGGGAAGGATGAGAAGGAGGGTTATGCATGAGAAAACTTTTGGGAGTGATGGATATGTTTATTTTCTTGATTTTAACTTCATGGGTATATATATATATATGTCAAAATCTATCAAATTGTACACTTTATGTGCAAGTTATTGTATGTTACATCTCAATAAAGTAATTTTAAAAACAAAAATATTCATGTTAAAACGTAAGAATGACCACTAAAAGACTAGAAATAGAATGTATAACCTTTAAATTAGTAGAGGGAAACTAAGACAGTAAATATGACTTGATTCACCCAATGAATATGGGACAAGGGGGAAAAAATAGAAGAAATCATGTCTAAAAGAAAAAGTAAGATGGTGTAAATCTGGGGTCAGCAAGCTTTTTTGTAAAAGGCCAAATAATAAATTATTTTGGCTTTGTAGGTAATATCCTTATTGCAACGATTCAGCTTTACTGGTTGAAGGATAAAAGCAACCATCCTAGATGGCTGAGAGTGGCTATGTTTCACTAAAATATTATATACAACAGCACACGCTGGGCTACATTTTTCCCATGGGCCATAATTTGTCAGCTCTTGATATAAAAAATGTTTGTCAATAATCACAATATAAATAGAGTAACCCTATCTATTAAAAGAGTAGATTAAAAATTCAGCTATTTGCTACTTACAAACACACTTTTAAAAACGTAATGATAAAAATAAGTTGAAAGACAAAGATTGGAAAAGACGTGCCAGTAACCTAGCAAATAAAAGTCTAGAAAACAATAGCAGTCTAGCAACAACCAACATTTCTAGAGCCAGGCACTGTGGTTAGTGCTAAGGTCATGTAGTTGGCAAGTGCCAAGCTGGAATCCAAGCCACGCCATTTGTCTTCAAAGTCCACATTTTAAAACATCACTGTATTTTGACTATCAAACAAAACTGAATTTGAGGAAAGAAATAGTTAAAGGTATACAAAGTGATTTTACTGCATGAAAAGTGGTGGGAAAAGTGTCTAAACATGTAACAGCTGTGAACCCATATGCATCTAATAAAATTGGTATGCACGTGCATGCGTGTGCGCATGCACGCGTGCACACACACACACACACACACACACACACACACACACGAGCATTATATGGAGAAATTGACAAATCCAGAATCATAGTAAGGAATTTCAACACATCTTTTCCAGATCACGCAGATAAAACATTGCGAAGAAATACATGTATAAAATATATCAGTGCAAGTAACAACCTTGATCTCATATATTAAAATTTACACTCAACACATAAGAAATATTTATTTATAGAATTATTATAAAAATTGACCACAGAGATAAACATCCCGATCAATTTGGCTATTGTTTTCATTAAAGCAATGAGGTACTTAGAAATAAATCTGACAAAATGTTTGGAGAGACGGCATGCCGTATTGGATGAGCACAAGAACTCTGGGACCGAGTTGCCTGGATTCAAATTCTGATTGTTATACTTTCCAGATGTGTGACCTTAAGAAAATTAGTTAACCTCTCTGTGCTTAAGTTTCCTTATTTGTAACATGACAATAGAATGGGGGAAAATAATTGTTATATTTCATAAGATTGTTGTGAGTCTTAAATGAATTAATGATTTATGAAGTGCTTAGAATAGTGGCTTGGTACATATAAGTGTTCGTTAAATATATACCTAAACGTGAACAAAACCCACACAGAAAATATTGGAGGATGTAAAAATAAACCCAAATCAAGGAAAGTTAGACCAAGATTTAATATTATAAATACGTCTATTCTCCTCAAACTAATGAATATATTCAAAACAGCTTTAATCAAAATATAAAAGTTTTGTTTTATTTAGGCAAAGAGTATCTAAAATTCACATGGAAAGATAGTCAAGAAATCAAGACTAGTTTAAAGGATAACATGAAGAAGATGTTAACAGGCCATACAAATAAAATACCATGATAATAGCACTATATTAAATAAAGTCCACAGAATTGAATAGATAGGTCAGAAGCAAACCTAATCACATATAAGACCATGATATATCATAGAAATGTTGTAACAAATAAATGGGAGAAATAATTGACATTTTTTAGTGTACTCTAAACGTTTTCAGTCATAACCCACAGAAAAAAATATATTTTATTTTATGTTTCAGTACTCAACCAAAGCATATGTGTGTATGTGTTCTGTAAACACTGTTTACCTTTACTATATGAAATGTAGTCTAATATTTTCTATATAATTTAGTTTTTTAAAAAATGGTAGTTACAATCCACTAATTTAAAAAAAGCCCCATTAATATATTACAAATATAGAGTCTGAAAAATACTGGATTAGCTATAAATGTATAGAGAAAACTACCTTTCCATACTGAAAAATATAAAAATAGATCCTTACTTCATACTATACTTCAAAAAAAATTCCAGATAAAGTGGCTAAATATGAAAAACCTTTCAATCAAAATATAATACTTTGATGTTATACTTTTATGTTACACAATGATAAATGACAAAGAAAAACATCAAATAGTTTGAAAACTTCAATTTAAAACTTCTCCATTACTTCCATATAACTAAGAAAATAGGCCGGGCTTGGTGGCTCATGCCTGTAATCCCAGCACTTTGAAAGACTGAGGTGGGAGGATAATCTGAGGTCGGAAGTTTGAGACCAGCCTGACCAACATGGTGAAACCCTGTCTCCACTAAAAATACAAAAATTAGCTGGGGGTGGTGGCATGTGCCTGTAGTCCCAGCTACTCAGGAGGCTGAGGCAGGAGAATTGTTTGAACCCAGGAGGCAGAGGTTGCAGTGAGCTGAGATCGAGTCACTGCACTCCAGCCTGGGCAATAGAGTGAGACTCTGTCTCAAAAAAAAAAAAATCTATAGGATTTGTATCCAGAATATTAAAGAATTATTAAACATCAATAAGAAAAATCTAACAACCTAGTGGGAAAATGGACAAAACATACGAAAGGACCATTCACTGAAAAGGAAGTTTGAATGGCCAACCCAAATATATGAAAAATGCTCAAACTTCCTAGTAATTAGGGAAATGCAAGTGAAAACAATGAGACACTATTTCACAATGATCAGATTGGCAAAAACATAAGACTAGCAATATCAAGTTTTGGGAGGACAGGGGAAATAAGAATTCTGATACCATGCCATTAGGAGCAAAACATAAAACACAAACAATAAAAACATCCATCAACTGCTGGATAGTGCTTGCCTCTGCCCAGGGAGGACAGGAAATAGGATGGGGGATGTAGATCCTAAAGGATGTAGATCTTGTATTACTTTACAAAATATCTGAAGCAAATAAGGCACAGTGTCAATTGCTAATTCTGAGTAGAAAGTACATTGATATTTGCTATTTTATTCTCTGTATTTTTCTTCAAATTGAAAACATTTTCTGTGTTTTAAAAAATATGTAAAGAAAGACACTATTATCAAATTTACTTTCTCCTCAACTGATGACATGAACCAATAAATAACTATTGGTGACAATACAAATCCCCAAAAGGCCTTATTGCTGTACATGTTGTCATCAAAGTCCTCAATCGGAGTGGTGGGGGGTCGGGGGATGGGGCATAAATCTAACAAGGAAACTTGCCCCTCAAGATTGAGAAGAATCATTCCTCTGTTCTCTGTTTAGGTTTGTGTAAGCTGCAAGGAGGACCTTCAGAATTGGTGTGTAGAAAATCTTAACCCTTTAAGGGTTCTCAAGTGGTGGAGGAGGGGGGTGCAGAGTAGGGAGACGTGTCAGGATCACCCGGTGATTTTTTTTTTAAAAAGATTGAGAACCAGTGCTCTAGGCTGACTTTTCCTAATTCTACTTTAACTTCATCATGTTTCATTTGTGTGACCCAAATATCCATTCTTGGGGTATTTGAATCAATCAACTTCATATGGTGAGTTCAGTCAGTAGTTGTTTATTGAACACCTATATCATGCCTGGCACTGTAGTCTATTCTGGAGGTATAAAAGTGAACAAGAAACCACTGTTCCAAGGAGCTTAAAATCTATTTGAAAGGAAGCTTAGTGTATAGAGTAACTTATTTCTTCTGTAGGTTAATCAGATTAATGTTTTAATCATGGACTATTGGAGATTGCATTCTGATTTTTCTTTTTGCCAGAGTGATGATTGATGGTGCTCTGTTCATCCTTTAGGGCATCAATAATAAAATCAGCATTGCAACCATTCAGTCCTCAGCACAGTCTATGCCCAGCTCAGAGAACATAGAATGCTGCCAGCTATAACTTTTCATCATTTTCCTCAGAAAGTTTGAGTATGGCTTGAAACAGAAGTCTTCAGTATTTTATACTCTATTAGGGCTGCTGTGTTTAGTTGAGCAGTTTGTACATTGTATAAGGGTATCCAGCTGAGGAGGCAGGAGGAAGCTGAAATTCAGCCTAAGCTCTGCTCTTTTAGCCCTCTATGTGACTCCTTCTGCACAGAAAGACACACTTTTCCAAGTTGTCTGGCCAGAGGGGATGCCTTTTTATAATTTGCATGAAGATGGCATATGAACTAGTGGGTGGCCCTACTGACCACAACAATTTCCTAATTCAGTACAATCCGCAGAGCATATGTTTACTGCAGAGGTATCATTTGGAATACTAGGGACCACATGTTTATCCCAAGAAAGAAATGACTGAGAAAATATATTTATGAAACTTTAAAATGTTAAGACCAAAAAGGATTTTTTAGAAAACAAGTTTAGCCATCTAATTTTCCATGTGTAGAAAATGACTTTGAATTTCAGAACTTAACGGAAAGTTGGAGATCATTATGTTTAACTCCCTCATTTCATAGATGAAGAAATCAGTGCCCTGAGAGGAGAAGCAACTTTTCCAGGGGTCACAGTCACCCAGGTCTCCTAACTCCTAATCCAGTGTCCTTTTGATTTTACTATATTTATCACCACACAGCCAGTTAGTGGCAGAATGAGTGCAGGCCCCAGGCCATTGATACAAGTCAAGTAATATCAAGACAGTTTCCTAATTCAAACACAGGCATCTGCCACTAAAACTGGATGGCTAATCTTACCTTCTCCTTGTGAAGCAAGGAGAATATTGGGCAACCAGGGCATATTTCACCTGTGTCACCTCTGAAGAGCTCCACTTAAGTAGTCATTCTCTCTTCTCTCTGATGTCTCTATATCCTGTCCCACTTCTGAGTTAGGTGCAGGAACTGTGGTTGCTGTGATTGTACTTTCACATGTAATCCACCAGCAAAGATTGAGAAAAATCACTTTCTCTTCTGATATACTCATTACCCTGTAATCTAGGGAAAGCGGAGGGGGTAATCTAATTATCTTAGTCTTACTCTGAACCTGTTGTGTGTTATTTCCCCAGATGGCCAATAATTGGTCTTAGGCAGTGCTTACGTGTGAAGGTGACACATCTCAAGGTGAGCTGTTCTGGTGGGAATTGCTCTCTGGTGGGAGCATGTTCTTACTTCTTCAGGTTTCAGAGAATTCTGGCATGCTGCCCTTCTTTCCAGAGCTAATGAGGCATGGATAACCATTCCTTTTACAGTTGCTCTGTCTGACATGGATGGCATCATTGTCTGGCAACTTGATGAAGTATATATTTTGGAGGTGAATGCATGAGATGTGGGTTCTGATGGCCTACCTCAAGTCCTGGCTTTGCCACATAGTTGGATGACTTAGGCCAGTCACTTTATCCTGTCTGCATCTCAGTCTGTTCATGAATACAATGGACACGATCATACCTGCTGTTTTCCCTTACAAGGCTCTTAGGAGGATCAAATAAGGTAAGGGATGTGCAAGTGCCCATAGTGCCAGAGAGTTCTATAGTGTAAGCATCACTAGGCTCTATAGCGTAAGTCAGAGAGCTGACTGGGGTGGGGAGGCAGAGAGCAGGGTGGGGAGATGAGTGGGATTGTCTATCACAGGGTCCTGAGGCCCTCTTGGGGATTCCTGGCAATGAGCTTTCGAGCCAGGGTTGGGAGGGTAGGTGGGAGGTGCGGAGTAGAGGGATGGGGTTGGGGGACTCCTGCCAGGTGGAGAGGCCCCAGATGCAGCCTCAGCTTCCCACAAGATCCCTAGGTGCTATCAGTATGGGAATGCAACTCCTGAGCATCTGGTACCCATTCTCAGAACTTTTGCCTCCTACTTCTAAGGCCACTCTCATGGGATCCTTATTTTTTAAAAAAGAAGAGCAACAGGGAGTAGGACCTCTCTTGTAGACAGAGAAAAACTAGAGCAAAACTCTTAATGTGTTCAGTTGTGCATGACCAAGCATCTCCACAGAGTTTCAAGAGACGGGAGGCTGCATGCCTTATTCCGTGCTGACCCTTCTGTCTATGAATTTCAGCCCACACCGTGGAGTATTTGCATGATGTTCACCTGAGCTTCTCCCTTAGTGGGGGCGAGCATGGGACACTAAGAATGGAAGATGAATGTGTGTCTCTGACTATGTGTCTTTGTATTCCAGAGCCAAAAAATAAATACCCTGCAATGTGCTTGCTTTACGGTGCAAGCTTCCTTTAATTTTTGGTGTCACTCATCAAGTGTTGAGAGTAATAATTATTTATAGTGTTTATAACTGCTTTTGGCATCATGCTGCTTCAATATTCCTGATAGGGGGAAGGGAAGAGTCCTGTGGAGAGGAGGTGGGTATAAGAAAAAACTGGTTAAGGATTTTAGAGCTCGAGGATGGAAGGAACCTTGGAGAACATTTCTTCTCACCTTTTCTCTCTTCTGGTAAGTGGTCCTCCAGACTCTGCCCAAACACATTCAGTGATGCATAATTTACTGCTTCTCAAGTCAACCTGCTTCCTTTCTGGACAATTGCAATGGGATAAAATAATTTATAGAGTTATGCTGAAATATGCTTTCTTCTATTTTCAATTCTTTGGTTTTAGTTATATCCTAAAGGTATTGTCTCTCTAAAAGGATCAACCCTACATGACGCATTCAAGAGACATTGTCATAATAGTCCTACTGTTGCCTATAGGGATTCAATCAGAGTTTCAGGCATGGTAGAACCTGAAATTTCTCTAATAAGCAGTTTTGTAGATACCCTTTATGAGTTATGTTAGAGGAAGTTTCAGTAGAACCTGCAAAATGGTAAGGAAAGGGAATCCCAGATAGCGGTGGGATCTATAAAATTCAGGAATATTTAAAAAATCCTTAAGACAATGTACAAAGGACCCATTTATTGCCCACATATTATGCCAGACACAGTTCTGGCGCTGTGTCTACAGTGGTAAACACAATAGGCAAAGTACCTGCCCTCCTGAAGCATACCTTTAAATGAGCACAAGACCCCAAATCAAATGAGTAAACTAGTCAGTATCGTAAAGCGATAAACACTATGAAGAAAATGAATAAGGCAATGAGATAGACAGCAACTCTGTGTTTATCTGTAATTTTGAAATAGGAAAATATATCAGATTATTTTTCTTTGTGAGTTATTCTTTGGGAATATAGTTATGGAATCTTTCCCTCACCCAGGTGTAATAAAGATATTCTCCTATGTCTTCCTTGTTTCCCTTCCTTCCTTCTTTCCTTCCCTCCTTCCTTCTTTCCCCTTCTGCCTTCCTTTCCTTCCTCTTTCCTTCTTTTCCCTTCCCCCTTCCCTTCTTTTCTTTCTTCTTGCATTTAATGTATCAGAAGTCTATTTTTATACATGGTGTGAGGTAGGAAACTTATTTTATTTTTCTCTGTAAAATAAGCAAAAGCTTCCAGCAATATATTGTGAATAATATACCTTATTCTCATCTGATCATAGTTTATATATACACATACATACACACATATGTATGTGTGTGTATGTAGATGCATAATTTATAAACATGATTCTGAGCTTTCTATTGTTCTCGTTGTTAATCTCTAAATTAACACTACTGTGTTTTTTATTATCACAGCTTTATCTTATGTCTTAATATTTGATAGGGGAAACATTTACTCTTGGTTTTTCTTTTCCTAACTTGTTTTAGCTATCTGTGAATGTCTTTGTGTCATATAAATTTAAAAATTGTATTAGAAAGTTTTGCCCAAAAACTCTGTGGAAATTTTAACTGGAATTGCATTGAATAGTAGATTGATTTGGGGAAAACTGATATCCTTACAATGTTTGTCATCTGGTTCGTAAATATTTGCATCTTTTTTGTCCTTTAATAGAGCCAAATATTTCTTTTATATTAAAGCAATATAAATATATTATGAAGCAGAATGCAAAATCATCACAAATTTTAAGATAAATAATGGAACTTCAAGGGACTGTTACACTTCCAGTGTATTATAACTCCTTGCTACCAAGGCTTTCTTTTCTTTAGGAGAGATCTCTCTCCTCTGCCCTTGAGACTTGGCTGGACAAGTTTTGCCCTTATACATCATCCTGCAAGCAAACTCTCTCCTGAGTGGTTAAGTAGGTGGCTACTGGAGTCAGATCAGTTGTATTCAAATCCCTAATCAACTATTTATTAGCTGTGTAACCCTGGACAAATGCTTTAACCTTCCCAAATTCTTAGTTTTGTCAGTAGCAAAATACAGAATCAAGTAAGATAATGTGTGCCAAACGTTTAGCAGAGTGCTGGAGATGGAATAAGTGCTCAGCAAATGTTAGTGACTATTATAAGCAATTTTAAGCTATACTTGTTATGCTCTAACACATGGGCATGTGACTGTACCTGTCAATAAAAAAACAGAGAAGAAATATTTGCCCTATCAAACATTAAATGAGGTTTCTGAGGCAACTGCAGTCTAAAGCTATTCCTTGTTCTCTTCAAAATGCATAACTATTAAAAAAATCAAATGTGTGAGGTTAATCTCAATAAGCAAAAAACTAAAACAGACTACAAAAGAGTAAAGTTGAGGCATCTGGTAGGAGAGAAGCTTATACAATATTAAGTTTTTAATAGAAAAGAGATAAAAAGCTTTGCAATGGGAATTGTGAATGATTTTGTGGCCTAAGTTATAATATCCAGAATGAAAGTAGAGGCCAAGAGGCTAAGAGAGAAATCCTATAGTTATTACTTAGCAGAGTTTTCACTACTCTTGGCTTGGGGCAAGGGCAGAAGCAACAGGAAGGAAGGGTTGAAGGGTGTTTTATTATAAAGTTAAGCTGCAGTTGGGCAGGAAACCACAATGTCGAAGACATTCTCTTGAAGGAACTGTTAAGGTAACACCAAGAGCAAGTGATAATACTGAAGTCAGTGAAAGGGACTGCCAATGCAGGAGCTACTTCTTGAATTACCTAAAAAGTTGATGTACCACTCCCATTAGGGGGGATCAGGGTCCACAGATATCAGACTTTTAGGATAAATCAACTTTACTGCCACTGGAACTTTGAATAAACATCCAGGGTTAAATAAATTACTAATCAGTAGTAGTTGAAAGAAGAGGAAGACAGTCTATGCCTGGGGAAGTTTCATTTTAATTTTGAAATCAACAGTTATTTTTTAAAACTGTTACAATGTAAGGGCAGGTAATTTGTGTCAAATGGCTGTTTATAAAACTCTTAATGAAATCATATTTTTATCAAAAATGTATAATTATGATGGGTTCTAACAATGTATTATTTATTATTTCTTTCTCTTATCCATACCAGAAAACAGTTTAACTGCAGATCAAATTGCTAATACGATTAGTGCCTAGTGGAAATAATGAAATTGAAAATGTAAAGAATCAGGAGTACATAACCAGTTTCTAGGGGCATGCATTTATGAATTCAAATTATTAAGAAAATAGCATATATATATATATAGTTGATACACTGGATATTATACTAAGTGTTAAACTTTCCACTGAATCATTCCCATTAGTGTACAAACTTGTTATTTTTTCTCTCATGTAAAAATCAAAATAAACAAACAAAACACCATCTCTTGACTACACTTCCACTTCAGCTGTAGTTCTTTTTCTCTGCAAGCTTCTTTTTCTCTCCAAGCCTCTATAGTGATGCTTATGAGACAACTGTCGTCTAAAATTATTCTCTTTAAAGAGTTGTCATTAATTCTTCTCCCAGGCCTTCTCAACCCTTCTTCAAAAGTTTCTGCTCTTACCAATCCACTGACGCTTTTCCCCTTATAGTCATTCTGTGACAGCCATGCTGTTAAATCCAACTATTTTTAAGTTCTAATTTCTGACTTATTTACAGCATTTGGCAAAGTTGCTCACTCTATTCCTGCAAACATCCTCCTGCCTTGATTTCCAGGATACCACACAAGATTGGGTTTCCTCATATCTTTCTGACTTCTTCCCAGTTTTCCTTGCTGGTTCCTCCTCATCTTCCCAATCTGTGTCCAAGGCTCAGTCCTTGAACATTTTATATTTTGATCAACTCTACCTACATGCTTTGCCCATTATCAAGGCTTTAAGTGCCACATATAAGCTAATGACTCCAAAATTAGTATTTCCAGCTTAGACACGTCCTCTGGATTCCTGACCTAGCTATCTGACTACTTGACATTTTCATATGGATGTCTACTAAGCACCTAAACTTAACATGACCAAAACAGAGCCCCTAATATTCTCCCGAAAACCAGCAACTACTGCATTTTCCCACCTCAGTTAATAACAACACATTCTGCTAGCTTTTGAATGTGTTTGCTCTTGCTTCTCTAGTTCTTTTAATTGTGCAGTTAGGGGGTCAATTTTAGATCTTTCCTGCTTTCTCTTGTGGCATTTAGTGTTATAAATTTCCCCCTACACACTGCTTTAAATGTGTCCCAGAGATTCTGGTATGTTGTGTCTTCATTCTCATTGGTTTCAAAGAACATCTTTATTTCTGCCTTCATTTCGATATGTACCCAGTACCCAGTAGTCATTCAGGAGCAGGTTGTTCAGTTTCCATGTAGTCGAGCAGTTTTGAGTGAGTTTCTTAATCCTGAGTTCTAGTTTGACTGCACTGTGGTCTGAGAGACAGTTTGTTATAATTTCTATTCTTCTACATTTGCTGAGGAGTGCTTTACTTCCAACTATGTGGTCAATTTTAGAATAAGTGAGATGTGGTGCTGAGAGGAATGTATATTCTGTTGATTTGGGGTGGAGAGTTCTGTAGATGTCTATTAGGTCTACTTGGTGCAGAGCTGAGTTCAATTCCTGGATATCCTTATTAACTTTCTGTCTCGTTGATCTGTCTAATGTTGACATTAGACTCTATGGAAATTTTAACTGGAATTGCATTGAATAGTGGGGTGTTAAAGTCTCCCATTATTATTGTGTGGGAGTCTAAGTCTCTTTGTAGATCTCTAAGGACTTGCTTTATGAATCTGGGTGCTCCTGGATTGGGGGCATATATATTTAGGATAGTTGGCTCTTCTTGTTGAATTGATCCCTTTACCATTATGTAATGGCCTTCTTTGTCTCTTTTGATCTTTGTTGGTTTAAAGTCTGTTTTATCAGAGACTAGGATTGCAACCCCTGCTTTTTTTTGTTTTCCATTTCCTTGGTAGATCTTCCTCCATCCCTTTATTTTGATCCTATGTGTGTCTCTGCATGTGAGATGGGTCTCCTGAATACAGCACACTGATGGGTCTTGACTCTTTATCCAATTTGTCAGTCTGTGTCTTTTAATTGGAGCATTTAGCTTTGTTCTTTTGGCTTAGGATTGTCTTGGCAATGCGGGCTGTTTTTTGGTTCCATATGAACTTTAAAGTAGTTTTTTCCAATTTTGTGAAGAGAGTCATTGGTAGCTGGATGGGGATGGCATTGAATCTATAAATTTCCTTGGGCAGTATGTCCATTTTCATGATATTGATTCTTCCTATCCATGAGCATGGAATGTTCTTCCATTTGTTTGTGTCCTCTTTTATTTCATTGAGCAGCGGTTTGTAGTTCTCCTTGAAGAGGTCCTTCACATCCCTTGTAAGTTGGATTCCTAGGTATTTTATTCTCTTTGAAGCAATTGTGAATGGGAGTTCACTCATGATTCGGTTCTCTGTTAGTCTGTTATTGGTGTAGAGGAATGCTTGTGATTTTTGCCCATTGATTTTGTATCCTGAGACTTTGCTGAAGTTGCTTATCAGCTTAAGGAGATTTTGGGCTGAGACAATGGGGTTTTCTAGATATACAAGCATGTCATCTGCAAACAGGGACAATTTGACTTCCTCTTTTCCTAATTGAATGCCCTTTATTTCTTTCTCCAGCCTGATTGCCCTGGCCAGAACTTCCAACACTATGTTGAATAGGAGTGGTGAGAGAGGGCATCCCTGTTTTGTGCCAGTTTTCAAAGGGAATGCTTCCAGTTTTTGCCCATTCAGTATGATATTGGCTGTGGGTTTGTCATAAATAGCTCTCATTATTTTGAGATATGTCACATCAATACCTAGTTTATTGAGAGTTTTTAGCATGAAGGGCTGTTGAATTTTGTCAAA
This sequence comes from Homo sapiens, assembly GCF_000001405.40. NCBI lineage: Eukaryota > Metazoa > Chordata > Mammalia > Primates > Hominidae > Homo > Homo sapiens. Next base: position 168,538,977 of record NC_000001.11, read on the forward strand.
GGCCTTACCTATTGAGATAATCATGTGGTTTTTTTCTTTGGTTCTCTTTATATGATGGACTACTTCTATTGATTTGCATATGTTGAACCAGCCTTGCATCCCAGGGATGAAGCCCACCTGATCGTGGTGGATAAGCTTTTTGATGTGCTGCTGGATTTGTTTTGCCAGTATTTTATTGAGGATTTTTGCATCGATGTTCATCAGGGATATTGGTCTAAAATTCTCTTGTTTGTTGTGTCTGTGCCAGGCTTTGGTATCAGGATGATGCTGGCCTCATAAAATGAGTTAGGAAGGATTCCCTCCTTTTCTATTGATTGGAATAGTTTCAGAAAGAGTGGTACCAGCTCCTCTTTGTACCTCTGGTAGAATTTGGCTGTGAATCTGTCTGGTCCTGGACTTTTTTTGGTTGGTAGGCTATTAATTATTGCGTCCATTTCAGAGCCCGTTATTGGTCTATTCAGGGATGCAACTTCTTCCTGGTTTAGTCTTGGGAGGGTGTATGTGTCCAGGAATTTATCCATTTCTCCTAGATTTTCTAGTTTATTTGCATAGAGGTATTTATAGTATTACCTGATGGTAGTTTGCATTTCTGTGGGATCAGTGATGATATCCCTTTTATCATTTTTTATTGCATCTATTTGATTCTTCTCTCTTTTCTTCTTTATTAGTCTTGCTAGCAGTCTATCAATTTTGTTGATCTTTTCAAAAAACCAGCTCCTGAATTTATTGATTTTTTTTTGAAGGGTTATTTGTGTCTCTATCTCCTTCAGATCTGACAAAAAAGAGTCTGCATTGCCAAGACAATCCTAAGCCAAAAGAACAAAGCTGGAGGCATCAGGTAGTTGAAGCTACCTGACTTCAAACTATACTACAAGGCTACAGTAACCTTGTAGTATACTACAGCATGGCACTAGTACCAAAACAGAGATATAGACCAATGGAACAGAACAGAGCCCTCAGAAATAATACCACACATCTACAACCATCTCATCTTTGACAAACCTGAAAAAAACAAGAAGTGGGGAAAGGATTCCCTATTTAATAAATTGTGCTGGGAAAACTGGCTAGCCATATGTAGAAACTGAAGAGGGATCCATTCTTTACACCTTATACAAAAATCAATTCAAGATGGATTAAAGAATTAAATGTTAGACGTAAAACCATAAAAACCCTAGAAGAAAACCTAGGCAATACCATTCAGGACATACGCAAGGGCAAGGACTTCATGACTAAAACACCAAAAGTAATGGCAACAAAAGCCAAAATAGACAAATGGGATCTAATTAAACTAAAGAGCTTCTGCACACCAAAATAAACTACTATCAGAGTGAACAGGCAACCTACAGAATGGGAGAACATTTTTACAATCTACCCATCTGACAAAGGGCTAATATCCAGAATCTACAAAGAACTTAAACAAATTTACAAGAAAAAATCAAACAACCCCATCAAAATTTGGCAAAGGATATGAACAGGCACTTCTCAAAAGAAGATGTTTATGCAGACTGGATTTTGTTCTCCCTTATTCTATAAATAGAATTCTATTATAGAGACAAGTTGAAATAGATCTCAAATTGTTGCCATTGTCACAGCTGTAACTTGTGACTGATGTGTAAAGAACCATTACAAGCTGGACTCTAAGAGTGATCGATATAGCTTTCACCTCTGATAGACACTAGCCAGAATCTCTTCCATTATGGTTACCATCAAAGAGAGGTACAAGGTCAGAAATCAAACAACAATGATACACTACCTTTCCCTAAATATAATGAATAGACTAGGGAACTATTCTTAATAATAAATAATTTATTAATTAGAACATATAAGTGAATACAGAAGACATTTAAAAGTAAAAATACAAAGGAATAATTTTATTCATGCAGTGCTTTCATAAAAGGTGAGTATAATCTCAGTCCATGAGGGTGTAAAGTGAAATGAGCTGGCTGGCTGGAGACGGACAGGGTGCCAGAGACTACTAGCCAGTCAGGGTCACAGCTGTATTGGTCGATTGCTGGGTTCCTGTTGGCTTGGTCTGGATCATGTTATTTCTGGTGTTGGATTTCCTGTCCATGCTCCTGACCACGTCTCTCACCCACGTGGCTTGTGGATCAGCACAGACTTTTAGGCCACGTTTGGTAATAAAACTGTAACGCAAGGAAAAGACAGATGAAGTTAGCCACGTTCTCAAAGCCTCAGGGTCAGGAGTTAAGATCAGGGCAGACATGAAGAGATCTTGTGCAGAAATTACTGCAAGAAATAGTCTTTCAGAGCCATGAGATCATAAATGAGCACCCTTCTTCTGCCATCTATTTTAACATAAAGGAGAAATATCTGCAAGTAGTATCCAGCCCCTTTGTTCACCATAATTCACAGGCTCCTTTTCTCATCCATGTCACCAAATGTTGTAACAAAAAGACATTTGAGGCCATCTAGTTCCATTATTATATAACCTCTTCCTTTTCAAATTTGAAAATACTCATCTTATTTTTTTTAAAAAGGTGATTTTTACATTTTCATTCTTTAGAGCAAAGCTTGCAATATGTATTGGGAAGAGTTATTACTTCTAAAAATGAGATTCTGGTAGAAGAAAGGGACCATGTAGGTTGTGCATTGACTCATTTTCTTGAAATATGGCAACTGATAAAGTATGGGACTCTGCCTAACTCAACCCTAAGATCCCCCAACTCCAGTGAGGCTTGCAGGGAAACCCTGACATGAGCCAGCCATCTCTAAACCCAGATCTCAGAGCTGTGCACAGTATTCAACAGACTCTTCCACTAAGACAAATAGAGGAGGACTTCTATTCTTTCTTTGGCAGCCCAATTTCTGCAATAATCGCTATTCGGTTGGGCTGCAGAAAGACATGGTTGATAAGGAAAACTAAAGAGGTTTTTGGTTAAGTTGAGGTGTTCCTCTATGCTGACCTACTTTTCCTGAGGATGGCAGCATTTCTATAGAGTGTATTTCTATACCTCTAGGTACCCACCCAGCCCAACTTCTGAGGAGGCAGACTCACATTACTGCTCTCAAGGAGCCTTCCGTGATGGTGTAGGTCTTGATTCTGCTAACTGGCAGTCGCTGGGTAGTGAGGCTCACACAGGTCCTCCTATGTGAGACTTCACTCCCTACACCTGATGAGGAAAAAAAAACAACAGACAATTAAAAATAAAGCAATTACCCAGATCACAGGAACAATCGTCTGTTAAATTACTCTGAGAATGTTGTGAGAATATAAGGCCATTTGCTTTTTGGGGGAAGAGAGGACTGATAGGCATCCCGAATCTCTTGCCCGTCACAGATTCTTAGTAAATATTTGACTAATTTAAAAACTCAATCAACAGAATTGTTTCAGGAATTTCATGCTGAGAGAAAATAACAAGATGTTATCCCGTCTCTGTGTATATTTTCACTTAGACATTTGGGACGGCTAGCAAATGCCCCAGTGACACGCATTCATTCATTTATACAATGGTGCCTGTTGTGTCCCACATGTTTTATTAAGACAGACATTATCCCTGTTTTCATAGAGCATATCTTCTCATGAGGGAGCCAGGCAGCAGACAGGCAAACAGAAAAGATCATTTCAAATAGTGCAACATGTTACAGTACCATAAGTGAGATGACAGAGTAATGCGTGAAGAGTACTCTAGGCAAGGCAACATTCAGTGAGGGAAGGAAGCATGCTTTTGACTGAGTAAATAAAGGTGTTCCCCTTTTTAAATGGTCAAATTTCCCTCTCTGTCAGCTGCCTAAGATGCTGAAAAGAAAGAAGGCCAAAGGAAAGAAGGTGGCCCAGTCCCTGCCGTCGTGAGGAAGCAGGAGGCTAAGAAAGTGATGAAACCGCTGTGTGAGAAAAGGCCTAAGAGTTTTCTTAGGCAGGCATTGGACAGGACATCCAGCCCAAAAGAGACCTCCACTGCTTTGTGAAATGGCCCCGCTATATCTGGTTCCAGCTGCAAAGAGCTATCCTCTATAAGCAGCTGAAAATGCCTTCTGCCATTAACCAGTTCACCCAAGCCTTAGACCCCCAAACAGCTACTCAGCCACTTAAGCTGATCCACAAGTACTGACCAGAGACAAAGCAAGAGAAGAAGCAGAGACTGTTGGCCCAGGCTGAGAAGAAAGCTGCTAGCAAAGGGGTTGTCCCCACTAGGAAATCACCTGTTCTTTGAGCAGGGGTTAACATCATCACCACCTTGCTGGAAAACAAGAAGTCTCAGCTGGTAGTGATTGCACATGGTGTGGACCCCATCAAGCTGGTTATCTTTCTGCCTGTCCTGCGTCCTAAAATGGGGGTCCCTTATTGCATTATCAAGGGGAAGGAAGGCAAGACTGGGACATCCAGTCCACAGCAAGCACTACTGTCGCCTTCACACAGGTTTTGTATTGAAAACATTGATTTGCTCCAGAACATACATCCTCTGGTGCATCCCCATATTGTAACTGAACTCTCTAAGATTTTGATAATTTATCAAACTATATATTAAATGGGCAAAACCTACAAATGCATTTATAATCATCACCTCTAATCCATAGCTAACATTAATCAAAAAATTACTGCTTGTAAGGAAATCTGATGTTATTAAATAAACCATAATATTTATTTAATCTTAATCTCAGGTGATCATGTCTCTTATTCTATTCAGTTTATACATAAATAAGCACAGGCCCTGAGTGGTTAAGGAATTTACCTGAAATTACCCAATTAGGAAAAGTAGGAGCCCAGATACTAATCAAATTCTCCCTGTTTTGGAAGTTTACGAAGCCCTCTACAGTCAAAATCATCATTCCTTTCTTGCACATGGGAAGTTTAAGGCTCCCCTGGAGACAGCAGTTTAGTCCAGTCAAAACCCGAGTCAAACCCAAAATGTGTGCCCACCTGCCTTGCCTCCCTATTCTTTATCTCACAGACAGCTTCTCCACTTACCTTCCACAATGTATGCAGTGAGAGAGCAGATGCCAAGGAGGGCCAGGATGAGAAGTCTCATGGCTGAGGTCCCGCTGAGCTGTGCAGGGAGAGTGAGGATCGGGCTCTTTGAGGATCTCTTTTATGCCTCCAATGGTCAGTGCACTTCCTGTGGTGAGAGGGGGCTTTCGAGGTGGGTATAGGATCATGGAAAGTCTTTGCAATACTGATGCTTTTATTTTTCTTAAAAAAAAAAAATGTCCCTTTCCCTGTTCATACTAACCTATCGCCTTGTGGCCTTTACCCCTTTGTCTGTGGTTAATGTGTCAATTAAACCAAATGCATGCATAAAAGAAAACGTGGTTGTGTTGTCTCCTGCCACCAGCCTGAATTCAGATCTTCCACCGTAGACATGCCTGAAGGCTGTTCACTGCCATGGCCCACCACGGAAGCTGTAAAGGAAATGAGGTGGGGTGGTCACTGTGTTCCATCCCACCTCATGTGACATCCAGTGTGACATGAGGCTTCCACAACCATGGATCATGAGTCCCTGATGCCACCCTTTGACTCTCTCAGGAGGGGAAGAGAGGCTGCTGCCACACTGAGCTTCTCGATCCTTTGCTTTCTTGGTTCTCATTTTTCTCCTCCACCTTCATTCAAGTCACCCCCCTTTCTTCACCCCATCTCCCCAGGTACCCAAGAAACAATTAAATAACTGTTTAAGCATGTCTACATGCATGTGTTTGCTTTATTACAACTTAACATACACATTTATAGAAGCTTTTGAAAAGCTGTGCTGTACCAATTTATTTCAAATTAAAAAAGAAATAAAATTATAATCTTACCATCTGACAGTTTTCATTTTCAATATTTTTCCAGTGAATCTGCATTGGCATACATGTGTTCTCATAATTGTGGTAATTTTAAATGCTGTTTTAACACCAATTTAAATATCTTCCCATTTTTTTAGCCTTCATATTTCTACTTCGAGTAAATATATACACATACAAATTAAACCATTTTCTTATAACTTATTATAAAGATCAGAACTATAAGGTCGATTTCATTAATATACACTGAATTACTTCCCTTTAATAACCAGGAGTAGGATTACTGGGAAAAATGATATGATCATCTTTATAGCTCTTATTATATATTGCCATATAGTCTCCCAAAATGTAATTTTGATTTGCAATACTCCCAGTAGAATTTAAATATACTGATTGCACTGGAACTTTTCTGCCACTGAGTTTGTTGTGTGGTGGTTGTTCTTTATTTTACATAGGTATCTATAAAATGTATTTATTAAATATATGTGTAGTTAAAGGTCCTTTGCTATTAGGAATATGAAAATAAATTCCTATGTTTTCATAAAAAGTATAGGTTAACCTCTAAGAGACTTCCCACTAATCGCATTTGATTTTTCACCCAGACTTCATTCTAAACTTCAAACTGGCTCTTTAATGATCTCTACCTTACTGCACAATCACTCCTTGAACACTGGACACATCTTCTATTCAAACTGCTTCTCCTCATATTAGTCCTTAGCATGGAGCAATGTGTTCTCTTCCATCTAATTTCCAAATACTGATATATAGGGATCATCTTAGACTCATTGCTATCCACCTACATGTCATTCTCAACCAAACTGGACTAAGTATACCTTCTAGGTAGTTCTTTGAGATGTGTCCTCCTTTCTTCCCACACTGCTCAAATGTTAGGCCAATTACAGTGGACTAACTGGTTACCCAGACCAGGGCCTCCTCTCAGTCTGTTCTCTGCAGCTTTGCCAGGGTAATCACTGTAAAGCCTCAATCTAATCATGCCATTTCCCTACTGAGAACCTCTTTGCTAACTTCCAATGCCTACAGGATGTATTTCAAATCTTTCATTGTGATATATAAGAATGCTCAAGATCTAGTACTGCTTTCCTTTCAGACTCACCTTCCACCATTCACTCACACACTCCCAAACCTTAACAAACACATACATGTGCAGCCAACCCAATGGGCCAGCCTCTTTTATGCTCCTCACATGTTTCCTTTAACTGGAATACCCATGACAGCTCCCTACATAGTTACTTGTAAACTCCTCCTCTCTGTATAAGTTTTCCTGAATTTTTTTGATAAAATTAAGTTGTGCCACCCCTTTATGCTCTCTTAGAACTTTGTTCTGTTCTCATGGCTGTTCTGCAACGAATCTCATTGTGTTCTCCTACTCAATTACATTCCTGCGTCTCCCACTAGATGGCAGACTCTTTGAGAGTAGGAGATTCCCTTGTTATCTCTGGATCCCTGGCACTTGCAGAAAGCCTGTTACGTAATAATTGCTCAACAATTAGTTTTTAAATAAATGAATTATTTTTAAAACGCCAAAATTACAATGATTGTGCATTAAGTGAAAGATGACCATCTAAAAACATAAAGCCATGCTTCATGACATTGGTCTAAGCAAATAAAGGAAACAAAGGCAAAAACAGACAAATAGAATTACGTCTAACTAAAAAGCCTCTGCACAGCAAAGGAAATAATCAACAGAGGTAGAAGACCGCTTATGAAACGGGAGAAAATATTTACAAACTATACATCTGATAAGGAATTAATATGCAAAATATATGAAGAACTCAAGGAACTCATTAGCAAGAAAACAACACAATTTAAAAATGGGCAAAAGAGTGTAAAAACATGCCAAGTTATAAAGACCACCAATGCTAGGAAGAAACTGCATCAACTATCAAGCAAAATAACCAGCTAACGTCATAATGACAGTATCAAATTCACACATAACAATATTAACCTTAAATGTAAATGGCATAATGCTCCAATTAAAAGACACAGACTGGCAAATTGGATAAAGAGTCAAGACCCGTCAGTGTGCTGTATTCAGGAGACCCATCTCACATGCGGAGACACACATAGGATCAAAGTAAAGGATGGAGGAAGATCTACCAAGCAAATGGAAAACAAAAAAAAGCAGGGGTTGCAATCCTAGTCTCTGATAAAACAGACTTTAAACCCACAAGGATCAAAAGAGACAAAGAAGGCCATTACATAATGGTAAAGGGATCAATTCAACAAGAAGAGCTAACTATCCTAAATATATATGCCCCCAATCCAGGAGCACACAGATTCAAAAAGCAAGTCCTCAGAGACCTACAAGGAGATTTAGACTCCCACACAATAATAATGGGAGACTTTAACACCCCACTGTCAACATTAGACAGATCAACGAGACAGAAAGTTAATAAGGATATCCAGGAATTGAACTCAGCTCTACACCAAGTGGACCTAATAGATATTTACAGAACCCTCCACCCTAAATCAGCAGAATATACATTCCTCTCAGCACCACATCGCACTTATTCCAAAATTGACCACATAATTGGAAGTAAAGCACTCCTCAGCAAATGTAAAAGAATAGAAATTATAACAAACTGTCTCTCAGACCACAGTGCAATCAAACTAGAACTCAGGATTAAGAAACTCACTCAAAACCGCTCAACTACATGGAAACTGAACAACCTGCTCCTGAATGACTACTGGGTACATAACGAAATGAAGGCAGAAATAAAGATGTTCTTTGAAACCAATGAGAACAAAGAAACAACATACCAGAATCTCTGGGACACATTTAAAAAAGTGTGTATAGGGAAATTGATAACACTAAATGCCCACAAGAGAAAGCAGGAAAGATCTAAAATTGACCCCCTAACATCACAATTAAAAGAAATAGAGAAGCAAGAGCAAACACATTCAAATGTTAGCAGAAGGCAAGAAATAACAAGATCAGGGCAGAACTGAAGGAGATAGAGACATAAAAAACCCTTCAAAAATCAATGAATCCAGGAGCTGTTTTTTTGAAAAGATCAACAAAACTGATAGACTGCTAGCAAGACCAATAAAGAAGAAAAGAGAGAAGAATCAAATAGATGCAATAAAAAATGATAAAGGGGATATCACCACTGATCCCACAGAAATACAAACTACCATCAGGTAATAATATAAACACCTCTATGCAAATAAACTAGAAAATCTAGAAGAAATGGATAAATTCCTTGACACATACACCCTCCCAAGACTAAACCAGGAAGAAGTTGAATCCCTGAATAGACCAATAATAGGCTCTGAAATTAAGGCAATAATCAATAGCCTACCAATCAAAAAAAGTCCAGGACCAGAGGGATTCACAGCTGAATTCTACCAGAGGTAGAAGGAGGAGCTGGTACCATTCTTTCTGAAACTATTCCAATCAATAGAAAAAGAGGGAATCCTTCCTAACTCATCTTATGAGGCCAGCATCATCCTGATACCAAAGCCTGGCACAGACACAACAAACAAGAGAATTTTAGACCAATATCCCTGATGAACATCGATGCAAAAATCCTCAACAAAATACTGGCAAACTGAATCTAGCAGCACATCAAAAAGCTTATCCACCACAATCAAACTGGTTTCATCCCTGGGATGCAAGCCTGGTTCAACACACGCAAATCAATAAAAGTAATCCAGCATATAAACAGAACCAAAGAAAAAAACCACATGATTATCTCAATAGAGGCAGAAAAGACCTTCGACAAAATTCAACAGCACTTCATGCTAAAAACTCTCAATAAACTAGGTATTGATGGGATGTATCTCAAAATAATCAGAGCTATTTATGACAAACCCATAGCCGATATCATCCTGAATGGGTAAAAACTGGAAGCATTCCCTTTGAAAACTGGCACAAAACAGGGATGCCCTCTCTCACCACTCCTATTCAACATAGTGTTAGAAGTTCTGGCCGGGCAATCAGGCTGGAGAAAGAAATAAAGGGTATTCAATTAGGAAAAGAGGAAATCAAATTGTCCCTGTTTGCAGATGACATGCTTGTATATCTAGAAAACCCCATTGTCTCAGCCCAAAATCTCCTTAAGTTGATAAGCAACTTCAGCAAAGTCTCAGGATACAAAATCAATGTGCAAAAAATCACAAGCATTCCTCTACACCAATAACAGACTAACAGAAAACCAAATCATGAGTGAACTCTCATTCACGATTGCTTCAAAGAGAATAAAATACCTAGGAATCCAACTTACAAGGGATGTGAAGGACCTCTTCCAGGAGAACTACAAACCACTGCTCAATGAAATAAAAGAGGATACAAACAAATGGAAGAACATTCCATGCTCATGGATAGGAAGAATCAATATCATGAAAATGGCCATACTGCCCAAGGTAATTTACAGATTCAATGCCATCCCCATCAAGCTACCAATGACTTTCTTCACAAAATTGGAAAAAACTACTTTAAAGTTCATATGGAACCAAAAAACAGCCTGCATTGCCAAGACAGTCCGAAGCCAAAAGAACAAAGTTGGAGGCATCACACTCCCTGACTTCAAACTATACTACAATGCTACAGTAACCAAAACAGCATGGCGTTGGTACCAAAACAGCATGGCGCTGGTACCAAAACAGAGATATAGACCAGTGGAACAGAACAGAACCCTCAGAAATAATACCACACATCTACAACCATCTGATCTTTGACAAACCTGACAAAAACAAGAAATGGGGAAAGGATTCCCTGTTTAATAAATGGTGCTGGGAAAACTGGCTAGCCATATGTAGAAAGCTGCAGCTGGATCCCTTCCTTCCACCTTATACAAAAATTAATTCAAGTTGGATTAAAGACTTAAATGTTAGACCTAAAACCATAAAAACCCTAGAAGAAAATCTAGGCAATACCATTCAGGACATAGGCATGGGCAAAGACCTCATGACTAAGACTCCAAAAGCAATGACAACAAAAGCCAAAATAGACAAATGGGATGTAAGTAAGCTAAAGAGCTTCTGCACAGCAAAAGAACCATCAGAGTGAACAGGCATCCTACAGAATGGGAGAAAATTTTTACAATCTACCCATCTGACAAAGGGCTAATATCCAGAATCTACAAAGAACTTAAACAAATTTACAAGAAAAAATCAAGCAGCCCCATCACAAAGTGGGCAAAGGAGATGAACAGACACTTCTCAAAAGAAGACATTTATGCAGCCAACAGACACACAAAAAAATGCTCATCATCACTGGCCATCAGAGAAATGCAAATCAAAACCACAATGAGATACCATCTCACACCAGTTAGAATGGCGATCATTAAAAAGTCAGGAAACAACGGGTGCTGGAGAGGATGTGGAGAAATAAGAACACTTTTACACTGTTGGTGGGACTGTAAACTAGTTCAACCATTGTGGAAGACAGTGTGGCGATTTCTCAAGGATCTAGAACTAGAAATACCATTTGACCCAGCTATCCCGTTACTGCGTATATACCCAAAGGATTATAAATCATGCTGCTAAAAGACACATTCACACGTATGTTTATTGTGGCACTATTCACAATAGCAAAGACTTGGAGCCAACCCAAATGTCCATCAATGATAGACTGGATTAAGAAAATGTGGCACATATACACCATGGAATACTACGCAGCCATAAGAAATGATGAGTTCATGTCCTTTGTAGGGACATGGATGAAGGTGGAAACCATCATTCTCAGCAAACTATCGCAAGGACAGAAAACCAAACACCGCGTGTTCTCACTCATAGGTGGGAATTGAACAATGAGAACACTTGGACACAGGGTGCGGAACATCACACACCAGGGCCTGTCGTGTGGTGGGGGTAGGAGGGAGGGATAGCATTAGTAGATATACCTAATATAAATGACAAGTTAATGGGTGCAGCACACCAACATGGCACGTGTATACATATATAACAAACCTGCACATTGTGCACATGTACCCTAGAACTTAAAGTATAATTTAAAAAAAAAATAGCAACACCTTTCTTCCAGGTGCTCACATCAAAAGCCTTGGTCTCATCCAAGCCTTGATCTCATCCTAGCCTTGGTCTCTCCTCATTGTCTAACATTCTATACCCAGATTGTCAGCAAATCATGTCAGTTCTACCTTCAAAATAAACCAGCGTTTGAGCCTTCCTATTGAGCTCTCTGGTTCAATAGGAGGTAATACCCTCCTAAGTGGTATTCCTGTGTCTATCTTAGCCCTCTGCAATCTACTATTAGCACAGCAGCCAGATAAACCCGTTGAAGTATAGGTCAGATTGTATTACACCTCCTCACACATTTTCCCAATGTCTTCATTTCTCACTCAGAGCAAAAGCCAAAGTCTTATCAACAATCTATAAGAGCTAGAATGGCCTTGCTCCCCGTCATCTCTCTGACTTCATTTTTTACCCCTCCTCTCCTTTGATTTCTCAAACCACCTACTTTGGACATCTTGACTATTTCTTGAATACATCTGGCACATTTTTGCCTCAAGGCCTTTGAACTTGCTGTTTCCTTTGCATTCCTGGAGTGCTCCTCCTCTAGATAGCTGTGTGGCTAACTCCCCCATTCTCTCTAGTTCTTTTCTCTAAAGTCATCTTCTCAGTGATGCCTGTTTTCCAGCTACCCTATCTAAAATCTCAATTACCCCCTCCCCAATATCTCATCCTCCCCCTCCATCCTTTATTTTTTTCTCCTTAATGTGTAATAACATCCTGGTTTATAATATACTTGCATAAGTATAATAAATTTTACTTTTATAATCCTGTGGATTAACTTTCCTTTCCATCAGAATGTTTGCTCCATGAATTCAAAGATTTAGATTGTTTTGTTCACTCTTTTAGCCCTGGTTCTTAGAAATAATGGCTGACATGTTGTAGACCTCAATAAATATTTGTTTCATAAATGAATTAAACTAAATGTAGACAAAGATAAATGATTTCTTAGAACCCTATCCTACCATTGTTCCTTCTAAACATACATTTAAAAAGAATTCTTTCATCCTTTCGAGTGGAATAATTTTTATCATTCTTAGCCACAGCACTGTTGTAATCTTTAGTCACCAGAATTTTCAAATATTGACAAATGACAGCATTAGTGTTACCTAACCGTACCGTATTTTAATCAGTCACTTATGGAGTACCCATTTTGTTCCTAGAACTGGGTATTTGCTGAATTGTTACTGGAATGGAGATATTTGGAAACAAACAGCTCTCTTATTTACCAACTGTGTGATGACCCCGTGCAATCACTACATCTCTGGGCCTCAGTTTTTTCCTCCTTAAATAGAGACAAAAACACACACCCCTCCTAGTTGTTGAAAGCTGTATGAAACTTCAGTCTATGCATACTTTCACCACAAGAAAAACAACTTCATTAGAAATAATAATTTTTCTGGTATTAATATAAATTTTACCACATATGCTTTTGCAAACATTACAGATATTGCTGCCCATTATTGCCTGCTAGGTGGGTAGAGAAAGTAGTGTACTTGTAAGGGAAGATTAGAACAGAGGCATATTATTTTAACATGCAAGAGAAGCCTTAACTGACTCTACATACTTGCAGAGCCACTAACAACAATAACAATTTACCCTCTACAATATTTTACTGCATACAAAGCACTTTCTCATGTCTTATTTCATTTTGAAATCATATTTGGTAGGCAGGATTTATATGATCTCTTCCATTTTTTTAGAGGGGAAATTGAGTCCTCATTTAAGTGACTTGTCTGAGATGATGCAGTGGGTCAGTGGTGCAGCTAAGACTTTATTTCTGATTCCTTGAATAACTCTCTTTGGAGTATCTGATGCTCCTATATTAGTAATTCTGTCAGCTGGGTGAGAGTCTAACAACAATTCACTTTACTGGCATCTACTCATTGAAGTATTGGTGTTTTTGGCCAGAGTTCAAGATTTCATATCCTTCAAAACACCCTCTTCATTATTTTGGAGAGGTCCTCTGAGGCCAGTGGAGAAATGCAGAAAACAACACAGAAGTCTGAGCTCTTTTTTGACATCCTCTTAGGTACCTGGTAGGATGACAGAATGTCCATGCTTCATGAGTGTCCAAAGAAGAAGCGGAGCCTTGAAATAGAAAATAACAGGTCAACAATTCCTCTTCAAGAGTCTATTATGTGCCTGACCCTAAAGGGAGACAGGCCGGATTGGAGCTCTAATTTTAGTTGAATGGCTAACAGCCTCATCTAGTTCTCTTACCTACTGTTTAAATTCATTACTACAATGCTTAATCTCCCCAGCAGACTTCAGGTCCCCCAGACACATTGAGGTTAAAATCCACATGTGTTGGTTTACAAGGCGAAGTCCTTTGCTGTCTGGCTTCTTCCTACCTTTGCTATCTTAGAGCTCACACCAAATCAGCTTGCCCCATTATTATCCAGGCACTTGATTTCTTCATCCTCTCGACGTCATTAGACTTCGCCTTTGCCGGGAATACTGAGGCACCCTTTCTTCCTCCTTTATCTGGCTAATCTCTACTCATCCTTTAAGACTTGTCTGAGTCACCAATCCTCTGTAATTCCTTCTCTTCCATCCTGCCCTTACCCACTGGGAGAGATGCCCCTTCTCTGTGGTCCCACAAAACTCTTTGCTTTTTTCAAATACTGCATTATTACTATATGTTGTAGCGGCTTTCTTGACTCACCCTCTGTCCCCAGTGCTGTCACTGGGTATGGAATTGTTAGATGCTCAATAAGGCATCTTTTGGATGAATGAATGAAATATGAGTGAATGTTGTCAAATATGAAGCAATGATTGGCAAATCAATTTTATTTTATTTTTTATTATTTCTTCTTATTTTTTGAGATGGAGTCTCACTCTGTCACCCAGGCTGGAGTGCAGTGGCGCGATCTTGGCTCATTGCAACCTCCGCCTCCCAGGTTCAAGTGATTCTCGTGCCTTAGCTTCCCAAGTAGCAGGAATTATAGACACACAGCACCATGCCTGGCGAATTATTTTGTGGCAAAGCAATTTTAATTGCCTACACAGCCTATGATATAAAAGATGAAACTCAGCATACAATGAATATTCAGACGCATGACCTCAACTCTCAGTTTGGCTCTTATGTCCCTCCTGACCTTTGGACTTGATAGAGTTTAAGTCTTAGCTAGCCTGACACCAAGAATGTGACAAGAACCCTCTCTCGTAGAATGGAGCTATGACATGTGTCCACAGCAGTGTTACACAAAGGCTATGTGAAACAGCAGCTATTGTGAGTATGTGGGTGTCAGAGGCAATAGTTTGCTTTTTCCACATGTACCCCACGGAATACAGTACACAGAGCACACACTGAATTAAAATGCTGGAACCCTGCCTCAGATGGGGAAGTTTCATGAAGAGAGAGTCAAAATGTGAGCCTTATGTGGTGGTGAATGGAGCAAAGGTCAGCTTTTCCACTCATACAGTAGCTCACTCAGACCACCGATTTCTCTCTCATGGCCTATCCCAAGCAGATGGGCCCCTCTCCAGGCTGCTGGTTAGGTGGGTACACTGGTGGTCCTACACCCAGGGGAATCTCCAGCTCAGAACCTTAGAGTCACCCATGGAAAGTTTAATGAGTAAGATTTTAAGTCAGAAAGCAGCAAAGGGTGAGAAACTTGGGGGCCAAGACGCAGGTCAGAGACTTCCTCCTCTGTCTTTAGCTCTCCTCCCCTCACTGCTCTCAAAATAGAAATTATTTCTCACCTGCTCCACTGCCTGCTCCCAACCTCAGCTTCAGGGTGGTCTACCACAGACATTCTGTCCTGACTGACAGCAGAGAAATCACCAACCTTTCTGCTGCCAGGCATCAAGCAGAGGAAGATTCAGTCTGGGCCAGGTCCCACCACCCCCTAAAATCATTTTGATCTTTGGCTGGCCAGAGTGAGGAAGCAATGAGGGTGACGAGGGAGCTCTGGAAAAGACACATTGCCTCTTGCCTCTTGTGGGTCTGAATGTAAGCAGGGGAAAAAGACATTGAACATCTGGAAACTTAGCTTGGGAGATCTTTGAGTATGGGAATGAATTGTCTTCTATACCTCTGAGCCTGCCACTGGCATAATCCCTGGCATCCAGTGGTCATTCAAAAATGATGATTACATCATTGAATAAAGGAAAGAGGGGAGATGGGATTATTTCCCAGAAGGTAACTAGGTGCTTGTTAGCTCAGGAGAGCAGAGAGGAGATAATTTTCTTTTTGTATTTTTTTTCTAAGGGGTCAAAGAAGAAGCAGGAATGCTCAATTATCTCCTGTAAATAACAACAAGGAGCTTGCAGCATGAGAATATGTCTAACTGCTTAGTAGATGCCATTTAGCGCTAGGGACAAGCTATTTTAAGTCATGATTAAGACCTAACTTGGCTAGGGGGCAACTTCTTCAAGGGCTGCTGGCTTGGGTACTGAGTAATAGTCTCATTTATTACCCCGGGCAGGGCAACTGGACTCACAGATGGAGTAGACCATCCTAACCACGGTTTGACTTGGGGGAAGGGTGATTCAGGCAGAGGAAACAACATGTGAGAAGACCCTGAAGTATGACAAAGCAGTGTCTTAGAAGTGACTTAATAAATGAGGAAGAAGCAATGAAACTTAGCCAGTAGTACTAGAAGTTCTAAGCAAAGTGAGAAATGTAGTAATTATTTCCATTTCGCCTAGTTTGATGGAATCATGGATTAACTTTTAGGGTGAAGTATCTGCAAATCAGAGCTTGGGTTTAGGGTTAAAGCTTTTGAGGCCACCTCCACTCTGCCCCTGCACCCTTCCTTGCCCTCACCCTTCAAAACATTACAGAAAAGGTATTGTCACTTTTGATTCTTTCTGGAATAAACAAATCTCCACATTGCCTCAATTTTATTGACAGAAGGAAAGGGGGAGTTTGCTTTAACAGTGGCTGTCTGTTACTTGCTGAATCTGATGATCTCAATTTGAGTTTCAGAATGTGCCCTCTTGATCCTCTTTGTTTTGTTTTCATTTTTGCTTGCGCGTTTGTTTGGTCTTTGATAAGTTACTTTTGTCAGACACCTATTGTTTGTCTGCTTGTTTCTCCTTCCAATTTTCTGAAAACTACCCCTTCTACCATCCTATACAAATGTTTACCCCTGTCCCCCAGGAATGTTGAGTGGGGCTTGAGAGATTCCAGTTTCAGTCTGGCTGGGACTTTGAACAGAGAACATGGAAACCAGGGTGGCTGTGATGTCCCATATGTTCTGTTGTGAGGTAAAGAAAGCTATCCTGCTGTGAGGGAACGTGAGATGGAGAGTGAGGCCCCCTGGGGTCTCTGAAAGGCTCCAACCCTGCATTCAGATTGTTCTCTGGGCCTGGGTGCATCTCTGCCCATGGCATTTATGAGCTTCCTTTTGATAATCCAGGTTATCCAGTATTTTATCTGGAGACCCTGGTTGGAGGAGACCTCAAAGGAATTCAATACAATTTTGATACAGAAATATGCTTTGCAGATCTGGTTCCTGTCCCACACTCCACTTCCACATTCCCTCTTCAAATAGAAACAAATCATATAGGAACAGACTCTTCCTGGCTAGGATTTTGTTTTCAAAAACCAGACCTCAAACACAAAAGATGAAAAGTTTAAGTTTCCTGGTAAATCAGGAAAAACTCCCATTCAGGTGTCCAGTTATTTAAGCAAAAGAAATTGTTTTGTTCTCCCTTTACTGAATTAAGTTACTAATTTTCCTCAAGTAACATTACTCTAAAGTATTCTTTTAAGAACTTTCATTCTCACATACGTAAGATTTTGCATAATATTAACACTATATTGATAACATGAACCAATAAATATTGAGTGTTTAATACATGCCAGGAACTCTTCTAAGTATTTTGCATGTGCTAACTAATTTGATTTTTGCAGCAGCCTCATCTGGTTTCTTATTATTTCCATTTTATATATATAAGGAAGCTGAGGCACAGAGAGGTTAAATGCATTAAGTAGCTTGCAGGAGGTCACACACTAAGTGATCAAATGGAAATGAACATGGCAGTTTGGTTCCAGAGCCAGGGCTCTAAACCACAGCAGATTACTCTTAGAGATAGATATTCCACACATAAACAAAATCACATTAAATTAAAAGAGTTTACATTGGGTGTTCTGAGGTCTGAAACTGCATATCTGGTTCTACAACTTTCATAGAGTTCCTGATTTTGACTGCTTGGGTAAATGGCTGCACATCATGGCCTCTCCTGCAAGCCATTAGCTTCCATGTAACACCTAGTGTGAGAAGTTACTAAAGGAGATTAGTCTGTTGGCTAGATCATTCTTCTCTGTAGTTTTCTCCCATTCATCCTAGACTGATCTGGTAGATCATATAAATGACAAGTAATCACTTTCCAGTAGTTGAAGAGCAGTCTGCCTTTCTGGGGTGCTCTTTGCCTTGGTCCAAACACTTTCAGCTTTTCCAACCATTGCTTTGAGCTATCAGGAATAATCCAATCATTTTTGAGTTCTGTGATTGTGCATGGATATTTTCTCCTTGGGCATAAACCTGTCTGTAGAAATTTTCTTATCATAAAACTTTAGTCTATGTTCAAATAAAAAATATAGCCTTTTACGGGATACTGAAAAAAATCCTTCTTCGTGGGCCTTTGGAAAGGAAATTCTGTCCTTGTAATTTCCCACGGTGATTCTAAGTGTATGGTCTTTTCCATAGCAATTATTGGCAATGAACAGTAAAAATGGTAAAAATACTTTCTTTTATATTTTAAGCCTGCTACAGTTTTAAAGAGTTTAAGTATAGGGCTTTATGGTGAAAGCAAATTATGAAATCCCCATGTTTATCTTCTGCATGCCAGATGAGGGTGTATCCCTAATTCTTTCCCTGTTTGTCTTTCCCAATTTCCCCTTTGAAAGGCAAACCTTTAAACTGAACAGACATTTTGAACTTCTACTTGCATAGCCTAGCATCAGAACTTATGGAAACATGTGAGGGAGCAGATAAACTAAGACAAGGAACCTGGCTTACCTGATCACTGATGTTACCAAGGACAAGCAGTGGCTGGAGAAAGTTTGGTACATGTGACTAAGATTAGCCTCTGAGGAATGTCTGATGGTGGTCGGAGTGTAAGGACTAATGGTTTTGAAAGTATTCATCACCATTGGTGATGAAATTTCACTGCAGTTTTGGTTACTTTCAATAAACCACGTAGACTCACTGTGGCTTCCCTTAATGTGATGTAGCTAACATTCAGCAAAGTACGTACCAGCAAGACCATGCATTAAGGGTAGTGTGTGTGTGTGTGTGTGTGTGTGTGTGTGTGTGTGTGTGTGTGTGTGTGTCTATGTGTGCATACATGACAGAAAGAGAGAGAAAGACAGAGAGAGAGAAAGAGAGAGAGAGAGAGAATGGAAACTTGTAAAAAAAACAGCAGTGGTATAATTTGTCTTCCACATACTCTGTCTACAGTATCCCTGCTGTTCTTTTAGGGTAAGCCAGTCTTCAGCAATAGTACCAGTGCTGTTAGTAGGGTCATTTCTACCATGATTTTGTGCTACTTTATACAAAGCAAACCCAGACTTGTTTTTAATCCTTTTTATTGAGTTGTATTCTGTTTATATAATGATACTCATTCATGAAAACCAATAGATACAATTTATTTAACCCAGAAGTCGTACTTCTTGGAATTTGTCTAAATAAATGATTGGAGAAGTGCAAAAAGATATATGGGAAAGGATATTCTTCGTAGTCTTTTTCATACCTTCTTTCCACTGTGGAAATTACCTGTTTATCAATAGGTGTATAGTTAAATAAACTTTGTTACATGCTTTTAAGAGAATTCTTTATGGCCATTAAAAATGATATAGTTCAATTTTCAGACCTGGAATATGCTCATTTTTTCATGTAAAAAGAAAATAGGGTAAGTAACAGTATATATAGTTCATTCTTATATCTGACATCTATCCATCTGTAACTAAATGGGTAGGAAGTATTCTGGAAAGGTAAATACCAAAATGCTGGCAATAATGATCTCTGTACAGTAGAATTATAGACGATTTCAACTTCATTTTTGATTATCTGTTTTTCAAATATTTTTATGTAATTAATAATCATTAAATTGCTTATATAATGAGGAAAAAGTAAAATTATTTTTCACAGAAATAAATAGACCAATAATTGTCTTTGTTTCTAGTAATACCACTTCCTCAGTGAAACTATCTGCAAGTAACTGAAACAGATAAAAGAAATTCAACAACATGTAGTTCAAACATATAGCTTCTATGGATCCACTTTGGCCACAAGATATACTAATTTCTTCTTTTGTTTGGATATGATACTATTACACAATTATTATTTTTAAGTCATAGAGCTGCTACTATTCAAAAATTTGGCTCACTCATGCTTAAAACCCCTGTGTTGCCTGAAAATATTTAATTATTTTCCCTATTGTTAACCATTGTTCCTAAGCTCGTACATCCAATTAGATAGAGAGCCTTACCTTGTCTTTTAGGCACTTTGGAATAAAAAGATCAACCCATGTTTAGCAGAGAGCAACTGTAAAAAGCATCAATTGAGAACCCACTATAATCTGTTAAATTCTTTTGATTAATATCACTTACTTTTACAAAATAACCCAATGAGACAGAAATTATCCCCATTTTCAGAAGAATAAATATAGATTTGGGAAAGCTGGTTGACTGCTAGCATTATAGAGTTAGCCATTGGCAAAGCCAAGACTTAGACCTAGCTCTTTTGACTTTAGTTACCATTTATTTTCTCATTTCCATAATGCTTCAAGAGGAGTAATAAAGAACTTAATACATTTGGCAACTTCCTATCAGAAGCATATCTATGCTGTCTATAGAGATCATTCTTTCGGTCTGAGTTTTTAGTTGCAAACAATGAAAGAGGCTTTAATCAGGAATAATTCTCAAATCATATTTTGTCTACAGGTGTATCCGCACAGCACTCATCAGAGGCACAAGCTTGAATTTGAGATACTGCATGGGTCATACTCACTAGGACCCCTGCTATGGTGACTTCTGAAAACTCAGTGACTACAGCAATCAAGACAGTGCGGTATTGGTAAAACAACAGACAAATAGATTGGTCAAACAAAACAGAGAGCTCAGAAATTGACCCACACAAATATGGTCAACTGGTCTTTGACAAATAAGTAAAGGCAATTCAATAGTCTTTTCAACAAATGGTTCTGAAACAAGACATCAACATAAAATAAATTTAGAAACAGATCTTTTACCTCTTACAAAAATGAACTCAAAATGCATCATAGGCCTAAGTGTAAAATACAAAACTATTAAACACCTAGAAGATAACATAGGAAAAAATCTAGATGTGTTTGGGTTTGGAGATGGTTCTTTAGATATGTCACCAAATGCACTGTATACATGAAAGAAAAGTTGATACATTGGACTTCATTAAAATTAAATATTTTTGTTCTGTGAAAGACACTGTCAAGAGAATGAGAAGTAAGCTACAGAGTGGGAGAAATATTTTCAAAAGATATATCTGAAAGAGGACTTGTTACCCCAAATATAGAAGGAACTCTTAAAGCTCAGCGATAAGAAAACAAACAACCTGATTAAACAACCAGGGTAAAAAATCTGAACAGACACCTAACCAAAGAAGATATACACATGACAAATAAGCATATGAAAAGATAGTCTACATTATACCTCATTAGGGAACTGCAAATTAAAATAACCACCACTCCACACCTATTAGAATGGATAACATCTAAAACACTGACAACACTAAAAGCTGATGAGGATGTAGAGCAACATGAACTTTCATTCATTGTTGCTGGGGATGTAAAATGGCACAGCCACTTTGGAAGACAGTCTGGCAGTTTCTCATAAAGCTAAACATGGTCTTGTCATATGATTCATAAATTGTGTTCCTTGGTATTTACCCAAAAGAGTTATGTCCACAGAAAAACTTGTCTCCACACAAAAACCTACATACATACATTTATAGCAGCTTTGTTCATAATTGCCAAAATTTGGAAGCAACCAAGATGTTCTTCAATAGGTAAATATATAAACTGTGGTATATTCACACAACTGAATATTTTTCAATGCCAAAAAGAAACAAGCCATGAAAAAACATGGAAGAACCTTAAAGGTATATTACTAAGTGAAAGAAGCAATCAGAATAGGCAAAACTATGGAGGCAGTAAAAAGATCAGCGGTTACTGGAGGCTTGGTGGGAGAGAGGGAGGAGGAGTAGGTGAGGTGCAGGTGATTTTTAGGGTAGTGAAACCATTCTGTATCAATACTAAGAGGGTAATACATGTTATTATACATTTGTCAAAACCCAAGAATGAGCCCTAATGTAAACTAGGGGCTTTGAGTTACAATAATGTGTCAATGTCATTTAATCAGTTGTAACAAATGCACCACTCTGGTAAGGGATGCTGATAGTGAGTAAGGCTATGAGTGTATATGAGCTGAGTGGGTATATGGGAAATCTCTGTACTTTTGCTCAATTTTGCTGTGGACCTAAACTGCTCTTAAAGATAAAGTCTATTAGTTAAAAACCAAACAAGCAAACAAACTCCACGACTCTTGTCAACAACCATATAGCTTTCCCCAAAAATGAATTTCATGTGGAGTCTTCTTTCTCTTTGATCTCTTCCAAATCCAAGCTTGTGGAGGTGGTTTAATTGGTTCAGTCTACGTCATATGCCAAGGGTAAGTTGAAAATGGAGTTCTGGATTCTACTTTGATGAAAAGGGCTATCATATGGGAACTTCCATACACATCGGAAGCCAGACAGTCACTATTGTGGCAAATGTCCACCATAGACACTAATGTAGAAAGAGAGAAAAAAACTCTACATTAATATTTTTCAATAACTAATTCCATTACAGGCACAAAAGCCTAATGATTAACTTTTTTTTTCCATTGGAAGGGAATTAAGGTCTTCTCTATTTTGCTATTTGCTTTCTTTGATTTCTATATGTTCACTTTTTCTGGGGGTAGGAGTGGGGATCCTTGCAGAAATGCCTTAAGTACACCTATAAATTTTTCCAACTGCTTTTGATACATTTACTTCTAGGAACTGTTTATTAAAAGAGTTAGCATTTTCCCCCACTAACACTTTAAGCACAAAATAAGTAAAGTTTACATATTTATTAAACTTCTTTCATGTCTGTTATACAAAGGCAATTGCCTTTAACAAGATTATTTTGGCTATCTGTTTCTGAAAAAAACACAGATGCTGGAGAAATATTCAAAGACTTTGTTAAACGTTAGGATTATTAACTTATTATATCAGTTGAAGGATGATTTCACCTTTGGCTTTTACAATAAACTCAGACATTAATGGACTTGGCGATTCTAATAGGAAATAAGGATAGAAAGATTAAGGAAATTTCTACAGCAGGAACAATATAAAAGACAAAAAGAAAGGAGAAGGAACAAGAACATAAAAAAGGGCAGGCTCTGAGAGAGTAGAGGTCAATGCAGTTGTGGCAACTGTCATCATCACTATAGACTCTGGTTGAGACTCAAAGTAAGAATAATCATGATCATAAAGAGAAGAGGAAGTCCTATAAATAGCAAAATTAAAAGAAATTCGAAAAACCAAAAATCCCAACCCATGCTATTAAAAGTGGGCAAAGGACTTGAATAGACATTTCTCAAAGGAAGATATACAAATTACTAATAGATGTATAATAAGACAATCAATATTATTAACATTGGGGAAATTCAAATAAAAACCACAGTGAGGTATCATGGTATCATGTCACACCTGTTAGGATGTCTATGATCAAGAAAAAATAGATAACGAGTGCTGACGAGGATGTGAAGAAATTGGAACCCTTGTACACTGTTGGTTAAAATGTAAAATTGTTTAGCTGTTATGGAAAACAATACAAGATTCCTCAAAAAATTAAAAATTTAAAAATTTAAATTAAAAATAGAAATACCACATGATTCAGTAATCCCACATTTGGGTATGTATCCAAAAGAATTGAAATCAGGATTTTGAAGAGATAGTTGGATTCCCATGTTCATTGCAGCATTATTTACAATGGGCAAGATAGAGAACAACCTAAATGTCCATTGATAGATGAATGAATAAAGAAAATGTAGCATTTATGTACAATAGAATATTATCCAGACTTAAAAAAGAATGAAATCTTAACATAAGCAGCAGTATAGATGAACTTAGAGAACACTGTGCTAAGTAAAATAAGCGGACACAGAAGGACAAATGCTGCATGACTCCACCAACAGGAAGTATCTAAAATGGTCAAACTCACGGAAACAGAGAGTAGAATGGTGGTTGCCAGGGTCTTAGCAGGAGAGGAAAGAAGAGTCATTGTTCAACAGGTATAAAGTTTCAGCTATGTTTTTGTTTGCTTAATTGAAGATCAGTTGGTTGTAAGTATTTGGGTTTATTTCTGGGTTCTCTATCCTGTTCCATTGGTCTATGTGCCTATTTTTATACCAGTACCATGCTGTTTTGCTGACTATGGGCTAGTTTGAAGTCAGGTAATGTGATGCCTCCAGATTTGTTCTTTTTGTTTAGTCTTGTTTTGGCTATGCGGGCTCTTTTTTGGTTCCATGTGAATTTTAGGATTGTTTTTTTTCTAGTTCTGTGAAAAATTATGGTGGTATTTTTATGGAAATTGCATTGAATTTGTAGATTGCTTTTGGCAGTATGGTCATTTTCACAATATTGATTCTACACATCCATGAGCATGGGATGTGTTTCCATTTGTTTGTGTCATCTATGATTTCTTTCAGCAGTGTTTTGTAGTTTTCCTTGTAGAGGTCTTTCATCTCGATTAGGTATGTTCTTAAGTATTTTATTTTATTTTTGCAGGTATTGTAAAAGGGGTTGAGTTTTTGATTTGATTCTCAGCTTGGTTGCTGTTGGTGTGTAGCAGAGCTACTGATTTGTGTACATTAATTTTGTATCCTGAAACTTGGCTGAATTCATTTATCAGTTCTAGGAGCTTTTTGCAGGAGTCTTTAGGGTTTTCTAAGTATACAGTCATATCATCAGGACACCCTATTTAACAAATGGTGCTGGGATAATTGGCAAGCCACATGTAGGAGAATGAAAGTGGACCCTCATCTCTCACCTTATACAAAATCAACTCAAGATGGATCAAGGACTTAAATCGAAGACCTGAAACTATAAAAATTCTAGCAGATAACATCGGAAAAATGCTTCTAGACATTGGCTTAGGCAAAGACTTCATGGCAAAGAACCCAAAAGCAAATGCAACAGAACAATGAGAAATAGGCGGGACTTCATTAAACTAAAGAGCTTCTGCACAGCAAAAGAAACAGCAGAGTAAACAGACAACCCATGGAGTGGGAGAAAATCTTCACAATCTATATATCTAACAAAGGACCAACATCTAGAATCTACAAAGAACTCAAACGAATTAGCGAGAAAAAAAAATCCCATCAAAGAGTGGGCTAAGGACATGAATAGGCAGTTCTCAAAAGAAGATATACAAATGGCCAAGAAACATATGAAAAATTCTCAACATCACTAATAATCAGGGAAATGCAAATCAGAACAATGCGATACCACCTTACTCCTGCAAGAAAGGCCATAACCAAAAAATCAAATAAGAATAGATGTTGGCATGGATGTATTAAAAAGAGAACACTTCTACACTGCTGGTGGGAATGTAAACTAGTACATCCACTGTGGAAAACAGTGTGGGGATTCCTTAAAGAACTAAAAGTAGAACTACCATTTGATCCAGCAATCCCACTACTGGGTGTCCACCCAGAGGAAAAGAAATCATTATACGAATATGGAACCAGCCCAAATGCTCATCAATCAACAAGTAGATAAAGAAATTGTGATATGTATGTACAATGGAATACTACTCAGCCATAAAAAGGAATGAATTAATGGCATTTGCAGCAACCTGGATGGAACTGGAGACTGTTATTCCAAGTGAACTAACCCAGGAATGGAAAACCAAGCATCATATGTTCTCACCAAAAATGGGAGCTAAGCTATGAAGATTCAAAGGCATAAGAATGATACAATGGTCTTTGGGGGCTCAGGGGAAGGCTAGGAGCTGGGTGAGGAGTAAAAGACTGCAAATTGGGTTCAGTGTATACTGCTTGGGTGATGGGCTCACCAAAATCTCACAAATAACCACCAAAGAACTTACTAATGTAACCAAATACCTCCTGTTCCTCCAAAACTTATGGAAATAAAAAAGTTTTAAAAAAAGTATCAGGTATGTAACATGAGTAAGTTCTAGAGACCTGCCATAAAACATTGTGCCTAGATATAGTTAACAATACTGTATTTTGTACTTCAAAATTTAAGAGGGTAGGTCTCATGTTAAGTGTTCTTACCACAATAAAACAGACAAAAACAATTAAGGATCACACACACACACAAATAATAAAGAGAAGGGAAAGGTGAGTTGTAAAAGCCTAAGCAGCTAAGGAGAATATAAAATTTTTCCAGGTATTAGAGAGAAGTTGGTATGACTACAGCTTTACATCTATGGCTTATTATTAAAGATATTAAAATACCATATGATGAAATTGTGGGTATTCAACACAATTCTTTAAAGGAAGATGGTGATTAACATTTCGAATTTTTAAAACGTTGCTCAAGTAATGCCATTTACAGAATAGCAGGAAGTAGATGTGATTGAATTGTGTGGATTTCTCAGGTGGCGCTGAGGGTTATAATTCATCTTACTTTAAGGTCTGTACTGGCCAAATGCACTGAGGTGCAGAGAGGATCAGCAGAAGAGGAGCCTCTGAGGAGGATGGAGGGAGGACTCGGGTGCAAGCCTGAATTCACCACATGAATCCTTCACTTCACCCTTTTCCAGAATGAGCTGTGTCTTGCATAGATGGAAAAGCAAGCAAAGAAATGTATTAATCTTTCTCCCTGATATACAGCATATTTTATTTTTGTTTGTAGTGGTCTTCTGACTCTCACTGAGCCTTGCTAAGGGATGTGTCGGAACAGAAGTTTGTTCTGTGACATTGCCCATCACTCTAATTTGTTTTCCCGTCATAAAAAGACTGCATAATTTCTCAGGTCTATTCTAGCCACTATATCTTTTGATCTTTTTTCCTTGTATTATTTGCCATACTAGGATAATATCAGTATAAAGTAGCTAGCTCCAAGTTAAATTGAGCAGAGCTTCTGCTTTTAGTTCTTGTAGGAAAGAAGACAATGACAAGACAATTAGTTTATATTTATTTATTCAATCAATAAATATTTCTTGAGTTCCTACATTATAAGCGCTGAGGGTTCAGTAATACAACAGAGTCTCAATTCTCACGGATATTGTATTCTGTAGGGGGAAAACCACAATACACAGTATATAAAAATGTCAAGTGGTGATGATAAGAGCTATAAATTACAATAAAGCAGGTTGCAAGAAACTATGGGAATGGGGAGGAGCTGCTATTTTATACGAAGCAACGAGAGCAGACTTCTGATAAGGCAATACTTGATTAATTTGCTTCCAGAATCAACTCTGAAGCTCCATTCAGATTCAATTCAATATCATATACCCTTTAAGGTAATGCTTGTACTTTAAGAATTCTTCTAGGTTCTGTGCAATAGATTACTGGCTGAGGCACTAAAACTAAGTAAGCCTCTGTCATCAAGAATTTATTTTTCTATTCTGCTCTACCAGAAAAAAAATGGGAACATTTTCAATAAAGGTTGAAATAAAAAATAATTTTAGTTAATCTGAAAATTAGGTAATGCACAGCACTCCATGCCCTCTTATTCTACCATAAAAAGGTTTTGTATGTGTGACTGATCTTTTCATTGGGAAGATGAAAATGTCTTCCAGCTTGATATCAATCATGTGCAGTGATGTGCATGCTTCTTCCTCCTGATATTTCAGATATAGGGAGGAGGCCAAGTATGGGAGAGCAGAGAATAATAGACCTGGCTGATTCCATAAAAATCATTCATTGTTATTTATAATAATAAAATAGGCCAGATGTGGTGGCTCATGCCTGTAATACCAGCACTTTGGGAGACTGAGGTGAGTGGATCCCTTGAGCCCACAAAGATCCTGGTTAATCTGGTTTTACAGTTCATCGTCCCCACTACCATAGGTGGCTTCTCAAGGAAAGACTCCTTAGGATGGCTTTTGACCACTGACACTGGACTTCAGTTTCTGGCTGGTACATCTATCTTTGGTAGGCAGATTTAGTCTGGCCAATGTCCAACTTAGGAAATCCATAAATGCTTTGGATTCTGTACCACAGAGGGTTTTGTTTCTAGTACACTTTATGGCACAAGTGGCAGTCGTCTGAAAAAATACTCTTCTGCTTACTAGTTTTAGCTCCCTGAAAGAGTGGTTGGTTTGCCGTCATAGAGACTGGTGTCTTTTTTCTTCCCAACCTAACCTTCCTTGGAGAGTTGGTTACTTTGACTCAATCACCTGTTCTGTTTAGATTCACCATTGATCTGTTATCAATGAGCAATGTAACCAAAACTATTTATAAGCAATTTCTGAGTAGTGGTCAACTTGCAACACTTCCTCTGTTGGGCTTGTGGGTTCCTGGCCCTGAGTAATATATGCTATATAGTGCAGGGCAGTGGTTTTTAACCTTTTGATAACCACAGATATTTTTAGAAATTTTTTTGAGATTTTTGGTGGCTGTGTATCTTTTATTAAAAAATGAAGGAGACTATAAACCCACCTGATGAGAAAGTACTGCATGCTAATACCACATACTTTCACTAAAAAGAAATAAGTAAATAAAATAGCTAATAAATGATACAAGGGCATGAAATGTGAGAAGCTATTCTTACTTTCCCAGCTTGGCCATGAACTTGGTAACTTCCTGGTGGAATTTTTCATTGTTAATGTTTTGGTGTACTTTAGGTTTTTTTTCATCTCTACTTACTTTACGTGGTTGATATCCCATTGAACACAACATTTTAATAAATATGAATCAGGGTCTGACCCAGAGGTCAGCAAACATTTTCTGTGAAGGGCCAGATGGCAGATATTTTAAGCTTTGATGACCATGCAACAAATCCACTTTGCTGTTGCCGTGTACAAACAACCATAGCCAATATGTAAGCAAATAGGCATTGCCGTGTTCTAATAAAACTTTATTTACAAAAACAGAAGGCAGATACAGTGTGTTGATTCTTGTGCTGTGCTATTAATATGAAGTTATTATACATAATATTTGTCAGGTATAGATATAGGTTGATGCAAACGTAATTGCAGTTTTTGCCATTAGAATTAATTACCAGTGGCAAAAACTGCAATTACTTTTGCAACAACCTAGTAATACCTATCTAGCATATTTCATTTGAATTCACTAATTTAAACAAATGCAGTGACTCAAGTTATTAAATATAATTTTACAGATTTGACCCATTACTTGAAGTCCATGGCAATAAAATACCTATTTAATTGTTTTTCTATACAATTCTTGATTTTTTTGGAGAAAACTATTAATTCTCTTTGCATAGTATCTCATATAAAAATAAAAAGAAATTATGTAAAAGTTAGGTCATTCATTATTAGCAATTTCTGGAGTAAATAGCATCAGTTATTGTTTTAAGTGGTTATCGAGTAAGACTAGGGCTAGATGAGTTTTTTAAACTGTGAGAAAAAGAAGAGGTCCAATTACACATTCCCTGGTACTGGAAAATAAGCAGAAGCAGAATAGTAATCATGAATAAAAGTACCACAGAGCCAAAATTTTTCCCCAGGCTTTGGAATTCCACTAAAAACTGTATAATCCAACTGGATTTCTGTTTAGTATCAAGTTCTCTGTCTTTGCCTGTATTGAATTCACCATCAAAATATCTCCAACGTCTCTTGCTTAAGACTTAAACACTAGGGGAAGACCCTAGTGTTTAAACCTCACCTCCAAGACAAGATCCTTTTAGTATCACCCTCCCTAGGGTGAAATATATCTCCAGTTGGTTAAAGTCTTCCATGAAAAATGGTTCTATAGTCAAAAATATTTGGGAAATGTTGGATTAGCCAAATTTTACTGTAGGACTTCTCAGAGGCTTTAACATACTGATATGCTCTATGAATTAGTAATGCCCCATATTTCTCAAGTTTATTAGAAATGGACCTCTCTCCCCAGATGGCAGAACAGATGTTTGGTATAAAACACTTTGGGAAATGCTGGTAGATTCATCCCTCCCCCTGTTCTTCCTTCAGAACTTAGCTTCACTGTGCATTTCCTTAGGTGCCTTCTCTGTTTTGCAGAGTGACAGTCTATCATCAATGTATTAACCAAAGTCCAATATTAATGCCTGAGAATGAGGAGTATATGCCTTATTCACTCCAGAATCATCAGAGTCAAATTCCATTTCAAATAATTGATCAAGCTACTGTAGCACTTATGTTGCAGTGGACAAGCAATTGAGAGCTATCTGATATGGTATCAATCTTCCAGCCAGCTTAATTTTCATACATTTAACCTTTGTATACCTTTTAAAGAAAGCAGTAGGTACAAAAGTAAGAGACTCTTCAGGAAGCTTCCTGGAGGGAGCTTATGCTAAAGAGATGTATAAGCAAATATGCAAAGTTCAAAGAAATGTATATTCTTATTGCTGTGTAGTCCATGGTTGAATAAAAAGGGAAATAATTTAAGGACCCATCAAGAGGGTATTAGTGGTGTATCAAAATATCTGACAGTATAGGGCACTGTGTAATAGCTTGGGCTTGGAGTCTGGTAGACTGGAATTTGAATCTTTATCATCACCAAGCTTTGTGATTTTTAGTGAATTTCTTAAGCTCTTTAAGTTTCAATTTTCTCATCTATAAAATGTAGAGAATAATTCTACTTATTTCATTATATTGCTTTAAGGATTAAATAAATGGGTTAATGCCCTTTTGTACTTAGCATAAAGCTTCACAC
The DNA here is from genome assembly GCF_000001405.40 of Homo sapiens. NCBI lineage: Eukaryota > Metazoa > Chordata > Mammalia > Primates > Hominidae > Homo > Homo sapiens. The sequence goes on from NC_000001.11 coordinate 168,569,551, forward strand.
ATTCCAAATGTACAATAAATCTCCAGCCATTGAATGCTGTAGAAAGATTGTGAAATGATATACATAGGCATATTTACCTAGAGATCTGTTTGGAAGAAGGCCCATCTATTATGGTTAAGTGGTTTTCTCTGGGTAGTGGACTTTGGGTGAATTGTACTTTCTTAAAAACCTTTTCTGGACGGACGCGTTGGCTCACGCCTGTAATCCCAGCACTTTGGGAGGCCGAAATGGGCAGATCACGAGGTCAGGAGATCAAGACCATCCTGGCTAACACGGTGAAACCCCGTCTCTACTAAAAATACAAAAAATTAGCGGGGCGTGGTGGCGGGCGCCTGTAGTCCCAGATACTCCAGAGGCTGAGGCAGGAGAATGGCATGAACCCGGGAGGCGGAGCTTGCAGTGAGCTGAGATGGCTCCACTGCACTCCAGCCTGGGGGACAGAGCGAGACTCCATCTCAAAACAAAAACAAAAACAAAAACTTTTCTAGAGTGTCTGGATTTTATTTACAGTAATCATACTGTTTTTCTAAGAGAAAATACAAGAACGCTATTTTAATTTAGGGAAAAAAGATGTACAATTCAAGAGATGTACTGTGGGCACGTTTCAAAGAAAATAATAATCAGAGTAATCTTGCTTTATTTTTATCCTTTAGAAACTTGAACCTCAGGCGCACCATCAGATTAATCATAATCTTATTGCTATGACAGGTCGTGCTAGACCTCAACTGCTCTTTGTTTCAAGCACTGATCCAGATTACACTTCCCAGATGGAACTCCATTCTCTATTCTCCCACTCTGTCCTTGTTTCTTAGATGGACCAGATAACTGGTTCTCAGCCGTCATGTGAGACCAAAGAATACATGTCACTTCTAGATAAGAGGAGGTGTGCCATGCTCTCTCTCATTCTTCATCCTGCAGCTGGAAGAAAAGGACTTCCAGGCTTTAGGAGATGGTATTATTCAGAGGTGAAAGCAGCCTAAATTCCTGTGTCACTTTCTGGAGGAGAGCGTTCAAGACAGACAACCGATTAGGAATATCTACATTGATTTTTTTGTTATTCTAATCTGAATGATGCAATTACACATTATCTTCATTAGTCTACAGGTGACCTTTTTCTACTCAGTTAATTACTTTGTATAATATGCCACTATAAACCTACCTACAACTTAGGCACTTGAACATTCCAAGTAATTTACGTTTAATGCTCCTTTCCTCTGAAATTCTCTAAGTATATATCTAGGAGCAGGATTTCCGGAACTTCATGTTATGCAAATGCTCAGCTTTACATGACAATGCCAAACTGCTTTTCAAAGTGTTATACCAATTTCCAAAGCCATGAATAATATATGCTGCTTCACATCCTTGCAAAGTACTAGTATCAGAGTTCTTAATTTTGACCATTTTGAATGGGAAGAAAATGGGGTCACACTGCGGTCTTGACTTTTGTTTGAAAAATTACTAGTGAGCTTCAGGCAAGATACTTCTGAAGAAAAAGAAGAAGAGGGCTTGCCTTACTAAAAACTAAAGTTAAGTTATAAGTAATTACTTAGGTAATGAAGGTAGAACGGTGTTAGTGAAGGATGGACAGATGGACCAGTGGAGCAGAATATAGACTCTGAAATGGATGCATATATATGTGGGGGCTTCATATATGAAAAGTAGTGTAGGCAAAGGTAGAATTATTCAAAAACCGGAGCTAGAAATGTTGGATGTATAAAGAAAAAAAGCCTTTGGATCCCTTTCTCATAGTCCATATAGAAATGAACACCAGAAAAATTGAAAATTTAAATGTCAAACGCAAGACTTTAAAATTTTTAGTAGAAAATAGAGGTAAATCTCTTTCTGACTTTGGAGAAAAGAAGAATTTATTAAGGCATAAAAAGCATTAACCATAAAATAAAATAGTGATAAACTATCTTAAAACTATATATTTTTGTTCATCAAATACATCATAAATGTAGTGAAAGACATACTATAAACTGAGAAAATATTGCAACACCTATGACAAATAATTAGTAAGATGAACATATAAAGATTCGTTACATACCAATAAGAAAAAGAAAAATTGCCTAATAGAAAAATTGGAAAATTATGCAAACATGTTTTATAGAAGAAGAAATCTTTATATGGATTGCATATTATGTGTGATAAAATGCAAAATAACTTGTCAGATGAATTAAGATATTCAGACCAGAAAGTCATAAGAAAGAGAAAACGTTGAGTTTCCTTTACTTGTACCCCTTATGCTTCTGTCTTCTTCCCTCAACAATGAATGCTTTCCTTCAAAAATGGATTTTCCCATTCCACTGTGTGGTCACACATGCATGAGCAGTGTCAATATTCCAGAGCACTAGAGTTTGCAGGCATAAATGTTGATGTTTGCACATGCATATGCTTGCTTATACACTCCTGCACGTACACACCAGATATACTTGTATTTATTCTGGATATATAAATTAAGCAGCTCCTTTATGCCAGGCATTGTACAGGATTCTGAAGAAACAGCAGTGAAAAAGATAAGGAATTCCTGGAAAAAGACAGACAAAAAAAATCAGCAAGTAAATTGCTGCTATGTTTGAAGGTGTTGGGAGTTCTGAATGAGAATAGAACAGCAAAAATAGATCAAATGATACCAGAATGGGCATGTGTACAAAGTTTTAAATTGGGTGATCAGGAAAAGCCACAATGAGCAGCATTTGAGTGAAGAATTGAAGGAGGTGAGGGTATCAGTCATGCTGACATCTGAGGGAAGAGAGTATTAGGCAGAGGAAACAGTAAATGCAAAGGCTTGGAGTCAGGAGCAAAATTGACATGTCTGAGAAACAAGGTGGCCGCGTGTTGTGTTGATGTAAGAGGCGTAGAGAACAGCAGGGGAGGATGTCAGAGAGTGAATGAGAGAGAAGAGCACAGGGCATAGGCACTTGTAATCCCTTGCAAAGACTTTGAATTTATCTCCTAAGAATGGAGAGCCATCGAAGGATTTTGAGGAAAGAAATGACATTTTCTAATGGTCACCTTGGTCGATGTGGTCAATTAAGGCAAAGATGGAAGCAGAAAGAACAGTTAGGAGGCTACTGCATGACTCGACTAATCCAAGTGAGAGGTGATGGTGGCTTGGCATAGGGTGGTTTGGGGGTAGTGAGAAGTGTTTAGGTTCTATTTGAAGATAGAGAGCCTGCAGTATTTGCTGATTGGGTGTAATATCCATGAGAAAGAGAAGAGTCAAAGATAAAAATATTCATTATGACAAGTATGCCTCAACTGATTGTTGTCAACCAATGTCCACCCATTAGCAAGTCATGCCCACTTTGCGCTAGGTTTCTACTTTCTTGTCTGTTATTTAAATCTTCCCCAAATGACATTCTAGTGCATGCTTTGACAAACTGAAAGTGAACAATTCATTCTGAGAGTTTAACAAATTCCATGTCAGTATGCTAAATAAAAATTCAGCCACTAGTCAAATTGTCGATTTCATTGAAAACATGAGAAAGCCTCAGGCACAATCTCCTGAGTTCACACCTTTATTTTTTACTTCTTTTTATTATTTATTTTATTTTAAAAAATTGACAGGTAAAATTGTATGTATTTATTGTGTAAAAGATGATGTTTCAAAGTATATATACATTGTCGAATGACTAAACCTAACTAATCAATATATGCATTACCTCACATAGCTATCATTTTTTGTGAGGAGAATACATTCACTCTAGCATTTTTCAAGAATACAATATATTTTTAATTACAGCCACAACGTTGTATAATAGATCTCTTGAAATTATTCCTTCTATCTAACTAAAATTTTGTATTCTTTGACCAACATATCCCCAACCCCACCCCACGCTTCTCAACCGCCCCAACCCCTGGTAACCACCATTCTACTTTGTATTTCTATGGAATCAACTTGTTTAGATTCCACATGTGAGTGGGATCATGCAGTATCTGTCTGCACCTGGCTTATTTCACTTAAAATAATGTTTTCCAGGTTCATCCACGTTTTGGCAAATGACAGTATTTCCTCCCTTTTTTTTGGCTGACTAGTACTCCATTGTGTATATGTACCACATTTTCTTTATCTATTTAGGTTGATTTGATATCTTGGCTATTATGAATAATGTTGCAATAAACATGGGAGTGCACATATCTCTTTGATACAGTGATTTCATTTCCTTTGAACATATACCCAGTAGTGTGATTGCTGGATCATATGGTAGTTCTATTTGTAATTTCTTGAGGAAACTCTACTGTTTTCCATACTGTCTATACTAATTTAGATTCCTGCCAACAGTGTGCAAGAGTTCCCTCTTTTCCATATCCTTGACAACACTTGCTATCGTTTGTCTTTTCTATCACAGCCATCCTAACAGGTGTAGGGTGATACCTCATTATATTTTTTTAAAAAATTTACATTTCCCTGATGATTAATGATGTTGGACATTTTTTCATATACCTGATTGCTATTTGTGTGTTTTATTTTGAGAAATGTCTATTCAAGTCTTTTACCCATTTTTAAATTGTGTTGTTTTCTTGCTAATGATTGCTTGAGTTCTTTATATATTTTGCATATTAATTCCTTATCAGATGTATAGTTTGTAAATATTTTCTCCCATTTCATAAGTTGTCTTCTACCTCTGTTGATTATTCCCTTGGCTGTGCAGAAGCTTTTTAGTTAGACGTAATTCTATTTGTCTGTTTTTGCCTTTGTTTCCTTTATTTGCTTAGCCCAATGTCATGAAGCATGGCTTTATGTTTTTAGATGGTCATCTTTCACTTAATGCACAATCATTGTAATTTTGGCGTTTTAAAAAAATTGTTTTACTTAAAAACTAATTGTTGAGCAATTATTACATACCAGGCTTTCTGCAAGTGCCGGGGATCCAGAGATAACAAGGGAATCTCCTACTCTCAAAGAGTCTGCCATCTAGTGGGAGACGCAGGAATGTAATTGAGTAGGAGAACACCATGAGATTCGTTGCAGAACAGCCATGAGAACAGAACAAAGTTCTAAGAGAGCATAAAGGGGTGGCACAACTTAATTTTATCAAAAAAATTCAGGAAAACTTATACAGAGAGGAGGAGTTTACAAGTAACTATGTAGGGAGCTGTCATGGGTATTCCAGTTAAAGGAAACATGTGAGGAGCATAAAAGAGGCTGGCCCATTGGGTTGGCTGCACATGTATGTGTTTGTTAAGGTTTGGGAGTGTGTGAGTGAATGGTGGAAGGTGAGTCTGAAAGGAAAGCAGTACTAGATCTTGAGCATTCTTATATATCACAGTGAAAGATTAGAAATACATCCCATAGGCATTGGAATTAGTAAAGAGGTTCTCAGTAGGGAAATGGCATGATTAGATTGAGGCTTTACAGTGATTACCCTGGCAAAGCTGCAGAGAACAGACTGAGAGGAGGCCCTGGTCTGGGAAACCAGTTAGTCCACTGCAATTGGCCTATGATTTGAGCAGTGTGGGAAGAAAGGAGGACACATCTCAAAGAACTACTTAGAAGGTATACTTAGTCCAGTTTGGTTGAGAAAGACACGTGGGTGGATAGCAATGAGTCTAACATGATCCCTATATATCAGTATTTGGAAATTAGATGGAAGAGAACACATTGCTCCATGCTAAGGACTAATATGAGGAGAAGCAGTTTGAATAGAAGATGTGTCCAGTGTTCAAGGAGTGATTGTGCAGTAAGGTAGAGATCATTAAAGAGCCAGTTTGAAGTTTAGAATGAAGTCTGGGTGAAAAATCAAATGCGATTAGTGGGAAGTCTCTTAGAGGTTAACCTATACTTTTTATCAAAACATAGGAATTTATTTTCATATTCCTCATAGCAATGGACCTTTAACTACACATGTATTTAATAAATACATTTTATAGATACCTATATAACATAAAGAACAACCACCATACAACAAATTCAGTGGCAGAAAAGTTCCATTGCAATCAGTATGTTTAAATTCTACTGGGAGCATTGCAAACTAAAATTATATTTTGGGGAGACTATATGGCAATATATAATAAGAGCTGTAAAGATGATCATATCATTTTACCCAGTAATCCTACTCCTGGTTATTAAAGGGAAATAATTCGGTGTGTATTAATGAAATTGACCTTACAGTTCTGATCTTTATAATAAGTTATAAGAAAATGGTTTAATGTGTATGTGTATATATTTACTTGAAGTAGAAATATGAACGCTAAAAAATGGGAAGATATTTAAGTTGGTGTTAAAACAGCATTTAAAATTACCACAATTATGAGAACACATGTATGCCAATGCAGATTCACTGGAAAAATATTGAAAATGAAAACTGTCAGATGGTAAGATTATAATTTTATTTCTTTTTTAATTTGAAATAAGTTGGTACAGCACAGCTTTTCAAAAGCTTCTATAAATGTGTATGTTAAGTTGTAATAAAGCAAACACATGCATGTAGACATGCTTAAACAGTTATTTAATTGTTTCTTGGGTACCTGGGGAGATGGGGTGAAGAAAGGGGGGTGACTTGAATGAAGGTGGAGGAGAAAAATGAGAACCAAGAAAGCAAAGGATCGAGAAGCTCAGTGTGGCAGCAGCCTCTCTTCCCCTCCTGAGAGAGTCAAAGGGTGGCATCAGGGACTCATGATCCATGGTTGTGGAAGCCTCATGTCACACTGGATGTCACATGAGGTGGGATGGAACACAGTGACCACCCCACCTCATTTCCTTTACAGCTTCCGTGGTGGGCCATGGCAGTGAACAGCCTTCAGGCATGTCTACGGTGGAAGATCTGAATTCAGGCTGGTGGCAGGAGACAACACAACCACGTTTTCTTTTATGCATGCATTTGGTTTAATTGACACATTAACCACAGACAAAGGGGTAAAGGCCACAAGGCGTTAGGTTAGTATGAACAGGGAAAGGGACTTTTTTTTTTTTTTTTTTTAAGAAAAATAAAAGCATCAGTATTGCAAAGACTTTCCATGATCCTACACCCACCTCGAAAGCCCCCTCTCACCACAGGAAGTGCACTGACCACTGGAGGCATAAAAGAGGTCCTCAAAGAGCCCGATCCTCACTCTCCTTGCACAGCTCAGCAGGACCTCAGCCATGAGACTTCTCATCCTGGCCCTCCTTGGCATCTGCTCTCTCACTGCATACATTGTGGAAGGTAAGTGGAGAAGCTGTCTGTGAGATAAAGAACAGGGAGGCAAGGCAGGTGGGCACACATTTTGGGTTTGACTCAGGTTATGACTGGACTAACCTGCTTTCCCCAGGGGAGCCTTAAACTTCCCATGTGCAAGAAAGGAATGATGATTTTGACTGTAGAGGGCTTCGTAAACTTCCAAAACAGGGAGAATTTGATTAGTATCTGGGCTCCTACTTTTCCTAATTGGGTAATTTCAGGTAAATTCCTTAACCACTCAGGGCCTGTGCTTATTTATGTATAACTGAATAGTATAACAGACATGATCACCTGAGATTAAGATTAAATAAATATTATGGTTTATTTAATAACATCAGATTTCCTTACAAGCAGTAATTTTTTGATTAATGTTAGCTATGGATTAGAGGTGATGATTATAAATGCATTTGTAGGTTTTGCCCATTTAATATATAGTTTGATAAATTATCAAAATCTTAGAGAGTTCAGTTACAATGTGGGGATGCACCAGAGGATGTATGTTCTGGAGTAAATCAATGTTTTCAATACAAAACTAAGCCCCAAATGACTGGAAGTTCAAACCTTCATGTCCAGAAAATCAATATTACCTTCAAGTACGTGGGGGACTCTGTTAGTAATGCCATGACTATTACTATTTATGAGAAATTTTCTGTTTTTGTAAGAGAACATACAATAATAACTACTACCAAATAGATCAGCACCTTATACACAGTTCAATAAACCTGCAAGACACATCCAGGTAAGATTCAGATATACCGAGCCCTTACCTGAGCATTCAGTAGGTATTTCTTAAGGATTAATTTTTCCTATGACTGGAGTGAATCTGTCGACTTATTTGTGTTCTAGTTGGTAGGCTTATTACTTAGACTATGATATTATAACTTAATAATGGGTCCCCAAGGGGTTCCATGAATAAAGGTGGCTAAGTCTGGAAGTCCTTGAAATTATGGATAAAACAAAAAAATACTGATGAAACAAAAGAGTTTGATTACTACATTAGGCCACATGTTGCTACCTGGCTGGCATTTTGCTGAGACAATGGGCATACCATTTGAGGGAGACTCAGATCTGAGTAGGGGAAAGGAGCTCTGTTAGAGGCTGAGAAGAACTGCAGACACTGGTCTCAAATTCCCAAGTTTTCTAGTTGAAGGAGCTCTATAAGTCCCACTGGTGCTTAGCTTCTTACATACAAAAATGAGGGAAAACGGTCTCTGCTTTGACTCAATTTTGCAACCTGAGTGAAGGTGATATTTTAAAAAATAACACAGACACTCAAACATTGCTGACAATAAGGAAAAGGCTTTGTGGTTTCAAGCATAACAGGATTCCCTGAGTCTTAGGAGTCCACTTCAGATACTTCACAGAGAGAAATATTGTTTCTTAAATATGAGAGAAACAGAGAAAAAACCCAGATTTTTCCTCTTTCATTGGCTACAGAAACAATTCACCACTAAAAATAAATTGGCAAAGGTAGAGGATAGCAATGTGCAGACTGGCATTGAGAGTGAAGAAATGATGAAGAAAAGCACACAATGAACACTCTTTGTTTAGTCCCTTGCTTTAAAAAATGCCTTCTGATATTAGCAACACTACAGACCAATGTTGGCCATTATCAGTGGTTACTTTAGATGCTTTTTAGCTGCCTATTTCCCTGGGAAGCAAAGACCAGTGTCTACAGCTAAGGAGAAAATCAGCACTTAGAAACTTGGATTAGATTTCACCCAACCCTTAACAGTATTAATTCTCCCAAGTTATTTTTCCTCTTGCAATGTAAGATGATTCTCTACACTTAATAGTTTAATTCCTTTGGGCCATTACTATTGGGGATGCATATTTAAGGGCTGACTTCCTTTTATATATATCTTACCTTTTACCATTTATTAATTTTTTGGAGAGTTTTTATTATTTTTATGTACAGAAAACTCAACAGTGTACATTTAACCCAGTTTAGTGGCAAGTTCCTCTGCCTTTGCTATTTCCAGCTTGGCATTGTGAGCCACAGATTTTGGACTCGGGACATTGCAGATCTCATCATATCCGTCATTGTAATTTGTCCTGATAGCTTCCACCAGCTTAGCCAAAGCTCCTTTGTCTTCCTGGTTAACTTGTGTGAAGGCCACAGTGGTGCTTCCTGTGGACTGGATGTCCCAGTCTTGCCTTCTTACCCCTTGATAATGCATTAAGGGACCCCCCATTTTAGGACACAGGACAGACAGAAAGTTAACCAGCTTGATGGGGTCCACACCATGTGCAATACCAGCTGAGCCTTCTTCTTTTCCAGCAAGGTGGTGATAGTGTTAACCCCTGCTCAAAGAACAGGTGATTTCCTAGTGGGGACAACCCCTTTGCTAGCAGCTTTCTTCTCAGCCTGGGCCAACAGTCTCTGCTTCTTCTCTTGCTTTGTCTCTGGTCAGTACTTGTGGATCAGCTTAAGTGGCTGAGTAGCTGTTTGGGGGTCTAAGGCTTGGGTGAACTGGTTAATGGCAGAAGGCACTTTCAGCTGCTTATAGAGGATAGCTCTTTGCAGCTGGAACCAGATATAGCGGGGCCATTTCACAAAGCAGCGGAGGTCCCTTTTGGGCTGGATGTCCTGTCCAATGCCTGCCTAAGAAAACTCTTAGGCCTTTTCTCACACAGCGGTTTCATCACTTTCTTAGCCTCCTGCTTCCTCACGACGGCAGGGTCTGGGGCCACTTTCCTTCCTTTGGCCATCTTTCCTTTCAGCATCTTAGGCAGCTGACAGAGAGAGACATTTGACCATTTAAAAAGGAGAACACCTTTATTTAGTCTGTCAAAAGCATGCTTCCTTCCCTCACTGAATGTTGCCTTGCCTAGAGTACTCTTCACGCATTACTCTGTCATCTCACTTATGGTACTGTAACATGTTGCACTATTTGAAATGATCTTTTCTGTTTGCCTGTCTGCTGCCTGGCTCCCTCATGAGAAGATATGCTCTATGAAAACAGGAGTAATGTCTGCTTAGTAAAACATGTGGGACACAACAGGCACCATTGTATAAATGAATGAATGCGTGTCACTGGGGCATTTGCTAGCCGTCCCAAATGTCTAAGTGAAAATATACACAGAGACGGGATAACATCTTGTTATTTTCTCTCAGCATGAAATTCCTGAAACAATTCTGTTGATTGAGTTTTTAAATTAGTCAAATATTTACTAAGAATCTGTGACGGGCAAGAGATTCGGGATGCCTATCAGTCCTCTCTTCCCCCAAAAAGCAAATGGCCTTAAATTCTCACAACATTCTCAGAGTAATTTAACAGATGATTGTTCCTGTGATCTGGATAATTGCTTTATTTTTAATTGTCTGTTGTTTTTTTTTCCTCACCAGGTGTAGGGAGTGAAGTCTCAGATAAGAGGACCTGTGTGAGCCTCACTACCCAGCGACTGCCGGTTAGCAGAATCAAGACCTACACCATCACGGAAGGCTCCTTGAGAGCAGTAATGTGAGTCTGCCTCCTCAGAAGTTGTGCTGGGTGGGTATCTAGAAGTATAGAAATACACTCTGTAGAAATGCTGCCGTCCTCAGGAAAAGTAGGTCAGCATAGAGGAACACCTCAACTTAACCAAAAACCTCTTTAGTTTTCCTTATCAATCATGTCTTTCTGCAGCCCAACCGAATAGCGATTATTGCAGAAATTGGGCTGCCAAAGAAAGAATAGAAGTCCTCCTCTATTTAGCTTAGTGGAAGAGTCTGTTGAATACTGTGCACAGCTCTGAGACCTGGGTTTAGAGATGACTGGCCCATGTCAGGGTTTCCCTGCAAGCCTCACTGGAGTTGGGGGATCTTAGGGTTGAGTCAGGCAGAGTCCCATACTTTTATCAGTTGCCATATTTCAAGAAAATGAGTCAATGCACAACCTACATGGTCCCTTTCTTCTACCAGAATCTCATTTTTAGAAGTAATAACTCTTCTCAACATGTAATTGCAAGCTTTACTCTAAAAAATGAAAATGTAAAAATCACTTTTTATTTAAAAAATAAGATGAATATTTTTAAATTTGAAAAGGAAGAGGTTATGTAATAATGGAACTAGTTGGCCTCAAAGTCTTTTTGTTACAACATTTGGTGACATGGATGAGAAAAGGACCCTGTGAATTATTGTGAACAAAGGGGCTGGATACTACTTGCAGATATTACTCCTTTATGTTAAAATAGATGGCAGAAGAAGGGTACTCATTTATGATCTCATGGCTCTGAAAGACTATTTCTTGCAGTAATTTCTGCACAAGATCTCTTCATGTCTGCCCTGATCTTAACTCCTGACCCTGAGGCTTTGAGAATGTGGCTAACTTCGTCTGTCTTTTCCTTGCGTTACAGTTTTATTACCAAACGTGGCCTAAAAGTCTGTGCTGATCCACAAGCCACATGGGTGAGAGACGTGGTCAGGAGCATGGACAGGAAATCCAACACCAGAAATAACATGATCCAGACCAAGCCAACAGGAACCCAGCAATCGACCAATACAGCTGTGACTCTGACTGGCTAGTAGTCTCTGGCACCCTGTCCGTCTCCAGCCAGCCAGCTCATTTCACTTTACACGCTCATGGACTGAGTTTATACTCACCTTTTATGAAAGCACTGCATGAATAAAATTATTCCTTTGTATTTTTACTTTTAAATGTCTTCTGTATTCACTTATATGTTCTAATTAATAAATTATTTATTATTAAGAATAGTTCCCTAGTCTATTCATTATATTTAGGGAAAGGTAGTGTATCATTGTTGTTTGATTTCTGACCTTGTACCTCTCTTTGATGGTAACCATAATGGAAGAGATTCTGGCTAGTGTCTATCAGAGGTGAAAGCTATATCAATCTCTCTTAGAGTCCAGCTTGTAATGGTTCTTTACACATCAGTCACAAGTTACAGCTGTGACAATGGCAACAATTTGAGATGTATTTCAACTTGTCTCTATAATAGAATTCTGTTTATAGAATAAGGGAGAAAATAATCCAGTCTTCACTGGGTTCCCATTCTGAGGGTCCACTACTCAAAAATTTGCTTCACTCAATTTTTTTCACCTCTTTGTGTTTTATTTTGGTGTCCTATTAAAGGAATAAAATGACACAACTTGTCCCTTTTTTGTCCCATTAGCAAAAATTAGAATTTTGGTATAAAGAAACTTTATTCAAGTAAAAATCAATACCCTTTGAATTGGACAATAATCTCACTACCTTATTAGGATTTCTGTATTTGCCATTACGCTAGTTATCATGCATGTTATGCTTTACTGCGAATAAGCTTTTAATGCTCCAAATGCTGACCCATGCAATATTTCCTCATGTGATCACAATTTGCAGTAAACTTTTAATTAAATGCTCATCTGGTAACTCAACACCCCAGATTCATGCTGTCTTGTATGCTAATTAAATTGCTGATTTGTTTCATGCTTAGGGTTTTACTATCCAAGTAGCTGACGATGTATACATTCTCTTCTATCAGACTCTGAATAGGAAGACCTGACCTTGCCTTGATAGTTTTAAGTGAAAAATATTGGCTGTTGTTTATTCTTGTGGGGGCATTTAACAATATCATGAATTTTCAGAGGGTAGATGAAAGCAACTTGTTCAAATCTGCTCACTTCTAGTCATACAACTAGTGAATCAGAGTGGAAACTACTAAAAAGTTGCCTCCTAGCAAACGGTGTGGTCACCTATCCATGTTCATTGATATTTGTCTAAAATAAACTTCAGAGGTGGTCTTAGAGAAAGCAATCCCTTAATAAGAACAGACATCCTGCTTCATGAAGGCTGAAAAATAACAAAGTCACAAAAGATGAATGGAATGGTTTGTCTGCCAAATGTCTCCCAGACCCTAAGGATTTATTTGGGATAATAATAATAGGATGTGTGGAAGGATATGGGCAGTGCTTGACTTTTCATTTTATGGCTGTTCTATCTTTTAAATAATAAATAGTTGTTAAAATATATAACCATAGCTATTTTCTTGCTGTACAAATATGAGCTCACTTAATCACATTACAGAGCTCAATTAAAGACAAGACAACGGAGGCATAAAAGGGTTAGTTAACTTTCTGAAGGTCCCTTGGTCTGTGAGGGGTAGAGTTTAGATCTGAACTCATGCAAGATTCAGGGTGTTGACAACTGTGTCACGCTGTCTTTCTCACTTCAGAAGACAATTCCCTTCGGGCCAAACCATATGTAAAGAGATGATTCAGGGGTTATCCTTATTTAACCTACAGACTTCATTCATTCATTCGTTCAATAAATGTTTACTGAACGTTTATTATATGCCAGAAACTGAAGACACAGCAGAGTGAACAGGACAAAGTCACTGCTTTCTTAGAGCTTACATTCTGGGAAAATCTTTCTTGCTTCCCTTCCCCAGGAACTCACTCCACCAATACATTGTTATTGCATGCCTAATGGATTCCAGATGCTTGGCTGGGCACTGGAATGCAATGGTGAAACCTTCAGGTGTTTATCTTCTGGGGGTTTACACTGGGGAGACACACAAGTAAGCAAACGATTTCAATGCAGTGTAATATGTGGGATGATGGAGAAAGCAGAGGGTGTGAGCTTTGGACACACAGGAGCAAACCTATCCAGATCTTAGCATGAATGGAGGGTAAAGATGAGCTTCCCCTTGAAAATATCCTCTAACTTGAGACCGGAAAGAAGATTTAGAGTTATGCTGAAGGTTTCAGTGCATTCTAGGCAAAGAGAACAAGCATCACAGGCAAAGGCCTGCAGGTAAGAGGAATCCTGATGAATTAAGGAAAGGCAAGTAGTTTAATATGACCGAGGGACAGTGCGGGGGTTAGGAAGTGGGTGCAAAAGGTGAGGTCAGGGAGGCAGAGCAGATACTATGAAGGGCCTTGTCTGCCAGACCAAAGAGCATGTACTTCGTTTTAAAGGCTGTGGGAAATGACATCAGCTGCCAGGTGGAAGATGGAGCGTAGAGAACAAGATAGGAGTCAGGAAGCCAATTGGGAGGGGGCTCTGGACCTCGTGACTTCTGAACTTGGCCTGGCGTGGTGCAACACCTTTTACCTTTACTTCATGGGCCTTTACTGCTTAGCCAGGGAGCACATTAGTTATGCATGACTGTGTGACTCACGCTGTGGCTCAGTTGTGCATGCCGAACACCTTGGGCCAGTGACTCCTTTCACCAATTTCCTTGGCTGTAGAGAGCCAGGGCTTGGATGGGAGAAAATAGCATTCCTGGAAATCACCTTATTACTTTCATTATTCTTTGGCTAAGCTAAAGTTGGATCAGTGAGAACACAATTGGAGCCAACCACCCAGAGGAAGAAGGAGGCTGGGTTGTATCAGTGGAGTTTCAGAGATCCACAGACCAAGCCTTTTCTAATGTATTCAATGTCCTGAATATTTGCTGAGCACCTGCAGAGCACATGGGAACAGGATCTAGCCTGCTGTCCTGATGCTCATGACAGTCATCAAAGCCATTCCCATTTGGATGTTCCAAATGGCCCAGCTCAGGGCTTGACTTCCCTTGGAGACCTTTCTGATGTCACCAGTCTAGATGAGCCCCATCACCCCCATGTACCTGCTCAGCCCCTGGGCTCATCTCTGTTACTGCTTATATCATCCTGAAATACCATTTTATTTGACTTTATTTTCTGTCTTACTTAGAAGTAGGTTAAGGACTATGAATTTGATGTCTATGTACTTGTGCCTGGGACATCATAGCCTTCCAATACATTTTTGTGATAAGTACTACCTTATACATATCTGTCCACTAACAGTTATCATAAAAAGCTATAGGAATACAGTCTTCTGTGTATTTAAGTCCACCCTGGGGAAGTTAGGAAAAGCTTCGCCGAAGAGGTGCCTTTGAACCTGAGAAAGAGCTTGCCAGGAAAAGGCCACGGTAGGCACTCCTGCCAGAAGGGCCAAATGAATGAAAGCACAGATGCAGGGAAACTGAGGCATGTGTGGGGGAGCTGCTTGTTTCCAGGATGGGTGGGTTATAGAGCTCAGGTTTATAGAGGTTTATAGAGGAAAGGTAGCTTGAGGCCGGACTGAGAAGGCCTGAGTACCATGACAATGGATAGGATCTTAGACAGAGGGACCCAGGTTGCAGCATGCTCAGATGAGGGATGGAGAATAACAATTTGGAGGAAAATGGTTGAGGGCAGTGGGGGCCATTAGGCAATCATTGTCTTGGTGCAGGTTGGAGGAGATGTTGGCCTGAGTCAGGTGGTGGCAGTGGAATAGAGGTGAGGACCCCACGATAGTGCTGGACTGGCCTGGTTACCCACTGGGCAATGGGCGTGAACCAGCTAGAGGCCTGGAACCAGCTCTGAGGTTTCCAGCATGGGTGACTGGTTCAGAAACAGCACAACTGCTTGGTAAGGCTAAAGTCTGACTTCTGGTGAGGCTACTAATAAATCCTGAAGGAAATAACAAACACCAAGGAGAGGGAGGCGAGGAGAAGAAAAATTCTGGAAAAGTGAAAACCTGGTTATCAGCCTTAATACTCACGTTATTCTGACAAAAGCCCAAACTATATTTTTATTCCCTTCTTACAGACAATTCTTTTACAAGACCGAGGCAAAAATAAGCCTGAATTTCTGTGAAACTCTTCATGCCCCTTGGGGAATAAAAAAGGTACATATAAATGGAATACAGTATCTGCCGGGTGAGTCACCAGAGCTATTTTAAAAGGGATTTGTCACATGGCAGTGGGAGGCAGAAAGGAGCAGAGATGAATCTGTAATGGGACAAAAAGATAAATGAGGTGAAAGAGGTTTAGAGTGGAGATCAGGGGCACACAAGCATGACTGAAAGGTGGAGTTTGATGAGGGAAGGTGAGGAAGAAGCCAAAGGGACTTTTTTTTTTCTTTTTAGGGGAAGAAGTAGTAAACATTTGAACAGACTGCTGAGGGTGGAAGAAGGCTAGAGGAATAACCTGGAGCTATTATTCTGGAGGCTAGGAAGGAAAATTAGAGGATTCTCAGCTAAGAGAAAGTTCCTCCTCATCAAAAGACATTTCAACCAAATACAAGTGATGTATGTTGACTTTCTGTCACACTGTGCTGCCTAGAGTAATTGTTAAGACTGGATTTATAATCTGCTTCTTTCCAAAACTTGTGATTTGTCTCATCAAGGTGGAACTGCTGAATGAAATATTTGAAAGAAGTTCCACCGTGTAGAATAAGGAAACAAAAGACCGCATGGCCAGACAGAGGTTATCTTACTTGGAGTCACCAGGTGTTGTATGAAGGAAGAGTGACTTCCCTTTCTCTGAAGACTGGATGGAAGGTTGAAGGTTGGGTGGGTGGGGAGGTAGATGAGAGAGTAGAATATTGGAGAACTAAACCCATCATAGGCAGTGGATGAAAGAGGGAGGGGCCATCATCTGATCTCTCTCTCTCTCTCTTGC
Source organism: Homo sapiens (assembly GCF_000001405.40). Lineage (NCBI taxonomy): Eukaryota > Metazoa > Chordata > Mammalia > Primates > Hominidae > Homo > Homo sapiens. The sequence continues at coordinate 168,586,104 of NC_000001.11, forward strand.
TCTCTCTGGGGAAGAAACTTGTGTGGTTGCTAGGAGCCTTAGCTCTGCCTGGATTGTACACTGGCTCCACCACATACCATACAGGTGGCTGTGGGGAAATTCCTTAATTTCTCAGTGCCTCAGGTTGCCTCACTTATATAATCGGAATAATAATAATACTAGTGCCAAACTTGTGGGCTTATTGTGAGGGTTCTAGCACTTAAAATAGAGCCTGGCACATAGTACAGGCTCAGTAAATGTCAGCTTTTGTTAACCTTAGTCAGTGGAGTAGGATGCGGTAAAATGGAGGATGGATGGAAAAGGGAATAGATGTATCAAGCATCTTCAAGAGTTCCTGGTAGCTGACAATTTACTGGTTGAGATCTGTCTTCATCATTTAGGCAAGGCTTTTTAAAAATATTTTCTATAATTGCATATAACACATAAATCATAGAGTGGTCTATGTAATACTTATTCCATGAGAGCCTCCACTAAAAAAAAGACTCTACGGTCACATGTATTTAGGAAATGATCAAAACATCCCACTCCTCTTTGACATAGCATGTCAAAATCTCTAAGAAGTACTGTGGAATATATAACCATTAAATATCACCTATCTTAGTGTTTCCTAAGGTTAATATGAGCACAGAACCCCTATCCATGTACTGTTTATTAATATCCCAGGATCAGCTATTGAACGCACATTCTTAAAGCATTGTTAGAGACCAAAAATGTGCTTAGATCCATTATCCTGAAAGAATAATGCTACAATTCATTAAAAGCATCAACACAATCCAACAGAGGAATTTGCTTAGGTCCCCTCACTTCTGGTGTCTCTGTAAGTTGCTAGAGACTGGAGTCCCACTTTTGGAAATGTCTGTTGTTTTGGAGTTTGCATGTGTGCTTGTGTGTGTGAATATGAGGTGCTCACAGACTCTTTGGCCCCTGTAGATTGTTAATTTACCAGTGCCACCTAAAGTTTCTACCTACTAGCACTCATTGAGTACTGTATTAGTCCGTTCTCATGCTGCTAATAAAGACATACCCGAGAATGGGTAATTTATAAAGGAACGAGGTTTAATTGACTCACAGTTAAGCACGGCTGGGTAGGCCTCAGGAAATTTACAATCATGGCAGAAGGGGAAGCAAACATGTCCTTCTTCACATGGCTGCAGCAAGGAGAAGTGCCTAACAAAAGGGGGAAAAGCCCTTTATAAAATCCTCAGATCTCGTGAGAACTCACTCATTATCACAAGAACAGCATGAGAGTAAACTCTTCCATGATTAAATTACCTCCCACTGGGTCTTCCCTCTGACATGTGGAGATTATGGGAACTACAATTCAAGATGAGATTTGGGTGGGGACACAGCCAAACCATATCAAGTACCTACTCTGAATAAGATGCCGTACTAAGTATTCTTGGGGCCAAAACAGAATACTTGATGGATCCTAACTTTCCTCTTCCAGTGGCTTTGCTTAGGCTCTTCTTTGCGCCTGGAGAGCAACACTCTGCCTCCTCTTTCTTCCTTCTGCCATCATCAGCATCCATCTCAGATGCTACTTTCTCCAAGAAACCTTCCTTGTCCTTTGAACCAGATCTAATTTTATGGCTTTTCCAAACCTCGAGGCCTTTCTTTTGGCATTCATTTTATTCTTCCCTGAATTGTAGATATTTGTAAACTTCTCATCCCTCAAAAAAAGATCAGGAGTTCTTGGAGCAGGAACTATGTCTTATTAATCTCTATATTTCCTTTAGCATCTACAAGAGGGCTTTCCCATGGTCTGTGCTCAACACACAGTTGCTGAATTAGAACTAGTAGAAGGAACATAAGATCCAGTCCCTGCAACTTATGTATTACATTGTAGTTGTAGAGGTATACCTATGCATGAGGATATGATGACAGTGAAAGTCAGAGTTCACTGATAACTGCCTAGTAAATGGAATGGACTGAGGATGACAGTACATTTCTTTCATAATATCAACTCCAATTAATTGGTAGTGGCTGTGGACTTTCTGTGTTGAATGAGACCTTGACATTACTTCCTGGCTCGGCAGGGAGTGCTATGATCAGTTATTGATGTCTGCATTGTGCTGTAAGCTGGCTCATGCAGGCCTGCCCTTAGATCATTCAGTGACTCTGGTATGGTCCATAGCATATGGGGCTCAGAGAAAGCCTGTGGGCTGACTGGGTTGGTCAGTGAAGGTTTGTGTCACGGATAAAGAGATTTTGACTGGGCCATGGAGGGTGAGTTAATTTAAAAGCCAAAGCAAATGTGAGAGGTAATGTAGGCAAAAAGGTGTGAAGGTGGAAGAGACCAAGATATTTTTGTTAATTATTTGATCAATTTGCTGTTTCTATTAGACTGCAAACTCCATGAAAGCAAGGTTCACTTTTGCTCTATTCATGACCATATGCTGACACTGGGCATAATGAAAACACTCAGCAAATATGCACCAAGTGGGCAGGGAGTATGACCAGGAGAGTTAAGATGACAACTAGGTTCAAACAAGAACGGAGGAGCGGTGACAGATGAATGAAAAGGTGACTTAGGAAAGGGTCCTTGAGGCTGAAGTTCTCTTGTAGGCATTTTGAAGAGTTAAAATTATTTAGGAGAAAACTTGAGTTCCATTGAGATGTAAGTAGTATTTGAGAAATTTATCTCATAGCTGAATTAATCTAGTTCATTTAGAATCATTTTCTGTGGTTGGTCTCATCACTGAATCACATACCTGTGCCCACCCCAGTAGGAAATGCAAATCACGACAAATCATGGACATCCAGACAAATTGCTGGAGCTGCTCAGCTGAGACTGAGCATCTTCGGTGCCTCAGGGGATCCATGTTACAGACAAGCAGGCCTTTTGCCAGTGGGCTGCAGGCCCAAGACACATAGTCATGAGCAGAGAAACCCAGAGCAAACGGTCTTCCTTATCCTTAATGACACCACCAGGGCAGCTTATACTTTGGGAAGAAGGTTCGTTTTGTACCTCAGGGCACCTTTAAGAAAGAGCTGTACTGTCAGGCCTTGAAACATGTCCACATTAAATGGGTTGAGAGGGAAAAGTGGTTGTTTATAAATCCACACCATTAACTTTAACCTGGGCTGAATAAATACAGGCCCTAGTGTATGTTTTTTATTACAAACAGAATAGGCAAACTGGTTATTAGTGTAGTGTAATGATTGTTTTCACCATTTTTGTAATTATTTTTCTCCCTCGACTGGAATTCCCTAACTTATTCATTCATTACGTCATTCAGATGTTGTGGCATGTTTGTAAGAAGTTGTCTTGGGTCTTGAATGAGAATTATTTGAATATTTCAGTTGACAACAGCAGAGGAATCTAATGATTAGATGGGCTACACCTCATTGAGATCAACAATCCTTTGATATGTGTCAAAGGAACTGTGCTCTGTATGCTTGAATTAGAACTTATATTTACATAATTGAATGTGAATATACTAAAAAGTTTACATTCCATCTATTAGATTTGTAACATTTAGTAAAAAAGACATTGGAGAGGAACATTAAATTCACAAGTGAGTTGCTTACGGCAGTTGAGATTTTGTTTCTTGATCTGGGTGCTGCTTATATAGGCCTGTTCAGTTCATGAAAATTCATCCATTTGTTAACTTATAATATGTGTACTTTTTTGATTTATATGTTATATGTCAATAAAAATGTTGAAAGGAATTCATTGCTTAGTTTCCTCTCTTAATCATGATGGATCATGTTTAAGACTGGAATTCATTAAGAACACAGGAGAGCTAAATTTGACAAAATTGAGAGAGCCAAATTTTAAAGGTGGAAGATTTAGGGTGGCTAGAAATGGAGGAAGATGGCTAATTTCTAGTCACATTCATTTTGAAAAATTAATTTTGTGGAGTTTTTATAATATTAATCATGATCACCTGTGTGATTCCAAGAATAAAAAGCATTATAGGTAGAGATGAAAGATTAAGTGCTTGGAAGTTTTTTTCCTTCGAATCAATGAAGTGTTTTTCCATCTATCTTGTCAAATGCTAAGAAGCAATGTCAACAGGGATGGAAACGTTGCATGAAAATGAGAAGATCCCAGTACACTCTGCTGGCACATTATTTTGATGCCCTGAAACAACATCAAATGCTCCTGTCTACAAATGTCCTTTTAAAAACATTTTTACTTGCATTAATTCGCTAAAACTTCATAGCCAAAGGCAGGCGGGATGAGGTAGGAAGAAGGGCGGGAATGGTTGCAAAGTTTATAGACCACAGAGCCATGGTAAAAACTCAGCCAGAGTTCTTTCTTTTGTGTGTTTCAAATGTTCTTTACTGAGTTTTCTAATTTTTATAATTAGAAAAGATGTAAAAAAAACACACCCACAAACACTTATTGAGTGTCCATTCTATGTAAAACAGATCCCTGGCTGCATCGAACAGTGGAGACAATCGATAAACCTTTTCTAATTGATTTGTGATCTCTTCCTCCAGCCAAATTCTTAGCTTTCTCTGAAATTCGATGGGGTAGGTTTTCCTAACCACAGGCAAAACTACAGTGACTTTTGCGCTGTGTTTTCTCTCAAGACACCAGTAAATATTCTGTGTTTAAAGCTCTGATGACCTGAATATAGTCACAGAAGTCAAAATGTCATGATGAGGAGACAAATCACCCTCGGTTAGCACAGCCAAATACAGAGCCCGTGAAGAGACTGGGGGTTATCCACAAGGATAAGGTTGAGGTGAATGATTTCTAACTCCAGCTCCTATCAAATAAATGTGATTCAGTGTTTTATGTGCAAATGTAGTGTTGCCCTTATCCTCTTGTTGAAGAAGGATGCATGAGTGATGTCCAGGTTTGGACTCTGTGCCCTGCTACCATTGCCGGATAGCCTTCACAGCAGACTCTGACTAAAGACACTTCGTAACAGTGTCTTGCAGGAGGAACCACAGAGATTCTGTATAAATTTTCTGCAAATAACTTAAAGTTGTAAAGACAGCTGCAGGTTAAGAAAAGAAAGGCTTCTCTCTCCTTGGTGACGGCTTTGGATTGGTATACAACAGCAAGCCTGAAATATGGAATCAGTTTCGCCCCCATCGGCCATGATTACGTCATGATGCATTTGTTTTTTAAGCACCATGTTAGGTTTGTGCTGAGCTCCTGCCTGGGGTTGAGATGGTTGGCTGTAGGATACTTATTCTTGCTTCCAATAGAAGCCATAGTGATGACTTTAGTGATGGATGCCTCAGCTCCATCCTGTTGTTCCTCAGCTTCTGGAACTCAGGAGAAGAGACTAGGGAGGATACGCCTGCTTGTCTTTCTGAGTAATTGGTATGATTCTTGGAGCAGCATTGTCTTTTGTACAGCACCATCTCTGTATATTCAGAACTTAGGAAAAGGATAGGCACATCATAGGAATTAGTAACAGTTTTCCCAGTGTGTTTTAGAGAGGTGGATTATGCTGTCAATTGCTCTGAGAACCACCTTTCCTTGTTCCTTTGATTCTCTCTGGCACTGATATGCTTAGAGAGTCCTGGGGTCACAACTGGGTTCATAAGTACCTGTGTATCTTGGGAAGATTTCTAAAATATAAAAGAAGATATAGAAGAAAGGAAACAGTAAAAACAGAGTCTTTTGACATTGAGATGGGCATTAGTGTAAATAAATATTTTACTCTTTTCTTGATTTATTTTGTGGGTACAGCTTTTGAGCAAAGACACAATTTAAAAAGGCGTAGCTATCCACTGATTACACAAATAAATCACACGGTTGCTATGAAGAGGTGTAACAGATTATGCTCTGGAGGAAGAAAGAGATTGTGATGAATTGGTATCATCCATCTTAAATATTCCTACACTTCTAATCTTAATGTTAAATTGGATTTATGTAAGTGCTTGGAATTTTTCATTTTTCTGAAATGTGTTTATTTCAGGTTATAGGAAATGTATTTCAGGTTATAGATTTATTTCAGGGTTGGCTTCTCTACAGGATGGAACAAGTGTGGGGAAGACAGCATTGCAACTGCACTTCCTATTTTAGTACTACACAGATCTTGCTGATGTAAAAAAAAATCAAGGGATTCAAAATCATTAAGACCATTTTCTAGGATTTCAGAGGAAGAGAATAAACAAAACTTTGTTCAATGGGATTTGGTTTAACTGCTTTTCCTGGCATGCTCTCTTGGTGTAGTCAGTGTAGGACTTGGTATAGTGAGTGTGGCTCCATGGCATTGATGTCAGACATCATAGTCTTAAATTCCAGCTTGGATAATCATTGGCAGAGTGACCTTTAATAAACTGCTAAATCTCCCTGAGCATCATTGTCTTTCTCTGTAAATAAGATGGCCTAACTTACATGGTGCTTGTAGGAATCAAATGAGATATAGCGATGAGCAAATAGACAAGAGGTAAGACCCTGTCTTCATGGAACTTCTTTGTAGATGGGGTGGTCATGGGAACTACACACAAGTGCACAACACACACACAACACACACACACACACACACACACACATCAATCAAAGTGTACCAGGAGGTGATGAATACTACAAAGAAAAACAAAGCAAGGTAATAGGATAGGGATGATGTGGGGGTAAAGGGAGGAAGGAGCAGTGCTCTACTTTAAATAGAATGTGGTCAGGGATGTCTTCTCTGATAATATGCAGGAAGCATGAAAGACGTGAGAGAGTGGCCATGAAGATATCTCAGGGAAGAATATTGGTTGTAGATGGGAGGAGTATGCAAAGGTCCTGAGGCAGGAATATGATTGATGTGCTGAAGAGCAGCAAGAAGACCTGTGTGACTAGGACTGGTGACAGAGAGGAGAGTCATATAAGGGGACTCAGCGAGCTCGTGGAGCATTGCAGGGCTTTGTTGGCCATGGAAGGACTCTGGGTTTATCTGGGGGAACCACTGGATCTGTTTGAGCAAAGACATGATGCAATTTGTTTTTCTGCTAGCCGTATAAAGAGTAAATTCTAAGGAGTCAAGGCTAAAAACAGAGATTCCAGTTAGACTATTAAAATAATCCAGGCAAGAGACGATAGTGGCTGGGATGTTTAGCAGAAGAGATGGTGTAAAAATGATCTTATTTGGGACTTTTTCGGTCTGTATTTTCAACAACATTGTTGTGCTATAATTTATATACCATAAAATTTATCCACATTAAATGTACAACTAATGTTTTCAGCACAGTTACAGAGCTGTGTGATTGTCACCACAAGCCAGTTTCAGAACATTTCCATCACTCCAAAAAAGGTCCCTCATTCCCATTTGCATTTAATTCTTTCTCCCACTCCCAGGCAGCTACTAATCTCCTTTCTGTCCCTATAGATTTGCTTTTCTTTGACATTTCATATAAATGGAGTTGATATATGTAGTCTTTTGAGTCTTGCCTATTTTCACTTAGCATTCTATTTTTGAGACCCATCTATGTTGTACCATGTAGCCGTAGTCTATTTCTTTGTTCCTGAATAGTATTCCATTACATGAATATACCACATTTTGTTCATCTATTTACCAGTAAATGGGCATTTGGAAAGTCCTACTTTATGGCTAATATGAATAATGCTGCTGTGAATATTCATGTACAAGTATTTGTGAGGACTTACGTTTTCATTCTTCTTGGGTAGATACCTAGCAGTGGAATTGCTGGGTCTTACTGTAAGTCTGTGTTCAACTTGTTAAGAAAGTGAAAAACTGTTTTCCAAAGTGAACGTATCATCTTACTTGACCTTTAAACAACGCATAAAGTTTTAGGTTTCTCTACATCCTTACCAAAACCGGTGAAAAAGAACCTGTAGAAAGGATAGTGGATGGCTGATCCATTGCAAATGTAGAAAACGTAGAGGAATTTATCAGGAGAGCTTCATGTGGGTTGGAAGGTTTGGTGGTTGGAGCATGATGGGGCTTGCTTTTGATGGATCTTACTGTTTCCAGGGTCATCAGTTGAGAGTGGAAAGGAGGAAAGAAATGCATTGTTAGCTTGGAAAGAAAGAAGAAAGCAAGAAATTGACATCTAGAAGAGTGGCAGAGCTACAGAACTAGGGAAATGTGGTTAGACTGAAGGAGGGAGAGGAGCAAGGGCATTTTCGGTGTATGCAAGGGAGTTAGCAATGCTAAGCTGGGAAAGGAGGTGAGTGAGGATGTTAGGGAGTGACAGTCAGTGCAAAGGTGGTAAAGTCAAAATATTTGGGGACTTAGTGGGGCTGAAGAATTGTTGGGATTAAGATACAAGAAGAAAGGAGATACAAAGATAGGGTGTGCTGGCCAGGAACCAAGGTAATGCATGAGATGCCATGCATTGGTGATGACAATATATGGTCATGAAAGATTCCAGTTAGACTATTAAAATAATCCATGCAAGAGACAATAGTGGCTGGGATGGTTAGCAGAAGAGATGGTGTAAACATGATCATATTTGGGACTGAAATAGGGTCTGAAATAGGGTGGAAAGAAGAGATCAGACCAATATTTAAAAACAAATAGTCTGCATGGATAGTGAAATCAGCAAGAATTATAGTAGAAGTAACGATGGAGAGACGAGAACCACATGCTAAAATATTCAAATAATGAAGGCCAGGATGTTTGGATTTTGGAGAGGGCTGCAACAGGAGAGGAATCTGGTTTCTGGTAGTGTTACCTCAAGATCTTATCTTCAAAGTCTCTGTGTAGGGAAGGTCAGGGCAAAGGAGAAATAGCGGTTTGGAAACAGCAATAAAATGCAAGGAGGATGCTTAATCTGTTTTCATACTCGCTGTATATGAAGTATGGGAAGCAAAAACTCTGCCAGGTGCCTGGTACAAAGCAGCTCCCTTTCATAGTCAGCAGCAGAGGTTCTCGAGGTCTGGATCTCTTACTTTTTAAATTAATTCTTTGGTTTAACTAAAATCTGTTGTGGCTTAGCATTTGCATTGCTTTAAATCTACTTTTAAGCATATTAATGTTTTGGTTTGTTTTAAATGGCACTAAATATGTCCTGGGACACGAAACATCCTTACACATATACACACACCCACACACTCACATGCACAGATCTTCAAGAATATTCACCAAGCAATTAAAAAAATGTCATTTTTCCTCAGAGTTACACATTTTGGGGGTGAGATGGCTGGCTCAAGTTCTCTTTCTGTGGCTGTGAACTTATATTTTCTCTATGTAAAGCTATTAGCTATAAAGTTATAACTATCAGAGGAATAAAAACTGGTACATGAATTCTCCATTTCCTTTTTTTAATATTATTATACTTTAAGGTCTGGGATACATGTGTAGAACGTGCAGGTTTGTTACATGGGTATACATGTGCCATGGTGGTTTGCTGAACCCATCCACCTGTCATCTACATTAGGTATTTCTCCTAATGCTATCCCTACCCTAGGGCCCCACTCCCCAACAGGCCCCTGTGTGTGATGTTCCCCTCCCTGTGTCCATGTGGTCTCATTGTTCACCTCCCAGTTATGAGTGACCACATGCAGTGTTTGGTTTTCTATTCCTATGTTAGTTTGCTGAGAATGATGGTTTCCAGCTTCATCCATGTCCCTGCAAAGGACATGAACTCATCCTTTTTTATGGCTGCATAGTATTCCATGGTGTATATGTGCCACATTTGCTTTATCCAGTCTATAATTGATGGACATTTGGGTTTGTTCCAGGTCTTTGCTATTGTGAATAGTGCTGCAATAAACATACATGTGCATGTATCTTTATAGTAGGATGATTTGTAATCCTTTGGATATATATCCAGTAATGGGATTGCTGGGTCAAATAGTATTTTTAGTTCTAGATACTTGAGGAATTGCCACACTGTCTTCCACTATGGTTGAACTAATTTACACTCCCACCAACAGTGTAAAAGTGTTCCTATTTCTCCCCATCCTCTCCAGCATCTGTTGTTTCCTGATTTTGTTGTTGTTGTTTGAGATGGAGTCTTGCTGTGTCACCCAGGATGGAGTGCAGTGGTGAGATCTTGGCCCACTGCAACCTCCACCTCCTGGGTTTAAGCCATTCTTCTGCCTCAGCCTGCCAAGTAGCTGGGATTACTGGCGCCTACCACCACACCTGGCTAATTTTTTGTATTTTCAGTAGAGACAGGGTTTTGCCATGCTGGGCAGACTGGTCTTGAACTCCTGACCTTGTGATCTGCCTGCCTTGGCCTCCCAAAGTGCTGGGATTACAGGTGTAAGCCACCGCGACCGGCCTGTTACCTAACTTTTTAATGATTGCCATTCTAACTGGCATGAGATGGTATTTCATTGTGGTTTTGATTTGCATTTCTCTAATGACCAGTGATGATGAGCTTTTTTTCATGTTTGTTGGCTGCATAAATGTTTTATTTTGAGAAGTGTCTGTTCATATCCTTTGCCCACTTTTTGATGGAGTTGTTTTTTTCTTGTAAACTTGTTTAAGTTCCTTGTAGATTCTAAATATTAGACCTTTGTCAGATGGATAGATTGCAAAAATTTTCTCCCATTCTGTAGGTTGCCTGTTCACTCTGATGAGTTTTCCCAACACCATTATTAAATAGGGAATCCTTTCCCCATTGCGTGTCTTTGTCAGGATTCTTAAAGATCAGGTGGTTGTAGATGTGTGGCATTATTTCTGAGGCCTCTGTTCTGTTCCACTGGTCTATATATCTGTTTTGGTACTAGTACCATGCTGTTTTGGTTACTGTAACCTTGTGGTATAGTTTGAAGTCAGTTAGCATGATGCCTCCAGCTTTGTTCTTTTTGCTTAAGATTGGTTCCGTATGAAATTTAAAGTAGTTTTTTTCTAATTCTGTGAAGAAAGTCAATGCTAGCTTGACGGGGATAGCACTGAATCTATAAATTACCTCGGGCAGTATGGTCATTTTCATGATATTGATTCTTCCTATCCATGAGCATGGAATGTTTTTCCATTTGTTTATGTCCTCTCTCATTTCCTTGAGCAGTGGTTTGTAGTTCTTCTTGAAGAGGTCCTTCACATCCCTTGTAAGTTGTATTCCTGGGTATTTTATTCACTTTGCAGTAATTGTGAATGGGAGTTCACTCATGATTTGGCCATCTGTTTGTCTATTATTGGTGTATAGGAATGCTTGTGATTTTTGCACGTTGATTTTGTATCCTGAGACTGCTGAAATTGCTTATCAGCTTAAGGAGATTTTGGGCTGAGATGATGGGGTTTTCTAAATATACAATCATGTCATCTGCAAACAGAGACAATTTGAATTCTCCATTTTCTGATGTTATATTCCCTAGTGTCCCAGATATCATCGGCTTTTAGTTATAATATTGTCCTAGCAGTGTTAATGCTGGGACTGCCAGGCATTAATGCCACACCTGAACCTCTTGCTAAGCCCCTTTCCCCAGGAATTTCTGTAACTTCTCCAGTGACCTTTTACACCTACCCTTGAAAGTCCTGCTTGCATCTCTCTGTGGCTTCTGTTGCTGTGGGAGCCAGCTGGCCTCATTGCTAGTGGAATCTCTATTCCTCCATATTCTGCGAGGTATGTGTCAAACTGAGTGCTGGTTTTCTCCTGCTTGAATCCATCACATGGTGTAGACCCTTGGCAACTGACGTGGACTCCTGATGCTCTTTGGATATAAGAAAGAGAATGTGCACATCTTCTAGTTGTTAGGAATTGGGAGGGTCCCACAAGAGAATTGCTTGGGTCCTGACATGTTAAAGAGAGGATCATTTTTCAGTAAATTCCATAGTCCCTTTTCTCCTAGCCTCATGCGTCTATATCAGGGCAGCTGAGTTAAGGCAATTTCCAAACAGCTTTGTCATAAAGAATGTAGAAACTGTGACTCCCCTACCACTTTGAGACCCTGTTGCTGAGTCTATTCATCATAACGGAGTTCTTTTTAAAAATGTCAGATTCTGTCCCATGGCCCTACAATCTCTCACTCCAACCTGACTTCAGTGACAGCCTCTTCCACCAAGTCCCTAAAGCAAAGGGGGTCCTTTAGCAATTTCTGCATATATCTCGGTGCCAAGTGTGGATCCTGTGTAAGTTTTTTCTTCTTTCTCTCAATTTTTCTGACTCCACCCCACCCTCAGCCTCACTGGCACTGTTGTGGATCAGGGGATAGAAGTAGATGCTTAGTGGGAGGGGTGTTGCCACCTCCATCATAAAGGAACACCTGCCAACATCTCATTATGCTTCTGTTCCATCAGATCAGACAATAGAATCTCATCTAGGCACAAGCTGAGGCAAAAATTCATATTATGAGCATAGGGACCTTCACAAAGAATGGGTAGAACCTAGACCTAGGCACATTCCATTTCCTATCACTTTTGACTCAACTGGGTTAGACCCAAGTTACTCAGTCTGATGTAAACCACAGATTCCTTTCAGTCTTAGTTTTCATTGATCATACTTCCAGTCGGTCCCAGGTATCCCAGTAGGCCATAGTTATTAAAGAGCATACGGTTTTCAAGCATTTTTTTCTCACCAGTACTTACAAATTTATCCCCCTCAAAACGTAAAAGGTAAAATTATGATAATAGTAAACCTAGAGAATGCACAATAGTAAAAAAAGAAAATCAATGATCTTATAATCCACAGATTTCATGGAGTTGTTACTATTTCTATTTTGCTTTCCCCTCATGCCTCTGTGATTTCTTAAAAATTGAATTGGGATCATATGTAATTTCATACTTTCCTCTAAAAATATTGTGTCATAAAACCAGAGATTTAAGATTCTATTATTAATTTGATTGAAGAAGTAAAAAGACAAAATAAAATTGTATTACAGCTAATATAAAACGTCTCCATTACTGATTTTTCTTTGAAGCAATCCTAGAAGCTTCTTTCAGAGGCTGACCCTTTCCTCATCTACAACTTCATCTACCACTACAAGAAAAAGAAAAAACAATGAAATAAAAAAATGTGAGGTGACATTTTCAATTTCTGTCCTGCCTCAATGTAACGGAAACCCTTTGCCTTCACTTCCCTTGAGTAAGTGGCCAGTTGCTATGATTGGTAGGTTCCATTGTGACCCTGAGATGCTGGGAAAGGGACAAATCATAAATGCTACTCAATAATTCTGATTTTAGAGAGATTTTTATCTCCACCCAGGAGATGCCTGCAAAATGATTCATTGGTGCTTTGAACAGGGTTGGCCAACCCTTATTTCAAGAGAATTGAGAAAAGGGGATTTATGATGACACAGTCTGCCTGTTTTCCAGGCTGATGTTTGCAATTTGTTTTTGAGAGCAGGTCAGTTCTGCTGCTATTTCATTCTCCTGGCAGGCCTTTACCTTCCACATGGCAGGGTCCCTTCATGTAGGAAATTAGCTAACAAACTTGAGATTGACAAGAAAGACAGGCACATAAATTTGTTGTAATAAAGAATGCATTAAGGCAAACTTTCTTCAAAAACAAAAAATACGCACTTATTTTTGACTATGTATGATTATATACCCAATGACAATGGGTTATATGAATAAAGGGCTCATACATGCTGATTTCTAGAATGCCTGCTGTCCCACTATCGTTTTTCATTTTACCCGCTCTAACACCCCCTCTTTCATGCTTAGATTGGGAACAGAAATGTAAAAAGCATGACAGGAAAAATTGTTCATCTGGTTCAGGAGGAGCTGAGGCAAATGGTAAGTTAACAATCTGACAGGTGAAGCTGCTGCTCTTCTGAAATTTACTGTCCAATTTTGCAGCTCAAATTGGATTGGGTAAAGTTGTATCCAGTGCACGTTTACAAAAGGAAAGTATTCAGGCTGATCTTGCTCTGTGACTTGAAGCCTACTGCCCTGCCCTCTCTTGCAAGGTAAACTATGCAGCTAAGTCACATGCATAGCAGTACTGATAATGGACCATGGAGCTAAGGGCCTCTCTTATTCCTTTCACAAGTCAGCACACACAGCTGGTGAATTTGCCTATTTTTGAGATCGTCAGAGAGTCATATATAGCAAATATATATTTCAGTCAACAAGCAAAAGTGTGCAATAAATAAATAAATAAATAAATAAACATAAAAAAAAAGAAACAAGTTTCTTTGTTTTCCAAATCTCTACTTAATGTTATTTTCAAGCCCATTTCACTAAGATTGAACAATGTAGTCTCACTCAATTTGGAGTCTCCTCTTCCTCCTGCCATTCTAGCCCTAGACTTGAGTCTAAGTCTCAGGAGATGTGAGTAAAGCTGACACTTCCTGACAAGAGCTCATCCCGACCTTGGTGCACACAGGTACCCACTGTTCCACACGGGTCATCACTGGGACATCCCTAAGTCATGTCCACATGACTCTTTCCTCTATTTCCAAGCTATGGAGTTATCCTGCTGCTTTTGTGCCCCATTAGGAGTTCCAGAATTTCTGGTAGGGGCTTAAAGCTCTAGCAGAAATTGCTATCCATCTGCATAGTATGTGGTCCTGGCCAGAAGAGCAATCCTCTTGCTCATCTCATTATCCAAGACCTAGTTCATGCCTCACATACTCCACGAGTCCTCTCCTTTTAACTCAGGAGCCCATTTTTCTCTTTTCCCTTTAAGATCCTGTAGCACTGGGCCGGGCTTATGCCTGTAATCCTAGCACTTTGGGAGGCCGAGGTGGGTGGATAGCCTGAGGTCAGGAGTTCAAGACCAGCCTGGCCAACATGGTGAAATGCTTCTCTACTAAAAATACAAAAATTAGCCAGGCCTGGTGGCGGGCGCCTGTAATCCCAGCTACTTGGGAGGCTGAGGCAAGAGAATTGCTTGAACCCGGGAGGCAGAGGTTGCAGTGAGCCAAGATCGTGCCACTTCACTCCAGCCTGGACAAAAGAGCAAAACTCTGTCTCGATAAATAAATAAATAAATAATAAATAAATAAATAATAAATAAATAAAAATAAAAATAAAAAGATCCTGTAGCACTCATCTAGCACTTGTTATGAAGGAACTGTCTTGTTGTTGAGCTTTCCATGAATGCTTGCAGGGCATTTTAGGGATGGGCTTCATCACCTTTACAGTCTAATGAGTATCCATATGCCTTCCTCCTATAAATTAGTACTCCATCTTGAAGCTGAAAAGTCCACATGCTCATGTAGAGAGGCAAAGAAAGGAACCACAGGTAATGGGAGAAGAATGAAGGTTCATGTTATAGGTTATACAGATCATGCATCAACAAGTAAAAAAACATGCCACACATATATTTTATCTTCTGCACTACGTTAATAAGCTCAAAGGCAACGTCTCTGTTTTAACCATCTTTCGTTTATTTCAGCCCAATGACTCATTTGATGGATGATAGCTGTGCTGTATGCTGACCCAATTACAAGTGCAATGAAATCACAAGGAGGAAATTAAAAAATAAAAATTCCCACCAGAACATTTATTCTCAAGATAAATCAGGAAATGGTATCTATGAATATGATTAATGGATAAGCCCAAAGACGATTCCTCTATCATCACTTTATTGGTAACTCACAGCAAGTTTGGTTCAATTCAGTCCAAGTTTGTTGACTTTCTACATATTGCTGCTGTATGAGTCTCTGGTGATACAGAGAAGAGATAGACATGATTGTGGGGTTACAGTGCTTGGAATTTCTTAGCAGGTGGGCATGCTACATAGATATAAATATGAATACAGGTATTCAAGAAACTATTATTTTCTTAAATAAAATATTCATTTTTGAGGACAGTGCCCCAAGAGGTATTTTTGTTGGAGAAAAAAATATATATATATATAAGGTATGGTGCTTTCAGGTGGGCTGGAAGTGGGCTGCAACTTCTCAAGCCAGGAAGCTCATCCAAAAACAAAACAGATGCTGTTTAGGGGTAGTTAACTAAGGAGCAATTTTATGCTAAGGTGCAGTTTTATGCTAAGGAGCAATTTTATGCTGTATACAGACCTTTATTAAAAATCCTAAGCTTTGCTCTTATTTGGGCAGGTCTTGAATTGGGTACACATACATGTGTATAATTATCTAAACCCAGACATTTTCAAAAGCAAAAAGGGGCACTATTAATAATTATGCTGTGACGAAAGAAGGCATAAACCTGAAAGTATGGCTTTCCAAGTCTTGCAGAACTGACTGTCAGAGTTAATGAAAATAATATAAGGGCCAACTAAAACAAACAATGACACCTCTGAAACAAACCTCTCCTGAATGGAATATCACAGCTGCCGTAGAAGTAGTCATTTCCCATTTGTGGTAAGAATGAAGCAGTCTCCCCAGAATAATTCCACAAACATATTTGCTTCCTCCAGAATTCACTGTTTGCAAATTCCCTGACCTGGGGGTTTACTGTTCCCAGATCTGAAGTTATCACAATATTTACTTGGTCTTGGGCTGATAGGGAAAAAACTTTAGAAAGATGATGAATATTAGATACCAACGAAACAGTATTATTTGAGTGTGTTTCTTTGCATGAGGCATTGAATTTGTGAGTGATGCTGAGGTTTGAATGTATATTTATGTAACTTCACTGTAGGCTATTTTAATAGCATTACATGTTATTCCTTTTATAAAATAGTATATAATACTTCTTGTAGATCATTTTAAAAATACAAAAAAATACAGAAGAAAATAGAATCATATGTAAACCCTAGAGAGAGAACATTTTGCTATCTTTCCATTGGTGTATTTCATGTAGTTGAGTTTATACTGTACATAGAGTTTTTTCTTCCCTTTCCATCTACTATTATACTATTTTAATGCAATTATTATGCAGTATTCAATAATGATATCTAATATTTATGGATGCTAATATATATGATATAATTTAAACCATGTGACAGTCCTACAAGGTAGGCATGTTCGTGAACCCATTTTGCAGATGAAGAAACTGGGAAGTTTGGTGAGGGAATTTGTTCAAGGTTTCACTCACTTAAAACAGATCTTGGGATTGAACCAAGTCTAAATCATACCAGAGTTCAGGTCCTTAACCAACAGGCTCTGCTGTATCAGTTAAGTTTTGGTTCTGAAAATGGAAGCCACTCTAAGTTTTTTTCACTATAAAGGAAGCTGACGTAGGGAATAAGGCTTATACAACCTTTATATATGCCTCCCATTGGAAGAAAACAATGATCAGGATGGCTCTAGATCTAGAAACACAAATATTGCAGTGATATCACTACTACTGAGCTTAGCTGCTTGCAGCATCTGGGAGCTGCTGACAAAGCCCCACATCAGCCATTTGCTGATACCCAGACGCGTGCCTAGATCTTTACTGGAAGCAATGGCCCATCTTTTTCTTCTGCTTTGCAAACTTCACAAAGTGCCACCCCAATGATATTCAAACAGGCACTTGAGAAACGTGATTTCCATGCTTTCAGGCCCTGTTTTACAAGGGGAAAGCTTAGAAGGACAGAAAGGATACTGAACATCCACAGATAATATCAGGCTCACAGGTTATGAGACAAAGCATAATTTACCTGATTTTTTCTATCATTATGCATTTAGGTTGTTTCCTAGCTTGTGGCTACACACTTCACTGGCTCATATGCCCACCTGCATATATATTTTAGCCACACACCCAATTTCAGTTCTCCCAGGGAGAACTGAATATGCAGGTGGGCATATGACCCAGGCAGAGCTGAAATTGGAGTGTGTGGTTAAGATATATCCCAGGTGAGCTCACAAATGTTCTGCTCTTCCACTCCTGGCCCCCTGCTGATGCTTACTGTCCAAACAGCCGCTTGAGGGCAGCACCTCCCCACTACTACAGATGCTGGCACCTGGCATGGTGATGCTGGCTTGCCTCCCTAGGCTAGGTCTCCTTATCTTCCCAAAGCTGCAGACCCTCAGGTTGCCAAGGCACATCATCCGTCTGTGCTGAACCCAACCAAGATTCTTCACCAAGTGAAGAATGCTCTGCACTAAGTCTTCTAACTTCTCCCCTGAGTACTAAACAGAGTTTTCAGGCCTCTGTGTCTCATTTATGGAAACAGCTTCTTTAGTGTCTGAGGGTGATTCTCTGTCCCTTGTGGCTAGACTGACCTATGGGCCTGGTCGGAGGCAGATGTCTCATTGTCTGCCATCTACTCCTCTCTATCGCTTGATGCCCAACCTCTGAGAAATTCTTTCCTTGATGAAAATCAACTCATGGGAAAGAAACTCCAGTTAACTGCCAGCTCTGACACTTCACAACACATGCATTTATTGTTTGAACCCTTAGGTTGAGAAACTTTCTGTATAATCTACTGCTACAATGAAAATTTTGGCCATCACTCTTTGTTCACATTCTCTCCTTAGAGAAGGCTGTGATACATATTGGCAAATTTCTTCCCGAAAGATCACACCAATTTATGCTTCCACCATCCAGTGACAGTGCCTGTATTTGTACCCTGGTCACTGCACTCTCCACTGAATGGTATTTTATCAATCTATGGAGACATTATATTTATGTGTATGTGCATGCATATATATATTTATATGTGTGTGCATGTATATGTATATAAGGGTGTGTGTTTCCCTCAGGATGTTCTGCTCACCATATTAAAATAAATCATGCCCAAATTCTCTCTGCTATATTCTTGAGACCCAAAGCACTGAGCCTTCCAAAAATGTGAGGACGGCAACAGCCCCAACATATCTGTTTAGTCCATTGTAACTGTGATCATTGCAGCTGTTGATTGATTGAAAGGTATTCTTCCAGAGGTTGAAGGGGTGTATTGCTAAGGAGTAGGTTTAACTGCAAGTGACCAAAAAGCCAAAATAAGAGTGGCTTAAACTAGATAGGTTTTTTTTTTCTCTGTCCTCTAGGGACAAAATCAGTAGTTAACAAGGCCAAGGCTGGTATGAGATCCCTGGAACCCAGGTTCTTTTCATTTTTAATTCTCAAATTTGCATCCACTTTCCATCCAGCAAGAAGAAGAAAAGGGAAGAAAAAGATGGGTTTCTTCCTTCAAAAGACATTTTCTAGAAGCTGTATGCATAACCCCAAGTATATAGGTAAGTTCAGCTGCAAGAAAGTATGGGAAATTCAGTCTTTATTCTATGTAATTGTTTTCCAGCTAAAAATAAGAGGAGTTAAGTAAAGAACAGATCTAAAGAGACAAACAGAAGTCCCTCACCTGGAGGTATATAAGATATGATGTCTGTTCTTAAATTACCCACAATTTACTTATTTCCTGGAAAGCCTGTGTTCCTCTTTTACATGGTAAACAAAATGTTGTGGATAATGGCCTATTTCTTTCTTCCTTTTAATTATAGTCTGATTTTCCTTTGACACAGATTATAGTTTCAGAGATGCTTCACATTCATTTTGGACTTCAAGTGGCTGAAGTTTCTCATACTTTACTTTCTTTCCTAGCCAGCCTCTCTGTCTGGCCATTAATGAATCTGAGAATAAACACTCAAATGCAGCTGGTAAGTGTGAGCCTGAAGATTTGTTTCATATCTTTTCCTTGACAAAAGAAGGATGAAACTGTACTAAAACACAAGGAAGCAAAGAAACTGAGAAAGAGGGAAATGAAGACAATGAATATAACCTCCATTATTCAGATTAAAAAACCTAGTTTGGCCATTCCAGGGAACTTTAATGGAGATATACATCAGTGGGCTTAGGGCAGTTTACAGAGGCAGGATTTCACCATGGTACTATATGTATCTTGTACATCTCATAAAATGCACAACAGCAAAAAATTAAGGTAATATAATTTAATAAGTTACTGGTGAGATGAATAAAGATGGTGATATAAGCTTTATTGACTAGCAACCTTAAATAAATAACAGGTATATCTTGGGCAATGAATCCCAGAAGTGTTTCTTATCACTCATAACCACTTGGCAAATGGTCCTTCTGCTGTCCAATTGGTTGGGGAAAAGTTTCCCTATTTAATTTTACATCCATCTTTATTTCCAGCTTTCTCATTTTTTGCCTGAACCATGCATCTATGCAGTGTGCCTTACTCAAGAAGCATTTTCTAAATGAAGCAATTTGTGTACAGTTGATACCCAATTCAGATACATACATTGATTGAGGGCTTTTGTCTGAGGATTGTATTACTAGAATGTGCTTTTAAAAAAATCTATATACCACATCTACTAGGATGGCTATAATAAAACAAAACCAGAAAACAACAAGTATTGGTGGGGATGTGGAAAAACTAGAATTCTCATACATGGCTGGTGGGAGTGTAAAATGATGTAGTCCTTATAGAAAATATTATAGTTTGGTGGTTTCTCAAAGAGCTAACCATAGAATTATAGTATAACCAAGAAATTCTACTCTGAAAAAGAATTGAAAACAAGAACTCAAGCATATACTTGTATGTCAATATTCATTGCAGCATTACTCACAATAGCCAGAGGTGGAAACAACCCAAAGATCTGGCAACAGATGAATCAATAAACAAATCTGTACATATGTACAATAAAGTATTAGTCAACCATGAAAACAATGAAGTTTTGATATATGCTACAATATGGATGAAACCTAAATACATTATACATAATGAAATAAGCCAGACACAATAGGACAAATATAGTATAATTCTACTTATATGAAATATCTAGAATAGGCAAATTTATAAAAAGAACATAGGTTAGAGATTACCAGCGGCCTAGGGAAGGGGATAGGGAGTTATAGTTTAATGGGTACAGAGTTTCTGTTAGGTGAGATTAAATAGCTGTGGAGAAAGATTGTGATGATGATTGCATAACACGATGAATGTAATTAATGCCACTAAATTATTCACCTAAAATGGTTAAAATTACAAATTTTATTGTATGTGTTTTACCTTAATAAAAAAACAATTACTTTAATCTTTCACACTTAAATGGGGCTATGGTTTGAGTTGGTCCCCTTGAAATCTCACGTTGAAATTTCATCCCCAAGGTGCTGGTGTTGGCAAGTGGGCCCTAGTGGGAAGTGTTTGGATCATGGGGGAAAATCCCTCATGAATGACTTGGTGCTGTTCTCATAGTAGTGAGTGATTCTCCCTCTGGCCAGAATGGATTAGTTCTCATGGGAATGTTCCCACAGGAGTGGGTTTTTACAAAGCTAGGATGCTCCCTTGAGTTTTGCCTTTTGCCTGTTTGCAGATGTCTGCTTCCCCTTTGACATTCTCCATCATGTTATGACGCAGCTCTAAAGCTCTTTCCAGGAGCCGAGCAGATGCTGGCACCATGCTTCTTGTACAGCCTGTAGAACCGTGAGTTAATAAACTTCTTTTCCCTATAAATTACTTAAACTCATGTATTCTGTTATAGAAACACTAAATGGACTAAGACAAATAGTATTCCATTTATAGTTTACAAAGGTTTGCCATATCTGATTTAATTCTCTTATCCCCACAAAGTGGCAGAATATCTAGTATTCCCTGAATCCACTTGACCCTTACTTGCCCTGACCCTGCTTTAATGATGATAAAGCTGTTTCGAGAACTTAGTGAGTTGCAGAGCCAGCATTGGTACCCAAGTCCTTAGACTCCCTGCTCAGAGTTCAAGTGTTGATCCTCTTAGGAATTCAAGTCTTGGAAATCATTCTGAGGTCATTGATCTGCAGCTGCCCTTACATAAGCTGTCACTATAGACATTTAGCCTCTGGTTAAGATTGGCCTCCACCTCACCTCCACTTTGGGCATCTGAATATCTGACTGAATGATTGTTTGGGGTGTCAAAACAGGCCTGGAAAGAGACTTAACTTCAGAGTTCAAGGTGCTCTATTCATTAAAATGAAGATGCACAAGGAAAACATACCCAAAATATTAAGTATCTAGAGTGGATCCAATGACTCCCAATACTGGGGCACAACGTGAATCAGTATGGGAAACCAGGACTTAAGACATCCTGGGAATTGTTGTTCAGGGCCTCAGACTTTAAGAATCATTGGAAGCCCATTCTACATATTTAATCCTCACAACAATGGGGGTAGGGAGAGGAGCAGGAACTGTTTTCCACATTTTATAGCTTAGGGAAGGTTGGTGCTTGTCTAAGGTCATACAATCAGAGGGTACCAAAATGAAAATAGAACTCAGGTGTCTGGACTTCTAGATCAGGGCTCTTTCCATTAGGTTGCAGCTGACTGCTTCTAGGAGACCAAGTCCAATGCCCAGTAAATGCCATGTAGAAGGCGGCTGTTACTATTCTAAGTTTCAGGCAGGGGATGGGGACAGCCAGGAGTGGAGTGTGGGGATGCCATCCCGGATATGGAGTCATTTTTCATGACTTATGCCACTCTAACTGGCATAAACAAGACATAGCTGAAGATTAAATGTCCTGAACATTATTAGTCCATTAGATTTCTTGACACCTTTTCCCGTAATGCTGTCTTGTTTACATTCCCAATCAGGTTCTGCTTATCAAGTTTCTAAAATGTTCATGAGGAGTTGTCCTCTTCCTTACCAGTCTCCAAGGAGCAAATACTCTCTTGTATACTTTGGGAAGAAAAAAATATTTCTTTTTAATTGAAAGCTCAAGTTGCCAAGAAGAAATTGCTTTACCACCTCTACCCTTGCTTTGTGGTGCCAACTTGTCCCAGTCTGCCCAGAACTTTCCTGGCTGAAAGTCTGTGTCCTCCCCTTAATCTAGGGAAAACTGGGGTGGTTGATCACCCTACCATGGACCTAATTTTCTTCACTAGTTCCCCTCCCTGAATCCATACCCCTTCTGTTCCTATATTTAAGACTAGCTTTTGAGAACTGGATCCTGCTGGGGTTGGGAGCTTGATCACAGCAAATAGGAATCTTAGGAGTTAGTCCTGGGCAGAGGGTGATGTGGCTTTTTTGGCTTTCCCAGCCTAGGTATGTTGTGTTGATTGTAAGCAGTTCCTTCTTCCTGCCTCTGCAGGTGATGAACCCGACCCTATAAAATGCTTTGTCCTCACTAGAAAGATATTCTGTGGCTCAATTCCACCTAATAAAGGCAGATGGATTGGTGAACTGGGCTTGATGGTCTTTGCTCTGTAAGACAAGGAGAATCCACATGAAGGTGAAGTACAGATATTTTAGGGCCTGAGCTTCCTGGGGTGAGACTTCAAAGGCTCTCAGGAAAGCAAGAGAGTGGCTGTGGCTGGTCAGAGGCAAAAGGAGGAGATGTTGGCGCCATTCACTCTCGCCAGCAGGAAACTGGGACTAGCCCATGGCCCCAGGGAAAATTCTTAATATTTTCACTGTAGAACATTCTAGTAAAGCCAGGCGGGAAGCAATTACTGACAAGGTCAGTCTATGAAGTGAGGTAATTGAGAAGATTTAGCACAAACCAGTATGTCCTTCATTTCTCTTGGCAAAGTAGATTTGATGATTTTGGCTGGCTTTACGCGGCTGGCGATTGTCGCAGCAGGTTGGGTGACGCGCTGTGCTAGCAGAGAGGTCAAAGCACTGACTCACAGGCCTCCTTCTCAAGTGTCCCTACTTCCTTAGGAAGAAGAGTTCGCTGTCCATGGTTAGATCAAGCTGCCTTTCTGACCTGTCACAGGGTATTTGTTGTGCTGGATTTGTCGTTTCAGGGCATGACTATTTGACAGCTCCTGAGAGGAGGACAACCTAGTAGCATTTCAGCTTTCACTGTCTCGCCCGGGGTTTTAATGATAGAGATGAATTCACTGCATGTGTGCACGGGGCTTATGTAAGCTGCAAGCAGTAGCGCAGAGTGGAGAATGGGAAGACATGCGGGGGCGGCACCGCAGTGCAGATCAGAGCTTGGAGAGCTGGGCTGAGTTCGCAGCACATGGAGGTGCAGCGACTGCAGGCTGCAATGCAGAGCCAGTCAGAGAGCCTGCAGCAGGGGAGGAGGGGGCAGCTTAGGAGCTTCTAGGGGTGGCGCTGGGGCATAAAGCCCTAATTTGGCCCTGTTCAGAGGGGAGGGCTGGGAATGGTGGGGAATACTGCCCTACTGGGGCTTGTTTGTGACAATGGGTGGGGTATGAAGTGTGGGAGGTTGCTGAGGAGACAGAGGGGGGAGGGAAAGGCCAGATGCCCTGGAACTGCGGTGGAGGGGTGCGGTATTAAAGCAGCAGGCCCCTGTAACTGATTAGCTGAACAATTTCACTTTACGGGCTTCTCCTTTTCTGTCTGCTCAAACTACTCCTTCCTCCCCACCGTCACCCCTGCTCCCCCCACCGCCCTCTAAGTTCTCTCTTCTTTATAATCCCAGCCAGACTCCTCCCCATCTTGGACTTTCCTAAACCATGGCCTACAGCTGCCCACCCCAGCACCTAGTAAATAACACCTTTCCTTGATGTCTCAGTGGGGTGATGGGCAGATATCTCTGCTGGAGTCATCATGTTTGAGGATGCTCAGGATCTCAGCTGAGTGGCCACCTCCACGTAACACCAGTCTGCCCCAATCCCACAATCTTTATTTGAGCTTATTCTGCATAAAGAACTGGGCTAGGTCCTTCAGGGAATGTTACTGCCCTCTAGGGCTGGCAGGATAATGGTAAGAAATAGGACAAGAGCTCAGATGAATAAAGCATCCAGCCGAACACGGTACCTGAATACCTCAAGAAAGATGCAAAGTGCTATGTTTGTGTGTGTTTTCTATAGGTTCAAATACCTAACATCTCTTTTTTTCGAGCTGATTTACTGCTTTGCAGGAACAGTATATGGATTATTTTTTTTCTGATCTCTAAATCCGATGGGGTTTTCAATAGGGCAAAGGCTGGAGGTATATCTCAGTTTCTGTTACTGTCTTTTTGATCTAGCAGAGAAAGTTTGCCTTTAAAATCAGGCAGACCTGGGTGTAAATCTTGGCACTGCCACTAACATGCTTTGTGATGTGGGGCAAGTAACCCCACTTGCCATCTGTTTTTGCATCTGTAAAAGACAGATTAAATAAAAAGTGGTTAAGGAGCACAGGCTCTGGGGTTAAACTGTCTGGGCTTGAATCCAGAATCCACCAAATACTGTGGGATCTTGGGTAAGTTGCTTAACTTCCTGGTGCATCAGTTTCTTCATCTGAAATATGGGAATAATAATAGCACCTATCTCATAAGTTTACTGTAATAATGCAATATGTCAATACATGCAGAGAGCTTAAAATAGTGGCTGGTATAGAGTAAGTATCTTCTAATATTGATGGAATCAATATCAGTTATATCACAAGGATGCTGTGAGATATAAATTAGACAACATACATAAAAATACCTGGAAAATACATATGAATATTTCTGAATATCTTCTTCCCTTGTTTATCATGAGTTGGAAACCACAGAAAAGCCTTCTGTTCTAACATTCTGTAGCACATAATTTAGTCTAATATGAACAGATTTTTTTCTTTTTTGCCACTTTTCTTTAAAAAAATGGAAACTTAAGTTGATATAGTGAGTGATTACTAATATGATATAGTAACTGTTAACATTAAGCCAAAAAGTTATGCTAAAGTACAATTTTCAAAAAGGTAAAATCATGACTCACATGCAAATGTAACATGAATAAATGTCAAAAATTTTACTTAACCCATTAATTAATTAGGGAATGAGTAAGATGCTAAAATGAGTTCAAGGAGAATTTGAAGAATACACACACACACACACACACACACACACACACACACAAAATCAGGAGTGCTGAAATGAATTTGCTAAAAAGATAAATGACGAGTTAATGGGTGCAGCACACCAACATGGCACATGTATACATATGTAACAAACCTACATGTTGTGCACATGTACCCTAGAACTTAAAGTATAATAATAAAAAAAACAAAAACAAACAACTGCAAAAGGTAGAAAACTGATTAATAGCCTACAATGCTGTAAAGTCAAATGTTTGGCATTAACTTGTTTTACAGGATGAAAATCAATCAAATTTCTACCAATCTACTTGCATTTCTCTAGATAAGAATAATTTACTTTACTCTCAGTTTTCTAAAACTTAAATTCTATTCCTTCAGGGTTGTAAAATTAACTAGTGAATGAAAACAGTGAAAGATGCACACCCTGTGGAATCAGATGACCCCCGAGAGTCTGCTAGCCAGTGCTCATCCCCTTACTGAAAGGGCCCCCAGAACCTCATAATTCAAGGCAAATCAAAGAGAAAATACCTTTGGAGTTAGATAGGGGAGTTTAATTTGTGAAAAGTACACTTGTCAGTTGATTTTATAACCTAAGGAGAATCTGCATTCGTGTTGTTACCTTGTCACACACCTTGGATTCCTAGATTCAAGACCACCATCCCTAAGATGTGAGATATCTGTAGAGGCCACTGAAGTGATGGCTGGTGCCAGAGGCTGCTTTTTGCTGACTGACTTCTCAGAGAGACTCCATGGCCTGATAAATCCTCTTCCAATGGTGTTGCAGGCTTGAGAGAGAAATCATGCCACACGTCTCCGGGGCCTGCAATAGGAAACCCAAGAGAGGTGGGGAGATCTAGACTCCAGGTAGTGGGTTGATGGATGCTAAGCTGCTGGGCCACAGTTCAGGGTAGCTCTCTCTTCAGACTTCTTTCTGGGGCTCCCAGTAGTGCCCATCACAAGTCCCTGAGCCATATACATATTAACATGTTTATAAAGTAGCAGAAAATTTCTCTGACTTTTTAAATCCCTCTGGGTATAATCATGGGCTAGTGGAGATGCTTAGAATGAGCATGATTAGGACTCCCTGGAAAGTTTTCTCCAAGAACTCAGGCTGAGTATGTCCTTACTTTCCAGAAGAGAGTCGGCTATGTTCCCCAAAGCATGGCCTGAGAGCCCCCTAAGTGTCAATCACTTTGAATGTTACCTCCAAACTCATGCGGATGGGGACACTTAAATAATCAGTGGGCCAAATGCTCTCTTTTCTCCTCTTTCTGGAGCTGAGACCAGCCAGTTTCTCAGTCACCAATGGGAGGAGGAAGGATAAGGGAGAGACGGCAGACACAGAGGCTCTTGGTTTGAGATGCTGGGTGATATGGCAAATTGACCACAGTGCTCCTCTATTCCTTTTGAGTTTGGGGGAACCAGGGAGAAGTGAGGGCAAACACGGTGGAGTAAATCAAGTATGATTTATTCATGGACTGGCAAGGAGCTCTCTCTTTCTTGCTTGGGCCACATAATTAAGTCTAATTAATGGAAAGTGATTGTAGAGGGAGTTCAGAGCCTATTTCCGGTTATCATTATCCAAAGACAGCAATCAAAATGTAGATGAGCTGTCTCTATCTTACCCCAGGAGGGAAACATGACTTCTTGATAATGAAGGGGAAATGGCAAATGGATGCTGCTTGTGGCTTCCCTATCCACAGTGGCTGCCAGGGTGATGGTGGGGGATGGAGGACCAGCAGACCCACTTTGTGTTCTGAAATGATGCCACCCTGTCTCCACTGTCTGCTTTCTGCCAGGACAGCCTAAGTGCTGCACTAATGCTCTCTTCTCACGCTGCTGGGAGAGAGGCAGGAGGCCAAGGAGTCTTGTTTCTTCCTCCCTTCACCCTAACCTCAACAAAGATGAGCAGCTAAGTAGCTTTCCTCAAAGTACACCAGACAATCAGGATTTTTAACCAGAAAGGACACTTTGGAGCATTGCAGTTTGGCAGCATTAGAGATCCACTCTCATTCTGACCTTCAATCTAAATAATTAGAGCCTTCTCATCTAACTAAACAAAGAAGATCTGGGGCAGCATGGGACAGAATTAGAAATAACCACCGGGAGATCCGAGCCCAGCCTGAGGAGGACAGCCCGGTGCCATAGCCCAAATGGGAGAAAACAAATCAGATGGAGGCAGACATCTTCCCAATCTGCATCTGTTTTTATTATTTTTGAAAAACAGAAAAATGACTCACAACAAACCCCTCTAAGAACAAATCAGCCTGGGATGAAATTTCCAGTGCACCTCTTTCCCTGACAGGATCATAAATTAACCCTGGGCTGCAGCAGCTGCTGGGGCATCACTCTGGCTGCTTCCAGCCTGTCCCGGGAGAGCCCCCTATGGCCCCTCCCTCCCCGCCTATGTCAGCGCCGCTAAATTTAGCTCTTCCAGCATGTGCACAGTTTATATTTAGTGCCTAAAAGTCAGAGTTCAATGTGCAATTCATCAAGTCATCAATCATCCCTCCATCCAAGCGACACATTATAGAAAAATACTTTCAAAAGACTCGCTTGCTCTCCACAAGGGGTAGAAGCCATTCTAAGAAGGAATTCACTGGGCCAGAGGGGTTTTCTCCTCACTCTGGTGTGTGAGGAGTGCCTGAGAATGCCAAGCTTGGAGTGGGGGTGAGTGGAGGGGGGAAGAAGAGAGGGAGGGGGAGGACTCAGAAAGTGGACAGCAAGCCCCGCTACACTCAGTCTGTCCCTGCTGAAATTCAGGCAGCCGGCTGTGGGTCTTAAGGCCCCTGCTTAGATGTTCGTTCCTGTTGGGAGCTTGCCTTGAGACCCTGCAAAGAAATTGGGAGGCACCCGCTGCACACATTGTTTTCTCTGCCACTCTCAATAGCAGCAAACAAATCACCCAGGATGTTGCTGAAATGCAGGTTCCCGTTTGGTATGTTCAGGGTAAGATCCTGCACTTCTAACAAGCTCCCATGAGATTCCCAGGCTGCAGGCAAGGTCCACAGTTGAGAGGCAAGGGCCCTGCTGTAATCGCCTGGAAACGGAAACGTGCTATCTTCTGTCACAGACCGTAAACTCCCTGAGGGCACTGACCTCACATGCCCCCGATACATAGTCAGTGCTTAATAAATATTTTTAATGTATGAAAACAGTGATCTGATTCCTCAGGAAGGTCTTCTAAAGCCATCTCCTATTTTGATTCACTAGCAACAGGAGCAGCTAAAATGTATAGGACTTTATCATTGACAAAGCATTTTGAGGTTTACTTTAATCCTTATAGTCACCTTATGAAATATTATTGTTGTTATCTTAAAGTAATTTTTTAATAGAAAAAACCTGAGAGAAATTAAACGATTTAGCAAAAATCACACAGCTTCAAAGCACAGAGTCAAGAATCAAATTTTGGTCTTCTGGTTCAAAAGCCCAGTCATGGAGCCCAGTGACACTGTGGATGTGCCCTTGGCCAGGAATGGGAGAATGTGCCTCCTCCAGAGCATGGCCCAAGAGTGAGGCAGTTTTGACTCTTCTTTGGGGTCCTCCAGAGACTCTGGAAAGGAGCTTAAGTCTGACGCAATGTCCATGGAGGGGGGCCAGAGCTGTTGTTGATCTCAAGGTGTAAAAGGCTTGGGTAGGGCAGTGGAGGGGCTGCTCTGAGGCAGAGCTGATGCCAGGCTGACCTGCTGTAGCAAGCTCAGATGTTCCCTCAGGGGATGAGCGTGTATGTTCATGGGTGAAGGAGGATGTTAGGTGAGGAGAAAGCTAGCAGGTCTTCATTTATACCACACCCCACAACTACCACCATGATTGCAGGGCAATGGAACTGTACCCAAGTAAGGGAGAGATCCCAGTACATGGGCAAGAAGGCTTGTGTTCATGGATTTCAGTTCAGGCCCTGAGCTGCTCATGCTCTCTCACCCAGAGATCTCCCTTTCAACAGAATCAACAATGAGTATCGCAACTGGGGGTGTGGCATCAAAGCACAACTGGGGCTGGTGTGGAGAGGCTGGGTTTTCCTGCTTCTAAGGGGCAACCCAAGAGACAGGTGGTTGACTGAATCCATGCAGGGTTCAGGATAATAGTGAACTGACAACAGAGAGTGGGGAAAGAAAATGTACTATACAATTAAGGAGGTGTTTTAGTTGAGGCTATTGAAATAGGGAGAATGTTCATTAATAAGCATTGTCTCAAAGAAAAGAGAGGAAAACCCAGGGTTTTATAAAGGCAGATAAATAAAAGCATCATAAGGAAGGGTCTTATCTTGGAATATTCAGGATATCGCAGGGCAGGGTGGTCTTTTGCAGTAGCTGTTTTGGAAACACAAAAGGGTAGAGGTTTCAGAGAATATAAAGAGGGGAAGATTCTGAATCTTTGCTGTTTTCCAGGACCACAGAGATCAGATGAGTTTCAACACTGTCAGAGTATAAGGCAGTCATTGTTAGGTGTTGGGTGGGCATGGCTGTGGGACAGGTGCAGCCCAGGAGTGTATCAGGAAGTTAGTAATCGGGAGGCCTCTGTGGACCAGTGTCACCTGGAAGCAGTAGGATGGTGGAGCTGGCACGAGCCCACTCTCAAGAACTGATTGTTAAATATACAACAATATTGTGACAAAGATTATTTGCTTGGCCAAACTTTAGTCAGGCTTCTGAAGCTTCTCCTAGGCCTATTTGTGTATTTCCCTTGTAAAACCAGTCTTGGCAAAGAGCCCTGCTAAGTTAGTTTAGCAACAATCTACCACCCTACATATCTGATCAAATTCCTCATTCTTCACCATCCCCGAGGTAATGTCAGATCACTCTAGCCCATCTTCAGTAAACATGTTGTTAGGTAGACTTAGCCAGAATCCCCCTTACCCCTGATGTTTCCTCTCAATAATTTTTCATTTAATAGCTCCTACCTTGATCCCATTTTCCCAGCCTATATTCCGAGTTAAGCCTCATCTCCCCTCTTCACTGTAAGACCCTGTTGCAGTGGTCCCTACCACCTATAGTGAAGATCTTGAATAAAATCATTCTCGCTGTGATTTAAAAAGTATCATTGAACACTTTTTTCTTTAGCAATTGTGAAGTGGCTGTTAAACCACTGGTAGTTTGAAATTGGATGGTGAGAGTATTTATACCATGAAAACTGGCAAACACTATAAATCAGGTTTCCTCCATTGTCCACACACCCAGAGAACTGGTCACACCTTTACCAGTATACCACTGCCCAGAAATCCCTGTGGAGGAGGCAAAATTTGAAATCAACTGGAAAGTTGGGGAAAAAAAAGTATCTTGTATTTCTCCTCCACAAGCCAGTGCCAGAAAACAGAGGGTTAAGACTTGCAATTCTTAAACTCCAAAACTAAGTACCATGAACTGAAATAGAAATAAATTAAAAGTTGCTATAAGTAAGGACAGATAGATATAGTCTGAACAAGGATTTTTATTTTCTTTTTGAAATAGGACAGAAGAATTGCCCCAGAAAATTTGTGACACATAGATACAGTACCCATGCGTCATTCTATCATACAGGGAATTCTGTTTAACATATGTTTTCTGAGTATCGACAATCTGGTGATTATGAGATTTATAGTGCCTTGTGAATTTTCAAATAAAAAATAGGCTTCTTATTGTTTGACTCTTGTATATTTTGTGGTATTATTATTTTTTTAAAGTGTGTATAATAACATCTACTTTTTTTTTAAAAAAAAACAAATTTTGGTTAACCCATATGTTGAATTATTCAAGCAATTCAAGAATGGATAAAAACATAGCTTAGTGCAGGCCTGAAGAAAAATCCATGTTATGTTATATCAGAGTAGGATACTCAGTTCTTCTAGTGTGTATCCTCCTTTAAGGTGATTCTATAATTCAACCTCTAGCCTTATCATCCTTTTACCCTGACAAATTATTTGCATCATAGTTCTGTCTTCAAAGATGCATTTAATTGTCCTCCCAACCTTTTTTTTTTGAGACAGAGTCTCACTCTGTCGTCCAGGCTGGAGTGCAGTGGCACAATCTCGGCTCACTGCAACCTCT
Source organism: Homo sapiens (assembly GCF_000001405.40). Classification (NCBI taxonomy): domain Eukaryota; kingdom Metazoa; phylum Chordata; class Mammalia; order Primates; family Hominidae; genus Homo; species Homo sapiens. Next base: position 168,617,459 of record NC_000001.11, read on the forward strand.
GCCTCCCGGGCTTACGTGATTCTCCTGCCTCAGACTCTTGAGTAGCTGGCATTACAGGCATGTACCATCACACTCAGCTAATTTTTTGTGTGTTTTTGTTTTAGAGACAGTGTTTCACTATGTTGCCTAGGCTGGTTTCAAACTCCTGAGCTCAAGGAATCCACCCGCCCTGGCCTCCCAAAGTGCTGGGATTACTGGTGTGAGCCACTGCACCCAGCCCAGTTCTCCAGTTTTTTCATATGAACTGTTGAATTGAGGGTGATCAGAGAGAAGAGTAGAATTATATTTGGGCAAACCTATTTCTGCTACTGACACAAAAATGAAAAGAAACCCCTCAAAGCATATATCAAATTCAGAATTTTGCTTTGCAGAATAAATAGAAGTTAGCTAGACAAGGGAGGAGAAAGGGATTCCAGTAAAAGAAATAGCATTTGGTTATGTCATTGTACTATGAGGCATTCACTGTTGTCTTATTTGAAATATAAATACGTTTGAGATGGGACAAAGATGGAGTAAAATGAGGAGGAAGAAGAGCAGTTAGGCAGTAGTCACATCATTCAGAGCCTTCTGGGTTAATCTTACTTGTGAGCTTGAGCTTTACTCTGAAAGCGCTGGGGAGCTCTCCAAGAACTGGAATCAGGACAAGGGAAGTGGTATGTTTTCAGACTGTTGGAGGATGACCCAGGAAGCTGTGTATTAGGGAGGGATGATAGAAAGTGCTGAAGACCTGAACTGAGATTGGCAGAGGTTCAGGGATTCTAAAGAGATCCTAAGGAGGAAGTATCTGCAGATTTTGGTGACATGACTGATTGGTTGACTGGTCATGGGGATTGAGAGAGAATAAGGGATAAAAAGATTCAAAGGTTTCTGCATCTAAAGACTGAATGGGTAGCATAACATTTGCCAAGACCGGGACTACAAGAGGATTTTTGAGTAGATGCATTCAACCTGTATCTGGTGAAGAGCATCCTTGGGCAAAACTGCCAACTTCTTATAATTCTTTATTCTCTTTATTAACTCGTTATATTTCAATAGTAACATGACTTAAGCTGTCTGTCTTCATGATGGCTAATTATGGGCATATGTTAATTAAGGGTATAAAGCGAATACTATATAGCTAAGAATGAATCAGTGTAAGTCTGTATAATAGTGAAAGCCTCCATTGTAGCTAGCCTTGTTCAGCTGAGCGATGAACTAAGTCATCAGCACACTCATCTGATTTTCACTGATTGCTGTATAATCTTTTTGAGAATCACTTAGGCATTCTTAAGCTTCTATTTGTAATTAAATAACTTTAAATAATTATTTTATTGATTAACCTTTTAAAATAGCAATGCAAACAAATGGCATTACTGTTTTTAATAAAATGAACTCACTGGAACTCTTTTCTGAGCTCCAAAACATTGATATCCCTTAATATAATGGAGCCCTGATATTAAATTAGAATATGTGCCCCACAGCCATAATATGGAATATTATTTGTTAGAAAGAAAATCCATCAAGAATTGAATTCTGTTTTAATGTAATAGTATTTGTTTCCTAAGAATTTGATATTGATTTAAAAACGCATTAACTTAGTCAATGAAAGTGAAAGTTTTGAAAGTGGAACTTTCTAATCTGCTGAGTCTGCACATCATCGTTGGCTTTTACCCCCACTACCTGCAAGCTTAACTGCATCAGTCCTCTCCTCCTTTTCTGTCTCATTAGAATGCAAACCCCACCTTCTGTCTGAAGCTGTCCTTTTCAACTGAGCTTCCAAGTTCTTATCTCCTTCTGCTTCCTCTGAGGCCATTCAATATCTCTCTCTACTGTATCTTCAATCTCTCTTTCTAGTAACTACCCTTAACATGGAAGTATGCTCACATCTGTTCCCTCTTATGGAAAAAATCCCTGGCAGGTCTAAGCCACCTTCATCTACTGTCCTGTTTTGCCCTTCTGTTCACAGCCACATTTCTCAAAAGACTAGTTTATCCTCATTGTCCCTGCTTTATCATCTCTAATTAACTCTTCAGCCAATAAGATTTTCATTCCCACTAATGCTCTGAAACTACCCTTATTATCTGGGCAGCCATTGGAGGGTTATAAACAGAGAGGTGACATGATGTGGCTTATGTTTTGTCAGGGCTACTCTGAAAGGTGCGAGTAGGAAAGCATGGAGACCTACTAGATTGTTATTAAAATAGTGCTTATAAGATACAATGGTGGCTTGGACTAAGATGGTAGCAATGAGGATAATGAGAAGTGGTCAGATATGGTGGATGTTTTGAAGGTAGAGTTGACAGAACAGATGAAGTAGAGATTGAGTGTGAGACAAAGGGACGAGACAAAGGTGATTCCAAGGTTTTTACCTGAACAAAGAAAAATGGGAAAATGCCAGTCAATGCTATTCTGTAGTGTTGGGCTGTCATACAGATTATCTTAATGCCCCACTGCAGATGGTAAAGACTTTGGATTTTACTCTGAGTGACAAAAGAAGTACAGAGATTTTTGAGAAGGAGAGTGACATGATTTGACTTACATTTAAAAAAATTACTTTGATTTCTTACTAGAGAATAGGCTATAAGTGAACAAAGATGGAAGAAAGGTGATTAGTGAGGCAGCTTTGCAGTAATGCAGGAAAAAGATGATGGTGGCTGGAGCCAAGGTGATAGCAGTCCAAGTAGTGAGATGTGGTCATATTCTGGTGATAATTTCAGAGAAGAACTGACATAGTATGTTGTTATGGGGGTTAACAGGAGAAGAGGAATCAAGGATTACTTTAAGGTTTTGGCCTGAGGAACTAAAAGTTACAGGACAGGATGGAAAGTTAAAGAGTTTATTTTTTTGGAATGATAAACTTGAAATGCTTATTAAAAATCCAAGTGGAGATATTGACTAGCGATTGTATTTACAAGGCTGGTGTTCAGAGGAGGAGTTAAGCTAGACATATGAATTAGGGAATTTTCATCATAGACATGGTATTTAAATCTACAAGACTGGGGGAAGATCACCAAGAGAGTGAGTATAGACGCTGAACATCTAAAGAGCCTGTGATCCTGGTCCTGTACACATTTAGATGGCAGGCATATAAGTAGGAACTGACAAAGAAGATTGAGAAGGAGCAGCAAATGAAGTAGGTAGAAGGCCAAGAAAGAAAGATATTCCAGAAAAAAAGTACTTCAGGAAGGAAACCATGATCCTGAGTGTCAAATGCTGCAGAATCAAGTGCAATGGCCTATGGTAATTAAGCCCTGGATTTGACTATGTGTGTATGTGTTGTAGGTGGTGGGGAGAGGGCATGAAGACTTTTGCGAGAGCAGTTTTAAAGGTGTACTAGGAGGGAAAGTTTGATTGGAATGGGTTCAAGAGAGAATGGAAAGAACAGAAGGGAAGACACCAAGTATAGACAACTTCCGATGATTGCTAAGAAACAGGGCAATAGTTGGAGGCAAAAATGGGTTTGAGAGATGGGTTTTAAAACGAGATAAACAACAGTGTGTTTGTATGCAGATAGGAGAATTCATTATGGAGTAAAGAGATGAAAGATTGGAGGGAGCAAAATCTTTGAGAAGGTAAAAGGGAATGGAACTCAGAGCACAAATATCGGGGTTGACTTCAGCTAGAAGCAAGGAGTTCATGCGTCGTAACAAGAGTTAAGACAGTGCATATAGGTAGACTGGTGGATGGGAGCACACGGATGTTCTGTTATAAGCTGCGAATATAAGATGAGGAATTGTAGATTTGAAGTGGGAGGAAAAGGTGTGAAATTCTTGTCTAGAAGAGAGGGAGACTGAATGAATTAGAGATATATAATAGGATGAGAGGATACCACAAAAGGACTCAGGGAGGTTAGTGGCTGTGCGTTGAAAGTGACAGCAGTTAGCCTGGCTGTGTGTTTTCTCTAGCTGGGGTGGAAGTTCAGAGAGGAAAGGGTGCACCAACATCTCTCTTCTTTTCCTTATTTTTTCTTGCAGCACACAAAGCTCCTGAAGCTCTTGGCTGTTTGCTCCAAGCTTTGAGTTCAGTCCTGGATGAGAGCTGGGGGTTGAAGACAGACAGCACTTTCTTTGGAATGTCTGCTCTTCCTGCCAGTCAGCATTCATCTGGCAGGCTGGCCTTTGACTGTACTGGTATTTTAAGCATTCAAATGTGTTCTAAGCCAGTCTAGCAGACATTCTATGCAAGTCAAGCCACTGCCCTTTAAACCAGAAGGAACTTAGGGACCCTGGAAATCCTCAGTCAGCAGAGTCTGGTTTGAACTGCAATGAAATCCATTTGCCCAGGGACACTAATAGACGCAATTCAGAGGTAAACAGATCTGGAGATTTCATTTAAGAAAAAAAGAATGTCAAGGAAGGAAGCATCTGGGAAAGGAGTAAAGTTTGGCTATGACAAACAAAATAGGCTTCAGATAAAATGGTCTCCCCCCACCCAAAAATAAAGCACATAAAGTAGACGAGATAGGAGATCAACCTGTAACCTGTCACCTATATATGTACTGATGTCCTCATCTCTGTGAGCTGGGAATTTTAATAGAAATTACATTATAGGGTAGTTTAATATTAATACCTAAAAGGTATTTGGAACATTATTTGACAGAGTAAAGCTCAGTAAATACTAGAAAACATAGTAGTACTGATAAATAATTGTTATTATTTTATTATTATGCCTTGGCTAGTGCTGAGCTGCTTCTTGTTTCTGTGTCTTTTTTTAGGCTATGAAGAAAATCTTATTTAAATAAACAACAAAAATTAACAGATTGATTAATGTGGTTCCTGTACAAGGATGACATCCACATTCGTGATGTGGAGATAACATCAGGTAGTAACAACGTTCATGGTTTTGAGCCAAAGACCCCCTCAGCCAGCCCAAGCATTTAACCAAACTGCTTAACCTTCAAGAACCTTACTTCTTTGATATGTGAAATGGAGAAAATGATACTAATTTTTGAGATTTTTATCAGAGTTAAATAAATCAATATATATAGAATGTACCTTGAACAGTGTCAGGTATATAGTACGCATTCAACAATGTTAGGTATGATTATTAATAATTCTGGTGAATCCTCAGTAGGAAAAATCCTTCCTGTTCTTCTCCAGGTACAGAAATCCTCTCCACCTTTTCAGGACCAGCCTCTGAAAGAATCCTGTCCAGAGTCTCCTAGTTTCTTCCTCTGGGCTTCTGTTACACTTTGTTCATGCTTCTGTTGCATCAATTTCCCCCTCGGTTAATTTTGAAAGTCTTTTTCCTTGTATGTTTGTCTCTTGAGCTAGAGTTAATATTTTGTTTGTTTGTTTTTTTAATACACCTATAGACTTATTACAACTCAGCAGAGAGGCTAGGATGCAGTAAGAACCCAACAAATATTTATAGAATTAACTGAGAGTTCTTTCTAATCTTCAAAGCAGAGAATCTGACCTACATTTAGAAGAAACTCCTTCCCCCTCTTTCTTCAAATTTTCCCTATCAGAATTTTGGGAACAATATAGAGTAGTGACTGAACATATGGTCTCTGAAGTCAGTAGACCTCTTCTGAAATTCCATTTCAGCAATTGGCATAGCATTGCAAGGAAGGAGGGGATATACAAAATGCAATGAGAGCATAGTAGAAGACCAGCATTTACTAGTCTCACTTGATCTTGGAGCACAAGTATGTCATGGCTCACTCCAATCAAGAAAAGATCATCGTCCAGGCATGACAAAGGAAACAAACTGTTCTTAGGTTGTCTCAATTACTTCCTGCACCAGCTGATCAAAGTAATTAGAGCAGGTAAGAGTTCGGTAAAGACAGGCAAAAAATGGATCCTACTTCCTTGCCAGGGATAAGATAGCATGTTACGAAAATATCACTTAAAACTCTGAGGACAGGCATGAGTCATCAGATCTCCAGTTACCGAAAGCATCTCAGACTTGGTGTAGGAAAGTGGCGGTGAAAGGGAAGGTCAGCCAGAGGAGGACCTCTTAGTCACTTAAGCTGCTGCTGGGCTCTTCTCTGCCACCAGCTGGGCTCATTTTATCAGCATCCAAGAAGAAAGCAACTGAAGTTGTAACACATGTGTCAGTGTAGTGTAATGGAAAGAAAAGTAGATTCAGATCCTGGGTTTATCACTTACTAGCTATGTGGCTTCTTCAAGTTATTTAATCTCTGTGAATATCATTTTACCAAGGACAGTTGAGAGAATTAGAGATGATGTAATATACCTACTATGTACTCACGAACTGGTAACTTCATCATTACCGTGCAGCTGATTCTTTCAAATTAGAGATGCATAATCAAATCTAACTCAGCATAAACAAAATCAATTTCAGTTGAAAGATTCTGGTTATTCCTAGTTTGAGGTGTGGCCCTCCTGAGACTCTTTGTGCCTAGATCAAAATCTCATGAGACCGTAAAGTTGGTTTCTTTCTATTCTGGGTCTACTTGCTGTACCCCAAATCTCAGCTTAGAATATTCTTGAGATTTTTTTTAGGGGTATGAGCTGAGGCATGGGAAGATAGCAATACCCGCTTGCTCCTTCTGTGGAGAAAATCGATCAAGGGTACATGTCCCAGTGATGGTGGATTAGTGATGTCATCTTCCCTCATGAAGGACAATGCTATTAATATTGCAATGATTCACACTGTAACTCCAGGCCTCCAGGGATTTGATGGAGGGAAAGGGTAGGAATAAATGTAAAAGAATATGGAGTGTGGTAGAGAAGGACTAAGACTTAGATGGATTATTTTTGTTGTTTTATTTTATTTTTTTTGAGACAGTCTCACTCTGTCGCCAGTCTGGAGTGTAGTGGCGCAATCTCGGCTCACTGCAACTTCTGCCTCTGCCTCCTGGGTTCAAGTGATTCTCCTGCCTCAGCCTCCAGAGTCGCTGGGACTACACGCACGTGCCACCACGCCCAGCTAATTTTGTATTTTTTAATAGAGACGGGCTTTCACCATGTTGGCCAGGATGGTCTCAATCTCTAGACCTCGTGATCCACCCGCCTTGGCCTTCTAAAATGCTGGGATTACAGGCGTGAGCCACCGTGCCCAGCTTAGATGGAAAATTTTAAACGGGCAGTGGCACCTTCTTTAGCTTTGAGAGAAGAGAAACACGGAGGTCACTGGTGGGCTTAATTAAGGATAGCAGAGAGAGGGAAATTAGAGGGGAGTTAGAAAAGGAAGAAGAAGAAAAAGAAGTAAAGGGAACAATAAAGGAGGGACACATTAAAAGAGAAAGAAAAAAAGTGGCTTGAGGAGGAGGCAAGAAAAGAGTGACATTATTTAGAATTGAAACTCAAGCTTTGGGGATGACCAATGAAAGACAATTTAATTTGTAAAATAAATTCAGAGGTCAAAGGGGTCCCAGAAAAAAGGTGTTTAGGAACATCTAACTCAGTGGTGAGATGTTTTGGTGAATTTGATGAAATTCATGGACAAAAAATGCATGTAAATTACAACTTCTCTGTACAATTTGATGGAGTTTATACATTTCCTAAAGCCAATCTGTGGATCCCTTCTTAGGAGATTTTGTTTTATGTGTTTTTATACATCGTTCTGAGACAGCGATAAATGTAGTTTCCTCAGGAAGATCTGAAAGTCAAAACAAAAAGCTTACTAATATTTTCTTGGTGTCTTCTCCACAGCATGAATATCACTTTTCAAATCTAGCTGTGATCATATTTAAATATTTAGTCAATTTAGGCATATCTTTTTTTAATTTCAGGTTTTGTCTTTTTTTTTTTTTTTTTTTTTTTTTTTAGAACGTTACTATTAGTAAATGGTCCAAGGGCTCTGGGCCCAACAGAAGAATATCGTCACTTTGAAGAACAAAATTTACCTTTGGAGTGTTAGACTTTTTCAGGCTGGAAGTCAGAGGTCCTCTGGTGACTCCTCAAGTGACAAGGCTTGTTTTACATTTACACAATAAATTGAGGAGAATAGAAGTTTCATTGCATAGTGTCATGAAGGAAAGGAGAGATGATTGTTTAGGAACTGGGCCATCTAGGTTAGTGTAGGTTGAATACCCTGGTTTTCTAGTCCACCCAGCAGCAGGAGTCTGTTGATTTCCCCTCTCGTGCTTCCCTGTGGTGCTGCCTTTGATACCGTCTGTCATTCCCCCTCCTGCCACCTTCTTTCTCTTTAACAGATTCTGCCTGCTCAGCTTTTGCCTTGCTGTTTTCTCCCTCCAAGTATTTTGTTTTCTTTTCCCCATTTTTAAGTGCTGACCTCTTTGAATGTATTCCAGATTGCCCATGAGAGCCACTGGTGGATGCTTATTCACCATCACTTATGATGGAGACTTTCATGGTCATTCCACAGCAGCGGCTCCTGGGGCCTGTGTCTAGCCTCGGCCAGTCTCTGTGACCAGTGTCACCATCATGTAGTCAGTGCCCTTCGCAGCATAACAGTTTCTTCTCCAGTGTAATAGCTGTTGCACTTTGTAGGTTTACAAAGCTCTATTCTCATATCCTGTGCATTGTCTGATCCTCACAATAATCTTACAAGGATTATTATCATGCCCACTTTGCACACAAGGAAATGGAGAGTCAATGGAGTTGCAGGGAAGACTCCAGGTCACTCAGTTATCAAATGGGAGAGCAAACTCAAATCCAGGTCTTCTGATCCCAAAGTCTTCATGGATAGCAGTAAAGAGAAGAGAAGTTGGGGGCAAGGCAGGAGAGATGTGAAAACTGATATGGAGATAAAATGACTATTTCAGAGGGTGAAAACATTGGTGTGCATGTATGTGTGTGCTACCATTTTGGTTGGAACCAGCTCTGGGGGGTGCACTAGGGAAAGAGAAAGGGTAACAGAGCGGCAGATCCAGCAAATTCTCCAGGCACTGGGCACAGGTGCCAAGGCACGTGTTCTTTCACCTGCCTATTCTTGATCTAGAGATCAGCAACATCAGAGGAAAAGGATAAGGGCCTCAGCAGTATATGCAGAAGGACCTGCAAAGGGTCCTCTGAGCTGCAAAGCTTCCCGTCTCCCCAGTGCCATTTAGGAATGCGCTGTACGTTGAGAGTCACTTCTGGCCTGGCCTGGTAGTAAGTGAGATCTCTTGACTTCCTCAATGCCTTTTGGAGGGCTTGAATGCTGTGTGTCCCTTTTCCTAACTTCTTTATTTTCAGCTGTGGGCTCATTAGCATAATGCCTCTGACTGACTCAGGCACTGATGGTGAAACACTCTAAGTTGCCTTCCACTCTTCAGTCAAAAAAGGGGCAGCATGGGACTTCTGTATGGTGATTACTCTCACGATCTGATGTATTAGTGGTTCTCAAAGCTTAATAGGTATAAGAGTCATTCAAGGAGTTTGTTAAATTACAGGTTTTCAGTCCTGTCTGTCAGATATTCTGAATCAGAAGTTTGAAATGGGGCTCGGGAAGATATGCATTTCAATAAAGTATCTCAGGATATATTTATGCAAATGATTTTTGGATTATGCAAGAGAAACATTGTAATTTGGATGAGTCTTGGTTTATTTTCACTAAATAGAATAATAAGATTTACTTCATCAGACTGCAAACAAATCCCTTGAGTGCAGAAACCACGTGTGTATCTTCTACCTTAATTCTTAGCACGTTGCCTGGCATAGAGTAGGTTAAATTCAGTTAGCCACAACTCTCAGTACCTCTTTGTTAGACTGAGCTGGGGGACTGCAGAAGACTTGGTTCTCAGTCTCTGGGGCTGAAGAAGAAATTGGGGTACACCGCTCGGGGAGCTGTGGCATGTGCTGAGGAAGTGATGTTAGTTTTCAGAACATAAAATTCTGCCTATGCTGTTACATTTTTATATGAACCTTTAATGTCTTTTATCTGGAAGCAATTTAAGTCTTAATGTTTTGTGTCTTCTACAATGCCTTACTTTGAGTAGGCTGTCAAATAAGGATTCCCCAACCTTTACTTCATTTTCCGATGTTCTTAGCAATCCTATCTAGTAAATTCTCATTCTTTATGGTTTATACCATGCCTCAGTGTTTTCTATATTGGATGTGGGGTGAAAAGTTGAACATTCTGGCAAAAGCATTAGCTTAGTTCATGATGTGCTCTGAGCAGACTCAATGATTGGTGGAAAAGTACATTTGAGTGCATCTGACTCCCATGGAGAAATGCCATACAGTGGCAGGTAGAGAATCTGACCTTTGGGAGTAATGCCAATCTAGTGTCAATAGCCAGGACCTGTCTAAACATCATGGAAAATCTAACTCTTTGACAAACAAACCAGGAGTCATCCATAGCTTCCTGAATTACACCCAGGAAGGAGAGATTGAATACTCCACACACCATTTTCCGAGATGTTCCAGAGGAAATCAGCAATTTTAGCCAAGTTTCCAGGAAACCTCAGAGGTTTATCACTTCATACAGCCAGGAGCAGGGATTCGGATGGATAGATTTTATAGATTCTTTCTTTCAGAAGAAAACAGACTAAATCAGCAAACCATTGGTCCAAAATAAAATTTTGTCTATGACAGAGTGTTCCATCATCTAGCAACACATAAAATGTTTTAATATGAATCCTTGAGAAGCAACTGTTCTTCTTTTAACCAAAGCAAATAAAGAAGTTAACATTGGAGTCCCTCATATTGGAAAGGATTTGCTGAACATCTGCTGAGAGGAAGTTCTGTTGAGATTCCTCCTCTTTTAATTCTTTACCTATTAAGTGCCTTTACAAAAAAGTGGGATGCTTACTGCTTGAAATGTCAGCAGCACCTCCTGTACCTTAATTTTCTCAATTAAAGAATGTAGACTCTGACACACTGTAGGAAGAACCATCTGGTTAAGTGGTGTTTCTGTTGGTTTCCAGGTTATCCCATGCAACAGTGCATGGGAAGTGGAGGATTCTTTTTTTTTTTTTTTTTTTTGAGACGGAGTCTCGCTCTGTCGCCCAGGCTGGAGTGCAGTGGCGGGATCTCGGCTCACTGCAAGCTCTGCCTCCTGGGTTCACGCCATTCTCCTGCCTCAGCCTCCCAAGTAGCTGGGACTACAGGCGCCCGCCACTACGCCCGGCTAATTTTTTGTATTTTTAGTAGAGATGGGGTTTCACCGTTTTAGCCGGAAAGTGGAGGATTCTTAAAGCTTCTTTAGATTTTATCCTCACAGATAAAATAGGTGGTTTGAGGAGGAATAAAATGGTTCTTAATTGTCCTAAGTAGCTTGTTATGATAGCTGATGTCTTCATTTTTGGTGAAATGATCTTTCAACTGAGTATAAGTCTATCTAATTTAGGGGAAGATTTTTGGATGACTAGTACTCAAATGTTTGCCCACTTGGAGCCTTCCCTTAAATAATTTAAGTATCATTTGACTGGTCAAGTCTTGGTTAATGGACAGGCACATTCAAGGGTTCAATCCTATCACTGTTCTTTCTCAAGTTGCAGCCTCTCCTCTCCTTTCATCATTTATAACTTCCCTGAGCAAATGTATCTCATCTTCCCAAGAAGCCTTTCTGACATCCTGCATGCCTGAGGTTTTTGTTTTAGCTGCTATGAGTCAGGGTTTACACATCTATTCCCTTATACTTGTCCAAGTGTTTTTTCTACCTGTTGATTGTCATTCTAGCTGAAGCCTATCAGATGGCCATGTGGAGATGTAGGAGGGGCAGGTGGAGTCTCTGAATTCAAGGGGGAGGTCTGGGTTGGCAATATTCATTATGAAAAGAAGTGACTAAATAGTCACTTAGTCACTACTAGATGACTAAGTAGATGAGGTGGTATTACCACTCCCTCCTTGGAGTGCTCTCCTTATTTGGCTTCTGTGACACTATTCTCCCTTATGTCTTCTCTTGCACCTTCTTTCCATTTTTCTTGGAAGACTCCTTTTTCCCCATCAGCCCCTTTAATGCTATATTCCATAGGGTCTTTTCTTCTGTATTTATCTCACTCCACTCACTCTTACTTGGGATCTTATCCATGTTTATGCTTTTTACCACCATTTAATGCACCATCACACGATGCTGTAATTATTTGTTTACCTGTCTCTTTCCCTCACTGAACTGTGAGCTCCTTAAGGATAAGGACTATATCTAGATCCTTAGCACCTAACATAGCACCTAACTATGGTAGGTGTTTTATAAATAGTTGATGAATAAATAAGTGCATTTATTCATGTATTCCTTTGTTCCACAAAAACAATTAAAACTCCTCTATGCCTGCTATTGGAGGAACTAGGAGAAATGGTAATGATGAACAAGAGAAGGACGGTATCTTCCCATGACCTATTTTTATAAATGATGACTAGTTAGTTATTCAGACCAGTTCATGAGGCCTATGTTACTCAAAATAGGGCACTAATTGCATTATTTCAATTCCCTCTCAATGCTGTACATAACATGGTGACCATGGGAAAATGCACTTAGAGTTCTAAGCAACCAACTTAGACACCTTTGCTAAAGAAGTTTTTCTTTAGTAGTCTGTCTATTACTAGTCCTGTTCTTGGTGCTTGTTGATGTAACTACATTGTCATTCTTTGATTTGGGTCCTTTATCCCTAATCCACATAAAATAACAGGTCATGGGTCAAATGTAGAAGACAGCGTGACAAAATGTAGAAGGGGGACACCATGACGAAAAGCACAAGACCTAATGCTCAGTTGCCCAAAACCTGAACAGAAGCACTGAAGAGGGGGAAGCGCACGGGAAGGAGGGGAGAAGAGGAGTAAGTATTTGCTGAAAATAGATTCGTACCCCCTCTAAACCGATTTATAGAAAAACAACAGAGATGGTCAAAGTGAGTGTTGGAGAAGTAGATTAAAAATTATGATAAATGTGGGTGGAGCCATGAATGTTTTCTTGGTTATATGGAATTGCCTGTTTTATGGTTTTTGAGGACTTCTTGCATGAAGCAACCTTAAGAAAGGTCATTTAACTGTAATTAGCTTCTTAGCTAAATTAAGTATACTTTCTTCTTAGCTGGACTCAGAAAACTGGGCCAAGGTGGGAACCTATTCTCTCTTGGGGAAGCCCCACTTGCTTTTGTTGGAAGCTCTGAAAAGCTTTCAGATCAATTGTTCCCTCTGGGTGTCAGGTATTTTCCAGGGAAACTGGCTCCTTTTTCTGAGTGTTTTCTGGGGCCAGTTGCTGGGTGCCCTCAGAGACGGAGTATGTCCATTGCCTGCTCTTCAAAGCATTAGGATAATGTGTGTGTGCAGGGAATGGGTGGGTGGATATTTTTATCCCCCCCATAACCAGGTGCAAGAGGGACAAGAAAAATCTACTTCTAAATTTGAAAGGTGAGTATTAAATTGTATGCCAATTGTCTGTTTGTAATAATCTAAGGCAGCTTCTTTCTGGGTTAGCTCTGTACAGTGCCACAGAAAAGGTCAAACCATTTCATTTTCTATTTTCTAAGTACATAGAGATAGCTTTTCTTACATTGTTTGACCTTCCTTTCTCCTCACCTCGCAGAAGGAGGTTCAGATGTGTTGCTTGTCAGATGCAGGAAGGCCCTTTCTACCTCAGACTGATGCCCCCGTGTTGAGCTGCCCCAAGATAGAGGAGGTGATTGAGATGTTGAAGGTTAAAAGACCAGTCACATAAGATTAATTGGAAGAGAAGAATAAAGAGACTTCATGACATCGTATTGTGGCAGGCCTAATAGTCGTATCCACACATCTGAAGGATTGTGATGAAGAAGAGTAGGAGTCGAGTTATTTTATATTGCTCCAAAGAACAGGACTGTGGAAGTTGCAAGGGACAGATATTGGCATAGTACGAGAAACCATCCTATCAGGAGAATTGCCAAGAATCCAGTAGGCTTCCTGAAGTAGCAAACTTTTGTCTCCATGTGTGTTTAAGCAGGAATAGGACAAGCGCCTGCAGGATGGAGTTGGTAGGATTCTTCTTGGGGAGAGAAGCCTCAAGGATTCTAAGCATCCTTCCTTTTGTCTTGCTTTCTTTACATTTCCTTCTGGTGCATTGGGAATAATTGCTTTCGTCTACTTTGTAGGAGCTAGGAAGGAGTCAGGGAAAGCTTTCTACATGCTTTGAGCTCTGATGGTTAAAACTGCTTTGCAAACTAGAGTGCTACAACTTGGGGGTGCTCTTCTGGGGCTTCTCGTTGTCAGTTTTAGCAAGCATTATTTCTGAATCATTGTGTGCTCTCCTAGCATCTGTCCTCTAAGGATGCTACTTTTCAGTTATCTCTGAAGGTGGCCTGAGGGGACACTTTCTTTTTTTTTAAAGTTTCTGTGCTGTCTTTTTTCTTGGGTGCCCCTTTCCTGTTTCCTCGGGATGCTGAGAATGTGTTGGACAAGTGCAAGTAAACGAAGCAGAGTCAGCTTGGAAATAAACATTCCTTCCCTGTCAGGAAAAAAATCACTTGTCTAGTCTGTCTAGATTTTAAAGTGTGATCCTTAGTGGCGTCCTACCATCATCTGTGTGCTGGTGTGGGGTGTACCATGCCCCCTGCCCTGCAGCACACGCTGTTCTTCCTGGAAGGCTGATCACAGGCAGAGATTGTAGTGGCTACTTGCATACCAAGGACCAAGACACACCTCTTCTCAAACATTGCCTGCTCTCCTCTGGAGTTCAGGTAAGTCTACTCGCCTCTCCTGAGCTCACCCTACTCAGTGCTTAGTAGTGAGAGTTGTAATTCCTTCTAACAGCTCCAAAGTTTTTCTATAATATGGAAAGACTCTCATTTGCCTTTTAAGTCTTTCAATTAGTGGAGGTCAATATAGGTCTTTGAACCTAGGTAAGATTGTTCTGGTTCCCATGTAACTTAACGCCTTTCAGCTGGCCAGCTTACTCTGTACTATGGATGCCTGGTCCCCAGCTGAGGCCAACGAATAGGTAGCCAACAAACAGACAGGTTTGGCCAGTTATCATGTCTATCGCATCCTGCTGCTTTGGGTTACAACCCTACTCTAAGCAGACATAGAAAGACTTGAGTCCCTAATGTAGCCCTCAAGAAAGAGATGATTCAGGTGTCCTCTCTAGTTATAGGGCACTGATGATGTAAGTGCCTTCCCTTATTATTTTTATTATCTTCCTCTTTCTCTCACACATACTCAAATGCACACACATAAAAAAACACACACATAGAACAGGCTGCACCCTCACTCAGCTCCCCTAGTCTTTGTTTCTCCCTTTCCCAATTTTCTTTTATTCCTAGAAAATAATGGCATTAATGAGGAAAGCCACCAACTTCACATAGCCTGATTTTGAAGAACTGTGGCTGATGTACTTCAATGAACAGTTGGCTTGATATTTCTCTTTGACATTTATGGGGCCAGGTCCCACTGTAATGGTATGAGAGGCAGGTTGGGTAGGATGCAGAAGACATTGGGGAATGAAAGACACTTGCTGGTGAAATCAAGGGCTTACTTTCTGGAAAGGAGGCTTGTTGGTGAAGAGAGATGGTTGTATCAAGGGGAGGGTCAGGTAAGTAGTTTTATTTCAGACTAGAAAGTGATACAAAGTTATGCCAGGGTAAGCCAAGACAAAGAGTTATTAATAATTTTCTAATTCCTACCTCTAGAAAAGTTTCCATTATTTATTTACTTTTGTTTATTTTTTCCTAGCTTTCATTCTACCCCAAAACAACACCAAAGAAGCTTCTATAAGTTTTAACCATCTAAATAATGACATGATAACAATAACATTTATTGGTCCCTTATTATATGACAGGAAATGTACCATGCACATTTATTATCTCATTGAAATAATCTACATGTATGATGTATATAATTGTCACCCGCAAATTACAGATGAAAACAAAGAGAGATTTGGAAATGTTAAATGACTTTTCCAAGGTCACACTCCTAGTTAGTGGCAGAACAGAATTGGACACTTTGATCTTTTCAATTTCAGGCCAATGCTTCTTCCATTACTTTTTGGCTGTTCTCAATCTCTCTAGGTACAGAGGAAATGGTGGTGGCATTGAAAAGTTCTCTAATGTAAGAAGGCACTGTAGAAGCCTGATCAATCAGAATTCCTCAGTGGCAAAGGAGAGATTTAATGCACAACAAATACTGTCATGACAAAAATAACACCTTAGACTAATAAATTCATTTATTTAATAATATTTATTGAACATATATTATGTAAAGGGCATTATTCAAGGAGCTAGAGATACATTGGGAAAAAAGAGACAATAGATAATTCCTCTGCTCATGAAGCTTATATTCTACTCAGAGAAGATAGATAATAAAGAATGAAAAAATTGTTAAGTGCTCTGCAGAGAATTAAAATCAGCCAATGGGATAGAATCGTAACATTATCAGATCTTAATATTATCATAATCTTAATATTATGAGATTTCAAGATTTACTAGAAAGCTTCAGTAATCAAGATAGGGTTGTAATTTACAGTAAATCTTGAAATCTGTTAATATTAAGTCCCTAAACTTCATGTTTTTTTCAAAATTTTTTGGACATTTATGGAGTCAGGTCCCACAGTAATATGTATATAATGTGTATATACACACATATGAAAGACATAGATCAAATGAGCAGAAGAGAGTCCAGGAATAGACCACATATATATGGCCAAGTGATCTTCTGTATCTTTTTTAGATTATTTATAATGAACACAGCCATCGCTTCCTAAGTTGACCAATGTACTTTCATTTGTGGTTCTGTGATTAGTTCTATGACAGCAATAGTGTCACTATACTTTTTCCCTTTTCATACAATGCTTGGAAGGATTTGCACTTTTACAATAGCCTTTGTGTAGAAGAGGATATAAGTAAATATGAGTATTGTAGTGTAAGTATATAAAAATGATGGCATTGAAACATTTCTAATTTTTTTAATATTAGAAAAATCTAAGACTAAAATGTGTTTATTTTAAACATGAGACATAAAGTAAATTAAATTCTGAGCAATAATAATGTTATAAAAAAAGTTGATGATTGTTCATCAATTAATTCTTGATAAAAGTGCCAAAGCAATTCAATGGAGAAAGGATAATCTTTATAACAAATGGTGTGAAAACAATTGATATCCATGTGCAGAAAAGACCTCAAATCTTACCTCATATCTTGCATAAAAATTAACTTGATATGGATCATCATAAACATAAACATAAGAGTGAAAATTGCAAAACTTTTAGAAGAAAAATTAGAAAAAAATCTCAGTGACCTTGGGTTAGGCCAAGGAGGCTGGAGCCCAGTCAGTGAAGGAGTGAGGAACCAGTTACGATGGGGAAGTGGACAGGGCTGATCGTGTTCAGGTTTGTTTCATTTGTCAAGAATGTTTTATAAAGTGGTTGAATACCTCTAGAAAGAGGTACATGGTGTTTGGCTGTCTCTTGATTTATGTTTTAAAATGGTCATCTTGGCTGTCATTTGGAGAATGGTTCCCAGTGAGGGCCAAGTGTAAAGAGGGGGTTCGATAAGGAGGATTGACACTGTTACATGGCTGAGATGAGAGCTATTGGGGCCTTGTATCAGTGTGATATCAGTAGAGATGGAAAGAAGTGAACAGATGGAGGATATTTGCCTATCACTTTATGGTTTGCAAAAGACTTTCAGATACTTTATCTCTTTTGGTTTTACAACAATCCTTGCGAGGTAGTAAAGATATAATTCTCATTTTGCAAGTAAGGGAATTAGCCTCTGAAAATGTAGATTTGTTTCTATCCATACAGCTAGTAAATGGAAGGGCTGTGTGGGGAAACTCAGTCTTCTTGATACAGTAGAGATGTTGCTTATTCCCTACCAAATTCCCTCCCCTGGAGCCAGAAGAAATCCCACACATGAGCATCATCGCCATAGCTAAATACAGTCACACTTTTTGGCTCTTTTCTGCTATAGCTCTATTTTGGGTTAATTTACCTCGTACTGACTCTCAAACAGTTTAACAGCTATTTCAGGCATCTATTTCTGCTCAAAGATGCACTGCTCCTATTTTTGTAAGCCAGATGATGCAGAGAATAGGTAAT
Source organism: Homo sapiens (assembly GCF_000001405.40). NCBI lineage: Eukaryota > Metazoa > Chordata > Mammalia > Primates > Hominidae > Homo > Homo sapiens. The sequence goes on from NC_000001.11 coordinate 168,635,297, forward strand.
GCGATAGGAAAATTTTGCCCCTCATAAATCACTGACTCACATCATAACAAGATTACCAGAGATCCAAATATGTACTGTCTAATGACATCTGTAAAGATGACAGCACATGATTATATTCCTCTTTGATGTTTTAATAGTATTTACACAAAATAAAGACTATTTATAAAAAAGATACAATATTTGATATTTTACAGATATTATCTCCACTATTTTTTGCAATAATGCTGATAGGCTCAAGGACGTTAATTATCCCAAATACTTAGAAAGTGCTTTGTTTCAATGTTTGAATTCAAGTCTCTAAGGCCAAAGGCCAAGTTCTTTCCACCATGATACTGTTTATTAGAAGAAAGAGTAAAACCATTATGTACTTTCCTTCTTGGCATTTAGTATTTCCATCCCAGCCAGCACCAGCAGTGGGAAGCAGGCACGATTTCCCATAATTGAATACTTTAGTAAAGAATTTACAACTCAGAAGCACCACAAAATACAGTTCTTAGACTTTCTTCTAGATCATACCTACAATAAGAATCTTTGATCTTCTGCAGGCGTGACACTTGTTTATTATTTTATTTTACATGACTCCAGCACTCCTTCTCTCTACAAATACTACATGAACAACCCTGCTATTCAGCATAAGTGAATTAAAATGAAATTTTCCCATTTGTTCTTTTTAGGGATTTTTGCAAATGCTCTGGAAATTTGCAAGACCAGTGATTTGTTGACATCAGATCTATAGCCGGTAGCATTGTCAGCTGACAGCTTTCCAAAGAAGATAGGAAGTAATCAGTGCAACCTTTGTGGAAATTTGTTTAATAAAAACCCAGAGCAACATTGAATCTATATTCAACAAGAAAGATCTAAGTCTTAATATTCATATTGAGAAACTGGTTTGGAATGTTGATAAGATAAGTTGAATATAAATTATTACCAAACATAAACCTCTTTGGGGGATTTTGCTTATTTTCATTATCAAATAATGGCAATCAGTTTAGTTTTGCTGGTCAGTGACTAACCCTAAACCTCTTAACCTAGCTGGGAATAGGATGTCAAGCTTTGGTAGTGAGAGCTAGATGGCACTATGGTGTAATTCTGTGGGGTGCCCAATTATGAAGAGTTTGTCTGATTGTGATGATAGAGGTTTCTGGAATAAGAAATTCTGCTCTTTTTTGCTCGTGTCTTCTCTAACTGCACTTCTCTAAGTGCAATATAGTACAACATAGGAAGGCTAGGAAGAAGTTTCTGGTGTAGGAAGGCTGAAGATGAGCATTGTCTTCTGTCTTGCTCATTCACTCCTGCTCTTGATTTCTTTCTGATAAGCTGTGTGTGACATGCACAGATACACACACACACACATAAACACACACACACCCTTGTTGAGACTTTTTCTTTAAAAATCAATTAGGAGTATTTCAGACAAAAGATGATTTACACTCCTTCTAACCCATGTCCCTGATTCAGCAGTTTTTCCCTCTGGTGACACAGGTGCTATTTATAGGTCATACACGAGCTGAGGCCAGAGCCTACTATGTGAACAGCTTGTACTGTGGCAAGAAGGACAATGATTGTGAAAGCTAATCATATGAATTGGGGCATTCTTGTTATACCCTACTAAAACAGGGTGGAGAAGCCAGGGGGAGAAAACATTCCAAGCACATGACATTGATCTAAGAATGTAATTCTCTGCAAGCCTAGTTGCTGAAATTTCCTGCTGAAACCTGATTTATCTAAGAGCTGCTGAAACAACCCCTTGTGTTTTACCTACTGCCTTCAGTCACCAACCAAATCCTGCCAACTCTCCCAGACCTTACTAGTGCCAGTGAGCTTTTGCGAAGGACAATATGTAACGTTTCCTTTTTTAAAAAATAAAACCCCTAACCTCTTTGTTTTTGGGACATGCTAAAGACAGTCTGCATGTATGGCCTGAATTACCATTGTTTCCTCCCCACGAAATGGCTTAATTTCAGAGATTCATCTCTATGCTTTATTTGACTTTGACAGTACTTTAGAATTGGAAGAAGACATTAGCAGTTTCTCAGTTCAACTTCCCACTACCGGATGTTTGAAGTTCATCTCCTTAATTTTGAAAAACATTTGATTTCCTGATATTTGAGTCTATTTGCAGAAGTTTAGGAAGGCTAGGAAGAAGTTTCTGGTGTAGGAAGGCTGAAGATGTCGGCCATGACTGTGCAGTCTCCTATGATAGAGCAAGACAGGATGAAACTGAAGGGCCAGGAGATTAACAAAATGGTACCTTCTAAGTGTGTGCTGCTATGTTACATGGCATCCTGTAGGGGGAGCTAAGCCATTCAACAGCTTTAGCTGTAGCATTTAAGGCAATGATATCTTTTGCGTCTCACAACTCCTCTTTCTTTACCCTCCCTCCGTAGCTTTCCAGCTGCCAGAAATGTTATAAATACGTCATCTGCCCTCGATACAAGAAGAACAGACTATTCAGAGCACAGGAAAGAGAAAGACCATGATGGAAGAGATGATTGTGTGAGGGCCTCTAGGAAAATTTCCCTTCCCTCATATTTCCCCTTCAACCTGTCTGAGGATCATAGACACCCATTCTCAGAGATAAAGTGTATTTCTGAATTGAGGCTAGTTTTACTCCATAGGAACTTGTCAAAATGTACATGTCTTTGTTCACATAGTATGACCAGGTTTCCTGCAAACAATTTAAAAGAAAATGAGAAAATAAAAAGAGGTAAGCTATTGGAGTGCTGAGAATAGTGTTCTAAAAAATAAGTGGGATTCTAGGTAATTTTTGATAGGAGGAGAAGTAATGGCTGGAAGATGTGAGTGAGGTCTGGCTGCAGGAGTAGAGGTCTAAATGAGACATCTTGGGAATCCCGGGCAACTAGAGGTTAGCTTGAAGGTGAAACATTGGGAGGGGGATTGGTATTTGTGAGGGAGGAGAGGGTCATCTGTGAGGGAGGTGATGAGGAAGTGTCAAAAATTACTTTACTTGGATCCAAGTTCTCTTGAGAATTTGTCCTGGAACCTAAGGTTCTATTCTCATCATAAATGCACTTTTAATTTTTTAGTATTTAGAAAATCCATTCCATGTAGCATTACTGTTGGGTGCCTCTTTAACATTCTTTTCTTCCGCTCTTACTTCCTCACAGACTTGGTTTTGTTAGTATAAACAACCACGTCCGGAGAGCCATGTGTCTAGGGAAGGCTGGTCCCCGGGCCAGCCCAGGGATGGAGGTTGAGGGAGTTGACAATGATGTTCCAAGCCAATCAAAGTGGTTCTACGCACTTTAGGTGTCTTTGGTTCAGGGCAAATGATAATTCTGGCCACTGAACCATGAAGAAAAGTCTGTTGGGGGCAGCTAGGAAAAGTTAACTTGCTTTAACAAAGATACAGACAGAAAATGGTTTCTTCTTCCTCTAAACATTTTCTTGTCTGGATGATGTCACGTCTGGAATTACTGTAGAATCTTGAAACCAGGAGAAAAACGAATCTGAGGGCAAAATGACCCATCCAAAATGTCAGGACACATAGAGAGAGAAAGAAATTGGATTCTAATGCTGTTAAATCAGCTGACTCTGCAGTCACCCTATCTCGAGAGTTCTTGCTTTGTGGCGTAATGAACTTTCTTTTTGCCCCAGCTTCACTGAGGCATAATTAACATAAAACTGTATATACTTAAGGTATATAACTTGAAGTTTTGATAAATGTACACATTGTGAAATGATCACCACATTCAAGCTAAGCTAATTAACATATCCATCACCCAAATAGTTTCTTTCTTTTCTTTTTCTCTTTCTTTCTTTCTTTCTTTCTTTCTCTTTCTTTCTTTCTTTCTTCCTTCCTTCCTTCCTTCCTTTCTTTCTTTTTTTCTTTCTTTCTTTTTTCTTTCTTTCTATCTTTCTTTCTTTCTCTCTTTCTTTCCTTCCTTCCTTCTTTCTTTTTCTCTCTCTTTCTTTCTTTCCCTTCCTCCCTCCCACCCACCCTTCCTTCCTTCCTTCTCTCTCTTTTTCTTTCTTTCCCTTCCTCCCTTCCTTCCTTCCTTCCTAGAGTATTTACAATGTATCTCTTAGCAAATTTCAAGTATGCAGTACAGTATTAGCTATTTTTTAAGTTTATTGAGGTAAATTTATATACATGAAAATGCATTCTTTTTTGCATAGAAGTCTGTGAGTTTAAACAAAAACATTGGAATTGTTTATCTGTTATGCATTGTTAGTGTCTTTTCTGATTAATTAAGTCATTTTATTCAGAAAATATTTATTTTGCATTAACTGTGCCAACCAGGTTCTATATAGAATTTACAATGAGACATGACATGGTCCTTTGCTTCAAGAAAATAATTATTTCCTAAAAAATATGCAAATGAAAGATGATTCTATAGTAGCACTATTTTGAAAACTAAATCTCAGAGTCTTTAGTTTCATTCGTTCAACCATTCACTCTTTTATTAAACATTTGTTGAAAGCGTATGATGTCTGTCTGCAGATATATAAAAGATAAAATCCATCTTCAAAGGGAGACAGAATTGTAAATTAAGAGTTATAATACAATAAAATGTGTTCCACTAGGAGTTTGTATAACTTTTTATCAGCACGTTAGTTATGGCACATATAAATTTCTTTGTAATCTTGTCAATCTATGCCTGCTTTTGCTATTCTCTTAGTTTATAAGAACCTTGAAGGCTTTAATAACTCATGTCTGACTCTTCTTTGTACCTCCAGAAAAACTAGCATATTGTCTTGTCTAGTAAATGCTCAAAATAAATATTTGTAGAATAAATTAAATATTTGTTGAGTAAATGAGACAAGTTTAGTAGGTCTTGAAGGAAGTGTCACATTTGTCTCTAATGCCTAGATCCTTTGACTAATGTAAGTGACTAAAGAAAAGTCAAAGGCACAACTATTTATGATAGAAAAAATTTTTACACAGAAAGTTGTCATTACCGCTATCTTTATTTTGGCCTTCCTAACCAACATTTAAGATAAATCAAGTGGTCCATCTTTAACTTTTGACAAAGGCAAATTGAGTGCCCTATCTCATTGACATTTGACCAAATAAGGATGTAATGATGTTCCATTGACCTTTATCTAGGCATAATTTGTCATATCAGCTGAATCTAGTCTTGTCAAATACTGATATATAATTTTCCATAATTCAGCATATTTTTAGAACCCTTCTCTTTCATGCTATTCATAATTTCCAACATTGTGCCCTGCAGATCTACTTGGCTTTAACACCTGGTTTTTGAGGGTGTATAATGTACTAGAACATATATAATCTGATTTAGTTCTCACAACAGCCATATAAAATTTTCAATACTCACAAATACCTATTACAAATGCTAATAATGTAAACACCATATCCCTTTCTAAACGTTACATGTACTCTTGTGTGGGCTGCATTTTTACATAGATATTTGGAGGAAAACCAAGAGATGTGGTTCAGTTAAATAGGCAGTTAATTTAAACTCCCTTGTTCTTACAGTGTGTGTTGTGTTTTGTTTACATATGAAGAACGGGACATCACAAAGGCTGGCAGATCCAAGTGAGCACTGCATGAAGGGAGAGGGCAGGTAAACTGGAGATGGAGGAATTGGCCCTAGCGCTGCACTACCAGCAATTATTTAGGGAATTTTTCTCCAAATGTATATGTTCAGAAGCTATGTAGAGAAACATGATCTCATGCATAAAAGCATTTGAGAAATGCCCTCTATTGTATCATAATGTAAAGGTTCAAAGCAGTCCTTCAGCAAAGGAATTTTGCTCAACCAAGCTTTTTCCAAACTTTACCAAAGAAATGTTGGTAGATGTATTTATATGTGCAACATTCATTCATTTCTTTATTCATACAATAGGTATTTCTGAGCACTTACTTTGTGCCGGGTCCAGACACTGGAGATTCCAGCAGATAAATCTTCATCCTCATGGCTCTTGCCGAATAGGGATATATCAAGGAACAGATTTTGGGAAACACTGGTCAAGGAGTTCTTGCAACCACTGCTATAAGAAGGAAAAATTCAAGGATATATGATTTTTTCTTTATATGTGTAAATATGTGGGACAATTACTAGTCATCAGAGCAGTGGGCTCTCATCTTGCTTTGGCTCTTACAAATATGCTCCAGGGGCAAAGTTACAAAAACCACAGGACTTGAGGGCTTAGAGAAATGTTTTTCTCTTCGTTCTATAAGCTAATTTGATGCCCCAACACACAAATACTTGCTGACCATGAGTATTGTTTGTGGCCAGCTGGCCATACAGATACCTTCTCTGGAACCTTCCTGGTTTCTTCCCGACCTGTGTTCGCTCTCATTCCCGTCTTTACTTCCATCAGAATATTTGTTTACATATCCCCAACCTCAATCCCACCTTTTACTTGTCTAGCCTTTATATTTATGCCAATTTTTCTCAGTAATTTCCTACAGAATGAGGAAAAAATGACTTTTGTAGTTATGCCATAGAATCTTTGAGAGAAAAGTTTCAGAATAGTAACAAAATCTAAGGTGAAATTGAAAAGAATTGGGTGGTGAGTAGAATTGGAAGTGAAGAAAGTTAGTGATGGAGTTGAGAATTTGGGGTAAAAGGAAGGCAGAAGTGAAGAAAGTTAGTGATGGACTTGAGAATTTGGGGTAAAAGGAAGGCAAGATAAAGAAAGTTTACTTAACTAGTTTAGCAGAAAAGTTTTAATGAGCATTTATGGCCACAGAGAACATTTAGGTGTATCTTTAGTGTGAGGTAAAGAATCCTGAGAAAGGAGATTCATTTCCTAGGTGAAGGAGTCAGGTTGGCAGGAAGGATTAATTATGAAAAAAAAGGAGTTTATTTTATACTTGATTCAGATGGGAATGAAGAAAGGCTGGACATAAAAACTTTGAAATTGACATAAGCTGTTTCATTCAGACCTGTTTCATTCAGAGCCACATGCGTTGTCTACTATTCCTTTACAGAATATGTCACTAGACATTGAGTCAGCTTTTCCTGTAGTTCCTAAAGGGGAGGTAAAGCCCAAAGATGAAGACAAAAGGCTGTAAGTGTCCAGCATTCTAAGTTAAAAGACCTATCAGATCCCTTCCTAAATGGGCTTATTAGAGAGGCTCTCCTACCAATCCCTGTTCCCTCCTTTGCCAATATAATAGGCCCAGAGAAGTGGAGGTCACCTTAGGATGCAGAAGGAATTAAGAGAAACCCTGTCCTTCCTGCCCATGGGAAAGACTTCCCTCCCTGAAGCCCAGGCAAGTGAAGAAGGCTGTCCAAGGATTGTAAAGATTGGGGATTTGGGCATGAAGGGAAACTATTGGCATTTCATTCTTCAGCTAGTTTCTGCTTTTGAAGCTGACTCTATGACCTGTGCTTGTACCACACGAATAAGGAAAACAGCATTGGAAAAAAGATGGTATGTGGGACAGTCTGCCCAAGAAGGATGCCAAGATGGGCTCTTCAAGTTCTCAGTTCTAGGGAAGCATGGAGAGATGTACTACACATGCTCATACTCCTGGCCATCACTGTGGCAGACAGATGAGATTGGGCAACCTAAATATGTTGATAGGCTTTGGGGTGTGTATTAGTCCATTTTCATGCTGCTTATAAAGACATACCCAAGACTGTGAAGAAAAATAAGTTTAATGAACTTACAGTTCCATATGGCTGGGGAGGCCTCACAATCAAGGTGGAAAGCAAAAGGCACTTCTTACATGGTGGCAGCAAAACAGAATGAGAGAGAAGCAAAAGTGGAAACCCCTTATAAAACCTTCAGATCTTGTGAGACTTGTTCACTACCACGAGAACTGTATGGGGGAAACTGTCCTTATGATTCAACTATCTCCCACTGGATCCCTCCCACAACATGGGAGAATTATGGGAGCTACAAGATGAAATTTGAGTGGGGACATAGAGCCAAACCATATCAGGGTGGGACTGAGGCAAATATGTATGCCCATCAGAAGGTTGGGTCATAAAGCTGGAGGTCAGATTGATAAGGAGGCCAAGTCTCATGGCAGATCACTAATGCTTTGGAGATCTGTGCATGAGCAAGACTTGTCAGTGGGGTCAGTTGCAGTGACCGCACATCATGACGTGGCCTGTAGACAATGAGCTAGAGCAGTTAACCCACAAGTGGGCAGCAACCTCACCCTGTTAGGGATGATGTCTGGCCAACCCACTGGAGCCACAGGCATTTCCAGCCAGCATTGAGGTTTGTGAAGGGAAGAGATAACTTTAAATTCAATTCCAAGAAAAGATTTATAAATAAACAGGACTAAGCTTTAAATACTAAATGGAGGCAGTTCTTAAAACCACAATATTTAGAAAAATTAAGAAATTAAGCCATGAAGTGGTTAAGGGACCCCTAACTGAGTTAGATAGGAACAACATAGCACAGTTGGTGACCATCATTGGAAGAAACAGAAGTTTCAAATTTATATTCCCAGTGAATTGACACTCACTCCTCAGCCAACCAGGGAGAAATAAATCAGACTTGGATTCAAAGCCCATATGCTGTAATGTGAGCTTCTTGAGAGCAGGGGCCACATTTCTGTTAATACTTTCTCTATAATCCCTTACACTTAGATCACTGTTCAATACCTAATCAATGATAAATACCTGTTGATCCAAGTTAACTAATCAAATTGCTTTACCCCAGAGGTTGGTAGAATAAATTTTACCTCCGTAGGCATATGTGGAATGGCAGAGCGCCTGATAACCCTCTTGAATTGGTGGATACCATATTAAAGGTTGTTAAAACAAGGGAACATCATGGGAATGTGTGTTTGGGTCACTTTCAAGGCCTATCCTTACATTCTGTCCTCAGGGCCTCACTGCACACTTCCATTTATACCTGATTTATATAGTTCATGCCTTTTCTTATTACTACTCAGGGCCTCTTTTGAAAAGAGACTCCTCTTTTGGCAATTTGGTTTCATTCACTTATTAAACAAATATTTTTGAGTGTGTCCTATGTATCAGGCACTGTGCCAGGGAATCAGGAGTAGGTAAACCAGTCTGTTGTTATGGCTTAGTGGGAAACACTGGATTAATGACAGAATCTCACAAACAAAGGCATAAACACAAAATGAGGCAAGTGTTATGGTGGAAAAGAGCCTTACTCCTTGAAAGCACACATGGAGGATACCACCTAGCCTGGGCTGAGGACATCTGGGGCTGAGAGTTGGTAGATGGATAGCAGTTAGCTGGTAAAGGGAAGTTTGGATGGGATTTGTAGAAGAGCATTGCTCCTAGCACAGGGAACCTCATGTGTAAACATCCTTCAGTGGAAGAGAATACAGCATCTTTGAGGAGCTTATCACTTAGTTCAGGAGTAAATTAGAAGCAAATTAATTCTTGCCTAATTTGACTGTAATGGGGAAAGTACTTGTCTTTGTATTTACCCCTTTTCAATTTCTCATATACAAAATAGAAAGTGGTTTTTACCTATCTTCTCTCTGAAAACTGGCATTAGTCAGGGTTCTTCAGAGTATCAGAACAAATAGGGCAGATAGATAGACAGACATAGATAGATAGATGGACAGGCTAATAGACAGGTAGGTAGATAGATAAGAAGAGAATGCCTATTTATTATGGGCATTGGCTTATGGCAATATGGAGCCGAGAAGTCCCATAATGTGATCTGCAAGCTGGAGAACCAGGAAAGTTGGTGGTGTTATTTAGCCTGAGTCCAAAGGCCTGAGAACCAAGAGAATGGATGGCATAAGTCCCAGTCTGGGGCTGAAGGCCAGAGAATGGGGAGAGGGAGGGGTGCTGATGGTGTACATCCTGAAGTCTGAAGGCCTGAGAACTAGTACCTCTGACGTCTGAGGGCAGGAGAGGACGAATGTCCTAGATCAAGAGGGTCGGGGGAGGGGTATTCACCCTTCTTCTACTTTTTTGTTTTTTCTGGGCCCTCAAGAGATTGGACAATGCCCACCCACATTGGTGATGGTGGTGTTTCTTTACTCAGTCTGATCCAAATGCTAATCTCTTCCACAAACACCCTCGCAGACATTCCCCCAAAATATTTCATTAGAGTATCTGATTATCTGGGTATTCCACAGTCCATTCAAATTGACCCATAAAATTAACCATCACAAAACCTCTCACAGGTGTCTGAAGACATGGCTAAAGGGGCTGAACAATGTCAGCAAAACCATGCCAACTGACTTCAGCTGGACAGGAGATCAGGGAGGGAGGGGGCAGGAAGAATGGAGGAGAAACACCATCCTTGGCCATGTTTTGCCTATTTATGGGCTACAAATACATCTGATTTTGAAATTTATTGCCAGCATCTATACCATAAGTTTGAGGGAAGTGTTTTGTAGCACATTCTTCCAGAAACCAATGCTAAAATGGCCTTTTAATCCTGGTCTGGGTTCCTGAGGTGCATTGAGAACTAAGGAGCTAAGAAGGCATAATTGTCCAGAAAGAGCAAGGAGGGGATCTGGTTCTTGACCGAAGCAAAGCAAAGTTTCCTTTATTAAACACTCAGGGAGGAGAAGAAGAAGCAGGATGAGAGTAAAATCAATAGAGCACCTACAGGCATTATCACCCTGCCAGAACATCTCAAACTGATTCATCACGTCCTGCTCCATGGAACCTGGCTATTGAGAGTACTGTCTCTAGAGAGTATAGCTAATTTCCATGTGAAACAGAGAATGGACTTTACCCAACAGAAATACTGTAATTAAAGGGCAATGGTGGTTTTGTTGCAAAACAAAATAGAAGATCATATAAAGCTTCAAAAGGGTCATTTACAAGACTGGAAATAAAGCTTGTAGATTTAGCCTTTGTAGGATCCTGAGTTGCTCTCACCGCTGAAGCCACATTAGATGCTGTGCTTTTGGCTTTCCTCACTCGAGGTCTCTTGCCTTTCCCTTGCATTTATCTCACCAAAAGATTCATGGGGCCAGACAGACCTGCAGGCAAACCTTGGACAGTTCTTAACTACTCTGCACCTCAGTTTCTTTGTAAAGGGAAATAATGTGATAGTCTACGTCGTAGGGCTATGGTGAGGGTTAATTAATTAATATCTCTAAAGTGCCTAGTATCTGGTGCTCAAATGTAAGCTCCGTGACTACGGTCATTTTTGGTCACTGGTGCCTCCTCAGCACCTGGAACAGTGCCAGGCACAAAGTAGGTGCTCAAAAAATATCTGAAAATGAATGAATGGCACATAGTTCTCAACAAGCATTACCAGTTGTTACATCCCCCTTTAGATTCCAATTCCTTTGATAGAAATGTCTTCTCTTTTACCTGTGCCTTTATAAAATATCTAAAGCAGACCATGGCTCCCTATATCCACTCTTGCCCTCCTCCAAGCCTAAATCTGATCTTGTCCCTAAATCCTTTAGATGTTTTCCCTATGTCACTATAAAGTTCAATACCATTCAGCTGGTCCACGTGTACATCATGACTTGGTCCTTGACTACCTCTCATTCTTCATCTGCGGCCCCCTGGTAACAAATCCCCCCTCACCCAACTGCCCGTAATAAAGCAGTTTGTGCTCCAGTTTTGTTGGGCCAGATATCTTTTCCAATGGGCTATGTCTTTTGGCTTAGGCCTTCAAACATACTATCACTTTCCCTCCAATATTCCTGTGTTCTCCTTCATCTGATTATCTCTTACTCATTCTTCTGACTTCAAATTAAATGTTTCTTTCACATTTTCATTGATTCCCCAAACTAGGTTAGATACCCATGTTATAAGTTTCCATAACACTCCACACACCCCCTTTATATCCTTTAACATATAGATATATTTGTCCTATTGGCATTCCTACTTGATCAAATAATCCATGAAAGCTAGGACTCTGTTTTGCACATGATGGTGTCCCTACAGCCCAGCCAAGTATGTGGCACTCAACAGGTGCTCACAATATATTAGTAAATAAATGCCAAATGAAGAACATATAAAGAGCAAAGGCTTTAGACTCAGGCAGCCCTGGGTACTGATTCTGCCTTCACTACCTGCCAGTTCTGTGATCTTGGCCAAAATGCTTATCTTCAATGAGCCCTAATTTTTACCTGTGTAAATAGGAATCATATGACCAATCTCATAAGGTTTGGTAAAGGTTAAATTAGATACAGAATGTATAATACATCAAATAGTAGCTGGCTCAGAAGACATGCTTAATAAAATTAGTGATAATCATTACAATTGTTAACATTGATAATTTGATTAAAGCTGACCTTGAAGATAAGCTACTCATCTACCTATCCAGAACAAGTAATACTCAACGAGTAATTAAGAACACCTATTTCCTTTACCGTATTCCTTAGTTAATCACCAATGTTAGGGTGGGCTAAAGATATTGGCTTAAGCTTGGAAAATGGAAAAAAGAGGAAAATTATATACAGAAACAATACAATCATAACAGAAATGGTGGACAAAGGTGGCAAAAATGTTCCATGGTTGTTTGTAGCCATTCAAAAGTGGGTTTGCAGAAAGAAAGCATTTGAAAGACCTAGAGCTCCATCTTCCTTGCTCTCCCCGTCTCCCTTAGCTACAGATGCTTCTAAAATGTACTTGCCATGTTCTTTGGCAAGGAGGCCTTCACCTTTGACTAGTGCTATTTCCATACTGTGTGTTCCAGTGTAGTGTTGATCAGTGAATGGCTGAGAATCTCTGTCTTGATGTTGCCTGTGATCACACATCAAAACCCAATGTTTATTTTTATTGATCAGCTTTTAGAAAACCCCAAAGGTAAGCAAACACTTTAAACTTGGTAATAGGCATTCAATATTTATCCAGCTTTTTGTTATTACTAGCAACCTGACATTTATTTGAACAACTATTTTTTTAAGAGAAGTAATTCAGACAAATTGTTGCTTCATGAATGAGTGTGAGTCTGTTGTTGAAAGTTCTCAACATTGAGGCCGGGTGAGGTGGGATAAAGTTATCCCAGCACTTTAGGAGGCTGAGGTGGGTAGATCACTTGAGGTCAGGAGTTCGAGATCTGCCTGGCCAACATGGTGAAACCCTGTTCTCTACTAAAAAATACAAAAAGTAGGTGGGCGTGGTGACATGCCTGTACCCCCAGCTACTTGGGAGGCTGTGGCACAAGAATCGCTTGAACTTGGGAGGTGGAGGTTGCAGTGAGCCAAGATCATGCCACTGCACTCCAGCCTGGGCAACAGAGCGAGACTTTGACTCAAAAAAACAAAACAAACAAAGAAACAAAAAAACCACAAAAAAACAGTTCTCAACATTGAGTGGGCTCTGTTGTCACTATATGCTGGAAGTCACTGTGGTTTAAGTTACTAGGGTTTCAAAATTCTGTTTGATACATGTGGAATTAAGGTTGTGGTGTCAATGCTACAATGATTAACACCTTACACTGATAGTGGGCATTTATTTACTGGGCCTTCTTTTGTACTTCCTTTTTTTTGTGGAATTCTTTAAGGTAGGTAACTTTTAGCCATTTTACAGATGAAGAAAATTGAGTCTCAGCAGTGTTAAGTAATTTCCATTGCATTATATCTCTGGAATTTGATAGAAAATATATGAAAGAGATTGGTGCAGCTCAGCATCAATGAATGGCTATTTTGCTGAAGGCGTGTATGTTTTTGCACTGTTCATTGTTAACTAATGTAACATTTATACATAGCTCAGAGAGACTTTGGTTAATTCCACATAACTGACAGAAAGGTAGAAAAGTCCATTTGCAACTAATTTTTGGTCCATAAAATGCCAAAAATGTTGTATGTTTAAAATGATTTGTATCAACCAGAATATTAACACCATATGGCACCTGAGACAAAGGAGAGAAATGTTGAATATAATTTAAAGACAAGAAATAACCTGAGTGGTTTCCATGGGAGAAAATGTAGAAAGAAGGTGTAGTGGATGCAGTAGTGTTTCCCTCAAATTAATTCCTCCTTGCCCTGCTTAAGGACTGAAGCCCTTGTTTCCCCAACTGTTGGGAAGGTTGGGAGCCAGCCACTCTGACTTGAGCCTGTCTCTGGGCCTTGTCTCTAGCTGGAGAGGGCCCCCTTGCCCAAGGTAGCAGCTCCTTTCCCAGGTCAGCCTGCATTCAGTGAATGGTAGATATGGAAGAATAAAAGCTTGATCTGGCCCCAATTTGGGGCAGCACTGAAGGGTCATCAAGCTCCAGAGCTCTTGTAAGTAAAACTGAGTGAGTGTGTCACCCTCATTGTCATGAGAGGGGCCCATGGACCCACCACCAGCAATGGTAATGCTGTATGGCCTCCGGGGCCAGTTCAGATTTCATTGCGTCCTTCTCCCTATTATGAACTCAGATGAGATTGGCATAGGCAGCCCATACTCTGTCTTTGAAACAAAGACAGTTATTTTAGGATGTAGCTCATTTGATGTTTTCTATGGCTTGCCTGCCTGTTTTTAATTCTATTCAGTATATGTACAGTTAGAAATTAATCAGGAGGAACAGTTAAGCTCCTTTTGGAAGAAAGAGCATAGAGAAACAAAGAGAGTTCTCTCAACTAGAAATTAATTCCACCACTCATCAGCAGTCTCCAGCTGAATTAAAACAATCCTCCGAGCAGATTTGGAATACCAGTTCTGGTGCAAAAACCTTTAACTTTCCCTGCAGTGCTTATGCCTTGATGAACATTTTCCTACCCCACATATTTAGGGATAGTTCATGCCTGAATTGGGCCTAAAGTTTGAAAACCTCCTTTCTGGCTCCAGAGATGGGTGTATGTCCATACGTTTTGAATTTGGAGGTTATCGGGAGCTCTTCCAACTCACTCTGGATAAGGTGGAAAAATCACTTGCAAAAACCACAGCCTTGGAGACATCTGCAAAAGACAGGTCTATGTCCTGCCTGTTCCTCAGACTCCATATCCTCACTTGGGATCTCTGGCTGACCATTACCCTCTATGCTAGTGACGCTCCCTCTCCAGGCTCTGATCTCTTCCTCTAAATCTTCTCTCATCCCATTTGAACTCAAAGCTTCTTGAAGAACACTCTCTTTTGGGCTCTCTTTCCTACAGAGTAGAAGAGGCAGTTGTTATGCTGCCCACAATAAATTATGGCAAAGTGGAAGTGAACACAATTTCTTAGTTCCTTCTATGAGCTAGGCATGGAGCCACATGTTTTTACACACAGTTTCTCATTTTATCTTTTCAACAAATCCCTAGGGTAGGAATTATTAATCTTCCCTCTACAGGCTCGGTATCCAAACTCAGAGTTAAATAACTTCTCCAAGGTCATTCAGCTAAGAAACAGCAGAAGCAGGATTTAGAACTGGGTCTAACTCCAAAGCCTGTGCTCCTTATTAAATGTCCTTGCCCTACTCTCCTTTGTGGAAACCTGAAGTCCATTATTACATTTATTCATTTTGTGAAATGTAAACATGACCCAGATTGGTAACACATTAAAAACTACAAAAATCTTATTCTGTTCAGAAGACAAAACAACTCGAATCTTGTATGGGATCTGCATGACACAGACCACTTACACAAAGACAATGTGTTTTTAGCAACAACTAAGATTTGGCAGCATTTTTGAGCTTAATTACAGAGCCCTTTCATGTATAGAACTATATTAATCCTTACAGCAAATTGTGGAGTCATTTTATCCTTATCCCAATTTACAAATAATGAAATGGAGAGTGAAAGAGGTTTAATAATTTGTCTAAGATCACCATCTAGTCAATGGTCAATCAGGTCTTAGCCTCAGCTCTTCTGACTCTAGATCCTACTCCTGGCATCACACTCTGTTGATTTTGAGTGATCTTCAATAATTCATAGGATGGGGAAAAAAAAAGAAGAGCCCTTTCTTCGACTTGCCCCAGTGTTTGACCTTGTCTAAATTAGAAGCACTTCTCTTTATTATTATTATTATTATTGTTATTATTTTGAGACGAAGTCTCGCTCTGTTGCCAGGCTGGAGTGCAGTGGCGGGATCTCGGCTCACTGCAACCTCCACCTCCTGGGTTCAAGAGATTCTCCTGCCTCAGCCTCCTGAGTAGCTGGGATTACAGGCATGCGCCACCACGCCTGACTAATTTTGTATTTTTAGTAGAGACAGGGATTCACCATGTTGTCATGGTGAAAGGTGCCATTTCTAAATCCATGCGAACCTATGCAAATCCAGTGCTTACATTTTTAATCACCTTTGTGCATTAGAGTATTAATAATGATGAACAAAAAATATCCTGCCATTGATGCTCTTATTCTCATTTTATGAATGCCTAAACTTGTATGTTCTAAACTCTAACCAAACCAGAATTACTTTCTGGCACAGAGTAGGCACATTACAATATTATTATTATTTTAATTTAAACTTTTATTTTAGATATATGGGGTGCATGTACAGGTTTGTTACATGGGTATATTGCACCCAGGTAGCGAACATAGTACCTAACAGGTAGTTCAACCCCTAGTCCCCTCTCTTTCTCCCCTCATAGTAGTCCACAGAGTCTATGCATTATAATATTGTTATTGTTATTTCACTCCAATCACTCAAGACAACTCCATTCCTGAAGTACCCAGATGACCCGCATTCTATATTCCTCAATTTAGCTGCTGAAACCTGCTGGAAAAAAGTTTACAATTTTATAGATTTGGAGCCTACAAATTTAGAGTTTTGAATTTCTACCTGGCAATTTTTTATGTATCTCAGGTGAACTCCCTGAGACAAAGTGAACAAATTCATTGTGGGGTGAGGGGGTGGTTGTGACTTGTTTTTAAACATTTACGACTCTCCTTGAACATCCAGCTCATACCCTTCCTCCCCCAAAAACCTCAATCCTCACATCATGCAGTGCACTGTGGCCCTCAGGCCAGGATACCTCCAACTTTGGGCAATCTCGGCCCCAACAAGCTCAGGTTATCTTCATCTCTTGCTTCTACCTCCCTCCTGCCCACCCACTGCAGTGGAAGAATGTTCCTTTTCCTGTTAAACGTATTGAATTCTGACTCCTTTAGGGTCCTCTCTCCATTAATCACAATAAGAATAAAAAACACAATAACTGTCAGACAAAAAAGAAAAAAAAGGTACCTGCTACATCGTCTATCTCAACGTATCCCTTTATCTCCTTTTTATTCCTCATTCCTTTTTAGCTAAACTACTTGAAATGGTCATTTAAACACCCTCTCCATTGACATTCATCATTAATGGTGTTCTCAATGTTTGGCAACATTGGCTATGGGATACTGAGAGCTTAGATATTCCTGGCATTACAGGAAGTTTATTACACTAATTGTTGTCTTTAAATCCTGAAAACACTATGAATGAGTTATTATTATCTTCATATTGGAAATGAAGAAACTGTCTGAGAGGATGTAATTTGCTCATTGTCACTCCTAGCATGTGGAGGAGCTCCACTTCCTCTGAATGGCTTTTGTGCCGCCCATCAGCAAACCAAGGTTCATTTGCTGACTTAATCAAGTGACAGTTTTGAAATTTGAATCCAAATTTTCATTTGTCTTTTAATTCTATGCTTTTGTTTGCTTGCTTATGTGTTTTTACTATATCAAGCTGCATTTTCCTTATCCTATCTAGAGTGGTGTGTATAGAATTTAGAATTTTGTCTTTTTAAGAAAACAAGTCTTTTGGAGATAGTTCTTTACATTTGTGTAGACCCTCATGCTTTCCTTTAATACTGATCTCTCTTCTGTTTTCCAACAGAGCAGATAGACATATCTGAAATAATAGATTAATGATTCACACTTCATCCAAGTTCCTCTGGGAAGTAACAGATAAATATACACTTATTTATAACACAGCTTACAAGTATCTGCAAAGTAGAGGATGCTCTGTCAATATTCTCCAGTCACACATGTGAGAATACCCAGTCCCTGTCTACCTAATACCTATCGGGCCAGAGAAACTTAGTCTGGGGCATGGATGTGTGCATTTGTCCAAGTGTCTCAGTCCTGATTATGTTCATTACTTGAATGCAGAGTCCCAGACTTTAGAGCCAGGAATAACTTTAAAGGCTCTTATTCTACCATTTCACAGGTAAGAAGGTTGAGAGGTTCAAAGTGACTTCTAAACCAGTTTTAGAACATCCAGGACTTAAGCCAGATACTCTGAAAGCAACTGCAGCACTCTTTCATCTTCAGTCACTTGGTATAGCTGAGTCCTGTGTAAAGGGACACATGGCAATTTGGGAGTTCAGAGATTCAAGCAGTTCCCTCATTGATATGCACCATGTTACTCTTGAGCCAAGCTGATGATTTCCTATTTTCTCAGACTCCCCTGGGGATAGGAAGGTCTGAATTCCAGTAAAAGGCTCCTATTCGATTCTGAGTTTTTAATGGAATGTATGCTACCATCCTTGTGAATTGGAAAGAACAAGGGTAACTTTCTGCAGAGTTGATGACTTGATGCAGATTACCTTGATATGGGTGTGCTCAGTGAGCCTTGGATCTACAAACCATAACTCTTAGCCACATTCATCATTTTGGTCAATTAATTAAGCCTCAGCTTAAAAGGGCCATTAATATCTATAGATGTTGCTTGCCAAACTCCAGAATCTTTCTTCACTTGAAAAATATGTTGATCCACCTACAAACTTGGAGCAGAAAAAAAGAAAAGACCCAAAGAGCTGGCTCATCCTGCAGTCTTGGCCAGCAATGCTCACTGCTGTGAGTTGACTCATGTTCTTGGCTGGGGAGGTCGATGCCAGTTCAGTGCCCTAGAAACGCTGCTCTCCTACTGTGAAGTTGGGGTCCTGAAAGCCACCAAATGTTTATGCCAGAAAGCTAGGAAACACTGGAATAAATTTTTCTAACGTGCTCATCTTCTAGCCCCTTGAATCCCCATTTCTACCTCTAGCCCTTGAATATCTAATAAAAATCCCTGCAGTGTAAATGTTGTAGTGAAAAGAGGCCTGCAAAAAGAGGCATTTTAATTTTCTTTCTACTCTTTATTATCTGTGAGTCCTTAGTCACATCACATAACCTCCTTGGACTTTGTATTTATTTTTTTTTATGGCGCTATAAGAAATCACTACAAATTTAGTAGCTTAACACAACATAAATTTATTCTGTCATAGTTCTTGAGGACACAAGTTTGAAAGTAGCATCACAGTGCTGAAATAAAGATGTTGGCAGGGTTGTGCTCCCTTTGGAGACTCTGGGGTGATTCTATTCTTTGCTTCTTCCAACTTCTGGTGGCTGCCGGCATTCCTTAGCTGTGGCTGCATCCTTCAAATATTTAAGACCAGTATCTTCAAGTCTCTCTCTGCTTCATCTTCACGCCACATCATTCTCTGTGTATCTGTGTGAAAAATCTCCCTCTGCCTCTCTCTTATAGGAAGACATGTGATTTTATTTGGGGGTCCACTTGGCTGATCCAAGATCATCTTCCAATCTCAAGATTTTTAATTTAATCACACTGACAAAGGTAGCATTTGCCAATTCCAGGGATTGGGAAGCATTAATAGTGTCTCTTGCAGGGAGGCATTTTTCAGCATACCATAGGCTTCAAATGACTCATTAATTGTATAACAATAACACCGTAACCACTGGAACTATCTTACTTTGAATTCCCTTCCAGCTATGAGATCGAAGATGCTATGAATCATATATCAATTGCAAAGTATTCCACATTTCAACACGGCCTAAAAGAAAGCTAATGTGATAGCCTTGGCTGTAACCTGTAGCCATAAAGATATTCCTGGCTTAATGGACAATTTGTAGATGTTCGTCCCTGAGACCAGTTTTTCACTTTGGGTCCTTATCTTTGCCTCAATGTTGTCCCATTCATTGTATCCAAAGCCTGGCCATTATTCTCCTGTATAGATGTGTGTCATTGACAGATACAACTGGCTATCTACCAATAATTTGGACTCCCTTCTCCATAGCAAACAGTCTTTGCTGGGAAGCAGCTACCCAACCAGGGGGCTATATTTCCCAGCACCTTTAAATCTGGGTGTGGCTATGTGTCTAATGGAAGGTGGGTGGGAGCAAAGTCTGTCATTTGTAGGCCTGGCCTACCTGAAGCTTCCATGTAATCCTTCATACTCTCTTTCCTTGATGGTCCATTCCCTGGATGTATGCTCTTGGAGCAACCTTAGAAACCATATTTTGAAGATGGAAGAGGTTCCATCAGCACCAGTTCCTGAGTGGGTGCTTTGAGTAAGCCCACAATCCGTTCTCCTACTGATGATTGGACTTTGGTGCTTTAGAAATAAATTAATGTTGTGTCAAACCATGGGTGCTTTGGAGTTTATCTATTATAAGCAGCTGCCAATCATTTTCAATACCATGACTGCCAATTTATTCCCATTAGCATTAATAAATTGTTAAGATGGCAGCAGAAAGGAGCTTGCAACCTTCCTCAAGTCATAATAGCTAGACTACCTGCATAAGAATCCCTTGGGTTTCTGCAAATTCCTATATCTCGTTCTAAATAGATGAAATTATGACTGCGGTAGGGGTGATTGTGTGAGTTTTGATGGTAGTAGTGATGGTGTAGGCTATATTCTGCATTTTAAATCATCTTCTTTGTAATTCTTAAGCATCCTAAATTTTGAGGAATCCAGTTTATAGTGCTACCCATCACATTTTAAAAGAGTCCACATTACGTCTCAGGAGCCAGCAATCCTGGAGCAGAGAGAAATGACAGGAGGTTATCTATATACATTGCCTATTTTTAAGAATGGATCTTGTTTTGAGATTGCATGGGATAACTCATGAGTGGTTTGCTAGGAATATAAATAGATAACCACTTTTCACTTTAATATTGTCCTGCATGGTTCCAACCTTCATTGGATATTGGAGGTTTCGTTATAACAAAGTGAAAATATATGTAAATTATAGCTATTCCAGGAGTAGGATGAGGGTGAGGTGAGTGAGACACTTGCCTTGGGTGCAAAAGTTAAGGGAACACCAAAAATCTCAGTAATTGAGGTAAATAAAATTGTAATGCTATATTTTTAAAAATTAAGATTAATGCAAAAATCTATAATGAAAAAAGTCAAAATTTTAAATAAAGACAGGCACAGTGATTACCAATTGAAGATGGAAAAACTCAAATTAGTGCTTGTATTTTTATAAAGTTGAATTTTGCGCAGTTACTTCGACTCTCTACCCCAAACTAAAATGTTAGTCAAAAGGAGGAATTTGATGAAGAACATGTCGGTAAATGCCAATGACTTTATTGGCAATTAATGAATATTTACTAAACACACGTTTCGTTACAGGTGCTGAGAATACAACAATGAACAACACAGATTAAGCCTCTATTTTTATGGAGTGCCCTACAGTTAAATGACAGATGTCACTTTTGCTCTCAACTAATTTACTAGCACTACTTAAATGGCTCAATTCAACTATAAGGGAGAAAAGAAATGAAATCCTGCCATGTACCTGGAGATTGGAGTACAAGAAATACTTGGTAAACAGCACAAATGACCATCACCACAGTGCACTCTTCTCACCACAAAACATTTGGCCCATTCTCTCTCTCACAGGCAAGGTACTCTCCCATGGGATACAAAGCAAACATTCTACTTAGACATGTCAGGAAGCTGAAATTCTAGAGGCTCTGAATGATGCCAGGCAGTCTCTATATCAGACGGCATTTATATCAAGTTTGGATGTGACTTATCTTCATGCAAAGCTCTATGAAATAAAAAAGTAACTTTTATGCCCTGTATGGATATCCCAGGGCTGACATAACAAATAATCACAGATTTGGAGGTTTGAAACAACAGAAATTTATTTTCTCATGGTTCTGACAATGAGGGATCATCAAGGCTGTGCTTCCTCCAGAGCCTCTAGGGGAAAACCTTTTTTTTGCCTTTTCCAGCCTAGGTACCTCCAAGTGTTCCTTGACTTGTGGCTGCACAACTTCAATATCTGCTTCCATATCCACATATCCTTCTCCCCTGTTGCCTGTGTCTGTATCCTTCTGCGTGTCTCTTTTAAGAATACTTGTCTGGATTAAGGAGCCACACAGATAATCCGGGATGATCTCATTAAAGATGCATAATTAATTTCATCTGCAAAGGTGTTTTTTCCATAATAAGGTC
Source organism: Homo sapiens (assembly GCF_000001405.40). Lineage (NCBI taxonomy): Eukaryota > Metazoa > Chordata > Mammalia > Primates > Hominidae > Homo > Homo sapiens. The sequence continues at coordinate 168,657,230 of NC_000001.11, forward strand.
GCAATCACAGGTTCAGGTTCAGGTTCAGGGATAAAGATGTGTGCTGACCCTGTGCTTATGTGGGGAGTGGGATGACCTAGTGCTGATGTGGAGAGTGTGATGACTTAGTGCTGAATTGGGGAGTGTGCTGACCCTGTGCTGATGTAGGAAGTGCAATGACCCTGTGCTTCTGTGGTGACTTCCTCTATACGCATATGAATGAGGTAAGGGCTTTGGAGAGGCAATTCCTGCATAATATCATACTTTACTATCTGTTCAGGTGGTTTTTGTATTGCTCCATCACTAAGTTTGCTAGTTAGTTTAACAGGTCAAGTTAGCAGCTTATTTTTGAATCCTTGTAGAAAAGAAAACATTTCCTTTAAAATACGAGAACAACAGAATAAACGATTCATGAGAATAAGGTCAAATGTTTTCTAGCTGAACTAATATAGTTTTACAATGTCTCCTATAGTTGATCTACCAGTGGAAAGGTAATTAGAGAGTCACTTATTTATTTCTTAGGGCACTAAGTTCCCAAAGCCATCAGTTCCCATAAAGAATCCTGGGGTCTGTAATATTTTGTGTCATAGCCAAGGAATAATTTTCCACTCTTCTTTCTGGGTTTATACAATATCACAGCAATCGGTGACATTAAGACTATTATTTAGAAATGAATTGAGTGACTCATAACTTATTATTGATTTCAAAAGCTTTAGCTGACTTCTGTCTTGAGAATCTGCATTTATCCAATCTCTGTTTCCAAACAGTGGATGCTAACATCATGAAAAACAATGGCCGTACTTCATAAATGAAGTTAACCATGCTGGTTCACTATGCATAGCGCAGGCATCATGTGTCATGGGGAAAAACCATGCCCTGCATATTTATTTTCTTAAAACTAAGATGACAATACTGACCCAGTATCAAAAGAATATATTCCTTGAATGTAGTTTTCTAGTTTGTGAATAATTTCCCTGAACTGAGCTATTTATTATTGCTTATTATCATTTGATACATACATTTGAGACAGTTGCCTCTGGTGAGGGATAACAAGTGTTCTAAAAGAACAGAGTAAAGTCCCCTGGCTCTTGGAGGGAACTCAGACTGTCACATGCTTGAATGGAGAAATTTCAGTGTCTTCTTATCTTTACAGTTGTTTATTGCCCTCCACAAAGAATGGCCCAAATATGAATTTTTTAAAATACATATTTCATAAAAGCATTTTGGCAGTTATGAGATTAAAATATAATAAATATTCTTTAAAAATGTAAGCGATGGTGGTATTTACTAGGGTAAGGCTTGGTTTCTTGAAGCAAATCCCATGCCATGATCATCAGCAAAATGCAAATCAAACCATAGTGAGATATCACCTCACCCCAGTTAAAGTCCCTATTATCAAAATGACAAAAAATAACAAATTCTGGGGAGGATGTGGAGAAAGGCAAACTCTTAAACACTGGTGTTGGTCATGTAAATTAGTGCTGCCATTATGAAAAAAAGTGTGAAGTTTCCTAAAAAAAATTGAAAATAGAACTATCATATGGTCCAGCAACCCCACTGCGGAGTGTATATCCAAAGAAAAAGAAGTTAGTACAGGCATACTTCATTTTATTGTGCTTCACTGTATTGCACTTCAAAGATACTGTGTGTTTTTATTGTATTTATTTATTTTTTGAGATGGAGTCTCTCTCTGTCACCCAGGCTGGAGTGCAGTGGCGTGATATCAGCTCACTGCAACCTCCGCCTCCTGGGTTCAAGTGATTCTCCTGCCTCACCCTCCCGAGTAGCTGGGATTACAGGCACCTGCCACCATGCCCTGCTAATTTTTGTATTTTTAGTAGAGACGGGATTTCACCATGTTGGCCAGGCTGGTCTCGAACTACTGACCTCAGGTGATCCACCTGCCTTGGCCTCCCAAAGTGCTGGGATTACAGGCGTGAGCCACCGTACCTGGCCAGATACTGTGTTTTTTCCAAATTGAAGGTCTCTGGCAATCCTGCATCAAGCAAGTCTATCAGGGCCATTTTTCCAAGAGCATGTGCTCACTTTATGTCTCTGAGTCACATTTTCATAATATTTCTAACTTTTTCATTATTATTTTATCTGTTATGGTGATCTGTGATCAGTGGTCTTTGATGTTACATTGCAATTATTTTGGGGTGCCATGATCTACCTCTGTAGAAGATAGTGAAATTAATCCTTAATTGTTGTGTGTATTATGACTGCTCCATTGATTAGCTCTTCCCCTGCCTGTCCCCCACTCCTCGGGCCTCATCCCCTGAGACAGAACAATATTAGAATTAGGCCAATTATTAACCTTACAATGATCTCTAAGTGTTCAAATGGAAAGAAGAGTCTTGTGTCTTTCTTTTCTTTTTTTTTTTTTATTATTATACTTTAAGTTTTAGGGTACATGTGCACAATGTGCAGGTTAGTTACATATGTATACATGTGCCATGCTGGTGTGCTGCACCCATTAACTCGTCATTTAGCATTAGGTATATCTCCTAATGCTATCCCTCCCCCCTCCCCCCACCCCACCACAGTCCCCAGAATGTGATGTTCCCCTTCCTGTGTTCATGTGTTCTCATTGTTCAATTCCCATCTATGAGTGAGAATATGCGGTGTTTGGTTTTTTTGTCCTTGCGATAGTTTACTGAGAATGATGATTTCCAGTTTCATCCATGTCCCTACAAAGGACATGAACTCATCATTTTTTATGGCTGCATAGTATTCCATGGTGTATATGTGCCACATTTTTTTAATCCAGTCTATCATTGTTGGACATTTGGGTTGGTTCCAAGTCTTGCTATTGTGAATAGTGTCGCAATAAACATACGTATGATTTATAGTACTTTGGGTATATACCCAGTAATGGGATGGTTGGGTCAAATGGTATTTCTAGTTCTAGATCCCTGAGGAATCGCCATACTGACTTCCACCATGGTTGAACTAGTTTACAGTCCCACCAACAGTGTAAAAGTGTTCCTATTTCTCCACATCCTCTCCAGCACCTGTTGTTTCCTGACTTTTTAATGATTGCCATTCTAACTGGTGTGAGATGGTATCTCATTGTGGTTTTGATTTGCATTTCTCTGATGACCAGTGATAATGAGCATTTTTTCATGTGTCTTTTGGCTGCATAAATGTTTTCTTTTGAGAAGTGTCTGTTCATATCCTTTGCCCACTTTTTGATGGGGTTGTTTGTTTTCTTCTTGTAAATTTGTTTGAGTTCATTGTAGATTCTGGATATTAGGCCTTTGTCAGATGAGTAGGTTGCAAAAATTTTCTCCCATTTTGTAGGTTGCCTGTTTACTCTGATGGTAGTTTCTTTTGCTGTGCAGAAGCTCTTTAGTTTAATTAGATCCCATTTGTCAATTTTGGCTTTTGTTGCCATTGCTTTTGGTGTTTTAGACATGAAGTCCTTGCCCATGCCTATGTCCTGAATGGTAATGCCTAGGTTTTCTTCTAGGGTTTTTATGGTTTTAGGTCTAACATTTAAGTCTTTAATCCATCTTAAATTAATTTTTGTATAAGGTGTAAGGAAGGGATCCAGTTTCAGCTTTCTACATATGGCTAGCCAGTTTTGCCAGCACCATTTGTTAAATAGGGAATCCTTTCCCCATTTCTTGTTTTTCTCAGGTTTGTCAAAGATCAGATAGTTGTAGATATGCAGCATTATTTCTGAGGGCTCTGTTCTGTTCCATTGATCTATATCTCTGTTTTGGTACCAGTACCATGCTGTTTTGGTTACTGTAGCCTTGTAGTATAGTTTGAAGTCAGGTAGCGTGATGCCTTCAGCTTTGTTCTTTTGGCTTAGGATTGACTTGGCAATGAGGGCCCTTTTTTGGTTCCATATGAACTTTAAAGTAGTTTTTTCCAATTCTGTGAAGAAAGTCATTGGTAGCTTGATGGGGATGGCATTGAATCTATAAATTTCCTTGGGCAGTATGGCCATTTTCACGATATTGATTCTTCCTACCCATGAGCATGGAATGTTCCTCCATTTGTTTGTATCCTCTTTAATTTCATTGAGCAGTGGTTTGTAGTTCTCCTTGAAGAGGTCCTTCACGTCCCTTGTAAGTTGGATTCCTAGGTATTTTATTCTCTTTGAAGCAATTGTGAATGGGAGTTCACTCATGATTTGGCTCTCTGTTTGTGTGTTATTCGTGTATAAGAATGCTTGTGATTTTTGCACATTGATTTTGTATCCTGAGACTTTGCTGAAGTTTCTTATCAGCTTAAGGAGATTTTGGGCTGAGACAGTGGGGTTTTCTGGATATACAATCATGTCATCTGCAAACAGGGACAATTTGACTTCCTCTTTTCCTACTTGAATACCCTTTATTTCCTTCTCCTGCCTAATTGCCCTGGCCAGAACTTCCAACACTATGTTGAATAGGAGTGGTGAGAGTGGGCATCCCTGTCTTGTGCTAGTTTTCAAAGGGAATGCTTCCAGTTTTTGCCCATTCAGTATGATGTTGGCTGTGGGTTTGTCATAGATAGCTCTTATTATTTTGAGATATGTCCCATCAATACCTAATTTATTGAGAGTTTTTAGCATGAAGTGTTATTGAATTTTGTCAAAGGCCTTTTCTGCATCTATTGAGATAATCATGTGGTTTTTGTCTTTGGTTCTGTTTATATGCTGGATTACATTTATTGATTTGCGTATATTGAGCCAGCCTTGCATCCCAGGGATGAAGCCCACTTGATCATGGTGGATAAGCTTTTTGATGTGCTGCTGGATTCGGTTTGCCAGTATTTTATTGAGGATTTTTGCATCAATATTCATCAAGGATATTGGTCTAAAATTCTCTTTTTTGGTGGTGTCTCTGCCCGGCTTTGGTATCAGGATAATGCTGGCCTCATAAAATGAGTTAGGGAGGATTCTCTCTTTTTCTATTGATTGGAATAGTTTCAGAAGGAATGGTACCAGTTCCTCCTTGTACCTCTGGTAGAATTCGGCTGTGAATCCATCTGGTCCTGGACTCTTTTTGGTTGGTAAGCTATTGATCATTGCCACAATTTCAGCTCCTGTTATTGGTCTATTCAGAGATACAACTTCTTCCTGGTTTAGTCTTGGGAGAGTGCATGTGTCTTTCATTTTAAATTGACAGCTAGAAGTGATTAAGCTTAGTGAGGAATGATTATCGAAAGCTGAGATAGGCCAAAAGCTAGGCCTCTTGCATCAAACAGTTAGCCAAGTTGTGAATAAACAGGTAAAGTTCTTGAAGGAAATTAACAGTGCTACTCCAATGAACATATGAATAACAAGAAAGCAAAACAGTCTTATTGCTGATACGGAGAAAGTTTTAGAGACCCAGATAGAAGATTAAATGAGCCTCAACATTCCCTTAACCCAAAGTGCAATCAAGAGCTAGGCCCTAACTTACTTCAATTCTATGAAGGTGGACAGAGGTGAGAAAGCTGCAGAAAAAAATTTGAATGTAGCAGAGATTGATTCATGAGGTTTAAAGAAAGCAGCCATCTCTATAAGATAAAAGGGCAAAATGAAGCAGCAAGTGCTGATGTAGAAGCTGCAGCAAGTTATCCAGAAGATCTAGCTAAGATCACTGATGAAGGTGGTTATACTAAACAACACAATTTCATTGTAGATGAAATGCTGGATCCTTATTTTACAAGAAGATGCTATCTAAGACTTTCATAGCTAGAGAGATGAAGTCAATGCCTGGCTTCAAAGCTTCAAAGGACAGAGGGGCACTCCTGTTAGGGGCTAATGCTACTTGTGACTTTAAGTTGAAGCCGCTGCTTATTTATCATTCTGAAAATTCAAGGGCCCTTAAGAATTATGGTAAATGTGCTCTGTCTGTGCTCTATAACTGGAACAACAAAGCTTGGATGACAGCATATCATGTATTCAGCATGTTTTGCTGAATATTCGAAGCCCACTGTTGAGACCTACTGCTCAGAAAAAAAGATTCTTTTCAATATATTATTGCTCATAGACAATACAACTAGTCAAGAGCTCTGATGGAGACGTACAAAAAGATTAATGTTGTTTTTATGTCTGCTAATATAATATCCATGCGGCAGCCCATGGATGAAGGAGTAATTTCAACTCTCATGTCTTATTTTATTTAAGAAATATATTTTATAAGGCTACAGCTGCCATCAATAGTGATTCCTCTGATGGACCTGGGCAAAGAAAATTGAAAACTTTCTGGGAAGGATTCACTGTTCTAGATGCCATTATGAACATTTGTGATGAATGAGAGGAGGTCAAAAGATCAACTTTAACAGGAGTTTAGAAGAAGTTGATTCCCACCCTCAGATGACTTTGAGGAGTTCAGGACCTCAGTGGAGGAAGTCACTGCAGATGTGGTGGAAGTAGAGAACTAGAGCTAGAAGTGGAGCCTGAAGATGTGACTGAATTGCTGCAATCTCATGAATTGCTGCAATCTCATTATAAGACTTGAACAGATTAGGAGTTTCTTCTTATGGATGAGCAAGTAAAGTAGTTTCTTGAGATGGAGTCTACTCCTGCTGAAGATGCTGTGTACATTGTTGAAATGACTACATAAGATGTAGAATAGTCCATAAACTTAGTTGATAAAGCAGTGACAGATTTTGAGAGGATTGCCTCCAATTTTGAAAGAAGTTCTACTGTAGGTAAAATGCTACCAAACAACATCACATGTTATATAGAACTCTGCTGGAAAGGAAGAGTCAACTGATGAGGCATAGTTAATTGCATCTTATTTTAAGAAATTACCACAGCCATTTCAACCTTCAGCAATCACCACCCTGATCAGTCAGCAGCCATCAGCATTAAGGCAAGATGCTTCACCAGGAAAAAGATGACAACTTGCTGAAGGCTAAGATGACTGTTTGCATTTTTTAGTAATAAAGTATTTTTCAATTAGGTATATACATTTTTAAAAGACATAATTTAATTGCACAGTTAGACTACATTATAGTATAAACATAACTTTTATATGCACTCGGAATTAAAAAATCCATGTGACTCACTTCATTGTGACATTTGCTTTATTGTAGCAGTTGGGAACTGAATTCACACTATCTCTGTGGTATGCCTGTATGTCAAAGAGATATCTGCACTCCCATGTTAATTGCAGCATTATTTGCAATAGCCCAAGACAGGAAACTGAGCTAAGTGTTCATCATTGTATAAATGGAAAAAGAAAATGTGGTGTATTTACACAGTTGAATGATATTTAGCCATAAAAAAAGAATGAAATCCTATAATTTGCAGCAATATGGATTAGCCTGGAGAACATAATGTTAAGTGAAATAAGCCAGGTGCAAAAAGACAAATACTGCATAATCTCACTTGCATGTGGAATCTAAAAAGTTGATCTCATAAAACTAAAGAGTAGAATCGTGGTTACCAGAAGCTGGGGAGGAAGAGGGAGTGGGGAGGATGAAGAGAGGTTGTTCAGTAGGTACAAAGTACAGTTACGTAAGAGGAATTAGTTCTGGCATTCTGTTGCACAGTAGAGTAGCAATAGCTAACAATAATATATTGCATATTTCAAAGTAGCTAGGAGAGGATTTTGAATGTTTTCACCATAAAGAAATAGAAATGTCTAAGGTGATAGATATGCTAATTCCCCTAATTTGATCTTACCCATGGTATACATGTATGGAGACATCACTTTTTACCCCATAAATATGTACAATAATTATGTGTCAATTAAGTTTTTTAAAAATAAGACAACTGAAGATCAATAGAGAACTAAATGGCCACTCTTTGAATCATTTCTCAACCAACTATATTTTAGTGTCTATCTCACTTAGGTATATGCCAGACATTGACTTCACAATGAAGAGCAAGAATGATAAAATACAGTTCCTACCCTAAGAAGCACAGAATCTTCTTTATGGAGAAATATATCAGGTATTTCTATTTACATCAGGTAGGGGAATGAGTTTAAAGGGAAATAAGGCTTAAGAATTATCAAAATAAATTATATATGTTTCAGTTATATTTCCCGTTAAGTATTGTTAAACTGCAATCCTAAGATTTTTGTGAAAAATCTTTTCTCTTTCTTTTTTTCTTTTTTAGAGACAGGGTCTCCCTATCTTGCCCAGGCTGGTCTTGAACTCCTGGGCTCAAGCAATCCACCTGTCTTGGCCTCCCAGGTGCTGAGATTACAGGCGTGAGCCACCATAGTACTCGGATTACAGGCTTAAGCCACCATGCCTGGTCTTCAAAAACCTTCTTTTCCATTTCATTTCTCATCTAGACTTTGATATAATGCTTTAGTTCTGTTTCTTCTCCCTTTTTGACATTAGGACTTTCTCTAACTTTCTATAAACTCTCTTATTTCTGTGTTATTAAAGCCATCTTCTTAAAAGGCTTATTATGTCACTCCCTACTTCATAATCTTTAATGGTTACCTGTTAGAAGTAATATAAATTAGAGATCATGAAATTTGGAAAATGCCAGAGTTAGTTTCAAGTATTCTGAGATATCTGGTAAGTTACTTAGCGTTTCTAATCCTCAAGGCACTTATTTGTAAAATACAGACACTAAACTTACTTTCCTCATAGGATTTTGGTGAGGACACATTCCCTGGTGATTCCTGGTACTCAGTAAATTATGGCCATCACAGTGATTAAATATTGTGTATAAGATCCCATTCCTTTAACATATTTCTTGCCAGGGATACCATGGAACAGATTTCTCTTTGGCTAAGAGACTAGTCTAGATAATTGTAAAGTTGCCTTGAAAGATTTTCTGGATCCTTGGCCCATTCTAACACTATATTTGCATTATACTCATGAAACAGCAGTGTTCAGTCTATAAATCCCTTGTAAAGGTTTTAAATAACTCTCAACACATCTCTTAAAGGCCATAAGATGGTAATAGGACAAAGGAGGGGATGTGCCTCTTGCATGCTGCCAATATTGGCTAGGTGCTAACCAGAGACACTGAGGAGAAGGACTTGGTAACGTGGTGGCAACATTCCCAATGCCTTAAGCTGAGTAGTCCTCTCTTCTGCAGTGACTGATTGCTATTTATAGCCTTAATTTTTGGAGCTTCTAAGTAAGTGTCCTCAAAGGAACTTATCAAAGAAAAGCAGAAGCTAGAAGCAGCAGCCAATTTCCTTTATATAATTGTGATTTTGAATATAATGACATTGAAAATGATGCATTGAAGATAATGTATATCTTGTTTATATTTATGACTTATGAATTTCCAGTCTCTAAAAATGAGATATAATGTGTCTATGGTACCTACAGGTCTCAAGTACTTTTTCCAAAATGTCTGCATATCCTGCCTTTGTATGTTCTTGAAGAGTGACTCAATCCCAGCAAGTTAGAGTCTTTGACATGGAAAGTTCCCTTCAAGGTGTCTTCCCCATTCTCTTTTCTTCCACAAAAAGAGACAGAAGAGAACAAGATGGTGTTGCTGAACTTCCAGCAGAGGAAGAGGAAGGGAAAAAGAAATTCAAGTTATCTTTCTTATCTCCACACACATAGAGTTTTCCTTCATGGGAAGCTGAATCTTGATATGATCAGATATGGGATATCTTCTGTAATCATGGGAAGCTGAATCTTGATATGATCAGATATGGGATACCTTCTGTAATGTTAGAGGGCCTGAGTTGATGGTCAAGCCTGAGGGCTAGAGGGGAAGGAGAACTATGTCATGTACAAAATAGGAGGAACTAATGTAAACGCTTTATAGAGTTCTCTAACAACAACAACAACAAAAAGACAAACAAAACACTTATTGGGTACAATACCAGTCCTTCCTTAGTTCTTTGATAGAAGAATATGATAAATAAGCTCTGTCTGAAATTTTCAAATTATTTAGCAAAAATTATTAGATGGAAGTGCTTGAAGTAATGGCAGTTTTTTTTTGTGGCAGTTCAGGGTATATATACAGAGCTAGGGTTAACTGGGTAAGTATCTTTTAGCTTAATGAACATGAAGCTTCATTCTACATATATAGAATTTATTTATTTATGACTTCATAGATCATTGTTGTTGGAGACAAACAACAGTAAAGTGTTTGCCAAAAACTTTGAAAAATTAAATAAAATTGCTGTGAGACATACCTAAATATCACAAGTAAAATATGCAATGCCATTTTACTAGTTAGGCTAGGCAAAGTTTCATTATAGTGAAAATCAACTGCAAAATCTCCATGGATTACTCATCATGATTTGTTTCTTGTTTATATAGTATGTGTCCTTCACATACTATAGCAAGTATCTTACCTAGAGCCCTGTGTTCCATATTTTCCTTCTGTTGGGACCCAGAGTAGACCTCAAGTAACCTCTTAAAAATTTGGTTTCCTTGAGGCTTTTCTAGAAAAAAAGAGAGGAATGGTCATGAGGATGCCAGCATCTAGTTCACTTAGTATAGTTCTATTTTAAATTAACACATCAATATCCTGGTTTTATAAATTGAGTTTTGTAAGCTTAGTTGGCTTGAATTAGCTTCCTCATTAAAAGGGGTTTGCTACATACTTTTATAAACAAAACCATAAAGTGTGCACTTTATTCATGATTCAATATTAAGTATTTTTTTCTATTAGATTTCACAGTCAAATAAATCAATTTTGTGAGCCAGTATCTTTATGTTGTCATATAGAGGACTGTACAAGATGTTGCAGAAGAGATTAGTATTTGAATCAGTAGACTAAGTGAAGAAGATTGCCTTCATCAATATGGGTGAACATTATCCTCTTTTTTGAGTACCTGAATAGAACAAAAAGGTGAAGGAAGAGTAAATTTTCTCTCCTGCTTGAGCTGTGATATCCATTTTCATCTGCCCTTGGACATTGGCACACCTAGTTCTTGGGCTTTTGGACTTAGACTAGGGCTTACACATCATCCCCCTGCCAATTCTCAGACTTTCAGACTTGAGCTGAATGACACCACTGACTTTCCTAGTTCTCCAGCTTGTAGACAGCAGATTAGGGAACTTCTCAGCCTCTATAACTGCATAAGCAAACCCCTGTAATAAATGTTCTCATATATATATATATATATATATATATATATATATATATATATATATCCTATTAGTTTGGTTTCTCTGGAGAACACTGATACATACAGTAATGGTACCAAGTTATTTAGCTAAATATTAATATAAGTGTTTTTATGAAGGCATTTTGAAGATGTGGTTAATATCTACAATCAGTTGTCTTTAAGTAAAGATTGTCCTTGGCCAGGGATGGTGGCTCACGTCTGTAATCCCAGCACTTTGGGAGGCCGAGGCAGGTGGAACACTTGAGGCCAGGAGTTTGAGACCAGGCTGGTCAACATGGCAAAACCTAGTTTCTACTAAAAATACAAAAATTAGCTGGGCTTGGTGATGCATGCCTGTAATCCCAGCTACTCGGGATGCTGAGGCACGAGAATCGCTTAAGCCCAGGAGGTGGAGATTGCAGTGAGCTGAAAACACTCCATTGCACTCCAGTGTGGGTGACAGAGTGAAATTCTGTTTCAAAAATAATTAAAGATTTTCCTTGATAATCCAGGTGGGTCTCATTCAATTAGGTGGAAGGCCTTTACAAGAAAAACTAAGGTTTCCCTGAAGTAGAATAAAGTTTTCCTGTGGATTTCCTACCTGCTGGGCTGCCCTACAGATTTTGAACTAGCCAGTCCTTATGACCACATAAGCCAATTTCTTGATATAAATCTCTCTCTCTGTCACTATCCAATATATGCAATATAATATCTGTGTGTTTTTTTTTTTGGTAGATCCCTGATTGGGTTATGCAAAGAAAAGCAAGCAGCACCTCACTTCCCAGTACAAAAAGAAATCTGTACCCATCATGTACTGGGAAGTGAGGTGCTGCTGTAACAAATATGTACAAACAAGAAAGCGGCTTTGGAACTGGGTAATGGGTAGAGGCTGGGAGAATTTTGAGAAGCATGAAAGAAAAAGCCTAGATTGCTTTGAAGAGACTACTGGTAGGAATATAAAGGCATTTCTAAGGAGTTATCAGAAGAAAACCAGAAACATTATTAGGAACTAAAGGAAATAATTTTTTTTTTTTTTTTTTTTTTTTTACAAACTGGCAGAAAACTTGCCTGAATTGTGTTATATTATTGGTTGGAAAGCAGAACTTGTAAACAATGAAGTTGGATATTTAGGCTTGTTTTCTTTTTTTTTTAACTGCTTAGAGTAAGATGAAACAGAAAAGATATAAACTGAGGGAGAGATGGTTAAGCAATTGAAAAACTTATTGGAAAATAAAAAAAAAGAAAATGATAAGCAAAAATAATAAGCATTTGATGGTTTGGGAAATTCTCAATCTATCCAGATTACAAAGGATGCTAAAATTAGAGAATTCACTGTTGAGAAAATGTGCTCTGGAGAGAAGGTCAAGGGTATAGCTGGACAACTTATTATTGAAGAGATTAGCCATGTCACTCGTGGGTCCAATCAACCATTTCAGAAGAAGCCAGGAATAAAAATGAACTTATCCAAGAAGAATCACTGGAGAACTCTATTGTCTAATGCAGTGAATACTCTTGACATACATGGGAGACCCATGATGTTTTTGGAAATGTTACATCAGTAGAAACACTGCCAGCTTGGACTGAAAGGGACAAAGACTAGACAAAATTAAAAAACATTGATTAGATTCCCAATATTCTATAGGCAAGAAATGAACTGCTATAGCTACTCAGCTTCAAATATGTACTACCATTCAAGGAAAAGAAAGAATGATGCAGGGGGTGGAACTGTGGACCCAGAAGCTGATGATGGTGGAGCAGCTGCTAAGGAAATAGGAAAAGGGCCTATTTCTAAAAGTAAAGACTCAGGGGTGATGGAGCTGTGGGCCCAGAGCGTAGAACTGTGAGCCACAAAGGACTATTCTTAGGCCTTAAAACCATAAGCCAAGGAGTGACAAGAGCCACCAGACGCTGGAAAAATCAATGAAGGATGCTTGCTTAGGGTCTTCGGGGTAAACAAGACCCTGCTGACACACTGATTTCAGACCTACAGAACTGTGAGAAATGAATTTCTATTGTTTTAAGCCACTAAGTTTGTGGTGATTTGTTAGGGCAGCCCTAAGAAGCCAAAGCATAACCTTATATTGCTTATTTGTACACACTTATATTTAATTTTGTATTAAATACAAAAATAAACATTTATTATGTGCCTGCTCTTTGTGAAAGGCACTGGTCCTAGGTGCTGAGAATATAGCAATGAATAAAATACATTCCCAAAATATACCAGGCAAGCAAAACAAAACACTTGCCACACCGTGTCATAAGTTCTGTGATAAGGATAACTAAAGAAGCTATGGGAATGCAGAGCAGCGCCCCCAACCCAGTCTAGGTTGCTTAGGGAAGGCCTCTTCAAATGTTAGGAGTTAGCTAAGGAAGGGGATAGAGTGAAGAGAGGAGCAGGTGCAAAACCTCAGATCCGGCCAGGCGCGGTGGCTCACGCCTGTAATCCCAGCACTTTGGGAGGCCGAGGCGGGCGGATCACGAGGTCAGGAGATCGAGACCATCCTGGCTAACACGGTGAAACCCCATCTCTACTAAAAATACAAAAATTTTTCTGGGCGCGGTGGCGGGCGCCTGTAGTCCCAGCTACTCGGGAGGCTGAGGCAGGAGAATGGCGTGAACCCGGGAGGCGGAGCTTGCAGTGAGCCGAGATAGCAAGATAGCGCCACTGCACTCCAGCTTGGGCGAAAGAGCGAGACTCCATCTCAAACAAAACAAAAGAAAACAAAACAAACAAACAAACAAAAAACCCCCCAAAAACCCTCAGATCCAAGAGAAGATGGAGAGTTTGTTCAAGAGACTGTAAATAGCTCCATATGGCTGGAGTCTTGGGCATGATGGAGGTATCAGATAGTAAGGAGGTGGATGGGGCTTAGCTTGGTGATTGGGCACAGGATGGCAGAAAGAGAGAATGTCAACAAGGCTTCAGACACTGTAAGTAATGGGGCCATTCCTGAGACAGAGACAAGAGAAATACCCGATTTGTGAAGGAGAATAATTTCAGTTTTTAATATTTTGAATGTGAGGTAGATGTAGGGCATCCAATAGAGGATGGACAATAGGCCATTGGAGTTAGGTTTATGGAGTTTGGGCAAGACTAAACTGATTTCTCTCAAATAAAGGTGGTATGGAGTTTGTAATTGGAAGTTGAGGAAATGGAGATAATTATTTTTAAAAGTTCAACTTTGAAGAGGAAGAGATACAGTTGAGAAGTCACTAAAGGGAAATATCAGTTGAGAATGGGTTTATTATGGGAAAGTTTTGAATAACCTTTCAAAGTTGTGACAATAGAAATGAGAGAAAGACACTAATTCAAGACAGAAGGAATAAGTAATCGGTAGGGTGAGGTCCCAGAAAAGACAGAAGGAGATGGTTCGGAGTACTGGTGGGATGATTAGTCTCAGACAAGTGGCACATATGTTATGTGTGGCAAGAGGGAAGAGGGAAAGGATGGGATACAAGTGCCAGCAAGCGTGTGGGTTGCGGCAGGAAGACTTAGAGAAAGACATCTATTGTATTGGTTGTTTACTGCAATGTAACCAATTACCCCAAACTTAGTGGCTTAAAACAATGAACATGTACTATCACATTGTTTCTGTGGGTGGGGTTTCTGGCACAACTTTAGCTGGGTGCCTCTCATTCAGAGTCTCTTACATATAGCAGCCAAGTTGTCAGTCAGGGCTGCAATCATTTCAGAGCTCAACTGAGGGAGCATCCACTTTCAAGCTCACTCACATGGTTGCTGGCAGTTTCTTGTCATGTGTACCTCTTTACAGTCACCTTGAGAATGAGAGTCCTCACAACATAGTAGCTGGCTTCCCTCAGAGAGGGTGATTCAAGAAGGAGAAAGCCAGACAGAGCACCCAAGATGAGAACCACACAGACTTCTTATGACCTAATACTTTCCTGGTTCATCCTGGACTTGTGAGATTCAATCTCCAAGTCAGTGCTTTCATCATAATTGCCTCTTCATCATGCCCATCCCTAAGTTCTTTTCTCCAGATTGTGCAGTAGCTCTGTTTTGGTTATTTACTTCTCTAGTCCAGTTGTATGTGTCCTTCCTTCTATTATTAAAATATCACAGCCATCCAGCCTCCTTTTTTGGAGATGTCCAAGTCATGCTGCTGTAGCTATTATAATTATTCTTATTTTCATTATGCGAACTCTTAGAAAACATGGTCACAATAGAGACAATATTAAAAAAATGAAACTAGCACTATCTCAGTACAAAGCACTGTAGTTAATCCACAAGATTAAAAGCACAAGTTAATCCACTTGAAGCAATGCAACAATGGATGATTCATTATGCATTGTGAGCTGCAAATAATGGTTGCCAACATCAGTGGTCATGGGAAAAAAAATTAACAGCAGTAGCTACTACAGAGGGTGGATAATCTGTGTCACATTCATTTGATGTAAAAAGTAGTGTTACTTCCAGCCCTATTTTTTTTTTGGAGGCACAGTATGGGTTTTTCACTTTTACCCTAACCTCCCATACCCATTGCCATTGGGACTTTCTGAATCCCAGGGAAGGGTTCTAGAGAGACAAAACTTTCAGTGCTAACACTGGGATAATCCCCAGGCAAACTGGGGTGGTTGGTCTTCTTATGTTATAAAGAGGTCCCAAAAAGATTGATGCCACTACTTGGTGGATGAATTCACATTGTGGGATATCCCTTACTTCTGTTTTTAAATTTGGCATGACCATCTCTGCTCACCAATATTCTGCAATGGTTTTCCCGAGGAATATCTTTCCTTCTCCACTTTTTCCCTCCTCCCTCACTACATACCTCTCACAGCACACTTTAAACTGGCCCTTCATTTTAGAGGCAAAAGTAAAAAGCACTGATAGAGCTTCACAAGAGAAAGGAAGAATGGAGGTAATTATCTGGACAACCTAGACAAAGAGGCTTATTATTGTTGCTACTTCAAAACAAGGCAGAAATGAGTGTGGGCTGTGAAAAATGATCTGATCCTTGGATAAAAAGGAAATAGCTTGTCCTTCTGAGCCAGAGCCCTCTATAAAGTGCTCCAATTGAGGCCAACAGAAAGACAGAAAGATTCTGAAAAACCAGGTTTCTCCCTCTGAAGTGTCACTGAGAGTAAGAGGCTCTGGCCAGATCTCTAAAAACTATCTTTGTTCTTTAACTTCCCTGTGTCTTTTAAGGAAGGCTTTATTTCTCAGGGGTTTGTCTATAGCAACAGCTCTTCACCACTTGTCTCTAGAAATGAGCTTCCTCTTATTTTGTTACTGATGAGTTCCAAATCCCTTCCCTCCACTCAGGGGCCAGTGTCAGAATGGAGTGTGGTTTGTGACCAACTGGGTCAGCCATTTTAACTTGGAGCACAGTTTTACATGTTTACCATATTTTAAAAAATCTCTTTCCTTCTCTATTTTTGCTTATTTTTACTTGTGATGATTACTCACCATTGTTCACTAGTCTCCTCCTTTACTGCAGGTACACAATCTACAAAAGGTGTTGGAGCACTAAATCCTTCTATCTAGTTGAGTGAGGGGCTAACTTTTGCCTAATAGGCCCATTTTCATAGGGCTGCCTCTGACTGAAAGGCCTTACTTGCAGAAAAACAAACAAAAAGCCAAATGAGGACTTGCGAGCAACCTAACTTTCTTTTAGGATTTAAAAGATTCACTTTTTCTCTACTGATTTTGTTTTGGGGGAAGAAGACTGTCTTAATGACCTGTTGTCTGAATTTCCCCAATTTTCTGTGTTGTTCATTTATAAGGTGCTTACTAGCAAAATCAAAAAGTTTCTGCAAAGTTTTAAACACTTTTATAAAAACAAAATAACAACAAAAAAGTGCATGTATTTTCTCAATAATATTTTAGCCATACTGAATTGTGCCATGGCCTATGGACACATTCCTGAGTACCTCCAGGGATGAGAAGTGGAGTCTGGGTGAAAATGTAAAGAAAAGGCTTTATTTACAAAGCCTCATGTATTCCAGCCTCCCTCATCTTCACTGTAGAGCTGCTCAAGTTAATGGAGCCTGTACACAACTTTCGGGAAGAAGAGGCTGCTGTGGGAGGGCAGGATGGTTTTCCTTTGTCATGGAAAGATTTTCAGTTTGATGGGGGAAACAGAGGGAAAAATATCCAGAGTGACCAGCTGGAATTTAGGGTAATGTTTTTAAAAAGATGGGATTGTTAAAACCATATTTCACCCAGCTGTCTTTGATGGTGACTACATCTCACAAAGCACAGCAGTCCTTTGCTTGGTGCTGTCTGGGATCCCAGCCCTTGGCATTGTAGAAATGCTAGAGAGTAAATTCATTTGCTGCCAGGAGTGTTCTCAGTGCCAGGCAAGCATCTTTGCTTTTGTCTTTTTCCAAGTTTTTCATTTGCTTAGCAGTGGTCTTCAAACCAACCTCCTAGAGAGCATATTCCACGCTCCAAAACTAAAATGTTTAGTGCTAAAGTGTTCCACCACTAATGCAGAATAATAGTGGCTACATCCCAATTCACAGAGAAAACAAAATTACAGAATGGATTGATACCTGATTTTAGCTATTACTCCCATAAATATTGGCAGTGCTTCAACACCTGAATAAACAATTAGCTCATAAAACTAGAAATATAAGAAATATTTATTAAGGTGATTGAACTTGGAATCCTGACTCTGCCACTTATGTAGGCAAGTTAATCCACTGCTCTCTAGCTTCAGTTTTATCATCTGTAAAACGGGCATATAAAAATCCTTAGTTCATTTGGTGGCTGTATTAAATTATACATTAGTATGGTAACTTGAATGTGTTACACACTCAAAAAATACTCATTTTAAAAAAGATATGGATACTGGAAAATATGAAATGTAATCCTTTAGTAAGATATTTTTTTTCCTAATTTGTCTTATGGCATTACATGCATGAGTATTTCATTGTATTTAGTGTCACTCCGAGGGCCCACCTCTTCTTTTCACCAAGCTTGTCAATCAGAGTACGTTATAGTTACTTTTTTTTGTTTTTTGTTTCTTGAGATGGAGTCTTGCTCTGTTGCCCAGGCTGGAGTGCAGTGGCGTGATCTTGGCTCACTGCAAGCTCCGCCTCCTGGGTTGACGCCATTCTTCTGCCTCAGCCTCTCAAGTGGCTGGGACTACAGGTGCCCACCACCACGCCTGGCTTATTTTTTTATATTTATTTTTGCATTTTTAGTAGAGACGGGGTTTCGCCATGTTAACCAGTCTCGATCTCCTGACCTCGTGATCCACCCACCTCGGCCTCCCAAAGTGCTGGGATCATAGGCGTAAGCCACTGCGCCTGGCTGTTATAGTTTCTTATTTATCCTTGAGGTCAACTTCAGTGAAAGTGTTTCCTTATATATTTGCCAACATTTCCATCTTCTTCTAGGAAGATAGGGATCCTTGTGCTAAGGCCTACATTTTGGATTCTGTTTTTTTGTTCCTCTTCAATTGTGGTGTCATTCTTTTCTGGCCTCAATTCAGGAGTGGCTCAATTATGGGATGAGTTTTCCTTTGGCTACGTCTCTCTGAATGCCCGTATCACACCCAAGCTCCTGTGCCTCTTTCACAAAGTCTTACCCTCCTACTATGCCAGACCTCGGCACTGTCCATCTTTCACCTCTGTTATGTGTGAATCCATACAGCAGTGATCTTACCTAATTAGATGTAAATTGACATTGTCTTGATTTTTTTTTCAGTATTTGTTTCTTTTGTGTCTGTATTATCTCCGTGACTAGATTATGAGATATTTAAGATCAGGACCATCATATGATGTACATATTTTTATTTATTGTTAACCCTTGTAGCCCCTAGCAGAGTGTAGCACTCACATCTGGTGCTCAGTGAGTACTAGCTTCCAAACTCCTTCCTAATTCAAAGTTGAAGGCATTTAGGGAGCTGAAAAGAAGGATTTACTCAGGCAACCTAAAACGGCAAGTAAGAATGTAGAATTGATACTAATAATGAATCAGCATATGGTGTTCAGAGTATGTTTTATCCTGTCTCAGCTGATGCTCACAAGAATGCAGTGTGGTACAGAGGAATTATTATAATTATCTTCATTTTACAGACAAAATCTCTGCCTCGTGAGGACTGAGTCACTTGCCCAAAGCTGTGCAGATTGAACATTGTAGAGGGGGAAGAGAGGCAGGTAATCTGACTCTGTATCCCACACCCCCCAACTCTGCTGTGCTGCTGCTTTCCCAACCTGGTTGGCGAAATATTTTCCTACAAAACTTCCTCTATAACTGTACACACCTGGTCCAAGGCATGAGGTTTCACACTTAGCCCCTGGAAGCCAGAGCCTTCATCATGAAGAAATTTCCTTCCTGATTTTCTCTGATGAATGAAATTTACCTAAGGCTTGTGATCTTGGTTAGAAGCAGATTATTTGCATTTTAAATTAAAATGTCGTCCTTCAGAAAAAAACATTTGCCTAGGAATTTAGCAATTACACCAGGTGCACAGATACGGAAGTCAGGTCAATGCAGAATGCAGAAGGCAGCTGGCACATGCAGAGTGGAGCTAGCATGTGGTCTGAGGGCAAAGCTGAGGCTAAAATCTCTGGTCTGCGATTAGGAGGTCTGTCTTGTTGAGATCCTTCAAAGCTATTCCTACTGATGGTACTTTGAGGAAGCAAGCCACAGTCCCTGGCTTCTCAGGATTCACCTTGGGGAAAAAGAATGACCATATGGGAGTTGGATGAAAGCTGAAAATTTGCCTCAAACATCTCCAAGAGGCTCTACAAATATTCTCTTTTTTGAGGGACAATCACCTTTTCTTCATAAATTCACAGCTTTAGGAATATTTCACCATTCTTTATAGGACATAGTAGCCTTTGTCTTTTTTTCCCTGACATTGGAAAGATGTGCTAATTGAAACTTAGTAGGAACATTGTGCCAACTTGAAACATTGATTTAGTAAAAATCTCAATGTTTAGATCCTTTGTCCAGTGATGGTGTTTATCAGGGAATGTATTCAGCTTGCTCAGAAAAACAAAAGGGCATTAAAGCCGCAAAAGCAAAGAAGAAAAAAAAAACTTCCCATGTTTGGATCTTGTTCTAGTTAGAAAAATTAAGTTGAAATTATTGGACTTTTTCATTCATGAGGCAAATGCTGTAATACCTTGCCCTTTGACAGGTTTGGATTCTTAACATTACTAGTGGTATTTCAGGAAGTGAGGTTACAGTTACTTTAGTTATAGCGGCTAAGTGTATTAAGTTGAATGTAATGATGATAATATTAATTTGCTTGAACTGAGGCCCACTACTGATTCTTTAACAAATTGCTTGAATTCTTATATGTAAATAATTTTATGGGAATGTTCCATCATAATTTCTAAATCGTTCATATATCAAGGTAGCCTTAATTTGTATATGTTTCAGTACAATGAGATTTTATTGCCTCTGTGATGCTGTTTATTTTGTATTTTGTTGAACTTTTTTATCCTAGGAAGAGAAACCTGTGACTTCTGTACCTAGATCATCTGTTACATTAAAAAGCTGCTCTTTCAGCATTAGAGCTATAAATGAATGTTATCTTGTGGGGAAACAATCTAGGTTTTAGCTATATGAGCTATGTTTATTATGGTGCTTATGTTCAATAGCCACATTTCACTGATTTCTCCATTTTCTTTGATGCTGTGGCTAGCAGCAGAGCTCGCCAGTTCATGCCTGGACATACTGTCTTTGGGGTTGACTCTATATCTTTTTGATGTGGAAGTATAAAGCAAATATCTTGATTTCTAAACCCAGGAGCTTTTGAATTGACCTTTATGAGTGAAGACTTTTCGAGCTTTTAAAGATCTTGGCAGTCATGATCTCAAACCAATTTGGAGGTCCAAGCTCCCTTCCCAGGTAACTGTTGGGAGCAATGGCATCACTGTATGCCCTTGTAATGGCTCGAAGGGACATGATCTTGTAAGTAGGAAAGCTGTCACTTAAAATTGTATTGTTTGCTTATTAGCCATATATCTCTTAAACTTTTGTTATGTTTACAATGATGTACCTTATTGGCAACAAATTATTAGTTTGATGTTTAACAGTAGTGTCTTTAGTAAATTATTTTACAACTAAAAAAACCCAAATATTCTATTTTTTTCTTATTAAAAATATCTTTTTTTTTTTTTTTACTTTAAGTTCTAGGATACATGCACAGAACGTGCAGGTTTGTTACATAGGTATACATGTGCCATGGTGGTTTGCTGCATCTATCAACCAGTCATCTAGGTTTCGGCCCCATATGCATTAGCTATTTGTCATGATGCCATCCCTCCCCTCTCCCCCAACCCCATGACAGGCCCGAGTGTGTGTTGTTCCCCTCCCTTTGTCCATGTGTTCTCATTGTTCAATTCCCACTTATGAGTGAGAACATGTGGTGTTTGGTTTTCTGTTACTGTGTTAGTTTTCTGGGAATGATGCCTTCCAGCTTTATCCATGTCCCTGCAAAGGACATGATCTCATTCTTTTTTATGGCTGCATAGTATTCCATGGTGTATATGTACCACATTTTCTGTATCCAGTCTATCATTAATGGGCATTTGGGTTGGTTCCATCTCTTTGCTATTGCAATTAGTGCTGCAATAAACATAGCTGTGCCTGTGTCTTTATAGTAGAATGATTTATGTTCCTTTGGGTATACACTCAGTAATGGGATTGCTGGGTCAAATGGTATTTGGGTTTTAGGTCCTTGAGGAATTGTCACAGTGTCTTCCACAATGATTGAACTAATTTACATTCCCACCAACAGTGTAAAAGCATTCCTATTTCTCTACAGCCTCACCAGCATCTATTGGTTCTTGACTTTTTAATAACCACCATTCTAACTCACATGAGATGTTATCTTGTTGTGGTTTTGATTTGCATTTCTCTAATGATCAGTGATGTTGAGCTTTTTTGCATATGTTTGTTGGCCATGTAAATGTCTTCTTTTGAGAAGCGTCTTTTCATATACTTTGCCCCCTTTCAGATGGGGTTGTTTGTTTTTTCTTGTAAATTTGTTTAGGTTCCTTGTAGATTCTGGATATTAGACCTTTGTCAGATGGTAGATTGCAAAAATTTTCTCCCATTCTGCAGGTTGCCTGTTCACTCTGATGATAGTTTCTTTTGCTATGCAGATGCTCTTTAGTTTAATTAGATCCCATTTGTCAATTTTGGCTTTTGTTGACATTGCTTTTGGCATTTTCGTCTATGCCTATGTCCTGAGTGGTATTGCCTAGGTTTTATTCTAGGGTTTTCATAATTTTGGGTTTCACATTGAAGTCTTTAATTCATCTTGAGTTAATTTTTGTATAAGGTGTAAGGAAAGGGTTCAGTTTCAGTTTTCTGCATATGGCTAGCCAGTTTTCCCAGCACCATTTATTAAATAGAGAATCCTTTCCCCATTGCTTGTTTTTGTCAGGTTTGTCAAAGATCAGATGTTTGTAGATGGTTGTAGATGTGTGGTGTTATTTCTGAGGTCTCTGTTCTGTTCCATTGATCTATATGTCTGTTTTGGTATGAGCACCATGCTGTTTTGGTTACTGTAGACTTGTAGTAAAATTTGAAGTCAGGTAGAGTGATGCCTCCAGCTTTGTTTTTTTTGCTTAGGATTGTCTTTGCTATATTGGCTTTTTCTTGGTTCCATATGAAATTTAAAGTATTTTTTTCTAATTCTGTAAAGAATGCCAATAGTAGTTTGATGGGAATAGCATTTAACCTATAAATTACTTTTGGCAGTAAGGCCATTTTCATGATATTAATTCTTCCTATTCATGAGGATAAAATGTTTTTCCATTTGTTTGTGTCCTTTCTTATTTCCTTGGTTTGTAGTTCTTGAAGAGGTCCTTCATGTCCCTTGTTAGATGTGTTCCTAGGTATTTTATTCTCTTTGTAGCAATTGTGAATGGGAGTTCATTCATGATTTGGCTTTCTGCTTGTCTATTGCTGGCATATAGAAAAGCTTGTGATTTTTGCATGTTGATTTTGTATCCTGAGACTTTGCTGAAGTTGCTTATCAGCTTAAGGAATTTTTGGGCTGAGATGATGGGGTTTTCTAAATATAGAATCATGTTGTCTGCAAACAGAGACAATTTGACTTTCTCTCTTCCAATTTGAATACCCTTTATTTCTTTCTCTTGCCTGATTGCCCCAGCCAGAGCTTCCAATACTATGTTGAATAGGAGTGATTAGAGAGGACACCCTTGTCTTTTGCTGGTTTTCAAAGGGAATGCTTCTGGTTTTGCCCTTTCTGTGGGTTTGTCATAAATAGCTTTTATTATTTTGGGATATGTTCTATCAATACCTAGCTTATGGACAGTTTTTGACATGAAGGGATGTTGAATGTTATCGAAGGCCTTTTCTGCATCTATTGAGATAATTATGTGGTTTTTGTCATTGGTTCTGTTTACATGATGGATTACATTTATTGATTTGCCTATGTTGAACCAGCCTTGCATCCCAGGGGTGAAGCTGACTTGATCATGGTGGATAAGCTTTTTGATGTGCTGCTGCATTTGGTTTTCCAGTATTTTATTGGGGATTTTTGCATCAATGTTCATCAGGGACATTGGCCCGAGGTTTTTCTTTTTTGTGTCTCTGCCAGGTTTTTGTATCAGGATGATGCTGGCCTCATAAAATGAGTTAGGGAGGAGTCCCCTTTTCATTGCTTGGAATAGTTTCAGAAAGAGTACCAGCTCCTCTTTGTACCTCTGTTAGTATTTGACTGTGAATCCGTCTGGTCCCGGGCTTTTTTTTGTTGGTAGGCTGTTAACTACTGCCTCAATTTCAGAACGTGTTATTGGTCTATTCAGGGATTTGACTTCTTCCTGGTTTAGTCTTGAGAGAGTGTATGTGTCCAGGAATTTATCCATTTCTTGTAGATTTTCTAGTTTATTTGCATAGAGATGTTTATAGTATTCTCTGATGGTAGTTTGTATTTCTGTGGGGTCAGTGGTGATATCTCCTTTATCATTTTTTATTGTGTCTATTTGATTTTTCTCTCTTTTCTTCTTTATTAGTGTAGCTAGTGGTCTATTTTGTTATTTTTTAAAAAAAACACACTTCTGGATTCATTGATTTTTTTGAAGGGTTTTTCATGTCTCTATCTCCTTCATTTCTGCTCTGATCTTAGTTATTTCTTGTCTACTGCGAGCTTTTGGATTTGTTTGCTCTTGCTTCTCTAGTTCCTTTAATTGTGGTGTTAGGGTGTCAATTTGAGATCTTTCTAACTTTCTGATGTGGACCTTTAGTGCTATAAATTTCCCTCTTAACACTGCTTTAGCTGTCTCCCAGATATTCTGGTATGTTATCTCTTTACTCTCATTGGTTTCAAAGAACTTCTTGATTTCTGCCTTAATTTCATTATTTACCCAGGAGTCATTCAGGAGCAGGTCATTCAACTTCTATGTAGTTGTGTGGTTTTGAGTGAGTTTCTTAATCCTGAATTCTAATTTGATTGCACTGTGGTCCGAGAGACTGTTTATGCAAAAAATTTCAGTTTTTTTGCATTTGCTGAGGAGTGTTCTACTTCCAGTTATGTGGTAGATTTTAGAATAAGTGTCATGTGGCACTGAGAAGAATGTATATTCTGTTGATTTGTGGTGGAGAGTTCTGTTGATGTCTATTAGGTCCACTTGATCCAGAGCTGAGTTAAAGTTCTGAATATCCTTGTTAATTTTTTGTCTTGTTGATCTGTCTAATATTGGCAGTGGGGTGTTAAAGTCTCCCACTATTATTATGTAGGAGTCTAAGTCTCCTTGTAGGTATATAAGAACTTGTTTTATGAATCTGGGTGCTCCTGTATTGGATACTTAGAATAGTTAGCTCTTCCTGTTGCATTGATCCCTTTACCATTATGTAATGCCCTTCGTTGTCTTTTTTGATCTTTGCTGGTTTAAAGTCTGTTTTGTCAGAAACTAGGATTGCAACCCCTGCTCTTTTTTTGCTTTCCATTTGCTTGGTAAATTTTCCTCCATCCTTTTATTGTGAACTTATGTGTGTCTTTGCATCTGAGATGGGTCTCCTGAATACAGCACACCAGCGGGTCTTGACTCTTTATCCAGTTTGCCAGTCTGTGTTTTTAATTGAGGCATTTAGTCCATTTACATTTAAGGTTAATTTTATTATGTGTGAATTTGATCCTGTCATCATGATGCTATCTGGTTATTTTGCACAGTAGTTGATGCAGTTTCTTCATAGTGTCTTTGGTCTTTACAGTTTGGTGTATTTTTACAGTGGCTGGCACCAGTTTTTTTTTTTGTTTGTTTTGTTTTTTTTTTCCATATTTAGTGCTTCTTTCAGGAGCTGTTGCCAGGCAGGCCTGGTGGTGATGAAATCCCTCAATATTTGCTTGTCTGAGAAGGATTTTATTTCTCCTTCACTTATGAAGCTTTGTTTAGCTGGATATGAAAGTCTGGGTTGAAGATTCTTGTCTTTAAGAATGTTGAATATCAGACCCAAGTCTCTTCTGGCATGTAGGGTTTCTGCTGAGGGATCCATTGTTAGTCTGATGGGCTTCACTTTATAGATGACCTGGCCTTTCTCTCTGGATGCCTTGATATTTTTTCCTTCATTTCGACCTTGGAGAATCTGATGATTATGTTTCTTGAGGTTGATCTTCTCATGGAGTATCTTAGTGGTGTCCTCTGTTATTTCCTGAATTTGAATGTTGACCTGTCTTGCTATGTTGGAGAAGTTTTCCTGCATAATATCCTGAAGTGTGTTTTTCAGCTTGGTTCCATTCTCCCCGTCTCTTTCAGGTACTCAAATCAATCATAGGTTTGGTCGTTTTACATAGTCCCATGTTTCTGAGAAGTTTTGTTTTTTCTTTTTCAATCTTTTTTCTCTAATCTTGTCTGCCTGCCTTATCTCAGCAAGATGGTCTTCAAACTCTGATATTCTTTCTTCTGCTTGATTGATTTGGCTATTGATACTTGTGTATGCTTCACAAAGTTCAGCTCCATCTGGTCACTTATGTCCCTCTCTAAACTGGTTATTCTACTTAGCAGCTCCTCTAACCTTTTATCAAGGTTCTTAGCTTCTTTGCATTGGGTTAGAACATGCTCCTTTAGTTCAGCAGAATTTGTTGTTACCCACCTTCTGAAACCTGCTTCTGTCAATCCTTCCATCTCATCCTCCATCCAGTTCTGCACCCTTGCTGGAGAACTGTTGTTAACATTTGGAGAAGATGGACTCTGGCCTTTTGAGTTTTCAGCATTTTTTCATTGATTCTTTCTCATCTTCATGAGTTTGTCCAGTTTTGATCTTTGAGGCTGCTGACCATTGGATGAGGTTTTGTGAAGACTTTTTTGTTTTTCTTTCAATGCTCGGGTTCCTCTTCTGCAGGGCTGCTGTGGTTTGCTGGGGGTTCACTTCAGGCCCTATTCACGTGGTTTGCTCCTGCGCCCGGAGCTGTCACTCAAGGAGGCTGGAGAACAGCAAAGATGGATGCCTGCTCCTTCCTTTTGCATCTCTGACCTCGAGGGGTACCAACCTGATACCAGTAGAAACGCTCCTGTATAGGGTGTCTGACAACGCCTGTTGGAGGGTCTCACCCAGTTGGGTGGTATAGGGAGTAGGACCCATTTAAGGAAGCACTTTGGCTATTCCTTGGTGGGGTGGATGTGCCGTGCTGGGGGAATCCCACTTGTCTGGGCTGCCCAGATTCCTCAGAACTAACAGGAGGAAAGGCTATGTCTGCTGGTCTGTAGAGACTATGGCCACCCCTCCCCCTATGGGTTCAAGCCCAGGGAGATCAGAGCCCCTGGCTGGAGTTGTTGGAGTTCCTGCAGAGAGGCCCCACCCAGTGAGGGATGGGTCAGAGTCAGCACACTCTGGCTGCAGTCTGCCACAGCCAGTGTGTTGGGCTTTGGGGATTAGTCTTGGGCCAAGCCCTCTAGCCACCCTGGCTCCAGCAGGGGAAAAGCGCAGCCTGGAGCTATAGAGATGGCTGTTGCCCTTCCTTTTCCTTGGGAGCTTAGTGTGTTAGGCAGCTAGCAGTCCCAGTGTTGGCTGCCACCTCTCCCCTAAGAGTTCAGACAGCTTAGACAACAGGCAGCTGCCCCTCCCCCTGGGAACTCTGTAGGCTTAAGCAGATTCTAGCTGAGTGGCTGTTGAGAATCTACATGGCTCCCTGGTTAGTACCCTAGGCCCCAGTGGTGTGGGCTCACAAGTGGGGACTTCCTATCCGATCTATGGATTGCACAGTTCCATGGAAAAAGCACAGTTTCCCAGGCTGGGTAGCATGCTCACTCACTGTCTCCTTTGGCTGGGGGTTGGGGGCTCCCATGCCCCATGTGGCTCTCAGGTGAGCCATTGTACCATATTGTTCTTCCTTTCTCTCTGTGGGTCATGCCAGCTGCCTAGTCAGTCCTGATGATGGAACTTGGATACCTGGATTGCTGGTGCTAGATTCACACACTGTTTTGGTTATTTTCGATGGGAGCCTCCAATCACCACTGCTTCTAGTTGGTCATCTTCGCCCCACATCCCCGGAAGATTCTCTTTGAATAGTGATTCAGATTAATAGTTCAAGACACATTTATGGTCTCATAGGAAAGTGGAGAATTCTGTAGACATTTAATGTATGTGATGCTTAAATAATAGCAGTGACAATGCATTCAGTAACTTAATAAAAATTAAAAAAAGTAAACTATAGGGTATTATGTAAGAGTACAGAGATATGAAGGAAGCCAGAAGAGTCTAATAAATGTTTGTCATCAAAATAAATTTTATTAAAAACTCTAATAGCCAAAATGCAATTTTTATGAGGGGATAGAGCCATTTACAAACAGGGATTCAGTGTGTTAAATATAACACTGAAGGAATGAGGTAATATTAAGCTTGGCTAAGACTGTTTTTTTTTTCCACTCTTGAGCAGTTTAACCATTGTGCTTAAGTTGTTCAGTTAAATAAGTCAGATATATTGTTTGTTTCTTCATTGCCCTGATTGGTTGCCTGATGAAACAGTTCAGTCACAATGGCTGAGTTATGGCTGAATTGAAGGTGCCCATAAATACAGACTAGAGAGGATTATGTACTTTTCAAATTGGAAGACACATTATAGATTGCCTAGTCCAATACATGTAACCAAATCTGCCTAACAGAGCTAGTCTATAAAATCTCATTTTGGCGGGAACTTGGAAGGACGAAGGATACTTTTTTGGAAAATCTGACATTTGCCTCTTGCATGGTACTGAAAAGAGCTTGGATTGAGGAGTCAGAAGACTTGAGTTTAAGTCTTAGTTCTATTTCATATAGCAATGTAAACTTGGGCAGGTCACAAGGTTTGGATGCCTACCCCCTCAATGGTAAGATGGGGGCAGTAGTACCACCACACAGGCCTGTAGAAGAACTGTACAGTTGTTCATTGTGTTTGTGTTTATTAGTAATAATCATGTGTAGAACACATTTGACTGGAGGCAGTTTGTATTTATAGGCTATCTCTTATTGCTCATGGGTGTCCCTTTATTTTCACTAAATAAGTTGTGAAATGCCTAAGTGTTAGAAATCTGTTATTTTATTATTCCCTATTGCAACAAATATGGTGCTGTCCCCACAAGATGATTTTACTTCGTACTGTTGACCAATTGACTGAATCTTTGCCTAATCATAGGAGACATCGAGTGGTGGCTACCAATGAGAGAGAACATGTAATGGAATGTCATTAGCTGCTGTGTATTCTACCAGTAAATGCACTCATGTTAATGTTATGTATCATTAGTTTTGAAAATGTGTACTAGAAGCTTTTTGCTTTATGAAATTAGCTGAATTTATGAAGATAATTTGCATTTTTATTTTAAACATACCTTTTATGATAAGATTTTGATTTGAACCAAAGTATATTCACAAAATATTGTTCTCAGTTGAAGAACTTTAATGAGAAATGTACGTCCTGTATCATTCTGTCATACATTTAGCTTATTGTCTGCTGGAAGACCTGATCTTTGTCCAAAAGTTTGCTTTCCTTTGCAACACATTGTGCTATTTTTCATGCCAACTCATTATTCTGCCTATCATTAGATACTATTAATTCAATACCCATAAATGAGCACCTACTATGGGTCAGAAACTGTGCTGTCTACCAAGGATTTAGAGAGAAATATAATACAATCCTTGTCCTCAAGGAATTTACTGTCTGGCCATGGGAACATAATTTTCATAAAGTCACCATAAAGCATTATGGCAAAGGCAGTGATGGTGTTCTGTACACAGTATTTTAAGATTCCTGTATTTCCTCCCTGTCTCCTAACCAGCCAGAGAGGGATCAAGGAAGGCAGGGAGTGAGGAGATGAGAGACAGAGGACACTACTCCATGGAGGACATTAATGCCTTTTTAAGAAGTTGAGTTTAAACCCATCTACTATGAGGAACATGGCAAGTGTAAGCATTGGAGTCAAAGATTTCCATGTTAGATCACTCTGGCATTTGTGTGTAAGTGGAATTTGAAGGGGACAGCAAGAACAAAGACAGCTACATTAGGTAGAAAGCCATTGCAGTAGTCTGGAATAGAGATGATGAGTTCTACTTGTGGTTATTTTCCATGGAACTGTAGACTGCCTAGTGTCAGAAGACTCTCCTTTCATTCTTTAAATATTTATATAGTTAATAGTTAATGAACACCTACCATATGCTGGGCACTGGGTATGAAGAGACAATGAGAACATTTAGTTACTGTGAAAATAGAAAAAAATGCAGAAATGTGACAAGTGCTATGACGTAGGTATAATCAGGTATATGGCAGCACCAGTGAGGAACTATTAACTCACCTTGGAAACCAGGAAACACACCACTGAAAGTCCTCCAGGGAAAGAAGGTACAGGTACAGAGGCATCCAAGCATGGGAAATTGTATGTGAACAGGCACAGAGGCATAGGGACACATGGTCTCTTCAGGGAAACGTGACTAATTCTGCATATCTGGAGCACAGGAACCTGGCGGTGTGTGTGAAGGGTGCTATGCCACTGAAAGACTATGTGGTTTGCTTGGAAAGTGTTTAGGAAAAATTTTAAGTGGGGATACAACCTATTGGATTTATGTTTTGGAAAAATCTCCCTCCAGCAATTAAATGGACTTCCTAAAGAAAAGCATAGACCAAAGGAGACAGGAAAGCAAGGATAAGGATCTGAATAAAGGAGACAGTTGGAGAATAGATGAAAGGGCTCAAATTCAAGAATTACTTAGGAGGTGAAAATTATTCTAGAGATTCCACAGGACTCAGAGCCTATGTGAATGCATGACCAAGAGGACTGCAGGGAAAGCCAGGGTTCAGTTAAGGTGAGGAGGTCAGGCATGAGTCTATGAAAAAATGGAATATGTGTGGTCATACTTTTTCATTTTTTTAGAGCCATGGGGTATAAGTTCTAAGGTCACAGATAGTGTAAATGTTTGGGGATATGGGAATGAAAGCAACAGTGAAAGAATATGGATTGAAAGACTACGAATGAAGAGTCTGGGGGAAGAACAGGTGAATGAAGGGACTGCCACTTAGAGCATCTACCAAGAATAATCAACTAAGTCATTCATTCACTCCAAAAATGTTCACTTAGTGAGTTTATTCCATTCATATGTTGTATATATATTTATATTTTATTTATTTATTATTTATTGGGTTTATTTATTTATAACAAACATATATTTGTGACTGAGCATCAACAATGTACTAGGTACTCTGTGAGG
This sequence comes from Homo sapiens, assembly GCF_000001405.40. Lineage (NCBI taxonomy): Eukaryota > Metazoa > Chordata > Mammalia > Primates > Hominidae > Homo > Homo sapiens. The sequence goes on from NC_000001.11 coordinate 168,687,809, forward strand.
TACTGGGGATACAGTCATGAACCATGTGTACCAGGAAAGGACCTACTAGACTCAATGTTTGAAGTTAGCTTTCATGTTAAGTTGACGTGGTGTTCATGCTGGCTGAGCCCTAGGTGGTGAGAGAAAACACGCCAGGAGCGGCTGTTACTCCTATAGGAGGCAGCATGGCACAGTCTATATTGGAGTCTCAGGAGAGCACAGAATATCCTGGAATGCACAGGCTCTGGACTCATCCAGGCCTGAGTCTGAGTTCTGCTTCAGTGTGTACTGTTATGTCCCTGAGAAAGGAATTCAATCCCTCTGTGTCAGTCTTATCCTTTGTAAAATAAGGATAATGATAGCCACTTTGGAAATCTACTTGAGTATTCATATGAGGTGCATATAAAGGTTAAGTAAAGAGCGTGGCTCAGAGTATGCACAAAAATAATTAATTGTAGTCATCATTATTATTTGGTATATATATTTAGAGCCATAGGAGAATCAAAGACCTGGATCTTCAGGAGATAGAGACCTGCTCTGAAGGCACTGAAGCCAGTGTGGACTGAAGTTGCACGTAACATCAAAGACAGCTCTGTTGGTGGCCATAGAGATTGGCTTCCTGTGGAAGGACCTTAAGGTTGCAGCTACTGGAAATTTGCTTACCTTTCTACACTTTTTATTTTTTAATAAGTGAGAGCTTTACATTGTCTAATAGAGCTGAACCACATTATTTCACTTCCTTAGATTAAGTGTCCAAATTCCTTTACAGGCAATTAAAGCTAATGAAAAATAATTTATGTGTCTAGAATCTGTTATAACTATCAGATCTCAGTGATTAATTTGGTTTATGATGCAGAAAACCTGCACAGTCTAAGATAAAATTGAAAAAGAGCAACATGAGGTGAGGTGAGCTAGAACTGTGATATCAGCCCAACACATTTTGCTAACAGACCGAGTATGCTGGAGTTTAATCAACTGAAGAGAACAGTGATGCTTATTGAGTGTGCTAATTCTCTAGGCAGAAAGCTTCCCAGAGCACACACAGCAAAGATAAACAAGGCCATGACTCGGTGTGGAGAGCCTGCACAATTGTGGAGGCTGAAGGATCAAACAAAGACAATTATGATCTCGGTTGTCACAGCAATTCTGTTTATTTGGGTTAGATTGAGTTTATGGAGGGTTTGTTATTTAGGAGTCATTTTAGAAGGCAGACTAGAGTTATTATTACTACAGGAGATGTTGAACCTGTGTCTGATTTTATTATAGTGGGTAATGTTTACAGTAATATAAAACAGTCGAGTAGCAACATTATTATTTTCAGACAACTCATCTGGTGTTCTAACTTCCAACAACGTCCTCCTGACCACCTTACAGTGCCATCTCTCCCTCCAGAGGCAATGTTTAAAATACTGGAATAAATCTTTGAATCATTTTTTAAAATTGGACATTATTCAACTATTTCAAATTGAACATTATTTAAAAAGCAGAGTTTAAAGCAGTTATCTCTCCTTACTCCCAGTGGAAACCCTTGACTCCAAGTTGACATAGCTGAGATGACTGGGCTTTGTAAACAGCTAGACTTCAGTTCAACATCCATTTCCACTAGCTGTGTGACCTTGGGCAAGTCACCTATTATTTTGGGGACCTTTGAACCTATCTATAAAATGGCAGTAACTATGCCAGTCTAGGGTATCTGCGAGTAGCAAATGGGAAAGCCTGTTTGAGCATAGAGTGCAAGAGCCTGCAATGCATGTTCTCTCCCTCTCTCTTCGCCTCACTAAACCACTCACTGGACAGGGACCTGACAGAGGATATAACCAAGCTCAGATCCCAGAGGCTTGAATTCTAAGTGTCCCCAACATTTACTCATAGGTGTCCTTGGGCAATTCATTTGCCTCACTGGGCTCCAGCCTGAGAATTGGGTTCAGGAGACCCAAGGTTTTTCTTGGCTTCTTGAGGAGCCTCCTCACTTCCATAGGTTTGCTCAGGCAGTCTCTGCTGCTGGCATAAGTCTTCTTCATCTTCTACCTGTCCTAATGCCTTCTGTTTCTCCAGCTCATAGTGATCCTTTGCTCTCTGCAATAGCATAAGGTTTTCTTTGTGTATTACTCACTGGGTGTGGGATTGTGAGCAGCCTTCTTTTATTCATTAACCTTTCCAGTTTTTTGTTCTTTTCTCCCTCTCTAGAATAAAAAATCTCTCTGAGGAAAGGCATGTGTTTTATGCTTCTTGGCTTTCTTCAGTTTGTACCAGGAGCAAGGAAGCTGATTAATGGCACCTTGTTGAAGTAGCGATCAACCTTATGTGTACAAAAGCATAGCCATGTGACATTATCCATTTAGAACAAGCCAAAGTGCCGTTCTGGAAAGCACTGAGTGTCGCCGCCCTGCCCAACACAATCCACTTGTCCACCTCTTTCCGTTTTTTCTCCTCCTCTGCAGGGACCTGGGAATTTTCTCGAGGCTTACCTATGCATGAAGAGAACTAAGAGCCTGCCTTCACTCTGTGAATTTCTGTGGACTGAAGTCCTTCTCCAAGTTGAGCTGTGCAGTTCATACCATGACAGATTTTCCATTTCTTCCTCCCAGAAGCCTATTGGCAGAACCAGTCTGCATACTACACTGTTGTGGTAGGCGGCAGACAGATGTGACTCAGAGCATGTTTGATTTCCCAGAACATATTTCCAAGGGGGTAATGGCTAATGAGTTCACCTTTGAGTCTGCCAACAAAAGAGGCCCACAGAGACACCCAGGTCAGCTGAAATCTACCAGACACAGAGAAGACAGATTCCAGACACCAGCAGGGTCTACGAATGCCTGCTAGACAGCCATATAAAAAGAAAGCTACCTAATTCTGAAAAACCAGCTTCACTGCATTGGTCCATCTAATCATGAGGTGATCCCACAGGTACACTTTCAGTGGGAGTAACAAGAAAAAGAAAAGGCTATAAGGTCTATGTTAATGAAGTCATAATCTGCATTAGGGTCTGTCTTAGGGCTCTACTTTTATTTTTTCATTAAATATTTGTTGAATTTCTACCATGGGTCAGTCCCTATTCTAGGTGCGGGGGATATATCAGACAAAAATCCCCGCCCACCCCACCCCTAGAACTCATATGCTTATATGAGACTTAAAAACAGCATCCAAATTTTCACAGGTTTACACTATTTTACCAACCTGAGCCCCTTTGCCTCTTGGTCCCCCAGTCTCCCAAGGAGTTATTCAGTGAGACTTTCCCTCATTTCTGCCAAGTGCCTAGTACTGTGCTAGCTGCTCACGTGTTGATTTTGATACAGTTCACAGTTCATAAAAACACCAAAATTGTTATGTTACCCAGGATGGTAAAATACACTTTCTGAATGTGTAAGTGATCATTGTGATCGTATGTTATACTTTCCAACTCACTTATCATTAGTGAATAGCTCTTAAAGGGATTAAATGAATGATTACCCAATAATGATGAATAAAGAGAGTAAGAGTGGTATTAACCTCCATCAGAACCACAGTACCATCATAATACCTTGCCTGTTAATAGAATTTCATAATTTTCAAAGTGTTTTTTCAGTTTTTGGTTGCTTAGAGTGTTGATCGATCTATTGAAACCAACCAGAAATCCAGATTAGTTTAAAAATACATGTCTTGGATGCCCATTATGTGTGAAACACTTAGCTAGGCATGGGAAATTTACCAATGAACAAACGGAAATGAGACTCCTGTCCTCAGGGACATGAAGATAAAGACACAGAATGCTGAGGGAGTGAAGAGCCCCAGTCTTGGAAGGCTAAGGGAAGTTTCCTGGGGAAGCTGAATTTATACTTGGCCCTGAAGTAGGACTTCCATGCGTGGAAGACGTGGGGAGAAGATTTCCAGCTTCTGCTGTAAATGTTAGTTTCACATTGGCCTTATGACAGGCTGCACATCTGTTCCATTGTCTCTGGGGATGGTTAGAGACCTTGGAAAGAGCAGGTAATTCTGCATATTAAATTATAACCCATTAGGCGGCCGGTTAGATGAAAGGGCCTGGCTTCATAATCTCTTTCTTTCCATGAAGTAACCATATGGTCACCTTTCAGCTGAAACATTGTCCTAGGACTGAACTGCCTGGAAGCCGGTGACTTTTTTTGTTTTATAAGATTAAAATTACTTTTCTTTTTTGATTATAAATACAATCAATGATAATTATTTTTATAAGTTGGGGAAGGCAGAAAAGTATATAGAAGAACAAAGGAATAAAAAATGCTACAATGCAAATTCATAATTTGCATTTTGCAATATTTCTATTGAGCATTTTTCACTGATACAGTCATTCATTCACATTTATAACTGGGCTTCTTATGGATAAATAGGCCTGCATTGGTGTGAGAGGAAGAAGAAGGTCACACAAAGGTAGATTCAAGTGCTTAGCAAGACACAGTGGCATCTAATGAATAGGTTTTAAAATTAATAGGGATTTTTGGTTGGTTTTGACTTTTTAGAAATATTTCATTCTATGAAAAATTGAGATATGGGTGGGATATGAAAATCTGAGATATGCATGAATATGTTATTATTTCTTACCATAAATTTTAAGGTACGTGTGTTTTTTAATTCTTGCTTTATAAAGGAATGCATTTAATAACAGAGATTCAACAAGTTAGTAGGAAAGGGATGCTATGCCCAAGTATGTCTAGGCAACATTTTGTCAAGGGTTCTGCCTATCCAGTCTCACCAATTCTGGATCTCAGGATGGTAACCAGGTTCAGATAGCACTGCTTAATAATGTGGTTCGATTAAACAGAAGTGGTTTAATTAAAACTGACTGAGACTTTAAAAGGAGAGTGGATGCTATTGACTATGTGATCTCTGTTCTATTGGCCACCGTGATGTGCACAACTGTTTGGTCATGGACTATGTTGAGAAACATTTTCTCTGATTAATAAGAGAAGAACCAAGTAGGCTTGGAGCTAGCTGGGGGACCAGCTAGAGAGATGGAAATCCTTGATTTCCCGGTGAACAAGAACATTTATAAAGACAGAAATATGCAGAATCTGTTGTTGTTGTTGTTTTTGAGTTTGTGGGGACTAAATCCCAGATCTGTTTAAGCATTTGTGAGCACTAATGCTTTTGTGAGAATGAATTTTTCTGAAGGAACTTACAAAAGTGTTGAGTTTCATGTTTGGGTTAAAGCAATCAAGCATGAAGACATATATATGGATGAAGGGCCAGGATGGAGAGAGAACTTCTCCAGGCCATCTGAGTTCCAGATAGATAGAATAAGTTACTACTAACATGACCAAATTGTGGAATGCCTTATGGTACTGATGTGAGAAACCAATCTCTCTTTAGAGCAATATGACTGTATGTTGGACCTCCCAGGCCCCCTTGGTAAGGCCAGTATTTCCTGGAGAACCTTTCTCAAATGCATACCTTATTTTTTGCCTTCCATAATATCATTTCCATTGCCTTAAATTCTACCATCCCCTTTCCTATCCTGACCTCTCACCGCCTTCTATTGAAATGCCGCCTGCCCTTGACTTATCAAACTGTACTGTCACGGTTTGTTTGCTTGACTAACTCCTTTAGTTTATAATTCTCCAGAATGCAGGAACTGTGCCTAGTAAAATGGTTGGTATATAATAAACACTTGATAATTTATTGATTCAGTTACTGAGCAAATGTAAGTGGGACTTAAGTTTGCTTGATAAATGTTTCCTATTATTGACGTTTACTAAAATCCGGCTTACCTAAGGAATTTTATTTCCAATATATACTGACACTGTTTTCCTTCTCTGACTACATTTATTGGGTACTTATTATATGCAAGACACTATGTGATCTCATTTAATTCTTACAGTAACCCTGTGTTGTAAGTACTATATTTCTACAGGTAAGGAAATAGAGTCTCAGGAAAGGTAGGTGACGTGGCCAAGGTCATAAAGCTGGGAAGTGACAGGACCATGATTTGTGTCCAGGAAGTCTGACGCCAGAGCTTACAGTCTTTTCTACTCACCTCAGAAGTCCTACTTGTCCTTCAGGGCCAAGCATAGACTCGGCTTCCTCAGGAAACTTTCTTGCAGTTATTGTCATCATCTATCTTCTCATCTCACCATTAGGCTGAAGGCCTTGTGAGGCAGGAATCATGTATCTCCTCTTTCTATTATCTCATTGTATGTGGCCAGCATCTTGTAAAGTTGTTTAGAAAGGAATTCCTACCTGTACTGGGCAGATGAGGGGAAGGGGGCTTGGGGATTTCTCTAATCTTACACAGCCACCCTCTGTCAGAGCCAGCGGTAGGCCCTAGGTTATCATCTTTAGTTCCAGGCTCCTTTCCTGGAAGAAAATGCCTTAGAAAATCCCTTTATAAACAATTCAGGAGGTGATAGAGTTCAGAGATTCTTAGAATTGCGAGAAACCACAATGGTTACCTAGATAAATGTCCTCATTTTAAACAGTAGGCCTAGAAAGGAGAGGTGACTTATCCAAGACTGTGGAGCAAGTTAGTAGAAAGTTTGGAGTAATGAAAAAACAGAGAACAAAACTTGCAGTTACCAGATCTGGGATTTAGTATTCACTCTGACACTTAGTTCTTATTGAAAGACCTATAACATAAAGTATAATTATTCAGATTCAAACCAAGTTGACAATGTCTTTTCTGTCATTGTCCTTGGCCTATCTACGTGCAAATAATAGTTTTCTTCTTAGTAGAAACTCCTTTTATTCCACTTGGCACAGGCACTATTTATTGAATTGCTTTAAAGAAGTTTTTTTTCTTGACTTATGTCCTCTTGCAGTCTCCTGGCTACTCCCAGCTGCAGCCTCTCCTCCCCCAGCCATGCTCCCTGCACCCTCCCAGCTCCCCATCCTCTCACCAGCCATTTGCTTTCTTCATGGATGCCAAGTCAGCCAATCAGCATTGCTTGTCTCCTTTCCTGCTGTGCTCCACATACCCAACTAAGGCTATTTCCTGGTTTCCATCCTGAACCAGGCTGAAATTGCTAAAATATTAATGGCTCCCTTTGTGAAAAATAACACCGAAGCATCTTATTATAAATTAAAATTGCCAGAGAGTCAGAAACAATGACATGGAGGAAATAAAGCAAAGCTCTAATATGAAAAAGTGTTTTAGGAGTTAAGGCAGGAGAAGATATCCTTAGCCCTGCCTTCCCCATCACAATGCTGGGATCTTGCCGTGGGAAATACCATCACCACTGGCTGAGAGTCACCTTCTTGACCACCTAGAGGGGGTGTATGGCAAGGTACGCGATCCCTGTGGTTTTGCCTGGCTGGCTCTTCTTCTGGGTCCACTGGGAGAGAGGATGAGGGAAGAGCAGCATGGATCAGAAAAAAAAAAAAAAGGCAATCTGCTGTGGATAAAGAAAAGAGGGACTTCCTGTGGTTAAAAATTCATGTGACATCTTGGGATGAGGAAGGTTGAAGGATGCTGAGAAAAGATTAGGCTGAACTCAAAGGCCAAGAAATGTGATTCCTTCCTTTGTTTAATCTTAAGTAAAGCATTTAGCACTTTATGTCTTAAATATCTGATTCCCCCACCACACTCTGTCATTGTCATCATTTTATTCCTGGGGTCTGCATGGTGCTTGGCACAAACCACAATGCTAACCAGGATTTTCAGAATGAATGGATAAATAATCAGCAAGGGAAAGAGTAGAGAGCAAAAACTGACCCTGAATATTTTCAGCATAGTGAACGTTAATATTTTTATTTCTTTTGTAATGAAGAGTACAAATGGTTGGGAGCAGGACATCACAGGAGGAGGAAAGATAGCGCCATCTCTGCAGAAGAACTCCTGAGCCACACACAGAAGGAAAGTTGATCCCCAGGGCAGCCTTTCCCACCAAAAAAATCAGGCCCAATCCAGGAGAGTTTGCCAGTAGCTCCCCAGGGTTCCAGGGTGTCTGCCAGCCTTCCTAGGAATCGTGGGCAGGCTTCTAGGTGCCAGTGACTCAAACTCCTTTTTCCACTTCCCAGTTCAACCTGGTCACTCTCATCCCCACAAGTTCCCAATCTGAATCCCATTCTCTGACCATTCTCTGCTTCCTTGTTTTTAATCTCATTTGAGAGTGATCCTCACGGGTTCCCCTGGCCCCTGCACTCATTTTCCTTACTGGGTATGCTAACGTTTGTCTTCTAATTCAGGAAATCCTTCCAACCCTGTTTTCAGCTCTGCCTCCAAACCCTTCCATTTCCCCATTTCACCTCCCAGTCTCCTCACTCCTGGAGCAAAGAGCTCTGCACTTGGATTGCTAAGCATGCATGGCTCATGTGGAGCAGGGGAGTGGGAAGATGTCCCTCAGGGCAGAAAGCCTGCTTTTGGTGGGGAACCTACGTATCATTCAAACAGGCTTAGCTGTAGAGAACCTTCACTGCACCTCTCCTCCAGTTCTGCCTCTCCCCTCCACTATGCTGAACTTGCAGTTCATTCTGCAGTAAAAAGCAGTAGCCAGGCTGCAGCTGGTGCTCCAGAAGCCCGGCTGTAAGCATGCGCACTGTATATGTGGTGTGCAAGGAAGCCATCATCAGTCATATAAAGCAGTTGCTATGAAACATGTGAAAAGTGAGAAACATGGTTTAATTGTGGATTTTATTAGAAGTGTGATACTAGTCAGAAAGGCCCAGGAAGTTGGCATTGCAGTTACCAGCTCAGGGAGAAGGAAAGAGAGCAGCAGAAACTTCTATAGGAGATCCAACTGATGTTAACATATGTGGACACCCTCCTGTCCCCGGCCCCTTTCCTTTCACCCAGATTTGGTATGTGGCAAATCTAAACATTTGCAAATTCACAGTCGTATTCAGTCATCCGGCACATTATGAACTTCCACTGGCGATCCCTGTGGGAGGGAGAGTCAGAAAATGAATGTCAGTGAGAAAGGACATGGCAGGAAGAATCGCTGCTGGGGAAACAGCAGCAGAGAACATTTGGAGGATCTGGGAACTGAAGGGACACTTAATCTCACTTTGCTCTTAGAAGACATCTTTATGCAGTTTCCCAAGAACCGACAAATCTGTGAGTTCAGGTCACCCTTGAAGGTGACTAATTAGGTCACTGGCTGTGTGGAGGCCTCTGTTCATCACTGGTGGTCAGCTCACCCCTGCTGCCTCCAGAAAGTACCTCAAGGACCTGTGGGTTAACAGCTTGGAATAAAAGCATTTATTTAACATCATCTCCATTTCATTGTAAAGAATCTTGTTTTAGGCTGGGCTTGGTAGCTAACACCTGCAATCCTAGCATTTTGGGAGGCTGAGGCAGGTGGATTGCTTGAGGCTAGGAGTTTGAGACCAGTCTGGCCAATATGTGGAAACCCTGACTCCACAAAAAAATACAAAAAATTAGCTGGGTGTGGTGGTGCATGCCTGTAGTCCCAGCTACTTGGGAGGCTGAGGTGGGAGGATTGCTGGAGTCCGGGAGGTTGAAGCTGCAGTGAACCGAGATGGTGCCACTGCACTCCAGCCTGGGTGACAGAGTGAAACCCTGTCTCAAAAAAAAGAAAAAAATCTTGTTTTAAAAAGTCCGTCCATTTTCCCACTGACTCTTTCTGAGCACTTAACATATGCTGAGTGCTCACCATGCACTGGGCTCTGTGCTATACATGTGTTTCCCTTCAGAAAACACTGCTACAGAGGAATGAAAAAGTCCCTTAAATTAAAAAAGAAAATGGCTGCCATTCTGGCATCACAAGAATTGTTATGAATTGCCTATGTGTTTAAGTGGTTGGGGATGGGAAGAGTGTACATAGCATTACTAAATTTTGAAAAATGTGGTGTGGATACATTTCAAGGAATGTTCTTTGCTCAGGGTGAATTTATGTTCTTTATTCATCCATTTAAGAGAAATGTTTTGAGTGCCTACATTGCATGACACTCCTGTGGTCTAATACTGTTGAACAGTGATAATGATAATTGTAGCCTCTAATATATCTGGCATTGCACCAGATGCTTTACGTGTTTTCTCTTTTAATCCTCACAACGATTCATTGTTTAGGTGAAAAACCAGGCTCAGAGAAATAATTAACTTGCTTTAAGGTAATACAAGTAATAGGTGACAATTTCAGATTCGCAGTTTATTGTACTCAAATCTTGGTCTTTCTCTTAAACCACACAGTCTGCCTAACTAGGTAATCTTAAGCCCAGAAGAACACGTGGCTGCCATGCCCTTTGCACAGTCCTGATAAAGGGCAAAAACGAAGAGTTTTTCCATATTTAATTATGCAAATCATTCCAAAGCTTGGTGGGGTCCTTTACAAACTCAGAATTATCTATCTCCCTTTTCAATCTGCAAGCCCTCTTTTCAACAATTTATCCTAAACACTATGACTAACAAGGCCTCCATCCAGCTTCTAAACTGAAAAGTGGGGCTGATTGCTCTTAGTCCTAGGAAGCAGGGCTCACTCTGCTCAAACAGCCTAAGGCAGGCTTTCTAATTCTGAGTCTGTTGCTCCGGGTCGTTTGTTTAGAACAATTGGGTATAGAGTCCCTCAACACAAATCTGGGTGATCAACTTGAGGGTCTGGGTGATACCAGGGCCTGGGTGATATTTTGATTCCTGCAATTGTCAAAAGAGGTCATAGATTGTTTTAGAAGGAAATTAGAAAATTGGTGGCCTGTGGGTTTACCAAATGTCTGTAATTACTGCAGCCAGGTCTTATTTATCTGTGTAGCAACAAACACAGATAAACAAGATCTTATGATCAGGCATTCAAACTACTCTTTTAGAAGGCTATTAATTGATGCTGAGCAAAACTTAGACTTGGTCTTATGAAGACCAAATGATTCCACCAGGTTCAGTCTCTGATTTCACACCAGGACAGTGGGGGCAAATTTGCTCCCCAAGGGAATACTTGGCAATGTCTGCAACTTCTTTTGGTTAGGGTGGGGTGCTAATGGCATCTAGTGGGTAGACTAAACATCTAGAATGCAAAGGACAGACCCTGAAACAAAGAAATATCTGGCCCTAGATGTCAATAGCGCATAGATGGAACAACAGCATTCTAAGAGGAAACCACTATGATTTGCATGTGGAGGGAAAGCTCTTGCACAAGGAGTCCTGCCCTGACAATAGTTCTCCAAGCTGGGGACCTCAGCATCTTTCAGCAGAGGAGAAGAAACCCAAGTTGTGGATCATTAAGCTACTTATTTTTGATGACAGTAGCAAAGTTGCATGAGTATATTTATTTTATTTTATTTTGGGGGGAGGATACTCATTTTAAATTAATGCAATGACATAATATTTCAGTTTTTCATGATTCTGGGTAATCCACATAACCGAAAAATTTACTAAAAAGTGAATTTACTGAAAACTGAATTGAGCATTTTAACTACTCAGATATATTTATTTCATACTAATCTTGGATGGCACTCTTCCTTTACTGTATTAATTCCTGCTTTCTTAAACAGGGAACATAGAACTAATTTTCTTGTTGAGCTGAAGTCATCATTTGGAGCATTGAGCACCCCTGTTATTTCGTTTTGCACTTTGGGGAGCATGGCCCTGCTAAATGACAACCCATGTTCTTTGAGTTCTTGAGCCTTTCATTTTCTTTATTTTTCTTAAGCATATTTGTTATCATGTCATCCAGCTATTTATTCTCATTGGTGGAATGAGTTTCATTCTAAGTAGTATATACTCGTTTCCCTTTCTAATTTGCTGCTTCTAGAAAATTGGTAACTAAGCTAGTTTAAAGTGTATCTAAAGTAAAAATAAGTAATGTGTGCAAACTGAGTGGTTTGCCTATGGGTAAACATAAAGGTTTTTGCTGATCAGCCTGCAACATATATTGTGCCTTTCCAGAGCTACTTAATGTCTTTTTTTTTTTTTAAAAAAAAAAAGAAATTCTAGGTCATATTAAATAAGTTCACTTTATTTAAGATGTAATTCTGTTTGAAAACACAGACACACACCAAAGATGTGTCACACTCAAATTCATCATAGCATACTATCTAATGAGTTAATGTAAGTGTTATTTGGTTTGCAAAATATTTATTGGTAACTTTTCAGGAATTCATTTCTGTGTAAAGTGATTATCGGCTGACTAAAAGTAGGCCAAACCAATCATTAACACCTGAATTTACCCACACATTTCTCTATATTAATAGGGAGTACAATTCTTGTTTTCTTCTTACCGTTTTGATGTATTTGAGATAGGATTAAGGAGTTGATTGTGAGAGAAAGGTGATGAAAAAAGTGTTAGTGCTGTTTTTATCTTTAGGCCATTTAAATTCTCTTCTTTCATTAATTTTTGCAGGTTTACTGAGGGATTGTTAACTCCTTTCATTTCTAAATATGGTTGGTAGATGCTATGGTCTGAATGTTGGTGTCCCCTTAAAATTTATATATTGGAACCTAATACTCAATGTGATAGTATTAGGAGGAGGAGCCTTTAGGGGGGTGATTAAGCCATGAGGGCTCTGCTCTCATGAATGGGATTAGTGCCCATATAAAATAAGTTGAAGGGAGCTGGCTTGCCCTTTCCACCATGCGTGAGGACACAGTAATAAAGCAACATCTCTGAAGCAGCGAGCAACCCCTCACCAGACACTGAACCTGCTGGCACCTTGATCTTGGACTTTCCAGCTTCCAGAACTGTGAAAATAAATTTCTATTGTTCGTAAGTTACCCAGTCTAAGGTAATGTGGTATAGCAGCCCAGACTAAGACAGTAGGTTCTGTGTGTTTCTTATCTCCAATCCCTTTTCTTTCTCTTCTCTCTTCTTTCCTAAAACCCAAAGTGGGGATGATATAGAGGCACGGGGTGGAAGGGGGTCCATTTTGACAATGGGCACTCCTCTAAGCATATTTGCCTTCTCCTCTTGGTGTTTCATGAGGAAAAGTGCTCTTTGAAATTGAGTGAGGGGAAAAGCTTAGACCATCAAGGGATACCGAGTTTAGGACTCTCTGCTCTTGAGCAGGCTGGAATCCACCCTCACTTGCAAGGTGAGCAGCTCCATGAGGTGAGCTCATGAGAACAGCTCACTTCCCACTGCCTCCCATTTTCCAGCCAAAACTGCAGTTAATCCTTGACCAGGTAGGAAACTAAGATAAGTAAAACCTCAGGTCAAAGTTCCTGCAGAAATATATGTGCATGTAAGAAATTTTCACTTGTATTCTACGTGTGTGTGTGTGTGTGGGTGTGTGTGTGTGTGTGTGTTTATAAATTCCTGCAGGTAAAATCCTTGCAGGGAGTTAGTCCCAACTCCTTTAACCCTAGCCCATTGGGAAGGGGCTGTCTTTCTCACCTTTCCACTGCAGAGAAAGTGGTTGTTGCTCCTCGGATATAGTAATCATAATTGTAGGAAATCATGTCCATTTCCTCACCATAGTGACCTGGATATTCTGTTGTTAGCCTATGCAGGAAGAACAAAGGTTAGAGGAAAATGAAACACATTATTATTGCTGGGAGCAAACAGAAGACACACTATGAAGAAGAGATGGAGTTTGAGCATCCTGGCAAATCCAGACTGAAGTTAAATGACATCCACCAAACAACTCCAGGCTGTGAAGAAACAGACAGCTCTCCTCCCACTTCTCATCTTCCTTTTCTAGGCCATTAAACTGTGCACTGAAAAAGATGAAGATACCTCCCCAGGCTTTGGAATTATCAAAATAACTTTGGAATTCTTGATATTGATTAATATCAATACTATTCCTATTCTATTCAAGTCAACTAAGACAATGTTTTCAAATTTTAGATTATGATTCATTAGTTGATAACAAAATCAATTTAATTGGCTTTAAAAGAGACATAAAATAGAAAAGAAAATATAAAAGCATGCATCACATGCAGTAAGGACGAGTCTATGTATGTAAACATTTTGTTTCAAATATATATGTGTGTTTGTTTATAAGATGTACATATTGCGATAGTTTAATGTTTCTTATTGTGAGTTATAGTCAACAAAGTGTTCAAAAATTATTTAATTAAAATGTAAGCTCCCCAAAGGTAGAGTTTTTGCCTTGTCCACCATTGTTCATCCAGCACCTAAAACACATACATAATAAATATTAGCTGAATAAATATATGGCCTGGGGAAAGTCAATGAATCTGTTTTCTGATCTGTAGAAGAATAAAGTCTACCTTATAGGTTTGTCATTGGAACTAATAAAAATGAGTGATGAGTGTGCTATACTAGTACATGGTAGGTGTTGAATCACTAAGAACTATTTTGTTTCTTCTTCCTCTTCCTCCTTTCCTTTCCTTCTCTTCCAATATTGAGTAAATCCTGAGCCTTCATATGAGTAGGTCCATGGTAGTCCATCCTGGAATAAAGTCTAGAATCCCCCAGTTCTCATAAGGGCTTTGCCACTGGAACCTTCAGGACCAAAACAGTCCTTTTACCATGAAATAGCTCCTCCAAAGTCTTTATCCACACCCCAGGGACGCTTGGAAAACAACTAGTTTGTGAGTGTCAATAATTTCATCTGATTTGGGTTTACCAGATCACTGTTTATTAATGCTAGAAAGATCTTCTCCTCTGCAGACTGATGGTGATCTTTCTCCAAGATTGTCATTAAATCATGAAAAGATTGATTTATAAACTGTAAGGGCTCCTAGGAGGATCTCAGTGCACAGATGGAGAAAGATCAATGGTTAGCTCATTCTCTTGGTTCATAATCATTCCTTTTACCCATTATTCACTAACCCTTGTTCTCTGATTTGACTTTTCCTAAGACGTAATTATGCTCTATCAGGATGCCAAGTCCAACCCAAAGTGAGGTACCTGTGTTTTTGCTTAACGAGTTCATGAAGGGAAATAAGGTCCTGCAAATCCAGAAACTTATTTTGTGCTTCTAAAGAGATCCAGAAGCAGGACTTTACCTTTCAGGTAAATGTCTTTTTTTTTTTTTTTTTGAGACCAAGTCTCACTCTGTCACCCAGGCTGTTGCACACTGGTGCAATCTCGGCTCACTGCAACTTCCGCCTCCTGGGTTCAAGTGATTCTCCTGCCTCAGTGTCCCAGGTAGCTGGGATTACAGGTGTGTGCCACCACACCCAGCTAATTTTTGTATTTTTAATAGGGACGGGGTTTCACCATGTTGGCCAGGCTGGTCTGGAACTCCTGACCTTAAGTGATCCACCCGCCTCAGCCTCCCAAAGTGCCGGGATTACATGTATGAGCCACTGCGCCCAGCATGGTAAATGTCTTATAAGTAGAACTAATAGGGCCTTACTTGGATCCCACTGATTTATGATCCATGAGAATTCTAACAAGGACTGTATTAAAGTTAACCCAAGGAAAGAGAGGTTTGTTGAGAACATCAATAATGCAAATTAGAATAAGAGGTTGCATGGGGGTGGGAGGGGGTGTGTGTTTTCCTTACTTCAGGGAACAAAAAATATTTTCTAAAACTTTTGAAGCATCTCTGGATACAATGTGTAAAAATTAATTACCAAGTTGTGTGTTTTTTCTTTTTTTTGCTAAGGCAGAATCTACATACAGCAACACTGCATTAAGCTAAATCCAATTGCCAAAAGTATTTGGAAATTATGAAGCTAGATTTTTATTTTTTAAGTTTTTACTGACCACTCTGATCTGTCTTCAGATACTTGGATAAATATCACGGAATAAAGTGGGAAAGAAAAGCTTACCTTTAAAAACATCAAGAAGTTTTAAGCTTCAAAGAAGGAAAATGTTATTTCATGCTTTCTTTAATTAGGATTCTCTGTTGCTTCATTTTTGGTAGTGACCAGACATAAGCCCCCTGTCTAACTGGACAGTTTGTCCGAGAAGCCTCTCCATGAGGTACTGATGTCCAGTGAATTTCTAGAATGTCCTAGAGAAGGTGAGGTGCATGACCATTGGTACTTTTTCTTCTTGGTCCCAGACAGGTTTTGTTTTGTGTGACTTTTGGTTGTTGTTATTTTGTCTTGTTTTTGTTATAACACCATGGGATTGAGTTTAGACTGTCCTAGAGAAACCTGGGTAAAGGAGGAGAGGGAAGGAGGTTGGATATCGATGGAAATCTCTCCTACTTTATGAAATAAAAATACCAAGGGAGAAATGACCCAAATCACTGGTAGAAAGTGAACCTCCCAAACACCATCCATAGGAAGAACTATTGAGTCAATGTGGCCCAGGATGCTGTGTTCTGTATTTTCAAACCAGATATATGTGGCTGCATTTAGCGCTTGATGACACTGCATGTGCACGCGCACACACACACACGCGCACAAAGTGTCCTAATAAGTGAAAGCCCAGTAATAGCTCCTTAGAGAGAAAAAAGAATTTAAACGTTCAGAACTAGACACTGAGACAGGGCATAGGGACTTTTCAGGAAATTAAAAGAGGCTACAAGGAAGCAGAATGATCAGGGTTTCCTAAGCTGTGACACTGGGCTTTGCGAGTGTAGGTCGGGGAAGAGTTCGGTGTGGTTGCAGCTTCCTTGTGAATTCCTTGTGAATTACTAGGTCACTTTAAGCAGTTTTTTGGAAAAACACACTTCATACTGAGCATTGCCATACATTCCTAGACCAATTAAAACAATCAAACAAACCTTCAGCTTGGCAAGATGAAGAAGAGCGCAGGTCAGGAAGATGCCTTTATTGAAATGAGTCTACTTTTCAAACATTTCTATGGGAAGCCTTATTTTCTCCTTTCCCCTAAAGTAAAGTGTTTGAATAGATTTATTCAATTTTAGCTATTACTTAATTTTTAATAAAAACTACTGCTGTGCAGGAGAATGGCGTGAACCCGGGAGGCGGAGCTTGCAGTGAGCTGAGATCGCGCCACTGCACTCCAGCCCGGGCGACAGAGCGAGACTCCGTCTCAAACAACAACAACAACAAAAAAAGCAAAACTACTGGTGTGTGTGTGGGGTGTGTGTGTGTGTGTGCATGCGCACTTTCAGATGAATGACTCTTGTGGTACAGTTTCTCACTTCACAGCACTTTTTCTGCTGTCAAGATGAAAGACAGAGAGTTGTTCCAAAGCTAAGAAAAAACTTGATAACATAAAGCCACTTGCACAACTCTTGTGTCAGCTGAAGCTGATGGTAAAAAAATTAATAATATTTTACTTATGAGCTGAGGGAAATCAGTTCGAACTGAAGACAATTTTAAGATTGATATAGGATTTTTCTCATCTAAGATTCTTGAAGCTCTAAAATTATTAACAGATCCAACTGGACTCAATGAATGTTTGCTATGATACAATATCATAGACTGAGCTGCTGCTGATAGATGTCTCGGCTCCGTTGCCACAAGAACAGACATATTGCAGAGCT
Source organism: Homo sapiens (assembly GCF_000001405.40). Classification (NCBI taxonomy): domain Eukaryota; kingdom Metazoa; phylum Chordata; class Mammalia; order Primates; family Hominidae; genus Homo; species Homo sapiens. Next base: position 168,705,002 of record NC_000001.11, read on the forward strand.
GAGTCCAGGTATACGCTCTCACATCCATTTTAGAAAGGGAAATAGAGATACAATCTAGTTATATACAGTGGCCAATTTTATTCATTGTCAGAGGTTGGGTTGAGAACTTATTAGGTTTTTAATAGTTAAAGTAAAGATTTTCAATCTATTCCTTGACATAAAGTGACTCAGCGTAAGGTTTTGTGAAAACCCACCTCTACGAGACCTTATTCGGAGCTAGACACTTTTCTTCTATGAAAGTCAAACTTCATAGCACTGAGATGTGTTTGTTACAGCTGTTTCACTTGGGGAAATTAGGGCAACTGGATTAGTCGGTGTCACCTGGAAGCTCCTCTTTCAGGACTTTCCCTCCAATTGATGTGCACATGAACAGATACAGCTTCATCTCATGGTCAGGAAACATCATATCCCCAACCTTGGCCCACTTTGTGGGGACACCAGAAAAGCACACACCACAGACTCCCTACCATAAAAACTGGAAAAAAACCCCAGCATTTACATATGAACAGATCAGAACGGGTACCTGAGGAAGCCATACTTCAGCTTTTTAAAAAATAAGAATAAAATTAGAATGTCTTCCAAATGATCTTTTATAGCCCAGCTTATGCTCAAACAACATTTTAGAGAAGCTTCTGTTGGTCATTCAATATTGAATTCTGTTTTTCTTCTATTTCTCTACCACTCAATTAGCACATTACTTTAAATATCCCATTCAAATGTCCTGTGACATGTCAGCTGATACAGTTTGGCTGTGTCTCACCCAAATCTCATTTTGAATTCTCAGATGTTGTGAGAGGGATCCAGTGGGAGGTAATTGAACCTTTGGGCAGGTCTTTCCTGTGTTGTTCTCATACTAGTGAATAAGTCACATGAGAGCTGATGGTTTTAAAAATGAGAGTTTCCCTGCACAAGCTCTCTTTCTGCCTGCTGCCATCCACATAAGATGTGGCTTGCTCCTCCTTGCCTTCCACCATGATTGTGAGGCTTCCTCAGCCATGGAACTGTGAGTTCTCCATTAAACCTCTTTCTTTTGTAAATTGCCCAGTCTCGGGTATGTCTTTATCAGCAACATGAAAATGGACTAATACATCAGCACTATATATTTAGCAAGATAATAGAATACTGTATAACATCATGATGGCCAATATAGTGAGCTCTTTGAGGGATCACTGGTGCATGGAATCAAATATGCTTTTATGATCTGGTTCAGAGGTGGGTTTGGAGGAGAAACTCAACATTTGCGGATTTGGTGTGTTGAGGTTGGCTTACGTTTTATATATTCAGCTAAAAAGATGTCCCTTTCTGACAGTCAAATCATTGAGAAGTTTGTTAAATAAAGCCAGTCTGTTCATGATCAATCCTCTTGCATAATGCTTTTCCAAGTAAGCTATAAGGAATGAACATATTTCAGATTAATTTAGTTTGTCTTTATTAGGAGCTACATCAGACCCCCTTTGAATTAGTTTTGTAAAGACAGAAAAAATAAACCCCAAATGGAGTTATGTGTAAAGGAAAACAGCCACAGAGAACAATCCCCAGGCTTCTTCCCACAAGAGCTGGGGATTGGCCAAGCGGGACCTCTGGTAGTCACCCAAGTGCCCTTCTCTGCACAGAAAATCTGAACCCAGGGGCTCTGAGGTGTGTGAAATAAAAACAAATGTCCATGTCTGTCCTTTTATGGCATTTTGGGACTTTACATTTCAAACATTTCAGACATGTATCACAACACGAGGGAATAACAGTTCCAGGGATATCTGTAGCTTAAATGAGTAGAGGAAAGTCCCTGAACACTTTCCAAATTGCTCTCTTGGAACTGAGTTTCTAACTCACTGTCCAAGCCCAGGGCTAGTCAGTAAGCACATTCACTTTGACTCGTGTTGATTTTCATTAGCCACATTATGTGGTGGTCACCCTGGGCCTGCATGTCAGTGGGGGCTACTTGACCTTCAACAGCTCCCCTCCAATTAAAATAGTTTTATTCTCTGTTTTCTACCAGATGCCTACTGTGCTATTATGTAATATTTCACCTGTAGAAGTCTTATTCCTCATCTAGAGACAGCTCAGTACTATGCAAAGAGCATGGGATTTGGAGGCAGATAGACTGGTTGAGTCAAGTTTGGAACTTTGAAGGGAGCCACAACTTCTATAGCTCAGTTCCCTCATCTGTATGATAGTATCATAATTTTTGTGTGTGAGGATTAAATGCAGTAACACAGGAACACGTGGTAAGTGTCAATAAATAAATATTATTATTATCATCATTATCATTAGTAGGGTCTCACCCAAAGCCTATGAATTGTTATTATTTCATATCCATTCACATTCATTGACTGCTTAAGTGAATTAATAAATAGAAGTAAGAATGATTGCCTCTAGAATCTATTATAGTAGAGGGAAGCAGACTAGATAGAATAAAGCATCAGATTTGGTTTGTAACTGAGAGGTTTACTTTGTTCTAAGTAGCTGGCCTTGGGTTAACCAATACTTAGCCAGACACATCTATGATATTTCTGCTTTTGAAGTTTGAACATAAGGAGAGAGGTATCACCTATAATGCAGGCACCAAATACAGTCGATATGGTTTGGCTCTGTGTCCCCAACCAAATGTCACCTTGAATTGTGGTTTCCATAATCCCCACATGTCATGGAAGAGACCCAGTGGGAAGTAATTTAATCAAGAGGACGGTCACTCTCATGCTGTTCTCATGATCGTGAGTGAGTTCTCACGAGATCTGATGGTTTTATAAGGGGCTTTTCCCCCTTTTGCTTGGCATTTTTTCCTGCCATCATGTGAAGGACATGTTTGCTTCTCCTTCTGCCATGGTTGTAAGTTTCCTGAGGCCTCCCCAGCCCTGTGGAACTGTGAGTCAATTAAACTGTTTCCTTTGTTAAGTTACCCAGTCTCGGGTATGTCTTTATTAGCAGTGTGAGAATGGACTAATACAACAGTCATCAGTGGCATCTGCAGGGGATTGATTCCAGGACCCCCATGGATACCAAAATTTTCAGAAACTCAAGTCCTTGATCTAAAATGGTGTAGCATTTGCACATAACCTATGAATATCCTCCTGTTTACTTTAAATCACCTCTAGATTACGTATAATACCTAAGATAATGCAAATGCTATGTGAGTAGTTATTATACTATATGGTTTTGTATTTGTATCATTTTTTATTGTTGTATTGTTATTTTTATTTTTATTGTTTTTTTCTGAATATTTTTGATTCAAAGTTGGTTGAATTCTTGGATAGGGAACCCCAGATATGGAGTGCCAATTGTACATGTCTACATTTTAAATATGGCACAATAATTATGGAAACCATTCCAGCAGATGAAAGGGATGATAGATTTTGCTCAAGTTCAGAGAGGCTGCTGTCTGCACAATGAGTGCTATGTACATCATGCAATGGAAGGCAATGGTTTTAGTAGGGCGCAGAGCATCTAAACCCAATATAAGTTCCTTTAAATTGAGACATCTAGTCCAATTTCCTCAAAACTTAAGTATGTCCATCTCTATAGTAATAGCTTCCAGCTTGCGCAGAGGACCAGTATGGAAGCTGCTCTTCATTTTTATTTTTTTATTTTACTTTAAGTTCTAGGGTACATGTGCACAATGTGCAGTTTGTTACATATGTATACATGCGCCAGGTTGGTGTGCTGCACCTGTTAACTAACATTAGGAGATATACCTAATGGAAGCTGCTCTTCTTACCAGGCCTCTGGGAGCTGAATTGCAGGAGGCTGTCTGGGCACAGGTGGCATATGACAGGCACAGCAATGCAGAGGCCTGTGAGATTGTTCATGTCCCTAAAACAGCATTACAGGAGTGAACATGCAAACACTCCCTATCTTGTATTAACATCTGAACAAAGAGGCTAAGAATTAAAGATTAGCTTTGACTGGGTGCTTTGGGGTGGGAGAGATAAGAATGTTCTAATCAACTGATGTTAACTAGAGCTATACAGGAATTTAAAAAAAGCACTCTCTGGCTTATGACTTGCACACAGAGAGTGGGGAAGTAGGCAGTGGAGAATGCAAAGTCTGAGAGACAGAATATCAGGGTTGAAGAGAAAAGTAAAGGTTACCTAAATGGATGCATTATTTTACAGTCAAAAGATATTATCCAATGAACCTAATGAAAGGCCATGGGTCTGGAGAAGAGCCATTTGGAAAAGAAAATGATTCACAACCATCAGATCCTGGGACACAGAGTCTCCGCCTGGACAGTAGACAGTCTGGTGTGCAGCCTGCAGCTGCTGAGCTGTTTGGAGAAGAGAGATTATGACAAACAATGTCTAAAGGGTTGTGGCAACTTCAGTGACATGTGTTTGTGGTTTGCAGACCACTAGACTAAGAATTAGAATTTTCATATCTAAATAAATATCTATAAAATTCACTATTCATCCAATCCAGTGGAGACCATTTCCTAATGGCATGTCCACATCTCTCAGGAATTTGCTTTCTTGCCAGAGTCCAGTGAGGCTGTAATATCCAAAGAGAAACCGCACAAGCTGAAACGAGAGCAGCACCTTGGTTCCCACCAAACAAATAAATCTCATACTCATTTGGGAGTTGGTTGGATGATTTGTTTTTTCCAGCCCAGAGTGATGATATTTCTGAATCCCTAAGTGCTCACAAACGCAGGCGCTAGATATTCACTTAGCTAGTTCATACGGTGTCAGGCTGCGTGCTGAAGAATGCCTTTCAAAGAGGGAAGGGGAAAAATGTCGTTCCCACCCACATGGGTCCAGTTCCCTGGGAGGTAATTCAAGCTAATTAAAGTCATGTAAGGGAAGGTTTCAGATAAGAGGGTTATCAGCATTTCACTGTGGGAAGGTGCAGGAAAAAGAGTTCTCACTTCACTCTGTAAGGCTGTTAAAAGGATCAAATAAAATAATGTACATGAAAGAAGTCTTTGTCAACTATAAAACATCATCACATCAATGTCAGGTTTCACCATTGTTACTGTTCCTAGGGGCTTGCAACATTCAGTTATTCATCTGACACATTTATTAAGAGTCTATTTTGTGCTGGGTAATATCCTGGAGATGTTGAAAAAATAAGACCTAATTTATGCCCTGGAGGCATTTAGAAAGACATATAATACAACATCATGACTCAGGCAATTTAAAGATGCCACTAAAATGTCTAGACACACCAGCGGGATAGTGAGTCATACACTGTGTACCATGGTGCACACTTGAATCTTGTTCTGCTGCTTCTCCAATGTTTTCTTTGAAAAAATACCATTTTATTTGGTGACCGTGATAGCTCTCAGCTCTAACACCATGCCTTCAGAAATAGAACCAGCAGGTGGAACCACACCTTAGTGGGACTTGTTTCAAAGTTGACTTGTCATGCCTTTTGGATTAATTCTCTGTACTTTCCCCACCTTTTGGCTCCACAGACCAACAGCAACATGTCTGGATGGTAGGATGGGGTAAGGAAGGGTAAAGGGTATGGGGGTTGGGGTGGGTTCAGAGTGGCAAAGTCATTGCAGATCAAGGCTTTGGGTAAACTTTGTGAGCAGAGACATGAATATCTCTGGCAACTCAAAATTGCTCATCTTTATCTATCAATCTTTAACATTGAGACTTTGTTCCTACATATATGTCTATATGATCATTACATTTTTAGCATCTTAGCTGGTGAATTGCATCTAAGGGAGCTTGAGAAGCCTTTCTAAAGTATGTGAGAGGAACGATACCTAGCATTCTTGGGGAAGCAGAAGTATCCTGGAACCAGTCTCCAGGTGACCACTGGAAATCTGGGGCATCATTAAAACAACGGTGGAACTGGAAACACAAAGACCTGTCTTTTTCAGGTCTCAGCATTCAAATAAACAGACAGGATAAGCTTCAAGAAGCAATGCTCAGAGTGTTAACACAGATCCCACAGATCCACGGAATATGGGAATTCCAGGAAAATTTAGATGTTTATCCCTTTCTCTCACACTTACCTTCATCCACCCCCTATTTCTTCTGTTTGACAACTTTGCTTTTTTTTTTCTTCTTCTTCTTTTTTTTTGAGTCAGAGTCTTGCTCTGTCGCCCAGGCTGGAGTGCAGTGGCGTGATCTCGGCTCACTGCGAGCTCCACCTCCTGGGTTCATGCCATTCTCCTGCCTCAGCCTCCTGAGTAGCAGGGACTACAGGTGCCTGCCACCAAGCCTGGCTAATTTTTTTTTTTTTTTGTATTTTTAGTAGAGAACGGGGTTTCATCATGTTAGCCAGCATGGTCTCGATCTCCTGACCTTGTGATCTGCCCACTTCGGCCTCCCAAAGTGCTGGGATTACAAGTGTGAGCCACCATGCCCGGCCTTGACAAATTTTCTAAAACCAGTGAGCCTTAGCTCCTTGCCTGCCTGGTCACCCAAAGCCTTGAGGCCCAAGCCCACTATCTGTTGTTGTTCTGTTTGGGCAGGGGCCAGCCAACCATGATGGCATGGCCACAGACACAGCAGGCTCTCCCACTCATCTCTGCAGAGACCTCGAGCCTTGCTGTGATGAGGAATGTTGCTGCCTCAGCTTACTCCTCTCTGCCTGGGGAAGAATGAGTTAGTACATCTAACAACAGACTGTCCAACTGGTCACATGTCTTGTTCCTCTGCATAACCAACCCCGCTCTCAAGTTCTGCTTCCTGCAATGACCTGACACCTGCTAGGTTGTTCCTGGGCAGAGTTTGCCTTTGAATGTCCTGTTAGTTGGTGAGGAGGCTGGGTCTCTCCTGCATCTGGGAGGGTGAAGGGGACTCTGTTTCAAGACAGGTCAGCTCTGTGTGATCATAGACAGTGGCAAGGCCAGAAATATATTATCTTATTTAATGCTCATAACAAAAAGTAGCCTGAAGTCATTCCTTCATCCAAACAAATGTTATGTGCCTGTCATTATTTATAGGGCTTGGCATATGTCAGCACAAAGATCTCTGCTTGTGTAGAGCTTATATTCTGGGCAGAAGTGGAGGGATGGGGGAGAGAACAAAAAATTTTATGTAAGAGAATTATATTTTCTGGGCCACTTCACATTATATACACCCTCCACAATTATTAATGTGGATATTTGTTCAACAGTTGTTAAGAAGACACTATGTTCCAAGCACTATACTGGGCATTGAAAATACAAAGATCAGTGAGTGGCCCCATATCCTCCAGACACTGGAAGTCCAGGTAGAGAGGAGCAACTGTACACAGGTGGTAAAATGCATAAAGTGCTGTGACAGAGGCATCTACGAAGGGCAGAGAGACAGAGCCACCAACATCCAGGCCTCCAGCTGCCCCTAGGCTGTCCATGTTCCCCTTCCTCCCCACTGCAGCCCGTGCAGGGCTACCTCCTCACCTCCTCACTCTTTCCCCTGCTCCTGAACCCACTCCTCCTGGCCACCCAGCATACCCCAGCCCTGATGTGTTCCTTTGGAGTCTGATTCAGGGAAAGTTATACTAATGTAGTAAATAAATTCACTGACTGAGTATTAGGTTTTGCTTGCTCTTTCAGGTAATTTACATACATTTTAACTGGCTTTTAATGCTTTGCAACAAAGGGAGGCTGGTTTCCTTGTGGGAAGTGCCATTCTGTTAATAGACCAGGAATGAGAGATTTGTGGAGGCCAAGCTCCTACCTACTCTCCCCTTTCATTAGGGCGCACTCGTCTTTGGAACTTCCTTCATCCTCTCAAAACAGTTCTGGCATCTGGATCATCTTTTCCAAAAGTGTCTTTGGAATTAAGACATTTTTAGGGTTCAACACAACCTGAAAGATCTTCTAGTCCTTGGAATTTCAACTTATGATCCAGGGGTTCTTGGCAGTGTGTTCATGAATGGCCTTCAGGGAGTTTAAGGACTCCCGAAATTCTCTGCAAACTATTGTATTAACATGCTAAGTGCATTTTCCCCCCTGAAGACAAGGTCTATAGTTTTCATCAGAGTCTTAAAGATCTTGGAGACTCAAAAAAGGTGGTCATCATTTTAGGTGATGTGCTTGAGCCTGCAGAGTTATGAGAGGGAGGGGAGAAGGGGAAAGGGGAAAGAAGGGAGGGAAGTGAGGAAAGGCCAACACAGAGACTGAAACTCAAGTTTCTTTTTGCCCAAACTGGTGCTCCTTCTACCTCCTCCACTGCAAGAGATCTTTAGGTCTTTGGTTCAGGACCTATCCCAGTGGCATCGTAATCCTTTGCCAGGCCTGTTCACCCACTGTAGAGGAGTAAAAGCTGCTTTATGGAAGCGATTTTGAAGAACTAGAGGAGGTTTCTGCTCCATCATACAGTGACAGGTGACTTTGAGCTCTGAATTTACTATCGGTCCTTACTTTAAAAAGAAAAACGTTAAGCTTTTGGGGCTTTGTATCCCTAGAGATACTGTGTGCCACTGGGCATCTGTGGAGTAAGCTGTCTGATTGCAGAGAATAAGCATGACCTGTGAAGCTGTCCTTGCAAGCATCAAACTGTAGAGAGATCAATCACTTGAGGGAGCCAACCTTCACATGTTGACACTTCTGGATCCCCTTGCCCAAGGCAGAAATGCCTGGCTCATTTTCAGATTAAAAAAACCTGGGCCGGTTGTGTTATCAACACCCAGTGTAAGTCATCAGGGCAAATGACAATATACACATTCTCCTAGTCAATTGGAAGGCTAGGTCAGGAGATATTCGGCATGAGCCCAGGGATAGGGAAAGAAACAAAACATCAGAGGCTGGAATTCCAAATGGATCCAGAAAACAGCACAATCTTTTTTTTTAATTTTTTAATTTTTTAATATTTTATTTTTTCTGTCTATAACTATGTACTAGACTCTGACCCATGAGAGGATTGGTTTCTCCCAGAGAAAGACTACAGGAAACTAGGTTCCCAAATAGGCCCTGCAGCCTTGGATATGATGAGAAGTTACCAGAAGTTGGGGAGAAGGAGAACAGCACTGGGATGGGAGTCATTAGGCCTAAGCTTAAGACTTGGCATTCCCACAGAGTAGGTGGGTGACTTTGGGCCAGTCAGTGCCGGCTCTATGGTTCTGTTTCCTTTTCTGCCAAAAGAAGGATGTGGGGGGTTGGATAACCTGAAAGATCCCTCTTGGCGGGAACATCCTCCTAAGTCATTCATTCATTCTTGTCTATATGCCAGCGCTGCCTTCCAGGCTTGTGTGTGACCCTCAAGCTTACCTGAAGCTAGAGCACTTCCTAGGTGCCTCTCCCACCCCAGGAGTCATGAGGGTTTGGTCGGCTGCCAGACTCACCAGCAGGAATATGGGCACCTCTTGCTGTAGCGACAACAGTAAAACTGCCACTCCCGATCCAGCACTGACTCGAAGTAGCGGCTCTGGAATCCTGCCACCAGCCCATTGTTGGAGCACGTCTGGTACCTGAAGAGAAGACAACCCCAGGAACCTAAGAACAGTGACACATACACAGACCCCTTCCCAAGACCCCACTGCCACAGTTACACACTCTTTCTCTGACCTAGATTCTTAACAATTTATTCCATTTTATGCAAATAATAGTCTTTATTATATTTGTAGAAATAACATAGCCCCTCCATTAAAATTTAAGTGACTCAGAATTTTCTAACTGAACAAAATTTAGGGAACACTGCCCCTGTCATACCTCTTTCAATATATATTGTTAGATGGAAGCCTGCATAAATGGGTGGATCTAGAATTTTACATCTAGAATTTTACAAATTCGAGATTGTATTATTCATGCCATTTAAAATAAAAGGTATTATAATTCATTTTACTGGAATTTAAAATAAAAAGAAGACAAAGAGAAGCACAACGTATTGATGAATTTCAAATAAACATTTCTTCTGCCTAAGAGAAGAGCCCTGGAAATTGAGCACAAGGATGATCATTCGTTCTGCCCCTGCACAGCATGCAAAGCCCAGATGGGCATGGTGAATGTGCCCAGGGCAGCCCAGTAGGAAAGCTGGGACCACAACCCAGATTCTTCCTACTTATCCAGGAATCTTTCTACCACCCACAAGACCATAAGCTCTACACAGCCATGGCATGTTTTTCTCAGAATTCTATTCCTGGTGGCCACCAAGAATCCTGGCTGTGGAGGCAGTCCTTACAGAGTTGCAACAGGCCAACTGAATGCCTCAAACCCCCTCTAAAGATCCCTTTCCTGTCCTAGCTGCTTAGTCCTAATTCTTCAAATATATAACCGCTCCACTCCAGTCCACAGACAAGAAATAATTTTTGCTCTTTCATTCTACCTGTGCTGCTGCTGGTCTTCACAGCACCTTTTGAACTAAACATTGACTTAGAATAGTACAATCATTTCTTCCTTTGTTCCATCTCTAGTATGATTTTCTCCCATTCCTGGGCCCAATTCCTATGGCGTCTTCAGGCTTCCCACTTTTTGCTGTGATGATAACACTATTTTCTACCTGACCACAGTGGATTTCCACTGTTCTTGCTACTTATCCAGGAATCTTTCCACCACCCACAAGACCATAAGCTCTACACAGTCAGGGCATTTCCACTGTTCTTGCTACTTATCCAGGATCTAGAATTTTACATCTAGAATTTTACAAATTCAAGATTGTATTATGCATGTCATTTAAAATAAAAGATATTATAATTCATTTTACTGGAATTTAAAATAAAAAGAAGACAAAGAGAAGCACAATGTATTGACGAATTTCAAATAAACATTTCTTCTGCTTAACAGCAGAGCCCTGGAAATTGAGCACAAGGATGATCATTTGTTCTGCCCCCACACAGCATGCAAAGCCCAGATGGGTATGGTGAGCCATGGCCCTTTGATGAAATCCAGTGGATTTCCACCTTATAGCATGAGCTCTTTCACAAACCCTTCCAAAATAGTTCTTCAGTTACCTCTCCTTCTTTGCATTTCCCACCATCCCAGCCATTGGTCTATCCCCTCTTATGAGTGGGCAGAGCCAGAGCAGGCAGTTGTCTATGTGCATGGCCAGACAGCTGCTGGAATGCAACCTTGTATTTCATGGGAAGATAAGTTTTCAGAAAATATAATGCATAAAGTAAGTACCGTGTGCTGACTGGTGAGAGAGGCCTTGTTGACACACAAATTGTAACATTATCAACAAGTGGATTTCATTTATTCTTTTCCATTGCTGAAAATGAACTTGCAGATCTAACAAAATTAGATATTAAATATATTACTTGTCTGTCATCAGAAATCATCCGTCCTTTTAAATTTATTATTTATTACTTGTTATTCATTTATTCACCTAATGTATATAATTCAAATATGCATTTATTTATTTATTTATTTATTCATTCATTTATTAAACATCTCATACTCTACTACTGTTCTGTATCAATCACTTTGCTATTATGTTGTGAGAAGAATTGAGAGATGGGCTCGGTATTCGGTCAACCATGTAAATTAGCTTGAATTCCCTGTTCCCAGGACTTGTAAGAAGTTCTGGCAGACTAGAAAACTCAGCTATAGGGGCTCAGTAATGCAGGTTAAGGTGTAAATTGAGACCTATGGCTCTTTGATGATCTAGCTTTTTTTTTTTGGTATGTGCAACTGTGTAGTTTATTATACATGTATCTAGGTTTTACAATTTTCTTTTATTTTACTTTAAGTTCCGGGATACAAGTACAGAATGTACAGGTTTATTACATAGGTATATGTGTGCCATTGTGGTTTGCTGCACCTATCAACCTGTCATCTAGGTTTTAAGGCCCGCATGCATTAGCTATTTGTCCTAATGCTCTCCCTCTCCTCACACTCTACCCCCGACTGGTCCCAGTGTGTGTTGTTCCCCTCCCTGTGTCAATGTGTTCTCATTGTTCAACTTCCACTTATGAGTGAGAGCATTCACTGTTTGGTTTTCTGTTCCTGTGTTAGTTTGCTGAGGATGATGGCTTCTAGCTTCATCCATGTCCCTGCAAAGGACATGATCTCATTCATTTTTATGGCTACATAGTATTCCATGGTGTATATGTACCACATTTGCTTTATCCAGTCTATCACGGATGGGCATTTGGGTTGGTTCCATGTCTTTGTTATTGCAAATAGTGCTGCAGTAAACATACCTGTGCATGTGTCTTTACAGTAGAATAATTTATAGTCCTTTGGGTATATACCCATTAATGGGATTGTTGGGTCAAATGGTATTTCTTGTTCTAGATCCTTGAGGAATCACCACATTGCCTTCTACAATGGTTGAACTAATTTACATTCCGACCAACAGTGTAAAAGAATTCCTATTTCTTCACAGCCTCGCCAGCATCTGTTGGTTCTTGGCTTTTTAATAAACACCATTTTGACTGGCATGAGATGGTATCTTATTGTGGTTTTGATTTGCATTTCTCTAATGATCAGTGAGGTTGAGCTTTTTTTCATATGTTTGTTGGCCACATAAATGTCTTCTTTTGAGAAGTGTCTGGTCATATACTTTGTCCACTTTTTGATGGGATTGTTTCTTCTTTTCTTGTAAATTTGTTTAATTTCCTTGTAGATTCTGGATGTTAGACCTTTGTCAGATGGGTAGTTTGCAAAAATATTCTCCCATTCAGTAGGTTGCCTGTTCACTCTGATGATAGTTCCTTTTGGTATGCACATGCTCTTTAGTTCAATTAGATCCCATTTGTCAATTTTAGCTTTTGTTGCAATTGCTTTTGGTGTTTTTTATTATGAAGTCTTTGTCCATGCCTGTGTCCTGAATGGTGTTGTCTAGGTTTTCTTCTGGGGTTTTTATGGTTTTGGGTTTTTACCTTTAAGTCTTTAATTAATCTTGAGTTAATTTTTGTATAAGGTGTAAGGAAGGGGTCCAGTTTCAGTTTTCTGCATATGACTGATGTAGCCTTCTTCATTCTACCATTGCTCGCATCTCATCAGGAGTATACTAATCACTTTGTAAATGCCTGGCATACTTCAGCAAGCTATATGAGTGGAATGGACTAGGCTCATGATATGGTGGAAAGGTAGCTTTAGGGGCTGATCTACCAGGGTGTTCTATTCTATCCTAATTCTTAGTAAAGTAGGTGAGAGGTAATTTCAATATGAAGCTCTAAGAATCATAAGCAAAACTCATATGTGTCCAAAAAGAGAAGGTTGCCATAAGCTAGTGCTCTCTGTGACCTGTTCTCCTACCATCACTAAAATGCTGCCTTCCTCTAAAACAAAGCCCTTTCAGAACTGAGCTGGGCTGTGGTTTCCACGGAGTTGTTGTTCCATTGTTTTGGCTTGTCTTCTGTACTCAGACCCCTATAGGGGACAGAGCTCCCATGGGGGTAAGTTCCCCTAAGTAAAAATAAATGTAGGAAGATAAGCCGAACTGTTTCATGGAGTACCAGTTCTGAAGGCAATCCAAGTTCCACAAATTCCCCGCCAGCTGTTGGCCAGGCTGCTGGCCCCAGTGCCTGTACGGGAAGTGTGTGTCACTTTCTCACACACCACCTCAGATAACTCTGCCCTGTGAAGATTATTTGGACCCTACAGACTCAGAGCCTAAGAACATATAGTGAAAGTTAGATAACCAAACATAACCCTCCTCCTCCGGCTTTGGTTTGATTGCCTTCACATTTTGGTAGAGTCAGCCTGTTCAGGAGTTTGGTATGTGAAAGCATTCCTTCCAGAGCCGGATCTTTGTGGGGGTACCTTTTCACACTGTGGGGAGCAGATAGTAGAGTGGCCAAGAGCATTGGCTATGCTGCTGGATGGCTCCACTGTTCTTAGCTGTATCATCTGGGCGGGTTTCGTGCCCTCTAATAGCCTCAGTTTCCTCATCTGTAAAATGGGCATAATAATAGCACATATGTATTAAAGTTATCGTGAAGACCAAATAAGACAACGCATGTAAAATTCCTGGGATTAATAAATTGCTTATTAGTGTCATTATACTTATGTTTAGTCTACACAGTAATTATGAGTCTACTTTGTAAAAGCTGTCCCTTGGCTCCCCTGTCTCTAATCAGTAAAACACTGGTGGATTCATAGGCCCTCCCTGAGCTGCTGTTTCCCTAAAACAAAGCTCAATGAGGTTGGATGTCTTAGCCACCCACTTTGGAGCACAGGTACTTTAGTATGCCTTACCACTCTCAGGAAGTAGTATTCCATGCAGTGTCTGACATTGTTGTCCAGCAAATGTTTAATAGAAGAATGAGGGACCGAATGAGTGACCCGACTATGTCCCATTATTGGAGGCAGAATTGACTTTTAAGAGCTCATCACTCAATTCCATTAAGGGCCCTGAAACTCCCTCCAAGTAGTTTACATGGATCTTGGGTGAGCAATCCCTTTTCTTGCTTCCGTTCTCTCCCTGCAGCTCCATGATGAGGGGGCAAAATAAATATAGCTTTGGGCATTCCTCTCCTCCATTCCTCTCATTTTCACTTTTAACAAAGCTCCTTATTTAACAAGACTCACCTAAACACTGGCCATAGCTGCAGGATTACAAACACAGAGCTAGGTGAGAAGAGAGGCAACTTCTAAATGGAACAGGACTGGGGGAACTGTCAGGGATTGCATTGCTAAAGTTACTCAAACTCAATTTCAAAAGAGATGGGTAGCGGTCAAATGACTAATGCTCTGACTCACTTCACAGCACCTGGTTGTTGCTCCTGAATGGCCTGGAGAACAGGGCAGTGGCTCAATGCTCTATTCCGCTTGGAGGGAAACTACTTGGAGGGAGTTTCAGGCCCCTTCATGGATGTGAGTGAGGAGTTCCTAACAGTCACCAATACGATGGCTAATATCCTGGTGAATTGTATAACATGACCGCAGCTCTAAGGAAATAAGACTATTTCCTTAGAGCAGGAGGGCACTGGTACCTTACTTACAAGACTCTCCTTCCCATCTGAGAAGACATACTTTTTTTTTTTCTTACCACCTCTTTGAAGGCTGAGGTTCAATTTCAGTTTCAGAAACTGGAGTATTGTTAGCCCTGCTCCATCTGAAACTGGAAGCTTTCTAGAAGGAAAGTCACAAGGTAATTACTCCTCCTCTGAAAACACATTTGTGAACCTATTCTGAGAAAGTGGACTTTCTGAAAATGATTTATCTCAGGGTCATCACCCTGAAAGCTAAAACGGAAGACTTTCTCCTGTATCTGCAATAGTAAAACATAACAGCAGTGGGGTGCAGGGGAAAGAGCCCTTGTTGAGGAATCAGCAGACATGAGTTCTAGTCCTAGCCCTGACCTTTACATGCTTTGTGGAGCCTCACCTAAGGCACTGTGTGGAGTCAGTGATAATGCCTACAAAACTCTCGGCCAAGAGAGTAACTGGAAGAGCCAGGACCCAACTCAGATTCATCTGAGGTCAAAGCTCATGTTCATGAGCTCTCAAGAAATATAATAAATCTCTTCGAGATGGTCCCACAGCTCTGATTGGTATGCTGGACAGGACTTCTTCTTGTTGTCTGCATTCTTTACCAAGTCCAAAGCTATTGGACAGGCAGAATTACAGAGCATTTGCAAGGTGTGTGAGTGTCTGGTTTTGTTGGTGAACCCCTCTATACAATTTTAGAAGTTGGACTTGCTAAGAAGTTTGGACTTTAGGTGGTGTGGTGTGGGGTTGAGTCAAGTGATGAACAAGGTAAAAGGAAGCAGCACCATCTTGGTCAAGAACTCTCAAAATTTCATTAAATAGATAATAGATGGGCTGGTTGTGCTGGTCTTTTTTTTCCCAGCTTCACAGACACACAGGTGTTTCAAGGGCTGTTAGCCAGTTTCCAACCCCACTGCAGAGATGGACTATGAGAAGTTTTGCCCATGATCTAGACAAGTGGCTCACTCCATGTGGCACAGCATCCTTAACACTCCCAAATTTCTTTCCCGCCCCAAAGGTGGATGAGGTCTTAAATAGTACCAAAAGAGTTTCTTTCTTTTAGAGTAAAGCTTTGATTTTTGTTAATTCTATTTTCCCCAGAATAATTCTTTGAGTTGCTATCAGGCATTTATAAAAAGGCCCACAGAATTTTAGAATGTTCATTAAGTCTTTTGACAAATATTCACTAGAACTTACTCTATACCTGATGCTGCACTTGGTCTGGAATCTCTTCAGAAGACTGGTACTGATAAGTAAACACTATGACATTGGACAGGCAGAATTACCAGACACTGTAACTGATAAGCAGACACTATGATAATACAGATACTGGAAATAAGTAGACTGGTACCAAAGACAGAGGAGCAGAGAAATAGGAGAGTGGTTGGGGACAGTGGAGCAGTGAAGTGGCAAGGGACAGAGACAAACACAGTTGGGGGCAAGTTTGCCCAGTAAAAGAAGCCTTCAAAGTTCTGGATTTCTCTGCTAATTCCAAACAGAATTGTTCCATGACCCATCTCTCCCCTTCTGCTGATATTTATACCTACTTCTGTAAAACTAGGATGACAGTTCTTAACCTGACAGTATTACACAAAAACTAAAGAGATGCTATATATCAAGTGTAGCATAGAACCTGGCACAACGTATATAATTGAAAGGCAGGGGAAGTCATAGTTATTACTACCATGATGATAAAAGTACCTGTAATCTGATAGAAAGACAGGCTACATCCTAGTCACGAAACATCACTTTCAGTAAATATTGGAGCCTACATTAGAAATTGTCAGGATTGAACTTCTCCAATTAGACACTGAGAGGAGCCTCAGAAAGCACATATCAGAGCACAAAAGGCAATACCAAGCCTCTCCTCCTTCAAAGATCCTTCCTTTCTTGACAATTCCAAATCATACTAACTTTCCTTCCTTGTGACATGTTGATATCACCATTACACATTTCACCTAACACATACTGTCACTGAGTAGCCTCATGGGGCTACAATGCAAAGTTTTTGAACACTGCACCGTTTACTGCTCATCCTCCTGCCACCATGGTGGGGATATGAACAGTCTCTTTAAATAGTGTTAAGTTGCACACATTCTGCTCTCTTCCTGCCTGCATCTGGGTAAGAATTCTGCTGTCTTCTCCATGTCCAGGTTTTAAGTCTGCTAGTCTGTCTACAAGGTTTTAACAGTGAAGCAGAAATGACCTGCAGAACAGCATCTCTGGATAGAAAGACCTAGCACAGGACAGAGCGAGAATGCCTCCAAAAATACAAATTCCTCAGGTTTTTTTGGAAAAATACAGGCAGGAGAGGCTTCCCCTAAGGCCTCTGAGAAGATCTAGATTATCTTGTGAGATGCATTTATGTCCTGAGAGCAATTCCAGGTCACACAGGAATTGCATGAGCTACATTAGCATCACAGTAAATTTGACGTGAGTTTATGAATATCAATTATAATATTTTTAAACAAGAGATCTAATGCTATCTCCGTGTCTATTAAAATGTAATAAATATTCAAGACACTTATAATGTACACATAATATTTATAGACTGTGATTAAATTATATGTTCCAAAAGCAAAATGATATATTTCAGAGGCTCTGTAATCTAGCAATTTGGTTTTCAACTCCAGCTTTGTAATTTACCAACTGTGTGATACTTGTCTCCATGAGTCTCAGTTTACACAGAGTAGTCATGATAAAGTAATAATAAATAACCTTTATCAAGGACTTGCAATGTGCAGGCATTGTGCTTAGCACTATGCGTGCATTAATTATTTTAATTATCAAAACAATCCTATAAAATGGGTTCAAATAATGAGCTTCTCACCACGATCACCATTTTACGTATAAGGAAACTTAGGTTTAGAGAAGGTAAGTAATTCCCCTAAGGACACAAGTTAATGTACATATATTATCTTATTTAATTCTCACAACAACAGTTCTAGGGAGGTGTGTTTTAGTTGTGAAAGCTGAGTATTTCGGAGTTGAGACGACTTGAGTAAAGGTAGTAGTGGGGTCAGTGGGGCTGCATTTTGAGAATTGTTCTGACTCTAAACTTCATTAACTTTTCAATACTTCAAGATCCCTCAAAGAAACACACACACACACACACACACACACACACACACGATATCTTAACTCTGCAGAAATCTCTTATTGATTGAGAAGATTGTGTCCTGCAGGTTCCCAGACAGAAGCAAATCCCCTCCTGGGAGGAGGGAGCTTTTGCCATCCTTACAAGAGCAGCCAACAACCATTTTTGCAGAGCTCAAGTTCCCCCAGACAATTGATTCCTAGCACTTAGGAGAGTGACCTAGATGGAAAGTTGGCAAGAATCCTAGATCTGTCATAACCCTATTCTCCCACACTCAGCCTTCTTGCCCTCAGAAGTCATCCTTAGGTGGATTTGATATCTTTTTTAGGTCAGCACTCACTATGGCTTTATCCAGGAACAAAAATAACATCAGCATTTCATATCACCCACAGCACTGTGGAATCAGGCTGGCTGGCTCAGGTCCTCCGTCTGCCATCTGCTAGCCATGCAAGGGCAACCTCCTCATGTGTGAAACACCTGGATTCCAATACTGTTGTGAAGATCAAACAATATTAGCTTTTGAATAACTCATGGGCATAGACTGTATGTTATTCATCTCCATCTTCCTGGGGCCTGGGAAAGTTTGTGCTAATAAGCATTTGGTAGTGAATGAATAAACAAATGAACATATAAATGAGGAATACTCTATAAATCATAAATCACCACGTAGATCAGGGTTAGGGCCATAGAACCTATACTTATGTAAAGTTATGGATTTCTCTCCTAATTCCAAACAGAATTGCTCCATGACCCATCTCTCCCCTTCTACTGATATTTATATCTACTTTTGTAAAAAGAGGATGACAGTTCCTAACCTGACAGCAATGTTTTTATTCAGTTTTTAATTGCTTCAGTCTCATGGCCTTTATTCCTATTCTGTGAGGTAAGGAGGTTGCTCTAGATTGTGCCCAAGACCCCCTCCAGTGCTGGAATTCCACGATTCTGTTGTACTATATTTGTGCTGCATCCTTATATTTATTTTTTTAAATTTTATTTTGAAGTAATTTCAGATTTACAGAATGCTTGTAAAGACAGCACACAAAATTCATGTATACTCTTCACCCAGGTTCCTCTAATGTTAATTTTCATAACTCTAGAGTGTCTAGGAATGCTAAGAAATGCTAAGAAATTAACCTTGGTATAACACCAAACTGATTTCATCAGTTCTTCCACAAATGTCAAACCAGGATAGGTTACTGTGCAGCATTTAGCCCTTATGGCTTTTGAAATAAAGAGTTTACTTTCAATTTTTGAAATTGATCGAGACCTTAAGATTATTGAGAGAATGAAAACCTGATAAAAACTTCATTCTGCGGCGGCAAAGTGTGTCAGCCATCCTCTGTGCATGTTTTAGCGATCCTTAAGAAATCTTGAAAGACCATCCTGCATGTTGGTAAATGCAATAAATCAAAATGAGATGTGAACAATACAGTTGGAACCCCTACTATAGACACTGGAATATTGGGAATCAAAGACATAAGCAAAATGGTTCCCCTGTGGGAAAACCTGCAGGCCTCCTTGCGGAGGGCCGTGGGGACACTGGCTGGGGTTTGGACTGCTGATTTGGTCTTTCACTGCATATGTATTGAGGGCCTGTTATGTACCAGCACTTGTCTAGGCACTGGGGATACAGTGGTGAATGAGACAAAGCCCCTGTGTTCATGAAGCTTATATTTTAGTGAGGGAGACAAAACAAGAAACAAATGCCAATCAGGTAGTGACAAGGGCATTGTAGGAAACAAAGCAGGCTGAGGGAGTGGAGACAGCGAGATGTGTGGGGAGAGGAGGTGGTCTTGGAAAGCATCCCCGAGGAAGTGGGCCCTGTGAGTACTCAATACTCAGAACCATGACTCAGGACGACTGCCCTGAACTACACTGAGGCTTGGTCTTGCTTAGATTAGGGAAATAGTCCGACCATGGAAAACGGAGTTCCCACCCAACCTCTCCACCTTCAAATGCACCTCGATGCTGCCATAGCCCTGTTGCATAGATTCTTTCTCCTCTTCTCCAGTCTGTGGCTTGTCATTGAATTCATAAACTCAGCTCTAACACAAACTGCCACTCCAAAACTTCTCCTTGAGATTCTTTGAAGCCCGGGGTAAAAAGTAGATACCAATAAATGGACCACTTTTCCTCTGAACTCAGACTCCGTGGAAAGCTGGCTTGCCCAACATCAGCCACATCAATTTCAGATTCACTAAACTTTTACTACCTGCCCATGATGTGCTAGGCATTTGTTTTAGACTTCAATTTGCTTTAGAGTTTTCTTATACTTTATCCTACAAGTATCACAGTAACACAAGTAGCAGCTTGTGAGGTGGGAGTCACACCTTCCTTTTTCTTCCTTTGCTTTTCTTTCCTTTCCATTCCTTTCCTTTCCTTTCCTTTCCTTTCCTTTCCTTTCTCTTTCCCTTCCTTTCTTCCTTCCTTCTTTCCTTCCTTCCTTCAATCCTTCCTTCCTCCCTCCCTCCCTTCCTTCTCTCTCTCTCTTTCTTTCTTTCTTCTCTTTCTTTTTTGCCAGAATGAGATACCGAATGTCACAGATACAAGCAGGAGCTGTGAATCCAGGTTTCCTGCATCCAAGCCCAGGGCTCCTTCCGCTACACAGTAGCTCAATCTCACTAGAAAATTTCACCTTCATCTTATTCCACACAGGACCCAGTGCCCTACAGCCTGTGCTGACCCAAGTTAGAGCAGATTCCCTGAGAACAACCTAGGCATGCCCTGGGATGGTGAAATACCACTCATGGGGACCCAGGTAAGGCCTCCTGGTAGTTGTTAGTGCCAGAGACCATCATCCAAACTTCAGAAGCCGGCACTTGAAGAGGTGATTTTCAACAGAGAAACTGTGATCAATGGCAGCACCACAGACCACTCAGCTATGATGGCAACACCTTTTAAAGATGGCACTTTGATTAGAAAGATTTTCTTTTTAGCAGATCCTATGTGCTATTGTCAAGCCTATATTCGAGACTCCTCCCCTCTTTTAAAATAAACCTGAAAGCTAATTTGGTTATACAAGGCAGCCCAACTGCACAAAACCATCAACAACTGTTCCCTGAGAACAGACTAAGCCTGTAGCCAACGTCAGATGTAATAGCTCCCCAGCCCATAAGCAATTTCTTTCCTTACAGATTTTTCACTGAGACTGGAGGCTGAACTCAAAGGCATAATCATTTTTAAAAGTGCTTCCAGGGTAATTCGTGTCAGTCCTGGGGCAGCTGGATCTTATTGTAAAGAAGTTGTTTTGCATGTTTGTGAGTTTTCAACCCTGTGATTAGTAGACGGGGAGAAGGAGGCAACAGAGGGTGGAAGGAGGAAAGGAAACCAAAATTACTAGACACTGCACACCCAAAAATGCCGAGTAAGAGGAGGTGGAAGAGGTATCTCGCCTATCAGCTTTTCCCTTGACTCCCATGGGCCAAATAAAATCATGTTATTTCACCTTCTTCCTCTTTTGCTTTTCTTCAAATAGTTTGGGAGTTCATGACAAACCAGTCACAGTTGGCAAGTTTAAAACTAAACATCATTTGGCTTCTCTCTCTAGCAGGGATGAACACAAAGATCAACAGAATGCAAGAAAAAGCCAAGAGTGTTTTCAGGGGTGAGCCACAGCTCTGTGGAGCCTTCAGAGATCATGCAGCCTGACTGCTCACTTTCCAAATGAGGCGGGAGACTGGAGGGCTGAGCGTCTGGGCCAAGGTCACACCACAAGTCATTAGAACCAGGATCCAGACCCAGGCCTCCTGATTCAGAGCCTAGGGCTCTTCCTCTATGGCTTGGGGAACCATGGCTGAGTGCTGCTTGACTGTGGCACAAAAAACGGCTGTTAGAAAGGAGTCGCACCCATGCGATAGTGCTCCTGAGAGGTGAGGACTGGAGGGACAGTTGTAATTAGGTCATTGCCATGCTCCACATTAGGCAGTGGGCCTGGCTGTGAGGAGTCATGGAGACAACAATCAAGGTGAGCCTGGTCTCTGAATCAGCATCTGTCAGAAGGGGTTTTGAATAACTAAATCTGCTCACCAGAGGCCATGGGGGTGGATGAGAATGGCCCACAAAGGCTGTCCAAGCAGCCTCCACAGCCCCGGCACCCTCACCTGCTGCTGCCTGTGTGAGTCCTCTCCCCACCCCTTCTACAGTCCGGCTGAGCCCCTCCACAGTCCTGGTAACCAAGTAGGGATCATCCCTCTGGGGCTGGGCTTCTGCTGTGGTCTTGCAGGTCCCCACCCTCTCCAGGAGGAAGAACTGCCCTGAATCTGGTCCTGTGGCACTGGCTCTGCTGACAGAGTCAGCTGTCGGGTGGGAGCCCACTCTGGGTGGAGGCAGCAGCCTCTCAGGAGCCCGTCACTGTGGCAAAGTACAAACTCTTTGAAGCAAAGACTCTGTGGATCCAAACCCCAGCTTTCTAGCCGAGGAAATACTGGATCTCTAGACTGCAGTTTGTCTACCTATAAATGGGATATACCCTTGTTTTGAGCATTACACGAGATGATCCACATAAAGCACTTAGCATGGAGCCTGCTCAGGGTAAGCACTCAATAAATGGTAGCTGTTGTCATTACTTAAAGGCCCGCTCTCTTTCCTGGCTCCCCCACCCATCGGTGTTTCTTCCTCTTGGATTTCCCATCATCACCTCTCTACTGGTTGTGTCCCCCAGGGTTCTATGCTTTTTCTTTTTTCTATTTTCTTTTTTTTTTTTTTTTGAGGCAGAGTCTTGCTCTGCCACCCAGGAGGGAATACAGTGGTGCGAGCATGGCTCACTGCAGCCTCGACTCCCTGGGCTCAAGTGATCCTCCTACCTTAGCCTCCTGAGTAGCTGGGACCACAGGCTGCATGCAACTACACCGGGCTAATTTTTTTTTTTCTGTAGAGATAGGGTCTGGCTGTGTTCCCTAGGCTGGTCTCGAACTCTTGATCTCAAGTGATCCTCCCTCCCCAGCCTCCCAAAGTGTTTGGGATTACAGGCGTGAGCCACCACACCTGGCCAGATTTTGTGCTTGACCCCTCCAATCCCCACTACACTAAGTACTTGTTGCCACACATCTGGGTTGCTCTACAGATAGCACATGCAGCAGCCCTCCAGGTGGGCTTCCTCCTCCCTGGACTGCCTCCTCCGTTCTCTCCTCCAAGCCTCCTAGAGTGCTGGCTCCATCTAGGCTGTTGTAAATAATCAGCCTAGCAGTCAGTGCCTACTAGGATGAGCTCCTGACCAAGCACCTGGGCTGAGACCCAGCTGAGACAATCACACCCCACAAAAAAGTACAAGCTCGAAAAAATTCCATGCCACTGCTTAAGGCAGAATGCAGTCAGGGGAAGACAGCACCTCTCTCCAAAACCCTTTAGTAAACTATTTTCCAGCAATAAAACCCACTTTAAATTCAGGCAGAGAGAAGGACCTCAGTACTCATAATTGAGAGAGCACATTTAATCAAGGCAGTAGACAGCTATTTAATTCCACTTTCTTTTGCCTAAATGTCCTTGTCCCCTCTTTTCCATTCACTTGCTCTAAATCAATAGTTCTCAAACCCTCCGTGCTGAGAGATCAATTGTTTATTTTTCTTGTTCCCAAACTACTGTGGGCCAGTACTTTTGTAAAATGGTAAAAATAAATTTCTAAAAAAGAAAAATGCCATTCCGATGGCACAGAAAGTTTTAATTTCTATAAAGTTTATTACTTTCAGTTTCTGTACATATCTTTTGGTAGTCTGGTAAGCAAGCTTCTCGCCGACCTACACCAGCCCCTGGCCCAAACTGAGAGTAGGTAGAACAGCTTCTGGAAGGAACAGAGCCACAGAGGAGTCTGTCTCCCACAGACACTCCCCATCCCAGGTTTTTGTCCTGTCATGTAGTCCGCTCAGCAGCAGCCCTGCTCCACCCAGAGCATGCAGTGGTGAGGTTTGGGGTGGGATTTGCCCAGGCTTTGGTTACTGATATTCCTTGAGAGTCTAGCAGCCCCCAGGAGGAGGGATATGCAGAGATGTTCCCAGCCCCAGTGCAGTGCAGGGACTGGCCCTTACCATTCCATGCCAGCCCTGTTGATCTCCTCCCACCAGCACTCCGTGGGTTCCCCGAGGCTCTGTGGCGTGGGCATGCAGGCGTAGTTCCATTGTCTGTCAGAACCTTCCTTCTTGCTGAAGATGCTCCTCACGGCCACTATCACCTGCCCCTGGGGACACTGGTAGCTGAAGCCTTGCCGGTTCAAATTCACCCACCCATCATCGCTGTAGTCATGATACTGCTGGTATGGGTATCCATAATCGCCATACTGGCCCCAGGCCATGGTGACTAGGGGCAGAAGTACCCAGAGAAGACTGAGGTCCATGCTGCCTGGGATTTTGGCAAACAATGTCACTCTAAGATTGCTGGTCTGACCGTTTTATATAGCTGCCGCTGACATGTGGCTTCCAGATGTGGGTGAGAAGGATCCAACTGCAGTGTGTCATTGCTTAAGCAAAACTTTTCCATGCTGAGATGTCAGCCATAAGGACATTCAGCTTGTTTTAAGGTGGAATTCTAGGAATATACCAGCAGCATGTAAGTCTAAGAAGCTCCCTGGAGAAAGAACAACTTTGTATCTAGATTATAAAAGCCAACTGCTGCTCTACCCTGTAGAAATATTCACTTGAAAAACACTGATTAGTAGCATATTTGTCCCTCACCTTTCAGCACCTCACCCCTTTCTGTCCTACCCTACCCGCTACTAGCAAACCCCTGTATTTGTTCTCCAAACTAGCCTTCCGGGCCACACAAATACCCAGACAGTGATTTCAAAATACCGAAATCATAGACTGAAGTAACAGAGCCATCTAGGATTTCTGTAAGGCTGAATGCCTGTTTTTTTTTTTAAGTTGTCAATCCAACACTTTTTAACCCTTGAGTATAAGCGCGGGTATACCAGTTTGCAGGGCTACTCTGAGAACTCATAAGTTGCATAAGGAAGTACTATGGGCCCATGGGGAGATAAGTTGGATATGATTTCTACACTTAAGCATTCTACCATGCTGCTGAAATTGGACCCAGTCAAGTCTAGAAAGTGTGCTCTGCTCTCAAAATGTAATGGGTTTAATCTAAATAAACCCCCTATTTATCCTTCAGTATTTTTGCCCTCACATTGAATTTTCTTTTCATTGAGTTATAATTTACATATAATTAATTCACCTTTTAAAATACATAATGTACAGTAACATAGCCAGCACCCTAATCAAGACTTAGAACAGTTCCATCAATCCAAAACATCCCCTTATATCCCTTTGCAGTCAAATCTTCCCAAACACCCAGCCATTGGTAACCACTGATTTACTTTCTGTCTCTATGGTTTTGCCTTTTCCAGAATGTCAAGTAAATGGAATCATACCACACGTAGCCTTTCATGTCCATCTTTCACTTAGCATAATGCTTTTAAGGTTCATCCATTTTAAAATTCAACATCTCATTGTATGTGTTAGTATTTTGTTTCTTGTTATTGTTGAGTAATATTCCATAGCATGGATGTACCACAGATTGTTTATACATTTACTAGTTGAAAGACATTTGGGTTGTTTCCAGTTTTTGAAAATTCATTACTTTTTATGTAATGAATTTTATATTCATTATATTTTATATAATGAATTACATAAATGTAATTATAAAGTTGATATAAACATCTATGTATAGGTTTTTGTGTGAACAAATTTTTATTTCATTTGGGTCAATACCTAGGAGTGAGATTGCTGGTTCACAAGGTAATGTATGTTTAACTTTAAAAGAAACTACTGAGGCCGGGTGTGGTGGCTCATGCTTGTAATCCCAGCACTTTAGGAGGCCGAGGCGGGCGGATCACGAGGTCAGGAGATCGAGACCATCCTGGCTAACATGGTGAAACCCCGCCTCTACTAAAAATACAAAAAATTAGCCAGGCTTAGTGGCGGGCGCCTGTAGTCCCAGCTACTCGGGAGGCTGAGACAGGAGAATGGCGTGAACCCGAGAAGCGGAGCTTGCAGTGAGCCGAGATTGTGCCACTGCACTCCAGCCTGGGCTACAGAGCGAGACTCCGTCTCAAAAAAACAAAAAAAAGAAAGCAAGAAACTACCTAGCTGATTTCCAAAGTGGTGATACCATTGCCCACCACTACCAGAAAATTGCCATTAAAAAATTTTAGCTATTCAAATAGGTTTGTAGTGATATTTCAGTGTGGTTGTGATTTTCATTTCTCTAATGATCCATGATTTTGAGCATCTTTTCATGTGCTCATTACCCATTCCATGCATCCGTTGATGATTTGGCTTTTCAAATTTTTTGAAACCTTTGGGCATCTCTTAAGCACATAGTATTTCCCATTTCTCATCAGTATTGTTCTTAAAGTTTCTTAGAATTGTGATCATAGACCAATTCTATCTACAGCCTCTGTGAAGTTTGTTAAAATGTAGACAGTGGCTCTTCTCCAGGCCTGCTAAATCATAACCTCACAAGGGGTGCTCAGGTATTTATATTTTAAAAAATTTTCCAGGTGATTCTTATTCACATCAATTGCTAAGAGTCACCTTCCTAAAGGAATGTGGAGCCAGAGAAAAATCACACTATTAATCCCACCATCTGCCTAGCCTGTGGCACATTTACCAGACGGTATTCAGTCTAGATCAAACACCAAGATAGTCTTGAAAGGGAAAGACAGTCATACATGAGAATAAAGCAACAAGTAACTCGTGTGTGTGTGTGTGTGTGTGTGTGTTTGTGTGTGTGTTGGGCATGCAGTTTTCTTTGATGATCATGGTTACTGAAGCGAGGGGGAGAGGATCTGGGCTGAACAGCTATGTGAGGCTTAGTTTTGTTTTTAGCACCATCTTCTCCCACCACTTCCATCCGTAAGTAACTGCCCAGTGCTGGCATCGGAATTCTTCCTAGCTTAGAAGGATCTCTCTGATTCATGATATGCTGAAGCAATCATTCTCCACCTTATCAGCATTTAAGGATTACCTGGAAAGCTTTTGGAAACCTCCAGAGTCTAAGCAATTTCTGGACCAATCAGATCAGAAGCTTCTGAGCAGGGTCCTGACAATGACGTCCTTTGAAACCTTCCCTATAGGCTTCTCACCGGAAGCCAGGGTTGAGAACCTCTATGCTAGAGGGTTTTTTTTTTTTTTTAATTTTTTCAGTTTATCATCCTGATGCTCATGAGTTGTATCTTGCATTCTGGACATGATATGAGCTATTTTAAACCTTAAAGAGCTCTAAGAGACAAAGCAGATTATCATAAACACTCATCTTTATTATACATTTGTTTTCCAACAATTTCCAGGGCCTCTGCCTGATCTCCACTCTCCGCAGATTTCTTTCAACTACAGCTAG
Source organism: Homo sapiens (assembly GCF_000001405.40). NCBI lineage: Eukaryota > Metazoa > Chordata > Mammalia > Primates > Hominidae > Homo > Homo sapiens. Next base: position 168,732,177 of record NC_000001.11, read on the forward strand.
AACTACCTCAGCTGGATTCCCTTTAATGTGCAAAAATAAATATCTTCATGCTATGGTCCAGTTTTAATATAGATTTCTGTTACTTAAAGCTGAAAGCAACCTAACTCATCCAGTGTCTCAGGAGATTCCAGAAACTGCTGATGCCTTTGAGAGAGATTCTGGTGGCCGCATAGAGAATGATTTCCATACGCAGACATTGAGAACATAAGATTAATGCATTTACAGTTGACCATGTGTTTTCAACTAGGTTACTATGTTATCTTCCTCATAACTTTATATGTTAGTGAGGCATTATTGGAATTAGTTTCTCACAGATGGGGAAACTGTGGTGAGAGAACATTTTGGGCCAAATTTCTAGAACTGGAAGGATATGACCCCATGTCTTCTGATTCCCATTCTGCAATGCCTTCCATCATTTCATCAAAGTTACAGTTACTAATTATAACATTTATGAATAATTGTCAAATAATGCACTTATAAAGTATGTATATTAACATACACATATAACTAATTTGCGCTACGCATTTCTGCTGTTATTTGAAAAGTCTACTCAATAGACCCTGGGGACTTTAAAGAACTAAATGTTCAATAAGTAGTTTTTGGGGTGTTGCTCTAAAACCAACAGCATCAGCGTCACCTGGGAACTTGTTAGAAATGCAAATCCTCCGGCCCCTCTCAGACCTACTGAATCAGACACTGTAGGAGTAGAGCCCGGCAATGTGTGTTTGAACAAGCCCTTTAGGTAACTTGATACTCACTAAAGTGAGAATTACCGTATAGCAGATAATGCAGAACACTCTACCCAAATTCCAGGTGTCACTTCTCGAGAAGTTATGTAGTGATACTGAAGCCTAGATAACTCAGTTCACTAATTTTGATTCTGGCGCCCACACAATTCACCACTGGGCTATCTTACCTCCTAGTAGATAATGGACTTGAGATATTTTGGAGATTCTGACAAAGAGCATTCAAAAGTCTCCATGATTCTTCTTTTTCTTCTACCTCTTATTCTTCTTTTCTCTCTCCTTATCCTCCTCCTTCTTCGGCTGTATTGAGATATAATTAACATACCATACAATTCACCACTTAAGGTATATAATTCAATATATCCCTTAAATTAGTATGTTCACAGAGTTTATGCAACCACCACCGCAAGCAATTTTAGAATATTTTAACCACCCAAGAAACCCTGAACACATCAGTAGTCGCTCTCCATTTCCCTTCATCCTTTAGCCCTAGGCAACAATCAATCTACTTTGTGTCTCTATGGATTTGTCTGTTCTGGATATTTCGTATGAATAGAATCATTCAATATGTGGTCTTTCATGAATAGGTTCTTTCATTTAGCATAGGTTTTATGTTAGCGGTTCATAAGGTTCATCCATTTTGCAGCATGTATCACTAGTTCATTTCTTTATAATGCCAGATAATACTCTACAGTATACATCTACCATATATTATTTATCCATTTACAAGTTGATGGACATTTGAGTTGTTTCCACTTTTTGGCTATTATGAACAGTGTTGCTACAAACATGTATGTAGAAGTATATGTGTGGACATATGTTTTCATTTCTCTCAGGTATATACTCAGGAGTGGAATTGCTGGGTTATACGGTAATTTTGTGTTTAATCTTTTAATGACCTGCCAAACTGTTTTCCAAAGCAATCGTGCCATTTTACATTCTTACCAGCAGCGTATGAGAGCTCCAATTTCTTCTCCACATCCTCACCAACGCTTATTAAGTCTGGGTTCTTCTGAAAGGTGTAGGAACTCATAGCCACTCTGGTGACACTTTTTGCGACCTGGATCCACTCCTGTCTGGCAGCTTTCTCAAACATATAATCCCTTTTTGAGAGATTCTGAATATAATACTTTGCCCGATTTTAATTGAGAGCACCTAGAATGGCCCTAGAATCAACTCATTCCTAAGTTACTTTTACACTTTCTGGATTGGGGTAGCTGCTATTGTATATTGGGAGGGAATGATGTAGACTTACAGAGGTCACCCTGGAGCAGACCTGATCCACTGGAGAATTCCAGATGTGACGTGCTGGCCCCGAGGAGGGCTGCTCAGACAGGAGAAGGCAAGGCTCATGCTAGTGCCTGGGTGAAGCTGGTAGCCCCAGATGAATGGATGCTTAACCCAAAATATTGACTGTGAGTTATTGGAGGATTCCATTTTGCCTGCTGTCTTTTTTCCCTTTTAACTCCTGTGTATAATCAGGACTTGGCTGCAGCTCTAGGTGGCCAGAGTACTATCACAAACTTCCCAGCAAGTGTATGCTGAGCCATCCGTGGCTTTCCTCCAAAATGAGTCTGTGCCAGTTTCACGGTTTAGCTGAGAGAGGCATTCAATAGCCTCAGTACACCCAGGCTGTCCTCACCTTCAGCAAACTTGCCACCCTTGCATGACCCATTGCTTTTTAAGATCATTTGTGGAACCCACTGTCATATCATTTGGGGTTAGCCCCGAGGGCCACCAATAAGGTTAAAAATGCTCATACTGGAAGCAGCAGGAGAAAGAGTGACAATCCAAGTTGAGGAAATAGAGAAGATTGGGAGGAGTAGAATAAGGTGCACCTACTGTGTGCTAAATACTGTACTATGTGCTTTACATATGATAGACCAATTGACCTTCCAGCAGTTCTAAGAAAATTAGGTTCAGAGATCACTGGTAGCTCACCCCAATTTTCACAGCTAGTACAGAAAGGTGACTTGAATTTGTTAGTAACTATACTACCCCAAGTGCCAAATGGTCACAGCAGGGCCTCAGAGCAGTGGCAGATGGTTGTGAGAAGAGCAGAGACTCCTAAAATCCAAATATCTAAGTTAAAGTTCTGGTTCTGCAAGTAATCAAAATGACCTTTTGATTTGGGTCAGATAGTTTTTTGTTGTGGAGGCTGGCTGCCCTGTGTATTATAGGATGTTGGACAGCATCCCTGGCCTCTATCCACTAGATGCCAGTAGCATCTTCTCTTCCACCACTGTGACAATCAAAAATGTTCCAGACATTGCTAAATGTCTCCTGGAGGGAAAAATCATCTCTGGTTGAGAACCACTGAATCAGACAAAACCCATAACCTTTGTTTTATCATCTGTAAAATGGAGGATAATCACAACACCAGCCACTTACCACGAGATTATTGTGACAGTCATATCAAATAGTGGTCTTGCAAAGACTTTGTCAAGTGTAAAGCTTGAAACAAATGTACGTTGTTAGTCTGACCTCAGGGTAACACTAGAAGCTGGAGTTGAGGGAACAATCATGCATATTAGTGTAATGAACAGCCCCAGGACTCCGCAGGGCAGAAGAGTGTTCTTGTGCAGATGATGACTGGAGGGGTTTGGGAATGAGTAAAGCTGGGGGAATATGGCTCCACCACTCTCTGGAGTTCCATTAATATGTGGATGAATGTCAATCGCAGAGGTTCCTGAGAGTGAGTTTGCAGGGAGAGGTGTCAGGATAACAGGGCTGAGCACTAAAGGCAGAGTGAGGGTAGAGAATTCAGGAGGCTTGGGAACAGTAGGCAGATGGAGGAGCTATCGTGGTGGAGAAGAAGCTTGGGAACTTGCGAGCTTGGGAACCAGGACTGTGTCTTGGGGTGAGAGTAGGGATGGGGATGGGGATGGGGTGCTGCTAAGCCAAGTTAGCTCTGAGACACTCACAGAAGGAAGCTTCAGGGCCCAAGTGCCTAATTAGTGTTCTGGGGTCTGTGAGGATGAATGAAGCACAGAGATGTATGTGTAGGTGCTGGAAATATTGCTTTAGTAAATGTATTATATGCTCATAAGTGGAGGAACAGAGTTCAGGATACTGGTTACAACCTCTGAGCTCATGACTCGCTAGAGACCATGGTTAAAAAAAAGCGCGGGAGGAGGTTCATTGGAGAGATTTGGTTACAAACGGGGGAAAAGAAAGAAAACAATTTAATCAGAAAGTGCTTAAGTGATGTCATTTTAAGCCAAATTTTCTAATTTGAAATTGGGTTTTTAAGTGGGTAAACCTAAAGTTTATAAAATAAATAACAGCCCCTTTCATTTGTGTAGCATTTGGCACGATGTATATAAACCACACAATCCAGCACTCAATAAATATTTATTCTTTTCCATGTGCAGGGATTTAACAGATCTCAGTTCATCTTTGCATTGGTGATGGTAGTAAAGTTGGCTTTCTTATTTCCATTTTATCAGTTTGGAAATAGAGGCTTTGAGAGGTACAGTGATGTCCAAAGTTACAGAAATATTGGGTGACAGGGCTTGGGCATAAGCCAAAGTTCCCTAGTTTGAGCCCTGCCAGTTCTCTTGGAGGACACGGCATTGAGGGATTTGGTGACACATCCTTTAGGGAAGCAAGGTGGCCAATTCTAGAGCACTTTGCCAGTTCACACAGTTTGTCCAAGCCTTTCCCTCCTACAATCCTGAAGGCAGGTGGTGGGGGCAGGGCTTTAGCAGGAGGAGCAGCCTCCCTGAAAATAACATCCTCCCATACAGGACATCTCTGCTGGTGCCGTCCTCCAGTGCGTTTTCTGTGTGCTGCTTCCTCTGATCAAGCTCGGCTTGCTCTTTAACCAAGATTCACGCATTCTTGCTCCCATTCCTGAAGCTACAGATTGGCACCTCTTTTCGGCATTGTTCAATCACGGTACATCAACTTCAGATAATGGACTTGGTCACCTAAGAAGCATACTGTCTCTCCCAGCTCTAAAAACACACACCCACCCCAAAGTATTGATACATGTGAGGTCCACAGACCACCTGCATCACAGCCATGGAGGCATGTTAGAGGAAGATTCCTGAGTTTTTGACAGCCTTGCTTCAGTGGAATCCTGGAGGTGGGGTCCCGGAAGCTGCCATTTTTTTTTAGACGGAGTCTTGCTCTGTCACCAGGCTGGAGTGCAGTGGCGTGATCTCGGCTCACTGCAACCTCCGCCTCCCAGTTCAGGCAATTCTCCTGCCTCAGCCTCCCGAGTAGCTGGGACTACAGGCGCGCCACCATGCCCAGCTAATTCTTGCATTTTTAGTAGAGATGAGGTTTCACCATGTTGGCCAGGATGGTCTTCATCTCTTGACCTCATGATCTGCCTGCCTTGGCCTCCCAAAGTGCTGGGATTACAGGCATGAGCCACTGCGCCCAGGCGGAATCTGCCTTTTTAACGAGCTTTCCCACATGACTTTTATGCATCCCGAAGTGTAAAACCACAGGCTAAGGTGCATAAGGATGTTTATGATTTTGTAAGCTTCCCAAGTATGAGGCAGAACCAGGCAGGGCTCCTCTGCCAACTACCCTGTCGTTGGTTACAGTAGAAATACTCCCCTGGCTCTGTGGCCTGTGGGCTCTGCTAAGGGCTTTGCACCCTAATCCTGCTCTCAGGGAGCCCACCACTTGCCTCCTGTCACACACCACCCACACAGGCAGTGACAGAGCAGAACTGAGAACTGCAGGAAAGGCAGCAGCTCAGCCTTCTTCTCATGCCTGTCAACAGCCTGGAGCTGAGCACGCTGCACACTAATGAGTACTATTTTCTACCCCAGCTTTTTAAAATGCTGCAATATTAACAACTACCAAAATAATTCAACTCTCTACAGCAGTGGGTTGGCTTAGCCGAAAAAGACACCAACGGGGCTATGGCATCTTTGCTGTGTTGCTAAAGCCCTGCAGAGTATATGCACGTGCACATGCACTCAAATAGAAATGCACATACTTTAATTTATCAGGAAAACTAAATGAGACAATACATGTAAATGTACCGTGCTTGGAACAGAGCCTGGTACTGCTGGTACAAAAAACAATCAGATGTCATTTTGCAAGGGGATGTACTGAATATTCCCTATTTACTTTTCAGATCTTTCTCTTTCCTGCACTGTGTTCTAGGAGGCTTTATGTGCTACCTTAAGGTGCTCTCTTGCCCTCTGGTTCCTGCTTGGGCTTGGCCAATGAGAGGCACCAGCAGAATATGGAAGGATCAGGAGAGGGGTCAAAATATGAATTCCCCTGGCTCCCTGCCACCAAGGCCTGGTTGGCAGTGGCCAGGTTTCTCTCCATGCAGCCTTAGCTTTTGCTGGCTGGCCCCCTTTCCAAGGGAAATGCTTCTGCTAGGTTCCAGCAACCTCACTCCCTCACCCTGCAGCTTTAAGACTATAGGGGTGATCTTACCGTGGTTTATAGCTGTAGCTGGCCCTGGGATGTTCACAATTAACCCTGCTCACATCTCTGTACATAGTTATTTCATTAATTCTCTCCAGTCACTACTGTTGAATATGGACCTGTTTCCTGCCAGGACCTGACTGATATAAGGAACAACTGTCTGGATTTGATCCAAGGAAGATCCTGAAACAATATGACTGTCTCCAGCACTGGGCATCTGTCTCCAGTTTCTTGTGGTCCTTAGGTGCTCATGGGGAGAAGAAAGTCCTCCCCAGCTGTGTGATGTTGGGAAGCATCCATGTGCTTCCCTCTTCAATGCAAAGCCAGCACCACTTCCACCATTTTTCTACCCTTAACTCTAATATCATTCCATCCAAACACCTCTGTAACCATTTCCCTTCAGGAAGTCAAAGGTAACCCTTCTCCTGAAAATCAACTGGGAATCCCTCTGATTTGTCCTTATGTGTGTGTCAGGCTTCCCACTAGGCCATGTTGTCCCTGGGCCTGGAGATCCTCCTGAGCAAAGGAAAGTGAGATCTTGCCAACCTGCATGCTTACATCAGTAGGTCTAACTGTGGTACAAACTTTTATATCCACTATATTGAATGTCATCTCCATACTCTTTGAAAGACACATCCTCTCGATTTTACAAGTGAGGGCGATGATGCTTAGAGAGAAAATTGCCCAGGGTTATCCAGCTGGTAGAGAAGATCTGTTTTGAAGCCTGTTATAAAACAAAGCTTGTGCTCTCAAAATGAAGAACCTCTCAGGGTTGTATCAGATCAGAAAATTCCCCACACTCTCACAGGACTGCATAAACCCCCTCAGAGCCCTTATTCCAATCACAATTTTCTATGTATTTGTATAATTATTTGATAACATCTGATTCCCCATACTAGACTATAAGTTCCAAGAGGGCCAGTCCTGTGCCTGATTTTACATACTGTTGTTTCTTCAGGGTATTAGTACTGTGTCTGCTGCATTGCAGACATTCAATAAATATTTTTCATATGTCTGTTCACTGAAATCAGGAGACTGGACCAAATGACCTGTGAGGTCACATGCAGTCTTTTGACCTCATAAGGATCTACCTTAAGGATCAAGAGGTGAATTCTGTTTATCCGATGCCTCCCAAGATATGAAATTTAGATCAGGAAGTAGCTCAGAAAGTACAGTTTTTGGCCAGGCATGGTGGCTTATGTTTGTAGTCCCAGCACTTTGGGAGACTGAGGCAGGAGTATCTCTTGAGGTCAGGAGTTCAAGAGGAGACTGGATAACAGAGCAAGAACCTGTCTCTACAAAATTTTTATTAAAAATTAGCTGGGCGGCCGAGCGTGGTGGCTCACACCTGTAATCCCAGCACTTTGGGAGGCCAAGGCGGGCAGATCATGAGGTCAGGAGATCGAGACCATCCTGGCTAACACAGTGAAACCCCGTCTCTACTAAAAATACAAAAAATTAGCCAGGCATGGTGGCAGATGGCTGTAGTCCCAGCTACTCAGGAGGCTGAGGCAGGAGAATGGCATGAACCTGGGAGGTGGAGCTTGCAGTGAGCCAAGATTGGGCCGCTGTACTCCAGCCTGGGTGACAGAGCAAGACTCGGTCTCCAAAAAAAAAAAAAAAAAATTAGCTGGGCATGGTGCATGGCTTTTGTCCTAGCTACTTGGGAGGCTGATGGAGGAGGATCTCTTGGGCCCAAGAGTGCAAGAGTGCAAGGCTGCAGTGAGCTATGATTGCACCACTGCATTCCAATCTAGGTGACAGAGCAAGACCCAGTCTCTAAAAACAAAAACAACAAAAAAGAAAGTACAGTTTTTCTGACTTTTCATTGATTGACAGATGACCCCAGTATATCTGAGCAGCTGCTGTTTGGTAAGCCAGACAACAAGCCATCTGAAAGCAGGAAAGACGCCTTTGCATTCACCACTGTGTCCCCAGAGCCCAACTCGGCCTGGTGTATTGATTACGGATATTGAATCAGTGTTGTCTTGCACGGATGACTTGAAATAGACCCACATCAATGAAGTAAAGGCACTCTCCGCTCCTCTTTTCTCAATTTGTACCCTTTATCCTAAAAAATGCTTTCAGGAGTCACTGAAGCAAGACTTGAAATAATGTGACCTTCTGGGTAGTAATATTACAGAAAAAATAATAATGAAAAGCACATCACGTGGCAATATCCAAAATGAGATGGCTTTAGAGAAAAAAATATAATTCAAAAAACGAAGAGGAAAAACTGCAAAAATGTCATGTTTTGTATACCAAAATAACCTATAGCTTCAACTAAAAGAAAAGTCTCCAAATGCACAAAATGCAAAGAAATTTGTTTTTTTCAGATATATGAACATAATAGTATCATAAGTAGTGTCGTGTAAAACTTATTCTCCCTTTTTCTCTCTATTTACCTATGTGTGTGTGTGTGTGTGTGTGTATAGATGTGTCCATTCCTACTTAGATGGCTTCTGCATCAAGGTAACTATTTTTTGTAACAGTATGGCTAGATCAGACAGCTCATCTCATTTGACCATCCCAAAGAAAATGCATTATAACCCACAATCCTTAGTAGCTATCAAGTAACTTTATCAATGATCAGTACTTCCTGAGATATTCTGATTTTAAGAATTTTGACCTGATGCCTTACAAAGGCACTAAATGGTCCTTGTTCTCTCTCAGGTAAGGGCGTACTGGCTCAGTCTATCTTACCACAGCCAACAGCACATAATCTAAGACCTGGTGTAGTGGGTTACATAGTGTCCTCCCAAAATGTCTGCCTATCCCAAAACTGAGAATGTGACTTTGTTTGGAGCAAAGATCTTTGCAGATGTAATTAGTTAAAAACTCAAGATGAAGTCATACTGCAGTTAGAGGGAGGCTATGGGCCAATGACTGGCGTCCTTATAAGATGAGAGGACATAGAGGGACACAGAGGAAGGGATGATACCAAGATGGAGGCAGAGATTGGAGAGATGCATCTACAAGCCAAGGGGCTCAAGGGATTGCTGGGAGCCACCAGGAGCTAGGATGAGTCAAGGAAGGATACTTGCTTAGAGCCTTTGGAAGGAATGTGGTCTTGATGACATCTTGAGTTTTGACTTCTGGCCTCCAGAATGGTGAGAGTAAATTTCTCTTATTTTAAACCATCAGATTGGTGGTATTTGTGATGGTATCTCTAGGAAATTAAATCATCTGGGCTCAAGGGGGTTCCATCATTGGGGTGTACAGTCATCCTTCTAGTTACACCTGAGTGAATACCACGCAATCGTGGCAGGCCTTCTCAGCTTCTCTAAACCACCTTCCTTTTCTCTCTGACAGACGCCACTTGCACCAGGTTGTCCCTCCACATTTTAACTTGGATGGAACATCAGTGTCTGCTTCCTGAGCAGCTGCTAAGCTGAGGGACTGCATGACAAACTCTGGCAGTGAGGGGCAGGGAGCTCTTGGGGAGGAGAGGAGGGAATCTCAAGCGAAGGGGAATGAGAGACGGAGGGAAATGTGTGAAGAAACATCTCTCCTTCCTTTCTTCCTTCCACAGTCTGCTCTGAGGCACACTTTCTCCTTGCAAACATTCTAGAGAAGTCCAGGTGCCCAGGGGCCACATCTGCTGAATATCACCTCACACATCCCCTCTTTCCTCACCTCATCTTCACTGGGATTTGCAGATCCCAAATAAAGCTTCCTTCACATTTAGTACTCACCACAGACTCCAACATTTAGTAGACCCCGGCAAGACAAGGTGGCATAACCTCAGCAAATTAATTAGTGTTTCTGTGCCTCTGTTTTTCCCTCTGAAAAATTAGCAGTTTCTGCCTCATACAATTGTGAGAAATTAAATAAATCAACATATGTAAAACACTTGAAAGGTGTCAGGCACCTAATAAATGGTAAATGATATGCACTGTTATCTGGCTTATGGAGGTTTTCATTCTGATACCAAATGTTAATGAGAATTCTTCATCAAACCCTAATCCTCTAGAAACAATCTGATAATCATATAATATCTTCTTTTAATGAGGTCAGCAGAAGAAAAAGAAATGCAAAAGCAACATATTAGGGGAAGGATTATTAGGTGGAAAAGGGCCTGAGAGAGTAAATATTTTTTTTTCCAGGTCTCAGTTTATAAGTTAAAAAAAAATCCTGAGAAAACAGAGGAAAAAAAATTCATTCCTTTTTACAAAGGCAAAGAAGTACCTGGCTTAACTCAGTAAGCAAGTGCAGCAGCAGCAACCACTCTATGACATAAGAGCCACCATCTGCACGGGATGTGCTGACACCATGCTAAGCTCTTTATATTCAGTATCACAATTAATCCCACAACTATCTTTTGAGACAGGATTATACACATTTAGACATGAGAAAACTGTTTGATAAGAAAAGGTTAATTAATTGCCAAGGTCACACTGCCAAATAGTGGAGCACCTGGGATTTGTACCCAAGAATTCTGACTTTAAAATTCACCATCTCATCTTTCCCTATAGTGTGAGGCAGTCTGAGTCTAGCTCTAAAGCTAGACCCTTATTACAATGCTGGATGAGTCCTAAAAGAGTAGAGTATAAAATGCTAATTTTCCCATCGAAGCAATCCTTGTCTCTAACTACTTGGACACCCTACAAGTGATATTGCATAGTTCTGAATGGAGGTGTCCCAGACTCTACAATTTTTGTCTCCTTACTGTCTTGTTAGTAAGAGCTAAACACACACATGTGTAAACACACACACACAACCATTAGCAACTGAAATAGACTCATGAAACATCAAAAGGTGGCTTATAGGCAGCTCGTGATTTCAAATCATGATACTTAAAGTACTCTGCAGCACGCCAGAGACAGCAGCCTGGTGGGTGAGGCTCCTGGAACACGCAGCACTGCCATAGCACCGATCGTCCCAGAGTCAAGAGCCTCCTGAAACACTGCCATCTGAGCAACATGCTAGGTCCCTGACAAAGTCCCTCCCATGTTTAGCTTTCAGCCTCCCCTCTGACATAGGCACTTCCCTCCGCTGGCCTAAGAATGATGATTTAGAAGGTGTGTAGTGCCCTAAATTGGAAAGGGCAGTAATTTTCCTGAACAACAAGAACTGACATTTTCCCATGGCTGATCAGAGAGGAACCAACACTGTAATGCTAGTCAATCCCTTCTTAGAGCTCCCTGGATAAAAGATATTATAGGAGCATTAAGTATCATTGAAGTTGGAAGGAAGAAGAAAAACATAGGAAGTGTTTTCACGGGCTGGAATGGAAGGCTCTGAGTCAGGGATAGCTGACAGTTGCCTTTGCAGGTTTCCTTTCATTGTGGTGTCAAAGACTTACCTTTACGTTAGCTTGCTGGCCACCGGTCAGACTGATGAACAGTATTAAGGACAAGAATATTTCCTCAGAAAGTGTGTTCTTAAAATGTACTCATACTCATGAGAAGTGAGTTATAACCTATGAAAGTACCTTGTGTATGTGGGGAAATGGCTGATCTCTCTTCCATTCTACTTTCTGTTTAGAATGCACTGTGAAATAGACAGTTACCCTGAATGACTTGAAAACTTAAGTGTCACTGATTCCTGGAATGATTGGGTGAATTGTTTATAAATAATCCTTGTGCCACTGTAATTAGAGTTATGTGAATCCTATACCTGGATCTAAAAAAGCACTCTTTTGACAATACACATTCTTCCCATCCAGGAATGTAATACGTCTATGCACTGATTCAAGCAAAAGCATTTATTAAAACTTGCTGGGGACCTTGGATAAGTCATCAAACCTCTCTGAGCTTCAGTCTCCACATTTGTTAAACGAAGGGATTGGGTTAGGTAAGAGGCCTTTTCCAACTCTAACATTCACGGATTCTATATTTAAAATATATTCTTGAAAGGATGAATACTTTTTTTTAGCATTGATAATACTTCTGTCTCTGAAACCTCAACATCACTATTAAATTATTAGTTATGGGACAGAATCGGTTACTGAGAAAGATGAGGAGCTGTCCTCTCACAGTCTGCCCCTGCTTCTTCCCAGGAACGGTATGATTCAGTCACATGAATTACATCTAGGTACCTGAAAACACCATGATCATTCTTACTTCCTGGCCTTTGTCTGGTCTTCACATGGCATGGAACACTCTGTGTCCTCTTCTCCATTCACCAGACTCACCCCAATTCACCCTGCAGACTTCAGCTTCAGTGCACCTCCCCTGGGAAGCCTCGCAAGGCCCTAATTCACCCTGCAGACTTCAGCTTCAGTGCACCTCCCCTGGGAAGCCTCGTGAGGCCCTCCCAGCTGCACAGTGCCCCTCCTGGCATTCCTGTTTCGAGTGTTATACCACTTCCCAAACTTTACTGTGCTTAACTGTTTGCTTTCTAGAAGCTTTTTCTTTTTTTTTTTCTTTAAGTTTTAGGGTACATGTGCACAACGTGCAGGTTAGTTACATATGTATACAGGTGCCATGTCGGTGTGCTGAAACCAGTAACTCGTCATTTAACATTAGGTATATCGCCAAATGCTATACCTCCCCCCTCCCCCCACCCCACAACAGGCCCCAGTGTGTGATGTTCCCCTTTCTGCGTCCATGTGTTCTCATTGTTCAATTCTCACCTATGAGTGAGAACATGCGGTGTTTGGTTTTTTGTTATTGCGATAGTTTGCTGAGAATGATGGTTTCCAGCTTCATCCATGTCCCTACAAAGGACATGAACTCATCATTTTTTATGGCTGCATAGTATTCCATGGTGTATATGTGCCACATTTTCTTAATCCAGTCTATCATTGTTGGACATTTGGGTTGGTTCCGAGTCTTTGCTATTGTGAATAGTGCCCCAATAAACATACGTGTGCATGTGTCTTTATAGCAGCATGATTTATAATCCTTTGGGTATATACCCAGTAATGGGATGGCTGGGCCATCATCGCCACACTGACTTCCACAATGGTTGAACTAGTTTACAGTCCCACCAACAGTGTAAAAGTGTTCCTATTTCTCCACATCCTTTCCAGCACCTGTTGTTTCCTGACTTTTTAATGATCGCCATTCTGACTGGTGTGAAATGGTATCTCATTGTGGTTTTGATTTGCATTTCTCTGATGGCCAGTGATGATAAGCATTTTTTCATGTGCCTTTTGGCTGCATAGATGTCTTCTTTTGAGAAGTGTCTGTTCATATCCTTCACCCACTTTTTGATGGGGTTTTTTGTTTTTTTTCTTGTAAATTTGTTTGAGTTCATTGTAGATTCTGGATATTAGCCCTTTGTCAGATGAGTAGATTGCAAAAATTTTCTCCCGTTTTGTAGGTTGCCTGTTCACGCTGATGGTAGTTTCTTTTGCTGTGCAGAAGTTCTTTAGTTTAATTAGATCCCATTTGTCAATTTTGGCTTTTGTTGCCATTGCTTTTGGTGTTTTAGACATGAAGTCCTTGCCCATGCCTGTGTCCTGAATGGTATTGCCTAGGTTTTCTTCTAGGGTTTTTATGGTTTTATGTCTAACATTTAAGTCTTTAATCCATCTTGAATTAATTTTTGTATAAGGTGTAAGGAAGGGATCCAGTTTCAGCTTTCTACATATGGCTAGCCAGTTTTGCCAGCACCATTTATTAAATAGGGAATCCTTTCCTCATTGCTTGTTTTTCTCAGGTTTGTCAAAGATCAGATAGTTGTAGATATGCAGCATTATTTCTGAGGGCTCTGTTCTGTTCGATTGGTCTAGATCTCTGTTTTGGTACCAGTACCATGCTGTTTTGGTTACTGTAGCCTTGTAGCATAGTTTGAAGTCAGGTAGTGTGATGCCTCCAGTTTTGTTCTTTTGGCTTAGGATTGACTTGGCAATGCGGGCTCTTTTTTGGTTCCATATGAACTTTAAAGTAGTTTTTTCCAATTCTGTGAAGAAAGTCATTGGTAGCTTGATGGGGATGGCATTGAATCTATAAATTTCTTTGGGCAGTATGGCCATTTTCACGATATTGATTCTTCCTACCCATGAGCATGGAATGTTCTTCCATTTGTTTGTATCCTCTTTTATTTCATTGAGCAGTGGTTTGTAGTTCTCCTTGAAGAAGTCCTTCACGTCCCTTGTAAGTTGGATTCCTAGGTATTTTATTCTCTTTGAAGCAATTGTGAATGGGAGTTCACTCATGATTTGGCTCTCTGTTTGTCTGCTATTGGTGTGTAAGAATGCTTGTGATTTTTGCCCACTGATTTTGTGTCCTGAGACTTTGCTGAAGTTGCCTATCAGCTTAAGGAGATTTTGGGCTGAGACGATGGGGTTTTCTGGATATACAATCATGTCATCTGCAAACAGGGACAATTTGACTTCCTCTTTTCCTAATTGAATACCCTTTATTTCCTTCTCCTGCCTGATTGCCTTGGCCAGAACTTCCAACACTATGTTGAATAGGAGTGGTGAGAGAGGGCATCCCTGTCTTGTGCCAGTTTTCAAAGGGAATGCTTCCAGTTTTTGCCCATTCAGTATGATATTGGCTGTGGGTTTGTTACAGATAGCTCTTATTATTTTGAGATACGTCCCATCAATACCTAATTTATTGAGAGTTTTTAGCATGAAGCGTTGTTGAATTTTGTCAAAGACCTTTTCTGCATCTATTGAGATAATCATATGGTTTTTGTCTTTGGTTCTGTTTATATGCTTTATAGCACTAAATGCCCACAAGAGAAAGCAGGAAAGATCTAAAATTGACACCCTAACATCACAATTAAAAGAACTAGAGAAGCAAGAGCAAACAAATTCAAAAGCTAGCAGAAGGCAAGAAATAACTAAGATCAGAGCAGAACTGAAGGAAATAGAGACACAAAAAACCCTTCAAAAATTTAATGAATCCAGGAGCTGGTTTTTTGAAAAGATCAACAAAATTGATAGACTGATAGCAGGACTAACAAAGAAGAAAAGAGAGAAGAATCAAATAGACACAAGAAAAAATGATAAAGGGGATATCACCACCGATCCCACAGAAATACAAACTACCATCAGAGAATACTATAAACACCTCTACGCAAATAAACTAGAAAATCTAGAAGAAATGGATAAATTCCTCGACACATACACCCTCCCAAGACTAAAGCAGGAAGAAGTTGAATCCCTGAATAGACCAATAATAGGCTCTGAAATTGAGGCAATAATCAATAGCCTACCAATCAAAAAAAGTCCAGGACCAGATGGATTCACAGCCGAATTCTACCAGAGGTACAAGGAGGAGCTGATACCATTCCTTCTGAAACTATTCCAGTCAGTAGAAAAAGAGGGAATCCTTCCTAACTCATTTTATGAGGCCAGCATCATCCTGATACCAAAGCCTGGCAGAGACACAACAACAAAAAAAGAGAATTTTAGACCAATATCCCTGATGAACATCGATGCAAAAATCCTCAATAAAATACTGGCAAACTGAATTCAGCAGCACATCAAAAAGCTTATCCACCATGATCAAGTGGGCTTCATCCCTGGGATGCAAGGCTGATTCAACATATGCAAATCCAGAAGCTTTTTCTATTAGGTTGGTGAAAAAGTCATTGCGGTTTTTGCCGTTGAAAGTAATGACAAAAACCACAATTACTTTTGCACCAACTTAATAGATTTTAAGATCCCTGGTGGTGGAAACGTTATATTATTCACCGTTAAATCCCATTTCTAGCAGAGTATCTAGCCCATTATAGATGCTCAATAAATATTCACTGTTGCTATTACAGAATTTTAAACCATGAGCAGTGTTAGGACATCCACATAGTTTAGTGACAGCACTTCACCTCTAAGCAGTACTTTGACATGCATGACTGTCAGTTGGTTCTTCTGAGTGCATCTGAGTGTTATGGAGTGCTTCTCCATCAATTACTAGCGCAATTAAGCGCCCAACAGATATTTGGGCATTTATCCTATGGCCAGCGGAGAAACACTCTATTTCACTTTTCCGGGATGGAGAAGGAAGTACATCTCACAATTTCCCCAGGGCCCTGGAATCTACCACATCCTTGGTAGAGATAATGCAGATCTGTGAAAGTAGCCTCTGATGGGGTTGCTCCAAGGATATTTCATGAAAGAATGGCAAAGGAGTATTTGTTGCCATTTATGGCAAGCCCAATACAAAGCTCCAAAAACTTCATAAGGAATAGAAAACCCCAAATTGAAACTGTAAGGAAGGAGACTCATCTACAAATTTTGACTGGAACTCTAGAAAAATAGCTCTGGAAAATAGTTTTTTGGGTAAATATATGAATATAGTGTGTCTTATATATTGGTAAGCTCCATAAATATTATCCAATGATATATTAATCACTTCTGCCTCTAAATTACTATCTGATTTTTAGCTAAGGTTATTCA
Organism: Homo sapiens; assembly: GCF_000001405.40. NCBI lineage: Eukaryota > Metazoa > Chordata > Mammalia > Primates > Hominidae > Homo > Homo sapiens. Next base: position 168,748,626 of record NC_000001.11, read on the forward strand.
CTTTCTTTGTATGAGCTCCTTTGTTTGCACAATGTGGAAATGTAGAAAGGACTACTCATCTTGAAGGGTCATGGTGAGAATTAGTCTACTCCCATTTCTTCCTTATTGCCAGTTTACCCTCCAGCTGCTAATATTCCAGCTGACAATAGGAAAGCAATTTGATGGCAGGGATCTAGAAATCTTTTATTGTTATTATTATTATTTGTTTTGTTTTGGCCAGTGTACAGATTTTTATTTTATTTATTTATTTATTATTTTTATAGTTTTTGGAAAAGAGGTGGTGTTTGGTTACATGGATGTTTTTTAAGTGGTGATTTCTGAGATTTTGGTGCACACAACACCCATCACCCAATCAGTGTACACTGTACTCAGTGTGTAGTCTTTTATCCCTCACCTCCCTCCCACCCTTCCCTCGACTCCCCAAAGCTCCAAAGTTTTTGTTTGTTTGTTTTTGTTTTTTGTTTGTTTGTTTGTTTTGTTTTTTGTTTTTGAGATGGAGTCTTTCTCTGTTGCCGAGGTTGGAGTGCAGTGGCATGATCTTGGTTCACTGTAACCTCTGCCTCCCAGGTTCAAGCGATTCTCCTGCCTCAGCCTCCTGAGCAGCTTGGACAACAGGCTCGTGCCACCACACCTGGCTAATTTTTGCATTTTTAGTAGAGACGGGGTTTCACTATGTTGGCCAGGCTGGCCGTTGTATCATTCTTATGCCTTTGCTTCCTCATAGCTTAGCTTTCACTTATAAATGAGAAAATATGATGTTTGGTTTTCCATTCCTGAGTTACTTCACTTAGAATAATGGTCTCCAACTCCATCTAGATTGCGGCAAATGTCATTATTTCATTCCTTTTTATGTCTGAGAGGTATTCCATGGTGTGTGTGTGTGTGTGTGTGTATATATGTGTGTGTGTATATATATGTGTATGTATATATGTGTGTATATATGTGTGTATATATATGTGTGTATATATATGTGTATGTGTGTGTGTGTGTGTATGTATATATATATATATATATATATATATATATATATATATATATATATCACATTTTCTTTATCCACTCATTGACTGATGGGCATTTGGGCTGGTTCCATACTTTTTGCAAATGCAAATTGTGCTGCTGTAACTACATGTGTGCAAGTGTCTTTTTCATGTAATGAATTATTTTCCTCTGGGTGATACCCAGTAGTGGGATTGCTGGATCAAATGGTAGCTCTATTTTTAGTTCTTTAAGGAATCTTCACACTGTTTTCCATAGTGGTTGTACTAGTTTACATGCCCACCAGCAGTGTAAAAGTGTTCCTTTGTCACCATACTCATGCCAACAGCTATTTTTTTTAAATTTTTTTTTATTATGTCCATTCTTGCAGGAGTAAGGTGGTATTGCATTGTGGTTTTCACTTGCATTTCCCTGATCATTAGTGATGTTGAGCATGTTTTTCATGTTTCTTGGCCATTTATATATCCTCTTTTGAGGATTATCTATTCATGTCCTTAGGGGACATGGATTAGTATTTTTTTCTTGCTGATTTGTTTGAGTTCTTTTTAGATTCTGGATATTAGTCCTCTGTCAGATGCATAGATTGCAAAATTTTTCTCCCATTCTGTGGGTTGTCTGTGTACTCTCCTGATTATTTCTTTTGCTGCACAGAAGCTTTTTCTTTAATTTCCTTAATTAGGTCCCATTTATTTATTTTTGTTTTTGTTGCATTTGCTTTTGGGTTCTTAGTCATGAAGTTTTTGCCTAAGTCACTGTCTAGAAGGTTTTTCCACTGTTATCTTCTAGAATTTTTATGGTTTCAGGTCTTAGATGTAAGTCTTTGATCCACCTTGAGTTGATATTTTTATAAGATGAGACATGAGACTCCAGTTTCATTCCTCTACATATGGCTTGCCAATTATCCCAGCACCAGTTGTTGAATAGGGTGTCCTTTCCCCACTTTACGTTTTTGTTTGCTTTGTCAAATACTAGTTGGGTGTAAGTATTTGGCTTTATTGCTGGTTCTCTATTTTGTTCCATTATTCTGTGTGCCTGTTTTTATACCAGTACCATGCTGTTTTGGTGACTATAGTCTTTGCTAGTATAGTTTGAAGTTGGGTAATGTGATGCCTCTAGATTTGCTCTTTTTGGTTAGTGTTGCTTCAGCTATGAAGGTACTTTTTTGGTTCTATATGAATTTTAGGATTGTTTTTTCAAGTTCTGTGAAGAATGATGGTATTTTGGTATTTTGATGGGAAATGCATTGAATTTTTAATTTGCTTTCTGGTCCTGGGCTTAAGAAAGAAAGGAAGTGAAGGTATAGTAATAATTAAAGACAGGAAGTTCTTGATCAGGGTTGTGAAAGCTCCTTTCCCTGTAATGGATTAGAGAGGTCCTAAAGATCCTAGCCAGACTACAGATCAAATCCCTGCTCTTCAATATTCTTTGATGTCTCAAGCAAGTACAGTTAAACTCTGAGTCTCCACAATTGTAAAAATTGAGATAATAATATCCAGTTCTCAAGATTATTATAAGGATTAAATGATAATCATGTCTGTGAAGTACTCAGGCACTGCTTGGCACATAGTAACCTCTTGGTAGTTGAGAATCATTCCAAGGCTATTTTTCTAGCCTGCCACAATCCTGCCACCAGACTCCACATTCCCTCCTCATTCAGTAAACATAGAAGTGCAGCCTGGAATGCTTTCCATCTTCTGTCTGTTTAAAAAATCTACTCAAATGAGTAGGTGTGTGGTGGAGTGGCGAGGGGAGAGACTGCGGAGTCAGCAAGAAATCCTTTGGCAGTTAAAGTTATTTGAACTCAAAGCCTGTGTTCGCCCAACTGTAAAGTAGGGATAATAACATTGTCTGCCTCACAGGATTCTTGTATAACATAAGAAAATGCATGTGAAAGACTGAGCACAATGCTTGGTAGCAAGCAGTCAATAAAGGATGCCTATTAACTCTGCTAGGCAATAAGAGCTCAACTCAGTAGCATCCTCCTGTCTGAAGGTTTTTCTGTAATTGCTCCCTGTGCTGCCATAACACACTGTCTGTAGTGCATTTCTTTTCAACATGAAATTGTCATATTGCCATGTGTAAAAATTAGTAGCATATATAAAACATCTATACAAGCTCATGTGCTCCTTAAGGACAAAGACTGTTTCAGTGATGAGGTCCTCACAATCAGTGGGGGTTACATAGTAAAGGCTCAGAAGACATTGTTGAACTGAACTGAAATGACAAATTAAAACAGAAAGCTTTTCTACTAAGATGATAACTAGGAAGACAGTTATCATGTCCCCTAAACAACAGTAAAACTAGCAAGAAGTAAACCATGTTTAACAGTCACTCTAACATGGATGGTCAGGAAATTGATTGCAAGTGAGAAAAAGAGATGGAAATAATTGAGAAAAATATTTATGTGTCAGAAAGAAAAGTGTGAATCAATTACTAGAGTTATGAATATTAAGCAAGTTGCTTGAGAAGCATTGATGTACGGATGAATTGGGCAATTTTTCCCAAGTTTTCCACAAAAAGGAATCAAGATCACTCAGCTGCTGACAGATGATTTTTACCTTTCAGATTCAACATTATTTACTGTCACCCAGCTAAAGACAAAGGAGTTTACACGTTGTGTATGTAAATATTAACTGGGTGATGACTCACATTTTTATGGGAGCTCTATAATTCATAGTTATACGTGCAGACAAGCATCCCACTGAGAGACTGGGTGTGGGGAGAAGGGCATGGAAATTAAACCACTGCAAGTTTCCACGCACACCACTTCCTCCTTATCTGTGAAATTTTATCTTCTCTGTTATTGTCCAAGACGCTGTTGTGCAAACCCCTCACATCTGAAAGTCCTGGGAAGAGAACTGTGGTATGAGTTTTCAGGAATCGGGGCTAGATATGGGAGTACTTTTCCATGAAACAAAAGCGGATAACACCCCCCGCCCTCAACTCCAGGGCTTAATCAAAGGAGACCAAACCCTTGCTATAGGCATCAAGTTTGTATGCAGGATGAAGTATGGCAGACAACGAGGGAGGGAGTGTTTATTCAAACACATATGCAGCCCCTGTCCTAAATCAGTGCCAAATTGGGTGATGGCAAACCTAAGAAATACAGTGTCTCACTGATACAATCCCAGCTCCTCCTCAATGTTAAAGGGTAATTTATAAGTTAAAGTGAAAAGATTTTTTTTTCCAAGAGTCTTGCTCTCACACAGGCTGGAGTGCAGTGACGCTATCTCGGCTCACTGCAAACTCTGCCTCTCGGGTTCAAGCAATTCTCTGCCTCAATCTCCCGAGTAGCTGGGATTATAGGTGCCCACCACCACACCTGGCTAATTTTTGTGTTTTTAGTAGAGATGGGGTTTCACCATCTTGACCAGGCTGGTCTTGAACCCCTGACTTCATGATCCACCTGCCTTGGTCTCCCAAAGTGCTGGGATTACAGGCGTGAACTACCATGCCGAGCCAAGAATATTTTCAAAAACTAAATTTAGTATCTATTGTTTGCCTGAAAGGTCCAGGGGATATTGGTGTTGGTGGGAATGGTTCTAATTCTTATGTTCCTGGAAGTCCACAGATTTCTGTTCATGCCCAGGATCTGCTGCGCTCATGGAGGATGTCAGGCAAGTTGCTTAGCCATATAAGTTTGGGAGCAGGTGGGCAGTTTCCCAATTGGTACAATGAGATGACTGGTTAGCTCATCTCCAAGACAATTGGGCTTAACATTTTGGAGATCATAGATAACTTGGAGAATCTGATGAAAACTGTGAACCTTCTTTCCAGAAGAAAGTACATACATTTGACTTTCAACATTTCTTTTCAGAAACTTTATGGACACCTTGAATTTATCCACGGACTGCAGGTCCGTGTTCTAAAGGATTGTTGCATAGTGTTTTGGATAGTTTGAATACTAAGAATGAATACCAAGAGGATGTAAAACACAAGGGCACTGCTTTTCCTTCAAATATAACAATTTAAAATTCAATATTCCAGAGATATCAAGTTAAAAATGAAAGATCTGATATCTTCCGACTTTTAATCCATATAGTGCTATAAAGTTTTTTTTTTTTTTTTTTTTGAGACGGAGTCTCGCTCTGTCGCCCAGGCCGGACTGCGGACTGCAGTGGCGCAATCTCGGCTCACTGCAAGCTCCGCTTCCCGGGTTCACGCCATTCTCCTGCCTCAGCCTCCCGAGTAGCTGGGACTACAGGTGCCCGCCACCGCGCCCGGCTAATTTTTTGTATTTTTAGTAGACACGGGGTTTCACCTTGTTAGCCAGGATGGTCTCTATCTCCTGACCTCATGATCCACCCGCCTCGGCCTCCCAAAGTGCTGGGGTTACAGGCGTGAGCCACCGCGCCCGGCCTAGTGCTACAAAGTTTTAATCGAATGACTAAATTATAAGCCTTGGGTTCCTTTTGTATATTTTTAAATAAAACTGAATTTTCCTAATGAATTAAACTTTCTACTTGCACTATGATTTCAAAGATATTTCCCCAGGAAAAAATATTTGGCTCCAACTGTGAATATACACAAAATTATCACATTTTGGTAAGAACTAATATCTACTAATGAAACCTCATTGGCTTAATTTGGCTTAAGAAACACCCCCTCCACCACCTCCATGTGACCACTGTTTCAGAATGTTAGAAAAACAAACTAAAGTATTGATGACTTAACAGAAGCACTGTGTTGATACAGTCATAGATTCCCTTTTAAAAATCTGCTTAATGAACTGGAGCATTTTAAAAATTGCTCCAACAGGTCAAACAGGAGACATGTCAGGTGGGAAGTGAAAGGCGGCAAACATAGGCAATTTCGACATACGCAGATAATGGCAAGATCATGTCACAATCATAACATGGCTAAAATCTCCATTTGGACTGAAAAGTATTGGGTATCTTAGTGCTCTCCAAATTGCCTACTTCTTTTTTAACTTAAAAATTTACTTAGACTGTCTTATTTATTTATGTAGTTCCCAAGTCCAGTTCAGTATCTGGCACGCTGTTCTCACTGCACGATCTTTTACTTCTTCCCATTTTTTTGGAAAATGTCAGAGTAGGAGGAAGCAGAAAGATCTGTATGCCTCTCATCTTCCTGTTGTAGAGACTGAAATCCTATTAGATTCAGTTCCTTGAGCCAAGGTGTTGAGTCCCCAGCTACCTCCCTTTCTGGTGTAAATATTTCTGGAATGTGTAACACTTGAATGAGATGGTAACTCATGAATGTAATATAAAATATGGTCTCCCAGTTCAATTTCACACATATACCTGAATCTGGGACATTGAGGAAACCAAAGACATGATGGGCAAGGAAAGATAGGATTTGATTGCATCGAGAAGAGGGGAGAGCCTAGAAAACAACTAAGGACATGAGCTGAGATGGGATGTGGTGGGAGGTGGCAGGAGGCTGGAGGCACCTGGGGCAGGAGAATGCTAGAAGAGCAAGCAGAAAATACAAAGGCTAAATTGGCCTTCTTCAGTTTTACTCCGAATAATTCCAATCCAGTTGACAAGAAATTATATGTACCACACTACTCTGAATGTGTCAGTTATTTTATTTTGAAAACTTTTGCACATGGTAGGCAGTAAAAATATTTGTGGAATGAATGAAATTATCACCAACACCCCTATGCCATATGATAACTAAGTTAAGAATCCTTCTCATTAAAATGCAGTTCTAAAGCTGAGGCCCCCTTAGAGCAGACTGACTTTTATCAGAAACAGTATGGCCATCTGTCCTGAATAAATGCCTTTAAGGTCATTTTTCAAAATTCTTCATCCCATATTTCTTCTATGTCATGGAATCTGTGCATTTCATTCTACTATATTTCCTTTGCTTTTCCTTGTGGCCAGGTTGATCATACAACTCTTACTACCAAAGGACTGACTGCTTGACAGAACCACTGCGTTGTATTAGTGACATTAATTGAACATTGAACAGGTGTAAGGAATTAGAATAGCACCTCACAGTGCCTTAGCTCATTTGCATCTGGTGTGGATTAACGTTATTCCCATTTTACCGATTGAAATTCTAGGAGTTAAAGGTCATACAATTAGTAAGCAGTGGAGCAGATTTCTATTCCTCATCATGTGAACTGAAGTCAGAGCTCTCAAGCCCTGTGCTATGCAGCTTGTGCTCTGCAGAGAGAGGGCACCTAGTCAAGGTTGCTGACAAGTGAAAAACAGTTCACCATATTAATTGAAAATTAAAGTAGAGCTAAAGGATACCAAAGAATAATAAATGCCGAGGCCCCAGTGCCAGGTATGCTCCATTTGTTCCAGAATATGAAGTTCCCACTCTTCTAAATCTCTGCCCACGAGAGCCTGCTGCTCATCAGGCAAAATACAAGGAGGTGATCTCAGAGGGTGGTGCTGCCTTCACACTCTGCTCAAAGGTGTGGGTGACATACAGCCTGCAAGTGACCTTGAGAAGTAGGCTGTTTCTCTCCCACCCCTTCCCAGGACCTATGGGACTCTACAAAACCCTCCTGCTTGTTACAGCTTTCTGAGAGGCGTAGGGCTCCCCAGGGAAATGGCACTGGGGAGGTAATCTCGCTTCTAGCAGTTCCTGTACTCACTGCCTCATTCTTCTAAGCTATCCTGGTGGAAACTGCCGGTCCCCAGCCAGTGAACCAGAACCATGTCCCTGTTCCTTTCTGTAGAGCAATAAAGGAAAAGTCTGGCTTGTGTCAGCTGTGGCTGCCCTGGGTCACAACTCACCCCCAGGGAAGCAGACTGGTTTTCTGAACATTTTCTGAGTTCCAGCCTCTTTACAGCAAGAAGACCAAAAGTGGGAGCTCATACCTTGCTAAGAGGTAGAGCTACTAATTACCCAGTGCCTGCTCTGCTATTGGCGTTTTAACATACATTCTTATTTAATTGTCACCATATTGCTGTGAAGATGATCAGAATATCCCTGGTTTACATACTGGGAAGCTGTGTCTCAGCGAGGTGAAGTGATGTACCCAAGGCAAACCCTACAGAATGTCAAGACTGAGCTTTATAACCAGTCTGACTAGCTGTGAAGTTAATGCTTTCCCCTATTCTATACTACTTTACAGCCCCTCCCTCATGATCTCCTCTGCGGTATGCTCAAACACGAGATATCAGTGCCCACTTCCCATGAGAGGCTCTTCTTTCCAGCTGAGGGCTGGATCCTTGCAGCATTCATTCTGCTAAGCCAGAGAAGGGCTCCTAAACTCTTCCCTCTCCTGTCCACTTCCTAGTGCAACTTCATTATATTTGGTGAGCTAGGACATCTGGTTTTGTAGCAGCCTTCCCCTGAGGTTAAATTCATCTTTGACCGTGTCCCATGTACTATTCTCTAAAATCCAGAGAATTTACTTGCAAATTGTTTGAAAGTCAATGCTGTTTCTGATGGGGACACAGAATGCACAATAGAAGATAGAGAAACACAGAAATCCACTTTATCTCCCCACTTCACTATGCGAGCTTCCAGGCCATGTATCAGAATGCCTGGGCATGGGGTAATGAAAGGGTAAGGAAAGACCAGATAGGCTCATCCCAAACTCTGTCATTTAATGGCTGTGACCATAGGCAATTAAGGTCATCTGCACCTCAGTTTGTTCATCTTTACCTTCCAGATAGGTATTACCTGTAGGAGCCCACTCAAATTAAGGAGAGTAAATGAAGCCAGAACCCTAATGAGCTATTCATCCTCCAAAAAGAATAAACTATATTAAAAGAAAAAACAAAATAACAAAGAAGACCAAAAACACCTCCACAAAGAAAGTCAACATGGAAAATCATCTGGTAATGTTTACAGGAGGCCTAAGAGTGAGAGGATTCTTGACAACCTGTAGCTGTTTTTATCATTTCCACCCTTGCATTGGAATATGGCTTAGGAAAGTCTCTGCCTGTGCAGTGCCTTAGTTTTCCTCTCTGTAGAATGGAAATAATCTGAGTCTCCTGCCTGTCTTACACATTCTCACAGAAGCTTTACAAAATATACCTGATAGCTGTGAAACATTGAGTTCCCTAGGGATAGTCTACAGGAGCAGATTTCAGCAACCCAATCACCCATAGCCAATATATAATTTTACAACTTTTTTTTTTCACTGTGACTATCCACTAGACTGTAAGCTCCATGAAACAGAAAACTGTGTTAGATTTTGCTCAGTGGTGTATCCCTGGGCTAGGAGAGGCTGCAGTGCATTGCTCGGGTCCTGCCTTCAGGATGGAGGCATGCTTTCCCCCAGCTGCTGGGAGCATCAGCTGCCAATGGTTCACAGCTGATTGCCTTCCTAGGAATTGCCCTTGGTGAAAGAAAGTTCTTTGTGCAATGTTTTTTTCCTTCTTCAGTTGCAACCCAGTGACTGGTCAATACAGTGGTACAAAGGCCTGGGCCCCTTGCCTCAACTCAGGACAACTCTGAAAGGCTATCCCCAGGTCCAGAACTCTCTGAAGGGCCAGATGAGGCCTTCGTCAAAACTGCAGCACAGTTTAACTTCTTCTGCCAAGTCCAATTTCCCCCACTCGCAGATGTTGTACCCACCAGCCCTTCTCAATAAACCTGCAAGCAAGTCTATAATTCGCAATCTGTTTCCCAGGGAACCCAACCAATTGAACTCATTGTAGGGTTCAATAATATTTGTTGAAGGCTGAATGAACATTGGAAGGGATAAAATTGCTAACAAAATAAATTCAATTTGATATAAACATCCTTCAGGAGATGAGAAGGAATATAAACCATGGATTCTTTCCAAGTCTTAGAGACAAAAATTCTATAAGATATAGGAGAGCCTTCAGTAAATGATGCTGCCATAATATATTATTTCTTTGAAAGACTTTTAAATGATTGATACAGGACACAATAAATGAAAAAGTCCAAAGTGACTGTAGTCACATAACCATCAGTCAACAAACTCTTAAAATCCTTTAAAAATAAAGATGGTTTGCCACATGTAAAATTCAATAGACCTAATTATTTTCAAATGAACATTAAGTTCTCATTGATTTTCATCTGGCCAAATTAACCAAAAGGAGAGAGGACAGTCTGTATATCAGTCGGTGTCTATCAGGCCAAGTTGAAATTACATTAGTGTAAGTGGATCAGGAACATGTGAATTAGATTTACCCTTTGGATGCTATGGATGTAATCATTAAGGCCATCACCCTAGCAGATGGAGAACCTGCCCAAATACCACTGAGCTAATTCCTCATTACTCTTCAAGATTCTGTACAACAGCACTTAATAATAGAAGTCAACTCTCAGTTGACATCTTCCCCATCCAATTTATTTATTTTTTCACCTGTACATTTGAGATATGTCATTTATGCCACTGGATCGTTTCTGATTGGGACACAAACAACACAACAGAAGATGGGGAAACAGAGATCCCATTGACCACCACATTCACTCATACTATAACAGCCCAGTTGCCTCCAAACCAGGTCTCTTCTCTGTTACTACCACACTGGGTTGAGTGGGCAGAAGGCCTGTATGGAAAATGACCAATTTTGTTTTTAAAGATTTCAGGACATTTATGCCAAGAGAGTCTACTAATAACTTGTAACAGCTGCCTCTGATTAAGTGCCAGGCAAGGTTTCTTCTTTGTTCTAAGCAATTTATATTCATTATCTTGAGTCTTCACGAGAGCCAGATATGTGGATAAATATTATTATTCGTGTTTTACAAGTGACCAAACAAGTTCAGAAAAGCAAATAGATTGCCCAAGATTGCACAGTAACTAAAATAGCAGACCTGGGATTCAAATCCAGGACAAGACTAATAGACACTACTAGGACACTTTGCTCCTTTATTTTTTATAAGTGATTTCAACTTGCGAAAATGAAGTGAAAGTAGGAATCCAAAACCACTGGCCATCCTGGAGAAATCGATTAATTTCTGGTGGCCTTGGTGACTAACCCTGTTATAGGAGCCCATTCAAATTAGGGAGGGTAAACAAAGTCAGAAAGGATAAAGAGTCATTTATGCTTTGGAAAATCCTTTCATTAAAACAAAAACAATAACCACCACCACAAAGAAGGTCAACAAGGAAAACCATTAACTTAAACTTAACCATAGATAGAGAGAGAAAAAAAATCATATTCCCAGAGAGTTTTTTCACTTAAATTTAGCCTTTTGGGGATTTTCTGATTTTCATAAAACTTCCTTTTGCCTATTTAATTCAAAAAAGTACAAGTTGAAATTTTATTTTTAGGTGGTATTAGATTGGTGGCCTCCTATCATCTGGCTAAAACAAACACAAATTCTTTACAGAAGAATGCGCCATCACCAGGGACCTATTCCACACAGAATTAAATCAAACAAGAGTTCACTGAAAAAGCATAAAAGAAACAGAGCATTGTGGTTGAGAGCAGAAACAAACAGGTTGGAGAATCAGACCCACAGGATTTCAGACATTGGATTTATCAGATGCAGTATACAAAGTGAGTATATTTAATATGTTCAAAGGTATAAAAGGTGCCAAACACGTGAGCAAAGAGAAGAGAATATAAAATGACAGGGCAGATTTAAAGATTAAATAGAACTTCTATTTTAAAAAAAGTGTATTTGTAACTTAAAAACTCATTGAGTAGACTAAGCAGAAGATTAGAACCAGCTGAAAGGATATCTAAAATGGAAGACACATTTCAAGAAATTACCCAGAATGCAACATAGAGAACAATCAGAGGTTTAGAATTCAAATGAAGAAAGGCCACAATATTTTTAAGAATTGAGGGCTGACATGAACCCTCAGTTGCAGAAAGTCCAAATGAAACCCAGGCGGGATTTGGCTTATATTGTTGCTCTGGCTATCTTTAGTGCAACACCAGCTTCAGATTCCTCTGGCATTAACTTTGATGAGGGCTGGCTGCCTGAAAGTCTTCCTCAATGTCTCTATGCCATCCATGCCTCTTGCCTTCCCTGTGCACTTGAACATCTGAGAGGCTCTCTCCTTGCCCCTTCCCTGTTTCTCTCATTAGATTGCGATTGCTTGTTACCTGGTGCCACTAGGCTGGTTTTAGGCATGCCCTGTACATTCTGTTGTTAGGATGAGCCTTTCTCTTGGATCCTGCCCCACTCCCAACAGTGGAAGACATCTAATAATCTGCTCCCCGGCGATTTCTTTCCCCGTCCTCTAGGGTTAGTTTTTGTTTGCTTGTCTGTTTTTGTTTTATTCCCAGGCCACCTGAGTCTTCATTTTTTACCTGGAGGTAACAGGGTTAGCTGCGCTTCCACAAGTGACTTTTTTTTTCCTTAGGGAAGAGGTTCTGGATGATGTTTCACGCCTTACCTGCAGCTGGCCTACTTATCAAGGGATGTTGTTTCTGGTCCCTGGCCCTGCCTCCAGTTCTTCTCCCAAGCACCCAATGGATATGCATAATGAAGAACCTCTGAGTGGGTGAAAATTCTCCCTGTGTGTGTGGTTCCCACAGGTTCACTTGACCTTTAAATAGTTGTTTTAAAAAGAAAAAAGCTGGGCGCCGTGGCTCATGCCTGTGATCCCAGCACTTTGGGAGGCCAAGGTGGGTGGATGACCTGAGGTCAGGAGTTCAAGACCAGCCTGGCCAACATGGTGAAACCCCATCTCTACTAAAAATACAAAAAAGTAGCCAGGCATGGTGGTGGGTGCCTGTAATCCCAGCTACTCACAAGGCTAAGGCAGGAGAACTGCTTGAACTCAGGAGGTGGAGGTTGCAGTGAGCCGAGGTCACACCATTGCACTGCAGCCTGGGCAACAAGAGTGAAACTCCATAACAACAACAACAACAACAACAACATAGCTGCCTTCTTACATACAAGTTAGGTAGCTCCTCTTCCTTCTGTGCTCTGCCACAGGTGACTCAGGGCTCATGTCCCAACTGTCCTGGGAGGCCCCCACTTGAGAAATGAACCAACTTCTCCCTCAAAAAGCCTTCCCAAAACCTCTTACCTTTGTTAAACAAGGCTGTTTTTGATCTCTCTGTGGAGAAAAATTGGGGGACTTAAGAAAGAACTTACTCTAAAGAATAAGTAAAATGTTATTACTTTTTAAAACTCAAGTTCTGGGGATAAAGCAGTGAGATTTAGAAATTTGTATGTGAGTTAAATGAATAAATCAAGAGGAGACTGCTGTTGCTTATCTAAGCATTTGGAAGATAGAATGTGTATTAGTCTGTTCTCATGCTGCTAATAAAGATGTGCCCAAGACTGGGTAACTTATAAAGGAAAGAGGTTTAATTGACTCACAATTCCACATGGCTGGGGAGGCCTCACAACCATGATGGAAGACGAAGGAAGAGTAAATGGAGTCTTACATGGCAGCAGGCAAGAAAGTGTGTGCAGGGAAACTCCCCTTTATAAAACCATCAGATCTCGTGAGACTTACTCACTATCATGAGAACAGCACTGGAAAGGCCCGCCCTCATGATTCAGTTACCTCCCACCAGGTTCCTCTCACAACATGTGAGAATTATGGGAGCTACAATTCAAGATGAGATCTGGGTGGGGGACACAGCCAAACCATATCAGAACCATTAAGAATTTCCATCTCTGGAGCTAAAAACAATAAGAGAAAAATTGGACTGGAATATCAGGTTGTCCTTACCTGACTGCGTAACCTTGGACAAGTTGCTTAACTTCTCGTAGCCTCAGTTTCTTCTGTTGTGAAGAGGCTATTTATAGCAGCTACTTTGCAAAAGTCAAAGATTAAAAGAGTTACAGTGTTAAAGTGCTGAGCACAGTGACCAGCACATAGTAAGCACTCAATCAATGTATAAGTAATCAATGAATGTATGAGTAAGCACTCAATCAATCATAACAGCTATTATGATTATTAACTCTCCCGATATCAATGTCTTCTCGTTGTATGTTGGTACTGGGTATATACCATAGTTGTCTTTCATGGACTGGAAGACTGACAGTTATTGAGCAGGAAGTAGCACATCACTGGTCAGTGTGGGCCTTGGGAACCTAAAACAAATTATACTACCTTAAAACTGCGCTAGATTTGGTGCCCATTCATTTTGTTTGCTGTTTATTCCCCTATGGAATGTGGAACAGACATGTGCATGGATGACGTTGGTTGCAGAAGCTGGAAGGTTAATAATCAATCAGTAATCGAGTATTCTCTAAGTCTGTGCCTATTTCATCACTAAGCATGGCTCCAGGGCTAAATTAGCTAAACTACTTATGGAAAAGAGATTCAGAGGAATGAATAAAAGGCAAGGTGTGTCAGGAAAAGAAAGAAGATGTAGGGAAACAAGAGAAAGTAAAGAAAGATTTCTTGGACACGGTTGATCAATCACTGTGTCCCGGTTTCCTGGAAAGACCCTAGAGAAACTCAAATGATGAATTTGCTAACGTGGATGATCACAGATGTTTAGGATAAACCAGTTTCAAAACCATTTTATGTAAACCAATTTAATATTCTTCTGTGGTAGATTGATAAGCTGCTCTATAGCTAAAATAAGTAATAAATATTGCCTATCTTATCATCAATATGACATATGACTGTATTGCAGCAAACTTGCTAGCAAGCTAGGAAAACACAGTCCCAGAGGCCACTGTACTGTGAGGTGGATGCACCATGAATCACGCTCCGGGAGTAGTCCTGGCCACCCAGCTCACAGGTATCTGCAGTAACAGTTTGAAACATGTTATTAAGAGGGTGTCTCTCTCTGGTTAATCCTGCAGTATAAGAAATGACTAACGCCTTGCAGAGTAAAATTAGAATTCTGAATAATCTTGACAAGTTGGAGAAATAATTAGTCATAAACTGATGAAGTCACAGTCAAGTAAGGTCCCAATAGTTTATTTAGAGAGAACACCTTCACAAATACATCAATGGTGAATGAATGCCTGAAATAATACGTTAAGAAAGAACTGTGTGCCCTTTTATGGGGAGCTATAGAAGGAATTTTCATTATAAGCTGTTTAAATACCACAGTCTTGGGAAGCAGACAGACTCGAGTTGAATCATGGTTCTTCCACATCTGAGATGTGCCTTCTTGAACAGGTTCTTACCTCTGCTTCCCCTGGTTTTCTCATCTGTAAAAGAGGAGGTAATAATCTCTACCTTGCACAACCATTGCGAGGATACACGTGAAGAAAAACATTTGTAGCAGACACTATTTGTTGCCTATCCAACATTCATTTCCTCCTTTCTACTGGTTAAGAAAAACTTAAAATTTTTATAGGTGGCTGGATACCCTCCTGGATGGTGACCCTAGCCCAGCTCAGGAGTAAATCCTAATCAGCCCTAGTGTACTATCATGGGAGTCTTCTCTCCACAGACTTCTTGATATATGAAACAATAGAAGTTCTTATGATTAAAATCAGAATTTTTATTGTAGTTATTGCCCCCAAATTCCTCACTGAAAGAGTTGTGAAGTGCTTGATACCTAACTTCTACTCAAAAAAGAGATTATCCATAACTCTCTATTATCGTTTACTTTTCTGTAGCTTTGGGATCTCCTGATCACCTCTTTTTTATGAAAGTTTCTCCCCTTTTCCATTAGATGCCATTGCCTTCTGCTTTTCTTCTCAAATCTTAGGTTGCTGTTTCTCTGTCTTGGAGGACAGCTTCCCTTTCTCAGCCTGTACCTTGAATATGATTATCTATTAGGGGTCCATCCTTCACTTTCTTCTCTCTTGTTGATCTCAGCTACTCTCTGGGCTTGGTGACTCTTAAATAATTATCTCCAGCTCACACCTCTCTTTTCAGCTTCTAGCCATCATTCCAGTGGACTATTGGACATGCCCACATGGGTGTCCTGTCCAACTCAACTCATATTTGTATCATTTCCTCACTCATTCCCACTGCTCTTCCTGCATTCCATTTATTGGGGAATATTACCACATCTCCCCATTGTGTCAAGCCAGAAACCTCCAGTCACCAATTGTTCCTCCTTCTCCCTTACACCCTGCATGCAATCAACTTATTGCCTTAATATTCTCAATTAATATTCATCTATCCTGACCCCTGCATCTTCAATGACACTGCTTTAGTTTACCATTGCTAATCTTCATCTCTCATCTGGATTATTGCAATAACCTCTTTGCCTGAATCTTGCTTTGTAGTTTTCTATTCCATCTTCCAGACTATATGAGTAGGATGACACTTCTAAAACACAAATTTCATCGTCACTTCCCTACTTTAAACCTCCTTGATTTTTTGTAAATGTAAACTTTTTAGCACAGTCTACAAGGCCTTTTATAATTGAATCCAATAGTTGTCACCCTGACAACACCTTGGAGTCACCTAGAGTTATTAAAAATATGCCAATGCCCAGGCCTAACCTCCAGAGATTTTGATTTCATTAATTTCATTTAAGGTATAGGTATTTTTAAAAGCTCTCCAGGTGTCAGTACGAAACTCCTGAATGACCAGCCAACACTGCAGGGCCCTGAGTCTCAGTCAATATTTGGACAGACACCAATTGCTGAGTTTTCTGTCCATGGACAGGAGTGGTCTCAGGCTTAGGACCTTCTTGCTCTGCAGAGATCAGGCACAGTTATCCTCTATGCACTCCAACTCCTGTTTACAAGAAAGTTTACCTCTATTACATGACTTAGAACAGGAATTCTCAAACTTTTTTATGGTAAAGTCCATGGACTTTCCTCAATATTGTTGTCAAATACATAAATGGCGTAAGGTTGCAAAAGAGACAAATTACATTGAAATGCAGTTATCAAATATTAAAATATTTATGCTATAGGAATATATGTCTTTATTAAAGTATTAGATAAATATATGTAGCAGTATATCTAATAACAATTATAGTTTCCAAATAGAGATGAACATCAATGCTATTTCAAGATATCTGTAACAGCTGCAAAATAATACTTTAAAATATGCATAGTGATTAAGTTGGAGATATTCCTAAATACTACAGTAGTTTGTTGCCAATATTTGTAATTGAAGAACAGCAAATTTCAATTAGATGTTAGTGAAATAAAAAGGTCAGTTTTTTCCAAACCAACTCCATGTACATCACCCCTTCCCTTCCTCAAATTTTATCTATGAATCCTGTGGGGCCTCAGATTAAAAAATGATGGTTTAGAGGAAACTGAAGAAGGCTTTTTAAAGGAAAGCAATAAGTTGTGTAGGAAATATCATTTATGATTGCATTTAATATTTATTTTGTTATTTATTATTAACATGTTTATGATGTTCAGTTATACTTTACTGCAGATATTTTTACTAATAAATAGAATGCAGCATTAATTGTTCCTCATCATAAATATTAGTTACATGAATGAATGGACAATTAAGAAGCAAAATTTATGTTTTTAAATCACAAGTCCACCCCATCTACTCCAAACTGTTACCTTAATGAATCAACACCTTGTGCCTCAGTTTCCCTAGATCATAGATGATTAGGGTATTAGTAACAAAGTTAAAATATAAGGGTCAATAATATGGTATTTGGAGTCTGAAGTAAATTGGCTCTAGTTCCACCAGGCATTAGATAGATGGTCAAGGGGAAATTACTTGACTGTTTTTGGGGGGTTTTTTTGCTTTGTTTTTTGAGACAGGTTCTTACTCTGTCACTCAGGCTGGAGTGCAGTGGCATGATCTTGGCTCACTGCAACCTCCGGCTCCTGGGCTCAGGCAATCCTGCCACTTCAGTCTCCCGAGAAGCTGGGACTACAGGTGTGTGCCACCAAGCCTGGCTAATTTTTGTATATTTTTGTAGAGACAGTTTCACCTTGTTGCCCAGGCTGGTCTTGAACTCTTGGGTTCAAGCAATCTGCCCAACTCAGCCTCCCAATCTGCTAGGATTACAGGCATGAGCCACCGCACCCGGCCTTTATTTTCAATTATGTAAAGTAGAAGTAATGATATCATCTTTTGAGGGCTGTTGAGGGGATCATGTGAGATGATGTATATATATAAAGCACTTTTCACAGCATTTGACACATACTAAACATTTCCTTAATGGTTGCTATTACTGCAACTGTAATTATTGTTACGTGTTATCACAGGGCATTTTGCCTATCAAATGAAAGTTGATATGTTTAACCCATAACAATGCAAAAATTATAAGCTCCTTCTCAGCAGAATCTTTAGATAGACCTTGAAGTGATGAGAAAGAATCAAAATCTGTGCCGTGCTTAGGGACCATCAGCCTTAGCTAGAAAATGACACAGAAAACAGCCCTTGCGTCAACAGAGTAAGGCCTGACCTTCGGGAAGAATGGAAAAACAGGTTCTGTTTGCCATGGAAGATCTCTTATCACCTTTTCAGACTGCCTTCGGTTTTTGTGTCCCCTTTCCTACATTCCAAGGCCTCTGGTATCCAGTCTTCTGTCCCTCACAATCTACTGTGCACCTCAAGCTAGGCAGGAGGGGACGGGAATTTGTATTGAGGGGGTCTCTTATTTGCAGGGCACTATTTTGCTCTATAGGTGATGAGTAATCCAAAGCTTGAAAGCTTTTAAATTTTTCTGTGCTTCATTCTTTCAAGGATCTGGTTTTGAGATCATATCTGCCTAGTTTGAACCAATTAATAATACTGAGGGGATGGATACACAATTTTCCATAATGTGATTATTACACATTGCATGCCTGCATCAAAGTATCTCATGTGCCCCATAAATATATATGCCTACTATGTACCCACAAAAAATTTTTAAAAATTAAAAAAATAATCTTACAGAAGTTTTGAGAATGTCTTAGTTTCCAAGTTGCTGCATAAAATATATGTATTATCTTAGCGAAAGCTTTTAATAGCAACACTAATAAGCTATAAAGCTGTACACATGCATCCATGTAGACCTGGCTTGCATCCTGGCTCTGCTATATCCTAGCTGTGTCATCTTGGTCAAGGAGGGTAACCTCTCTTGCTAAGACCATTCTTTACTTATAAAATGGGAATAATAGCTTCTTAGCAATTTGGTTAAAACTATAAAATTTTGTTTATAAATAATAACTATAAATACTTAACATGAAAATTTTTACTATCAATAAAAATAATGGGACTTTCAGTGTATTGGAAGACATTTGATGTGAGATTGGAAGGAATTTCAGATGCTTTTTATCCCTCTTCGTGAGTAGCTGCTTCTTTGTCAATGAGTGGTGTTTCTTCTGTGCTAAAAAGATGAACACACTTCAGTCGTTTCATAAACACAGGGCTCATGAAATTCTAGCCATCATCTCAGAGTGAATGTACACTAAATGGTAAGGAATGCAATGGGTTGAGAAAATTCTACCCAATTAATCTTCATATCCAATTTGGAGGTAGAGCAAAATCTAAAACACAGATGTATAGTCTCCCCACTATACTCTGGCCCCTCAAGAGTGATGCTTGACCTCTTGCTCTTAAAACACTTCTAAACATCTAGGCATCCTGTCCCAGAACAAAAATCAAAGTAAGGCCGCACACGGCCTTGAGAAAGACCAAGGGCTTTCAGCTTTTCTCCCTCTTCAACTTGTAAAGGCTTGAAGAGGCAGTCAGCATAACCTCTGGGCCCTCCTTAAACTTTGGGGCTCTTCAGCCATGGAATCCACATCACTCTTCTGGATGTATGCCCAGAGCAGAGCTCTGGCTTCGAATTCTCTGGATGACAGCCACGATAAAGACATTTGCTACTGCCAGCACATAGAGGGAAACATGGAAAATACAAGAACACAATCAATGTTTCTAAAATACCTCTGCCAGGGGGAATCTTTGTCACCAGCTTCTCAGGAAAAGTGGAATTATGCCCTCCCCTCCCCACTTGGCTAATTATCACCACTGTTGTAGAACTGAAAAGAGCTTCAAGAGATTGAAGGAGAACAGTCTAAAGAGAATCATAGTTCATGAATTTAAGAACAGGGTCTTGATTTGCACTTTATATCCTGTGAGGCTCATGTGTTCCCATGTGCTTAGGAGAAACTTATGCAGAGACCAAGTGTGCCTTCTTATAGCAACCTGTTCCATATTATGTGTGCCTTTTTGTTTTTTTAACTTTTTGGATTTTAGATTCAGAGATTTCATTTATTCATACTCTTATTTCAATTCCTGGCACACTCTTATGTTTGATCCCATAAAGCCCCTTTCTTAGTTTATTTTAGTTTTCCCCTTCATCTCTCATTCCCTATTCCCATTCCTTACCACTTAGTATACATTCCCTCTAAGATGTTTAATGTATGTCTCTTCATACTCTTGATACATACGTATTTGTGAAAGATATCTAGTAGTGTTTTGTGTATATGCTTTTTTTCTTTCTTTTTTTTTTTTTTTGAGACGGAGTCTTGCTTTATCACCCAGGCTGGAGTGCAGTTGCACGATCTCGGCTCACTGCAAGATCTGCCTCCCGGGTTCAAGAGATTCTCCTGCCTCAGTCTCCAGAGTAGCTGGGACTGCAGGCACTCACCACCACGCCCAGCTAATTTTTGTATTTTTAATAGAGACAGGGTTTCACCATATTGGCCAGGCTGGTCTCAAACTCCTGATATTGTGATCCCCCTGTTTTGGCTTCCCAAAGTGCTGGGATTACAGACGTGAGCCACCGCGCCTGGCCATGTATAAGCTTTTAGTTTACATCATACGCAGCGTCTCATTATATTCTTTTATCTCTTTATTCAATGTTATGTTCTGATGTATATTCACTAGTTTATCGCATCTGACAGCTGAATTCTATTTCATCTGCTGATGGACAACTATTGCTCTAACAAATAATGCTGCTGTGTTCATTTTTCTATGTGGTGTCTTACAGGCCTGTGTGAAAATCTCTCAGACACATTCCCAGGAGAGAGACTGCTATATTGTAGGGTACACAGAAACTAATTACTAAAAGCTGCCGGTTTACTTTTTGGAAAGATTGTGCCAGCTCCCACTCCTACCAGCCATTTATGTAGGTTTCTGTTTCCCCCAACTTGTTGAAAACTTGAAGTCGTGTAACTTTTTAACTTTTGCTAATTGAATGAGTATTAAATGGTATATTATTGTTGCTTTGATTTTTATGTCTCTTCTTATTGGTGAGGTTGAGAATCTCTTGATCTAATTGTAGTCCTTCAGATTTCTTCTTTTTTGCATTTCTTATTCACATCCTTCACCCATTTTCCTATTTTTTTCTCTAATTGTTAGTAGGAATTGCTTTTATAATCTAAGTATTAATCTCATTTATTTTAAACTTTAAAAATATTTTCCCCTAGTATGGTACACATCTGTTAACACTGTCAATTGTGCCTGTGTTGAACAAAAATCTTTAATGTCTTTGTAGTCAGATCAACAATTTTTGCCTTATAGTCTGTGCTTCTGTTCAATCATTGTGGAAGACAGTGTGGTGATTCCTCAAGGATCTAGAACTAAGAATACCATTTGACCTAGCAATCCCCTTACTGAGTATATACCCAAAGGATTATAAATCATTCTACTATAAAGACATATGCACACATATATTTATTGCAGCACTGTTCAAAATAGCAATAGCATTCACTGTTCACAAAACTTGGAACCCAAATGCCCATCAATGATAGACCGGATATAGAAAATGTGGCACATATACACCATGGAATACTATGCAGCCATAAAAAAGGATGAGTTCCTGTCCTTTGCAGGGACATGGATGACACTGGAAACCATTATTCTCAGCAAACTAACACAAGAACAGAAAACCAAACACCACATGCTCTCACTCGTAAGTGGGAGCTGAACAATGAGAACACATGGACGTGGGGATGGGGGCATCACACACCAGGGCCTGTTGGGGGGGCTACTGGGGGAGGGATAGCATTAGGAGAAATACCTAATGTAGATGACAGTTTGATGGGTGCAGCAAACCACTATGGCACGTGTAAACCTATGTAACAAACCTGCACATTCTGCACATGTACCCCAGAACTTAAAGTATTTAAAAAAAAAAAAAAGGGCTGGGTGCAGTGGCTTATGCCTGTAATCCCAGCACTTTGGGAGGCCAAGGCAGGAAGATTACAAAGTCAGGAGATCAAGACCATCCTGGCTAACACAGTGAAACCCGTCTCTACTAAAAATACTAAAATTAGCCAGGCATGGTGGCGGGCGCCTGTAGTCCCAGCTAGTTGGGAGGCTGAGGCAGGAGAATGGCATGAACCCGGGAGGCAGAGCTTGCAGTGAGCCAAGATCATGCCACTGCACTCCAGCCCGGGTGACAGCAAGACTCCGTCTCAAAATAAAAAAAAAGTGAATTGTCACAAAGTCACACAGATAGTAAGAGACTGAGAAAAGACCAGGTATTTTTGGAGCTAAAGCTTTGGCCAGGCCTTCCACACTGGTGGTACTAAAAGTGTAGGCCTCAGACCTGTTCACCATAGGCTAGGTAAAGTCTGTATTATTTATGTATACAGAAGCTTTCAATAAAAAATGAAAAACATGACCTTTTCAATTAAAAAGTGACAGTCTTAATATTTTTACCTATGCTGTTTGCTCTGATTATATTTATTTAATGCTAATGTAATGTAACATCCAACAGAAGTATGTAATAAATATAGAATAAATATATTTATATTAATTATAATAAAAATTTTAAATGATCTCTAGTTATAAGTGTGAAATTGGGGGCTGGTATCTTGCATGTCTGATTTTTATTTATTTTTTGATAATTATTTTTATTGTATTTTATGAAAGTAGTGGTGGGTGACATTTTGAAAATTAAAAAAAAAAGGTTCTTTACCAATGATAATTGAGAAGCACAGATCTAGGCTACATGTCCTTTCTCTATAAAGGTATCTCTTGCTGGCTTAGGCGCCTGAAGATCTGAAGATGCAAACAGATAAAAAAAGTTATGAATCAGTATATTAGCATGCTCAGTTGTCTCAATCATTTTAAGTAGGTGATTTAGTGAGAGGCAGCTGAGCAAGCTCTTTCTCGCCAAAAAAATTAAAAGCCTCAGAATGGTTCGTTACAGTGTCCCCACCCAGCCCTCTCTGCTACTTTATACCTCAATGGCCCATAGGCCTAAAAGGCAAGAATCTACTGCTGGCTCTGGAAATACCAAGCCCAATACCTGAGCTCTGAGCTAAGGAAAAGTTGCTACCAATCTTGAAATTCAACTCTCTCCCGTTGGGAAAAACAAACTATTGAGCTTGAGTATGACAGTATCTGGACATTAATTATGAGATTGTTGGCAATGTTAATGAAACTATCTTATTTAGAAACTTAAGTACATTGTTTGAACATAGATTGAAGTATTTAAGCCATCAGAACAGCTGATTTGTATAGCAATATTGAGATACATCATCAAATCTGAGAGGAAATATGTAATATTTGTAGGGAACTACAGAATATAAAAAAAAGTAAGATCAAAACCCATATCTCAGTAAAAGTTGCATAGGGTAGTCTTCTGACAGATCATGTGATGTTGTGATAGAGCAATCCAATGAATTTACAATTTAAAAAATCATCTGGCTATGTTTTTGAGTATGTAATGTTACCATGTTTCAAACACAATTATTAGTACAGCTTGGAGCTAGTTAGCTTTTACATTTGGATTTTAACCTCCTTGTGTGTCACTCATATCAAGATTTTTTACAGTAGCCCTATTTAGCTCACGGAAAAAAAATGGAAAAATCCAAATATTTAACAGTAGGAGAATATTTAGCAAGCCAGCTTTATAAATGTAATGAAATACTGTAAAATCTTTTATAATAAGTAAGCAGAATATATCAATACATAACAATGTCTCTACAAAAAATATTGAGTATAAATCACAAAATAGAGAAATAGAATACATGTACAAATCACAGCTACATAAAAATATGCTCGTGAGTTCAGAAAAATTATTAGAATGCAGCCAGGTAGAATTTATTGTGTATTTTTTAATCTATAAAGATATGATAAAAGAAATTGAAAAGCACATGTTTATACTGCAATTTTGAGAAAATCATACCAATGCATAGACAATTTATGTAAATTTAGAAACTTTCAGAACTCTCAGATAGTGGCAATAGGTAGCACAGAAAAATAAAAGAAAGTGGGTGTTGCAAAGAGCCATCTGGAGCAGGGCTCAGCAAACCATGGCCTGGGAAAATCCCGCTTGTTGCTTGCTTTCATAAATAAAGGCTTTTTAGAACATAGGCACACCCATTTGTTTATGCACTATCTGTGACTGCTTTCAAGGTACAAGGGCAAAGTTGAGTATTTGCAACAGAGACCATTTGGCCTGCAAAACCTAAAATATTTACTGTGTGGTTCATTACAGAAAAAGTGCCAATTCCCAATCTAAATTATGACTTGAGATGAATTAGAATCCATTCTCATTTGTGGGATTTCCATTTCAGTAACATATTTGGGAAAGACCCAAACTCCTTCAAATTATGTAAGTCTAAGCCTGCAAGTACAACTGATGGATTACAGGCTCAAGAGGTTTTGGGAAACGACCATGTCACTATTTTCAGAGTTAAGAAATGTCAGAGCACAGATTTTTATTTCTAAGCAAAACAGTCATCCATAAGGATACCAGAGCTATGTGACTTGAATGTGGAGTAGAAATGAACACAGACTGGGTCACCTGGGTCCCTCAGGGATTCTTTTGGAGCTCTCTTCTTTGCCAAGATATTATGGAGGAAGCTGTTTGTCCCTTCATAGCACCATACAGTGCTTTTATGGCAGCATCAAATTAAAAAAAGAAAAGATTGATCTATAAATTTCCTGAAGGTGTCAGAACAAGAATGAATCTTGGGGGACACTAATAAGCAATCAGCAGGGAGAACTGCACGTTCCACTTCTGGTGACTCTGGAATGCCCCTGCCCGTACTCGCAGGCTTTCTGTTTCTTCTGCTGCATCACCCAAGTTCTCCACACCTTCTCCCTTCATTTTCCATGGAAAGCTTATTTTCTGTCTGTGGCTGCGGGCAAGTGGATTGTTCCAAAATTGATTTATACTTTGTATCTTAGAATAGACCAGGAGAAACTTCATACTTGACTTTGTCCTACAATCATAAAAAATGTATCAGCCTGCTTCCAGAACAACAATCAACTCTGTTTTGAGGTTGCCTCTGTGGATACAATTTTAATCTTTTCTGGGAGAAATACAATGTATCAGTTCAATACCTGGAGAAGAAAATTAGTAGTTTTTAGTAGTTTCTGGAGTGAGATGAAAGGTACTTTCTGAACTCTTCTTTTTCTCTGATCACCCCTCCACGGGATCGCAGGTAAAATCATATTTGTAACAAGACAGTTTTCTAGCATACTTACTACATACTTAGTATACATTAGAATACAGAATACTTACTAAACAGACATTCATGCACTCACTTACTGAGATTGAATGGCCCCATAACATGTGCCACTGAAGACGAGAGGAAGAGATCTTTGTAGCGTGGCTTTGGAGTGGGCCTGGAGGTCCTGCTAAGTCAGTGAAGATTGTCTTGACGTCCCTTTCTGCCTTTTCTGTGCTGTCCTTTTCTTCTTATCCTCCTTCATCAATTTCTTCCTAAAAGCATCTCAACCCAGTAGCTACAGTGATCATCTAAATTCTGGGACTGAAGAATGTTTTCTGATTATGTATGCTAAAGTATCAGTGACTCGGGTATGATACTTCCTAAGGATATTTATATTGATAAGGGAAGATAAGAATCGAGAGGAGAGAGCAACGCTTTACTGAACTGAGTGTATTTCTAATAGTTGCATTTTTAACACGATGGTGCCTCTTGGGAAAGATACTTTTATTTTATGATTGTGAGGAGAGAGGGCTATTAACTGTCCCTCAGATCACACTACACAAATACTCTTAACTCCTCTTCTTCCCCTCCCTTTCTGTGTCCACCTTCCCTAGCTGCTAAAAGCACTTACTCAAGAGCCCACAGGGAGACTGTGGTGCAAGATCCAGCTCTCCGCACTCCAAGCATGCAGATTTCAAACTCCACAAATGCTGGAACAGCAAATGCAAGCCAAGACAGCTCAGCCAGCTGGTGTGAGGTCAGGGCTCTGCTTTGCTTTGTCCACCCACACCTTCTCTCTGTAGAGAGACAGAAAGAGTCTGGGATAACTATTGGCAGAATGGATCAGAGGTCATCACTGAGCAGATAATGCTCAAGAGGGAAACCAGTGTAAGGGGCTGGGAGCTGAGGGCTGCAGAGTGAAAGCATGCTAGAGAAAGGGTGATGAGAGTCAGAACTGGTCTTGGACCAGATCCTGCAATGAAATTATTTTGGGGCACCCTTCCCATTAAACTTTATTGTACACCCAAGCTGGCAATTCCTCCTTAGTGTCACCACTTACCTGCCCTGCCCTGGCCCACACTTTTCTCATCCTCTGCCTTACAAAAATTCCAGCTCTTGAAAACTTTCCACTCTCTCTTTTTTCTTTCTCTTTCTCAGATCCCACCATTCTATTTTTCTGCGAAAAAATAATCTGTAGAAAAGTTTTCATGAGTAATAACAAATTAATTCATTGACTTTTTAAAAGGAGATAAAGGTAGAATTTCAAAGGAAGATCCATTAGCTCTCCACCAATGTGTGCCTAACATAAGCCCTGACCCTAAGCCAATCTTGCTTTGATTATCCCTGTGTCTTCCTCTTGAGGATCATTTTAGGGATTAAAACTATTTAGTACTAGAGAAGCTATAAATTGCCTTCGTGTACGTTTATATGGCATTTGCAAATGCCTATAGATACTGAATTTTAAATTTATGAATAACATTTGGATAAAATATATTTTTAGTAACTTTAAGCTGATATATATATGTGTATATATATATGGCGCTCTCTCTATATATAAGCTGATGTATATTTAAATATATAAGTATGTGTATTTAAGCTGATATATATGTGTGTATATATAATATATAATATATTAATTAACATTTTGGGAGGTTCTGGATCCTGATCCAGGTTCTCTTAAGTATACAGGTATGCAGATTAGTTTGGAACAGGAGTAGGGAAATACACAAGGAGAAAGAATCAGTGGATTGGCTGCATTTTACCAAAAAAGTCTCCTGGCCCAAGTTTGAGGGAATCAATTGTATCATTTGCTGTTACATAATAGGGATGGATTTCTGGACAAACTCCATAATAACTGTTTCTTTTCTCTTTGTTACCATTATTCTCTTGGCAGCAACTACCATAATTGTGGGGTGTTTTCCCATGAAGAAGTGAACCTAGCAATTGAGAAGACATTGAGTGAAAATCTGTTTTTCTCTTCCAACAGTGGGAAGAGCTTTCATGTGGGTTAACGTTAACCATGAATCTCGTTCCTATACAAAATATTCACACTCGTACCCATTGAGGGGGATGTTGTAAGCTCTTTTTAGATTTGTTTGTTTAGGTCAGGAGTGGACCAAGCAGTTATGTGAAGGAGGAGAAAAAGCTAGACAATAACGTATTGAGCTTGTTTTATAATAATTATTATAAGGGTCATATAAATCTGCATGAATATAAACATATAACCCCCCCAAAAGTAATAGAACCAGTAGGTGGCTGAGTAGGGCCTTATGACAGTATCTTCTGACCCTTTCTACTCTATTCCATTGTAAGGAATGGTTTGTGGGCCATTTTTCCTCAGCCTTTGGGCTGGGACACACCAGGTCTCCTGGTTCATCGCACAGTCAGATAACTAGTTCCTTTTAGTGCAGTGGGAAGCAAGGGGGATGTTAGCAAGTTAGACAGTGCGCTTAACATAATTGGAAAATATCACTAGAATAAAAGCAACCTTTGTTAATTTTTCCACATGACCTACAATTTCTGATTGTTATTCTGCCTCTTCTCCCATTTTGACCTACAGAATTGTCCTCTCACTGTGACATCCAGTCAACACTGGCCTTCATTCTACGCCTGCTGCCCTGATGATTGCACGTTAATGAAGCACAAAGAGGAGTTATTACTGTCCATTTATTTTCCATCCCCACAGATAGTAGTAGGACCAGCCTGTCCTCTTCTTAGTAGGTGGAGAAAAAGGCTTATTAAATGTCAAAAATATTTTGAGTACTTCTTGGACAGCTTCAGGAGTCAAACCACCTGCAAAGAATCATCAGGCCTGCCTCCATTGAAAGCTGTCTATTGGGAAGGGACTCTGTCACCCACTTGTGGAACTCATTGAGTTCTGTCATGTGGCTTCTTCACCAAAAACATGCCTTATGATTCCTCATTAGCACAGCTTCTCTTTCTAAAGCTATTTCCTTTGATGTAGTGCCCCCCCCCCCAACTATCTACATCTCATTTCAATTTTACAGCCTCTATTCTCTGTCCTTGTTTGCATAGCAGCAAAGGAAATCTTAATTGCTTTGTATTTATAGTCAGAGTCTAAACTGTTGGATTAATTCATGTATCAATTCTGAAATTCATTAAATAAATATTGATTAAAAGAACACTTTTAATATACACTGTTATAAGGATATACACTGTTATAAGGATATACACTGTTATAAGGATACAACAGTTGAGTAAGACACTTTGGAAATAGATAATGGTGATGAACACACAATGCTGTGAATGTAATTAATGCCACTGAATTGTGTATTTTAAAGTGGGCACTATGGAGAATAATATGAAGGTTTTTCAAAAAAACTACAACTAGAATGGCCATGTCATTCAACAATCTCACTACTGGGAATTTATCCAAAGAAAAGGAAATTATTATTTCAAAGAAACATCTGCACTCTCATGTTTATTGCAGCACTATTAATAATAGCCAAGATATGGAACCAGCCTAGGTGTCCAACAACAAATGAATGGATAAAGAAAATATGGCATATATACACAGTGGAATACCATTCCGCCACAAAAAGGAATAAAATCCTGTCATTCATGGCAATATGGATATAACTGGATGACATTTTGTTAAGTAAAATAAGGCAGGTATAGAAAGTTAAACTCCTCACGTTCTTTCATATGTGAAAGCTAAAAGAAGTTAATCATGGAAATGAAAAGTAGAATGCAGGATACTAGAGGCCGGGAAGGGTAGGTGGAAGAGGGAGTTAGGGAGAAATGTGTTAAAGGATACAAAGTTACAGCCACATAGGAGGAATAGGTTCTAGTGTCCTATACCAGTATAGGATGACTATAGTTAATAACAATACATTATAAGGTTTCAAATAGCAAGAAGGAAGATATTGAATGCTCCCAACACAGAGAAATGACAAATGTTTGAGATGATGGGCGTGTTAATTACCCTGATCTGATCACTATTATACATTATACATATCAAAACATCACTATGTACCCCATGAATATGTACAATTATTATTTGTCAATTAAAAGAATTAAGAAGTTTATGTTCCATATATTTACTGCAATAAGAAAAATGCTTTACCAAAAAAAGCAATGAATAAGACAGTCCTGGTCTTCACAGTGCCCAAAGTCTAGTAAGAAAGACAGACCTATGAAATAAAGTATTGTTGGTGAGAATATAGAAAGATGTAAAGGACACGGTGAATGCAAAGGAGGATACTGTGAGCTAAATTCACCTTTTTATTTTATTTGTCTTTGTTTTGCTTTTTAGTTAGTGGCATCTGTTAGAGACAGTTTCTTGAAGTGAGGACTCAAAGATGAGCAATTCTCGAGAAACCAGAGGCCCAAGCTCCCTGAAACACTGGATGCTGTGATGCAGGCAATAACATTTGAATGACAGTAGAAACCTTGGGTAGTTTAGTCCTAAATTCAGTACTTCTTTCTACCATCATTAATTTGTCCTACCCAGGACAGAGACTAGGGACTAGTGAGACCCCTATTTCATAAATAAATAAATAAAATTTGTAAAAAAGAGACAGAGGCATCTAGGGTGCAAAATTTAAGGAGGCATTCCCTCTAAGGGACAGGCTGACTTGCATGACCTTGAAAGTGAGCACCTCCTTTAATAATACCCTTATGATCATCATGGTCCATAGTATCCTTCCTGCAGTTGCCTGTTTCCTTGCCTGCCTCCCTATATGAACTATAAATTGTGCCATGCGCATCTTTTTATCTACTGGGGCTAGAACAAAGTATGGCACATAGAAAACACCCAAGGAATATTAGTTTGATTTGGGAAACATTTTTAAAATAAAGAAATGCATGGCCACAATCCACTATATCCCCTAGGAACCAAGCTCTTCAGACTCTCTTCTCCTTGGCTTCCATCTCTGTCCTGTCAAGCTGAAGTTTGTTCAGGGTTCATGTTCTCTGAAGGCTTCCAAGTAGATACTGTGTCAGTGCCTCTGGAACCCTTCTACTCACCTTTTATCAGGTTTTTTTCCTCCCTGTGATTGATTTTGAATAGTTGCTCTATCTTCAAGTCCACTGTCAAATCCACCATAAATTCCATTCAGATAAATTCTCATTTTAAATATTGTATTTTTTTTATCTCTAGAAGCTCCATTGGTTCTATTTGTATCTTCTATTTCTTCACTACGTTTGCATTTTTCTTTACATTCTTGGGCACACGGAATATACTTATAGAAACAATTTCAATGTCCTTGTTCATTAAGTTCATCATCTCTGTTATTTCTGGGTATCTTTCAACTAATCGATGTTTCTCCTAGCCGTGGGTCACATTTTCTTACTTCTTATGGCTGAAAGTGGAAGTCAATCCTCACTGTTTTTTTCATACACATTTTCAACCTTGTTCTATTAAATTAAACATGACTTTCCCTTGATGACAGAGCTTGACAGAACTTCCCTCTCATCTTCACCCGATGGATCATTTTCTCAATATCTTCCTCTCCCAGGACCAGGAGGAGGTGTTAGAAGTGACTTTATCACACTGTTGTTTCTTAGTAATTATTCACCTGAATGTTTTGTTTTGACACACCCAGAATGGACTTCCACTACATAGTCCTTTTCTCTATGATGTATCTCTACACCTCCAGGAGTCTCTATCTTCCTTTTTAGAAGTTCTTAGCGTTGAGTTTACAGTTTCTTTGTCCTATATCCTATTTCCTTTCCTATTTCCTCAAACTATCTTGAGTCTTACTTCAAGCAGAAAGTCAAACCAAGTATAAGTTTCCTCAACTCTGTTCATCTCCAAATTTCATTTCTCTGTACATTTGCTAATATTTTCTTCCCTCCCCTGTCTCCTTGTGGAATGTGACCACTCTTGGGAATAACCTTATTCCCTCCTTCTATGCACTTGAGTATATCCCCATGGATTCTCCTAAGCATTGCTCCTACAAACATGCTCCTTCTTTTTCCTTCTACTTGCCCATGGATAATGAATCCCTCAAACAGATGTATGCTTTGTTCTTGGTATATTAATAATAGCCATCATAAAATGTGTCTTGATTCATGCCTTATACTTTCTTAGGTGCTTTTCCTCTTTTCTCTCTTGTACTGGGTATATCTTTTATTCCAGAAAGCTAATTTTGATAATTCCATTTCCAGCGGTGGTATACCAGCTTATTGGGCCAATCTTCCCATCAAGCACTAGTAGAAAATCTGGACAAAATACATTTTAAAAAGTCTGTTTGAAGGCTTTGGAGAACAATAAAGGACTTGATAGGCCAACATCCTGGAAATAAGGGATCCTTGAGAAGTGAGTCCAATACCAAATGCCTCTTTTCCCTGCTGGCATCTGCTGACTCTAAAGAAATAGCAGAGAGACTAAGGAGCAGCTAGAGTTCAGAGCCCACTTAGAAGGAGGGGCTCTGATAAATGTACTACAGAATTTTAGCTGGACTTCTCGAGACCAGATCAGATCTCACAAAGATTGAAATATACCTTCAAGTCACCTCAACTCAGGATTGAATTAACTGCTTGGCAGTTTAACTGCTTGGCAGAAGTAAGCATGGACCCTCTCTTGGAAGAGATAACATCACCTGAAGTCTAGCCACTTGTCACTATTCTCACTGCCACTCTCTAGTGGGTCCACATCTCCCATCCCCTGGACTAAGGCAAAAGCCTAACAATGATCTCCACATTTACCATCCTGCCATCCTGATGTTCTTTTGTTCACTCAATACAGCATCTAGTGTGTTCTTTCTAAAACACACAAAAAAACCTCTTCTCAAATTCTTTCCTAAAGTTAATTAGCTTTTATGAAGCAATATAGAACCTAATAGAATAGAGCCTCCAATTTTTTTAAATGGTTGACAGTGGTATCCATGATCGGACTCCCGCCCGTCTTTCTGCCCCATCTCTTTTCTTTTCCCTTGGCTCTCTCTTATGCAAACATAGTGAACTTGAAAGAAAAGTCTGTCTCGAACCTCTGGATGTTCCCACTTGCTCTCCTTCTGCAGAGAACATTCTCACTTTCTGAATCCTCTTGTTATTAACCCCTACTAACTCTTCACACCTCCACCTGGCATTGACCTTCTCATTCTTGTACTAGGTTACGGTTTCCTGCTGTGTGTCTCACAGATCTCTGTACCTCTTCACTTGTAACACTCATTTTATTGTTTTTGCTTGTTTATTCATTTTTCTTTTAAAATCCATTGAACATCATGGTTTTCTTTCACTTTTTTATTTTTTAATATCTGTCTTACCTACCAGATACAGCTTCTGTGGTGGCAGAAGGACCAGCTACATAATTTGCAGGACCCAGTAGGAGGTAAAAATGGGGGGCCATATGCTCTAAAATGATTAAGAGTTTCAAGAAAGTGAAAGCAGCATTAAACCAATCATATTCCACCTGTTTCAAGCAGAGGTTCCTGTGTGAATGCACATTTTATACCCATGAAACTGGCCTGTGGTGCAGGCAGAAATGTTAAGGAGGTAGTGGGGTGTGGATATCCAGAAAAGGTTGAAGTTTTTCAGAGTCGCTGAGAGCAATTCCTTCTTTCTCATATTCACTCGATAGATCTTTATTTGGTGTTTTTAAGTGTCAGGCACAGTACTAGCTGCTGGGGTTCGAGATCTATTTGACATTTCTGCCTACACCCTTTAGTGAGAAAACTGAGGCAATAAATTCATAATCCCATATATGTACCCATTACTTTCTTTATTCCTTCCCATCCTATGGAAGGGGTTTCATGCCTAGCATGCCAGACCAATTCCCTGTGGTTTGGGTCCCATGCTTTCCTATGTCCCATGCTTTCCCATTTCCTTCTTCTATGTCCTCAAACTTTTCAATGGGTGTTTTTCTTTTGGCATAAAAACATTTCATATCTTTCCAATCTTAAAAAATGAATAAAAACAAAGAAAACTTTCTTTGACCACCATGTCCTTCTATAGCTACCATCCTATGACTCCACATCACTTCACAGACAAGTGTCCCAAGAGTAATCTACCCTACTTTCACACAGCAATGCCTCTCACTACATACAAGCTTTAACACACTACAGTCAAGTCCTACCCCTCCTCCTTTCATTCCATGATGCATTTTGGCAGAAGTCAGCAAGTTTTGCTAAATTCAGCATATGATTTTGGGTTCTTATCTTATTTCATTTAGGCATAGTCACTTGCTTCCTCCTGCCTGAAGTTCTATCTTTCTTTGACTTCTGAGAACAACATTTCATTGTGTTTTTCCTTCCTTTCTCTCAAATCCAATTTTCTCTGCCTATCTCCTTTCACTTCAACTATTATTTCCACATTAATGAGTCCCCTTCTTTTCCCCTCCCCTCTCTTTCTTTCTCTTCCTTCCTTTTCCTTCTCTTTTCTTAGCTTCCCTTCCAATCCACAGGTGTTAATTCCAGGAGCACTCCCTCATAAACCTCCTGCATACTAATCTATGCCTCAGAGTCTGTTTCCTGGGGAACCCAGTCTGCAATAGTCATCCTAAATATCTCAATGTCCTATGTTCCCCTCATCCAGTTAAATACCAAGCTATAGATATCAAGCCTTATAGTATCTATAAATCTATTTTTTCCTTAATAAATTTGTTTTCTTCTGTTACTCTCTCTGACACTACTAGATTTAGACTCTCATTAATTCTCAATGGCACTATTTCCACCTGTTCTCCTTGCCTCTGATCTGTCTCTTTCCCAATTTATCACTCAAGGCTACTCCCAGCAGGATTTTTCCAGAATATAGATGCAATCTAGCAAATTATTCACTTCATAAGGACTTTCAGTGGCTTTGATGTCTGTCATTCATTTACACATCCAGTCAGTCAACACTTACTGAATATTCACAATGTTCCAGGCACTGTAATAAGTTCTGGGGATACAAAGTTAATGAAACAGAATCTCTGTCCTCATGGAGCTTATAGCAAAGGGGATGTTATCAACCAAGATGTGTAAGGTAAAGAAGCAGGAGCACAGAAGACTAACAATCTGGTGAAGAAAAAAGACATGAATCAAGTAATCAATTATTTAGGTAAATGCCAATAACATCTGTGATAAGTTCCACCAAAAAAGGTCCATTGTGCAATAAGCACTTACAAGAAGGTTTGACACAATCACAGGGGCAAGAGAGGAATTCCAAAAGAAATGGCTTGGGGATAAAATTTAAATGCTTCTTCATATTCTGATCCCAATCTCCCTTTATAGGTTTATCTTCCAAAAATTCACCTCATCTCACCTATGACATCCACATACCCTCCAGGCAAGTTGTATAGAGACTTCTGCATGTTCACGTCATCAGCCTTGTTTATAATGCTCCCTGTGCTGGAATTTCCTCTCTTACCTTGTTAATGAAGCTATCTCCTACTCATTCGATAAAAATCGGTGTAGTGATTACATTCTCTAGGAAACATTTCCTAATACCTCAGTATGATTTTGATGTTTCTCTGTTGTTCCTTAGCAATATACTTTCTTAATATTCATATCTGTAGCAATTTTAACATGACACTTAATGTTATGTATCACAACCTTCAACTTATTTTAAGTTTCTTGAGAAACAGGATCATGTTTGTCTTTACTATCTCCATGCCTAACATGGACATGGGACATGACACAACATAGCATAAAATTTATGACAAATAAATAAAATGAAGGAATGAAAGAATGAATAGAGTTTGCATGCATATAAGACCTCACATGTCTCTTTATAAGCATAATCTGAAACGTAACACTAAATTATTTCTACATCAAGTACAATAAATAAAGACTTTTAAATAAGCAGGTTTCAGGCATCCTTTAAGCTTTTAACTGAGAAGTGACTGTGTAGTATTAGATTCAGTTTAGTCATTTAGATGAGCTACTAAAAAAGATGAGCTAGCGGTTTTCCAGTCTGACTGTCTTGGTCACCTTATCTGATGGTTTATTTGATGATTCTCTTCATTTCCAGGCAGTGTATCAGCCAGCAGTTAATCCAGGGATTTACTGCGATAGAGTCAGAGTTCAAATACTGTATTCATGTTTCCATGTTCTATGGAGCACAGCTTAATGGGATGTCAGCTGTTACAGTCCATCCACAAAATGATGTTTATTCCAAGTGAAAAAGAAAGATAGTCTATGTAACACTTGGTTTTTAGTTAGAAAGGAATTGGAAATAAACAGAATTTTCTAAATCAAATTGTCAAACTAATGTAAATAAAATAACTCACTCTGAATGGAATTCACTCAACAATTTTGAAGGAATTCAAAGGTGACACTGCAAAACTATGGCTATTCTCCAATATTCATTACCAGTGGCTACTACAGCAGAAGATCGTCAACATAGCTCCCATCTTTGGGCTATCTTCCAGCAAGAGCCTGAATAGTTGTCTCACTTTCATATTGAGCAAGGACATGGAATCTCTGACAAACGAGGAAGACTTGGAACACTTAAGCAAGCATAACCTCCTGAGAGAGTAAGTCTGTTTTCTGTCCAGGAAAATCTTGGATAGCTAATTTACTTGAACTTTTTTTGGATGATAAATTCAAAAACAGAAACAGAATAACCAAAAGGGCTATTATTATCAAACTTTATAAACAAAGCACTTTTACAGTTTTAAATTTTAAATTCTAAATCATTGATTTATCATATTAAATTAGTTGTAAGCTATTTAATTTAATCCAATAATTTATTAAATTATTATTTAATCCTAAATTAAATTTAATCCTAAATTAAAACAATTGGTATTGTTGGAGGAGCTTAGGGAAAGTGGACAATTACACAATGTTTAAAGGTTGCACTCCTCTTCTTTGGTCCAATGGTAAGCAAAGATCTCCACCTGGATGTTCCAAAAACATCTTAACTCCACATGTCCTCAGGTAGCTCATTATCTTCCTCTCCAAACCTGTTCTTCCTTCTTGCTATAAAATGTTGGTTAGTAGTGCCTCTATTTTATCCACCAACATAAAAAAAAATCACCCAAAATCTTTATTTTGGAGAGAAATATCTTGCTAAACCATAAGTCTAATCATATCTCTTCCCTAATTAAACTTTTTAGTAGTTGTTCATTGTTGATAGAATAAAGTCCAAATTCTTTAGTGTGGCATAAAAGGGTCTTCAACATTTGAGCTCCCTCTTTCCAGCCACATCTGCTGCCAGGCTTCTCCAGTGTTAAAATGTTGTTTTTAAAATAAACTTGGTATGTTCTTTTTTCCTTCCAAAATTTTATACATGTGGCTTCCTCTGCCCAGCGTGACCTTTATCCCTTTCTCCTACTAACAAATTCTCATCATCTTTCAAAATCCAGTTAAGATATTAACTCTTCCATTAAGCCTTCTCTGCCACAATATTAACTTCAATGATCCTTAAGCAAAACCTTTCTTCTCTAGCTAAATACATAGAACTATAACTCAAATATTGGTCTAAAATTAAAATGCTAATGGGAGACTTAAAAGTGACAGAATTGAGGGGGCCTCATGACCTTTGAATAGGTCACATTATCCAATCAACTTCATTCTAATATACTCACGTACAGACGGGCAGCTTTGCTACAACCCCAAAAAGAGATGACTCAGGAGGCAAAGGTAGGGCACCAAAGTTATGAGCTCTAGATCCAGGCCGACTGGGATTATAAAGACTTAAATACAGAGCAAAATGAATATGCTAACATGTATTTATTTCATATAATAAATGTATCCCAAAATTTAAGATAAATAAAAAATTAGGCTGGGTGCAGTGGCTCATGCCTGTAATCCCAGCACTTTGGGAGGCCGAGGCAGGCGGATCACCAGGTCAGGAGTTCAAGACCAGCCTGGCCAACATGGTGAAACCCCGTCTCTACTAAAAATACAAAACTTAACTGGACATAGTGGCACATGTCTGTAATCCCAGCTACTTGGGATGCTGAGGCAGGAGAATTGCTTGAGCCCATGAGGCAGAGGTTGCAGTAAGCTGAGATCACGCCACTGCTGCACTCCAGCCTGGGCAACAGAGCAAGACTCCATCTTGGGAAAAAAAATCAGCTACATGAAAATTTTAATGTATTTTATGCTGTGTGACTCTCTTCTTTCTAGGTCCTTAGGTGAAGGAAAGTAAGAAAGATGGCAATACAGGAAAGGAACTAATATTTAAAGAATACTAGTATCTCTCTGTGCCATTTATATCTACCTCATTTCATTTAACCTTCAAAAGCATATGATTATGTAGATGCTGTAATGTTATTTCAATTTTACAGAGGAGTAAATTGAGGCACAATAATGATAAGATATTTAGCCTCGGCTGGGCATGGTGGCTCACGTTTGTAATCCTCACACTTTGGAAGGCCAAGGCAGGTGGATTGCTTGGCCCAGGAGTTCAAGAGCAGCCTGGGCAAAAAGGAGAAACCCCATCTCTTTTTTTTTTTTTTTTTTTTTTGAGACGGAGTCTCGCTCTGTCGCCCAGGCTGGAGTGCAGTGGCGGGATCTCGGCTCACTGCAAGCTCCACCTCCCGGGTTCACGCCATTCTCCTGCCTCAGCCTCCCAAGTAGCTGGGACTACAGGCGCCCGCCACTACGCCCGGCTGATTTTTTGTATTTTTAGTAGAGACAGGGTTTCACCGTTTTAGCCGGGATGGTCTCGATCTCCTGACCTCGTGATCCGCCCGCCTCGGCCTCCCAAAGTGCTGGGATTACAGGCGTGAGCCACCGCGCCCGGCCCCCATCTCTTAAAAAAATGCAAAAAATTATCCAGTTGTGGTGGCTCACACCTGTGGTCCCAGCTACTCGGGAGGCTGAGGCGGGAGGATCACTTGAGCCTGAGAATTAGAGACTGCAGTGAGCCAAGATCGCACCACTGCATTCCAGCCTGGGTGACAGAGGAAGAACCTGTCTCAAAATAAAAAAATAATAATAAAAAAATAAAAAAATCACCCTCATTTCCATGGCCAGTAATAAAAAGAGAAACAGAAATTTTAATACAGGAATGATTACTGTATTTCTTTGTGGGAATTGTGGTAAGTTGGTATTTCAGAACAGGCATGTAACCCCTTCTGCCCAATGACACTGGAGGGAAAGTCTACTGCTGGGTAGGGGTGGGGCTTTAGAGAACGGCTTCATGTTACACATCCTTCACCAGAGCATTTTCTTCTGAAAATCCTTTGTAGCAGATTCTATTAGCTTCAGGTAACAGGCAATTATGTGCTTTAAGAGAGAACCCCTCTCCCAGGAAGTGAACGTGATTGGCACACCAACTGGGGTAATTCATCTTTCCAGGGATTAATTTAAGAAAGGGCATGTAAGACTGCTTTAACCAAAGAGACATGAGGGGAAGTCTGCTTGAAAGGAGGTAGTAGTCCAGAAAAAGATTTTGTTTTGCTTTATGAAAAGGAAGCAGGAGGAGAAAGTATTATTTTTTGTCTTTAGATTTACCATGAGCATGTGATGCTTAGGCTACGGCAGCCATCTTGGTACCCTGAGAAGAGTCACCCTAAGAGAAGATGCCAGCATTCTAGGAAAAGCAGGGCGGGGATGGAGAAAAAATCCAGGGCCTGGATGACATTGCTGAGCTGCTGAGTTAACCTAGAACTATCCTAACTCAAGATTTCTCTTTATAAGGTAATATATTTCCTTATATTTAGATCATTTGAAATTTGATTTTTGGTTACCCTGCCTGAAATGTGGTAACTGATAAGGCTTTTCAATTTCAGGTTTGTTGATAGGGGTTTCTTTTTCCTGGTATAATATATGATATGTGTATACGTGTCTGTGCATGTATGTGCTTAAGGGATAAAGGAAAGAGAAAGGTGTCTCTATTCATCCTTAGAAAGTTAGAAGTTTAGTGCAAATTTTTAAAGTATAAAGGAAAACGGCAGATTAATTTTGAAAATAAGAAATTAAGAACAGGGAAAGGACAAGTGTTATGCAGTTGAATGGGCATATGCTCAGGAAGGGTGTGTGTGTGTGTGTGTGTGTGTCTGTGTCTGTGTGTGTCTGTGTGTGCATGTGTGAGTGTGCATATGTGTGTTCCCTATTTCTCCATATGTTTTATTTTCATTAACTGTTCAAAAGACTAAAAAGGCTTACACTGAAGTTATTGTGTAGTTTTCTGTGAGGTTCATGGTTAGGGCAAAATTCAAAGGCAATAGGAACTTTCAAGCACAAAGAGCTTCAAACGGTGTCCTCTTTCATGCTTAAAGCCAACTTACTTCTCCCTCGGAGCAGAAAAAGCAAGTAGAAGATGCCAGAATTGAGGAAACCCCAGAGAAGACATTTGTTGGTTATCTGTCGAGTAGTCCCCTTACCCTCTTTCCAGCTGTCTTTGATTTGTTCTTAAAGATTCCTGTATTTCCAGGAAAACTGAATTTTCTCTCTGCTTCCTATTTAGAGCACATATTGCCAAGGTTAAGCTGATAACCACATTTTATCCTCCAGCTATGATGATTGTTAAGGGGTGCGTTTGTTGCCAAAGCTGGTCCAATCGGACTAACTTTCAGAATGATTGTTGGGAATCCAGTGCAAACACTCTTGCTACATGAGATGCCATGTAGCCCTGAGATTCTGGCAGCCATCTTAGGACCAGCCTCAAGATGAAATGGATATCAAAATTGGGTCCTTGGGTGACATTGTTGAAGTACTAACGGAAACTTTACCTGAAGCTAGTCCCACTTCTGGAATTTTTAATTTCATGACCCAATACATATCATGTATTTTTAAGCTAATTTGAAATTTTGAATTTTTTATTTTGGTCATTTACAACCCAAAGCCTCCTCTGT
Organism: Homo sapiens; assembly: GCF_000001405.40. Lineage (NCBI taxonomy): Eukaryota > Metazoa > Chordata > Mammalia > Primates > Hominidae > Homo > Homo sapiens. Next base: position 168,788,386 of record NC_000001.11, read on the forward strand.
GATGCAATCTGTTGGAATCATCTAGTGCTTTCCTCTCATTTTACAAATAAGAAAATGAGGCCCTAGAGGGAACTTACTTGCCCAAGGTCAAACAGTACATAGTTAAAGATCTGCTACAGGAAGAAAAGTTTCCTGACTCCAGTCTGTTCTTTTCTCATAAACTTTTCCTCTCACATGTGTATAGAGAGTGGTGATATTTTCTAGCCAGGCAGAAATTAGCGGAATGCCAGGCAACCTTTTACCTACAAACTAGTTTTAAAAAAAAGTATTTACGTGGCTACTGGGATTTCTTGGATGCGTTGCATTAAGTAATTTGGGGGTATATGAAATGAAATCATAGTGGGCCATTCTGCTTTTCTAACATCTCCTTAAGACTATATGTATTTGCACTACAGAATCTCTCTTGCAGGAGTAACACAGGCATGTGGAGAATTTCTCAGAGTATTTCCGCAGCAACCAACTGGCATGAAGAATACTTTGCTGAAACATGGGGTTCAAAAGCAGGTATAGAGCTCCAAATCTGATTCTTCCCCACCAATTGCATGTTTGCCTTACTTGTATACATCTCTTTGTGTGTATATGTATGTATGTACATGTGTAAGTGGTATGTACACAACAATATAGTTTGGGAAGCTTTGTAACTAATCCAACTTTACTTACCTTTTCCTTTTTATCTTTTTCATTGAGAAGGATCTTAGCACCTCTTGCTCACGTACTCTGTATTTCTCTTACTCTTTCCCTCTCTTCCTTCATCCCTCCCTAACTCACCTCCTCTCTACCTCCTATGCATCCACTTCACTATGGAAATGTTTTCAAGTTCCACCCTCTTGACCGTCATTTGAAAGGAGAAAAATCCTCCATTTCAGCTAAGCGTGTGCCATGCATAGTGGTTACTATGGAAATACACAAAGGAAATACCTGAAAAGAGATGTCAAGTTGAAAAACAATATTTTCTTCAACCAAGGTGTACGGAAATGAAATGGGTTACTTTATAAAGCAGTATATTAGCTGTCACTGGAAGTGTGTAGCATAAAGTTTAGACTACGTAATATTTTAGAACCACACCAGCAAAATGCCTACGGATAGGAATCCTACGTGCCTTTTCATCATAAGGCATTCTCCCTAGGCTTTTTTCCCCCATCTTATTCTCAGAAAATTAATAAACTTCCCTATTTCCCCAAAGCACTGAAATATAAACTATTTTTTTATTGATGGATGTATTCAACAATATTTGTTGAGTACCTACTATGTACCAGGCATCGTGCTAGGCCCTGAGGCCACAAATGGAGGATAAATATTAAATTCCTGATAAATGCCTGCCCCCTGGAGAGAGAAGGAAGAAATGGGAATTGTGACGTTAAGAAGGTAATGTTTTGTTTTTTGAAAAAATAGCTCTGAAGCAAATGTGAAAAAGCATTTTAAAATTTTGGTTTTTGATTACATGGGTGCTTTTTATATTATTATTGGTTCTCTTTTGCATTTTTCAATTAAAAATAGATTGTAAATAAAAGGGATTTTGTGACATTCATGTAAGGGGAAAACTGAAACATGTCTGAAGAATTTAGAAATATAGAGGTCTTTGGAGAGCCTACTCAGAGCTGGATCTGGAAAATGACGGGAGTGGGCATGAGACTAAAGTGTGCTGAGGAGTGAGGGGTAGAGGGGAGGAAAGGGGGAAGTGAGTTTGGACGTTAGAAAGAAAGGCTGGAAGAGGGATGTGGAAGAGGTGTATGCTCTTCATTGGGTAAGACTTGGGCATTTTTAACGCTAATAGAAAGGATTCAATTGAGATGTAGGGTCTAAATATGTAAGAGAAGGAAGGCGAAATTGTTCACAAGAAGATAAAGCAGAAGGGTCCAAAGCACAGAGAGAAGGACCAATGGCAGACAGGATGGACAACTTCTTTTCCTACAGTGAAAAGGAGCAACATTAGATTCTGATGTAGGTAAGTTTGTAGTCTTTATGGTTGAAAATTGAGGGTATTATTGATGGTTTCTTAAAGCAAATACATGCACATACACATGCACACATACTCACATTATATATATGTATACATAGAAAACTATGTAGAAGTCGGCCGGGCACAGTGACTTGCGCCTGTAATCCTACCATTTTGGGAGGCCAAGATGGGTGGATTGCCTGAGCTCAGGAGTTCAAGACTAGCCTGGGAAACATGGTGAAACACCGTCTCTACTAAAATACAAAAAAAAAAAAAAAAAAAAAAAAAAAAAAAAAAAATCAGCCGGGTGTAGCGGCAGACGCCTATAATCCCAGCTACGCGGGAGGCTGAGGCACAAGAATTGCTTGAACCTGGGAGGCGGAGGTTGCAGTGAGCTGAGACCGTGCCACTGCACTCCAGCCTGGGAAGCAAAATGGAACTCTGTTTCAAAAAAGGAAAAAGAAAACTATGTGGAAGTCAGAGATCATCATGGTGGCTTAGTTCATTTGCTCCTTATTGCTAAAGTGACATCAAAATGCCACCTAACTACTGAAGTCTGATTTTCCTTGACTTCTATCCATGCCAGGAACGCTAGTTACTGCTGTAGCCTGCTTTTTCTTTTGTCTTTATCATCCAAACATTTTCTTCATCTCTAAACCACTGTCCTGACGCAGGGCATCTTCATTCCTCATCTAGATTATTTCAACAGTTTTCTAACATGTCTTTCTATTTCCAATACAGTTTCCACACTGTAACAAGAATTTTATTGCTAAAACACAATTCTATTAATGAAATTTCCGTAACTAAAACTGTTCCATGGCTTTTTACTTTCTTTGAGATGAAAGGTTGCCTCCTAAAACCAACCTACAAGACACTTTGTAATCTGGACCCAACCTGACTTTCTCATCGTTCCTCATTGCAGATCCTCTCTCTAAATCAGACTGAAATTGTTCATCATTCCTTACATTTCACTATGCACTCTCTTGTTTGTGGGTTTTTGTGTTTGTTGTTCCCTCCATCCAGTTTATATCCTCCTACTTCCTAACCTTCACTTGGATGACTGCTAATGTCTTCCTCAGTTCTCTTCTTAAATGTTATTCTTCCAGAAACTTCTCCTGATGCCCCAGGACTGCAATGGCTGCCTCTCAAACGGGCATCAAAATCATCCTGGCCACACCCTATCATAGCATTCCTCTATCTTTATCACACACACACACACACACACACACACACCTCTCTCCCTGAAGAGAGAGAGAGAGAGATAAAGAGATATGTCAATATATTGTGTTCCCGTCGTTCTCTGCTCATCTCTTCTTAGCCCGTAACACACTAGGTACAAGAATGGTCACTTGCTCTATGTTGTCAATCAGACTGCAACAAAAATTATATTGCTAAAATGCAGTATCCACAATTTACCACTGTGTTCTCAATATCTTGCACATATTTATTATATATAATATATGAACATATATTTAATAGACATTTATGTAAAAATATATTTGATATATAAATTTATATACTTATATGTAAATATATTTACATATCATAAAGATGTGCTATATATATATATACACATATATATACACAGAGAGAGAGAGAGAAAGCCTATGTTATATTTACCACTGTATATTTACCACTATGTGTGTTATACCACTGTATGTTATATGATATACCGCTGTATGTTATATTTACCACTATATTTACCACTGTATCACCAACATCTTGCACAGTATCTGGCTTATAATAAGCATTTTAAAAATTGTCAACTAAATGAATGAATAAATAAATACATTTTTTACAAAAACTAAAACAGTCACTCAGGATGATCAAAGGTCTTTCCATCACCAAATAAATAAGTGGTAAATCTGAAACCTGAGCTCTCTGAAACCTCCTCCTCTCCTGTCTGTCTCCTATCTTCTCTTCTCCTAATACTGTCTTACCCTAGGAGATGTCATCCACATGGCTAGCCATCTATATAGTGATGACTTACAAATGTGTATTTTCAGCCCACAGCTCTCTTTCAGACCTCTGAAGTCACACCCAGTGGTCTAGTCAACATTTCCTCTTGCAGAGATTGTAAAGGTTTCAATCTTAACACCATGTGACTAATTCGGTCTCTATGATCAAAGCCTTATAAGAAAGAATGACTGGTTGACCCGACATGGACCAAGTGACCGTTCTTGTTCCCAGTGTGTTGTGGGCTAAGAAGAGATGGGCACAGAATGATGGGAACGCAGAGCGAAAGGGCCCAACTCTACCAGGAGGGGAAGATAAAAACTCCTGAAGAAATTATACAAAAATAGAATACTTACAACAGAATTCTCAACATCATTTTTCCCTGTTTGAATCCAGCAAGTCAGCCATTGGTCACTTAAGAGCACTAACCCCTCCCTGGTTTGAAGATGTTCTTGACTTTAAATACAAACATCTGATATTCCAGCTTAGACTCCTCCACAAGAACTAGAGTGTCATCCTATTTTGGCTTCCAGCTCAGTCCCTCTGCTACAAGTCTTGACTCCAGAACTCTGTGGGATAATAAAATACAAGATCATAGCTTGAAAATAGAGCGTGCATCTGGTGTGGTTTGTTGTTTTGGCTTAATTAGGACTTGCCGTTTCCTGAATTCCTGTAATCTCATTTGATGAATTGTGTTGGTTACTTGCTCTGCAGGCTTTGAGCATGTGGCACATATCAGAGGAAATGATTTCCCCTTTCTTCTTTGAAAATCATCTTCTGGTGCATTAAAAAAAGAAAGCCAATGTTTTTGGATTTCTTTAGCTGTCCATAGAATTACCAGTGCTGTGATAGACATTTACTTCTCTGGAGGAAGAAGGGCTTGGGTCCAGTGCATTCAGCTACACATTCAATTCAACAGGTTCTAATGTGCACCTACATGTGCAAGGCACAGTGGAAGTTACAGAGATGAGTAAAACATTTCTACTCTCCCAGGATTTCTCAAGCCAATTCAGGAGACAGATCCACTGACAAGTAACTAAAATGCAAGGCAGACTAGATAAAAGCTATAATAGAGATAATCATCCCTTTCATTTACTTATCTCAGTTTACTTTACAAAGAGCTTCCATACACATTACCTCATTTGATCCTCACAATGGCCCTGTGAGATAGGTGTTATTATCTTCATTTTAGAGTTATGGAAAACCAAGATTCAGAGAGGGTAAATATCTTGCCTACATTCTCACAGCTAGTAATTGGCATATAGATCTTTTGAATCCCAGTCCAGTACCATGGAAGGTCATAGGAGGGAGAGAATGACTTCAGCAGAAGCAATAAGAGAAAGTCTCATGGAGGAGGTGGGGTCTGGGTTGGGCTTCTTCCTTCTGGAATCAAAGTGAAAAGGAAAGTAATTCCAAAGACAGAATAAATATATGAGTAAAGAAATCTTATTGATGTGGAGGTGGGAGAAGAATACTAAGTAGTTTGGGTGTCTATGACTTGCCAGTTGATATAATCAAAATCCATGGAACAGATATAAACTGAGCACTATATTATGTACTTGATTTGATTTTAGAAAACTGTTTTAATTCTCAAGGATTACTCAGCCAGGGGAAAAACATACACATAAAACAAATGAGTCTAATACAAGAGCATATCTAAGTAGTAGCCCTATTGCAAAGTACAGATAAATGCCATAGGAGTAGGGTTTTATTTTTATTTATTTATATTTCATTTTACCATTATATTGATTGACTGCAGGGAAGGTAGTTTTATTATAAATGTAGAAATATTAAATTGCTCTAAAGAAATCAGTGTTTTAGGGAGACAGACATAGAGTTGGGGCTGAGAATGAGAAAGTGTTGAAAAGCTCTGAGTGAGTCAGGGCTCCCATGCTCTGTGGCCAATGAGTGTTCTCACGATGGGTGTGGACTAATGATGCTGCCTAGCAATGCTTATTGGGCTTGAAGAGGGATTGGCGGGTTTAAGGAAGATGAGGTGAGCCCTCTGTGTGAGGTGCTGAGCCGCGCTGACTCATCCCACGCCAAAAGAAGCAACCCCATTGGAAGAAGTGAAGAGAGAAAGTGGAGGAAGATTGAGCCTCTGGTGCCCAGGCAGGCAGAAGTGCAGCAGCTGGCTATCCACCGAGTCTAATGTCTTCCTGGCAGGATGCTGGCACACAGAACAACATGATTTCACTTAATTCTAACACCAAGTCTTGAAATACATTAAATGGGTATCATAAATGCATCTACAAGTAGCAAACCCTCTTAAAGGAGTTTAATAACCTACTCAGAGTCACACTTAATACCGTGACTGTTGAATTCTGCCAGAACCAGAATTCAAAACTAGATCTATTTGATCTATTTGTTAATACATATCAACTGTGTGTTAACAGAGTATCTACTTTATATTCACTTTTATCACAATTCATTAGTTTAATAAATAGTGTAGCAGACATGCTATGTGCAAATTCACAAAGTTGGGAGAAATTACAAAAAGTGTTGTAATCAGATTTGGGGAACTCAGTATGTGCATGTATGTGTGTATATTTGTTGAGGGGGTGTGTATAGACAGCAGTACCTAGGGGAGTATGTTTAGATAAAGAAGAGTTTTATTTTGGTTTTAAAATGAAAGATAACAGGCCAGGTGTGGTGGCTCATGCCTGTAGTCCCAGCACTTTGGCAAGGTGAGGTGGGTAGATCACTTGAGCCCAGGAGTTGAAGACCAGCCTTGGTAACATGGTGCAACCTTGTCTTTATAAAAAATACAAAAATTAGCAGGGTGTGGTGGCATACACCTATTGCCCCAGCTACTTGGGGTCAGGTGCTGGGGTGAGAGGATTGCTTGAGCCCAGGAGGTCAAGGCTGCAGTAAGCCATGATCCACGCCACTGCATTCCAGCCTGGGTGACAGACAAAGACTCTGTCAAAAAAAAAAAAAAAAAAAAGAAAGAAAAGAAAAAGGAAAAAGAAAGAAAGATACCAAGAGCACATTTGTGTCCCCACGGGAGTAGGCAAAGGAGAGTAAAAGAATGGTGACAGGAGGAGGGTGAAGACTAAAGGTCAAAGTTTCAAAGAAGGTCAAAGGGATGGGACCCAGAGCACAGGAGGGAAGGACGGACCCTTCCTCCACCACAGGGAAGAGAAGCAGGAGGCAATAGGAGAGATGCAGGTGCCTTTTGTGAAACTTGCAACGTCTGCCTTTACAAAACAAGGTCTGTTTTTATATGGTCTTTTTGGTCCATTTGCCATTACGCACTTTTTTTTTTTTTACAGCTTTATTGAGGCATACTTAACATAAAATATACTGTACATATTTAAAATGCACAATTTGATAAACTTTTACTTACACATACACCCCTGAAACCATTGCAACCATCGAGAGCATGAACATAACCATCAACCACCTGAGTTTTCTCATGTCCCTTTGTAATACCATCTTCCAAGCCTTCCCCAGCCCCACCCCTCCCAGGCTAACACTGATCTACTCTCTGTCACTATAGATCTATTCGCATTTTCTAGACTTTTCTATAAATGGAATCCTACCACATATACTATATTTTGTCTGGCTCCTTGTGCTTAGCATAATTCTTTTGCGATTCCTCCATGTTGTGTGTGCATCAATCGTTCATTCTTTATGTATTGCTAAAAAGTATTCCAATGTATGAATAAGCCACAATTTGTTTATTCACTCACCTGTTGAAAAATGCCTGGATCATTTTCAGTTTGTTAAATAAAACTGCTATGGACATATTCATGTACAAGTTTTTGTCCAGATATATGTTTTCATTTCTCTTGGCTAAGTACCTGAGAGTGAAATGACTGGAACATATGGTAGGTATATGTTTAACTTGGAGTAAAACTGCCAATTTTCTTCCAAAGTGGCTGTACTCTTTCATGCTTCCACCAACCACATTCTAGTTCTTCCACATCCTTGCAAGCACATGATATGAACAGTTATTTAATATTGTAACCATTCTGATAGATGTGCAATCTTATCTCACCATGATTTTAATTTGTAATTCCCAACTAATAAATAATATTGAATATATTTCATGTGCTTATTTACCATCCATGTATCTTTTGTGGTAAAATTTTGCTCAAGTCTTTTTTCCATCCTTTTTTTAAAAATTGAGTTTTAAGAGTTCTTTACATGTTCTGAATACAAGACCATTAACAGATATTTTACTTGCAAATATTTTCTCTCAGACTATGGCTTGTCTTTTCATTCTCTTAATAGTGTTTGTCACATAGTAATAGTTTTTCATTTTTATCAAGTTCAAATCATCAAATTTTTATGATTTGTGCCTTTGGTATAATATCTAAGAAATATTTGCCTTACCCAAGGGCACAATAATTTTTCTCTTTTTCTTCTTATAGGGAATTTACAGTTTTAGTTTTACATGTAGGTATATAATCCACTTTGAGTTAATTTTTGTATATGCCATAAGTTGTGAATCTAAGTTCACTGTTTTGCATAGGAATAACCAGCTATTCCAGCAGAATTTACAGGAAAAACTATTCTTTCTCCATTGAATTACCCTTTCACTTTTGTCAAAAATCAATTGATGACTGGGCACGGTGGCTCACACCTGTAATCCCAGTACTTTGGGAGGTCAAGGCAGGTGGATCACTTGAAGTCAGGAGTCCGAGACCAGCCTGGCCAGCATGTTGAAACCCGTTTCTTCTAAAAAATGCAAAAATTAGCTCGGCGTTGTGCCGGTCATCTGTAATCCCAGCTACTCAGAAGGCTGAGGCAGGAGAATCACTTGAACCCAGGAGGTGCAGGTGGCAGCGAGCCGAGATTTCAGACTGCACTCCAGCTTGGGTGACAGAGTGAGACTCCATCTCAAAAAACAACAACAACAACAAAAAACCCACAATCAATTGACTATATATGTGGCTTTACGTCTGGACGCTGTTTCAATGATCTATTTGCCTACCATTTCAGCAATGCTACTTCATCTTGATTTTCATAGCTTTAAAATAATTTTTAAAGTCAGGTAGTAGGATAAGTCCTCCAATTTTATCTTTTTCATAGTTGTATTGGCTATCCTAGGTCCTTTGAATTTTCATATAAATGTTAGAATCATCTTGACAATTTCTGCAAAAATATCTACTGGGACTTGAACGGGATCCTATGGAATCTATACACCACTTTGGGGAAAATTGACACCTTTTTTAAATTTTAGTTTGAAATAATTATTGGTTTACAGGAAGTTGCAAAGATGGTACAAAGAAATACAGATGCCCTTCAGTCTGTTTACTCAAAGGTATTTATTTGTTCAATGTGTGTGTGCAGTTCTATGCCTTTTTATCAAATGTAGGTTTGTGTAACCACTATCACAGACAAAATACAAGACTGCTCATCACCACAAAGATCTCCCTTGTGCTACTCTTTTATGCTCTTACCCACCTTCCTCTCCATCGTTCCTAGCCTCTGGCAACCACTCATCTGTTTTCCGTCTCTATAATATTTTTGTTTTAAAAATGTTATATGTGGATTATATATAACATTTATGTTATATATGGATTTATGTTATATGTGGATATATATAACATTTATATATAACCTTTGAGACTGGCTTTTTACACTTAGCATAATGCTTTTGAGATCCATCCAAGTTGTTGCATGCATCAATAGTTCATTCTTCTTCATTGCTGAGTAGCATTCCATGGTCTGGATATACCACGGTTTGTTAAACCATCCATCTATTGAGGGTTATTTTGGTTGTTTATGGTTTTTGGTCATTACAAATAAAATTGCTGTGAGCAATTGTGTACATACAGGTTTTTATACATATGTACATACTTGTTTCTCTGAAGTAAATGCCCAGGACTGTAATTTCTTTCCTTTTTTTACCTTTTTGTTGTTGTTGTTGTTGTTGTTGTTGTTGAGACAGAGTCTCGCTCTGTTGTCCAGGCTGGAGTACAGTGGCACAGTCTCATCTGACTGCAACCTCCACCTCCTGGGTTAAAGCAATTCTCCTGCCTCAGCCTCCTGAGTAGCTGGGACTACAGGTGCATGCCACCATGGCTGGCTAATTTTTGTATTTCTAACAGAGATGTGGTTTCACCATGTTGGCCAGGCTAGTCTCAAACTCCTGGCCTCAAATGATCTGCCCACCTCAGCCTCCCAAAGTGCTGGGATTACAGACATAAGCCATCACACTCAGCCACAGGATTGTAATTTCTGAGTTGTATGGTATGTGCAGGTTTAGTTTTGAATGACTTCTACTAAATTCTTTTTCAGAGAGGCTGTGACATTTTTAAATTCTTATCAGCAATGTATGAGAGGTCCAGTTTCTTTACATCTTTATCAGAATGGGGCATTGTCACTTTTTTTTTTATTATGTTAGCTATTCTGATAGGTATGTAGGAGACATACCTATCATTTTAACAATATTGTAACATTTTAACAATATTGACTCTTCCAACCCATCAATACAGTGTATCTTCATTAGGTCTTCTTTAATTTCTCTCAGGAATGTTTTTGTAGTTTTCAGTGTGCAGATATTGAATATCTTTTGTTAATTTAATTCATAGGCGTGCCACATTTTTGTTGCTATTGGAAGTATCATTTTTAATTTCAATTTTCAGTTGCTCATTGCTAGTATATAGAACTACAATTGATTTCTGTATATTACTTTTGTATCCTGCAAACTTTTTAAACTCAGTTATTAGTTCTAGTATATTTTTGTAGATTTCTTTAGATATCTACGTAGACTATCATGTTATCTGCAAATAAAAACAGTTTTACTTCTTTCTCCCCAACCTGAACACCTTTTATTTTATTTATTTCTTTCCTTATCAAACACTGACTAGAACTTCTAGTATAAGATGGAATACAAGTGGTTGATGGCAGTCATCCATGCCTTGTGGCTCATCCTAGAGTTAAAGCATTCAGTGTTTTACTGTTATTGAATTCATTGTAGGGTTATTATAGATGCCAGTTACTAGGTTTAGGAGGTTTTTTCTCCTACTACAGTGCTGAGAATTTTATAAGAAAAGAGTATTAAATTTTGTCGAAAAATTTCTCTCACCACTCATTTTACTGAGGTGGTCTGAAACCAAACTTACAATTATCACCAAGGTATGCCTATATAACAACAATAAGACAGAAAAAATTCTATCAGTACTATAAAGAATTGGGTTTAGTTGCTGCTTGCCTATGGCGACCTACATAAATCATTCTGCAACTAGATATAGTATTTGAATTGCCAATGCTATCATCACCCATTTCTGGTAAGGGTAGAGGCATGATATAGGACAGGAGAAAACCATTCTCTTTAAAAAGTTTAATTTTTAGTTCTACTCCCCAAGTTATTATAGGAGATTGATTGGCTATGCAACCCACCTACAGAGAACAGCAATTTTTACTACAGCCAAGAAGGAAATAAAATTGTTTCTCTAGGCCCTCCATGCTATTGAAAGGGGATACATTGTATTTAGAAGTTTGACCTCTGGTAGATGTACCAGGCACAAAACCATTACAGACTAAAGAAAGATTTGATGGATGCCAAGAACTTAGGAAGGAGAGCTGCCTTGAAGCAATAACACTATGTCATGTTCCTTGCATACTGAAAAAACTTTCATCAAACTATTTTGTGAGACTTTTTGATTTTTCTGCAGTTCACTCTTATAACTCTTTGCAAGGCCAAGGTAAGATATGCCCACACTTGAAGATTCTTCCTAAGAGTTTTCCAAATCAGAATTTTTCCCAATTCCTCTGGCACATTCTACTGATCATCCACTTATCACCTGACTCCTATTGAAGTACAGCGTTCATTAGTCAGAAGAACGCAGGATTGGGGAAGATCTTAGAGTTATTCATTTACTCCTTGGCATTCTTCCTGTTCTGTATGCCAACTGATGTTCTGTGCACTTTGTATGATTAACTCACTTAATCATTAATCATTTAATCATTCCAATAACATTTATTGAGCTCATACCAAGCTTTTACAATATATTAGGACTAATGCTTGCTGTAAAATAGCCCTTCTGTCAAGGAATCCACAGTAAGTTAGGTGAGGTAAACATGTAACACAATGTCTTATAATTACCTCTTTAAAAGCAATGACTAATTATGCAAAGAAAAATACAGAATGAGGGAGGAAGGATACCTAATCTAGGAGACAGGAAAGAGGGAACATGTTAGGAAGAGCTTCCTGAAGGTGCCATCTGAGTGCTGAGTCTCAAGCAAGAGCCTGTAGAATGGAGTGAGGCTGTGATGGGGCATGGTGGGTGGGGAGAGGGGGCAGGACATCTCAAGCAGAAAGGAGAATGGGAACAAATGCACAGAAGCAATAAAGACAAGATCTATGAAAGCCACGACCAGCTTCTTGTTGCTAGAGCATAAGGATTGAGACAGGCAGTGCAAGAGAGAAGGCTGAAGCTATGGACGGGGTTAAGTGAAGGAGCATAGTCTTTGACCTGCGTAGACAATGGAAATCCACTGAAGAATTTTAATTAGGGGATAAGTGGTCAGATTTATATTTTATATGTTTCATATAGCTTAGATAGTCTGGTGGCAATGGAGGGAGGTGCATAACTGGAAATGTACAATCAGGACATTTGTACTATTAGAATTATGAACTTCAGCATAATATATATTCATATTATTAATGTAGTAAACTGTTTTATAGTGTATTAGTCTATTCTCACACTGCTATAAAGAACTGCTTGAGACTGGGTAATTTATACAGAAAAGAGGTTTAATTGGCTCACAGTTCTGCATGGCTAAAGAGACCTCAGGAAACTTAGAATTATGGTGGAAGGTGAAGGGGAAGCAAGCACCTTCTACACAAAGTAGCAGGAGAGGGAGAGAGAGCAGGGAAACTGTCATTTTTAAACCATCAGATCTCCTGAGAACTCCCTCAGTATTACAAGACCAGCATGGGGGAAACCACCTCCACAATCCAATCACCCCCCACCAGGTTCCTCCCTTGACACCTGGGGATTACAATTCAATATGAGATGTGAGTGGGGACACAGAGCCAAACCATATCATATAGCTTTCTGTAGTGTACTTGAATATGCATTAAATAATAAATCAACTATACTGAGAAAATCTTAACTTTAAAAAATTTTTCATTAACTTAAATTTTTTCTTTTTTCTTTTTGTTATTTACTTGAAGGGAGCCATGTTTAGGCCCATTTCTGGTTAACAACTAAAGGGAATTGAAAAAGCAGTTAAACCTTTTCTCTTCTACTCTCGTCACAGCCATCGATTAGCTGTGAGTCATTGGAGCAAGGCTCAGGTTTCTCAAACATAAGATAAAGGGATTAGAATAAATGGTGCTTAAGTTCTGTTTAAGCATCAAAGTTCTATGAAGCAATGTTTATTGTATTTAACATTTTCTTAGTCTTCAAAGGGAATTGAAGGCAGATACGTAAGTGCCTTTATATATTTTATCTCTCAGTGTTTCTGAATAGGATAAGTAGTGTGAATATATGTGATAATTAAACCTCACAGATCTGCAACATGAACAGTGTAGAATTAAATACGCATACAGTGCTCATACTAAATAGGAGATAATGCATTTTTGCATATGCCAGTGTATCCAACTATCCAGAATAAACTTATGTGCCAAAATAGTGAGTAGAGTTTAATTTTTATAACTTAAAACATTTTTTTAAATCCCTCTTTACTTTTTCTTGAACGATCCTCTGATTGTAATTTGGAAAAAGCTGAGAACTGGCTAAAGGCTTTAGTCAAGAAAAAAAGTCATTCCCAGTTGACCTATTTTGGACTTATAACCTCCAGAACTATAAGATAATAAACTTGTATTGTTTTAAGCCCCAAAGTTTGCGATAATTTTTAACAGCAGCAATAAGAAACTAACATACTTCCCATAGCCAATTTGTGCAGTGAAACTTCATCTTCCTCAGCAAACATGCTTCCCTCTCTGTGCTCCTGTTTTTAGGGGCTGGCATCATCACCATATACCTATTTATCCTACTAGGAGTCATCTTTGATCTCTACCTCTTCACCACATTTACTTCATCACCAATTCCTGTTCATTCTTTCTACCTCTAGAGTAACTCCTCCATTCTGTTGTATTTCCCTGTTACTGCTGTTTTCAGGCTACAATTTTGAACTGCTGGAGTTTTGTATTCAACTCTAGTCTATTCTCTGTACTTTCAAATTTTATTTATTTATTGTTGAGACCCACAGGAAGAAATAAATTCCACATCAAGATCTAGGGCACACACACACTTCTGAAGCAAAAGCTTCATGAAACAATATTTCCCATACTCTTTTGCAGTATATGCTGATATTTTCTATCCTATGTATTTAATTTTGTAAAAATCCAGCTATTTGTGATTTATTGCAATGGTTTCGTAACTGACAAATGGATCATGACCTGTAGTTTAAGAAGATATTTTTCTACATGGCCACCAGAATGCTCTTTCCAAAATACAATTATTTTTCCTTAAAATCTTTCAATGCCTTCATTACTCTAAGGATAAAGTTCAAACTCTAACATTGTTTCTAAGATCCTCCATCACCCAGTCTTCTTATCACAGTAGCTTCGTCTTTCTCCACTCTAACTGGTTCATTTTCATTTTACAATCCAACCTTACCTGCTTACTTTCTGGACTCAGATTGAGTCTCTGGGCCTTTGCAAGTCGTGTTACCCTTTTCAGACTGTCTTCTACATATCCTCTTCTTATAGCTAATTCCCACTTAGTCTATTTTCTTAGATTAAACCTCACTTCCCTCTAAATGCTTTCTCTCAATGCCTGGACTGGGTTAGGTGTCCCTTTCGCCCTCCTGCATTCTCCCTTAGCACCCAGGACCCCCTGAATGGCAGTGCTTATCAACCTGTATTTAATAACAATAGTGCTGTTTAAGAATAGAGACTGGGTTTTGTCCCCTATGAAATACCTAGAAGGCCTTCAGTAAATGCTTATTGGATGAATAAGTGAAACCTAAAAATTTTTTAAAAGTCAATTACTTTGAACTAAAATTCTATTAACATTTAAATTGTCAATAGTAATAACTTCTTGAAATATTCTATTGGGATAGAAAACAAGTGGTCATTGCTAAAATGGCAATGTGTTTCAGGCCTATATCTCATTTGTACTATTACAAATATCATGGCAGGTAGTAAGAGGTAGGATGTGCTTTGCTTTGTTAAAACCTGGTAATAGTGCAGGGACTTGCTTAAAGCAACATTTACTATCCTTCACATTCAAGAAGACCCTGGTTTATAACCTGGTTGGTTCTTTCTCTTTAAGAACATTCATAGAAGAGCTTTAGTTGCTTTACCAGTGAGCCAAACCATCTATGACAGTTCACTTTTATGGTCTTTGAAGATGCTATTGGCTGATTTTCTGTTCAGCAGGTCATTTCTACCATTTAACCACCCAAATCATTAAAATGGACGAAATAAATTATTCACTAAGACACTGTCTTATGACCAGGGACAAGATGTCTTGGCAACGACTTGGTGTGTATGTTTGTCTCATAAAGGGGAAATCAATAATCCCATCACCAATATCTAGGTTGTCCATCTGTCTAAAATAAACACACAATCATTTATTTCCTTCTTTGGATGTCAACCAAGCTTTTAGAGCAGTTTTCTTTAAACAGCATGAATGCACATGGGTACATATGGACAGAAACAGACACACACATTCTCCATGAGAAAAGAGAGCAAGTTCTATATAAGGAACCCATGATGGGAAACAGCCAAGTGAAATGCACCTGGATGTCTGTGTAAGCAGTCATAAGATTGCCAGTGGCCAGCAGAAGACGAAAGGGAATGCCTGCCTAGGAGAGAAGAGCACGCCTTGTGCAAACATCAAAGCGCTGCTTCTAAGAGGGGTAATTTTTATATTGCTATTGGCAGACATGGATACTAATGCAAATCATTCAGGGCCCTACAAAAGGCCTGACATATTCTGAACTTGATGGGAGCTGGTTGGGACTGTGGCATTTATCTCCTTCCAATCTTTTAAAGTGACATGACGCCTTCCTGTCTCCAGTCTCAGGCTGACCACTTGGGGTAGTTGCTTTCAGGCCACTGTGACAAGAGCTAACCGCTGTGGTTTTGTGTTTGGTGTGACAGGGCAGCTATCCAGAGCTGAAAACAATGGAGACTGAGACAGAGAGGCTGCATTCGCTGAAAAGTTTTTTACAGCACTCACTTGCAATGTTCAGTGTTCTCTTAAATAGGGTAAATGTGGCCCATGGGGAAAAATGATCTGTTGAGGTGCGGGATGAAATGATTAGGATGCTATTTACGTTAACTTACATTTAATTTCTGTTTTGCATATATTTTATAAAATATACAATATATTAGTACAATTGTTCATTTGGTATAAATAAATACGTTTATTTCCTGGAGGAACAAACTAAAACATTTTTATTAATAGAGATGCATCATCAGGTAAGTTTTCAGGTTACTGGTGTTTTTGCTCAGGTTAATATACGCATTTATTGAAGAGGGTCTTATTTTTGCCTCTAAAAGAGCTCTTCAGATTCCAGAGTTCTGTTTTTTTGTCACTCTTTCTTTTTGTTGTTAATTATCTCTTTGCAAGAATGCCATCTATATCTAAAGGTAGTCTGTAATCTGTTGCTATTGTTCTAGCACTTTCTTCAAAGAAACGTTTACTTTAAAAAATCACAGAGGGAGGTAAAATTTCTCTGAGGTTCTTCATTGATTTGCATGACATTAAGAATTTGTAGGGAAAGTGAATAATTGGATATTGCAAGATGCAGTATTTCCTAGGTTATTTTAAGTGGTGGGCTTTATTTCATCTGTATGTGTTGTAAATACAAAATCAAGAGTGAAATTGGAATGTGTGAGTATGTGGAAAGTATATGGTAAAAAAGTAATTAGAACTAAAAAAGTGAACAGAGCAAATAGTAAAAACAAAACAAAACAAAAACACCCAAAGTGCACAGACACAAAAGTGTAATTAATAGGTGCTATTACTGGCAGAGATAATACTCAGGAAAACAGGTCTTCCATCTATTTTGAAAATTATTAAAATAGAATAATGTTTCAGTGAAATTCAGTTCTATTTATTCACACTATTAGCTGCAAATACCTCTATCCTCACATCTTGGATCCTGCTAACTTCCCCCAAAGGCCTCTCTGAATCCTATAGTTGAAAAGTCTCCTAATCAAGCCTTTATATAAAATTGGAAATAAATGGAAAGTAACATGAAAATAAAACAAATTAAAAAGATGTCATTGCAATAGGGTGACAGTATTACACATATTTTTCTTTTGATTTTTTTCTTTTAATGTGCTATCCTAATAATTTAACCAAATATAAAAAGCAAGTAAGATTGAGACTTTGAGGTATAAACTGTGGTATTCTTTTTTTTTCTTTTTTGAGACAGAGTCTCCCTGTTTCCCAGGCTGCAGTGGTATGATCATGGCTCACTGTAGCCTCAACTTCCCAAACTTAAGTAATCCTCTCACCTCAGCCTGCTGAGTAGCTGAGACCACAGGCATGCACCACCATGCCTGGCTAATTTTTTAATTTTTTGTAGAGATGGGGTCTCTCTATGTTGCCCAGACTGGTCTCAAACTCCTGGTCTCAAGCAATCCTCCTGCCTCAGCCTCCCAAAGTGCTGGGATTACAGGCATGAGCCATAGCACCCAGCCTAAATTTTGGTGTTCTGATGGTCAGTCAATACCTACATATGAATGTAATCCCAGCAGAGGGAAGACATTCGTAACAGTAACTAGGTCTTTGCACATATTCTGTGTAAACTGCTATCTAACGTTATCATAAGGGATATGTATGCCTTTTGAAGAATATCCAAGTCGCTTATTTTTTCCGTTTACTGATATTTCTTTTGAGAAAGAAATCAGAAACTAGTTGATTTTAGAAGTAAGGAGAGTGATCTCCTTTTATCTGGAATAACTGGGCTGGGCATCAGCCTGCTGACAAAGAGTTGACCCACTATATCTGAGACACAGAAATATAACTTGGGGGCTCTGAAGGCTCTCTTGGAGCTGTTGACTCAACATCTTGGATGTCAATAGATATCTCAACCTCAACTGATCCAAAGAGAAACTTCCAACCTTCCCCACTCCCTCACCCCAAACCTATTGTACCCACAGCCTTCCTCATCTCAGTTTTGGCAACTCCGTCCTTCTGTTGAGAGGACCAAAATCAGGGAGTCATCCTTGACTCCTCACAGTTAAACAATTTATCAGGTAGTCCTGTAGACTCAACCATCAAAACACATCCAGACCCTTACCATTTCCTGCCCTCACCAGGGCTACTGCTCACTCAAGCTACCATCATTAATTGCCTGGAATATTGATTGCAATTGCCTCCTAACGGTTCTTGCTGCTTCTGTCTTTGCCTCTGTACGGTCCCTACAAAGAAGTAGCAATAATGCTTTAAAAACGTAAATCAGGTCATGTCACTCCCTTGATCAAAACCTACATTGGCCCCCACTTACACTCAGAGTGAGAGTCCAAGTCCTCGCCATGGCATAAGGCCCTCTCTGAGCTGCCACACCATTGGGTCTATTTTCTCTTGTTACTCTCCCTGTGCTGCCCTGTTCCAACAACTCTGACCTCCTTGCTTTCCTCAAAAATGCCAGGCACACATGCTCTCTTTTTAGGGACTTTGTGCTAGCTTTTCTCTCTGCTGGAATCTTCCTTCCTGAATACCTATTTGGCTTTCTCCCTTATCTCACCTTCTCAATAAAATCTGATTTGGCCACCTCATTACTACTATAACCTCCCAGCTACGCTTCCACTGACCCTCTGTACTTTCAAGTTCCTTTGCCTCATTCCATTATTTATCTTATGTAAAGCAGAATATATTTATTTATTTGTATGTGTATTGGCTAATGTCTGGTTCCCTAGCTATAATGTAAGCCCCATGAGGGCAAAGGTCATTGTCTGTGTTGTTCCCTCATGTATCCTAAGAGCTTAGAGCAGTTCCTGCCACATAACAGGTTATCGTATTTGCTGGATGAATGAATAATGAAACCTATAACCAAAGGCTTCATTTAAACCCCTTATCCTATAAAAGTGGGACTTTAAATAGAAAATATTCAATACATCTATCAGCCTGACTTGTCTTCATGATTCTAATTGTTAGAGATGTTTTCCAACATTCAGTGTTATAGAAAGAGCTACCCCAGTGCACTGACTAAACAATCTTTTTCCCTAAATGTTTTACTTGGGGGATCCATAAATGATTTCTCTTCAGTTACTAGGGATTTGCTCTCCTGACTTACTCTTTTATAACCTCAGAAGCCTCTAGTTAAAATGGAAATGGCATTCGAGAGGTAACATATTTAGGTACAATTCTTCCTTATATTACTTTCCACCACCAGGGAGGTGCAAATTCCTATACAAAAGAGGTAAGGAGAGAGAGTAAGAATAGTATATTTTGATTTAAAAAAAGAGGGATGGGGTAGAAAGATGGATCCAGAACTTAGAGACACTACAGAGAGAACACAAGCCTCCTTGAGAGGTCACAGTCACTCATTCACACATTCACTTATTCATTCAAACACTTTCTGCAGGCTTGCTTATTGCTTACCTCTTGAGAAATATAAGCAATGCACAGATTTTAGGAAGAGCTAAAAGCAAGTAATAACCATACTTTGCAGTGAGTGCTGCAATCCAAAGTGTCATGACTACACAGTTGGAGATGTGTCTGCTCCAGGGGAATGATGGGCAGACTACTGGGGGGAACCACTAAGAAAGAGCTGCAATGAAGTTATTACTCATATTTTTGCATTCAGCTCTCCAGACCCAGTTATAGACCAAGCATCTTCATGCCCTAGTGCTTCTTCATGCTGCATAGGGTCTTCCATCACACGAGGCATAGTCAGAGATTGCTGGATTCAGAAGGAGCTTCTAGAATCCCAAGAATAAGTAGGCTCCATCTGGGTGCCTGCCTTATTCACCTGGGTCCCCCGGAAGTGCTCCTTGGTACCTCTCTTGCAGATGTGTATCAATGCCCAAACACCCAAACAGGGAGGGAGAGCTTGCTTACATCTAATCAAGTCCTCAGAACATAGTTTATACCTAGTTGTCATCTTGTTCTGAGAAGATTCAGAATGAATGAAGATTCTTTGCAACCCTGTATATATATGCAAAGGAAGCATGATTAAATCACCCTCCATCTTCTCTCTGAACTGATATCTGGAGTCTTTTAACCTTCTTTGAGATACTCTGACTTTTGTTTCTTAAATTATTATAACTGCAGGATGAATTAGCTTTTTCAAAACTTAACTTTATAATAATTCGTAGTAGTCAATTTACTGCATTTGTAAAATAATAGCTAGTTCTGCCAAATAGTCATAATTTAGAAAACTCTTCTTTAAATAAACTCATGTAAAATATTATGGCACCGTGTTTTAACATTCTGGTGTATGCCTCTTTTGGGTTTACAGATACAGAAATAGTGCTTATAGGGTTACCCTGCTTTTAAAAGACATTTAATATGAAAAATCATTATGTGCCAAACAAATAACCCAGCTGAAAGAAGAATATTTGCTTTATACCTAACTTTCCTAAAGCTATTCTTTTAAAAACAGAGAACTTTCTTCATGTCATTGATTCAATTTATACCCTATATATTCAGGAACATGGTGACTGAATAGAACTCTGCAGAATCAAGATCATCTCACTGATTTTCCCCTTTGGTTTTGCTGGTTTATCACCGTCTACCTAGAAATCCCTTTTCATATTCTTCATCATATGTCCATATCCTTTTTCCTTCTTAATAACATCAGTGTGTCAACTTAAGGCCCATTTGATTTTTCCTTCAACTTAAGACATATCATTTTTTGTGTGTATTTCTCTGCATATTTGTTTATAGACATAAAACTCACTGTTCATGTTTGTCTTTGTCAAGAGAAGCAAGTTGATTTCTTCTCTTTATCCACCTGAACATTAGACATATAAGAGTTTGAGAGCCCAATTTTAAGTGTTGGCTCTGATGAATTGAGAGCTGTCCTTCCTAGGGTGAAGGTTTCCCAGTTTCAAAACTAGTGCATTATGTGGCTTCACAGCTTTGAAAAGTAAGGCAATTAAAGGAATGGGATCCAGTTAGGACTAATGTGTATTGATCAGCTGCCATAGAGCTAGTTTCAATGTTAGGCATTTTCACATTTTCACTAGAGTTTAATCCTCATAAAAATCCTGGGAGGTGGTATTAGTTCCTTTATACCCATGAAGACATAGATACCCATCCAACCATACATGGCAGAATCAGGACTCAAACATAGACCCTGCAACTCCAAGTCCAAAGTTCCTGGGTATCCTGTCATATTCTCACTTGAAAACCACCAATGCAGGGAGGTTTTCAATGCCTTTCAAAGCCCCTCAGACAGGGCTCCCTGCATGCCTGTTGTCAGAGCAAAATTGATACAGGTCATTGTATGAGTCTGCAGCCTCAGGAGCCACCTGTGTCCAATGGGGACAGCTCTTACCATAAGCCCTGCTTCACTGGATACCACATCTCCTCCTCACAAAGTATAACTCACTCACTTCCATTCACTTGTGTAACGCTCACTCACTTCCATTGCTCAGAAAACATCCACCTGCCTCAGACCTTGAGGTTTCCACAAATTGGCTTAGGGTCATTGGCAATAGTTACTAAAAATGGAAAAGTGTTGGTACAAAAAATTCAATAATACCAATGAACATGAACATAATACAATAGTACATCAAACATATACAAATAAGGAATCAAATAAGTCAATTTACTTATTTATATAATTACTGCTTTATTATATTATTACTTACAAATTATATGAATAGTATCTTGATTATATTAATAAGTTAATTACCTAGCAAAGCTCAGAGATAATGTCGTATAAGATATTTGGATCATGGTGTGTGTTTATTTTTATTAGATTTTTGTTTTATTTTGTTTTGTTTCATTTTTTGGAGAGAGATAAAGGTAGAGCGATACCAAAACGGAGGAAACTTGGGCCTAGCCAATGCGGTTAGAAGCAGATGACGAGTTTGAGAACCTCAGGCCTTGCAAAAGGGCATCTGGAAAAACAAAGAAACAAACAACAACAAAACCTGTTCCCATGAGATTTAACCTAGTTTTGTAAAGACAAATAATGAAAATAAAGAAGTCCTATGTCATATATTATAAGGGCAGAAGTATTACAGAGGAAAAGAAAGTATGGAAGGAGAACAGGAATGCTGTTGGGCATTGCGCTTCAGTCAGCCAGAAAGAAATTTAGAACTTTTCTAAATTGTCTTCTTAAGACAAATTTGATAATTTGTTTTAAAGAACACTTTCCTTTCATTCAGATGCTCAGACTTATCATGCTAGTGTGCTCAGTGGCAGGGTGCCGGGGAGACCTGGGAAGAGAAGAGGAATGAAAGATACATTTCTACAACTTAGCAGTCTATCAATATAGAGTCTCTTATTTGATCCTCTCCCCAAAACATGAGGTATGGAAGGTGCCCAAGTTCACAGAATCTACTGAGGTGAGAGAGAGTCACTATTCATACTCCAGTTCTATGATGTCCTCCCACTTTTTTTACTTTGTCTATACCATGCTGTCTTCCTGTGAGTGTCCCTGTAATTTTATACCTTCCCCCAACAGTAACTGAGCACAAAGAATTGAAAACAAAACGATCTCTCTCTAGATAAGCATAAATGCCAAATTAGCTTGGAAAAGTTGTACTTGTTACTTTTGCTCTCCACTCAGTCAAGGCCCCAGTGGTCATGATTTCTGTATTTATGGGGAAAGAGAGGAGGTAGAAAATAAGCCACCACTGTCATCTTCTAGGTTCTAGTTGTTGTGGTGACACTTGCTGACCTTCACCTGCCTGCCTTCCACTATTCTTTTTTCAGGCAAAAAATATTCCAAATATATATTTCCTTGAGAACTTCTAAACACAGCTGTGAAACACTGTTCATAGTCAGTGTGTGTGTGAATATCATCAGACCATAAATAATTCTCCATCTCCTTGAAGCAAGGTACCCAGCTGCTAAGGGGCTCCTAGAAAGCCTCAGTCATGACCTCTATGAAGATGCCCTACACCCTTGCTTGTTTCTGAGCTTTGTAGACACAAAGACAAAGAAGATATTTTGTCTATTCCCTTTGTTCAGACAGCCAGAAGTGAGTAAGTGATGATTTCATCATTGATGATGAAATAGACAGTCTGAAGTCTGACATCTGGGCTCCCACAGGAATACCTGCAGTGGTATAGCAGGTGATGGGGAGAATGGAAATGCGCTAGGAAGAATCAAAGAAAGTAGTGTGTATGTTTGTGTGTGTGTGTGTGTGTGTGTGTGTGTATGCACGCACGCATGCAATCACAAGTGATGAAAGAAGTGCATTTACTACTTCAGACACTGAGAGGTGTCATCTTTTCGTGCATAACAAAGATCCAAAACATTACTTGCTGAATTTGCCCCAACACACTGTAGTGAACATTTCCACATACTATATAGAGGTTTTTCTATTGATAGAAATAGACCGTAACCTTGAAATCAGTGAAACAAAGAATGCTATGACCTATCCACCTTAGAATGGAAGCTCTAAGGAGGCAAGGGTGCTCATGGTAAGGGCTGGATCAAGAAGCTAAAAGATGGTCTTGAATTTGTGACTTCTCATTCGGCATGGCAACAGAGAGAATAGCGCCCCAGAGCCTGGGTGTAGAATGAGATGCTGGCAGCGCAAACAAGGATCCTTTTCCTTCAGTGATCCTGAGAGAGCTCCGTTGCTCGTAGGGCTCTGTGGGTGGCTCCCTGGAGACTCACATCCTGTCTTTATGTTTCCTATGCAGAGTACCATTGGGCTGCTTTCCTGGAGTATGTCTTCCCTTATACTCACCTGCTTGCCAGCTACCTAGGCCTGCCACAACAAAGTACCACAGGCTCGGGGGCTTAAACAACAGAAATTTATCATTTCAATCCTGGAGGCTGGAAGTCCAAAATCAAGGTGTTGGCAGGCTTCCTTCTGATACCCATGAGGGAAGGATATATTCCAGGTCAATGTCCTTCACTTGCAGATTGCCGTCTTCTCCCTGTCTTGTCACATTGTCTTCCTTCTGTGTGTGTCTGTCTCCATTTCCAAGTTTCTCCCTTTTATAAGGACACGAGTCATATTGGATTAAGGCTTAACATAGTGACCTTATTTCAATATGATTATCTCTGTAAAGACTGTGTCTCCAAATAAGGTCACATGCTGAGGCAACAGAGGTTAGAATTCCAATCATATTTTTTTCGACAAGCACAATTCAACCCATGCTACCTGCTAAGCAACATTTTGAAATATTTTTCTTATGTTTCCCTCCACCATTTTTACTGGGTGGTGAGCTATTATCCCTTCTATCCTTACACAAAATAAAAGAACATGGGGCTTCAAGAAGCCACAGGAAAGCCAGACAGCTTAATTTTTATCTAAAGAGTTGATGACAACTAGAGGATGATAAGGTAGGACTGGGATCAAGAACACTGATATATTTCCTTGTTCTATAATATTGTGAAGGAAGATCAGTAAGCAGATCTTTCCAGAAAAATCTCCAAGATTCAAGATGGCCTTGAATATGCAGGACAGAGGGTGGGCCTCAAACTGATAGGTTTGAGCAGCCATGTGGCAGGATAAGAGAAGGATGTAAATGACAGAAAAACAAAAAAAAAAACAGTATTAAAGAAATGGATAAACAAATGTATAGTGGAATTGGTCTTCTGTCACAGCCTTTAAAATGTAAAATTGCACCTTAGTGGGCTTGCAGAAGAAAGGACATCAATGTGTGAGCTTATAAGAGCCTGGGCCATGGAGTCAAACAGCCCTAGTTTTGATAAATCCACTCGCCCCACCTGTACTCCCAGTTCTGCCACTTACAAGCTATGTGATGTTGGGCAAGTTACTTAACTTCTCAGAGCCTTGCTCTCCTCATGTGTTCAATGCAAATTAAAATACATGCATTTAGTATTTGCAGTAAGGATTATGCATTTTATAATTTAAAACACTATATTATTCCTCATGCTGCTAATAAAGACAGACCTGAGCCTGGATAATTTATAAAAGAAGGTAGTTTAATTGACTCACAGTTCAGCATGGCTGGGAAGGCCTCAGGAAACTTGGCAGACAGGGAAGCAAACACATCCTTCTTACATGGCAGCAGCAAGGACAAGTGCTGAGCAAAAGGGGGAAAAGCCCCTTATAAAAACATCAGATCTCGGCTAGGTGCAGTGGCTCACGCCTGTAATCCTAGCACTTTGGGAGGCTGAGGTGGGTGGATCACCAGGTCAGGAGTTCAAGACCTGCCTGGCCAACATAGTGAAACCCCATCTCTACTAAAAATACAAAAAATTAGCCAGGTATGGTGATAGGTGTCTCTACTCCTCGCTACTTGGGAGGCTGAGGCAGGAAAATCGCTGGAACCCAGGAGTCGGAGGTTGCAGTGAACCAAGATCGAGCCATCGTACTCCAGCCTGGGCAAGACTCTGTCTCAAATTAATTAATTAATTAATTAATTAATAAAATAAAATTCTATAGGCAAGCAAATCATGAATGAACTCCCATTCACAATTGCTACAAAGAGAATAAAATACCTAGGAATACAGCTAACAAGAGAAGTGAGGGTCCTCTTCAAGGAACACTACAAACCACTGCTCCAAGAAATCAGAGATGACACAAACATATGGAAAAACATTCCATGCTCATGGATAAAGAATCAATATTGTGAAAATGGCCATACCGCCCAAAGTAATTTATAGATTCAGTGCTATTCTCATCAAACTACCACTGATATTCTTCACAGAATTAGAAAAGAAACTACTTTAAAATTTAGATGGAACCACAAAAGAGCCCAATAGGCAAGACAATCCTAAGCCAAAAGAACAAAGCTGGAGGCATCATGGTACCTGACTTCAAACTATACTACAAGAGTACAGTAACCAAAAACAGCATGATACGGGTACAAAAACAGACACATAGACCAAGGAAACAGAATAGAGAATTCAGAAATAAGACCACACACCTACAACCATCTGATCTTCGACACATGTGACAAAAACAAGCAATAGGGAAAGGAATCCCTATTTAATAAATGGTGCTGGGAGAACTGGCTACCCATATACAGAAAATTGAAACTGGACCCCATCCTTACACCTTATACAAAAATTAACTCAAGATGGATTAAAGAATTAAACATAAAACCCAAAACTATAAAAATCCTAGAAGAAAATCTAGGCAATACCATTCAGGATATAGGCACAGGCAAAAATTTCTTGACAAAAATGTCAAAAGCAATTGCAACAGAAGCAAAAATTGACAAATGGGATCTAATTAAACTAAAGAGCTTCTGCACTGCAAAAGAAACTATAATCAGAGCGAACAGACAACCTACAGCATGGGAGAAAAGTTTTGCAATCTATCCATCTGACAAAGGTCTAATATCCAGAATCTACAAGGAGCTTAAACAAATTTACAAGAAAAAAATGAAGAACTCCATTAAAAAGTGGTCAAAGGACCTGAACAGACACTCCTCAAAGGAATACATTTATATGGCCAACAAACAAATTTTAAAAAGTTCGACATCACTGATCACTGGAGAAATGCAGATCAAAACCACAATGAGATACCATCTCATGCCAGTCAGAATGGTGATTATTAAAAAGTCAAGAAACAATAGATGCTGGCAAGGATACAGAGGGATAGAAATGCTTTCACACTGTTGGTGGGAATGTAAAATAGTTCAACCATTGTAGAAGATAGTGTGGAGATTCCTCAAAGATCTAGAAGCAGAAATACCATTTGACCCAGCAATCCCATTACTGGGTATATACCCAAAGGAATATAAATCATTCTATCATAAAGACACATGCATGCCTATGTTCATTGCAACACTCTTCACAATAGCAAAGGCATGGAATCAACCTAAATGTCCATCAATGGTAGACTGGATAAAGAAAATGTGGTACATATACACCATGGAATACTATGTAGCCATAAAAAAGAACAAGATCATGTCCTTTGCAGGGACATGGATGGAGATAGAAGCCGTTGTCCTCAGCAAACTAACACAGGAATAAAAAATGAAACACCACATGTTCTCACTTATAAGTGGGAGCTGAACAATGAGAACACATGGACACATGGAGAGGAACAAAACACACTGAGGCCTGTCGAGGAGGGGCGTGCAGGGGGAGAGAGAACATCAGGAAGAATAACTAATGGATGCTGGGTTTAATACCTAGGTGATGGGTTGATCTGTGCAGCAAACCACCATAGCACACATTTACCTATGTAACAAGCCTGCAAATCCTGCACAGGTACCCTGGAACTTAAAAGTTGAAGGAAAAAAATTTCTATAGGCATGCCATACATACATATATGGAGAGAATGTCTCAATGTAATTTTAAGCTATTTAAATCTATTTTAAATTGCTTCTTTTAGATCTGATGTGAAATGAAAATCATATTCACCACACTGACTTAGGATATATTCACTTTGGCTGCCAAGTCATTTTTAGATTTAAAAAATTAAGAAGCTTCAGATGGAAATGTTTAGCAGATTGACAAAAATTATTCTGTAAATTGGTGTCAGTGTGTGCACCAATTAACTAGGAAGTACTTTTACTGTCCTAACCCTAACTGTTTAATCATCAGAGACCTGAACTCCTTTCATTTTTCCTCCTCTTCAGATTTACTTGATACCTTATCTTTCTAACTGAACTTCCGGCCCACTTCCATCAAGGACAAGCACACATCCTCTGAAATCATTCATGGTCCCTTTGAGCAATGAAGGATCACATCAGAAGATCAGAGTATGAACCTAGCCATGAATATAATCTTCTCATATCCTGGTATGTCAATGGCAGCATATGTTTGCAAGGCAATCCATGGTTGTGGAAACACTTTCATGGATACAGTCAATTTAGTGGAGCCAGGATCTGGGTTGAAAGCAGCCCTCTTCAGAAAGTCAGTATCTTCCCCATGGAAGATCCCTGCTCTTAGCCTACACAGAAATGGTCCAGGTATCCTAATGGAATAGATTCAGCTGCTCTGACTCTGAAAATAAGATGAGGCCAGGGACAGTGGCTCACCCTTGTAATTGCAACATTTTGGGAGGCTGAGATGATAGGATCACTTGAAGCCAGGAGTTTAAGACCAGCCTGAGCAACATAGTGAGATCCCACCTCTTCAAAAAAAAAAAAAAATTATCCAGGCATAACTGTGCATGGCTGTGGTCCCAGCTGCTCAGAAGGCTGAGGTGGGAGGGTCACTTGAGCCTAGGAGGTGGAGGCTGCAGTGAGCCATGATTGCACCACTACACTCCAGCCTGAGTGACAGAGCAAGAGCCTGTCTCAAAAAAAAGAAAAGACAAAAAAAAAAAAAAAAAAAAGAAAAGAAAAAAAGAGTATGGGAGTGTCCACACAGATAGTAAGACTGGAGGAATGTGTAATGGCAAGTCTAACCACAGATACCTTATCCATTGGTCTGACAATTTGTTGATATTCTCACCTTAAGGATTTCTTTGGGTTGGGGATTGAAGATCCCAGAAAATATGCAAACAATTTTTGGTGAAGTTAATATTGTAAGACATTATTAAGTATCAGTTCCTTAGAACAAATTAGTTTTTTACGTTTGTTACTCAGTCAACTGTTAAAATTTGCATGAATAAAGAGAAAATCATGAGGGTCAACAGGGAATATAAGATGTGATGGATTGTTCTGCTATTCTTGTAAGAACAATGGCATTCATGCAGGTATTGCAGTGAGCTTGGAGATATGCTTCATTGTCCATTGATTCATTGGGCTGAAACAAGAAGTTCCATGAAGCAACGTTAAAGGGGTAGGTTTAGGATGTCAACTGCCTTTGTCTGTCTTGGGCGAGTTGAAGGCCCATGAACTAGTAATTTGAATGAAAAATGCCATTATAGAAAGGATGTCCAACTCTTGGCTGCCTGAAGGATAGCTCCCACTGTCATACAAGGGTGAGATGTTAGGTACTAGGCCTGGCAGTATGGGGTTTGGGAGTATCTTTCATTAATGAAAAGCCTTCAGTGGCTTCCTTCCAACACTGCGTGACATTTGAGCTCCACAACCAGCCATAAATGCCCTTCCTTAATGGGTACTTGCTGACTTCTATAGCCTCAGTTCTCAGGGATTAAACTTTTTGCTTCAGCAATGCAGATCTATAATTTCTTTACTACCCCTTCTCTTTTCCTCTCTTCTGCTTGTCTAATCTTAGTTCATCCTTTAATACTTAATTTGGACATCACTTCCTTCAATGAAGCCGTTCCTTACTCTCAAGAGCCCCTTCTTCTTCCTTCTATAATTCCTGATGTCTATCTTATATTATTATACCTATGGCATAAGTTAGGTGTCTGCCTCTCCCGTTAGTCTACAAAGTCTCTATGGAAAGGGACTATGATGTATTCAACTTTGTGCCTGAGAGCCTAGGGTAATAAACAGATGATTGGATGGATGGATGGATGGATGGGTGGGTGGATGCATGGAAGGAAGGAAGGAAAGATTGCAGGGCTGAATTCTGGACCTTTTTGGAGACTATTGCATTATCATCCATAACTTGGTTTGACTAAGGCATGAAAATTGGGGACAGGGTGGGCTATGAATAATTTGTATTAACATTTTAAATGTCCCTAAATTACTATAGTTGAACCTTAGTTGGAGTTTCTACAGGCATTTTTTTTTTTTTTTGGCTTAAAAATTTACTGATCCCAGGAGGCGTTTTTGGATTAATTGTCTATTTCCTTTTGTGTTTTTATTCCCACAACAATTATTTAAATAAGCGATACACTTTGCACTTTTTAATATGCTGCTTGCTGATTATCTTCCAGTTATATTTTTGGTCTTACCCAACTATAAATTAAGTCTCTGGAATTTTCCTTCTAATATTTTGGTCTCCTGTCATGGAGCCTGCAATGTAGTAAATACCAACCTGACTGCTAAAGCCAGTCTACCAGGCATCATAGCCTAGTTCTACTTGTTTACATGGCCCTTGGCAAGTCACTTAACCACTAGTTCCTCGTTTTTTTAATATATAAAATGGGAATAACACTGGT
The DNA here is from genome assembly GCF_000001405.40 of Homo sapiens. Lineage (NCBI taxonomy): Eukaryota > Metazoa > Chordata > Mammalia > Primates > Hominidae > Homo > Homo sapiens. The sequence goes on from NC_000001.11 coordinate 168,818,291, forward strand.
TCTTATCTCAGAATGTTTGTATAAGAAATAAATGAGAGCATGAATGTTATAACACATTTAGAACAGTGCCTAGCATATAGTAAACTCTCGATTAAGTCTTTTCAGTATTGCCTTCCCATAATACCCATTGGTAATGCCTTATAAATGTTCAGTATTTTATACTTCACAAAGTGATTTCACATTTAATAACAACAATGGATACTTAGTATGCATCAGTCACTGTGCTGGGCACTGGACACACTGTTGAGTAGGACTACCAATACCTACCCTCACAAAGGCTTACAGAAACCTGCCGTGTTTAGGATTTTATACTTCACAGGTATACAGGTGTAATGAAGCTTCCCCGTTTAAGGACAAAAAATGAGATGCCTCAGCAGATTAATTTACTTGACCATAGTCATGTAAGCTAAGATGCAATAGAATCCAATCTTATACTCTCATTGCAAGTTCAGTTTATTTCTATTACATCATAACTTTAAATAAAATGACTGTATTAAGTGTGGTGGGCTGAACACTAGAACACTTCCTTTTGGAAGCATACTAAAGTTATAGTAAAGGATTTTATAAATGTATAAGGAAAAAGGAAGATAGAGAGAAACAATAGTCTATAAGCAATGACAAAATTTTGGAAAATGAAAAACAAAAGCACCAGTAGTAACTGACCAAATAGAAAGCTGAGCCCTAAGCATGTAGGGGGAAAGCCAAGAAAAAGGGAAGCCAAGTCAAGCCACAGGTCAGATTCTTAGAAAGACTTAGAAATTATAGGTTGTTTTTTTGAGGGGGATGTAAAGGGTGCAGATGGTCTGGAAGGCTGAAAAAAAGATTATAAATTTGCATAAGGAGCTTAGAATTGCAGATTCTCTACTCATCTACTCATCCTCATCTACTCATTCTCCCACTCTGGAAAATGATAGAGATTTCCTCTAAAGAGAGGTTAGAGTAGAGGAACTCAGGATTTGGGGGTACCCCGCTTACCTCAGGGTAAGGGCAAAGCCCTATACTGAATCATAAAGAAATGAAGTAAAAGCCCACAAGTTGAACAGTACAACCTACTGCAAACCCAATACCCAAAGTGCAGACAGTCACACTTACACCCCCATTCAACCTAAGTTGAATTTAATTATGTGGCTCCAATTTAATTATGAGTTGACAGACAAATAGCATTTCAAGAATGAGAAGAAAAATAAGAGATAAAAAGAAAAAATAACTCATGGGAGAAATTTTTGGCAAACGATGTATTTGATAAGGGGTCAATAGCTAAAATATATAAGGAACTTCTATAGCTAAATAGGAAACACAAAACAAAAAACCAAATAACCTGATATAAAAATGGGCAAAGGACTTGAGTAGGATTTGAATTTCTCCACAGAAGATACACAAATGGCCAAGTGTATGAATAGATACTTAACATCAGTAATCATCAGGGAAATACAAATGAAAACGACAATGAGAAACCACCTCACATGTGTTAGGATGGCTATTACGAAAAGGAAAAGAAAGAAAGAAAGAAAGAGAGAGAGACAAAGAGAGAAAGAAAAAAGGAAGGACGGAAGGAGGGAAGGAAGGAGGGAAAGAAGGGAGGGAGGGAGGAGAGAGAGAGAAAGAGAAAGAGAAAGAAAAAAGAAAAGAAAGAAAGAAAGAGAAAGAAAGAAAGAAAAAGAAAAGAAAGAGTTGGCAAGGATGTAGAGAAATTAGAATCTTTATGTACTGCTAGTGTAAATGTAAAATGCTGCTGCCACTATGAAAAGCAGTATGAAAGTTTCTCCAAGCATTCAAAAATTAAAATCAAATATAGGACTAGTATATAATCCAGCATCCCACTTCTGGTTATTTATCCAAAAGAATTGAAATTAGAATCTCAAAGAGATATTTTCACTCCCATGTTCTTTGCAGCATTATTTATAATAGCTGAGCTGTGGAAACAAGCTTAATGTCCATCATTTGATAAAAGGATAAAGAAGACGTAATAAATATTTACACCATATCCATATATCTGTGAATCTTATTGTCAGAAAAAAAGGAAAATTCTGGCCAGGCATAGTGGCTTATGCCTGTAATCCCAGCATTTTGCGGGGCCGAGGTGGGCTGATCACCTGAGGTTGGGAGTTTGAGACCAGCCTGACCAACATGGAGAAATCCTGTCTCTACTAAAAAAATACAAAATTAGCTGGGCATGGTGGTGCATGCCTGTAATCCTAGCTACTTGGGAGGCTGAGGCAGGAGACTTGCTTGAACCTGGGAGGCAGAGGTTGCGGTGAGCTGGGATCACGCCATTGCACTCCAGCCTGGGCAACGAGAGGGAAACTTCTTCTAAAAAAAACAAAAATTCTGTCATAAGTGACCACATGGATGAACCTGAGGACATTATGTTAAATGAAATAAGCCAGTCACAGAGAGACAAATACTGCATGATTCTACTCATATGAGGTATCTAAAATAGTCAAATTCAAAGAAGCAGTGAGTAGAATGGCGGTTGCCAGGGGCTGAGGGGAGTGGGAATGGAGAGTGGATATTCAAGGGGTATAAACTTTCAGTTATACAAGATGAATAAGTTGTAGTGATCTGCTGTATAACAGTGTGCCTATAGATAATAATACTTTATTATCCACTTTTAAAAAGTCATTAAGAGGGCAAATCTCATGTTAATTATTCTCACAACAATAAACAGAAGGAAGGAAGAAAGAAGAGAAAGGAAGAAAAAGAAAGAAAAGGGCAAAGAAGGAAGGGAAACTCATAAGAAATGGGGAAGCCGAGGCGGGCGAATCATGAGGTCAGGAGATAGAGACCATCCTGGCTAACACGGTGAAACACCGTCTCTACTGAAAATACAAAAAATTAGCCAGGTGTAGTGGCGGGTGCCTGTATTCCCAGCTACTAGGGAGGCTGAGGCTGGAGAATGGCGTGAACCCAGGAGGCGGAGCTTGCAGTGAGCCGAGATCGCGCCACTGCACTCCAGCCTGGGCGACAGAGCGAAACTCTGTCTCAAAAAAATAAAATAAAATAAAATAAAAAAAGTAGAGACATTGCTGGCTGGCAGAAAATGAACTTTGAAAACCTAAAATTAATTTATTTAAGTAGCCAAGATTTTATTGTCATAAAACAAAAACAGAGTGCCATAATAAGGAAACATTGAGAGAAAGAGAAATATCTTGGAGAATTAAACACAGCAGAAATTTACAAAAATGTCAATACATAGGTTGGAAGATAAAGTTAAGGAAATATCTCTAAAATAAGATGATTAAAGAATCATCAGAAGATCCAGGAATTGAAGACCAGGAAAGTGTGGGGGTGGGGCATGGTGGAAGTGTGAAGATTATCAAAGAAATGTTATAAGAAAACTTTCAGAACTGAAGACGTAAGCCTGAAACTGAAAGGTCTACTAAGGGCCCTTTATTATAAATGAAAAATGACTCACATCAAAGCATATCATTAGAGAATTTCAGAACACTGTCAAGACATTCTCATTGCTTCTTCAGATAGGAAAACAAACAAAAACCAGGTCACAAACGACTTGAAATCAGAATGGTACTGAATTTATCAACAACAAAGCTAGACTACAGAAGATAATAGAGAAACGCCTTTTAAATACCGAGTAAAATGTAAATTCTAACCCTTACTTCAGGGCCCATATAAACGACCACTCAATTATGGGAATATAAAAAGATTTTCATTTATAGGCAGCCTTAAAATGTTTAACCCCCTTATGCCCTTCTTAGAAAGTTGCTAAAGGATGTTTTCCATGTTTTTAAAAAGGGAAATATGCAAAAAAAAAGGAAGGATAGGGATTTAGAATCCAAGAGGCAAGAGTTAAATAGAAAAAAGGCATTTTTAGAATAATGAAGAAGAGAAGGCCCCCAAATAACCAGTTGTTTCACAGTCTATTGAACAACCAGTGCAGCTAGGAGCAAGAGAATGGAAGCCTTCAGGGGGGATGTCTTTAAGAAAAAATAAAAATAATGCATACAGTTTGTGATAAACCTGACTATAATGAGAGGAATCTTACAGATCTGGTAGAGAATTTGGAAGTGAAAGGACACCAAAAACTAAGCAAATCATCATAAAAGCAATGATTAATCTCATTGAAATAGAAAAGCTTGATGAGAAATATAATGCAATGACACCACTGCCAGCGGCCCAGCTGTGATGTCTATTAATATAAACATAACAACGTGAGTCCTGAATATTGATATAACCAAAATTTATGATGTCAACGTATTTGGAATAAATCTGTAAGTGTGCAAAGGGGACATGGAGCAAGAGGTCTAAATCCCTATTTTATATTGTAGGAAATCAAGTGTCTAAAATTGGAAAATCAAGAAATGGCAGTATAAGTATTCATCTAGCAAGATGAAGATAAATAACAGAAGAAACAGCTAAAAGAATGGAATGTTTACATATAGGAGTAGAAATCAGAACTGGGGAAATGTGGAGCTGCTGTTTTTCATTATAACCCTCGTAGTACTGTTTTAATTTTAAGGCTACGTATATGTATTATTTCAATACAAAATTAAACATTAGTTACACCTTATGAAACAAGTTAAGTATATAAGAACTTAATGTTAGAGAGTTTTAAGATGTTTTGAAGCAAAATTTTTTTTCTTTTATATCAATTTGGACATGATCATGTAGAAATCTAAATCTAATTACATATTTGAGAATAATCCAATTTTCTTCCTTTCATTTTTGAGAGAAATCATAACTCATGATCCTTTATCTCTTGCCTGTTGGGATGTTTCTGATGGTTCTAGTGAATGCTCAGCTTGGGAACTAGAACTTCAAAGCTTTCCTCTTGGCAGGGCGTTAGGAGGCTAATCACTAGAATAAGGGCCAGAATGTTCTGAGCTAACCCCAAGCTCTCCTCCAGCATTTAGCATTCGTTGATGCCATCATCACTCCAAAAATGACTGCAACCATGAGATTCCACTAACTCAGGGAAAAACTGAGGAGCACTTGGAATGTTTTAATTAGGTTTATTGATTAGAGACAATAAAACTTCTACCTCTTCCATTAGCACACTTCCTCAGAGAATACCTGATGAAAGGCTATTATGAAAGAAAAGCAATTTCTTACGTTTCCTATTTCATATATTCCTAGAAATCTTGGGGAGGCAGGGGATATAACATGCCAGAAATGGCAATAATCTATCAAACTGATTTTCAGGAAAATGAGGAGAAAAGTACATTGACTCTCGTACATATTTATGTATAAACTAAGAGGATATTGTCATAATATGGAGAGGTAGAGAGACAGAAAGACATGCAGGGACACTGAAGGAAAAAAAAAGAGGAGAAGTGTATTAGTCTATTATCTCACTGCTGTAAAGAAATGTCTGAGATTGAGTAATTTATAAAGAAAAGAGGTTTAATTGGCTCACGTTCCACAGACTGTACAGGGAGCATGATGCTGGCATCTGCTCAGCTTCTGGGGAGGCCTCAGGAAACTTTATAACCATGGTGGAAGGCAAAAGGGACATTAGGCTGGAGTAGGAGGAAGGTGCCACATGCTTTTAAACAATCAGATCTCATGAGAACTCCATCACAAGAACAGCACCAAAGGGGGAAATCTGCCCCCACAATCCAATCACCTCCCACCAGACCCTACCTCCCACACTGGGAATTATAATTCCATATGAGATTTGGACAAAATCCAAAGGTTCCCCCCTTTTCCAAAGGGCGGAATGGTTATAGAGAGGGAAGAAAGAAATAGCAGGATTAAGGAAGGAAAAGAGAAGGCGAAGAATGGGAGAGATACAGGGTGAAACCATGTAGCATATGTGGCCATGTCCCCAGCCTCTCATGTTACCCGACAACCCAACAGCTTTCTCTGACCTGGCCCATTTGTCTGCAGCCTAGTAGACCAGGGTATTCCAACTCTACCTCACACTCTAATCTCTTCACACATGGCCGGAACATTTCTTTCATATCTTCTACTTGGCCTGGGACCATAGGACCCAGATGCCAAGGGCAATAGGCTCCAGCTTCATCTGCTTTTTGATAAGTTGTTCTAGCCTTCCTTCTGTTGTCACTCTAGGGGAAAAGAGGGAGAATATACAGCAAGCCCTATTCATTCTGGAATTGCTCCACGTGCCTGATGAAAATCCTTGCTCTATCTGCAGTCAGGGATGCCATAATCATAAATACAGCAGAGGTTGTTAAGCTAAAAACTAGTTCACAACAACAAGCAAACTGATCTATACCACAGAACCCTATAAAAGGTCAGGGGGTGAGCCTTTATCCATGCATTGCACTACAACCACACCCACCCACGCTTATACTCACATTCCTCTCACCCTTGTGGGCCTTGTGGGTGAGAGGTGAAAGGGATCTGAGTATAAGTGTGGGTGGGTGTGGTGTAGTGCAGTGCAGTGCATGGATGTGTGTTTGTGTGTGCTTGTATGTGTTTCCCTTACCTCTGAGAGGTATCCTAATGTCTGATGGTCCTTGACTGTGAGTTCATGTATAAGGGAGAGGCTCTAAAAAGCCATTTGGGAGCTCTCTCTGCATGGGCACAGCTTGGCAGCCAGTGGGCCTCACAAGGCGATCAGACTAGGACACAAATGCATTTTTGTGAGATGAGATCAAATGTCCCCCAAAGATAGCTATGTCCTAATCTCCAGAATCTGTGACTGTATCAGGTTACATGGCAATAAGAAATTAAGGTTGTAGATGGAACTAAGGTTGCTAATCAGTTGACCTTAAAATAGGGAGATTTTCCTGGATTATCTGGGCTGCCCAGTATTATCACAAGGATACCTAAAAGTGGAAGAGGCAATTAGAAGAGAGAATCAGACAGATGGCAGTGTGGAAAAGACTTGGTCTGATGTTGTTGACTTTGAAGATGGAAGAAGAGAGCCACAAATCAAGGAATGTGGGAAGCTTCTAGAAGCTGGAAAAGACAAGTAAACATGCTTCTCCAGATCCCCTAGAATGCCAACACCTTGCTTTTAGTCTAATGAGGCCCATTTTGGACGTTTGAACTGCATAAGTGTAAGATAATTTGTGTTGGTCTAAGCTGCCAAGTTTGTGGGAATTTGTTGCAGCAGCAGCAAGAAACTAATACACCCCAATGATGATGTGTATAGGCCTTTTCTTTTGCCCAGAAGTTTCTCCAGAAGAGAGCACATGTAATCCTGGCTTCTCAAAATCTGGGAACCAAGCAGGAGAAAAAGATAAGGGTTTTACCATACCATCCACTGATTTTCTGTAAGCCCATGTTTTGTGTGGCACTGCATCTCTCTCCAGCTCCCAGGATGGTGGCAGTTAATCTTGTTTTCAGTTCCGTCTTACACTCTTTTCTTCAAACATACCTCCTTTCTCCAATTTCTGAGCCTTTATAGGGTTCTGTGGTATAAATCAGTTTGCTTGTTGCTGGCTTTCTTCACCCCCTCACTACATTGTAAAGTTTTATTTGCTTCATTACATCAAATCAGTTCTCTTTCACGAGTCCACCATCTATCAGCTGAAATTTATTGACATTTCTATTTGCTGTCACCGTCCAATTGGGTTTAAAGATTATAACATTGTTACATTTCATATTTATTTTACTGGGACTTCAGAAAGGAGCAGAGACAAACAAGCCATTCAATTCATTATGTTGAACTGGGATTCTTATTATCTCTATTTTGTATTGTATAGATGAGAGAACTGAGACCATGAGTGGCTAAGCAATTTGTGAGATTTTAAATATAATTCTGGCTGACTCCCAAGTCCATGCTCACATGAATTTATAGCCTGAAGCCGTTAGCATATGAAAAGCATTTGGAGCTCAGCCTCCTAAATCGAACATCAGCAGCTCTGCGGTGTCCTGGTGAAAATGGGGCTCCACAAGAACACTTTGACTTGCTCAAAATGAATGTTATTAAATCATCAGGCACAGAAATTCCCTTGTATCTGAGAAGTGACTGCCTTCACTTCTCAGGAGGATATGAACTATACCTCCTAACTCCCCCCATCCCCTGTCACCTAGAAAGCTCCATGTGACTGGTTCTTGTCAGTGGAATATGAGCAGAAGTAAAGCGTGTTATTTCTAGGCCAAAGAGATCAAGAAGCAGATTGGCCTCTCCATTCTCTGCCTTCTCCCATCTGCCTATTGGAGGTTGATAAGCAACTGTCATGAACTAGAGGTGAACTTTTGTTGTTTTAATCCACTGGTCATTTTGAGCTAGTTTGTTACAGCAGCTAGTATTAGCTTAACTCCCTCTGCTGTATTCATGATGCAAATCCAAAGCACTAGATTAGGGCAGCATTTATTCAGAGGCAGGAGGCCCTTTTGTTTCTCACAAAATCACCCTCTGCTAGGTAATTTGTACATCTAGCCAAAGATGGGATATTTTGCCATTTTCCAAATGTGCTGTGTACGTTAACGATGGCCCTATACTCATGGGGACTAAGCACGAGTTATTTCCCATGAAAGAGGAAATTCAGTAAATAGGAGCAAGAAGTCCACATTTAGTCTCTGCCCTTTGGATATATCATCAGTAGGTATGAGAAACTAGACAGTTTAGAATGGTCCAAGCACAGTGCTGAAGAAGTGACTTTGATAATTACAGAAGTCAACGGTGTTTGAAAAATAGTTTGAAATCTTGGCTCTGAGTGTGAGAATGTGGTTTTTCCCTCCTATAGTTTAAAAGCTAACTCTGCTAAAACCCAAGAGGGATACGAAATGAATCTGGTTACAAACCAAAAGCAAAATTGCCCAGCCTGATCTAATTCTTCCAGGAAAAGTGCAATGCAATGGGGAAATAAGGAATGGCTAGGCAGAAAATCCAATTAGCCTTTTGCAAACTGAGTTTGCTTACACTTTTTAAGTTAAAAATATTCTTTAACTTGCCCTTTTCCTTCTTATCCAAAACTACGGCCTGAAGGTTATGTGGCGAAAATACATTTTCAGAAGCCCCTTCATTTCATTGCGAATTTATCTATTGGATACTGAGATCTTAGTCTGACATATCCAGGGTCTGTGTTCACTTGAGTCCAGGAATTCAAGACCAGCCTGGGCAACATAGCAAAACCCAATCTATTCAAAATTACAAAAAAAATTAGCCAGGTGTGATGGTGCGTACCTGTAGTCCCAGGTACCTAGGAGGCTGAGGTGGGAACATCACCTGAACCCAGGAGGTCGAGGCTACAGTGAGCTGTAATCGGGCCACTGCACTCTAGCCTGGGCAACAGAGCAAGACCCTGTCTTAAAACAAACAAACAAACAAACAACAAAAACAACAAAAAACATGCTTATTATGTCTGGAGGCACGAATAGGCAGACAGTTTTTCTGAGCCCTGGGAAGTAAACCCACAGAAAGATGATGGATACAATATGGTTCAGAGGATGGAAGAGTTCCTGCTTAACATGGAATTTTCCTGCTACAGAGGCACAAACAGTTCTTCTTTGATTTAAAGCAGTAATTACTTCCCTGGCTTGCCCACATCAGGCTGTCAGCCTTTGAGTACTATTGCTGCTGTGTCACTGTCAAAATCAAATTACTAAAAAGGTCAGCATCATTAATATGTGGCTTGAAAGGAGTGAAAATGTCAGACAGAAAATCTATGAGCTTCTAGGGCCTTTCGTCAAAAACTTTGCTCTGGTTTATGTTACTGTTACTCTTACTTACCTCAAGGTGTAAACCATCTGCGGAAGCTTACAAGCCATATGATCATCTAACCTCCTTGTTCCTGGATAGAAAATACTCCCTGAGAATTCCCAGCTAGATGGAAACTCCTTGACATCAGAGACTATTCTTCTTTGGATCTCAGACAGCAGTTGCCTAAATACATTCACAAATACTTGAGTATACATTTGTGTATTTAAAACTTACATACAGCTGGGCATATTGTGGGAAATAAGTGTCCACTGAAGAAGTTCTGGGACTTAAAATCTTTAAAGAGCAGGCCAATAATTTCAGTCCCAATCCCTGCTGAACCACTGACACTTTGTATGACCTTAGAGCAGTCACTTAGAAATTACTAGCTTTTAAATTTTCTATAATGAAAATTGCTTTGTCTTTGATGTAACCAGAAAAAACAAACCTGTAATATATAATTGAATCATAATATTCAGAAATTTTTTCATATAATGAGACCCATTAACTATCAGTTTGATACCTGGTCTTAATTAGAAATTAAATTATTTCAGAACAATGATAAGTAATGGCTCTTAAAATTGCTAAGAACCCTAGTTATATGTTAAAAGCACTGAATTTTCATTTCATCTAGTTTGATGCTGCTAGCATGAATCATGACTCGATAATCTGTGTTTGCTTATTTTCTTGCTTACTTGTTTGTTTTTTTTCATCTCTCTAGGCCTCCATTTCCTTATTTTAAAAGTTGATATCCAAGGTCTTTTGTAGCTTTAAAATTCTATGATTCCAAAGCAGATAGTATAAATGTGGCAGTGTGTGGTATATTTCAACCACCAGCTTGTCAGAGTGAACAAAATCCCCACTATTTGAATCATTGCTTTAAGACTATGAGTTTCAGATTGGCTCCATGCTGCCATCTTTAAATATGTAGCACCAGATAAAAGCAAGCCATTACAATGTAAATTTTTTTGTCATTTGTTTATCAAGCAACTTAGCTATGGATTAGCAGACAGGGAACTCTTTAAGATTTGGGAACCAAGAGTGGCCTATACTGGTGTGAGTATAATGTTTCAGAATATGTGTTGCCTGGGGAAGGAACGCTAATGACAAATTCCCCTTGCTTTACTACAATTTTGTCTAGAGTGGTCCTGGTTCTAAACTTACTTTGGAAACATAAAAAAATGCATTAGTCAACATCAAAATTATTTATTTGCACTAGAAAAGAAAACAAGGATTAATATGTTATGATAAAGAAACTTTACTAGTCATTATTACTACTAGTAATTATATTATTACTGTAATTATTAATATATAATTAGATTATTACTAATATAATACAATTACTAGTAGTAATTATCTTAATAATTATATAGTATAATATGTAGTAATTAATAATTAATAATATAATTAATAATACTACTTAGTATTAGAAGCAGAGGAGAGAACAAAGTCATGAAACATTAGTAAAAGGAGTTCAAAGGCAGAGAATTCCACCTTCTCACTTTCATATACATTTACTAAGATGGACTCTTTCCCAGAGATTTTGCATTAGCCTGTTTCTCAAGATCTATATGAAATAACATTTATTCCATAAAATCATTGATCTTCCCCAAAAGATATGCTGTCTTTCCTGCATTCAATTACACAAGCACTTATTGAAAACTTAATCTAAATCAAGCCATTTGTTTGATGTTATAAGAACCTTATTCACTCCCCATCACTCCATTTCCTGAAACCTTCATGGCATTTTGCTTATACTGATACTTAACCTTTTGTTTATGTTTAAGACACGTATCATGCTCTAATCTGATTAGGGTGCACTTGTTTGCCGGCTTTATTGCAAGCCTAATGCTATTCTTGGGACATTATAGGTGTTCAATAAGCATTTGGAAAATGACAATTGAGGCAGTAATCACTTCCATTTGTAGACCATTAAGCACTGAGAATAAGTACTATTACCTCTAAAATTGTAATGTAATTGAATGAGAAAATACAAATTGATCTATAATAACTCAATTACATAGACCTTTGGGGATAATGTTTGTTGCATGTGCCTCTATTACCAATGCAAAGAAATAATTATACCTCTTTAAAACCATACTTAGGTTAAGTCAGGCAAAACAGCAATTCAGTCTCACCAACTGATCCACTAGCATTAGCTACAAAACTGCCCTTTGAATCAAATGTTCTTAAGACAGCTGAGGATCAGGGAGATACCAAAACAACATTGTAAATTTTCAGTCTTGCTCATGCACAAAGAAAACTCTCTATAAATAACTCCCACAGATAAAATTCAAACTCTGCAGGCATTGGGGAAAAGTCAGGGGATTATCTAAATTGACTTCCTGGGTGCAAATCTGGGGGAGATAGGAGATTTGAGATCAGCCCCACTGGTTGGAAATTTCCCTAAGCTATGACATATGAGTCCTGATTTGGTCTTGGGATGCTTCACTGAGGGCGGTTGCAATTTATTGTGCTCTAGACACCAATAGTGGCTAATAGAGGAACAGGGAATCTGAGCACAGGTAGCAGTGTGGGAAGGGTGGGAAGGACCTTTACCAAGATGTAATTAAATGTAATTAAATAGCTGAGTATCCACTCTTAAAGCATTTTACCCTAGTTGCAAGCTAAAAGTTAGCCTGAAACATTTTCAGTGGATGCAGAGTAACAGCCTCTTCTTGCACTGGCATCACCTTGTGAGAACTGGGACCCATGGAACCAGGTGACAGGGGAACACGCAGTGGGTTGTATTACAGGAAAAGAACACTGAGTTTAGGGAATCTAAATCTTTTCTAACTGGTCACTAAGCTTTCCTGGTCTTTGCTCTGGAGTGAGACACTCTCTCCACTTTCCAGGGTGTTTACTATACAAATGGACTAGAAGAGATCATCGGCAACAAAGTCTATGTCTCTGTTCACACAAAAGGCAGAAATGTGAGACTCATGGAGAAATCTCTCCCAACACATGGATCTTATCTTCTAAATGGCAAAGATAAATATATGATTGAATGAATCAATGCATACATGTGTGAAGTTAGATAGTAATTAATGATTAAAAAAACAGTTTGGGCATGAAGATTGATAAGAAAAGCTGTTTTCAATAGGTTTGTCAGGGAAGGCTTTTAGGAGCAGGTAACAGTTGAGCAGAGATCTGAATAAACTGAGGAATACAGACATGTAAATATTTGCCCAAAGAGCATTATAGGCTTAAAGAACAACTCATGTTAAGGCCAAATGCAGGATAAGAATGTCTGATGTACAGTAAGAAACCCAGTGTGGATTGAGCAAAAGGGTGAGTAGGAGGCAATGAGGTTGGAGAGTGGGTTAGGAACCAGATCATGCCCTATGCCCAGATTGGCCCTATTATGCCAAGGGAAGAATCTTCATTAGATTCTAAGTTTGATAGGTTGCATTTTATAAATAAATAAATGAGCCTGGGCAGCTGACCCAGGATCTCAAGCTGGGCTAAAGTCGCTAAACAATGAGAGGCCCCAGGTTCCCCAAGAGAAGCACACAACTGGGACACGGTGAAGTAACACAATTGCTTTGTCATTCACCACTCTTTCTCTAGTTCTAGCTCTCCCATACCCTGTCTATTCCCCAGCTTCCATCTATCCATTTTTTTCTCCTAACTTCTAGTTCATTCTCTTTACACATTTCTTGTCTTGATAGCTCCTTGCTGCAATTCCCATTTCTCAAGTCTCCTGTCTTACTGCCCTTCCACCCCATCGTCAGCACATGAAAGCCTCTTTTCTCTCTCCTTACCTTTGCATCTCCCTGTGATGATGGTCTCCCTCATTCTCAGAAGCCCCATGGTTGGTGCATCTCTTATCAAGGAGCCGTGAGAAAAGAGAATAGGCTTCCCTCCTTCACATGCTCAGGTAGGGGTTAAATGCCTTTTGCTTTTCAGGCTGAGGTCAGAACATGGTGCCCCATGGATATTGGGGGAAGGGAAGAAGCAGCTAAATTCCCAGCCACACCATGGTAGAAAGGACCTATTTTCCCCAGTCCCCATGGCAAGAGCCATGCCAGCACTTACAAACAGTGTCTGGCACATGGTAGGTGCTCTGCAAACGTTTGTGAATATAATGAATGTGCTATTATAATTATCATAGTTGTCTTGGAGTATATGGGGTGAACATTTACACCTTAATTAGGAAGTATCTCAAAGCTGTTTATTTTTTTATGGCCTCAAGGAGAAAAGTCATTTGTTTGATTTTGTTTTTTACAGGCAATGATTACCATAGCAGCATAGAACCCAGTTTCTGTGTTCTTACCACCAAACCGTAGAACTTGTGATAGACAAGATATAAACAGCATCATCTCAGATGACATTTTGAGACAAAAACAACAAAGTAGTGCATTGGGAGATCCAAAACAAATGGCAAGTCAGTTTACATCTCTAAAAGTTGGCTGCAGTAAATTCTCCTTTTTTCTGACTTCCATTACAATTTTAAACACGTCTTCCCTCCCATGCATTTCTTCCCACTATGTCACCACCTGCCATTAACCTGTCACTGGGACTGGCAGGCTGAGGTCAGTTATGCTCCTTTATCAAACAACCCTCGAGGTCCTTCTAGGTGCAAAGAATTGTGCTAGGTTCTGGCACTCAGACCTGCTGCACACCTGCAGAGAGCCAAAGGGTAGTGGAGGAACAAACTTGTACAGATAAGCACGGTCCAGGGTTGCAGGCCTGCGATGGGGACCCTCATGGGGTGCAACGAATGCCCAGAGGATGGGGGATCAGTTGTCCATAAAGGTGAAGAGTAGAGCTGGGAAAAGAGCCAGAAAGGGATTTATGGAGTGTGTGACACTTTAGTGAGCTGCATTCTGAAGGAGAGGTGTTTCCTAGGTGGAAAGGTGCAAAAGCAGAGATAGGCAAGACTTAGCTTCCTCAGGGAATTACAAGCAATTCAGTATGGCGGCAGTGAGGAGATGGGCCCAGAAAGAGATGAGGCTGTAGAATTAATCAGCTGGGAAGCTGGAAAGCACTTCTGCAGATGTTCATGGAAGAATTGTGTAATGCTACTGTCCTGGAAGAGCTTACCAAGTACATTGCTTGTCTTTCTTATTTGGCTACACTGAACTTTAAAAGAAGGAGTTAACATCTCCATTGGAGGAATGTACAGGTACTACATATGTAGATGTGTACATATGTGCACGAAAGCCCACCCATGGCTGCACCCCACCCAAACATTATAGGAAGTCAGTAGTTGTTATTTCTTCAGAAAATAGAGTTCCCCCAAAAAGATTTTACATTTTTTAATAAAGTTTGCTGAAGATTTTTTTCATTACAAAAGTTAACACACTTTTTTAGTTATAGAAAGGTAGAAAAAGAAAGTTAAACCAAAATAGAACAGAGAGAAATAAACATATTTATATTTCCCAAAGAAAGTTATTAATATTTTGATAATTTCCTTCTAGCCTTTTGTCCTATGCACAAGTTTAATTTGTTTATTTGTTAACCAAAGTATTAAGTCTGAATAGACTATAAAGAAGGAAATAGTTCATGGGATTTTACTTCAAATATATATAGATAGTCATAAAGATCATTCAGCAATATTTATTAATTTTCTATTATGTGTCAGACACAGTGCTAAGTGCTGCAATAAAGCAATAAACACAGTAGGCATAGTGACTACCCATGCAAATTCCCGTGGCAATGGGAAGGACAGGAAATAAAAGAGGTGTCATGGGGACAGGAAAGGCTGGCAAAACTTTTGGCTCCCTCAGCAGAAACTCCCCAATACCACTCTGCCCCTTCCCTTCATAGTTATGAAGTCACTGAGTGCTGGCATTGGAAGGGCCTTTGAGCTCTCATAGTCCAAATAATAGTGTTTCTTGGTTGAAACAAATAGGACTCTTTAAGCCTGGCTTTTTCTCCCCTAATTCCTGGAGCATTATTGCCTTCATTAAGCTACCCCTCCTCTGGTAGCCAGTGCTTCTTCCCCCCCTGCTACCTGCCCCCTGCCACTGAGGCAGCCCAAAGAACAGGAAACCGGAGGTGGCCCTGCCAGAGCTGTCAATAGCAGCAGGCATCTTCCTTCCTGCCACAGGGGTGATAAGACACAAGGCCAAGGGGAGGGAGCCCCTCTCGGCTGAACACTCCATGTGTTGTCCTTTGCCTTAGAAAAACCTTCACTCTTCCTACCCCACCAAAGTAGCCAGTCACCACCAGCATGGAAAACAAATAAATAAGCTAAGCAAGGTCACAGTTATTTCTGCTGTTGTGAGATCCAGCGTCACATGTAAAAAGAGTTGGTGGTTTCTAATCCCCCACTGCCCAACACAAATCATATTTCCCTCCTCAGGCAGTACGTCTCAAATTGCAGCTTTATAAAGCCATATCTTTGAGTCAAGGGACTTTAGTTTCTATATATCTCATGCCTAAATGAACTAAATATTCACTACATAAACCACCCTTACACCATGATTAGTAATGGATCACATCATGGTAATGTACTCACACCAGATTCCGCTGCAGCCTGTTAAGCATCATTATGACACACTGGCTGGTCAGTGTTGGATAATTTAGGGATAGGCCCATGTTAAGGACCAGGTAGCCTTGGTTGTGTTATCACAATGGAGCCTCAGAAGCCTGAGACAGCAAGAGGGCCAGGAAGTCTGAAGTGTTTGAGGAGAAATGTTCCAAAAGGAAACTTTCCTTACTTCATCTATTTTGCACCACACACGTCCTGACACATCAAGGGTATTCTCACAGTAACTGGCAATTCTATGAACTTTAGAATCCATTCAGGCAATCACATGTCTCTGTCAGCTGTACTAAATGTCTTTGAAGCTGGGAAATTCCTTTGACTCTGGTTAAATATTACATAAAACATGCCTGCTTTGAATGGGCAAACCATAAACTGTACAATAAAGTGTGGGAGAAAGAAATTTGGGCTTGGAGCCATAAGATATGAGTTTGAGTCCTTTCTAGTGGTCTGACCTTGAGTAATCACTGCTCTCTAGATTTTAATATCATTCATAATTGTGCTCTACTGTAATCTCTTATATAAAATATTTCCTGGCCTCTCTTTTCTACCAGGCCCTAGACAGAATTAATTATATATATAGATATATATGTGTGTGTATATATATGTATGTGTGTATATATATATATAAAACAGATATATATGTTTTATTTACATATTTAAAGCATACATTTATATATTTAAAATACATTAAAATATATATACTTTATAATAAAAATATATACATTTACATATATTTAAAATATATAAATATATATACATTTTATAATATAAAGTTTATTTTATATTATGTGTATAATTAAAATGTATTTTAATATAAATTTTAAAAAATGTATAAGCATGTTGTATATAATTTTTCATCTCCCTCACTAAACTTGATTGCTGCAGGATTCATGTCTTTGATTCCATGGTATTACTCTGACTGAACTACAATACAAAGGGCATAATAAGCACTTCTCAAGCACTCTTAGGAGGCTCAAAGGTGATAGTACTCAAACAAGTATTTCATAAACTATAAGCCTCCATGTGATTGTAAGATGTGGTCATTATTTGCATAGCAATATTATTTCTCAGTGTAGCACATTTCATAAAAATCCAGGAACTAAAGCAAAGAAAACAAGAAGCAGTCAACAGTGATTAACTCTGGGGGTGGGATTGGGAGGTAATAGGGAAGTTGAAGAACAGGGGAGGGGAGGGGAGACGAGGACAGGAGATGTCATATTCTTAATTTGTATTAATTTTCAATATTAGAAATGTGGATAATTTTTATATTGATATGTCTTGGTATTTTTTCAAATTGGAAAAATAAATGCACACAATTCTAGGAAGCTACTGCAGTATTTACCTGGCGTGGGGTCCGTGGACATCTGTCAAATGTTAACCGAAACCAAAGTCTTACTGTACTATTTATTACATTATTACTGACAAGAATAACAATACCTTTCTAGCTTTTATATTGCACTTTAAGCCTTCTGAGATGATGTTTATTATTTGCTTTATTCTTACAACAATCCTGATGTTATTAGGGTAATAATCAGTAACTGTATTTAATGAAAAGAAAAAGTAAAACCAGAGAAACTTCATAAGTTGCCCAAGATTCCAAACACAGTGGACAAGTCAAGACTAGAATTCAAGAGACCTGGTTAGAGCCATCCGCAGTGGGTGAAACTTTTGGAGCCCTAAGGATATGTGCAATAGTCTCCAAAGACATTTTCTGTGCCCTCTGTCCTCGGCAGAGACCTGGGATCCCAGCAAAGCTGTCACCTACAGATAGATGGCTTCTGATATCTTATTTACTGCCACTCATTGTATCAGTCACTGAGTTTCAATGCATTGCTGAAAAAACATTGACAACCTCCTGGCTTGAATCTGGACCCTGCGACTAAATGAGCTGCATGACTTTGAATAGTCACTTAACCTTTCTGAAAAGTCAGTATCCTTCCTTATCAAGTGGGAACGACACCACATGGCAGGCTCAGGGATGTTGTGAGCATCTAAGGAGGTAATGTATGTGAAACTGCACTGTAAACTGTAAGACATTTTGTAAATGTCAGATATCTTATTTGCTTACAAGCTTCTGGAGGCTACTGTGCAAAGGCAGAGATTCCCACAGCCACCAAGGAAAGGAAATCTAGGAGGAAAAAGATAAAATCACTCTTAAAAGGAGGAAAGAACTATTCCTACTATATGAGCCTCCTCAACCTGCAATGATAGAGTCCCAGTGTTCTTTAATGTCTATTTACTTTTTCCTTGCTGTCCTCTTCTCTGCATATTATTCCAGCTGTGACAGTCATTTCATCAGTGAAATTATCAGAGCAAATAAATTTCACTCTCTGGGTCCTTTGACTGAAGCTCCACAATAGGATAAAAAGTATTCTCCCTCCCCCTCCCCCTCCCCCTTCCCCTCCCTCTCCCTCTCCTTTGCACCGTCTCCCTCTGATGCCCAGCCGAGGCTGGATTGTACTGCTGCCATCTCGACTCACTGCAACCTCCCTGCCTGATTCTCCTTTCTCAGCCTGCCGAGTGCCTGGGACTGCAGGCGCGCGCAGCCATGCCTGACTGGTTTTCGTATTTTTTGGTGGAGACGGGGTTTCGCTGTGTTGGCCGGGCTGGTCTCCAGCTCCTGACCGCGAGTGATCTGCCAGCCTCGGCCTCCCGAGGTGCCGGGATTGCAGACAGAGTCTTGCTCACTCAGTGCTCAATGTTGCCTAGGCTGGAGTGCAGTGGCGTGATCTCGGCTCGCTACAACCTCCACCTCCCAGCCGCCTGCCTTGGCCTCCCAAAGTGCCGAGATTGCAGCCTCTGCCCGGCCGCCACCCCGTCTAGGAAGTGAGGAGCGTCTCTGCCTGGCCGCCCATCGTCTGGGATGTGAGGAGCCCCTCCACCCCGCTGCCCAGTCTGGGAAGTGAGGAGCACCTCTTCCCGGCCGTCATCCAGTCTAGGAAGTGAGGAGTGTCTCTGCCCGGCCGCCCATCGTCTAGGATGTGGGGAGCGCCTCTGCCCCGCCGCCCCATCTGAGATGTGAAGAGCGTCTCTGCCCAGCCGCGACCCCGTCTGGGAATTGAGGAGACCCTCCGCCCGGCAGCCGCCCCGTCTGGGAAGTGAGGAGCGCCTCCGCCGGGCAGCCGCCCCGACAGGGAGGTGGGGGGCAGCCCCCGCCTGGCCGCCGCCCCGTCTGGGAGGTGGGGGGCGCCTCTGCCCTGCCGCACTGTCTGGGAAGTGAGGAGCCCCTCTGCCCAGCCGCCACCCCGTCTGGGAGGTGTACCCAACAGCTCATTGAGAACGGGCCATGATGACGATGGCGGTTTTGTCAAATAGAAAAGGGGGAAATGTGGGGAAAAGAGGGAGAGATTGGATTGTTGCTGTGTCTGTGTGGAAAGAGGTAGACGTGGGCGACTCCATTTTGTTCTGTACTAAGAAAAATTCTTCTGCCTTGGGATGCTGTTAATCTATAACCTTACCCCCAACCCCATGCTCTCTGAAACATGTGCTGTGTCCACTAAGGGTTAAATGGATTACAGGCGGTGCAAGATGTGCTTTGTTAAACAGATGCTTGAAGGCAGCATACTGGTTAAGAGTCATCACCACTCCCTAATCTCAAGTACCCAGGGACACAAACACTGCAGAAGGCGGCAGGGCCCTCTGCGTAGGAAAACCAGAGACTTTTGTTCACGTGTTTATCTGCTGACCTTCTCTCCACTATTATCCTATGACCCTGCCAAATCCCCCTCTCCGAGAAACACCCAAGAATGATCAATAAATACTAAAAATAAAAAAAATTTTAAAAAAAGTATTGTAAATGCCTCTATCCTCAGTTACTGAAAGGGAAGCATCAAAATATTCAACTTCCTATTAAGTTTGGTAGCATTTCTTTTTATTAATGAATATAGGGACCTAAAATCCTTCATCACAGTGTTGACTGAAAGTGTGGATTAGCTGGAATGTGGAATCCTGCTATGTATTTGATGGTGCTTCAAAATCTCTCTGATAATGGCTATTAAAAAAGTAAAAAAAAAACATGCTGGCGAGGTTGCAGAGAAAAAGGAACGCTAATACACTTTTGGTGGGAATGTAAATTAGTTCAACCATTGTGGAAAACAGTGTTACGATTCATCAAAGACCTAAAAACAGAACTATCATTTCACCCAGCAATCCCATTACTGGGTACCTATCCAAGGAATATAAATCATTCTGTCATAAAGACACATGTACATGTATGTTCATTGCAGCCCTCTTCACAATAGCATAGACATGGAACCAACCTAAATGCCCATCAGTGGTAGACCGGATAAAGAAAATGTGGTACATATACCCTATGGAATACTATGCAGCCATAAAAAAAGAATGAGATTATGTTCTCTCCATAGCGTGGATGGAGCTGGAGGTCATTATCCTTAGCAAACGAATGCAGGAACAGAAAACTAAACACCACATGTTCTCATAAGTTAAATGATGAGAACACATGGACACATAGAGGGGAATGACACACACTGAGGCCTATTGGAGGATGGGGGGTGGGAGAAGGGAGAGGATCTGGAAAAATAACTAATGGGTACTATGCTTAATACCTGGGTGATGAAATAACCTGTACAACAAATGTGCATGACACAAGTTTCCCTATGTAACAAACCTGCACATGCACTCCTGAGCTTAAAATACAAGTTAAATTTAAAAAAAAAGAAACATCGAAATATCTTTGATAGCCTATGCTGCAATTATACTATAGATCTGTAAGTAAAAGAAGAGGGAGAACATGTTTTATGGAAAGATATAATCCAGTGGTCAATGTAGGGAATATGACCAAAGAAAGAATCTATCACCAAAAAATGACAGACTGCAGAGAGTAACCAAACTAAACCCAGGTCTGAAGCAGGAATGGCTGGAGTAGGTGTGTGTTTAAGCCATTATACTCCTACAGAATGAAACCCACACCCTGAACACTGCTTCCTTCTCTTATAACTTGCAATAGCTTGTCTGTAGATAGAAAGTTTTGTTTCTCCCAATCTGATCCTTATTCTTACCGTTTCATTTCCTTGTCTCTTTGTATTGCCTAAGACCTTCGGTACAATGAAGGTTAGAAATAATAATGGGCATCTCTGCTGCATTTCTGACTTTAAAAGAATAGATTCTAAGGCTGTAAGTATAGTATTCACTGTGCACATTTGTTAGATTCTCTTAATCTAAGAAACTTCTTTTAGTTTGTTATGCATTGTTTTAAACCACAAGGAATGTTGAATTTTTATCAAATGCGTTGTCTGGATCTATTGAGTTGCTTAACTGACTTTCTTCTTGAATCTGTTAATGTGATGGGGTACTTTATAGATTTCCTAATGTGAATATATCCCTGCATTTCTAAAATAAACCCTCCTTCACCATGATAAACTTTTTAAAAATAATAAATGGACAGGTTCAGTTTCCTTATATTTTATGAAATTTGCATTTATGTTTATAAATGAAGAGTTTTTCCTCAGGTCTCTTTCTACTATTCTTGTCTTGTTTGTCTGTCAAAGTTAGAATAGCTTTACGAATTGACTTGGGGAGTTTTTGCTTGCTTCCTTTCCTCTGGAAAAATGCTTATAAGATGAAAGTATGTGTTATATTCTCTATTGATAGGTAAAGTGTTCTAAGCATGTCTACTTAATCAAGCTTATAAACACGAATATTCAAATATTTATATCTTCACCAGTTTTTATTAGCTTCATCTACCAGTTTTTGATGGGAGGTAAAAAAAATCTCCCATTTCGATTTTGTATTTGTCAGTTTCTGTTTGTAGTATGTAATGATTATTATATTTTCCTGATGTACCTTTTTTTGTTGTTGTTGTTTGTTTGTTTTTGATTTTGTTTTTCTCATCTTTTTTGAGACAGAGTTTCACTCTTGTCACCCAGGCTGGAGTGCAGTGGCGTGATCTCAGCTCACTGCAATATCTGCCTCCTGGGTTCAAGCAATTCTCCGGTCTCAGTCTCCTGAGTATCTGGGATTACAGGGGCCCACGACCACACCCAGCTCATTTTTTGTATTTTTAGTAGAGATGGGGTTTTGCTATGTTGGGCAGGCTGGTCTCGAACTCCTGACCTCAGGTGATCCGCCCACCCCGGCCTCCCAAAGTGCTGGGGTTATAGGCATGAGCCACCATGCCCGGCCCTGAACTGTTGTTTTAATCATTAAGAAATAACGCTTTTTACAGCTATTGTGCCTTAAAAACTAGATTTGTCTGATATTAATATTGCAATAACAGCTTTCTTTTTTCCTACTATATCTTTTTAAAACTTTTTTGCTTTAAAATATTCTCTGCTCTTACTTTTTAGGTATTTAAATAACAGATCCATTTTCTTTCTTTCCTTTTCTTCATCCACTCTTTTGAATATATGTGTTTTATTTCTATTCTTTAACATGGACACCTAACAAAGTCCAATTCTAATAAAGATCTCTTATTGACCAATAGAGGAAACTTGGTATGCTTTAAATCCAATCCCCTTCCATTTTCATGTTATTTTACATTAGTTTCACCTTGTTTTCAAGCTTCTCAAAACAGCCTTTTTGTTGTTTATACAATCAGCGTTACTTTTAGTTGTTTTTTCAGTGAATATATGTTATTTATAAACTCAACCTTCCTTTATAGAAAAATCATTTTATTTCACCATACCTTTCAGTGACACTTAAGTGAACATTTTGCAAATATTCCATTTCATTCTGGCTTCTATTGTTGCTAAAGTATGCTATTAGTCTTAGTAGTTATTTTTGTGGGTAATCTGTCTTTTTTTCTTGGAACCTGCACAATTTATTTTTTCTGATCTTTGTTGTCCTGCAATTTCACTATGAAATTAATTCTCATTGGGATTACTTGCATAATTTTAATATGAGGACTTATATCTTTCTGGAGTTCTGAAAAATTCCAAGCCAGTATCTTTTGGAATATTGTGTCTTCTCATTTTTTCTAACAGATGTATATTAGATCTTCTTATTCTAACTTTCATATCTTTTAATCTCTTTATAGAACACCCCATTTCGATCACTCCTGCATTATAGGTGTTTTATTCAGCTCTACCTTCTACTAATTAAGCTGTCTTCAGCTGCATGTACTTTAGTTTAACTCATAATTTGCTATCTTAATTGAACTACATATTTGTTCATTTCTAGAGATGCCATTTTCCTGCTTTTTCTTTTCTTATACTATTTTCTTCTTGTCTTCTAATTTCTATGCCTTTTATAATGTTCTAACATGAATATTTTAAATACATTCATTTTCTCATTTTTTTTTTTTTTACTGAAGTGGTCATTTTCTTTTTCACATTGTTGTTAGTTTTCCTCAGAATTTTCTTGTGTTGCCTCTTGTAACTTTTAAAAGTTCATCTTTACTGCAGATGGGTTTCACTGGGAATTCTGTTGTGCTGATTGACGGAAGTGCACTTACACAGTATTTTCATATTTGCCTCTGCCAGGGCCTCAGGGTTTCACCAAAGCTAGACCAGTTTTATGCTGCTTTCTAAATCTGGGGTTCCTACACCTCATGGGTGGGGTATATTTAGACTCTACACCCATTCCTTATGTAATTTCAAGATTCTGAATTCTTATGGGTGTTACAGATAGCTAGCTCCTTGGGTCATTAATATGTGGAGGTTTTTTTTAATCATTTTTCTACGGATGGAATCTGCTTTCAAGAATTGTAGCAATATGTAAAAGACTCCATTATAGTTGCTTATCTCAAATGGCTTTAGATCTCATAGCCCATCCTCTGTGGGCATGAAAAACCCAATATTCGTACATTAAAAAGTATATCAAGGACCTGTTGTCCCATGAGCCACTGTGGCTTTAGGCTATCACCATTTTTGACTTTGAGAATGTCTTTATTTCTACTACCTAAGGAGTTCCTTTTTTGTTGAGCTTAGTAGCATATGTAACTTTTGTTGGCATAGTTTATCCAAATTTTCTATGTTTGGAGCATGAGGAAGTTCCTTTGATTGGATTTCCATTTTCAGGGTATAATCCATTTTCAAGATGTATCAACTTTGCAATAGGGACTAGAAAATGCTTTGGAAAGCCATTGCATTTATGATACTATTTGCATTTCTGATATCCAGAACCAGATGTTGATTTTAAAGCACATGACTAGACTTGTCAGATTTAGCAAGTAGAAATACAGGACACTCAGTCATATTAGGGTTTCAGATAACCAGTGAATAAGCATGGCCCACGCAGTATTTGGCACATCCTTATACTAAAACATCATTCATTGTTTATCTGAAATTCAAATTTAACTAAGCATCCTGCATTTTATCTGGCAACCCTACATGTATCCACCTCTTCCAATTTGAACAATAATGGCCATTTGTGAAGAATCTCCCACATGTGTTCCATTTTTACAAGTGTCCTATTTTAAACAAGAAAGCTAAGCTCAGCTATATATTTATATAGAATCTCTGTTCAAGGCACAGGCATATTTTTAATCAAATGGCTCGATCTGGCAATTGAAGTCCAAACATTATTTTTGTTTGATCTGCCCTTCTTTTGGATTTAATCAGCCATGTTTAAACAGACATTGGTAGAGTATAAGATTTTCAGACATTTGTTTAAGTCAGCTGATTTTAAAAGCAAGTGATTGAGCTCTCAGCACGTGTTAAGTTGGCAAGTTAGTCTTCCAGAGAAAGACATTTTCTTGTCTGTATTTTTCTGTTTGCTCTGTTGCCTGTAATGGTTACCTTAAATCACAGCTATGTTACTCACTGGGTGGAGAGCCCTGGACAAACATTTTCTCTCTCAACGGTTTGCTTCCCATCAGAAACCTATGGGTAATCATTTCCACCCACTTCAGGAACTGTTGTACTGTGAAGGAGTATAGGGAAGTAGAACAACATTGTGCATACAATAGATTGTTCTACACAACCACAATTGAAACAGCAAAAGTTTCCAAAACACAACAAGCAGAACTGGGACATGTGCCACTAGACAAGGTGAATAGAATCTGTGCCCTCTTGAAGGGTCCTGAAGTGGTCGTCTTTAGTCTGGAAATGGGATTTCTTTGTCAGGCTGTTCATTAACGTCTCCACCAAACAAATGCCTCCCCCATTTATCCCCCATCCCAGGCCTTCTCCCCTAAGGAGAACTCTTCATTTCCTGCCTTCTCTTGTGCCTTTACCTTGTCACTGGCAAGCGCTTCTTCCTTTAAGCCCAAAGACAGAGGGATGCTGTTGTATTCACATAAACAAGGAAAACAGGGGCTTCCCTAGAGACTTTTCCATTTGTAGTGCATGTGTCATCGAGGTCCCTGGGGAATTGTTACCCATTACCAGGAACAAGTTAAATCTCTAGAAAGTGAGAGCAAAGTAAGAGGAAACCATGTACTACTTGCTTTTCTTTCCTCGATTCTCTTACTCTCAGGAACCAGAAAATATCAATACAAAACTTAATTATAAAATTGAATACAGCTCAGTTGAGAAACCGTGGTCCCAAGAGAAAAGCAGCAGAGCTGTAGAAGGGAGAAAAAAGAAAGAAGGAAAAAAGGCTTCTCTATGAAATTCCCTATTTTAGAAACTTGAATTCATTTGCATGAGAATTACCTTGCCTTATGTAGCAGATTTATCTTGAAAAGTTGTGAATAATGAAATGCTTAGAAAACTGACTTGTATTTCACTGACAACCATTGAAATTGAAGCACTGCAGGTTCATCGTTTCTGTCTTCATTTGCAGTAGTTCCTGACACTTTGCATTTGTGCACCATAGTATTTAAAGTGAATCTCAATAAAATCAAGATTCCTTTTATAGTGAGATTACTCATCACTTCTGCCTTCCAACCTCCCAACATTTTCCACCCCCAGAGATAGTTGTGCAAAGTGAGATGAGGGAACCTGGGACAAATTACTTAGGAACTGTGTGCCTCCAAGTCCCCCATGCATAGGAGAATAATAGTGCCTACCTGTAGATTAGGTCCTCCTGCATATCTTCCCACAGCATGCCATAATTCCCTTTTCATCATATCCATCACTTTTGCGATGAGCACATTAGCATCTAAATTCGCTATGATCTATAAACTTGAGAAAAGGGGCTGTGTCTCTCTCTTTCATCACTGTTTCTCTTACAACTACCACAATGACTGCCAAGTAGTACTTAGTAATTAAGTGTACCTATTATTTGTATTATTGTCTAGCCCAGAGATGATAAATATAATTGATTCTCATTATTCATGTTGTTGTGTTCTGCAAAGTTACTGCAGGCAATGAATTAGCAAATACTGACCCATTGATCCTAGAAGAAATACAAGGTTAAGTTCCTGTGAGCATCTGGTCATAACATTTTTGTCAACCAGTGAATACATAAGCTTGTTTTATGTGTGTTTCTCTTTAAAAGACACCTTATTTAATGTGTAGTATTGATTCATTAACACTGAACTTAGGGCCACTCCTTATTTCTCAAATAATGTCCTTCACCCTTCTACTACAGGCCTCAGTATAAATTTGGGCTTTTGCATGAAATGTTTCCTTCTCCCTTACTAATCTTCCCATCATTTATTTATTAAACTCCTCTGTTTCCTTCAAGGCCCATACAACTCTCATATTTTCTTAGATGACTCCCCAGATTCACAGAGACAGAAATAATTCTTTCTCTCATAAAATATGGTTTTTAGCAGTCATCACAGAGTAGTATCAAATTTATTTGGATGTGTAATTCATTCCAGTCAGCTTATAAAATCTTGAAGACAGAAACGAGGTATTTTTCACCTCTGAATATGCAATAGCTTCAGCATGGGTCTTTACATATATGTGATCCACAGTTGCTTTTAAAAAGTGAATTCAATTGATTTTCTCTTAGTCACTTCAGGGCAGAAAGTAGGCAATGTAAAGCAGAGATCTTCAAAATTGCACCCCACTTGACTATTCAACCAGCTTATCGCCTCTCAACAGAGCCAAGAATTCCAGGAAGCCTGGCCCTCTGACTTTGCCCCACCTCTGCCTAGAGGTCTCCCCACTCTCAGGACAGGAATAGAATTGTTGATATGTTCTGTAAACCAAGACCTGCCCTTGTAATATATAAAATCAAATATGAAGCCCTTTCCTTATTGAAAGGAAATTCCTGCCAAACTAGATCTCCCAGCTGCACATAATCCTTTCACTTTCAAGAGAATAAGCTCAGAGAATCAATGTTGGCCATTCGAAGCCTCTTTCCTCAAGCTTTCACTTGATGGGTGACAGCATGGCACCCCTGAGGCTTTTTGGTTAAGGAGCTCAGCCTTCTGACCATAGTGCTCCTGCCCTCCAGGATGCACCTGCCTGCAGGATAGAAGAGAACTTTCCCTGGAAGGCTTGAGCCAGAGTCCCTCTGGGGAGCTAATATGACCATGATGGAACAGCAACAAAATGCCTCTTGATCGAAGCCATATTGCTTTGACCTATTGTAGGTATTTGAAATATTTGTATTCCTGGTCTGTTTTTTCTTCACTTGGCAAGATGATGAGGAAGTGGAGTAAGTGGAGGAAATGGTGAAGGTGAATATGAACCAGATTAGAGGGAGATTATTCAAAGTGGTTGAATATATCACACAGAGATGCCTCTAGGTTAGTAAGAAATTATCTTCAAACACTTCATGTAAACACATGTAAGTGATGAGACTCTCAGATAAAGCAATCAAACCCTCCTATGTAGCTTGTGGAATTAGTCTTACTGCTTTCTACGTAGGTTGCCCAAGCAACAGTGCAGAGAAAGATGTCAGCCTATAATTATGTGGTACTGGGAAGGACAGATATCCTCTCTTCAGAGCAAAAGAAATCTAAATAATTCTTTCAAAATTCCTTAGCCCATTGCCTGACAAGCTCTACTTTTCCTAGACCCACTCATTCATCAGTGCTTGTGAATGGAAAAGTAAATTTTATTTCAAGGGACTGAATTCCAAGGAACTACATTCCCAGAACCATCAGAATTCAGAGCTAAAAGGGACTTGAGTCAAAATGTAGTCTAGTTTAAAAATTAAATCTTTGTAAATGTCGAAGTTGAGTCTCAGAAAAGACAAGTGTGAGTTACCCAAAGGCACAGAGGCAAGGTTATTAGATATCCCAACATCCAAACCTGATGTTCTCCATGACGCCACTGCTGCACCAGGCTTGCGTGCTGGGTGTGCTGTTGGCTCAGCACTAGTCTTTCCATGCTCCCTGCTTCCCACCTTATGCTGCCTCTGTGTTCCAGAGGCTGGAAGCCTGAAATCCATATTTCTCAGAATCCCAGCCCGAGTTATGTTTCAACAATGTGAAGCAACGCAAGAACTGGAGAACAGAGAAAAAATAGAAACTATTAAGTTTTCTGCAGCAGCAATAGGCAGTTGTATGCATTGTGTGGACTTGCATAACTGTAGATGTGACACTGTCCAGAAGCTTCCAGGTATCCTTCTGCCACCAATCATACCCCTTGGTGTTGTAGCAGCTAAGAAGGTTAGTGAAGGCTTCCTAAAGTTCTTTAAACTTTCTGATTTCCAGAATGTCAGTGGTAGTATTCTTTGACCTTTGCTCCCTCAGCTCCAGTCTATAACTCCTTACATTACATCTCTTCCTGCTTAAAATATCCAGAATGGTTTCTCAGTCCTGACACTACCCCAACTGATACCACTTCTTCCCACAGAATTGTTTTATATTATAAATTTTACATGTGGCTTTCAAAGGTAACAAGCAGAGTGCAAAAAATGTCTCAAGTAATGGTGAATAGATGGCGACAGCTTGTTGTAGAGATGGTAACACTAGAGTTGTTAAATATTTGTGTGCCATGGACCCCTTTGGCAGTCTGGAAAACCTACAGACCCTCTTCTCAAAATAACATTTTTAAATGCATAAAATAAAATATAATTTATTACGAAGAATAGCAATTATATTTAAATATAGCTTTCAAAATACTATAAATCAAATTTCCATAGGAATATATATATATATTCTTTATTAACTCAAGAAACAAGATTGGACTGTGCAGCATATCTAATGACTAATATCAATGGAGTGCGAAGCAAGCACAACATTTTGATATACCTCTTCAGCAACTGTAATAAGTTCCAGTGGTGACAAAGTCATCATTAGACTTTTGATTTGTTGCCTACATTCATAAGTGAAAGAAATTATAAATCTGAGTTAGAAGTTAGCAAAAATAATGGTGTAGGTTTTTTTCCATCCAAGTTTGTGAACCCAAGGTTAAGAACTCTTTATCTAGATGTGTGGGAAATCCATTCTTATTCTCTAATGTACTTGAAAGAAATCTGGAGGCTGGGGTAGGCTTCAGAACCTCAGATACCAAAGTAGGGACATGCTTGCAATTCATAGGCTATAATGTGTATATGAAATATTCTTGGGGGAAAAAGACTACTCAGATACAGCAAATGCAATTTCTACAATTTGTCCAAAGTAGGGGCAGGTTGAGTAATATTGAGCAAAAAGCTACTTTTCAATGCCAATGTTGTTTGAGGTAAGTTAGACTTGAAAGAGATGGCACCTCTTTATTGAAAGGCTGGAGAAGCGTGCCTCTTAATGCATCTCCCCCTCCCAAAGAGGGAAGAAATGAACTCCCATCTTCATTGTCTAGAGGACTCATTGTTAAGATCTTTAAAACATGTTGGAGGAAGAAGGGAAACATTATAAAATTATTCCTTATGCTTATTTTTGAAAGGGATTACCATGTTCGATATAAACATTAAACCTGACCTTCTCTCAACCCTAGAAAAGTGTGACTACTGTGGGAACCCCTAAAAGTAATGGAGAAAAACTTCAATTTCTCTCATGTGGTCTGAACAATACACTAGAAATTTGAGTTCCTTTGAACAACAGAAAATTGCTTGAATATTTAAGCATGCATTTGTTCTTGGGAAACAAAATGTTCAGCTCTAGTGGTTTCCACAGCAACTGCCTGGGCTAAAAATACAAAATTTGCCATAAGAAGAAAAAGTATGTACCAAGCAGGAACGGGAAGAGAAAATGGGAAATCTCCCAAAGGAAGATCATTGGCAGGAATCAGCCTGCAAAGACAAGGAAGGAGATGTGTCTCGTGGAAAGCCTTTTCCTGTGGGACAATGTGCGCTGGTAGAAACCTACAACCTCCCCACCCCAGTGCATTTCTTCTCCTCTCTCCCACTTCCCTACACTTCCTCCTTCTCACACTCCTGGAAAAAAATTACATCCACGCTGAGTACATCCCTCTGAGGATCATTCTGGTCAACAGTACAGATACACCTGGGGCGGGGTGGAGTCCCTGCCACAGCATCATCAATCTCTCTCTTATTGCTTCTGCCACTGGTTGGGCCTGGCTGTCAGTTTCTCCTCCTAATAGGTAACTGTGGTTTACCCTCCTGCCCTAGGCAATATGGCTTCTTCACTGTCTCACACACATACCCTGGTTGTTCCTGCCTCTAAGCTTTGGCTCATGTTTTCCCTTGGAAATATGTGCCTTCACCCTTCAGTATATTTAGTTCCTTATCTATGTCTGACTAGCTGTAAAGGATGCCTTCTTCCTGCAGCTTCCTGCAGTCTTGCCCTCACTGGTCTCTTTTCTCTTAAATGAATTTCAAACAGAGCTGGTACTATAGATTTTTGTGTGTGTGAATTTATTTAGTCTAGATTTCAGGCTCCTGGGAGCAAGGATCTTGCAATAAACTACAACTCTATTCCCTATGGTGCCCAGCACAGTGCCCAAAGCACACTTGTTGACAAAATCTGCTCCACCACTGTAAGAGAAGAATGGCAGGGCTGAATTAGGGGGAGCATCAAGATGCACCTACGATCACAATTTCTTGATTAAATTGTGCATGTCTCCCTCTGCACTGTAACTCTGAGTCAATGACAAAAGCCCTTCAAGCCTACACAAATGTTATTGCCACCCTTCTGCTTTTGTGTAAGGTGTGACATAGGAAGAAAACTGATTTAATAATAACATTATATTCCAGTACACTGGAGACTTCTACACTGTAGTAGAAATATTAAAGATTTGGAACCAGAAGAGCAAGTTTTATTTTCCAGTCCCACCCTGTCTTCCCGTGGACAATAAGTAATGGACATGAACAAATGCCTGGATAACTATTTCCTCCCTTGTACAAAAGGGTTATATTGCTATCCTCTTCATATGGTTACTCTGAGGATCAAATTACATGAGAGGTGATATGTTAAAGAGCTTTGAAAAATACAGCCTTTTGTGCAAATTGTCGGTATCACAGTGAGTTAACTCTCTCCAACAAATGAAAACCATAATGTACTCCCCTGAATCTCCTAAACCTATTTTTATTCTTATGTCCCTTAGGTTCAGTCTAAATTTCCAAATTCTCTTAACCCTTGTTAAATTATCAGGGCTAATTTGCATGGTTAATTTTGTCACAGGCATTGTTCTAGGCAGCCATGGGTGATTTCTTTGCAACTCAACTTTTGCCCCTCAAAAAAGAGTGTAATATGTAATACAATCATGTTTTATATTTTCATAGCAACTCCCAGTATATAAAACACATTCACATTCACACCCAGTGAGGTAGAAACTCTCACTTGTACCATCCATTTCCTGCCTTTTTGGTTGAGGGGAGTAATACTCTAAGGAGGCTGGAGCTGGAAGGAATTGAATATACAAGGAGTGCCCTATGAAGACAGGGACTGTCATCCAGCCACCACTCCCACTTTCATCCCTTTCCCCCTCTTTGCAACTGAAGTCAAGGAATGTGTTTCCAGGATGCAGGATGAAGCTGCCTCCAAAAGGCTGCCCAAGAGCAAAGAGCCCCTGCTGTATCACAGATGCACATCATGCATATCATGTACATGTTCTCCAGTGACGAGAATTCCCACTCACTATGGACAAAACCTGAGAGATGGCCCACAATACAAAATACTGCGCTGGGAAGAAGGAAGTGCTGCCTTGAGATTCAGTAGCTTCTTGGGGCTACTTGGCACTCCTGTTGCAAATCAGGCTCCTTGGGAAGACTCTTAACTTTTTCGGGCCACAGTGAACTTACATAGAGAGGCTTTTGTCCATATTATCCTTTCAGCCAAGGAAGACCACTATGCTTAGCACACTTGGCTCTTTCTTGTACCTGTAGAATATGCGTAAGTATGTTTAATCAGCAGTGTCAAATAATTCATGTAAAACTTCCTACACAAGTGGCCTAAAATAGTGTAGGTTCTGTCTCCAAGAGTCTAATTTACACCTAGACCTTGAGGAGAATTTGAATTATATTTCTTAATTTTCTGTTATCTAACCCATTCTAATCTCAGAGTGCCCCCGCGATATTGAATGGCTCAGAAATAAGTCAGCTGAATTCAGGCATAGTAAAAAAATTTTTTTTTATTTGATAAGCATTTATTGAGGGCTTCCATATTCCAGAAACAGCTTTGTATTAGTGATAACACAGTATTCAGTGTGCAAATCTAGGGAATGGTTGGTGAGGGTAGTGAGGGCTGTGAAGAGGGTGCTACCGTCAGAAATCAGCATTTAAGGGGGGTCAATCAGTGCACAATTTTGTGGGTAAACCTTTGTGTTCTGGCTTGGGTTTGAAACTTAGCTTTGCTATTTTCTAGCCATATAATCTTGAGCAAATTGTATAACCTTTCTGAACCTCAATTTCCTCATTTGTAAAATGGGAATAATTATAGTACCTCTCTCATAGGGTTGCTGTAGAAGGTAAAGGATGTAACAAGTGTCAAGCAGTTAGCTTAGTGTCTGGTTCCCAGAAAGAACTTATTAAATGAGGAAAAATAGATATTCATTGGGGCCTACTTATTTTGATTTTATCTAACTTATTTATAAACATTTATTTGCAATGTGACAGGCATTGGATTAAGCACCAGGCATTAATTTATGAATAATTTAATGAGTAGCTAATTATGAATAATTCTGAGTAGCTTGGTATTTAGTGTAGTCAGTGGGGAGATTGTTACCTAAAAAGGCAACTGAAGTATAGAGCAGGAAGAGTTAAAATGGAGGTCTGTGCAGGTGTTATATGTGCAGTCCAGTCTGAGGCCACAGAGAAGTTTCCTGGAGAAGCTGATGTCTAAAATAAATTTTGAAGGAGCTAAGGAGCTATCTGAATGAAGATATGTGTGTGGTTAGGAATAGGGAGGAATATTCCAGACAGAGTACGGCAAAAGCAAAGATGTAGAGGTACGAAAGATGCACTTCATTTTTGGTTACAGGGAAGCCTAGATTCAGGAAATAAGGGTGAAAATGTAGGTGAAGTTAGGTCATGAAGCCTTTATAGACTTGCACAAGGAGCCTGGGATTTATCTTATATACATATGAAAAATTTTAAAGTTAATAACATGTTAGATTTTCAATCTACAGGATGGACTCAAAGGGACAAGGTGACAAGACTGAAAGCACACTTTCAGGAACCACTGCAGGATAAATATACACACACACACAAACACACACACACACACATGCATCGTATTAAAACTAATGAAAACCAGAGATTAGAGAAAATATTAAAAGCCAGAGAATAAAAATATAATCCATTTTAAGAAGCAATAATAAAACTGAGAGCTAACTTCTCAACAAAAGCAATGGATGCCATATTGAAAACATTGAAAGAAAATAACTGCTGATCCATAATTCTATGCCAGTAAATACATCATCCCAAAATGAAAATGAAATGAAGACATTTTGGTTTTTCTCCTCCTCCAACCTCCAGGTTACCCTAAATTATACTAAATGTACACAAGTTAATATTTCAATTAAAACTGAAAATTATCACACTGGATGAATAAAATAAACATGATTCTATGTTCTTTATAAGAGCTACAACTTAAATAAAGACACAAAATGATTGAAAGTAAAAGCATGAAAAATAATATGTTTTGTAAACACTAACCAAAAGAAAGCACCTGAAACTGTAACAATATCAGATAAAGTAGACTTGAAACCTAAAAGAATACTGGAGTTTAAAAAAGAATATTTTGAAGTGCCAAATGGTCAACCCATCAGGAAGATATAATAATTATAAAATTATATGCACCACTAATATAAGTTTAAAATGTATGAAGAAAAAACTGACAAAAGTAAAAGGAGAAATAGACAAAGATACAATCATAGAGGAGTACTTAACAATGTTATCTCAGAAATGAATGGAATAAACAGACAAAAATATCAGTAAGTATAGAGAAGATTTAAAAAACATGATTAAAAACTTGGAGATATAGATATATGGATTCATAGAGATAATAGCTCTATATAGAGGTATCTATAAATATATAGAGATATAGATATATGAACAATATCAGAATACATATTTTTATAAGCATACATAGAACCTTAGCCAAAATTGACCATATGTTGGTTCATAAAATGCATTTTTTAAAAAGTCAAAGGACTGTAATAATTCAGGGTATACTTCTCAGGTCATAGTGAAATTAAGCTAGAAAAAAATAGCAGAAAGATAATTAGAAGTTTCTCAAATGTATATAGGAATTAAGAAATATTATTCAAAATAACCCTTAGTTCAAAAAAGACATCTCTTTTTAAAAATTCTTAAGCATTATAAAATTAATAATTTTGAAGATATAAATTTGTGAGATACAACCAAAGCAATACTAGAGATAAATTTAAAGTTCTAAAATGCGTATAATTGGAAAAAGAAAGGCTAAAAACCAACATCTAAATAGCCTCTCAAAAAGATAGCAAAAGAACAGCAAATTAAATTAAAGGAAGTAGAAGGAAAGAAATTATAAAGTCAGGAAATAATGATATAGTGAAGGGTTCAAAAGAGATCATCAGCCATAGTCAAAAGTTGGTTCTTAGAGAAGTCTAACAATATTGATAAGTTCCTAGTAAGACTGATGAAGAAAAAAAGAGAGAAAAAAATAAATTGCCAATATCAAGAAAGAAAACAGGAGATATCACCGAGGGTCCTACACATAGTACAAGTATGAGGACTTTATTGTCAATTTATGATAATTGTGATTTAAAAATTTAGATGAAATAGACAAATTTTTAGAAAAATATAACTTACAAAAACTGACACAAGAAAAAATAGAAAGCCAGAATAATCTTACAACAATTAAGAAATGAATCTGTAATTTAAAACCTTTTTCACAAAGAAATCTCCAGGCCCATATGACTTCAGTGGGAGTTCTTCTAAAACGTTAAAATAATACAGACTTCTGGTTTCTAGTCTGGCATGTAAGAAGATTTAAAGTTTCCACTTCATCCTAACAAGTAAAATGATGAACAAAGTGAAAAATCAAAAACTTTTCCTAGATTCATCAGAGATATAAAGTCACAGGGCAAACCACTGTCCCTCAGTTTGGAGAGACAGACAGGTGGAAACAAAGAATTATAACTTCCTGGAGCAGAAACCTCCATGGGAACAAGTTCTAGGGCAGAAAAACAAAAACAAAAACAACCAAAACTATAACTGACAAATTGCTGGAGGCTCAGTATGGACAAGAGCTTAAAACTTCAGGGGAACCCAGGCTTTTTTGAGTTTTAACTCCCGGAGCTCTACAGGTCATTACAGTGAATATTGGAGAAAAGTCCCCTTGTGCTTCCAGAAGAAGGAAGAGAAAAGTAACCATTTTGAAATATGCCAGAGCATTCTGTTCTCAATAAGGCCCACCCTCAGGAGAAAATATTTTATCAGAGCCTCTCTTACCATGTGTTTTCAACATTATACTACAAGTCCTAGCTAATGCAAGAAGGCAAGAAGAAAAAATAAAAAGCATACAGACCGGGAAGGAATAAATAAGACTGTCTTTGTTTGCAGATGACATCATTCTCTATCCATCATCCAAAAGAATTGACAAAAAAAGAGAAAACCTCCTGAGGCTAGGTGCAGTGGCTCATGCCTGTAATCCCACCACTTTGGGAGGCCGAGGTGGGCAGATCACTTGAGGTCAGGAGTTCGTGACCAGCCTGGCCAATATGGCAAAATCCCTTCTCTATTAAAAATACAAAAATTAGCTGGATGCGGTGGTGGAAGCCTGTAATCCCAGCTAGTAGGGAGGCTGAGGCAGGAGAATAACTTGAATCCTGGAGGCGGAGGTTGTCGTGAGCCGAGATCACGCCACTGCACTCCAGCCTAGGCGACAGAGCGAGACTCCATCTCAAAACAAAAACAAAGAAACAAAAAAAAAAGCCTCCTGAAAATAATCAGTAATCATAGCAAGGTTGGAGGATACAAGGTTAATATATAAAACTCAATCGCTTTCCTAAATACTAGCAATTAATAAGTGGAATTTAAAATTAAACACATATTATCATTTACTTAGCACCCCTCAAAATTAAATACTTAGTTATAAATCCGATAAAATATGTACAAGATTTCTATGAGGAAAACTACAAAACTCTGATGAAAGGTATCAAATAATTAAATAAATGGTGAAATAGTCCATGTTTATGGATAGGAAGAGTCAATATTTTCAAGATGCCAGTTCTTTCTGACTTGATGTATAGCTTCAGTGCAACCCCAATCAAAATCTCAGCAAGTTATTTGGGTGGCTATTGATAAACTAAAGTTTATGTGAAGTTTAAAGTTTATATGAAGAGGCAAAATTTATGTAAAGAGGCAAAAGACCTGGAAGAGCCAATTCAATGTTGAAAGGAGAAGAGAATGCTAGAGGACTGACACACTACCCTACTTCAAGACTTACTATATACCTGTAGTAATTAAGATAGTGTGTTATTCACATAACAAGAGACAAATCAGTAGACAAGAATAGAAAGCACACAAATAGAGTCTCATATAAGTATAGTCACTGATCTTCGACAAAGGAGCAAAAGCAATGAAATGGAACAAAGACAGTGTTTTCTTTCTTTCTTTCTTTTTCTTTGGAAGTGTTTAAGAGTCTGTATTTATTGATAAATTTCTGACCAGAGAAGTTAGAGACATTTACCCTTCTACAAGTAATTGTTGCAGTATATCCTCAAAAAATATTTGAAATGTTTGCTATTTTGGTAGGTACAAAGCATACCTTATTTTTTAAGATTACACTCAACTACTAATGAAGTTAATTTTTTTACATATTAATCCACTTGCATTTTCTATGTAAACTGTTAATATCTTTTTTTTAAAGACAGTGTTTTCAATAAGTGGTGGTGTAATAACTGGACATCCACATGCAAAGAAAAAATGAACCTAGACACAGACCTTACACCCTTCACAAAAATTTACTCAAAATGGATCACAGACCTAAATGTAAACCACAAAGTTACAAAACTCTTAGAAGATAATAGAGGAGAAAATATAGATAACCTTGAGTATGGCAATGACTTTTTAGATACAACACCAAAGGTATGGTCCATGAAAGAAATAATTGGTATGCTGGACTTTATTAAAAGTAAAAACTTCTGCTCTGCAGAAGACAATGTCAATAGAATAAGAAGAAAAGCCACAGGATGGGAGAAAAATAGCTGCAAAAGACAAATCTGGTAAAGAATTGTTATTCAAAATTTATGAAGAACTCTTAGAACTCAAGAATAAGAAACAAACCACCAGATATTAAAATGGGCCAAAGACCATAACAGACATCTCACCAAAGAAGATAAACAGAAGGCAAGTAAGCATATGAAAAGATGTTCAACATCATATGTCTGTAGGGAATTGTAAATTAAAAAATAAAATACCATTACACACCTATTAGAATGGCCAAAATTCAAAAACACCTTCAATACCAAATACTGGTGAGGATGTAGAACAACAGAAACTCATTTATTGCTGATGGGAATGCAAACTGATACAACCACTTAGGAAGAGGGTTGTCAATTTCTTACAAAATTAGTCCCACTCTTATCCTATGATCCAACACTCACGCTCTGGTATTTACCCACATGAATTGAATACTTATGTTAACACAAAAACCTGCACACAGGGTGTTTTTATTAGCTTTATTCCTAATTGCCAAAACCTGAAAGCAACCAAGATTTTCTTTAGTGGATGAATAGTTAAGTAAACTGTGATACATCCAAACCGTGGAATATTATTCAGTACTCAAGAAATGAACTATGAAGCCACGAAAAAAATGGAAGAAACTTAAATGCAAATTATTAACTGAAAGAAGTCAATCTCAAAGTGCTATGTCCTGTATGATTTCAACCATATAACATTAGCAAAATTATAAAAACAATTAAAAGTTAGTGGTTGCCAGGGGTTAGGAGGAAGAAAGGAATGAATAGACAAAGCACAGAGGTTTTTAGGACAGTGAAACTATTCTGTATGATACTACAATGGCAGATACATGTCATTATACATTTGTCAAAGCCCATGGAATGTACAACATCAAAAGTGAACCATAGACTTTGGGCAATAATGATATGTCAATGTAGGTTCATCAGTTATAGCAAAGATACCACTCTAGATGTGATTTCAATAGTGGGGAAGGTTGTGCATGTGAGGAACATGAGCACTGTCTGTACTTTCCACTCAATTTTGCTGTAAACATGAAAGTACTCTAAGAATAAAATTTATTAATTACAAAAGAAATACTACTAATGTTACATAAACTCTTCAGGAAAATAGGAAAAGAGTGACCACATCCCAATTTTTTATATTCCCAGTATAATATTGATACTATAACCTGGCAAAGATATTGCAAGAAAAGAAACATATCAGTCAATTATAAATTTAGATACAAAAGTTCCAAATAAAATGCTATTAAATATTGTATAAAAATAAGATTTTTATATCCAAGTTATGTTTAATCCTGGGAAACAAAGTTGACTTATATATATAAATCAACCAATTTGTTTCCCAATAATAATAGAAAAAAGGGAGAAAATATTATAATTATCACAATAGATGCAGAAATGTTACTTAACAAAATTCAACACCATTCATGATTTAAAAAAAAACTTCAAAGAGCTTACCATCACCATTTCAACATTGTGTTGAATGCCTTCATTAGTACAATAAGACAAGAAAAAAGACAAAGAAAGAAAGAAAACCCTTGTTTTTCAGAGACGTTATGATCATGTGTATAGAAAATCCAAAAGAATCTCAGATAGACCAGGCACGGTGGCTCACACCTGTAATCCCAGCACTTTGGGAGGCCGAGGCGGGCAGATCATGAGGTCAGGAGATCAAGACCATCCTGGTTAACACGGTGAAACCCCGTCTGTACTAAAAATATAAAAAGTTAGCCAGGTGTGGTGGTGGGTGCCTGTAGTCTCAGCTACTCAGGAGGCTGAGGCAGGAGAATGGCGTGAACCCAGGAGGTGGAGCTTGCAGTGAGCCAAGATCGTGCCACTGCACTCCAGCCTGGGCAACAGAGTGAGACTCCATCTCCAAAAAAAAAAAAAGAATCTCAGATAAAAGATTAGAATTAAATATTAATTTATCAAGTCTATTGGATATAAAATGAATATATAAAAATATGTTTAATTTCTTTATATCAACAACAAAAAATTAGAAAACAAAGATTTACAAAATAACTGTGAAAGCAGCAATTACCTAGGAATAAGTCTATATTGCCAAGATCAATTACAGAAAATTTACATAAAGAAAAAGATAGTCACAGCTACTCGGGAGGCTGAGGCAGGAAAATCGATCACTTGAACCTGGGAGACAGAGGTTGCAGTGAGCCAAGATTGTGCCACTGCACTCCAGCCTGCGCGACAGAGTGAGACTCCCTATAAAAAAAAAAAAAAAAAAACAGATATACCATATTCATAGATTAGAAAATTTAGTATTGTAAAGATGTGTATTTTTTATAAACTGATCTGCATGTTTAGTACAATCTCAATTAAAATAAAAATCTCAAGCAGTTTGTGTGTATGTGTGTGTGTCTGTGTGTGTGTAAATTGACAAGCTAATTTTAAAATCTATATGGAGATTCAAGAATAGCCAAAATAATCTTAAAGATGAACAAAGTTGAACACTTATACCACCAGAAATTGGGATATATTATAAAGATACTTAGAATTTATTTGGTTTATTTTATTATATTAATTTTAAAAATTTGAAGGTAGAGATCAGGAGGAATAAACAATAAGAAAAAGTAACTTGCTTTAGTAATTATTAAGTCAAGGATTACCATTAAAGAAAAACCATGTTCTGGAATACTATGCAGCCATACAAAGGAATGAGGTCATGTCCTTTGCAGGGACATGGATGAAGCTGGAAGCCATCATCCTAGGCAAACTAAGAAAGGAACAGAAAACCAAACACCACATGTTTTCACTCATAAGTGGGAGTTGAACAATGAGAACACATGGACGCAGAGAGGGGGACAACACATGCCAGGGCCTGTTGGGTGAGGTATGAGGGAAGGGAAGTTAGAGGACAGGTCAATAGGTGCAGCAAACCACCATGGCACACGTATACCTATGTAACAAACCTGCACGTTCTGCACATGTATCCTGTTTTTTTTTTTTTATAGGAAATGAAGAAAAAAAATTTTTTAAACAACCATGTTCTAGCCATATGCAGAAAATTGAAACTGGACCCCTCCCTTACACCTTATACAAAAACTAACTCAAGATGGGTTAAAGACTTCAATGTAAAACCCAAAACTATAAAAACCTTAGAAGAAAATCTAGGCAATACCATTCAGGGCATAGGCACAGGCAAAGATTTCATGACAAAAATGTCAAAACCAATTGCAACAAAAGCAAAATTTGACAAATGGGATCTAATTAAACTAAAGAGCTTCTGCACAGCAAAGGAAACTATCATCAGAGCAAACAGACAACCTACAGAATGAGAGAAAATTTTTCCAATCTATCCATCTGACAAAGGTCTAATATTCAGAGTCTACAAGGAGCTTAAACAAACTTACACACAAAAAATATGAACAACCCCATTAAAAAGTAGTCAAAGGACATGAACAGACATTTCTCAAAAGAAGACAATTACGTGGCCTAAAAACATATTTAAAAAACCTCAGCATCAATGACCATTAGAGAAATGTAAATCAAAACCACAATGATATACTATCTCACTCTAGTCAGATGGTGCTTACTAAAAAGTCAAGACACAACAGATGCTGGTGAAGCTGTGGAGAGATAGGAATGCTTTTACACTGTTGGTGGGAATGTAAATTAGTTCAACCATTGTGAAAGACAATGTGATAATTCCTCAAAGATCTAGAAGCAGAAATACTATTTGACCCAGCAATCCCATTACTAGATATATACCCAAAGGAATACAAATCATTCTATTGTAAGGACACATGCACAAGTATGTTCATTGCAGTACTATTCACAATAGCAAAGACATGGAATCAACCCAAATGTCCATAATGATAGACTGGATTAAGGAAACCCTAGAAGAAAATTGAGGCAATACCATTCAGGGCATAAGCATATTACAGGAATATTATGCAGCCATAAAAAGGAATGAGATAATGTACTTGCAGGGACATGAATGGAGCTGGAAGCCATTATCATCAGCAAACTAACACAGGAAAAGAAAACCAAACACCACATGTTCTCACTCATAAGTGGGAACTGAACAATGAGAATGAGAACACATGGACACAGAGAGGGAACGACACACACTGGGGCCTGTTGAGGAAGGGGGTTCAGCGGGAGGGAGAGCATCAGGAAAAACAGCTAATGCATGCTGGGCTTAATACACAAGTGATAGGTTGATAGGTGCAGCAAACCACCATGGCACACATTTACCTATGTAACAAACCTGCAGGTCCTGCACATATACCTCAGAACTTAAAATAAAATAAAATAAAATTTAAAAAGAACCATGTTCAGAAGGGGAGAGGAGTAATTAGATTACTGGAGATTAAAATATTAATTTGTGGTAAAATACACAAAGCAGCTTTTCTGAAAAAAAAAATGGTGAGAAAGGAAAAAGAAAAACAGGATTTTTTTGTAACGGGAAGTAGGATCAGGAGAAGAGTTTGGTTTTCTAGAATGGAGGATACTAAGTCATAATTTTAGGTAGAGTCATTCAGAGTGGAACGTGAAAAGAAAATGAATAATTGATACGACTAGGTCTAACAGAGATAAAAGGGCATGTGATTAAATGCACAAGCCTAAGAAAATGGGGGAGATTCTTTATCCTCTAAGATAGTGGAAAGAAGCAGACAGAGAGAGGTAAGCAGATACAGACACTTTGAAATCAAGAGTAAATTGGCATCCTTATATTGGATGGCCTGAAAAAAATTAGATAAAAGCGTAATAGAGTGCATAATAGTTTCTCAGTAAATATGTATTGAACTAATGAGTGAAACACTTATAAATTACTAATGCATAAATAAATTTAAGTCATCTATAGTTAAAAAGGAGACAGTGGTTGGTTAAGGCAAAATACAGATACAAGGAAAGTATAAATTTTAGGTATGCAACAGGGTGTTGATTGGAAGAATTGCTAAGTTTCTGTTTATTTTGACAATGGTATGGTAGTACTGCCTTGTCATCACTAAAATCCACTATGTTTTCTCCTGAGCATACACTAGATCACATCTCCTTGCCTTCCTAGGCAAAGATGCCTTTGGCTGCTTTCTGGCCAAAGCCATGTGGTGAGAATAATGCATGCCATTTACAGAATGAACCTACAAAAATCTCCCGTGTGATCCTCTACTTCTTGCCTTCCTTCATTTGACAGCCCAAAGCCAAGAACCTAGCAGACAATTCTGCTGTAGGGCCCTAGGAAAGGACTTGGCAAACCTTTTCTTAAGGGCAAGATGGTAAATATTTTAGGCTTTGTAGACTAAGAAGCAAAATCAAGGATATTATGTGTTATTTTATAACCATTTAAAAACACAGCCATTTAAACAGATAAAAACCATTTTTGGCTCATGGGCTGTAAAAAAAAGGAAAAAAAAAAAGCTGGAACAGGCCAATTTGGCCCATGGGCCATCATTTGCTGCTTTCCATTCAAGGCAGTAATGGAGAACCATGCTGGGAGGAGCCTGGGTCTCTGAATGATTGTGTGGAACACAGAGCTTATACCCTACTCACTATTGACTGGACTTTAGATAGGTTAGAAATAAACTTCTGTTATGCTAAGCCCCTGAAATTTAAATGGTGTTCATTATAGCAGTCAGCCAATCCTGAATGACAAAAAAGGTTAGAGACATTTGGAAGATAAAGAGGAAGGTGTGCCTTAAAATACAATTTAATATTTATTGATCATTTGCTATGTGCCAGGCCCTGTACTAAGGGTTTTGCATGCATTATCACATTTAACATTCACAAAAAATAAGAGGTAGG
Organism: Homo sapiens; assembly: GCF_000001405.40. Lineage (NCBI taxonomy): Eukaryota > Metazoa > Chordata > Mammalia > Primates > Hominidae > Homo > Homo sapiens. Next base: position 168,861,453 of record NC_000001.11, read on the forward strand.
TATTATTATCATATGCATTTTATAGGTGAAGAAAATAGGAGTTAAAGGAATTACTCAAGTTGTAGAGCTAAAAAGTGGTAAACTTGGATTCAAATCTAAGTTGCTTTGGCTCCAAAGCTTGTTCTCCTTAACAGCATACTATGCTGTCTCCTAGAAATAAAATGAATTGTAAGAGAATCTACTGTGTATATCTAAATTCTGTTTACTTAATTATTTACTCAATCATTCATAATTTATAACTTGTCTAGTTCCAAGAATGACTCAAGTTTTTATTTAGAAGAATGTAAACAAACTGATCCAAAATTCCAATTAGGAAACTAATACATGGTTGTAAACCCTAGAGAAAATTCCTCCTGGAAGCTAGTTATTGCTAGAGTAAATAGCAGAGATCTTTGAGCAGTAAAATTCCATGCACTAAAGTCCAACAAGCCTCTCTCAGATTCTTATCTCTCTGATTCTTCCCACAGTTATAACAAATTTGCTTATCTGGTTTAAAGCCCAAAGCAGTATGTTCTCAGGTGCATGAGAGGCTACCAAAAATTATCACACTATTCATGATAGGACCTCATAGGTGACATATCATTTATACCACCACTGCCCCCAGAATACCAATGTGTACTTGCTGGGGTCATTTGATGGCCCATGCCCTTTAGTAGCCCCTAGGGTAATCACTGTATTATCAGGAACTGTACAATAATTGATGTTCATAATGAAGCTTGATCATTCAAATGATGTGAAAACATCTATAAACTACTTGAGTTAAATATATATATCTATGTATAAAATCAAGTATCTTGCCAAATATTATCAATTTAAAACTAGGATTGTGCTTTTTAAAATATAGATACTAATTGTCTGAAAAAACTCATGTATTTGATCCTTTTCATCTTCTCAAATGTGTAATAAACAAGGTAAGATCATGAAGGGTAGAAAATATCTGCTGGCAAACTCTGAACTTAAATATGACTCCTGCTAAAATGAAATGTGTAGTCCTTATTGTCTGAGGAATATTGGAAACACATAAAGTTTGGGGGTGAGAGGAGATGTGTACAAAACCAAATCTATCTTCTTTAATGTAGTATATAAACTTCCCACAGCTAGCAATCCTGATTATTCAATTTTCTGAAATAAATTTGGACTTCAGCTACCCAGATACCTTGGATAAAGGTAGTCTTTGGAAAACTGTGACAACAAAGTATTTTTCAGGCTTCAATATACTGGATAATCGGTATATATGGAACCAAAAAAAGGGATGAAAGAGGAAATTCACATGGCCTCACACAGGTGTACTTTAAATTCCTCTCTTATGTGTTTAAACTACTGGGATGTGGGGATGTATGTACACTGTGTCAACCAACACACTGCCCCTTGGCTTATGGTTACAGTCCTAATGCGGAAGAGAGAATGGCCTAATGGGTTTGCCTTTGACAGAGTTTTTCAAAACTAGAATTATTCAAAACACAATACTAACAACATTTATTATAAAGAATACCTCTGAATAGTAGTATAAAGAGGCAAAGTAGTATGAAGTGAAAGCGATGAAGAGAAAATCCATGGAGGCTTTTTTAACCAAATTTAGGAAAGCCTCTGCTCCTCTTCATGCCTCAGTTTCCTCATCTATTAAAGAAATGGGTTAGATATGATAGCCTCTATTGGCCCTTCCAGGTCTGACATGCCAAAAATTCTCTATTGCTCCTCACATTACCCTAATCTGGGAGCTCAAGGAGTACCTCTGGCTTAATTAACCATGCAGATAATTGTGTGCTCTAGCTGGGCTCAGTGGTGCACCTGACTTGGGAGGCTGAGATGGGAGGATCGCTTGAGGCTGAGAGTTGAATAGTGCAGTGAGCTATGATCACACCTGTGAATAGCCACTGCACTCCAACCTGAGCAACATAGTGAGATCTCATCTCTAAATAATAATAATAATAGTAAATCTTTTTAAAAAATTAATAAAATTGTGAATTCTGACGTAAGTCCAATGCCTTTTGATTTACTTTTGGGGTCCTGGATTTCCACTCAGTTCCTCTCAATCCAATCATAAAATCTTATAGTCCACAGAAACTGTAAATATTATCCAGTCCTCTATTACTGAGATGAGAAGCCTAGGATTTAAAAATTTGCCCAAAGTTATGCATAGTGGCACAGTCAGAACTAGAACCCAGGTTTCTTGACCGCCAATCCTCTATTCTCTATTCTATAATGTTGCTTCTTGCTATATGTGGGAGACAATGTCTAGATTAAAAATTACAGAAAACGTCAAAAGTCCACAAGCCTCTGGAGTCAGAATCAGAAGCAGGAGAGCCAATTTATTTATGATTGAGTAGAGGTTGTTTGAAAAAAATTAATAAAACATTGTTTAAGAGGCTAAGTGCCTCTAGGGATAAGAATCTGGCCTCCTTTGCCAAGACGGAACTCAATGAAAACTAAGACTAACGTGTAAATGTATTTTTGTTGAAGTTTTTCCCTTGAGATTGGGGGAGGGCAAACTGATTTAGATAAAATGAGATCTGACCTCGGCTGATCCAAAACTCTTGCCCAAGACACAAAACAAAGCCCCAATAAAACTCTAGTCTTGGTTCAAACAAAGGTCAGTAAAGGGGAGGGGGGATAAGGATGGAGACTGAGAAATAAAAGCATTTGTTGATTCTCTTCCTGACCAAAAGTCGCACTGCCAAATTGTCATAAGAAAGGCTGTTTATACAGACGCCCCAGCCCAGCTAAAATAAAAGTAGGAGTCAACTCGTCAGATTTTACACTTGGTTCCCAAGTAAGAATAGTTCAGTGTAGCTTCTGAATTTCTGGCTCCTTCGATAAATAGGTTTCTTTGGTATCAGGAAGTTATGCATTAAGAGAAAAAAGTGTGGACATCTTTCCTGGGCAGGCAGCATCTGAATACATTATTTAGTGTTCAAGCATACCAAAGATTAAAAGAAGAGATCCCACAAAGCTGAGAGCAGCCATTGTATAGAGCAGGCCTCTTAGGTCAGCTAAGGAGGAGGCTGGGAAATAGGTCAGCAGCTACAAGACCTTAGTGAAAACACAAGCTTGATCCCAAGAACTAGACACAGACCTTGATGTTCCCTAACAGAAATTCAAGAAACATTAAGGCTAATCCATAATGGAGAATCCATAAAAGAAAATGGAGAACTGTTTTTGGTTTTGTTTTCAAATTTATGCCACAAAATTCTTATGCAATCCATACCTTGAGATGGCAGCAGGAAGAGAGGGTTAGATTGAATGGATCAGTGTTTTGATTGAATGTGACATACGCCATATTTCATAAGCAATTCAGTTTATCTTTTGAAGGGCAAAAATAAGTGATTTAGGCAAAGCATGTTTAGAGGCAGAAGTCATCAAACTTTTACTTAGGTTAATTCACTTAAAATACAATTTGCATGACTTCAAACTGCAAATTGAACTGAAAAAGTGGCACCAGCCAAAGCAAAGATAAGCAGGAAATAGGTCCACAGGTCCACAAGACATTTAGAACTCCCTGCCCACTGTGCTGGCTGGTCTTTGTGGATATGACTTACATCTTGGGAGAGGAAAAGTAGACATTTGAATTTCTGGCTAGGAAAGAAAGAAAATACATACGGAAAGCTCTGGAATAATTGTATTCTCCACTATCCCCCATCCCATTAGCTGCATCAACAATTGAGTTTGTGAAATAATAATGATATCAATAGCTAATGTTTGTTGTGCACTTAATCATTATACTGAACCTCAAAAGTATGTTACGATTATATCAATTTTCTTGAGTACCAAAGAGTTCAAACCATTTTCATATGTCCTCACAGCTAGTTTTGGTAGTAATAAGAAATATTTATTGTCTCCAGCACTAAGACTTTACATGTATTGACTGACTTAACCTCATTAAGGAGATACCACTATAGGATTTATTTTGCAGCTACAAAAACTGGGTCATGGAGGGATAAAGGGATGAATTAAGTGCTTTCCTAAGGTTACATACTGATAAATAGCATATTTGAGATTTAAGGCCAATTGTCTGGCTCCCAACCCTCTAACCAGTTATTGGAAAACCTGAGATACTAACCTTACTCTGTCTGACTCCAAAACCTGCTTTTTCTACACAGCACATTTGTGTCTATGTAAAATATATACTTATTTAAAGTTAGCAACTTCAGTTTAAAATGAGAAATAACTTTGTAACAAAAGTAATTGCCCTCAAAGATAATAGAGTGTAAGTAGTGTTCTGCACATCTGTGTGAAGAGACCACCAAACAGGCTTTGTGTGAGCAATAAAGCTTTTTAATTACTGGGTGCAGGAGGACTGAGTCTGAAAAAGGGGTCAGCAAAGGGAGATAGGGGTAGGGCAGTTTTATAGGATTTGGGTAGGTAGTGGAAAATCACAGTTAAAGGGGCTTTTCTCTTGTGGGCAGAGGCAGGGGTCACAAGGTGCTCGGTGTGGAGCTCCTGAGACTCATTGTCCAGGAGAAGGAATGTCACATGGTCAGTTGATCAGTTAGGGTGGGGCAGGAACAAATCACAATAGTGAAATGTCATCAGTTAAGGCAGGAACTGGCTATTTCACTTCTTTTGTGGTTCTTCAGTTGTTTCAGGCCATCTGGATGTATACTTGCATGTCACAGGAGTTATGATGGCTTAGTTTGGGCTCAGAGGCCTGACAAGTAGTAAGCCCCTTGCCACAAAATGTGTAGCAGAGGTAACATAATCAAGCGGAAAAGACATTGTAGAAGGAAGACAAGCATTATAACAAAAGATCTGGGAATTGAACTAAATGGCTCTAAAGTTATTTGAGACCAATTAGTTCACAGCATAGTAACATAAGTGGCCCTTATTGAGTCAGAAGTTGGCTTTTTTTTTCATATTTTTTCTAGTCAGTCAACTGAGAATCTTTGTAATTTCAAAATAACACTTTGGGACGATGTGAAAATTCTTCCCCAAACACTTACAGTATTTACTTCTATAACATGACTCATAATGGGTCTGGGCTCATGAGAAGGCAAGACCTCTGTGTGAACCTGAAAGTTTCTACCTCCATCCTTATCCCACCGAGTCTTGGTGCCTGAATGTGATCATCACTATTGCTTCTTACCCACAAGAATTTGCCTTGAACCTTCTTCCTAACAGAAACTGAAGCTTGCTAAAATATTGAGAAGTCAATTATTTCAAAGGACATTAAATCCTTAAGTGGTTTAGTCAAACATGGCAACTCCATTCCCCTTGGAAAGTGATTTGTTTAGGCATGGGCATGTGATCTAATTTTGGCTGAAGTGATGTCAAGGAAAGTCTGTCGGTGAGGCTCTAGGAAGGTTTTCTCACTCCTAAAAATGAACACAAGTCTAGCAGTTTTATTTTCTGTTTCTGGATGTTGTCACCTGCTTAAGATACCTGCAATGAGAGAGCCATCTGGTACCATCATGGGAACCAGCCTAAGAGGATAAAGCAAATTACTGTAGATGACAGAACAGAAAGGATGGATACTGGGTTCTTGGTAGCATCACTGAGACACTGAATTACCCAGCTTTAGAATTCCTCTAGCTCTGCATTTCTCCTTAAGGGACAAATAAATAGCCTTGTTTACTTGTTTTTTATACCATTTATCTTTGTTTGTTTGTTTTTAACTTCCAGCTAAAAGTACCCTAACTGATAAATTGAACTACCACATTTATTCATAATGTTTAAAGCATTGCACCTCTAAGAATCCCATCAGAGAATGTGAATTTTCTCTGGAAAGACTATAAAATAAAAACTTAATAACAGTAAAAATGATTACAAATAATAATAAAATCATCATTGTTATTATTTGGCATCATGGAAAACATAGGTTTTAAAATCAAATAAACCCAAGTTTAAAATCTGTCTCTATCTTGCCAGCTTGGTGATCTCGGCAAAATTATTTAACCCTTCTGATATTGATTCCTCATATTTTAAAGGGAAGTGATATAATAATATTTTGCAAGATTGCCGTATAAATTGTGATAGAGTATATAAAGCATCTGGAACATAGCAGGTATTCAGTAATTGGTAGCTCTATCTATTGGTCTTTTTCTCATCTATAAAATTGGTATACTAAAACTTCGCTCCTGAAGTTTATGTGAGTTCTAAAGGAGACAATGAATGTATGTAATCAGCACTTTACACATAACTATAATAGTCTCTTTGGGGATGGAAAATGGAGTGATCAGATTGACAAGGGAATGGAATGAAGGCATTGCTATCTGGTGAGAGGGATGGGAGACATTGGTACAACTTGAATGTTAGAAGAGGAATACCATCACAGGGGCAAAGGGCCCAAAGACAGCCTTTATCTTTCTCAATATTTGTGTAGGGACTTCTTCTCCTTAGAACTAAAAAAACAGGAAGTAAAATTTATAGACCCCTAGAGCCAGCAAAACCAATAGGTCAGGTTTACTATCAAAAGGATATTTCTTTAACAGATCTTTGACTCTTTCTTAGTGGCTCTCTCTCTCTATGTGTGTCTCTGTCTCTTCTCTCTAATTAAATGCCTACCCTGTGCTCTTACACATTTGGTGACTTTCAACAGTTATTCAGAATTTTAAAATCTTCCATGGTTTTTAGACCAGTTCCATTTAAAAAAAAAAATTAAGGTTGATATTTCACTTTGGTCTTAAACCAGAGCCAAGTAGGCTTTTCTCCAAAGAATGCTGGCACCTGTGATTCTACTACATGAATGCCAGGAAGTATGCTGACCAACGAGTTCTCATTTCAGATAAGCAGTTAATTTGTGGTGACCTTGAGCAGCCACTTTACTTACCTGGGTCATAATTTCCTTACCTGGGTATAATTTCCTTGGCTATAAAACAAGAGGGGTTGCATTAAGTCCCCTCTCTGAACTCAGAATCACCACCTGGCCCTTCTTTGTGGCCCTCCAGTCTCATGAGTCTTTTCAGTCTATGTGTATAATAATGTCTCTCTGTATCATTACCTTATTGTATAAACATCTCCCTGTGCATGTTTCTGCCATACCTAGGTGACCCAGCAGAGATTACTAAACTCATTTCCTCTTTGTCTTCGGTGTACAGTTAAACTTCCCTCGTGTGGCCACAAAACCATTCACCCTTCTCCTGTCTTCCTGCATCTGCTGGTGGAACCAAAAGACCCAGTGAAAGACTTTGAAGTCCTGGAACATGGTGGAAACAGCTTCTCTGACACCTTCACGTCCCCATCCATCCCCACACTTCGCCCCTGCCACCTCTCACTGGATTATGATATCAGTGAGAATGCATCTTCATTGTGTTAAAACACTGAAATTTGAAGATTATTTAGTATAGTATTTGGCCTATTCTGACTGTACAACCCAGCTATGTAAAGTCTTAGAGACTAGGCAGTGTATTGCCTTCTTTTAAGAAATGAGGCAGTTTACAGGGCCCACTTTGATTATTTGGGCGGTTCCATAAAATGGTCACAACATGGGATTTAAAGAGATAAAAACAAAAAGGGGGAAAGTAAAGACAGATTTTCCTAAGTAAAAAGGAACTCTCTTTTTAATGCCAATGTTTTCTCTTCAATTAACAGCACAATTAACAGTGCATACCTCCTGGGAACATGTTACCAAAAGTTAGAAGGCCAAATTCCCTCAGCCTCTATCCAGCATCACAAATAACTTCAATGAGAACCATAGGAACATCGAGTGTCCTGTGAATCTGAGAACTGCAATGGGCCCTAGGGGCTCTTCCATCCAGGCTTATCATGATTCAGGAGAAGAAATTGAGGACCGAAGACATCAAATATAATAAGCTAATGGAGGAACTGAGGCTACTTGCCTGGCTCCAGTGCTCTTTCCTTTGCCTCAAAATCTTTACAGGTCAGCCATCTATCATGTGTAGAATAAGCAAACTGAATTAACATTGGAAATATTAAAAGAACAGAGGTTGCGTGGATATTGGTTGGAACAGAGAAGAAGTTTTCACAAGGAATTAAAGTAACACCAGCTGCTCACTGCTCTGACTTAAACCATACAGCAACTCCAGAAACATGGGGGGTGTTGTTGAGTGGCAAGGTAAGCTCAAGAATGCTAAATGTGTCTGAAGGCAAAGGGGATTATTTGTCATTGGCCTTCTGACTCAAAAAAGCCAACATATATATATATATCTCAAAACCTACTGATAAGCAGAAAGAATATAGGGCTGTTATACTTGGTTGGCATCACTTTGTTCAGAAAGCAAGAAGGCAGCTGCATTCCACACTGACCAAAACTATTATATCAGGTTGTGCTTCTCTTAGTCTTAGGTGTCTTCTCGTAGGACTGTTTTAAAATTCAACACGAGGGGAGAGGGAACAAGCTAGACACAGAGAAAATAGTTATATATTTAGAGGACTGTGAGATCTTAATAAAATTTAACCGTATGGGGGCTCTATTGCATTTACCATTCATTCAACAAAAGTTACTGATTGCCCATTATGTACTAGGCCCTGGTCTAGGCACATGGAATACACAGATGAATAAATATGTTCACTGTCCATTACTTTCTCAAAAGTTGAGGGGCCAGAAAACTAAAATGAAATGAGACAGACACTACTGGGGCTCAGGCTGGGTTGAGGGGAGGGCCTTCAACCCTGCCTTGCTATATTAGCAAAGGCTTCTAGGAGAGGAGTTGAGGCCTTTTCACGCTTTTTGAAGGAAAGATCGTGTTAATCAAGTAAATTAGAGAAAAGACATTCCTAGTGGAAGAAACAACCATGTCAAACTTCAAAGAATGATCAGGAAACTATAATAAATGTATTCTTTCTCTAGTGCATATTGTTGATGAGTATTTGGAGCAAGACACAGGTGTGTGCCATTCTGCACTTACTTGGTAATTAAGTGAAAAAAATCTAAAACTGAAAATTTAAGAGTAGATTTTCAAGTATTGTTTCAAAAGTTCAAACAATATTAACAAACTCAGTGTCTCACCCCACCTATTGGCTTTGCTTTTCGTTTTATTGACCCATTTTCCAGTAAGCTGTCTACTTAAAGAGACTGGTAGCTTGAGACTTAAGTAATCAGAACAGATAATAATCCTACAAAAAAAAAAAAGAGTTTTATTCTAATAGTTCCAGCAAGTCTTGAGATTGCATCTCATTGAGCTGGCTTCAGTCACATCACATTCCTGAACTAAGGCCCTGGTAGTACAAAGCTCAATCCTATCATCTTGACTGTCCTCTTCAGAGAAGAGATTTTCTTCTCTTCTCTGCACCTCCGTCTAACCTGTACTAAAGTTATCATTAGTTTTTCCTTAAATTAGAGAATCCAAACACATCAAACTCATGCAAAATAATGATGCCAGTTCCCTTCCTTACATTACACACACAAAAAATTAACTCAAAATGGATTATATACCTAAATGTGAGAGTCAAAACTATAAAACTCTTACAAGGAAACATAGGGGTAAATCTTTGTGCCCTTGAGTTAGGCAAAGCCTTCTTAGAAATGACACTAAAAGCGTAAGCAACAAAAGAAAATAGATAAATTTGACTTCATCAAAGTTTAAAAGTTTTATAATACAAGTAATACTATTAAGACAAATGATCGCACAGAGAATAGGAGAAAATATTTGGAAATCATATAACACATGTGACAAGAGACATGTATCCAGAATATATAGAGAACTCCTACAATTGAATAATAAAGGATAATTAATCCAATATTTAAATGGGCAAAGAATCAGAGTAGACATTTCTCTAAGGAAGGCATATGAATAACCAATAAGCTCAAGAGAAGATGCTTACAATGATCATTCATTAAGGAAATGCTAACTAAAACCACAAGATACCACTTCACAAAGCCACTATAGAGTGGCTAATAACAAGAATCGTAGAGGATGTGGAGAAATTGAAACTCTCATGCATTGCCACTGGGAATGTAAAATGTTGGAGCCACTTTGGAAGACAGATTGGTGGTTCCTCAAAAGTTGAACATGGAGTTACCTTATGACCTGGCAATCCCACTCCTAGGTACATACTCAAAAGAATTGAAAACAGGTACTCAAACAAATACATATGCAATCATAGTCATAGCAGCACTATTCACAATATCCAAAAGGTATAAATAACCCACATTTCAATCCATTGATGACCTGATAAACAAAATGTAGTATATCCCTCCAACGGCCTGTTGTTTGACAATAAAAAGGAATGAAGAATTGATCATAGTACAACATGAATGAACCTTGAAAACATTATACTAAGTGAAAGAAACAAGTCACAAAAGACCACATATTAGATTATTCCATTTATATAAGACATTGAGAATAGGCAAAGCTATAGAGATGGAAAGTGGATTAGTGGTTGCCAAGGGCTTGAGGGATGGGGAGGGATTAGGAGTGACTGCTGGTGGATAGTTCATTGCTTTTTGAAGTGATGAAGATATTCTAAAATTAATTAGATTCTGGGGGTTGTCACACAATCCTGTCAATATATTAATATCATTGAATTATTATATACTTTAAATGGATGAGTGGTATAGCATGTGAATTTTGCCTCAATAAAGCTGTCTAGTGAAACACAGTATAGACAAAGTATTTGAATAGGAATTTTCCCAAAGAAAGTATGCAAAAAAAGCCAACAAGCACATAAAAAGAGGTTAAACATTGGTCACTAAAGAAATGCAAATCAGTCCTGTTGTAGTGGCTCATGACTGTAATCCCACACTTTGGGAGGCAGAGGCGGGTGGATCACTTGAGGCCAGGAGTTCAAGACCAGCCTGGCCAATGTGTTGAAACCCCATCTCTACTAAAAATACAAAATTAGCCAGGTGTGGTGGCGGGTGTCTGTAATCCCAGCTACTCGAGAAGCTGAGGCAGGAGAATCGCTTGAACTCGGGAGGCGGAGGTTGCTGTGAGCCAAGATAGGGTCATTGTACTCCAGCCTAGGCAAAGAGCAAAACTCCATCGAGAAAGAGAAAGAAAGAAAGAGAGAAAGAGAGAAAGAAAGAAGGGAGGGAGGGAAGGAAGGAAGGAAGGAAGGAAGAGAAAGAAATGCAAATCAGAACCACAAGGAGATATCACTTCACACTCACTAGGAGGGCTATGTTTTTTTTGTTTTGTTTTGTTTTGTTTTGTTTTTGAGACAGAGTCTCACTCTGTCACCGAGGCTGGAGTGCAGTGGCACGATCTCGGCTCACTGCAAGCTCCATAGGAGGGCTATGATTTTAAAAATGGAAAGTAACACGTTTGGCAAAAATGTGGAGCAATAGGGAAGTTTGTACATTGCTGGTGGGAATATAAAATGGTGCAGCCATTGTGAAAATAGTTTGGCAACTCCTCAAAAAATTAAATACAGAATTCTCATTTGACCCAATAATTCCATTCCTAGGAACATAAGAGAAATGAAAACATATGTCCACACAGAGACTTGTACATGGACATTTATAGCAGCACTATTCACAATAGCCAAAAGATGGGAAAAACCCCAAATGCCCATCAATGGATGAAAGGATAAACAAATCATATTATATACATACAATGAAATATTATTCAGCCCTGAAAAGGAATAAAGTCCTGATACATGCTACATACCTGATAGGAGTCCTGATACATGAATCTCAAAAACATTATGCTAAGCAAAAGAAGCCAGACAAAAGGCCACATATTGTATGATTCCTTGTATTTGGAATACTCAGAATAGGCAAATCCATAGAGACACAAAGCTGATTAGCGGAGGAGGAATAGAGAATGATTGCTTAATGAATGTAAGGTATTTTGTGGTGTAATGAAAAAGTTTTAAAACTAGAGAAAAACGGCCATTGTACAGCATTGTGAATGCACCAAATGCCCCTGAATTATCTACTTTAAAAGTTAATTGAATGTTATTTGAATTTCAGCTCTGTTTTTACATCAGACTCAAAACATAACAAAAATCTAATCTTCTCATTTAGAGGTCACCCCATAAACATCAGGACAAAATCCCAATAACTTATATTGGCATTCAAGTCCCTTCACAACTTGGCCTAAACTTATATCCTCCCCCTGATCTCCACCACTTCCCACAAGTCCTCTATATTCTAGCCACATGTTTCTCTCATAACTCTTCTTTGAAATGTCTTTCCACAACAGCTTTGCATATGCTGCTCTGCTTCCCCATCTAGACCATGAGCATCTCAAAGGCAGAAACAACATTTAATTCATCTTTGCATCCCAACAGCCTAACCCTGAGTCTGGCATTTAGTGGACACTTAATGAATGTTTGCTGAATCGAATTGAATGTGCATGGAAACTCTGGGAAAAATCCTCCAGAATCCTTCAGATGGTGAATGTGCAGTGAAGAGGTGGAATGAGGCAATTCCCTCAAATTACAAATTCACCTATTTTGTTAAGAAAACATTAAGATGGATATCTTTTATTTTTCTGTGTGAAAATAAAGAAAAAAGAATGCTGAAATGCAGTGAGTACCCTAAAGGTTTATTTTATATTAGATGGAGGGTTGAAAAGAAAAAAATGTAAGTAAAGTAGGTGGCATAATAGGGATTTTTGCAATTTAACCTTAAAAAAGTGAAAATGGCTGCATTGAACACCTGTGGGCCTTCCATCGAACTGCATTCAACAGAGGAAAATAAGAGGAAGGGGAGATGTTAGGCAAGAGGGAGGAATGGAAGTCAGCATCTTCCCAGGTTTCTGCCATGTATCCTGCAGAGCTAAGAATATGGTGGTTGAGACTAGAGTGCGAGATTAAGAAGACCCTCAGCATAAATGGAGTCTCCCCTTGTTCAAACATGTTACTGACCTTCCCTTAAACGAACCAACCAAAGAACACAGCACTGAGATTCACATACACAATAAGTTCAGAACTGATGTTCAGAAGTATAAGTTAAGCATTCCTAATTCGAAAATTTGAAATCCAAAATGCTCCAAAATCTGAAACTTTCTGAGTGCTGACATGACACTCAAAGGAAATGCACATTAGAGCATTTCAGATTTCCAATTTCCTGATTAGTTATACTCAACCAGTAGGTACAATGCAAATTATTCCAAAATCTTGAAAAAAAAAATAAACAAAATCCAAAACACTTCTGGTCCCAAGCATTTTATATAAGGAATATACAACCTATAATAACAATTATAATAAAAGCTAACGTTAACTACCCACTATGTGACAGCATGCCAGCTGAGGGGAACACTGAAATGAATCACGCACAATTATTATTATTTATTATTATTATTATTTGAGATGGAGTCTTGCTCTGTTGCCCAGGCTGGAGTGCAGTGGCGCGATCTCAGCTCACTGCAGCCTCCACCTCCAGGGTTCAAGTGATTCTCCTGCCTCAGCCTCTTGAGTAGCTGGGATTACAGGCGCCCACCACCATGCCTGGCTAATTTTTGTATTTTTAGTACAGATGGGGTTTTGCCATGTTGGCCAGGCTGGTGTCGAACTCCTAACTTCAGGTGATCTGCCCTCCTCGGCCTCCCAAAGTCCTGGGATTACCAGTGTGAGCCATCGCACGCAGCCATAATGCACGATTTTTAACAAAAAGCCCATAGCCAAGTGGGGTAGATAGACAAAGAAAGTTTAATTCAATAGTAAGCGTCACTGTTGACTTACAGACAAAGTGCTGCTGAATTCTCATGCCTTAGTGGCTTCATCTATGAAATGGGGATTAGAATTCTAAGCTATCTTGAGCAGCACCTTGGAGTTAACTAGAGAATTAAAGGAGATGTGGCCTGAGGAGCAGAAGAATTTTCTCTTCTCTAGGAGACTACAGTGGGAGTTACTCTGAGCTATAGAAGGAGAATATCTGTTGGGAAGTTGCTGGAGGACAGAGATGTGATGCTTACTTATCTCTGCATCCCCAATAATACCAACATACGATGGATGTTCAAACTTAAGTTTATTGAGTGTAACTGAAGCAAATAGAATATGCTGTGTCGCAAGAATTTCTGCCAAACAACAGCTCTGCCAGAGGCAGCAGGAATGCAAGCTTTCATTTGCACTCCACCAAAAAAATGCAACTCCTGATGTAAAGGTGGAGAGTTAGTAAAAATAGAAAGTGGTAAGCAGAAATCCTCTTCTCATAATTCATTGTCAGGGACAGAGAAAAAATACTGGCATCTCAAAGAGGGGCCTTTAGGGAGATTGATGCCTAACAGAATAATACCTCAGTGTGCCACACAAAGCCACAGAAAAGTGGTCGGTAACCTTATTCGCTGATTTTTCTGAGACAAATTCATCTGAATGGCATGGTTCTGTAAATGGAACTCCAATCCTACTTGGGGATGCATAATGGTTAATTATATGGCCACAAGTCTTGATATTTTTCAAAACAATACAAGTTCCAAGTAAATCTCAGTCAGAACATGCATTGATGTTGTTCCCTGAAATGTGGTTTTTAAAACAGGCCAGTCTTAATTACGTCTCTGGTGAAAAGGGACATAGGAAGATATTTTGTTCCCAGAATGTTGGGTTCTCAATCAGGTACCACAGATTTAGACTTGCCAGGAAGATATGCAAAAAATTTACTCCAGGCAGATTCCAGCAGTCTACTTCTATAAAGATGTATGTGCCAAAGTCCTTACATGGAGCCCAGGTGAGCCAGGCTGGACCTTACAGAGATAAGAAGATTATTTGACTCTTCCACCTGAAAAAACACTACAGCCAGCTAGAACCACTCTCCAAGTGTGACCCTCCAGAATCTTATCATGACTTGCACAAGTAGAGGCGTGGAAAGGTAAACCCAAAGAACAGCATTTTTGACATGTTTTAAGAGCAATAAAGAAAAATTTACTCCAGGAAAGGCCAATCTGTACAACTATCAAAAGTCCCACTGCCTGTGAATGTGGCTCAATTGTCTCCTTAGCCAACCCACGTCCTTGAACCTATGCAGAAAATGGTGTGGGGTCACAGGCTTTAAGTTCTCCCTCCCATTTAGGCAGATACCTACAGTCATCACAGCTCAGTATTTCTACTAACCCAGCCAAGAACCAGGCAGGCATCATAAAAGATTCAGGGAGGACTTCTTCCTGTTGCCCTTTCTCTTGTTGGTATGGTGAGGGTAAAATTCTATCATTGAGAATTACTTTGAGTGTAACATGGCTATGGCTATGTATTCCTCTTTCAAAAGCAAATACCCATGGTGACAATACATGTTATATAACCCTTTGTGGATTTGCTTCTTAATTGCCTCTCTCACTACAAGAAAAGTTTGGTTCAGCAGGAATTAAGTAGGTACCTGAAGTGAGTGAAGGATAACAGGCCTAAAAGAGAAGAAGCTCTCAAAAGTGGACTGGATTGCCACAAAAGCAAGCTCTTCAGCACAGAGGCAACTATGAGAACTTTGGAACTAGACAGACTTGGATTAAGTTTTTCTTCTCCCTCTAATTAGCTGTGCAAGCTATAAGTCACCTAACCTCTCCTTGCCTCTGTTTCTGCATCTGTAAAATAGTAATAACAATATCTACCCTGAGGAGATCTTTAAGGATCTGAGTCAATGTATATAAAGTGCCTAGATGATATATCAATGTATGAAAATCTGCCTAGCATATAATATTATAGTAGTTGTGCTCATAATCCCTTTCTATCTGCATTAGCAGAGTTGATGTAATAGGTTTCACAATGTCCCCACCCCCGAAGGCTAACAATCATATGAAAAAAAGCTCAACATCACTGATCATTAGAGAAATGCAAATCCAAACCACAATGAGATTCAATCTCACACCAGTCAGAATGGCTACTATAAAAAGTCAAAAAATAATAGGTGCTGGCAAGGTTGCAGAGAAAAAGGAATGCTTATACATTATTGTAAATTAGTTCAACCATTGTGGAAGACAGTGTGGTGATTCCTCAAAGACCAAAAAACAGAAATACCATTTGACTCAGCAATCCAATTACTGGGTATACACCCAAAGGAATGTAAATCATTCTATCATAAAGACACATGCATGTGTATGTTCACTGCAGCACTATTCACAATAGCAAAGACATAGACTCAACCCAAAAGCCCATCAATAGCAGATTGGATAAAGAAAATATGGTACATGCATAACACGGACCGTTTGCAGGGTCATGGATGGAGCTGGAAGCCAGTATACCGAACAAACTAATCCAGGAACAGAAAACCAAAAACCACACATTCTCATTTATAAGTGGGAGCTAAATGATGAGAACACATAGACATATAGAGGGGAACAACATACACTGAGGCCTGTCATAGGCTGGAGGTTGGGAGGTGGGAGAGTTCAGGAAAAATAATGAATGGGTACTAGGCTTAATACCTGGGTAATGAAATAATCTGTACAACAACTCCCCATGACACAAGTTTACCTATGTAACAAACCTGCACATGTACCCCTGAACTTAAAATAAAAGTTAATAATAATAATAATAATGTCCCCACTCCCAAAGATCTCCATGTCCTAATTCCAAGATCCTGTGAACATACCTTACATGGTAATAGAGACTTTGAAGATATGATTAAATTAAGGATTTTTAGATAACGAGGAGGTTATTCTGAATTTTCCAGATAGGCCCAATATAATCACAAGGGTCCTTATAAGAGAGAAGGCTATATGAAGACAGAAGCAGAGAGAGTTCAGAAGATACTGCACAACTAACTTTAAATAGGAAGGAAGAGAACAGGAGCAGATTCTAGAAGCTGGAAAAGGCAAGGAACAGATTCTTTCCTAGAGCCTCCAGAAGGAACCAGCCCTGCCAACACTTTTTTTTTTCTTTGAGACAGAGTATCGCTCTGTTGCCCAGGCTGGAGGGCAGTGGCGCGATCTCAGCTCACTGCAAGCTCCACTGCCTCCCAGGTTCACGCCATTCTCCTGCCTCAGCCTCCCTAGTAGCTGGGACTACAGGCGCCCGCCACCACACCTCGCTAATTTTTTTTCTATTTTTAGTAGAGACAGGGTTTCACCGTGTTAGCCAGGATGGTCTCAATCTCCTGACCTTGTGATCCGCCCGCCTCGGCCTCCCAAAGTGCTGGGATTACAGGCTTGAGCCGCCACACCTGGCCAACACTTTTATTTTGGTCCTGTATGATTCATTACAGACTTCTGACCTGCAGAACTGTGAGAGAATAATCTGTGTTGTTTTAAGACACTACAGATGTAGTACTTTGTTACAGGAGCAACAAATACAGTTGGATTTGGCCAGGCACGGTGGTTCATGCCTGTAATCCCAACACTTTGGGAGGCCAAAGTAGGCAGACCACTTGAGGTCAAGAGTTCGAGACCAGCCTGGCCAACATGGCAAAACCCTGTATGTACTAAAAATACTAAAATTAGCCAGATGCGGTGGCGCGTGCCTGTAGTCCCCGCTACTCAGGAGGCTGAGGCATGAGACTTGCTTGAACCCAGGAGGCAGAAGTTGCAGTGAGCCAAGATCACCCCCACTGCCCTCCAGTCTAGGTGACAGAGTGAGACCCTGTCTCAAAAGAAAAAAAAAATACAGTTGAATTCACTATATCGCTCTAGTCCAGACTTCTGTTCTTAGATCCAGACTCACTTATACAAATACTTTCTTGATATCTCCACCTGATTATATCAAACCATCTTATACTTAATTTGTCCAAAAACAAATTTATGATCTCCATCTGCCATCTCCCTCTCTTCCGACGTAACACGTCTGGTCCTTTTACAGTTACCCTCACTTCAGGAAATGGTGATACCACTGCATAATTCAGGGCCCTGGCCATCCTCCTGGACCCTTCCTTTGTCTTCTCCTCACCCCAATACTAAGCCCATTGCCAAGCCATGTTTATTTTATCTCTTAAGGTTCTTCCAACTCTGATTTTCTCCACCCAGTCTACCAGCACCCTACTTCATGCTGTCTTCTCTCTTAACTAGGCCTCTATCATGGTCTTCTACTTGGTCTTTTACATTTACTTTTGCCAGCTTACAATACATTATCTACCCTCTTGTCAGAGTGATCTTTTCAAAATGCAATTCTGATCACGCCATTCTGCTTAAACCCTTGTGTGTTGTTGCCTTGCTCACAATATTAAGAGCAAAATCCTTACCATGGTCTGAAAGGTTCTGTATTCTCTATTTGTTTAAGTAATTTTCCAAATGTATCTCAAACCACAATGTCCCTTGCTCTCTGTGACCCAGCCATGGCAACTTCCTTTGAATTCTTCATATATACCATGCTTTCTCATGCTACAATTGTCTTTGTGACAATTATTCCTTCCACCTTCATTTTTTTTCCTGTTACTCCTACCAGTCTGTAAATCTTCTCAAGGGCAGAGCCCCTATCTGTTTTATCATTCATCTCCACTGTTTAGGATAGTGCCTGGCCTCTCTATAGGAGTATATATATGTGTGTGTATATATATATATGTGTGTGTATATATATATATATGTGTGTGTGTGTATACATATATGTGTGTGTGTGTGTATATATATATATGTGTATATATATATATATATATATATACACACATACATTTGTTTAATGAATGAATGAATGGGTGTCCACTACTCTTCTCATCAGTGCCTAAGACAGATTTAACTTCTATTTAGCTTTCTTATTCTTTGCAGCAGTACAAAGAGGAGAAACACAGAGTTTCTGAAGAAACTTGTGGTTTGTTTAAGTTATGCAACCAGCTCTGACTCTAAACTCTTGATAGAGGACTTGATAGACTACTATATATTATGACAGCTTTTACTCATTTGAAACAAGTTTATTTCAGGACCCGTGGTAAGCAGAATTCTATGATAACATCATGCCTATTGTCTCTCATCCTTGTATAATTTCCTCCTCTTGTGTGTGGTGAGAACCTGTGAATCAGATGAAATATCACTCTGCTGATCGTATTACATGATAAGGCAAAGGGATCTCACGGATGCAATTAAGGTCACAAATAAGTTGATCTTATCCTGGGAGAGGCTGACTTAGTCAGGTAAGCCCTTAAATGCAGTTTTCTCTGGCTGGCTTTGGAGGAAGCAAGCAAACAGCCATTCTCTGAGCTGCTTACAGAGAAGGGCGGTCTCTAGGAGCTGAGGGTGGTGCTCCCTGCCTGACAGCTGGCAAGGAAATGTGGACCTCATCGTATAATCACAGCACCCTGAACTAACTTGGAAGAGGACCTCGCAGATGGGAGCTCGGCCTCAGCTGACACCTTGATCACCGCCCTGTGAAGGCTAAGCAGAGGACCCAGTTAGGCTGTGCCCAAACTCCTCAGCCACAGAAGCTGTGAAATCGTAAATGTGTGTTGCTTCAGCTGCAAAGTTTGTAGTAATTTGTTACACAGCAATAGAAAACTAAAACTGAGCCAATATTGTGAAACTCTGCATAGCAGCTGATTTTTTTTTTTTTTCTGAGAACGATAAGCATGCTGAGTTAGAACTTTCCATGAGAAGACAGATTTTAATTATCTGGGTATCCAAAGCATCAAAGTACTTTTCTCACTCTGAAAACTCAAAAATAGCTGCACAGATTTTCTTTAGAACTTTCCAAAAATAAGATTTTCTTCAGAGCCGAAATCAAGTGTGGAAAATGTTAATCTAGAAGGAAAAAGAAGCTTAAGTAGTATAAATAGCTTAAAATAGGCTACAGGGACTGACCTATGGGAGGCTCTGAGGAAAATTGCTAATTGTTTAGAATAGCAGAAATGTTCAATTACCAGTTGCATGCAAGGTATCAGTAGAGGCTGTATGCTTGTTGGTTTCCTAGTCACTCCAAGAGTAGAGACAGGGCCAAAGACTGTACCATGATGGAGAGGTCATCCTTACTAAACGCAATTCCAAAATGTACTCACACACCCAGAAAAGATTTTATAAGGGTGCATCGTCCTTTTTTATGGCTTTAAACAGGAGTATGATTACATAAAAATAACAAGAATACACTTTTCTTTTTAAAACTCTTCAGAAAGTAAGTCAGTTAACCTTCTTGGGTCCACATTTCCTCATCTCTGAACAGCACTCCAAGGTTCTTTTAAGCTTTATAATTCCGCTATGAGATTCTTCCATCATTTTATCTACCGGTTTTGTCAGTGTTAGATGAGGTTGACTATGAAAGGCATCCAGTACATAGTAAGCAATCAACAAATGTGAATTCTTCATAGTAAAATATTTCATCCATCTTGGCTGCTGGCACAGCTATTATAAAACCTTTCTTCATAAGACTGATTTGCCAAAGCTCTTCATCACCTTTCCAAAGCATCACTTGATTTCTCTTTAATTATGGAGAATTTAAAGGCAGAATTAATCTTCTAGAAAGGACCAGCTATAGAAAAGCATTCTAAGAAGATTCTTAACCTTAATCCCTACTTGTACATTCCCTTAATTGTTATTTGTAAATTTCAGCACTATATTGGGTTCCTATACCCTGCTAGTTATCTCTATCTAGATGCCACACTACTCCTCAAACTCAGCTTATCCAAATTTAAATGTTATTTTCCCTCCCCAGTCAGCCCATGTCTGCCAGATTTTCCTGACTGAATTTGGGCAAGTAATTTTAGCTCACTGAGCCTCAGCTTCCTCTGCTGTAAAATTAGAATAATAATCCCTGCACTCTAACAAAGACATCACGGGCCCAATGATAATGTGCAAAGCGCATGCAAACCATTTCACATAAAACACACTTTAGGAGGTTGTTGGTTTCTCCCAACTATTTTCTTCTACTGCATTTCACAAACCCACTTAAGTACAACCATTTGGCTTGTTTCAAAAGCACATTATAAGCAGTCTTTTCTTTTCACTTTTGCTTACTCTGATTCCTCTGAGTGGATTTGTTTCTTTCCTTTCTTCTTGTTTCAGTTGGATTTTTTCTTTTAAGATCCAGATACATTTCATCTTCCCCATAAAGTGTTCTTCTACATCCCTGATCCATGATCATAGCCCTTATATGTTGTAAGCTTTTGAATTCCTAGAGCTCTGCACTAGTCATTTGGCACTTAGCTTTGGACAACCTGTAGCACTTATCTTTTTATGTATGTGTTGGATCCACAATGAACATATTAACTCTTTGAGAGCAGGGTCCTCTTTGCTAGCCCAGTGCCATACACAACCTGACATTCTATAAACATTAGTTGCTTTGTTGAAACGACATCATTTCAATTACGAATTCTAATCATTCTTAGGTAAATTGGAGACTCTCAATGTCAATATGTTGACACTTTATAAATTTTAATTAGCATATTGGCAATTATACTCCACAGCTGTTTTCATAGGGCACTTCACAATTATTCATCAGTTTTTGTCAAGATATTCTCAGGAGGTGAGTGATAAAGATCATTCCCTGCCATTCTTTTGTTCTAAATTTAGAAAAGCATAGTACAGTGATTTTATGAAATATATTGAGAAGATTCAGGATAAAAATTGACATAAAAAAGTAAAATTCTTTCTTAGCCCCCTGTGCCAGTGAAAATCCTTCTCTAGCATTTGTTCCTACAGAAAAGCAAATAATGTCTTATTTGATTTTGTTGAACTGCCTGTAGTCCTTGAAGATTGGGTGAGTCTCTAGTCTTCTATTCAAACTGAAATGTTTTACTTTAATAACTCAAGAAAAGATAATTTTAGTGTATCTTGGCTGTCATATGTGATTTTGTTTATTGACTGTATTCTGATTATGATAATGCAAACAAAACCCAAAGTAAGTAGAAGCAATGAAATAATAAAGATTAGAAAACAATAAAATAGAAAAAAATGTTTTTAAAAAATAAAATCAATAAAACTGATAAACTTCCAGCCAAGCTGATCAGGCAAAAGAGAAAAGACAGAACTTGACAATATCAACGATGAAAGAGAAAACATCACTAGAGTTCCTAGGGACATTAAAAGGAAAATAAGGAAATATAAGGAACAGCTTTTTTTGCCAATAAATTCAATAATTTAGGTAAAATGGAAAGTTTTTTATTTTTTTATTTTTTATTTTTATTTTTATTATACGTTAAGTTTTAGGGTACATGTGCACAACGTGCAGGTTTGTTACATATGTATACATGTGCCATGTTGGTGTGCTGCAGCCATTAACTAGTCATTTACATTAGGTATATCTCCTAATGCTATCACTCCCCCCTCCCCCGACCCCACAACAGTCCCCGGTGTGTGATGTTCCCCTTCCTCTGTCCATGTGTTCTCATTGTTCAATTCCCACCTACGAGTGAGAACATGCAGTGTTTGGTATTCTGTGCTTGTGATAGTTTGCTGAGAATGATAGTTTCCAGCTTCATCTACGTCTCTACAAAGGACATGAAATCATCATTTTTTATGGCTGCATAGTATTCCATGGTGTATATGTGCCACATTTTCTTTATTATTATTATTATTATTATACTTTAAGTTTTAGGGTACATGTGCACAATGTGCAGGTTAGTTACATATGTATACATGTGCCATGCTGGTGTGCTGCACCCATTGACTCGTCATTTAGCATTAGGTATATCTCCTAATGCTATCCCTCCCCCATCCCCCCACCCCACAACAGTCCCCAGAGTGTGATGTTCCCCTTCCTGTGTCCATGTGTTCTCATTGTTCAATTCCCATCTATGAGTGAGAACATGCGGTGTTTGGTTTTTTGTCCTTGCCATAGTTTACTGAGAATGATGATTTCCAGTTTCATCCATGTCCCTACAAAGGACATGAACTCATCATTTTTTATGGCTGCATAGTATTCCATGGTGTATATGTGCCACATTTTCTTAATCCAGTCTATCATTGTTGGACATTTGGATTGGTTCCAAGTCTTTGCTATTGTGAATAGTGCTGCAATAAACATACATGTGCATGTGTCTTTATAGCAGCATGATTTATAGTCCTTTGGGTATATACCCAGTAATGGGATGGCTGGGTCAAATGCTATTTCTAGTTCTAGATCCCTGAGGAATCGCCACACTGACTTCCACAATGGTTGAACTAGTTTACAGTCCCACCAACAGTGTCAAAGTGTTCCTATTTCTCCACATCCTCTCCAGCACCTGTTGTTTGCTGACTTTTTAATGATTGCCATTCTAACTGATGTGAGATGGTATCTCATTGTGGTTTTGATTTGCATTTCTCTGATATATGTGCCACATTTTCTTAATCCAGTCTATGATTGTTGGACATTTGGGTTTGTTTCAAGTCTTTGCTATTGTGAATAGTGCCGCAATAAACATATGTATGCATGTGTCTTTATAGCAGCATGTTTTATAATCCTTTGGGCATATACCCAGTAATGGGATGGCTGGGTCAAATAGTATTTCTAGTTCTAGATCCCCGAGGAATCACCACACTGACTTCCACAATGGTTAAACTAGTTTACAGTCCCACCAACAGTGTAAAAGTGTTCCTATTTCTCCACATCCTCTCCAGCACCTGTTGTTTCCTGACTTTTTAATGATCGCCATTCTAACTGGTGTGAGATGGTATCTCATTGTAGTTTTGATTTGCATGTCTCTGATGGCCAGTGCTGATGAGCATTTTTTCATGTGTATGTTGGCTGCATAAATGTCTTCTTTTGAGAAGTGTCTGTTCATATCCTTTGCCCACTTTTTGATGGGATTGTTTGCTTTCTTCTTGTAAATTTGTTTGAGTTCTTTGTAGATTCTGGATATTAGCCCTTTGTCAGATGAGTAGATGGCAAAACTTTTCTCCCATTCTGTAGGTTGCCTGTTCACTCTAATGGTAGTTTCTTTTGCTGTGCAGAAGCTCTTTAGTTTAATTAGATCCTATTTGTCAATTTTGGCTTTTGCTGCCATTGCTATTGATGTTTTAGACATGAAGTCCTTCCCATGCCTATGTCCTGAATGGTAATGCCTAGGTTTTCTTCTAGGGTTTTTATGGTTTTAGGTCTAACATTTAAGTTTTTAATCCATCTTGAATTAATTTTTGTATAAGGTGTAAGGAAGGGATCCAGTTTCAGTTTTCTATATATGGCTAGCCAGTTTTCCCAGCACCATTTATTAAATAGGGAATCCTTTCCCCATTTCTTGTTTTTGTCAGATTTGTCAAAGATCAGATAGTTGTAGATATGCGGCATGATTTCTGAGAGTTCTGTTCTGTTCCATTGGTCTATATCTCTGTTTTGGTACCAGTACCATGCTGCTTTGGTTACTGTAGCTTTGTAGTATAGTTTGAAGTTACGTAGCGTGATGCCTCCAGCTTTGTTCTTTTGGCTTAGGATTGACTGGGCAATGTGGGCTCTTCTTTGGTTCCATATGAACTTTAAAGTAGTTTTTTCAATTCTGTGAAGAAAGTCATTGGTAGCTTGATGGGGATGGCATTGAATCTATAAATTACCTTGGGCAGTATGGCTATTTTCACAATATTGATTCTTCCTACCCATGAGCATGGAATGTTCTTCCATTTGTTTGTATCCTCTTTTATTTCATTGAACAGTGGTTTGTAGTTCTCCTTGAAGAGGTCCTTCACATCCCTTGTAAGTTGGATTCCTAGGTATTTTATTCTCTTTGAAGCAATTGTGAATGGGAGTTCACTCATGATTTGGGTCTCTGTTTGTCTGTTATTGGTGTATAAGAATGCTTGTGATTTTTGTACATTGATTTTGTATCCTGAGACTTTGCTGAAGTTGCCTATCAGCTTAAGGAGATTTTGGGCTGAGACAATGGGGTTTTCTAGATATACAATCATGTCATCTGCAAACAGGGACAATTTGACTTCCTCTTTTCCTAACTGAATGCCCTTTATTTCCTTCTCCTGCCTGATTGCCCTGGCCAGAACTTCCAACACTATGTTGAATAGGAGTGGTGAGAGAGGGCATCCCTGCCTTGTGTGAAATTGAGGCAATAATTAATAGCTTACCAACCAAAAAAAGTCTAGGACCAGATGGATTCACAGCCGAATTCTACCAGAGGTACAAGGAGGAGCTAGTACCATTCCTTCTGAAACTATTCCAATCAATAGAAAAAGAGGGAATCCTCCCTAACTCATTTTATGAGGCCAGCATTATCCTTATACTAAAGCCTGGCAGAGACACAACAAAAAAAGAGAATTTTAGACCAATATCCCTGAAGAACATTGATGCAAAAATCCTCAATAAAATACTGGCAAACTGAATCCAGCAGCACATCAAAAAGCTTATCCACCATGATCAAGTGGGCTTCATTCCTGGGATGCAAGGCTAGTTCAACATACGCAAATCAATAAACGTAATCCAGCATATAAACAGAACCAATGACAAAAACCACATGATTATCTCCATAGATGCAGAAAAGGCCTTTGACAAAATTCAAGAAGGCTTCATGCTAAAAACTTTCAATAAATTAGGTATTGATGGGATGTATCTCAAAATAATTAGAGCTATTTATGACAAACCCACAGCCAATATCATACTGAATGGGCAAAAACTGGAAGCATTCCCTTTGAAAACTGGAAAGTTTTTTTAAAAGAAGCAAACTACCCAAGTCATTCAAAAACTAAAAGATAACCTGAATAGTTTTTTGTCTATATTTGAAGGAAATTGAACTTATAATTAAAAATTCTTCCCCACGCAATACCCCAGGCCCAGATGATTTCACAGTTGAATTCTTTCAAACATTTATTGAAGAAATAATGTCAATTCTTTCTTTTTTGTTTGTCCAAGATGGTGGATTAGAGGCATTGCCAGCATACCTCTCCCACTTGGAAGGACAAAGTCGTGTGTAGAGATTCACACTGTGAACTTTTTTCAGGAAGTGATGCAGAAACTGAACAGGGTAACCAAAGGAATCTGTAGACCCTTTGAAGAAAGCAACAGGCTGCAGCCTACACAGTGAGTCAGGTAAAGGGCTATGAGTCCCTAGGGTGAGAGGAGAGACTGCCCCTGGGACACACAGCCCCTCCAGGGACCCTGGAAGTCTAGGTCCCAGGGGAAGGCCTTAACCCTACCCAGTACAGGAACCAACCTGGGGAGGCACATGGAATATAAAAGTAGGAGCAGCACAGGAAGACCCTTGCATGCACTCCCAGTTTCCAGTGCAGACGGAGGGAAAGCATTTTTCACTGTTCCTCACAGAGGACCCTGCAGAGCACAGCCAAATAGTTCAGGCAGGGGTCTCAGGTTGAAATAAGCCCCCAACTGGGTTTCACGATATAATCTTGGGTAAGGATGAACTCCCTTAGCCAGGGCTGGGGCAGGGGAGTGAAAATTGTGCTCCAGCTGCTAGTCCAGGAACCACAAGTGCAGAAGCTGGGTGCCCAGCTTCGCAGTGGATAGGGAGGGGCATGGACTGAAAGCCACAGTTGCCATCTCCAGAGGGAAAGCATATGCTTTGGAGCAGTTGTGAGTTCTGAATGCAGGCCACCTGGAACTGAGCCCACCGCTGCCAGTGGAACACTGCACGAGTGGTTATGCCTCGCCAAGTGTGTGGGATCTGTGTGGGGCTTACCATCACCTGCTACTCCCCTCTCCCTGTGCTAACTCTTCTGTGCAGCAGAGGCAGCAATACTACCCTCTGGAATATCAACCCAGTGGCCTGAGAACTGCTCCTGTCTTCTGATACCCACAAGGGCTGCTGCTTACCCTGCATGAGACTCACAGTACAAACCTACCTGACTCAGCCCCCACCTGGCTTTGCCCCACAACCTGCCCTGGTAACTTAATACAAAAGATAGAATCTTTTGGGAGCTATATGGCTTCTTTCATTGCCTGAGAAACCAGAGTATCCTCCACTTCCCAGGCAAAATAAGGCAAGCAAAAATCCCACTGCTACCACTGCAGCTGATGCTCTTTTGCAAGCACCACCTCCTAGCTGGAGACCAACCAATGCAGTCCATTACAGCATCTCCTGAGAGAATAACACTGCACCCAGGAAGGAGAAAACAGCTGCATGATCTGAGCTATCACCACTGCCTGCACCACTCTGGCTAACCAGGAGGTCCTGAGTCTGTCTATATGACTACTTCATTACTACTTTAACTGGCATTCGAGAAAGCCAATACACTAAGGCTAACAATAACCAAGGAATCTCACAGAGTATACATCATTCCCCTGCCACTCCCATTAGAGCTGGTGCTGCTACCCACTGCTGGGAGACTTGAGGTCATATCACTTGATCCCTTGCAGACATTTTCCAGCTCCTGCCTGGAGTGTGGCAACCTTACTGGGTGGCTAGACCCAGAGGAGCAACAACACTCACAATAGTCTGTCTCCCAGGTACTCCCACTCTTAGGGGAAGAGGGAGTGTACCACAGCAAGGGAATACCCTGTGAGACAAAGTAATCTGTATGGCAGGCCTTGAGCAGCAGATCTTTCCACTGGTGGGAAGTTTCTTTCAGCAGAGGCAGAGTTGCAGTGCTGGGCTCAGCAGGGAGCATCTTCAGTTCTAACCCAACAGTCAGACAGCCCTGGTGTGTGTAAAGGGTATTGGAGAAGGGGACATCTTTCCCCCCTTGTTCACTATTGCACGCACAGTTGGGGCTTCTTCTATGGGAACTTGGCATGGGTGCAACTATAGACAGCCTTTCTCAAACACGTTGAAGTGACTGTATTCCTGCAGAAGGAACACCCTCCAGGTTCAGGCTTACAAGAGAGACAGAGTCACATTTCCTCTTTACTTGGAATATCAACACTCCTACAGATGAAAAGAGGCACCTGTGTGATCTGAATAGCTACAGCACTGAGACAGGGGTGTGTCTAAGAGTTAGATAACTCTCTTGCTAACCTGTCAGGGGACCTGAGGTGGCTCCAACCCTTCCCCCTGTTAAGACCTCAGTGTGACTCACTGAGAGCTCCTCCAGCCCCCTCTGTCAAGGCTTGGACATCTGTCTACCATTGGGTATTGCATTTGCCCACCTGCTTTAGCCACAACTGGTTGCTAACCAGAGACATCTCCCCTACTGGCCTGAAGCCTAAACCATCAAACCAGTAAATAAAATACTGGGGAAAAATAAATAAATAAATAAAAAGGTGCACACCACATGGTTATATGATAAGCTTCGAGAGACCTCTACCATTCCAACCCCAAAGGAGACAGTGAACTTGCTCACATACTGAGCACATTGCTACTACAACCAGCATATGAGAAAGCCACTATACAAAGACTCTGTATTATCAAGGAACTCTTACAGAGTCTTCACCCCTGAAAGCATCAAGAACCAAATATAATTAACTATAAGCATTAAAGTCACATCCTTAAGGGGAAAAAAGAAATTAACAAACAAATGAAGAAACACAGTTACATAAAACATAAATTCAAGAATAATGAGAAGAAATAGGCTACCCAAATGAGAAGAAACTCTGGTAATATGACAAAACAGGATTCTATAACACCTCTAAAGATAACACTAGCTCTTCAGCAATAGATCCAAACCAAGATGAAATCTTTGAAATACCAGATAAGGAATTCAGACAGTCAATTATTAAGCTACTCAAGGGGATTTCAGGGAAAGGTGAAAACCATCATAAAGAAATTTAGAAAGCATTTCAGGATATGAATGAAAAATTTTCTAGAAAGACAGATATTTTAAAGAAAAACCAATCAGAACTTCTGGAAATGAAAGACATACTTAGGGAATTACACAATGCTGTGGAAAGTTTTAACAATAGACTACAACAAGTAGAAGAAAGAATTTCAGAGCTCAAAGACAAGGCTTTTGAATTAACCTAATCAGACAAAAATAAAGAAAAGATAATCAAAAGAAATGAACGAAGTCTTCAAGAAATATGGGATTATGTAGAATGGTCAAACCTAAGAATAATTGTTGTTCCTAAGGAAGAGGAGAACACAGTAAGTCTGGGAAACATATTTCAGGGAATAATTGAAGAAAAATTCCCTGGTCTGGCTAGAGATCTAAATATCCAAATCCAAGAGGATCAAAGAACTCCTGGGAAATTCATTGCAAAAAGATCTTCACCAAGGCCTGTAGTCATCAGGCTATCTAAAGTCAACATGATAAAAAGAATTCTAAGTGCACTAAAACAAAAGTATCAGGTAACCCACAAAGGAAAACCTTTCAGACTAATAGCGGACTTCTCGGCAGAAACCTTACAGGCCAGAGAAGATTGGGGTTCTAACTTCAACCCCTTTAAACAGAACAACTGTTAGCTAAGAACTTTGTATCCAGCAAATCTGTTTCATAAATGAAGGTGAAATAAATCATTTTCAGACAAACAAATGCTGAGGGAATTTGCCACCACCAGACCAGCCCTACAATAAATGCTAGAAGGAGTTCTAAACCTTGAAATAAAAGCCAAATATGCACCAAAATAGAACCTCTTGAAAGCTTAAAACTCACAAGGGCTATAAACAATAACACAATGAAAAAAATCAAACTTAGGTAACAACATGATAAAGAGAACAGTAACTCACATCTCAATATTTCCATTGAATGTAAATGGCCTAAATGCTACACTTAAAAGATACAGAATGGCAGAAAGGATTTTTAAAAATCACAAACCAAATATTTGCTGTCTTCAACAGGCTCACCTAACATGTAAGAATTCATATAAACTCAAGGTAAAAGGGTGTAAAAAGATATTCCATGCAAATGGAAAGCAAAAGTGAGCAGGAATAGCTATTCTTATATTAGGAAAACAAAAAACAGACTTCAAAGGGTTAATGGTAAACTATATAATGATAAAAGGATCAATCCAACAGAAGATATTACATTCCTAAATTTATATATTCCTAACACTGTAGATCCCAGATTCATAAAACAATTACGACTAGACCTCAGAAATGAGATAGACAGCAACACAATAGTAGTGGGAGACTTCAATACACCACTGACAGTACTAGACAGATCTTTGAAAAAGAAAGTCAAGAAAGAAACTATGGACTTAAAAGGCATGCTAGAACAAATGGACTTAACAGATATTTACAGAACATTCTACCCAAGAACTGCAGAATATACATTCTACTGATAAGCACATGGAACATTCTCCAAGATAAACCATATGACAGGCCACAAAACACGTCTCAATAAATTTTTAAAAATTGAAATCATATCAAGTATCTTCTCAGACCACAGCAGAATAAAACTAGAAATCAAATCTAAAAGGAATCCTCAAAATTATAATGTGGAATAACTGGAACTGTCTCATACATTACAACAGGTACATCTATTATACATCTATTATACTTTGAAAATAATTTTGGCAGTTTCTTATAAAGTTAACCCTTACCAAATAATCTAATAATTCCATTCCTACATATTTACCCAAGAGAAATGAAAATGAGCACACAAAGACTTGTACACTAATGGTCATAGAAGCTTTATTTATCATAGTAAGCAAATTGAAACAACCCAAATGCCCAACAACTAGTGAATGGAAAACCAAATTGTAGTATATCTATACAATGGAATACTATTCAGCAACACAAAGGAACAAACTATTGATACATCCAACAACATGGACGAATCTCAAAACCATTATGCTAGACACTAGCATAGAAACCTACACACTATAAGAATCTGTTTACATGAAATGTTAGAAAAAGCAAAACTATAGCACCAGAAAGCAGATAGTGGTTATTAGGGGTCAGGGAGTCAGAGGAAGGGAATACAAAAAAGCATAGAAATTTTGGGGTTGATCAAAATATTCTTTATTTTAATTGTGGTGGTGGTTACACAGGTATAAACAGTTGTCAAAAGTCATCAAATTAGACATTTAAATTAGTGAATTTTGTTGTATGTAAATTATCTCCCGATAAAGCTTCTAAAAATAACATAATTTGATTACAGATAATTTTGCTGTATTTCTACTTTATAGTTTTTCTATGGTTTTAAAAACTAAAAAATTTTTACAATTTATTTTCTACTTTCTAACTTAATCTCAAATAATAAACATTCCCCATATTACTAAAATCTCTGTAATCATTTAATTCCTGCATAATATTCCAATTATACATATGCCACCCTTAATTAATCATTCCTTACTGGTAGGAATTTAGATTGTTTTCTATTTTCCTCTAAACTAATACTCTGATAATACTTTGTATACATATTCTTGTATATTTTGGGGGCTTTTTTCTTATGTTTTCTTTTGTGTGTGTGTATGTGTGTGTGTGTGTGTGTGTGTGTGTGAGACGGAGTCTTGCACTGTCGCCTAGGCTGGAGTGCAGTGGCATGATCTCGGCTCACTGCAAGCTCTACCTCCCAGGTTCATGCCATTCTCCTGCCTCAGCCTCCCAAGTAGCTGGGACTACAGGTGCCCGCTACCACGCCCAGCTAATTTTTTGTGTTTTTAGTAGAGACGGGGTTTCACCGTGTTAGCCAGGATGGTCTCGATCTCCTGACCTTGTGATCCACCCACCTCGGCCTCCCAAAGTGCTGGGAATACAGGCGTGAACCACCGCACCCGGCCTTTCTTTTATTTTCAAAGATAAAATTATTAGGAAAAAGTATAAGAACATTTTAAGAATATTTAAACATACCGTTAATTTTTTTCCAGGAAGATTGTACTGATTCAGCTCTCACTAGTAGTACATCGAAACAGCAATTTTACTGCACTCCTGCCACAACTGAATATTATCATTGTTTTAAATATTTGTTTAAACTCTCTTCTGAAACTTTACACTTCAGCTCAGCATTGGCTTGTAACTCTTCTCTGTATTTCTGTGCATAGGTAGTCCATATTATTCACCCTCCTTTGTGCAGGGTCCATTTCATCCATCCAAATATCCCAAGGATCTGGGATATTTGCAGATTCCCTGGGTCATGTAAGGGTCTACTCTGACATCATCTCATGTTATTCTACAGCTTGAGTCTGTCTCCATGTGTTACTTCTGTCTGGCCAGTGATCTCTCAGTGTGTTTTTGATTCCTCAGTGTTTATATCATCTCTAGTGATTAAAATTTTAACATAGCACAACACAGCATAGACACGGCACCTCTTTTCCTATGATGCAGCTCAGCAACATAGCATGATTCATCTTCCATGTAGAACAGCTGTGATTTGTGCTTCGTTGATGTCTGCCTCCCTACTTTTCCTCATAGCTCTCCTCTCATCTCCCCCATTTAGCATCTTTCACCGTTACAAGCAATGATCAGATAAACAGAGAGATGAAGGTAGTACAAAAGAAATCTCAGCCCTATCCTCCCTGTGGCTATGTTGGATCAATTTTCAGCCCATCTTCCCTAGTCCCTTCTCTGCTGGACTTAATGTTCCCTTCCTCCTGCCAGCTTAATCCTATCCAGGTCCTGAGTCAGTACTGACTACAGCTGCCTTAGTTCCAGCAGGCTCCAACTGGTTCTGGAGTTGGTCTGGGATATGATCATCTTTTATTTCTGACTCAATGTAAGACTCAGCTTGGGTATGTACTCCTCTGTATTAGAGCTCCCAGGATGGCTTGATGCCATTCTCGTGTGCTGCAGTGGCACCGTCTGCTTGCCTCTGTTATTATATACTTCCCGCTTGATTCCAACTGCCTGGTGACAAGGCAGCCTTCCCCACTGGAGATGAGAGCTCCAGGAGGTCAGGGGCTAGCTCATCATCCATGTATCCCTGGCAATTTACACAGTCCCTGGAGCCTGGCCCAAGCCTCCCTGTTTCTACTCTTGTTTTCCTACAACATACTCCTCACACAGCAGCCATGATGATCATTTAGAAACATAAATCATCCTTTCCCTGTAATTTACCAGTTTTCAGAGCAAGGGGTTGGTGCCCTACTTTTCTGAAATGGTATTTGTTGTGTTTTTGTTTTGGCTGGTGGTTTTGTGGTTCTCTAGCAGTTTTTATTTTTTGTCTGTGTTATTATGAACTAATAGGCTTAAAATATATTCAATATGAGATAGTCAATTTCAGTCACTATTGTTTTTGATGTAAAGATTGTCCCATCTTGCACCGGCAGAAGTTCTTTCAAACTAGTTCCTGGGAGATCTTTTTGACACAGCCCTGTTATCTTTGAGAGATTCTTTATTGCCACCGCAAGGTTTATCATCAGGTTCATCTTACTTATTTCACCCTGGACTTGGACTCAGCCCTTCTCCATGAATCTCTGGTCCCTTTTAGTGTTAATGTTACTTAGAAACCATAATCTGAACACGTATGGATATTTCTTGCCACTGGTTTGTCATTATTTCTAAGAATTTGAGTGGACAAAATTAGGGAATACTCATTTTGGTTGTCCTGTTTTACTACATTTCAAAATAAAAAAAATCCCTAGTTGATGAGGAACATCTTTTTCCTTAGAGAAGAATTATAGTTATTAAATGTAGAAGAATTAGTGAAATTAGAAAATCCCCATTTAACAACACTAATGAAATAATTGATTCAGGCAATAAACATTAACAGATGCTAAAACCATTAAGAGAAGAGATGATAGGGACTTTTACAACGGAAGAATCAGGCTGTCTCATCTGAAGCCATTGATCAATGTAAGCGGTTTCAAAATGAGACAACCAGACATTATGTGCTACATGATGTAATGCAATAAAAAATACACAACATCACTTACAAACTTTTCTTGCCAAAAAATGTTAAACTTGAGTTGAATCCAGACTTACGTCTAACTTTTAGTTTGCAGACCAGTTGGAGAGCAAATAGACAAATCCAGAATTTGAACCAATTTGTAGGACAGCTAACTCAGTTTCTTCCAGAAGTCAAGGACCAGAAAAAAAAGGAGTGTGTGTGGGCGGGGGGAATCTGTTCTAAATTAAAAGAGACTTAAAAGACATCCCAAATGCCATGATTAGATCTCAACTGGATCCTGATTCAAATAAATCAATTGTAAATGGCAATGGAGGTTTTCACTGAGCAAGGTGACCATGGATGATTTCTTTCTTCTTTATATTTCCCTGGACAACTTTCTTTTCTTTCTTTTTTTTTTTTTTTTTTCTGAGACAGAGTCTTGCTCTGTCACCCAGGGTGGAGTGCAGTGGCGCGATCTCGGCTCATTGCAAGCTCTGCCTCTCAGGTTCACGCCATTCTCCTGCCTCAGCCTCCTGAGTAGCTGGGACTACAGGCACCCACCACCACGTCCGGCTAATTTTTTGCATTTTTATTAGAGATGGGGTTTCACCGTGTTAGCCAGGATGGTCTCGATCTCCTGACCTCGTGATCCACCCGCCTCAGCCTCCCAAAGTGCTGGGATTACAGGTGTGAGCCACCGTGCCTGGCCACTTCTCTGGACA
The DNA here is from genome assembly GCF_000001405.40 of Homo sapiens. Classification (NCBI taxonomy): domain Eukaryota; kingdom Metazoa; phylum Chordata; class Mammalia; order Primates; family Hominidae; genus Homo; species Homo sapiens. The sequence goes on from NC_000001.11 coordinate 168,895,366, forward strand.
ACTTTCTATTAGCCCCTTGCTGCAATAGACATAGCTCACATCATAATCATATATTAAATTTGGAAAATAAAAATAGGAATAATCTCTTCCAGGCTTCTCTCACATTCACACCAACAATGGTTATTATTTTATGCTATCAATGTCAAATCACTCTAAATGGCTTATCCCTGCTGTTTTAAGTGGCATTGCTCTCACTGCTAGAGAGGCAGAGCATCCTCTCATATGCTCATTGGCCATTTATACTTCTCCTTTTGTAAATTACTTTTTTTGATGGTCTTGTCTATATTACAAACTTATCTTTCTATCATTGCTGTATAGTTTCATAGAAACTTGGGTAGTGTGGTGTGATCATTAACAGGAAAAGGTGAAGAAACTACTGAGGCTTGGCAGTTCCAGGGATTTCAGTGTCCTGGGTCCCTGAAAACCCAGCCTCTGTAATTCTCAGGGCAAGCATGCTTGCACAACCCCAGGGAGTGTCATTCACCAAAATACAGTGTGCTACTCTGTTCTGAAAGTCTACATGGAGAACCGGTGGGAGAATCTCAGTTTTCCTTGGGTGCAGACCTCTATATGAGATAAAATGTAAAATAAGTCTGGCAAGTGGGAAAACTTTAAAATACGGATTACATTTTAACACAGAAAAAAATAAAGAACATGTAACAAACCATCAGAGAGATTTATTTATGAAAAATTTAGCTCCTCCTATTCAAACAACATTTAGTTTCAGAAAGGTAGTAAGAGCCCAAGGAAACTTTAACCAGATATCACTCAGCTTCAGCAAAGCATGGGAGGACACTTTCCTGCTCGTAGTCTTATTGTTAGGGTGTCTCCTCTATGTTCTTGCATTTTTTCTCTTTATTTTCTGTTCCCATGATCACTTTCTGACTTTGTCTCCAGGATTCTGTTATTAAAACTATCCAGTATAAAAGAGATTCCCTTTTCCTCATCTTTTTCTCTTGAATGTTTCTGAGTTAGTCTGCCAGAAGTCAAGTTCTAAGAAAGCAGGACAATTTCAGGGAATTATCATATATTTATGTGATGCTGTGGCAGGGGGCAGATACACAATATAGAGGGGTCAATGGATTAAGAAAAATAAAAGGTCAGCAGCCATATGCTTGAAAGAAATTAGCTCAGGAAAACTAATTTGCTTGAGTTGGGAGAAGCAAGGGAGATTCAGAGAGAACCACAAAGAGGAAACATTGAGCATCTATTCTGTACCATCCCTTATTGACATTGCATTTCATTCTCATAATTCTAGGAGATAGACATGCTATCTGTATTTCACAAAAGAGAAAACGGAAATTCAGAAAGGCCAAGTGAGTTGCCAAATGTTACACAGCTTGTAGGTGTTGTTAGCACAATTCAACACCAACTCTGTTTAGCCTTGAATGCCATACATACTCTTTCTAAAATCACCCTGCTTCCAAAAACGGATAGAAAAAGAAAATGGACCATGAAGAAATCATGGATTCTAGGATATCAATTTTTGTAAAGTAATAAAAGTGGCATTTGTTCAAAGTTAAACAAGAGTTCTGTAGAATCATATTAGGCTGGTGCACCAACTTTACCTATGACCACTTTTCCTTAAGAACCACAGGTAGCAGGATTGTTCAGACTATGCAACTGGCAAACTGAGAAAAGATTTAAGTCAAACTTACTCAGGTATCCAGAAATGGGATTATTTTAATTCTATGGGAAAGTTCATTTCAAGAATGGTCATGGTCTGAGGAAAAGAGGAAAAATAGAAAGTAGAACATGTATTTATGGTTTATACCTCCTGAGGATATTGTGGTAGAAAACAATTTAAATGCCTGTAAACTTTGGCAGGTGATACTGACTTTATCTGAAATCTCCTCTATCACCTTTTTCATCTCCTTGAAGAACTCCTATGGATCCTTAAAAGCTAAGCTCAGACGTTACCTGCTCAATGCTTCAGAGTTAATCAGCCTGTTCCTTATCATCATTTCTGTATTTCTCTCTTATTTTGAGGCTCCTGTTGGCTCATGTACTACAGCTCTAGCATTCTTCACTGTTGACATAGATGGATTCTACTGACCTCCTACTGCAAGTGATGGTGATGACTAGTGATGTCATCACTATCATGGATAGCTCATAATCTCTTCTCTAGAAGTGTTACATCACCCTGTGTCTCTCATGCCCAGAAGGAAAGCCCATTCAGTCTCCAATCTGTGCAACACCTCTCTCTAACCACAGCCCCTGATCCTTTCAGCTTTCTTACTTTTAATCCCATTCTTTCACGTGAATGAGCTGTCCAAGTCATTTGCTTAGACGCTGTCAATTGCTTAGACCCTGTGTCTTATCTCTCTCACTACTCTTTTGTCAATATTCTTAACTATCATCCAGTTTTTGAGTTCATTGCACCTGCCCAGAAAAGTCATAACCTTGGATCAATCAAGCTACTCACCTTCTCACTGCCATACTTGAATTGCTGAGTGCCAGGAAAAAAAGGTAACATACCCATGCAGATTATTGACAGTATGAAGTCATTCTTTTAAACTTTAGCTTGACCATGTAGCTATGCAGCAGTCCTTCTCTGAGACTCAAGTCAGCCCAATCCTATTACTCTACAGTAGCTCTTACAGATCCTTACCATTTTTTAGAAGCCACCTACCTACCACCCTCTCCATTATTCTTGGATGCCACAGCTCTCACCTACCGCATAGAGGCTTCTTGACTGCACCCTGCCCCTTCCCTCATGCCTTTAGAAACACTGCATAGCAGTGACCCCTGGGTGAAGCCCCTGTCACCTATGTAAGATCAGGAGGCAAAACCTTCAACTGATGACTTGGAGGATAAGAAGGAATGAGAATATGTTAAACTCAAAGTCATTGGACAGGATAGCAGCGAGATTCACTTCAAAGTGAAAATGACAACACATCTCAAGAAACTCAAAGAATCATACTGTCAAAGGCAGGGAGTTCCAATGAATTCACTCAGATTTGTCTTTGAAGATCAGAGAATTGCTGCTACTCATACTATAAAAGAACTGGGAATGGAGTAAGAAGATGTGATTGAAGTTTATCATGAGCAAATGAGGTCATTCAGTAGTTTAGGTATTCTTTTATTTGTTTTTCTTTTCCCTCAATCATTTTTTTATTTTTAAAATAGTTCTTTTGTAATGTGGTGCTCAAAATGGAATTGAAAACTGGCACTCCATCTCTTTAAAACATCTGGTAATTTGAATTCTAGTGCTCATTATTCATTATCATTTGCTTTCATTGTGCTGATTTTTGGTGATCAAGCCTCAGTTCCCTTCGTATTGCCCTCTCCTTTTTAAAAATTACATGTGTGCACAGAGAGACCACCTTTTTTAGGACTATGCATTTTCAGGCTTGTAGCAATAAGTAAGATCGACCAAGGCAAGTGTTTGTAAAGACTTCCCAATTGGCCCTAAAGTTCTAGCATGTGATTGCTTCACTCCTGGACTGTGACTTTCACTGGGAGATGTAAGCTTTTCAGAGAACTGAACTGTGGAAAAATGACCTTTCCTTAACTTGAAGATAGCTTTAAAATTAGAGTCTAGACCAAAAGAAGAGGAATAGCATATTGGAGTCAAGATGACAGATAAGGTGAGAGTAATGACTAACTCCAAAGATGGCTTCACTGAAAAGAATGCATTTTAAGATCTAAAAAATAAAAATCTTGTCAGAAGATTCCATCATCCTGAATCATAAATCAGACAATGTGACTCTCTTCCTGTCCTCAAGATCCTTCAACATAGCCATTGGAGGAGTATGATTATTTTTTAGTTATTGAAGGATTGTAAGGTAAAATAAAAGATGAATGGATGAAAATGGCTAGAATTTTAACATTGAATAATAAAATCCAAACTCGTTTGACAGTATACAAAGACATTTTTGAGCTCTTTGTCAACTTTCCCAATTATATCTCTCCACTTAGTCTTCATATTCTATGCCCCAGCCAGACTGAAATATTTGCAATTCCAAGAAAGTTCCACATGCCATCTTTGCCCCGTGCTGCTGCTCAGGTGAGTCTCTGTGTCTCCTGCTTAGTTTTTAGTTTTATTTATTAATAACCTTCCAAAAAAAAAAAGTCAATTAGTTTTCCCAAAGCTACGTGATCCCTCAAGAACCATGTGCATTTTTATATTACTTATCATATGGCATAATATTCTTCTACTCATTTGTCTGTCTCACCAAGTAAATGTTCCTTGTGAAAATACATCAGGCTTTACATCTTATATCTCTTTCATCTTTGAATCCATCACCAGCACCTAGCATAGTACCTGGTTAAAAGAGACTATCCAAAGAGTTGAAAAAAGAAAGAACAGGTAGATTATTCAAAATATTTGTATTTCTGTTTCAGTTATTTATTGTTGTTATAAGCCATCCTAAAATTTAGTGGCTCAAAAGAGCAATTTATTATTATCTCTTAAAGTTCTGTTAGGTTAACTGGGTTGAGCTGAGTCGTTCTTGCTCAGAGTCTCCCAAGTAGGTGCTAACAGATGGTGGCTGGGGTTGGAACCATTTGAAGGCCCAAATGAGTTTTATGGTCAAGATAGCTATACCATATGGCCAGTTATTGATTGGAAGTTCTGCTGAGACTGTCTCCTGAAGCTTCTATATGTGGTCTTTGGATGTGACTTGAATTTCTCACAGTATGACTGAAGTGTTTCAAGAGCATCCCAAGAGGAATGTTCCATGTGGCCCAGGGGAAAGGTGCAAGGTTTCTTATGACCTAGGCTTGGGAGTGCTGTAATATCATTTCTGCTTGATTGTATTGGTCAAACAAAAACTGAAGATCAGTCCAGATGTCCAGATAACAGGGGAGGGAAATTAGACTTCACCTCTTGATTTGGCAATTGTGCATATGTGCAGGGAAACAAGACACTGATGGTGGCCATCTTTGGAAACAAACTATCATAATTTGGAATGACAATTTTAAACAAGACATTAAAATGTGCTACTATCCAAGACCTTTTCCTCCATTTGGCTATTTCACTCTTGAGAAGTATTTCCACTTATGGGATAAACAGGATTATGTGAAAAGATTATCAATGAAGTACCTATCATTTCATCTATTCTATAAAAAGTTTGAACCTGAAGGTTAAAATAAGATTAGGAAATGACTTACGTGTTTCCATTGTCGTTTCACTCTTAGATGGCCCTTATAAACATTTGAGAACTGATGATAATACAAACCAGCCAATCCTCAATTTTTCTCCTTTTGACTTTACAATTCTATCATTTTGATCTAAAAGATTAAATTCAGAAAACACATTTCTTTTAGAATATTAATTCCTGTATAACTGGAACTTTTTCCTTTCTATAGTTTAAAATTACCTTCACTGCTGCCAAAAGGTGAACAAGTATCTATTGACTATGACAACAAAATAATACAGTGCTCTAGTAGTGACAGAATTATGTATTTAATGTCATTTATTTTTCATTTGGGAGTGAATTATCTAGTAGCCAGTGAACACTTCTCTGGTATAGAACATAGCTATTTAATTTTAAGATGAAAAGTAAAGAATCCATCATCCACTGAATGAGAACATATTAACACTTGGCTGTAGGATGGGACTAGATAGAAATGTGTTGCAATTGTAAAGGGAGAAGAAATAACATTTAAAACAGTCACTCTTTTCTTCTAAAAGAAATGGCCTAATTCAATATCAATTAATCTGTATAGTGCTTACTTTCCTTTATGCCAGAGAAGCGAAAGAAGAGAAAGAAAATTTCAAAGTTTCTGCAATTCTTCAGTGCCACTGAAATGTGAGATGGGAGTTGGTGGCTCATGCTAAGCAGACACCGAAGAGTCCATGGACAGGAGAGCACGAAGAAGAAAGATGAAGGTTCTGCCTATCACACGAGGACAGGGATCCCTCTCTTCAGCAAAGTGTCCCACAACTTGGGTAGCACCTGGTCATCTTTCATGCTTTGTCTCATCCCTTACTTTCCAAAATCCTCTTCAGCTTCTCTCTTCTGTGTTAATAGGGTGGAGACGTGGACAATGTAGAAAAGGATGTGTATCAAGGGAGGGGGCAAATAATGGGCTGTGTGAAACCCCTCCATCATCTCAAGCTTTCAGCAAAGTCTACCACACAAGCAAATGTCTTGTGTGAGTGAAGTTCTCAGGGGTAAAGAGACTGTGTTTCACATCTTGGACAATATGGTGCAGAAACAGCATTTGAGGAACAGCATATGCAGCAAGAAATGTTAAGGGGCATGTAAATATCATACCAATCACCACTTATTCCCTCCCTCCATCCTCCCTCTCAAAAGTACTTTTGGAAAGATTGGGAGGGATTCAAGGCTACTACAGCTTACAGGTTAGGGTTGAAATAAATCTCATTTTAATCTCAATAAGCAGGACAACTCAATCTACATGTAGCCTACAGTTTTTATTTAGATCTAGTTCTCTTAGGCTTTGTATTCCTAGAAGGCAGAGATTTGGGGATAATTTGCCTCTGATTCCCCATGCTTTGCTTACTAAAATGTATATACATGCTAAATGATGTTGTAGTTGCTAGAAGGAAGGAAGGAAGGAAGGAAGAAGGGAAGGAAGAGGAAGGAAGGAAGGAAGGATTTTATAGATTCTTTAAATAACTAGACAGAGAGTTTTTACTCCAAAGAGCAATTTTGAGCTCCAAGATACTAATTTATAAAAGATAAAAATAAGCGTGAAAAAAGTTTTCTATAAGTTACCGATGACAAATTTTAATTTTTAATTATACCAGGGGAAAGAAATGTCAGAGGCTCTTTTTAGTTAGGCAAGTTACCAAAGACATAGGTTATGAATAAATATTAATTGGTCTAGAGCTAAAATAAATTAGGTTAAGATAATTCTAAAAATGTTTATGTTAACAAAGACTCCAAACTAAAGCCCATCATGTTTATGCAACATTTATGCAAATATTTACAGCCTTTTCAATAGATAGTTTACTCCTGTGATATTGGAGTTTGTAAAATAATATTTTGCATGCAAATTATTTTATAGTTGGTTTATATAAACAGATTGGGGTTGGCTTGGTATAGCACTTGGGCTTATCTGTAGAGCAGCTATTAGAGCTATATACGGTTTTTGCTATCATCCAAGAACGTTACCTTCAATTAGTGAACGATATGACCCCAGTGGGATGCCATCTACTCAGGAGCATTGTAAAGCACTTTTAGATTTGACAATGGCCCCATAGAACTCACTCAATAGGATGGGCTGTACTTTAAACTCATAAAGCTCAAGGAAGAGAACACAGCTTCCTTGCGTTGAATCAATGGAGACAGCAGGTGCCAAAAGAAATTCAAGACTCAATGTACACATGAAATTTTTAATAGCATTACTTTCTATAAGGACAATAATGCTAAAGAATGAGTCAAGGCGGCCGGACGCGGTGGCTCACGCCTGTAATCCCAGCACTTTGGGAGGCTGAGGCGGGCGGATCACGAGGTCAGGAGATCGAGACCATCCTGGCTAACACGGTGAAACCCCGTCTCTACTAAAAATGCAAAAAAAATTAGCCAGGCGTGGTAGCAGGCGCCTGTAGTCCCAGCTACTCAGGAGGCTGAGGCAGGAGAATGGCGTGAACCCGGGAGGCGGAGCTTGCAGTGAGCCGAGATAGCGCCACTGCAGTCCAGCCTGGGCGAAAGAGCGAGACTCTGTCTCAAAAAAATAAAAAATAAAAAAAAATGTTTAAAAGAATGAGTCAAGGCAAGGTCATCCTTATGAAGATATCAAAACTACCCGCTCCAGATTAGTCTCTGTAAAATCACTTTTTTAAAAAGTTTATAACCGATATAGTTAATACCCCTCTTTCTTGAGTGCCTCAAAATTCTGCTTTTGATTCAGAAGACTTCTATGTCAGAGTTGCTTGTGTTAAGCTGCCCCATTTATTTTTCCTCAGCTATACTATATATTCCATCTCTTTCTGTGCTCTTAGACCCCAACTATTCTCTATTTCTCTAGATCATACCCAACCTTCAAAGAAGGTCCAGTCTCCCAGTCACCTCCTTATACTTTTCTCCAACACTGCCACCCTTAAGTGATTATTCCCACCTCCCAGTACCCATAACTGTCTGTGTCATTCATTAGTCATTGGGCAGAAGGCACGTTGTAAAGTAAGAATCTCAGCTTAAACCTAGGTGATGATCGCTGCTTTAAGACTCCCTGCCCAACTCCAAGGCTATGTCTACTGAGACCCTGAGAATCTGACTATGGTATGGAAGCAAGAATCTCAAAGTGCTTGCATCTTTTAGACTATTATTAGGCCTATCCTGTTTTCTTCTGGCACAATGCCAGAAAATAAACTTTCCCTTGCAAACTATTCATTCCCCTGCCTAGAGAGAGGCTAAATGAGGGTTTCAGCCATCCATCTTTACTCAACTTTTTTTTTTTGTCAAACTCATTATTATACATAATCAAAACTGAGCTCTTAAAAACCTAGGGTACTTAACATAACTATTATTAATCCTGAATTGTTTTACCCTAACTAGAATCATATAAGAAGTCTCACTGTAGACCATAAGGTCCTAGGGCTGGAAAGGAATTTAGAGTTTTATTACTCCAAATCTTTGTTTTATTAAAAGAGAAAATTGAGACCCAGAAAGAATTAAGAATTTACCCAAAGTTCCAAAGGGGTACAGTAATGGAGCCAGGTCTTAGATTTAGATGTCTTGATTTCAGTTTACTATACTCCTTTTATGCCTTTCTGCCTCTTCTCCTCTAGGGAATTCCCTAGGTAAATATATACCCCTTCTTCTTAAAAGAGGATTATCAGCCAGGCACAGTGGCTCATGCCTGTAGTCCCAGCACTTTGGGAGGCCAAGGCGGGCAGATCACGAGGTCAGGAGATCGAGACCATCCTGGCCAACATGGTGAAACCCTGATTCTACTAAAAATACAAAAATTAGCTGGGCATGGTGGCATGCACCTGTAGTCCCAGCTACTCGGAAGGCTGAGGCAGGAGAATCACTTGAACCCAGGAGGCGGAGGTTGCAGTGAGCTGAGATTACACCACTGCACTCCAGCCTGGTGACAGAGTGAGACTCTGTCTCAAAAAAAAGAGAGAGAGAGAGAGGATAGTCTTGGTCAATACGATTTTTGAACGTGACAAACTATCCCCATTTTCTTTGCTCTACCAGAGTTCTTGACAAAGAGCATAAAGGAATCCTGGAGGTGGTGAGATTAATTGAAGGACAGACTTGAGTCAGATAACACTACCTGCTCCTTCACAGCGTCAAATGGATTAAATGTGATAATGCAAACAGCCTAACACACATAATAGGTTGATATATGATGACTTGCTTTTTCCTGAACTCCAGAAATCAATTTCAATAATCAGGTGGGGAAACCAGCAGGGAATCCAATGTCTGGAACAGAAAAATGATGATGGTGGTCAAAATAAAATTTTCTGTTTTAAAATAAATGCACATGAATAAAAATATGAAAAATTGAAAATTCTAGCTTGGAGACTTATTTATTCTTTTAGGGTACCAGTCTTTTTATTATTACAGTGTAAGTGGAGAATGTTTCACCATGGACACAGTTGTGTATGCTAAATAGAGATTTTACATTGCTTGAGTTTCCATTCGAGTTTGGTTTTCTGAGCATCATGCCTAAGGGAACAGCCTGACAACTACATCATATCATTTGTGAGTTAACTTTTTAAATCTGAGTTTAACAAATGGAAATGAGATTTAGAAGCTAAAAGAATAAAGAGGCATAAAAATAGCAAGAAAGCCTTAACTCTGTGGCTCCAGATTATTCTGATGTATCGACTGACAAATTTTTCACTTTTCTAATTTATCCTCTTCTTTACTGTTTACTGACAAGAAAATTATTTCTATAGGAGATCTTTAAGATTCTTCATTTGTGTAGTAAGTAGATTACAACAACAAAACTGCAAACTCCTTAGAAGTAAAAGAAAATGTAGTTTTTCAAACATAGAGAAGTGAAAATAATGATGACTTTGAGCATCTATTTTGTGCTAGGTACACTCAGCTAGGTAATTCTGGATGTGTCATTGAGCCTTGCCATAATTTTTCAAGGCAAGTACTATTAATCTATTTCACAGAAGAGAGGCATAGAAATTAGTTGGCTTACCCAAAACACATGGATGATAAAGAGTGGAGCAGTCAAACCTGCCACTATAGGGCCCTGCCAATTCCTATGCAGCCTTCCTTAAAAGAAGCAATGGAAATATATTTAGCTTTAGAGGCAGGAGATGTAGGCTAGAACTCAGGTCTTTATTTATAAATGTTTGGAGCTTAGACAAGATAGATGGTTGTCTGGGCTTTAATTTCTTTATCTATAAAATGAGAATGCTAGCGCCTACCTCAAAGTGTGTTGTGAGGAATAAATGAATCCCTACAGTCTGTGAAAGTGATTTTTAAGCTGCTGAAAGCAACCAAAGGGAAGGTGTTTGGTGGTGGCTCTCTCAGTGCCTGCTACAATGATCTGCCACCTCCCACTCACCTTTCAGGATGGCCTTGAGGAGTTTGTGGACAGTGGATGCCAAGGTCAACACAAGCAGCAATGTGAGAAGATGAGTTACGAACCTTTTTAGGAGCTCTGAAAGGCTCAAGCACTCAATAAAATAGTTCTTAGAAATTTAGTTTTTCAAAAGCAACTAAAACAGCCTTGCAGAATTACAGAAGCCAGGAGAATATTTTCAAACCTTAGTTAGAAAATGAAGACCCTTGAGTAACTAGGCAGAAACTTTAATCGAATATACCCCATTAGATTTTCAGGAACGTATAGAAACTATGTAGCATAAAGGTTTATTTTTTCAGATAAGGAACATGAGATCTGGATACCATACTAATCAGTAGCAGAATTGGGACTAGAACCCAGGCCTCCTGGTTCTGAGTCTGTGCTACTATCTACTATATGAATTGCTCCTCTAAATGCATTCAAATGCATAGGAATGGCATTGACAACAAAGTTAATGACAAAGTATTAACTATTAAGGCCCACCAGTATGGACCTGGATGGGTTTGAACTTACCGTCTAACCTTGAGCAAGTTACTTCACATCTGTGCCTCAGTGCCCTCATCTGTAAAAAGTATTATGATAATGCCAATTTCATGGATTATTATGAAGGTAATGCACAGAAAGTTCTTAACACAGTGCCAGTCGTTGCTCATTTCTTAGTTATTGTATAATCATCAATCCTCTGCATGTCATCAAACCAGAATTATGACTACCTGTGCCTCTCCTTTTTAGGATAACAGCAAACGATCTGGGAGCCTACCAGGAGACAGCCTGGATGTAATTTAGGCAGATCCTGTCTGCTTCTTCCCATATTAAGCAGAGTTTGAAGCAATCATAACATGATAGGATGTGCCTTGATATGAGGGGATAAAAGGAGATGTAGCACTCATTCTGAGAATTTGAGCCTGAGTCCCAGTTTTTTCACCTACAAATGAGAATACTAATACTCGTTCTTTTTAACTTTGTGATACTCAAAACTGTCAGCTTCCATAAAAATTATAGACTATTCATTGTTATAGAAATTTAAAGCAAAAAGCAAAAATGCTGGTGGTTTTTCTTCTTGGTTTTATAAGCCACAGCCTCTCAGTGAAGTGGCTTTTTTACTTCCTTCTCACACTCAATATCTGGGGATTTAATGTCAGAAGTGGGTTAACATTTTATTAATTACATTTGATCTCATGGCCATGAACTTGGGTATTTGCTCACCTCTAACAAGGAAAATGTGGTCGTTGCCTTAGAACATGAGATCCTTTCTGAATAAATTGCGAAAGTCTTTTCAACAGCCTACTTGTTCTTTTTACATAGGAGCTTAGCTTTGGAATTACGTGAAAGCCACGCTAACCAGCTACCTGCTTTGTGTACTGTCCTAACAATTTGGCCTTTGATTTTATGCTTCTTTCAAAAGCATACAAGCAATAGGCAAACATTATTCATCAAACTGGTTTGATGACATTCTTTTGAATTTAGCTTTTTTTATTCTCCTATGGCACAGTCACATCTATTCTCAAGGCTATGATGACCCACGTGTGCTGAGGCCTCTGGGCAGAAGTGCCACATTAGAGCTTTCATTGGACAGATCAAGAGCTCCAGAGTTCCTGCTGGCTGCCTAAAGAAAGATATTTAGCATTTTCTCTGCGATTGCCTCCTTCCCTTGCCACAGTTTTCTCAGAGTTGTCTTAGAGGAAGTATTCATCTATATCTCTGTTAAGAGCTTTGATGCATAAGGACCCCGCTTGCAGGGGCTGTGAGGCTGCATCTGGCAGATGTGTTGATGTATAACTAGCAAAATGATTTAAGTTCAATCTGATCAATACTGTGGTTAGTATTAGCCTCACACTCCTCCTGTGCATCCTTCACCAAGCCCACAGTTTCTGCCCAGCCATGGTCCTTGAATCTATACTGCCTGATGTGGACACTTGTGTTAAGAATAGCTACCCTCAAAGGTACTCGCACTGTCACATTTTGAACTTCTCTGCCCTTTCTTCCTTTCCTCCCTCCCCACTCAATCCCCAACTTCACATACCCAGAAATCCTAGAAGCTTCCTCCCAGTAATCTCCTTGGAAGAAGCTGACCAGGCTCAGGGGAAATAAAGTAGTAGAGAAGTCCATATTGGCCTCTTCCTGTGGTTTCAGCTCTAAAAGGGAAACAAAAGCCCTAGTTGGAGACTGACCAGCTGTTTACCCACTTCACACACATGGTAAATGTTCTCTGCTGATAATTCTTGTTTCCATTTGACTAAGTGAGAATCCTTATGTCTAGGGATAAAGTGACTGACTCCAATGGGAGGTCACTTTCAGAAGAAACAGAAATAGATGGATTCCACAGCACTAACCAATGCTAATATTGGGTGTGTTAAAAATAAACATGTGTTTTCCCTCAGTGAAATACAACTTCCCCAACCATTTCTTTTTTCCTTTCTCTTTCTCAATATTTCATTAATGCAAACTTTTCCTAACTCAAAAGGTATTCCTGCATACAGATTGGTTTCCACTAAGAGAAGTATGTTTTGATAAAATTTACGCAAAGTGAGCACCATAAACATAGCAGCATAACATCACCTATGGTCATGCTGAGATTGTAACCAGTGAGGTAAATCTGAGCCAAAGACAGCTTTATATCTTTTAGTGGCTTTATTCCCTTTCAATTCAGTGGCTTGCTGAAATAGCTGTAATAATTAAACAGAGAACTTCTAAGCTATCTAGATTATATAAAGATAGGTGCTAAAAGTCACACTAGAGTGGGAAAAGTTTTGTGTGGCAATATGGCTAGGTTACTAAACTGCCTTATACAGAACCTAATGCAATTAGTACTTCTGACCATAGACTTTCCACTCCTTTTTAAAACAGTAATACTAGCAAAGAAGCAATAGAAAACAAAGAGATCACAATGGTAAACTCAGAGGTTCAGATATTTGCTCTGTCGCTTACAGTTTATATGAACTTGGACAGGTAATTGAACATTTCTGTGTTACTTTATTCATCTATAAACATGAATATTAGTAATACTTTTCTCTCAGGCCTGCTTTGAGGATATGAGAACACACACATGCATACATACATACATATACATCCATACTTACATACATAAACACACAGATATAGTAGTGCTCAAAAAATGTTGGATGTTGTTAACATTTGCTGCTATTAGGTTGGTGCAAACATAATTGTGGTTTTTGCATTGTTGGAATTTGCCATTTGATACTGGAATACATTCTTAAATAAATGTGGTTGTATTATACATCATTTTAATGCACATTTCTCACTTTATTTTATTTTATTTTATTGTTATTAGTTTTTGCTAATGACATACTACTTGCTGTTTATTTTATATTTATTTTAGACTATGGAAATGATGTTAGACCAAAAACAAATTCAAGTGATTTTCTTATTTGAGTTCAAAATTAGTGTAAAGCAGCGGAAACAATTCGCAAAACCAACGACGCATTTGGCCCAGGAATTGCTAACGAATGTACAGTGGAGTGGTATTCGAGAAGTTTTGCAAAGGAGAGGAGAGCCTTGAGGATACGAAGCAGAGTGGCCAGCCATCAAAAGTTGACAATGACCAGCTGAGAGTATTTATCGAAGCTGATCCTCTTAAAACTACAGGAGAAGTTGCTGAAGAACACAACGCCGACCATTCTATAGTCATTTGGCATTTGAAGCAAATCGGAAAGGTGAAAAAGCTTGATAAGTGGGTGACTCATGAGCTGAGTGAAAATTAAAAAATCGTCGTTTTGAAGGGTCGTCTTCTCTTATTCTATGTAACAACAATGAATCATTTCTCAATCAGATTGTGATGTGTGATGAAAAGTGAATTTTATATGACAACTGGTGACAACCAGCTCAGTGGTTGGATCGAGAGGAAGTTCCAAAGCACTTCCCAAAGCCAAACTTGCACCAAAAAAAAGTCACGGTCACTGTTTGGTGGGCTGCTGCCAGTCTGATCCGCTACAGCTTTCTGAATCCCAGCAAAACCATTACATCTGAGAAGTATGCTCAGCAAATCGATAAGATGCATCAAAAACTGCAATGCCTGCAGCCGGCATTGCTCAACAGAAAAGGGCCAATTCTTCTCTCAACAATGTCTGACCACATGTCACACAACCAATGCTTCAAAAGTTGTACAAATTGGGCTATGCAGTTTTGCCTCACCTGCCATATTCATCTGACCTCTCGCCAACCAACTACCACTTCTTCAAGCATCTTGACAACTTTTTGCAGCAAAAACACTTCCACAACCAGCAGGATACAGAAAATGCTTTCCAAGAGTTTGCCGAATCTGGAGGCATGAATTTTTAGGCTACAGGAATAAACAAACTTATTTCTTGTAGGCAAAAATGTGTTGATTGTAATGGTTCCTATTTTGATTAATAAAGATGTGCTTGAGCCTCATTATAATGATTTAAAATTCATGGTCCAAAACAGTAATTACTTTTGCACCAACATTTCTTGTGTTCTTATTATGCACCAGTACAGTGCTAAGCATTTTACATGTGTAAATTCAGTTATTTCTTACAACCACTCAAAGATGTAAATAATATTATAGGCTCTTCCAAATGATGGAGATACTAGGGGCCAAGTTTGCTAGACAACTTGCCTTAGGTCACACAGTTAATAAGCAACATTGGGGCTCAGGCCTTATTAGAGCACCTTACTAGACACTCTGGATTGCCTCCCCACTGTTGAATGCTAGACAAAGGACTCACTGCCCAGGCTGCCATTTGCAAGTAGCCGGCCATTCTGTCTATAGCGTTGAGTCATCAGAGTATACATATGGACATGCAAACACCAAAACATCTGAACTATTTGGTGTGTCTACCTCCCATTTATTCAATAATTCATTCAAAAGCATTTATTGACAGCTTGTTCTATGCCAGGCTCTGTGCAAGTTCTGAAGGGTCCAGAGATGACTGAGACAAGTCCTTGCCCTTGGGAGCATTCCAACTCAAGTCAGGGGAACAGAAGTATTAAAAACAATTATACGTGGCTGCCTGCTACCTAGCGCTGTGCCCTCAAATAAAAAGGAGGCTTCCAAGGTGAACTGAACCAATGCCCAGCCCTATGCCCAAAACCCTCAAGGTAAGAATTTTCTTCTTCAGTTCATCTTCCTCAACTGATAATTAGTCCACACATAGAGAGTCACTTTTACCAGTAAGCTATTCCACTGTGAGGGTTTCAATTTCCTTCGTGTAGCTAGAGCTATTCCCAAAGACAAGTCTTCTCATAAGCAACCAGCTCCCCATAGGAATCCAACATTTTCCATAATCTCTTCCATTTTTTATTATATCTTTGAGGTGTTACTTAGCTGAACAAGAAAAGCAGTTTTGCTTATGACTGGGTCTTCGCTTAGATTGAAATAGGGAATCCTCATTGTTTTATCTTGACACCAAGGGCTTAAGGATCTTAGGCCCTTGCAGACTATAAAAATGTCACTAGGAAATTAAAATCTTAAAGATAAAAATAGTGGCATAGTTTTATTTATTTTTCCATTCTATAAATACTTATTGAACATGTAAAATGAGCCAGGTGCTTGACAGGGAATAAGGAATACAATAATATACAATGGTAAAATGGTCCTTCCCTTTAGACTTACAATCTGGTGAATGAGACATAGAGAGATGGAAAAATTTGA
The DNA here is from genome assembly GCF_000001405.40 of Homo sapiens. Classification (NCBI taxonomy): domain Eukaryota; kingdom Metazoa; phylum Chordata; class Mammalia; order Primates; family Hominidae; genus Homo; species Homo sapiens. Next base: position 168,911,468 of record NC_000001.11, read on the forward strand.
AGTACTATTAATATTAATCAGTATAGAGCAGGATGCAGTCACATGAATGGTAGGGGAGATAGACTGTTTAAGACATGGGGATAACATGTGCAAAGGATCAGACATAAAAATGTGCAAAGAACACTACAAAGACTAAAAGGAAAACAATGTTGTATGGCTAAACATGAAATAAAACCTGAAATATGGCAAGACATAAAACTGGATATTTTTTTCTGGTGGGAGATTTAACATGCTCCAGGCCTCAGTTTTCTCATTTTCAAAACAAGAAAGGTTGGGAGGCCAAGGCAGGTGGATCACTTGGTCAAGAGTTTGAGACTAGCTTGGCCAACATGGTGAAACTCCATCTCTATTAAAAATATAAAAATTATCCAGGCGTGGTGGTGTATGCCTGTAATCCTAGTTACCTGGGATGCTGAGGCAAGAGAATTGCTTGAACCTGGGAGGTAGAGGTTGCAGTGAGCCAAGATTGTGCCACTGCACTCTAGCCTGGGCGGCAGAGCGAGACTCCATCTCAAAAAAAAAAACAAAAAACAACCAAGAAACATGTTAACTGTGTACATAAAATACCTTCCAGCTTAAGTTAAGTGACATTAGCTTCCCTACAACCACGAATGAATACCCTGAGGACCCTCATCCTCACTGCCTATTAGAGGGGCAGCTGTTTTTCATGAATGAATCTGCAGGAATAGTACCATCTGATTCAGTGTTTTCTTTGTGAGACATTCTCTGAGAATAGACTTTTTTCCAACAAGACACATAATTTCCATATCAATAAATGCATTTCAGTTCCTTAAGGAGAAAGGCTTTTTTCCTAAAAAAAGACCAAGATGTCCAAAGGGATGACAAAAGTTGAGTAGTTCTGTCTTATGTGGCCAGCGAGGGCAAAGAGCAAAATAGAAAAAGTGCCATCAGTAAGATTCAGAGCAAGCCCACTTAATACAATGCCATCTGTCCAGTGGTTGATCAATAACACAGACCTAAAAGAGGAGAGCTGGGTCTATACTGGCCTTCAGCATTATCTCCTTGCACTGTTTTCAAGGAATTAAGGAGCTTCTTTGTCCCTTAACTCTTCAACCATCTAAGATATGAATAATCATAATATACTTTACTTTCTGAAGCATTTTGTGGATCAGGAAGTCCTTTTATATGAATTATCCTACTCAAGCCTCATGAGAACCCAGTGAACTAAGATTTCTTATCCCTTTTGTACAATGGGAAATCTTTGGTTCAGAATAAGTAACTCACCATGAGCCTCTCATTGGTCAATGGAGCTTTACAAACCAAAGACTCTTTGGATTTGCTCTGTTGCCAAAGAAAACTCTGAAGACCGGTTGGTGTGAAGGTTCTTGCCAAAAAATTTAAAATAAAAATGAAAATTTAACACATCTGACTTTTCTTTTCTGTTTGTTCCTCATACATTAAATATGATATTTAACCAATTATCTCAACTGCCTCTCAACTGCAGAAAGTTAACCTTTATATGGAATGTATTTTAATATTTTATCAATCCAGACCTAGCACCAAAAGATGATTTTATAAATTATTTCATCTACTACATCCTTATTTTCCTTCCACAAGATGGAAATTAGCATATTAATCACTGCTAACATTTTTTGAGGATTTATTATTTAAAGGCACTATACTAAGTGCTTTTACATGGATTATCTTGTTTTATCCTTAAAACAGCCTCATGAGGCTGAATATTTATTATGCCCATCTTCTTTTTTTTAGACAGAGTCTCACTCTGTCTCCCAGGCTGGAGTGCAGTAGTGTGATCTCGGTTCACCGCAACTTCTGCCTCCTGGGTTCAAGCGATTCTTGTGCCTCAGCCTCCCGAGTAGCTGGTATTACAGGCACCCGCCACCATGCCCGGCTAATTTTTGTATTTTAGTAGAGACGAAGTTTCAAAATGTTGGCCAGGCTGGTCTCAAACTCCTGACCTCAGGTGATCCACCCACCTCGGCCTCCCAAAGTGCTGGGATTACAGGTGTGAGCCACCACGCCTGGCCTGTGCCCGTCTTCTAGATGAAGAATATGAGGTCTTAAATGAGTTAAGAGATGCTCAAGTTTTCATAGCTAACGAAGAGGTGGGGCCAAAATTCAAACCAAGACACTTCATTGCCAAACAGTGTCTGTGCTCTTAAAGTCCGATGCCTCCCTACCCCAAGACTCCCTCCGACAAGCAGCAGGGTTCCATAAAAAATAAAGGCAGTCTGTGCAATCCATGCAATCTCAAGGTTATGTGTGCAATTACTGATGGGGGTATAGGCATAGAACATCACACACTTCCTACCTTTCAGCTAGGATGACAATTTCAGTCTACTTCACAGGGATTTAGAGTACCATTGAAACTGCTTCTGAAGATACGCACTCTTCATATTCAGAGGGAGCCCCAGCCCCACTGTGTTACTTTACCAGTGAGAGAGAGGGAACAGCAAGTACCTTCCAGGAGCCTGGCAACTGGCCAGCCTGTGATCAAGACCCTAGATTGGCAAGATTTAAAAGTGCAATCAGTCAACATGGGGGGAGGGAAAAAGCTAAGTGGTCCATATAGGAATCAAATGCACGAATCTGGCTTCATTAATATGCCTCATTAATTAATCAAACAAACTCATCAAAACTGCATTCAAGTTTATGGGCAAATCGAGTTTATGGGCAAAAAGGCAAAGTCACCTTGCAAGTCTTATAAAAGAGAAGTGCTGTTCATTTGCTCATTTTATTATATTGTTTTTCAAACATCATATCAAATTGCCCCTGGTGTTGAAAGGAGGCCTTGCCTGGAATGCTGGTGGCCCAGGAGGCAACCCTGGAAGGAGCCTGCCCTGACACTCCTGATCCCAGCCCCTCCCTCAGCACCCACTGCTGGGGCAGTTGCCAACAGCACTGTAAATCCTGGGGGCTCTCAAAAGAAGAGAGACAGGAAGATTTTTGACATGATTCTGAAAAAACTATGATCCGGTTTGATAGATTTTAATTTCAGTTTAACATGGACCCCAGTTTTAGATGATCTTATTACATGTGCTCTTTTCAAAACATAAAAGTTAAAAATGAACCTTTAAAAAATCCCACCATCATTTTCACAAATAGCTTGCAGCAATTTGGTTATTGTTTTCCACCTCCAAAGGGCACAAAGCAATTACTCAGAGGGATAATTACAGGGATAGAAGGCATTGAGGAGCTGAGCCTTCCACCTCCAAATTCCGTCTCTGCTGGAAACTAAGCAATTGGCTCATAATTGCCAAACTCAACTAATGGGCATGAGAAGCCCAATGTCATTCATGTTGGGTATAAATGCTGAAGACATTAATAGCATAAAAAGTAAAATCTGATTTTTATTCACGTACTTGTGTTTTAAAGATACCATAAACCATTCACTGACTTATTAGGGAGGAGGGACATAATCCATTAGAAAATAGAGAACAGAGCTTTGATATCATAAAAGCACCATTCTTCCTGTAAGGTTTGAAACTTGAGTCAAAATCCCAGCTGCTGATCTCACTTTGTGCTAGTAGCAACAACCCTCTGAGCCTCGGAGTTCCCATCTGTGAATCCCAGCCATAAGATGATGTTGTTGTGAGGATGACATAAGAAAACATAAGGAGATGTGCCCAGCACGTAGTAGGGCTCCACAATCATCTTTTGAACCTGAATCTGAATAATGTAGGTTGCTCACTTACAGGGATGAAAGGGATGAAATCTAGGCCACTAAATCACAATATGACATGCAGAAAAAATAAACTTGACTAGGTAAACTTTGATGTCCCACTATTGAAAAGATCACAAGGCATTTATTGGTTTTAAAAAGAGAAATAACACATACATTACTCTGTGTGTGTGTGTGTGTGTGTGTGTGTGTATATATATATATGTATATATATATATAAATATAATAAGACCCAGACAAATGTTCTGGAAAGTCCAAGCTCCCCTTATATATACAGTATACAAGGAAAATCTGTAAGAATTCCAGAATGATTTAACGGAATTATCTCAGAAAATCAAAACATCTAATATACCCAGCAATCATTTCAACATGACTTCAGGGTCCAAACACCAAAAAACTGTGTCTCAGCCCAATGCTAAAATCTAGTCCTGCTTTGTTTTATGTGCTTGAAGAAAAGATGTGTAGTATGAATCTCTATACAACAACTGATATTTTGTCTGTTGTTACTGGGGAGTTTCTTCCTTAAAGTGACACTATGGTAAACCTTTTTGTGGAAATGATTATCCCTTATTTTATCTTTCGTGTAAATGTGGGTCTTCCAGAACCTCATCTGCTCCTGACTGCTCACAATTATCCCTCAGGAACTCAGGAACCCTGAGAATGGAGAAGGAATCAACATGAACCATAACTCAGGATAGTATCTTTGGGAAGAGTCTGGCTCTCAGGATCTTACAGACTCAGGTTTGAGTTCTGTCTCTGACATGCACAAGCTGCATAAAATTGGATAAGTGACTTAGGCAACATCTTCTTCAGCTGTAAAATGGGTATAATAATCATCTAGACCTAATAGTTTATAATTTAGATTCGATGAGACTATACCTGGGAAACCCTGAGAATAATAAGTGTCAGTAAGTGTTAGCTGTTGCCATCATCCTCATCTTGGCCAATAGACACTGAGAGATCACCTCACATTAGCACTTAATCCATGTAACCCTTTTGCTCTTCACACGGCCTCCAATATTTATAGTCCATATCAAGCCCATTGAGGAGTGTAGCTTTCAGACCCAGTCCTATAACACTATCTACTTAGAGAAAAGTGAGAAAAAGAAGGGGAAAAGCTACATGACCTTCTCTTCCTTCTCCCGTGACATCTAAAGTGTCCATAAAAGTCACAACAGATAATAAAAAGTACATGTTGATTGACAAGTTCCTTGAATTTCACTGATTTCTACAAACCCAGAAATCAAGAAACCACGTTTCCTGTAGAAAACACTCATTCCACAAAGATGTCACAGGTACCAGAGAAAAGCAGAGAGCAAGGGAATTAATTAATTAGTTTCAGTTAGGCACCAATCAAATAATACCATTATCTTCCTACCTAATAGCCTGGGACTTAATCACGAGCTACTACTGACCATAAATATTCATATTGGCATTTGAATTTCACATAACTGACCTTTTATGTGAAGAAGTCAAGCTTGATCAAGACTGTAGGATACTAATGACATGCAGTGGAAGAGGACACATGAAAAAATATTGACAGAACCTTCCCACAAAATACGAAACCAGCACAGAAAAGATTTAAAGGAGGTAAAATAATACCTGATACTGGACTGAGCTGGCACCATAGAGTCTCTCCTCTCCTCAGCTCCTACCACACTCCACTGAAGGTAGGATTTAAAAAAAGAAAATTCTTGTACCTTCAAATCTTTTAGTCAGTTACCTTTGTTGATGATAGGGCCGATGATGGTTAGCTTGGCCTATGGGCTTCCTGCACTGTCTGCTGCTCTCTTTTGGATTTGGAAATCTAATTTGAGTCTCAGGAAGCCCTTATGAGGACCAGGGCAGAGCCAAAAGTGAGAAAGTAGGGAAGGCTGGAAGGTCAAAGGAGAGATGAGGAGACCTTTGGGGGAGGTGTCCTCCCAGGGTGTCCAGTACCTGGCAGGAAGGTGGCAGAGGAGGCTGGACACTGCTCATTCTTTCATACATAAAAGGGGCTTTTATTAACTATCTCTGTGTAAAAACTATTCCAGACACTGTGGAAGTAAAGATGAACAAGACCTGGCCCCCATCCTTAAGGTTATCATTATGTATAGGGGAAACCAATCACACACACAAACATGCATCACTTTTATACAATGGGGTTTCATGTGACAAGTGCTAAATGTGAGATGTGAACAATGTCTAAGCGATTCCGGAGGAAAGAATGCCTTAAGGGTATTGGGGGTGGTCAGGAAGGTGTCTCCAGGAAGATCATATTGTGGTCTAAAGGAGCATGAGTTTGCAAAAGTACAAGTTGAGGTGAGAGTACAGGAAGAGGATAAGTACTCCAGGTGGAAGCACCAGCATAAGCCCAGGGCTGGAGATAAGAGGCAATCCTGTGAGGATTAGTGCCCCTGAAGAGTGAAGTGGGAAAGACATGTGGAGGGGAAATGCAGGGAGATGTCTGCAGGCCAGATCACAAGTAACTAAGGGTGCCCTTCCTAGTGTCTGTATATAGGACAGAATTTCTCCCCAAGAATGCATTTGGCCAGAATGTCTCTTGTGCTCTAATATCTCTCAGGAACATGAGAATTTGAATGGGGAGGAGAAGGAGGAGGAATGCCCCACAATTAGGGCTTCAATAAAGTGACATGTAGTTACAAACAGGAAGAGAAAATATGGCATTTGCTCTTTCAGTTGATTTTGATCTGAAGTCTTAACACTGTCTTAAGTGAATACTATGCCCTCTAATTTTCTGAAATTGCAAGGTAAATGTTTAAGATGAAAAACAGGGAGTTAGTCCTTTTTTTATTTTTTTCTGAGCTTAACCTTAAGAGTGAAAAAGAGTCTGCCTTCACATCACACCCGCGCAGATCTCTGGATTCATAGGATGAGCAGGGCTGCTGTACTAATCACATTTTCTTATTGCAGGATGCAGAGCTACATAATAACTGGTGAGTAACTTCACATTGAGGAGTTAGGTTTCAGAGCTGGCTCTTAGGGATCTGGGATAAAAGCAACTCATAGTCCTTCACAGGGTCTCCAGTTACTGGGAATGGGCAAACCTTGCTGAAAAAGAGGAAGGAGGTATGTGGGTGTCAACCGGTTTGCAGCTCTGAAGCCACTGGATTTCTCAGCTCCTGCTTTTCTTCTTCCTCCTCCACCTCTTCCTGCCCTTGCTTCTCCTCCATGAACCCAAGCCCCTGCCCCATCACATGGCTAAAGAAGCAGCTACAAAATAGGGACAAATTATCATTAAATTAGCGAGGGAAAAATTGTACATTTGTCTGTTCTAGTGAAATTTTCCCCAAAGGGCTCAAAAAGATCTGGCAAGTGCTCCCTTCCTGCCGCAAATAGGTGGGAGTGTGTGGCAGTTCCACGTCTACCACATACTAAGCACTTACTACAAGGCTCTAGGCATTGTTAATGCTTTAAATAGATGTCTCAGTTTAACCATCTCTTCAACCCTACAGTACTATTGTGACCATTTTATGGATGAGAAAATGGAGGTACAGAAAAGTTAGGGGCTTCCCCAGAGCTCACAGCTAGAAATTGGTGGAGCCAATATTTAAATCTTGGCAGTCTGTCACTAGAACCCTGGACATCTACCACTGTATTATAAAGCCTCCCAGACTCCCAGAAATATGCCCATGAAATCTCCTAGATGCTGAAAATGGACCAAATCTCACCAACGCCTTTTGAAGGCAAATTATTCAAATGGATAAATGTGGATTACTATATCTTTAGGGTTTTTATTAAAACTTGCTTGACTGTGTATAAAATATTCAAGACACATATGAAAGGTAAGAACAAGTGGCCATGTATGTGGTATGTTTATTCTTCCTACACACCAGTGCTCCAGCTCTGAATATCTGAGCTACTGGACCATTGTCCACTTTGACCTTGAACAATAGGGAGATCCTTCTAGCCATGATTGTTCTTGAATCACCAAACTCCTCCTTCTGCCCTTGCATAATGTGCCCTGCCCTGCTGACAATGAATGCCCTGATGTACTAAGTCACAACACTGAATATTCCTCTGTCCTCATTTTTTTCAGCAAACAGGATGAATATCAGCTCCAGCAGAATGCCCACAAGGTTGTATGAAATTTAGCGAGAGAAAATTCTAAAGTAAATGCTGCAGAATTCTATTATACAGCACTGTTTCCAGAGTGCTCAGCATGTCACATTGCCCTGTAGAGCTGGGAATGCAGAAACAAAGGCCTCCAGTGTTATTTCCATTTGTAAGAAGACTGAATTAACGTTGCTAGGGAAACAAAACCTCAGTTTCCTATTCAATTTACTTTCAGCTTATGTGTCACACCTCTTGCAGCCTCGGTGAAACACAATAAAGGAAGAGAACTACAGTTCTTTTATTAAAAGCTCTTAGCGCACATATTTCCCAGGTAAAGATAATCCACAGGAGGATAGATTTGGGCAAATTTCATCATAAAAGTGATTCAACTCCACTAGATTTCGCTATATGGTGGGGGGAAGATTACATAAAAAGATGCCTGTGTGCATTGCTCACTGTACCTAGGAACACCTGACTCAGGAATTGCATTTGTCTCAATTTTCAGTGGTCACAGTTACAGCCTAAAAGTCTTGGAACTTGTGTATAACTTATAATGTATATATAACTTGTGTATAAGTTATAATGTTTATAATGTGTATAAGTTATAATGTGTGTATAACAATCAAAGAGAGAGAAAATTGGAAGAAATGCAGTAATGAATGGGGTCAGAATGGTGGATAGAGGGTAGGAAAGCAGGAAAAGAAGAAAGAAAATGGTAGAATCAGCTCAGTAGTTAGTAATGGACCACAAGACTTTCAAGAGGGAGCTGATCAATTGATTCTGATGTTGTAAAACATATAGGAGAAATGGGTTACGGCTAACGCAAACCAAACCAAATATCAAGGATGATCTGGAGAGAGGATATGGATCACACTTGGATGAGGCTGTGTCTGCACAAGCATGGGCTCCTCCTTCCTTTGCCGAAATATGCCGCCATCTTAAGAGCTAAAACCAACAAGCTTTCTGCTGACTGCTCAGATGTTAGTGTCTGCACACTTCCAGGGATTTGTCAAATCCTAGTCTTAATTCATCGTCAGTCCCCAGGGTTCATGAAGTGGTCCATGTTTTCCAAATCTCAGTTCAAACATCATTTCCCAAGGACATCTACCCCAACACTGCAGACTAGATTCAATCCATGCTACGCATTCTCAAAACGTGGCTATCATTTTCTCCAATTTACTCACAGTTAGAAGTTACGTATTTCTGTGATTTTATTTATCTTTCTCCTTTATTAGACTATAAGCTCCTTGAATATAAGAAGTGTGCTTGTTTCTGCTTAGCATTGTGTCCTCAGTTCCTACCCAGAATCTGGCACATAGTAGAGTCTCAGCTAATATTTGTTCAATGAATGAATGAATGTGTACTAATCAGTTATGACTAAAAGGTAAACAAATCACCCCATGATGACTAATGATACCAAGCCTTCAAAGGCCAGCAGGAAGTCACAGAATCACAAGTCAACTTCTGACTGAGCTCCTTTCCTAGGGAAGCACACACTCCCAGACAGAAGTAGACCATATAAAATTTGGATCCATCGTGAATGTTTAATTGCAGCCTTATTTTCCACATACAATGTCAGTATTTGGCTTGCCTTGTATGACCATGGGAGGCTTTCAGAATTAGTTTCTGAATAACTTCTTAAGGTTGTTTGTTATATTGACTTCAGCCAAAGATCATTGGTATTTCCTGAGACCGGAAAGATTTGGGCCTTGTGCGTAAACAACATCTTGGATCAGGCACGGAAATTTCAACAGTACTTGGCAATTTCCTAGCAGCTTACAACTGCTGATCCCGCCAACACAGGGAGTTTAGATGCAGTTTCCTCGTCCTTCTAGTTTCTATAAATGTCCTTCCTGCAGAAAGCAAGTGGCCAGAGGCACAGAGAATAGTGATGTACTCAAGTTCTCCTTCTGCGGCAGAATTAAGAATTAAATCTAGCTCCAGTGAGGAAGCAGCAGACCATGCATTCAAGACCAGTTACATAAATGGTTTGAGTCACATTATTTTTTTATCAAAAACTGTTTTATTCATTTGTACTATTCCATTTGTAATATCTAGGTAAGTGGGAGATGGGAATGTGTCAAGAAACAAAGGCTCTGGGGGGTACCACAGAATGCCCATGAGTAAATCTGTAAGACTCCACTGAGTAAATCTTTAAGACTCCACTGATAACTGTTCCTTTCATCAATATCAGGAAAAAGGTCACCAAGAAAGACATGGCTCTGAGGGATCCAGAAGCCACTGGATCTTCCCAAAATGAGAATTTCCTCAGAAAGAAGCAGAAAGAGGCCCAGATTTGAGTCAGAGGGATCCAGATATGAATACTGGTTTTGTCACTGAGCTATGTGACCTTGGGCAAGTTACTTCACCTTTCTGAGCCTCAGTTTCCTTATTTTAAAAGCAGAATAATAATATCTGCCTTCCATCACTGTTTCAAAATTAGAACTAGCTTGAAGAGAGACTCCAGACTGCTATCTGGCTTGTAATAAGTTCAACTGTCATTTCACTGGCCATCTCCAAATTGCCCTCACCACTTCTCCATTTTTCTTTGTTATCATTCTGGACCATGCCGGGTATCCTTTATTCATGCTACTGTTTTTCATGTAGTTTGCTGAACTTAGAAGTGTCATTTTCTTGGCTTTAATATCTATGATAGTAATGACTTGAATTACCTATTAATTGTATTTTGTGGTCTCATGACACGAGAGAGAGCAAAAGCGAAAGTGAGAGAGCTAGAGAGAAAGAAAGAGAGCAAGTAAGGGCAAGCAAAGTCCAGAGACAGCTACATAAACCATATTTGATTATGTGCATCTGTCAGAAGTAGGCCAGACCCATGGGATGATCAGGAATAAGTGCAGCTGGAACAGAACCTAGATATCTTTCTTCTGGTCCCTCGTCACATTCACTCCCACTTCTCTTTCACTCCCCGCTCCATCACTCCAGATTTGGTCCCTCTTCTTTATGATCCCAGCCTTCCACCACGACAACTTTAATGAACTTTGGTCCTGGTCCTCATGCCTGTCATCATCTTCTGTCTAGTCGAGAGTGGTTCTCATGTGCTCTCTGGCTCTGTCCAGGCCCAGCATGTCCCTTCTCAATTGAGCCCACTTTGGCTTCCAGTGTCTGTCCTTTCCACCTCTCCTCAATAGGTTTCCTAAATCCACCACTGACTCAATGTAGTTCAGGGCCACTGTTCCTACTGCCTCTAGTTTTGTCTCCTGACTAGCTCATTCTTCCTTTCCATTTCCTCGAGCCAGGAGGGCCAGAAAAGTCTCTTGTTAATGATGTTTGCACACTGCAGGGTTGATCGCCACATGCCACCACAGACCTGACCAAATGTGAACTTGACTTAGATCTTGCATGGGCTATGCAGGTATTAAAATCCGGGCTCCTGCCATCAAGCAGCTTACATATGATTGGCAGATAACACAGACATGTTAACGATATAAAGAAAAAACAGCCACAAAAAGTCTCATTTGAATTTGAATAATGTTCTCAGTAGATCATTATTTATCTGAGAGAGAAGGCACCAAAAGAATCCAACAAAAAAAATGGCCTAACTGGATTATTTTTATGATTACTTAATTTCAAATTTATACTAATATAATGAGTAAAATATGATTTGCTAAAGTACAATGCATAGGGAAAACAGAATCTGCTGAACTAAGAGTGACCTGTCAGTGATTCCATAAAGACCAACTTGCATAACAGAGACTGGATGACACAGAATTTAAGGTACAACTGCAAGGATATTGTAACAATCTTGATGGCGATCAATAAGTTGATGATTCTTTATTGTTTATATATCTCAAAAATAGCAACTACTTTAAAGCACTGAATTTCAAGTATACACACACAGAGCTACACATACACATAACATGCTAAGTCATCTTTTGTCAATCATTGTACTTTTTAGAGTTATATATTTCAAACTTCAAAAATATTAGGTAAAACTCACATTGTTAACATTTGGATAATGGCATTTTCAATGAACAAATAAGGGCTATTGATCAACAAAAAAAGCATATGATTTAAATAACTGAATTGCAAAATTGAGAAAGCACATCAACTTTGCATATTAAGGATATGTAGGAAAACGTATTCATAAAGTATCTGCATCTGTTTCAAAGGGGAATGCTTAATTAGAATGCAATGACCTCAATTGATCACCCAGTTTAAATGGTTCAGGATTGTGTCCTAACTAAAAGCCGCCATGGTAACTAAAAGTGAAGTCAAACAGCTGCTCACTCTGTTGCCTAACTTTGTTCACCTAGTTAAAAGTTTTCATGCTAGATAATATATTTCCCACATTTTGTACTTATTTTTAGTTTCTAGGAAAAAATGTAGAGGCATTCTGGCTTTTTTCCTGGTACAAGTCATAGTCCATTTGTCATTATGGTTACAGATAAGAAACATCCAAAACAACAAACAAACAAACAAACGAAACCAGATAAGAAACATCCCAGATATTTCTATGTAAGTCTAGACATCTAGGTGTGCTGAAAGACACTTCAAATTTGAACATTTCCTCCCACAATGTTTGGTCTATGTGCATTAAAATCCAGTTGAGCAAATCTTTATCTCAAAGCCTGCTATTTGGAGAATCTGACCTGAAACAAACATCTATATATTTTTTCATAATTGGGGGAATCCCAATATGAGTGAGAGATAAAATCTTATTTACAAGAACAGACATTATCACCCTTTACTTCCTGTCAGCTAGAGTGTGAGCTCATGCCTCTGAAATTTGAAGGAATGACCCGGAGGTTCAGGGTCAGAGTTACAAAGTTGAGACCCCAGTAGTGAGATCACAAAGGACGCATGGTGACAATGCCAACCAGCAGTGATCTAAGAGGGTAACTCCTATGGCATATCTTTGACTATGCTTCATTTCCTTTGGCTTCCATCTATGCCTAGTCTATTATCCTTCAAATGGAGGTATGGGATATTATTCCTATAAATTTATATTCCACTTAAGTTAACCAGATTAATTTCTGTTTTATTCACTAATAGAATCTTGACTCCCACAAAAATACTAGTAGAAGTTATTGCAATTTACAGAGCTATAGGATAATGAAAGAGGAATGGACAAAACAATACATGGAATTTGTTATGTAGCTTATTTGCTGACAAAGGCAGTGAAAATATAGCTAGCATTAAGGGATGGGAATACTGATGCTCTTGGCACAGATTGATAGCATGACTAATGAAATTGTGACCTGTGATTTGATGATATTAGGGAATTTGTGTTCAATATGTTAGGTATAGTCATGGTATTGTGTTCATGGAAGAAAATATTATTGCTTTAAATATGCATATTTCCATATTTGCAATGAAAAGCCATTTTGTCTATAAATAAATTTGACAATATATTTGTAAACATTAAACATAAGTGGTGTATGTACATATTTTATTTATGCTATTTTCTCTAGTTTTTATGTGGCTGAAAATGTTTAAAATAGAGATTCTGAAAATTATTACTTGTGATTACCTGAGACGATCACAAACCAGTTGGAAGGAGGGGAAACAAGTATCCATTGCCATAGAACAGTAAAAAGTGTCTAAAGAATTGAAGGATGAAGTCAAATGACAATATTATAACCCTAAATTATTAGTTAAAATTATAAACAATTATAGGGACTAATATAATTTTGTAAAATTGCCTCTAATCTCTTATAGCTACTTAGCTAAAATAAATGAATAATAAGCACTAAGTTCTACCATGCACATTGTTGAATTACATCCATTGAGTTCACAGATTTCCCAGGCCTTTTTCTGAAAATGTGGACACTGACAGAGAACACATGAAATGCCCAAAATTGGAATGGAGCACTAATGGGGGGTTTTGGAGGACTTGGAAAATCAAGAACCTACAGCTTCCATTTAGTTTCCTCTCTCAATGGAAGTAGCTTCTCCCTTGTCTCAAATAATTACCCCTGCCTTTCCCGAGGACCCTGCAACTCTCTAGTCTGTAGAAGTTAATTTATAATTGGAAGCTATTTCTCTTCATGGCTCATTACCCCACCCTTCACTTTCTCCAGAATCCTAACTAGAATCAGATTCCCAGTGTGCCCCAAATCTGAGAAGATAAAATCTATGTTACAATAATTGCAAAAATTGTGTAAGTTATATTAGGAAAGACATGGTTTATATATGTGCTAATTTCTGGATTCTGAGAGTGTTTGACTAAGAAAGGCATTGCAATTTAATTAACTGAATTTATTAATATAGGTGCAGTAAACAGATTTTTAAAGTTAATACACTAGTTCAAGCTGCTGGATCTTATTTTTTCTTTTCTTTTTTATTATTTATTTATTTATTTTTTTTACTTTAAGTTCTGGAATACATGTGCAGAATGTGCAGGTTTGTTACATGGATATACATGTGCCATGGTGGTTTACTGCACCCATCAACCCATCATCTAGGTTTTCAGCCCTGCATACATTAGGTGTTTGTCCTAATGCGGTCCCTACCCTTGCCCTCCACCCCCCAACAGGCCCCAGTGTGTGACGTTCCCCTCCCTGTGTCCATGTGTTATCATTGTTCAACTCCCACTTATGAGTGAGAACATGCAGTGTTTGGTTTTCTGTACTTGTGTTAGTTTACTGAGAATGATGGCTTCCAGCTTCATCCATGTCCCTACAAAGGACATGAACTCATTCTTTTTTTATGGCTGCATAGTATTCCATGGTGTATATCTGCCACATTTTCTTAATCCAGTCTATCATTGATGGGCATTTGGTTTGGTTTCTTTCCTAACTGACTCAATTCTACATTCAACATTGGCCACAGGAAATAAAGTTGATATTTCATAAATTTCTTGGAATGTTATTAAGAAAGTTATCCAGAGAGACTTTGAAAGACTGTTGAAGTGAATTTTATCATCCACTGACCCTCATACCCAACTATGACCAGTCCTCAAAATACTCCCATTACTAAAGCCTTAAAAAATATATTGGTGAAGGGAAACCCAGCGTCTTTATAAAGTGTCCAAGTTGTTCTCTGTAGGTGAGAGATGCTGAGGTTGAAATGAGCTCAGTGATTTCAACACGGATTGAAAGACTCAGGGTGGAACTTCACCACCAGATATAAGGTGTATATTATTACCAAAATAGATTGCTTGGGTCAGTATGGTAATTAGAATGATCTCACTCAACAGCCACAGTTCTCAAACCATATACTAAGATGCCCAGGGCTCTGCAGCAAAGTCACAGAAGTGGCCCAATATCTCGTAAATGTCAAAGGAAAACACAGTGAAATATACTGCATGTACTACTAGCTCAAGATAGTTTACAATTTCCACTTTAGATCATGCCACATTCCTTTCAGTAACATCATATCTTTGAAAAACAGGGTTTTGGTGGCTGCTGTGGTAAAAAGTAGATACTGACATGAAAATTAATGTTGAATAGAAAATAAGGGTGGTAGTTTTTAATGTGATTCCCCGATTTAAAAAGATAAGTAGTGCCTAACAGGTATATATATTCCACAAGTAAGAAATTAAAATTATTTAAAGATAAAACAAAAATGTACTCTTTTCTTCCAATTTGTGTGTCCTATGTTCTTCATGTACACATCCCATTGGTAAGTAGTTGAGGTTATTTAAGAATAAAACAAAAATACTTTTGTTCATTTTATACATATTTCTTTATATAATCCACAAGTTATTAGGACATAAATATGTATGAAGTTGTTTTAGCCCAACTACTTAATAAATGGAACTTTCAGTTACTTAATTTGACCTAGAGGCACCAAAAAAAATTACTGAGACACTATGGACACTAAGACTGAGAAAGTTTGGAAATCTCTATCCACGGATATCTTAATGATGAGTTCATTACTGTTACTAAGAACAAACAACTTTGTTTTCTTTTTCATTTTATTTTATTTTATTTTAAGTTCTGGAATACATGTTCAGGACTTGAAACTCTGTTACGTAGGTAAACGTGTGCCATGGTGGTTTGCTGCACAGATCAACGGAACACCTGCATGCATCAAGCCCTGCATGCATTAGATATTTATTCTGATACTCTCCCTGCCTCTACCCACCCCTCCCCACCCCAACAGACCCCAGTGTGTATTGTTCCCCTTTCTGGATCTGTGTGTTCTCATTGCTCAGCTTCCACTTATAAGTGAAAACATGCAGTGTTTGGTTTTCTGCTCCTGTGTTAGTTTGCTGAGGTTAATGGCTTCCAGGTCTATTCATGTCCCTGCAAAGGACACCATTTCTTTCCTTTTTACAGTTGTATAGTATTCCATGGTATATATGTGCTACTTTTTCTTTATTCAGTCTATCATTGATGGGGATTTGGGTTTATTCCCTGTCTTTGCTATTGTAAATAGTGTTGCAACGAACATACACGTACATGTATCTTTATAATAGAATGATTTATATTCCTTTGGGTATATACCCAGTAATGGGACTCCTGGGTCAAATGGTATTTCTGGTTCTAGGTCTTTGAGGAATCGCCACACTGTCTTCCACAATGGTTGAACTAATTTACATTCCTGCAAACAGTGTAAAAGTGTTTCTATTTCTCCACAGCTTCGCCAGCATCTTTTGTGTCTTGACTTTTTAATAATCGCCATACTGACTGGAGTGAGATGGTATCACAATGTGGTTATGATTTTCATGTCTCTAATGATCAGTGATGTTGAGCTTTTTTCATATGTTTGTTGGCTACATAGTAGACACAATAAAAAAATGATAAAGGGAATATCACCACTGACCCCACAGAAGTACAAACAACCATTAGAGGATACAATAAACACCTCTAAGCAAATAAACTAGAAAATCTAGAGGAAATGAACACATAAATTCTGGACACATATACTCTCCCAAGACTGAACCAGGAAGAAGTTGAATCCCTGGATAGACCAATAACAAATTCTGAAACAAAAAAAAAAGCCCAGGAACCGACAGATTTACAGCTGTATTCTACCAGAGATACAAAGAGGAGCTGACACTGTTTCTTCTGAAACTATTCAAAATAATTGAAAAGGAAAGACTCCTTCCTAACTCATTTTATGAGGCCAGCACCATCTTGATACCAAAACTTGGCAGAAATACAACAACAAAAAACATAAAACTTCAGACCAATATCCCTGATGAACACTGATGCAAAAGTTCTCAATAAAATACTGGTAAACCAAATCCAGCAGCACATCAAAAAGCTTATCCACCACGGTCAAGTTGGCTTCATCCCCTGGATGCAAGGCTGTTTTGACATATGCAAATCAATAAATGTGATTCATCACATAAACAGAACTAAAGACAAAAATCACATGGTCATCTCAATAGATGCAGAAAAAAGGCCTTTGATAAAATTCAACATCCCTTCATGTTAAAAAAAACTTTCAATAAACTAGGTATTGATGGAACATACCTCAAAATAATAACAGCCATTTATGACAAGCCCATAGCCAATATCATACTGAATGGGCAAAAGCTGGAAGCATTCCCCTTGAAAACAGGCACAAGACAAGGATGCCTTTTCTCACCACTCCTATTGAACATAGTTTTGGAAGTTCTGGCCAGGGAAATAAGGCAAGAGAAAGAAATAAAGGATGTCAAATAGGAAGAGAGGAAGTCAAACTGTCTCTGTTTGCAGATGACATGATCCTATACCTAGAAAACCCCATTGACTCAGCCCAAAAATTTCTTAAACTGCTAAGCAACTTAGCAAAGTCTCAGGATACAAAATCAATATGCAGAAATCACAGTCATTTCTATACACCAACAACAGATAATCAGAGCCAAATCATGAATGAACTCCCATTCACAATTGCTACAAAGAGAATATAATACCTAGGAATACAGCTAACAAGGAAAGGGAAGGACCTCTTCAAGGAGAACTACAAACCACTGCTCAAGGAAATCAGAGAGGACACAAACAAATGGAAAAACATTTCATCCTCATGGATAGGAAGAATCAATATTGTGAAAATGGCCCTATTGCCTACAGTCATTTACAGATTCAATGCTATTCCCATTAAACTAGCATTGACATTCTTCACAGAATTAGAAAAAACTACTTTAAAATTCAAGTGGAACCAAAAAAGAGTCCACATAGCCATGACACTCCTAAGCAAAAATAACAAAGCTGGAGGTACCACAATACCCCACTTCAAACTACACTACAAGTCTACAGTAACCAAAACAGCTTGGTAATGGTACAAAAACAGACACACAGACCAATGGAACAGAATAGAGATCTCAGAAATAAGACCACACATCTGCAACAAACATCTGATCTTCGACAAACTTGACAAACGCAATGGGGAAAGGATTTCCTATTTAATAAATGGTGCTGGGAAAACTGGCTAGCCATATGCAGAAAATTGAAACTGGACCTCTTCCTTATATCTTATACAAAAATTAACTCAAGATGTATTAAAGACTTAAATGTAAAAGCCAAAACTATAAAAATCCTAGAAGAAAATCTAGGCAATATCATTTAGGACATAGGCATGGGCAAATATTTCATGATGAAAATGTCAAAAGCAATGACAGAAAAAGCAAAAATTGACCAAAGGAATCTAATTAAACTAAAGAGCTTCTGCACAGCAAAAGAAACTATCATCAAGTGAACAGACAACCTACAGAGTGGGAGAAAAATTTTGCAATCTATCCACCTGACAAAAGTCTAATATCCAGAATCTACAGGGAACTTAAACAAATTTACAAGAAAAAAACAAACAACCCCATTAAAACATGGGCAAAGGACATAAAAAGTCACTTCTCAAAACAACTTGATTTTATTACATTAAAAGAAACTTCTAGGTCTGGTAAATAGGGGCTAGACTTGAGCAACCACAGAGAGAGTCAAAATGCCTCAGTTTCCAACTCTGAATTAGTTTAGAAACTCAGATTCCCTTAAATGAAGAAAATTTTAAAACTCTTGAAACAATATGACACATAATTAATTTGAATAATTTGCCCATGTTTTTGTCAGCTCTCCAGTTTTCTGCCACAATTTCCTCCACAATTACCCTGACAATGTAGCTTTCCATAGGATATTACATAAATTCGTTACGTTTATAGGTGAAAGAACCTGGAAAACATAAAATAGAAATATCACACTCTAAATGTTTTGATAGAAATGTGTGTATCAGAGAGGAGAGAATAAATCTTATAAAAATACAGCACCCTACAAGAGCAGTAAAATTATTTAAGTTATAGTAGATGAGAATAGATAGATATATTTCATCAAAGGGAAAGAAAAAAATGATCCCCCTTTTACCTTCTACCACCGAAATTACTTAAATTATACTTGTCGAGCCCTTGAATTTTGGAGGCACTATATACCACATTTACACTTGTGTCTGTGACCCAGTGTTAAATGAGACCCAGGTCAAGAGACAACTCTTTGGCTGGTCTAGGATATTGTATAAACAGATCTATCACTCTGCCCTTATATGACAAAAAGAACCTTATGGGAATCACAACACCTGCAGTAGATTGGAATATTGTATGTATCCTGAGGGAAATCATAATAGGAGAATCATGCTAAAGATATCTAGAGTTTTGAAGTAAAGCTGATCCCTCTTTACTTTCTAAAACAGGTAATTATTCTGCTTTTAAAAACATTATTTGTTTTGTAACTAGGTCTTGTCCAGGAATCTTTTAGGCATAACTAACTTCAGACTTGGTCAAGACTGAAAATACTCCAAAAGTACCTGACAAAAGCAAACTCAAAAACCAGGATCTACAAAATTCTCACAACTGAAGCCACATTGAATAGGAGTTTACAATCCAAAGTTACAAAATAGTTGGGGAATTTCACCATGAGCCAGAGAAAGCAGACATATAAATATTAGGATTATACCCCCCACCAGTTTATAATTGAACAATAAGACAGAGGCTACAAAACAAAAATGTTTAAAATGACTACAGAAAGAAAAACTGAATATATATATATATACACTATATATATATTTAGTGTGTATATATATATACACTAAATATATATATATGGGGAGCAGGAAGTTTTGGAGGGAAAATACCTGAAATGAAAAATATATCCACTGAAATCACAACAGTAGATGTGTTAAGTTGGAATGTAGATAAAAGCATAAAGAAAATTAATTGGCTGAAAGATATATCTTTAAAAAATTAGTAAGAATGCTGTATTGACAGGTAAACAGATGGAAAATATGAATGAGAAATAAAGAGACATGGAGGATAAAATGAGAAGACTTAACATATCTGGAAAGGTTTTCTGAAGGAGATAAGTTATTGGAAGAGAAAATATCTGAAATTTTTAGCCTTGATAAAAGATAAGAATTGTGAAATTTAGAAACCCAACAGTCCCAAGTAGGATAAAAAAATAAGTTCACACCTAGACAATGTAGTAAAATGGTAGAACAGAAGAGATATAATGAAAATATTAAAGACATCTGGAGAAGCAGCATATTATCTAAGAAGAAATAATGTATAGTCTGGTCTCAATAAATTCAATGGTAACAATAGAAATCAAAAGATAATGAAACAATATATTCAGTGCTGAGATAAAGTAACTCTCAATTTGCTGTTGAGAGAATTCCATGTCCAGTTAAACTACCATTTAAGAATGATAATGAATTAAATGTTTTCAGATCCATATTGTATGAGTTTACCATTAACAGACGCTTACTAGTGAACTTCTAAGTATCTGCCTTAGTAAGAAAGAATCTCAATCTGTAAAGAAGGAAGTGTGAGCAAAGAGACTGAAAAAAAATAAGTAATTCCAAGCAAACTGCCGAATTTTATAATATAATCACAATAGCTATTAACTTTAGAAGTACAAAAACAAGTTCAAACTAAAGTATGTAAGGTTGACATTTAATACAGAATGATGGGTAATTAAAGTTCCAGTGTTTCAGGGCTCTTGTATTTTTCCAATAGAGGGAAGAGAGAGTGATTAATTATATACTTTGTTAAAGAAAGTTTGCATATTAGAATTTTAAGAGAAACACAGAAAAGAAACTGAATGCATAACTGTAAAACTACTAGGGTTGGAAGAGGTTATAAGATTCTTAATGCATGACTGCAGTAGACGAAGTGGCCACAGAAATTGATATATTCATAATGAACTGGATGTTTCTAATCCACCTATCATTAAGTTGGGCATACCCACAAGCATTCCATCATCTAGTGGAAGTAAACATATTCAAGATCTGAATGTTGCAGTTCCCCAGGTTGGACAAGCAAGTAGCTCACACTCCTAGCATGTCTACTCCAGCCACACAGTGACATTCTACCTTCTCCCACACCCATAGCCTTATAAAAAGTTGTCTAGGACCGTATTTTGAGTCTTATTTACAGAAGGCTTATCATGACATAGATAGAAATGGACTTTTACAATGCAACAGTGGTGGCTCTGAAGGATAGTGAAAACTAAAATTCTTCCAATGGGACAAATGTGAAATGCTTTAACTTGTGGTCAGGATGAAAGGAGAAATGCTCTCAGGTAAGCATCTACATCTACTAGCAGGTTCTTTAAAGAAGCAAAACAGAATTGATGACAAAGAGTCTTAGAGAAGAGCTATGTATACGAACTGGCAATGATCCCAGAATACACTCATGTCTCATGTGATATAAGTACTCCGACAAAATACTCCTCCATGGAGGATATTCTTCCAGATCAAGTAAGTAAGAGGATCCATTTGTTGTTGTTGTTGTTGTTGTTGTTTTGTTTCAAATTAGTACTAATCTTTAATCAAAGAGCTACAAATTCCCAGGTAGTCTTGGAAGCAAGACCGCTCAGTATTTTGGTAATGCTTGTATTTGACTTCTCTTCCTCCTTTGCAACCGTGCAAGGTTTCTGTCTGGGTTTCTTCAGAAGACCTCTGCCTCCTTTTCCTGGCATCATGGAGACCCAGGCCCTACCGAAATGCATTTAAGAGGCTTTAAACAATTAAATAATGCCAAGCGGATGGTGGTCAAGGGGTTTCTTCAGAAGACCTCTGCCTCCTTGTCCTGGCATCGTGGAGACCCAGGCCCTACCAAAATGCATTTAAGAGGCTTTAAATAATTAAATAATGCCAAGCAGATGGTGGTTAGCTCAGGGCAGATACGCTACAAAAAGTTAACTGAGGTCCCTCCAAGTTCATGGATGGAGCAAGGCTGACACTTCCCAGTGGGCCTCGGGTTTCTCCATCTGCTGTTCAGAGCCCAAGGGGAAGCTGCTAAGGCTTTCCATGCATCTACAGAAATACACTCTTTTTTACACAGCTGCAAGACTGTGCTTATGGTCTTTAATCTTCCTCTTTGAAAAGCATCCAATTTAGGAATTTTTGCAGTAATCATTTCAGAGTAATGAAAAACAGACAGAACAATAGAAAATTTCAGATGTGATATGCGCACTCTGTGCACTTCTCTCTAATGTACATTTAAAAAGATGTATTAGTCATCCTAAGGAACCTCTTTTGTCTTCTCACACAATCAAATTCTGCCTGTGTGCAGACCATAAACATCATAATACAGTTAATTTACCCAATATACTCATTTCTCCCTCATAACAATGCCCATAAGATAGCATTCAATTTTGTTTTAAAGTTTCCTTACATACAAGATGGGGTTTGGAATGAAATTTTTTCACCTTGCAGTCTTGCAAAGCACCATGGTAGAAGCTAATGTGTGCCATTTTGTCTGTTTCAAGTCTTTTTTTTTTTTTTAACTTTTTAATTTCCATAGGTTTTGCAGGAACAGGTGGTATTTGGTTTCATGAGTAAGTTCTTTACTGGTGATTTGTGGGATTTTGGTGCATTCATCACCGGAGCAGTATACATTGAATGCAATTTGTAGTCTTTTATCCCTCACCGACCTCCCGCCCTTTCCTCTGCATCCCGAAAGTCCATCGTGTCATTCTTATGCCTTTGCTTCTTCATTGCTTAGCTCCCACTTAATAGTGAGAACATAACAAAGTTTGGTTTTCCATTCATGAGTTACTTCACTTAGAATAATGGTCTCCAATTCCATCCAGGTTGCTACGAATGCCATTAATTCATTCATTTTTATGGCTGAGTAGTATTCCATGGTATATACATATATACCACAGTTTCTTTATCCACTCATTGATTGATGTGCATTCGGGTTGGTTCCATATCTTTGCAATTGTGAATTGTGCTGCTATAAGCATATGTGTGCAAGTGTCTTTTTTGTATAATGACTTATTTTCCTCTGGGTAGATACCCAGTAGTGGGATTGCTGTTTCAAATAGTAGTTCTACTTTTAGTTCCTTAAGAAATCTTCACACTGTTTTCTATAGTGATTGTACTAGTTTACACTCCCACCAGCAGGGTAGAAGTGTTCCCTTTTCACCACATCCATGCCAACATCCATATTTTTTGATTATGGCCATTCTTGCAAGAGTAAGGTGGTATTGCATTGTGGTTTTGATTTGCATTTCCCTGATTATTAGTGATGTTGAGCATGTTTTCCTGTTTGTTGGCCATTAGTATATCTTCTTTTGAGAATTGCCTATTCATGTCCTTAGCCCACTTTTTGATGGGATTGTTTGTTTTTTCTTGCTAATTTGTTTGAGTTCCTTGTAGATTCTGGATATTAGTCCTTTGTCAGATGTATACATTGTGAAGATTTTCTCCCACTCTGTGGGTTGTCTGTTTACTCTGCTGACTGTTCCTTTTGCCATGCAGAAGTTATTTAGTTTAATTAAGTCTCACCTATTTATGTTTGTTTTTGTTGCATTTGCTTTTCGGTTCTTGGTCATGAAGTCTTTGCCTAAGCTGATGTCTAGAAGGGTTTTTTCCATTGTTATCTTCTAGAATTTTTATAGTTTCAGGTCTTAGATTTAAGTCCTTGATCCATCTTGAGTTGATTTTTGTATAAGATGAGAGATGAGGATCCAGTTTCATTCTCCTACATGTGGCTTGCCAATTATCCCAGCATCTTTTGTTGAATAAGGTGTCTTTTCCCCACTTTATGTTTTTGTTTGCTTCTTGAAGATTGGTTGGCTGTAAGTATTTGGGTTTATTTCTGGGTTCTCTATTCTATTCCATTGGTCTATGTGCCTATTTAAATACCAGTACCATACTGTTTGGGTGACTATGGCCTTAAAGTATAGTTTGAAATCAGGTAATGTGATGCCTCCAGATTTGTTCTTTTTGCCTAGTCTTGCTTTGGCTATGTGGACTCTTTTTGGGTTCCACAAGAATTTTGTTTTCTCTAGTTCTGTGAAGAATGATGGTGGTATTTTGATAGAAGTTCCATTGAATTTGTAGATTGTTGTTTGGCAGTATGTTCATTTTCACAATATTGAGTCTACCCATCCATGAGCATGGGATTTGTTTCCATTTTTTTTTGTGTCATCTGTGACTTCTTTCAGCAGTGCTTCATAGTTATGCTTGTAGAAGTCTTTCACCTCCTTGGCTAGGTATATTCCTAAGTATCTTTTTTTGCAGCTATTGTAAAAGGATTTGAGTTCTCAATTTGATTCTCAGCTTGGTCGCTGGTGGTGTATAGCAGAGCTACTGATTTATGTATGTTAATTTTTTATCCTGAAACTTTGCTGAATCCATTTATCAGTTCTAGGAGCTTTTGGGAGGAGTCTTTAGGGTTTTCCAGGTATCCAATCATATCATCAGCAAACAGCAACAGTTTGACTTCCTCTTTACTGATTTGGATGCCCTTTATTTCTTTCTCCTGTCTGATTGATCTGGCTAGGACCTTCAGTACTATGTTGAATAGAAGTGGTAAGACTGGGAATCCTGTCTTGTTCTAGTTCCCAGAGGGAATACTTTCAAATTTTCCCATTCATTATTTATGCTGGCTGTGGGCTTGTCATAGATGGCTTTTATTACACTGTGGTATGTCGTCTGTTTGCCGATTTTGCTGAGGGTTCTAATCATGAAGGGATGCTGGATTTTGCCAAGTGCTTTTTCTGTCTATTGAGATGATCATGTGATTTTTGTTTTTATTTTATTTATTTATTTATTTATTTACTTGCATATGTTAAACCATCCCTGCATCCCTGGTATGAAACCCACTTGATCATGATATATTATCTTTTTGATATGATGTTGGATTTGGTTAGCTAGTATTTTGTTAAGGATTTTTGCATCTATATTCATCAGGAATATTGGTCTGTAGTTTTCTTTTTATTTTTTGTTATGTCCTTTCCTGGTTTTGGTAACAGGGTAATATTGGCTTCATAGAATGATTTAGGGAGGATTCTCTCTTTCTCCATCTTGTGGAATACAGTCAATAGGATTGGTACCAATTCTTTGAGTGTCCGATAGAATTCAGCTGTGAATCTGTCTGGTCTTGGACTTTTTTTTTGTTGGTAATTTTTTATTACTATTTCAACCTCACTTGTTGCTATTAGTTTGTTCAGGGTTTTTAATTCTACCTGATTGAAGCTAGGATGGCTGTCTCTTTCCAGGAATTTATCCTTCTTCTTTTGGTTTTCTACTTTATGCACATAAAGGTGTTCATAGTAACCTTGAATGACTTTTTGTATTTCTGTGGTGTTGGTTGTACTATCTCCTGTTTTGTTTCTAATTGAGCTTATTTGGATCTTCTATCTTCTTTTCTTGGTTAATCTTGCTAATGGTGTACCTATTTTATTTATTTTTCCAAAGAACCAGCTTTTTGTTTCATTTATCTTTTGTATTGTTTTTGTTTGTTTGTTTCTGTTTCATTTGGCTGTACTCTGATCTTGGTTATTTCTTTTCTTTTGCTGGGTTTGGGTTTGGTTTGTTCTTGTTTCTATATTTCCTTGAAGTATGACCTTAGATTGCCTATTTGTGCTCTTTCAGACTTTTTGATGAAGGCATTTAAGGCTATCAACTTTCCTCTTAGCACCGCCTTTGCTGTATCCCAGAGGTTTTGATAGATTGTGTCACTGTTATTGTTCAGTTCAAATAGTTTTTTAATTTCCATCTTGATTTCATTGTTGACCCAATGATCATTCAGGAACAGGTTATTTAATTTCCATGTATTTGCATGGTTTTGAAGGTTCCTTTTGGAGTTGATTTCCAATTATATCCCACTGTGGTCTGAGAGAGAACTTGATATAATTTCAATTTTCTTAAATTTATTGAGACTTTGTGCCCTACCATATGGTCTATCTTGGAGAAAGTTCCACTTGCTGATGAATAGAATGTATATTCTGTGGTTGGGTAGAATGTTCTGTAAATATCTGTTAAGTCCATTTGTTCCAGGGTATAGTTTAAATCCATTTTTTCTTTGTTGACTTTCTGTCTTGATGACCTGTCCAGTGCTGTCAGTGGAGTATTGAAATCCCCTATTATTATTGTGTTGCTGTCTATCTCGCTTCTTAGGTCTAGTAGTAATTGTTTTACATATTTGGGAGCTCCAGTATTAGGTGCATATATATTTAGGATTGCAGTATTTTCCTGTTGGACAAGGCCTTTTATCATTATGTAATGTCACTCTTTGTCTTTTTTAACTGCTGTTGCTTTAAAGTTTGTTTTGTCTGATATAACAATAGCTACCCCTGCTTGCTTTTGGGGTCCGTTTTCATGGAATTTCTTTTTCCACCCCTTTACCTTAGGTTTTTGTGAGTCCTTATGTGTTAGGTGAGTCTCTTGGATGACCCATAATTTAAATATCAGTCAGTCTCCTTCTACAACCACCCTAGAGTTTGTTCAGTGGTCTTAAAAAACAAACTAGCCATAGTGATTGACCTAGAAGCAAGGCAAAAATCTCTGCAAAGGGGACTTCTTATGGAATTTGACCCAGCTACTACCACAGCTGAAAATCCAATTTGCCAATTACTATGTTTAACCCCAATACCCAATATGGTCTCATACAACAGGGACCACTCAGCTAGCTGGTAGCAAGCTGATTACATTGAATACCATTCTGCATGGAGAGGGAAAAAATTTATCCTCACTAGAATAGAGTTGTTATCTATTTAGATTTGTTTTCCCTGCCTACCACTCTCTGCCAGCACCAGTGCGGACCTACTGAATGTTAATAGAAAATTGCAATGATCACATAAAGACAGTATCACAAGGGAATAAAGGTTAGGGTCTCCTCACCAGATAAAATCCCCATCCAGCTGTGGGTTTGGCTGGATGCAAAGGAAAATGGAATGGATAGTCAGTAATAGAAATTATGAATAAATTGCCACTTATTTCTGGTTGTCCATGAAAATCACTGACACGTAAATAATGTAGTCTTGTGTTGGTGTAGTCTTGCCAGCCAAAATGATTTCATAGGGCTTTTCCCTCAGAAGCTTACAGTATAAAAATAATATGGTCTCTTCTGGTTCCAGGTGCTTTGGGAGCTGGGTGTTACAGTGCAGACAAGGCCAAGTCCAAGAACCACACCACACACAACCAGTCCCGAAAATGGCACAGAATGGCATCAAGAAACCCCGATTGCAAAGATATGAATCTCTTAAGGGGGTGGACCCCAAGTTCCTGAGGAACATGGGCTTTGCCAAGAAGTGCAACAAGAAGGGCCTAAAGAAGATGCAGGCCAACAATGCCAAGGCCATGAGTGCACGTACTGAGGCTATCAAGGTCCTCATAAAGCCAAAGGAGGTTAAGCCCAGATGCCAAAGGGTGTCAGCCTCAAGCTCAATCAATTTGCCTACATTACCCACCCCAAGCTTGGGAAGTGTGCTTGTGCCCGCATTGCCAAGGGTCTCAGGTTGTGTGGGCCAAAGGCCAAAGCCAAGGATCAAACCAAGGCCCAGGCTGCAGCTCCAGCTTCAGTTTCAGCTCAGGCTCCCAAAGATGCCCAGGCCCCTACAAAGACTTCAGGGTAGAGATCTCTGTCTGCCAACGTGAGGACAGAAGGACTGGTGTGACCCACCCTGGGCTGCCATCAGCATGGGGCTGGTGTCTTCCTGTGCTATTTGTATAAATAAGCCTGAGGCAGGAAAATAATAACAATAATAATAATAATATGGTTTTTCCTCAATTAAAATTTATATTTCAATAGTGATTATACTTTTTCAAATTTTTACATGCTGCCCCCAAAACACATATATACCTCCCTGGTAATAGACTAAGAATGAGTACTTCAGATCAATGCATGGGACTCTACAGTTAGGGTGAAGTTAGTTCTCCTGTGGGCTACACACTCCTAGAAGTAGAGCTCTTAGGAATGTACAGACTGCTCATAAATCAGTTAGTCTATTATTGTAGCACTCAATGGGCATAAGTTTCCTCAGTGCTCTCAAAATCATTAACACATTATTTGAGTCATCAAGAAGGTGTTCTATCCAAAGCCTTAGCATTTCTTTCTATCTTTAAGGCCAGTCACTTATAAAAAGAGATATTCAAGGTGAGACAATGTCACCTTAAGAAAATATACACGCAGATCCCCATAAGGCAAATCATATGATTTTAAGAAACAAAACACTGAAGTGCTGTTTGATATCTAATTTGAAACTTTATTATGTTAGCAATTACATGAGTGGGGATTTTTCCAGTAATTCTTCCATGTGATTATCCTGGCTGTTAGATTCAAAATGACCTTCATACAAAGACAGATAATATCGCAAGCTAATGAGGAGAGGCGTCCTGTGTAGGCAGGGCAGGAATGAGTCACAGGCATCCTTCATAAAAGTAATTATGCACCTGCTGGGGAGTGTTTTCTGACTCCAGTAAATATTGATGTGCCTTTTCCCTGCATTGCAAGATGAAGATTTGTTGAAGGTTGTGATCTACCATAGTTTTCACAAAAGTCTTTTTTGGGGGCTATTTTATTTACTAGAATTATACAAACACAAGTCAGTCAAGCCTGAGCTGCAAGTGGACAATAGAGTTAAATATGTTATCAGATGTAAAAGACAAAAAAAAAAATCAGAAACCAACAAGCTATAGCTTCAGGCACAACAGCCAGGAAGGAAATTTTCCCAATTTACTAACTAAAATCTGGAATGAGGAGAAACTTCTGTTCCCATAACAGGGCACAGACACAGAGTGATAGCAGGCTCTAACCAAGATCCTAAAGTCAATCTAACAATGTAAGGACTTTATTGTTTGCAGAGGCAGGTAGGGAATAGTGTCATTGAAAACACCCAGATTTTGTTCTGCTAAAAATCCAGTTGAGCTGGGAACAGTGGCAGATACTTGTAGTCCCAGCTACTAGGGAGGCTGAGATGAAGGATCACTTGAGCCCAGGACTCTGAGACAGCCTGGACAGAATGAGTCCTCATTGCTAAGGAAAAAAAAAATTTAATAAAATTTTTTTAAAATTAAAAATTTACAAAGAACCCAGTTGACTCTTTTTTTTTTTTTTTTTTTTTTTTTGTGAGGGAGTCTCATTCTCTCCCAGGCTGGAGTGCAGTGGCACCATGTTGGCTCACTGCAACCTCCGCCTCACGGGCTCAAGCAGTTCTCCTGCTTCAGCCTTCCAAGTAGCTGGGATTACAGCCACCCACCACCACGCCCAGCTAATTTTTGTACTTTTAGTAGAGATGGAGTTTTGCCATGTTGGCCAGGCTGGCTTTGAACTCCTGGCCTCAAGAGATTCCCCCCAACCTTGGTCTCCCAAAGTGCTGGGATTACAGACGTGAGACATTGTGCCTGACCCCCATTGACTTTTGACCTGTGTAAGTAGTCTTCATTGTTTCATCTGCTACTATCTCTTGTGTTCACCACACCCAGTATTTCTTTAAGATTAGGTACTTAGTTAACTTTCTTTTTATCACATGAAAGCACTTCCATTATTCAGAATGACTTTTGCATTTCCATTGTCAACTCTTCCACATCAGTTTCTAGGTTTTGCCATCCCTAGGAAACTTCAACACCCCCACTTCGGTCACCCACTCCCACAACCACATCCTGAACATCCTAGACACTTGTTACAACTCCATGCTTGAAATGTTCAGTTCCCACCCACCACTATCCAATCCCAGTATCCTGTCCTTCTTGCTGTCTCATTCAGTTACTCCTTCACCTGCTCCTGATCCACAAGTCCTCCTATTCCTTTTTCACTTCAGAGACCATCCTTGTCTTCATATATTTCCTTGTTCAACTTAGAGTCCATATCTCCACACCTGAATTATTTTCTTGCCAAAACTTTTACTACCTTGCCTCACTGTCTTTTCAATGTTCTCACTTGGTAAATAGCCTAACACAGAATTAACCTGTATCAATTTTTATTTAACTTCTGTGGCCTATCAAATCATCTTCCTCACCTTGGTCCCTCCTTATTCTTAGTGGAGAAAATAGAATGCCTTTTACTTAATGAAGAAAATAGAAGCCATGAAGTGGAAATGCCCTCAATGCTTTGCCATCCCACCTACAACCTTACATGCATTTGTCAATACCCATTCTTGTTACCTCACTGCCTTTCCAATGAAGTTGTGTTTCTCTAGTTGTCTGAGTACTTCTTCATCCGTGCTCTGGATTGGGTAGCTTTCAGCTCCCACTTAAATGTATTTTTTCATAATTAAAAACTTTTTAATTTAGTAATTTTTAACAGTAACTTAGTTAATCATCTATGGAATGTTTTCCATCAGTATATTCACAGTCCACATTGCCCCTTTTTAAAAATTTTCCTTTTCTTTTGGCCAGTTTCTCCAAAGAGCCATTTAATAACAGCAAGTTTTTGAGCATCTACTATGAACTAGGTGTTTTACATAAATTAGCACTTACCACATAAGGTAGCTATTATTATTCCAGTTCTGCAGATTAGGAAACTGGATCTTAGATGCAGTTATGTAAATTACTTAACATTCCACAGTGACTGTGGCAGATTTGGGACTGGAACCTAGGTCTGTCTACACTGAAATTTGTCTGTTTCTTTTTGTAACTTTGCCTTGGTTGCCCTCTCCCTGATCTACAGTGTATGTTTTTCCTATTTCCATCTCTTTACATCTGCAAAAAGGCAAAGTAAAGGAGAGTTGATAGCAGCAAAAAGAATCACTTACCAAGGTAAAGAGCTTGTTCAACTAATGGGAACAGAAGGAATCAGAAGGACCTAGGCTGACCTCAGCCTGACTTCTCCTTAAGGAATCCAGAGTGAATGAATGGTGGCCTGGAAAAAAGACACTGACTCCCACTTCCCACAGTGCTCCATGCTATACTCTTAAAGATAGCGTACCAGCAAATGGGGCTGCAAACTGGCCCAGCCTCCCTCAGATTAGCCTCAGATCTTACAGCGAATGGAACTCAAAGGCCCCAAGAGAGATATTAGGTACTCAGCTGCACACTGAATCTACACCACTCACACTCAGGTGTTCTGGTGAGGATGGGCACCTTGACAGACCTGTGAGTCACTCATTGACTGCTTACTGGGGATCTATTAAGGAGGAAACACTGTACTATGAAGGGAAATCCAATAGAAAGCTTATCATTGACCATTTTATAAAATAGTGGGGCAGATAGATCATGTGCATAATGAATTGTATTAAAGATAGAAAACAAGTTCCTAAGAGAAATACAAGTAAAGTACAACTTGTGGCCAAAGAAGGGAAATATTACTTCCAAACCATGGCAGGAAAAAGAGCTTTCTCAAAAACATAGAATTTAAACTGGAGCAGAGAGAATTTGGAACTGTAGAGACAGTTTTAAAGGACAGGTCATGGGACCGTACCAATAGAAGCTACCAGCTAGGAATGTGATGCAGTGTGTGTGTGTGTGTGTGTGTGTGTGTGTGTGTGTGTGTGTGTATGTGTGTGTGTGTGTGTGATCTGAAGAGAAACCTAAACATGAAGTAGTTATGGTAAAGAGCTAAAAGTCTGAGCTATCTAAAACATTGAAAATGGGATGGCTAGGAGAAGAAGATGTTTTTGGAAAAGCCCTCCAATCTCTTTCTCTCTTTCTAAGACCACTCCTGGCTCCTCATCTTTCCTTATTCAGAGTAGACTGGGTTCAACCCTTGATGGCTTTTGCATGCCAGGCTAAAAACTATGGGCCATAGGCATTAGAATTGGGGAGATTATGAAATATACTGTTTGTGTTTGCTTTTTGACCAGGCATGAGAAACTCAGAGCTATTCTTTAAGAAGGTTAATCTAATAGCAGTATTTGAAGAAATCAGAACACTAGAGAGACAGAAATCAAGCCAAAGTTGTCAAGATTATGAATAGTATTAGGGTTTTTTTGAAATTGTGAAGTTTTTCCACTCACTATAATATCAAAGACCACCTATTAAAACCTATTTATGATACCATTCTCTGTCTCATTTACGCAATTGACATTTCAAAGACACGAATTTTATCATCAGCTTTTGTAAACCTCATGGCCTTATTTCTTTAAAAAAAAGATACAAAAGGACAAATGACACTATGAACTGAAAAAATATTTAAGTAATAAAATATAGACTTCAGCAGTACAGAGAAAGAAATACACTTTGGCAAAGTTTTTAACTACCTAGGCACTTGTTAAAATACAGATTATCAGGCTCATGAGAGCTAGGTCAGCAAGCTTTTCTGTAAAGGGACAGAAAGTAAATAATTTAGGCTTTGTAGGACACTTGGTCTCTGTCAAAAATACTAAACTCTGTTCTTGTAGCAAAGAAGCAGCCACATAAAAGTCATAAAAGAAAAGATATGGTTATGTTATGAGAAAACTTTATTTATATAAATGGTACATGGGCATTCAATAGTAGCAAAACTTAGGGGCTGAAAATTTGATGAGAGATGGGATGTTTACCTAATCTTAAAGTATATTCTCATAAAATATATATTAAATGCTTACTAATTAATAAGTACTTAATATGTATTAATTAACTTCTCCAATAGAGAAACCTAGAAGACACAATGTTAGCCATGTGGTAAAAATGAACATCACCAGAAATCGTATGCTACTTGAAATAATATACTAAAAAGAGCACAGCATCATTTCTGTGATATCCCTGCAAAAGATACAAAACCTGAATCTATTCAGGAGCAAATGTCTGTCAAACACGAATTGAAGGATGTTCTACAGAGTAACTCTTATGGACTCTTCAAACATTTCAACGTCATTAAAAGAGAAAGAAACTGAAGAACTTATCTGATCGAAAGAGACTAAAGTGATATGGCAAGTAAATATAATGCATGATCCTGGACCTTTGAAAGGACATTATTGGGACAATAAGCAAAATCTGATTAGGATCAGTAGATTAGATGGTAACATGGTATCAATGTGAATTTTCTGATTTTTATGGTTGTACTATGGTTATATAGGAGAATGTTCTTGTTTTTAGAAAATGCACACTGAAGCATTAAGGTGTAATGGGGCTTAATATCTCTAACTCTCTTGAATGGTTGAGAAAAAAATAAAATGTATAAATGCAGGGAGTGACAGAACAACACAATATGGTAAAATATTAGTAATTGCGGTATCTGGTTGTAGAGTATAAAAGAATTCTTGAAACTATCAGTTTCAGGTTATTCAAAATAAAAAGTTAAAAAATGTTTGGCTATCAGCTTCAGGTTATTCAAAGTAAAAAGTTAAAAAATGTTTGGCTGTAATACATCAACTAAAGACAGAAAAAAAAATGCCCAAATCCCTGGGAATAGATGAAAGAAAGAAATTTTAAAGCAATGAGAGAGTGATATGACCAATTCATACATTGGGCAGATCATCAATTCATCAGAAATTTCCATCTGACTTTGAACAGAATCTTCCCAACTTCCAACAACATGTGATTCAATTAAGGAAAAAACAAAATTGAACCTTGTCAAACAGAAAATGCTAATGAAACCATGATGTACTTCAAAATGGCTCAAAATAACTTCATCAATGTTAAAGGAGCTAAACAATCAAAATCACAAGCAAGAGTTATAAAAAGTAGCATATGACTGTGACGTCATTTGTATTGGAATGTCCTAGAGTTGCCATTATATTTAAATTTAAACTAAAAAGTATTTACCTAAGAAGGGGGCAAATCTAGGTATTATTGAACTCCAAATTTATGCAATTTGTAGATCCTTCTCTAGAAAAAAGAATACAAAATTATGTACAACAATTAATGTTTATTAAGAAAGGCAAAATAAATTATGGTAAACTACAAATCTTAAGAAGCTGAGAAGTATAAAAAAAAAAGAATGTTTTATAAATTAGATGTTTGGCATGGCTTTTTCATACTTTTCCCTATATTTTGTGGCTACATATCTTTACCTTTCCATATGACAAAATTCTGCATTATCATAATCTATACAGAGAAAGGAATGGGCTGTGCTAGTGAGAAGCCCTAAAATTGAAACTTTATTAACTACAAGTGAACCTGTCACTGCCCCTGGATAAAATGTTTCTCAAAGATGTTACTATGCTTGCAGAGGACATTGAGGGATGACCTCTGAGCTTATGAAAGGCCTAGATAAGTTAGAAATCCAGGAGCTATACTGAACCATCCAAGTATGTTGACCCTTCAAGCATTTTATGAATATATAAAGGTGAATAGCTAAAGAATAAGCTTTTGAAACCTAATGGGACTTGGTTACTATTTATGTACAAGAGCAACACAGATAAAAGTCTATTGCTAACTAAGTTTAGAAGAGTTCCTTCAACAAGAATAAATAAAAATTCTGAGCAATAAGAAGGCCTGGGGTTGGGGGGAGGTACATAAAATATTGGTACGTCTTACAATCAAGGGCTTCTTGGATTCATTTGGCAGTTTATTTTGTTCCCTTGCTGATTATGAGCTATTCTAGCTCACAATTCAAGGAATTTAGGACAACTAAAACAAAGCATTTATAACAAATGAAAATGTACAGTGATTTAAAACCTCTCTAAGTTAGGGGCTGGGTTGGGATCTATTAGGAGATTTAGGATCTGGTCTAAGTAGGGTCCCAGCGGTGGGATGGCATTCAAAAGCAAGCAGGAGCAGAAAGAGCCAGAGAATGACTTGATCTAAAGCCCTATGAAAGGTATAAAGTGAGAAAGCTAATTCCAGAGCAGAAGGAAGAAGGTCAAGAGTGAAGTCACGCAGAACTTGGGGGACTGCCAGGAACAGGACTTAGAGCCCCAGTGTTGCCCTGGTTAAAGTCCCACATAGCTCAGCCTTCCTGTCCTGGTTCCTGAGAGAGCCCAGGAACGCAGCTAGAAATCATCTGCCATATCTGAAGCAGTTGAAAGAATTGCACCTGTTTAATCACAAAAGGCAAAGCTAAAGAAGAGCTTGAAGTATTCTCAGATTAAAGAGCTGCTGCCATGCAGAAAAAGGAGCAAATTTATTCCATATTTCCATGGAAAAACTAAAATCAGCATGTGAAATTTACCAGGAGACAGATTTTGAGTCCTTAAAGCAGGAGCTTGGCTGGAATTATTTGCCTTTGTTCACCTAGAAGAGTGCCTGGAACATCCTAAATTACCAATACTATTTGTTAAATTGATTAATACAAATAAGAAATAATTGTTCAACAATTACAGTAGTTTGATTATGGAGTAGAATCTGATGATTCTTTCTGAGCTTTGGGTATTTTATCAGGGATTTGACCACAACGACAATCTTAGACATAAAATTGAACATGCACCAGGCACTATTCAAAGTGTCTTACACATATTATTACATTTAATTCTCACAGCCACCCTTGAAACCAGTTGTACTATTAATCCCATTTTACAGATGAGGCAACTGAGACACAGAGAGATTATAGTACTTGTTCAAAGTCATGCAACAGAGTCAGGATTTGAACTCAGGGGACCTGGTTCTTGCCTCTCTGTCTCGCTGCATCCCGTTATCCCATCTGACAGAGAAGAGCTGGAATTGAGTCCAATATCACAAGAGAGGTTAATTGAGTGTTCTCTTCCTACATACTATGATTCTCAGACCATGCTGGATATCAATTTTTGCTAATGTCAGATCAACCACCTCATTTTTGGCTAGTTTAATCTATATTAGCAAGATTGAATATTTAGACATATTAAACAAAACACCCATAAGATGCCACAACACAAGATGCATGACACTACACATATAAAACAATAAATCCTTTATGACCATAAAAATATTGAATAAAAACTAAAATATATTTTGATTCTGGGGGGGCTCTCCTCCAGGTCTTCAACTTTATCAAAAGTAGCATTTACTTGCTTTCTTCAGTTTCCAAGAGCTTGGAGAGTTCAGTGGCGCCAGCACAACCCCCATTAAAAATGCTCACTCAGCCTCGCCCAGATGCCTAGCAACTTTCTGTTTATTCCACTACAGTCAATTCAAAGTCACAAGAATGACACAGGTGATAAACTGTAGGAGCACAGGTGATGTATGCAGTGAGGCAGCCTGACTGAGAATGCATGCCCAATGAAGAAAAATCACTCTGAAGGGTTCAGGGTCAATAATTATGCTGATAGGGAAATCAGCAAAGAGGCAGGTGTCCTGGATAACAGGACATATTTCTTAGCCAGGAAATTATATTTTAAATGAAGGTAAGAAAACATGCTGCTTTGAGGTTGCCAGGTAATCCCAAGAAATATAATGTAGGATTTGTTCCCAAGAAAAGGATTAGGGTAATAGCAATTATTGTGCACCTACGGGGTATTGTAGACTGTACCAGACATGTCGTCATTATTATCTAATTTAATTTTCCCAAAGCCCAAGGTCAATCAGATAGTAAATGGCAGAGTTACAATTTGAACTCAGTTCCTTAGGATTCCAAATCCACTCTCCTCCTACTATATTAAGCTCCTCAATATATTGAGCAATATCTTGACAAATTTGCCCTTAAGAAACCATTCTGGTTTTTTTCCCAGGGTCTAATGCTACATAAGATATCTGAAGTGGTTGTCTTATGAGATCGTGCAGCCAAATTATTTTGTGGAAATGTTAAAGAATAAGCATTATGGGTTATAAGCAGCTTCTTGATGGTACCAAAGATGCAAGTGTCCCTGGACTTTTCAAGAAGAAAGTTGTGGCCAACCAGCATACTTAAGCTAGAAATGATGGAGATAGTGCTTAGCTCTCATCAGCTCTGCTAGAGTATCTACCTCGCAGATTGAGATGTGGGCCTTTGTAGACTGAAAACTGCATCTCTCCAGAAATGAATTCCCTATTATGTGATGAAAGAACCCAACCAGGAAACACAACCACAACAGAGAACCTCAGGCAAATATACCCATGAAGACAGAACTGAGGGGATCTAAGACTGCCATAGAAGGCCAACTTTAGCTAATGCAACCTCTGATGGAAAGAGAGTGAAAAGTTTGGATATTAGACCATTAGGGAGAAACAAAAGCATATATTAAGAAAAGAAGATTCCAAAGGTACACACCAGCTGTCTTCAGAGTTCTCTGTAGCTATGGAAATAAAGCAGGGAGCAGAGATTAGATGTGTTAGAGATTCATCTTTCAGGCCACCAAAGAAATAACTTCCTAATAATCAGAGCCAACTGAAAACAGAATGAGTTGTGTGAAGAAGTTGGAAGATCCCTGTTAATGAAGGTGTCATCTCTCCCTTCGTTAAAATGAAAGAGAACAAAAAAGAAATAACTTAGCCAAATTGCCATTGCCATGGGTACTATGACGATGTCACATACTTTTTGTGTTTATGATTCTCTCCAGTGCCTTTCTCTTTAAAAAAAAAAAAAAAAAGACCTACAACAATCGCTCCATGTTTGGAAAATTATCTTTCCTGACTTTTCTGTTAGTAGAATGCAGTAAGGATACTGTTCGCAGTAACTTCCCCAACTAAGATCGGATCATGCTTCTTTCCAGTCACCCTATTTGGCTCCCAGACTCATCACTCTCTGTGGCATGTTACTTTTACCAGCATGTCTGTGGCTCACCCAGAAATGCAACCCAATGGATTTTGTTGTTCTGTAACAGCAGTGGGAGAATCAAGTGTAGACAGCAAAAGTTAGAACACAGATCATGATAAAATATCCCCCTTACCAATTATACATTGTTCTGTTTGGACCAATATTTCCCCTCATCCCTGAATTTACCCATTGTCAGTTTCCAGATAATACTTTTCTTTGCTTTTCAGATTCACTTTAAGTGCATACGTCAATATTCTTGGGCTAGCTCCTCTGGCCTCCATTGCTGACTCTTGTCGCATTACCACTTTTGTATTCAAGGAACCATGGAATTTCAGAGCTGCAAGAGAACCTAGAGATCATTTACACCAAATGCCTAATTTTATGGATGGGAAAACTGAAGCTTCTAGAGCTGATATGACTTGCCCAAGGTCATAGGATTAGCAGCATAACTGGAACCACTGTTTTAATGGTGTCGACCTGACTTCCCTGTCATAGGGATGTTGTCCATTTTCAGGTACTGGGCACTAATGACATCTAAGCTACCCTAACACCTGCCATCTGATCATTTCCTCTATTGAAGTCCCAAGCAACCAGGATCTGGCTGGTTCATCTCTTAACACAGCAGGAAAAAAATATATATATATAGACCTCTCTTCATCAAATACAATTGCTCCTTTTGGTTGTGAGATCATTGTACAGAGGTACCAGTTCAATAAGAAAGCTTGTTTTGCTTTTGCACACTAAGATTAACATGTGTGTATGTGTGTGTGTGTGTTAAAGGAGAGATTTAAACAAAAGAGTAATATGAATGAAAAATCATGTAAAATAAAGCAACATTAATCATAAAAGGAAGACATTTTTCTTCCCAACTGCCACCTAAATCAAATATTTTGAGTTTTTATTTATTAAAAATTTCATATAGATTTGAACAAAAATGACATATTTTCTAAATTCTGAAAAAGAACAAATCTGGGATGTCAAAAATCTCAAGCCAAATCTGTGCCATACATTTTTGTCTTTCATTTTGAGTTCCTAATCAGTACTAAATTGCTACAGATGGCACAGATATTGTCATCCTATAAACATCAGTTCATCTAGAGACCAACCAGCCCACAGCCCATCTGGAGGAAGAAAATAAACCAATATCCACTGAGTACCAACTATATGCTAGCCTCTTCTATATACATTATCTCATGGTAATTCCCACAACAATCCTGCAAGGTAGATATTGTTATTCCATTTGTTTTCCATAGAAAGAGGAAACTGAGCTCATATACTTTGCAAATGGTAGAGCTAGAATTCGAGTGTAGATCTAAGTGATCTCTTTTTTTCTCTACATCATGCCGTGTGTTACCCTCAAAGATCACCAACATACCACAGGAAATTTGCTGAGCAGAAATGTGCCAATCATTAGAAAATGAGACAAAACAAGGAAAGGACACTGTGGAAACTGAGAATAATGTCCTAATGGTTTGTGAGTCTAAGCAGAAGAAGCATCTCCCATGGTATGGAGGAGCTCCATCTTATTACTACATGGACTGCAAAATGTGGCTTTGGTTGTAAGGTGATTGGATATCCTAAGTTCCCTGGCTTAATCATTACACATTGCATAAATATATCAGAATATCACATGTACCCTCAAGTATGTACTAGATAGCTAGGTACATAGATGATACATAGATTTTAGATAATACAAAAAAATTTTCAAAAGCATGTTCTCAAAATACGGTTTTTAGTGACTAACAGTCCACGTGAATAACTGTACCATAATTTTAACCATTCCTCTTTGGCTGGATCTTTGGGTTTTGTTTTAGTTTTTTTGTGTTCGTTTTTGTTTTTTCGTTGTTGTTGTTTTTGAGACAGAGTCTCACTCTGTCGCCCAGGCTGGAGTGCAGTAGTGCCATCTGATTACAGGCGTGAACCATCGGGCCCAGCCTCTTTGTTTCTAAACCAGTTTCTTCCTACTTTAAATAAATGCTGTTATTAACATCCTTGTATGTAAATCTCTGTAGCACTTTGGGCATTTTTTTTGACCCCCATCTCAGGTCTACCCTCTTCTCCTACAGTAAAAAACTGCCTAAGTTTTGTCTGATGGGACAACTTGAACTTACGGGTCACTCAATAGTCCAGGACTGTTAGGAAGAAATATTATGAGGATGGAATAGGAAAAATCTCGGGCAGAGTAGAGATCGGCCTTATAAAAAGTCACTATGGGAATAGCATTTGGAGG
The DNA here is from genome assembly GCF_000001405.40 of Homo sapiens. Taxonomy (NCBI): domain Eukaryota; kingdom Metazoa; phylum Chordata; class Mammalia; order Primates; family Hominidae; genus Homo; species Homo sapiens. The sequence goes on from NC_000001.11 coordinate 168,951,029, forward strand.
TCCAGGCACAGAAAGCAAAAAGGGTACAGTAATGTCATTTGTTAAATTCCAGAAACTAACCACATCGGAGCATTCCAGGTGGTGAGCAAGGCAGAGCCACAGGAAGAGGTCAGGACAGACAGTGGTAATCTTCTAAGTAGAACATGTGTCCATGCATAGAAGCCAGCCTCAAGCTGGGGCTATGGGAGCTGGCTAACACCAAAGAAGGGACTGGCATGAGCTAGGCTAGATGCAGGGACCTAGCCAGCAGGTTAGTCTGGGAAGGATATATATATCCTTCCACATATTTCTCTATAGATTTGAACAAAAATATGATAACTCTATGCATCATATTCTGTGATTTGATTTTCTCATGTAATGTACTGGAGATGCTTTTCCATGTCAGTATATATAAAGCTAATTTGTTAGTTTTAATTGATGCACTAATTTTCACAGTATGGCTATAACAATTTACGTAACATTTTCCCAACTAATGAATAATTTGATTTTTTTCATCTTTAAAAAATTCTACTCATACCAGCATTTCTCCTAGTCATCATCTTGCATCAGTTTGGCATTGTCACTCCAAGACAGACATTAAAACATCTGATTTCCCACCCACGTTTGTTGAAAATGATGATGGACCTGATTAATTAACAAAAAATGGAATCTAAGCTGAGGGAAGGAGGAGGAAAGGACACAATATAAGTGGTCAGGGTGTTTTCATAACCTTCACTGACATATTTATTACACTTAGAAATGGTATGGTTCAGTAGAAAACACAGGTCTGAGGGGACTCAGGAGACCTAGGATTTGGGATTTTGCTATCACTTATTATCTCTTTTGGCTACAATCTCATCTCACTATCTGTTGAAGGGAACTGGATTAGATGACCTCTAACAGTGGTTAGTCTATGGATTATGTAATGCAGATAGATTAAAATTTAGGTGTTAAAGGGGTGTGTGTGTGTGTGTGTGTGCATGTGTGTGTGTATGTATTTGTCTATGAAAAAGAAAGAGAAGAATAATGAGAATATAAAAAGATGAAGAGAAACAGTAACAAAGAAAAAATACTCAATATCATTTGTATCCTGAACTTGAGACTCCAGTTCTTATGTAATTAATATTTCTAATGCTCAAGGAAATGGGTCTGTAAATAGCCTTTATAGTATATTACATTCAAGCCAGTAAATACTTTCCATCATTTTTTAAATGTTGGCTGGACAACTTAAAGGCATGTAACTTCACACCTATATTTGGATATTGTTAGACTTGCAGATTTTGGCTCCAATTTTATGAGAACTGAGAGATTTAATAATTAGCAATAAAAAACCTACTTTAACCAACATATCCAAAGCTTTCCAATAGAAGAATAAGATTAATGAAGAAAATCTAAGTGAAAAGGAGATTATCACCTAATTCCTTCTCATTCTGAATAAAGTTTCATTGGTACAAAAACCTGAGACATCAGAAAAAACTTTTTTTTTCAAATCCAATGCCTGCAAAATCATTGTTCTTAACCAACACTGCTCCACTGCCCTTTGCTACCATATTGACAGACTGAGTTTCTCTCTGGTTAATATATTTATAGGTTGAGAGACTTAAGAGCCAGCAATGATATGGTTGAGAAACTTGCAAAACTTTTATCATTTATTAAGTTTCCAGAAGCAAATGCACACTTCACTGAGGGACTGGCCTGAGCATAAATGCATTTCAGAGCCTTCAGTCTGGCTGTTTACCCATCCTATTCTCCCCTTATGTACCACTCAAGTCTATACATATTTACCTCCTTTCTTTTCTCCCTTTCTTCTTTCCTCTGGTTGGTGTCTCCTTCCTTCATTCATTCACCATTTCCCCCACCATTTATTCATTCTGTTTAATGAAATGTCTTTTTAAGGGAGCATCTGCTATAGCCCAGGCCCTGTGTGTGTGGTGGGGGGGATGCCAAGATAGACTAAATGATCCTTGCCTTCCAGGAGTTCCCATCCCCATCCCCTACCTTTGTTCTACATCGTGTGTGTGTGTGTTTGTGTGTGTGTGTGTGTGTGTGTGTGTGTGTGGTGGCTCTTCTCTTTCCCTCTAAGTTTAGTGGGCCCCTAGTCTCTTCCTCAAACCCTTCAAACCCATTTTCAAATCCTCTGTAAGTTTGTAGCAGACACTAATTTATTTATTGCTTCATGTATTTGTTTCCTATTGCTGTTGTAACGAGTGGCAGAAAACCACGCAAATTTATCTTATAGTTCTGCAGGTCAGAAGACTGATGCAGGTCTCACTGGGCTAAAATCAAAGCATGGTAAGGACTTCATTCTTTTCTGGGGCCTCTAGAGGAAAATGCGCGTCCTTGCCTTTTCCAGTTCCTAAAAGCTGCCTGCATTCATTGGCTCATGACCCCTTTCTCTGTCTTCATAACCTGCAATGGTATATCAAGTTATCCTTACATTGAATCCCTCACTCAGATACTTCTATCTCCCTCTTCCATCACTTAAGAACCCTCACCATTACATTGGGAGCATCCAGATAACCCAAGATAATCTCTTTATTTTAAAGGCAGCCATTTAACAAACTTAATTTCATCTGTAGACTTAGCTGCTCTTAGCCATGTAACAGATCATGTTCACAGGGTCTGGGGGTAAGAATTGGGCATTTTAGGGGGCCGTTATTCTGTCTACCACACTTTACCCTAGGAGTTTTTTTTTTATTATTATACTTTAAGTTTTGGTATACATGTGCAGAACGTGAAGGTTTGTTACATAGGTATACAGGTGCCATGGTGGTTTGCTGCACACATCAACTCATCATCTACATTAGGTATTTCTCCTAATGCTATCCCTCCCCTAGTCCCCCACCCGCCGACAGGCCCCACTGTGTGATGTTCCCCTCCCTGTGTCCATGTTTTCTCATTGTTCAACTCCCACTTATGAGTGAGAACATGCGGTGTTTGGTTTTGTGTTCCTGTGTTAGTTTGCTGAGAATTATGGCTTCCAATTTCATCCATGTCCCTGCAAAGGACATGAACTCATCCTTTTTTATGGCTGCATAGTATTCCATGGTGCATATGTGCCACATTTTCTTTAGCCAGTCTATTATTGATGGGCATTTGGGTTGGTTCCAAGTCTTTGCTATTGTGAATAGTGCTGCAATAAACATACATGTGTGAGTGTCTTTATAGTAGAATGATTTATAATCCTTTGGGTACATACCCAGTAATGGGATGGCTGGGTCAAATGGTGTGTCTGGTTCTAGATCCTTGAGGAATTGCCACACTGTCTTCCACAATGGTTGAACTAATATACACTCCCACTAACAGTGTAAAAGTGTTCCTATTTCTCCACGTGCTCTCCAGCATCTATTGTTTCCTGACTTTTTAATGATTACCATTCTAACTGGCATGAGATGGTATCTCACTGAGGTTTTGATTTGCATTTCTTTAATGGCCAGTGATGATGGGCTTTTTTTCATATGTTTGTTGGCCACATAAATGTCTTCTTTTGCGAATTGTCTGTTCATATCCTTTGCTCACTTTTTGATGGGTTTTTGTTTTTTTTTTTGTAAATTTATTTAAGTTCCTTATAGATTCTGGATATTAGCCCTTTGTCAGATGGATAGATTGCAAAAATTTTCTCCCATTCTGTAGGTTGCCTGTTCACTCTGATGATAGTTTCTTTGGCTGTGCAGAAGCTCTTTAGTTTAATTAGATACCATTTGTCAATTTTGGCTTTTGTTGTCATTGCTTTTGGTGTTTTAGTCACAAAGTTTTTGCCCATGCCTATGTTCTGAAAGGTTTTGCCTAGGTTTTCTTCTAGGGTTTTTATCGTTTTAGGTCTTTACATTTAAGTCTTTAATGCATCTTGAGTTAAATTTTGTATAAGGTGTAAAGAAGGGGTCCACTTTCAGTTTTCTGCATATCCTAGCCAGTTTTCCCAGCACCATTTTTATTAAATAGGGAATCCTTTTCCCTTTGCTTGTTTTTGTCAGGTTTGTCAAAGATCCGATGGTTGTAGATGTCTGGCATTATTTCTGAGGCCTCTGTTCTATTCCATTGGTCTATATATCTGTTTTGGTACCAGTTTCATGCTGTTTTGGTTACTGTAGCCTTGTAGTATAGTTTGAAGTCAGGTAGCGTGATGTCTCCAGCTTTGTTCTTTTTGCTTAGGATTGTCTTGGCTATATGGGCTCTTTTTTGGTTCCATATAAAATTTAAAGTAGTTTTTTCTAATTCTGTGAAGAAAGTAAATGGTAGCTTGATGGGGATAGCATTGAATCTATAAATTACTTTGGGCAGTACTTTCATGATATTGATTTTTCCTATCCGTGAGCATGGTATGTTTTTCCATTTGTTTGTGTCCTCTCTTATTTCTTTGAGCAGTGGTTTGTAGTTCTCCTTGAAGAGGTCCTTCATATCCCTTGTAAGGTGTATTCCTAGGTGTTTTATTCTCTTTGTAGCAATTTTGAATGGGAGTTCACTCATGATTTGGCCCTCTGTTTGTCTACTATTAGTGTATAGGAATGCTTATGATTTTTGCACATTGATTTGGTATCCTGAGACTTTGCTGAAGTTGCTTATCAGCTTAAGGAGATTTAGGGCTGAGAGGATGGGGTTTTCTAAATATACAATCATGTCTTCCGCAAACAGAGACAATTTGACTTCCTCTCTTCCCATTTGAATACCCTTTATTTATTTCTCTTGCCTGATTTCCCTGGCCAGAACTTCCAATACTATGTTGAATAGGAGTAGTGAGAGAGGGCATCCTTGTCTTGTTCTGGTTTTCAAAGGGAATGCTTCTAGCTTTTGCCCACTCAGTGTGATATTGGCTGTGGTTTTGTAATAAATAGCTCTTATTATTTTGAGATACATTCCATGAGTACCTAGTTTATTGAGAGATTTTAGCATGAAAGAGTGCTGAATTTTGTCAAAGGCTTTTTCTGCATCTATTGAGACAATTGTGTGGTTTTATTTCATTGGTTCTGTTTATGTGATGGATTACGTTTATTGATTTGTGTATGTTGAACCAGCCTTGCATCCTAGAGATGAAGCCAACTTGATTGTGGTGGATAAGCTTTTTGAGTGCTGCTGGATTCGGTTTGCCAGTATTTTATTGAGGATTTTCACATCAATGTTCATCAGGGATATTGGCCTGAAATTTTCTTTTTTGTTGTGTCTCTGCCAGGTTTTGGTATCAGGATGATGCTGGTCTCATAAAATTAGTTAGGGAGCAGTCTCCCTTTTTCTATTATTTGGAATAGTTTCAGAAGGAATGGTACCAGCTCCTCTTTTTACCTCTGGTAGAATTCAGCTGTGAATCCATCTGTTCCTGGGCTTTCTTTGGTTCATAGGCTATTACTTACTGCATCAATTTCAAAACTTGTTATTGGTCTATTCAGGGATTCGACTTCTTCCTGGTTTAGTCTTGGGAGGGTGTATGTGTCGAGGAATTTATCCATTTCTTCTAGATTTTCTAGTTTATTTGCATAGAGGTGTTTACAGTATTATCTGATGGTAGTTTGTATTTGTGGGATCACTGGTGATATCCCCTTTATCATTTTTTATTGTGACTATTTGATTCATCTCTCATTTCTTCTTTATTAGTCTTGCAAGGAGTCTATTTTGTTAATCTTTTCAAAAAACCACCTCCTGGATTCACTGATTTTTTTTGAAGTTTTTTTGCGTCTCTGTCTCCTTCAGTTCTGCTCTGATCTTAGTTATTTCTTGTCTTCTGTTAGCTTTTGAATTTGTTTGCTCTTGCTTCTCTAATTCTTTTTAATTGTGATGTTAGGGTGTTGATTTTAGATCTTTTCCGCTTTCTCCTGTGGGTATAATTTCCTTCTAAACACTGTTTTAGCTGTGTCCCAGAGATTCTATTATGTTGTGTCTTTGTTCTCATTGGTTTCAAACAACTTATTTCTGCCTTAATTTCATTATTTACCCCATAGTCATTCAGGAGCAGGTTGATCAGTTTCCATGCAGTTGTATGGTTTTTGAGTGAGTTTCTTAATCCTGTGTTCTAATTTGATTGCACTGTTGTCTAAGAGACTGTTATGATTTCCGTTCTTTTGCATTTGCTGAGGAGTGTTTTATTTCCAATTACGTGGTCAATTTTAGAGTAAGTGCGATGTGGTGCTGAGAAGAATGTATATTCTGTTGATTTGGGGTGGAGAGTTCTGTAGATGTCTGTTAGGTCTGCTTGGTCCAGAGCTGAGTTCAAGTCCTGAATATCCTTGTTAATTTTCTGTCTCATTGATCTGTCTAATATTGACAGTGGGGTGTTAAAGTCTCCCACTATTATTGTGTCAGAAACTAAGTCTCTTTGTAGTTCTCTAAGAACTTGCTTTATGAATCTGGGTGCTCCCTAGGAGTGTTTTTAATTCAACAGGTGTCAAAGTCTCAAGCTACTAGGATAAAACTGCCACACTTTGTTATCACCCAAATGAAAAGGGAGGATATTGGGGGCATTAAAGCTTATCTGAAACTTTGGAATCAGACAAGTCTAATATTACATTTTAGCTTCTGTCACTTAAGAGTTTTATGGGCTTGGGAAACCCACTTTTAATTTCCCTGAATCTGTATTTGCTCATCCTTAATTAGGATATCTCTTTCATGGTGTTTTAAATCAGTGATCCCCAACCTTCTTGGCACCAGGACCAGTTTTGTAGAAGACAACTTTTCCACAGATGGGCTCAGGGGATATGGTTTTGGGATGATTCAAGAACATTACATTTATTGTGCACTTTATTTCTATTATTATTACATTGCCATATATAATACAATGATTATACAACTCACCATAATGTAGAATCAATGGAAGCCCTGAACTTGTTTTCTTGCAACTAGAAGGTCCCATCTAAGGGTGATGGGAGATAGTGACAGATCATCAGATTCTCGTAAGGAGCATGTAACCTAGATCCCTTGCATGTGCAGTTCACAATAGGGTTCATGTTCCTATGAGAATCTAATGCTGCCATTGACCTAATAGAAGGTGGAGCTCATGTGGTAATGCGAGTTATGGGGAGCAGCAGTAAATACAAATGAAGCTTGGTTCACTTGCCTGCTGCTCACCTCCTGCTGTGCAGCCCCATTCCTAGCAGTCCACAGATGTGGGGTTGGGAACCTCTCTTTTAAATAAGTAAATTAAGATCATCCAATCCCAATGAAGGGCCTGGTTCATGGGTGCTTGATGGATGTTAGTTTCCTTCTTCTTTTTAATTCATCAGATGCCCCTCACATAAGTGGACCACCATAGCTGGCAGCCATTCACATTAATACTGAAAATCAATCAACCAACCAACATGCATTAAGGGCCTACTTTATGTAAGGCCCTGTGTGGGACCCCAGGGCGATATACACGACCATGTCTCCATTCAAGGAGATGTCGACCTTATTAGGGAATCAGTATGTGAACATATGAAAAACTAAATGACAATAAAAGATAGTTTATCAACACCAAAGTCATAAAACTCACCCTAATTGCCATATGACTCACTGCCCACTTTCAAGAGGTAAAGGGTCCTATAAGCTAGATTGAAATGGATGGTTTCATGCAGGCAAAGGATTTGAGAAGGGCTTTGAGAGATGGATTAGATTTAGGCAACCTGTGAGGAGGGAGAGTTGTAGTTTATTCTGAGCAAACTTTTGGATATTTCCCCCCAGTGACTTTCAAACATCTCAGGTACTTTTAGGGGAAGTGTTCTGCTAAAGACAGGCAAAGTCAGCCACGTGAACACACCACTAAACATCGCCATCTCCACCTCCTCCCCTCTGACAGCCTGCCTCCTTGCCAGGCTGCCGCCCTCCTCCTTCCCCTATCTCAACATGAGACAAAACAGCCTTTCTTTTTTTCTGGGATTATTTAGAAGCAGTTTCCCATAATTACAGTAATCTTATCTTCTTTGAATTCACCAAAATTACCCCTTTTCTTTATATTAGCACCACTGCTACATGACAGACATTATTTGTAAGCTTTGTGCCATGGTGCAATGTTGTTTTTTTAAAGTGACATCTGCTCAAATAAATTAATGTTCCTATCTAACTGACTCACTTGGTGAGAACATGTCCACATGCCAATGTGAATGCGAGGGGAGTGGGGGGAAATGCAGGAAGAGGAAAGCATCTGGAAGAATATTTTCTGGTGTTTTAGATTAAGAATAAGACTATTTTATTTCCTACAGAAAAGCAGTGGACATTAGTTGAAGCAACAGCAATGACTAATTGTCTCATAATGTCTGAAACATGCCACGTTTCAAGATGAGTGAAGATGGTCATGCTTTTCAAGTACATTTTGATGAACTTGGTGATTCTCACCGACATTTCCTTGTTCTCAACAACCTGAAAATTTCTCGGTTCATCTACCCTCCAGCTATGCCCTTCTGAAGTGAACCTCTTTGAGAAAGCGCTGAGATTCCATCTGCACCTTCCTGCATTCACAACCTGTGTTTTCACACATCCAGTGGCTTCTGCTCCCAGAAATCCATCCTCAAATGGCCCTGAGAAGTCAGAGGAGGATGTGGTTCCCTGTTAGGGTCCATTTATTCATCATTTAGTCTATTTACTGAGGTCCTACTATGTGCCAGGCCTTGGGGACACAAAGATGGTCCTACTATGTGCCAAGCCTTGGGGACACAAAGAGTTCTGTCCTCCAAGAGCTCACAGTCTTATATGGCCATGATCAAGAAAAGTACCAGGGCACCATGGGAGACTGACACTCAAAGCAGAGCACAAGGAAGGGGGTAGATAAGGCTTCTCCGAGGAAGTGACACCTGAGTGGGATGTAAAATATTCATTTCTGCTTACAAACTTCAATCATCTCACAATGACCGTTTCATAATATCCAGACTCCCTCGTCTGGATTTCCAGGCTCCGTATACACTGATCCTCTAAACATCCCTACCCCATCTCTCTCCCCACCATCATGAATCACCAGCTCCTGCTGGGAAAGCCTATTCCCTTGCTTCCCCTGCATACCCCTTTATTCTTAACTCGGGGTATTTGCTCTCTTTATTCTTAACTCTGGATCTTTGCTCATGTTTTCTGTCTAAAATGAACCATCCACTACCACCTCTACCAACACCATTAGCAATAAGTATTCAGATACACATCGGTTTCAGGGACCAGCTTATTTTCTTTATGAAACTTCCTGCAATCACCCCAGTTCTTTACGAAACTTTCTCTATCCACCTCAAACATTTTAGAGCTTCTCTGAATTTCCATAGTACTTAAGCTATAAGTATAACTTAGACAATACATGTAAAGTAATAGTTACAAACTCATAAAGCACAATGCAAGCATGAGGTGTGGCCATTATCTTAAACTGATAAGGGAAATTTTGATGTCCCTCACCAACACTAAATTTGTTTTCTTAGGCAAGTAGTTTCTTTAGCTATAAAACTGAGAAAAACATATTTACATTGCAAAACATATTTACATTACATTATTGTGAAGATTAACCAGATACATTGACATGCATACAAAATGCCTGGTTTGTCATAGGCAGCTCTTGATGGAATGGTAATAGCAGTAGGAATGTTGTTATTTCTCAAAGAGGATAAGTATATTTGTTCCTTTTTGTTCAATAGACCAGGTTAGGTGTGTGTATTAAGGTGGTAAGAGGCAGAAAATTTGTCTTATGAAAAAAGTTTATCATGAAGGATAAAAGTAAACATCCTTCAGAGCTCTGCAACTTTTATCTCAAAACTCCAAAGAGAATTATAGTATTGTAATGGTTGATGATTCCCCATTTCCTGTGTCACTGGTTCCTGGCAGGAAGACAATGGCTTGGCCCTGACACTCCCTTCCAGACTATGGGATCATTGTTCTCTAGTAGACAGTGTTTATCAAAAATGGAGGCACTTGCTGGCTGAGGGAAGTAGAGATGAAGGAGAGAGCAGAGTAGCAGCTGCTCTTTTTGGAAGGTAGTGCGTTTCTGACCCTAGAATCAAAGGGTTCTCCTGTGTGGAACTTGGATGCTGAGCCATCAGCAAAACTTGAAGAATGGTTGTCAACGTCGGACATTTTACAGCCCGCCCAGCCAGGACATTTGACAATGTCTAGAGACATTTCTGGTTGTCACAACTTAGGCAGGATGGGGGGATTCTATTGGCACCTAATGAATAGAGGCCAGGGATGCACTAAACATCGTACAATGCACAAGACAGCACCTCAACAAAGACGTTTCTGGCCCAAAATATCAACAGTGTTGAGGGTGAGAAACCCTGAGTTAGAAACAGTTGTAACCCACCATCCTAGGTTCTGCTAATCCTAGCTGAGTGATCAGAGCTCCAAACTGTTTCTCCCCTGCGTCTTCTCTAGACCAGAGTCCAGAATGACCACACTGGAATTAATTAATGGAAATCAGTCAGCAAAACTTCAAGATCTAGTACAAATGTGACTTCCTCTATGAATTCACCCTAGGTAGAGTACCCCTTCCTGTGTCAGCCAGGGTCTGACTGCCTTAACTACTTACAACTGGAGTGTTTTAATATAAAGAATTGATTCCAGGTGATGGAAAAGTTAAACCCAAACAGGATGGTGAAGCAACCTAGAGATTAACAGCCAGCAAGAAGCTATTACCACCCAAGGACTGGAAAGAAGGAAGTCAGTGTTACTAGAACCCGTGGCCAGCTGGAGCAGATCCATAAAGTGCAGTCATCACTGCAGCCACTTACAAGACAAGCAGATAGGAAGAAATGCTTCAGCTTCTCCCTTTTTCCCATTGGCTGAATCCAAGTAAGGTCACTGACAGGGAAACCTAGGAGATGCAACCTGTAAGATCAGTCCTCAAACAAAACAAGAGGAATGAAAAAAAGAGGAGGAACAGGCCAGGCACGCTGGCTCATGTCTGCAATCCCAGCACTTTAGGAGGCCAAGGCGGGCAGATCACGAGGTCAAGAGATCAAGACCATCCTGGCCAACATGGTGAAACCCCATCTCTACTAAAAATACAAAAATTAGCTGGGCGTGGTGGCACGCACCTGTAGTCCCAGCTACTCGGGAGGCTGAGGCAGGATAATCACTTGAACCCGGGAGGTGGAGGTTGCAGTGAGCTGAGATCATGCCACTGCACTCCAGCAAGGAGACTCAAGATCAACACAGTACCCAATGTACCTTGGATATGCCTCTTCTGCAGCTCTTCTGTGATAATGATGTTGTCTCATCATTATCAATTAAGTATGATTCCCTTCCCTTTACTCTCCTCCTACTGGTTGAAATACAGATGTGATGGTGGGAGCTGGAACAAACAGCCATGTTGGACCACAAGATAGAAGATGCAGTTTGAGGATGGCAGAGCAGCAAGACTGAAGGGACCTGGGTTCCTGATAATTGCAGAGCTGCAATGCTAGTCATCAGATTTTTATGTGAAAGAGAAATGAACTTTTAATGTGACTAATCAATTTCCATTTTTTTTGTTGTTGTTGTTGATTTGAGACAGAATCTCCTTCTGCTGCCCAGACTGGAGTGCAGTGTTATGATCTTGGCTCACTACAACCTACACCCACCAGGTTCAAGCTATTCTCCTGCCTCAGCCTCCCAAGTAACTGGGATTACAGGTGTGTGCCACCACACCTGGCTAATTTTTGTGTTTTTTAGTAGAGACAGGGTTTTGCCATGTTGCCCAGGCTGGTCTTGAACTCCTGACCTCAGGTGATCCTCGGCCTCCCAAAGTGTTGGGATTACAGGCATGAACCACTGCGCCCAGCCAATTTCCATTATTACTTTAGTTCCCTCTTTGCGTAGCAGCTGAAGCAAAATGCTAAATAACACAAGCCCCTTTCCTCCTGGGTCTTGATGTCTAAAGCATATTAAAGATTATCTTTCATTCATTCATTCACAATGTGGAAACTAACAAGAACAGAGACAGTGCCATGGCAACATCATATTTCAGAGGTGTCTTTTGGGCATGTAAAATGTTGCAGCAACTCTCAAATTACCTTGCTTGAGCAAATATTTAATTTGTACCTTTATATTCAAAAATAAATTTTTAGTCAGTAATTAACAGTATCAGTAGGAAAAGGGAAAAAAATGCAAAATGACAAATGAAGTGCCTTAGAACAGTGCTTCTTAAACTTCAGGATGGCAACAAAATCACCTGGAAAACTTGTTAAAACACAGACTTCTAGACCCTAAACTCGGAGATTCTGATTCAGTACGTTTGGAGTGGGGCCTAAGAATTTGCATTTCTAAGCTCCCAAATGTTGTTGATGTTGCTGGTCCCAGGACCACAGTTCAAGTGGTGTTAGTTTAGAATAGGATGCTGGAAGTATGGAGACAGTCAATGAAAACTGCCCACTGTCTTAGAAACAACCTAGACATTCTGCCTTTTAAAATCATATAAGTGAAACATATAAAAAGCTGAGGTTCCCACATTTCTGGCATGGAAACATCATTAAAGAACCAAGAGAAAAACTGACTTTAAGGTGTCTTGGATAAACTATCCAGGTGATTTGATAAAAGGGGAATTCACACATCTACAAGGACCTTGGGGGTTTCATTGGGTATGGCTGCCTGGCTGCCAGTCTGTGGTCAGTTTAGCCACAGTTTTGCCAGCCACTTCGGCCAGGGACACAGACAGTGTTCTCACAATGTGGCAATTGCAGCAGCCTATTCTAGGCAGAGGTGCCAGGGAGGATTTGGGGAGAATTGAGGAGACTTTAGATCCCTTTCAACCCATCACAAATAAGCACACAGTGTAAGTTTTTTAAAAAGCATGCTCACTATTCAAGCATGATTTCAATGCAAGTCTTCTAGCCTGCCACACTCTTCCCACTAAATTACTACCCCTGAGTACTTCCTACACAGAAACCAGTGCCAAGGAGCGTGGGTTAAAATCCAGCCTCAGTGATCTAATCCATTTCTGTGAAGTGTGTATGAGATTTCACATAGACAGTAGGGCAGAATAAGTGATTTCACAGGCCTGGAAATAAATTATTGGCTGTCTAAACATAGACACTAAATTTAGGTATCGACAGAGCTTAACATAAGACTTCCTTCCTCCTCCTTCCTTTTCCTGTTTCTCCTCCTTCCTCCATTTTCTCTCTTTCTCTGCACATCTCTAACTCCCACCCCCTCCTGCCCACCCCTCTGAACAATCAGTGGGCTTTTTGGCACTGCTTGACTTCATCCTGAGCAGTTCCTCGCTCTTCTTTACTAAACTGGCAGAACCACAAAGATGTTCGCATCATCCTCCTTGCCTGACCAAATCTCTGCTAGGCCTTTCCATTAATTAACCTGATTGGTCCATAAGAGCTGTGTCATCTGGGCACCCTAGGCCCCTCTCACATTGCCTCTGAGTCTGAATGACCCAATCAGAGGATTCAAACCAGGACGGGCTTCCCTGCCTGCTTTATGTGCATGCTGGCTACCTGGGCTCTGTTTAGTTCAGAGACTGAGTCTACACAGTGAGCAGTCAACATATAATGCGTAAAGATTGATAATTTCTCATCGACTGCCCCAGAATAAGGCTTTATATATTATTTCAAAAGTTTTCATTCCCTATCTCTATGCCTTCAAAAACAAAATCCATCGTGGAAAACCTGGTCCCTAACTTGGAATTTTGGAATTCTGACATCAGGTTTCTGAAATGACTCTTTTTTTTTTTTTTTGTCCTATGACCTATCTGCCAAGCTGTCAAGTCTCTGGGTCTAGAGTTCTCTCAGTTCTGCCTTTGGCCTTCCCCTAATCTGCATCATCACTGGTGGGAGTAACACTGTTCTAGGAACACAGAGGTGTCACATGAGTAGGAGATACAATCCTTCCCTGAAAACAGGTATTGAAACTGTCTCAGGTGCTATAAGCAGGGACAAAAGCCAATGTTCTAGCCATCCATCAACCACGTGGGATGGTCTAGAACAAACTGAGGAGGAAAGTCGGGGAATGCATTCTAGAATGAACTCTGCCCTTCTGTGCACATCAGGATTATGAGAGAGCCCTTCTGGGGTCACGGTTACTATTTTGGAAATTTACCTATAGATATCTAGTCCTAAATTTCCTATCATGGGGTAAGACAGCCAGCATGGGTCTCCCAGCCAAGATCACTTTATTGGGCCTGATTTTGTTCTTTATTTTAAAAAAAAAATCTAGATTGAAAGCATACTCAGGCCAGGTGCAGTGCCACATGCCTGTAATCCCAAAACTTAGGGAAGGTGAGGCAAGAGGATCACTTAAGGCCAGGAGTTCAAGACCACACTGGGCAACATAGTAAGACTCCATCTCCACCAAAAAGCAAAACAAAACAAAAATCATAATTGAAGTCATGCTAAAGAGCTATGAACATTTCACCCAGGTATAGCTGCTTCTCAAGCCAAGGAGAAGAGGGTGTTTGTTCCTTAATTTCCTTGCATGAATTCTCACTGAGAAAGGGAGGTACTCACTGAGGTACTCACACAGGTACTTAGAAAAAAAGAAGCAATGAGGGCAAAGCATGAAAACTGGAGATCCTGGAAATGTATCGGATCCAAGTCCCTAGGCTTAAAAGCCGTCAACAATATTATCAAAATAATTTTGGTATCCCCGAGAGTAGGCTTTTAGGTAGCGCAAACACACACACACACACACACACACACACACACACACACACACACACACACACACGTCAATCTGTAATTACTTTGGATATTTTCATTAATATTTGATTTTCTGAATAATAATTTTAAAATCTAATACTTCTTTTGTTATTTTCTTAAATATTTTAATTCTTTTAATTTTTTTCTTTTTTTTTTTTCAGAGACAGAATCTCACTCTGTCACCCAGGCTGAAGTGCAGTGGTGCGATTATAGCTCACTGCAGCCTCGAACTCTCGGGCTCAAGCAATCCTTCCGTGTCAGCCTCCCAAGTAGCTAAGACTACACATGCATGCCGCCATGCCTGGCTAAGAAATCGTATTTCTTAGGCATTTTACTTCAACTTACAAATTTTGTTATTCTAGTTATGAATCTAGAAAACTTGAGCACCATTTTTAAGAAAGAAATTTGTTGATTAAATACTCATGAACATTAAAATGTATCAATCAATTTAATCTATTTTATTTGCTCTGTAAGACTTAATTATCTGACTAATAGAATCTTACCGAATATTTAGTAGCTTTTATAAATATAATAAATAAGACTCAAAACAATGGTGAATCTTATATTCTCTTAGCATTACCATGTTGTTTCTATACATAGTTAATTCCCCTCCTACTTTTCATATTAAAAAATTACACATCTCAATCAACCATTCAGTTTAAATTAGAATCATTAGTCTTAGCTGCTGGTGTTTCAACTATCTATTGCTATGAAACAAACTGCCCCAGAATTTGGTGGCTTAGAATAACCATCATCTTACTTCTTCCTAGAGTCTGTGGGTTGACTGGGCTTGATTGGGCAGTTCTCACTCAGTTGTAATCATGCAGGACCTGGGGCTGGCACCACCTGGAGGCTTGACTGGAGTGTGCTGGGACAGCTGGGCCTCTCTCTCACCAAGCAGCCCCAAGTGTCCCTTCTCCAAGTGGCATCTCCATATGGACTCTCCAGCAGGACAGCCAGACTACTTACACGATGCCACATAACTTTCAAAAGTGAGAGTTCCACAGTAGACACTGGGGACTACAAGAGGGGAGAGAGAGGGACGGGGGGAAGGGCTGAAAAATTGCCTGTCAGGTACTATGTTCACTACCTGGGTGACAAGTTCAGTCATACTCCAAGCCTCAGCGCCACACAATATACCCTTGTGTAGCAAACCTGCACATGTACCCCCTGAATCTAAAATAAAAGTTGAAGATGAGAGAGAGAGACCCAACGGAGAAAAAGGAGAAGCTACCAGTCCTCTTAAAGTTTAGGCCTAGAACTGGCACAGAGCCACTTCCACCCCCTTCTATTGGCTAACATGAATATAGACCAGCCCAAATTCAATGAGGGGACTGAACAAGAGTGTAAATATTGGGAAGTGTGGTTCATTGGATGACTCTCCTTAAAGACTAGTTACCACAGTTAGATAATCCAGTATGCCAAAATTTCTGAAAGCTTACAAATATCATAAATACCAAAAACATATATATATAGGTATTTGTGATATTTTATTTATAAATTATATATAATATATATTATATATAAAGTTCTTGTGACAAGGACTGCTGTTGCTCACCAATATCTGTGTTCTCTTCTTCCCAGGCACACAGCAATACCACATTTTCCAGTCTCCCTTGAAGTTAGGTGTGGCCATGTCAATGAGTTTTGGTCAGTGGAATATGTGTGGAAGTGTCATGCCTCGCTCCCAGGCCTGGTCTATCTGAGTGCCCTACTAGATTTAGTATCCATCATTGATTGTTGCCTGAAGTAGTATTCACTATGATGGTTGCAAAATGATGGATTTTCAACTCTGACATTCTCTCCACACTTACTAGTCAGTACTTGGCTTTACTATAGGCAAGAGCCCTCGCTTCTCACCCATTTATGTGTTTGTTTATCTATTGATTAACAATATGAGCTCATTGCTGTTCTTAATTCTTTTGGTGTTTAAATTGTCTCAGACTTTGGTGAATGAGAGCCCCTTTTTGATGGATGTTGTATCTTTTTTTCTTTCTTTTTAAAGAACTTTCCTACTTTCTAACATAAAAAAATACTCCAGACTTATTCTCTACCTACCCTGTCCCAGATCTAGAATTTTCCCTTTCTCCAAGAAGCTCTGATTCCTTTCATGGGCAAATGCTATTTAGAAACCAAGGTCTAGATGCTAGCTGGGCTCATTGCTATTGGGGTGTTTTTGCTTTTAGGAGACAAAGTTAGGAAATACATGAATTTTTATACACACACATACACATGCAAATATATGTACATGAAAAGTGCACATATATACACACACATACATTTACACAAACAATCTACACAGATTAGAAATCACAAGTTTGCACAGATAACATTAAATGCAATCCATCCCCTGTGGGGATGGATTTCCCTACACCATTTCATATATATCCATTCACCACAATGAATACCTGGGTCCCAACAAGATATGTGCATTTATTCATTTGCTTAATCCTATAATACATCTAAAGTAGTTTCAGAATTTCCTTGTTCATACAACCACAAAAAGAAAGCCTACTCAAAAAAGTTCAGGGTTTGTTTGCCGCTTTCCTCCTCCTAAGACTTAGGGTATGTAGTCAAATATCATGTTCTTAAGGTTCTTAAGTTAGCCAGCTTGCTCCCATTTTTCATTCTGTGTGGTTATGCAATTCATTCAAAATATCTTAGGGTTCATATGTTTTCATTGGTTTTCAGCATTAGGTTCTTTTCTCCTCCCATCCTTGTTGATTTAATTACATGTTTTTTAAAGAGGTAGAACATACACATGCGTCTAAAAAACAAAACTGTACAGAAAGATGTTCTTAGAAAGTGCCACTCTCTTCCATGTCCCTTCCTCTGCATTTCCCTTCCAACACCATCTGTAGGTAGCTAACTTGATTGTCTTCTGGTTTATTCTCCCTGTGTTTCTTTTTGTAAAGATAAATATATGCATATGTTTTTAAAATTTCTTCTTTCTTACACAAAGGGCAATATAACATATATATATACTCTTTTACATATATATATGCTTTATATATATACTTTGCTTTTTTTAACTTCACATATCTTTTGGAAATCACTCCATATCAATTCATAGAGACCTTTCTCATTGTTTTCATAATTATATAGCACTATACTATGTGAATGCACCATAGTTTACTCAACTAACCTCCTATGCTTGTACATTTAGGTAATACACAAAACATTTTCAGTATAAATAATGCTGTAATAAACTTTTGCATTTTTTTAATGTTAAGGCATATCTTTAAGGTAGACTCTAGGGTCAAAGGGTAAATGCATCAACAAAGTCACCTCCATAAATGTTGTACCATTTTACATTTTTATCAGCAATGCATAAAAATGCCTGCTTCCCCAGCCTACTAACACAGTGTATTGTCAAGCTTATAAATTTTTGCCAGTCTTGACAGGTAGAAAATAGTATCTCATCCTCCAGTTTCATCCATGTTGTTGTAATTGGTATTATACTCCATGAAATAAGCCAGATACAGAAAGAATAAGACTGCATGATCTCACATGTGAAATCTGAAAAAAAAAAAAAGTCAAATACATAGAAACAGAGTAGAACAGTGGTTACCAGGGATGGGGAGAAGGAAGAAATGGGGAGATGTAGGAAAAAGGGTGCAAACTTGTCACTGTGTAAGATAAGTCTGGAGATCTACTGTATAGCAGGAGGACTACAGTTATTAATATTGTATTATATATTCAAGATTTGCCAAGAGAATGGATTTTAAGTGTGCTTACCACAAAAAAAAATCTGTTAAATTGCTTACCTATAATAATCATTTCACCATGGATATTTACATCAAACATTACATTGCACACCTTAAATTTATGTAATAAAATATATTATATAAATATGTACATATATAAATACATATAATGATAATGCATTAAAAGGAAAATAGTATCTCATCTATATATGTTGTATAATTTTTCTTAGAGCAAAAAGACACAACTAACAAAAGAAACGGGAATATGACCTCAGTGATCTGAGGTTTACAAGCAAACTAGAAAACTCTCAACTCAAAAAGAGTGATTATCAACCAGTGATTTCAGCTGAGGAGTGAATTCTAGAACTGCCCATATCCAGAGCAATGCCTCTTTGCAAGCCTTGCTGAGTCCTATTTATAATGCACTCTGCCAATTGGAGATCTAATCCATTTGCCTCAAATGGGGTTGTTTACACAACTAGACTCCCAAATTTCTGTCTACGTCTTTATTTAATTATTTAATAATCAATTTCAACCTTATTGCCTGATTAAGGTGGGAAAATATTCCATATGCCAGCTCAGGTAGATTTGCCACTCAATTGACTCAATTAATATATTGATCACTTAACTTTATTAGAATTCTTTGCATATGCCTCTTCTCTAGCAGGACATATTTTATATAGGTATGTAAATGGCTAACTGTATTTGTATCTATTTCATACCTATATCTGGTTCTACACTTATAGCTTCTAAGGTCATTCTATATAAGACTCCAGCCTATCTTTCAAGTCTTTTCCCCCACTTCTTCCACAGAGTCAACACTCTAGATCATGGATTTTCAATGGCTTTTATAGTAGAAAATTGTTTCAAATGAAATTCAATATGTATAAAAGATATATACAAAGAAAGGGTAAATTAGGGTATGGTCACTTGCTGCACAAAAGATTTCAAAACAATATTCTTTTATTTCAAATATCAAAAAATTCTTGAGAAAAGAAACACTTTCATATTCCTACAGAACTTAGCGTGGTAAGTCTAGTTATTTTGTATCATACTGTAAATTTTTTTCAACTCTCTATGATTTGTATCCACAGATTTCAAGATTCTTGAATGCAGAAACTGTGTGTGTGTGTGTGTGTGTGTGTGTGTGTGTGTGTGTGTCATGAAATAGTGACAGAATCCCCAAACAGAAGTCTCCCTAGGCAGGGCTCCTATTACTGCTTACCTTGGCTCCCCTTCCACTGCCAGCATGCTGAACCAATAGGATTACAGTGAGAATCCTATCCTGGAATAAATATCCTCTTAGGCTCACAACTCTATCTCCCCTTCTCATCTTTCTCAGCAAGTTACATAGTTCCAACCTTTCTACAGAACTTCAGCTTCCCCAGTCTGGTGAAGTGCTCAGCTAGTTTTTGCTGAGAGGTGCTGGTCTCATAGGTGACATGCTAATTAATTAATTAAGCAAATAAGATCCACTGAATGAATAGGCAAATGAATGAAGACCAAAGCTGCTCTTTCTAGACCTTCTGTCACCTTTGTTTCCCACACCACCAATCTGGACAAGGACAGTCCAAGTCTTATTTTTGTTTATTTTAGTGTACGGTCTTAGAGGCTTTGACCATATAGTCTATGTCACGCCTTCAGCATGGTCAAAATTCAGCCGATAATGGTGATGTTTGTTTCATTTCCAATATAGCACCCACATCCTGCAGATGCTATTTACTCTTCTAAGCAGCATCCTGAAACACTGAAGATGCTGTAGCAGATGCTCCGTGTGTAGCTTCACCTAACTGCGCCAGAGTTTCAGCTTTCACATTGGAAATAAAAGTATGCACAAGGATGGTAGGTGGGAGCGAGGCCCAGTGGGGGAAGGAGACAGAGGCAGGGAGAAGGAAGGATGTTGGCCTCGGCCTCGCTTTGAGGAGATACAGGGCTTTACAAGAGCTCACTGACATAGAGAATTGAGCTAAATGTTGCCAAAACTAGGCTGCCTGCAAATGCCAAATAATAGGAATCCTTTATCAGGAACACTAGGAACCTTTTCAGGAGAGAATCATAAAGAATTCCGGGAAGTGCATATTCAAAGCCTGTTTCCTAGGCAGCTGAAGCCACCCACCTTCTCTTGCACAAATGGAGCCAAATTCAGTTCTCAAATGTGCCGTTTGCCTGGGCTTTCAAAACAATCCTAGGAGTTCAGCTGGTTTCTTTTGCTTGCTGAAAGAAGCCTGTAAGAGAAGGGTTTAATGCTGCTCTCTATCTGGCCATTGGAAATCCTTTCATTCCCAGCCCATCCTGCCTCCCAAGCACCCTACATCAGCCTCAGTCCTATCTTTGCAGTAGCCTTGAGCTGAGTTGTCACTGTAGTCACTGTGGAAATGCAACAGAGCAGTTAATCTTCTTGCAGTTCTTTGAAGTCTTGGGGAGGAACAGAACAAATCATCTATTGCCGTCTTGCTGTCTTCTGGGGCCCTGCAGATAGCTTTAAAATTTGGCTTTAGTTGGAATATGGGACTGGGACACAGATCTTGGGGAGAAAATAAGAGTTTGTTTAAATAAATTATAGTACAACTATGTGATAAAATATTACATAGCCATTAAGAAACATGTATAAGAGTACCTAATTATATAGGGGAAAGTTCAGGATAATGTATTAAATGGGGGAAAAAAAGCAAGTTTCAAAAGAGAATGGTCTGAGGAAAGTGAAAATGTGTGTATCTAGAAAGAAAAAACCACCAAATTTCAATTGTGGCTACATCTGGGTATAGAACTGTGGATAGTTTTTAATTCCCTCTTTTCCTTTCCTTTCAAATTTTCTATGAGGAACACATATTAAATTTTAATCATAGAAACGATATTAATATAGAATAAAACAAAAATAATAAAGGAAATATAATGTACAAATTAGGCAAAAGTCATGCCAGGTTATGACCAGAGAATTTTCCCTCGCATCACTAAGTCATTTCTCTTCCTTCCCCTTCTAGCACCTGTAGTCTCGTCTTTACAAGTCAACATTGTTTTGTACATCGTCCTACATCTCTGATAGCTCACTGAAAGCATGTTCTGTTTCCCCAGGACTGCCTTTTATTTTTCTCTTGCACACAAACCCCCACCTTCAATGACTAAGTGTAGAGCTATACACACGGCAGGTATAAGGTTGAATGGTAAATTTAACAAAGCCAGAGTCACTATGAGAAGGAAAGGAATGTTAAGAGGTGCTGGGAAAGGGGTGAGTCAAGTGGCCTAAATGAAGGTGATAGAGAGATAAAGAGACAGATAGATAGATAGATATAGACAGATAGATAGATAGATAGATAGATAGACAGACAGACAGATAGATAGATAAGCAATTTTTCATCCCGATGCTTTATATTCCCTAGAAGGAAGGTGACGGGATCTTCTGAACAATGTTTTTATCTGAAAAAATTATCCCTCTCTCTCAAACACACACACACACACACACACACACACACACACACACACACAGTCTGTTTCACATTAAGATCTGTAGCCCCCAGCATAGAACTTGGTGGTGCTCAATAACTACTCCCTGATGAACAAAAAACAAATGCCCACTCTCCATTGCATGGTGCCACCCCTTACATCACAGACCCTCTTTCAGATTAGGGAACACACTAAGCAGGCAGACTAAAGCATCTATGCAATCATGAAGTTCAGAGCCTCCACTAGGAGAAAGGAGTTCATCAGAAGTTTATGCAGCCAGGGAGGAGAGAACAGGCTACTCGAATAAAAAGCATTCCAAGGTCTCATGGCTTCCCAGAAGGCCTGGCAAAGAGCACTGGTAAGTGTACAACCAAACCCAGTCCTGTCCTGCTAGGACTGGAATGCCTTGCAGGGTAGGGATCCTGAGAAAGGTTAAGAGCAAGCCTTGGCAAATTGACAGTCCACAGCCAGATGGGTTTTCGCTTTGGCTTTGTTTGACTTGACTTTGAGTGTGCAGTGTTTTATAAACACTTCATTTTAAATATCTGATTTTCAGTGGTGCAGGTGTGCTCCAGTTCACCCTATCCCACATCCTCCCAGTCTTCCTCCTAGCAGTTTCTCCAATTTACATTACCCGACAGCTTTTGGGTTTATAACCTGTGCTTGGAATGAAGCCATGGTGAACAATGCCTCTACTACTGGAGGGAAGAAAATAAAAATATTAATTATAGTAGCAAACGTCCAGTAAGTGCTTACAGTGTGCCAGATACCATCCTAAGGGCTTTATATGCAGGTATCATCTAACCTTCAACACAGGCTGACACTGTTGGGATTCTGTTCAGGTCCCTTTAGACCCTACTTAAGAGTTCTGTGTATTCCTCTCCAGTAAATATGTGCTTATGTGTTTAAATAGGGGACTTACAACTCTTTCCAGTGGATTGACTCAGGGCTACTGGGGCCTAGTAATTTACATTCTCCCCATCCCTTCCCAGCAATGATAATTGGCCGCAGGATTACTTATACTCAAAGCTCCCCCACAGGATCAGGCTGGGACTTCATTACAAAACACATGTGCCCGACTACTTCCCTTCTCCTGTCATACCTGATTATTTTCATCCTACATATGAGGAAAGTGAAGCCCAAATTAATTTGCCTCAATGTACAAAATGGCAAGTTGCAGAGCCCAGGGCTATCTTCAGAGGGATTTTTAAAGGTGTGTTAAAACACAAGATGAAAGAAATTAATGTGAAAAAGAACACAAGGCCTAGACTCTTCCTTTTGACACAGGATACCTAGATCATTCATACAGTAGTAGTGATAGCTTGTTATGTTGTGTCTGTCTGCCTCTCCTTCATCTCTTTGTCCTTCCCTTCATCCCATCTAAGGACTCTTCTTTTGGAAAAACTGTGGCCATAGAAAAGGGTTTCGTTGAGGAATGAGGTATTTTCCTTGTGTAAACAGGCTGACGTACACATTGATAGAAGCCAGTGATTGTAGATACCTCGGTCTACACAGCCAACAGTTGATCCACCATGTCACCATATTGACAAAGCACTGTACAGCTTAGCTAGCTGTTTTTGTATTGTTGCCATATATTTGAACCAAATTGCATAAACGCTGAGTCATATGTTCATACATTCAAAAGATATTTATTGAGATCTACTCTATACAAAGCACTGTGTTAAGATGGGATACAGTTACAAACCAGACAGACCTTTGCAAAGTTAGTCCATGGAGAGGTTATTCCTTGGGAAAACGCCATAAGTACATGTGAAGTAGAGACACTCACCTTTTTCATGCTCTGTGGTAACAGCAAGACAAGGTCCTCCTCAGGCTGCGCTGCAGGTCTGTCCTCTGAGGACCCTCAGGCTCCATGCTTTTTCTTTATTTAAATTTAAATTCTTTTTCTTTTTATACTGAGTCAGGGTCTCACTATGTTGCCCAGGCTGCTCTTCAACTCCTGGCCTCAGGCAATCCTCCTGCCTCAGCCTCCCAAAGTGCTAGGATTACAGGTGTGAGTCACTGCACCTGGCCTCCATGCTTTAATATTCTCAAAAGGCCACACAAAACACAACTGAGGTCAAACCACAACCATGTTCCTTTGCATCTTCCTTAAGTTAGTGACTTATTTTCTATGTTGACACTGGGACCTTATCATTGTAGTAGGTACAGGTATGATTCAGATGATTAGCTAAATTCCTAAAAGACAAAGACTCCACTAAGAGGTCACCAAAGGCTGAGTGCAGTGGCCCATGCCTGTAATGCCAGCATTCTGGGAGGCTGAGGCAGGAGAATTGCTTGAGCCCAGGAGTCTGAGACCAGCCTGGGCAACATAGTGAGACCGTGTCTCTGCAAAAATATTTTTTTAAATTAGCCAGGCACAGTGGCACCTGCCTATAGTCCTAGCTACTTGGGAGGCTGAGGTGGGAGTCCTAGCCACTTGAGCCTAGGAGTTTGTTACTGCAGTGAGCTATAATCGCACCTGTGACTCCAGCCTGGGAGAAAGAACAAAACCCTATCTAAAAAAAAAACAAAAGAAGATCACCAAAAGAAGTCACGATAAAACTGAAAAAAATAATATGGTTTCTCCTGTGTTTACAGTTTACTGAAGGTATCTTGAGTCCTTTTTTTCCTCTTTCTAAGAACAATGATACATCTTGGATCCTTCATAGTTATCTTTTTCACTGATGTTTTAAACACAAGTACAATACAATCTAATAATAATAATATTGAAAATCTGTTACTGTCTTCAAGATACTTTTTACTGTGACATGCATTCTTATTTAAACAGTAATTACTTACAAATAATAAATTACATAATTTAATTTTTTCAATTTACTCTATATAAATATAGTAAGGAAGATATTATTGTCATGACCTTACAGGTGAGACAATTGAAGTTTAGAACTTTTAAGTTATATATCCAAAGTCATATGGTCTTATTTGTTTCTGCTATGCAAAGCCAGTGACTGATAATTTTATTTGAATGGAAATTTTAATTTGCTTTCACTTTTCTTACTTTCATATGTATCCCAGAAGGTATTTCCATCCAATGTCTACGTCTATTTTATTCTGCCTCAATTAAAAGAAAAATCAAAGAAGATCTACTTTGTTTTGTATTTTTGTTCTCTTAGTATATAAGATTATCTTGAAATCTGGTTATAAGGACTATAACATTTTAATACTCTCCACTCTCCTTCTATAATTAGACAATTATAGAAAATAGCCCTTTGTTCCTGTTTCATTGGTCAGTAAACTATTTTAATAATTAATTGATTTTGCGCTTTAGTTGCATTAGTTACAATATAATGTTGAACAAATTTTACGGCCAAAGTATCTGGTGGGCAATTTAGGTCAGTCTGTTTACTACTACTACTAATGATGATGATGATGATGAAACATGAGCTTGTAAGCTCTATAGTTGCAAAAAGTGCCGCTATTTAGTGTTATGAATTGAAGTGCAGTGCCTGGCACAAAGTAGGCGTGACCTCAAGGGTATCAAAATCCGGAGTGAAAAAGGTAAACAATGAAAGAAGTGAAGAAGGCTGGCACAGAAAACCAAAGGAACTGTAAGTGAAATTAGCTAAAAAGGCTTGGTTGAGATAAAGGTTAAAATTACTGGCCTTTGAAAGAGAAATCCTACACTTTGGCTTCAAAACTTCACAGCCTTTCCCTTTTTTTAATGCCTCTCTGCTGTATCAGATCATCTCCTTGCTTATGACAACTTGAGTGACAACAATGGAGAAGTCCTAGGTGGTGTGCTAATATCTAGTTGGCTTTATGCCAGCCTTTAAATAACCCCTTCCCTATAGGATTATATTGCTGTTGATAAATGGAATTAAGTTAGGATAGAAGTGGAAATTGTTAATGGATGTAAAGGAGATCTGCAGAGGAGATCTCCCCAGTTCAAGGCTAGGTATCTTTCTTTCACAGCAACAACAAAATCAGTTATTGGTGACGTTTATAGAAACCCAGTCAATGAAACATGGGGCTTGGTGCTTCATAAGTTTTTTGTTTGTTTGTTTGTTTGTTTGCTTGTTTTTGCAGTAGCCCTCTGAGGTTCTTACAAAAACCATGAACTCTCTCCAAAAGAAAAAAAAAGACATGCTTTTATATACACCCATCCTTGTTTTCAATTTTTCTTCTGGCTCTCCTACTCCCTGATGGAACCATGGACATTGGATCTATGGACCTAGAGTAAGAATTTCTGTCTGGATAGTTTATAATGCCTCTTCTAGATCTAATATTCTATTTGTCTATGAGTTGATACAGTTGTATTCAGATTCCAAGTTTTTTTGTTGTTGGTTTGTTTTTTGTTTTTTTAAACATGATCTTGCTCTGTCACCCAGGCTGGAGTGCTGTGATACAATCTTAGCTCCCTGCAGCCTCAACCTCCCGGGCTCAAGAGATCCTTCTATCTCATCCTCCCAAGTAGCTGGGACTACAGGCATGTACCACCATACCCGGCTAATTTTTGTGTTTTTTTGTAGAGATGAGGTTTTGCCATGAAGCCCAGCCTGGTCTCAAACTCCTAGACTCAAGCAATCTGCCTGTCTTGGCCTCCCAAAATGCTGGGATTACAGGCATGAGCCACCACGCCTGGCCCAACACTGCCAAATTTTATCCACATTATCTGGGTTAAGTTTCTCAACCTCTCCAAGCTCCTGGCTCTTCATTGTAATTGTGAGGATTAAATGAAGTCATGTGTATAAAAAGGCTTACCTCCTCCCCTTTGTCTCTGTAGTAGGCCAAATGATGCTCCCCTTCCCAAAGATGTCCACACCAATCCCTGGGTCTTATAAATATGTTAAATTGTGTGGCAAAAGGGACTTTGCAGGTATAATGAAGGTTACAGATCTTACGACAGGGAGATGATCCTGGATTATCTGGTGGGCCCAGTCTAATTACATAAGTCCTTGAAAGCAGAGAAATTTTTCCAGCTGGAGTCAGAGAGAAGTGGCAAAAGAAGCAGCGGGAGAAATGAGGCAGAGGAGAGGGCAGGGAGATGTGGAGCGTGGGGATGCAACCAGCATTGCTGACTTTGAGGATGGATAAAAGGAGCCACAATCCAGAGAAGGCAGGTGGCCTCGATGCTGAGAATGACTCAGCCAATAGACAGCAAGGAAACAGAGACCTCAGTCCTACAACTGCAAAAACCTGGATTCTGCCAGCAACCGGAGTGAGCCTGGAAGTGGATTCTCCTACATAGCCTTCAGTAAGGAAAGCAGCTCTGCTGACATCTCAATTTTGGTATGGTGAAACCCTGGGCAGGACTCAGCCAAATCACCGAGACTTTTGATTTACAGAACTGTGAGACAATTAATGTGTGTTGTTTTAAACTGTGTTTTTGGTCATTTGTTATGCCAGCAATAGAAAAAAAATACCCCTACATTTCCCTATTCTCATGACAACCTACTCTCCCAAGGATGGATCGGTTAGTTCCCCCATAAAGTGAATTTCAGCTGAGATGTTGCTGTGCCCAGGTTTTTTGTTGTGATTTTTTTTTAACCTCAAATTATATTTGCTCTTCTACTTATAAGTGAAAGAAACTTTAGGCAGCAACAATCAGAAAGGAGAAGGTGTTTTGAAAAGATGATGTCTTTTTCCTGGCGTTTCTAAAGTTATACCATAGCAGAAGCTGCAAGTCCAGTTGATCTTTTCACAAGTAAGCCTCTGTGTGTTGGTCAGCACCCTGTCCTTCCTACCAAAACAACACCCTTCTTTGTTTAAACCTCCGACTCTCAATTAACTTTTCTCATCAGCCCTACGTAGCCCCCACACCTGGGCTAATTAAGGGATTTCTCTGGGGACATGGACTCAGAATTCTGCTTGGTTTCCATATATAAAGGATAGCTCTCAGGAAGCCAGGTGGATAACTGGAGGAAGACACACAGAACCTCCAGTAAATATTCTGCTGTGATGGAATCCGGAGTTGCCTTGCAATTCCTTCAAACATCGTCATTGCTGAGAGCTGAGAGCTGAGAGCTGATGCGGCATAGGATTTTATCAAGTTGCTCCTTTGAAGACAGTGAGCCCCTGTTTTTCAACCTGCCTGTATGGTCAATAGGCTATACTGTTCCATCCATTTCCACAGGAAACCGGGTGATATGATTTGGCTCTGTGTCCCCACCCAAATCTCATCTTGAATTGTAATCCCTATAATCCTCATATGTTGAGGGTAGAACCCAATGGGAGGTTATTCGACCATGGGAGTGGTTTCCCCCATGCTGTTCTCATAATAGTGGGTTAGTTCTCACAAGATCTAATGGTTTTATAAGGGGCTCTTCCTGCTTCACTCCTCACTCTTCTCTCACCTGCCGTCTTGTGAAGAAGGTGCCTGCTTCCCCTTCCGTAAATTTCCTGAGGCCGCCTCAGCCATGTGGAACTGTGAGTCCATTAAACCTCTTTTCTTTACAAATTACCCAGTCTCAGGTAGTATCTTTACAGCTGTGTGAAAATGAATACACCAGGTGACTTGGCTTGGACCCATGGGGCATCATATCTGGGGAAGCAGATATCTGATGCACCTGGTCTGGATGGTCCCACACATTACAATAGCCAAGATATGAATGAGTAGACACCAAGTGGAATAAGCTCCTGAGTCTGAGCGGAGGCCCTAGGGCTCATCAGAAAATATGATCACAGGGTCATGGGGTGGCATCATGTCACTGACCAAATCTGTACCAGCATTTTGAAGCAACACAGGAAAGAGAAGCTTGAATCTTTCCAGCTTCTGTAGCTGTTGTCAAAGGGACTTGATGCAAAGCACAGGACAGCATTTTTACTATGTGCATTTCAGAAGATTTTCCAAATAACAGAACTGAAACTTCTCTGTCTCACGCTCAGGAGATTGGCCTGGCTTTTCCTTTTGGCTGAATTTCCACTGGCCTCTTTGATCTCCGGTTGTTCAATATGCCCTCGTGCTCTGCATTTCCAGGCTCACCATAGCTTTCTCTCATCTTTCTTCTTCCTGTCACAGCCAAGCTTTAGATTGTCTGGATTATAAATCCCAACTCATTAGATGGCCTATCAAAGATAGGAATTTGCCTTTCATTACAGTGTCCTGTATTATTTTTTATTGTTTACTCTGTAAAAATGTATATCCAGATATGTGAATGTTGTGGACATAGCTATTTGTCTAAGGTTTTGAATCAGGACCATGGAAGCAGAAGGATCCTCAGGATAGAGAGAGAACAGGAAACAAAGTTTGGAATAAAAAATTATGGATTTAAATCCCTGACCACTCCACAGTAGCCTTGAATAACTATGAAATTTCTCTTTGCTCATCTTTTTGACTATAAAATAGGAGTAATTAGACCGATTTATTGTGAAGACTCATTGGAAATCCATGTTCTTACAACAGCCTCCAAGCCTTCTGGCTCTCTCACCCCACCTCCTCTCTATCTTATCTTCTACCTCTCTCTCCTTGTGCTCCTCCTGCTCCAGTCACACTGTCCTGTTAGATATTCCTCAAATATACCCAGAACTGTCTCCCAAGGACATATGCACTCTCTCCCCTCTCCTTGGAAAGCTCTGTCCTCAGATAACCACATGGTTTTCTCTCCCATGTCCTTGGGTTAGCTGCTCAAGTCAGAGACCTACCCTCATCACCTATATTATTTAGAGCAATATCACACTGCCACTTCTACACCTCCCAACCCTGGTACTTCATAGCCCTCTTGAGTACTTTATGTTTGTCCACTGCTCTTATCACCACCTGACATATTACTTATTTATTTTGCATATTGCTCTCCATTAAGAGTTGAGTTTGACTGTTTGTTCACTGTTGTATCTGTTGCAATTCTATGAAGCATGTTTAAAACATTTTGGGTGCTCAAAAAATAAATCCAGAAAGAGTGACTGAGAGAACATATATAAAGTGCTAATGCCCATTACAGGAAGGGCATTTAAGAAACTGCTAATGACAATATATCTGAGGGGTAGTTGTCTGAAATAAACTCTTTTTTAGAGGATTTTCTTGGTGATTTAAAATTTAAACTTTATTTGATGACTTAAAATATATACTTCACTTTGAAGCTTTGAGAGGAAGAAATAATTTGCATCTAGGGGACTAGAATTAATTCTCCTTAGAAATAGCTAACTTCTGCTCTGGTGGGTGACTCAAGAATGGTTCTGTGATCCAAAATGCTGATTTCTCTCTGAAGAGGTGACAAAACAGGAAGTTAGAGAGGAGGGAGATATTTAGCTCCCTGAAGAAGTGGTGGCAATGGCATGGACTTTGGCATCAAGAGATCTGAATTCAGATCCTGATTCTACCACTTAATAGCTAAGGGACTTTGAATAAAATTTACCCTTGCTGAGTCCAGCAGTCTCTTCCTTTCAAATGATGGTAAGAAGAGCTATTGTCTCACAATGTTTCTGCTTCATATGCAGTGTCTCATGTATGAGAAATAAGGCCATGCATATAAAAATGTTTTACAAACTATTAATCACTATGCAAGGATTGGCTATTGTTATTGTTTACAGGGACTTGCAGGCTCTACAGGTTGTCTTGACCTCAAAAAAAATGCCACTTAGTCATTTGTACAAGATTTTGACTTCGAATTGTTAAGTTCTGTTTCGTGAATTTCTTCCCAGCCTGTGACTTTCTTTGCTTTGAGCTTTGATAGCTGTCTAGCACATTCACTTTTATGTTCCGATGATACTTTTCTTCAAGAAACTCGAGATGCTTTGTAGACGATTATCTCATTCATTCTTGCAATTTGAAAAGAAAGAATAAAATTATTTTGAGTCTAGCAAAATGGAGAAAAGCAGGATCACAAAACCCAAGCTGGCTGGGCACAGTGGTTCATGCCTGTAATCTCAGCACTTTGGCAAGCCAAAGCAGGAGAACTGCTTGTGCTCAAGAGTTCAAGACCAGCCTGGGCAACATAGTGAGACTCCACCTCTACAAAAAAATTTTAAGATAGCCAAGTATGGTGGCATGTGTCTATAGTCCTAGCTACTTGGGAGGCTGAAGCAGGAGGATCACTTGAACCTAGAAGCTCAAGATTACAGTGAGCTATGATCATGCCACTGACTCCAGCCTGGGTAACAGAGTAAGATCATCTCAAAGAAAAAAAAAAAGAATCACAGGCTAATTTCTCATCTATGCATTGACTCCCATTTCCATGGAAGGAGGGCTTTGCACCCTCTATCTGGCCTGTGCCCATCTCTACCAGGTATATCAGGGTTTTATCCAAGACATCAGGGAAGGAGAGAAGGGCTTTTACAGAATCTTGTGATAGAACAGGGAACTTTAAACCATAGTAGAGAGGAAATGTGGTGGTTCAACTCTTGTTGATTATGATTGTTAAACAAAAATTATAAAAAGCCACTGTTTTGGGCTAAGGTGATTTTTAAACAAAAATTATAGGAAGCCACTGTTGGCCGGGTGAGATGGCTCACACCTGTAATCCCAGCACTTTGGGAGGCCAAGGTGGGCGGATTATGAGGTCAGGAGATCGAGACTATTCTGGCCAACATGATGAAATCCCGTCTGTACCAAAAATACAAAAATTAGCTGGGTGTAGCGGCGCATGCCTGTAATCTCAGCTACTCGGGAGGCTGAGGCAGGAGAATTGCTTGAACCTGGGAGGTGGAGGTTGCAGTGAGCCGAGAGTGCGCCACTGTACTCCAGCCTGGCGACAGAGCTAGACTCCGTCTCCGTTTTGGGCTAAGCTTCTGTACTAGGCCCTAACAGACCATACTAAAAATCAAAATGGAGTCACCCATGCTAAAGTTCCATGTCACCAAACTGAAACTAAGTTGTTCTCTGAGCTTCTGAGAAATCAGGAGGGAAAGATAACAGCCCGTTTTCCAAACAGTCACAATAATGAATTACCTGTTTTAATCCTTTCAACAAAAAGTAACCAGCATAACCTGGCATTAACCAATCAGTTATCTTTCTATTGTTCTGTCTCCCTGTTCCTGCCTTACTAAGAAATGACCAATCTGCTTTTAAATCTTTGTTTCTGCTTTCTTCAACCCTTTCTGTCTATAAAACCAACCCCCTCTGTTCAACTCACTGGGACACTTACTCTATTTTATGGAATGAAGTGTTACCCAATTCAATTGAGATCTTGAAACAAAATTTGTTTGATTTCTCTTTTGATATGCCTTTTCAATGGGTACTAGGGGACAGGAAGGCACTATGGAAACATGAATGCTTTGCACTTTCTAAGTCGCTGTCTGAGACCCAGAAACAGATTGGTAGGGAAGTGGTTCAGCAAAAATTGGCCTAAGCGTGAGTTTCTCTAAAAATGGAACTTCAGGAAAGCCCAAAATTCAGAAAGGGCAGGACTCATGAGGAAGCCATTGCTTCCCGTAAATGCTGGATTGTGTTTTTCCATAAACATTTACTTGTGTTCTTTTCTGATTTTTTTTTTTTTTTTACCTTGGCTCTCATCCACCAAATGGATAGAAGTACAGGCTTCATCAAGGGCCCAGCGGCCAGAGGAACAATAGTGATTCTATCCGTGTCAATGTCCATGCCCTTGGATGTCACTTAATCTTTCTCTGGCTATTCTTCCCGGTTTTTGAAATGGACATGACATTGCTTGGCCTTCTGTAAATCATGGTATTAATATGAAAACAGAGCAAAATTGTATGTAATCCATATGTAAGCTGGATTCACACTATTCTTAAACTGTCAAATGAAATTGCCTCAAAATCCCTATTACATGTGTTGAGAAACTTGGTCTTCCTTGGGATTCTTATATTTCTTACAGAAATTTTTCCTAGTCAACCTGGCTCTGAATTTCTACCTCTGCCAAACTACTTCATTTTATAGATCACCTGGCCACCCATACATGTCACTTTTCTGTACTAGTTTATAACTTTGTGAGACAGCATCCCAATTACTTCCAGAAAACTGCCAATCCAAGTATATGCTTGTATAAGGCTTTCATTGAAGGTTTAAAAAATGGAAGGCTTTAATATGGCAGCTTTGCAGAAAATAAAAAAGAAGAAGTACACATGAGGGTACTTATGTCCTCAGGCTAATCCTCCTCCAGAAATTTCTTACTGGTCTCCACAGCCAGGTTTCTCAGCCTCTATCTTATCTTCTCCACAGATTCCTGTTAACTTCTTATGCATAGATGTTTAGCTATCAGTGTTGACCTCTGGACCTCATCTTCCTCCCCAATATGGTCTATAAGGTCATTTTGTAAGACAAAAGGCTATGCCCTCCAGAGAAAAGTTATACTGCTAAGGCAGGAGGCAAGGGCAGCTATCACCAGTTATCTTTTCTAATAACACTTTTTATATTCTTTGCACCATATTTGAAAACTCTGTATTTTTAGCAAGAAAGTGTTCTTCATTGAGTTCTTATTAGAGTGAAATCTGACATCCAACACATGCTTTTTTGAAAATGTTATCAGTTGCTATTCTACACATCTAAACTTCATTAATAACTGATTTTTGAAAGAATAATAGCAAAATATTATGAAATTCTGAAGCCCCTCATTTTGACAGGTTTATTGGAGCCCATCGTAGTACATGTCAATGGGAGCAAGGTGTGAAATGGACCTTCAAGGAGAGGTAAGGCAATAGTTTTCTAACATTCTTTTTTTTTTTCTTGCTATCTATTCTCCATAGGACAGATGAAGTAACCTTTGATAAATGCAAATCAGGCCATGCCATTCCTTTGCTTGAAACCCTTTGGTGGTTCCTCATGTATTTATGGGTCAGTCTTCATTCTTACTCCTCTCCAGGTAGGATGGATTCTCAGTTCCTCTGACACACCAAGATCTTTCCCACACCAGCACCTTTGCCACCACCCATCCCCGTCTCCATTGCCTGGAACAAAATTGCCCCTGCTCTGAACATAGCAGAATTTCCCTTGCTCTTGGCATATCTGGATCCTTCTCACCCTTTTGACCTCTGTGTAAGTATAAGCATCACTTCCAGCTGAAGACGTTCTCTTACAGACTCTATCCACACACATGCTGCTAGCATTCTTCATCTTCTCCTCCTTTTCCCCCTTTGTATCACTTACCACAATCTGTGATTATTTTATTATTTGCTTGCTTGCCTCTTTTCTGTCTACTCCACTAGATCATGAGTCTGCAAACTTTTTCTGTAAAGAGCCAGATAGTAAATATTTTAGATTTATGCCATACGGTTTCTGTTGCAACTACTTGACTCTGCCACTGCAGCATAAAATCAGCTGTAGACAATACATAAACAAATTAGTGTGGCTGTGTTCCAATAAAACTTTATTAATGGACACTAAAATTTGAGTTTCATACACTTTGCGTGTGTCATAAAATATTATTATTCTTTCCATTTTTTATTATGTTTTAAAATTTAAAAACCATTCTTATCTTGCAGGTCGTGCAAAAACAGATGGCAGACTAAATTTGGCCCATGGGCTGTAGTTTAATTACCCTTGCAATAGACTGTAAGCTCCAGAAGGACAGGCATGAAATCTTTTGATTAACCACTGAGTCTCTAATATCCAGCACAATATTTGGCACAAAATAGGTACTCAAAAAATATGTATTAAAGGAATAGGGCAATGATACCAAATTCAAAACAAAAGACTGATAGGAAGTATGAACTGGTAGAAAGGCCAAAGGAAAAAAAAAGATAATAGTAAAAATGTGATCACAGAAAACCTTCTAGGCAAAAATTGAATACAGGCCTCTAAATGTCGTGTCCAAAACCCACGCCCAAATAAATGTGTGCTCTCCCTAGGTAGCTTGCCATCCTCTGTAATACTGTGACAGTCCAGTAGACTCAAAGGAGAGGTCAGCATATATTAGTCCTTATGAGGTTTAAACATATATGATGGAATGTGGTGGATTTCATTATTTTTATGCTTTTGAGACTGGAAAATATTTGGTTTGCTGGTGATGGAGGGAGCTGTTGTTATATATAATCCAGTGGGTACTTTAAGATTTGGGTAGTCCGGGTTATATAAGAAAAAAATTTTAAAGTGTAGCTATTAAATGACAATCATCTAAGTTGGTTTAAGAAGTTAATGATTCAAAATGTGAATAATTTAAGATCTGTTTTCCAAAATAACTGTACAAATTTTAATTTAAGCAGCAGTGAGAATAGTGATATCAGTGTCACTTGCAGAATTTGTGTTTGTGTGGGTGCATGTTGCATCCTAATAGACCAAAAAAAAAAATTTCTGCAACTTTGTTCTGAAGTTGACTTTTTATTCAAATTTTTATCATTTTTTTTTGTTCATCATGTCCTTGGCCCCTCCATCTCTTGAGGGTTTTTTTTTTCATTAATTTGTATGAGGCTGTAATATTTTTAATATTTAGGGAGAACTTTCACTTTCCTGACCTCATGTTTTGATGAAGGGACTTCTCTTAGAGAAAAGATTCTTCATCTGAAGTCCATTGGGCATTGAGTCTGGGGATAAAAATGGCAGGAGCAAGTGTTTTTGAACTTTAATAGGAAAATTTATACCTTTATTTTTACTAACTGTATTAGTCTATTCTCATGTTGCTATAAAGAACTACCTGAGACTTGGTAATTTATAAGACAAGAGGTTTAATGGACTTAGGTTTAATTCCGTAGGATCTACAGGAAGCATGGCTGGGGAGGTCTCAGGAAACTTACAATCGTAGCAGAAGGCAAAGAAGGAGGTACGTCTTACATGGCAAGTGCAGGAGGAAGAGAGAGAGAGTAAAGGGGGAAGTGCTACACACTTTCAAACAACCAAATCTCATGAGAACTCACTATCATAAGTACAGCAAGGGGAAAATCTGACCCCATAATCCAACTACCTCCCACCAGGTCCCTTCCCCAACATTGAAGATTATAATTCAGTGTTAGATTTGCATAGGGACACAGAGCCAAACCACATCGCTAACCTTTACCTGAAGTTAGGATTTCTCCAACTCTAATGTAGGTAACTAACCACGTTGATTTAGCAGTACCTGTAACTCTGCCATCAAGAGAAACCATAGATATTTTTATATCACATTACGTATATTGAAATATGTGTTATGCTACCCAAAATTTCAAAATTATAGTAATTATTGAATCTGCCACTAGAGAATGATGAGCTAATTAATTTAATGGGATAATTAAGAAGGATGTATTTTACTAAACCACAAAAAATTTTGAATTTCAGTACATGTGGCTTCCTTTGCAATTCTATGTATTTTATTGACTGAATTTCTAAACGTAGTTTTGAGAATGGGATCCATAGGCTTCACCAAACTGCCAGTGTGGTCCGTGGCACCAAAAAGTTAAGAATTCCTGCCCTGGAATAACACTCATGGCTTCTTTCCACCCCTTGTCTTGATCTTTTCTTTTTTTGTGTGGGAAAGAACAAACTCATGTAATTCATAAGGAGTTAGAGAAGAAGAAGCAGAGCACTTTGTATTCATCAGAATCAGAAACACAGAAGAGGCATAAACGCAGGTTAAGGTGTCTAGGCAGGATCTGGCATTGCTCTGAGCATGCCTTTTACCAAGGAGTCTGTACTAGCTTTGGCCTTCCATCATACTGCCACAACAGAACTCATATTAGAGGACACACAGAAGAGGTATCACTTATATCACTTCATGCTGCACTGACTCTACCTGTGAGGAGCTTGGTATAATGGCCAGTTTTTCCCTCATCCATCTGTCCAACGTCTGAAAAGAAGCTTCAGCCAGGTCTCCTCTGCCTTCCCAGCAACACAACCCACAATTCCAATGCCCTACCTCTCCCTGAAGGTGCAGGCTTGCTCAGAGTCGCACATAGGGCCCCATAATTAAGGTCTCTGCCTTCAAGTGACATACACACTGAGAGACCAAAATCCCTCCTGTCACAGCCTCCATTTGAGTCCCAGCTCAGACTTTCCCACTGCCTTCTTCTGCTTGTGTCTGCCACCTCCTGGTCTGCTTTTCTCTGGGCAAAGGACCATCGCTGTCATTGTAACTGATTCTGGGTTCTGGGTTCTGGGTTCATCAAATGACCTCCATTCACCACAGTTAGCTCCCTTTCGTCTGCTTCTTGTTTTTTATGTTTGCATTTTCTTTCCATCATGCGATTTTATTTTTTACAAGTTCTTCATTATGGATCTTTCTAAGCTGAGAATAACCTGAGTCTTGTCAGCCCCAGAATATTCCCGAAAATAAATTCAGGACGTTATTCCCTGACCTTTGTAAGAAGGACCCCAGAGGAGTGCAAATGTTACCCTCTTTGGATTTCTCCAGATGCTTAGCAGATGGACCCCACCTGGAGGTTGGAAGTAGGGAAAACCTTTCCAAAAGCATCTCTTAATTGAACCAGGTCTTGTCTGGAACTTTTAGAGTATTCGTGCATCTGCTGTAAATATTGTGGGGAAAGATACTGAAGCCTAACTCTTTTCCCACTCACTTTTTCCCTAAGTGCTTGACACCTGGCACCTACTCTAGACTGTTTGCATGCCTCTCCCATTCTTGCAAGGGGACACTTACAGATAACAATGTAGACTATGGCCAGTGGTGCATGCAACTGGAGTTAT
This sequence comes from Homo sapiens, assembly GCF_000001405.40. Classification (NCBI taxonomy): domain Eukaryota; kingdom Metazoa; phylum Chordata; class Mammalia; order Primates; family Hominidae; genus Homo; species Homo sapiens. The sequence continues at coordinate 168,988,165 of NC_000001.11, forward strand.
TTGAGACTCCCCTGCCACAGCACTCCCATCAAGTCTCAAAAATGAACACAATGCTGTGCCAACCTCTCCCATCGTCTAGGGAATCTCCTGGCTTTGACACCCAGTCCCATCCCCTCACACACAGTTTTCCTCAATCTCTGCTAGTGATGGTTAAGCCCCAGATGCTACCATTGACCACTTCCCCATTCATCCACTCTCCAACTCTGGGCAGCCTCATTCGTTCCAGTTCACCTCAGTTAAGAGAGACCAACAAACACCACATTGACAGAATGAAGGATAAAAATCATATGATTATCCCAACAGATGCAGAAAAATAATTTGACAAAATTCAACATACTTTCATTATAAACATTCTCAATAAAGTAGGTATAGAAGGAATGTACTTCAACAGAATAAAGGTCATATATCAAAAGCCCACAGCCAATATCATACTTAGCAAACAAAAGCTGAAAGCTTTTCTTCTAAGCTCAGGGGACAAGAGCACCTACTTTTACCACTTCTATTTAATAGTACTAGAAGTCCTAGCCAGAGCAATTAGACAAGGGAAGGAAATAAAAGTCCTCCAAATTCTAAAGGAAAATGTAAGATTGTCTGTTTGCAGATGACACAATCTTATACATAGAAAACTCTAAAGACCCCATCAAAAAATTGTTAGAACTAATAAATAAATTCAATATAGTTGCAGGATACAAAATCAACATACAAAAATCAGTTGTGTTTCTATATGCTAAAGACAAACTATCTGAAAAGTAATAAAGAATCCCATTTTAAATATAGAAAAGTAAAGAATAATCTCATTTAAAAATACAGGAAAATTAAGAAAACAATCCCATTTAAAATAGCATCCAAAACAATAAACTACTTAGAAATAAATTTAACCAAAGAGGTAAAAGACCTGTACACTAAAAACTATTAATATAAGACATTGATGAAAGAAATTGAAGACACAAATAAATGGAAAGATATCCTATGGAAGAATTAATATTGTTAAAATATCTAAAGTGATCTGCAGATTTGATGCAATTCCTATCAAAATTCCAGTAACTTTTTTTTTTTTTTTTTTAGAGACAGGGTCTCACTCTGTCACCCAAGCTGGAGTGCAGTGGCGCAATCTCAGCTCACTGCAACCTCCACCTCCTGGATTCAAGCAATTCTCCTGCCTGAACCTTCCAAGTAACTGGGACTACAGGTGTGCATTACCACATCTGGCTATTGTTTGTATTTTTAGTAGAGACAGGGTTTCACCATGTTGGCCAGGCTGGTCTTGAACTCCTGGTCTCAAGTGATCCACCTGCCTCACCCTCCCAAAGTGCTGGGATTACAGGCGTGAGCCAGTGCACCTCACCACCAATAACATTTTTAACAAAAATTTTTAAAAATTCTAAAATTTGTATAGAATCACAAAAGACCCTGAATAGCTGAAGCAATCTTGAGAAAAAAAAAACTGAAGGTATACACTTATTTCAAAATATATTACAAAGCTGTAGTACTCAAAACAGCATTATAAGGGCATAAAAACAGACATATAGATCAATGAAACAAAATAGAGAGCCCAGAAATAAATCCTCACATATATGGTCAAGTAATATTTGACAAATGTGCTAAGAATACACAAGGGGGAAAAGACATTCTCTTCAATAAATGGTGTTTGGAAAACAGGACATCTACATGTAAATGAATAAAATTGGACCCCTCTCTTACACCACACACTAAAATTAACTTAAAATCAATTAAAGACTTAAATATAACACCTGAAACCATAAAACACCTAGAAGAAAACATAAGGAAAAAGCTCATTGACATTTGTCTTGACAATTTTTTTTAGATATGACACCAACATCATAAGCCCCAAATGCAAAAATAAACAAGTGGGACTGTATCAAGCTAGAAAGTTTAATACAGCAAAGGAAACAATCACCAAAATGAAAGGTAACCTCAAGATTGGGAGAAAATATTTACAAACCATATGCCTGATAAGAGGTTAATATCCAAAACATATGAGGAACTCATGCAACTCAGCAAAAACAAAACAAAACAAAAACAAACACAAATATTCCAATTAAAAACTAGGCAAAGAAACTGAATAGAAATTTCACTAAAGAAGACATAGAAATGGCCAACAGGTATATGAAAATATGCTCAACATCACCAATCATCAGAGAGAAATGCAAATCAAAACTTGAATGAGATATCACTTCACACCTGTTACAATGGCTGTTATCAAAATGACAAGAGATAACAAGTGTTGGTGAGGAAGTGGAGAAAAGGGAACCCTTGTACGCCGTTGGTGGGAATGTAAATTGGTACACTGATTATGAAAAAACAGGATAAAGGTTCCTCAAAATATTAGAAATAGAACTATCATATGATCCAACAATCTCACTTCTGGGTGTATATCAGAAGGAAACAAAGTCAGTATCTCAAAAATATATCTGCATTCCATGTTCATTGCAGCATTATTTGCAATAGCCAAGACATGGAAACAACCTAAGTATCTGTCAACAGATGAATGGATGTGTTAACTAACCTGATTGTGGTCATCATTTTGCTATGTATATGTATATCAAATCATCACATTATACTCCTTAAAAATATACAATTTTTTTTGTCAGTTTACCTCAGTAAAGCTGGAGAAAAAAGACCACCCAAAGGAAACTCCTGTTGATCCAAGCTGCAGCTTGAGAAAGCACCCTGTCCCTGCCATAGCAGCATGTGCCAGACGAACAGTCTCGGAGCAGAGTTTTGGGGTGTAGCATCTTTTCCTCCAGGAGCCCTTTTCCTCCATAGCACTGCCATCTCTGAGTGCTTAGTGCCTAGCACTGCCCTGGAACTCAGAACACTCAAAAGAAGGAACAGGGAATATACCTAGACTTTAACCTTGTTGATACTATAGTACCTGTCCTGAGTAGTACATTGTAGAGGCCAGCCTGACTAACTGGAAGTCAAAGGAGAAATACCAAGAAGAGGAATGGCCTAGAAAGCCTGTTATATGAGAAACCGTTGAAGTCTAATTTAGCATGGAATGGCCCAATTTGAGAAAAAAGAATATTAAATGGGACATGACAGTTGTTTTCAAGTACTTCAGGATGGCCATATGGAGGACAATCAGACTTATTTTGGATAACTCCAAGTGTGTGTGCAGCAGAGAGAAATAGGACCAATAAGTAAAAGTTATAGGGAGATAATAATCAGCTTAATGTAGAAGAATTTTTCATTGAAGATTGAGTGGTTCGAAATGGACCATGCTGGATTAAGAGGTAGTGAGCATCCCACCACTGGAGATGTTCGAATATACAATAAAACCTTCTTGACAGAGAATTTCTACATTGACTAGTATAATGGAGCAGATAATCTCTGAAGTTCCCACGAAATCTAATATTTTATGATCATCATATCAAGGAGGAGAGGAGAAAATGGAAAGTGATGTTCTATACCATTGATACTAATTGAACTTCTACTGTGTACTATGATACTGTAGTTTTTAGGCCGGGTGCTATGCAAAGTTTTGGAGCTGCCAAGATGGGTATGATAAGATGTCCTGACTCACTGACTCATCCATTCATGTAATAGATGTAATTGTATATGAAAAGCAGATAGCAAAGTAGACAGCGTGATTATTTCTACCTGAGTAGGTTGGTGAGGACTTTAAAGTTAACACCAAGGCAGGCTTTCTAGAAAAACAAGTCTTTGCCAGGAAGCCATTCTAGACAGAGGGGTTTCCCAAGCAAGGCACCAGAAGAGACAAGAAAGGTCTTATTTCATGTGCAGACATGTCCTCCTACACATACAGAAAATGCCAGTGTGACAAATACATACTCATCACTGGCAAACTAGGTCAAGCAGCAAACGAGACCCAAGCAGCAAAAATACACAATGGCAGCGTGAGGAGAGATGACATAGTAAATAGTAAAGAGGAGGGTTTCTCACATGGGGCCTGCCAAAGGGAGCCCAGGACTTCTGGGAACACTCTCACCTCTTGTCTCCTTCAGCAGCCCCTGTTCCAAGTTCTTTCAGGACTGAGTCTTCATTCTTCTCTAATATTACCCCAGCTCTCCTTGATAAGACTTGATGAGAGCAGAAACCTTTAGCTTTTTTCATGTGAATCACCATATAGCAGATAGGGGAGAAGAGGGAAGTAGGGAGGGGACATCTAAACAGGGACTCTATGCTAGAAGCAGCACTTAGAATATTCCACATGCTATCACAGGCCAATACACGGAAGGTCAGGCAGGCTTTCACTGCCTCTCTTTGAATTTGTTCAATGATTTTTTTGTTTTTCTTATTTGGTTTTTACTCTATTTGCTCCTTACTGAGGACTCTAAGTGAACCCTGTCTTTTCTATCCAACCTCACATATAATTATTGAGTACTTATTCTGCGCATTTTTCTACAAAACTTTATCTGTACTTCTCCCGTCACTTATTTATTCATCCCACAAATAATCATTGAGCACATAAAAAGCACCAGTCACTGTTTAAGATTTTTTTTTATTATTATACTTTAAGCTCTGGGATACATGTGCAGAATATGCAGGTTTGTTACATAGGTATACACGTGCCACGGTGGTTTGCTGCACCCATCAACCCATCATCTACATTAGGTATTTCTCCTAATGCTATCCCTCCCTTAGCCCCCCAACCCCCAACAGGCCCCAGTGTGTGATGTTCCCTTCCCTGTGTCCATGTGTTCTTATTGTTCAACTCCCACATATGAGTGAGAACATGCGGTGTTTGGTTTTCTGTTCCTGTGTTAGTTTGCTGAGAATGATGGTTTCCAGCTTCATCCATGTCCCTGCAAAGGACATGAACTCATCCTTTTTATGGCTGCATAATATTCCATGGTGCATATGTGCCACATTTTCTTTATCCAGTCTATCATTGATGGGCATTTGGGTTGGTTCCAAGTCTTTGCTATTGTGAATAATGCCGCAATAAACATACGTGTGCATGTGTCTTTATAGCAGAATGATTTATAATCCTTTGGGTATATACCCAGTAATGGGATTGCTGGGTCAAATGGTATTCCTATTTCTAGATCCTTGAGGAATTGCCACACTGTCTTCCACAATGGTTGAACTAATTACATTCCCACCAACAGTATAAAAGTGTTCCTATTTCTCCACATCCTCTCCAGCATCTGTTGTTTCCTGACTTTTTAATGATTGCCATTCTAACTGGCATGAGATGATATCTCATTGTGGTTTTGATTTGCATTTCTCTAATGACCAGTGATGATGAGCTTTTTTTCATATGTTTGTTGGCTGTGTAAATGTCTTCTTTTGAGAAGTGTCTGTTCATATCCTTCACACACTTTTTGATGGGGTTTTTTTTTCTTGTAAATTTGTTTAACTTCCTTGTAGATTCTGGATATTAGTCCTTTGTCAGATGGATAGATTGCAAAAATTTTCTCTCATTCTGTAGGTTGCCCGTTCACTCCGATGATAGTTTCTTTTGCTGTGCAGAAGCTCGTTAGCTTAATTAGATCCCATTTGTCAATTTTGGCTTTTGTTGCCATTGCTTTCGGTGTTTTAGTCATGAAGTCTTTGCCCCTGCCTATGTCCTGAATGGTATTGCCTAGGTTTTCTTCTGGGGTTTTTATGGTTTTAGGTCTTCTGTTTAAATCTTTAATCCATCTTGAGTTAATTTTTGTATAAGGTGTAACGAAGGGGTCCAGTTTCAGTTTTCTGCATATGGCTAGCCAGTTTTCCCAACACCATTTATTAAATAGGGAATCCTTTTGCCATTGCTTGTTTTTGTCAGGTTTGTCAAAGATCAGATGGTTGTATATGTGTGGCGTTATTTCTGAGGCCTCTATTATGTTCCATTGGTCTATATCTCTGTTTTGGTGCCAGTACCATGCTGTTTTGGTTACTGTAGCCTTGTAGTGTAGTTTGAAGTCAGGTAGTGTGATGCCTCCAGCTTTGTTCTTTTTGCTTAGGATTGTCTTGGCTATATGGGCCTTCTTTCTGTTCCATATGAAATTTAAAGTAGTTTTTTCTAATTCTGTGAAGAAGTCAATGGTAGCTTGATGGGGATAGCACTGAATCTACAAATTACTTTGGGTAGTATGGCCATTTTCACACTATTGATTCTTATCCATTACCATGGAATGTTTTTCCATCTGTTTTGTCGTCTCTGATTTCCTTGAGCAGTGGTTTGTAGTTCTCCTTGAAGAGGTCCTTCACATCCCTTGTAAATTGTATTCCTAGGTATTTTATTCTCTTTGTAGCAATTGTGAATGTGAGTTCATTCATGATTTGGCTGTCTATTATTGGTGTATAGGAATGCTTTTGATATTTGCACATTGATTTTATATCCTGAGACTGCTGAAGTTGCTTATCAGCTTAAAGAGATTTTGGGCTGAGAAAATGGGGTTTTCTAAATATGCAATTATGTCATCTGCAAATAGAGACAATTTGACTTCCTCTCTTCCTATTTGAATACCCTTTATTTCTTGCTCTTGCCTGATTGCCCTGGCCAGAATTTCCAATACAATGTTGAATAGAAGTGGTTAGAGAGGGCATCCTTGTCCTATGCCAGTTTTCAAAGGGAAGGCTTCCAGCTTTTGCCCATTCAGTATGATATTGGCTGTGGGTTTGTAATAAATAGCTTTTATTATTTTGAGATACTTTCCATTAATACCAGTTTATTGAGAGTTTTTCGTTTGAAGGGTTTGGATTACATTTACTGATTTGCCCATGTTGAACCAGCCTTGCATCCCAGGGATGAAGTCAACTTGATCGAGTTGGATAAGCTTTTTGATATGCTGTTGGATTCGGTTTGCCAGTATTTTATGGAGGATTTTCACATTGACGTTCATCAGGCAAATTGGCCTGAACTTTTCTTTTTTTGTTGTGTCTCTGCCAAGTTTTGGTATCAAGACAATGCTGGTTTCATAAAATGAGTTAGGGAGGAGTCCCTCTTTTTCTGTTGTTTGGAATAGTTTCAGAAGGAATGGTACCAGCTCCTCTTTGTACCACTGGTAGAATTCCACTGTGAATCCATCTGGTCCTGGGCTTTTTCTGGTTGGTAGGCTATTAATTACTGCCTCAATTTCAGAACTTGTTATTCGTCTATTCAGGGATTTGACTTCTTCCTGGTTTAGTTTTGGGACAGTGTATGTGTCCAGGAATTTATCCATTTCTTCTAGATTTTCCAGTTTATTTGCATAGAGATGTTTATATTATTCTCTGATGGTAGTTTGTATTTCTTTGGGATCAGTGGCGATATCACCTTTATCATTTATTTATTGTGTCTATTTGATTCTTCTCTCTTTTCTTCTTTATTAGTCTGGATAGCAGTCTATTTTGTTAATCTTTCCAAAAAACCAGCTCCTGGATTCATTGATTTTTTGAAGGGTTTTTGATGTCTCTATCTCCTTCACAGTTCTGCTCTGATCTTAGTTATTTTTTGTCATCTGCTAGCTTTTGAAGTTGTTTGCTCTTACTTCTCTAGGTCTTGTAATTGTAACGTTAGGTGTCAATTTTAGATATTTCCCGCTTTCGAAGTTGTTTGCTCTTACTTCTCTAGGTCCTGTAATTGTAATGTTAGGGTGTCAATTTTAGATCTTTCCCGCTTTCTCCTGTGGGCATTTAGTGCTATAAATTTTTCTCTAAACACTGCTTTAGCTGTGTCCCAGAGATTCTCATACATTATGACTTTGTTCTCACTGGTTTCAAATAACTTATTTTTTTCTGCCTTAAGTTCATTATTTACCCAGTAGTCATTCAGGAGCAGGTTGTTCAGTTTCCATGTAGTTGTGTGGTTTTGAGTGAGTTTCTTAATCCCAAGTTCTAATTTGATTGCACTGTGGTCTGAGAGACTGTTTGTTATGATTTCTGTTCTTTTGCATTTGCTGAGGAGTGTTTTACTTCCAATTATGTGGTCAATTTTAGAATAAGTGTGATGTGGTGCTACGAAGAATGTATATTCTGTTGATTTGGGGTGGAGAGTTCTGTAGATGTCTATTAGGTCCACTTGCTCCAGAGCTGAGTTCAAGTCCTGAATATCCTTGTTAATTTTCTGTCTTGTTGATCTGTCTAATATTGACAAAGGGGTGTTAAAGTCTACCACTATTATTCTTTGGGAATCTAAGTCTTTTGTAGGTCTCTATATTAGGATAGTTAGCTCTTATTGTTGAATTGATCCCTTTGCCATTATGTAGTGTCCTTCTTTGTCTTTTTTGATCTTTGTTGGCTTAAAGTCTGTTTTATCAGACACTAGGATTGCAACCCCTGGCTTTTGTTTTTTTTTTGTTTTTGTTTTTGTGTTTTTTTTTTTGCTTTCCATTGTTTGGTAAATCTTCCTCCATCTCTTTATTTCGAGCACATGTGTGTCTTTGAATATGACATGGGACTCCTGAATATAGCACACTGATGGGTCTTGACTCTATCCAATTTGCCAGTCTGTGTCTTTTAATTGGGGCATTTAGCCCATTTGCATTTAAGGTTACTATTGTTATGTGTGAATTTTATCCTGTCATTATGACTCTAGCTGCTTTTTTTGCTCATTAGTTGATGCAGTTTCTTCACAGTGTCGATTGTCTTGGCAATTTGGTATGTTTTTGCAGTGGCTGGTACCAAGTTTTTTATTTCCTTATTTAGTGCTTCCTTCAGGAGCTCTTGTAAGGCAGGCCTGGTGGAGAGAAAATCTCTCCGCATTGCTTGCCTGTAAAGAATTTTATTTCTCCTTCGCTTATGAAGCTTAGTTTGGCTGGATATGAAATTCTGGGTTGAAAATGCTTTAAGCATGTTGAATATTGGCCCCCACTCTCTTTTAACTTATAGGGTTTCTGCAGAGAGATCCACTCTTAGTCCGATGGGCTTCCCTTTGTGGGTAACTCGACCTTTCTCTCTGGCTGCCCTTAACATTTTTTTTCTTCATTTCAGCCTTGGTGAATCTGAAGATTATGTGTCTTGGGGTTGAACTTCTTGAGGAATATCTTTGTGGTGTTCTCTGTATTTCCTGAATTTGAATGTTGGCCTGTCTTTCTAGGTTGGGGAAGTTCTGGATAATATCCTGAAGAGTGTTTTCCAACTTGGTTCCATTTTCCCCATCATTTTCAGGTATACCAATCAAACATATGTTTGGTCTTTTCACATAGTCCCATATTTCTTGGAGGCTTTGTTCATTCCTTTTCATTCTTTTTTCTCTAATCTTGTCTTCATGCTTTATTTCATTAAGTTGATCTCAATCTCTGATATCCTTTCTTCCGCTTGATCGATTTGGCTACTGATACTTGTGTATGCTTCACAAAGTTCTCGTGCTGTGTTTTTCAGCTCCATCAGGTCATTTATGTTCTTCTCTAAACTGGTTATTCTAGTTAGCAATTCCTCTAACCTTTTTTCAAGGTTCTTAGCTTCCTTGCATTGGATTAGAACATGCTTCTTTAGCTGTGGAGTTTGTTATTACCCACCTTCTGAAGCCTACTTCTGTCAATTCATCAAACTTATTCTCAGTCCAGTTTTGTTCTCTTGCTGGCGAGGAGTTGTGATCCTTTGGAGGAGAAGAGGCATTCTGGTTTTTTGAATTGTCAGCGCTGGCTTTTCCTCATCTTCATGGATTTATCTAGCTTTGGTCATTTATGCTGGTGACTTTTGGATGGGGTTTTTGTGTGAACATCCTTTTTGTTGATGTTGATGCTATTCCTTTCTGTTTGTTAGTTTTCCTTCTGACAGGCCTCTCTGCTACAGGTCTGCTGGAGTTTGCAGGAGGTCCACTCCAGACCCTGTTTGCTTGGGTATCACCAGCGGAGGCTGCAGAACAGCAAATATTGCTGCCTGTTCCTTCCTCTAGAAGCTTCATCTCAGAGGGGCACCCGCCAGATGCCAGCCAGAGCTCTCCTGTATGAGGTGTCTGTCAACCCCTCCTGGGAGCTCTCTCCCAGTCAGGAGGCATGGGGGTCAGGGACCCACTTGAGGAGGCAGTCTGTGCCTTAGCAGAGCTTCAGCACTGTGCTGGGAGATTTGCTGCTCTGTTCAGAGCCAGCAGGCAGGAACGTTTAAGTCTGCTGAAGCTGTGCCCACAGCTGCCCCTTCCCCCACGTGCTCTATCCCAGGGATATAAGCCTCTGATTGGGGCTGCTGGCTTTCTTTCAGAGATGCACTGCCCAGAGAGGAGGAATATAGAGAGGCAGTCTGGCCACAGTGACTTTAGAGCTGTGGTGGGCTCTGCCCAGTTTGAACTTCCCAGAGGCGTTGTTTACACTGTGAGGGGAAAACTGCCTACTCAAGCCTCAGTAATGGCAAACGCCCCTCCCCGCACCAGGCTCCAGCATCTCAGGTCGACTTCAGACTGCTGTGCTGGCAGTGAGAATTTCAAGCCAGTGGATCTTAGCTTGCTGGGCTCCGTGGGGGTGGGATCCACTGAGCTAGACCACTTGGCTCCCTGGCTTCAGCCCGCTTTCCAGGGGAGTGAATGGTTCTATCTCACATTCTAAGCACCACTGGTGTATGAAAAAAAACTCCTGCAGCTGGCACAGTGTCTGCCCAAACAGCCGCCCAGTTTTGCGCTTGAAACCCATGGCCCTGGTGGTGTAGGCACCCAAGGGAATCTCCTGGTCTGCGGGTTGCGAAGACCACGGGAAAAGCATAGTATCTGGGCCAGAATGCACTGTTCCTCATGGCACAGTCCCTCATGGTTTCCCTTGGCTAGGGGAGGGAGTTCCCCCACCCCTTGCACTTCCTGGGTGAGGTGACACCACACCCTGCTTTGGCTTGCCCTCCGTGGGCTTCACCCACTGTCTAACCAGTCCCATTGAGATGAACCAGGTACCTCAGTTGGAAACTCAGAAAGCACCCGCCTTCTGCGTTGATCTCATTGGGAGCTGCAGACCAGAGCTGTTCCTATTCAGCCATCTTACCAGCCACCCCCAAGTCTTCAAAAATTAATGATATAACAGTGAGCAAAACACACAGAACTCTCACTTTTTTGGGGAACTTCTCTTCTATGTTCCCTCCCCCACTGTCCCTGGCCCCCAGCCTTGAGTGCAATACCGCACACACACAGAGAGTAAGAATCCTTCTTTAAAACAGCATTCTCTAAGTGGATCTGTTTCCTGATTTGCCCACTCTGGATAAAATCTTGACTATAATTCTCAGTTGGAGCCCAACAGACCCAGAAAGCTATTTATAATTACATCTGAAGAGTACTTTCACTGAGGACTTTATGGAAATAGCAACTGAGGGTGGTTGAACTTTTTAGTATCATATTGCAATTTATTGAAAATTAAAAATTTTAGACTCGTTTCTGTAATTGCTATAATTTCTGATTTTAAGTGTCTTCATCAATTGATTTCTAAAGATACTTCTCTTCCCTCAACTCAAAGCCAACCTCCACTTAATGGCCAGACAGAAATGGCTTTGGGTCGACTTTAGTTGGAATGTGACAGCTTCCTGCCTCTCTCTGGGACTCTGACTGCTCTTTTAACCTCTCTGTGTCTCAATTTCTCATCTGTAAAAGAATGTCATAATAGTGACTACATCATAGGATTACAGTGATGGTCAAATAAATTAAACTTGCAAAGTGCCTTAAAGATAAATAAGTTTAATATTAGTGTTGACTAATGTTCACTGTTGCTATTGCCCTCTTATCTCTTTCCTATTCTATGGTTTTACTTTGTCAAATCAAAGAGACTTAACTATAGTAGATACCCACTAAATAACGTATAGAATGAATTAACAAATTGGTACATGAAAGAGGAGCACTGCCGTCAAGAAGTTCACAACCTGTAGGAGAGGCAGACAGATGCTCAGCCCATAAGGAGTCAATCTGTAAACCACACCACAATGATAGAAAATGCTTGGGCTGGGATTCATTCTTCTGGGAAAGATTACAGAAGCTACCACAGAGCAGTGACAGCCATTCAAAAATCTGTACTGTCTGACTCCCCGTTGGAGTCTGCCTCCTGTTAGACCATATTTGTTCAATGTCTGTTCAGAAAAGATGATGACTCCTATGAGGGGAAAGGCAGAGATGGATTTATAGAGCCCAAGCTTCAAACCAGAAGATCCCAAACGATACTTTTCTTCTCTAAACTCTGCCACTAACCAAATTTGCCCCATCCCAAGAAGACCATCTGTTGTTATTGAAGCATGATTCGTAAGAGTCACCCCTTCCCCAAGCCACATTCCAAAGTAACCCTTCAAACTATACTTTGCACTCTCTCTCATTAAATGCTGGTAAATACAACCCCCCTAGACTTGTTCCATACCCAGCTGTGTTTAAGGCTCCCCATCAGTTGGTGCCTCCCAGAGATCCCCCTCCCCTATGCATACCACTTAATCTCACTCTTGTGGAGAGGGATGCCCATGTCTAGGGACCATGTTAGGGGGATAATTGATGACTGTGGGTACTTCCTGGGTAAATACACAGTATATGACTGAATAATGGAACTTACAAATAAGATGAGGTTTTAGGAACTAGAAGAAAACACCACCTCTATCTCATGTAGAACAAAGTTATTTGTGATTCGGATTTAGTTCACAATCAACCAGCTATCAGAAGTAGATGGGGGTAACAGTTAGAGAGTGAGGAAGAACAGTGGCTCCCAAACACTGGTCCATGTAACAGTCACCAATGGGCTGTAGAAGACTCACCTGGGAGCTTGTTACAAATACAGATTTCTGGACCCTCCACTCCCAAAGATTCAGATTCAGAACATCTAGAAATCAGTATAATTAGCAAGGCTCCAAAGAGATCTTTCCATGTAGGCAGATTTGGTGGCCACCAGGACAGAGACATCTGTGCACAGACATCAAGGCAGCCCTGACCAAGGCAAATTCATCAGTCTTCTCTGGGCCTGGCCCTGGGATGGACAGTCTATAATTTTCCCTGGCCTTGGCAGCAAGCAGTATGTCAGTGACCAGGAGCAGGACCCTTTGTGCACTCATTTGAAGGCAAAGTATCACACCATTTGATTGTTTTCAGCACCATTGCTCCCGAGAGCTAGGAGGCCGTGCCCAACCTTTTTTGATCTGACACTTATATTTTTCACTGCTGCCTTTCACAGAGCTGAGCAAAAGTTGCAAAGGCATAAGGTAAATATGTCTTATTACAGGAGCAAATGTAGAAATGGTTTCTAGATAGAGTGTGAGGGGTATCCAGAGTTCAAAGAGCATTTGAAGGTCACAGCTTGAAAAAGCCTGTGATTCAAATCCCTCCTCCAAACGTTCTTCTGTGTTAAAACTTTTCATCATCCTCCCTTCTTGTTCACTCTCAGGTGCTAAGATAAGAAAGCAGGCTGGCTAAAGATGAAGGGGAAATGCTATATTTGTGGATCCAGCTAGAGGGAAAATGTAGAGTCTCTCTACCTTTCTTTTTGAGTTTGCCTTCCCCGCTTCCCTTTGTATGGCATGTTCTCACTAGGGGCCCAAAGTAATGAATGCATGGAAGGGTGCGCGGGCGGGAAAGCAGAGCAGTGTAATGGGAGAAAAAGGATGTGAAGGCGAGAGGGACAGGTTGCAATTTTAAATAGAGTAGTCTTACTCATAATGTGACATTTTAGCAAAGACCCCAAACAAATCTTGCAGATCTCCAGAGAAAAAGTGTTCCAGGAAGAAGAAAGCACAAGTGCAGAGGCTCTGAGGAGGCAACTAAGGGGAACAAGGATTCCAGGATGGCTAGACTGTAGTAAGCCAGGGTGCCGATTATGATGAGCCTTGGGCACGCTCTAAGGACTCCAACTTCATTGGGACAGTTTTTGAAACAAATTTTAACATAATCATTCTATGCTTTAGTAGATCACTCTGGCTGCTGCAGTGAGAGAAGAGACTGAAGGGAGGCCTGAGTAGAAGCACGGAGAACAGCTGAGGGCCATTGAGACTATCCTAGTAAGACAGGATGGTAATTACACCGTGTGATGTCAGTGGCCATGGTGAGAAATTGCAGAATTCTGGATATATTTTGAAGTTACAGTCAACAAGCATTACTGACAAATTGGCAGTGAGGTATCAGAAAAAAAAAAAAAAAAGAGGAGTCAAGGATAAATTGTGGTCTCAGAAATGGCTGGAAGCATTAAGAACTTAAAACAAAAAAATAATTTTAAAAAGAAAAAAATAAATAGTGCAAGAACAAAAGTCAAGAAAGAAGGGATGAAGTTGAAAAGGGGGAGGACTAAAAATCTGAATAATACGTGGAAGTATTTTGTAAACTGTTAAAAGGCTGCAAATGGAAGTTGGCACCTGGTGATGATGATCATCATTAATTATAACACTAGGAATAAGGCATTGGATTTGTTGTTAAAGAATTTCTAGTGATCTCTGAAAGAGTTATTTTTGTACGTGGTAGAAACAGAAGTCTTATATAAGGATTAGAGGAAAAGTGTGTGTGAATAGGTAGAGAAAATTGATGCAGACTATTTGTTCTAAACGTGGCAATGAGGAGGACATTAGAGGACAATAAAAATGAGCAACTACTTTATAATAAATAGTAATGACCTATTGTGCATGATAGAGGACATAAAACAGAAGGAGAAAAAGGCTAAAGGAGGCCCCAAGCTAGTTAAGCCTTTAGATCTAAGTTCCAGGTTACAGAAAATGCAGGAGAGTGAGCATCTATTAAACCACACCAATAGGAAACAATCAGAAAAATTCAAATTACTGGACATTTTACAGAACACTGACATGCTTTCTTCAACAAGTCAATAGCATGACAGGAAAAAAAACTGCAGAATTGTATTTGTTTAGATAAGGAAGAATGAATATAGTGACATAACAACCAAATGTATTATTTAAACCATATTTGAATCCTAACTGAATCATAAAAAGACATTTTTGAGATGATGATAGAGTTTGCTTTAAAATAAGGTTGAGCATCCTAAACCAAAAATCCAAAATCATAAATGTTCCAAAATCCAAAATGTTTTATGAGATAGTAACACCTTTGCTTTTTGATGGTTCATTGTCACAAACTTTGTTTCATGCACAAAATCATTTAAAATTTTGTATAAAATTGCCTTCAGGCTATGTGTGTAAGGTAAATATGAAACAAATGAATTTTGTGTTTAGACTTGATGTCTCCTTACATATATGCAAATATTCCAAAATCGAGAAAAATCCAAAATCAGAAACACTTTTGGTCTCAAGCATTTTGGGCAAGGGATATTCAAACTGTCCTAATACAAAAAGAAGAAAGAAGGAGGAGGAAGAAGGAAGAAGAAGAAAGAAGGAAGAAGAAAGCAGAAGAAGATATAAAAAATGTGATAAAGTAAGTGTAGAAAAATGATAATTTGGGAGGATTATTATGCTGTTCTCTCTACTTCTGCATATGTTTGAAATCTCTTATAATAAACATTTTAAACAAAAGTATAGAGCAAGATTAAGTTACTGAGAAAGCCCAATACCAGAGAGGAAGAACAGAGAGTAGCATTGGGACACACATGAAAGAACATATGAAAAGACTGTGTGTTCAGGGATGCAGTAAGAAATCTAGAAGAAATATGGCCTTGTTTGGTGACTATAAAAGTTGCAGCAAAGGAGGGGGTGAAGTTGTCTCCTGACCGTGGAAGAAATAGTAAGTTGGGGCTGGGGTTTGAAGAGAGAAAGAAGATTTGGCACGATCATGGCAGATAACACCAGAGAATAGATAGTGGAGGAAAATCACGACTCAGAAGCAGCAAGATTGCATGGTTTTACAGAAGCCTTGGTCAGAAATTCTGAGCTCTCACCAAATTCCTAAGACCCGTATTGTTTCTGGCCATAAAGGCCAAACCTCCTTTGGGCAATGGGTGGCTTTTTCTGTTCCTATCTACCAGGGTCCTTCAGATTTTTTTCTTCCCAGGCAGACTCTATCTAAAACCCCATTGCAGTCCTCTGCCACAAGCATCCAGAACTCAAAGGAATAGTGCCTCATACACTATGGAAATTTCTCAAGACCCTTGAGTGATTACAGTAGTCCAAGAAGTGCTCACCCTACAGTGATCTTCACTATTCAGAGAAATTAAAAACTCCGTCCTCCTTACCCTTGAGGAGGATTTTGAGGTGAGAGGACTGGGGAGGGGCACACAGGCTGAGGGGTTTCCCCTGGGGGAAGGAGGAGATGCAGGGCAAGAAGAGAAGAAGTCCTGGCACCCTGCACTTGAGGGCCTGGCACACAGCCATCCAGGGAAACTGCCATTTCCCTGTTTCTGTTCATTGCTCCATGGCCCCTGGCATCATGGAAATTTCCAGCACTTGTGGAAATTCTCCAGGAATGTGAAACTGCAAAAGTTCTATCTATGCTGAGCCAAGGGACACTTTCTAGCTATCTGAAGAATTTGCTAATTAAATGACTAATGTCAACTAGATTCCCAGGGAATAATTTATATACATATGAGGGGAAAAAGCCACTCTTAACACACCACAGCATCTATAAAAGACTTTGCATTGTGCCTAGCACACAGCAAGGGCTCAAAAATATTAGTCCTCTTGTACTCTGAATTTAGTGACTGAAAGAGGGCATGGGTGGAGCTTCTGGAGGTCTGGGAATATCCTGCCCCTTGACTTGGGTTCTGGTTATATAGGTGTGTTCAGTTTGTAAAAAATCATCAAGCCATATACACATACTCTCCACATTTTTCCTTACTTACGTTATGTTTAAATCAAAACTTGCCAAAGCTTTTTTTAATGTTGCTTGTTACAAGTGAATGTTCTAGTCATTAGATTAGGGCCACCTCTACTTTAGTTAACTAAACCATTTACTTGCATGACTTAAATTATAATGTCTTTTCAAATATTGAGTAATTTGAAATTCCTCTCACTGTAGATATGTTCACAAAATTAGAATTGATGAAGATTCTCCAAGCTTAAAACAATGTATATTTGTTGAAATGTTGAATGAATGACTCTTCTCTTTTCCACATTTCTCTTTGTAGCCAACATTTTTCAGGAACTCCTTTAGCAAGTGTAGAAAGAAAGGCAAGAAAGAAAAGGCACTACTATATATTATAACAATACCTTATATTTCTCTTCTTATAATACATCATAAATTTAATCATATAATTATTTGTCAAATTTGTGTAAGTATTTGCTCAACATCTGTCTCTCTTGTTAGATTGTATGTGTCATGAAAGCCAGAGACATGCTCTTATACTCATCATTATATTCCCAGCACCTAGCAAGGTGACAAGTGTTGCATGAGTGGATAAATAAATGAATAATTGAGTGGATTAATGAATGAGAAATCCAATGTTAGTTTTAGTTGGGTGAAAACTTAGAGGATACATTGAATAAACCCTGGATAAGACATAAACCTGTACCCCTATTGTCATAAAGAATCAATGAGAATACAGAGGGAAAAAAAGTCTTTCAAGGAGGCACTCAAGTTCTTTATTGTATAAATCGTTCAAATAAATGTCAGGTTGGTTTGTCCTTATTTTTGTTGTATAGGACTTTTTAATGTGAGTACTTGAAACACTGGTTTCCCTCATTTTAAGTATATTAGAGAATCTTCACATTTATACAAAAGAAACCTTATGATAAGGTCATAAAGGACCCAAGGGAATAATAAATGAAATATAAAGTCAAAGTTGTCTTATTAATAATAAAAAAAAACAAGAAATAGCCTATGCCAACGAGAGAGAAAGTACACTGGTAAGCACAAAACAAAGAGAGGAGAAAAACATTATGTCAAATGATTCAGGCACCAGGAAAGAAAACATTTTAATAAGAGATGAAAGAGCTGGGAGGAAAAATTATGCCTTTAGCTGCTTGGATATGAGTGTGGGGTTAGAGGGACTAAGGGGTCTAGCTAGAAAGACATGTCCATGTGCAGAGCTGGGCAAAGGCAGATCTTGAAGAAGAGGGAGTCTGCCTTAGACTCTCCCCAGTGTTCCAAGACAAGGCTTCTTTGTCCATTTCAGGACATGCTTACAGCATCCTCACCCACACGAAATGCCGACTGTCCTCTCGCTGCCGGCTCTCTGCCCTGACCTCCCCACAGAGCTGAACAGAGTTGTATTTTAATCAGCCCTCCTCCCTAGGTAATATATGTTACTTCTGGGCTTTTTCTCCTTTCAGTCCTCTGTCAAAACAGTACAACCGTATATCCAAGCTCTGCTCTCCCCTTAAAATTTATTTCATAGTATTCATTTTATTCAATAACAACTTTATTGATATTAATTCACATACAATGCCATTCACCCATTTAAAGTGTACAATTCAATAGTTTTTAGTAAATTCACAGAATTATGCAATCATCACCACAACCAATTTAGAACATTTTCATCATCCCAAAAAGAAACTCCATACCCATTAGCAGTCATCCCCAACCCTCAGGCCTAGGCAACCACTACTCTACTTTCTGCCTCTATTGATTTTGCCTCTCATGGACATTTCATAGGACTGGAATCATACAACATGCAGTCTTTTATGGTTGGCTTCTTTCACTTAGTGTAATGTTTTCAAGGTTCATTCATGTTGTACCACGTATCTGTATTTCTGAATTATATTCTATTGTATGAAGATACTACATTTTATTTAGCAGTTCATTCAACGGTAGCCATTTGATTTATTTCCACTTTTTGACCATTGGGAATAATGCTGCTATGATCATTCATATAGTGTTTTCTTATAGGATGCTAAAACTGGAATGAAGCTTCGCAGTTGTCGGCTCTCATCCCCATGCAACTCATGACTTTCTTCTACTACATCCCTAAATGTTTATGTTTAGCCTCATTTGAACAACTCCAAAAACAGAAAATAAACTATTGCCCGAAGAATTCTATTCCAGGATTAGACTTTTATGGTAATCAAAACATTTTTTTCCTTAGATTCTGTCTGCCTCTAACTTCCTAGCTTAGACTCTAGCTTAGTCTTTGGGGGCCAGAGCAGTTTACTTCCTTTCCCATACAACATCACGGAATATTTTAATCTATTATTTTCCCCTTGACTTTTTACTAGACTCTCCACTAAGAAGACTAGACTACATGATTTGAGATTGGTTTCCACTTTAAAATTCTGTGAAGGTGACCACCACATATGTTTTGAAATTTATCCACATGATGAATTGGATATGTGTTGGTTTTTACCCCAGCATACCCATATTTTCCTTTGGGAAATACCTATACAGTTTGGTTTACATGGAACCCACTCTCAGCTCCAGGAGTGAACCCCAAATGGCTTCTTAATTAAGTCAATCAGTAAATCTTTTTTCCCATGGCTCTAATGATGGTTCAGAGGGAGGAGGAGAAACATATGACTTAAGCCAATCCAATATGAGTGAATGTTGCCACTTTTGCTGTAAATAATGGGACACAGACTGTCCTCTTCTGTGCTTGATGGTGTGAGGATATGAAATTTGGGAAAACTGTCAGAGAACCTGTGTGAAACTTGAACCTGAGGATAAGACTCACACAAGTGGAAACAGAGTGGAGAAATGTATCCTGGTGATATCATTTGGGTTCTGAATCAGTACATACCTGCAGCAATAGTTACCCCAGGAACTCTTCAATTTCTCGAGCCAATAATACCTTTTTATAAAACTTGTGTAGCCTGCTTGGGTCAGGTTTTTGTCACTTGTGACTAAAAAATTCCTGATGCTTATATCTTGGTTGAGGATTTATCCTACTGATTCTACTACATGTTAAAGTGTGATAACCAAAATTGATTGTAGTCCTCCAGGAACTTAATACAGCCCCATAGAGCAAGTTCTCTTCTTCTTTACTTTAGTAACCCACATCACACTGTTGACTGATATTGCATTTTGATCAGTGCCTTACACATAGTAGATGCTAAATAAATG
The DNA here is from genome assembly GCF_000001405.40 of Homo sapiens. NCBI lineage: Eukaryota > Metazoa > Chordata > Mammalia > Primates > Hominidae > Homo > Homo sapiens. Next base: position 169,007,879 of record NC_000001.11, read on the forward strand.
ACAACAGTTGTAATTCTCTACCCCTTTTTCTGAACTGAAAAACAGAGTTCCAATATGCCTGTTCAGAGACAAGAGCTGAAATATTGGGCTCCGTCTGAGGTATTATATGATAATCAGGAGTACAGTCAAAAGAGATAGTCCAAGGGTCTATTAAAGGGTCACATGACACAGCAAGCGGATGATGTAGAAAGAAGGTGTTAGCATAAGACTGGACCCTATTTTCTGCACCATATTATAACCAGTAACTATCATTGATCACTCAGTACACTCAATTTTGTGCCATCACTACTTCAATTCTAGATGCCTGGTATTTAAGTCCCAGGTTGAACCTCACTGAACTGATGGTTTCCTCTGATGTTATTAATATATCTAGAAGGAGGACACTTCCACAGCCTTTTTCCAACTCCAACTCAAATCCAGCATCTAATGAACATGGCTTTCTACCACTTATTGCAAGTGCTGCTGACACTGCTTTTTTTTTAATCCATCTGCTGCTCTCCTGCATCTTTGTTTCTTGGTATTTTTCTACAATTATTCATTGCATCATACTACTAAGAGAATTTCTTTCTCCATCTCCTCAAGAAATCCAAGACTTTATTTTTGTCAGTTGCACTTTACATACTGTGTTAATCTGTACCAGCTAAAGGTTTCCCAGTTTTACACTTAGCTATTGGCTGGAGTTAGCCTGGGATTTTTTTCCTACCCTTCTAGGTAAAGACGGGTTCTCAAACCTAAACTTTCTTTGAGGTCTCTTGCTCCTATAGATGGTTTCAGGCTCCCTGATTCTCCAAGTCAGTAGTCTTCAAACTGGAGAATACATTCACGTATATAAGGAGTTTCCAGGAAGTACATACTAGTGAGTAGTTTACAAAATCAATTTCTAGAAATTCAACTCCTGTCCAAACTATTCCCTGAATTGCTTTGGATGATAACATGGCTGCTCATGCTAGCTTTTTCTTTTTTTTTTTTTTTTTTTTTTTTTTTTTGAGACGGAGTCTCGCTCTGTCGCCCAGGCTGGAGTGCAGTGGCGGGATCTCGGCTCACTGCAAGCTCCGCCTCCCGGGTTCACGCCATTCTCCTGCCTCAGCCTCCCAAGTAGCTGGGACTATAGGCGCCCGCCACTACGCCCGGCTAATTTTTTGTATTTTTAGTAGAGACGGGGTTTCACCGTTTTAGCCGGGATGGTCTCGATCTCCTGACCTCGTGATCCGCCCGCCTCGGCCTCCCAAAGTGCTGGGATTACAGGCGTGAGCCACCGCGCCCGGCCGCTAGCTTTTTCTTTACTAGTAATCATCTTTGTCCAATTTAATGAAGGAAAAACTCACCTCCTACTCATTCTAAAACTTAGTTCAATGCATCACCTGAGGGTGTTAAAAAAAAAAAACCCTCTAGGGCACCAAAAGGGACAATTTAAAATATTGTTTCTGTGACAAGAAAGTGAGTAGCTCTAATGACCTAGAGTAAAAAAATAATGAATCAGGTGATTTCAAATTCTTTGCTCCCTACAAAATTGAAGATGGTAGTTGAGAAATCTTTAAAAATCATTTTTGATGACTAATAACTACTAACTGCCACTGATATAACTCCCTTTCAGTTCCATCTACTTATTTATATGAATGAAGTTTCTCAGTATTTACACCTATAAAAGATAAAAACATGAGCTTACATTATAAGTAATATTCATCCAAGAATATATAAATACATTTAAACAATAAAATAATCTCATCTATCTCATTAAGATATGAATTTGCAATAAAATTTTACTCTGTTGATATTCATCAAAGTATGTAATACACAAATTGTTTTAGCCAATTGTATAGTAATACTATAGAGAATGGTTGTTCAATTTAAAATAGATTTTTAACTAAAATCTAAAATAGATTTTTAGTTCAGGAGTCAGAGATGTGAGTAGATAGTGTTTGGGGATCCCCTCTCTGGTTCTTTCCCTTTCAGAATTTTTTCACTATCTTTAGTGTTTATGGTTTCCTGACTTCACTTTTTTACTCCTCAGGCCTGAAAGATTGCAAGTTGGTCATATGTGCTGCTGGTACATGGGCACTGGACTTAGTCCCAGTCAAAAGCCCTGAGACAGGAACTTATTTGTTCCTGTCTTATATAACATATTTGTTCTATAGTCTTCCCTCTCCAAGCACATCTGAACACCAGAGTCTGTATGCTCCTTATGGCCAGGTTTTGCAGTGGTTTTCTGCATGGATAGAAGAAGTGTGGGGTAGTCATTCAGTAGGGTTTTAGTTCATCATACCTGGAAATAGAGCCCAATTTTGTTTTAGAATGTCAACATTTATGATAGGCTGGGAATTATATCTTCTGCCAACATTTAGACTAATGAAGAAAAGGTTTAGATATCAATTTTGTAATGTATATAAAGGTACTTTTTGTTCAGAATTACCTGAGGCGTATTATATCAGAAACCTCTTATGGGCCATTTCAGATCCTCTCAGCCTCTCTCAACTCTTGGTCCAGCTACCATTACCAGCTCTGCCTGGGTTCTGACCAATTTCATACAGGTGAAATCTGACAGTGTTTCATTGTGTGACTGTAACCAAGTGCCTCTTGCATCCCATCTTGTTGACAACAAGGCATGGGAATGTCGTAGGACCCAAGATGGAGCCCACATATGCATGATCCAGATTTGGGGGAAGTTAATTCTCTGTAGGACGAAACTTTGACAGATTTGAAATGGAAGCCAGTAAATAAAGTTACTTTCTCCCCTGAGAACCACTGTCCTACAATGCAGTCATCTGACTTTGCAGAGCCAGTCCAACAGAAGCAAGCAAGCAATTGTCCTTAGTAGAAGCCAACTGAATAATGCATTGACTTGTTGGTTTCCCATCTTCCCTGGCTCACACTCTTTTTCCAACACTCTTTTTTCCTCAGGATGACAACTGATATAGTAGCAGTACAGAAGCCCTTTGCCTCAGGTTCTCTTTTCTGGGACACCCAGGTTAAAAGAGAAGTACAAGAATTCCACTGCTGTCCTATGGACACAGATTCAATAACCCACTTATCACATCTGATTCCTTGTCTGCTGACCTCTCCTGGGCACTGTGACCTATGGTAATTTAACCAGCCCAGGCTTGCACTTCTGTCGAAACTCACTCAAGTTTCAATGATCCACTTTGTTCCTCAGGAGGGATTTGATATCCAACCTGTGACTTTGCAGGAAACAGAATATATTCCAGGCCCAGAATTGCTAGAAGGACTACTCCCTAAAGAAATAGTAGACCCTGGAACTCTGACACTTCAGTCTTTCTTTTTTCTCCTTTTCAAAAGTGTTCCACTTCTATCTTACTTATGGGGCAAAGAATAAAGCAACTCTGGTAAACATACCAAAAAAGGCAGCTGGCATTCAAACTACACCTTCCATCAGACAAGCTCTTCTTAATACTTCAGCAATTTTCTGTTCTTGATCGTGTGAGTTTAAATAGCTATGTTCAGCTATCATGTTGATGGGACAAAGAAAAGGACTAGAACCAATGAGTGAACACTAAGCAGAAGCAAACTGTACCCCAGTATAAAGAAAAACTTCCTAACAATTGGTGGAGTTAAACTAGTAGAGCACACAGAATGACTGCCCTACAGAAGAGTAAAAGCCCTGTCTCTGGAGGTCTCAGTGCAGAGGCTATATAACCACCTGTTTGAAACATTGATGTTCAAGTTTGAGCCCCTAGCAATTCTAATTCTATAGTTTGAAATTGCCTGAGAATTTGCATTTCAGCAAGTTTCCAGGTGATGCTAACAATGCTGGTTCAAGGACCACACTTTGAGAACTACTGTTGGGATGTTCTGTAAGGTAACCCCCAAACTGAGAGACAGGAGAGAGTAACCATTAAGACAAAAAGCTTTAAAGTCAAATTAGACCTGGGTTTGAATCTCAGTTTGGTCATATACTAGCTGTGGAATTAGGCATGCTATTAACCCTCCCTAAGCCTGCTTCCTCATCTGTATAATTTGAATATAGACACAACTTACTTCATAGGGGAATAAGGTGGGGAACAAATATATCCAAATCAAGGTAGCCATTAATATTAGCCTTCGTCACCTGCAAGGAGCCATAATGTGCCCTCATACGTGGCAATCATTATCTAATTATCATCACCCTAGGAATAAAGGACCTTTCCTTTTCAGGGTAAGAACACCCATATCCAAAGTAGAAGCAGGACCACCAATCCACAGCAAGAATCTATACCACATATGCCAAGAAATAATATTGGGCAGCATTACTTTCCCAGGAACATTATATTAGCAAGTAAACATCACCACAATTAAACTAACTTTCTGGAGAACCATGGCTTCTTCTTTGCTAGCTAATACCATAACCAAAAATCACCTCTCTACTCAAGAAAGTCAATATTAGCCACTAAAAAGGAATCATTGTAACCAAACGGGGTTTTCTAAAAAAAAAAAAAAAAAAAAAAATTATGTACTATATCAAGATACTGCACAAACCAAAATTTTCCTTTGCAGCGGAATAATTCAATGAAATCATTCTACATTTGACATCACTGGGCATTCCAGGCAGTCCTGGGAGCCTAAACACATCTCTTTTCACTGTAGAGGAAAACTTCAACAAATTGAATTTTTCAATCATATCCTTTAAGTGTCTTTGTCTACTAAATTTCCATGCCAGTCTTTCGAAGCAGGAGAAGTGAATTGAAGATTCATTTCCCACACAAGTGTCTCATCAACAGCATGAAGGCAATCCCCTGTGAACCCAAAGAGGTCATTTGACTCATATTCTAGGTTTCAATAAACCAGAGCATTTGGAGAGGTAAGGCCTCAAGGGACATAGAAAACAAAAATGAAAAACAAAAGCTGGCTCCATAAAAAATAAGACCGAGCAATACAGGTCAACTCTTACCTTACAGTTTCTTGCTGAAGCACACAGACTGGAATTCTTCTCTTCCATGGAGTCCTCCCCATTCCTGTGGGGTTCTGGCAGCTGACAGAAGCCTTCTCCAAGACATTATCTCCAGGGAGATGGAGAAGGTTCTGGGAACTATTAATGCCTGAGAGACTGACTCCTGCTACTTTCAAAGGCAATTCGGCCAAGAACAGGGAAATCCGGCATCCATTGATCAAACACTGCTTGTGCACTAACCATTTGTCAGACATGATGGCAGGAACCTGTGATCTGAGGAGGAAACAGTCCCTGGCCCTGCCTTCAGGAGGCCCAATTATGCATAGAAGCTTCTAAAGCACATTTGGTTCCCAGAGGCATCAGTTAGGGAGATGGAGGGTTCTGTGTGTCTTTTTAGAAGATACTGGGAAGCCTGAGAGGTGACCTCCCAGGCTCCACACAGCTCTCTCACTGATTTCCAGCACAACAGAGGTAAAAACAGCAGCAATAGCCACTCCAGTTTCTCCCTTAGGGCCTTGAAGAACGACAGCTACCTGGAGATTTCTCTTCAGGTGGCACCTAAGGTGGAGCCGCCCAGCCCTGCACATCCTAGGGAACTAGTCACCTAGGAGACAGCATGAAAGGGGCCAGCAAATTGGGTCTTTAATAACCTGTGGGTATTTCCACTTCACAAAACTTAGAGGCCAGAGGAGCAAGTGAACATAATATCTCACATATATCTAACACTGTGTACTTTACCAAAGGCCTCTGTGCCCAACTAAAGAAATATTTATGAAGCATTTAACAGAAGTCAAGTAATGTGCTGGCACTTTCGGATCTATTACTTTGTTATAAATTTGATACTCACCCTGTTGGCTAATTATTGTCAGAACTGAATCAGAGAAATTATGAGTTTGATACAAGTTCAAATTTCTCAAAAGTGGCAGCAGAATTAAATATTCTGGCTCTATTAAATCTCCTTTGTTCATTGTGTTGCCTCCAAGCCCCTTGCCCACAGGCGGCCTAAGAGGTGAACATCGCTTTAGAGTAAATGTCATTAATAGTTTGAATCTCATACTACAGCCTGAAGAAATGGTGAGGGGAGCTAACATTGACTAAGCACCTCGTGTGTGCTGAGCCCTTTCATATGCTACCTGCCATGGGCTGAACTGTGAGCCCTCCATCTCTGTACGTGGACGCTCTGATGCCCAGTAACTGGGAATGTGACTGTATTTGGAGATGGGGCCTTTAAAGAAGTAATTAAGTAAAATGCAGCCATATGGGTGGGCCCTAATCCAATATGACTGGTGTCCTTATAAGATTAGGACATAGACAACACACAGTCCGAGGAGCAGCCATGTGAGGACACAGTGAGAAAGTGGACTTATGCAACCTGAGGAGAGAGGCCTCAGAAGACATCACACCTGCCAACACTTTGTTTCTTGGGCTCCCAGCCCCCAGAACTATGAGAATATAAATTTCTGTTGCTGAAGCCACCCAGTCTGTGGTATTTTGTTATGGTAGCCCTGGCAAACGAATATATTACGTCATTTTATTTTTATAGTATCTCTATAAAAATAGGCATAATGTCCATGTTCAAGATGATTGACCAGAAGCTTAGAAAGGTAAAGTAACTTTACAAAGGTCACAGAGCCAGGAAACAGGAAAGCCAAAACCTAATTCTAAATTCTCTTTTTTTACACCCTACCTGGCCTCTCAGACCACACTCCATTCTAGCCCAGAAACTTCCCCTGTGCCTTATTCCAAAACCCCTGGCATAGACATTCCCCTGAGAATGTCAACATTCCCAGAGAGCATCACACAGGAGCCTGTGCCGAGAATTTCGAAGACTCTAGACTGGGCAGGCTGCTTGAGTAAGATGAGATGCCATGCTAACTGCAATATTTCTAGAAAGGCAAGGAGGAGACAGACTTCTCAGCCCTTCTTTGAACCACAGGCTTTTAAGTTAAGGAATTTCTCACGTCTTTCTTTTGAGGAGAGTTTACCACATTTTCTGGGTTCATAAGACTCAACTGATAATTGTGATTTTTAGCTGGAAAATCTCCCAGATAGCTCTTTGCATATCTGCTTGCTACCTAATCAACATTAGTATGGCTGCTGAAAATACTCAATTTGCAAGTTACATGATCCAAATGTGCAAAATAATAACGATAATAACTTTCTTTACTCTTCTGTAACTCAACTTCTGTTTTATGCACCAATTCTGCCTATTGGCAGAAACTTGATCACGTCCCCTGAGGTAAAAACACTGGTCACTTCAAATTTAAACATGATCATTTCCATATTCCGCTCCCCCATCTTCCTCACCCTTAGGTGGCATCTACATTCTAGGGGTCTGCATGGCATGATGGCCTGGGACACATGGGACCTCTGCTTGTTGGCAGCCATCCATGCTACCCTCATTCATTCATGGACACCTGTCCCCACCAGCACTTGCTGGAAAATCTAAGACTCTTGGATTTTAGCCCTTGGTGCATCTGGGTCTCTCTGTTTCTGCCTCATCCAGGTTTCAAAGTATACAGCCCATCACTTGGTTAACTTTGAGCCCTTCTTAACCACCCAGGAGATTATTTGGGCCCTTCCTCCTGATGTGCCATCGAGACAGGAGGAGGGAGACTCAGAAGGGCTGTATCTCCCCAGCTACCAAGACCCATACAGCCCTCTCTCTCCCTCTACTCCACCTCCAGAGGCATGGTGGCCACCTCCTACAGCAAAAGGTGGCCTTGGCTCTCAGATTCCTAGCGCCTCACGTCGTTTCATCCCAGAGTGGGAGGCCAGACTCAGAGGCCCCTTCCACAGCCACCGAACTTGGCTCTGGGGTCTCCTGTTCCCATCTAACTAACTCTCCTCTCTCCCCACCCAGCCACCCTGAACTGGTCTCTGAGGGAGCAGGGCTTTTGCTGGCTCAGCATTTCTCTATCTGCTGGTTTCAAACAGATTATTAAAAGGGATTTGACTCTTGCAAATCAAAACCTCAGCTCTTAAGATAACTGTTTCTGCTTCAAGTTTAAGAATATCTAAGCCCTGATTCCTACCTCAGAAATGGACGTAATTATACCTACTTTACAGGAAAATTATAAGAATAAAGCAATCTATTTTGGAATACGAAAGCCAGGAATGTAACTCATTACTGTCAATAGGTGGACACCTCAACTGATACAATCTCAACTGTTGAAATCTCACCTGATACAATCAGGTTACTAAATGAATAGAGGGTAAGTTCAAGGATGGCAAGGGATTGCAAAAAGAGAAAAATGCTCAATTATTTTCTCTAAATATTATCCCCACTCTATTAGATTTCTCTGTCACTTGTGGAGTGGGAGATTATTTTCAGCCGTCTTCTCCCTGCTAAACCAGATACCTGCTTAGAGTGCAACACCTTTGTTTAACAGTTGCACACTTTGCCCAGAGACCCACAGGTCTCCCTTGATTCATTCAGGTTTCTGCTCAAATGTCCCTGTTTCAGTGAGGCCATCCCTGATCCCCTCTCCCAAAAAGCAATGGACTTTGACTGCTTTGCTCAATGTCAAATATTCAGTGACTGGAACACTACCCTGCATGCAACAGACACTCTATAAGAATTAATTAAAGGAAGAAAGTAGGAAGAAAAGGAGGCAGAGAAAAGCCAGGCTGGCTATCACCCTGACTCCCTGGCATCTCAAACCTCACAATGCACTAGCTATGGGACCCACAGAGTCTTGAAAGGGTGCTTCCCAAAGTTCCTGTGTCCTTCTTCTCCCTTTCTCCTACTCCTGCTGCAAACAGCACAGTTCTCAAAACAGCAGCCATGGCCCTTCCCTAAATGGCTTTCTCAGAGCGTTTCACCCTACAGAGAGAGCCTGGTGCTCTCTACACTTCTCAACCCAGAGGTCACTGGGCAGGATTACCCCAAACCTGTCTCTCTTCTGCCTCCCCAGAATAAAGCAAACAGAAACATGTGGAGCCAGGAACTGGGGTCATCGAGGGATGCAACATTTTACTTTCTTGTGGCAGGCTGCTCCCCACCTTGAAGTCTGCATGCTGGCCCAGAGCCAGAGGAAGTAAAGCCCCAGCACTCGACCATGCAGGGACAGCCAACTGCCCTGCCAAGGGGCCAGCTCGTCCTGGGGCTCCCTTGCACACCAGGCTCCAGCTACTGCCCCACATCCTTTCATCTTCCATTCTCACTGGGCTTTTGTACACATGGCCTCATCTCCCTAGAATGTCCTTGCCAACCTCATTTGCCTGGCCAACTTTTCCTCCCTTCCAGGACTCAACCCAAATATCAAACTTCCCGGACATCCACCTCCTCCTTAGTCTGAACTGGTCCTCCATCCTCTCGTAACCCCTGTATTCTGCTATATCCTTAGTTATCACTGTGCACTGTAACTGTAACTTGCCTCCCCCACTTGCAAATGAGGCTATTGAAAAATAAAAGCTATGTCTTATTTCTTGTGTATCTCCTGTCCCTAACCCCAAGTCTGACACACAAAGACATAGTGCAAATAAATGAAAGTCTGGTCATTCATTTATTCATTCCACAAATATTGGACCAGGCACTGTACTTGGTGCCGAGGGTACAAGAGTAAAAAGGCCTGAGAGTATGAATCTGTCACCTCAAGGAGTCTGTATCCTAATAGGGGTGAGACAGACAATACCAAGTAGATAAATAATTGTAGATAATTATAATTACAGATTTATTATTATTATAGATTATTGAGTCATTATAGATCATGATCTATTAGTAGTAGAGAAATAATTGTAGATTAATATTTGAGAGTGCTCACTCTGTGCCAGAATATCAGGTCCACACCCACACCCACACCCACACACACACATGTACACAAAGTACAAGTGGTTACACACCCATTTATTAGATTATATTGGACAAAGAAGACAAGCTTTGGCTGATTCTCAACCTTGCCCAGGGCACAGTGTGTTAGACTCTCAGTTGAAGAAAATAAACAGGGTTCTTTCATCGACATCAACAGAAGGCTCTTACTTCAGGAAGGGGATCAGGGGAGGCATGGAAGAATGAACGAGTGAGTGAATGAGATTACAAACACAACATACCTGGGTCCAGAATGCAGATGGTTGCTAGAAGCCCCCTTATCTCGGGAGAGTTTCTGACACCTCAGGATCCATTTGGCAGTTGGGATTTAAGATTAGCTCTATACGCAGATGACAGGGCAGATTCATTTCCCCAAAGCTCCCCTTTCCAATGCTTATCTTCGGGGTCAGTGAGAGAGAGAGGACTGGGATTCTGGAAACACAGTCAGAATAAAATGCAGCCATTCCTGAGAGCTCACTGTGTTGAAGCCCTGAGGCTGGCCTTGGGGACACCATTAAAAGACCTATGGAGCTCTCATTCAACCCCACCCCAGTCCTACCTGGGGGAGGCACAGGTGTAAACATCTAATGAGGCAATAGGAGAACGTCACAGGGGTGTGTGCAATGGCAGCAGATCACAGAAGACAGGCAGGTTCTTTCTGCTTGGATGGAGAGGGCAGTGAGCAGAGGGAGACAGGGAAAGCTTCTGAAATTTATTCTGAGCTGGGCCTTGACTGGAAGATGAACAGAAAAGAAAGTGAACAAGAATATTTCAAGTGGAGAAGAGAGCATGAAGAAAAGCAAGCAAGGATGGAAGCACAAGGGGTGATGAGTGATGCTGAGTGGTGGTGGAGAAAGGTAGAAGGAGAGGATGGGTCTCAAGGTTTGCTAAGGCCACATACCCTCTGATTCTAAAATGCAGCTTGCAAAGGGTCAGGAAACTCCGACTCAAATTCAGAGACAGCATCTGCAAGAAATGTCTAGTAAAATTCTCTGCCCTGGAAGGTGGGGCAGGGACAACAGGGCAGCCCCTACTCCCAGGGCTGTCCCAGTCTTAAAGAATACAGCTATCTGGGGTGAGGGGAATACTGGGAATTCAAAGAAAGGAAATATGGAAATGGAGTTGGTTTCTGCCTTATTCAGACCAACAAGAAAGGAGAGTCACCCCAAGTTCAGGCCTCAGGTGCCATGACACCCATCCACTGATGCACCTTCTCACAGACAGCACTGTTTGGGGGTGGGAGTACCGGGCAAATGAGAGCTCCCAGGTGAGGACCCTTCAGGAGCTCTCCCAGGTGCCGTCCTGCCCCCTGGAGCTTATGAAATGTGCCACACCTCCTGCAACAGGTGCAGGAAACCGCCAAACAGAGGGTTTAGAAGCAACAGCACTTCCTGGGCCTCCTAAGAACCCAGTCCGCACCCAACAGGGTGGCATCTGTGCTCTCCAGGGGAGGGAGAAATTGCCTGCAATCATCCTTCCAGGTGTTCTGCCACAAAGACCTCCTTGTGAGACATCCAAAAGGCCAAATCTATAACCTACCTTAAAGGGAAATCATGATAAATACAGGCAATACAGCAAATACAAGACGATTTCCTAATAATAAAAAATAATACCGAAAATGCACTGAGTGCTTTCTCTGTGCCAGAGTGTAAGTGCACACATGCATATGCTCGGACACCAAGTATAAATGCTGATATGCCAGCTTGTTAGGTTATACTGGACAAAGCTTTGACTGTTTCTCAATCTTGCCCAAGATACGTTCCCACTGGGAATTCTGACTTCTGTATCTTTGTGTGAGGGACATCTGGGGAAAGCCTCCCTTCCTGCAGGATTAAGATTCCTCACCTGTAAGATATATTAACTGTTTTCTTAAAAAGTCTCAAGTCTGCCAAATGGAGGACACACAAAGTTTCTCAGAGTAAGTGCTCAGGAGAAGGTGTGGGGGAGTGTCTATGCAACAGTGTACACCTGCTTCCCAGTAGCTTATTAGCTCACCCACACCCAGGTCACAGGGAAGGTAGGGGACAGGTGCTCATGGGGCTCCCTGCCCTGCTTTGCCAGTGCCTTGGGCTCCTTGATCTGCTTCCTCAGGGAATTTCCCATGTCATAAATCTGCACCCTTCCCTCTCCCCACCACCCCATCCATCCTCTGAGCTGAGCTCTCCATATCCTTGCAGTCTAGCTTCGGGGTCTCTGAGCCCCCCAGGTGTGTTCTGAACTGCATTCTCTGATCAGAACTCAGCTCTCTGAGCACCTGGGCTCGACTCATTGCCTTTGGCTCCTCCTGCATATCCCAGCACCACTTTGGAATGGGCTGGGTGGGACAGAGAGCAAGGGAAAGAGGAAATAAAAAACAGAGAAAGAAGAAAAGAGAGACAAATAATGAAAGCACAAAAGAGCAGCAAAGAGAAGGGGAGAGAAGAGGAAGAGGAAAAACGCTCAGGCAGTCAAAAGATGAAGAGTCAGGGACAGAAAGTAAGGCCACAGGAGAGTCAGCTGGGAGACCCAGCAGGGTGTTAGGGAGAGGACTAATTGTCAGAGGCAACTGCAAAAATCTGCACTTGTCCTAGGCTAGTGGTCATCAAACTTGAGTGTAAATAAAAATCACATGCTCGTGAAAATACAGATTTCTAGTCCATGTTCCAGGGTTCTGATTCTTTAGGCATGTGCGGGGTCCTATAAATCTGTACTTTTTAAAAATAACCAGCCCAGGAGCTTCTGGGGGAGGTTTTGGGAAATACTGATGTCCATTCTCAGGAGGGCACTTTGTGGCACACGAAACTCTGAGGAAATTCTCCTCAGAATTTGATATCTCCTCAGAATTTGATATTTTAAATGCTCGAGTTTGGAACTCAACTGTCTTGGACTATGCAAGCAACAGGTGGGCTCCAGGAGTGGCCCGATTCTGCTCTCCAGGTAACTGCCTGAATCTGGGAGGATGGCAGGTGCTCTCTGATGGACAAGTCTCTCCTCTGGGATGTAGACAGTTAGAATAGAGGGTCTCCAAGGACCTTTTCATCTAGAAGAAACCCACCAGTCTCCTGAAATGTGATGCCCATCTTGATCTAACTAGATAGACACTTATATTCTGAGGTCAAAACTTGACCAAATGTTCATTCTCCAGCCATAGGTGTTAGACAATACAAGTGCCTTTTTAAAAAAAGAAATATTAAGGCTAGGCATACTGGCTCATGTAATCCCAGCATGTTGGGAGGCCAAGACAAGAGGATCACTTGAAGTCAGGAGTTCCAGACTAACTTGGGCAACATAGTGAGACACCATCTCTTAAAAAATAAATAAATAAATAAATAAATAAATAAATAAATACATAAATACATAAAAATTAAATTAGCCAGGCATTCTGACACATACCTGAAGTCCCAGCTACTCAGGAGGCTGAAGCAGAAGGATCTCTTGAGCCCAGGAGTTTGAGGCTTCAGTGAGCTATGTTTGTGCCACTGCACTCCAGTCTGGGTGACAGAGTGAAATCTTGCCTCTAAAAAAAATTAATAAATACATAAAAAAAAAGTAAGAACTGATTTTGTTTTTATGAACTCCTTTAAATTGAAGTTAATGCCAACAGGCTTAATTATATGTATAGTATTTTACAATTTTCCTCAAGTATTTCTAATTCCTTACAAGGATGACTATTTTGTATTTTAAAGTATTTTTTTAAGAGAAGATGACCAAGTGTGTGTTATAGCTTGGTTATCTTATGGGCTGGTGAGTGTAGTGTGTTTGATATAAATAAGTTAACTCTTAGAATGCCAAGGTTTTTTTAAAACTTTTATTTTAAAATAAAAAGAGTACAAATGCTGGTGTGCTACATAGGGAAACTTGTGTCATAGGGGTTTGTTGTGCAGCTTTTTCATCACCCAGGTATTAAGTCTAGTACCCTTTAGGTATTTTTCTTGATCCTCTCCCTCCTCCTACCCTTCACCCTCCAAAAGTCCCCAGTGTCTTTCTTCCCCCTTATGTGTCCATGTGTTCTCACCATTTGGCTCCCACTTATAAGTGAGAACATGCAGTATTTGGTTTTCTGTTCCTATGTCAGTTTGCTAAGGATAATGGCCTCCAGCTCCATCCATGTTCCTGCAAAGGACATGATCTCATTCCTTTTCATGAATGCCAAGGTTTTCATTCCATCATCTTCTGACAGATACCTTCTAAATTATGATGCTAACATTTCTGCCTTGGGAAAGGGGACTTACTAGATTAACTCCTCTGCCTTATTTGTAAAGCCCAACATTAACCCTATAATAGCTCATTTCTCTTCTGCAGCATCACTTCCAGCTGCCCCATGAATAAATCTTCCACTTCATTTATTCTTCCCTCTGTACCTTTGCCATTGGACCTTCAATCTTCTGGAATGCCCTCCTTGATGTTCAGCCCACCTAAAACTCCCTGTCCATCAAAAGTCCCAAGAGCCAGTAACATCTCTCTAATCTCTAGGTCCCATACACAGCCCTTAGTAAGCATTCAGCAAATATTTGCTGAGTGAATGAATAATTCTCTGTTCCCCACACACACACAGGTTGGATTTTCCTTCTTATAATTAGAAACCCCTTTTACTAATATTTTATCTCTCATACTACATTTTTTTCAATGAATTATTATACCCATGTCACCTCGTAACTTGAAAAAAAACAAAAGGAAACAAAATGGCCAGGCATGGTAGCTCACACCTGTAATCCAAGCATTTTAGGAGGCCTAGGCAGGCAGATCACTTGAGATCAGGAGTTCAAGACCAGCCTGGCCAACATGGCGAAACCCCATCTCTACTAAAAAATACCAAAAAAAAAAAAAAAAAAATTAGCCAGGTGTGGTGGTGTGCACCTGTAATACCAGCTATTCAGGAGGCTGAGGCAAGAGAATTGCTTGAACCCAGGAGGCGGAGGTTGCAGTGAGCCAAGACCATGCCACTGCACTCCAGCCTGGGCCACAGACTGAGACTCTGTCTCAAAAATAAATAAATAAATATTATTGTTGCTAGTGAATCCTGGGATACTTGAAGGGATAACCTTTGCCTGCAGATCAATCCTAAAATCCATGAGAGGTCCTTGGCCTGATTTCCAAGGTCACCTATAATCTCCATCTACTCTGCATGCCCAATCCTTTCTCCCAGTAGTTCCCAACACATTTGGTCTGCCACTTCTACACTGACTCTTCAACCCTTCATGTGTCACCCTTAGTGCTCCCTCTTTGCTTTGCTCACACCAGTCACCCATATCCAAAGTACCCTTTTACCTCCCTCACACCTCTTTAAATCCCACTCAGCAAAAAAGGTTGATGATGCATCCCATCATTTCCATAAGGTTCACCCTCACTGCTATAATTCACATTGAGCTCCCCCTTCTCCAAATTCTTACAGCATAAACACTGTGTCACATAATTTTCTGTATCCTATATTGTGGCGCTTAATTTATACCTAATTTTCATATATTGGTTTTTATATCTGTTAGTCTTTTTCCTACAAATGGATTATATAGTTTGAAGGAAACATCTGGGTATAGAACAAGCTGTGTGTCTGCTTCACCCAGAGCCCCCTTTTAAAAGGAATTAGACCAAATGAGCAGCCACACTGTGTTCCTGTATTTGTTCACTGGGGCTGCCATAACAAAATGCCACAGACTACAGGGCTTAAACAATAGAAATGTATTTCTCACAGCTCTGGAGGCTGGAAGTCCAAGATCAAGGTGTCAGCAGGCCTGGTTTCTCCTGAGGTCTCTGTGCTTGGCTTGCAGATGGCCATTGCCTTGCTGTGTTCTCACACTGTCTTTCCTCTGTGTACCCTGCTATCTCTTTTTGCATCCACATTTTCTCTTCTTATAAGGACACCAGGCAGAATGGATTAGGACCCATGCTCACAACCTCACTTTAACCTTATCACATTTTTCAAGGCCATATCTCCAGATACAGTCACATTCTGAAGTACTGGGATTTAGGGCTCCAGCATATAAATTTTGACAGGATACAATTGAGCCCAAAACAGCTTCAATCATCTCTATCATAGATTAGAATGGAGCAGATGCCTGATCCATAGGCATGAGTTAGCTATTAGCCCAATCCATCGGTTAGCTAGAAGTTCATCAAGTGGCTTAATATGAAAACTCTGTCCAGTGGGGGACCATAGTAAATACGTAGGAGAAACAAATTCTTTCCTGAGAACTTGAAGTGGAAAATATGCCTGCTGGCCACAGGAGAAAAAGCTGAAATATGAATGCTGTATATTCTTAGTCTCTTCCCTCCCATTTGTACCATACCCTGATATTTAGCACAGTATTTGATATATACTCTGAGTCTGGCTTTGGCATAGATTCATTCTACCAGCAGTGTTACATTTTCAAGAACTTTTTTTCTTCAGGCAATATCTGGCATTCGGTCTCATTCCCTCAACACCTAATTCCTCACTTCTAGTTTACTAAAAATGAAGGATTTTGGCTGGGCATGGTGGCTCACACCTGTAATCCCAGTACTTTGGGAGGCCAAGGCAGGCAGATTGCTTGAGCTCAGGAGTTCGAGACCACCGTGGGCAATATGGCAAAATCCCATTTCTACCAAAAAATACAAAAATTCAGTATGGTGACATGCACCTGTGGTCCCAACTACTTGGGAGGCTGAGGTGTGAGGATCACCTGAGCCTGGGAGGTTGAGGCTACAGTGAGCCAAGATTGCACCACTGCACTCCAGCCTGGGTGACAGAGTAAGACCCTGTCTCAAAAAAAGAAAGAAAGAAAGAAAGAGAGAGAGAGAGAGGAGGAGGAGAAGGAAGGAAGGAAGGAAGGAGAGAGAGAGGGAAGGAAGGAAGAAAGGAAGAGAGAGGGAGAAAGAAAGAGAGAGAGAAAGGAAGGAAGGAAGGAGAAGAGGAGGAAGGAAGGAAGGAGAGAGGGAAGGAAGGAAGGAAGGAAAAGAGAAAGAAAGAGAGATGAAGGAAGGAAGGAAGGAAAAGAGAAAGAAAGAGAGAGGAAGGAAGGAAAGGAAGGAAGGAGAAGAGGAGGAGGAAGGAAGGAGAAGAGGAGGAGGAAGGAAGGAAAGGAAGGAAGGAGAAGAGGAGGAGGAAGGAAGGAAGGAGAGAGAGAGGGAAGGAAGGAACGAAGGAAGGAAGGAAGGGGGAGGGAGGGAGGGGAGGAAGAGGAGGAGGAGGAAGGATCTCTCACATCTACCTTCAAAAATGTCTTCTATTTGGAGGCACTGGAAATAACAAGAATAACTGTAGAAAAAACATTCATATGTTCCTGTGAGATGCAAACTATATTCAATGTTCCAGTCCCTATTGCTGTCATACAAACTACTCAACACTTAAGACAAAAACAAACCAATTTTTTTTTTTTACTATACCCACATAATATGTGGGTCAGGAATTCAGAAAAGGACAGCTTATCTTTGTGGTACAATCTGAGCTGTCAGCTGGGAAGACTTGAAGCCTGGGGGTGACTTGACAACAGGAGATTGGAATCTTCCGAAGACTCACTCACATGTCTGGTGGTCAATACTGACTGTTGGCTGGGTCTTCAGCTGGGGCAATCAACTGGAACACCAGTTATAGCTGAGTGGTTTTCTCAACCAGCTCCCTGTCTATAGTAATAAAGGGGGAGTCCAAAGGTCTCAGACTTTCATTTGTACTGTTTCTGTTCCTTTCTGTGCAAGTTAATATGATTCTTTTAAAAACTTTGTGAACTATTGGCATATTAACTTATAATTTATCCCATTAGACAAACAGCCACAGCTGCAAATCTCTCTGAGCTAAGTCTTTCTCCACCTTGGGCTCCCTGTAAGGCTGTTATGGAACAGTGACCTTAAGATTCCTATAAGTCCTATTTTTAAATAGAGAGGGAGGCAAGCTCCCAATTGCCTCTCTGTAGTGAAAACAGAGTGAATCCTGGAGGAACAATGAGGCAGGGAAGCTGAACCTGGCATTTTCATTCAAAGTCAAAAGCTACAAGGAGGGTTGCAAGTGGTGCCTCTACTGGCAGAAGTCAAAGTCAAGCCCTCTCTGGAGGAAGGGTCACCAAGTCAGACCCATAGGACTCACATCTCTTTAAGCTCAAGTGATGAACCAGTGAAGATGACCAAGCACACAAGAAGTCAAACCACTAGTGACAACAGATTTAGACACCCAAGAATTGCAAATTACGGAATTGTCAGATTTTAAAAAAATAATTGTTATGAATGAAATCTTAAATGAAATAAAATATTTGCTGCAATAGCAAAAATGAGCATACAAGAAACCACCAGCAGTGAACAATCTTAAAATACTACTCCAACTCCTGACCTCAAGTGATCTGTCCACCTCAGCCTCTCAAAGTGCTGGGATTACAGGCGTGAGCCACCATGCCTGGCCAGCCTGGTCAACATGGTGAAACCCCATCTCTACTAAAAATACAAAAATTAGCTGGGTGTGGTGGTGCGTGCCTGTAGTCCCAGCTACTCGGGAAGCTGAGGCAGGAGAATCGCTTGAACCCGGGAGGCAGAGATTGCAGTGAGCCGAGATAGCACCATTGCACTCCAGCCTGGGAAACAGAGCAAGACTCCGTCTCAAAAAAAACCCAAAAAAACAAAACAAACACACAACAACAAAAAAACAAAACTACTCCACAAGTTGCTTATTAACTTTAAAAAGGAGTGAATAAAAGGTATCTCCAAATGGAGAAATCTGGTGGAACCGACCTCACTATGTGATCAAAGTGAACATCAGTGTTGTAACTCTGTGCTATGTTGTGCCTGCTGTGGTGATGCATGGAGAGGGGCACAGTGTCATATATGCAGTATTCCTGCCCCAAATGTTTAATTGGAATCCAAGAATGAGGAAACACTTCGATTAATCTATATTGAGGGACATTTTACAAAACAGTTCAAGAGTGGCTTGAACTCTTCAAAAATGTCAAGGTGAGGCTGGGCACAGTGGCTCACACCTGTAAACCCAGCACTTCAGGAGGCTGAGGCAGGTGGATCATCTGAAGTCAGGAGTTCGAGGCCAGCCTGGCCAACATGATGAAATCCTGTCTCTACTAAAACTATAGAAATTAGCCGGTCATGATGGCGTGCACCTGTAGTCCCATCTAGTCAGGAGGCTGAGGCAGAAGAATCACTTGAACCAAGGAAGTGGAGGTTGCAGTGAGCCAAGATCAGGCCACTGCATTCCAGCCTGGGTGACAGAGCGAGACTCAATTGCAAAAGATTAAAAAAAAAAAAGTTACGGAGATAAGAAATTTGTTTTTAAAGAGGGGCTCAGGACTATTCCAGATTTTTTTTTTTTTTTTTTTTTTGAGACAGAATCTTGCTCTGTTGCCAGGCTGGAGGGCAGTGGCACAATCTCCTTTCACTGCGACCTCCGCCTCCCGGATTCAAGCGATTCTCCTGCCTCAGGCTGCCGAGTAGCTGGGACTACAGGTGCCCGCCACCACGCCTGGCTGATTTTTGTATTTTTGGTAGAGATGGGGTTTCACCATATTGGCCAGGATGATCTTGATCTCTTGACCTCGTGATCCGCCCGCCTCGGCCTCCCAAAGTACTGGGATTACAAGCATGAGCCACGGCGCCATGCCTTGTTCTAGATTTGTAAAAACTAAACAAATAGAACAGCTAATGGAATGAATGATTATTGATTCTATCCTGGATTGAAAAATAAGAAAAAACATTTTTAAAAATATTACTGTTGGAACAATTGGGAGACATCAGAATTTGGCCTATACATCAAATAATATTATGTTTTCAATGTTAGATTTCCTGAATGTGATACTTGTATTGTTGCTATGTTGGAGAATGTCCTTGTTCTTAGAAGACATGTGTTAAGATATTTAGGTAACAGTAATTGAATTCTCTGTGAAATGAATTCTTAAATGGCTTATCAAAAAAATATTTGTGTGAACATGCAAGTGTGTGGAGAGAAAGAGAAAAAGCAAATGTGGTAAAATGTTAACAATTAGTAAATCTAGATAAAGGGTAAATGAACATCATTGTGCTATTCTTGTAACTTTTCTGTAGGTCTGAATTTTTTTAAAGAAAGAAAAGTTTGGGGAAATATTAACCACTACAAAGCAAAAGTAGAGTGTATCCAGTTAACTATTAGTATCAACACTCCCACAGATATGTTGGGGCCATTCCTTTCTGCAGGCCAAGGCGGAGCTCAGCCACTCCAGACAAGGCACATGGAGATGAGGTCACTTTGCCAAGGTCACAAACACCATCACTACATTGCCAGAACTTCCCTACCCGCATGAAAATATCTCCTTGACCTTGGCTGAATTGGAAAATTTATATAAAGGATTCTGCTCCCTTTTATATCATTAACTAATCTGTTGTACAGATTAAAAGATTAGAACACACAAAAACATAAAACGAAATAAATTTAGGCATGCTAGAGTGGAGAGATTCAAGTTGATGCTCTCTGGCATTTTTCTTTCATTCCTTTGATGTTGTTTTAAAACTGTTTGGCCAGAGAGAAGGAGAGAGGGCAAGAAAAGAAATTAGTGCTGCTATGAATAACTGCAATCAACCACCAATTTAGGGAGTCACTGGAGTAGAACACTTCTCAGATGTCAGTGTTTCTCAGCTACACATTGTCCTTTCCTTCGATTATCACTGGCATGTCACCATATTCTGCAAATCTCAGCACCACTGCACCTCCGGCCCACTGGTCACTCATGCTTAAAAGCATGCGGCTGGGGGAGTAGACTGGGGGGACGGCCTCAGCCAGACCACTGTGGAGCCAAAAGAGTGCGTAGGGCTCTGTAGTTCTACTGGCTCAAAAGAATTATCTGTACTTGCATGGCCTTGAGGAGAGACAGGACTGTTGGAGACAGATAAGATTATTTTCTTTTTCCCTCTCTCCAGTGAACCAAACACAATTCCCATTCTGGCTTCCCAGACTCAGGGCTCATGTTTGAGCTTTTCTTTTCTCACTTCTCTTGGTCAGAGGTGATCACTTTTGCAGCTCATGACACATGTGTGATTTTATGTACAATACCTTAAATAGCACTTTTAGAAAATCTGTTTTCTGGCTGGGGGCGGTGGCTCATGCCTGTAATCCCAGCACTTTGGGAGGCTGAGGCAGGTGGATCACTTGAGGTCAGGAGTTCGAGACCAACCTGGCCAACATGGTGAAACCTCGTCTATACTAAAAATACAAAAATTAGCCAAGCGTGGGGGCGCACGTCTGTAATCCCAGCTGCTTGGGAGGCAGAAGCAGGAGCATCACTTGAACCTGGGAGGCGGAGGTTGCAGTGAGCTGAGATTGCGCCACTGCACTCCAGCCTGGGTGACAGAGTGAGATGAAAGAAAGACAGCAAGAAAGACAAGAAAGAAAGAAAGAAAGAAAGAAAGAAAGAAAGAAAGAAAGAAAGAAAGAAAGAAAGAAAGAAAGAAAGAAAGAGAGAGAGAGAGAGAAAGAAAGAAAGAGAAAGAAAGAAAGAAAGAAAGAAAGAAAGAAAGAAAGAAAGAAAGAAAGAAAGAAAGAAAGAAAGAAAGAAAGAAAAGGAAGGAAAGAAAGAAAGAAAGATCTGTTTTCTGGTTAGCCTAAAATGGCTTGTTCTGGAGGAGATACTGACTGTCCCAAGAAACAAAGCCTGCTACGTGCTGAGATTTTGTAACTCCAAGTTCTTCTCAGAAGCAACTTGTAGACTGCATAGGGTTGCATGGACTATTGTCAGGACTCCCCTTTCAGGAAAACCATATTGCAGGGAGGACTGTGGGATGGTGAGTGTTAATGAAGGGCCTAGAAAGCTGAACTGGTAGAGAGATTCGTGACTGATAAGAGATGATGGGGTTTTGTGCGTTAACACAGAGATACTACGGTACTTCTCTTTCTGCTTCTGTCTCCGGGAGATAAGTTAGGCACAAAAATGACCCAAAAAAGCATTCTACTCATCTCTTCCCACCTCTTCCCTGCACAATCATCCCTCTGGTAGCACAGGAGCTAAAACCAAGTCACAGCTACCACAATAAAGGGACTTAAGCACTCAGTGAATGCGTAGCCGAACTCTGGCTAAGGTTAACTTGTTTCCATTCACTAAGTCAGATTAAGAAGAAAAATAAATCAAAGTTATCCTTATAATCACATATTAATTCTAAAAATAATTGTATTTTCACCCCCTACAGCGTGCTAGGTAGGTTTGGAGATGCAAAAATAAATAGCCCACAGCCCCTTCTCTCAGGTCGCTTGTCGTAGAATAGAGATGAGCCTTCCTGAAACCAGGGTAGTAGAACCACTAGAAAAGGAGAAAAAGACAATCTGGAAAGACAGGATAAATCATGAGGCAGCATCCAGCAAACATGGGAAGAGAGAGGGTCTGTACCCAGGGACTGGAAAAGGGACATCTCTTCCACAGAGACACAAGGGAAAGAGGAGATAGTAGATCATTTTCACAGTGCAACAAGGTCACCACCATTATAACTCTTAGTTTGTAATGAAACTAGTTTGAGCCATGATGGATTTATCACCAGCAATGTCCCCAAAAGTTTCTAAAATCGATGGCTTACATTAAAGAAAAAAGAAAGAAAAATAATTTAGAATCATTAGATGAAGGATTTGTAGGGCAAGCACTTAATTATAGCTAAGTGTAATTTCCTTAAGCAAGTCATCCTCTATTAGTTATATTATTACACATATTATTCTTAAGTCTGGTGATTAATACTGACTTTAACATTTTTAATAAAAGTTTCAGAATTATTTATGTTAAGTGAAATAAGCCAGGTACAGAAAGACAAATGCTACATGATCTCACCTATATGTAGAACCTAAAAAAGTTGAACTCAAAGGAGCAGAGGGTAAAATGGTGGTTACCAGAGGTAGGGGGCTGTGGAATTGGGGAGATGTTGGCCAAGGGATACAGAATTTCAGTTAGATAGAAGAAATAAGTTCAAGAGATCTACTGGGCACCATGGTGACTATAGTTAAAAACAATATAGTATATACGGGAAAGTTGCTAATAGAGTAGATTTTAAGTGTTTTCAACACAAAACAATAAGTATGTGAGGTGATGGATATGTTAAATAGCTTGACTGAACCATTTCACAATGCGTACATATATCAAAACGTCATGTATTACCCCAAAAATATATGGATGCCATTTTTATTTGTCAATTAAGAAATAAATAAAAATTTCAATATTTTTTTTAAAACTAACTGTTTATATAAGAATATAAGGCAACAAGTTAGTTATTCCCAAAATATAAACATAAAGATAAAATCTGGAGAATAAGGAAACAAAATCATCTAGGTCAAACGGCTTCTGTGATGACCTATACTAAGTGTAATCACAATTCAGTGAGCCTGATCTTCTCTCAGGCCTAAGTTGTACATTGATCCTGAGTCCAATCCTGGAGTCAGAAGTTGATGGCATTAGTTTCAACTCTTCTTTTTTATTTCAATTCTCTTAAAAATATGTTCTTATTTTGTCTTTCTTTACTACATAAAAAATTTGTAACAAGCTAGGTCTTATGCAATTATAGATATTTTCATAAATCTCTTTTAGTTAGGATCCTGATATCTAGACAATGAGAGTATCTTTTCAATAAACTGAAATGCCTGTAATATCAAAATATATTAAATATGACAGTTTTTTTAGCTTATTCTTTTTGTCTTACTTTGCTTTTCAAAAAAAGCAAAACTCAGCAAACTTACCTTAGACTATGAATGAGGACAACTCTAAAATGACCTAAGGTGACTACTAATACCACTTGTTGGTGGGGGCAGAGTTAATATGCTTTAGCTTTGGGGCATAGCTTTGTCATCTGAGAAAATTATAAGTTGAAAGGTCATTAAGTAAAGGATGTTCTATACTAAAATAAGAAGCTGAAAAATACATATTTCTCTTTAAAAATATATTTATTCTGTGTATCATCAGTTCCCAGAGGAATGCTTGGCAAATAAATAGATGTACAATTAATGGGTATTGTTGAATGAGCAAAGGCCGAGGACTTTGGTAAACGCTCTACATATATTTTCTCTGACACCTACAACAAACAAAAAAAATGGGTAGTATGATTTTCTACACTCTAGAGATAAGGAAACCAAAATTAAGACTGATTAAACATTGTTCATGTGGCCATCCGATTCTAAAGCCCTCCTTTTCTGTAACTCAAGGTCTGGAATTCATTTGAGGAATCATGCTGAGTACAGGAGATAGGTCAGATAGCAGAGGGCTCTGGGCTGGAACTCTCCTGGAGTGAAACTCCAGGGCTGCTGTGAGTTCACGGAATGAAGCTGAAGCACAAGACGCCACATCTTAGTGCAGTGAGAGGAAGAACACAAATCTGCAGGCTAATCTGAGAAGAGATCTGGAAGGACTGCCAGGAGGGAAGGAATCCAGCCAAGATTCGTTTACCTCTGGACCAAGAAGGCGCAGCCTCCTTTCTTTGCTTTCCATAGTTTTCATTATTTCTTTTCTTTTTTCTTTCTTTCTTGTTTCTTTCTTTTTCTTTCTCTCTTTCTTTCTTTTTCTTTCTTTCCTTCCTTCCTTCTTCTTCCTTCTTCTTCTTCTCCTTCTTTCTTCTTCTTCTTCTCCTTCTCCTTCTCCTTCTTCTTCTTTCTCTCTCTCTCTCTCTCTCTCTCTCTCTTTCTTTCTTCCAACAAGATCTGGCTGTATCACCCAGTGCAGTGGCACCATCTCAGCACACTGTAGCCTGGACCTCCCTGGCTCCTCCCACCTCAAGCTCCCAAGTAGCAGGGACAACAGGAACACAACACCATGCCTGGCTAATATATATATATAATATATATATATTTTGTAGAGACAGGGTTTCGCCATGTTGCCCAAGCTGGTCTTGAACTTGTGAGCTCAATTGAGCCACCTGCCTCAGCCTCCCAAAGTGCTGGGATTACAGGTGTGAGCCACCCTGCCCAGCCTTTGTATTTCCTCATTAATTTCTCTTAATTTTTCTGATTATAAAAGGAATAAATTCTCAATTAAAACAAAACTCAGGCAACTCAGAAAGGTACTTTTAAAATATAAAATTTTCTAATCCCACCACATAGAGTTAACGCTGTGCTATATATCCTTCCAGATTTTTTTTCTGTGTGTGATTATATCTGATCTTTCTTAAATGCACAGAGCAGGGCCCCTTTTGAAAGCCCAAGGATGCACCTCCACAGACCTGCCTCCATTTGCCCTAACAGCACAACAAAAGTTCAAACCTGTTGCCTGATGCTTGCAGCCTCGTTTATTTGTAAATTGAGAATAAGATCACCACCATCTGTCACCCCTACTTTATTAAAAGTTAGGCATTTGTATTTAAAATAAAATTACCTATATCCTTGGACTTTGGAGGATATTCTCTATTTCAAAATTAAAGTGCACAACTCTTACTACAGTCCTCCCCTGCTGGCATCTGCATAGAAATTATAAAAAGTAAAGCTGCAAAATGAGTATTTATACTTATTTTGAAATCCTATTTCAGGCCAGCCATAGTGGCTCACGCCTGTAATTCCAGTACTTTGGGAGGCCAAAGTGGGCAGATCTCTTGGGCCCGGGAGTTCAAGACCAGCCTGGGCAACATGGCAAAACCCTGTCTCTACTAAAAATATAAAAATTAGCCGGGTGTGGTGGCAGGCACCTGTGGTCCCAACTACCCGGAAAGCTGAGGTGGGAGAATCACTTGAACCCAGGAAGTGGAGGTTGGAGTGAGCCAAGATAGTGGCACTGCACTCCAGCCTGGGTGACAGAGTGAGACCCGGTCTCAAAAAAATAATAAAATAAAATAAAAAATACATTTTAAATACTCACCTGAAAACATACAAGCCCATGACTTATTCAAGGCACACTGATAAAGGCCTCATGTAAAATGCTGGCTGTTGGAGATCCATATAGGGCTTTATTTTAATGTGAGGGGCTTTCTACAGTACCCAGTAGATATCAAATCAATCTTCAGACAAATAAAGTAAGTAATTGTAATTTTTTTTAACTTTGTTGAAGAAAACATCTTCTTTGTTTTCCTCTGGCTGTTCTCTTTAATTACAGTGTTGTTGTTGAACCACAACAGGTGTTGCTTGTAAACGTAATATCACGCCCAGGGGAGGAACGGTAAAGGCTGGCCTGAGGAAGCTGACCAGCCTTCTCAAGATGGCCGCTCTAGAGGAAACATGTCAGCCCACGACAGACAAGAGGCAGGCAACTTGTTGTGCAGCTACTCATTTCCAAAAGGTGGAGTATTTATGATCCCAAGTTCTAGATTCCTGGATCAACTGCTAACTAGCTTGTAACTTTATGTTTCTATAAAATAGGGATAATAATAGCACCCACCACTGTGTGGTGGCAAGCATTAAATGAGCCAATTCTTAAAAACTTAGAATTGTGACCAGATGTGGTCAATATTCAGCAGATGTTAGGTAGGACAGTCATACACTAATTTTCCTCACTTTGTTTTCATTGAATGCCATATGTACCAAGCACTGCAGTGAACACAAAGAGAAGGTTCCTGCCATTTATTGGGCATTACCAAACATTGGGATAGGTTCTTTATTTACATTGTGTTATTTAATCCTTAAAACGACTTGATGAGGAGGTATTCTTAATCCCATTTTTCAAATAAGGAAACTGAGACTCAGATAGATGACTCTTGTTCAATGTCACCCCACCTAGAAAGTCCTTTCTCTAGAGAAAAAAGGAAAGGGTGCTGTCTTAGTCAGTTTGGGCTGCCGTAATAGAATACCATAGACTGGGTGGCTTCTAAACGACATCAATTTATTTCTCACAGTTCTGGAGCCTGGGAAGTTCAAGATCAAGACTCCAGCAGTTTCTGTGTCTGGTGAGGGCTTGCTTCTTCATTCATAGATGGCACCTTCTCATTGTGTCCTCACATGGGAGAAGGGGAAAGGGATCTAGCTGGGGTCTCTTTTATAAGAGCACTAATCCCATGAGGGTGAGGGCTCTACCCTCATCATCTAATCACCTCTCAAAGGCCCTGCCTCTGAATACCATCACATTGGGGATTAAATTTTAGCATATGAATTTTAGAGGGGACACAAGCATTCAGTCTATAGCAGGCACACATACATTTATTAAGTGTCTCACTAACTATATACTTAACCTAACACATGTAAACCAAATAAATTCTACATAAATATTTATGATACCCAATGTTGGTGAGGGTGTGCAGAAAGTCACACTCACATAATTAGTAATAGCTATCAAAAACATGTAATGTGTATGCCTTTTAACCAAGCAGCTTTAGTAGTAGGAATTAACCCATCTATTGAGACAAATGTGCCAAGAGAAAAGTATCATGATATTCACTACCACATTGTTTTCAACATCAAAATATAATACAAACATAAAAATCTAGCATGTAACCAGAAAAATTATGCTGAGATACAGTATAGCCCATAAGGAATGAGGTAGATAAATAGGAAAAGGTATTCAAGTGTCAGTTCTAACATCAAAGAACAAAAAAATCATAGGCAAAGAGGCAACCAAGGGTGGCTTCTGAGAGAAATGAAACTAGATTTGAGTCTGAAATGAAAAATCAAACTA
Organism: Homo sapiens; assembly: GCF_000001405.40. NCBI lineage: Eukaryota > Metazoa > Chordata > Mammalia > Primates > Hominidae > Homo > Homo sapiens. The sequence goes on from NC_000001.11 coordinate 169,035,039, forward strand.
TTTTGGCCAGGCTGAGGAGAAGAGGAAGGCCCTCTATGATGGAGCAGCCATCAACCATTGACCAAGAAATGATGTTGCGCAGTGGAAAGACCACTGGTTGTGGATTCTGAACATGAACCCCTGGCTCTAGAGTGACCTAAGGCAGAGCCTCCCAGCCCTTTTATGCGGAAGTACCCAGATTGGCAGTGAAGAGAGCTGCATTCCCCATGAAAACAAAAAGTGGCCTAATGGGAGTGAGGTTTATTTTAAAGTCTCAAATTTCCCTACCTCTGACTTTGGCTAATGGACACTATGTTGTTTCATTGAGACTGACAAATTAGGAATGTTGAAATGAATTAAAGAGATGCGGTACAGCATATCAGGTTCAATTTCTTTTTTTGTTTCTCAGAGACCTGGTTTTTCAAGGACCTGGGCTCACATAATTATGTGGGCATAAATAGTGGAAAGTAGAAACTAAGAATCCAGAGCTATTTTAGCAGATAGTTTAACCTGTTTGTCAAAGTCAATGATTTTTCTTTATTTTTACTTCTTTACATATTTTTTTGTGAGGTAACTAATTTTTCAAAAAGTAAACTGTGGCCATAGGCCTGTGGGTACTCCTCAGGAAGGACCACCGCTTCTCTGATTTATCTGATCTATGTTGGGATTCTGTGTATAATATTATTTGAAAAAAAATCCATGGCTTAATAGAAAAAGATTTAAAATCACAGCTTGAGAAGCTAGCTAGTAAACTACAGGCAAGCTTCTATACCTTAAATAGTAGTATCCACATTCATTTGAACATCTAAGTTTCCGAAGGAGCTTTTCCTCCCAAAATTAACTGCTACTGACAAAAACACAAAATACACATTTGCCACTAATGAATAAATTATGTCACATTTATTAGTAAATAATTTTCTAAGTGAATATTGGCACTGAACTCTGGTTCCAAAAATGGCAGCAAAGAAGCAAGCTGGCTTTACTCATCCCCACAGAAAACCAAAAACAAATATACAGCACTAAGAGTATCACTAGAAATATCCCCGAACTCAAATATGAAGAAGAGACAGTTCCCAGGGCCACAGAGAAGTGGAAAAAACTCTGAGCAGACAGTAAGAGAATCAGACTTCCACATTCATGATGCCATTCCTCCCATTCTATTCCCAATTCTACCATCAAGCACACAGAAAATTCTCTACCAACTCACTGTTTCTACACTGTAAAAAAGTGAGATCAAGGTGAATAACCAGCCTCCTCACCGTCTTGGGTTCCCTGGCAGGAGACCCGTACCTGCTTTAACCCACGGGAAGCATTGCTAGTGCCTGAAGGAATAAATATCCCTGAGGACAATCAGAGGCAGAGACAATGGGGGAAGGTGGAACTATCATCCCCAGCCCCGGAAACTCTACTGTGTAACTCAGCCAAAGGAAAAGCCAAATCAGAGTGACTGTTCAGCAGCACAGTGCTGTAGAAGATTCATCTTATAGGTCTCCTGGGCACTAACCCCTAGCCAGTCTTGCCACAATGCTGGGATATCCCCATTTGGATTGTCCCAATTCGGGAAGAATAGTGCTCTAATCATTTACTTGAGCCAAGATAAGCTTGGAGTTAAGACATCAACTAGAGCTGAAATCTGACCTAATGGTAAAGATTTGCTAAGCAAAATATGCAATAAAAACCAATACAGCCCAGACAGAGAAAACTGGAATAAGTAACTAAACCTTTCAATGCAAACACAAAGATGTATACCCATAAGGAACAACAACAAACAGGGCACCATGACATCCTCTAAAGGAAAAAACAAAAATTCAATGGCTAACCCTAATGAGATGGCAATTTGTGAGCTCTCTGAACAAGAATTCAAAGTAGCAGGTCTAAGGAAACTCAATGATCTCCAAGAAAATGCAGAAAAGCAATTCAGAAATTTATCAGAGAAATTTAACTAAGAGATTGAAATAATAAAAAGTCAAACAGATATCTTGGAACTGAGAAATACATTTATAGAAATAAAGAACTCATTAGAGGCTCTCAACAGAAAAGCAGACCAAGCAGAGGAAAAAATCAGTAAACTTAAAGACCACCTATTTGAAAATACACAATCAGAGGAGAAAAAAGAAAAAAGAATGAAGACTACCTATAAGATATAGAAAATCTCCTCAAAAAATCAAATCTAAGAATTATTGGTGTTCAAGAAGGAACTAAGCAAGAGCAAGGACTAGAACATTTATTTAAAAAAAGAATAACAAAAAACTTCCCCCAAACTTTAGAAAGATACAAATATCCAGGCACAAGAAGGTCTGAGAATACAGATTCAAACCAAATAAGACTACCCCAAGGCATATAATAATTAAACTCTCAAAGGTCAAAGACAAAGAGGATTCTAAAAGCAGCAAGAAAAAAGAAGCAAGTTACATACAAGGAGCTCCAGTTTTTCCAGCAACAGACTTCTCACCAGAAACCATACAGGCTAGTAGGGAGTGAAACAACATTTTCAAAATGCTGAAATAAAAGAACTGCTTTACGATAATACTGTACTCAGCAAAGTTATCCTTCAAATATGAAAGGAGAGAAAGTCTTTCCCAGACAAATAAAAGCTAAGAAAATTCACTACCACCAGACTCATAGTAAAAGAAATGCTAAAAGGAGTTCTTCACTTTTCAAGCTATAAAACCCACAGGTAAAATTAAGTACATGGACAAACTCATAATACTCTGTTACTGTAATTATGGTGTACAATCCACTCATAACTCTAGTGTTAAGCCCAAAAGACAAATCTACCAGAACAATAATTGCTACAACTCATTAACAAATAAGTAATATAAAAATATGTAAATTGAGACAACCAAAAGTCAAAATATGGGAGGATGGAGTTAAAGTGTAGAATTTTTGTGTGCTTGTCTTGCCTTTGTTTGTTTCTATTCTTGTATTTGTGATCTAATAAGTTGATACGTCTTTAAAATAACTTGTTATATCTATAACATGTTTATGTAAACCTCATGGTAATCACAACGCAAAAACCTATAATAGATTCACTAAAAATAAAAAGCAATGAATTAAAACATGCTACCAGAGAAAATCATTTAACCACAAAGGAAGACAGTAAGAAAGGAAGAGAGGACTTACAAGACAATCAGAAAACAAGAAACAAAATGGCAGTAGTAAGTCCTTACTTATCAATAATGACACTGAATGTAAATGGACTCAATTCTCCAATTAAAAGGCACAGAATGGCTGAATGGATGAAGAAACAAGACCTAACTATATGCTGCCCTACAAGAGATCCATTTCACTCATAAAGGCACACATAGACTAAAAGTGAAAGGGTGGAAAATATTATATGCAATTGGAAACCAAAAAAATAAAGCAGGAGTAGGAATACTTACATCAGATAAAATATACTACAAATCAAAAACTGTAAAAAGAGTCAAAGAAGGTCATTGTATAATGATAAAGGGATCAATTCAGCAAGTGGATAAAACAATTAAAATATCTGTGCACCTAGCACCAGAACTCCCAAGTATATAAAGCAAGCATTGATAAATTTAAAGGGAGAAATAGATTGCAAGACCATAATAGTAGATGACTTTGACAGCCCACTCTCAGTAATGGCCATATCATCCAGACAGAAAATCAACAAACACTCGATTTAAACTACACACTAGATCTAATCAGCCTAACCGACATTTATAGATCATTTAACTCAACTGTTGAAGAATACACATTCTTTTCATTAGCACATGGAACATTCTCCAGAATAGACCATATCTTAGGCCACAAAACAAGTCTGAACAAATTTTTTAAAAAGTAGAAATCATATCAAGTATCTTTTCTGACCACAATGGAATAAAACAAAAAAATCAATAACAAGAAGAACCTTAGAAACTTCATAAACACATGGAAATTTACCAACATGCTCTTGAATGACCAATGGGTCAATGAAGGAATTAAGAAGAATTTTTTTTAATTCTTAAATGAAAACAGAAATATAACATAACAAAATCTATGAGATACAGCAAAACAGTACTGAGAGAGGAGTTTATGGCAATAAATGCTTTTATCAAAAAGGTACGAAGACAATAAATAGACAACCTCAAGGAACTAGAAAAGCAGGAACAAACCAAATCCAAAATTAGTATAAGGAAAGAAGTGATCAAGATCACAGCAGAAATAAATGAAATTGAGACCAAAAAAATATAGAAAATAAACAAAACAAAAAATTGGTTTTTTGAAAAGAAAAGCAAAATGGACAAACCTTTGGCTACACACACAAAAAAAAAAGAAGGCTCAAATAAAAAACATCAGAAATGAAAAAGGAGACATAACAACTGAGATCACAGAAATACAAAGAATCATTACAGACTATTATGAACAATGCTGCACCAACAAATTAACAAACATAGAAGAAATAGATAAATTCCTGGACACATACAACCTACCAAGATTGAAATAGGGATAAATAGAAAACCACAACAAATGAATAATAATTAATGAGATCAAAGCCATAGGGAAAAGGTTCCTATCAAAGAAAAGCCCAGAAACTGATGGCTTTACTGCTGAATTCTGCCAAACATGTAAAGGAGAACTAATATCAATTCTACTCCAACTCTTCAAAAAGGCAGAAGAGGAAAGAATACTTCTGATATCATTCTATGAGGTCAGCATTACACTGATACAAAAACCAGACAAGGACACAACAAAAAAAAGAAAAACTACAGGTCAATATTACTGATGAATATAGATGCAAAACTTTTCAACAAAATACTAGCAAACCAAATTGAGCAACACTTTAAAAAAATCATTGACCACAATCAAGTGGGATTCTTCCCAGGGATGCAAGAATGGTTCAGCATATACAAACAAATAAACATAATATATCACACTAACAGAACCAAGAACAAAAACTACATGATTATTCCCATAGATGCTAAAAAAGCATTTGATAAAATTTAACATTCTTTTATGATAAAGACCCTCATCAAACTGGATATAGAAGGAACAAACCTCAAAATAATAAATGTGGCTTACAACAAACCCATAGCTAACTTACTTACTGAATGGGGAAAACATGAGAGTTTTCCTCTAACTTCTGGAACAAGAAAAAGATGACCACTTTCATCAGTTTTATTCAATATAGTACTAAAAGTTATGGCTGGAGCAAACAGCCAAGAGAAGGAAATAAAGGGTAACCAAATAGGAAAGTAAGAAATCAAATTAGCCTCATTTACAGATGAGATGATCTTATCCTTAGAAAAACCTAAAGACTCCACCAAAAAAAAAAAAAAACTTGTTAGAACAGATAAAGAAATTCAGTAAAGTTACAGAATGAAAAATCAACATAAAAAAATCAGTGGCATGTATATACACCAATATTAAACAGTCTGAAAAAGAAATCAAGAAAACAATCCCATTTGTAATAGCTTAAAGAATGTAAAATACCAAGGAATCAATTTAACCAAAGAAATGAAAGCACTATACAAGAAAAACTGTAAAACACTGATGAAACAAATTGACGAGGACACAAAAAATGGAATATCTTTCCACGTCCATGGATTAGAAAAATTAATACTGTTAAAATGACAATACTACCCAAAGCAATTTACAGATTCAATGCAACCTCTATCAAAATATCAATGACATTCTTTACAGAAATAGAAAAAGAAATCTTAACATTTATATGAAACCACCACAGAAGACCCCAAATAGCCAAAGCAATTCTGAACAAAAAGAATAAAGCTGGAGGCATCACACTACTTGACTTCAAAATGTACTATAAAGCTATAGTAACCAAATCAGGGTGGTACTGGCATAAAAACAGACAGGCCAGTGGAACAGAATAGAGAACCCAGACATAAATCTACACATTTACAGCCAACTCCATTTCAGCAAAAGTGTCAAGAACACACTATGAGGAAAAGACAGTCTCTTCAATAAATGTTTCTGGGAAAACTAGATAACTGTATGCAGAAAAATGAAACTAGACCCCCTATCTCTCACCTTAAACAAATATCAAATAAAAATATATTAGACTTAAATCCACGACCTGAAATTATAAAACTACTAGAAGAAAACATTGGGAAAACATTCCAGGACATTGGTCTGGGCAAAGACTTTTTGTGGAAGACCTCAAAAGCTCAAGCAACCAAAGCAAAAATTGACAAATGGGATTACATCAAGCTAAAATGCTTCTGCACAGCAAAGGAAACAATTAGCAAAGTGAAGAGACAACTCACAGAATGGGTGAAAACATTTACAAACTACCCATCTGACAAAAGTTTAATAATCAGAATATATAAGGAGCTCAAACAACTCAACAGCAAAAAAAAAAAAAGAGTCCAATTTTAAAACGGGCAAAAATCTGAATAGACATTTCTCAAAAGAAGACATACAAATGGCCAACAGGTATATGAAAAAAGGATCAACATCACTAATCTTCAGAGAAATGCAGATCAAAACAACAATGAGACGTCATCTCACCCCAGCAAAAATGGCTTTTATCAAAAGACAGGCAATAACACATGCTGGTGAGGATGCAGAGAAAGGGGAACCTTCCTACGCTGTTGGTGGAAACGTAAATTAGTACAGCCACTATGAAGAAGTATGGAGGTTCCTCAAAAAACCGAAAATAGAATTACCATGTGATCCAGCAATTTCACTTCTCAGTATATATCCAAAAGAAAGGAAATCAATATATCAGAACAACCCCTGCACTCTCATGTTTATTGCAACACTATTCACAATAGTCAAAATATGGAATCAATGTAAGTGCCCACCAATGGATGAATGGATAAATAAAATGTGGCATATGTAAGCAATGGAATGTTATTCAGCCATAAAAAAATATCCTGTCATGTTGTTGCAGCAACATGGATGGATATGGAGGTCATCATATTAAGTGAAATAAGCGAAGCACAGAAAGACGAAAAATCATGTGTTCTCAGTCACATGTGTAAGCTAAAAACTGGATCTCGTGAAGATAGTAGATTGGTAGCTGCAGAGGCAGGAAAGAGTGGAGCGGGGGAGAGAGGATGAAAAGAAGTTGAGTAGTAGGTATAAATATATACAGTTTGATAGAAGAAATAAGACCTAGTGTTAAATAAATCAGTGGGTGACTATAGTTTGCAATAAGCTGTTGTGTATTTGAAAATAGCAAGAAGAGAAGAATTTGAATCATTCTAGCATAAAGAAAAGGCAAACAGATAAGGTGATAGATATTCCAAGTACACTGATTTGATCTTTACAAATTCCATGAATGTATTAAATTATCACATGTACCCTGAAACCATGTTCATCTATTAGGCATCAATAAAAATTTAAAATGGAAAATTTTAAAAACTAGCTCAAAAATGCATAAGAAGAAATCTAAGTCAAGGTATCTCCCCTTGCTGAGCCCACATCTGGGAGGCAGCATGAAGAAATGAAATGAACAGGAACAACAATGGAAAAAGAACAGGCTCTGGAATCAAGCAGTCCTGGATGTGACAGGCAATGGGAACTTAGACCATCACATAAGTGTCAAACACTGAGCTTTCTCAACTGCAAGACACAGAAAACAATATCCACTTCATGGGTCTATTGTAAGCATTGGCCATGATATATTTATAGTGTCTGGCACAGAGTAGGTGCCAAAATTTGGTAGTTATTAATAGACAATTCACTTAACTCTGAGCTTAGTTTTATTATGTATAACAGGAAGGCAATAATTCCTATGAGAGAATAGATATGAAAAGGATTTCTGAGCTTTAAAATTCTCTGAAGAGTCAATATTGTTATCAATAATTGGGAAGTCAATATATATAGATACAGAGCATTAGCTAATACATAGGTTACATAAAAGTGTATGATTTCTATCTCTGAAAATATGGTAAACCAGGGCTGCAGGGGAGAGGGGAAGGGGCAGGTTGCAGTGTTAAAAATAGTGGTCAGACAAGCACATGTATGTTAACTGCAGCACTATTCACAATAGCAAAGAAATGGAATCAATCTAGGTGCCCATCAATGATGGACTGGATAAAAAAAAAATGTGGTACATATACACCATGGAATACTATATAGCCACAAAAAAAGAATGAAATCATATCCTTGGCAGCAACATGGATGCAGCTAGAGGCCATTACCCTAAGCAAATTAACACAAGAACAGAAAACCAAATACCACATGTTCTCATTTATAAATGGGAGCTAAACATTGAGTACATATGGACACAAAGAAGGAAACAATAGACCCTGGGGCCTACTTGTGGGTGGAGGGTAGGAGGAGGGAGAGGATTGAAAAACTACCTATCAGGTACTATGCTGATTGCCTGGTTGACAAAATTATCTGTACACAAAACCCCTGTGACGTACAATTTACCCACGTAACAAACATGCACATGTACCCCCTGAACCTAAAATACAAGTTGGAAAGAAAAAAGAATAGTAGTCAGAATAGGTCTCATTAAGAAGGCAAGACTTGAGCACAGACTTGTGGGAGGTGAGAAAATATCTGTGGGAGGGGCCTCCTGAAAGAGGGAAAGGTTAAAGCCAAGACCCTACAATGGGAGCGGGCCTGAGTGTTGAGGAGTGGCTCCAGGCCAGTGTGGCTAGAGCAGCACAAAGTGTAAGGAAGAGTGGTGGGCAAAAACTCAAAAAGGAAACAGCAGTCAGGAGATGCACGGCCCTAGTGCGCAATGTAAGGGCTTTGACTTTTACTCTCAGTGAAAACTATGACAGGGTTTTAAGCAGAGGAATAACATGACCTGACTTATGTTTTAGAAGAATTACTTTGAGAATAAAATTTCCAGTGGCAAGTAGAGAAGCAGGCTAACCTAAGCAAAACCCACTACAGGGATCCAGGTGGCAGATAGTGGCTGAAAGCCAAATTAGAAAGAGTTTAAGAGAAAAAATGGCACAACTAAGAGATTAGCACAGCTCTTGACTACAAAGCTGCAAACACAAAATTCAGTGCAGGGCCTGGAGAGTGCTCATGTGAGTGAGGGGCCCTGATGCTTAAGCTTTGTCAGCATCTGTGCACACCCACCTCTGTACAAGCCAAGGCCCCTGGCCTGGTCAGTTGGGTGGATGGTGAGGTGCTTACCAAGTTGGGTACCCAGGAGTAGATAAGAGTTTGCAAGCAGGAAGAAGACAGATCATGCATTTCACTGTGAGATTTTTGAGATTCAGAGGTCAGTGCAACATCTAAGTGAAAATGGCCAGGCTCTTTCTGCTCCTAACAATACTGCCAAGAGCTATCAGGATGACCTTTCTAAAAGGCACATCTGATCAAGTCACTTTCCTGCTTAAAAACCTCAGTGCTTCCCTTTGCCCATATTCCTTTGAAAAGAAACAGTTTCTCACAGTCTAGCCCTGGCCTGTCTTTCCAACTATGTCTTCCTCCATTCCATGCCTGGCACACTGTTCCCTCTGACTTGCAACTCCCTCTGTCTACAGTGTCCTTCTCTAACTACTAAACTCCTCCTCTCCCTACACTGCCCTGATCTAATAACTTCTGTGAAACCACGTCCCCTCCTGCACCTTCTTCAAGGCAGGACTAACCACTTCCTCTCTGCTGACTTAAAGCCCTCTGTACACAGTTCCATGAAATCTGCACCCAGAAATGCGAACCCATAAGCCTGAGAGGCAGGGTTGACAGCGGAACAATTATGGGTTTTAGAATTAGATTAACCTGGGTTAAAACACACACACTTGCTTGCTGTATATAACTTTAAGCATGTTATTTAATTTCTCTAAGCTCAGCTTCTTATAAAGGTAATGCCTATTTTGTAGAATAGGTGTCAAGATTAAATGAGAAAATTTAAGTAAATCACCCCAGATAGGACCTGGCACACAATAGGTGTCCAAAAATTATCATTTCCCTCCAGACCCTGTTCCTCTTGGGCAGAAAATGTGTTTAATTTATATTCTATATGTCCCATTGTCACTGGTCACCCAGCACATAATAGATGCTTGATAGACATTAACCTGAATGAATGGACCCTGTCTTCTCAGAAACATTTACATATACGTTTTAGAAGTACATGGGTTCAGAGGTTAGGATAGAAATTCTAAAGTGGACCTTGGCATGTAAATCCCCTTGGGTCTAATATCAAACCAATTGCTTCCCCTTGGCAGCAGCAGCAGAGCCCTTCTGTGTCTCTGGGGAGCATTCAGCCATCCAGTCTGTGAAGATTTCTCTCATTGCTCTCCAGAGCTTCCGTTACATCGTGCTCTTCTCACTTCCTTCTCAGCTGTGCTCCCACTCCTCAGCCTTGTTTGTTCTGTTTTCCTCCGCCATTTTTCACCACACACCATATGGCCTTCCCTTGCCTGCCTTAAGCTTGGAACTTCACAGCCTTCTCCAGGCTTCCCCAGGGCAACCTGGGCCCTCTGGGCCTGCTGACCACCCCCTTTAACTAGCAGCCCTGCCCTGATGCCTACTTTGAAACCCAGCACTGTTCCTAAGGAGACGCAGGACACAGAGCCTTTTAGTAAATTCACTTCAGGGGCTGGTTCTGCCAGTTAACTATGAGCCTAGAGTGTTTTGAACAGGTGGTGATCTTCCAAACACAATGTGATCGTGTGTTTAATCTTAGAATCATGAGAGGCTAGTAGGGCAGATACAGAAAAACACAATTTTACCTATTTGTTTCAACCTCCTCCAGCATCCAGTGAGGCAGCCTCCTGGTGCAGAGGATCCTTGACAAGCTCTGGAGTCTCGTGGACACAAGTTTGTGTCCCAGCTCTGTGTCTCCCTAGCGGTATTGTATGTATGCTTCTCAAGTTCTCTAAACCTTAGTTTCTTCATTTGTGAAACTAAGATAACAATACCTGCCACACAGAGTTATTAGTTGATATCATGCGTTTATTTGTTATCTAGCAATACATAACAAATCAGCCCAAAACTTAGTGCCTTGCAAGAGCAATGCTGTTTATTAGCTCTTGTGGGTTTTGTAGGCCAGGAATTTGAGAGCAGCTGAGCTGAGCTAGTCTGAATCGGGGTCTCCCAGGTGATTGAGGCAGACTGGTCAGTGGCTAGAGCTGGGGTCAATTTCAAGGCTTCTTCATTCACAGGTCTTGTTCCCATGCTGGGAAGACAAATAGCTGGAGCAGGGGCTGGAGCAGCTGTGGCTCCCCAGGCACCTCCCTCTATCCCTTTGGGACCCACCACATGGTCCTTCTGCATGGTCCCTTCAAGGTCTCCAGATTTCTTATGAGGTAGCTCAGGGCTCCAAAGGCATGTATCTCACTTGAGAGAGAAACAGGTGAAACCATATCCTCTTTTCTGGCCTGGCTGGAAAGTCACACAGTGACATCACTTCCATTGCCTTCTATTTATTAGAAGCAAATCACTACCACCAGACTGTATTCTAGGAGAGCAGAATTAGACCGCTCCTTTTATTTGAAATAGTGCCGAAAATTTGTGGACATGCTTTAAAAACACCATAGTATGTGTGATGCCCAGTCCTCAATAAGTAGCATCAATTTTTTTTATGTATCAGGTGAGTTGAAAAATAAGACAAAAAAATGCCTCTGTGCCCTATCATTCCTATCTTCACTCTCCACAAACACACTCACCATGAAACAAGGTGAAAGCACTTAGCAATGTAGGCAAAGGTAAAAAGGAAGCATAAAAAGGGGAGGCAAAAACAATGATCGTTGACATTTATTGAACACTTGCTCTGTGGCAAGCCCAGTGTTATATGCCTTACGTACATTATCTATTTTAATCCTCAGAATGATACCAGGGGTTTATCATTAACCTCCTTTTATGGAGAATTCTAGAGTCTACCAATATTACATGCATTATCCAGGATTAGACAGTTTAGTAAAGACATAACAAGGAGTGGAACACAGGCGAGCTGACTCCAGAGCCCTTGTGCCCAACCGCTGTGCACACTACTGAGATCATTTCAGCTGAGATAAGCAGCTGGGAAACCTTTGGCTTAACTTTTCCCTCCCTTGGAAATACCAATTTGAGAGGCAGGGTACCTAAGGGAGCAGGTGGAGTAGAACCCAATAATTCAAAAATTCTTGAGTCTGGAAAGACAAATGCCAGGTTGTTGTTGATGAGAAGAGAGCACGAGAAGTAAAGGACTGCCAGACAGCCAGGTAGCAGGGAGGCTGGGATGCCTGGCCCCACTCAGCCACTTACTGGGCTCTCCCCAAATGCTTAGCAGAGAAGGCCTTGAACAGTCTAACAAGGGTCTCTTCCACCACCACTGTGCCAGCTTAGCTATCTCAAGTTTGTGAAGTTTGGCACCACCTCCTACTTCTCCTCCCACCAGGAATAATTCAGGGGATTCCCCACAGCCTCTCCTTCAGGATGTGGAAACCACCCCACTTTGAGTTGACAGGTGTCCTGAAACTTTGCTGGGTGATTAAACAGGAAGAGATTGTTGAACAGGGACTGAGGAAAATCTCGTCATCAGATTCAGTCTTCCTGGTAAGGACTTGGGTGAGGCACTAAGGGGATGGAGCACAGTTTTCTCCAGGGTCCATAAGAGCATCATGCGGCTCAGACCCTGGACCCAGACCCACGGAGGTTCTGGCACAGGTAGAGATGAGCTGTGGTCTCACTCGGGGCTCCTGAGAACTAGAGCAATGCCTCTTGCAGTTGGCCACACTTAGGTCCCCACCACTGCCTCCTCCAGCATTTCATTCCTTGGATGCCTTCTGAGATCCACTCCTGGGTGTCCAGGGCCCTGTCTTCATTTGTTCCTTTCCATCCCTGTTGTCTGAACTTGTTTTAGACTATAGTTGCCCTCAAAGTACTTTCTTCTCTCTTATTCTAGGATAGCCTTCAAAGTATCCTTAATTCAATATATTCAAAGTCCATCATTCAAAAAATATTTATGAAGCACATACTATGTGCCAAACATGGTTCTAGGTACTAGGGATTCTGCAAGAAACAGGATAGGCAAAGTCTCTGGCTTCCCTGAGCTTATAGTCCAGGGAGCCTTAACAAAAGGAGAATTCAGATTTCACCAAAAAATAGCCTAGGTGGGTGGGGGCAACACAGGAAAAACATTCAAAATAATGTCAGTAATTTTCCTTTTACATCTAACTGAAACTGCAGCCTGCCAGAGTTTGTGAAGCATAATGGAAGTGAGATGCCATCTCTGGCACTGAACGACGGCCTGCAGCAAGTCACTTGGCCTCTCAGCCATCCTACAAGGGCCACCTGTGCAGTCTGGAAATTCACCCATACAGACCTTACCTGTGGCAGGAATGTGGTCTGTGCCTGGCTTCTGTCATCACTCACTGCCTGGACTTTCCAGACAGAGGATTTGTGGGAGGGGAAAGTTGCTACAATCTACCCAAGATACTTCCTCTTGCCTTGACCTCTCCCCGGTTTGCAACAGTGATCTCATGGACCTTTGCAAGCTCTGTCCACAGATTGCTTCTGGAAGCAGGTACTTGGCTGGTTGGTATCATGTGGGGCACAAGCCTTGCCAGGGGTTGGCGTAGCCTCACTTTAAATTGAAAATGTACATGGTAGGAAGCGCCAAATAATTGAACTGTTAAGTAGATAAAAGAGGAGTTTTACATTAAGAACAAGACATTTTAAAAACTAGAATGAAAATTTCACGCGAATTTCAAAGTTTAAGAACGTAGGAAGTCAAATAAATTTCAGCTTTTTGACTGGCAGCTTTAGGCTTTGCCCCAACCAATTCTACAGGGGATTTACTTTCCCTCTCCTCTGCCCTACATTGTAGATTGGTTTGGAAAGTTCTGGTAAGAGACCTGCACTCCGATGGTGCCCTTGCCTTTACAATAACCTCTCCCAAATGCTCTCTAAGAAGGGAGAGGCAGATGGGAGCGAAAGAGGCAGCTTCGCTCAGCTGTTAGCATGCTCTTGTAGCAGCAAACCCAACTAGAAGTGGCCCTGAGCAACAAGGACAAATTATTCTCTCTCACAATAAGAGCTTCCAAAGTAAAGAAGCTCCAAGGTTGCTTAAATGAGAAGCTCAAAAATGTCATCAAGGACGAAGATTCTTCCCATTTTCTCTCTCTGCCATTCTCAGCTTGTTGATATTTGTTTTTGTAGTATCCAGACAGTCAAGCATTATATACACACACAATGATAAGGGGGGCAGAAAGAGAGGGAGCAGTCCTACCTTGAATCCTTTTTAAAAAACGAGAAGAACTTTTCCAGTAGGTTCTGCCACCCTAGCAGATTTCCCTTCATATCTCACTGGATGGAATCATAGCACAAAATTACAAGCAGCAGGAATAGAATTTTTGTAATTGGCTTATCCAATCCAGATTCTTCCACCTCCTAGAGGTGCCTATCCCTGAAGAGTGTGGCCACTGATACGTGAGCCAAATCAGGGTTCAGTTAGTAAGGCAGAGTGCAGTGAATGGCTGTCGGCAGCCATGCAGCCACCGGAGTGTGACCTCAACACCTCCATCATCCCCCACCCACCATCACAAAGAAATCTATGAGAAAGCAGGGTGATTAATGGGGGAGAAACAAATGTCAAGTGGCTTTCTGTTCCTGAGATGAAAGAGCTTTGTTATGCTTTTGTTTTTAATCATCTGGTTTATGCAACACTTCATTAGCCAAATCCATTAAGTTGCTTTCCAAATTTGGAAAAGTTTTGTCAGCTTGGAAGAAAGCAGCAAACCGAGTTCTGCTGAAGCCTGACCTCTTCCACTGAGCAGGTTATGGGTATGCCTCCCCACTGAGTGGCTGGGCACACACTTGTATGCCAGGGTCACTGGAAAGTGTAATCAGAAGAACAGAACGTAAAGGCTAGGTCTTAGTGCTCATCCACTCTCCTGAATGCTATGCATCTCATTACACAGAGAAGCTCCTGGAAGAGCAGACAGGAAAGGGCTTGCCCATGGTCAGGCAGCAGAGTGGCAGAGGCAAGAAGGGAAAGCCATGTGGTGTTCATCTGTTTTCACAAAGCCTCTTAGCTCCAGCTTGGGCCCACCTGGCCAAAAAGCCTTCTTACAACTCTACAAATACCTTCAAGTAACAAGAGTCCCATATAGCAGACCACAAGAATAGGAAACGAAGCTGAGAGGCAGATGTGGGGAAGGGAATTGGGGTGACCTTCCTGAAATATAAACATTCCCAAAACCTACAGAAAGTGGGCATATCTAATGTAGGAGTTGAATAGAAGGAGCTAGTTCATCTTCTTTAGCTGAAGTGGATAAGGTGCAAGACACCAAAGGAAGGAAAGAAGTGAAAAGAGCATTTAATGATCCAGTTAAAAATAAATATGATACTAGATCCTAACAGACAAACGTGAGTTTAACTACAAAAAAAGAAAAGGCCTTTGTTCTTGCTTCACATTCTCCATAGATCTAGACAAAGCTGCCCAAATATCTCACAGGCTCTAAAAACTTCCTTTCAGAAGTCCTACTTTTTATTATATCAAGCATATTAAGATACAGACATATCGCACATTTAAAATAATTGATATACAACAGAATAAGAGTTCTGTTCAATTTCTTTTCTAATTGAAAATAAATGTTTCATAGACATTAACTTAAACATTCATTTCTTTTTTTATATTGCAGTTTTCTGTATGTTTTGTGTTTACATTTTCACCATGTCTCACATGTCGCAAATATTTTAACAGGCCCTTGAAAAGATATAAACCCTAGACCCTATGCTTACAGCATCAAATGGATAAAATGAGAAACCATGGATCTTTAGACCCTGTAACTCCACAGAGGGAGTGGTGGGAGTTGAATTGAGCCAGGCACTCTTAACATCTGTCACTTACCTTGGCAGTATGACTAACTGGACTGATTCGCATCTACGTAATACTTTGTAGCTTACCCAGATCTTTTGTGTATCTGACTTCATTTGATTCTCTTCAACAGCTTAGGATATAGACACTAAATTAGTTGTATTGATGATAAAATTTTCATTTACAGTGATTAACTTGTTCAGCGTCATGCAACTAGTAGGTGAAGAAACCCAAGTTTAGAGGTCTTACCTCTCTAAATAATCATCTGCCTTGGATCACAACAAGCTGCCTTCAACTCTTTGTTGACAAACATCTCCTGAGTTTTCTCCTTTGTGACTAAGAAGGAATGAGCCATCTCAGGGTCTGAACCCTTTGGATAAGTTATATTGGAGGAGGAAGCCTGAAGGAGAGATGTCACAATGCCTGGGATAACAAGAAGCCCACTAAGGGATAAAGGAGGATTCTGTCTTGGTTTATTTGAGCTGCTGTAACAAAATACTACAGGTTGGGTAATGTATAAACAATACAAATTTATTTATCTTGGTTCTGGAAGCTGAGAAGTCCAGGATCAAGACACAGCAGCATTAGTGACTGGTGAGGGCTGCTCTCTGCTCCCAAGATGGTGCCTTGTTGCTACAAACTCCAGTGGGGAGGAACACTGTGTCCTCACATGGCCGAAGGGTATGAGCATGCACCTTTCAACCTTTGGCCCTCTCTTAAAGGTGCTAATTGCATTCATGAGGGCAGAGCCCTTGTGACAATAACTTCCCAAAGCCCATACCTCTTAATATTATTGTATTGGGGATTAAATTTCAAAGTGAATTTTGGAAGGGACACCACGAAATAACAGTAACTCCAAATATAAACCAAAGAAAACACCCTCTTCTGGGTGGTATTTTTAACATGCCAGTAGCTGAGTGGTTAGAAATACAACTCAACACTCTGACCCAAGGCTTGAACCCCAGGAAGGATGAAGTCATTTAAGAGGGCTGATCTAAGACAGCACTTGAGGTAATCAGCCTGTTTTCTGTAATGGCTGTGTTGACTCCAAAAAGCTGTAAGGCCTGTGTCTGTGACAATGTCTTGTCACATAATAACCACCCCATCCAATGTCTGTGGAACAAAAAACTGAATCATGGGTGAATAAAACAGGGGCCTTCTCCCAGTTCATCAATTCCACTCCCAGATGCTGCCATTACCTACAATACCAACAATTCCAGTGCCCATTCTAGTGAAAACAAAACCAGAGAAAAATGAAAATCTATTGTGCATGGCAGAGGCTGGGGAAGGATTTTTGGCACAGCTATATCTAGGAACACACCACTAGACTTTTCTTTAACTAAAGACATGACTGTACCCTATATAATCTCTAACAAGATAGTTGAGATCTTTCTGACAGACCTTTCTGACTCCACCAAAAGGAGTTTGAGACCCTTACTTCCAGGAGAAATGGGGTCAACTAGGTGGAATGGGACATTATTGGCTGGCATTCATAAAGTCCAACCTGTTCATTCCAATAGAATGAAATTGAACGTCTAGCTCTAAGGGAGGAAACCACCCCTCATATTGTCTTATGCCCAATTTCTGCCTCCAAAGAAAGAAAAAGTGAAAACTAAAAGGCAGAAATGAAATCCACAAGCAGACAGCCTGGCACCACACCCTGGGCCTGGTAGTTAAAGATTGACCCCTGACCTAATCAGTTATGCTATCTATAGATTACAGACATTGTATAGAAAAGCACTGTGAAAATCCCTGTCCTGTTTTGTTTCGATCTAATTATCGGTGCCTGCAGCCCCCAGTCATGTACCCCCTGCTTGCTCAATCAATCATGACCCTCTCACGCGCACCCCCTTAGAGTTGTGAGCCCTTAAAAGGGACAGGAATTGCTCACTCGGGAAGCTCAGCTCTTGAGACAGGAGTCTTGCCGATGCCCCGGCCAAATAAACCCCTTCCTTCTTTAACTCGGTGTCTGAGGAGTTTTGTCTGCGGGTGGTCCTGCTACAGCTCAAGATGAAAGGCTCAGACTCTGAATTCTGCCATGCCAGCCTGCAATCTCAGAGGCATTTAAGCCTGAGAACCTAGGATTTCTCTACATAAGTTCTGTGGAACCCTGTTTTCCTTCCTATTCCATGCTTTGTATCAAAAAGGGGAAGTATGACATGGGGACAGGCCCCACCCACGGTAATTTCAAAGTCTGGGAAATTACCATGGTATCCAGGGATCCCAGTGTTTGCACAAGTTTACTGCCAATGATAGAAGCATAGGAGAGCAGGAACAAGCCATCCTGGCTGGCTGTTCTATTCAGGTGCCTAGAATAATCCTGTGGGAAGAAATAACACTGTGTAAGCAGAATGTCATCATTCTTGCTCACCTCTTTGCTTGGCCAACCCTCATTAATGACTCCTAAGTTATCCTTCCAATCCTAATCCCTTGATCAGATTGAATTCTGGGTGTGATGTGCCAATTAGAAATCCAAAGCGGAGGTTATATGCATTTCGAGTGATTGTGCTGGTGTACTCTTTCTACCATCCCTACTATATTTTAAAGTCCTTGAGGGCAGAGGCCATCCACACGTCTTTGAAGCCACCACATCTATCACAGTGTTAGGCATGGAATACATACTCAATAAAGATGTACTTATTTTGACCGTGTGTCACTTTGGTTATATCACTGAGGAAGCTGGGTGGGAAACTGAGTCAAATCTGAAGGTTTCACAATTACTTCAATCAGAACTTCCTTTTGAAACATTGGTTCATCAAGTTCTCTTTTGAAGGGCAATTTATTATATTAATAGTGCTAATCCTGATATTGTAAATCACATACTTGACATAGCATCGTTTACAGTCAGGCACACTTCTTTCAAAAGCCTGGTGACATCATAGGAAATCAAATATTCCTCCCTTATCACTCTGCATGCAAGCATTCTTTCCTGCACTCTAGAAATGAAATTACATAGTTTTTAGTAAATGGAAGCAGGGTAGGGGAGCTGCCATTGCGAGGTTGACTTCCCACCGCATTTGGAATAAAATCCAAAGTCCAAATCCTTTCCACAGCCCCTGCCAACCTCTCCAACCTCTCCAATCTCATTTTCTTTTCTTTCTTTCTTTTTCTTTTTATTTATTTACTTATTTTTTTTGTTACAGGGTCTCACTCTGTCACCCAGGCTGGAGTGCAGCAGCAAGATCATAACTCACTGCAACCTCAACTTCCCAAGCTAAAGCAGTCCTCCCACCTCATCTCAGCCTCCCAAGTAGCTGAGACTACAGGCATGTGCTACCACGGCCAGCTAATTTTTGTATTTTTTGTAGAAATGGGGTCTCAATATGATGCCCAAGCTGGTCTCGAACTCCTGGACTCAAGGGATCTTCCTGCCTCAGCTTCCCAGGGTGCTGGGATTACAGGTGTGAGCCACCACACCCAGACCCAATCTCCTTTTCTAATTCTCTCCTTCCCCTCAATATTCCAGCCATATGCCCTGTCTTTTAATTCTTTGAACACTCAAGTCTCTTCTTACCACCGTATCTCAAAGTACAGTGTATACCTCTCCTAGATTTTTCACAACTGATTCCTTGATCCTCAGGTCTTGTTTTAATGTGACCTCCTTCCTTGACTGCAAAAGTACAGTAGGTTTGCCCCTCCATGCTTTGCCTCTTATTATCCAGTTTTTATCCTTTGAAGCACTTATTCAAATTTATAATTGAATATTTTGTCACCTTCTCTGTCTTTTTCAGACTATGAACTCCTGAGAGCAGAGATGTTTATCTTGTTCATGACGGCATCTCTAGTGTCTATCACAGAGCATAGCACCAAGTAGGACCAAGTAGGACCTGAATAAACATTTTGTGTTTTTTTGAGACAGCATCTCACTCCACCGTCCAGGCACAATCTCGGCTCACTGCAACCTCCGCCTCCCAGGTTCAAGCAATTCTCATGCCTCAGCCTCCTGAGTAGTAGTTAATAAATATTTTTTTAATGAATGAATGATCAAAGGCTTTTAGAGAGATTTATCTTTTGCTCTCTGACTTTCTTTCCTATTTGACCATTTTAGATTCTTCCTGGAGACTGAGGAGCATTGTCTTCTATTCAGAAGATTCTTCCGGGGAATATAGATAAATTGGTTTGGTGGGGGTGGTGGGAAGGTAGTTGGGTAGTTAATTGGCTCCTACCTACAGGATAAGGTATGAAATATACCAAGAATGAAGAAAAATGTGTAGAATGCAGGTTGGAGGTCACAGTGAATTCAAGAACTCAGTTGCAGGGAATAGAAATCTATCTTTACAATATAAAGGAACTACTCATTTTGGAGCTGTCCATAGCTTTGTAGGTGAAAGATTATAACCCCTATCAAATGTAGGTCATATGCCATCCCAGGGTAAGACTTATCATGGGTTGTATCATTTTGAAAAGATTACTTAGGATTTGCCTAGCAGAAGAGAGTTCCTGGGTCCCTCAGGAGGAAAATATGATGCAGACCAGAAACTGCCTTCCCATACTCCTCAGTCTATCTGAGCCCAAAGCAGGGTACCAAGGAGCCCCCTCTGGCATTCAGTGGGTGTTGCTGATGATGACCTTTTTTAGATAGCATGACTGGGGAGATTGGCCTCCTAGTCTGATTTTAACTTTCCATGGAATTCTAACATGGTAGTATTCACTAACTTTCAATGGAATCCTAACACAAGGTGTTCCACTACCAAATGTCCCAAATAAACCTCAGCTCAGCACGTGGGACAGAAGAAAGCTGCCACCCTACCACAATTTACTTTCCCTCTAAGATTCCTATTTTCTTTCTTTCTTTCTTTCTTTCTTTCTTTCTTTCTTTCTTTCTTTCTTTCTTTCTTTCTTTCTTTCTCTCTCTCTCTCTCTCTCTCTCTCTTTCTTTCTTTCTTTCTTTCTCTCTCTCTCTCTCTCTCTCTCTCTTTCTTTCTTTCTCTTTCCTTATTTTTAAATTTGAGACCGGGTCTCTCTCTCTCTCTCTCTCTCTCTCTCTTTCTTTCTTTCTCTTTCCTTATTTTTAAATTTGAGACCGGGTCTGCTCGGTCACCCAGGCTGGAGTTCGGTGATGTCGTCAGAGCTCACTGCAGTCTCGAACTCCTGGGCTCAAGTCATCCACCCACCTCAGCCTCCCGAGTAGCTGGGTCTGCAGTTGCTCACCACCATACCCGGCTACCTTTTTTTCTTTGAAATGGGCTTCTAGGCATGTTGCCCAGGCTGGCCTCAAGCTCAGATTCCTATTCTTGATGGTTTTAGCTACTGCACAGTTGTCTGGCAGTGATATCACTGGGCTCTGTGGCTTCTAGCAGTGCTGAGGGAATATTCACGCAACTTAACCCACTCCCTGCTCCATATCACTGTCCCATAGTAGGCTAGCAATTCATTGTTATCACAGATCTTCTGCCTAAAGATCCTAGCTCTTCCATATCTAGACCTATTACAGGTAAGATTGATGAATAAATGCTTCATTAATCTCTTACCTTTCATACTAACCTGTGATCTTGTGGAAATTACTCCAACTCTAGATGCTTCAGTCTCCTTATCTGTAAAATAGAGATAATATTAGCATCTACCTCACAGGATTAATTACTAAGTGAGCTATTATATAGAAAGCATATAGATGTGTTTAATAATAATTAATCCTTAATAAATGTTAGCTGATTACAACTAGTAGTATTGTATCATTTTTTCACAGTGAGCTCCTAGAAGGGAAAGAATTGAATTCATCCATTCCTATGTCTTAGGGGCCTGATTCACACTTGACAGACTGAAGGGCTCAACATATATAAGTTGAATTGAATTAAACTCCTCTGACATTTATTGTCTGCTCCATTCATATGCTGCTTGTCACCTAGTTGCTTTCTCTGACTTTTAGCATGCAAATCATATAACTCCAACTGAGCTATTGTTTCCTAGAAGTACAGGATAGCTCATTCACCTTTGTGTGTCTTACACCAACTGGCTCATAGTAGGTGCTTAGTAACTCTTCACAGCCTTAAACTGACTACAATTCTGAATCCTGATAACAAGGATTCTATCATATAGAATATGTGTAACAGCAGCTGGCATACATGCATTTTAACTCCAATAATACTATAACTTAGCAGTGGGAGGAGATGTCTAAAGCATCAAGGTGCCAAATTGGGACTGACATACAGTGGTGGGGTTGGGGAGGGATTGCCTAAAGGCTGGACTGTACAGTAGACTGTATGTTCCTTGTGGGCAAAGACCATGTTTCCTTCTTTCTCAAGCATCTTGCCTGACATACTGTATGCACCCAATGACTGTCAGTCCAATTAATGAATTTATTCGTGTTTGAAATCCCAACAGAGGCAGCTCTCATTGCTCCCTAGTGTCAGATGTGTGCTTGCCAGCATGCCCCTACACCTGGGTACAGTGCTCATTTCTCACCCTACTCTCAGTATTACACACTCTCCATCCCTGGCTAGTGTCACACGCATCCATGTGAAGAGCAACAAGGCTGTTTATTTCACCTGGGTGCAGTGGGGGCTGAGTCTGAAAAGAGAGTCAGCAAAGGGTTGTGGGATTATCATTAGTTCTTATAGGTTTTGGGATGGGCGGTGGAGTTAGGAGCAATGTTTTGCAGACAGGGTGGTCCATCTCAAAGTACATTCTCAAGAGTGGGGAGAATTACAAAGAATCTTCTTAAGGATGGGGGAGATTACAAAGTACATTGATCAGTTAGGGTGGGCAGAAACAAATCACAATGGTGGAATGTCATCAGTTAAGGCTATTTCCACTTCTTTTGTGGATCTTCAGTTGCTTCAGTCCATCTGGATGCATACGTGCACGTCACAGGGGATATGATGCCTTAGCTTGGGCTCAGAGGCCTGACACCTAGATCTTTACCTCAATCTCAAGTTGGCAAGATGAGTGTCACACTTTGACATCATGTTTGTGCAAAAATTGCTGCAATCAACTAATGCCTACCTGGCTTGAATCTCTTCTTGGTATCCAGAAAATCATCAGCAATGAATCCCATCTCCTGTCACATGGGAAGAGATCTTTCTTTGCTACCTATTGAATGTATTCTCTTTTTGAATCAGCTCAATCTTAGGAAATAGTTTTCTCATCAGTAGCATGTTTTTGAAGAATATTAGCAGAGAAGCTTCTTCAGGAGACAGACCAGCCAGAACTGCTAGTCAAACATGGCTGCCTTCTTTCTTTTTTCATATGTGAGAAAGGAAGTATTTTGACTTGGTGCTATGGTTTGGATGTTTGTTGCTTCCAAACATCACATTAAAATTTGAACATCAGTATTAGAAGTGGAGCCTAATGGAAGGTGTTTTGGTCATGGGGGTGGATCCCTCATGAATAGAGCAATGCCCTCCTTAGGAGGCGAGTGAGTTCTCACTCTATTTGTTCCCATGAGAGCTGGTTGTTAAAAAGAGCCTGGCACCACCAACCTTTCTTTTGCTTCCTCTCTCACCATGTGATTTCTGCACGTGCTGCCTCCCTTTCATTTTCCACCATGAGTGGAAGCCCCCTGGGGCCCTCACTAGATGCAAATGCCCAATCTTGAGCTCTATAGCCATCAGAATTGTGATCCAAATAAACCTTTTTTCTTTATAAACTACCTAGTTTCTGATATTCCTTTACAGCAACACAAAATGGACCAAGACACTCAGCTTCCCAGGCAACAGCAACTTTCCAAAGTCTGTGGAAGATAATTTGGGTAGCAAATGATAGAAGATCTAACCAAGAGTAGCTTAAACAATAAGGACATTTATTATTGTGTATAACATGAAGTGTGGAGGTAGAGCAATTTCAAGGTGGATTAATTCACTGACACAGACACAGTATGGATCTAGCTCAGCTATTCTGCAGTTTTCCTCCACAGTCTCAAGATCTGCTGTGAGTCAGGTCTCACATGCTATCAACAATCTTCAGAGGCAGAAAAAGAGAATGTCCCAATCTTGTGTCCCTCTACAAGATGTCCCCTTATCTTTCCTTGTCAAGAATCAGCATAGTCTATCCCTAATTAAACAATCACCAGACAAGGAAAGACCACCATAAATTGGCCTAAACCAATGAAGATTTACCTTCTATGGTTGGGTAGAGACTAAATTCTTAAAAAGAACATGACCCCTCAGAGGAGGGTTACTAAAATCACGGTTTTGATAGCAAGGTAAAAAGGGGGAAATAACTCCCTGGTGGGCAACCAACAGTGTCTGCAACAGAGAAGGTTGGACCTCTAAGTAGTAGGTAATGAGTAAAATTACTCCAATTTTATGCTTAGGAGAATCAAGCCAATGTAAGACAAGGACCCTTCTTACTCAGAGCTACAATCTGGTTTCAGAGATAAAGCCTTTTCAGGAGCATTAGCTCAAGATGATTTTACAATCATTACCCATATAGGCTGCAATAGAAGCAAAGCACTACCAAAATCTTCTAGTATAGCAAATGTCCAAGTAGGCTCACTAATGCAAAGCAAACAAAATCTTCTTGTAATGCTAGGTCACAAGGTTTGTACACATCCTAATCCAGATAAATATCAAGAGTGAAATGGTAACATTTGGCCTCAGTTTCAATCTCTGTTACAAAATTGACCAATGCCTTCCTCTGGAGAATAGAGTATTTTTTTTTTATGGACCAAAACACACAATTCACAACTTCCCTGGAGACTCTGCTAAGGTTTTATAAAGATTTAGTTTTTTCTTTTTCTTTTTTTTTTTTAACTTGAAAACATCTAATTCCTTGTGAAAGAAATAGAAAAATAGGTAGGAGAACTGTTTGACCCTGAAGACATGCCAATAAGTTTCCCTCACCAAGATTTATATTAAACACAAAATTTGATGATCAAATTGTTTCTACACTTGTGACTCATTATTCATTTACTTAACCTTAGGCTGGCCATTCTCTCTCCCATTCATGCTCTCTGAGGTCTGGCAGGACCAGAGGTGCTAAAAGCTCAGGTCTCCACTGCTTAGTATTCTCAGAATGGCCAAAAGGGAGTCATTTGGGCTGAATTATGTTCCCTCTAAGAGTCACCTGCTGATGATCTAACCACTGGGACCTCAGAATGTGGCTGTATTTGGAGCTCGGGTCCTTTAAAAGGTGATTGAGTTAAAATTAGGTCATTAGGGTGGGCCCTAATCCATTTTGACTATTGTCCTTATAAGAAGAGGAAATTTGGACACAAAAAGAGATACCAGGGGCACACAAAGGAGAGACCATCTGAGGACATAGCAAGAAGGCAATGATCTGCAAGTCAAGAAGAGACGCCTCAGGAGAAACCAAACCTGAAGACACCTGGATCTTGGACTTCCAGCCTGCAATACTGTAAGACCATAAATTCCTGTTGTTTAAGCCAACCAGGCTGTGTATTTTGTTATGGCAGCTCCAGAAAATGAACACAGGGAGCAAGAGGGCATAACCTCAGGGAGCGTCCTTTGATTTCTCTACCTCCTCCACCCCAGGAAGTCCTCTCCATTTAGTCCTACCTTTACACTGCAGCTGGCCTTCCGCCAGCTGTGGGGCCCTCCGCCCATGATGAATGCAAACTGACACTCAGATTCCTCAGCGATGAACACCGAACACTGTCCACATTACAAAATCTCTTCCTTCCCTGACTGTGTTTCCCTCCAGAGAAGACTAGGGTGTGTTCTGGACTAAGGCCACAGACGCAAATTTTCCCTAGAAGAGCCTGGAAAAGAAGCAGTAAGTCACGGAGCTGCAGTTAAGTTATAAGAAAACTCACCTGAAAAAACAGCCAGGGGTTTTCACAGGGCAGGCCAATTACGTAAAGCACATCTCCACTGTGTGTTGTCTTAAGATAATGAGGCTCCTCACCATCAGCAAGAGCTGGCTGGAAGCAGAGGGATCAGGTAAGTGAACCTTCAGGAGGACTGAGTTTCAAATATGGGTCCCTGCCAGACAGGGATTGTATGTCCTCAAGTAGATGTCTCTCCCTGTGACCCACAATATCAGCAGCGTGTGGCCCTTTTCCAGGGAAGAGAAGTGGAAATACCCACCTATAGTTAGGAACTGGGGATTACTATGAGAGAAGGGAGGAAGAAACACAGTGTCTAAAAATTAGCAGACTACCAAACTTAAAAGTCCTGCTCCACCATTTATTTACTAACTACACAGCTTGAACACATTTTTCAACATCTCTAAACCACCATCCACTCATTTTAAAAAATGAGAAGACTAGTAGCTATCTCAACAAACTGTTGGGTGGAATTAAATAAGATATTATAGTAAAACTAGCAGATTATAGGGTATATAGGCAAGTGAATAGCAGCAGCAACAACAGCAATAGGGTTGGTAGTTATTAATAAAACAAATGACCAAGCAAGATTTAGCATTTCAAGAGCTCTGACACAGGGCTGAGCTCTGCACTTCTTGGTGATAATAGAAGTAGAAAGGAGGAAGTCGAGATGTGGGTGAGGAAGCTGGGCCAGGTCAGAAGGTCCTTCCGGAGTGGAGGAATGTTGAGTGGAGCCAGGGTTAGATAAGATCTTGAGATAGAGGGGGAGGTTGTAGGGAAACCTTCCTGTGGTATGGAAGTTTCTCCTCTCTTTTAGTTTAGTATGTTAATGAAATGAGTTAATACTCTCCGCACTAGAAACAGTCAAGTTACTTCATCTCAGAAATAATCTCCCCCAGGAACTATCACACTTAAAATCATAACAACAAAACTACCTCAGACACATCCCAGGGCAATAGTCCAAGGGACAGAACTCTCAAAAGTACTAGAGCCTGCTATTTTGAGTAGATTGAAAAGTAAGAGCCCCTCTAAATGAGGTCAACAATCAGGCCCCGTGTCTCAGAGCTCTTCTAGCCAAGAAAGTCCATCTGGAAAGCAAGCAACCTGGAGAAACCAAACCACCCAGACACACACTGACCAGCCCAGCATCAGCAGTGTGCTTTGGTTTCTTCTCAGACTGAAAGCTGGACTAGGGAGACAAGTGCTAGAAAATGAAACATAAAGCATGAAGGGTATTTTTTTTCTCCGTTAAAAGAACATTCACACGGTCCCTAGTGTCTACAAAAGTTAGCAGCTGTCAGTAAAGAAATGATTATCCAACAACAAAAAAATTACAGTGAAACTGTTTACTAGGGAAAAAATTCAAATTTGAACCTCATTATAAATCTGTATAAAATTATCTCCATACGGATTAAGGATTTAACATTTCTATAAAGGAAGAAAAGGAAGAGAAGGAGGAGGAAAAGGAAGAGGAGGGGCAGGAGGAGGGAGAGGGGCATAAACAAGCAAGAAGAAAATATAAGTGTACATTTAACCTATCTTGAGGTGCTGTGGCAATTTTAAAATATGACCACAGATTCCGTGCTATACCTCCCATGACACCCACTTGAATGTGAGTAGGCTTGAGACTGCATTCACCAACAGAGTAGCTGATGTCCAAGGCTTTGTCATAAAAGGGCTTACAGCTTCCTCTTTGTTTCCTAGAACACTTGCTTTTGGAGCCCTGGGCTGCCATGTAAAGGTTCTAACTACCACAAGATCACTGGATGAGCTGCATACAAGCACTCTGTAGGGCATTTCTGCTGAGCCTAGCCTTCCAGCAATTCTCACCAAGTCTCCAGACACATGAACTACACCATCTTGGACTCTCCAAATCAGCCCATCCACCAGCTAATTAACATTGAATGACTTCTGTCAACACCATGCATAATGCAGAAAACCCACCAGCTGAGCCCTGCCCAAATCCTTGACCTAAAAAAAATTATAAAATACAATAAAACAGCTGTTGTTTTAAGCTATTAAGTTTTGAGGTCACTTGATATGCAGTGACAGATAAAACTGGACTGGTAGGGAAGGACCTTCTAAGCACAAAAGTTCATTAGGAATCCAAGGAAAGAATAATAGATTTGAAATTGTAAACTGCTCTATTTCAAAAGTAATCATCACATACAAAATTAAAAGACAATGACAAACTTGAAAAACATTCTTGTAACAGATTTAACAAACAAGAAGAAAAGCACAATAGGAAAAAAAATGTACAAATAACAAAAAGCAGTTATCAGAAAAAAATTAAGACAAAAAGAGAAATGCTATTTAATTTTTAGTGGCAATTACTGGTAAAATAAATATAAATTAGATAATATGATACCTATTTGGCTTCAGATTTGTGAAGATTTTTTTAAATGATAACACTCAATACCTGCAAGACTGCAGTGTAGCAGGGATTTACATACCACTGATGGGAATGTAAATTGGTAATCTTTCTGGAGAATAATCCAATTATATAAATCAAAAGCCTTAAATGCCTTTTGCTCAAGTAATCCCAGTTCTAAAAATTAATGAGACATGTGGCCAAATATTTCTTACATTCTCATCACAGCACTATGTATGATACTGAGAAGTCATAAACAACAAAACATTTAACAGTAGAACTGTTGCTAAATTTCACATAATGGAATACAATGAAGCTATCAAAAGTCACACTCTCACCAAAATATTCATTGCCAGGGGAATACATTTATGATATAATTAAAGTGGAAAAACGTAGTTAAAAGTATGCAAAAAGAATAGCCACAGTGTCATTTACATACATGATAGACAGACTTAAAAAATGAATGGAAGGAGCACACTAAAATATTAACAGTAGTCTCTGGAAAAACGGTTTAAGTATTATTTCCTTCTTTCTCTTTGTGTTTTCCTAATTTTCCAACAGGAAACCATATTAATTTTATAATCAGAAAAGCAGTTTCCTTTTGAGTTAATTTTTTTTTTTAGTTTCACAGTACTCCAACAAACTTGAACACAGCATTTCAAGCACTAAAGTTTTCCCAGAAGCCAGGAGTGCTCCCTCAAGAGACCTGCTGTGATCTGTTTTAGAAGTGTCTGACTTCTAAGCCATGCCGCATGGATCCCCAGGCTCCAACATTATCTCTCTATTATCCCTTCCTTTTTCCCACCATACCTCCTGACCACATCACCACACACAAGTAAAGATTCTTATTCCTTCAATGCCCTCCTGTTAGCATAGAAATCACAAAAAGTCACCCTTAGGCCAAATGGGGTCTATAGATCTCTTTTCTTTGATGCCCCTTTCCAAAATGTGTTAATTTTCTTTTTACTAGTTGTCAGTATTAAAAAATGAAGAGAGATTTTTGCCTCCAGGAAGATGGAATAGACATACTTTTTCCCTATTCCTCTCACTGAGGGCAACAAAAAATGCTGGACATTATTTATAAAATATAAATGGCTCCAAAATGTAAAGAGAAGAAGCCAGATTAGATAGAGACTTAGGACCTGAGAAACAGCAAATTAGTGAGTTCCATGGGTTTTCTTTTTGACTCATACATCCCAGACTTAGAACTGAAGAAGCCCACAACCCAGAAACACCAACTGGAGAAGACAAAAATAGTGCCAAGAAAAGTGTGCTATCCCTAGCCGGAAAAACAGGGAAAAAGCAACCTAGCAAAACAGAAAACTTTCAGACCATAACTGCTCTACTCCAACCAAACACTAGAGGAGTGGTGGGGGGAAATGTGGCCCCACTTCACCCATAACAGCAAAGCCCACTACGGAACTTCAACTTCCACCATCAGGAGGCTATATCACAAGGCACTCCAACCACCTGACCGGGGTGGTGTCAGTGAAAGCCGAGGAACGAACCAGGACTTTCATCTACTATGACCAGTAGGCAGCTCTAACCTTCCCCAACGTGGGGAGCCTGGAGTTTCACCACTACGCAGCAGTAATGAGGCACATCTCTCATTCTCCAATAGGAAGGTGTGAGAGGAGGCCTCATAGAGTCTAAGAACTTTCACTCCTAGCCAGCAGTAATAAAGACGCCCCCACCACTGAAGTCCCCATCCCACCAGCAGTAATAAGCAGTTTTTTGAACCCTTACCACCTGTCAACAAAGGCCAAGTGGTAAGTCTGGACTTCTACCTCAACCTGAAAGTTATAAGGTGGCAGGCCCCTCTTACCCTGCTGGAATGGTGTCAGAGGAGACCAGCTAAAAGAGTAGATTTACAGAACATTTAGAGCCTAATAACATAAATGTAAAATGTACAGGTTTCAATAAAAAGTCAGTCATCATCCCAAGAACCAGGAAGCTGCTCTCAAACTGAATGAAATAAGTCCTACGATAGGTGCCAACACTGAGATAACAGAGATATTAAATTTATCTAACAGAGATTTTAAAGCAGCCCATGATGAAAATGCTTCAGCAAGCAGTTATAAACCTGCTTGAAACAAATAGAAAAATTGCCTCAGCAAATAAATGTAAAATGTCAGCAGGGAAATAGAAGATGTAAAAAAAAGAACCAAGTGGAAAATTTAAAACTAAAAGATTGTTTTGTTTTGTTTTCAGACAGGATCTCACTTTGGTGACCAGGCTGGAGTGCAGAGGTGCGATCACAGCTTACTGCAGCCTTGATCTCCTGGGCTCAAATGATCCTCTGCCTCAGCCTCTAGAGTAGCTGGGACCACAGGTATGTGCCACCATGCCTGGATAATTTTTTTATTTTTTTTCTTTTGCAGAGATGGGGAATCTCACTGTGTTGACCAGGCTGGTTTCCAACTCCTGGCCTCAAGCCATTTCCCACACCTTGGCCTCCCAAAGTGCTTGGATTACAGGTGTGAGCCACTTTGTCCAGCCCAGAACTAAAAGGTGTTAGCTTTTAAATCAAGATTTGAAAGCTCAATATATGGACTTCTATTAGTTCCTATTGCCCCCGTGACAAATTATCACAAATACAGTCAGTTAAAACAATACAAATTTATTATCTTATAGCTCTGGAGGTCAGAATTCTGAAGCTGGGCTAAAATCAAGATGAGTCAGGGCTGTATTATCTTATAGAAGCTCTAGGGAAGAATCTGTTCCCTTGTCTTTTCTAGTTTCCTGAAGCTACTTACCTTCCTTGGCTTGTGAGTTCCTTCCATCTTCAAAGCCAGTAATGACCTGTCATGTTTTCTCACATTGTATCACTCTGACAAAGACTGTCCTGCCCCTCACACTCACTTATAAAGACCTTTGTAATTATATTTGGCTCACCAGGATAATCTTTCCATCTCAAGAGTCTTAATTTAATCACACCTATAAAGTCCTTTTTTCCATGAAAGGTCACATATTCCTATGTTCCAGGGTAAGGATGTAGACATCTTTGGGAGGCCATTCTTCTACCTACAATAGTCTGCTCACAGAGATTCATGTCTGTTCCACAAGTAAAATACATTCACCGCATCCCAAGATCCCCAAAAGTCTCAATCCATTACAGCATCAACTCAAAGTTCAAATTCTCATCTAAATCTCACCAGCTTAGAAGCCCCAAATGTCTTCTTCTATGTCATTTAAATATATATGGGTAGGACTCTGAGTATGATCAGCTTGGAGTAAAATTCCTCTGCATCTAGGATCTATAAAACTGAAAACAAAAACAGGGCCAGGTGCAGAGGCTCATACCTGTAATCTCAACACCTTGGGAGGCCATGGCAGAAGGATCTCTTGAGCTCAAGAGTTTGAGGCTACAGTGAGATATGATCCCACCACTGCACCCCATCCTAGGTTACACAGTGAGACCCCATCTCTAAAAAACAAAACAAAAAAAAATTATCTGTTTTCAAAATACAATAATGGCATGATGGGACTGCCATAATATACCAATTGTAAACATTTCCATTCGAAAGGAAAAATGAAAGAAAGGAGTCACAAGTCCCAAATAACTTTTGGGCCTTGTTATTGCTGGGACTTTTGGGAAATGCAGCTAGGCAAATTTTTAGGTTTCAAGGCCTCTGTGGCCCAAGGCTCTATCCTCTGAGCTCACAGTTCCACCCTTGGGTTCATCCTTTCTTTTCCATGAAAGGCAGTGCTTGTTTGTAGCTGCATAGTTCTATCAGCCTATTTCTTATCTGTAGAATTTTAGGGACTG
The DNA here is from genome assembly GCF_000001405.40 of Homo sapiens. Classification (NCBI taxonomy): domain Eukaryota; kingdom Metazoa; phylum Chordata; class Mammalia; order Primates; family Hominidae; genus Homo; species Homo sapiens. The sequence continues at coordinate 169,066,564 of NC_000001.11, forward strand.
GACAGCCCTATAGATCTTAAGAAAATTGAATTAGTAACTTTTTTAAAAAGAAAAAAATTTCCAAGCACATATGGTATCACTGGAGAATTGTATCAAACATTTAAAGAACTAAAAACTAATTTGTACAATCTCTTCCAGAAAATAGAAGAGGAGGGAACATTTTCCAATTTATTTTATGTACCTAGTTTTACCTAGACATGAAAACCAGACAAAGACAGTACAAAAGAAAGAAAGAAAGCTGTAGACAAATATCCCTCAGAAATATAGATGCCAAAATCCCTAACAAAATATTAGCAAATAGAATTAACAATATATGAAAAGGAATTATAAACTATGACCAAGTGAAGTTTTTTCCAGAGATGCAAGCCTGCCTAGTTTATTATTTGAATATTAATCAATGAAATCCACCATACTAACAGGCTATGATAAAACCTCAAAAGAAAATAGCAATAGAGGGTAACTCCCCCAACTTGATAAAGCATCTACAAAAAAACTGTAGCTAATGTTGTACCTAATGGTGAGAGACTGAGTACTTTCCCCCCAAGATGAAGAACAAGTCAGGAAGTTCACTCTCACAACACTTATTCACCATGGTACTAAATATTCTGGCCATCGTAATAAGGCAAGAAAAGGAAATAAGACATGCAAATCAGAAAGAAAGAAAGAAAGAAAACTATATCTTTTAGAAGAGGACATGATTGTCTATGGCCATACCACCCTGAATGTCTGATCTCAGAAGCTAAAGACGGTTGTGCCTGGTTAGTACTTGGAAGGGAGTCAAGGACATGATTGTCATAGAAAATCCCAAGAAGTCTAAAAACTAATATGTCAGAACTATGAGTGAGTTTGGCAAGGTCTCAGGATTCAAAATAAACATGCAAAAACCAATTGTATTTCTAGACACTAGCAATAAGCATGTGGACTCTAAAATTAAAAGTATAATATCATTTCCAATTGCACAAAAAATGAAATAGATAAAACTCTAAGAAAACATCTATAGGAATTGTATTTGGAAAACTACACAATGCTGATAAAAGATATGAAAGAAGACCTAAATAAATGGAATTGGCAAAAGGATAGACTCACATATTAATGAAACAGAATGGAGAATCCAGGACACCCACTCAAATATGCCCAATATATTTTTGATAAATGTGCTAAAGCAATTCAGTGGAGGAAAGACTTTCAACAAGTGATTCTGAAGTAAATAAACATCTGTAAGCAAAAAAGATGACTCTCTGCCTAGGTCTCATACCTTATATAAAAATTTGCTCAAATGGATCATGAACTTAAATGTAAAATGTAAAACTATAAAACTATTAAAAACATAGAAAATCTTCAGAAATTAAGACTTGGTGAAAAGTTTTAGACTTGATAACAAAAGCCAAAAAAAGGAAAAGTTAATAAACTAACTTCATCACAATTTTTTTTAATTTGCTTTCCTATAAACTCTGTTAAGGGAATAAAAAGACAAGTTACAGAATGGTAGAAAAAATTTACAAATCACACATCTGACCAAAGATGAGCACCTAGAATACATTTAAAAAACTTTCAAAGCTCAAAATAATTCAATTAGAAATGGCTCACACGTGTAATCCCAGCACTTTGGGAGGCCGAGGGGGGTGGATTACTTGAGCCCAGGAGTTTGAGACCAGCCTGAGTAACATGGCAAAACGCTGTCTCTACAAAAAATTCAAAAAACAAAAATTAACCATGCATGGTGGCACATCCCTATAGTCCCAGCTACTCAGGAGGCTGAGGTGGGAGAATCTTCTGAGCCCAGGAGATCAAGACTGCAGTGAGCCATGATCACGCCACTGCACTCCAGTCTGAGCACTGGAGTAAGACCCTGTCTCAAAAAACAAACAAACAAACAAACAAACAAACAGTTTTCTCCTACTATACTCTCAACACTTATCACTTCTGGTTATCAAGATGTGGGGGGTACGTTTTCTCCACACACCAAGCAATTCTCCAGTCCTATGATTCAATTCAATTCTGACCACGATCTACCTGGACATAACATCAGATTCCACAAGTTAAAGACTAGGTCCTACAGGACTGCCCACATTTCAGATGCCAATTGCTAGTCCAAGGCTGTTTATCTGTGCTTCTGACTGACCGATTATAAATCAGAGGTTCCCACAACCTCCCTGCAGATTCCATCATTTGCTAAAATGGCCCACAAAACTCAGGGAGATACTTTACTTACATTCACCCAGTGATTATAAAAGGATACAATGGAGGAACAGCCAGATGGAAGAGATGCATAGAGCAGGATATGGGGCAAGGAGCACGGAGCTTCTAAGCCCTCTCTGGGCATGCCACCCTCCTGGCACCCCCACATATTCAGCAAACTAGAAATTCTGTGAACTCTGTCCTTTTTGGTATTATGGAATTTCATTATGAAGACATGATTAATTAAATCCTTCGCAACTGGTGATAAACTCAACCTTCAGCTCCTTTCCTTTCCTCAGAAGTTGAGAGGATGGGGCTAAAAGTTCCAATCCTCTAATCACAGGGTTAGTTCCCCTGGCACCCAGCTCCCATCCTAAGGCTATCAACAGCCCCTAGCCATCAGCTATCTTATTAGCATACAACAAGACCCATCACTTTGGAGAGTCCAAGCATTTTAGGAGCTGTGTGCCAGGAAAGGAAGAGAAAGATCAAATTCATATTTCTTATTGTAAATCACAATGTCGAACTTACTATTGGGGGAAACTGGGTAAGGGTATAAGGCACCTCTCTGTATTACTTCTTACAACTGCATGTGAATCTACAGTCTTCTCAAAATAAAAAAGTTTAATTTAAAAAAGTTTAATGTGATTTCACATAAAAATCTAGATCTCTACCTTCACTGAAAAAAATTGCAAGATCTGACCCACTTCCAAATATGGCTAAAACATGCTGGAGAGGAGCAGCAGTTGTACCTCAAGCCTGCGCCCGTTATCCCATTTGCCAGGTAATCCCAGTCCTCACCATTCCCTATTGTCTATCAGCTAGGCCCAGGTTTCTTTGCTATCTATCATGCAGCTTGCCCTGCTATTTCTCTTACATCCACTCAGATTCCCCTCCCTGGACCCCATGGGCATTTGAGTTTTCCACTTTTGTAGAGTCAGATTTCTTATACCAGTAAAGCAGAGCTAAGTCACGCTGAGGTGTTAGCTCATAGAAACATCTTAACACCTTATGTCTAAAAATGCGTACCTGAGACATAATAGAGTGGAAATCCTTAAAATTCAGAAAGAACTAAGTTATAATCATGGTTTTCCCACCTAACTTGAGCAAACTACTTGAATTTCCATACTTTAACTTATAAAATGGTAACAATAATACATAACTCAATCCATCCAAAACACCCACCACCATAGACAAGGTGCTCATTAATATGTTTTCCTCACAAGGGCAGGATGCCTCTCTCTTATTGCTGTGATTTCCTCCTTAGTAACCAACACCTTATGTTAAAAGAGGTTGGCTCCTACTGAAGTTTTACACATACATTTACCATTGACTGGGAACTAAGGTGCCACTTTGCTAAGCATCTCTCTAGAACTATCTCACAATCCTCATAATAATTCTACAAAGCAGTCACTCAAGTGTATCATGCCCATCTTACAAATGAGAAATTTGAGGCATAGAATTATTTGGTTATTTGAGCTTCAGCCAATAAGTCTGAGTCTAGAACCTGTGCATTTAATTACTTTGCCACCACCTCGCATAGTTTCAGGCTTTGGCAGAGTTTGGTAGAGCAAAAGACTTTCCAAACTGTCTCCAGGGACCAACCTTTGCCTTCTGTATCTCTTAGCCTATTACTAAGGTAAGGTCAGGAATGATAACTTCTTGGTCAGCCTCATGTTACTGCCTTGGGAAGATTTTGAGAATGGCCATCTCTGTTTCACCTTCTTCCCCTGGCACATGAAACGTCTTTTGGGATGTGTGTGTGACTCAGGGACCTGCAGGCTGCACTATGTTTGAAGATTTTCAGATATCATGTGCCAAGCACAGAGTATTATTATTGAGGATATTTTCCTATACAGTTTTTTTGGCATCTTCTTCACAAGCCAATAATCTTTTATTGGCACTAACTTATATTGGCAAAAGAAAGAGGACAAAAAACACGAGAAACAGGCTGAGTGAAATACCAGCTCTCCCCTGAGGACTGGTTGCTGGCTGAGCTGCCCAAGCCTGTCACTCACCAGAGATGAAGATACTCAAGAAAAACAAGATACTCCCTGCTTCTTGACAGAGTGTCCAGGACCTTCCCAGGAAATGAAACCAGAGAAATATCTTAGGCTTACTTCTCAGTGGTTAAAAGCTGGGACTCTTCAGGAAGACAAAGCTGGATTTGATTCCCGGCTCCTCTACATCTTGGCTGTGTGAACTTGGGCAAGGTTCATACTCTCTCTTGCTAAGCCTTCATTTTCATTTTGTAAAATGGAAGTGATAATCATAATAATGCCTTCGTTACAGGGTCTTTGTAGGAAATAAATGAAGTGATGTGGAAAGGTGCTTACTACAGTGCCTCATACGCAGTAAGCACTTGATAAATGCTGGTGTATTATATTAGTGGTGGGATTTGAAATAAGCCTGGGGTAAAAAGGGGATGGTGGTGGTGCTGCTCCTGGTGGCGGTGGTGGTGATGGCAGTGGTGGTGGTGATGGTGGTGGTGATATTTTAGCAATTCTCAACAAAGAGTCAGGAAAAAAAGATTAGATTTCAAAGAATACTCTAGGGAAGCTCACATCCCACAAAAGCTATATTCCTGAGAGATTATCTGGATTTAAATATTTAAAAATTAAACCTTGTTTTTCTATTAGATTCTTTTATAATTCCAGAAACATTTCTGTTTGATTTTGATAAATTTAACTCTTTACTTTAAACAATGTCCTTGTGTCACCTCTTTCTAGCTTTATGTTCTTAGGCAACATTATTCACTTTCTTTTTTTTTTTCTTTGAGATGGAGTCTCACTCTGTCACCCAGGCTGGAGTGCAGTGGCTCAACCTTGGCTCACTGAAGGCTCCACCTCCCGGGTTCAAGTGATTCTCCCACCTCAGCCTCCTGAGTAGCTGGGACCACAGCTGTGCGCCTCCAGACCCAACTAATGTTTTTTTGTGTGTGTGGTTTTTTTTGTATTTTTGAGTAGAGATGGAGTGCGTAGGCTGGTCTTGAATTCCCAGCGTCAAGTGATCCGCCCACCTTCGCCTCCCAAAGTGCTGGGATTATAGCCTGCACCCAGCCTATACACTAATTAAAATATCAATTTTCTTCATCTGTAACATTAAGCTCTGGAATCACCTGAGATAATGTCCATGCAAGTGCTCTGTAAATGTGTAATAGCCCCCTATAGAAATTGTAAATTACGGCCGGGTGCTGTGGCTCACACCTGTAATCCCAGCACTTTGGGAAGCCGAGGTGGCCAGATCACGAGGTCAAGAGATCGAGACCATCCTGGCCAACATGGTGAAACCCTGTCTCTACTAAGAATACAAAACTTAGCTGGGAGTGATGGCGCACACCTGTAGTCCCAGCTACTCAGGAGGCTGAGGCAGGAGAACCACTTGAACCCGGGAGGCGGAGGTTGCAGTGAGCCAAGATCTTGCCACTGCACTCCAGCCTGGCACAGAGAGAGACTCCATCTCAAAAAAAAAAAAAAAAAAAGAGAGATATTGTAAATTACAATGGGTCCAGTGCTACTCTCAGCTGGACTCCTTACTTAAGACATTCATAAAGTAAAATATACTTTCAAATGGAAAATAACAACAGCTTAGTTTGTCCTATTAAGTTTGACTTTTGTATAATATATTTTCTTAAAGAAGACAAAACTGTGGAGAAAACTGTGCTTAATGAAGTACAAGCAATATGAAGAAAATATTGAAAAACTTGATTAAACTTGATTAATATCTTTTTTTATTTTGGGTTTTTTTTTTTTTTTTTTTTTTTTTTTTTTTTTTTTTTTTGGGAGACAGAGTCTCATTCTCTCACCCAGGAGGGAGTGCAGTCGTGCAATCTCAGCTCACTGCAACCTTTGCCTCCTGGGTCAAGAGATTCTCCCACCTCAGCTTCCTGAGTAGCTGGGACTACAGGCACACACCACCACACCCAGCTAACTCTTTTTTCCTTTTGCATTTTTAGTAGAGACAGGGTTTCCCCATGTTGCCCAGGCTGGTCTCAAACTTCTGACCTCAAGTGATCTGCCCACCTAAGCCTCCCAAAGTGCTCGGATTACAAACATGAGACACTATGTCCAGCCTGAAAAACTTGATTAACATCTTAGGAAGGTGATATAATTCTTTTGTCATAGAATTTTGTCAGAGAAAGGCAGAGCAATGGGTGTAGAACAGAAAAGTTTTCTACCAAGTTATCACAGAATCAATCTCTTCAGTCTCTCCCAGATTCCAGACAGCTGGCCAAATATTACCAAATTAATTGTGCTAACACACTGGTTTTCATCTTATTGCTCCCCTACTCAAGAATTCCCAGGGGTCCCTAATTATCCATGTGGAATGCTCCAGTTCCACAGCCTGGCCTTTAAGTGTCTTACTTTACCATACCCCGCCACTCCCCTTCTCTGCCTGGGCCCTGCCTCTCTCTGTAATGTGCATTATCCACTCCACCCCAGCTTTATTGTCTCCTGATCAGTGTGCACTTCTCTCCTACCACAAACATTTGCTCACCTGTTTGTTTTTTCCTCTACTGTTTCACCTATTTTATTCCTACATACCCCCATTAATTTTCTTCCTTTTGCATGTCTACATTGTCTTCGTTTTCTGCAATATTTGTTATTTAAATCCTAGTTGTTCCTAAGGTCCACCTCCCAATATTCCTTCCCCAAAAGCCCTGGCTGGCATGGATCACTCAGTGCTGGGATTACCCCTGCATCTACTGGAGCTCTTAGCTTTCCTGTGGGTGGATCTGTCTCCACGGCCAGATTGTTCCTGCTCTAGGGCCAGGGCTAGCCCTTTTATTTCTTGTGCATTGTGTTTTGTTTGTCCACGGCCAGATTGTTCCTGCTCTAGGGCCAGGGCTAGCTCTTTTATATTTTGTGCATTGAGTTTTGTTTGTTCTGTGATCCTTTCCAGAAAGGCTTGAGGGCAACTTACAACACACACGCACACACACACACACATGCACACACACAAGCACACAGGCACGAATGGCAAAATATAAATAATAATACATAGAAGAGAAGGACAACGAAGGTAATTAAGACTCTAACTTCCTCCAGTTTCTGTCAACCACAGGTACTCTATCTAAAGACACTCAAACTACAAAGAGTCAGTGTCCTAATATCCACATGAGCACCTTGTTACTGAAACCTTAGCAAGGAAAGAACAGGAAGAAAACCAAACACAAGTGAAAAGAACAGAAGTTGCAACAGAAAGAATCCCAGGCTTTGAATTTCTCATTCATTCATTTATCCCTTTATGCAATAAAAGTTTTTAAAGCATCTCTTGTATACAATGTACTGGCTATGTAACTAGTTCTATAACTTAAGTGAGTCTCTATCTAAGCCTCATTTGTTAAATAATAACAATTAAAAATTAAAAAGGGGGATAAACTTATGTTCTTTCCCTAATGAATGCACAATAAATTTGGAAGAAAACATTATTTCCATAGATAACACTGAAAGCCAGGACGGGTCCATGTCCTGAAATCTAAAACTAGTTTGGAAATTAAACACTAATTCTAAAAGAGATCTAGTGTTTTCTGACTTTTTAAATATTTCATGTGTGGCTTTTCTTGGACATTTCCATTTATGAAGAGAATGAGATAAATCTGATCACCAATAAATGCATAAAAATTAGTCAACCTCACTGGTAATCAAGTAATCAAAAATGTAGTACCATTTTGAAGATAATGTAAAACCACAATGAAGGCCAGGTACAGTGGCTCACACCTGTAATCTCAGCACTTTGGGAGGCCAAGGCAGGCAAATCACTTGAGGCCAGGAGTTCGAGACCAGCATGGTCAACATGGTGAAACCCCACCTCTACAAAAAATACAAAAAATGAGCTGGGTGTGGTGGCGCACACTTGTAATCTCAGTTACTTGGGAGGCTGAGAGTTTCTTGAATCCAGGAGGAGGAGGTTGCAGTGAGCTGAGATTGAACCACTGCACTCCAGCCTGGGCGACAAAGCAAGACCCTGTCTCAAAAAAAAAAAAAAAAAAAAACCTCACACAATGAAATCCCACTATATACCCACTAGAATTTCTAAAATGAAAAAGATTTACAACATGTATATTGGAGAGGATGTACAATAAATGGGACTCTGACCAATGTGGAAATTAGTATAACCGCTTTATTTTATTTTGTTTTGTTTTATTTTTTTTTTAGATGGGGTCTCACTCTGTTGCCCAGGCTGGAGCGCAGTGGCATGATCTCAGCTCACTACAACCTCCACCTCCCAGGTTCAAGTAATTCTCTTGCCTCAGCTTCCCAAGTAGTTGGGATTACAGGTGCCCACCACCATACCTGGCTAATTTTTGTATTTTTAGTAGAGATGGGGTTTCACCATGTTGGGCAGGCTGGTCTCGAACTCCTGACTTCAAGTGATCCACCCACCTCAGCCTCCCAAAGTGCTGGGATTACAGGCCTGGCCAACATGGTGAAAGCCCGTCTCTGTTAAATAAAAGTACAAAAAAATTAGCCAGGCATGGTGGTACATGCCTGTAATCCTAGCTACTCAGGAAGCTGAGGCAGGAGAATCGCTTGAATATGGGAGGTGGAGGTCGCAGTGAGGCAAAACCGTGCCACTGTACTCCAGCCTGGGTGACAGAGCAAGTCTCCATCTCAAAAAAAAAAAAAAAAAAAAGTTAAAATGCACATCTACCCTGTGACCCAGCAATTCCAGTCCTGGCTATTTATCAAATATATATATATATATATGTCTACAAAAAGCCTTGTTCAAGAATGTTCATAGCAGCTTTATTCATCATAGCTAAAATTAGAAATAATCCAGATATTCAGCAACAGGATGAACGAACTGTTATATATTCATACAATACAGTAATAGCAATAAAAAGGTAACAAATTCCTGATATCTGGAATAACTTGGATGTCTCAAAAAGATTATATTGAATGAAAGCATATATGGTTCCATTTATATGAAATTCTAGAATCTACAGTGATATAAATAATCAGTGGCTGCTTCTGGAGTGGAGAGTGAGAGGCGTTGATTGGGAAGAGCCAAGGAAACTTTCATGGATGACTGAAATGCCCCGTGTCTGGACATGCGTTCGTCAAAACCCACTTAAAATTTGACATTTTACTGTATTCAATTATATCGCAGTAAGACAAGCTTTAAGAGATAATGCTGAAGGAAATTTGGAAGATGAGCATGCTTTAAAACTGAATTGTGGTGATGGTTACACAACTGTATGCATTTATTAGAAATTATTGAATTGTTTACTTGCAATGAGTGAATTTTATAATTTGTCAATTGTATCTCAAAAGTGAAAAGATAATGCACATGGCTATTGGAATGTGGAGAAAGACAATCACTCACAGATTCTGGGTACAACTTTTCTTCAGGGAAGTTTGATGATGGGTATCAAGCGTTTTAAAGTAAGTATTGCTTCTGGCCAAGCAATTCCACTTCAGAAATTTACCATAAGAAAATAATCAAGGACATGCACAAAGATTTAGTTTTAAAGACGTACATTGAATTGTGGTGTTGTTTTTAATAGATAAAAACTGAAAGCAACTTAATGTCTACCAATTGCATTAGCGAAATAAATGTGTATGAATGTCTGCATAAATTATAGCTATTAAAATATTATAAGTTAATATTTATCAACATGAAAACTATTCATAACATATTAATAGAAAAAAAGCAGGTTGAAGAAAATATGCAGAAAATAATACATTAGCATTATTATATGTTATGTAGTACTTTTAGTATTACATAATAGTGTTCTTATATCTATAGTTCTGTGAGGATATGTAACAATGTGGTAAATGTAGTTATCTCTGGGTGGTAGAATTGGGGAGTAATTTTTTACTCTTTCACAATAATTACATGTGCCTTTTACAAAACATATATATGTTATTTTTCTTCAAAATAATACTTAAAATGACTTAATAATGGGAGAAGACAGAGATCACCAGAACTGTGGTTCATGTGTGGTAAATATGGGATAAAGAGGATCATATACTACATGACCCTAATGAGTTCTAAAAATTTCATACAACAGATGTATGTAAAGTGAATTGCATTTTTCCATCATGCTAATGAAAAAATCTGCAAGAAAGCAAAGAATCATTTGAGAATGGGAATAACTAGTGCCTTGAGTTTCTTCTTGGAAGTTCACAGCATTTCAACTTTTAGATTTCCTTAAACCAGAAAACAACCAACTGATTATTTTTTTGTAATATCCTGATCAAAGCATTAATCTCAATCATATTAAGAAAGACCTTGGTTTTTGTTGCATTTTTACTTTCCCCATTTGTAGGGTACAGTCATCTTCTCCACGATTTTGGGAAAAGACTGAAAGGGAAGAATTCACATTTTTAAAGAATTTGAATTGTTAAATAAAAATTAGAGAAGACCATTGTTTTGGACTAAGCTCCTGCACTAGGCCCCAACAGACCAAAAGAAAAATTAAAATGGAGTCACCCATGCTAAAATTCCACATCATAAATCTAAAAGTTGTTACTGCCCTTCCAAGAAATCAGAAGAGTTAACACCAATTTCCCAAACTGGCCAGTTTCAATCTTCAATTGGCATGATAATAAAGTTACCTGTACTTTAATCCTTACACAAAAAGGTAGCCTGAAGTAACCTTATGTTAACTAATCAGTTATCTTTCCATTGTTCTGTCTTCTTGTCTCCGCCTTATAACGAAACTTTGAAATGACCAGTCTATTTTTTGTTCTTTGTTTCTGCTTTCTTCAGTCCTTTCTCTCTCTAAAACCAGCCTCCTCTGCTGCACTTATGAGAATACATTCTATTTTATGGAAAAAAGTCTTGCCCGATTCTAGAATTGCAGTAAAGCCGATTGAGATCTTTAATTTGTTGCAATTTTGTCTTTTAACAGGTAGATTTCTATAACTAACGACACTTGTATAAAGCCATCTCTAACAAACTCTGATGAAGAAACAAAGCAATCTCCATGTCCAAAAGAAAAGCAAAGAAAGCAGGCATGTCTGGGTAAAGTTTACCACTGAGAGCATCCTTCCAGGAAGCTCACATGAAATAACATCTAGAGTGTACCTTTCTCCAGGGAGTTTGAGCTCTAGACAGTAGTCACTTTGGCCCATTCCAGCCCCATCTGAAGAGACTAAAACTCAAGCACGGAGAGGGTGACTTGCCCAAAGTCATACGGAAAATCAGCAGCGAGGCTTTGATTAGAATCCATTGTCTTCCAAAGTGTCAGAGTCTCTAGTAAATAAAGGAGACACTGTATAATAAAAAGACCACTGGACAGGAAGTCAGGAAACCCAGGTCTTGAGGTTGGCTTTGTTACTTAATCAGCCATGTGTCCTTGGGCAGACACCTATCCTTTCAGGAACTATGCCTTCTTACCTGTAACATGAGCAGGTTCCAGTTGAAAACAATTAAGGGCTTCTCCAGATCAAACAGCCCATGGTTCTAAGAAGCCCACATCCTTCCCTTCCCTTTGCCTTCAGGTGGAGTGCTATAAGGCATTCTTTAAAAATGTATATATTTAATCCTAACTTCTAATTGATATGGGACAGGTAGACGTTCTTGCCACCCTACCCTCCCTCCATCCATGGTTCCCCTGGGCACACCTGTTCTGTGATCTCCAAGCTATGCAAGCATAAAGGAATGTCCCATGAGCCACCCAAGCAAGTGCTGAAATGCTTCCCTTGTTGCTGCTACTGTTTAGCTAGATCCAAGTTAATCTTTTTTTTTTTTCTGCACAACTGGATTAACTAGGCACACATCTGTCTGTAGATAGAATGATATTGAATACACTTTGCAGAGTAAACAGAAGCTTAATTTTTCTTAAACAGACAACAAGTGCCTGTGGATGTGTGAAGCCAACAAGAGTGATTTTCTCAGGCAGCCTGCCTCTTCCTGAAGCTGGGGCTGCCCAGGTCCTGACCAGGAGAGGAGGAAGAGCTTGGGCATAGAGAGAGAGGTCTTGCCACATTCAGCCAGACCAAATTGCAATCCAGTGAAAGGAGAGACAGAGGGAACTAGGTTGTGCTATTAATTCAATTTTCAACTTCAGCTAATTTTATTGGCCTGACAAGGTAGACACATTGCCAAAATCAATACAGTAGATCTGTATGCCTAAGGCTGGTTTTGGTGCTAATGGAGGCTTTTATGCCAGACAGTCTGTCCTCTGAATGTTTCCCAATGTCCTTCTTGGTCTCCAGCTGCCACATGTTATAGTTATGATTTTGCTATTGAAGGGCATAGGATTAAATTTTAAGTCCCCAACTGAACTTTTGATAAGGTCTTCTCTCCTGAAAGCCCTTTTCACTATTTGGAAAAACCTTGTGAACTATTGTATTTTCATTTTATTTAGCATATAATGTACAATGATGAAAATAAACGAATGTTTTCAAATAGGATATTGTTAAAATAGTTCACTTCCTAGGCAGGTTTTAAAAGTAAAAAAAAAAAGCCACTAAAAAAACTATCTAAAATTTTCTTAACAAAAAATCATGCTGCAATATTTACACTTCAAGTAAACATCTAGTTAAGCTATTAATACCTAGGATCTTTCCATTAATACAAAGCACTTCCAGCCTTTGGAGAAACAGGGGAATTACTGTTTTCTGGTTGGACAAGGTTTTGTTTCATAATCTTAGGGGCACAGAGATGCACCACATTGCTATCACCAAGAGCCCAGTCTGAGCTGCTAGACCAAGAAGCACGTGTAGACAGTGGATAAAATTAGATCATAGTTGGGTGCCTGTAACTCCAACTACTTGGGGGGCTAAGGTGGAAGGATCACTTGAGCCCAGGAGTTGGAGACCAGCCGCCTGGGCAACATAGTGAGACACTGTCTCAATAATAATAATAATAATAATAATAATAATGAGATCTTGAGCAAGTCATGACTGTGACTAATAAGTGTGTGATAATGGCTAAGCTTAATGTTTAAACAAATATTGTTTTAAAGGGGTGAAAGTGGAAATATAGCATGTATTTCAGATACACCACAGGTATGGCATAAGTATAGGCATAAGTCTACCACTTTGGGTTTTTTGTTTGGTTGGTTGGTTGGTTGGTCGGTTGGTTGGTTTGTGGGGGTTGGTTTGCTTATTTGTTTTTGTTTTTGACACAGGGTCACTCTCCGTGGCCCAGCTGGAGTATAGTGGTGCAATCGTAGCTCACTGTAGCCTCAAACTTCTGGGCCCAAGTGATCCTTCTACCTCAGCTTCCTGAGTAGCTGGGACCACAGATATATGCCACCATGCTCAGCTAGGTTTTTTTTACTTTTTGTAGAGACAAGGTCTTGCTATGTTGCCCCCGCTGCTCTCAAACTCCTGGGCTCAAGCAATCCTCCCACCTCAGCCTCCCAGCCTACCATTTTGGAGCACAGAACCTGTGGATAAAGTATCATCCACACCTAATGGCAGCATGCACTAATAATAGAGTTATTTTTCTGTGAGATTCCTGTAGTAAATGACTGACTGAATGCATTTGTACCTACAAAATCTACAATATTTACGCTATCTGGAACATACTAGATTCACAGCTAGTAATTCTCATTTTACAAAAACTGAGATCCGGATATTTTTGTTTTCATGTTTTGCTTAAGCTCAAAATGTAACAGCGAAGGCTATACTAGAATTCAGGTCTCTTGATTCTCAGAACAGTTCATGTTCCATCATGCCAGGACCCACTGCACACTTAGATTCTGTACTTTGCCACCATCACATTTATATAAAACTTAAAACGCAAGTCTATAAAGAGGCCAATGTCTATCAACAATAAATCAACCTGTAAATCTTACCTATTTTTCAATTTCTCCCCAGCAATTTACTTCTTCATTCAAATAGTCTTTCTAAGGAACAGTGGTGGTTTTTTTTTCTTCTTTTTTTTTTTTTTGGTTAAAGATATTCTGCAATTTAACTTAAAGGCCAAGGAGGAACCAACGCCTTCTTTATCTTGTAGGTTTAACAAGCATTCCCAGAGGAAAGTCATTGTTATTACTAACAAACACAACATCAGCTTTTTGAGACAGAAGATATTTATATATCTATCCAATATCAGATAAGATTTTAATATAGTTCACTTCCTAGGCAGGTTTTAGAATTAAAATGTCACTCTAAAAACCACCTAAAATTTCTTTATCAAAAAGTCTTGCAATAATGTTTTAGATAGATATAGATGTAGATATTTTCCTTCTTGCCTTACAAAGATTGGAGTCATTCTTCAAAAGTTATACTTTTCAAAGTGACTCTGCATAGCTGGTGAAAATGGAATAGGAGAACAGACTTGCTGGAGAGTAAATGACACAAACAATCAAGCTCTGGGCTTTTTACTCTTTTTTTTTAACTGCCTTTTTTAAAACTTGACATAGTTATTTTGAGATCCATCCATGTTGTTGCATATATCATGGATATTTTCTTTTAAACTCACTTTTTTTCTTTTTTTTTTTTTTTTTCTGCAGCCAGGTTGAGAGCAACCAGCCAAGGTCTACACTCAGGAGTGCTGGGGAATTTCAGATGCTCCTCAGCATCTCATTCACAAAGGCTCTGAGCAGCTCTGAGACAGGGCTCCTCTAAAGGACATTTTCCCTTCCAGTCAAAGGTTTTGCAGAAATAACAAGTTCCCCGAGTCAACATTTTAAATACGTCTGTACACTTTAGGTGTTTTTATGTTTGGAGTCTTTGCTAGTTTCAACAGTGTCCACATTAAGGAACTGGGATGAAATCGAGGAAGATAAATCAGCTGGGATCTCCATTTCCTAAAACATCGGGAGCTGTTAGCCAGAAGAACAGCACATCATACTTTGATCAGGAAATTAAAATATTCTCCTAAGAAAATCCAAATGTAAAACATGTTCCAAATTGAATTCCAGTTGCAGAAATATTTTTGGCAAGTAAACAGCAGGGGGCTGAGAGCCTGGTCTGTGCCAGCCTTGCTGACTCCACCAACCGGGGTGGAAATATCTGACCTATGGGTAAGCAAAAGCCCATGCAAGGAAGGGAAATGTTTGCTGGCTGGGCCCTCCAGCCTGCTCCCTAGACTCCAAGGCATAGAGTATTGCGACACTGAAAGGTGAATGTTGGAGACAGGCAGCTGGGGGAGAGGGAAAAGAGGTATTAGATGCTAAGGCCATATACAAGCTACTTCCTAGGCCCAGTGAATCTGAAGCGGGTACAGTGGGAGAATAAGCCTGGGCCAGCCAAAGCTGTGCTAAGGGCCACTCCGATCCGGCCTTTGGAGGAGCCCTGTCTTAGAGCTGCTCAGAGCCTTTGTGAATGAGATGCTGAGGAGCATCTGGAATTCCCCAGCACCCCTGAGTGTGGACCTTGGCTGGTTGCTCTCAACCTGGCTACAGTAAAGAAAGGAAAAAAAAATGATTTTAAAAGAAAATACCCATGATATATGCAACAACACAGATGGATCTCAAAAATAATTATGTCAAGTAAAAAAAAAGGCAGATTTTTTTAATGAGTACATACTCATGATTACATTAAGGTAAAACTCGAGAAAATGCAAATTAACCTATAGTGTCAGAGAGCAGATCACTGGTTGCTGGGGGGTGTGAGGTCAGAGGAAAGGATTACAAAGGGACACAAAACTTTGGAAAGTTTTGGGTGTGATGGATATGTTTACTATCTTGATTATGGTAATGCTTTCATGGGGGTTATATATATCAAACTTACCAAACTGTATACTTTAAATATGTGCAATTTCTTGTATGTCAATTATACCATAATGAAAAAGATCCCTATATAAACCTCACTCCCAGAGATTCTGATTCAGTTGGTCCAGGGTGGGATCTTGGCATGAAAATATTTAAAAATCTCCTGAAATCACAGCCCAGGTGCCAAGGGATGTGCCTGTAGTCTCAGCTACTTGGGAGGCTGATGTGGAAGGATCACTTGAGCCCAGGAGTTCAAGACTAGCCTGGACAACACAGTGAGATCCCATTGCTATGAAAAAAAAAATTCACCAAATAATTAAGAATGTGCAGCCAGGGTTAAGGTATAGAATCTTGCACGCCACAGTAATGACTTTGTTAATGATCTGCAATAAGATTGAAAGCCAGTTAACATTGCAAGAAATTCAAATCAAAACTTCCCTGCCAGCCCCAGTGCCTTTTGAGAATATGGGCCCCTTATAGGCAAGCAGTTACAAATGAAACTTTTATGAACTCTGATCAAGAGTCTGCAGGACCATTTCTACAATGAAGTATATCATACAGTTCCGAAATAAGTGGAAGTTTACGTTATTCCACACGTTTCAATTATCTTATTATGTTTATTGGTGGCATTTGTGGTGGGTGGTTTCTTTTATGTTCTGGGGAAACCTATCACATTTGGACATGGGTCTGTAGGTTTACTGCCAGGTAGGAAACTGGCTTTCGGTTGTCAACCCAATCAAGATTACTACTTTGCCCACTGTCTTTAGGTTTAAGAAGCTCACAGATTGTGTGTGTACCAACATCTACCACCCTCACATTCTCCTCAGACTTCTTCATGGACTCCTCAGTCAATTTACTTTCCTCTACAGATCATAACCCTCAGTTCCAGGAACAACTTGAATTACAAGATTCATTCTTTATGCAAGCAATAAGTGGCTTCTAATCCTAATATACATCCATTAGGAATGAGGCAGCAGACCAGTTTTCAGAACTGTTTTGTGCCAGAATGGTTGTTCATTCATGTGGTGGCCTGGGCTTTGGAGTCCAGTGGATCCAAATTAAAATCCCAGCTCTTCTACTGAATAGTTCTGCAACTTTTTGCAAATTACTGAACCTCTCTGAGCTTCAGTTTCTTAATTTATAACATGGAAATACAGCTCCCTTACAGAATTGCAGTAAGAGTTAAATGAGACATCCCTTCATTTATTTGTTTTCAAATATGCATAGTGAGAAAAAGAAAGCAGCCCCTGACATCTGGGAGCTGCCCTGATACCACTGCTAGGCCCTAGTGTTGCTACTAGCTGGCCCAGCACTCACAGAGAGGTTTTGGTGTTCTGTTAAACAGAAACAACTTCACACAACAGAGGAAACTCTGTGACCATAATGGAGCAAGACAAAAACAAGAACACTCCTCTGATCTTACATAAACAGACAAAAATGTGAACATTATTCAAATCTCAGAAATGCCTAAACATTCCCCTAGTCTGATAATATGAGTGACTGCTACTTCTTTGGCAATCATAGCTTTAGCCTAATTCTAGTCTTCACTCCTTATAGTCTTCACTCCTCATACTCAATTATTCCTACTTTCTGATAGCATCCAATCCAGAGCAGAGCCTGCTTCTTTAAACCCTTCTCAAAATAACCTAACACAAGCCCAATCCTTTACTAAGTCCTTCTGGCCCCTTTTTACTGAGATACCCCATGGTTGTCCACGGTGTGCATTCTGCCTCGTTGCAATGAGTAATAGGGCCAAGATGCTCAATGATAGGTGTGCTCCTGGTTATCTTTAACTGGAGGGTCAAGTGACAATAATGTCTGTCCTTTGCCAAGAAAGATGCTGAATTCTGGGCTTATGACTCCAAACAAATCATCTTTGCCCTGCCCTCAGGAAGCTCACAGTCTAATGGAGGAGACCTTGGAGCAGCAAGCAGAATGACCTCAAGAGTCATGACGAGTGAGACAAAACCCAACAGAGTATCACGTGTAATAGCCCTAAGACGTGTATGATCCTAAGAATATAAGAGAATAGGAAACCCCATCAAGGTCAAATGTATTTATTATTAACAAGAAGATAATGTATATAAATCTTACGATTCCATCAAGTTTAAGTTAGCGTTACTTGTAAATATACTGACAAATCTTAAGGGACAAGGAAATACAAAATCCAGTGAAGTGATCAATAAGAATGGGAACTACAGGCTTCCTCTGAGTAAACAAAGAATCAGATGGAATGACAAAGGCTGTGGGAGACCAGCCTCTTTAGTGTGAAAACCTATGACTCTATAAGCATTAAATAAGGCTAAGTCCCATCATGGTCACCAGGAAGACCATCTTCTGGGCAAAACTAACTTCATTTACCTGTGATGGCAAATGCCTTCCCTTAGGTAGGTTATGTGTTTCCTAACACCAGGAAGATTGAGAATTAAGTATGGAAAGATTTGAGAGACCCAAACCATAGTATTGATAATTTTGTATTAAAGAATAAAATTGTGTATAGTTGCTATTTTGTGTATTTGCAATTTTTAATAGA
The DNA here is from genome assembly GCF_000001405.40 of Homo sapiens. NCBI lineage: Eukaryota > Metazoa > Chordata > Mammalia > Primates > Hominidae > Homo > Homo sapiens. The sequence continues at coordinate 169,084,896 of NC_000001.11, forward strand.
ATCAGACCTATTAGAATGATAGCCTTGTAAGGCCCATTTAAAATACAATTGAGTAATTGATGTGAAATTTTATGGTTTTGAGTTCTTAAGTTTACTGGAACATACAAGAGAACCTTAGGATCCTATATTTATACATTTAAGAGCTTAAATGTATATGAGTATTAAAGTCCTCCAAAAAGTTTAGTTTGTTAATACAGACAAATGCATATAGGAAAAGAAAGAGATGGCGATTATAACTAATAATCATAGCTTAAACTATTTGAAAGTAATTAACTTTATTCATAGGCCCTTTAGAAGTGATTGCTAAACTCTGCTAGACTAAAAAATAAAATAGTAACAAACCTGTACATGTACCCCTGAACTTAAAAGTTGGGAAAAATATAAAATAAAATAATTACACATATAAGTTGAACCCAAATAAACTATGTTTTTAATCCTAACTTTAATAATCAGAATATTAATTTTTAATTCAGAAGTAAACCTTTAAATGCTGTTTCCAACAAACCTCCAAAAGCCAGTTTCAGTGACATCCAGAAACTCCTATCAAAATAAGCAATTGCCATAGTGTGTGATAAGTGCTGTAATGAGGGAAAGATAAAATACTATATAGGAAGAAGTGGGAGAGATGGAATTTCAGAGTGTCTAAGAGGGACCTTAAGGAGGAGGACTGGGAAGGCCAAGAAAAAGGTGTGAAGATTAAGGGAGGGAGGGAACAGCCAAAAGGAGTTCATTCCTTTACAAATTCTGAGTATGCACCAGGCACAAAACCAGGGGTTGGGGCTCCTTCCTGCTTGGAGCTCAAGGCCAGGAGGTAAGAGGGAGCTTGGCATCTTGAAGGAAGAGAAAGAACTTCAGTCTGAGTGCAGCCCACCCTGAGAGGGTCAGAGGAAGAGCCCACTCACTCCCCCTGGGTGGGTGAGCCTCCAGGCGCTGGTGGATGTAGGTCAACTACTAAGATGGTGCAGAAACCAGAAGGCCCTCCAACAACTGCTCCTCCTCCTTCAGGAAGTTCTTTGCTTAATTTATTTTTGCTTTGGGGGTCAGAAGCCTATTTGTAAAGCATTTAAACTTTGCTGGGACTCAGCTACTCAAACTATCAGCCCTTCAGTCCAGCATCCCTGAAGCCTAAACAGGCAAGAAGCTCATCTTTGGCTTCAGCCTGAGGTCATGGGCTGCAGGAACCGGTGGGATCTGTTTATCAAGACCACTGAAGACCTGCGGGAGGAAGGATCTTATCTCAGTGTTGCCATGGGGACTGCTGGCTGGATTGACTGAATGCTCTGCAGAAAATGACTCTTTTTTAGAAGAGAAAATAGTTGCTATTTTCCAAAGGCTAAATGTGGAGTGAGGTGGCAGTGAGGGGGAAAACAGAAGGCCTGTGAGGGTAAGAAGTGGGGACCAAGGCCAACTCTGGCTAAAGAAGAATGGGGACAGGCTGCTCCAGGACTCAAGAGCTTGAGATTCATGCTAACCCACTCCAAGAGTTCAGGCCTCCACCAGAGGACATGGCTCTATTCATACAAGAATTTTATACAGAAAATAGTAGATCTGAGATTTACAAAACTCATTTTCAATTTCATAGGCTACAGCCTTCAGATAACTCCAAGTCACATCACATGTCTAATAGTTGTCTCAGAAAGAAGTACCCAAAAGGCATTTCCTCCAAAGGTCCTTCAGAAACTGTGAAATGGGCTCTATTTGAAGAAAACCATTTCCATCAATGTGCGCAGAGCCTCAGTATGAGTGTGCAGCACAGCTGAGCCTGTCATCCCTCGGAACACAGTCTGGGATTGCCTGGTGGCTGTCTGGCTATAAGGACTTTGGACATTATCCCCAACTCCCCATGGAAGAATTTTCCCTGTGTTTCCCACCAACAATACTGAGCCAAACTGCTTTTGATGTCCCCGGAGTTATCTGATCACCTAGATGACACTGAACAGAGCAAGATGACTAGGAGACAGCAGCTCAGCCCTGACATCTGCTCAAGGCCAGCAGCAAAAGTTCCAGGAGTTATATGAGCCACTAGGTCCATCCAATCTACCATCTGTCACTGGCTTACCTTGCCACCTTGGGTCACTGACTTCCCCACTCTGTGCCATCTGTGAAATGTGCATAATAGCACACCAAGTCCTTCTGTACCTCCTCCTTCTTCTCCTGTTCTCTCTCCCTCCCTGCTTCCCTCTCTCCCTTCCTCCTCCCTCCCTCTCTCCCTTTCTTTCTCTCTCTCTACCTCTCTTCCTATCCCCCTCTCTCTCCTTCTCTCTTTTTCCTATAGAAGAGAGATGATGTGTTTGTAAAGTGCTTTGAGCTCCTTGGAGATAGAGAGTCTATAAATATAAGCTGTTATCACTGTTACCATGGAAACACACACAGACAACTGTGCTCTGTTTCTGCATTTGCTGAGCATAATTCTGGCCTTCTTGCCCTGCTGGCTGTTAAACAATCAATGGTTTTACAAAGCTCAACAGCCAGGTAATAGGTGGAGCCTCAAGGCTGAACTTATTTGCTATTCAACTCTTCTTCATGTGAATTTTCAAAAACTGTGTTTCTGTTTGCTAAGGTAGAGGATCGTATAAGATTGGCCAGAGCCAGCTGTTAAACCAGGGATGCAAATAATGACAGGCATAGGTATGCCACCCAACCCAGGACCCTGATCTGTAACAAGGGAGAATTCCAATGAGCTGCAAAAATAATATTCTACCCATTTCCTAAATTTACTCCAACTCCTAACTCCTCAACTTTACAACCAGAGCTGGCAAAATGTTGGAATAAAGAGAGTTATGAGTTTGCACCCTTCTGCCAATTTGTGACCATCTGAAAAGCAGGGGCTATATCTTTTTCATTATTGTCTCCACAGGGCCTAGCACAGTGCCTGCACATAGCAGATGCTGCGCAGAGGCCTGTGGAAAAAAAAAATGAATAAGCGAGTTATAAATGGCTGTTGTTTTCTATTACACAGGTAAAAGTGTTGTTGAGTGAGGTATGCCGTCAAATGTTGGCTTGGGCCTCGGGATCTCAGAGGACATCAGTTTTGGCATGGCCAATCTGCTTCCTTCACCCTACCATCATAGTGAGAACAACGATATCACTTCACTTCTAGTTTAATGGGTGGTCCTGGGAAAGTTGCTCTGTATCTGAAAGCCCCATATAGAATGACGTAACCTAGTTGTTAACCAGACAACTGAAAGATCCAGTGCAAAAAGTGAAAGTGTGAAAACCATAGGAAAAGTCCTTTTTCCTCTCAGGCAATGCTGTGATCTCAGGGGTAAGTTTTCCAGGCCTCAGTTAGGAATGCAGTGAAATGGGAATGGGCTTTGGACTCAGACACATCAGAACTCAGTGTGTGAGCTCTGCCACTTACTGACCTTCCTGAGCCTCCCTTCTCCCATTTGTAAAATCAGAATAATAGCACTCTCTCACAGGTTTGAGGTGGCAGTTAAACAAAATTAGTATATAAACCCATAGCTCAGTGGCTGGCACCAGTCAATGATTTATGCATGATCATTCCATTCCATTAGTTTGCCAGTATGTATGAATATCCATTTATTTTGAATACTTCACTTACTAGTTTATTCTAAAGGCCTGGCAGATGTTTCAGGTCCCACTAAGATGAGTGTATGTGATGTCTCTGCCTTTGGAAAGCCGGATTGGAGGATGTGAAAGGGAGAGAGAAAATGCTCAAACACAGACAGGGAGTCGGGACCTGCTACATAATTTGCAGAGTCCAGTGCAAAATGAAAATGCAGGGCACTTGCCAGAAAATTTATTAAGAATTTCAAAAAGGTGACAACTGAGCATTAATCCAAGCAGGGGGTTCCACTAAGCTAAGGACGCCGTGTAACTGCATAGATTGCACACCGATGAAGTCAGCCCTAAAGCCAGGGCAGAGGTAAACTGGTTTCCAGGCTTGGTACAGACGATATACTGATGAAGTAAGTACAGTGAGTGATGCAGTTTCATGGTGTTACCCAAATGCTGTTTTTGTCATCAGGTAGCTCTAATATGATCACAGAGGACAGAGGTATTTTTTCTACAAAATACTTGAATACATGGAATTCATATTCTAAGCTAAACCTAACTGATAGTAAAGGTCATTTCAGGAGGAAAACACTTACAAAAACAAGCAAACTCCTATAGGAGTGGTTATGATTGCATAAAACACATAATAATTGTGTTCAGAGATTCAAATTGTTCCTGTATCATTGTTCATAGACGATATGGGGGAGAGGTCAAATTACAAAGCGTACAAAGCATTTATCTACTTACACAATTGCTATTTATTAAACCCCCTACTGTATACAAGGTATGGTGCCAGGTCATGTGAGGGAAACAGAAAAAGATATCATCAGCCATAATATGATCTCTCACGTTCCTTTCAGGTCTAACAATTTAGGATTCCTTGATGAAGACATAAGGCCTACCTTTAAGAAACGTAAGTTTAGTGCTGTAGCAGAAACTGAAATGGGCCGGGCACAATGGCTCATGCCTGTAATGCCAGCACTTTGGAAGGCCAAGGTGGGCGGATCTCTTGAGGCCAGGAGTTTGAGACCAGCCTGGCCAACATGGCAAAACACCGTCTCTACAAAAAATACAAAAATCGGCATGGTGTGGTGGCAGACACCTGTAATCCCAGCTACTTGGGAGGCTGTGGCACAAGAATTGCTTGAACCCAGGAGGAGGAGGTTGCAGTGAGCTGAAATAGCACCACTGCGCTCCAAAACAAAAAAATTAAAATGAAATTGCTCTGTATGGGGTGTTTATAACTGATTGCATAAATAAGCATACAAATAATTATTATTTATATTATTTTATAATAATATATTAATATAAATATATATTTATATTATTTTTATTATTTTATATAAATAATTTATATAAAAATCCTACAAATCAAAAGGAAATCTAGGCAAAACACCATATAAAAATCTAGATTTCTACTAAGCTCTTCAAACACTGAGAACATTGTTTTTCGTTTTTTTTTTTGTTTTTTTTTTAATCTGATAGTAAAACTAAGTCACAGAATAGACAATGGGTTCTTCTGGAGTCAAACAATAAAGCTGTGGCAAAACAAAGTCCCCTGTTGATAAATTACTGAATGTATTCACAGTGGTTCTCCATCCCCCTCTCCATCCTTGGTTCACTAATAAAGAATGTGCTTTAAATAAGCTATATGCCTCCCCTTTTTTCCAAGGTATAACAATTAATGGCATTAGTAAAAGACTCTACATAAATGTGTTGATGCCAATTTTGGAGCACGGGCTTTAGAAGTCAGACAACCTCGATTAGATTTTGAGTGTACCACTTATTAGGTATTAGTAACTTGGGCAAATTGCATAGTCTTCCATTTTCCCATAAATTGCAATATTAATTCCTCTCCAGTTTTGTTTCATTTTGTTTTGAGGATTAAAAGCATCTAGCTGTGGCTGGCACACAGCGACCATTCACCTGGTAATGTGCTCACTCCCTCCCCCCACCTTCTTACCTTCCTTCTATAAGACCTACTGTAAACAGAATGTCATGGGGCTGTAATGTATTTCACTGAAAATTGTGGAGTACCAAGATACAGCCCATGGAAGAGCAAACTAACCAGAGACAGAGTCAAGAAACCCAGGATGAGTAAGATCAAGACTGAGCTGATTAAGGATAAACGTTGACTTTATTTTCAACTTTGAATGTGCTAAATGCCATCATTGTGGGTTTCTCCTGGTTCCCCTTAGTTTATTATAATCCCTCACTGAATGTACCGTGAGCAATCCTGGCATTTGATCTGATCCAGGCATTTGAACAGCAGAATCAAAACGGTCAACTTAAAAAGAGGAAGGGAGATAAACAAGGCTGGAGAAAGAAGAGACCTAAGAGTTCTACCTGTTTTTGTTTTTGTTTTTCCAGGAAATAGAATTGGCAATTGTAAATGACAGATTGAACCTAAAGGAAGAAGAGAGATGTTATTTCTCTCACAGTCTATTATACTGGAATGCAGACAGAGAGCTGCTGCTGCAACATGGCCAAAGGACCCTGCCTGGGTGCTATTTGCAGGACACCAAAAGCCCCTAATAAACTAAACGGACCTAAAATTCCCCATTACTAGTTTCACATTAAATAAGGCACTGATCCCCAAGGAGTCCCTAGTGCCTGTGCACACAACAGAACACGGAATTTTGAGGGAATGAGCACAGGACATGGGAGTTCTGATGGCAGGGATCTCACTGGCTGAAAATGCAGAAAGAGGTTGAAAGCTGCCAAAGACAAGTTAACGCACTGCATGGCTTTGTCTGGCCTGGGCTTGGGGCTCTCATGGAGGTTACAGAGTGTTCAAGACAGCTCAGAACTGCCGTGTGGGGGAAATTCTCAGCCAGCCTCATCTTATGACCATCCTTGTAGTCAGGACTGCACAATCCTTCTCATTCTGTGCTTGTTCTGAGCCTACCACCCATCAAAATTCTGTTTATTTCAACCTTTACTAAGATAGGAGGGATTTGAGGTACACCGTTCTAATCCCCAGCATTTCGTTACGAAGAACAGGTTCCCATTCAGGCTAATTCTAGAAAAGAGGGTTTTAATGTCGGGATACAGAAATCTCACAGGAATCCAAGGACAGGGCTGCTTGGTACAGAGGGCCCCGTGAGAAGAGGAACTGAGAAGATGTTCAGAACTCTGGCAGAAGCTGCTAGTGGTCTTCCAGTGTTCATTCTTCTTTTCTTCTTAGTAATAGAACCCTGTGTGCTTTATGCGGGCACATGGCTGCCGGTTGCACACTACAGTCCCCAGCCTGCCTTGCAGCAAGGTATGACTATGTGAGTAATGAGGTATAAATGGAAGTGAGATGTACAAATTTGGCATCGTCTTCTTAAAGACAAAGCCACTTGTCCTGGATTTTCTCCTTGCAGTAAGACAGAATGCAGATGCAATGTTGACTCAGGCTCAGTCAAGCAAAGGAGGACACCACCACTGGGGATGCAAGAGTAACAAGACAGGAGAGCAGGCTCTCTGAATACCCACACAGCAGAGTCACCATTCCAGCCTGGATTATTCACCACCAGGCTGTTACAAAAGAAAGAAATAACTGCTATTTTCTTTGATTCCCTGTATTTTTAGGTCTCTATTACAGCAGCTTGGCTTACATCTTGCCTGACACAAGAATTGAGGGCTAGCTTATAGATGGAGCTTCCCTTGAGTCAGTGCTCACTCCAGTCCACTTTGCTATAGCTGGGTGGAAGGGGCACCGTAGTAAAAACAGCAGTTTAGGTAATGCTTCTGGCACATGTCTATAGATCATATCATGAGGCCAGTTCAATGAAGAAGCATTTGAACTCAGAATCTGTCAGGTTCCTGAAAATCCTCTACCAGGAGTATGTTAGCTCTGGAAGCATCATATTCTAAAATCCTCAGTGATTATGTTTTCTCAGTGCAAGTCATCAATTCTCTGGCATCCAGTGCTCATATCATGTCTAATTACAGCACTGGGGAGTTTTATATATACCTGTAGTTCTGGTTCTCAAACACTGGTGCACATCAGAATCAACCGACCTCCACCCCTAGAATTTTTCACTCAGTAGTTCTAGAATGGGGCCAGAGAATTTACATTTCTGCTAAGTTCCCAGGTCATGCTGATGCTGCTGGTCTGGGGACCACACTGTAAGACCCACTTAGACACTGCATGTACTACTGCCCCATGTGATGTAGGGAACGCACACAGCTGCCACTGGCATAGATACAACATCTTAAAGCCAGATGCTAATAGGAACACCAGACATTCTACTATTTTAGAATATTCAAAATACAAGGATGCATCTCCAGTCTGTGACTTGGTAACTAAACAAAAATGTAATTTATTTAACAAATATTGTAAGTACTTATTCTGTGTCAGGCACTGGAAGCTAGCCATGATGAAACAGACAAAAATATCACTCACTATTCAGCTTAAATTCAAAAGAGAAAAGCTATCATGTATTGATTTCTATTAGGTCTTAAGGCCTTAATTCTCTCAAGTTCCCACAATGAAAATAAAATATAGATGGCGTTATTTCCGTTTCCAAGATGAGAACGTGGAGCCTCATATAGTTAGGTAACTTTCACAGCTTCAGATGGCTGTGTCTTGGAAACCCATGCACTTTCCACAGCACCACAATTAAATATATCTGGCTAAGTCTACAAAGGGGCTCTTAGATAAAATCCTCTATATTTTGTCATCAAAAAATTTCTTTTTTTACTACCATAACCCAGAAACATCCCTGAAAAGTTGAGGACCTTGAAGTGTAAGGTCTCAAGTGCTGTGATGGGAGGATCACAGATTTCAAGAAGGGAACAGTTTATACCTCTTGCCAACAACCCACTTTCTAAACCATCTGGCCAGGTAAGTTACTGCTAGGTTGCAATAAACTTTTGGGGTTCAGAAGAGGTTTACTTTGAATATCAACCTTACATTAAACTAGCAAGTCCCCTGGTTAAAACTGGAGATTCCTCCTTCAATGATTTATTCAACATATATTTCTTGAAACTTTTATGTTCCAGGCACTGTGCTGGAAACTGGATAATTCACAAGTAAAATAATACTTCGTCTCTTTTTTTAAGGAGTTCACAGTTTGAATATAGCCCTTCTTCTTAGTTGTTCTCTGGGTACTGTGCTTGAGTCCTTCTTAGGGATATTTTCTTATGTTTTGAATACTTCATGGTTTGAATTTTTAATCTTTATTCATAACCCTAATTCATACATCAGCTCATTCTGTTTTCTTTTTAGTGGAGCTATTAATATATAAGAGTTGGATATTTGGCAAGATAGCATAATGAATTGTTTTTAAAAGAGAAATGACAGTGATTATTCAAAACCTTGTTAAAATACTAAAAAGAGGAGGTAAAAGCCAGGGCAATGGGAGAAAGGACAAAATCCTTGGAACGTAAAGAATCTATGATCCTTAAAGAAAGATAGGAAGCTGCCCTCAAGATGAGGCAGAGAAGGAAAGAATTATAGAAGAGGAAGAAGAGGCCTTTGGTGTTGAGTTTAAAAAGCAACCGGGTGGGCAGAAAGAAAGAAAGACCAAAATGTTCAGTGTAACTCTTGTTTTAAAGGACTTTCACACCATTTGTTGTTAAATTGTATGTTTAGACCTCACTCATTGTGGTTGGTCATGTGGATTTTTAACTTCAGAACAATTATACTCCAATTATTTTAATTTTAAAGAAAACAAGGATTAAAGTGCATGAGCTCACTTTAATAGGTGACCATATGTGTGATTAAATTTGGAGGCTGGAAATCAGACTTAAGGTTCTGTGGAGGACTTAGGTTTTGCTTCAGAAGCCCCTCAACAAGGATTTCCTGTCGCTACTCTACCTAAGAGAGGAGGTTGGTTGGGGGGAGGGCAGACAGTGAGCTACCGGGTGACAATCAAGTCTTGCTTTATTTCTTTGAAATTGTCTGTGCACAGGTGCTACCGTGAACACACATTGTTTCATTCCACATAATCTGGACTCCCTAAGCTCAATTAACAGCTGTCTCCAAATTTTCCTTGGCATTTTCAGATCTCAAAGAGAAAGTTGTTTTATAAGTTTCTTCTCTCTAAATGTAAGTAGACTGAGGTAGCTCTTAAATACAACAGTCTTATCCTGAAGGCTCATTCCTGTGTGCAGCATGGGCCTCTTAATAATACCTATACTGTACTGTCTTCCCAACTGCAATGGGCTTCTCAAATACTGTGGTGTGTGCAAATTACCTGGGAAGCTTATTCACATGAGGATCCCAGGTACCTCCTCAGATACCTTAATTCAATAGGGTTCGGATAAAGTCCAGGAATCTGCATGTTAATGGAGCTAAGCAGGTAAATCTGATATAGACAGTTCACGTCAATATATTGATAAACCCTATAGTTGCATTAGGGTTGGAGACAAATGTGCAGGTGCAGCGACTTCATAGATTCACCTAAATTCACTGAGTGCATACTATGTACCCATCACTGTGCTAGACACAGGGGATGTCAAGGTGGCAAAAGCTAGTGCTCATAAAATTAAAGTCTCAGCAAATAATCACATGAATGAAAAATTATTATCTGTGACAAATGGCACAAGGAAGAGTTATACAATGATAGGAAAACCTGTGGCTAAGGCATTTTTTTTCTTAGAAGTCAAGGAAGTCTCCCCTAAAGACTCCAGAGTGTTATCTTGCCAAGAGGGGAAAGATAAACATTCCAGACACAGAGGAAATAGCATGTGCAAAGGTCTTGTGGCCATGGGGAGTTTACAGAGTCGGAGAAGCAACCTAGTGTCCTCAATAATATGTAGTCCAGTGCTGGTCAACTCTTATACAAGCTTCCAAGTGTCGCTGTGATATTCCATCCTTCTGGAAGGCTAGTGAAATTGAAGGACTAGTGATCTGCTGAAAGTAGCTATTAGTTTACACCTAAATGGGAACTGCACTAAGCCCTACTGTCAGTTAACATGCTGAAACTGGCACCCAGCTGGCATGCTGGGGCTGAGTAACCACACCCTTCCCGGCTGCAACTTGTACTAAGAATGGACAATAGCTGTCTAAATCCCACAAGCCCCCAAAGAGGCTGACAGATATTGCAGCCATGATTGCAACAGGAAGTAGAGAAGGGTGGTGGGTGGGCAGAATATTAACAGAACCAGCCCTTGCCAACTGGGCAACGTCACAGACTGTGCCATGGCAAGGCATGCATCTGTTTCTGTGCACTCTTTTTAAGATTTTTCTCCAGCTCTATGCCCCTGTCATTTCCACAGCCATGTCTCCCGACCCCAGTGGCCTGAACTCTTCTAATGGTTTGCTCTTCGAATGGCTTGTCTTTCTTACCACAAAAGAAAGCGATTTGATCTTCTCATTGGAGAATAAAATATGAGACAATGGGCCCCCTCCTAGGATTCGTCTTGGAAAAAGGCTTTGACAATACTAACACAAAAGAGCACATCCATATGTGCCAAGTTTCTCTGCATCACTGTGGCATAAGCAGTGACAGAACCTCTAATTTTTAACAGGGGACAAGTACCCTGAGCAAAGACTGTATTTCCGAGCATCCCATATGGCTAAGTGTTGTCCTGAGGCCAAGTTCTGACCAATGATGTAGGAGCAGACGTGCAGGACATCTAGGATGGATGTTGCCTTGAAGGGTGGTTGGCACTTCTGTTTTTCCCCTCCTCCACCCTGGATGTGATGACTGGTGTCCATGAATGCAAGGACCATGTAGAAGGGATGTAAAAAGATGAGCTGGAAGGGGCCTGGCTCCCTGAGGACTTACTGGAATAAAGCCATCATCCCAGTCCTGGACTACCTACCTCTGGTCTTGTAAGTCACAGGGAAATAGAATCCCATGATGTTGAAGCTGCTGTTATTTTGGGTTTCTGTTACAGCCAAACCTAACCCTAACTGATAAAGCTATCATGGGGATTTTTTTTTTCTCTTTTTCTTTTTTGACGGAGGATCACAGTGAAGTTTTTCCTTGGAGTCCCTCAAATGTAGGCAATGATATTCTCCGCCTTCATGTGTGGCTGTGTGGTTTAACCCAAGCAGAATCGTGAGATGGAAAATGAACATGGAATGGAAGAAAGAGGTCTCAGTCAGAGACCAGCCCTGCCCCAAGCTCACCAGCTATTTTTCCACTCTAAGTTTTCACTTTGTCATATGAAAAATCGCCTCTAAGTTCTCATACAAATCTGATAGTTTCTACGACTTGGCATGCTCAGTTTCACCCAACCCCTGCACCAATCTGCCAATGAAGGGAAATTATTATTAGGATGAAGTGTTTGCATCTCACCAACAGGTTACATTTTAAAAATCCATATGGTACCTGTTTGGAACTTGCAACAGATTTTTCTATAGGTCGATAACATACATGAAGGTTAGCTTTGCAAGCACACTCCCAAAAGATATTTAATTAATGCACAGTTAAACTATAGTGCTGGGAGGTTCACAGAACCAAAAAAAAATAAATTGTAAAAGGTTGACATTGGGGAGTAAAGTGCTCAATTTCAAATTGGAGGAAGGGGTAGAAGCATCTTTTCTTCCACCCATGGCAGAGAAGGAAGCTGCGTTTGGTGCTGAGAACAATACCTGTATTCTGTGTCCTGGAGGCGAGAATAATCATTTCCAAGTAACTGCACTTTTTTCCCATAAGGGGTAGGAAGAGTAGGCCTGTGTGAGGACTGAGGGGAAGGGCATGGCAGGCAGAGGGGAAGCCCTGTGTTTTGGAGGTGAGAACAACATTGTTCTCACCTCCAAGTAACAACACTTCCATTTCACATCTAGATGTGCATGAAAGCTAAGAAAATGGGAGTCTTGATATGTTTCAAATATCCTATGAGACCACTGCCTGGTTTCCTTGAGTCTAATTCTAACTTCATTTGAAATATTGTCCTGTAGGTGAAAGGCCATTTTCTGAACATGTCCAAGTTTCCTTAAGCAAACATTATGCAGAAGCCATGGGAGAAGCAAAAGGAGGAAGATTGCTGTCTTTTAGGACAATGGTGTTTTACAGTTACACTTGACTTTTCCATTGGCCATCGTGGCATAGAGCTGAGCGTCACCCACTTCAACCCAGGAGGGCAGCAGTGGAGAAACAGTGAGGAGGGAACCTGATTTCCTATGCTAGAGGAACTTGCATCTCTCCTTCCTACCCCTTATGAATGGGGGAGTGATAGGCATGAAGTCACAGTTCCCTGATGAACTTGGATCTGCTTCACTCCAGTTCTTCTTTTAGAAAGGACTGTCTATGGATAAATAAAATGTGGCACATATACACCATGGAATACTATGCAGCCATAAAAAAGAATAAGTTCATGTCCTTTGCAGGGACATGAATGAAGCTGGAAACATTCATTTTCAGCAAACTAACACAGGAACAGAAAACCAAACACTGCATGTTCTCACTCATAAATGGGAGTTGAACAATAAGAACATATGGGCACAGGGAGGGGAACATCACACACTGGGGCCTGGCCAGGGGTGGGGGGCTAGGGGAGGGATAGCATTAGGAAAAATACCTAATGAAGATGACGGGTTGGTGGGTGCAACAAACCACCATGGCACATGTATACCTGTGTAACAAACCTGCATGTTCTGCGCATGTATCCCAGAACTTGAGTATAATTAAAAAAAAAAAAAAAGGTCAGTTTAGGGAGTGTATACTCAGGGCAGCTTGAATCTATGCTCCCAGGTAAACATTTAAAAAAGAAAAGAAAGGAAGGAAGAGAAAATAAAAGGGCAGTCTTGACCCTGCACTTATAAGTCTTATCTTTTCCCTGTTAAAAAAAAAATAAACTAGGCCTGGTGCAGTTGTTCACGCCTATAATCCCGCCACTTTGGGAGGCTGAGGTGGGAGCATCAGTTGAGCCCAGGAATTTGAGACCAACCTGGGGAAAACAGTGAGACCTCATCTCCACAAAAAATAAAAAAAATTGGCTGGGTGTGGTGGCATGTTCCTGTGGTCCCAGCTACTCTAGAGGCTGAGCTGGGAGGATCACTTGAGCCCAGGAGGTTGAGGCTGCAGTGATCCATGATCACACTACTATACTCCAGCCTGGGAAATAGAGACCCTGTCTCAAAAACAACAAAACAACAGCAAAAACAAACCCCCTTTGTCCCAATCAAAGGAGTTCTCTCATTCTACCCTAATGAAATGTATCCTGTTTCTGTGCATTTGCACATGCTTCCCCTCTGCCCACGCCTTTCCTCTCACTTCCTCACACAGGCTAATTCTTCCTTGTCCAAATGTCCCCATCTTTCAGAAGTCATATCAACTCTCAGGAGGAATAAGTCCTGTGTGCTCTCCTAGCATCCTAAGCAAATTTCAGGCTGTCCCCACATGACAGAATAAACTGCTTGACTGTCTTGACTCTCCAGTGACAAGCACACTGTGAGGTCCATCAATATGCAGTGAATTAGCAAACAAATGTTCCTTCCTGCCTGGTATTATCTCAGGCACCATCAATATTTCTGTACAGGATTTACCTCTTGCACAAAGGGTATCTCTTCTCTAAATTCCCATTGTATCTCGTTTGTGATATTCATTGTGAAACACAATCATTTAGCACCTTGCATTGTTGTTCACTCATTTCTGTGTATTTTGCTCCCAAACCAGAATGTTTGCTGCTAAAATGTCCAGACTACATCTCAGATGTCATGTTCTTTGTTACCCCCGCAGTTTCTAATATAATACTATACACACAGTAGGCCATCGATGAATGATTGATGGATGAGTGCATGAATCCAAAAAAATGCTTCTTTAAATAGTGACCTCCATGAAGATTTACATGATCTTGGAGAGATTTTTACCATAAAAAATAAACCAGCCTTTACATGACAGCACCCATTTGGTGCCATAAGCTATGCTTGCACTTTCTGTGGGTATACATTTTCCTCCTGAAGCGGCAGTTATACCTAGTGGATCTGAGCCTGGTCTCTGGAGCTAGACTGCCTGGGTTTGAAGGTGGCCTTCCTTCTTGCTAGCCTTAGTCTATAAAAGACTTGGCTGCTTCATTTGTAAAATGAAGATGATACTAATAGGACCTACCTCATTACGTTGTAAGAAAGGTAATATAAAGCAGAAAACAGGGGAGGAGGGAAGGTAATCCACATTAAATACTTGGCGTGGTGTCTGGCTTCCAGTAAGTGTCTGATAAATGCAGTTATCAGTGTGGCTTCTAAGATGATGACAGTAGGTTTAAATGGAACAAGAACTCTTAGAGAAGCCAGGGCTCAATCATACTGGTCTTTTCATTATTGCACTTATTTATGTGGGCAGTGTCCTTGGTGGTATCACTGTAAGGAAAGTTATAGCAACGACTTTTAGAACTAAGAAGTTAAATTCCACAGTGGGACGTGTCATGCTATGTAACTGGACAGGAGGCCCATCAGGTATGCAGGATGCATTTCAGTAATGTCTTAGTAAAATGAGTGTGCCTTCTGCTGGGATGATTGGGTGCAATGACATGTGCATGATACATATGAAAGACTGAATGTTATCATTTATTCATCAAAAAACATGCTGTTAGCTAGCCAGAATACAGATACTGCAAACAGCTGGTTTGCCTAAAGGATTTGCTCCTTCAGATCATAAAACCTCCTCATTACTAAGTACAGAGATGAGTATAAATTAAGTTGTAAGTTAGTTTATGCAAATTATTTTACATTTTCCTGCCTCCCAGCTCCTCCCAAAAGTAAAATAAATGCAAAACAGTCTTTTTTCATTTCTTCCCTTTGTTTTGATCCCTACGAACTAAACACAATATTTCTAGAAAGATGTAGAAAGGTACAGCACCCCAGAAATAAGAAAAGTTGGTATATTTTATGGGGTATAAAAGGTTTTTTATTCTGTGTGTTTGTTCACCTACCTGTCATCCTGCTTATCTGAAAGTGCCTGTCTGCATTACACCAGGCAACAGCTAAGCAGCCATTTAATCCTGCATGACTCCCTCCTCTGTATCTTGACCACATCACAGGGAGGAACCTACACCAAGGCAGTCCAGGCTTAGGTTTCCCAGCAACCTGTGACCTGGCTGGAAAATGTGAACTGTGCCAATCCGATTCCCTTTGCCTGGAATCCAGACTAGAAGCAAGGTAAGCTTTGCCAGTTAGCCATGGGAACTGCAGCTGCAGGATCATGAGAAAGGCAGGACCACAAGAACCTCTGCCAATTGACCTGCATGGAAAACAAAGTTGGGCACTGGGAGAGCTGAAGAAGCAGAGAAAGTCAGGGTTGGTTAGAAGGAAGAAGCAGCATTTAGAGTTCAGTTGAGTCATTTCAGTGGGTAAATGCTAGAAGAGCCAGAACCAAGCTCTCTGGACCCTGGCCCAGCACCATCCCAGGACAGTCCTCGTGAGGACAGCATTTACAGTACCTTGTCCTAGAGATCAGGGATGGATGGCCCCCTGGCCTTATTGCTTCATAGGTATCCATTTCACTTGTGTTAGATTTTGAGGGAGGGGGGTTATCTCTGTTTTTTGCAAGTACAAGAGATTTTTCTAAAACACTTACTTGGCATCAGTGTTAGAGGGGCGTTGGCTCAAAAAAGCCATGAAGGCGTAGCTTTGTGATAACAGTAGTTGGCAAGATGATAATGTCCAGATCATACACAAATATTAGCTCCACTGAACTCTGATCTCCTCAGAACCAGAGTACCTGCTTTAAAGGGACATGAGCCAATGAGAAATCATGCAGATGAAGGCAGCAAGTATAATGAGAGGGTTGGAAAGTTTCTCACACAAGTACTGAAGAAATACGAGATTTTTTACTCGAAAAAGTGAAAATTAGGGAGACAAAGGATGTTTCTAATATATGTAGAGCTGCCACGTGGAAGATACACCAGGGTTGCATTTTGTTCCTCTAAAGGCAAGAACTAGGATTGGACAGAAGTTATAAGGAGCTAGGATTTAGCCCAGAGTTTCCCCACAATGGAATGAGAGCTGCAAGATAGGGAGTATACAGCCTCTGGAGGTGTTCAACAAGAGGCCAATTGACCAGCTACCTTGTCCCAGGAGAGGGGAGTTTGTACTAGAGAATATCTGATATTATCTTCAGTGTTAATACACAATGAGTTTATCTACAATGACTATGTATATTACCTCTAGGCTCTAAACAAACGCTGCTGAAAGAAGCTGAAGATCAAGCAGACCGTAAAATAGATATTCCTCCTTATCTCTAGAAGACTCCAAGTGGTCCAGCAAGAGAGGAGTCATGAAATACCTCAGATCCTCTCTCATCTACATTTGTCTCTGGGGCTGTTGAGACAATGCCTCTGTCAGGGGAATGATGTCGTGGGACCTCCTCTTATTGAGATTAGCCTCTCAGAAGGGTGTCTGCTCATTGCCTTTTAAGCAGATGGAAAATTCTGGAAAGGAACTTTATTTTTTGAAGCTTAGAGGAGGTGCCGGTTGGTGCCAATTTTCCAAGGATAAAAACCAAATTCAACTAATTTACCCCCCACTGGGGGAGTACAAAAAAGCAGGCAAGCTAAGTCTGAAAGCTCTAACAATGGTTTAGCACCACTTATCCATGGGCCTTCAGGCCTACCACCTACCAATCATGCAAGTAAGTTCAGATTATTGCAAAGACCGGACACCTCTGCGGTCCTGCTAGAACAAACCAAACAAAAATCATTCTCTGTGTGTCTTCTTTTCTGTGCCTGCCTTGGTCACCTCCACTATCCACGTTTAATAATTTGGCAAAGGACATGGCAGGTGGAGAGAAATCCCAGTATTCTCACTATATCAGGGATGCTTTCTGGACGTCCTCTCAGGAAACAGGAAACAGCACAGCAGAAAACAACTTCTGGGAGTCTGCTAGTCAAGGCCTGGGAGCCAAGGTGTTGAGCGGGTAACCTACCACTCCCACTGATGACACGAATGGTCCGCTTACCAACATCCCTAGCAAAAAAAAAAAAAAGTCCTTTTTTTGTTATTTCCATACTATGTCCTCACACAAGGATTCGATTCCAGATCCAGTAAAATAGGAAAGTGCCAGAACAGAATGCCTTCAGATGAAAGAAGTGAACGGATAGGGTTTAAACTGCAGCAGTGCTAAATTATTGTTAGAAACCAGAACCATTTTGGAGAATGATTTGGTTTTCTGTCAAACAGGCCAGGTCCATTGTGCAGCACAGAATGAAGCCCCGGAGCAATCCGGCATCCTTCTGTGATGGTAAGGCACTCAGCCCAGCCCCATGTTAGGTGCAACCCAGGTATCTATGCATGTCCTGGCCAAGGTGGCAAGTCCAGCAGCATTTCCCAGAGCTCGTCCTCTCCCAGCCCTCTTTGTCTTCCATTGCAGAGCTGTGCATTCCACTGCAAACAGAGCCTGCCATTGAGCCATTTTTCTCTGCACTGCACATAGTTTCTGCTGCCAGGATGAGTCACCATGCAACACATACCCTCATCCCCTCCACGCTGTACTTAAAATACTCTAGGGCTGGCCAAACAGAACCCCACTGTGAGTGAGCACGTGTGTGAAGGTGGGATTGGCAGCTCAGCCCTGCGGAGCCCTCTGAAGAGCAGTCTGCATTGTGTTTGGCAGAGAGATTCAGAGAGCCAATATTTGGGGAGGGGCAGAGAGGGGAAGGTCTGTTTTTCAAATCTGGTTCGACCTCATGCAGCCTGCCAAGTTGCGCCCTCTCTTTTGCAGGCACCCCTCACTTTAGCTTCTCTGAACAGAAGGATCTTACTGCTAGGGGTTGATTTGTCCTGCCTCTTCTCCCAGCCCAGCTTCTGACTGGCCACCTTGCTACAAACAGGACTGCTCTGTCCTGCTTTTACCTGCCAGCCTGTCTGCCTCCAGCGTAGATTTTTCTTCAATCGCAAGAGCATCTATTCATTTCCTGAGTTAGAACATGTCATCCTCACTGGGACGGAGGTCTCTCACCGCTCTCCTGCCATTCCTGCTCTCCGCTTCCCCTCATCCACCCACAGAGCACTAACCTTGGGCAGAACCAATCACAGGACTCCAGAACCATGCCTCTTCCCCAGCCTGCACTGAAAAAAGGGATTAAAAATTGTTCTCTTCCTCCTGAGCCTTTAAACTGAACTGAATAATTTCTTTCTCCTTTCTGCAGAGAAACACTGGGTTTCCATACGCATTGACTGAAAAGTTGTCTTAGTTCCCCATGGTCCACACCCTCTTCCACGCCCAGCCACACACTCCACCTGCCGGGGCACCCCTCCCTTTGGAGAACCACACATGTTCGGCTTTCAACCTGCTGCTACAGCACCCTTCACAGAAGGGGCCTTGGAACAAAAGCCCAGCTCAGCACAGCCCAACGGGACATAAAGTACTTGAGTTATTCATTACTTGAGTTGGAGGAGGTCACACAGCAGGAAGCGCACTGGAAAGCAAGGGGAAAGGTGGCAGAGAGGGTGGGGAATGCGTCAGGGTGACCTTCTAGGGGCTGATGGGAACTCAGAGTCCTGGTATGGGGTGGGTATCAGAGTGGGAAGGTGACAAAGTCATAGCAACAGCCCCAAGGTTAGCCAAGGTCAAATGGAAACAGCTGATTATAATTAAGCTAGCTACTTAGCTCTTGCCATGCCTCAGGCACTGTGCTTAACACTTTCCCATATCGCTCCTTTTATCCTTGCAATAATGTATCACTTCAATTTTATGACTGAGGGAACAGCCCTGGAGAGAACAAGTGACTTGCCCAAGGTCACCCAGCTAGCATGCATGTTCTGAAGCTGGGAAGGTGAATGTAGGTCTTTACCAGCTTGTTCTGTGTGATGAAGTGGTTAGATGAGTGGTACAATTCCAGATGGTCTAGAGTGGCGGGGCAAGTGGAGTCTGAGATGAGCTACTGAGATAAATCTGGTTCCTATAGGGCTGAGATCATGTTTTCCAGCAGCAATCCCAGGACTGGGTGGAAACCTGGAGGTTTTCAGGAAGGCTGGAGGAGGCTGGCTTAGGATGAGCTGCTGCATTGGCTGTGCAGACGTGACCCTCAGGACTTCATCTGAACCTGTGAAGAGTTTCCATGCAGGGAAGGGGGGATGAGTAGAGCTAGGGACCTAAAATTTGAGAGGGGAAGATATTCCCCAGTGGAAGACAGTAAATCAAAGACTAGAGACCAAGCATCAGTCTACTGGGTGTTTGCTACACCTCTGAAGAGCTAAGGTAGGACACTTGTTTTAGGAAAAAAGAAAATCTGTCACTGGAGACTCTCTTTATATATTTTGTCTTACCATATGCTTCTTTTGGAAGGGGGGTTGGGAATCAAGGTACAGGAACGGAGTGGGCACAAGTAAGGGCACCACCAACTCCCAGAACCGCCTCATCCCTTCCCATGCTACCCTTTCCCCACTCATCTCTTTTTGCTGATTCTGCCTACAGGTTTTCCCTCCTGTTACAGTAATGGACACTCAACAACACATACCCTTCCCAGCAACCTGTCCTGCTGGAAAACTACTCGATAAGGTAACTTCTGCCTGAAGGGGACCAGGGTCATCATACCCGCAAGTGCAGCATCTTCCTGCAGCTCTCATACTACCAAGCTGGGGTTTTTCCAACATAAACATTACAGGTGCTAAACGAGAGGTGGCTTCCTTTCTCAATAAGCTGTTCTCTCTCTCGGATGCCCTTGACAGAGCCCTGCAGCCTCCCCCACTGGGGCTTGGTGGATAGGTGGTCGCTTCTCCCCCGAATTTCAGGAATGTTTAGGTTTGCACAGGTCCTGCAGGCGAGCTTGGAGAAGGATTAGAAAAATGCTCATTCTTAATCAGTTCGGGCTTGTCTTTATGCCAGCGAGGTTGACCTTGGGGACAGAAGGGTGGCCAGGATAAGGACAAGCATCCTGGTATTGGGGAATTCTCTGATATGGGGCTGGGACGTCAAGATGGGCCATGATGGCCCCTGGGGATAGGGCTTCTCTGCAGTGGAAGCAGAAGCATCCCGGTGTTTTCTGCTGTGTCACTGTCCTCAGAGGGATGTATAAAGCTGCTTGGGGGCTCATAGGAGAGGGATGAAACCAAGAGTTTGGCTTTCCAGCAACAGCGGACAAAGAGTGGGAAGGGGTACTCTATGCCCCAGGTCTGCAACATCTTGCCCTATGCGCTAGGTTTTCCCAAAGGTCCTTTGGCTCCAAGAATTTTACAGCAGAACAAAGGGATCGATACCCCCAAGGGGGCATAAAAGCATGCCAATGAGAATACCCGCCGCCGACCGGGCACCAAGAAAGTCCTCGGTGGCTGGGTCACGTGCAGATATTGTTGCCTGGGGTCTAGACTGGCCTGAGTCTCAATTGGTTTCTACGGGACAACTCACTGCGGGCTACCGCCCTGGGTGGGTTTGGCAATTGTCCTGCTCGAGGTGGTTCAGGCCGCCCACAAGGGGCACAGCCGGGCAGTCAGGAACCGGGGCTGCCGGCTGGGCTGGCCTGCAAAGAAGAGGGAAGGGCCGGAACTGCAACCGCAGTGGCGGGGAGTGCGAGGGGGCGGCAGGTGCAGGAGCGGGAGGCGGGGCGGAGCTGGGCAGAGTCCTCGCCAGTCCGGCGTCCCGGAGTGACCTTCCCCCACCCCGCCAGCGCCCAGGAGGGGTGGACCCACAGCCCAGGGAGGCCGAAAGCGCGGGCGGGCAGGCAGAGGCGTGGAGGCTGGGCCAGGACTGCCGGGCTGGGGTCCTCGAGGCTCCGGGCGACCCAGGTGCGGATCCCCCAGCCACGGAAGGGGCGGTTCACGCCCAGCCGGGAGCTGGGAGGGGGCTGCGCGGCGCTGCCTGCGCGTCCCTCACCGCCGCCCCCGCCTCCTCCTCGCCCCGCGCCCAACGCCCCGCGCCCAGCGATCCAAGCGGCCCCTCTAGCCCCGGCGGCTCCTTTGTGCCGGCCCCGAACCCGCCCTCTCGGGCCGAGTCCCTGCCCCTGGCGCCGGCGATTGGCCACCGGGCCGCTAGAGGGCGGGGCGCACGGCCGCCGGGGCGCGGTATATAGTAAAGGTAGGGCGGGCGCAGCCAATTCCTCGGCTCCTGGCGGGAGTGCCGGTGGCGCCCCGCAGTCCGCTTGTCCGTCCTTCC
The DNA here is from genome assembly GCF_000001405.40 of Homo sapiens. Classification (NCBI taxonomy): domain Eukaryota; kingdom Metazoa; phylum Chordata; class Mammalia; order Primates; family Hominidae; genus Homo; species Homo sapiens. The sequence continues at coordinate 169,106,384 of NC_000001.11, forward strand.
CTCTCTGACTCTCCTACCCCGGGCCTGTCTCTGCAGAGGTCAGGGGAGGCGGGGGCCCAGCACACGTCCCCAGTGGCAGCGGGAGCGGCAGCTACGGGTTCGCGGAGCCCCCGACCCCCCAAGGGCTAGAGGAGCGCTCGGCGGACCAAAGAAAGCCCGCGAGCGGCTGCGCGCCCACCAATAGGTGCGGGGCTCGGAGCCGCGCAGCCTGCGCCGTCCCTCCCTCCGCCCCCGCCCCGCCGCCGCCGCCGCCGCCGCCTCCCCCTCCTCCTGCTCCTGCCTTGGCTCCTCCGCCGCGCGTCTCGCACTCCGAGAGCCGCAGCGGCAGCGGCGCGTCCTGCCTGCAGAGAGCCAGGCCGGAGAAGCCGAGCGGCGCAGAGGACGCCAGGGCGCGCGCCGCAGCCACCCACCCTCCGGACCGCGGCAGCTGCTGACCCGCCATCGCCATGGCCCGCGGGAAAGCCAAGGAGGAGGGCAGCTGGAAGAAATTCATCTGGAACTCAGAGAAGAAGGAGTTTCTGGGCAGGACCGGTGGCAGTTGGTGTAAGTACGGGGTCCGCAGCTCCCGGCCGCCGCGTCTGATCTTTCCCGGGCGGCGCATCCCCTGCGCAGGGTCCGCGGCCGGTTCCGCACCCACCGCGCTGGCCGGGGTGGCGGGGGCGAGGGTGGTGGACGCTGCTGGGTCGCGCCGGCCTGGGCTTGCAGTCCTGTGCGGAATGCGGTGTCCCCAGAGTGGGGCGCAGGGTCGGGGCTGGAACACGACAGGCGGAAGGTTATGCATATCGTAGCGATCTTGGCTTGGTAATTTGCAGTCTTTCCTACCGTGCATCGGTTGAGCCTTTTACTCCTGGGAATAGTCAGGCTCTGCGAGACTACATTTGTCTCTCCCGTGTCCTGAGTCCTTAAAAAAAAAATGAGATCTGGGGTCTTGAGAGAACCTCGTGAGGTGATGGGATCTAATGCAGACGAGGTTGTGTGTTACAGCATCTTTCTTCTAGTCTAAATACGTATCTCAAAAGAGAGGAAAGAGAAGGGTGGAGAGGAATCCATCCACACTGTAGTATTTCACAGCGATGGCTAAGGATTTCCCTCCATGACCTCCCCTGGAGTCATCACCACCCAGAAATGGTTCAATAAGCTCCATTTCAGGACTCCGATTCTTAGCTTTGGCCCGAAACCTGGCAAAGTCTGGTTGTTTTCAAGGTCTACACAGACAGTTGTGGATCAGTCAGTAGGTTGGGTTGATTATGGTGAAGGGAATATAAACGCAGAGCAGCTGATCTTAAAATATTTTGTGCAGCCTGTTGCTTGGTTGGATAGACTTTTTTCCATCGAAAATTAGATTTCTTGTTTTCAGCCTCTCCGGAAAGGTGACTTTTTTTTTTTTAAAAAAAAGGTCATTTTGAAGGGCAGAGTTGTAGGCGAATCTATGAGTCGTGACTGCGTGAGGGAAGGAGGGAGGGAACTCCCCCTGCTGCATCACTGCCCCCTCCTCCTCCAACATCATCATCATCATCATCATCATCATGACCATCACCACCAACACCACTGGCACCACCACTGCAGTCATTCAGGGAGTCCTGAACAGAGGCCGATTGGTGTTCCTGCTTGGGAGGATCTGTGGGAATCGGCAGGAGAATGAGTCAGGGAAATAGTGCTTAGCTGACATTTTGAAATGGAAGAAGCTGGAATATATGAATTTTTGTAAAGAAAAAAAAATGCAGCCTGTGAGTCTCTCTTGATTGAAAATTAAAGGGTTAATAATGCATCACACTTCAAGGTTAGTCAAGGTGAAGCGTCTTTCCAAGGTGTTACTGGGAAGCATAGGTATCCCTGAGCCATGGAAAATGTAGTTCTTTAATGGCTTTTAGCTTTTGTTTTATATTTTATTTTGGGGAGACTTCTTCATTGAGATTATTGTCATAGTGTCTCAGGCATAAAGGTAGTTTCCTGTGTTTTACTGTGGAAAGGAAAACCTGAAGAACTGTGGGGTGTGTGTAGAATGAACAGCTCCCTGGCAACTCCTTGTAACTTGAGGGAGGCCTGGAAGGTGCACTGCGGTATGGGCACCCTTCTCCCCAGGTTAGCTGGGGCTTCCTTCTCTGGTGGTCTGACCCTGCTGCGTCACAGGGGCAGGGGCTGCATTGACTCTAGGCACATTGTGAAATTTGCCTTCTTGTCTTTTTCCCCTTAGTATAATATGCATCTTTGCTCATTCCAGTTTCATGCTTCTCAGAATAATACTTGCTTTAGAGGGTAAGGCAGTATGGACTGACTCATTTTTAAGCCGACATTTAATGGGCAGCACCTCCATGAGAGAGAGAAAGAGAGACCGTGTGTGTCAATTTTTATGTCTTGATATCCTATCCAGCAAGCTATCAGTATGCTGATTTGTGAATGTAGACCCAGGACTGCTGTACTTGCCTCCTCTTCCCTTCCATGTTCCACGGTACAGGTGCTGGGCTAAAAATCCCCTTTTTGTTTTGTGCTAATATGTCTGCCCCTTTCTGGCAGTGTAAAAACTGTCAGAGCCTCTCTTAGGTAGAAAAGGCGGCAGCAATTACCGTCTCCTACGGAGAAAATGCCCCTTTTCCAGCACTGGGCCCAACATGGATGCCCTTGGGGCGAGGGCAGGATGCCCTTGGCTCGATTTTGCTTATAGGTAGATTTTCACCAAGATGGACGCAGGAGACTCGCCTGTCACCTGCTGGAGAAATCACAGCATGCAAATCACTTTGTGCCTTCTGCCTTTTTATTAGGTTAATACAGACATTGGTAGGTTTTATATTTACAGCTAGGCCTGGATGCCTGCCTGTGACCTTTTGAAGGGTACACACTGTTTGTTTGTTCATTTGTTTGTTTTTCCAAAAAAACCTCTGTATTACTTTTTTTTAAAAGAAGAAAAATTGCGTGAAAGGGAGATGCCTCTGAAGCCTCTCAGCTCCCCTCACAGTGCCACCCCAGATAGTTGGTGTGACTTATCTAGCCTTTTTTTTGGCTAGTGGGGAGCCCCTGGTGGCCTGTGTCTGAGTGAGCCACTGCATAGGCCCCTCTAGTCCTGAGTGCTCCACTCTCTCCCAGTGACCTCACGGCAGTAACTAGGGAGATTTTATCAACTAACATCTCAGAGCAAAAAGGGAAAATTCCTCACTTTTCTTAGGATATCGTGTGGGCAGAATAGAAAGGCTGTCTGTTTCTGAGCTTAATCGGCGTACTTGCAAAATGACTTGTTTTTCCGTTGCTCTTATTTGTATTTTAAACTGTAGCCTCAATTATGTACCCTCTTATGTTGTTAGAATTAGGCATCTGGAGTCCAGGGAATGAGTATAGAGATGTTTCAGTTGTTCGAAGGGGCACATGTAGGTAAGGTAAGAGCACCAAGATGAGGTGGGGGTGGGGGGCAGCAAGAGGAAACTTGAATCAGGGCTACGATAGCTGCCTTGCTGACTGTTACACCAACTCTTGCACCTCTTAGGAGCATTCACTGGAAAAATTTTCCAGATCTCTTGACGTCACAGCGTTGCCATTTGCCTACTGCTGCTTGGATACAGAATGCAGCACTTAACCCTTGTCCTGCGGGGAGGGAGTGATTGAGTTGGGTGCTGTAGTTCTGGATTACACAACCTTTTCTTTCTTCCTTATCTTTACTTCTGTCTTTGCTTTTTTCCTTGTTATTTGCTTTTGATAGAGGAGAAAAAGGATTATGATTAAGCATTTTGCTGTGGTTTTGTGTGTTTTGCTTGTTTTAACAGCTCTGTAGCCTGATTTCCTTTAACTGTTTAGTGCCTGATAGGAAAGTTGGGCTTTTAAATGTATGGACAGGGCAACAAGGCTAATTCCTGCAGTTGTGTACCCACTCCCTCCCTGGCCCCCTCCTACCACATATACTTCTTTTCAATAATACTGTTTTTCAGTGGCTTTTCTCCAAGTACCCTGGCATTTTTAATGCATGAGATCTGGACCTTTTTAGCAGTAACCTAAGGCTCCTTTGTGCAGTCGTGCTTCTGACTCGATAACCTTACAGTTCACTTGTTCCCTGTTTTGCATTCACATTGAGTCGTTTGGCTGGCACAGGACTGCCAGGCAATGCCTAGTACAGCCTGTTACTATGCAGCTAATCAGGGAGATAATCCTTGTAAACCAGTAACTGATAGCCACCCTCATTCCCATCTATGTGTTGAGTCTTTTTTTTTTTTTTTTTTTGCTTTTGCAGCTATTTCAGCCTCCATCCTGTTGTCTTGTTAACTATGGGAAAAAGAAAATGCAGCCCAGCAAGTCAGTCATTATTCTTGTTCCAGTTCCAGAAGATGGAATTAAAATGTGCTGGTCATTTTCACTATAGAATTTTCTTTTTTTCCCCTTGTCTTGTCCTCCGAGGGGAAAGAGTGTGCTTTGTTGATAATACAAACCAAAGGGAGAGTGATAGTAAAAAAAACAGGAGGATATCATCACTGGGTTTCTCAGGATTCATTGCTCTGCCATAGCAAAATAACCCTCAGGCATCTGAGCATTTGGAGAAACAGCAGAGCTTGGATTGTAGTATTTAAATGTCAAGGGATATGCAAGCAAAGAAAACATAGGTCTCTAAGGGAGTATACTGTCATATTTTAAATTCATTGCATAAGCATCCAAACATAGCTCTAGATTTTATTGGTGATCTTCATGATTTTTTTTATAATTTTGAGAATAAAAAATATGGATACTTTTTTTAAAATTTAGGGAATAAAAAAATATAAGGATCCTAGTTCTAGCTGAACATTCCTCCTACCCTTAACCACCTCCCATACACACTGCAAGTGGAGGGCTGCCCAGCTTCTCGATTTTCACCCTGTGTCAGTGGGGTGAGGTGCACTCTTGACGTTGGACAAGGAAGAAATCATGGGACCGGGGGAACCAGGAAGGAAGCTTGTTCATCCGTGGGAAGATTAAACTTTCATTCTGAGCATATGACTGCATCACAGCTTTTTGTTTCTGTTCTTCTTGCAGTTAAGATCCTTCTATTCTACGTAATATTTTATGGCTGCCTGGCTGGCATCTTCATCGGAACCATCCAAGTGATGCTGCTCACCATCAGTGAATTTAAGCCCACATATCAGGACCGAGTGGCCCCGCCAGGTAAAATCCACATGAATAGCTTCATTTCCTTCAGAGATAGCATGGGTGTCACTTTTTCTATTGAGAAAAAATTCTTTGGAAAATTACTCTATAATGTAGTCTTAAAGCAACCATGAAAAGGGAAAAGAGAAACTTCTCTCGGCTGCAGCCAGATGTCCTACCCGCATTGCAGGCAGAGCTCCCACGGGTTGCAGACATCTTATTTGCCCAGTTCTAGAGTGAGGGTGAAGCGTCCTGGTTCTTGGCCAGCCTGCTACCCACCAGCTATGTGACTGTGAACAGATTGAGTTCTGATGGGGGCCTCTGTCTTCTCATTTTTCATATTCTAGGGTTTGGTTAGTGGGATCCTTTCCAGACCTTTTCAACTCTAACAGACATTTTTTTACTTCTTGAGGGGGGCTATGACTCAGGTAAATTCTTTTAAAAAAGTCACTTGGGCTCCTGTTTTAAAAGGTGAACTTATTTTTAGAGATGATAAGAAGCTGTGGAATGGGCAGCTACTCACAGGGAGAGGAGCCATGACTTTAGGGGTCTATTGTCCCACCTGCTGTTAATTTGCAGTTTGAGCTTGAACAAAGTCACTCTTACTTCTCAATATTTATACCCATTGATTTAATAAGCATCTCATTTGCCAGCTTTCTGGTCCCACTTTGTAGTTTAATTAACTGTCTCTTTTAGCTCTTAAAAACTTGGGTGAACAAAAAGATTATCATAAGAAATGCAAACTGCCACACGAGTCCCTGCTGTGACTTGGGTGCCATCAGTGTAGAGCTATGTGTGTCCACACCAGTCGTGAAAGGCCCATGGCCATCATGCCTGATGCTGATAGGACAAGGCAGTGGAATAGCCACAAACGTGAATTTACCATCTGGCTGTTGTAAAAATCATTGTCTGGAGGACCTAGAGAGAAAGTGTTGCATAACTTCCGGGCTCTCACTTACGAATGACCTTGAAGCTGCTGCTGAGGGATGGCAATGACTTGTCCCTTCTCTGCTTTCCCTTGGCAAAGGTTTAGTAACAGCTGTATTTAGGTGACAATCTTCAGATGATCTACGTGGCCCTGAGCAGCCTAGATCAAGGGCTACTGCCTGCCACAGGCTTTTCCTGCGTACCTCCTTGAATGTGGGAAGGATTCACAGAGGAAGATCTTCAAAATACGGAGGTGGCAAGCATTGTTGTGTAGCCCTAAGTCAAATAGTTCTCCACTGTAAGAAAAACTCAAAATATTTCCAGATAAATTTAGAGCTGAGGGATTGGGGAAGTGGAAAAAAAAAATCACGTAAGTAAATAACATAACTTAAACCTGCTTAATAATCCAGTTTCCAGCAACTGTTTTCCACAAGAGGTGGGTCTGTGGAAAGGTTGAAGCAAGAATTCTGGAGTATGCAGAGAAGCTGAAACATGTTTTACGTTGGGTATGGTGATAGGGAAGCATTGTGTCTTTTCATGTCCTCTTCTGCTAGAACTTTGTGGTACCATTAGTTGTAATTTTAATTGGTGCGGATATTTTGTTTTTGTTCTTTGTTATGCCATTTAAAAGTTATTCTTCCATCATGATGTGATTTTATAATTCTTTTTTTTTTTTGAGACAGAGTTTTGCTCTGTCACCTAGGCTGGAGTGCAGTGGCGCAATCTCAGCTCACTGCAGTCTCCGCCTCTCAGGTTCAAGCGATTCTCCTGTCTCAGCCTCCCAAATAGCTGGGATTATAGGCATGCACCACCATGCCTGGCTAATTTTTGTATTTTTAGTAGAGACAAGGTTTCACCATGTTGGCCAGGCTGGTCTCGAACTCCTGGCCTCAGGTGATCCACCCACTTCGGCCTCCCAAAGTGCTGGGAGGTGTGAGCATGAGCTACCATGCCTGGCCTGCTGCTGTTTTATAATTCTTATACTCAAAGCCAAATACGACTACAAAGTCAAATATTTTCTTCAGGAAATTTCCTAGATTAAAAAAAAAAATGGTCCTTGACTATATAAACTTTGAGGAGTCAGCCTTTAATGAAACTAAAAATTCTCTTTGTGCCCTTTGCAGAAAGGAAAATTTAACTTTGGAAAAGAAATAGCCAAAGGGCCCAACCTTGTAAGTAAGGACTTGGAAATGACCTTGCCTGTAAATCAACTGGCTGAAGTGCTCAGTCCTTTCCAACACCCTCTCACGGTGCCTCCCTTCCCTTCCTTCCATCCCCTTCCTAAAAGACATGTTCTTAGTACCTATATTTAGTGTGCTCACAGCAGTTGGACTGACCTGACAAACCCTGACTTCTCCAAAGGAATGCTGGTGGCTCATCTTGGAAAAATGCATTCCTGTCCTGTGGTCTGAGTCACAGGAAAAGTCCTCAGTCCTCCATCTTCCTTGTTCTTTGGCCTGGTAATTTCTGTCTCTTCTTTTCCTCATCCCTTCCCCCATCACCTTTCAGGAGAGTCTAGGCCAGGCCCCTCCTCTTCACCTGCCTTACCCTGTGGGGTTTTTCGGGGGCCTTTACCAAGGGACATGACATTCATATGAAAATGACAGTAACCTTGATCAGGCCAGGCCAGCAGAGTGCCGAACCTTGATCAGGCCAGGCCAGCAGAGTGCCGGCTGCCACAAAGTGCAGCTCTTGGGCCACCCCTTATGGCCCTGTGTTGCCTGAGGACCCTCCTTGGCATTTTTCAATGCCAAGGACCCTCCTTGGCATTTTTCAGAGTACGTGTTAGAAGTTTGTATTTTGCATAGGAAATAACTCCTTAAGTATGCAGACAAACAGTGTGTTTAAGAATACCCTGACAATTTTTTGGCTTCACATTAGTATCTTTAAAGCCTCCATTTTCATGTTTAGTTAAAGAGGGAAAATTGTAAATTTGAGTTAGATACACCTAGTGGGTGTGAAAGTTTGCATATGATTTAAAGATATAAAGACTTACTAATAATATTATCAGCTGAATTTGAGGCATGAATGCAAATCCAGCCTGACTGGGTATTGACTGCCCTTTGTACACCGGAATACCTTGTAGTTGGATCTCTTCTCAATAACGTGTGAATGTGGCCATATCAAGCAGTGGCAATTGTGCAGTGAGTGTATTTGGGCCTGTATGGCGATAATATTGGATAAACTGAGAGGCCAAACATGAAATCTGAGAGGAGAGACTAAACTACAGAATGGAAGTGAAATGTAAGAAAAAATGGTGAATGTGTACAGCTTCTTGGCCCTGAACAATGGTGGCCGTTTAATGCACATGATATTCCTTACAAAGTCGTGTTGCAGCCGGTGTGGTAGCTCATGCCTGTAATCCCAGCACTTTGAGAGACTGAGGCAGGAGGATCCTTTGAAGGCAGGGGTTCAAGACCAGCCTGGGCAACATAGCAAGACCCCATATCCACACACACACAAAAAATTTTTTTAAGTCTCCTGTTAAAAAAAAAGGGGTGGGGCCAGGAGTGGTGACTCACGTCTGTAATCCCAGCACTTCCGAGGCAGGCGGATCATGAGGTCAGGAGATCGAGACCATTCTGGCTAACACAGTGAAACTCCGTCTCTACTAAAAAATACAAAAAATTAGCCTGTCGTAGTGGCGGGCACCTGTAGTCCCAGCTACTCGGAAGGCTGAGGCAGGAGAATGGCGTGAACCCGGGAGGCGGAGCTTGCAGTGAGCCGAAATTGTGCCATTGCACTCCAGCCTGGGTGACAGAGCGAAGACTCCATCTCAAAAAAAAAAAAAAGAAAAAAAAGGGGGGTGGGGAATCATATGCTCTGTGAGAACTAAATGAGATGATAAACATATATAAAGCAAATAGTACTTTATGGTGGCAAAACCAATGGTATTAAGTGTAGGGTAACTGTTGAGAGCAACTTCTGTTTTTTTCTTTTTTTCTTTTTTTTTTTTTTCAAGAGGGAGTCTTCTTCTGTCGCCCAGGCTGGAGTGCAGTGGCATGATCTTGGCTCACTGCAACCTCTGCCCCCTGGGTTCAAGCGATTCTCCTGCCTCAGCCTCCCGAGTAGCTGGGGCTACAGGTGCGCGCCACCATGCCCAGCTAATTTTTGTATTTTTAGTAGAGATGGGGTTTCACCATATTGGTCAGGTTGGTGTCAAACTCCTGACCTCTGGTGATCCACCCGCCTCAGCCTCCCAAAGTGCTGGGATTACAGGCGTGAGCCACCGCACCTGGTCCAGGGTTTTTATAGCCCTATCTTTCTACTAGAAGCAGCAGTTTCTTCTTTTTGGACACTAAATTTCCAGATATGACAGGGATGCTTTGCACACTTAGATTTTCATGGAGTCAATAAAACCTTAGCTTTCCATGGAAATGTTTAAGAGACATTTGGGAAACATGTTTTTAAAAATTTTAAAGTGAATTTAAATGGCATTGTATTTGTTGTGCAGTCTCTCCCTTTAACAAACCCATGCTTGTTGGGTTAGCGCCTGCCAAGCTTTTCTCCAGAGGAGACCCCCTTAGGCAGTCCTGCAGTGCTGCTCTGCAGCATCGCTTCTCATCTGTTGATGCAGTTGGATCTGGGGAGAGACGCAGCAATTAGCTATGCTGGAGAGGGCTGAGCAGGCACAGGCACGCACACCCACGTGCATGCCCACGGACATGCAAGCGTGCACACACACGCATGCTCATGGATATACACACACACTCAGGCTACCAAGCCCTGGCCCTGATTTGACCCTGCTTGCCTTGCTGCCTGCCCAGTGGTGTAATGGAAAAGTCTCTTCTTCACATCCGCCATTGCCCTTCCCCCACCTCAGGCTCACTTAGCAACAGTGGAGTGAAATGAAGGTCACTGTGTGTCAATCGGTGGGTCCGGGAGATTCCCAGCTGGCTTGCTTCCTGGTAGGCAGGTATGAATGTATGCTGCTGTTCTCTCTTTTAAGGTTGTGGGTGGCTGTTTGTTTAGCTCTGAAGTATAGACGGCTCAGTGCTAGCAGACACATTTTCAAAGGGTCATATTCTTGGCTTGTTGGTAATCAGAATCGGGCAGGAGAAGTGGGGTGGATGCAGACCAGCTGACCACACTGGCACCACCAGCAGTTTCAGTTTCATCTTGATTGTAAAGAGGAAATATCTAATCTTAAAACTCATTAGGGGCCTGGCGCAGTGGCTCATACCTGTATTCCCAGCACTTTGGGAGGCCGAGGCAGGCAGATCACCCGAGGTCAGGATTTTGAGACCAGCCTGGCCAACATGGTGAAACCCCATCTCTACTAAAAATACAAAACTTAGCTAGGCGTGATGGCAGGCACCTCTAATCCCAGTTACTTGGGAGGCTGAGGCAGGAGAATCACTTGAACCCGGAAGGCAGACGTTGCAGTGAGCCAAGATCGTGCCACTGCACTCCAGCCTGGGCAACTAGAGCAAGACTCCATCTAAAAAAAAAAAAACCAAAAACAAAACAAACAAAAAACCCATTAGGGTTCGAGTCATTATCATTCTATCTCAGCTTGATTAAGTAAAATTCCTGAGAAGTCATTATGTCAGTCTCAGAATACCTAATTTTTCCACCCCCCGCAAACTACCTCATACTTGTATTACTATCTCTCACTCACACTTCAAAGGAGAAATAAGGGGAAATTAGAAACATTTGGCTTCCTTATACTTTGGAGGGGTTGTTAGTGCAAAGTGCCAGTAAGGTGTTTCCAGTTAGAATACACTGCTTTGTAATCTCTCAGCTGACGCGATGTATCTGTATACACCCAGCTGTCTCTCACTTTCCCTCTCCTCCTCCCTTCCCACCCTCAAATGGATCCTGTCTACCTGGTCCCAGAATTTGTGGATGAGTTAGCATTGGTGGCAATTAGATTTCCAAAAGCTACTGCACAGCCTTATGACTTGGTAAAGGGTTTGTGGGGGGAACTCTGTTTGGCTTCAACAACTCAACTACCCAGGTGGTGATTTCTTTATTTCTAAAGACAAGGGTACAACTAGTAAGTCATCTCTTGGGTACACAGGAAACCTAATGATTTACTTTAAAATGTTCTTGGAGCCACAGAAAAACAGATCTTACATTGTATGCCCATTGTATGATGAATAAGCAGAACAGAGACCTGATAAGTAGGAAGGACCAGGTAACAAATCTGTGGGAGTGATGGTGGGGGAAAAAAAAAAGCTGGATTTGTGAAGCTTCATTTAAGGATTTTTTGCTGCATTCACCCAAGGGTCATAGAAAGTGGGGTGGAAAGAGCAGTAGCCTGACAGGTCCACTTCTACCATAAAATCTGATGGGGTTATTGGACTGGTTGCTCTTAACTGTTGGTCAGTGCTCTCATGCTAGTAATCTGATGACCAGCTGGTCTGTCGGATGCAGTCAAGACTAGTGAGAAGCTGGGGAGATGAAGGGAACAGGGATGTATCATCCAGCTTTTTCCCACATACATGCATGAGTAGATCTTATCAAATGTCATGTAGAATGCAGTGTCTTGTTTCAGGATATTACTTAACAAATGTTATGTTTTATATCTAGATAAGTCAAATATACTATATGTACTTGCTCTTCAGTTTGGCCTTGAGCATAATTAATGTAAAATACTAGGATTTATCTATTTGTTTATGTTATTCTTTTATAAAAGTGGCACCTTTCCTTTATTGTATTGAGAATAAGCACAATTATGAGCTATACAAAATACCAAGGATTTGCCCCTATGGAATATGCATTTTTAAAGATAGGTCAACTGAACTAAATAACTCCCTGCTTGCCTGAAAGTGAATATACAGCCACAGGAAGAAGAGGACGGATCAGAGAAGAGCCTAAATCAGAGTTCACGGCATTTAGCTTAGACAGGAGGAATGATTTCTTTACCCTGAGTGTTGGTAAACATCCAGATTGGCTGTAGAGACAGTCCGGGGATTCAGTTTTCTAAGACTTTGTAAAGGGAGCAGATTCTGAGTGTCGGAGGGTGTGAATGTGACCCTGCCTGCAGGCAGGGAGATTTATTCCTTGCTAATCTCAGAGCCTGAGTCTGGGAGCTGGAGGCAGAAGGTGAGTCAAAGGTGGCTAGTTTCCAGAAAGTGCAAAGGCGCCTTTTTTCTGTGCCTCTCCCCTTACTTTGCTAGGTAAGTTGATACCAACTCACAGATGTAAAACAAAAATAAACAAACAAAATCCAGAAATATCTTAGGTCCTACAGAGTGGCACTTAAAGGAGAAATTTCTATCTCATATATGTGCGTATGCATACATATGTGTGTGTTTATGTGTACATATACGTGTGAGTATGTATGAATTCATACCTCTGTGTATTTTTTTTAAAATTGGAAATTACTTTTCAACTCGGAATGTATAGGAGACACATGATTTGTGCATGGCTACATTTAAAAGCATTTCTTTGCTTCCTGTGCCCTTCTCAGTCATATGGGTACCTTCCTGGAGGTTTCCATGGGAAATGATTCCTATTTAGAGATTTGATCTAGTGATTTATCAGATGTATTAAATGACAGGTGCAAGCAGCTGTGCATTTGAATAACTTACAAGGTTGAAATGGCTACATTCTAGTTTAAATACTTTAAACTCACATGTAGATTGAGAAATGATGAACTTGCTACATTATAAACCTAAAGAAACAAAATCCTTTCCCTCAAGCCTTTTCCCCCTTGTGCTATCAACACTTACTAAAGCTAAACATGGAGGATCTTCCTTATTTCTCAAGAGATGGGGACCAAAGGCAGGTAAATGTGTCTTTGAAAAGCAAGTGGGAAGCCAGAAGTTTTTTCTAAATCTAAATCTTATGTAAAGTTGAAATACTCATTGAAAACCAAATATTAAAATTTTACATACCCAGATTATGATTTCTGCCTCTTCAAGTGGCTTTGTTAATTAATGATATATAGCTTAAGGCAAATGATCCTATCAGAACAAAGCTGTCTCTAGAGCTCAGGGTGGTTAATGTAAATTCAAGTTTAGAAGACTGGAGAGGGAAAAGGTTAGATTTGTTTCCTGGAATATAACTTGAAATTGCGTGCCAGCGATTGGGTGTTCTGCTGTCTTTGGCCCTCTGGGAGTTACCAGTGCAAACAGAGCTCATCCTTGTCCAGAGTCATAACTAACAACTTTAAGAAGTGGGCAGTAGAAAGAGGGGCATGATGGGAGAAAGCGTCTGGTCTAGTGTGAAATATGACTCATGAGAACTCCAGTCAGCAAGGTGGGATTTGTGCAGCCCTTGGAGAATGTCATGGTTGGAGAATTTGGGTGTGGCCTCAAAATGCAGATGCTCTTCGATTTAGGATGGGGTTATGTTCTAGTAACCCATTGTAAGTCGAAAATACTGTGAGTCAAAAATGCATTTACTAACCCTGCTAAACCCACTGTGAAGCTGAAAAATCATAAGGCAAACATTGTAAGTTGGGAACTGTCTGTAATAATTACCAAATCCAATCCCATTGCTTTCTATCTCTTCTTAACAGTCTGATAATCCTAAAGTAAATGATTTAAAGGATTTGGACATCCTTTCAAAGGTCTTTCATCTTTCTCTTGTGAGTATCTAGTTGCTTTAGAGAAATAACTTGAGAAGAGGAATTTTTCTAATCTTTGGAGAAGACCTCATCAAAAACTGTCCTAATTAAGACTATCCAGAACAGAACAGACCCGGGGGCTGATCTGTGGTAATTTCCAGGAGAAGTTCTCAGGCCATCAGGCTTCGGATAAAGAAAAGAGAGGAGGCAGAGATAGTGGGTGATGGAGTGAGAGACCTTGTGGAAATGTGAGGAAAGAGAGCAGAAGAGCTACTAAGGAGGCAGCGGCCACTTGACTGTGGCGTGGCCTCCTGGACATTTGTTTATGTAGTAAGCATGTGTGAGCTGATTGCATGACCTAAACCCAGACCATCTGTTTTTTTACTGGAAATGACGTTTGGATCAAAAGCTCTGTATCTTAAATGAATGGTCATTAAGGCTTATGTTAGTTACCACCGTCTAAGACCCCTCAGACTCCAGAGGGAAACATGAGCTCACAAAACAGTAAGACATGACTGAGCTTTCTGGGGTTTATCTGTCATTCCTCGGCTCCTTCTACCAAGGTTCTCTGTTACTTAAAATGGAAAGGACAGGGCAGAGGCTTTGGCCTAGGGTCTAATCCAGCTGGGCAAGTCACAGGGTTCTAAGACTCCGTGCTTAGCTGTCTTATGTTTCACCCCTTGCTTTCTTGGTTTCACTAGTTTCTGATGCTTCTGTAAGAGCAAAGTCAAGATTCTTCAAGCAGCCTGCATCTATGTTTCCCTCACAAAGTAATTATAAACTTGACTGGCTTAGATCATGAGCTATGCTTACTGAAAAATTTGGGCTTTCAGGTTGAAAGGGATGTGATTCCATTACTTGGTTTTCATTATTTCTTATTTGCCCCGTCTAGAGAGACATGAGGCCAATTGTGTATATAACTCTCTTCTGGGCCAGTAGTACCACTTCATGTAACAGTAATACCTATTATTTTCACAAATGTGATCTTAGATATTTTTTTTCTTTCTCTTTTTCTTTTCTTTTCTTTTTTTTTTTTTTTGAGACAGAGTCTCGCTCTGTTGCCCAGGCTGGAGTGCAGTGGTGCTGTCTCAGCTCACTGCAACCTCTGCCTCTTGGGCTCAAGCGATTCTCGTGCCTCAGCCTCCCAAGTAGCTGGGATTACAGGCATGTGCTACTATGCCTGGCTAATTTTGTGTTTTTAGTAGAGATGGGGTTTCACCATGTTGGCCAGGCTGGTCTCGAACTCCTGGCCTCAAGTGATCCACCCAACTCATCCTCCCAAAGTTCTGGGATTACAGGCATTAGCCACCATTCCCGGCCATATTCCTAGATGATTAACAACAGAGGCACTTACAAGAAAGATTTGTCATAGTCTATCAGTAAACATGAACTTAGTTTTGGTCATAGCCCCTAGGCTCCTGGGGAATGCACTAGCCTTATCATTTTGTTAGTAAAGAGCCCAGAGGACTGAGTGAGAGTTGCTGATGTTTTGAGTCTGACACATGTCCCCTGGTCACTTTTAATAGTGGAAACCGTGGACTTGACATTGTGAAGGAATGAAAAGCGCTCAGCATAATACCTCCTCCTGTTCTTACTCTCCTTTTTTTTGTGTGGGAGAATCTGAGAAATGGCATCACTATTCCTCATACTCATATCAAAGTAATGGAACCTTGAGCAGCCACTGGAAGAGAGAATGCAAGCAGCCAGAAAGTGAGAGGCAAACCACTGGAGAGGCTCACTGAAGCCAGGCCAGGGAGAACAAGGATGTTTGTGACACTTGCTTCGCAATCCAGGTTTTACCATGTTTACTCTCAACATGACCTTCTAGGGTCACTCCTCCTTTCAGCTTGTTAGGTGAGACTCTCCAAATCTCAGTATCAGGCTTGTTTATATTTTGGCTTTTGCTGCATCCCGCCCTCTGCTGATGGACCACAGCTTGCATAATTGTTGTTTATCACACCAATGTCCCTATGGTCCCCTGGCTGTGGGTCTTCCCCTGACCTTCCCTGAAGGTCAGATGAGATCCCTCCTTGGTTTCTGACATTTGCTCTCCTTCACTTGTCTAGCCATCCACCACCCTCCTGCCTTGTCTTTCCCAAGCCTGGAAACACTGTTTAACCTTGTGTACATAAGTCCATTTCTGTTCCTGACTCCCAAACATCACACAGAATACTTGGAGGAGGTTCCTGCAGACCTCCTGCCTGAGCGATGCACAGGCATTTGTCTCTCTCTCTGGCTGCCTATGCACTGGCTCTTCGGGTGGCCCCTCAGCATGACCGTCCCTCAAGGCTCCATTCTCTCTTGACTCCAGGATTCTCCCATTCTGAATTTTGTTGAGCCTCTGGCTTTGGGTCTGCTGGTGTACTTCCCCCAGGTCCAGGCAAGTCACCTTGACTTAAGTGTCTTATTTACAACTTAAACCAGGAGTGACCCTCCCTACCCGACTTCCCCATTTCACTGGGTAACTCTGTTTACCATTGCTGTCTCAAGCATTAACTATCTGTGGAAGCTTCTGCTCACCTTTATTTTTGCAGGTATCTCTTCTCTTTACAATACTGCTGTTTTGCACCATAAATGATCACAATGCCAATTTTAACATAGAAAAAGATTGTTCAGGGTATATTTAAATTGCTTTAGAAATACTAAAAAATTATGGCTTGTAGGCATTTTTACAAAATTTTAAACTGTAATCTGTGTTTATTTTAAACTGAAGATTTTTATGAGCAAATTCTGCTACTTCCCCTTTGATTCATTTCTATCACTGTTGAAATTTTTGTCCCCCATAATTCTTCAGGTTCTACATCATCCTTTTCAGGATGATTTTTTTTTTTTTTTTTTTTTTTTAATTGCGATAGAGTCTTGCTAGGTTGCCTGGGCTGGTCTTGAACTCCTGGGCTCAAGCGATCCTTCCATCTTGGCCTCCCAAAGTGCTGTGATTACAGGCATGAGCCACTGCACCTGGCCTGAAGATGATTGTTAATGTCCTTAAGTCCTTTGCCCTGGGCACCCCTGTGCCTTGCTCCAGTGATTACTTGTCTTCCTCTCTATCCCTTCCATTCCTCTAGGGAACTACATGTGTGAAAAAGCATATCTATACAACCCCCTGAGCCCACCTCATTATGTAACCACTTTTAAAGCATCCTCAATCACTAGAAAGAATAGCATTTAGTCGAGCCTTACTGATGCCTGCTTCTCAAGCCCTACAAATGGTGCTGCACTCTAGTTATCACTTCCACATTCGTTAACGTCGTTGTCTTCATATCTGAGTCACTGTTGCCACTCTCAGATTATAATTCCCTAGAGAAGCAGTTGTAAGCCAAGGGTGTTTAAAGATCTTTTCGTACTTATTAAACAGATTCTCAAATCTCTTTCTTAGAGATTACGATTTTGCAGGTCTGGAGGGGAGTCTCTGAGACTGCATGTTTGACAAGCCCCTAAATGATAGTGACATAGGTGCTTTCCTGACCTGCTGGGAGGTGGGGGTGGGAAGCCAGGGTAGAGTCACTTATCAAGGATAGTGATGATGTGCCTCCTTATGGGCCCCACACAGAGAGGGGAGATCTGGGAGTGAGGAGTAGAATCAAGTTGCCAGATTTAATAAATAAAAATACAGGGTGCCCACTTAAGTTTGAATTTCAGTTAAACTATATCTCTCTCTCTATATATATATATATTTATATATATCTCTATCTATCTATCTATATATATAGGTTTTTTTTTTTGAGATAGAGTCTCTGTCACCCAGACTGGAGTGCAGTGGCACGATCTTGGCTCACTGCAACCTCCGCCTCCCGGGTTCAAGTGATTCTCCTGCCTCAGCCTCCTGAGTAGCTGGAATTACAGGTGTGTGTCACCATGCCTGGCTAATTTTTGTATTTTTAGTAGAGACGGAGTTTCACCATGTTGGCCAGGCTGGTCTCAAACTCTGGATCTCAGGTGATCCACCCATCTTGGCCTCCCAAAGTGTTGGGATTATAGGCGTGAGCCACCATGCCCGGCCTCAGATAAACAATAATTTTTAAATGTAAGTGTGTCCCACATAGCATTTGGGACATACTTATATTTTTTTAAAAAAATGTTCTTTGCTTATCTAAAATTCAAATGTAACCAGGCATCTTTTATTTGGCAGTCCTACAATAAAATGCAGTTGTGATGGACTTTTCCAACCATTGCTCCTGAGTAGTGCTGTGTAGTGTGGTTCACATACCCATCTAGGAAGTCTCATGAAGGCAGCGGCTTTTGGATATTAAAGAATGTAACAGAGTTTTAGAGAGTGCAAACCCAAGGCATACGGACTTTGAATTTTATCTGACCGGCACTGACATGCTGAGACTTTCAGATTGGAAAGCATTTGTGGTTACTGCATGTATGTCCCAAATTCTTCCCGTTTAGTTTAAAAGATCCAAAGAAATATCTTGGTTAGGTAGGCTTGAGTCTAGAGAATTTGGAATGGTTATACATTTACTGACAATAAGGATTATAAAAGAAGACCTCTGTGTCCAAGGCTTACACGTAATTAGGGAGGGTAAAGCCACCTGCACACAATGCTAGCTAGCAGGGTATTTTAAAAAACTGTGCACGTTGGGGTACTAGAAACATAATGGGCTTTGGAGTACAGCACACCTGGGTTGGAATTCTGGTTCTACCACTTTCTGTGCAGCCTTGGCCCAGGTAGTTAATCTTTCAGTGCAAGCAGTGTTGTCATTCATAAAATGGAGGTGATGCCTACCATGAAGTGTTGCTATGGAAATTAACTGATCTGTGATATTAAAGCATAGTCACTGGTACTTGGGGTTACCTAATCTAAATGCCAGAGGAGTGATTTAACAAGGGAGGCAAGACCCTTTCTTTTTAGCCAAGTGGAGTTAGCAAAGTATGTTTTGTATGTGGAAAGTCTACTTTTGAATTGTCTTCGTTTCTGCCTTCCTACTAATGTTTTTCTCTCTGCCTGGTCTAGGATTAACACAGATTCCTCAGATCCAGAAGACTGAAATTTCCTTTCGTCCTAATGATCCCAAGAGCTATGAGGCATATGTACTGAACATAGTTAGGTTCCTGGAAAAGTACAAAGATTCAGCCCAGAGGGATGACATGATTTTTGAAGATTGTGGCGGTAAGTAGACTCATTGTAGATGTCTGTGGCTAGTTTTCTTTCTCTTTAACTCTTATTTCCCACTTCTATTTTTTGTTTAATGATCGAGAGATAATCCTGAAATAATGAAAGATTGAACTCTGGCCATATTTAGACACTTTTTTTAAAAAAAGCAGGAAGACACAATGAAAAACAGTACAGCCTCAAGTATGACTGTTTTCTGCATTGGAAAGGTGTCTTACTTTAAAACACTCCTAGGTACTATTTTTTACTATTCAGAGCCAAGACAGCAATTCCGGTTTTCTTTCTCTTACATCCGTTGAAAAGTACAGCTACTTATTTCCTTATCTTCCCCCAAAAAGTTCTCCCTATAGAAGAGTGCACAGGGCCTTCTCTCATCAGAAAGACCTTTTGGTGTGATTAGCTATCACTGCACTGGCATTCATGAAGGAGGATGTATGGTCAGGGTATACTTTTATTGATCCTGGTTGGGATAGATAATGAAATATGTGTTAGGCAGCTGATCGTTTTGGATAAGGAAATGACTTATGAAGGGTAAAGAGAGGCTCTTAGTTTCATTAAGTCATTGACATGAATACATGTCCTCACTCTTACTACCTGGACTGTGAATTTTCCAGTCCATGTTCTCATTCTTTCCACAAAAAAATACTCTCGCTGGGTGCAGTGGCTCATGCCTGTAATCCTTGCACTTTGGGAGGCTGAGGAGGGAGGATTGCTTGAGCCTAGGAGTTCGAGACCAACCTGGGCAACACAGTGAGACCCCATCTCTACAAAAAATAAGACAAGTTAGCTGGGTGTGGTGTTGTGTGCCCGTGGTCCCAGCTACTTGGGAGGCTGAAGTGGGAGGATCACTTGAGCCTGGGAGGTCGAGGCTGCAATAAGCCATGATCACGCCACAGCACTCCAGCCTGGGCACCAGTGTGAGACCCTGTCTCAAAAACGTTAAAACAAACAAACAAACATAAAACATCTCTCTGAGTTTTACTAGGTAATATCATCCCTTCTGATTCAATTCAAGCATTTACCAACTCCAGTTCTTTATAAGGCAGGCTGTGGCTTGGTCAGAGTATGGGGCGAATTGCCATTTTAAGTTATTTTGGAAATATTTAGTAACTTAAAAGAACATTTTCAGTGTGAATTTTTCTCATTAGAATTTAAATGAGGTTTTCATCTTACTTTGCAGTAATTAAAAGGCCTGAGGGATAATCAGGGTGAATCACTTCAAGGAGATAGTCTAAATTCAGACTCTTCGCTATTTGAAGGGAAAATAGTTCATTTGTGAATTTAAAAACTATACATAAATTATGGTTTGCATTATTTTCCTCCAGCATGCTATACATTAACTTTGAATTCTATATTCACTTGGTCTTTTTCTGGCTTTTATATGAGGATTGAATTAAAAATGCCAGAATAAAATTTCTCAGTCCAGCAAATGCTTAATGCATAGCTTTAAAAGGCAGAAACTCAAATCAAAAAAGCCTGGGCAACACAGCAAGACCCCAGTCTCTGCAAAATTAAAAAAAACTAGCCACAGGGTGGCACACGCCTGTAGTCCCAGCTACTCAGGATGCTGAGGTGGGAGGATCTTTAGAGCCCAGGAGGTTGAGGCTGCAGTGGGCCATGATCATGCTGCCGCACTCCAACCTAGGCCACGGAGTGAGACCCTGTCTCAAAAAAACCCTTAAGTGGTGGTTGAAAAGGAAAATACCAGTTCCTTTTTAAAAATTCTGACCAAAAAAAAAACCTAGTTCTGAAAATTATTGACAGTCCTTTTGTATTCTGATTATAATATCCCTGTTACTGAGCTAAGCCAGTGTTGACAGTGTGAATGATGCTACTCACGCAGTGTGATCCGTCTCCTTTCAGTCTTCTAAATAGCTGAGTAATCCATTATTTAAAAGAAGGGAAATATTGCCAGAGACTAAATATTACGTGCTGATCAAGTACTATGAAGCTTTGGTGTGGGGCCATATACCAGCTATTCCTTTTGGTAAAATATCTTTTAATATGAGTGAAGAGGTGAGAGATGGTTTTCCTGGAGATCTTGCTTAATTCAGATCATGCATTAAATGCAGAATAGCGTACTCTCAGAATAGGTAACTATGACAAGGAAGACAGTTTCTTTTTCTTAGAACTGCTAAGGGAATTGCTGGTACAATATAAAAGTTGTGTTTTTATTTTTAGATGTGCCCAGTGAACCGAAAGAACGAGGAGACTTTAATCATGAACGAGGAGAGCGAAAGGTCTGCAGATTCAAGCTTGAATGGCTGGGAAATTGCTCTGGATTAAATGATGAAACTTATGGCTACAAAGAGGGCAAACCGTGCATTATTATAAAGCTCAACCGAGTTCTAGGCTTCAAACCTAAGGCAAGTAATATTTTAAATGATAGAATTTAGATGAGTCATTTACACTAAGTACTTAATTGATCTGAGAAGACAATGTAAGATAGTTTTAAAGTATACTCAGTGCTGACTTTGAAACGTAGCCAGTAGAGTAACACCAAAAACTTCTGTATCCACCCTGCAATTCTTGTAGTTAGGACATTAATCTCATTTTCTAAAGTTAAAGGAATTCTGAGAGGCAAAGCTGCATTCTGAAGTGAGTCTGTGGCCCTTTTCTTAATACTCCTGCTCAGTATCCAGATAACAGTTTCTATAACATAAACTCTTTAAAAAAGTAAAAATGGAAAAATATATTTTTTCCCTGGTGGTCTAGTGGTTAGAGAAAAAAAAAAGTTTTTTATTTTTTACTTCATAAAGAATGGATTAAAAAAAAAATTTTAACCCACTTGCATGTATAGTCCAGTTTTGGTCCTCTGGAAGCCACAGGAACATTTCAAAAAAATTGATAATCTGAAAAAATATTTTTTCTGAATTTTATTGCGGAAGTAGAAGTTTAACATCATCTAGGCTGAATTTTGCTAGCCATGCTGTTGGCTTTTTGTATTACTGCAACTTATAATGGATAAACATTACTCTGGATCACTGAAAAATGAGCAAATTGCCATTGCTCACCATTTGGTGAGATTATATTCTCCATAAGAATGGAAAATTTATCGTTGTTGTCTGCTTTTGTAAAGCTGGTCATTTCATCCTCTCCTCCAGATCATGAATTAATGCTGTCCTTTCCCCTTAAGCCTGGCTTCTTCTGGCAGGTTTCCCCCTAATCACCCGTATATGAGCGTTGGCATTATGAGTGTTGTTTCTAATTTTGATAGAAATTGACTGCAGTATATTGAGTTATGTGAACAAACTCATTTCATTTCTGAAATCTGGCACTTTTGTTCATTAATTTTCTATTGAATGCTATTAATTTATTTCTACAATGCTTGTTACCCATGAATAATATTTTCAAAAGAAAATCAACACAGAGATAAAAAGTTTTGTTAACTGAAGGATGCATCAAAGTTCCTTTATTGCCATCAGAGGCAAAAATGAGTAGGTGGGGATGGATGGTTGCCTGGCTGGCTAGTTTGATGGACTGCTGGCAGAAATTAATGTACCTCTCAAAAGGATTTTAAGCTTCTTTCCACATAGACAGGATATAATGGAAGAAAAACGGTGAGAACCATTATGCCAAAATGTATTTGATATTCATATTGCTGGGGAATACTTCACTGAGATCAATCAGCTATTTAGCAGCAAAAGAAATTGTTGTGGCATGGCCAAGAGAAGACTCATCCCATACTTTCTGAGTACCTTGCTTTTGACATTACTCATCGTAGACACTGAATGACATTTGGACCCCACAGAGGCAGTCTAGTCTATTGTGATTGATTTCTTCCCACATCTTTAGAGTTACTTGGTTCAGTGATAAATTCAGCTACTCTTTCTTTTCAGTCCTTTTTTTCTTTTTTCTTTGGTCTCTACTTGGTTATCCATTGCCACTGCCTAATTCATCACCTCCACCCAAATCTCCAACTATTTTGGAGTTATTTTTGTCAGAGATCAGAGTATCCCAGCATCTCACTATCCTCACCATTGGAGGATAGATTCTGGCAACTTCTTAGTGAGCATTTTCTCTACATATTTTTAAAGACAAATACATTGCTGGCAGAAACGTCCCAAAGAGTCAAATCTAGACGATCATTTTCTTGCATCCAAAACAGAGTAGTAGCAAAATAGTAGTTCCTTCCTGATGTGGAACTAATATTTTATCTGACTTTGATTAGACTATGTATGTGTTACATCTCACATCAAGACTCACTTGCTGTGCTGATCTGAGTAAGCAAGTGACTGTCTTCCAGCGAAGTATGTTCATCACACTTCTGAGATAGATTTGAGCCATGGGTGTAGAAGAGGAGGCTCTGGATATTTCATGACAGCAGTAATTTTCAGACTGTCCTCTGGGTCCCTTCAGTGGATTCACCCCTTCAAGACCACCCTTCCTCTTAGGGCAGTGACACCTCTGCCTTTTTTACATATTGGACTTTCCTAAGAAAATTGCAAAGAAACGCTCCTTAAATGGCAGTCTCCCCGACTGGAGATTAAAACAACAAAAAAGGAAAGCCTACTTGAAGTCATGCTTGAGGGAAAAGGATGACATTATTTATTCATGACTCAGGAGGAAAGCCCACGCTTTATAAAAACAGAAATGTCAATCATCTTTCTCATGTAATCTAATCTTAGCAAATAACGAGCATTATATTTTGGGTTGACTTAGTTTTCAGTGTCTTTAAGCAAAGCTTATAATGGGCTACTATTAAAAGTTCCATTTAGTACTGGTTTGCATCACAGCTTAATTGTAGTCGTTATAAACTTGGGCACTTATTTTCATTTCAGCAAAATCACAAACATGACCTTAAATTGGTTAGGGGAGTCATTCATTCTGCTGTCCTGATGTCTTTTGTTATTTTGGTTGACTTACTGTGACCAGTGTGTACTTGTTTGGACTACGGAGTAGTTTTATTTTTCAGAAACTTAAGAAATCATTTACAATCTACTGATCATAATGGGTTTTATTTTTAGCCTCCCAAGAATGAGTCCTTGGAGACTTACCCAGTGATGAAGTATAACCCAAATGTCCTTCCCGTTCAGTGCACTGGCAAGGTAAAGACAAATTTAGGGTTACTGGGGTGGTGGAAGGGTAGGCAGAGGAAGAGGGGAGAATGAAGAAGACTGTTTAAGTGACAGGTAGAATTTTAATAGAAGAAATAAGAAACATTGCTTTCAAGTATAAGTCTCAGTGAGATGAATTGTAGCTATACTAGGTAAAACTTTTTAAAAGAACAGAAAGATGTAATCAGAATAAGACTGATGTCAGTTTCTCCACTGGCATAAGAAACTCAAATATCTGAATTTAATACATTGGGATATTTGCTTATCAGAACTGAGAGGTGAATTAGCCCACAGAAGTACTTTCTGGCCCACAGCATGTATTAAAAATTTGGGGCCAACATTAAAAAAAAATTAATGTCACATAAAAATTAGTGGTTTGGGCTTCTCTTTTAAAAATATTGAAATATCGCCTGGTGCAGTGGCTCACGCCTGTAATCCTAGCACTTTGGGAGGCCGAGATGGGCAGATAATGAGGTCAAGAGTTTGAGACCAGCCTGGCCAACATGGTGAAACCCTGTCTCTACTACACATACAAAAATTAGCTGGGCGTGGCGGCGCGTGCCTGTAATCCCAGCTGAGGACCTGAGGCAGGAGAATCGCTTGGACCTGGGAGGCGGAGGTTGCAGTGAGCTGAGATCACGCCATTGCACTCCAGCCTGGGGACAGAGCAAGACTATCTCAAAAAAAAAAAAAAAAAAAAAAAAAAAATTGAAAGACTAAGGTAACAATTAGTGCATGTTTCCTTTGGATCCAAAAACTAATGGACCGTTTAGAGAGAAAGGCAGAACAAAGAAAGGGAGTTCCCAGACAGTGCTAGCACCAAGCAAGGAAGTGGAGATTGATTTCTCAACAAGAAAATGAGAGGCAAGTAGTAAACTTTGGAGATAATATCACTAGACAGATTATTTACTGGGCCAACAGCAAGGTGTTTCTGCCTTTCAATGTTGGCCTTGTTTCTAGGAGGCTTGAAGAATGCTTATTTGGCATTTGACTCAGCTTCCCCATCCATTTGCACATTGAGAATAGTCTCTTCTTATGACCATTTCTCAAGGCTGCAATGGAATAGACTGAGTAGATGTTCTTTCCTCTCTCAGTAGTTTGCAAACTACTGTGTAGATTGAGTCTTGTTTTTGAGTACACATAGTGATGCATGATGTGAGCCATTAAAATTTCATTTCATTCTGGATTTCAGCGAGATGAAGATAAGGATAAAGTTGGAAATGTGGAGTATTTTGGACTGGGCAACTCCCCTGGTTTTCCTCTGCAGTATTATCCGTACTATGGCAAACTCCTGCAGCCCAAATACCTGCAGCCCCTGCTGGCCGTACAGTTCACCAATCTTACCATGGACACTGAAATTCGCATAGAGTGTAAGGCGTACGGTGAGAACATTGGGTACAGTGAGAAAGACCGTTTTCAGGGACGTTTTGATGTAAAAATTGAAGTTAAGAGCTGATCACAAGCACAAATCTTTCCCACTAGCCATTTAATAAGTTAAAAAAAGATACAAAAACAAAAACCTACTAGTCTTGAACAAACTGTCATACGTATGGGACCTACACTTAATCTATATGCTTTACACTAGCTTTCTGCATTTAATAGGTTAGAATGTAAATTAAAGTGTAGCAATAGCAACAAAATATTTATTCTACTGTAAATGACAAAAGAAAAAGAAAAATTGAGCCTTGGGACGTGCCCATTTTTACTGTAAATTATGATTCCGTAACTGACTTGTAGTAAGCAGTGTTTCTGGCCCCTAAGTATTGCTGCCTTGTGTATTTTATTTAGTGTACAGTACTACAGGTGCATACTCTGGTCATTTTTCAAGCCATGTTTTATTGTATCTGTTTTCTACTTTATGTGAGCAAGGTTTGCTGTCCAAGGTGTAAATATTCAACGGGAATAAAACTGGCATGGTAATTTTTTTTTTTTTTTTTTTTTTGTTTTTTGGCTCTTTCAAAGGTAATGGCCCATCGATGAGCATTTTTAACATACTCCATAGTCTTTTCCTGTGGTGTTAGGTCTTTATTTTTATTTTTTTCCTGGGGGCTGGGGTGGGGGTTTGTCATGGGGGAACTGCCCTTTAAATTTTAAGTGACACTACAGAAAAACACAAAAAGGTGATGGGTTGTGTTATGCTTGTATTGAATGCTGTCTTGACATCTCTTGCCTTGTCCTCCGGTATGTTCTAAAGCTGTGTCTGAGATCTGGATCTGCCCATCACTTTGGCTAGTGACAGGGCTAATTAATTTGCTTTATACATTTTCTTTTACTTTCCTTTTTTCCTTTCTGGAGGCATCACATGCTGGTGCTGTGTCTTTATGAATGTTTTAACCATTTTCATGGTGGAAGAATTTTATATTTATGCAGTTGTACAATTTTATTTTTTTCTGCAAGAAAAAGTGTAATGTATGAAATAAACCAAAGTCACTTGTTTGAAAATAAATCTTTATTTTGAACTTTATAAAAAGCAATGCAGTACCCCATAGACTGGTGTTAAATGTTGTCTACAGTGCAAAATCCATGTTCTAACATATGTAATAATTGCCAGGAGTACAGTGCTCTTGTTGATCTTGTATTCAGTCAGGTTAAAACAACGGACAATAAAAGAATGAACACATTCCTCGTGTGTGATTCACTCTTGTCTAAATGTCCCAACCTGTGACTTCTTTACTTTCCACACCACTAATTATCCAAGATCTTGAAGAAGTATTGAACCTGAAACGGAGAAACACATAATTTCTTAGTTCAGACAAATTTTGGTCTTTTCCACTTAACAGAGTCCAAGAGGTTGGTCAGGACTTCAGACACTGGCATACCCCTTCCCAAAGACACTAAAAGTTAATCAATCAATCAGAGGCAGAGAATCGATGAAGCTCCAGTTTGAAGTTCCATTTAAAAAAATCATCTTGCAGTGCTACTGCTACTTCACTCAGTTTAGAAAACATGAAGTGTTGGTTCCTGCTATTGCTTCACTAGACATATGTGTTAAAAAAAAAAGTTGTTAGCACTTCAGTTTTTAAAAAATGAGGTTAGGTTTGTGGTTCAGTAAATTAAGGTTCATACCTTGCTTTTTGGTTCAGGGATTGGCCTAAGTCCTTATTTAGCTGTATTTAAAAATTAGCCTTAGTGTGAAAGAAGATAAAAAAGCTTTCCAAAAAACATTTTCCAGCTATAATTATTAAAGATTTAGTATCACTTAACTAACATGGGAAATGCCCACACTAAAATCAGGGCATTGTATTTCTGAAACGGAAACCTTTCGCAAAGCCTGTGCAGGCAGAGGAGCTCACACACATCCTTGACGTGGCACTGTGTCTTCAGGGGTGCTGCCCTCTTACAGAGAGACAGATCTGGAGGCCATGGCCGTTTTGGTGAGAAATGCCAGAAACAGCTTCAGTTTCCACCTACTGCTTCATATTTATAATCACAGTAATCTATTTCTCGTTTTGCTATTTCTAGAGCAACAAATTGTGTGATGCGAAATTAGTACCAGAGGAACAATGACTCCACTTAACAAAAAAATAGCAAGGGAACTATGAAAAATGGCACAACTGCTTAACTTTAATAGTTGAAGTCTTTAGGAGACTTCAGTAGTTGAAATGACACAGAAAAATCCTCAAACTAACATACCTACATGAAACTGAGTTTCTCAAAGTAACCCACATTTATGGAAATAGAAGTTTGTCTTGCAGAAACATCAGCTCATTTTGTAAGGTGTATGTGATATTTAAATTTGTGATGCTTGTGAATAAGGGAATGGGGCTTTAGGTCTGAGGAAAGGGGAGCATTCATTCAAACTGGAGGGTATTTTGCATTTTTAAGGCTGCTATAAGGTCACGACCTTGGTGAGACTTAACCTGTTTTCGTATGTATTGTGTACTTTCTGTTCTAAGCCATTGTGTGTGTCTGTAACTTTCTCCAAGATTCTCTCCAAATCTTGCTTCTCTTAATTTCTCCAGATTGTGCCAACCTATTTCCCACTCCTGATCTTTAGTGTTATATCACCACTAGGAGACTGGGGAATGTGGTTTGTGTTCTTAGACTCAACAGATACCTACCATATGCCAAGCATTCTTCTAACAGCTAGTGAGAGATCTATCAGTGAACAAAACAGACAAAACTCCATCTTTTTTCCTCTGCTGCTCATATTCTAGTGTTAACCATTTGCATATTTCTCAGACTCTTCAATACATTTATTATTTCTTTTTAATCAGTTTATTCTGACCCTCAGTAGATGACATATTTCATGGGTGTAGGGACAGTGCCATCTATCTCCCTTGGGGTGTTCTTACATTCAAGAAATGGGTTTTCACACAAGTCCTGTCAAATACTTAATTCCTTACACAATATAAAGGGATTGAGTTTTTCAAAGATAGGCTGACTACTTGGAATGAAAAGCATTTAAATACTGAAGAGAGAAAAAGGATTCTCTTTTCAACCCTTCATATTCTCGGAAGGAAAACTGAAATACCGAGTTAGTATGTCCTCAACCCTGGTTAATTTCCCTTGCAAACAAAGAGGGACAGGCCTTGGTGTCAGAAGCTTTGCCATAAGATGTTACCTAGCTAGGATTTTTAAACTGGTTTTCATTGTATTTTATTACCTTCAATTAAGAATAGTTTAAAACAAGTAGTTTTCCATTTATAGCAGTAAAATAAATTTGTTCAAGTATAGCACTGAATGGATTTAAAGAAAAATAGTAAAATTTCAGGTGGTAAATATGATAAAAAGCATGGAAGTGATAAATGGTTGGCTAAAATTTAGGACTCTGCTTGACAGTATAGCATTTTAGGCCAGGCACAGTGGCTCATGCCTGTATCCTAACACTTTAAGAGTCTGAGGTTGGAGGATCACTTGAGCCCAGGAGTTCAAGATCAGCCTAGACAACATAAGGAGATCCCCCCGTCTCTACAAAAAAAAAAAAAAAAAAAAAAAAAAATAGCCGAGCATGGTGGTACACGCCTGTGATCTCAGCTACTTGGACGTCTGGGGTGGTAGGACAGCTTGAGTCCAGGAGGTTCAAGTCTTCAAGGCTTCGGTAAGCCTGGGCAACAGAGTGAGACCCTGTCTTGAAAAACAAAAACAAAAAAAACAACCAAAAACGGCATTACCCAGAACCTATCTACTTTAGAACAATAGCATGCCCTGTCTGCTCCAGCTGCACCTAATACCAGAGGGAACTGCTCCAACTCCAAATTAAAAACATTATCAGTGATCAGAAACAAAAGTTCCGTTATGAGAACCTTTCAAAGCTCAGTAATAGCTTAAACTCCTGGCTTCTTAAAGGATTAGTAACACTTTGATATCTGTGTATATTTGGCTCACAGAGGAGAACCAAATAACATTACCTTGAAAATCTAGGACTAAGGGACCTTATGAATACAGAGGGAAACTATCCAAGGAACAGACAATAGCAGTTTTAATTGAGTGAATAAAGTGATCTTGGTTTCAAATTCAACTGAGAAAACATGACTTTCTCCTTTTTTCTTTAAGAGGGGGCTACTGTTAACCAGACATGTTATCTGTAGTCCCCTGGGCTCTACACTGAGAAAGATGATCAAGAAATAGATAAGCCTGTTATTCTTCCAACCGATGGTTCCAATGAGCACCCATATCCTAGTCATGTGAAACAAAGGGGTGAAACAAGGCGGGTATCTTGGTTCATGCTTTAATTCTCTATTTTTCTCTGAGGGACTTTCAGCATCAGTCCTTTCTGAGGGATTAAGTATCTTACTAAGGTGTTGACTCTTATTGACTACAGAATTCAGCTCTTTCATTTAGTCACAAAGGCATCCTAGACCCTAAGAGAATGCCCATATTGTAGTAAAGCATACTATCTGTAGCTAGCTTTATCACAAAGCCTTTACAAAACTTGGATTTCATAAAATCATAGGCGGCCTCTAGGGCTATCTTTTCCAAGGAGACACATACATTCCCCCTTAGTGTTGACCCTATACAGACCAGGCAGGAGGTGACACGGGTTAATTTAAAACAGCCAGCCACATATATCGGGCACAGCCAGTGCCCGATATAGTCATTACTTGGTCTGTCTTTTGGAGTGCTTCAAGGAGTATGGAACAATCCTGCAGGAATAGGACATAGGATCCTTTCCTTTTGATAAGGAGCAGGGGTTCTGAAATAACCAGCAGGTAAAGATTAGGCCTTGGGGAGGTTCTGATGAGTCTGCTTTGGAGCCTCTAGACAGCAAGAGAATAGTATAATAGTATAATACAACTCAGGTTATACTGCAGAAAATGAAACATAATAGATGGAGAAGTCCATGCCTACCATAAACGTTTGAAACCTTTGCCTAGAGCAGGCCTTTCTTTTCTTTCATTTGCAAATTTCTCCTGAGCCACCTGCTATGTACCCAGCACTGACAATGAAATGTTGGGGTGGGGTAGAGGTAGGGGGTCACAGGGGAGTGTCCAAACACACTAGGTCCTCATGAAATTTTTACTTTTGTACTTCTAAACGTCTTACATGGTCTAAACTATTCTCATCGATACCACTTCCTTCCCCTCCTTCTTCTGCCATTCATGTAACATATTCAACATATCCAACGGATAATGATACTTGACTACCTATAAGATTAAGTTGAAGGCTCGTTCTGTCTTTATCACCATTAAATTTAAATAAGAACAATAGCTTACATTTATTTACTACTTTATAGTGCATAGTCTAATTTCACATATAAATCTCATTTCCTTCCCAATAGCTTTGTGAAGCTTGTTATTCTTTCATTAGTGTATCAGACACTTTAGAGGTGGAATGCAGGCATCTATTTTCCAATGGTTTTTAATGTTGATTGAGTATCAGAAATGCCTATGGAGTTATATTTTCTTTTAAATAAGAGTACAGATGTGCTTGAACACTTAGAGAATCTATCGCACAGTTGTGGAATTCCAGCACCAAATTAAAATATGTGTGCCTGTGTCACTACACTAGATTTTTGGATAAAATCTAGTCAGTTTGATTGAAGTGCAATTTTGTTAGTGTTCCAATAATATGATACTGAGTTTTAAATATATCAGTGTATTTAGTAGATGACCAACTTTCAACTCACTTGGGCCCCTTACAGCCAAGGCTGGCTGCATGGGCCTGCAGTCTGTGCACGGGGCCACATGCCTAGAAGAGCCTTGTGTTTGGTTTAATGCTCTGCTGCTGCTGTCTTGAAATTCTTAATGAATTTTGAAAAAAAGGCCTGACATTTTTATTCTGCACCAGTTCTGCTTAAAGCCAAGGGCGTCTACTGTAGGGTTGCTTTAGCATGGTTGTCCTAATGACTGAATGAAAAATGTGGTTGAAAAGGCTGCTTTTAAAATAAGCAATGAACAGATCGATGGTTGAGAGTTGGGCGGGTTGGGGAAGGTGCAGGGTGAGGCAGATTATGGAAGGTGTGAGCTGGCAGACTCAGCGGGCATGGAACAGAGGCCCTGTGATGGCGCTCTGCAGCCTTGGGCAGGGGTGAGGAGGGGAGGGCTTATGCTGTGGGGATGGCAAGAGGCAGCTACCAGTAGGGGATGCACATGTGAGCCTTGAATGAACCTTTGCTGGGCTCCCTTTCCCTTTTTGTCTTCCCTCTCCAAGGCACTACTTACTTTTCAGCTCCCAAAATATGGGGCTCAGAAGTGGTCAATAGTGAGGAAAGGAGTGGTAACTGAAAGAAGTCTAGGGTTCTCTGGGTGGAAAGACTCAGAGGAAACATTCAAACCTTGATAGAAAGGAGATGAAAAATCCATCCTTGCCTATTGTTGTAGCTATAGAACCCCAAAAGCCCTTGGGCTGCAGATGTACCCCCCACAAATCTATTTATGGTCTAATTAAAAAATTAAGTTGAACTTAATCATAACAGTGTCTTCTTCAGATATGCTTATCTTCTCCGTAGGTTTAGTTGACATATTTGAAATGTTTTAAGACTAAATGAGCCGGGTGCAGTGGCTCATGCCTGTAATCCCAGCACTTTGGGAGGCCTAGGCGGGTGGATCACCTGAGGTCAGGAGTTTGAGACCAGCCTGGCCAACATGGCGAAACCTCGTTTCTACTAAAAATACAAAAATTAGCTGTGCGTGGTACTGCATGCTTGTAATCCCAGCTACTAGGGAGGCTGAGGCAGGAGAATTGCTTGAACCCCGGGGGTGGAGGTTGCAGTGAGCTGAGATTGTGCCACTGCACTCCAACCTGGGTGACAGGGCGAGACTCCTCAAAAAAATAAATAAATAAAAATAAAAAAAAGACTAAATGAAAATGTCACATTAAAATGACTATACATTTTTCTAATTCTGGAAACCCAATGTCTTCAGAGTTCTCTTTTAAAAACCTCAAGGCCAGGTGCAGTGGCTCACACCTGTAATCCCAGCATTTTGGGAGGCCAAGGCAGGAGGATCACTTGAGCCCAGGAGTTCGAAACTAGCCTGGGCAACATAGAAAGACTCTGTCTCTACAAAAAAATTAACAACAAAAAAAATTAGCTGGGTGTGGTGGTGCACACCTGTAGTCCCAGCCGCTTGGGAGGCTGAGGTGAGGGGATCACTTGAGCCTGGGAAGTCGAGGATGTAATGAGCTAAGATCATGCCAGTGCACTCCAGCCTGGGTGACAGAGCAAGACCCACTCTCTAAAATATATATAGATATGTATATATGAAATTAAAAACTCAAAAGATAAAAACCTCTTGATTCCTCTGACTGCCACCCACTAAGGAGAAAATTCCCTTTTAAAAGCTGGAAGGTAATTATATCTCAGCCCAGAGTAGAGTGGTGCTGACTTTTCTCTTTATGGAAAATATTTACCTTCTTTGCTAATATAACTAAAGGCTACAACTTTCCATAAATTCATCATAAAATTGTGTTTCATGACTCATCATTATCTAGCCCCTTTTGCCTCGAAGATGGTTTTGGTTGTAACTGGTATCTCCCCAGTCTCTCAAAATATGAACAGATGTTTGTTGCTTCTGTTCCCTTCTCCTCCCTACCTGTAATGATTAAAAAGGTATTCTCTGAGAGTTTTCTCATCTCAGTGTGAACTTAGTCATAACAGTAACTTCTTAGTCATAACAGTATCTTCTTAGTCATAACAGTATCTTCTTCAGATATGCTTATCGGTCAATTTTTCCATATTTATATTTTAAATTTTACTCTTAAAAAATGAAGTTCTTGCTACATACCAAATGCTTTAACAGATTATTGTGTGTAATCCTTACAACCACCTTTATGACATTGGTATTATTAGTCCCATTTTCAGTTCATGAGACTCAAGTTTTTTGAGCTAATAATTTGCCTAAAGACATATCACTTTGTTAAATGTCTCTGGTTCAGCCTGTGCTGGTTCAGAGCTCACACTAGGGATGTAGCCTGGCTGTTGGAATTTGACTCCTAGCCCTGCCATCTCCTGGCCAGGTAACCTTGAGCAAGTTACTTAACTTCTTTGTTCCTCAGATTCCACATCTATAATGTAACAATACCTACTATGTAGGTTTGTTGTGAAGTTTAAATGAGGAATTATATGGAAGACATTTAAAATAGTGTCCAGCATAAATATTGCATAATAAATATCACTATTATTGGTTTCCAAATATTCTCCTAATGTTATGGCCCATCCTGCTGTATGTCACTGAACCCAAGTATCTCTGAATAACTCCATCAAGTGCTGACAGCCAGAACTGTCAATTCCAGCTTATCAGATGATAGCATACATAATTATTCAAGTCATGAACAGCAGAGGCAGACTAAGAAAACTTTGAAAACTAAGATAGTAAACAGACGTGAGAACCAAATGCAATATGTGATCCCTGACTGGATCCTGAACCAGAAACTATTTTTCTTCTTTTGCCACAGAAGACATTTGTGGGTAAAAAATGAAGGTCTGTACCTTGATAATAGTATCGTATTAATGTTAACTTCTTGATTCGCAATCACTTTCTGTGGTGACTGTAGATAATATCAGTGTTTTTAGGAAATATACACTGAAGTATTGAGAGATAAAGGGGAATTACATCTATAACATACTGTTAAATATTATAAATAATTAAATTCATATGTACAGAAAGACAGAAGAAAGGATGATTAACATGGTAAAATATTAACATTTGGCAAATATAGGTAAAGGGCTTGTGGAAAGTATTTTTTTAAACTTTTCTATAAGTCTGAAATTATTTCAAAATGGAATGATAAAAATATTAATCAGTAGAAAGAACAGAAAGAGTACTAGATTTGGAGTTGGAAGAATTGAGTTTTATTCTAGCCACTATTTCCTAGTGCTCTTAGGCAAATCATTTAGACTCTCTGAGCCTGTCTCCTAATCTAAAAATTGAAGATAATAAAACCTACCTCATTGGATTTAGTGGGCATGTAAGTTTCTGGGTGAATTTATAAAGTTGTAGCACATTATACAAATAATACTTTTTTAAAAAGGACATATGGCCCCATGTTCCCACTCTGAAACTAGTAGCCCAGGATGGGCTCTGCTACAAATCAGCTACAGTAAAGCTTCAGGGATGGGTTTTCTCAGTTATGAATGCCAAGCAAGCAGAGGGGAAAAACTCAGGTGACCTTGACACTTCCTCTTAGAAATTCATTTTGTGGCTCCCAGAGAAGAAAAGATTTTGACAGGGAACAGTCTATCCTTAAAAAAAAAAAAAAAAGATTTCAAATAAAAGAAATTGTAGATATAAAGACCAGTTCTCAAGATTGGTGATTTTCAACTTGGTTGTACATCACAATCACCCTATGGATCTTTAAAGAACCAAAAAGTAGATGCTTACACCCCCACCCTGGAGAGTCTGATTCATTAGGTCTTGGGTAGGTCCTAGACGTCCACATTTTCAAAGAGCTTCACAGACACTTCTGATGTCCACTGGGGTTGAAAGCCACTGCCCTAGTATTGTTTATAAGGACTAAATAAGATCCTTTATACATAGTGCTCAATAAACATTAACCCTAATCTCATCTTTTCCTTTCTCTGTGCCTCAGAGGAATGACAAACTGAAATTAGAAATGCAGATCTTGTTGACAAATGATTTACAATAAAGTTTCTGGATGAAGAAAAAAAAAGAAAACTACTGTCCTAGATAGTTAGTCAAAGTAGGTGCCTCCGAAATCAGAGCCCAAACCAAGCCCATCTGATATCATTATATGTGATCTGGGGAAAGAATAAAACCCCTCACTTAATTTGGCATTTACTAGTATCCACAGTACCTTGGAGGCACTTAACATGGATAATGTGCCAAGGAGACAGGTAGGCCTCAAAAGATGAAGTGGGGAATATGGGCAGAAAAGCAGAGTAAACTTCAACAGGATTACCTTGGGTATTGATAAGGAAATAAAGCAGGCTTACAAGATGAGTTTTATAAACAATAAACAGTGATTCGGGAAAAGGATCTTGGAGTATGTCCTCGTCATTCCCTGAATACTTGGGCCAAGACTGCTGTCTACGAGGCCATCAATGCTGATATGCTGAGTGTCCTCATAAAGGATGTTGTCAATTAAACCCAAGGAATTACAGTACTCTTTACAAGAAAAACAAACCACAGAATATTTTATTTCTTGGGAAGTTCCTATTGCTATACTTCATACACATTTCAGTTAGAAAAGCTCCAAGACAAAAATAATAGAGTTAGAAAATAGAAATAAAAATTTTTTAGAAGATGGAATGCCTTTTTTTTTATAAGGACAGATGAGAAAAGTGAAAAAGCTCTTAGATTGGATAAAAGCTGAGAGAATACATAATCAGAATTCATGAGATAATGAAGTGAATAGCTGGGATGGACTTTGTCACTTAAAATTGGAAAGAAATTGTGAAAGCATATGCTGAGGTAATTTAAGATTTAAGAGAAAATTACTTCATATATTGCTTCATTTAATTTTTACTGTGAAATGTCATTATTTCTACTCTTCAAGTAGATAAAATGAGTCTGAGAAAGGTAATTTTTCCTAAGTCATGAAGTTGGTAGGAGGAGAAGCTGGGGATTTGAACTCAGACCACCTGACTCCAGAGTCTGTGCCCAGAATCACTATACTCCTGGACCTCCCTTATACTTTAGATTTTCCAGAAGGCTAAGGAAAGCCTATATGGCATAGTAAGATTCAAGTTCAACTTTAAACTTTTGATTTACCTTTGAACTCAAGTTCAAATCAAGTAAAAGTCATTAAGAGCTCAGCTAACATCTTTCTATTCATCACTTCTGTATGCTCACAGCCTTTGGGCTGATTTTGAAATAGAAATGCTAGTCTTGCAATATTTTCAGCTAAGCCAGAATAAGATAAGATGTGTTGTTTTCCTAGGAATTAATTTCTCCATTTCTAGTCTTCAAGTTTTAGTAAAACGATGCTTGATGACTTACAGCAATAAATTCTTAACTGGTAATCAAAAAAGAATAAACTGTACTTCTGTTCATAAATAGAGGAAAGAAAAAGAAGCACCTGCAATTTGATAATTATAATAATTCATTATACTGCTTACAAAGGATACAGAGACAGTATGGCAAACTAGAAAAACCCAGGATTACTAGTTAGGAGAGTAATGTTCTATACACTAAGCCATGCAATTTTAGGTGAGCCATTTTCCTTCTTTGGGCAACACATTCCTCAATGGTAAAACCAAGGTGTCGGATTAGAATTTGATTTCCTCAAAACCTAGAATCATGGAATGTTAGTGCAGGAAAGGGGTTTAGAGGAGGGCCTCTCAATCTTTGTCACCTCATGGTGCACCTAGAAAATGCTCATTCTCGCATGGCATCCTGGAGCCGGCACAGGAAGTGGTTAAGGATTGGAGCTGCTGCCTCCAGGTCTCAGAGGATCAATTATTCAGCTCATTTGTAGGGGAGTCCAAGCTTTGAGAATTACAAGTTCAGCCTCATCATTTTCCACATGGAGAAACTAATGCCTAGACACATTTTATGAATTTATAACAACCCATAAATTAAAGTACATGGTATCAATGTATTTTCAGTTGTTATACTATTATTTAACAAATCTATCCCAACCTGACCCCCTTCAGTCCATTTTCCACATGGTAACTGGAGAGACCTCTTAAAAACTATAAACCTGATTATGTCAACGCCCATTCCCCTCAAGGGTTGCCTCCTGATGTTTTGAGGATAAAGATCCATATTCTTAAAATAGCCCACAAAGCCCTGCATGGCCCAATCTCTATTTCTCCAGTGTCACCTCAGGCTTTTTTTTTTTTTTTTTTGCATTTTATATTTCTTCTTTCCTTTTCTAAAACACACCAACCAATTCCCCGCATAAGGGCTTTAGCAAGTGCTATTTTCTCGGCCTGGAGTCAACTACCTTTTTCCTCAGCTGACACTCATTTCAGGCCTCAGTTCAAATGCCATTTGCTAAAGGAAACCTTTCTTAATCCCCCATCTACACCAGGTTCCCCGATTACAACTCATCCTGTCTTTCACTACACAGCAATAATCAGAATTTATACTTGTCCATTTCCTTTTGTGATTATCTGATTAATGTCTGCCTTCCTCATTAGACTATGAGCCCTGAATGGAATGTGTGTCTGAATAGGAGCTCTTGTTCATTACTGTCTCCTCAGTGCTTACCAATTTCTGGTGTATAGGAAAAGTTCAGTGAAATGTTCAATGAATGAATTTACGGTTTAGTTTTGGCTACAGAAGTCTTCCTGGCAACTTCCATTCATTGCACTGACAGCTCTGTACATCACATTTCTTGTAATATGAAACATGGATATGGTTATGCCTTACTTCACTCTAATTAGTGAACAGTATGGGCATTTACTTAAACTTTTCACTGCAAATATTCTCAACAATTTTTTTTTATTGTGGACAACTTTGAGATCTAATAAGCTACGGACCATTTCCCCCCCAGAATGAATACATCCACAACATTTTGCAAACAATTTCAGCCAGTCAGTCCATGGACTAACCCTATGAATAAATTTCAAACTCCTAAATTTGGCATAAAATAATTATATGACTTGAGCCTTAGCTACCTTTCCATGCTCATCTGCAATTCTCTAATGTCTTTTTAAGCTATGCTATATCAAATTCCATGTAGTTTCCCTACATGGAATTAGGGATTGCTCCTGTGAGTAGCTACTACACTGTAGCCTGGGCAACATAGTGAGACTCCATCTCAGGAAACAAAGACAAAAATAAAAAACCAAGGTAAAGAGCTAAGAGAATGGATACATAATATCCCTCAAATGAGAAGACAAACTGGAATACTAGCAAATAAAATTGAATACTTGCAATGTGTAATTATCCACAAAGGCCATTACAAGAGAATATATTATACAACATACACACTATTTCTTCAGCCTGGAATACTATTCTATGTTTTGTTTTTTTTAACATATCCTCCAATACTTGGAGCAGATTTCATATCTAACAGGAGGCTCATCTGATTCTTGTGCTGAAACCCAATAAGGATCAACCTCCTAGCATTTACTTCCTGATAGGGGCTTTCATGAAACCCAGGAAGGATCAATCTCCTAGCATTTACTTTCTGATGTCAATTTCGATAACAATTTTTCCTGGAGAATGTTAAATTCTTTGAGAATGAGGAGTGTGTCTTATTTAGCCGTAGTGCCTAGAACAGTGAATGGCACAAACAGGCCTTCAATAAATGTATGTTAACCTGAGAAGGACCAAAATTATCAATGTGAGAAGAAGCCAGGCACTGTGGCGTGCACCTGCCATCCCAATTACTGGAAGCTGAAGCAGGAGGATTGCTTCAGCAATTTGTTTATTATACAACAAAGTTATTTTTACCCCAGTAAAATGACTAAAAATTGCATTAGCCTAAGGTATCAATGTCAGTATCAGTTTCTGTTACAGAAAATCATCATGTAAACACTAGAACAATGAATTCTTTATTAAAACAAACTGAAGGCAATACTCAGAAAACGTACCATTATGATGACTTTATGGAAAGATTCAAAGCTATGCTGTGTGCTACTATTGTATAACGTTTTATAATTCTCTCTGCCTTGTGAATAGTAAGCAGCAGATTTTAGCTCTCAGATGGAGATTGTAGAGTAACAAACAAGTTAATGGGTAATGAGAAAAGTGGAGAACTTTGCACGGAAAGATATGTACACTGATATTCCAAGCAAAGAAATTATTTTTGCTGTTTTCAACTTGCGGTTTTTATTCATTTACTCAACAGATTAAGCTATTTCTAACTCTAAGGTTGGTACCAAAGGGGACCAGTATTTATCATTAGAAGAATTACCATTCATTACACAATGGAATATAAGCATAATGCATAATGGACTTTCACAGTGTGATTGGGTAGAATCCAACGAGACGGCTAATTCACTCAATTCTGTTTCACTTACTCTGGTGCTCTTCTCTCTTATGCCAGATTCATTTGTTGTCATAAGGCCAGTTATAGAAGCACAGTGGGAGGCGGGGTGGAGGTGAGGACAGAAGCATTATCAGAAGCTTCCATGGAGGCACAGTTTTTAAAATTACCCACTGAAAATCCATAGATAGCCTCATTGTAGCCTCTTTCCAGCCCCTACTCTTGCTCAGACCATAGTGGTAATGACAGAATGGGAGATATCACTCACTGATAGAGTAGACTATTCTGTAAGATGACAAGGTCAGTAAAAGCAGTAAATAAGGGTGTGCTTACAACAAAGATGGAATTCACAATGTATGTTGACCCGAATTTAAAAACAAGAAATAGAATTATGGAGGAAAATCGAATTGTTATAACCCCTAGAAACAAAAACAGCATCCAGCACAATTGTGAGTGCACAGTGCATACCACAAGAGATGTGAGCTAAATGTGGTATAATATGAGAGTATAGTGGGCCTGAAGAAGAAAGTAAAAAGTGGAGAGATACAGCATTTCATATTATTTTTATTGATTCAGAGGGTACATGTGTAGGTCTGTTACATAGATATATTGTGTGATGGTGAGGTTTGGGCTTCTAGCATACCTGTAACCATAATAGTGAAGATTGTACTCAATAGGCAATTTTTCAATCTTCATCCTCTTCTCACTCTCCCCGCTTTTAGAGTCCCCAGTGTCTATTATTTCCCTATGTATGTCCATGTGTAACCATTGTTTGGCTCCCACTTACAAGTGAGAACACAGCATTTAATATTATCGGAGGGAGAAAAGATCCCATACTACACATTTGTCTCAAATAATAAATACATCTGTGGTTTTTCAAAGAATAAGCCCTAATTTCCAAGGCAGACTTCCTAGTCCATAGCTATACCATGAGATGGAAATTTAAATGCTACAGTGATTTGGGGTGATTCACACAGGCATTCTGTATAAATTAAGCAAAAATGAATGTATTTATCAATAATTACAGATAAACTCACCAAAAGTACAGCCAAAGCCCTTTGGAGTATGACATAATTTAGCAATAAAATCAGGTGGTGTACCTAAGGGACAGACTATAACATACATATTCTTTAAATCCCAGTGACCTCTTCCCAGGGGTTAAATCAGAGGAGTCATATCAAATCCAAGAAATATCATCTTTGAATATATTTCAAAAGCCTCAAATGATTAAACCCAATGACCTTTTAATAAATGTAAAATAAATACACAAGGATATCAGCTCTAGGTCTGCCTTACTCCTTCCCTTCCTTCCACAGCCATTTGTCAATAATCAACTAAGTTACTGATAAACAGAGGCTAGGTTCTTGGGATACAAAGGTAAGACATGGCCCCTGCCCTCAAGGAGTTCACACTAAGGGGTGAACTACACAGAAACAAATAATTATTTAACAATACACCAAGTATGTTAACAGAAGTATGTATAAGGACAATGGGGACAAAGAGGAGAAAGTACTTGTGATTTTGTTCCTCATATGACACATTATTATTAGAATGGGAGATGAGAATTATGTACTTGGTCATTCAACAAATACTGACTATGCCCCTCTCATGGGTAAGCACAGTGAAATCACAGTGAGATCAGAATAATCCTTTGGAATTCCAGGGGCACGTGACCTTCTCTCATCCCCCTCAAGAACTCAAAGGCCTCTTGCTGCTGACAATACAGCAGCTTGATAGTTAAGAATTTTTTAAGGAATAAATAACTTTATATTTTTAATCTAAAACTGAGTTGGACAAGTTTGTGAATAAAAATATCAGTTAATAAGGATAAAACCTAAGTAAATATCTAATCATTCTAATTACTTTTGAGGGAGGCCAAATATTCTGACTCTATTTCCTATTATATCTTCCCTCATGCTTAGTTTTTCTAGTCTCACTCCCCATCCTATCATGAACTCTAAAGAAATAATACTTGTTACATTTAAGATCACACAGAAAGGCAGTGAGGTTAGAGAGTATAAATTCTGGACCCAGATTGCCTGGGTTCAAGTCTGTGCTCTGTTATGTTCTAGCTGTGTGGCCCTGGGGAAGTTGCTTAACTCTTCTATGTTTCAGTTACTCATCTGTAAATGAAGTCGTCAATTAATGCATATAAAACACTTAGACCAATGCTTGGCATATGGCCAGGACTCCCTACAAGCTAGTTAATATTCCTACCATATACATAAAAATAAAAAATCAATAAGCAATAAGAAAGAGTTAATGCAAATAAATTTAATAGCAGAGCTATCTTTTAAACTTCATCAAGAGCATGACTGTATCAAATTCGTAACTATATCAAGTAAGCATTTGCCCAATATGAGATTTAAAAGTAACGACTATAGTAGTTTGGATTTCATCTATGCTTAAGAAAGTGTGACTTTGCTGTGGATAAGATACTTTCAAGATGTTGTCTTATTGCTATCTTTGTGGCTAAATTAACATTCAGATTAAAGGTGAGAAGGATATAGCGATTGTTATAACTTCTTTCACAATTATCTCACAGAAAA
The DNA here is from genome assembly GCF_000001405.40 of Homo sapiens. Classification (NCBI taxonomy): domain Eukaryota; kingdom Metazoa; phylum Chordata; class Mammalia; order Primates; family Hominidae; genus Homo; species Homo sapiens. The sequence goes on from NC_000001.11 coordinate 169,147,931, forward strand.
TTGCTCATACAATATTATTTCTTGAAAGAAATAATTTCAATTTCTTGAAAGAAAATTTCTTTCAAGTTTCTTTTATTTTATTTTTTTTTTGAGACAGAGTCTCGCTCTGTTGCCCAGGCTGGAGTGCAGTGCTTTGATCTCTGCTCACTGCAACCTCCACCTCCTGGGTTTAAGCGATTCTCCTACCTCAGCCTCCTGAGTAACTGGGACTACAGGTGCACATTACCACACCTGGCTAATTTTTGTATTTTTTGTAGAGCCAAGATTTTGCCACGTTGGCCAGACTGGTCTCAAACTCCTGACCTCAAGTGATTGACCTGCCTTGGCCTCCCCAAGTGCTAGGATTACAGGTGTGAACCACTGCACCCGGACTCATTTCTTTAAAAGCTTTCCATAACCTGCAAAACCTTCTCAATACATGTGCTCTTGAAAACATTGAGCCTAATATTTTCCTGTTAGACTAGTCTTCTGTTTCCTCTTAAAACAGGAAAGCCCATAACTGTCTAAAGGACAAAGAACAGTAGTAGGTTTAACAATTTTCACCCTAAAGCCAAAGTGGGAGTAGCTGTAATATTTTATGAATGAAAAACAGGATGAATTCTATTAGGGCAACCATGTTTTAGACTCCTTTCTAAGTCACCTCCTAGAATTTTTAATCAGTCACCTAAGAGTTACTTATTAACTCAAAAACTGCTTAGTCACTGACTGAAAAATGAGGCAGGGAGCAGACCAAAGTCAAGAGTTCAGGGTCAAACTGCAGAGAGCAAAGCACAATGAGTGAATTGGTTTCATCTTTCTCCTCAGTCTTCCAGAGCCAGGAAAATGAAGGGACTGGACAGTGTTGGTGGTTGGTAATGTGAACACAATACCAGCTGTCTTAGGTGAGTAGACACAAAAGTCACAGGTTAAAAAGGGCACTTTGTCTCCCTTACTTGATATGTGGATCAAAGCCATGTACCCATACATGTATTGTCCTTGGCATCTTTTCTCAGTTTTCTCTTTCACAAGATGCCCATACACACAATATATTCTATACCAATGCTCTTCTGGAAGTTCTTTCAACTTCAAGATTACTAGAAATAAGAGCACTAGTGAGCATATCTATTTGTTAGTTTTAAGTAATATTTAACTTGCAGGGCGCAGTGGCTGACGCCTGTAATCCTACTTTGGGAGGCCGAGGTGGGTGGATGACCTGAGGTCAGGAGTTTGAGACCAGCCTGGCTAACATGGTGAAATCCTGTCTCTACCAAAAACACAAACAATAGCCGGGTGTGGTGGTGCATACCTGTAGTCCCAGCTACTCGGGAGGCCAAGGCAGGAGATTTGCTTGAACCTGGGAGGCGGAGGTTGCAGTGAGCCAAGATCCTGCCACTGCACTCCAGCCTGGGTGACAGAGTAAGACTCCATCTCAAAAATAATAAAAAAATAAAATAAATAATATTTAACTAAGAGAAGTTAATATTTTAGTTACACATTTCTCTCTACTGCTAGAGGATTATATTTGGTTATTACAGTATTTCCCCCTTATCCCTAGGGGATACATCCCAAACCCCCAGCGGATACCTGAAACCACATATAGTACCAAACCCTACATATACTATGTTTTTTCTTATACAAACATACCTATGATAAAGTTGAATTTATAAATTATGCACAGTTAAGGGATCAAAAACAGTAACAATACAATAGAACAGTTATAACAATATGCTGTAATTACAGTTATGTTGTGAATGTGGTCTTTCACTTAAAACATCTTAAGTACTGTATTCATCCTTCTTGTGATGATGAAGGGTCAAAGCAGAACAGCATGAGATTGCATCATGCTACTCAGAATGGTGTGTAATTTAAAACTTACGAATTGCTTACTTCTGGAATATTCCATTAAATATTTTTGAACTACAGTTGATTGAGAGTAACTGGGACCAATGGAAAGCAAAACTGTGGATAAGGGGAGATTACTGTGATACTGACTTATTGAATTCGGATTATACAGTTCTGATATGAGCCAGTCTTTTAACATCTTTCTAGTTTATGACTTTGGGTCCCTTCATGATTCTTAATCACTTCCATTCAATTATAAAATACTTATTTTATTAGCTGGGCATGGTGGTGCATGCCTGTAGTCCCAGCTACTTGGAGGCTGACAGTGGAGGACTGCCTGAGCACAGGAATTCAAGGCTGCATTGAGCTATGATTGCACCACTGTACTCTAGCCTGGGTGACAGAATGAGACTCTGTCTCTAGTTTACAATATGTATATATATTGTCTCTAATTTACTCTGTATGTCTGTATGTGTGTGTGTGCATATTAAGCCCATAACAAATATTTTTGTGCTCTATAAGACAGCTGAGAAAAATATATTTAAGAGTCTAAGGGCAAGCTAGTCTATCTGTATACTTGTTATAAAAAAGGTAAGGTATATTGTAAATACATTGCATTTAATGGACAAATAGTTGCTAGTATCTCTCTGGATTTCAAGGGCCCTTGCTAACCCCTTAATTTCTCCATTATGATAAAAGATCAAGAATTGGCCAAACTCACTTAATATATTAACATTACTGAAGATCATCATAGTAAAGGCCTACAAAATAGAGACAAGCATTGCTTAGTGGTGATGGAACAAGCTTTTGATTTTATTTGTTTTTAATAAACAGTAGGCAAAGGGATATTTTGGTTGTCTAGAAAAAACATGTATTCTCACTTCCTTTCTATTAACCAGCTAACTTTTGCCTCTCAAACTTCAGCTACAAAAGGGAATCATCCATGAGTTTAATTGTACTGCCAGGTGACAGACAAGAGGGTTTATATGATGAGAAGAGAGGCTGGAAAAGGAAAAAAAAAAAAAAAAGAGGAGCAAGTTCAGATAGGTACAGAGGCTAGCACCTGGGTACTGACCTTTGAATTTCTTGCAAGGCAATATAATTTGCTCTTCAAACATAAAAGGCTACACTAAAAGAATAAAAGCCTTTTCCCCGCTATGTTCCTATAAAACTTTATTTATGGACATTGAAATTTGCATATCACATACTTTTCATGTGTCACAAAATATTATTCTACTTTTGATGTTTTTCAACCATTTAAACATGTGAAAGCCATTCTTAGCTCATGGGCCGCACAAAAACAGGCAGCAAGGGATGGGCCCTTAGACTAACATTGGTTGACTGCTGGATTGGAGCATTAGAGCTTGGGTATGAGTCCCACCCCAGGGCTTCCAGGAGAGGGGGCCCAGGCTGATGCCATCTCCACCCTCATTGCTCTAGGCGGGAAGGCAGAGCTGGTGCTGTATGAGGTGTGGCTGTAGATCCTGGGCCAGCCCTTCACCAAGGCCTTGGAAGATAAAACCAGTCCTGAGTCCCGGGTGCTTCAGGGGCAGCTGATGAAATGAGTGAAGTGGCAGGATGGAGTGGGAGATCAGGGAAGAGGCCTCGAGGGGATGGAGGATGACTGGACAAGGCTTTGGTAGAACTGTGACCCTCTTCACCCGCTCCTGACTCCCCAGCTGACCACCATCCTCAGACCTCTACAGAACTTGACCTACTGGAGGTGGAGGGATTCCAATGAATCCAGGGTGGCCCTCGGTGACCCAGGGCTCAGAGCTGGACTTGGTTGAGGGCAGGAGGCTGGAAGAGATGACCTCCGCTAGTCCCCCCCAGGCTGTCCAGCCCCCTGAAGCCTGTGATGATCCTTCCACCAGGCCAGACCCACTGACTGCCAGAGTGGGTGCCACCTTCTTGAGGGCTGTGCCAGCCCAGGCCCTTGGGTAAGAATGTGTGCACCAGTGTCTGGACACCCTGTGGGAGGCAGAGGGCCTCTTGGTAGAGATGGTCATTCCAGACCTCGGTCAGTATCTCTTTCCCTCTGCAGACCCCCTCCCTCTGTCTATGTCCTCTGTCCATCTGCCTCCTCCCTCGGGTTCATTGCCCCTACATGACCTGATCTGAAGCCTGCCTCCTCAGCCTGCCTTGCATCCTCATGGGAGCCCTCCCATGATAAATTTCCAATTTATCTTTAAAAATACATTATTTGAAACCAGATTTGTTAAAGCCCATAATCAGTTGAAATGAAAAGAAAATCCAGATTTGTGTGGGTTTTATATTTGGTAAAAAGATAATTAAGTAAGTTCTGACAGTGAAATTAGAGTTTTAACTTAGCTGGGATATCATTTATAAAAGAGCCTAACAGGCCTGACACGAAACAGGCCTGCCATAGAAGTTATATATAGCCTTTCCTTTGACTCTACTATATTTATTTTCTAATGGACAAGTTAAGTATAGAATGGTAAAGATAATAATTTAAAAAGATAATAATAATAACCAATATTTAATTGAATACTTCCTATTCTTATTGTTTTACCTATATCACCTAATCTATTTCTTGCTGCTGCTCTCTGAGGTAAGTACTATTATTATTCCCACCATAAAGATGAGGCAATTCAGGCACAAGAGTTTAACCTGCTTGCTTGGACAGCTAGTAAGTGGCAGAGCTAGAATTCAAACCCAGGTAGTCTGATTCCATATGCATTTGCTGTACTGAAAGTACTTAACCCAGTCTGGGCACAAAGTGAGTGCTTTCTATGATCATCATTGCTTTTATTATTACTGGATTTAAGAAAACTATATTGAATGCCTACCCACTGGAGAATTGAGGAATGAACAAAACACACAAGGTCACTGTTCTCATGGATCATAGAGGACAGGGGAGGAGACAGATACTCTTCAAAGAATTACACCTTGATAGTAGAAATAGATCACTTGAAGGAGAAGAAAATTTCTGAATGGTCCTATTTTAGACTACCAGGTCCTTAAGACTTGTTACTGGATGATCAGAGTATACGCGTCCATTACTCCTATTATCTACTCACCTTAAACTCTGCTGCTTGGTTAAAGTTTTGGAACCTTTATCGAGTCACTTCCCTGTTCAAAAACCTTTGATGGCTTCCAGTTTTCTAGAGCCTAAGTAGCCACTGTGTGTCATACATACCAAGAAACTCCCATCCAGCATTTACAGCAAACATCAGTAATCCATCATGGTGATTTTTTTTTTCTATTTGGTTGTAGTTTTATCAATAAATCAAAAACTGGCACTTGAATTGAAACACTTTTGTCATCGTTGACCTAGTTTGCTGTATAGAAACACTGGTTTTGGACTTAGACAAACTTGGGTTCAAATTTCAGCTCTCTGCCACTCATTGGTGGGGTGATCCTGGCCAAGTCATTTCACCTATGGGAGCCTCACTCTCTTAGCATATAAAATGGAGATAATAGAAACTATTCAACAGAGTTTTTAGGTAATGCAGGTAAACAATTTGGCATAGTACCTGGTATATATTGCTTAGTAAATTAAAGTTATTATTTTTATCACTGTTACCATAATGTTCATTATTGCCATCAGAAAGCTTTCCAAAGTCTCCACAATCTAGCTCTAATTTACATTTCCAAATTTATCTCCCATACTCTACCAAAGGAACCCTCCACTTCAACCAGAGGAACTCAATGTCTCCTAAAACCAGCCTGCCATGTTCTTTTTCTGTGTGTATAAAAATCTGCCTTATTCTTCAAATACCATTTCATTAAATTCATGAAATTTATTTCATGAAATTTTCCTGACCCCCTTCAGCCACACTCATACTGCTCTCCATTGAACTCTCATACTTACTGTTTCTAACACTTCATCATACACTATCTGGTAACATTCTCTTATGCTGGTGTTTAATTTTATATTACAATTTAATTTTACATTTTTTTTTATCTTTTCCATCTAAACCCTCTACTTTTCTTTTTCTTTGAGACAAAGTTTCGTTCTGTCACCCAAGCTGGAGTACAGTGATGTGATCATGGCTCACTGCAATCTCGAACCTCCCAGCCTCAAGAGATCCTACCACCTCAGCCTCCTGACTAGCTGAGACTTTAAACACCTGCCACCATGCTCGGCTAATTTTTTTTTTTTTTTTATTTTTTGTAGAGACATCTCCCTCTGTTGCCCCGACTGGTCTTGAACTCCTGGGCTCAAGTGATCTTCTTGCCTTGGTCTTTCAAAGTGTTGGAATTACAGGTGTGAGCTATTGTGCCCAGTCAAATAGGGATAATCACATTTTATTTTTTGAAACAGAATCTCACTCTGTCATCCAGCTGGAGTACAGTGGCATGATCACAGCTCATGGCAACTTTGACCTCCCAGGCTCAAGCAATCTTCCTGCCTCAGCCTTTGGAGTAGCTGAGACCACAGGTACATGCCACTACACCTGGCTAATTTTTGTATTTCTTTAGAGACTGGGTCTTGCCATGTTGCCCAGGCTGGTCTCAAACTCCTGGGCTCAAGTGATTCTCTCACCTCAGCCTCCGAAAGTGTTGGGATTACAGGTGTGAGCCACTGTGCTGGGCAGAAATGTGTATCTTCAAAACAATACCTGGTGAAATGACTGCGGATTCATATCAATGAATGAATGAAATTTAAATAAAATAACATGTGGTAGTTAACTTAAAATTAAGCCATGGATTAAGGAGATAAAATTAATTTTTAATTCCTCATGTTACATTGAAGAACTCAATATTATAAAAAAATCTCTGGCTTTTTATTTTGAATTTGAAAATCAGAGGCCAAGCACGGTGGCTCACACCTGTAATCCCAGCACTTTGGGAGGCCAAGGTGAGCAGATCAGGAGTTCGAGACCAGCCTGGCCAATATGGTAAAACACCGTCTCTACTAAAAACATGAAAATTAGATGGGCATGGTGGCGTGCACCTGCAGTCCCAGCTACTCAGGAGGCTGAGGCAGAAGAGTCGCTTGAACCCGGGAAGTGGAGGTTGCAGTGAGCTGAGATCAAGCCAGTGCACTCCAGTCTGGGCGACAGAGCAAGACTCTGTCTAAAAAAAAAAAAAAAATCAGAATTTTCTACCTTTGTCCATTAGTCCTAGTTAAATAAATATTTTTAAAAATATTTGTGCCCATGTATAAGTGTTAAAGAATACTCTATTTCTCCAAATAATTATAAAGGATTTTTTCTTTATTTTTAAAATATGTTTTTAAAATTTGTATAATTTAAAAAAATTTTTTTTTAAGATAGAGACAGGGTCTTGCTGTGTTGTCCAGGCTGGTCTTGAACTCCTTGGCTCAAGCAATCCTTCTGCCTCAGCCTCCCAAAGTGCTGGGATTACCACAGCACCTGTCCCAATTTTCTTTAACATAGATAAAATCACCACTCGCAGGACTCAACTAGTTTACATTCCTCTTTGACCTATGAAATGTGATATATGTTTTCCATATCAAGTTTGAATAAAATTATCAATCAAAGACTCCATAAGCATGTGTAACTTAGCCCAGTTGCTCCCAACCACCAGATGGTGAGGGTCTAGGATGACATTTCACTGCTTTCTGGCAAAATGGGAAAAATGAGGGCAACAAAGCAGTGATGAAGCAAGGGTTGGCAGGAGTAGTCCACCCTGGGGAAGGGGCAGTATTTTCTCACTGACGTTGTTTGGAACTGCCTGTTTATGGTGATAACAAAAAGCAGACAAACTATTAGTGGATTCTATTATTGTTTTAAAATGATCTACAGAAGATGCAATGCTGTTTTGCCTGTGCCTGAAGTGGACTGCTTCGACCATCATGCCTTTGGCATGCAATAGCAATAAAGTGAGCTTCAGGTAAAGCTGAATTTATTCAGTTGAAGAGACAGTCCATTATTCTGTGATAAAATGCTGTTGGTGATTAAATGTCCTTTTAAAACAAAACGATGATGATGGGAAACAAATTTTTCTAATGTCTTCATTTGTTAAATTTTAAAAACTTTATCATTGTGTCTATCCCTGAAGTGGGTTTTATTACTGTTTAGTTTTTTTTTTTTTTTTGAAATGTTCCAGGTCTGTGAAATGTCAAATCTGACAACAGCTTGACAAAAATTAATCAAGAGAACAACTTGACTTAATGGAGAGTGCACAGTGTTTTTTGGCTCAGAACAGTGGCTCTCCAAGTGTGGTACTCTAAACCAATAGCATCAGCACTAACTGGGAACTTGTTAGAATGCAAATTCTCAGGCTCTATCTCAGGTCTACTGAACTAGACACTGGGGGGTACAGCCCAGCAATCCGTATTTTTAAAAAGCCCAGCCAGGCATGGTGGCTCACACCTGTAATTTCCAACACTTTGAGAGACCAAGGTGGGACGATTGCTTGAGCCCAGGAGTTCTAGAGCAGCCTGGGCAACACAGGGGGACCCTGTCTCTACAAAAAAAAATTAGTGGGGCATGACGGTGCATGCCTGTGGTCCTAGCTGCTAGGGAGGCTGAGGAGGGATCACTTGAGCCTGGGAGGTCGAGGTTGCAGTGAGCTGTGATCATGCCACTACATTCCAGCCTGGGTGACAGAGTGAGACTCTGTCTCAAAAAAATTAAAAAAAAAATTAAAAAGCCATCCAGGAATTGTGCTACTGTTTGAGAACCATTTCCCAGGGAATAGGTAGAGAAGATGCAAAAAGTGCTGAGACAAAATGCCTGGAGATTCTTAAATGCCCCCTGTAAGGTCACTTTTAGTCCAATGATTGTGTCTATTTATTTTATATGGATTTTCCATAGTTATTAATTAACCAATTTATACAAAATAAATTAATCTAAAATAATCCTAGAGTCTTCGGCAAATGATTTTATAAGTGCCTATATAAAGTGGGATAAATTATATTAAATACAGTTCTTAAGTCATTAAGCTTGTTACTTTTCAGATTCAGAAGGCAGCCTATCTGAAGAAAGGTGGAGCTGGCACTGTACTTGAGAAACAGAAAGACCTATGAACCTGTAACTCCCTTTGAATCTAGCAATGAACTTATGCCCCACTATGACGGGATATAGGAGGGAATGTGAAATTGCTCCTTATCCAAGATTCTTTTATCTGAGAAAACAACCAATGCTGATGAAATACTAACTGGGCCATAAAGAATTACAATTTGATAGCTTAAGGCCTCTTATATTATCATGATGTTTTTACGATGAATGTAGAGACTTCTGAAATATCAGGTTTGAGAAGGAAGAAAAGAATCCATGCAAACCATTCGCTTTCCACATGCACATATTTCAGGTTTTACTTGAATAAACAGCAATGAAAGAAGATGCTGGTGGACGTGGCCTTTTTAATTGATACATAATAATTGTTCACATTTTTGGGATGCTGCAGTGGACTTTTCTGGCAACTGGCAGGTGGAGGGAATGGTGAGATGTGGTACTTGAAAGTGGGGCTCACTCTCATCAGGTCATTGAGACATTTCCGCCACATAAAGAGAGAGAGGGTATGGAGGTGCACTGTCCCCATTCATGATATATTCCCACATGCATTTACTCAACAGACTAAAAGCCTGCAATATGTTAGCAGCTGGAGATACAAAAGTCCCTTATAAGCCCAGGTCCTCAAGGCACTTACACAACCCACAGGGAGAATGACAAGAGTTGGTCCCCTGTACACCTCTGAGCCACATGACCATGCCAAATGGTGAGTGCAGATTTGATGAACCTGCAGATAACTATTTTAAGCTGCAAGAAACCCAGGGCCTCTGCCCTTGTTACCCTCAGCATCCATGCAATACATGCATACCACATATCTCAGGCCTCTCCTCCTCCCTGGGAGGGCAAATGGCAGCCTTCACATTGAGACTTCCCCCCAAAAAATCTGGGTAATCAATCAGGTCATGGCTGGCTCCTTCCACAGAAGCCACAGATTCCCCCATTCAGAGACTGGAGTTCCGTTGGAAGTGTAACAACCCTTGGCTACAATTAAATCCATCTAGAGAGGCTATTGATCCTTTCAAAGTTAAGAGGCTGCTGCTGCTTCCAACTGTCAGTTAAGTCCTGAAAGCAAAACAATCCCTTTGCTGGCCTTCTCACAGGGTCTAGGCTTTCCTCAAAAGCAGAACCAAAGCCGACTTCGAAGAAGTCTGGTGTATGTCTTCTTTTGAGAAGTGTCTGTTCATGTCCTTTTTGATGGAGGTTTTTTATCTTTTTGGTAAATTTGTTTAAGTTTTGTATAAGTGCTGGATATTAGACCTTTGTGAGATGCACAGTTTGCCCAAATTTTCTCCCATTCGATAGGTTGTCTGTTTACTATGTTGATAGGTTCTTTTACAAGTTTTAAAAAAGTCTGGTGTGCCCCTACTCACTGGGACAGTGGTTTCTAAATGCTAGTTTAACTATCAGCCATATCAGAATATCAGAATCACCTGCAACATAAAATACAGTAGTGCCCCCTTATAAGTGGGGAATATGTTCCAGTTCCCCCAGTGGATGCCTGAAACTGTGGATAGTACCGAACTCTATCTATACTACGTTTTTCCATATGTATGAGAGATAAAGTTTAATTTATAAATTAGGCACAGTAAGAGATTAACAATAAAATAGCATAATTATAACAATATACTGTAATATTTCCTCATACTACTCAGAACGGCATACAATTTAAAACTTTTTATTTTTTAATTTTTGCAACCCTGCTCTTTAAGGTACCATACAATTTAAAACTTATAAATTGTTTATTTCTGGAATTTTCCATTTTATATTTTTGGGCCATGGTTGACCATGGGTAACTGAAGCTGTGGAAAGTGAAACCATGAATAACGGGGCTCTACTCTATAGATATAAGGAGCTCATACCAGACCTCCTTAACCAGAATCTTCTATAATAGGGCTCTAGGCTTACATAGTTAAAAAAAACTCTATAGGTGATTTTAATGCATGCCATTGATTGGGAACCGCTGCACTAGGACGGTAGTTCTCAAATTTCATGGGCATCAGAAGCACCTGGAGGGCTTGTTAAAGCACAGATTCCTGGGTCAAATCCCCGAGTTGCTAAGCAGCTGGCCTACAGTGGACCCCGAGAATTTCATTTCCCCTAAGTTCTCAGGTGATGCAGCTGTTCTGGAGCAGGGGAGGACACATAAGAACCACTGCACTAGGGATTAGCTAGGGCCAGTTCCATTGGAAGCCTGTTTACTAGCTAAATGCCTCTTGACCACCTGGAGAAGATACTGCTTTTTACCTTTCCAACATTCATTCTCCCTTTCTTCCTTCTAACAGTATCTTGATTTTTGCTAGTGGGAGCAATGTTCCCAAGTAACAGAACTACATTTACTCACTTCCTTTCTAAAAAGGGGCGGCCACAGTACTAAATCCCAGCAACAACAAAAATCATAACCTGAAGCTGTTGGGTGAGGGCTCTGGTTTTTGGAAAAGCTTAAAGGTGGGCGAGGGAGGAAGTGTTAGCTCAGCTGGCATTCTTCGCCTTTTGCCCTCACTCTTCTTTCTTTATGCCTGGAAAAAAGAAGTGATAACTCGAGTTCTGACAACCATTCTGTGGCAACAAGGCAAAAAGCACATACTAAAGATGATGACGGTACCAAGGAGGAGGAGACTGGGTGACTGATGGTATTACGGAGTTGCCATACCAGTCCCACATGCCTACCTTCAGATCTCAAATTATGGGGCGGAAAAATAAAAGTTCTCATTTTTAAAGATGATTTTAAGGTCTCTATTTACTAGTGACCAGAAAATTAATTATTAATTTGTCACACCCCAACCCACCAACATGGAGGCCATTATATTCACCTCTTTTCTCCGATCCTGCTATTCTCACATGGCTCTGAGATTCTTCTTCCCTTCCCCAATCTCTAACTATTCCTATTGCTTTCTGCAGAACTTCAGTGCCATTGTAAACTCCCTTGAAACTTGAATCTCTTCATAGGCCTCTTAGCCTTAAATGAAACTTGGATATCCCCTAAGGGCATCAATTCCTTGGAGTCCGCAGGATAAGAATCTCTGGCCAGGAGGGTAGGAGTAGTTCTATCCTTTGTCCCAGTGCTACTTTAAGACCTCCTCCCCTTATATATGAACTCCTGACTTTTTGAGGCTTATGCCATCTGGCTAGATCTTTTCTCCTTGTTGCTGTCACACCTTTGGTTCACAAACTTCCCTAGTTTGTGAAAGACTTCAGAATTTGAGTCACCATTTTCTTCTCCACCCTACCTCCTAACCATGATCCTAGGTGATTTCAATGCCACTCAACATGAAAGCTTCTCTCAGTTCCTAGACTTACATATCTCTAGTGACTGATACTGATCTCCACTCCACACTGGCTACCTCCTTCCATGGCCACACCCTGAATCATATCATCCATTACCATGGAAAGCTCCACTTCTGAAGTGTACAGTGACACAGCTCTTTCCCTGTTATTCCTGGGGTCTCTGTAGGTACCTTAGAAAAGCATTCGGTCCCTTGGCCCATCTACTTTATCCCTTTCTTCAAGCACCTCCTGCCATCACATCTTTCCTTGTTTATAACTTCAACTATAGTTGCTAACATCCTCAATTATCTTTCCTCATCGTACCCTCCTGTAAAAACCTCACCCCTGGGCCAAACTGTTCACCAGAAAATAATAACACCATAATACATGTAATCTCCTAAATCAACTGAATTGTAAATACAACCCATAAATATATATTCTGTCATCAGCACTTTCTCCATGGCCACTTCAAACTTTGTCTACTATCTCTTATTCAAGACTCCTGGTACTAGATGTTTTGGAATTTACAATAATAATCTGGAATATATAGTATATATTATATAATACTCCAAGGGGTCTGGGAAGTCACTCATCATCAAATACATTAATATTTTTACAGCAGTGTGAAGAGTCACACTAAATAGGTTAAATAAAAATGATATACATTAAATGTTTTGTCAAGCTACTGAAACAAAACTGTTTAATGATACACAACTTGATATAAGACAGGTTAGGTTTTACCATTAAACTTATGAAAAAACTTTGGTTTTCAGACATTTTTAGATTATTAGATTTTGGTAACACAGATAAAGATGGTACTATCACGTTTGCTTGGGGATAGGCATTAATCTGGATTCATTCCCACAGGCTACCTTTCACATCCAATTAGTCTCTGAGGCTTTCTGTTCTACCCCACTAAATGTCTTTTGAAGCTCACTGCTTCTGGCTATCCCTTCTGCCATAGCAATTCAGGAAACCAGAATTTTCTCCTGAATTACTTAATAGACTTCTACCTAGTCTCTGTCCCCCTAGACTCCACCCACTTGTTTCCCTGCCTGACCCCAGGGCCCTTTCATCTGTTCTCTATACTGCAGCCAGAGTGACCTCTATAACACAGGTATCATTGTGCTATTCCCCTGAGTAAAACATTTATTTGGATCCCTAATGGCCTCAAGATGAAGTTCAGTTGTCTTAATATGACTTTACGAGGCCCCTGCTGATGTTTCCAGCTTTATCTCTTGCCATTTTCTACCTCCTGGTCAAAGCCCCAGTCTTACTGCACTATTTTTAGATCTCTAAGAGAAAGCTGTTTGCTTTTGTATTTGTACAAGTTGTTCCCTCTTTGACAATGTACTACTAAAAATCACAACTCTTCTTCTTTCAAGATAGAAGCTAAAACTAAAGATAAATTATGAGTGTCAGTATGTGCAGAGGCCTGCGTTAATCACGGCCAAGAAATTGGGGCCTGTCCAATCATCTTAGTCACCATGCACCTATGTTTATTTCTGATTAATCCTTGATTCACTATTTTTTCCCCCAGAGTGTACCAGAATAAGAATCCATGCAGAAGTAATTATGTATCCAAATTCAGATTTGATCAACTACTTATGAAACTGACTTTGCAAAGATTATGACAGTGAGAGGAGTCTAGCATAGCTGACTCCATCTTGCTTCTGGCCTCACAGACTGGCTGTCTTCACTCATTCCTGGGTGTCAGCCAAGCTCACCATGAGAGGAACTTAGTCTATAGTTTAACCTGAAAACAAGAACTAACCCCTTCCTGGCTAGGGAACTGAAAACTGTCTTTGTAAAACTAATGAAAAGCCACAATATTAATATTATGGGAGGGGCCTGAATGCTGCTAAAATGTAGACCTAGGTTCTATAATGCTTTACTGCTCAGGGGTCATGTGGTCCAGAGGTCACAAGATTTGTGATCTCCCCAATTGATCCCATAGGTAACATCACTATCGTAAAACCTAAGATTGGTCTTTTGAGATGTTTTTTTTAGATATGCATTCCGGCAACCGATGGACCTCACCTTGACCCTGACTTATGACTCAACTGATCCTGTGGCCCCACCCAGAGGTAGACTCAGCACAAGAGGACCGTTTTCTACATCTCTATGATTTCATCCCCAGTCAGTCAGCAGTACACACTTCCTAGCCCTTGCCCACCAAATTGTCCATAAAAACCTTAACCTTTGATCCTTTGGGGAGACTGATTTGAGTAATAATTCCATCTCTTATGTGGGCGGCCTCTTGTCAATTAAAATGGTAACTTCAATACCACAGTCTTGGTGAACTGATTTTCTCTGTGCAGGGGGCAGGAAGAACCCGTTGGGCAATTAAACTTATACATACAATTAAATATTTTATATGCTTCTTAAAATTTTATAATCACAAAAGTGGTATCACCAAGTTACAGAACATTTAGAAAAAAAAAAACAGGAAAGACCTATGTTTTCATCATCCTATAAAATATTTGCTATACATAACTGTCTCCTGAAAGGTAAGCTCTGTGAAGATAAGAGCCACATGTATTCTGTTTACTGCTGTGTTCTCAGTGAAGTGTTTTAATGTTTAAAAAATATAAATACAGGCCAGGCATGGTGACTCTCACCTATAATCCCAAAACGGTGGGAGGCTAAGGCTGGAGAATTGCTCAAATCCAGGAGTTCAAGACCAGCCTGGGCAACACGATGAGACCCCATCTTTACAAAAAAAAAATTATTTGGGCATGGTCACACAGCCTATAGTCCTAGCCTCTCAGGAGGCTGAGGCAGGAGGATTGCTTGAGCCCAGGAGGTGAAAGCTGCAGTGAGCCATGATCACGACATTGCAATCCAGCCCAGGAGACAGGGTGAGACCTTGTCTCAAAATAATAATAATAATAAAAGTACCTAAATGAATGATTGACCTATCATTTTGGTATACAGAATTAAAATTTGAACATACTTGAATTTTCTACCATATACCCATTCAGCAACATTGAGGTTCTCAATTTTAGTACATGCAAAGTTTTGGTTGTTCCCGTAAGAGAAAATCAGAAAAAGAAGGTCCTTGGAAAAGACCACATGTTTAAAGGTAAAGTGAAAGGCAAAGAAGTAGATATTATTTTCCCCACATAACAATGATTCCCAAAGATGTTTTTCAACGAATCCTGGGGAAAGATGAAGGAAGCAAGGAGAAAGTAAAACTGCCTCTCACAAGTATCACTGGTGACATGAGATGACAACTAACACTGAAGTGGAGAAGAGGGGAGGCGTACACGAGGTTGAGTCATAACATCACAAAGGCATCATTCATTTTCATAGACAAGGGGGAGCCAACAAATGACATCTCGTATGAGTAACGTATGCCATACAGCAAAATAAATTTGCCAGTATCTTGTTAGAACTGTAGGTGGAAGCCATCTAGAAAAATTTCTGATGAGCAAAGGGATAAATGGATCAATTAAATTAGAATCTCTACTTGTTATCTTTAAAGGTGTTAAGGTCATGAAAGTCAAGGAAAAATTCAGAAACTGATCCAGATTGAAAGAGACTAAGGAGAAAACTAAATGCAATGCATGGTCCTGACCTGGATCCTTTTGCTAGCAAAGAACCTTATTGAGACAATTGGTGAAATCTGAGTGGAGTCTAAGGATTAGATGGTAGTAATAAATGAATGTTGATTTCCTTATTTGGATGCTTGTAATGTGATTATGTAAAAAAAAATGCCCTTTTATGTTAAAAATACACACTAAAGGATTCAGAAGTATGCACATAATGTTGATGACTTACTCTCAAATGTTCATAAAAAATTTATTGTACTGTACCTGCAACTTTTCTAAAAGTTTAAAGTTGTTTAAAAAAATTAGAATCTTGGCCAGGCGTGGTAGCTTACATCTGTAATCCCAGCACTTTGGGAAGCCAAGGCGGGCAGATCACAAGGTCAGGCGATCAAGACCATCCTGGCTAACATGGCAAAACCCTGTCTCTACTAAAAATACAAAAAATTAGCTGGGCGTGGTGGCATGCACCTGTAGTCCCAGCTACTCGGGAGGCTGAGGCAGGAGAATAGCTTGAACCCGGGAAGCAGAGGTTGCAGTGAGTCGAGACTGCACCACTGCACTCCAGCCTGGGCAACAGAGCGAGACTCTGTCTCAAAAAAAAAAAAAAAAAATTAGAATCTCTGGGGGTGAGTCTGGACGTCAGTATTTAGAAAACTGGCTAGGTGATTCTGATGTGCAACCAAGGCTAGGAAACACTGTTATAGAGTCTTCTCTATAAAGTGTGACATACTTTTTCACCGAGTGCAAAAAATACAATTTATTTAACTAAACTCTTCCTTCCTTTCTTTCAAAAATCACTTATTGAAGAGCTTTTATATGCCAGGCAAGAAAAAATCTCTTCCCTACTATGTGTACTCACAGTCTCACATGAGCAAACAGACACTGTGCTGTAATAGTAATAATAATAATAACTACTATCATTTGTTGAGCAATTACTATTTGCTAGGCACAATGATATTTGATAGGGCAGGTACTGTTATCTTCGTTTTACAGAGTGAGGAAACCTACGCATAGTGAGATGAGTAACTTGCCCAGGAGTACAGAGCTATTTTGACTTGGCTACACCACTATAGTATAGGAAGGCAAAGTGCTATGAAAACACACATACGGACTGATGCAGACTATGGGTGCCATGGAAGGTTTCTTAGAGGAGGTAAGGTGGGATGTATCTGTAAACATGCGTATTATTTCCATTGTTAATGATCACAAATACTCCTTCCATGAACATCTGTGCAGATAACTTTCCATTTTGTAGTCCTGCTGCCACTCTCTTCCTTTGCTTAGATCCTAAGAAGTAGAATTCTGGGACAAAAGTTATAGAAATATTCCAAGGCTTTCAATATGTTTTGCCCATAGTTGTCACCAGCTATATGAGGGTATCTACTTTACTGTAGCATTGCCAGCAGTGGGCATTATTACTTCAAAAGTTCTTTGCCATTAATAGAAAACTAGTATTTGATTACTCAGCTGAACATTTTACCATCAATGCTATCTTTAACACACAAATTTAAGATCATTGTAGTTACAACCAGCAGAGTATAAGAGAACATTAACAGTGACAGAACATTCTAGAATGTCTCATAAATACCATAATTTATTCCTATAATCACAAAATTGACTGGGTCACAATTAGCAATATTCAAAGAAAACAAATTTCTGTATTCATGCTAAGATCTTTGACCTCTCAAACTTACTATGAGTTCTAGGAGAACAGTAGAAATGAATTGTTTGATCCTATCACAATCCAGCAAGTAAAACATGTTCTATAATTGTTTGCTATAAAAATAAATAAATAAATAAATAAATAAATAAAATAATGGATAATGACAAAATATAAACTGAAGCCATACTTTCTGAGCTCTATACCCATGACACATAGCTCAGTAAACATCACATTAGGGAAAGATTAAAGAGAAGTAGCATGTTCCCCTCTTTCTCTTCTTGCCATATAAATAGGATAACAATATATTCTAGTTTGCGTGTGACAGTTCTGGTTTATGCCTCTTGTCCGAACATCTTTTCTGATTAGAGCTGCCTTTCAAAGGGTGTTTAATTGGGCAATAAATTTTATGGTCACTCTGCATCTAAAGGATGTCCCCCTAATGAAGAGCTGATCCTAGGAACAAAGTGCTCACTGATCAGACAACTTGTCTTGTGTCACTCGGATTTTCACTTTGAAGACCTATAGCCAGATACCTCATTTGGCCTTTATGTATTTTCATAATATTTTATCATCTGAAGCCAAATAATAATCTGAAAGTAGCTAATTGATAAGGGCATCCTTGACTATCTCAGCACTCTTTATTTCATTTTATTGATAAAAGAAGTGAGGCATGGAAAGAAAATGTGACTTATTCAAGTTCATATCAAGAAAATAATCAGCCATATAAGAGGAAGCTACTGATGCTCTAACTTCTGATTTTTGATTAATTCTCTAAACCACACAGTCATTAATGTACACTGAAATCTCCAGTGAAGTTAGATCAGAAAAATTGCAATCATTTAGTAAATGGCTTTGCAAACTACAGGCAGTAATAATCTATTTCAAACAATATGAACAAAATCATAGGCATACCTTAGATAATACTTTTTCCTTTTTTTCCCCTCAGGCCCTCTTGGATAATATTTTTAATGGGTATAAATTTCATGGTTAATAACATTTCAGTCTCATTAAATAAAAGTCTCTATTCAAACCTAGTTGATAGGTCCAAGCTATCAGAAAGTGAGGAAATATTTATTTATAAAATAAGTTAAAATTTAAAATAAACATTTAATCTTTTTGGTTATTAAAAAATAAAGCTTGGTACATTTTTACATTTCACAAGTATGTCTAAATTTCATACAAAGATGCATAATAGATAAGGTTTTACAAATATCTTGGATTATAACAGAAAATCTTAATGGAGCTAACAAAGTCATTTTCTATAACAACAACAAAGAAACTTATGGTGATAAATTTAATAGACTATTACTAAGAACTATATGAAAAAAAGTGACTCTACTGCTTGCATAAAAGGAGAGGCATACCACATATGAAGTTGGAGAAACTCACTATTACAGATATGACATTTCCATATAATTTATAAACATATTGTAATGTCACTGAAAGTCCCACTTGCATTTTGTAGGGGTGGAGTAAAGACCTCGGTAAAAAGTCATTTAAAGTTCATTCGGAGGTTGGCCAGGCGTGGTGGCTCATGCCTGTAATCCCAGAACTTTTCGAGGCTGAGGTGGGTGGATCACCTGAGGTCAGGAGACAGCCTGGCCAACATGGTGAAACTTCATCTCTACTAGAAATACAAAAAATTAGCTGGGCATGGTGGCATGCACCTGTAATCCCAGCTATGCAGGAGGCTGAGGCTGGAGAAATGCTTGAACTCAGGAGGCGGAGGTTGCAGTGAGCCGAGATTGTGCCACTGCACTACAGCCTGGGCGACAGAGTGAGACTCCCTCTCAATAAATAAATAAAAAGTTCATTTGGAGGAATACATTTTAGGGACTAACCAAGAACACTTTTGTAAAGTATAAATAACCTACAATAATAAAAACAGTATTTTGCTGGTACAGATCAATGGAATAAAATAGGAAGTTCAGAAACAGGCAAGGATGTATATAAGTATTCAATAAATGAGAAAGAACAATGAAAGGATGGATGGATTTAGCCATTTAAATAAAATAAATTGTTTATTATTAATAATATTGTGATAGCTGGCTAAATCCATACCTCACACTATATGTCTAATAAATTCCAGGTGGATTGAACATTTCAATGTATGAAAATGAAAACAAAATATTTGGGGAAGGCTTTTCTATGTACAACTTCCAGGACATAATTTTTTTTTAAAAGACTAATAGATTTGATCACATAAAACATAATACTCATTAAAATAAATGTGTATTAAGGATATCAACCATTTTTCTTCATTTAATCACTTAAATTTATTATTTCTTTTTAAATTTCATTTAGCTTATTTTGACACAAAAATTTTAAAATCTATAAGAAGTTAAAAAAATAAAATATTTATTTACAGTTTCCTTCTTGGATTTTGGCCTAGAAATAACTTTCTTAACCCTAAACTGGACCCATTTTCACTTATATTTTCTCAGAATTTTTCATTTCATATTTTATGTTAATTTAAAAGATGAGAGATCAAATATGGCTTTGTTTCATATTAGCTGTCTGGTTTGGGGATGTTACTTAACCTCTCTGAGTCTCAATTTCAGTTTCCTAAAAAAACAGATATAATGAATACCAGCCTATTGGAGTTGCTATGGCAATGAAAAGAAATCATTTATACAACACATGTGTCATGGTAGAATCTGGTTAATAAAGGTGACCAAAATGTTAGCTATCACTTTGAGTGCTATTGTTATACTTGGTAGCTAGTCGGGTATGAGCAGGGCAGGAAAGGGCTCCCATACCTCACACCAGGAGTGTTGGGAGACCATCAGGTGATGGTCAGGTGGTTGTTAACTGTCTCTCTGAAGTAATAATTGGTCACAGCTGGCGCCAGGGAACGGCGGTCTCCTAGTAGATAGAAAACACCTAAAACTGGTGACGAGCGGCTTCTCAATAAGATCTCAGGAGTTGGGCAAGTGGTCAGAAGTAGTGCAAGACCCTGGAGGTATGCCATCATATAAAAACCTCAAGTCAAAAGGTCAAGCCATACACTTGTCTTTCAAGTCACCTGCTTGGCCCTCTTCCAAGTGTACTTTCCTTTCTTTTGTTCCTGCTCTAAAGCTTTTAAGTAAACTTTCACTCCTGCTCTAAAACTTGCCTCAGTCTCTCCTTCTGCCTTATGCTTCCTCAGTTGAATTCTTTCTTCTGAAGAGGCAGATACTGAGGTTGCTGCAGACCCATATGAATTTGCCATGGGTAACACTATCACACTGTATATTAGACTCCTTCCCCGCCTTTTTTGGAGGCAAAGTCTCGCTATGATGTCCAGGGTGGAGTTCAGGGGCTATTCACAAATGCAATCATAGCATACTGTGGCCTTGAACTCCTGGCTTCAAGCAATCCTCCCACTTAAGCCTCCCAAGTTGCTGGGACTCCAGGTGCATGCCACTGAGCCTGGCTAGACTTCTTAATTTCATTGGAAAACAGTTGACCCTTAAACAGTGTGGAGGTATGGGGTACCTATCCCCTGCACAGTGGAAAAATCTACATATAACTTTTGATTCCCCAAAAGCTTAACTACTAATGCTGTTGACCGGGAGCTTCATCGATA
Source organism: Homo sapiens (assembly GCF_000001405.40). Lineage (NCBI taxonomy): Eukaryota > Metazoa > Chordata > Mammalia > Primates > Hominidae > Homo > Homo sapiens. The sequence goes on from NC_000001.11 coordinate 169,168,748, forward strand.
ACAAAAAGTCGATTAACACATAAATAGACTAGTATCTATATATATGTTATGCACTCATAATACACATTTTTTTCTATTTTTTTGATATTTCTAGGCTACAAAGTTCACCCAAGAGTTTTTTCAAATTGTCACAAATCTCCAAACTTTCTAATATATTTATTGAACAAATGAATATATAAGTGGACCAGCACAGTTCAAACATTGTTCAAGGGTCAACTGTATGTATTTTCATGACTAGCAATTTATGGTGATGGTATAGTCACCTGATATAAAAACAAATTTCACAGAATTTAATTATTTTAAAATCAAAATGTATGCCAACCAGAAAAAAATATCTAAATTCTTTGAAAGCTATGCAGCATGCTACAATTTGGTCTTTCAAAGTTGCAGTCCAAAATCATCAGATGGCCAAGTAACAGAGTCATCCAAGGGGAACATCACATACCAGGACTTGTCAGGGGGTGGGGGGGATAGGGGAGGGATAACATTAGGAGAAATACCTAATGTAGGTGATGGGTTGATGGGTGCAACAAACCACCAGGGCACGTGTATACCTATGTAACAAAACTGCACTCTCTGCACATGTAACCTAGAACTTGAAGTATAACAATAAAACAAAAAGTTTTCTTACACATCAGAACTCCTGAGATAATTTATGAGCTTGAAATATAAATAGGATGTTTACCTTCTTTATCTTACCTCTAATAGGCCATCCTCTGGCAGATCAGTACAGTGAACAGCATTCTGGATCTTAGTTTTACCAAAGATTGCTCTGAGAGTTCCAGGGCGTAAATGCCGGGCAATTTCCTATTAAACATACATTCACATATAGATTAATGTTAGTCATATGGTATAAATAAGAAAAACACTAGCTATATGAAACGCTAACTTATTTATGAAATACATGTTATATATAGACAGTGCTTATAAGGGTTTTTCTGTGGCCCAATGTAAAGTCTGCTTTCATCTACATCGGGGAAAAATAATAATTGCATTTCTTTTTATCAATAGATTATGGGAATCACACAAAATGTGAAGCTAGTTCATTACTGTGAAAGACTTGTATTTTATAAAGACAGTAGAGATCTTAACAACTTTGATTTAAAATGAACCAATTTGATGCTATTGATTTCAAAAGCTTTTAAAAAAATGTTAGCTGTATCAACTTAATGGTAGTTCATCTTTAAGAGAAAAAATATGGTCACAAATAGCCCTGAATTTAATGAGGGTTAGAGAGAGGCAAGGGAATGATAATGATGTACAAAAAAATTTAAATTGAGAAAGACAGGAAGAGAGGACCTAGGGGATAAAGAGGTAATTGACAATGAAAAGGTGGATCAATGAATTTGAGCTCCTAGTGGTATGGGATAATTATTGAGATCTGTATGTTAGAAGAAGAGAGCTGGAAAGTTAAAAGATACTCGAGACTGAGATTACTGTGGGTGGGAGGAGAGGGGGCTATAGTGATTGATAATGATCAGTTTTAAGGCATAACCATGGATAAGGTTAGTCTGAGGGCAAGAATGTTAGAAGAAAGAAGAACAACAGATTGAGAGGCCAAGGTCGTAAGTGGGTCACCTCTATGAAAGTGGAAATCAGAAAGAATCATGACAGGTGTAGCTTAGGGTGCAAAGATTCTGAGCAGCACTCACATTTGTGGTTCCATCACTTAAGGATGTTTTAAAGACATGCATTTATTTAATTACTTAAGTTTTATTTGCCAGGGTTCCATCAAATGTCAGCTATAAATGTATTATGTTTAGGAAAAACATTTTGATAAAGTAGAAAATAAGGATGTCTTTATATTTTATTTCATATTTATTACTTTCATTCTGTTCTCCGTAATTTTTCTAGCAAGTAAGTATCCAATATTAAAAACCTACTCAGCTGCGCGTGGTGGCCCACACCTGTAATCCCAACACTTTCAGAGGTAGAGGTGAGTGAATCATTTGTGGTCAGGAGTTCGAGACCAGCCTGGCTAACATGGTGAAGCCCTGTCTCAACATGGTGAAACCCTGTCTCTACAAAAATTAGCTGGGCATGGTGGTGCGTGCCTGTAATACCAGATATTTAGGAGGCTCAGGCAGGAGAATCACCTGAACCTGGGAGATGGAGGTTGCAGTGAGCCGAGACTGTGCATTGCACTCCAGCCTGGACGACAGATCAGACTCCATCTCAGAAAACAAGCAGAAGCCTTACTCTGCTTATATAGTGGGAAGCTGTCATTTTGTGACATAAGATGTAATTTATGAAATTGTGAAAAGTGAGTACTAACGTTCTTTTTCTTATTTCCGGTCAGGGAAAAAAACACTTTTAAATTACTCAGTTCCAGTAAACTGTTTTATTAGAACCTATTCTCTATCAAATTTTGTTTGATGGCCAGGCTCATACCTATAATCGGCACTTTGGGAGGAGTTTGAGAGCAGCCTTGGCAACACAGAGAGACCCCGTTGCTACAAAAAATACAAAAATTAGCCAGGTGTAGTGGTGCACGCCTGTAGTCCCAGCTACTTGGGAGGCTGTGTGGGAGGATGGCTTGAGCCTGTGAGGTCGAGGCTGCAGTGAGCCAAAATGACACCACTGCACTCCAGCCTGGGTTGTCAGACAGAGTAGGACCCTGTCTCAAAAAAAGAAAATTTTATTTAACTTGCACTACATTCATTAAAAGATTACTTTCATATAAGTGTCTGCTACATGCACAGCACTTGAAATCTGAAGAGGTTCATGTGTGTTGGCCTAGCGCGGTGGATCATGCCTGTAATCCCAGCACTTTGGGAGGCCGAGGCGGGTGGATCACCTGAGGTCAGGAGTTAGAGACCAGCCTGATCAACATGGTGAAACCCTGTTTCTACTAAAAATACAAAAATTAGCAGGGCATGGTGGCACGCACCTGTAGTCTCAGCTACTTGGGGGGCTGAGGCAGAAGAATGGCTTGAACCCGGCGGTGCGGAGGTTGCAGTGAGCCGAGATCACGCCACTGCACTCCAGCCTGGGTGAAAGAGCGAGATTCCATCTCAAAAACAACAACAACAACAAAAATGGTTGGTAATTCCTGGCTGTTTTTTTTTTTTTCTTTTTTTTTATGAGTTCTCTATTTGCTTGTCATAGATGCCAGGGACATGCTGCTAGATGAGGTATTCTGGTTGCCTTCCTTTCAGAAGGGGGTGCTACCATTTTTCCTGAGTGTTATTAGCTGCCTTCCCATTGCTCTGCCTCTTTAGCTCAAGCCCCACATTCAGTGCCTTAGGCTGTGGCTAAAAGTATCAACTGCCTTCTGCTCAATGTAAGCAAGCAAATGTGAAGGCGCTGATTTACTCTGCTGCTCTTCATGCAGCCCTCCAACTAACCACCCTGCTTAAGGCCCCATGCCCTTCCTCAGCCTTGCATCCATATGTCTGATGTGCAGCCCACCCAGTACCCCTACCCCTTCTGGAGCAGTTCTCTCCTGCACGTTTTAGAGTGTTGGTTTTCCTCAACGATACAATCCTATCTGCTTTGAGTCTTTTGAAGTTTATGGCCTGTAACAAAACTAAAAAAAAACAAAAAAAAAACAAACCCACAAAAACAAAAACATACGTGTGTGTGTGTGTGTGTGTGTGTGTGTGTGTATGTGTATGTGTGTACTCTTCCTTGTTTTCCAGCATCACTGGAGATTTACTCTTTAAAACAACACACAGTGAAACAGTATCTCCTGTAAATTCCTGTAAGGACTTGGTAAGCAAGGGGATGATGGGCACATATGGTCTTCTGCCATCTTCATGACACTTCATCTTACTGACATTCTCTATTTCTCCAACACAACAAACCATCTTTAGTTCATTTTTCATGCTGCTATAATTTTGTACCTAAATGCCAATACGATCATGTTATTTACTTGCTCAAAAAATCTTTGAAGGCTCATAATTGCCTATGGCCAAATGTCTAAACTCCCCAGTGTGGCATTCAAGGTCCTCCCCATTCTTGCCTAAATCTACCTCACTCACACCTGCCTTGAAAGCTTACACATCCCAGTGAAAACACTGTTTCCTCTATAAAAGCAAATTAAGCCTTCCCAATCAGAGTAATCCTTGCTTCTTCAATGTTCCTACAGTAGTTTACACTTCCAATATAGGCCTTCTTGACTTGCAATTTATATAGTTGTTTTGTGAGCCTATTTTAGTAAGATCCCATTAGATTTCAATCCCTGAACACAATATAAAACTTCCCTTATATTCTGTATCTTACTAATGAACACACAGTAAATGTTTGGTAAATATTTGTTGACTGATATAAAATGACAGTACTTCTATTCAGAGTGTCAGGATGGAGTAGCAAATAAGGGTGGGGGCTGTGGAAAAAGGCTCTCTGGATTTGAATTTTGCCTCTGCCACTTAACAGTTGTGTGACCACACCACATTATTTAACCTCTCTATGCCTGCTTTAATGTTCTTATTTGTAAGACAAGGATAAAATAGAATCTGTCTTAAGGAGATTAAGACAATTCTTAAAGAGACAGAAAGGTATGTTTTGACAAATATCAAAGATAATCTAACCAAATATTATATTATCTTTAAATAAATATATAACATCTCTTAAGAGTTGTAATCGTCATAGTTTTAGAATAAAGGTATAAGTTTAGATTAGATCATAAGCTAATTATGACCTATTATTATCCATTAATAAACCTCAGAAAACATGAAGTATTTTTACTGATATAAAATGTTTTATTTAGGTAAATGATAACAATGAAACTTAAAGATATAAAACAATAGGTATTTTCTTCATATCTGCTCTTAAAATCTAGGCTTTCATGTTAGATCCTCTTTAAAAAAGGTATTGATAAATTAATTTTAGTTTTGATTAGTATAAAATATCACATATGCTTATAAAGTAAAAAATATTGAAATACTAAAAAATACAAAAATATTAAAAAATACTAAAAGTGAGAGTGAAATAATAACAGCACTTCCCCCCTCCATTTCCTGATGGATTGTCCCTAATTTTTTCTAACAGATTTACATTCCTCTTGCTGCTTAAACTCTGGTGAAGACCATACTACCACGCATAGTTCCCCTCCCTTCAAGGAGCAGAAGCAATTATGAGATCATAAAAGCAACACAAAGTACCAACATATAATTTCATCTAATACCATAAATAATTCTTAAAAAGTTATTGCAGTATTTATAAATAACAGGTTATGCTGAGAAAATCAGACTCATTAAAGAGCGATACTTATTTGTACTTGGAGGGTCAGCAGTCTTTCAAATTCCACAAAATTCCAGGCATATTCATCCTCCCCTAAAACCTTGCATGCTGAGTCCCATCAAGTCAAATTCTTGGCTATGTTACAGCTCATCATAAGTACTAAAAATTCTGCTCAGGTAATCCTGCTGTGGGAGGAAGAATTCTGACTTATAGAATGACTTCTAAATCTAAGATATCAAAAAAATGCACCAAATATAGAATAGTGATTGGCAAAATACTGAAAATAAAGAAGGGAATATTTATTTAATTATTCTATGGCTGTGTTATTGTAAAGAATGTCACTGTTTATTGAATAGGTCTATCAGATTGATAAAATATGTCTGGACAAAGAATAACTTACTTCCATAATAAAGCCACTCAGTTTCAGTTCTCCACAACACAGAAGAGATATGTAAGAATTGAAAATGCCCTTCTATTTAAGAAACAAATTAAACTAGAAAAAGATTTATGAAATTTACTAATTACAGAAAAAGATCAACTGTAGAATATATTCAGATACAGTCATGCATTGCTTAACAACAGAGATATAGTCTAAGAAATGCATCATTAGGTGATTTCCTCATTGTGTGAACATCATAGAGTGTACTTACACAAACCTAGATGATATAGCCTACTACACATCTAGGCTATATAATTTGCTACTAGGCTATAAACTTGTATAGCATGTTGCTATACTGAATATTGTAGGCAACTGTAACACAATGATAAATATTTGTGTATCTACACATATCTAAACAGAAAAGGTACAGTAAAAATATGGTAAAAAATGATGTAGACCTATAGAGGGCACTTACCATGAATGGAGCTTGTAGGACTAGCAGTTGCTCTAGGTGAGTCCGTGAGTGAGTGGTGAGTGAGTGTGAGGGCCTAGGACATTACTGTATACTACTGCAGACTTTATAAAACACTGTACACTTGGGCTACACTAAATTTATAAAAATATTTTTATTTCTTCAATAGTAAATTAACCTTAGCTTACTGTAACTATTTCACTTTATAAACTTCTAAGTATTTTTTAACTTTTTTTGACTCTTTTGTAATAACACAGCTTAAAACACAAACACATTGTACAGCTGTACAAAAATCTTTTCTTTCTTTACATCATTATTCTATAAGCTTTTTCTATTTTTTAAGTTTTTTTTCTTTTGAAACCTTTCTGTTAAAAAGGAAGACACAAACACATGCATTAGCCTAGGCTTATGCAGGGTCAGAATCATCAAAATCACTGTCTTCCACCTCCATATCTTGTCCCACTGGAAGGTCTTTAGGGACAATAACACACATAGAGCTGTCATCTCCTCTGATAAAATGCCTTGTTCTGGAATACCTCCTGAAGGACCTGCCTCAGGCTCTTTTACAGTTAACTTTTTTTCTAATAAGTAGAAAAAGTATACTCTAAAACAACGATAAAAAGTATAGTAAATATGTAAACCAGTAACATAGTCATTTATTATCATTATCAAGTATTATGTACTATACATAATTTTATGTAGTATACTTTAATACAAGTGGCAGCACAGTAGGTTTATTTATGCCAACATCACCACAAACACGTGAGTAATGCATTGTGTGACTATCTCACAACAGCAATTTTTCAGCTCCATTATAATCTTATGGGATCAGCATCCTATATGCAGTCAGGTGTTGATGGAAATATTGTTATGCAGTGCATGACTGTAATGAGTAGCATATGGTGGTTTATCACGAGGTCACTAGTCTAATTCCAGGAAAATCTAAGTACAAGGAAAAAAATATTCTCTGGACTACAGGATAACTATGTTAGCAGTGATATACATATATGGATAAACATTAAAAGAGGAGCTAGTATAGCTCAAGTCCTAGTAACCCTAAAACAGCTGTGAAACAATGTTACAATCATTGTCCTCCTTTCACAGGCAATGAGGGTAATAAAACTTAATATCAAATGCCAGTGAGGGGACCACTATAACTAAAACAGCAAATATTTTCATTTCTATCCATTACTAGTATTCTTCTGCAACAAGTCTTGTAATACTAAACAGCACATGCTAAGTGCTCTCTTGACTCCTCCGGCACTTCAAAAATATCTTACCAAAACTGACCCATCAAACAGCTTTTCCCAGTAGTATGCAACTTTGTACTAATACAGTTATGCAGTTTTATATTCCTGGGAGATAAGCAATGTCAGATGAATTCAAACTAAAATGAGATAATGAAAGATGGGGAAGGAATTGGAAGTAGAAAAGGAAGCCAGGGAGAGACCCAGAGGCTACTTTCTGCTAAGTCTAAGGATCCTTCTAGAACCTATGCATAGGCTTTAGAAAGAGTAATTGCAAAATTAAACTCAACTACTTATTTATATAATACTAATCTCATTGAGTGAGCCACCTGCAGGTTCACAGTAAATACACTTATTGGCACTGGAAAATACATAAATTGTTTGTATATGAGGAATCACTAAAACATCAGGCTTGTGGACTCTGACAGGCTTCACATCTCACTTTTCATTAGATAAAAAATAGCTGTAATGTAAATTTATAGAACCTGAAGAGGGTCACAATTAAATGTTATTTCAGGTGAAATATTTAGATAATTCAATCCTGTCTTTTTCATTAGGTTTCAATAGACCACATGGCATCGTAACTATTGCCTCTTACTGATCTGTTTGCTGTTTCAGCCAACAATAGGAACTGGCTGAAGTGAAAATGAAGTCTTATTTGACACAGGTGTTACTTTTAAAAGTAAAAATTATGATCTCTTGGTTCTTTTTTAAAAGAATTGGGCATTCTTCAGAAGGATGAGCTCAACTAAAAAAGAAGAGTCAGAAAAATCTCTTAACTCACTTTTATATAAATTACTTAGTATTTTAGCAAAAACTACAAAGATTCACATATACAACTAAAATTTAAGAACATAAACATTAGCATAGAGGATTGGGTTTTTTGGTAAATATTTTCCTATTTCTTTTTTTCTAAATACATTTTAAGACATTTAACCTTTAATGTATACTCACATTACTACTAAAAAATTTAAGAGGCATTCTTTTATTTTAACACCCTGGACCTGAAAGCAAGAGAGGCATTCTTAATATCTCCCCGCAAAAGAATCGTTCCACATTCTACTCCATCCCTATAACATAATTACTATCCAGTCTTGCTTTACTATTTTAAAGAATCCTACAATTCAATGCTCAGAAACTTCCTCAAAGGAATAAAATAATGAAATAGCTGGGACCCACTCTTGGCACTTCTAACATCCAATTCTTGGCAAATCCTGTCAATACAACTACTAATATATACCCTGTATCAGTCGGCTTCTATATCCACTCTAGCACCATATTCTCCTGCCTAGAATATTGGGCTTTTAGATTTTATACTTGCTGGTCTATCTGGTTTCCTAGATACCTCTACTCCTAGTAAACATATTGTCCAAAAAGCAGTTAGAATAAGCTTTAAAAAAACATAAGTTGAATCATACCACTTTCCTGCCGAAGAATCTCTGATGCTTTCATTAAGAGAAAATGCAAAATTCTTGGGCTGGGTGTGGTGGCTCATCCCTATAACCCCAGCACTTTGGGAGGCTAAGGTGGAAGGATCATTTGAGGCCAGGTGTTCAAGATCATCGTGGCCAACACAGCAAGACCCTGTCTCTTAAAGAAAAACTTCTCAACATAACCTATAGTCCTGCATGCTCTGGCTCCTGCTTAACTCTCCAACCCCACCTGAAATGAACTAGTCACATCAACCCCTTCCAACTTTTCAAACTAGTCACATCAACCCCTTCCAACTTTTCAAAGGCACCAAGCTCTTTCCTACCTCAAGCATGAAAACACACAGTATTTCCCTTGGCTCAGCAATTCTCTTTTTTTGTTTTTTGTTTTTTTTGAGACAGAGTCTAGCTCTGTCGCCCAGGCTGGAGTGCAGTGGCGTGATCGCGGCTCACTGCAAGCTCCGCCTCCCAGGTTCACACCATTCTCCTGCCTCAGCCTCCTGAGCAGCTAGGACTACAGGCGCCCGCCACCACACCCAGCTAATTTTTTTTTGTATTTTTAGTAGAGACGAGGTTTCACCGTGTTAGCCAGGATGGTCTTGATCTCCTAACCTCAGGATCTGCCCGCCTCGGCCTCCCAAAGTGCTGGGATTACAGGCGTGAGCCACCGTGCCCAGCCTCTCCTCTTTCTTAATAATTGCCTTACAAATGGCTTACAATAAGCAACAGAAATCAGATGTGATCGATTCTACAGAGTGACTCTCTCAACTCTTTATTCTATCCTCCTTCTAGATGGAAATTAGAAATCTAAAAACTACATTCCCCAGACACATTTTTGGCTAGAATTCTTGCGATGTGGAAGTCCTAAATGAGATTTGGAAGACAGGACAAAGCAGAAGCTACCTTCTTGCTAATGTTGCTACAGGCAGACAAGGTAGGAGACACAAGTGTTTGAGTTGTGGCAGACTCAATGCCTAAGTCACTGCCATGGTAGTAGCAGTGGAGGCAGCAGCAACTTCAGGATTCTAGGTATGGGAAGGTACTCTTGAAATCAATAGCTCCAGTGGCAACTCCTGACTTAAGGCCCTGCAACACTTAAGAAACTTAAGTTCGTAAATAGCTACTTCCTTGAATCGAACTCCTTTAAAAAACATCCCTAAGCTGGTTTCTGTTTCTTGAGCTGAACTCTCAGTGATATTCTGAGGCTCCATCTTTCTTCCTCATCTCTACAGAAAGCTGTTTTCCCTGTTCCCACTTAGTAAGTACCTTTTTGCTATCTGGTTTTCAGCTTTACTGCTCTATTGAAATTGCTCCCTCCAAAGTCACCTATAATCAATTAGACTTCTAGCTGAAACCTCTTCTTTTTTTTTTTTTTTTTTGAGACAGAGTCTTGCTCTGTCACCCAGGCTGGAGTGCAGTGGCACAATCTCAGCTCACTGCAACCTCCACCTCGTGGGTTGAAACAATTCTCCTGCCTCAGTCTCCTGAGTAGCTGGGATTACAGGCATGTGCCACCACACCCGGCTAATTTTTGTATTTTTAGTAGAGATGGGGTTTCACCATGTTGGCCAAACTGGTCTCAAACTCCTGACTTCAGATAATCTGCCCACCTCGGCCTCCCAAGGTGCTGGGATTACAGGCATGAGCCACCGCACCTGGCCTAAAACCTCTTGTATAGCAGTGAAGTTATAAAAGTACCATCAGAAATAATGGATCTAATACATGTGGCCAAAAAACATATGAAATAAAGCTCAGCATCACTGATCATTAGAGAAATGCAAATCAAAACCACAATGTGATACCATCTCACACCAGTCAGAATGGCTATTATTAAAAAGTCAAAAAACAACAGATGCTGGTGAGGTTGCAGAGAAATAGGAATGCTTTTACACTGTTGGTGGGAATGTAAATTAGTTCAACCATTGTGGAAGACAGTGTGGTGATTCCTCAAAGACCTAGAGGCAGAAATACCGTTTGACCCAGCAATCCCATTACTGGGTATATACTCAAAGGAATATAAACTGTTCTATTATAAAGACATATGCACCTGTATGTTCATTGCAACACTATTCACAATAGCAAAGACATAGAATCAACCTAAATGCCCATCAATTATAGACTGGATAAAGAAAATGTACATATACACCATGGAATACTATGCAGCCATAAAAAGGAACAAGATCATGTCCATTGCAGAAACATGGATGGAGCTGGAGGCCATTATCCTTAGCAAACTAACGCAGGAATAGAAAATCAAATACCCGCATGTTCTCATTTATAAGTGAGAGCTAAATGATGAAAACACAGGGACACATGGAGGGGAGGAGGGGAGCAACACACACTGGGGCCTGTCAGAGGACCAGGGGTGGGAGGAGGGAGAAGATCAGGAAGAATAGCTAGTGGATGCTGGATTTAATTCCTGGGTGGTGGGATGATCTGTGCAGCAAACCACCACGGAACACATTTACCCATGTAACATGAACATTTACCCCTGAACTTAAAATAAAAGTTGGAAAAAAAAAAAAAGGCATGTCAGTCAAAGAAAGAAACAATGGGTCTAACAAACTGATCTTAGTACAGTTATATCCAATTTATAAAATAACATAGAGATTTTATAAAATTTAGGTTTATTTGTCCTAGAGTAGCAACATTAGTCTCAGCAGTTAGTAGAAAGATTTTGGTGCCTTTAAAGGCCTAGCTTCAGCGTTATCTGGCTGAATTAATTAAGATAATGCCCATAAAATGTCTAATGGTGTCTGGCCAAACTGGAGGCATTTAGTAGATATAATCATTGTCTTCATAGTATTATAAATAAACTCATAGCTAACAATGAGGCACTTATATAGTACTTGTGTTTTTAAAAGCATGTACTATTTCACAGGAATCCCACAAATCCCCTTGTCAGCACAATTGCTGACGAGGCAGACAGTTTTTGCCTTTTACAGATATGGGTAACTTGGTTCTACGGACAGTCTCAGACCTCCTATCCAGCAATGAAGAAAGAGTATATCCAAAGATCCAACCACTTGGGGCAAACTCTCTTTAAAGGTTAATTTCCTAAACTGCCGCATGTCTTCTATGATTCCCTTTAAAGTTGCAGTAAGCAGCTAAGATTCCAGACCAAGGTGAGCATTTTTTGAAACCATCTAATCTTCTCCTATAATTACCAATAGCAATGTTGTCAAAAAGAAATGTAATGTGAGCCACCTATGTAATTTAAAATTGTCTAGTGGCCACATTAATAAGAAGTGAAATTAATTTTAACAAAATAATTTATTTAACCCTATATATTCAAAATACTATTTCAGTAGGTAATTAATAAAAATTATTAATGAGCTTTTTTACATTCTTAATTTATGCTAAATTTTCAAGTCCTGGGTGTGTATTTTGTGTATAATACATCTCAGTTAGAACCAGCCATGTTTCAGGTGCTGGAGAGCTATATGTGGCTAATGGCCATCATATTGGACAGTAGAGACCTAGAGAATAGTAGCTCTCTCCCAGGACCGAGGTTTAACTTCTGAGCAACATTCTACATTAAGGGCTGAGCCAAGACTAATAATATCTGCAGTATTAACCTCTCTCATGCTAATGGAAACCTTGAACATAAGCTTGAGGGCAGTCAATCTAACCATATTTCTCATGCTGCCATCCTAGGCTATAATCCTATCTATTTATCTATCTATCTATCTATCTATCTATCTATCTATCATCTATCTACCTACCTATCTATAATTTATCATGTCTGTTGCCCACTTATCCTCCACAGCTGGCATTGCCAATGTTCGTCATTATCCTCAAGGCTCCATCCTCAATTACATGTTTTCTCTCAGCAACTTTGTTTCCTGCTTCACAGAAAAAAAAATTAAGACTGATATCAAGAGATTCAGCTCCCTCAAATTCCTACACACACACACACACACACACACACACACACACACATATATACACACACATTATCCTTCCCTTCCCCCTTTCCATTCAGTGCCAAAGAAAGTGCCATTTCTTCTTCTTTTGATAATTAACCCTCCCATCTCTTTGCAACTCTAGGTCAGGAAACTTCCTTCATTATAATTACCTTTCGCCTGTGTTTTCAACCTTTCTCTTTTCAAGTTTATTTTATGCATCCTATCAAAATGCTCATGTCTCTCCCATCACTTAACAAATAGACAATTTTAATTACTGTCCTACCTCTTCCCCTCCTTTTTAGAAGTCTTAATAAGCTCCACTTTCATTTACTCTTCAGCCTTTTGCCTCACAACACTATCTAAACCGCTTTGGCAAAGGACACTGATATTCTCCTAATTGCCCATAGATTCTCTCAATTTGTGACTTGTCTTCAGCATTTATTACTCTGGACCATTCCATTATTCCTGAAGCCCTCCATTTACTCAGCCCACATGATACCACAGTCCAGGATCTCCTCCTGACTGTTCCTCTCAGGCTCCTTTATTTCCACCTTCCTACTGCCTAGGGTCCACTCCATATTCTCCTCTTATCTTCTGGCTCTCCCTGGGCAATTTCATTCACTACTATCATATATCTTTAGACGACTCTTTAACTACTGCCCAGTTCTCTTTTCTGAGTTGCAGGCTGGACTATACAACTGCCTAATGCTCACTGCAGCCTTGAACTCCTGGGCTCAAGTGACCTTCCTGCCTCAGCTTCCAGAGTAGCTCGGACTACAGGTGCATGCCACCACAACTAGCTAATTTAAAAAAAAAAAAAAACAACTCTGTAGAGATAAAGTCTTGCTGTATTAACCAGGCTAGTCTTGAAGTCCTGGCCTCAGAGATCTCCTGCCTTGGCCTCCCAAAGTGCTGGGATTACAGGCATGAGCTATAATGTGCCTGGCCCCCACAGGGCTCTTATACTCAGCTTGCACAAAACTAACCTCATTGTCTTCCTCCCAAAACTCCCCCTCTTCCTAAATTCCCTCTCGTCATAAATGGCACCACTCTTACACCAAGTTACCTAGGCCAACAGCTTGGGAGTCATCCTAAGACTCCTCTCTCTCCCTTTTGGGCCCCCCATCTAATTTGTTACCAAGTCACACAGATTCTATTTCTTTAGCATAGCATTCTTTCCTTACTTTCCAAGTCTACTCCTACTATCACAGTTCACCTTCACATCTTGTTTAGGTTTTAGTGGTCTGCTAACAGGCTGCATTACCTCTACCATTAAAAATGTACTGTTTGTTTACCCTTCTGTCTTAACTCCTTAAAAACAAGGACTACAACCTTTTTATATCCAACACACAGAATCCTCATGAAAGATTCATTGAATAAAATATTAATGATTTAGTGGATAAGTGAATGGATGAATGGAATGACTAACATGCTCAAATTTATATACCCCATTAACTTTGTTAATGATAGGGTAGAGAAACTAGGCCTCTTGGTTACCAATAGTCTGGGCTCCTTAGGCTATATTAGATCCTTCAGAAGTGCCTATTTTAAGGAACCCCGAAGAACATCCTTTTGAAATCTAAGTAACCACCATTTATCTATTTTGTGAGGTGGTGGTTTTGTGTATCACATTTTCTCAAACTAGGACACACCTGCCTGAGAATGGAAATGAGAACTCTAAGCTCTAATCCATAGCTCTGAAAGTAACTTGCTCTGTGACTTTGATTGAGGATAATATTACTGTTTCATCACAGATATAAAATGCCATGTGACAAATATGTGGAATTGGACTAATCCACTAGAATAGCATTAAGTTTATAAGTGCATGCTCATAAATGACTTTTCCAGTTGAGATATTAAGACTATTCCCCAAAGAACTACTTAATCTTCTGGTGAATATCCATAGCATAGAAAAGACCAATTCACTCTAAACATGAGAGATCACATATAATAAATAATCTTTCATCTTATGTTAGACATGTCTATTACTATTATATATTTTAAATATATACACCTCTATAAGCAATAACTCACATCTTTATATATGATCTTGAGGCAAGACTCCCATTTATAAAGAAAAGAATAAACTCTGTTCACTATAGTTGCAAGTCAAGTATATTTTCTTGGTTACATATTTCTTAAGAAAAGCCCTGGCCGGGCACAGTGGCTCACGCCTGTAATCCCAGCACTTTGGGAGGCTGAGGCGGGCGGATCACGAGGTCAGGAGATTGAGACCATCCTGGCTAACATGGTGAAACCCCATCTCTACTGAAAATACAAAAAAATTAGCCGGGCATGGTGGCAGGCGCCTGTAGTCCCAGCTACTTGGGAGGCTGAGGCAGGAGAATGGCGTGAACCCGGGAGGTAGAACTTGCAGTGAGCCGAGATCACGCCACTGTGCTCCAGCCTAGGCGACAGAGCGAGACTCCATCTCAGAAAAAAAGAAAAAAAAAAGAAAAGCCCTATGTGTACAGATTATACTGTATTATCCTATTAATGAGAACATTTACTAAATCAGAATATGCCATTTCTTAGGTAATGTAAAGTTATTGCCTTCTGAAAGTATATTGTTTTTACTTCCCTAATACTTTATTGTAAAAAGATTTTTTTTTCTCATGGTCACATTATAATAGCTTTTTTGAAAAGAAAAACTTTTTATTAGGAGTTATATTCTAAAAGGTAACTTTAACTTTATCCTCCCCCAAAATTCATTTTTCTCTTCCTAATAGAATTGTAAACTGTGACTATGATCTTGAAACACACTTACATTGTTTTTAAAAAAAAAAACAAAATTCCATTTCCTCAGTCATTCTCTTCTAGGCTATCTGATCTCTGCTTTTCCCTGCAAACGTAGTGTTCAGAATGTATTATAAAAATGCAATTTTCTCTTGTACTATTGAAATGAAGCAATCTTTTAAAAAAATAAATAACTTTGAACTTCAACTAGTCTGTATAGTTAAGTATTTTAGAAAGTCACAGGAAAAGTAATTTCAAAACTGTCATTTGATAGTAACTGGAGTGAATGCTGGGCATCTCTAATCCTGGTCTTTTGACAGTACCTCAAACACAACATGTCCCAAATCAAAACAATTATCTTCCCCTATGATCCCTCCCTCTGCCTCTCCCTCTCAACTCAGTTTTTCTTCTTCAGTTTCTAGTAGTATCACTATTACCAAATGTTCAGGCTACATAATATAGGGCTATTTCCAACCATTTCATCCATTCCCAAAATCAATTGGTCATTACCTAATTTGTTGATCTCATTTGTTAATCTGTCCCTCTACATATTCAATAAATATTTATTGATACCTATAATTTGTGAGGTACTGGGCTAGAAATAAGGAAATAAAAATAAGATGGTATTTTTATTCTAAATGGTCACAGTCTTATAAGAAGTCAGACATGTTAATAAACAGTCGGTGATGTGCTAGTAACTGTTTAACAGTTTTCAAAAAACAACAATAAAAAACAGATTTGTATTGTTTGCTCATTTTCATGGTGTAAATATTCCTACCAAGGCAGAGCATAGAATTGGAAAGTGATACTAACAATTAGATCTTGCAAGCTGGTGCAAGCTGACTTCAACACAACACTCTAAAAGCACTCACAGTGTAACAAGAGCTCTACTAGAGATATATGCAAAGTGCTATAAGGGGAGCACAAAAGAGGGAACTCTAGGGTACCCATGCAACGTTTCACAGGATCCTCTTGGTTCTGTGAACTTCTTTCCATTCTGAACTAAAGCTACTACTTTAGTTCAGCAAAATGCAATTGAGAGTCAGCATGATACAATTTCTTCCTGACTCAAACACCTCTGATGGGCCTCCACTGTTTGTAAGTCCAACAATTAATAAGTCCAAAATAAGACACGACAATTCAAGGAACTTTTTCATCTTGCTTGAGCTACTCTTTCAGCCTCATCATTCCTTCATACACTTCTACATGATTTATGCTTTAGAAAATATTTAGAAGTGAAAAAGGCAGATGAAATTTGACCCAGGATAAAAAAGAGAACATACATATTTGTCATAACAGTAAACCTCTTTACAAAACTTCCATTGAGTCCTGTGTATTTTCTCTGTGATATTCAAAATCCCTGTCAAACAGAATGGGGTGAAGCTTATTAATACTTTCACATCTTGCCATTATGTGTTTATGCTGTGCTTTCCCTTAGCTTGTTTTTCCTCTTCTTTTCTGGTCAATGAAACTCTAAGACTCTAGAAAAATTGTCACTTCCATGAAGCATTTCTTAATCCATAGCTAGAGTTAATAAACCTCTGTGCTACAAAGGGTATTTTAGCACAGTGATTTATATTGTAACTAAAATTTTATGTTGTCTGTCCCTCTGTAAGAGCACAGATCAGAACTGTATTATTCCCTGCTATATCCAGATGCCAAGAACAGTGCCAAGTACATAATAGGTGTCGAATTGTTCAATTAATATTTACTTAGCATGCAAAAACTTAGTTGTGAATGTCTCTTCCTAGAGTTGATAAATACATTAGAATTAGAGATTGTGTCTTACTCATCTTAGTATCCCTTACAGCATTCAGTACCTCTGACACAAGGAAGTACTTAATATATGATGTTTGCATTGGACTGAATCTTCTCTAGGCCTTTCAATCTTCTGAGCATTCAAAAACTATACACCAGTATTTATAAAATACACATATTTTTAAAAATATATAAGTAGAAATGCACCAAACAGATTGAATTGCAAAATGGGTAAAGATGAACTCTAGGCAATACAGGAAGACCAACCAGAATTTACATTGGGGAATTGTAATAAAATTAGAGTATTTCTACTGCAAAAGGGAAGAGATGTGGCTGCTTCTCTAATTGTTGCTTTTAAATGGTACTTCATTAGGTTGAGAATTGAAACCTGAGACTCACACAAATAACAAAATAGCACCACGGACAGGATTGCAGGCTCTAGACACTATTTTGCAACTTATTTGGACAGGCTTCATAGGAACACACAGGCTAAGGATTTGAATGCTCTATTGCTCTGAGGGGTTTGACTATGTACAATATATTTCATACTTAAGATTCATTTAAAAACCTAAATTTCAGAACTTGTTATTGGTCTATTCAGGGATTCAACTTCTTTCTGGTTTAGTCTTGGGAGGGTGTATGTGTCCAGGAATTTATCCATTTCCTCTAGATTTTCTAGTTTATTTGAGTAGAGATGTTTACAGTATTCTCTGATGGTAGTTTGTATTTCTGTGGGATTAGTAGGTGATATCCCCTTTATCATTTTTTATTGTGTCTATTTGAATCTTCTTTTTTTCTTTATTAGTCTGGCTAGCAGTCTATTTTGTTAATCTTTCCAAAAACCAGCTCCTGGATTCACTGATTTTTTGAAGGGTTTTTCGTGTCTCTATCTCTTTCAGTTCTGCTCTGATCTTAGTTATTTCTTGTCTTCTGCTAGCTTTTGTTTGCTCTTGCTTCTCTGGTTTTTTTAATTGTGATGTTAGGGTGTCAATTTTAGATCTTTCCAGCTTTCTGATGTGGGCATTTAGTGCTATCAATTTCCCTCTAAACACTGTTTTAGCTGTGTTGAAGAGATTTTGGTATGCTGTGTCTTTGTTCTCATTGGTTTCAAAGAACTTATTTATCTTATTTATTTCTGCCTTAATTTTGTTATTTACCCAGTAGTCATTCAGGAGCAGGTTGTTCAGTTTCCATGTAGTTGTGCAGTTTTGAGTGAGTTTCTTAATCCTGAGTTCTAATTTGATGGCACTGTGGTCTGAGAGACTGTTATGATTTTCGTTCTTCTGCATTTGCTGAGGAGTGTTTTATGTATAACTATGTGGTCAATTTTAGAATAAGTGCGATGTGGGTGCTGAGAAGAATGATTTCGGGTGGAGAGTTCTGTAGATGTCTATTGGGTCTGCTTGGTCCAGAGTTGAGTTCAAGTCCTGAATATCCTTGTTAATTTTCTGTCTCGTTGATCTGTCTAATATTGAGAGTAGAGTGTTAAAGTCTCCCACTATTATTGTGTGGGAGTCTAAGTCTCTTTGTAGGTCTCTAAGAACTTGCTTTATGAATCTTGGTGCTCCTGTATTGGGTGCATATATATTTAGGATAGTTAGCTCTTCTTGCTGCACTGATCTCTTTATCATTATGTAATACCCTTCTTTGTCTTTTTTGATCTTTGTTGGTTTAAAGTCTGTTTTATCAGAGACTAGGATTGCGAACCCTGCTTTTTTATTTTTTTCTTTCCATTTGCTTAGTAAATATTCCTCCATCCCTTTATTTTGAGACTATGTGTGTCTTTGCATGTGAGATGGGTCTCCTGAATACAGCACACTGATGGGTCTTGACTCTTTATCCAATTTGCCAGTCTATGTCTTTTAATTGGGGCATTTAGCCCATTTACATTTAAGGTTAATATTGTTATGTGTGAATTTGATCCTGTCATTAGCTAGCTGGGGTTTTTACCCGTTAGTTGATGCAGCTTTTTCATAGTGTCAGTGGTCTTTAAAATTTGGTATGTTTTTGCAGTGGCTGGTACTGGTTTTTCCTTTCCATATTTAGTGCTTTCTTCAGGAGCTCTTGTAAGGTAGGCCTGGTGGTGACAAAATCTCTCAGCATTTGCTTGTCTGAAAAGGATTTTATTTCTCCTTCGCTTATGAAGCTTAGTTTGGCTGGATATGAAATCCTGGGTTGAAAACTCTTTTCTTTAAGAATGTTGAATATTGGCCCCTACTCTCTTCTGGCTTGTAGGGTTTCTGCAGAGAGATCTGCTGTTAGTTTGACAGGCTTCCCTTTGTTGGTAACCCGACCTTTCTCTCTGGCTGCCCTTAAGGTATATTTTGTACGAAGTTCATCTTGGAGAGTACATCAGAAAATAACAGCTTCAAAGACAAATGTCTATAAGTATTTTATTGATGGTTTTTGTTTTGCTTTGTTTGAATGTGTGGGTGTTTTATTTCATGGCATAGGGCAAGCAACTGATCACACCTGCTTATTTTATAAATTTCAGGCTAAAGCTGTACAATCATGATCTATACTACAGAGCTTTGGAAACTTGATTGTTCAATCACGTCTATGCAACAAATTATTGGGAATGAGTTCAGGTCCTGCCTGGGTACTCCCTCATTAGGGGTATCCATCCATTCAATTGAATGTCCATGCTATTCTGAATCTCCACAAAGAGCACACCTGGCTTGGCTAAGAGGTGAAGCACACTGCTCTGCACTTGCATGTGGACATACAATAACCACATTCCAGCTATTTTTCAGAAAGTTTAACTCTGAACCTATTGTCATTCGGTATTAATCAAAACCTTGACTTAAAGAACAGGTATAGAAGATTGCTTAAGGGAACACAACAAACACATCTTTTCCTTTAAAACTCTATTCCTATATTGCACCAGCTGTGGGATCAGATCATTTTGACTTCTCATATAATTGTTACACACTGAGGTGATACCATAAGCATCTTAAAAGGAATATTCTAAGAAACTGGTAGTTATTGAGGACAGTGAATGCTGGATCACATAGTGTCTTCATTTGAGATCCATGAGGGAATTTTCTATTAGGTATCAGGAAAAGTTGGGCTTTTTGTGAGCAACTAATTTGCTTGTCATGGACACTGTCAGTCATATAATTTGATTGGGTGGAAGTCTAAAAGCTGAGTAATAATGTGGCTACCCATAACAAAAGTACAGGATTTCATGGCATGCATTTTATTGTTTAGAGCCTCATTTGCTCTCTGTCTTGATTTCCTCATTCACTTTATTTTATTATATTGCATAAATTTTATAAATGGCCTTACATTTTTACTAAAAAAGGAAGTTTAAAATAAATAAATGAACACAACAATGACAATGTTGTAAACTTTTACAAAAATGTAGAGTTAACTTATACATATTAACAGGTATTTTAACTATTATAGTGTTAGGTAACTACAGATACTTTTTGTTACATGCACTCTTAAAACAATGAATGTTTAATAATCACAAAATCATTATTTTCGCACAATTTCAATTTGCTATTTAAACTTATAAAATACTTGTAAAAATTTTTGCTTTATTCAATAAACTGTATCAATGCAAGTCCTACTTTAAAATCAGTGCTGTGGGCTCATGTAATTCATTTATTTTAAAAATATAATCATTTTTCTATTGAATTCAGCTTTCGCAACAGGATAAAGAGCAAGTTTTGAAACACAACAAATTAGCATACTATCAAGATTTGTTAGCCCTGGTACTCCTTAGACTAATATAGATAGAAAGAGTTAACCAGTTTTTCTTTTCTTATATTATTTCTGATTGGCCTGACTCTGAGTACACTATGCTTAACAAATAAAATTCTCTGCATATGAAACAAAGACTTAAAAAGACAAATTACTGTTTTGGCAAATATTCATTCTCAATTAAAATTCATGTGAGTTGCTTCATGTACTGTTTGTACAACTAATGTCTCAAATGTGACATGACTATAACAGAACTATGGCAGTGTAAGCTGGTAAGTCAAGTTGATAAATGCTGTTCATTGCAATGCCTACTGTTTATGAACTCCTCAGGTTAATTCGTGTTCCAAATATTAAGTAGCTCTTTTGTATATTAATGTACGTCAGGAGCCAACAAAAGTTTTGCTATTGAGAGAAAATAATTTTCAAAAGAAACTATGAAATAATATAAGTCAAAGTTCTATTAAACTACTTCTGTCGTTTTAGAAAGGGCAAGATGAAACAAATTATAAATGAACATCTTTTATCCTCTGACCTAGCAATTTTACCTCTAGAAATTAGTTCCAAGGTAAAAACTTGTACAAACATTTATGTATAAGTCTGGTCTCTGCAACATCCTCTTATATAAAAATTAGAAAAAAATCAACAGTAGGGGAATGGTTAGTTAATCCATATGCTGGAACACTATGCAGCTGTTAACAACCATGTTATGGAAATATATTTAATGATATTAGAGAAGACCACAATATATTTTTTAATTTAAAAAGGATGTTACAAAGTAGTAATGATTATATAATCTTAATTTTATTTTTATAATATATATATAAAAAGACAATGGTTTGAGGTCAGGTCAAAATGTTTATTTTACAGTGTTTATTTCTGAGAAGTAGGCAAACAAGAATAGTTTTAAAATTTTTAGTCTATTAGGTCTTGACTCTTTTCCATAATTTTTCTTCTTTTTTTTTTGGAGGTGGAATAGGGGTAATAAACATGGACTACTTTAGTAATTAGGAAGAAAACAATGAAAGTGTTATTTTTATAACTTACATTTAAAAATGTTTGATTTTAATACTCACGGAACAGAGATGTCTTCTTTAGTTTGCCTAAATTCACTTGTGAGAAATTGGAGATTTGGGGGTCTGGGGAGAGAGGCAATATAAAAAAAGTGTAGGTTGACTCATACTAAAATAAATATGGCATTTATCACAGGAAGGAAGCAAGTGAACTGTTTCTTTTTTTTTTTTTTTTTTTTTTTTTTTTTTTTGAGACGGAGTCTCGCTCTGTCGCCCAGGCTGGAGTGCAGTGGCGGGATCTCGGCTCACTGCAAGCTCCGCCTCCCGGGTTCACGCCATTCTCCTGCCTCAGCCTCCCGAGTAGCTGGGACTACAGGCGCCCGCCACTACGCCCGGCTAATTTTTTGTATTTTTAGTAGAGACAGGGTTTCACCGTTTTAGCCGGGATGGTCTCGATCTCCTGACCTCGTGATCCACCCGCCTCGGCCTCCCAAAGTGCTGGGATTACAGGCGTGAGCCACCGCGCCCGGCCGCAAGTGAACTGTTTCTAAGAAAACAACCAGAAAAATGGTGAAGTGCTATTTAGACACTTCAGTGTTGGCAATCAAGGTTTGAAGTAAGCATAATTTCCCAGGATTACCCTTAACGTGTTTTCTATTTGGGGATATAAAGCGAATCAACAATGCACTCTTCCTCTGCAATAAGGAGCATGGGTTTGTTGGTTGCCATTAAAGCCTGAGGACTCAGACTCATTGCTTGTTGATAACTATTATTGCTCCATTTTTGAGTTCCATCAAACAAGAGAAAAAAAGTCTTTACAGAGTTTATACTGAGGATATGCGTAATTCTTGACCCTGAAATGTGATACCTATAGAATCTAAGAGTTTACTGGGAAAACCATCTGCTCCGCAAAGCTAGGTGTCCCAAATAAGAGAAAAGTTAGAAAAAGTTTGTATTATTTACGTGACTAGAAATGTGTTATAAAGACTTTTGCTTTTCAGCCTGAATCTAGTGAAGACAGAAGTAGAAGTTATTCACGTATAATCTCATCCAGTCTGGTATTAATGAAAATGGATAAGCTAAAGTCCATTCCTATTGATCAGATGGAGAAATCAGAAAAAAAGATATCTAACATCTTCAATCATTCAGCGTATTTTTTCAATCAATATCTCAGTTCAGTCTTAGTGCTATTTGCATATTACATAAAAATGCAGCACTTAACAAATTTAAATCTCTTATCCTTTTTCTGAAAAAAAAAATGGCATCATCAATAAACATTTGCTGAAGGTTTGACAGACACTGGTCACTCAGAATGTGGTCTGTGGTCCAGCTGCATCACATCACATGGGAGTCTGTCATAAATGTAGAATCTCAGGCCCCACCCCAGACCAGCTGAATCACAATTTTCAATTCAACAAGATCCCCAGGTGTTTTCTATGCACAGTACATGGATGTTTGAGAAGCACTGTTTTAAGAGCATTTTTCAAGTATTGGAGATACCAAAAAGGTGTAAAGAGACTTCTCTAGTTAGTTCCTAGACTAGGAAGTAAATATACATAAAAGATAAACTATACAAGAAGCATATGACAACTGCCAGGTGAGAGGTGTAGACAATTAACGGCATAGGAGTTTGAAGGAAGGCAAAGGTCACTCAAGATTGGGGCAGCTGGAGACATCTTAAAGGAAAGACAGTATAGCTGGCCCTCTGTATCCGCAGATTCTGTATCCGTGAACACAAACAATCTGGGATCAAAAAATATTTTGAAAAAAAATTGCACCTATACAGAACATATACAAACTTTTTTTCTTATTATTCCCTGAACAATATAGTATAACAAAATTTACATAGCATTTACATTGTATTAGGTATAAGTAAACTAGAGATGATAAAGGAAGATGTGCATAGATCATATGCAATTACTACACTATTTTATATCAGGGACTTGAGCATCTCAGATTTTGATATCTGAGGGGTCCTGGAACCAATCTCCCTCAAATACCGAGGAGTACTTTACTTGGAAAATAAGAAAAAAGGGAGTATGGTAATACTCAACCCTCCTTTGCATAAGTTTACTCTGTAACAGTTCTGTAAATTTTATATACCTAGAGCTCTTGGTATGGTTATTGTGTGGAGAAAAACTATTTGGTCTGAACAACTTAGTTATGGTAACTTGAAAACAGTATGCATGATGTACAAATATACAGCCTTCTGTGAATAAGGCCAGGCTGTTTTCCCCAAACTGTGTGTATTTCATTTTTTAAACAAATATATTAAATTTAGGATTTATTTAGAATGCAGGAAAACTCCTTTTTGAAGCACTCCTGAAAGGAATTCTTTTGGAAAATATAGAATTATTTTATAATATGAATAGTCAATTCCTGAAATATATATACCGTGAGTTAATATTTTCATTATATTTCAATTAAGTGCTTTTAAAAAGATCATGCTTGGCCAGGTGCAGTAGTTCATACCTGTAATCCCAACATTTTGGGAGCTGAGGCAGGAGGATCACTTAAGGCCAGGAGTTTGAGACCAGCCTGGGCAATACAGTGAGACCCCATCTCCACAAATAATAATAATAATAAAGATCATGCTTGTACATACTTACTATCTGGAGCTAATGGTTATTGTTTTGCTACAGTGTCACTAAACAAAAATCAACATACAAAGGTGAAAGGGTGGCACATGTCTGCTGATTACATTTAAGGGCCCCCAAAGTCTCTCTTTTTGTCCTTGCAAGTGGTAGGATTGTTTCACTGCGATATAAATAAAACGCCTTAGTAATTACATCCTGAGAACACCATGGCTCAGTACTATTCATGCCAACTTAACTGAACTGAAACATGGCACTGGTGTCAGTGGCTTTTACTTATTGATGGATTTGTAAGGTGGCAGGCTCTTTCATGTCCAAAAGCGGTAGTTTCCCAGGGTCTCAAGAAGATTTAAAAATATTTTCCTTCCATCACAACACAAAGCCTACTGACTTTAAGTAATGCTGCTGAGGGTTAACATTTGAAACTGACAAGCAGCACATGTGTATTACAGAGATAAGGCCTGGCACATGTTGCTGCAGCCTCCTGAGATTTTGAAATGCTAGCAGCTCCAGCTGGTGGCTATGCTCCATTCCTAATGTGCACTTTTTAGGGAAACTTGAGCCCCTCCTTCTGACTGTGATAGGGACATGTCTGATTGGAATAGGGTTATTTTTAAAGATATTCAGAACAACGAACATATTTATTCTAAGAATAAAAAGAGAGTGGAAAGAAATAAAAGAGGTAAAATGTTAAGCTGAGATCTTAAAGAAAACAGTATCACTTGTTAAAAAAAAAGAAAAATAGTGAATGCAGCCAAAGAGCAGTTAAAAAAAAATCACTAGGGAAGAATAGTTTTAAAAAGAAAAAAGAAAAAATGAAGGAACTGAAAGGCACTTTTTATGAGAATCATTCAGATAAACATACTGAAAAATAGCGAGGCAAAAAAGACTGATACAAGGAGTAGGGAAATGAAAATGAGTTAAGGAATGGGGAAACAAAAACCAGTTGAATTCCAAAATGAAATAAAAACATAGAGATTAAAAAAAGAAAAAGTACACTATGGAAGAAGACAGCTATCAAAATTTCTCAATCCCTATGGGGGCTAAGGTGGCACACATGGAATGGAAGGCAAGGGACAAGAAGGTGGGTTTGGAAGTAGACAGGGCGACATAGTTCTGTTTAAATAATATTGATAGGAGCCCACTGGTCTGGACTGAACTCCTTCCTGCAAAAGGCCCAACACACCAAACCAAAATGGAGTCACAGATGGTAAAGTTCCATGTTACCAAGCCAAAACTCAGTTTATCTGACTTTCTGAGAGATCAGGAGAGTGAGAGATAATAGCAAAATCTTCAAGTTTTAGCTGGCATGATAAGAAAATCCTCTCTGCTTTAACCTTTACAAGGAAATTAATTTTGAAATAACCAACCCACTTTTTGTTTTCTGTTTCTGCTTTCCTCAGTCCTTTTGTGACTATAAAACCAACTGCTCAGCTTATTGGGGCACTCATTCTATTTTACAGAATGAGGTGTTGCCCAATTCTAGTATCACAAATAAAAGTCAATTAAGATCTTTAAACTAAATTTGTTGTAATTTTGTCTTTTGACAATTCTTAGCTGTAATAGAAGATGCTAAGGCCAGAGAAGCAGGCAAAGTCAAAACTAAATTCAAAATGTTAGGGGCAGAGTCAGAAAAAGTACCTAATCCAAAAGGATACTTAGGCAAATATCCTCAAAGAGTTAAAATTCCATGGGTGACAGTTTCATGATTGGTTACTGAAGTTAACTGGAATATTATACAACTAATCTTTTGAGGTTGGTGTTTAGAATGTTACCACTCTCATCTACAACATATATATTAGTACTATTATCACAGACAGAAATCATGGAGAACAGACCAGAGACTAACTCAGCAGCAGAATTATATTCTTAAATGCTTTAAGGGCATTCAAAACATGTTTTTTGCATTATATGCAATTATAATTTGGAAATATATTCTTGACATTATAAAACACAAACAATTCAAGATGGAACCAGGTAGAACAGAGTTAAGATGCTGGCTTTTTAATAAGAATATGTCTTTTGGAAACAATAAAAAGATACTTTTAAAATTCTTTAATTTTATTTTAGAGACAACAATCTTGCTCTGTCACCCAGGCACAATCATAGCTCACTGCAGCCTCAAACTCCTGAGCTCAAGGGATCCTCCCACCTCAGCTTCCTGAGTCGCTGGGACTACAGGCATGTGCCACCACACCTGGCTTATTTATTTATCTACTTATTTATTTATTTTTATATTTATTTTTCCCAGCTGGTTTTGAATTCCTGGCCTCAAGTGATCCTCCCATCTCAGCCTTCCAAAGTACTGGGATTATAGGCATGAGCCACTATGTCTGGTCAAAAGATACTTTTTTAAAAAGGTTTTAAAATTAGGTTCTTTGAGCCTCATTTCTCCAACTATAAGATGAACATCAGAAAGTTTACCTTGAAGGGAACTGAGGATTAGAGCAAATCGTTATCAAGTTTCTGGGTCATTAACTGGATATAGCAGTCATAACAAATAGTTCATGAGATGTGTATTTAAACAATACAGAATGGACATTTAATTCATCTTTTACTAACACTCATTCTCTCAAAAATATATACTGAGTTCTTACTATGTACCAGACACTTTTCTGAATATATCAGTGAAAAACCAAAAATCCTTTCCTTCCAAGAGCTTGCATGCTAGTGAAAGGAAACAAAAAATAAGTGTGTTCAATAGTAAATGGTATAGTATGTTTAGAAGCTAATACTTACTTGTTACAGAAGAAAGTAAAACCAAATATAGTAGGATAAGTAATTGAGTGTTAGGCTGTTACAACTATAAATGTGGGTGGGAAAAGGTAGGCTTTGATCTCTTTGAGAATGAGATATTCAAGCACAAATACTACTAAGCACAAATAACTGAGGTAACTAAGTACCAATTTGGATTTCTGCGAATAAATTGTGGATGATATATGGATGGTGTTTCATTGTTGTTACTGTTATCCAAAGGCATAAGAAAGCTAAATTTGCTGGAAGAATCTTATCTTGAAATATTCTTACAACTATATTCTATTCTTCATGCTATTCTTAACTTCTCTTTGGCCTATCACAGAACAGTATTTGTTTAAAGCGCAACCATTTCTTTTGACCATGTAGCAGCAGCACTCATTAATGCCATGTTCAAGGTTATCAATCTTCAGACAGGCTTCCTTCTCAAAGCACTCCCCATCTCTCATATTGCTTCCTTATTCTCACAGTACTTATTT
This sequence comes from Homo sapiens, assembly GCF_000001405.40. Taxonomy (NCBI): domain Eukaryota; kingdom Metazoa; phylum Chordata; class Mammalia; order Primates; family Hominidae; genus Homo; species Homo sapiens. Next base: position 169,196,407 of record NC_000001.11, read on the forward strand.
TACTCATTTGTTGTCTGTCTTTCTATTAGAACAAAAACTTTGTGAGAAAAGGGATTTTTTTGTGCCATTACTGCAGTATCCGCATGCTTGGCATTGTCTGACACATAAAAAGCACTTGATACATGGTTGAATAAATAAAAGCGGTAAGTAAGAATTAGTTTTAGAAAAGAACCACAGTGTAGAAAATCATTAGGATACTTTCACAATTAATAAAGGCTTGAAATTTAGAGATTTAATATTTGCAACTTCAACTACTTAAGAGAAATTCTAAAAGTATGTGATGTGCACTAATTTGTAATACTGCAGAGGCTGGTGAGTGGGAGCAAATCACTCAGCTAGTGAGTGCATCCTACCAAGCTGCTCACATAACATGAGGCTCTGTCATTCTCTACTGACGACTGAGCATACGGCTACGCAGCAAGTTATTTGCTAGAATGGTATGAAAACTGGAGATTCAAGATCCCAGGATGCAGTCCTCTTGTATATAAAAGCCTTTGATATACTTGTTATAATTAGAGAAAATATTTTATATAATAAGATGCTGATTCCTAATCTAACAGTATAGAGGTAGCCTGATAGAGTAGCCAGAGTACAGAACGGGGTTAGGAAATTTGTGCAGATTTGTCTTAAGCTGAGTGAGTGACCTGGACAGATCACTTCATGTTTTCATGATTCTGTTTTTTCATAGATAAAATGGAGTTACAATAATATAAGTAAATAAGAGTACCTATATTTCACCATATTAGCCTTAGGACCAAAATGAAATGTTCTATATTTAACTGCTTTATAAATTGAAAAAGATTTTTGGAAAAATATAATACTTGTCAAAATAAAAACTATGCTTTTAGATTTTATTTAGAAAAATTTCAGGTTTATGAAATTTATTTATGAAATTTCTATTCATATTCATATTTAAGTGTGTAATTCTGGATGATTCATTTCTGATGTCTAGTTAGCTCTATAATCATGACTAAAAACTGTGTATTAATTAAAAACTACTCTGTGTGTGTGTGTGTATTCTTAGATGTCAACATTCTCTAGGAGAAAAATAAGACAAAACAAGAAAATACCTAAAGATCAAATGTACACATGGCACAAAGATAGACATATGGATTAATGGAATAGAATTGAGAGCTCAGAAATAAATATATACATCCACTTTCAACTGATTTTCAACAAAGTTGCCAAGGCCAACCAATGGGGGAAATAATAATCTTTTCAACAAATAATGTTTCAACAGCTGGATAGCAATGTGCAAAAAAATGAAGTTCAATCCTTACCTCACACCATATACAAAAATTCACTCAAAATGAATAAAAGGCCTAAAAGCAAGACCTACAATTTTAGAACTCTTAGAAGACAACATAGGAGTAAAACCTTTATGATGCTGGCTTTGACAAAGGATTCTCAGATATGACACCAAAAGTATAAGCAATAAAAGCAAAAAATAGATAAATTAGACTTAATCTAAGTTAAAAAACTTCCTGCTTCAAAGGACACCAACAAGAAAAGTAACAGACAGCCCACAGAATGGGAGAAAATATTTGCAAATTATATCTCTGATAAGGGACTTTTATTGATAACATATAACTCTTACAAGTCAATAATAAAAATGACTTAATTTAAAAATAGGCAAAGAACTGAATAGGTATTTCTCCATGGAAGATATACAAATGGCCAATAAGCACATAAAAAGATACTCGATATCACTAGTCAATAGGGAAATGCAAATTAAAACCACAATCAGACATCACTTCACACCCACTGAGATGGCTAGAATTAAAAAGTCATACTAACATATACTGGTGAGAATATGGAGAAGTGAGAACCCTCAAATACTGCTAGTGGTAATGTAAAATGGTAAATGGTGCAGCCATTTTGGAAAAAACTCTACTAGTTTTTCAAATGATTAAACACAGTTACCATATAACTCAGCAATACTACTATTAAGAATATACTCAAGATAACTGAAAACATATATTCCCACAAAAACTTGTACACAGTGTTTACAGCAGCATCAGTCATAATAGCCAAAAGATAGAAACAACCCAAACGTCTATCATTTGATGAAAGAATAAACAAAATCTGGTATATCCATACAATGGATTATGATTTAGCCATAAAAAGGAATAAAGTACTGAATGCATGATACAATGTGGATGAACCTTAAAAATATTATGCTACATGAAAAAGGCCAGTCATGAAAGACCACATATTATATGATCTCATTCATATGAAATGTCCAGAACAGGAAAATCTATAGAGATAGAAAGTAGATTAGTGATTGCCTAGGGCTGAGGGTGAGGTGGGAAGTAGGCAAATGATAGCCAAAAGGTATAGGGCTTGTTTTTGAAGTGATGAAAATATTCTAAAATTGTGGTGATGGAAACCACTGAGCTATATGTTTTTAAACAAGTGAATCATATTGGTATGTGAATTACACCTCAATAAAGCTGTTAAAAATCACATGTATAGACCTTGCTCAATTTTTACACAAAGATTTTCTTATTTTCCTTTTTAAAAAGACTTCTCTGAAAGAATTAAATTACCAGACAGGCCACCTAGGTAATTATAAAACAAAAAAGATGTTCTTACATTGACTTGTATTTCGATTTCATAAAATGTGACTAATAATAATAATAATACTTAAACGTACTTAAAGCTACATGTGTCTACATCATATTATGTCTATTTTTCATTTATCACAAATAAGGCCACTGAACCTTGAAACCTTGGCCAGTATCATACTGTTTAAGAGTGCAGAGTATCATTAAATAGTGATAATTATAATAACCTCTATTACAAGAGTGACAATAATGTTAGCTAACACTTATTAAGTATTCACTATGTTCTAGAAAGTTTACATAAATTATCTCACTTATTCTTCACAATAATAATTCCATGAGGTAGATATCATTATTATTACAATTTTACAAATGAAGAAACTAAAGTTTTCAAAGGATACCACACTTGCCAAGAGCAAAGCTACTGAGTGGTGGAGGTAGGATTTGAACTTAGATAGATAACAGAACCCAGGGTCTTTTTTATTATTATTATTATTATTATTATTATTATTATTATTATTATTTTTAAATTGAGATGGAGCCTCACTATGTTGCCCAAGCTGGTCTCAAACTCCTGGGCTCAAGTGATCCTCCCGCCTCAGCCTCCCAAGTAGCTGAGTCTAAAGTGTATTTCACCATGCCCAACAGCACCCAGGGTCTTAACCACTTTGCTATACTTGTTGGTTCCTATTGTCTACAAAAATAAAAATCATGTACCACATTTCCCAGAGCTGCAACTTTCAAAACTGCACATTATAACTCTAAGCCATATAAAGGTAAAAGGAAAAGGTATAATTCACCAAAAGTACTAAAAGTTTACTCAGCCAAAATTCAGAATTTTAGAGTTGGAAGGAGAAGCATAAATCATTTAGTTTGATGACAACTTAGTGCAAATGATAAAACTGAAAGACTTTGGCCTAACTCTTCAGGTTTTAGGAAATAAAGGAAATTCAATGATGATGAGTTTTCCACAGGTATGACTGATATAGAACTTATTAATTCATTATTAATTCATTCACCTATTCATTAGTTATTTTTCATCTCAGTCAACAAATATATACTGAAAGTCAACTACACACCAAGCACCCTGCTAGGTTACAAACTCCAGAAAGTAAAAAATGAGTATGACGGTCCCATTCTTCAAGGGGCTTATGGTCTGGACTGGTGGGGGTGGGGGAAAAGGTGTAAAATAAGAATTCTTATTTTATATATCACTATATAACGTGATAAGCAATACTCAATAAACATGGCAGGGAGTTATTCTGTTGGAAACATCCGGGAGGGCTTTACCAAGAATATCATTAAATTAAGAGATAAGCAATTATTTCCAAGAAGATATCTTCCCTCCAGGAAGAGGGTAGAGGAATTTAGCCTTGAGTGGTTGGAAATTCAAGTCATTTAGAATTGCTTGGAGCATAGCCAGTGAGGGTAAGAGACTGTGTTAAGCACATCTTTTTATTCTGATGTTTTAACATCTGGGGCCTTATTGACCCTGAGGAGACTGTCCCTCCCAAGGCCAGCCATCTTCTAGAGATAATAAAGGGCTCCCCTGTGAGATTGCCTTTCATATGCAAACCAACCAGGTCAGACCCCATCCACTCCAACCTCCTCTATCAGGCTCTTACAATCTGGATCAATATTCCCCTGCCCTAATTTCCTCAGGGACAGGGTCAGACAACTTAGAACAGCCCTGTACACCCTACAGTCCACTGAAATTATTCAAACTAGCCAATCCTGAACTTGTTAGCCCTTCCTCACCCATTCCTTCCCAAGGAAATCACAATAGAAGCTCTTGCCCATATTTCCCCCTATTCTTCTGTTTCCTGACCCACCCTCATGTTTCCCTGTGTGGCCCTGCATGTGCAGTGTGCACTGTCCTCTTGGGGATTGTAGCTATCTTTTCAATGGCAATCATCTGATGCATTGGCCTCACCATCCCTGAATGATAATAAAACTGACATTATAAACAAAGATTCAAGCCTGGGTGCCATGGCTCACATCTGTAATCCCAGCACTTTGGAAGGCTGAGACAGGAGGATCCCTTGAACTCAGGAGTTTGAGACCAGCCTGGGCAACATAGAGAGACCCTATCGCTACAAAAATTTAAAACATGGGCCAGGTGTGGCGGCACGCACTTGTAGTCCCAGCTACTTGGCAGGCTGAGGCAGGAGGATCACTTGAGTCTAGGAGGTAGAGGCTGTAGCAAGCTATGATAATATCACTGCACTCCAGCCTGGGTGACAGAGCGAGACTGTCTCAATAAATAAATAAATAAATAAAACAAAGATTCAGTAAATTCTGCTACATAGACAGAAAGGGGCAAGACCATGTAAAGTGTTGTCTGAGGAGTTTTAACTACTCAGGAGACATTGGGAGCCACAGAACAGTGTTAAGCAGGGGCATAATATGACTAGATTTACATTTTAAAAAGATTACTCAGGCAGCAGTGTGGTTACAGAATTGCAGTGAAGTAATTCTGAAGGTATGGAGACTAATTAGGAGGTTATGGTATAAAACAGTCGGGAAGTGATGAAAATCTCAATTAAGGTAGGGGAACTGGAAATGGACAGAAAGGAATATTTACGAGATGGTGAGAAGGTATCTTGAAGGACTTGATTGACTATAATGGGTTGGGGAAAGGCAAAAGCAAAGACACACTTCAAGGTTTCTGGCTTAGCTGACTGTGGCTGGTAATGAATTTATGGAGATAAGAAAAGAAGCACAGAAGCAAGTTTGCAAGGAAGGAGAATGGGATCTGCTTGCCTGTAGGATTGTTCTTGTAGAGATACTAATAGCCAGTTAGAAACATGGATCTGGTGCTCAGGAGGTGTTCTTAGACTGGAAACAAGATTTGAGAGTTACCAGCCTACTGGTGGTGGTTAAGGTCATAAAAGTGGATAGAATTATCAAAGGAAGACATGCAGAAAAATATCAAAGTTCAGGTTGAAAACAGAATTCCAAGAAACACCACAACTTAAAAGGCAGGTAGGGAAATGGTGTTTGCAAAAGAAAATGGATGTGGTAAGATAATCTGGGGAGTCTGGCAGCAGCAGCAGCAACAATGGCATAATCATCACCATCATCACCAGATGGCTAATATTTCTTCAGCATTACTATGTTTCCCACATTATGTCATGTGTTTTACATGTATAGTTCATTTGCTGCACATAGTAACTGATAGTTTGGATATTTGTCCCTGCCCAAATCTCATATTGAATTGTAATCTCCAGTGCTGGAGGTGAGGTCTGGTAGGAGGTGTTTGAATCATGGGGGCAGATCCCTCATGAATGGCTTGGGCCATCCCTTTGGTGATAAGTGAGCTCTCACTCTGAGTTCAAAGGCGATCTGGTGGTTTAACAGTGTATGGCACCCCCCTCCCCACCACCAACTCCTTTGCTTGCTCCTGCTTTTGCCATGTGACATGCCTGCTCTTGCTTTGCCTTTTGACATAACAGTAAGCTTCCTGATGCCTCCCTATAAAACCATGAGCCAATTAAATCTCTTATTTATAAATTACCCAGTCTCACGTATTTCTTTATAGTAATGTAAGAACAGCCTAACACAGTAACTCAGTGAGGTTTAAGAGATGATGACATAGGCCTACAGAAGTTAAGTAAGGCCTATAAAATTGTTCTCCTTTGCAATCTCTCTAAAGCATGGCTTCTTAAACTGCTATAATGTGTCCATTGAAGAATGATGAGGTTAATAACTTTGAAAAGGAGAGCTTATTTCTCATTAAGGGTTGTAGTCTGAAGGGTGGCCATACCAACAGGCTAGGAAGCATAATCTCTGGCCAGAAGCCAGAAACATGCAATTGGAGGGAGGGGTAAAGGGAACAGAAATTTATGCTGAGCAGTTTGGCTAAGTATAAATATTCAATGGGTTATAGGAGGAGCTATGAATATTCATGAAGTAATGGCATGGGTATGCACAGTAGGCCAATGTGTATGAAACATGTGTCCCATTGAGAGAAGAGAAAGGAAGAAGCTGGTCAGGCAGGCGGGCAGGGAGGGTGGGTCCTCAGTTGAATCCTTTCAAACAAAAGAACAGCCTGCAGGCACAGGTAAGGGAACTGCACAGGATGGCTTGCCTAAGACATGCCCACAGCCCCACTGATAAGAAAGGCTACACAAGTGACTTGCCCAGTCAGGCTTGCAATGGAAAATTCCATCCCCTGACACATGTGCAGTAAGGGGAACAAAGAAATATGGAGTAAGTCAAGCTAAAGCCTGTATGCACATTAGGAGGATGAGCTGGAGCTACCAGAAATTCATGCCTTATGCAAATGAGACACCCAGCCCTCAATGTTTTCTTATAAAAGTCTTTGTATTCAACTGTACAAATGGTAACCCTCTTCTGGGCCCTCTCTCCCTGTCAGAGAGCTTTCTTCTTGTGCTTATTAAACTTTCACTCCAACCTCACTCTTTGTGTCCACGCTCCTTAATTCTCTTGATTGTGAGACAAAGAATTCTGGGTGATACCTCACAATGAGAGACTGCTACACTGTGGTGCACTGGTGAGACTGCAACACCATGTTCACTCTAGGGTGAAGATTTAACATTTGAATGTATTACAATTAGGCCTTATAAATCAAAAGGTAAAGCAGAGGACATAAAAGCCCTCTGTGCTCAGTCTCCGTAGAATGGCCAGAACCATTCTGTGGTTGGTGGTCTCTAATCAGGAAGGAATGCTGGTGGGTTGCCCTGTCAAAACTACAGAAGGGAGGGCAGCAATGGTTTATATGGTTGATATCAGCAGTGGAGCAAGTTTTTCAAAATGGCTAGTTTCTCTTTAACCCTTAGGGAAGGCTAATGATGGTTAGCAAAGGAGTAGGTATAATGAGATGTGTCTGATCCCGCATCCCCTCATGGCTGGGAACTCGTTTATTTTCGTGTTTTGTTTTTGAGACAGGGTCTTGCTCTGTCAACCAGGCTGGAGTGCAGTAGTTTGATCAAAGCTCAGTGCAGCCTTGACCTCCTGGACTCAAGTGATCTTCCTTCCTCAGTCTCCCAAGTAGCTGGGACTACAGGTATGCACCACCATGCCTGGTTAATTTTTCAGTTTTTGAAAAGACAAGATCTCACAATGTTGCCCAGTTTTGTCTTGAACTCCTGGCTTCAAGCAGTCCTCCCACCTTAGCATCCCAAAGTGCTGGGATTGCAGGAGTGAGTCACCACACCAGGCCAGGGAATTTAGCTTTTAAGGTTTCTCTGGGGTCCCCTTGTCCAAGTGAGGGATCTGTTCAGTCAGTAGGGAGCTTGGGATTTTATTTTTATTTCTCAAATGCCTCAGTACTGGCTGCCTCTCCTCCTAAACTTTCACTCAATCCATACTAGATATTGTCACATAACTCTTACTTTGATCACATGACAGTGCTACTTTGTCAGTAACCTTCAATGGTTTTTCATGTTTATTAAGTAACAAAATTCCCAGCCTTGGACTCATTATGATGCTAATATCTCTCTAGCTTTATTGTCTACTATTATACTATATCCAATGCTTCAAACTAAATTACTCAGCCTTGCAATCTCAATGCCTATGTGACATAATCTCTCATTTTAAAAGTACAGATTCCCATTTCAGATTATAGAAATTCTAAGTATTCCACAGGGTTCACCTTCTTTCAGATGTCGCACTCTCTCGGAAACCTTACGCACTTACTCCAGAGATGTAAGCACTTTCCTTGAAAATCTTATTCACAACCTGTATCTCTCTTAAAGCATTTATCTTACTGTCAGATTTATTTTGCCATTGTCTGTAAACTTATCTTTTCTTACAACAGTTTGCAAGCAAAATCTAGTAATGCCTTGACTACCACTACATTTCAATAAATAATTATTGACTCAATTTTATTCAATTTTGAACTCTTATCAAAGCTCTCAAATTTGCTATCTGTGTTCTTTGGGCAAGCTTAGTATCTTTACAGATGGTGTAATTCCATTGGAAGTTTCTTTTCTTTCTTGAAGGTCATAAAACAAGGATGGCCCAACATCTCATACTGAAAACAGTTTTCCATCTAATTTTTTGATCAACTATAAGATTATTCTATAAGACCAAAGCAGGAAGCCTATAAATATATATTTACTATTGTCACACTAATAATTAGTCTAGCAAAATAGTATGCTTATGTTATTGTTCTTTAGGATAAACTGACAATGTAATGTTGCAGTTTACTTAAAAAACAATACTTACTATTATAACCACACTTTTAGTTTTTTCATTTACTAATTCACTACTTTCTATAATCAGAGTCAGTGTCAATTGTTTTCCCATGATCTTATGTAATTTGAGCTTTAGCACCATCATCACATATATGTATGAAAAGAATAAGGTTCCAGATCTAAAGGCAACATCTGGTGCTTCCTTTCCTCAATTACTCTCCTAAAATCAAGACATAGGAACAAGGTTGCCCAAAACTCATTCAAGTCTTCCCATCTTGCCCATTATGTGTCAAATAGTTGTGTGGTACCCTCACAGCATGTATCCTAGGCTCTGAGAAAAGTAAGAAAAATCCATATTTATGGAATATTCTAAGAAGTTTGCCCATATTAGCTGATATAATCCTCACAACCGGCTTATTCTTTTTCCGTTTTATTGGTGAAGAAACAGATTATATTTTACAGATGAAGAATCTCAGGCGGCCTGGCTCTAGAGCCCACTGCAAAGCACCACATGTCAAGTACTGGCATTCATTATTCATTCTTCCTGCTTCTGCTCCGGCCCCACTTTGTCTATTCACCACATGGAAGCCAGCATTATTGTGTTAAAACATGTTAGGTTATGTTGGTCCTCTGCTCAAACTCTGCAATGGTCCCCTTCTTACTCAGAGTAAAAGCTAAAGTATTTTCAGCAGCTTTCCACGCTCTATGTGATCTTCTTTCCCATCCTGTATCTCTTTGACCTCACCTCACACATTCACTCCACTCTGGCCACACTGTCCTCCTGACTTCTTCCAATATACTAAGCATACTCCAGCTTTGGCACTTGCTGTTCCTCCAGCCTGGATTGCTAGGTGACTGTCACCCTCATCTCCTTCAAGTCTGTATCCAATGTTAACTTTTAAATGCAGCCTTCTCTGTCCATTCTACTTAAAAACTATAAATCCCTCCCTTTTCTGGAAAACCCTATTTCCCTCCCCTGCTTTATTTTCCCCTACACACTTACCATCATATTATATATTTTACTTATTTATTCCGCTCCTGATCTGTTTCCCCCCAACTAGAACGTCCTCTGTGAAGATAGATTTTATTGTTTGTTCTTTTGCCACTGTATTTCTACTGTATCTAGAATAGTACTTAGTATGTAGTAAGTCCCCAGAAAATATTTGATGAATTAACTAATTAATTAATTCAAATATCTATATGGAAGTTGGAGCTGATGTTGAGAGACTGAAAAAGAATGGATGGCTACAAGTCTTACAAGGAGGAATACCTCAGAGGCCTGGAACACGGAGGGTAGGGAGGATTAATACTAGGACAAGGAATAAAAAGGAAGAAGCTGTCTTGGGTTAATGCTTGGTCTTCAACTCCAGGGATTCTTATTTGACCTTTGTGTATCTTCCTTTAGGACTAGGGTTCATAATTTTGTCTTATGCAAAGACAAAGTTAAGAACCTCTTTTGGCAGCCTGATGGAGCCTATGAACCCTTCTCAAAGCAATGTTTTTAAATGCATAAAATACATAGAATTGCAGGAAATTAATTACTCTAAAATAAAATTATCAGAATATTTTATATTTTGTGATATAATGTACATATTTATTAAAATGTAGCAGCTGATTTAATAACTCTTATAATTTTAAAATAGCAATGACTGTAAATGATGTTTTAAGATATGTACAATTGTAATGCAATGTGAAAATGTTTGCAATTTCTGGTGGTTGCTAAGTTAACTACTATATTAACACATAGCTATAACAGTGATTAGTTGTTTATATTTATGGAATTCTAATATTCAGTCAGATATTAGTGAAAATAAACACGATTCTTTTTTTCTCATCCAAGTTCACAGACCCCTTGTCTTAGTCCGTTTGCATTGCTATAAAGAAACATCTGAGGATAGGTAATTTATAAGGAAAAGAGGTTTATTTGGCTCATGGTTCTGCAGGCTATACCAGAAGCATGGTACCAGCATCTGCTTCTGATGAGGGCCTCAGGCTGTTTCTACTCATGGTGGAAGGTGAAGGGGAAGTGGCATGCAGAGATCACAGGGTAAGGGTGGAAGCAAGAGGAAGAAGGGAACGATGCCAGGCTCTTTTTAACAAACAGTTCTCAAGGAAACTAACACAGTGAGAACTCAGTCATTACCCTGAGGATGCCACCAAGCCATTCATGAGGGATCTGCCCCCAGGACCCAAATGCCTCCCACTAGGCCCTACCTCCAATGCTGAGAATCACATTTCAATATGAGATTTGGGGGAGTCAAGCAAACCAAACTAGAGCACCCCTGAATTCTATTCCCAAAAGCCATAGGGGTCTGTAGACATCAGGATAAGAACCTTGCTCTAGGATTAGTCTCAGGGTACACCCAAGGGGGAAGAGGATCAAAATTAACTACACCTTCACTATCACAGAAGCAGAAGGAAAAAAAGAGACAACAAAGAAAAACAAAACAAAATGATTTTTTTCCAAATTCCTTTAACTAAAGGCAATCTTTTTCACCTTATAACTAGAAAATAGTCTGAAAAATGCAAGTATTTATGAGTTTTGGTGTATCAGTATGAATAAGCTTTAATAACAGGACAATGTTACTTTCTAACATTGATGAGAAATTCAAAAGCAGGAAAGCATAGAAGCCTCCAAATCAGTGCAAAGATCTGATGCGGTGGGGAAGGGAGGGTGCTGGAGTGAGTAGTCTGGAAATAAAGAAAACAAAATAATGAAGGCTAGATTTATGGAGTCCTGTTTATCTTTTTTCTCTTCCCTAAAAAGTAAAAGCTATGTTTCAAAGTTCTTTATGTTCTCTTCAAGGTCCCTGAAAGCAGCTTAGCAAGAATTATGGTCAGGAATTTCTCCTTATCCTGGTTGTCATCTGTAACTTTTGGCAACAAAATTGGAAAATACTTCATACCAGATGCCCTCTTTTGGAGATTCACAATGCATGTCAGCATTTGACATGTTCTAGAGTCCTTTAGTACACAAATCTGCTTAACTTCATTTAAACCAGTATTTCTCAATCTTATTTGATCGTAAATTTTTTTCCATTTAATATATGTCTATTATTGCAATTATAAGACTTTATTGCAATTATTGACAATACAATTCTTTTCTTCAACTAGGACATAAATTCCTCTGGCTCAGCAAAGGTGTCTTGTTCATGTTTTCATTGCTAGTACTAAGAACTATTAATACTTCATATGCACTTTGAAAGTCTGTAAATGTTTGGTTGGTTAGTGGTTGGTGGGTTGGCTGACTGAATAAATGAATAAATCAGAGACAAAAATACTTCAGGCCAACTTTACTGTGTATATTATCTCTGTAACATGTCAGGAACCTTTAGAAGCCTTTTGAAGTAAGTTTAACAGTGAAAAGGATAACAAAGAAAAAATGGCTGTTAACAGCTAACTCCCCAGTGGAAATCTACATACATACTTATGTTTAAACCAAAATAATAGTAAAACTTTCCAGAAGAAAGGTATATTTCTATTCTAATCATTTCTGTAGCTCTGAAAGTAGAGATTATAGTGTTAATAATTCAAAGAGCCATTTCATTTGCATTCTGTGTAGTAATAAGTGTAACATCTCAGCAAGTGTCACAATTCCTAGAAGTAAATTATGTTAATTAATTAGTAGGAAGGCTTAAAGGCCAAAACTGGAAATAATCCCAAAAAGTCTCTAAATGTTGCCTTTAATTACTTAGATCAAGTTTATGGGTGATAATAAAGTAATACAAAGATCCATAGATTTACAGGTTTGGAAAAATACATATATATTGGTTGGATTTCGATCCTGTAAGGTTATAAAGAATGTGTTTCCATAGTCCATCTGTTTTTAGATTTTAGTCAATTAATTCCATCCACACATGAATCTCCACAGCAGAACTAATAAGAAAGCAACATCTGCTGGTTATAGTAGGGTGAAATATAGCATTTTTTGTTTTTACAAAACTTGAGTTTTTAAAAAATCTACAAAATTAAAATTAACACTGAAGGAGCAGCATAAGACCTCATTATTGCCACACCACTACTTTAAGAACAAAACCAGACATACTCAAGACCTTTTTCATCAAAGACTAGGGGGTTCCAAATTTACTAAAACCTAATAGATGCCAAAGTTAAAATAGTTTAAATTCAAGATTGCATGCATTTTTGCTATTTCTACCTCCTGCTTTTGAGAGTAAAAGCTATTTATATGTACGTGATATTTAAATCTCTGGAAAAGCTCCAGAGAAACATTGAAACAATGAATAAAGGCTTTGGTGTTTTAATTACTGTTACTGTATATATTCCAAAATAAAACAAACATTTCTATCAAGAATTTCTTCATCTATAGTAAATAAACTATGTACTTGCTTGTGCCCATGTCCAAATTACCAAGTTCTTCCAGTTCTCCTTCCAAAATATATTTCAAAACCTTCCACTGTTACCATCCAAGCCCAAGGTCCCATTATTTCTAGTCCGATTTCCTTTATTTTCCTCCAACAAATTTTCCACATCATAGCCACAGAGCTTTTTAAAAATACAACCTAGATGTCATTAATTCTTTATTTAAATTTTCCATGGAGCTTCCTGTTGCACTCAGAGTAAATATAAACTAGTTAATGTGGCCTTCATACTCTGGCCTAAGCAATCTCTTTAGTTACCTTGTAGGCTACTTTCCTCTTTGCATTGTAGGCTAGAGCCAAATTAGACTTCCTTGAATTCCTAGAATATGCTAGGTTCTCCCCAGATTTAGGGCCTCTACAGGCTTCAGAATAAATGAAAATCTTTCAGGAATTCCTCTACTTCAGCTAAGCTAGAGCCTCCTGTTATTAATATAATTTCTTGCACAATTATCAGATTCTTCTAAAAGACTTGGCATAGTTGTAATATATACAACTATGTAATCATTTGTTTAATAACAATATTCCTCACTAGACTATAAATTCCATGTGGACAGAGCCAATGTCTATCATGCTCAGTCCTCAATACCCAACACCCACAGTGTATTTAATAATTTTAGTCAAATAAAACTGAGTAAATCTCAATCTAACAAAAATGGAGGTAAAAGGGCAAAAATCCCTTAAAGTGAAATTTATTTCTAGTTTACCCAAGTCTGTATACCACAGGGAATCTCTGAGAGTTTTATTCCTAAGACTTTTCTATATTCTCCACTACACTAGAAGATATGCCTGAATATATGAAAGTATTGTTGATATTATTCCAATTATTGCTTGAGACTGAAGCCTCCATTCCAGAAATGTATGTGTCAACCTAGAACCTAGAGAGCATCCCAATGCTTGGTTCCTAAGTGAGGTAATAGTAAACATTATCGTGGCAAAATAATTCTGTATCAGATGTGTTGGTGCCCCGTGGGGGTTGGAACATTGGTATTCATCTAGAAACTATGTTCTAAGTTTGTTGTTTAGATAGTCCTTCTGTGGTAGTTTCAGATGCTCTAGAACAAATCATTCATAATATTTAAATACACACACACACACACACTCCATCAGAATAAAGGAGTACACTGTAAATGCAATGTGCCAAAACAAGAACAATATGTTACTACAAAATGACAGTTACTACAAATTTGCCAGTTACGTCATAATCACAAATAAAATGGGGAAAAAAGAAAGCAGGGGATGGGGAGGAGGTTCTGTAATCAGAGGCAATATAATACCTCTAGAGAATCACACACTGAACAATTATCAGCTACCCTGCCCCAGTCGTTCTCTCCCGTTTCTGCTTCATTCCCCTGGCCTCATCGGGGCTTCCTTCCCCTTTGTTTGCAGGCCACATTAAATAAGACTTTTAGGTATATTCCAGGTCACGGGACTATCATATTCCTACCATAGTCTATTGAATCCCTCATATAGATCATAAGCTCTTTTTTTTTTTAATTTTTCTTTTGCAAGCTCCAGTTCAGCTCCAGATCATTAGTTCTTTCAGATCAAAGAACATATCTCATGTTTTCCCTTTCTTTTTTAAATTCCAGTTTATCAAAGCATAATGTTTTGCTTGGAAGACTGTATGAGAGGATACAATTACCATATTTGGTGAACTATATGATGAAGTAATATTTAAAATAAATCTGGAAACATAATAAACATTTTTGTAAAATAATTTACCACAGCACTATTTATCATGTATCTGTTAAAAATGCTGTTTAAATGGTTTTATAGGGGAAAACATTATTTTGTTCCTATATTTACAGTATGTCATACCTAGGAGGCTGAGATAGTATAAAGTTCTTTTTGCCTTTAATCCAATCAGTTAACGTTTCTCTGGGTTTTGACTTTCTATCCATAATACAAGTAATCATGATATAGGAAATATAAGGTAAAAACTGTCATCTATCTTGTTGCTTTTGGATCAGCTTACAGCTAAATCACCTGGAAAAAATATTATGCAATCTCTACTTTTAAAACTTAACAGAGAATACTTTTCTATTTAATTTTCAAAAGTCATTAGATTTGCACATGTTTTATGCCCTGGTAATATTGTGATAGGATCACGAACATGTAATAAAACAATATGATATAATGGTTAAAGGCATGAAGTTGAGAGCAACAATGTGAAGATTTGAATCCCAGTTATGATACTTAATGGCAGGAACAACCAGAAAAGAGAAAAATCTTCATTTAAAAAATTTAGTTAAAAAATCCACGCATTACAAGAAAAGGATATATAAAATTCCAAACCTCTGACTTGTAAATTTGAATTACATCTTCTGCTTTTTCAGGAAAAGATTGCCGTTGATTCAATACTATTATATTTGAATAAAATTTTAATTTTCATAGAAAAATATGATACAATATTGTTTTATACAGTAGTTTAATGTCAACTGCTGTTTGTTACTCTCTTACTAGGTTGCAATGTTTCTTCTTTTTATATTCACAGAGAGAGTAATTATTTTCAACAAATTTGGGGATTGAGCATTATTTAACACCAAAGCAAAAGAAATCCAAGACACACAGTTATTCTGAAATCTAAGTATTTTCTAGTATGTAATTTTTACTAATTGTATTAAACCCCTTTCAGCCACCTCCTCTTCAAGAGAAATTCTTTTCTTTAGCCAGAATATTTTATTAAATGAAAATATTTATTTTAAAAATTAGTTGCTATTTACTTTGCTATTTACTTAATAAATTTGTTTTACTTAATAACTTTACTTAATAAATTATTTAATAAATTGCTATTAAATACTTTTAAAAAAGTCATTTAAATTCATTGTTAAAAAACATAGAAAATATAGTCAATCCCCACTGTTTGTGGATTCCATGTTTGTGAATTTACCTACTCACTGAAATTTATTTGTAACCCCAAAATCAATATTAATAGCACATGTATGGCCATTGGTAGACATGTGCAGAGCAGCAAAAATTTGAGTCACTCAAATGAGTACTCATGAGTACTCCCAAATGAGGGTGAACAAGGTGACACTCTCTGCCTTCTTATTTTAACTCTCACACTTCACACTTTAAAACAAATGTCCTTTTTTTTTTTTTTTTTTTTAAGTCAAGGTCTTGCTCTGTTGCCCTAGCTGGAGTGTAGTGGTACTGTCATGGCCCACTGCAGCCTTTAAGTCCTGGGCTCAAGTGATTCTTCCATCTTAGCCTCTTGAGTACTGAGTAGCTAGGACTACAGGCACAGGCCATCATGCCCAGCTAAGGTTTTTTTGTTTTTGTTTTCGTTTTAAATATTTTTAGAGACAGGGTCTCACTATGTTACACAAGTTGGTCTCAAACTCCTGGCTTCAAGTGATCCTCCCACCTCATCCTCCCAAGTTGCTGGGATTATAGGTGTGAGCCACTATACCTGGCTATAGGTGTCCTTTTTGCAGTGTACTTGGTGTTACATTTTTTGCATTTTTGTATTTTCTGTTGGTGACTTTACTATTTAAAACAGTTCCTGAGCATAGTGCCGAAGAGCTGTCAAGAGTCCTAAGTATAACAGTGCTGTGATGTGCCTTATAAAGAAAATATATATGTAATGCAGGCATCATTCAGGCATGAGTTACAGTCATGCTGGCCATGAGTTCAATGTTACTAGATCAACGATATTTATTTAGTGTCTTTAAACAGAAATACACACAAAACAAGGTTATATATTGATCATTAATATATTTGTTGTGACCACAGGCTCACAGGAACCTAACTCTGTATTTCTCCTAGGAACAATAGTTCAGTATTCACCAAGTCAGTGTTCATGGTAACTTTATAGAACTTAACTACTGTAAATAATGAGAATGAACTGCACAGGAGTAAAAAAAAAAATCTCACCCATAGTACTACAGCCTCGAGTACCTCTTCCACCACATGGTTGCCAATGCTGGATTTTATCTATTTTTTTAAATTTTGCCAACCTCACTGGTTTAAAAAGTTGTATTATTCCCCTTTAATATGCATTTCCCTGATCAATAAGGCTGAACATATATGAAATAGGCATCTTTCCTGTGTATCACTCCCCATTAATTTTTTCTCTTTTTTGTCTTTCTTAAGTACAGAATTATAACCAACTAATCTTTAAACATGCCAAATGCTAAAGGAAGGAAGAGAACAAGAACTGAAAAATTTTCCTGGTCTTTAGCTGGTTGATTGTCCAAAGAGATTTGGGTCAGTGTTTAGCTCTGGCCAAAAGAGACCCATCCTGGTCAGACAGCAGTTGAGCTGTCTCATAAAAACAATAATCTTGGGAAAAAATATAAAAATAAAATAAATAAATAAATATATATATATATACACACAAACATACACACACATACAGGGTGTAAGCTTGTTAAGCTAATTTCCAGTTAATAGGTGCTCCAGATTACCCAGTGCTATACATTCATTCTCTTTGTAATACATATTGATTGGTGGTAATGAGCCCACAGATGTCCACAGCAGTAAGCTTTCTAGTATGTACAAGCATATCTTTTGAAGATCTATACAGTTAATTATACTGATCTTGGAATTTCAAAAGTGAATTATGAGAAAGGAAAACCTTAGTCCTCTTCAGGCTTTGTAGTTTAGGGGACAAACCAAGTATAAAGAATGAGAAAGTGCTCTTCAAGATAAAACGTAGGAAGACATGTTAGAAGCAAGTGGTTTGGAAAGGGAGCTTATATCATGGATTAAAATTAGATGAGTAGACATCCAAGAAAAAAGTCTCAATATTGATCTCCATTGTTAGCCCCTTTGAAAAGACTGGTCTTTCCTTTCCTAACCTGCTCTCTGAGCCTGCTGAAGAAAAGAAGGGAACAGCCTTGTTTGAAACATGACTATAGAACCCGTGTGGCTCTTCTGAGTCCCCTGAGTTCCTTTATTGATTTCAAAACCATGAAGGCTTTTGTTTGAATTTTTGCCATTTCAAAAAATGATAATAGGTCCAAGTTATTGTTAAATTCTCATAAGAACATCAAACATTTTCTGACTAGAAGACACTAAACATCTGGTATAATTTGCTTCTTAGGATAACTTTATTTAAAAAGAGAGGAAAGAGAAAAGAAAAAGGCTTTGTAACTTTCTCCAGGACCATGTCAAGAAACAAAGGTATTGATAATGCAGGATATTTTCTTGATCCCTTCATGAGACCCATGACAGCGGTGCCCCATTTACTCAGCCTGCCATGCTCAATGCCTTGTGGGAGGGCATGCGTAGGTGAGCAAATGCAGGAACCAGCTGGCCACTTTGGCACCGGCAGAAGCAAACTCCATGCAGGCCCTGTGGCAGCATCCAAGTGGGGGTGCCTGCAATGCCAAGACCCCAGAGGGTGTGTTACAATGCTCTCTTAGCTCCACCACCTGTGGACAGCAGTGTGTTACCAGCTCAGTGGGCCCTTTGCCTTATGTGGGGCAGCTGCCCTCCGCCAGTGAGGGCAAAGGGCCAGTGTGACAGCCTTTTTGGGTATTCACACTTGGTGGGCCCCGAATTCTTGTCTGGTGCCCAAGAAGAATGAAGTCACACAAATGAATTGAAGGATGGTGAATGCGGATAATTTCACTGAGCAATGAAAGTAGCTCTCAGTGGAAAGGGGAGCTGGAGGGGAAGGGAAGGGCAGATCTCTCCCCTGAAGTCAGGTTGCCTCTCTCCCTCTCTCCTTGAAGTCAAGCTGCCTCCTTCTGACATCCAGCCATCATCTCTGAAGTCAACTCACCTCTTCTAGATATCCAGCTGCTTCTCCCCTCTACTGGCTGAGTCTGGGGTCTTTATAGGCACAGGATGGGGGGCAGGGTAAGCCATAGGTAGTTTTGAAAAAGGCAACATTCAATTTGTAAAAAGACATTATTCAGAAAGAACCAATCAGGAAAGACCAGGCAAATAGGGATAGAAGTTCTCACTTTGGGCCACGGGTTTCAGGTTTTTTGGCTTGAAGGTGAGGCTTCACCAGGGACTCACCCCTGTCTGCCTAGAGTTTCTCTGCCTCCTACCTCTATTATTATTTATTTTGTTGTAAAGAGAAGTGACAGGTACTAATGTCAAAATGAAACAAAAAAAAAAGGAGAGGTGACTCATTTTTTCAAGGTTGCTAAATACTAGCTTAGCATCTTATTTGAGCTTTAGAAAGCAAGGCCCACCTGGGAAGCCAGAAAACAGTTAGTTTTAAAGGTAGGCTAAGGCAGATGAATGGATAAGTGATGAATGGTTAAAGAAAATGTGGTATACATATACAAGAGAATATTATTAAATCATAAAAAGAAGGAAATCCTGCCATTTGTGACAATATGAACATGGAGGACACTATGCTAAGTGAAATAAGTCAGAGAAAGACAAGTACTAAATGATCTCACCTATGTGTGCAATCTAAACAAGTCAAATTCATAGAAATTGAGAGTAGAATAGTAGTTGCCAGGGCTTGGCAGATGGAAGAAATGGAGAGATGATGGTCAAGGGTATAAACTTTCAGGTATAAGATAAAAAAGTTCTAACTTCTGGGAATCTAAAGTAGAGCATACATACTGTACCTGAAATTTGCTAAAAGAGTTGTGATATTGTGAAATATACATTTGATCTTTGTCTAAACACATTTGGTCTTAGTCCTGGGATACAACTCCTAGAATCTTTGGAATCTTCAAAGTGATAAGTACCTTTTTGTATGCTAATGAGTTTACTGATGGCTGACACCACCCAGGTAGCTTCAGAATGAGAGCTGTTCACCAGAAAGATCAATGTATGATCAGAAGGGACTTTCAGCTCTACTTCCTAACTTTTCGGGAGGGAAGAGAAGCTGAAGGTTAAAGCCAATCATCAGTGGCCAATAATTTAACCAACCATGACTATGAAATGAGACTTTCATAAAAATACAAAAGGACAGGGTTCAGAGAGCTTCCAGATAGCTGAGCAAATGAAAGTCCCTAAAGGGTGGTGCACCCAGAGACAGCATGGAAACTCCACACCCCTTCTTATACATTTCCTTTGCATCTTTATATCCTTTGTAATATCCTTTATAATAAAGCAGTAAACGTGTTTCCCTTAGTTCTGTGAGTTGCTCTAGCAAATTAATCAAACTCAAAGTGGGGGTTGTGGAAACTCCAATTTATTTATAGCAAGTCAGTAAAAGCACAAGCAAAACAATCTGGGAATTGCAATTAGCACAGGAAGTGGGGGCAGTCTTGTGGAATTGAACCCTCAACCTATGGGATCTCTAGGTAGATAATGTAAGAATTGAATTGAATTAGAGGGCAACTAGCTAGTGTCTGTTGAAGAATCCGCTACAGAATTGATTGGTTGTTGGTAGGGAAAAATCCCCACACACTTCTTGGTGACCAAAAGTCACAGAGGTCTTTTCTGTTGACTGTTGTGATATAAAAGCAGAAGAATAACAGATTTTTTTTGTTTTTGTTTTTGTAGAGAGTAGCTCTTCAATGTCCTCACCACATACACAAAAGTTGTAACTGTGAGGTGATGGATGTACTAAATAACTTGACTGTGATAACCATTTCACAATATATGTATATCAAATCATCATTTGTACACCTTAAATTTTTATAGTTATATTTGTCAATTTTGTCAATAAAGTTGAAAATAATAAACCAGAGAGAAATATATGCAAAGAAATCAAAACTAAGCAATATTATACTTTATTGTTTATTCTGACAACAAACCCAAGTATAGCACTCCAATAATAACAAATAATGGAGAAGACTTCTATATTCCTAAGCAATGTCTGTTGAAATGGTCTCGACTTTCACTGTCCAATATGGTAGCCACATGTGGCTATTAAGCATTTGATATTTGGCTAGTTAGAATTGGGATGCACTCCAAGTGTAAAATGCATGACAGACTTCAAAGGTTTAGTGCAAAAAAGGAAAAAGATTATAAAATATTCCATTAATAATTTTTGTATTGATTATATCCTTAAAATATTTTGGATATATTAAATTAACTATATTGTTAAAATTAATGCCATCTGTTTCTCTTTGATGTGGCTACTAGAAAATTTCAAATGTATTACATTATATGTAGCTTGTATTACATTCGTATTGGATAGTGCTGACTGAAAACTATCCAAATTGTAAAATCTGTTCTATTTGCAGCCCCCCTTCCATTGTATTCCTTTAGTCTCAGAACTTAACACAACAGTAGGATAAAAAGTCATATAAGAAAAACGTCAAAGAAAGGAAAAGTATTTACCCCATTGCCTTCTCCCCTTTGATATATTTAGGAAAACAAGACTGTTACGTACATTTGAATCAATTGCATGGTGTAGCCTTTTTGTGCTGGTTGCGGCTTCACTGTTTACTTCCTCACCTGCCACAGCTTAAAGCAGCACTATAAGCTGCACTATGCTTTTCAATATGATGCCACTCCTTCCTCTAGGCACCAGCAGTAGTGGTAAATGTGTTACACATTTATACTTCCCTTTTCTACCCACACCACCACCACCCAAAGCTTTAATATGTACTAAATTTCCTTAAGTTTTGGGATATAGAGGATTTATGCCCCAGAAACACAAATATCTCAGACTTAAATTTTAGAAATTATGTTCTGAAAATTCCTTCACCCACCCAGATGCTAAATTCTCTTTCCCCAGGCTCAGCCTCTGCTGGTGGCTTAACTGCTTTTTTCCCTTTTATTTCTTATGTAGAACAGTTTAGCTACACTTTTAGTTTCTTACCGTAGTACAACTTATTCCCCTAGAGCCTCACCTACTTCCCTCTGTATCCTAAATGACTTTGCCTACATTTCTCTATACAAAACTTTTCCTGCTTGAAAAGAACTACTGGACCAGGTGCAGTGACTCATGCTTGTAATCCTAGCACACCGGATACTGAGGCAGGAGGATCACTTGAACTCAGGAGACCAGCCTGGGCAACATGGTGGTACCTCCTCTCTACAAAATATTTTAAAACTTAGCCAGCCATGTAGCACATGCCTATAGTCCCAGCTACTCGGGATGCTGAGATGGGAGGATTGCTTGAGATGGGGAGATTCAGGCTGCCACTGCAGTCCAGCCTGGGTGATAGACCAAAACCCTGTCTCAGAAAAACAGAAAAACAAACAAACAAAGCAAAGCAAAGAAAAAATAATAGTATTTCCTGTTAAGGCATTTAAAAAATTTTTCCAATTTTGAATTTTTTTTTTTTTTTTTTTTTTTTAGTAATATAGCCCAATGCCAATCAATGCAGCCTGCCAAAAGTCTTCATCTACAGTAGCCCTGGGAAAGAGGAAAAATCCTTTGCAGAGAATACCCATTCCCATTAGAAGTAATCTCAGTGTTTATCATTAATTCCACTGGAAGTAGGAAAAAACACAAAAATAAGAGACTAAGATTTCAGATGACGTGAGATACCACTTTTGAATGCAACTCCATCCTTAAGATAAATGCCCTGGATCTTAAATACAACTTTTTCTCCTATAAGGGTGAAACTTCTTGCTGAAGATCCAGACTTTCCTTAGGGAAACTTGAAGGCAGATGGGAGGAGCTTTAATTTCCTATAAGTAGGAGCTCTTCATTTCTCTGGAACTTTCCTTCTTTGCCAAGCCAAATTTAACTCCTTCTTTAAATTATAGCTCCAGGCATCATTTCCTCAGGGAAGCCTTTTCTGAATAGCCTATTCCCTAGGCCTCAGCCCCACCCCACTCAACACAGACTGGGTTGGGTTCCTTCAGAGTAAAATCAGTCCTCCATATCCATGAGTTAATGCATCTGCAAAGTCAACCAACCACGGATCAAAAATATTTGGAAAAATAAAAAAATTGTACAAAGTTGCAAAAAGCAAAACTTGAATTTGCCATGTGCTAAGTACTACATTGAATCCACACAAATTAAGTGATGTGTAGGCATTGTATTAAGTAGTAATAGTAATCTGGATGTGAATAGGTTCCACGCAAATACTATACCATTTTATATAAGGGACTTAACTATGCGCAGATTTTGGTGTCTGAGGGGGTACTGGAACCAAGCCCCCAAGATACCAGAGGATGGCTGTATTTCCTGAGCATTCTGTACTTCTCACTAAGATAACCTTTATCATATCTTATAATTATTATGACTTGAGATAGGATCTCACTGTGTTGCCCAGGCTAGTCTCGAGCTCCTGAGCTCAAGTGATCCTTACACCTCAGCATCTAAAGTAGCTGGGACTATAGGTATGTGTCACTGTACCCAGCCTACAATACATTATTGCAATTTATTTGTCTGATTCTCCCAGTATACTGAGAGCTTCTTAAGGGTCTCAACTCCTCTTTGAATCCCCAATAAATAAACATGATATCAGGTTCATAGCAAGTGTTTAATAAATGCCTGAATTTATGAATAGATAATGACAGTTGAAATAAATAAATATTTACTCTAAATCTCCTATTCTGAAATGCGTTCCAATATACCTTATATGATGAAGAAGCTACAGAAACTTGATGGAAGGAAGGCTAAGGAGACCTTCCAAGACAGCTTTTTCCTCATTTTTTTATCATTTTGGTTTGCCTCCTTCATGAAAGATTTTCACAAATCATGAGTTTGAACACGGACTTACATTTCAGTTACGCATGTTTTCCCCAACCTCTATACTTTAGCTTTCAACCCATATGTTGTTTTGAGAAGTGGGCCTGTACTTAATACCTCTACCTGTAAATAATTCCAATGAAAGGATAACTTATAAAGCAAATGAAAAGTTAATTAAAAAATAAATCTAATTGACCTTTTGTGGATGTGGGTGGAAGTAGTTTAACTGTACTTCTAAGCTTTTATAACTTAATATAACATCTATTTAAAAATTATAAGTGAATATAAATAAACTTTATTACAGTTCAATTTTAAGAGGTATACAATTAAAAGGTAAATTATTTAGAGTGATTAACCATCCCACTTTTCCTGGGATTGGGGGATTTCTCAGGATGCTGGTCTTTCAGTGTGAAACCTGTGACAGTCCTGGCCAAATTGGGAACGGTGTTGGTCATCCAACTAATATACGACATTGAGATGAGGGTTTTCTTTCTTTTTCTCGGTTAGACAAATGTTTCTTCATTAAACACATGATCATTTTCTCCAGGATTATTTTGTAATCACTGAATCACTTAATAGGTATTACAAGTTATTGCATGCAAATCACTTCAAAGAAAATAAATTACTAACACATAACTTTTTTTATATATACTCACTGTACTTGGATTACTTTCAATTTTCTTATGTTAAAATGCATTTAAACCACTTAATACTTTCCTGAAAATGTATTTTTAAATTATTTTTACATTTGCTAAAGTTAACAAAATGCTTATAAAATAAATTAAGTTGATTACCTAAGAAAAATGTTTCTTTTACTATAAACTAGTAATAGAAATGCTTGGCACATGTTAATCTGTGGATATGCCTGTTATCTCTGGTTAGGTATAAATGCCTTCTCTAAGCGTTGTTATGTACTAAATTGACAGGCAGGAATATGAATTCACCTTCCATTTTCTCATCAATAGAGTGAGATAAAATCATAATAGAGTAGAGAGAACTCTGTTTTATTCCATTTCTACTCCGTAGAACTAAGGATTCTTCCATTTCCCTTTTTCTATTTCATCAATTTAACCTTCATCTACTCATCCACTTAAGATAAAGAGAAAAAAGGTAAACACATGGTAAATAACACCCGACTATTTCTCACCATGTCTATTACCACCATCCTGGTCCAACTCACCATCATCTTGTACCTGGATTATAACTTCCACTCTTGTCTTTAGACTATTCTCAATACACTAGTAACAATGATTCTTTTAAAATCAAATTATGTCACTCTTCTCTCCAAACTCTTCAATAACTTATGGTCCCAGTTAGAGTAAAAGCTAAAGTCATTATGAGGACCTATGAGATCTGCCCTGTCCCTCATCTCTCTGACCTTATCTTCTACCTTGCTCATTACATGGTGTTTCTAGATTACCTCAAGCAAGCTCCTCTCCCAAGGCCTTTGCACTGGCTGTTCCTTCTGCCTAGGATGCTCTTCACTGAGAAATCAGCATGGCTGGCTTTTTCAAGAGCTTTATATGTATATATGTTTACATATATTTATACATATTCAAGTCTTTATATGCATACAAATATATGGAAATATATTTGTATACCTATATACTGTGTGCCAGGTAGTATATGTGCCAGTAGAATATATAAATATATTTATATATATTTATATACACATAAACTTGAACACACATGTGCACACACCCAAATTTTTTTGAGACAGAGTCTCACTCTGTCAGTCAGGCTGGAGTGCAGTGGTGCGATCATGGCTCACTGCAGCCTTAACCTATTACAGGCATGTGCCACCATGCCTGGCAACTTTTGTATTTTTTGTAGAGATGAGGTTTTACCTTGTTGCCCAGTCTGGTCTGTTGTTGTTGTTTGTTTGTTTTATTTTTGTTTGTTTGTTTGTTTTTAAATAGAGACAGGGTCTTGCTATATTGACCAGGCTAGTCTTGAACTCCTGCCCTCAAACAATCCTCCCACCTCAACCTTCCAAAGTGCTGGGATTACAAGCATGAGCCACTGTCCCTAGCTAAATGTTTTCTTAAATATCACTTTCTTAGTGAGCCCTTCTCTGATGACTCCAACTTATAATCAAATCCTATCTACACTTCCTTAACTCAGGTTGCTTCCTTTCTTCATTTTCCATCATATGAAATACTATGTATTCTATTTTTTATTTGTTTATTATCTGTCTCCAACTAGAATGTAAGCTTGGTGCCCTGTGAGGAGATTTTATCTCTCTGTCTCTCTCACTTTCTCATTTGTTTTGTTCACTGGTGTATCCTTGGTGCCTAGAATACTGCCTGGCACACAGTAGGCACTCAAACATTTATGAATGCATGAATGATTGAAGGGCAACTATGAAGTCCTGTAAGTCAGCTTTTCTTAGCTTCCTGGAAACTAAAATTCCAAAGTTGAAATTTTCTTTTAAAATAAAAATAATGAAATCTGTTTAAAAAGTAAAGGAAAAGGAAAAAACCCCAAGGAAATGGTAATATATTGATTCTGAATAGTAATTTGTGTCTCAGTGTGACCAAATTGACCAGACCTGCTTAGAGACTTTGTTCTGTTAAGACAATAGAGGAACCCCGGGCTGAGACCTCAGGACTATGGCGAGGAGAGGAAGGAGCTAAACAATATAATCTATTTCTTTCACATTTTCAGTGGAGCTGGCCTTGACTTCACAGACAATGACATTTTATTTATTTACTTATTTTTGAGTTGTAAAAACTTGACATTTTAAGTTTTATTTTGAAAGAACTGTAAATTTATAGAAAAGTTACTAATAGACTACAGATAATTTGTTTTTGCTATGAATCGTTCAAAAATAAGTTGCTAATCTGATGCTCCACTACCTCCAAATATTTTAGTTTATATTTCTTACCAACAACTACAGCCTCCTATATAACCACAATACAGTCTTCATACTTAGACCCTGGTGAGGTTTCACTAATTATCTCAATAATGTCATTTATGGCCAAAGTATCCTGACTTGGAATCACATGCTGCATTTAGATATCATGTCTCTTCAGTGTTTTTCAGTCCTGAACAGTTCCTCAGTCTTTATTCAACTTTGTGACCTTTATATTTCTAAAGATTAGAGGCCATGGGCATGTCATATTTCTGTATAATTGAATTCAGTTATAAATATTTGGCAGGAATATCACAGAAATAATGTTACATTCTTTTTATTTCATCCTATCTTGTGGTATATGATTTAATTTTCCTCCAATCTATGATATTCACTTTTATCACTACATTTTTTTAATATTTCTTATTGTCTGCCAGCCTATGTTAACATTATTAACTATAATGTTAAGGGTTTTTTTTTAATTAATAAATATTTTGTGGGAAGGGATTTTGAAACTATATATATCCCATTTTAAACAAAATTTTGATTAATTAATTACTATTTGTCTAAAGTCTTGGTTTCCTATTTTAGTAACAATGAATAGATTATAACGTGTTGCTATCATGATTTACTTAGATGCTCAAATTGGTTTCGATTCAACTAGTGGAACCCCTTCAAGCTGGCTTCTGTGTCCTATTGATATGTCACCATTACTTTGGCATAAAAAGATTTTCCAAGATCATATTGTATTTTGCTTCCCCTAGTTCTGGAATTTGCCATTTCACTTCTCTGAGGATCTTCATTTCGTAGAGTGAAGAATGGTATTTAGAAGTCAAGATCTGGAAACTAGGTATGTTCTTTGCTATGGAATATGTGTATGGGAATACATGCATATATATATATAGAGAGAGAGAGAGAGAGAGATGTATTTTTCTGAGTGTGTACACATACACACATTTATATCTTTTATTTCTACATTTAATCTGTGTATATTGAAAGCCATGCCTTCATATCATATCTCCAATTTCAATTCGAACACAAAGTTCATTGCAGTTTTCTCATTTTCTGTATTTGTATATCTCTCCTCTGAGAGAAATCTGGCTCCTATTGTCTTTAATTTATCTAGTTATTTGATGAATTCTACCACATATAACCAACCTCCCATATCTGTCATCATCTATTCCCCATGAAGATGCTCTTCTCATCTCACACAGGCTTCAATATCCTGACCCAGGCGATGCCTCTCACCTGGATGCCTTGGTCATGCCAATCAGGCTCTGACACACCAGGCCAGATCTCCCTTCTGTATCAATGCCCATCTGGCACTGGGCTGCCTCCAAGTGTGAATGCTCTCTTCACCTCACTCAGGTTCTGACTCCCCATGCCAGGCTGCTCCCCAGGATCACAGGCCCTCCTCTCTGTGCATAAGATCGGGCACCCTATGCCAGGCCATTCCTTCTACAGGGAAACCATGCTTACCCCACCTGGGCTCTAAAACCCCATACTAGGTTGTCTTTCCAAGTCTGAACCTTCCTCATCTTACGCTAAGCTGTCTTCAGGTGTGGATGCTCTCTTCTTCTGAGATTTCCTGTTTAATAGATTTTGGATATTCATATATGTATATATATGAATATATACATATATACACACATTTATACATATATATTTAACAGATCTGTAATATTTTACATATCATGTCATACTACAATATGAGTGGTGAAAACAAGGCAAATTCAAAAGTCTGGGGGAAATCCTGGACTTTTTTTCTTTAATAGGACCATATTCTATTTCGAAAAATCTATTCATTTGTCCAGTACATGACTCTAGATGTATTCTTCCATTCATTTGTTCCACCATCAACTATTTATCAAGTGTTTTCCACATTCGAGGTACTCTGCTACATGCTAGAAATACTAAGATGAATAAAACATGATCTTGGGGAACAATTTCAGGAAGTAGACAGACGGTAAATAAATAAGTACAGTAAAATTTAACAGGTGATATAAAAATAGTATATATAGGGTAAAATAAGGCCACAAAAGAGGAAGTAGCCATTCTGTCTGAGGGTGGTGGGACCAATATTTAATTCTCAGGTGCTTGGGCAAAGTTTCAATAGCTGAGGAAGTTTCTCTGTCAATAAGACAATAAGAGAAGGATATAGAAACAGAAGAAAGAAGAAAGACACTGGTTTATTAAGGAAGAATAAATAGTGTGATATAATATATAATTTTTTTTTCTTTAGACAGAGAGAGTATCACTTTTTTGTCCAAGCTGGAGTGCAGTGGTGCAATCTCAGCTCACTGCAACCTCCACCTCCCGGGTTCAAGCAATTCTCCTGCCTCTGCCTCCTGAGTAGTTAGGATTACAGGTGCCCGCCACCATGCCTGGCTAATTTTTATGCTTTTAGCAGAGATGGGGTTTCGCCATGTTGGCCAGGCTGATCTTGAACTCCTGACCTCAAGTGATCTGCCTACCTCAGCCTTCCAAAGTGCTGGGATAACAGGTGGAACCACCCTGCTCGGTCCAGTTTGACGTTAGTGGAGGGTAAAGTGCAAATGCAGAGGACAGAGGAAAGGCACAAAATGCAGCAAGAAATGAGGCTAGAAGTAGGAATGGCTGTTTCATGGAGGACTTTGAAAGCCTTCCTATGGAAGGTAATAGGGAGCCACTGCAGGGCTTTAAGCAGATATTTTAAATAAATTATAGAAATGCAGTCTTATCAGTCCACACATTATATTTTATTAAAACTTAATCTCATTATTACTTTGTAGATAGTAAATAGAAATTGCAAGTCTAATATTTCCCCCCTCCCTAATGAATTGTCTTGTGCACCCTCTCCTCTTTGGACACCACTTCTAGAGAGACCGAAAAAAATTTTGTTAATACATAATGAGCATTCCTTCCAGCTATAAGAACTGGAAGGGGAAGAATATGCCAAAAGCACAGACATCAATGATGAAATCATGTCAATCTGCAACATATATAGTTACAAACTGATTTAATGGTCACTGTTAGGCTGAACTTTCTTGTGAATCACTTTATAAAATAGCTCTATATCTTAGAAAATAATTTGTAAGAAGCAGGACCCATTTCGATAGAAAAAATATTTAAATAATAAGTTAGTACCAGGTGTTAGGTATATATATATAATATAGCCAGTTTATTCATTAGTTCATCAAATATTTATTGCATGGCCATTAGGTACCTGGCCATCTTCCAAGCACTAATTATATTTGCACATCTCATCACCAAGGGTCTTTCTTTAGATATGGGAGTGACTAGGCAATGAAGAAATGAATTTCTAAATTATTTTAAGATAATATAATACATGAATAGACTGGCACATCTGCACTTTAAGGTGAGATTACTATTTAATTATCAATTCTATCTCTTCCTAGAGCTAGATCATACATTCTTCAAAAAACAAACCTGTATTGGTTTGATCATTAATATAAACTTAGTAGCACCTAGCAGTTACTGGCATGCAGTAAGCATTCAATATCCATTTGTTGGCGAGGTGGAGAGAAAAGGGGGAAAGAAAAGAATGGAGAAAAGGAATCAAATGGATTTTGAAATTCTGAGACCAAAGGGAAAGAGCCATTTTATTGTCCTCAAAACATAGCTTGATTGTAACTACTATAGTATTTCTTCTGATTTGAAAACCCCCATCAAAGGCATACAGTCCTGCCTGACATCCTGGATCTCCACTTAGAAACAGAATGTAACTCAGGAGTCTGAGACACAAGATAATCAGTTCTTAGAAGTATATGCCTCCTCATTCAAAAGTTCATTAACTTTCAGGTTTTAAGATAAAAAGTATTTTTGTTATTATAAAAGTAATATAAGTACTTTAAAGAAATTTTGCAAAATATAGGAAAACAGAACTGAAACATTATCATATTTCCACCTCCTAAAGATAACCACTGTTAACATTTTACACGTTAAATCAGTTCCAAATTTTAAAATCCCTGTGGTGCAACTTTCTATAATGCTATGAGGAACTTATAGACAACTAAAATGAACCAAAAAAACACAGTAGAGTAATGCCATCCATACTTAATGAGACAAGATTCAGGGCCCTGAAAGAGTTTCAAGATTGAGCTATCATGAGGTTACGAGGTCCTTAAGGAAATATAACGTATTCTAGTCATCTTTTTTATGCCCCAGCAATAGGACCCAGGAGTGAGCCTTGCACATACTATTCACTCAGTAAATGTTCCTTGAATAAATACTTAGAAAAAAAATGGGAATCAGCATTGTTTTCTTTTCGAGACTCTTCTTTCTATGATCGTGAACCTGCTCACTCCCCAGCTCCTCCCGAATGACCCCATCCTTTATCATTCCTTGCGCTGAACATTAGTTCCAGCAGTAATAAAGAGCTTGCTGTAGCCCCAAAGTGTTGTTGTTTTAGGCATTCAAAACTTTAACCATATCATTTGCCACCTTCATCACTAAGATAAGTTCTAATTCCTTACAATTCAGCTCAGAAGCCATGTCTCCCCTGACATTTGTCACATATCTTAGTCCATTTTCTTTTGCTACAATATCTGAGACTAGGCAATTTATGGAGAAAATAAATGTATTTCTGCTGGGTGAGAGCATTTGAAAATATTTTTTAAAAGTTATTTCTGTAAGAAATAACTAAGTTCTGAAGGCTGGAAGGTCTGAGAGCACGGCACTAGCATTTGGTGAAGACCTTACTGTGTCATAACATGATGCATGATATCACATGGTGATAGGGCAAGAGTGTGCATGTCAGCTCAGGTCTCCCTTCCTCTTCTCATAAAGCCACTAGTCTCACCATGTGGGCCTCACCATGATGACCTTATCTAATCCTATTACCTCCCAAAGGCCCCACTTCCAAATACCATCAACATATACACATGGGGATTAAGTTTCCAACACATGAACTTTTCGTGGACACATTCAAACCACTGTGTCACACATTCCCAGGCTGAGCTAAGTGCTATATTTCTGGGTTCCTAGAGTACCCGCAAATATCTAACAATGCAATTGCCATATTGCATGGAAATTAGCCACTTACAGTTGTTTACTCACAGGCTAAGATCTTTGAGGCTTATATTATATCAACTTTATTACATAATATATATATATAACAAAAATAAAGATAGAAAAAAATATATAATTATGTGTGTATACACACACACACACACACACACACACACACATATATACGTGTAATTTTATAGCAATAGGGTCTCACTATATTGCCAAGGCAGGTCTCCAACTCCTGGCCTCAAGCAATCTTCCTGCCTTATCCTCCCAAAATGCTGGGATTACAGGTGTGTGCTACCATGCCCAGCCTGGGCTTCTATATATTCACAAATACTGACATGGGCTCAATAAATATTTATTGAATAAATGAGAGAACAAAAGAATGAATCATCTTATTTCTTTCCTTTTTTGTTTTAGTTTTTATCTCTTTAATTTACTTCTGTTTGTTAGGTCAAGCTGATCACTCACAGTTTTACTTACCTTAAAAAAAAGTACAGGCCGGGCACGGTGGCTCACGCCTGTAATCCCAGCACTTTGGGAGGCCGAGGCGGGTGGATCATGAGGTCAGGAGATCGAGACCATCCTGGCTAACAAGGTGAAACCCCGTCTCTACTAAAAATACAAAAAATTAGCCGGGCGCAGTGGCGGGCGCCTGTAGTCCCAGCTACTCGGGAGGCTGAGGCAGGAGAATGGCGTGAACCCGGGAAGCGGAGCTTGCAGTGAGCCGAGATTGCGCCACTGCAGTCCGCAGTCCGGCCTGGGCGACAGAGCGAGACTCCGTCTCAAAAAAAAAAAAAAAAAAAAAAAGTACAAAAACCCCTCTTGCCCATCAAACAGAAATCAGAAATTTAAAATGTTAAAAATGGCAAAAACTGTTACCTTTACTCATCTAGCCAAAAAGCAATCCCTTCCTAATTTATTATAATTAATTTTCAATAAACAGCATCATTACCAATTTCTCTCAATGGCCTTTGCAACAGAGTCACCTTGTAATCATTACTCTATCACAACCACATGTGTTATTTAAGTATCTATTCTTTCTCCCTGAAAAGATATAAAGGAGGTCCTGCCGACTTTCTCTATTGATGTCATCAGGTCTGTCTCTTTCTATTTCTAGAGCCTCTGACTTTAATCTCTTCCAATTTAGTTTGACCTAGTTGCATCAAAGTAACAATTCAGTATAGTCAAAATTAAGCTGCATACAAGGAATTCCAATTTCCTATGATATGGGATTCAAATTAAATAGAATTACAATTTTTATCCTGGCTTCTAAGGCTAAAATCACACCCATCTCTACCAGAATTCTCTACCATATTTCCTCTATCTAAGAAAATGTATTTCCTTGTGCTTCCAGCTATGTATTTCCCACTGAAGTCAAGAAAATATTCTTGCTGTATACCACAGTAAATTTGCAAATTCCTTCATTGGTGTTTTTGCACATGCTTTAGATCTTTTCTCATTCTCTTTGTGCCCTAATTTGTCTTTCATACCCCTGCTTATATCTCTCTTCCTTTAAGTTTTCTTAACTACTTTCAGGTCATATTAACTGCTCTGTTGCTACACAATCCAACATTTGGATTTTACTGAAATAACAATATCCTTATTTGCATGTGGCACTGTAAATGTTCTAAAAGATCTTTATGTATATACTTTTAGATCACTGACAACAGGAGTGTTGTTCTCCCCTACTGGGCTTAATCTAGCAGCACTTTGACACAAGATGATTTCTTAATAGATGCTGTGGATTTATTGTCTTACATCTAAGGGTGTTCAATAAATGGCCGGGCATAGCGGCTCATGCCTGTAATCTCAACACTTTGGGAGGCCGAGACAGGCTGATCACCTGAGGTCAGGAGTTCAAGACCAGCCTGGCCAACAGGATAAAACCCTGTCTCTACTAAAAATACAAAAGATTAGCCAGGCGGGGTGGCACACACCTGTAGTCCCAGCTACTCAGATGGCTGAGGCAGGAGAATCACTAGAGCCCGGGAGGTGGAGGTTGCAGTGAGCCGAGATTGCACCGCTGCACTCTACACTGGGCAACAGAGTGAGACTCCATCTAAAAAAAAAAAAAATTAAAAATAATAAACAATGCCCTGAATAAAATTAAATTGAATTGGCTGCTCATCTTCAATAAACTACTTATAAATAATAGTAAAATACAGGAAACAGTACATTTACATTAAGGTTAGTATTTAAATCATTAATACTTCCCATAATCCTATCAAGTTTCTAATATTTGCATAGAGCTTTATCATAGCGTTCTAATGCTACTTCTACTTGTCACCCCCCTACACCTATACACACATACATACATGCACTGTTAAATGTCCAAGAAAAAGTAGTTTGCTTTAGGAAGAAAACCCAAAGCAAACTGAAAGGTATACTAGTGAATACCAAATTTCACATAAGTCTTATTGCCCATATTTATTTATGTATTGGTATGTTGCCACTGTATTATAAAAGCTTTATTTATGGCCCCCCTATGTCAAAGGATATATAATACCTTAGATAATTTCTATTATGAAGCTTGCAAAATGTATTTACCTGGACAATTTAGCAAGAAGAAAGAAAAAAAGAAAATGCGATAGTAAATGCTTCTGCCTATTCTATATTGTCACTAAGTTAACAAAAAAAATTATCTTTCTTGGAATGTTATGTAAAAATAAATTTTATGAAGTGCCATTTTGAATTAAAACTTTGTATATTATATTCATTTTTACATTATTTACTTAAAGGAACAAACGAAAAATTTTAAACCTGTTAAAATAGTGAATAGATAACACAAACTAGGATAATATTTTAAACAATAACTTACAGGATCAGCAGGTCCACAAAATTCTCGAAATGTCTTTGTAGCATTATTCTGTTGAATCTCCATTGCTACACAAGGGCCAGAATACATTTCTGTCACCATGTCCTATGATATGTAATATAAAAGAATGAAAAGAATTTAACAATTTTTAACTCTCCCCTTTTAATTGTTTCACTGTTCCACTAATGTCCTTAAAGTCATCTGTGACTTCTTCCCCACTTATATCCCACATATCAAGCAGTTCCCAAATTCTGTCCATTTTTCCTTGAAGAATATTTTTTAGATATGCTCTCTCTTCTCCATTCCTATCACATTTTAATATAATGCTTTATCATCCGACACTTTCATTATTTGGAATGATCTTCTAGTATATCTTCCTTGCAAAGGCCTTCTTGAATACAATGTTGTTGAATTCACATTACTAAATATATATATATAAATTTCAAAGGTTTTATCCTAAAAAACCTTTTAAAAATCATAATGCATTCTAGCAACAAGAAATAATAGGACCAGATTTATTCTCCCATATTAAACATCTAGAAACTAGATAAAATATACGAAACAATAGTTTTCATACACTGGGTGATGGGCAGCACAGGTCTATGACCCCTGAAAGTATGGAAACAGATTAGGTGAGCTGTAGAATTGCTCTGTCTTACTGTCTAGAGGCAGTTTCCAGACCAGTAGACCAGGTAGAGGAAACACAACAGAGCCCAACGTTCTCTGAGTTGAAAAGACAAAGATTGCACTTCGGGGAGGCCAATGTAGCCTTATTTTCAGGAAAGAATACTGGAGAGATGAGGGGAGTATGCAGAAAATAAGCTACAGGATCTGCAGAGGAGTTCCCATGAGTCTTTGGCTACTAATCTGTCACATGTGTACAGCAAACTACTTGAGGCTGGGGAAAGAATTGCCAGAAAGTAGACCAAACAACTCAGAGACAGCACAAGGCTGAGAAGAGTTTATGTTTCTACCAGCCAGAGTGAAAGGCCTTTTTATATGATATATGGAGCATCAAGGAGAGTCCTCAGAAGGGTACTGCACCATAGCAGTTGGCCTAAATTAGCCCTAGATTGTAAGATGCTCTATACCCATCCTACAAAGATTAAAAGCAAGACTCAAAAGTTTCAAATTGATTCCAAGTGATTTAACTAGGTGCCAGACCAAAATTGAGCACTCTTTACAAATCTACCATGTAACAATGTAAATTTTACAATATACAGTATCCAGTAAAAAAATTACCAGGCAGGCAAATATGTAGGAAAATACTAACCATTACCAGAAGAAAACTCAATAAATAGACCCAGCAATTAAATAAATGACATAAAAAGGATATCCAAACAGCTATTATAAGCTCCACATTCTCAAATTATACAAGGAAATATAAACTTGGTGAGGAGAAAATAAAAAATATTTAAAAGATCCAAATACAACGTCTAGAGATATAATCTAAGACATCTAAATTTAAAAATACACTGAATGGGGTGAACAGGATACGACACTGCAGAAGAGCAATAAATTTGAAGACATTCAATAGAAACTATTCAAAAATAAGCATGGAGAGAAAGAAAAATGAAGAAGAAGAAAAAAGCCCTGCTGTGCAACCATGTCAAGCTGTCTATTATATGTGTAATTAGAATCTCAGAAGAGAAGAAAAGGTGATAAACATAAATATATTTTTTAAAATAAGTGCTAAAAACTTTCCAAATTTGCTGAAACCCATAAACCTATAGATCCAACAGAACCCAAGGATAATAAATGTAAAGAGAAGTACATTAGGATGCAAAATAATAAAATTAGCTAAAAACAAAAACAAAAAGCTTTATAAGCAGCCAGGGTGTTGGGGGGGGGGCAGGGGAAAGAACATTATATAACAGTGGGAAAAAGATAAGGATGACAACAATGATGACCAAAAAATGTAAATCTGTATTCTATACCCAGGTGGGAAAATATTTTTCAAAAATGAAGAAAAAAGGAAGACGTTTTAAGACAAAAAAGACCTGATACAATTCACCATCAGAAGCATTATATAATAAGAAATATTAAAGGAAGTTCTTTAGGCAGAAGGAAAAAAATGCCAGACAAAAATATAAATCTATACAAAGCAACAGTAAACATGTCAAGTATAAACATAAAATGCATTTTTATTTTTTAGTTGCTTTATTTTTCTTTTTTTTCCTTTCTGTTGTTTTCTTTTCTTTTTTTTTTTTTTTTTTTTTTTTTGAGACAGAGTTTTGCTCTGTTGCCCAGCTGGAGCACAGTGGCACGATCTTGGCTCACTGCAACCTCAGCCTCCAGGGTTCAAGCTATTCTCACGCCTCAGCCTCCTGAGTAGCTGGGACTACAGGCACCCACCACCACATCTAGCTAATTTTTGTATTTTCAGTTGCTTTCAAACATAATTGTTCAAAGAAATGCATTGTATTGTTGGGTTTATAGCATATATAGATGTAAAATGTATGAGAACAACAGCACACAGAATAATAGGGGAAAAATATAAGTATACTGTTTTAAGATTCTTAGCTCTCTATATAAAGCTGTATAATGAAAAACATGATCCAAGAAAAATGCCTCTCATAGTGTCTAGAACACTCAAAAATAATTTTTTTCACCCTCTTGAATAGGAAAGAATACTTTAGGCAGAAGTGAAAATGGATATAAAGACTTTGAGGCAGAAGTACAGTAGGGATATATGAAGATCAGCTTAGAGGCTAGGAGCTGAGTGAGACTACGGGAAAGTAGTAAGAGATGAGGCCAGACCATGCAGGGTCATGTAAACCATTTTCATGACTTTGAGGATTTACGATACACAACATCAAAGTAAAATAATTTATTACAGAATATATTTGAATATTGATCCAAAAGCAGTCATCTCAGCTAATACAAACTACAGAAGCTAAAAGAGGAGGAAAAGGACTTCAAAATTTATATGGTACTCATAACTCTACTCATTAGAGTTCCTGAGTGTATCCCCCAAAGCCATTTTGCTATTTCACAAAGGTCATATGTAATTGATTTTTTATGGATAATTATATTGAGTCTGATTTTCTGCCTCTGATATTGAAGTACTGCCTACACACAAATGTCAAAGCCAAATTTTCAGAAGGAGCAGAAGGCATGAACAAGTTTTCCAAAAACAGAAGAGTAAATTTTGTCTGCTCTTCTCCCTCCCTTCCTTGTTTCCTTCCTTTTCCTCTCCCTCCTTTTTTTCCTTTGTTTCTTTCTTTCTTCTTTTTCTCTCTCCCTCCTTCCTTTTTTCTTTCTTTGTCTCTCTCACTCATTCTCTTTCAGTGTTGATTACAGATACCACTGAAAATAGACATACAAGGCTGTCAAAATGTATAAAATGGAAAGAAAAAACATGTTAAACAAAGAACTTCATCAAAAGCATAACATGTTCCTTCAAAAATTGACTCAGAATTTTTAAGTCACCCTAGTTTTTAATTAAGTCACAAATTTTTTAAACAAAAAAACAACCTTTCTGTTTCCTTTACAGCCTTTTGACTGCTGTCCTTAGGTAGCTATGTGTAGGATCATTTGATTTCATGTCTATCTTCTCCAGAGCATAAGCTCCATAAATGCAGGCAGTATGTTTTTTGTTCATCACTGATTATTTGGCTTATAGCAGATACTCAATATATATAATAAGTGTGGATCATAGTAACAGCATGAGATAGGAATTATCACCTTTTTATGACTGTACATGTTGAAGCAGAAAATACAGGTGTAAATAATCAACACGGAATCTACTACCAAAGAATTATATCAGACTAAATAATAATAAAAACAACAATAATAGCAGGTAATATTTACTGAGTACTTTTAATATGTGAGACAGTTTTACATAATTTATTTCATTTAATTCCCACAACAATCTCATAAGGTAGGTAATAGCATTATTCCCATTTTATAAATGGGTTAATCAAGGTTTAAAGAAGGTAAATAAATTGTCGATGGTCATATAACTAGAAGATTTAAGATCTGAACCTAGCATCTGACTCTACAGAGGGGGAAGAAAAAAGAAGAGAACTGAATTTAGGAAGCTGCAGGCTGGTTGCAATGAATTTTGGGAGATATGAAAGGTATACAGTTTGAAGAATGTAATGTGGAAATAACTGACTGGTTAACATCAGGTTACCTCAGGTTACTTTTTGTTGTATGGATGAAAGACAGAGAAAACTTCATTATTATACCAAACAAAATTAGCCTGTTTGGGAAATTTGGCTCGCTCTCTCCTGATTTCTCAGAAGGTCAGATAACAACCTAGGTCGTTGACACAGAACTTTAGTATGAATGACTCTGTATTGATTTTCAGTCTGGCCATTTGGGACCTAGTACAGGAGCTTAGTCCAAAACACTGCATCCTATACTTTTCACTTAACAGTACAAATGTTTTACATTTACTTTTATACTTACATGATATTCGGTCACTACTCCTTTATAAACTTCATAGAATTCCTCAACATTAACCCGATCCATATTGAACTATATTAAAAAATAAAACAAAACAAAACCATAAACCAACCAACAAAAGGGAAATAAATAAGCCACACTTAGCACTTAACACTTGTAATCTCTTCTTTACTCTAAAACATAAACTTTACATAGATTACTCTTTGAAGAAAAAGTGTTATTAAACATCAACTCATCAAGAATAATAATGGATAACAGCATCACTCTAGGTTCTATACGTGCATCATCTCATTTAGCCCTCACAACCACCTTACTGCATAGGTAGTATTAATGGCTCCAACTTACAGATGAGACTACTAAGACTCAGAGGAGTCATACAACTTCCTCAAACTGGCATCCTATCTCAAGCAGTCTGACCCCATTGATAATACTTTTACCTACTACACTACACCTCTCTCTGAATAAAACCTCATTCTTGATACAAAAGAAGATTTATATGCAATATTAATTATACTATTGATAGATTAGTGGCACAAGAAAGAAATATTACTAAAGAAAAGTAGTTCAGACTTTTAGAGGAAACAGAAAACAATACCATTTTCCTCCCAAGCATTCGGAAAAATCCCTAGTTAGTCTGGTTTGTGTTAAAGCATTTATACAAGTCATGTGGACTTCCTGCTACTCTTCAAAAAGAACTGTAAAAGTGTGCTTACAAAGTAAGTCTAGAGGGACTTATTCTTATCAAGGCTGAATTTAAATTTAGTTAGGAATAAAATTTCGTTAAATTCTAAGGTTCTCAAAAACTAAGACCTTATTTTTTTTAAAAAGTAGCCTCAGAATTCCCAGTTTTATTTTCCCTCCATTTTGCTTGTTTATTGTTGCCAGGATTGAAGACCCACTGAGAAATTTCTGCCAATATGGACAATCATTTAAGCTAGGAGGATTTATTTTTATGGGCAACATTACTACCATAGGGAGGAAATTCTGTTGGATTTCAGTGTTTTATCCAACATTCACATATGTTTTGCTAAATGCAACAAAATACTAATAGAAGATATCATTTATTAAATACTTAGAATTTGAGCCAGAAATGATTATTTTATTTAATCTGCTGAGTAACCCATTTAGGCAGATACTAATGCTTTCATTGCCTAGATGAGAAAACTGAGAATAAGAATGCTTGACATTTGGCCAAGGCCACATGCCTAGAAAACAGCTGACCCAAGATTCAGAAATAGATCTTTCTGACTCCACAAGTCCACGACTGTGTTTGCTACTACACTACCATGCCTTACCTATAGGCTCAATTAATCATTTTTAAAATTATTTTTTTCATTAGTACAAACTATACCCAATCACCAATCACTATGCTAAACTGTAGATCTAGAATTAGGTCAGTGTTTAAAACTAACATTTCTATATTTTTTTAAATAGGCTTACATGTCATCCTACAATCTTGTTAATATATCACCAAGCTAATACTTTTAGAAAGTTTTGGCTGACAATTACTTTATAATTCTAGGTAAGATTCTTCAAATATCAGTTTTCTCATTAGTCTTTAAGTTTTGCTCAATGACTTTGTAAACTATTTCCCTTTTTTTTTTTTCTTTTTTGGCTTATTGGCACAAAATAGAACTCCAGTTTGTGTCCTGGTCCTTGATTTTGGGTAATCTTAAGACTTTAGAAAGCTGTTTCTTTTCAGAAAATAAAATACAAATAATACCAGTAAGAAAATTCTCAGCTTCAAAATGGCTATTTTGGTATTTCACTATCAAAAAAGCACAAACTTGCTGGGCTTCAAACACTGTAAAAACCAAATTGTTTATCTGATTTATATAATAATCTGTTGCCCAATTTCTAGTCAAATGTACCGATGAGTACAGCACAAAGGTATGACCTCTACCAAAGTGGGTGTTGTTTCTCACTGAAAGGTTTCCTAGGAGTGTATGAACAACGCAATTTTGAACAAGCGTGGGCTCTGAAGGTGCAGCGGTACAAGTGCCAACAGAGTTGCTAGAATACACTAACTCCAAAGACAGTCTTGAGAGAAAGTCCAAAAACCAGCAAAAGGCACTGGTTAGGGAAAAAAAATCTGAACTGATTCTCTTCCTTCATTATTTGTTTAGTGAAGAATCCAGAAGACAGAAAACTCATCACAATTTCTCACTTTGATTCTACTTTTTGTTTATAAGAACAAAATACAGTTTTTGGTCCTTATTTATTTTGCAACTAAAGTTTCCAGAATTGTATAAACTTACCTTATAAGCTTAAATTAGGTGTATCATTGAATATTACTTCTCTCAGTAAAATATTATATGGGAAAAATCATTTCAAAAACCATTTTTTGACTACAGGAAGGTTACTGAGTTCAGTAAGTATGTCTTTTATTTTTAATGTGGTTCATGAGTACACAGGGAACATTCAATGTAAAGCATTTTATAACTATTTTTGAAAAAAATCCTCACAAATATTATGGTTCATTGTAAACTACCTACCATCTGCATAGCTGAGATTTCAAAACCTGCATCTCGGATAGCCATCAGGATCTTTCCCAACAGTCCTGAAAATGAAGGACAATGAGTGAAAAAATACAAAATTTTAAGACATTTTAGTTTCTTAGAAATGCAAATTTTTTATAGCAAAGTACTTTTTGTTTATACTCTATATTTAAAAAAACACATATTTTGCAAGAGAAACTAAATTAAATCCCTAATACTGAGCATTAAATCTAATCATTTGATTTCCTTTGTAAGTGCTTCAAGAATATCAACAATGGTTCTGAGGTTTATGCAAAAAACTTTTAAGATAATATTTTGCCTTTAAAGCCCCTGAAGTCTAGGTGATATAGAGAACATAAAAATCAAACAATTATAAATGGCATTATTTAATACAAAGAAACGAAATGCCAAAGTACCAGATACAGAAGGAATTCAAACAAGAGTTCAAAGAAGGAGAAAAATCAAATTGTAACTGAAGAGATAGGAAGAAGCTTCACGGGGAAATGAAAAGCATGAATGGTCCTTAAAGGCTGTGGACAGATGGGCTTATACAGGGATAGGAGAGAAGGCACACATCTGGGAAAGTATGAGCATATTTAAAAGACAGTAAGAAGACAGAAAAGAAAAACAAATAAAAAAGGAAAAGAGATTGAATTCAAATCGATAAAGGCCTTGGATACCAACATGAGGAATATAGTCTTTATCCTACAGATGAGTGGTTTCTATATTGGAGTCTATAGTCTCTGGGCAAATGGGGCTGACTTTGAGATTCCATTTGTTTCCTATAAAAGTCTAAGTTTCTTTTTTTCAAGTCAACTAAAACTCTGTCTCTTACACATACATGCACAAAGGCACACACACACACACA
Organism: Homo sapiens; assembly: GCF_000001405.40. Lineage (NCBI taxonomy): Eukaryota > Metazoa > Chordata > Mammalia > Primates > Hominidae > Homo > Homo sapiens. Next base: position 169,238,494 of record NC_000001.11, read on the forward strand.
CACACACACACACACACACACACCATATTCTGGATCATCTGGATCTTACCGAGTGACCCTAAATCACCATGTACTATTAGTGTCTGAATGTGCATTCGTATTTACTATCTTACCATAGCCAAGTAGTGCTATTTTAATTGTAGCAGGCTGAGGGGTGAGAAAAAGCCAGAGGTGGATCTGTTTCTCAAATGATACATCTGTACCAAATGAAGGCCAAATGATATCATAGCATGCTGTAGAAACAAAGGTTCTCAGAAGCTCAAAGACAGAAAAGTGGTGGATTAACTGAGTCATCACAGTAGAACAGGCTCATGCCTAACTCAGAGTCTGTACTATATTCACGTTAAGCTTGTTTTTATGGCAAATAACATCTTCTGTCACATTAATGCTATTATGTTAAATTCTGTTTTATATTTTCCTTGCTACGAATTTGCAAATTATTTTAGCCATGCACTTGTATGTGCAAAAGTTTGTATTTAGTTTTATATTTGGACATATTTAAGTTGTATTACTAAAAATTAAAATAATTTATGTCAACACTGAGCGTCCATGAGAATAGTTTTCCTTCAAAAAGAAACACTGCCAAAAGAAATGAGAAGTCAACAAAAATGTTGAGTGAGAAAATACAAAACTAAAGTAGTATTTTAGGAAGGTCACTAATGCAATAGTGATGAGCAAGCTGGTCTGAAGAAAAGAATAAGTAGTGGAAAGAATAGCAAAAGCTTTTGAAATCATTTAGAATGCTGATTGGAAAAAAATAGGCCATGATATATTTAAATATTTTCTCTCTTATTTTGAGCTTCAAAGCGTGGATGGCAGCAGTAGAGAAAGGAGGTAGTGAATATAAGATATTTTCACACAAGAAGCAATGGGATTAAACTGGATACAGAGTATGAAGATGAAAGAAGGATAAAAGATGATTTCAAGATTTTGAATCCAAGTGAATGGAAGAATGACAATACTTTTAAGAAGAAAACAAATAATGATGAAACCAAATTAATAAGGGGAAAGACACTGAATTATTTTGGACATAGAAACCCAAAACATACTAAATAGCATTTATAGAGTAGGAAACTGATCAGATCTTGAGGATGCAGCATATCCAATGGCTGAATGAGTAAAATAAACTCCCTGCACAAAATTAGTGACATGGGATTGCATACCAACAGATAGAGTTATAAAGACAGAATAAGAGGTACAGAGAGGTTAGAACTGAAATGATGCCAAGAGGCATTTGGAGACAGTACTTTATATAAAGAGCTGGAGAAGAATACATATTCAAGGCAAAAGGAACATTAAGCAAAGGTAAGGAGATGTAAAACACCATAGTTCTGGAATAAAAGTATCTTCATCTTACTGAATAATAGAGTGGAAAGGAAATGAGACAGAAGAGAAGGGAGCAGAGGTGGCAGAAGCCATGATAGAAGGACTTATGGACCATATACAGAGGTTTGGATTTTATCCTGTAGGCCAGAAGTTCTCAAACATTTTGGTCACATAGACCCTTTAGCTCTTAGATAGTACTGAAGACCTTTATATAGGTTATCTCTATCAATATTTATTATAATATAAGTTAAAGTGTGCTTATTCTCCTTTACTTGACAAGTGGTAGTTTCTTAGCCTTTATATAGGTTATCTCTATCCATATTTATTATGAGTTAAAACAAAATTTTAAAATATTTAAATATAACAAAAATCCTTTAAATGTTAACATAAATAACATTTTGTGAGGAAAATTATAATTTTTTAAAAATGTGATCTAAGCCAAAAGGTCAGGAAGAGATTATAGTATTTTTTTTAATTAGTGAGAAGAGAGATATTGTTTTACATTTTTTAAAAATCTCTTTAATGTCTCATTTAATAAAAGGCAGCTGGACTCTCACATTTACTTCAGCTTTCAATCTGTTGCCATATGTTGTTTTGGTTGGAGTATATTTAGTTGAAAAATAGTGGAATATTTTAATAATCTTTTACAATAACTGTGTATATTTTCCTTTACTTGATAAGTGGTAGCTTCTTAAAAGTTTGTTGCAATGTATAATCTAAAACCTTTATCAATAAACTTTTTTTTACCCTGTTACATTAAAATCCACTGGTCTATCTTGTATGTACTTCGAATGAAACTATGATATGACTCAGACATGATTTTTAATATCACACATTAATCATTTGGCAAATACCAGCTCACTGAGTTATGCAGATTTTCCAAATGCTGATTCATTTCATTATACGTCAAAAATCAATTAAAAATTTGTTAATATCATCACCAATTTCATCAGAATAGTCTTTCTATTCTGTTATACAATGTATTGGGAAGTTGTCAAACTGAAAGTGGTGAATACAGTTTTCCAAGGTTCTAAGTTTAGTTTTCCTTTGTAGTTTATCTTCACTTGGATTTTATCTTTGGCAAAGGCTATTGTCAGTTGTTTTCTTTGATATGATAGGCTTACTTAATTTGAAAGACAACGCCTGCCAAATACCCAAGTCTGAATAAGCACAATTTGTCTGTCAGTCATTCTTTCAAGTAAAAATGGTATTCCATAAAAGAAAAAGCATCTAATTGAGCTGACAGTGCAAACAATTGTGAATAGGATTACTCACAAATGCTTTTCCTTAAAACCATTATATGGAGCTTTATGTGTACTTCACATTACTTCACACAGAGTATTAAAAAGACCTATATTTGAGGATCAAAAAGTAATAAAATTATTTTTACTGCATCTAAGATATTCTTAACTAAGTATGGCTTTTTTTTCCCCCTGCAGATGCATGATGGTTAAAAATACAGTAACTACTAGCACAGTTTGGTGCCACTGCCTTGATTCGTTCTAAGGCAGTGGCAGTTTTGTTCACCATCGCTTTTGCACCATCAGTGCAAATGACAACACATTAAAAAAGGCAATTAAGTATGAAATCAGCTTTGGTCTTGCAGATCCATAAAAGGGTCTCATTAATGATAATAAAAAAATGATTACATATTAACCCTAATCTAAATATGAAATTTAATCTAATCTAAATATTAAACACTATGCTTCAATCAATATGAAAAGAAATTTATAATCTATATCTATTACAAATTCTAAGAATAAATAGGACAAGTTCACACGATATATAGGAAGATGCTCACCATAGAATTATTAGTAATAAAAAAATTTTAAGTTCTAAATAATAAAAAACAGGAAAAAGTTAGATAAAGAAGAATAAGTTCCTACAACTAACTTTTTACTCAGACTTTAAAAATCACATTTTCAAATATTATTTAATTGCATAGAAAAAAATTCAAAGTACAATGTTAGTGCAATTCAAAATTGTATACATAGGATAATTCCCAATTCACTTTATAAAACTAGTATTATCCTGATATTGAAATCATATGAAGACAGTACAAAAAACGAAACTACACTCCAATAGCCCTTATAAATATAAATATAAAAATACTTTTTAAAAAATTTTAAAACAATAATTTATTTACTTAATATGAGAAAGGGTCTTACTATGTTGACTAGCCTGGTCTTGAACTCCTAGGCTCAAACAATATTCCTGCCTCAGGCTCCTAAATATCTGGGATTACAGGCACATACCACTGTATCTGGCTAAACATAAAAATTATTTCCAAATGTTAAAATTTTAGAAATTTTATAATTTCCAATAAATTTTAAATTTTATAAATTTAGCAACATATACAAAGAATTATACACCATGACCAAGAGACGTTAATTTCAGATATGCAAGCCTGGTACATTATTCAAACTATCAACCAATATATTAACAGGCTAAGGAAGAAAAATCACATGAACACATCAATATATGTTGATCACATATCTATCTATAGATATATATCTGCATATATTGATACAGAAAAAAACATTTGAAAATATACAGCACTCATAAATCAAAAAAACTGTAAGAAAAAAATAGAAATAGAAGGCAACTTCCCCATCTTCATAAACAGCATCTACAGAAACCTACAACTAACATAATAGTGAAAGACTGAATGCTTTCCATGCAAGACAGTAAACAAGGCAAGAATGTCCATTCTCATTGCTCTGATTCAACATGGTGCTGGAAAATTCAAGTCAGTGCAACCAGACAAGAAAAGGAGATAAAAAGTATACAGACAAGAAAGGCAGAAATATAACTGTCTCTATTTGTATATGACATGACTGTCTATATAGAAAATCCCAAATAGCCTAAAAAAAAATCTAGAACTAATTATTTCAGCAAGGTTGAAAGATACAAGGTAAACATACTAGATCAGTTGTATTTCTACACACTGGCAATAAATACTTGAACACTGAAACTAAAACTATAATAGCATTTATAATCACTCAAAAAGAAAATAAAATTGGGTGTGAATCTAACCAAAAATGTATAGAACTTGTGTATGAAAACTACAAAATGCTGGATGAAAGAGCTAAATAAATGAAGAGCATACAGTGTTCAGGGAATACTTCACACAATAAAGATGTCAATTCTCCCTAAATTGACAAATAAGTTTAACAAAATTGTTATCAAAATACCAGCAAGTTTTTTTTGTAGCAATAGATAAGATTATTCTAAAATTATATGGTAAGATAAAGGAACTAGAATAACTAAAACAATTTCAAAAAAGAAAAATGTGAGGTAATCAGTCTACTCAATTTCATGGTTCATTATTAACTGCAATAACCGAAAGATGGTGTAGTATTGTCAGTGATAGAGATCAATGGAACAGAACAAAAAAATCCCAAAATAGAACCACACAAATATGTCCAACTGATTTTTTACAAAAGTGCAAAAGCAATTCAAATTAGAGAGATAACTTTTCAACAAACTCAGTAAAGTTAGGAAATAAAGTCTCCAAGAAAAAAGAGTTACTTCCCAGAAGGAAGTCTACACAATGAAAGGATAACACAAATTTGGGGAAACAGCTAGTTTTTTCTCATCTATACATGGTGTAAGCTAGTCACATATTATTACACATAATCCTCACAACGCTGCTATGGACTGAATATTTGTGACCCTCTGAAATTAAGATCCTAACTCCCAATGTGATAAAGGTAGGGCCTTTGTGGGGAAGAGGTGATTAGATAGCAAGAACAAAGCCCATGTGAATGGCATTAGTGCCCTTATAAAAGAAGCTCCAGAGAGTTCTCTTGCCTCTTTCACCATGTAAAGGCACAGTGAGAAGGTGTCATCTATGAAGAAAACCATGGGCCCTGACCTGAAACTGAACCTGCAGGACCTGATCTTGGACTTCCCACTATGGAGAACTGTGGGAAATACATGTTTGTTGTTTAAGACATCCAGTCTATGGTATTTATATTGTAGCAGCTCAAATGAACTAAGATAATGCCTATGAGGAAAGTACTAGTATAATCTTCATTTTATAGATGTTGAGTATCTATATTCAAGGATTAAACAATATGCCTTAATAACTAGTAAGTGATAGAACTGAATTTCAAACCCAGTTTTGCTTGCCCCAGAGCCTAAGATTATATTATAATAAAATAAATAATCAAAATATTTAGTTGGCATATGTATGTACCTCAATTAAATAATTTATGTATATGCAAAAATATACATATGTGTATATATGTGTATATACAGCTATGAAACATCTGTTTGATCTTCTGAATATATACTATAAAATCTTTAACAGAGATGGTTATAGAATGTATATGTAGTAAATTCTGAATTGTTCAGAGGATCATCACTTAACTTACTGATTATTCAGACTTTAAGATTTCTTTCCTTCTTACCATTCTGATTCTTATCAATTTGGCAGAAAAAGGAGGAAAAAAAGATCACTTTATTGTTTATTAATAGTTCTAGAAAACTGCTTAATAGAGAGAACATCATTAAAAATTAAGTTGTTGGCCAGGTGCGGTGGCTCACGCCTGTAATCCCAGCACTTTGGGAGGCCAAAGGTGGGAGGATGATGAGATCAGGAGATCGAGACCATCCTGGCTAACACGGTGAAACCTCATCTCTACTAAACAAAATACAAAAAATTAGCTGGGCATGGTGGTGGGTGCCAGTAGTCCCAGCTACTCGGGAGGCTGAGGAAGGAGGATGGCGTGAACCTGGGAGGCGGAGCTTTCAGTGAGCCGAGATTGCACCACTGCACTCCAGCCTGGACCACAGACTGAGACTCCATCTCAAAAAAAAAAAAAAAAAAAATTAAGTTGTTAAAAAGTAGATGCATAGTATTCTTCAAAATTCTAACAAAATTGGTTTTCATAGTTAATAATCTAATAGTTTTATTTTGCCACATGTATCTATATCAAAAATATTTCTTGTGAAAATAACTTATTCTGATGTTAAGGTCTTTCCTGGCATCAATATTTTCCCTTGATATCACAATATCTACCACCTGGGTGCGGTGGCTCATGCCTGTAATCCTAGCACTTTGGGAGGACAAGGTGGGTGGATCACTTGAGGTCCTGAGTTCAAGCCCAGCCTGGCCAACATGGAGAAACCCTATCTCTACTAAAAATACAAAAATTAGCCAGACATAGTGCCACATGCCTGTAATCCCAGCTACCTGGGAGGCTGAGGCACAAGAATCGCTTGAACCCAGGAGGCAGAGCTTACAGTGAGCCAAGATTATGCCACTGTCCTCCAGCCTGGGTGACAGAACAAGATTCTGTCTCAGAACAACAACAACAAAAATAAAACAAATAAACAGAAAATCATAGTATCTATCATCTATAATATACCTCACAGCAATCTTGCAGCCAATGAGCCCCTTACACTGTAGAAACACTTGAAAAATATCGTTACCATGAATGTTAAACTTACTGGATGTAACAGCAAGATACAGATGACAACAAAACCCTACTCACGAGCATGAGAGCCCATGAAAAGGACACTTTGGTGAGCAAAACAACTTACAAAACTGAAATTTAAAGAAGCGACCAGGCTGTTGTACAAGATAATTCACTATCACCTGTATGCTTTGCTTCACAATCCATATAATAAACAGGGGTGGTGGGAAATAAAACGAAACGATTTTTAAAAATGAAAAAATGTCAACAAGGAAATCTTGCAGTTTATTTTGGAAAGAAACTGAAAGAAAAGTTTTAATCGTGATGTAGCCAAGAGTACACGAACTAATAAAACTGGTGCCTAAAATAGACATGTTTAATATTAATAACCATAACCAATTTAAATCAAATTGGAAGGATATGATTTCCTTTAAAATTTAAATCTAGTGAAATAAAATTCAAAGCCATTTTAACTAAAAAATAGACGTGTATCTTTAAAACATGATTAGTGTAAAGACAAATCAAAAAACTAGAGATTATGAGAGTTTAATGTTCAATGCTAACATATAAAAGAAATCACAAGTGTTACTAAAGTCAACAGAAGGAATTTAATACTAATCTTGGCAAACATGCATAACAAATAACCTTAGGCATAAAAACCAGGTGGAAAAGCTTTCTGTCTCCTAGAGAGCAATATGTTACTAGGCAATACCACTTCACTGATAATCTTCCTGTAATTTTTAATGGAAGCACTCAGATTGGTTTAAGCTACAAATGTCTATGGTTTTCTGCCTTGCAATAAGGAAAAATATTGTAGAATTATATTAAATCAATTGCAGACAAGAGTCTGGATTCCAGACCATCCTGGGCAACATGGTAAAACTTCATGTCTACAAAAAATATGAAAAAAAAAATTAGCCAGGTATGATGGTGTGTGCCTGTAGTCCCAGATACTCAGGAGGCTAAGGTGGGAGGATCACTAGGGCTCAGGAGGCCAAGGTTGCAGTGAGCTGAGATGGCACAACTGCAATCCAGCCTGGGTGACAGAGCGAGACCGTGTCTCAAAAAAGTAAAAACAAATCAAAATAAATAAGAGTTTGGATTCCACAGAATTGTTAAATTGGGAACCAGTAAGGCACTTAGGTCTTAATGGATCTCAAATTAATCCATCAGGTGATCATAAAACCCACATTAGTAGAAAGTAGCTTTTAAAAGACAGATTTAATTCATCCAATAGATTTCTGATCCTCCACTAACACCACATACCCAAATCTGAAATTCACATTTTTCCTTACCAATTTCCTAACAAGAACAAGCTGTACATTCCTTACAAGGTAGTAAAAAGAGTAACCAATAGAACTTTATTTTATTTGTATTTTTTTTTAGAGGTGGGGCCTTGCTATGTTACTCAAGCTGGACTTGAACTCCTGGGCTTAAGTGATTCAACTACCTCAGCCTCCCAAGCAGCTAGGACTACAGGCATGTGCCACCATGCCCAGCTAATTATTAAAAATTATTTGTAGAGACAGGGTCTCACTGTTGCCCAGACTGGTATCAAACTCCTGGCCTGAAGTGATCTTCCCACCTGAGCCTCCCAAAGTGCTGGGATTACAGGCATAAGCCACTGCATCTGGTCCAGTATAACAACACCTTTGTAGATATACCTACAATATGGTGACTTTGTGTACTGAAATTCATCAAGATGCAATTAAGTGAGTAGAAAATAATAAAAACAGGCTCCATACCATCATAGGGACAGCAGAGAAGACCTATGGGAATGAAGATTTCCAGGAAAGAGTAGTCAGGGGTTCCTCCTCACTGTGAAGAAAGACAGGCTCAGCATGCAAAGGAAGCTAAGAACAGCTATACCTTGGTTGAAATAAGATCACAGTTTTAAAACAAGGACAGTCTAAGAAAAACAAAATAAAGTACGGTACTGAGTAGATAGGCTGGAAACTGAAAACTGTGTAAGATTGGGTAAATAGGTCATATGAAGTCTAAAGTCAAAGTCAGGTTAATACAGAAAAGTTAACCACACAATCACAAAGTAAAATTAAGTTTCTACAGCACAGGGTACTGCCAGCTATGGATAGAGTGAGCTGCTTCCTAATCTTAAGAGGCCAGTCTCTATGTGGTTGGAGTAAGCAAATGTCCCATTAGAAGCCAAATCCATGTTTCTAGGAGATTTTCATGAATGTTATTATGCAGGGGCTATTCTCATTATATGAAAATCTCAGTTTTTAAAATTTTTTTATTTCAATAGTTTTTGGGGTACAAGTGGTTTTGGTCACACGGATGAATTATATAGTGGTGAAGTCTGAGATTTTAGTGCACCCATCATCCAAGTAGTGTACATTGTACCCAATAAGTAGTTTTTTAATCCCTCACCCCCCTCAACCCTCCCTCTTCTGAGTCGCCAAAGTCCATCATAGAATTCTGTATGCCTTTGCATACCCGTATCTTGGTTCCCACTTATAAGTGAGAACATACGGTTTTTGGTTTTTCCATTCCTGAGTACTTCACTTAGAATAATGGCTTCTAGCTCCATCCAAGTTACTGCAAAACACATTATTTCATTATTTTTATGGCTGAGTAGTATTCCATGGTGTATATATATCACATTTTCTTTATCCACTCATTCGTTAATGGACACTTAGATTGGTTCCATACGTTTGCAACTGTGAATTGTGTTGCAATAAACATATGCGTGCAAGTGTCTTTAATATAATCACTTATTTTCCTTTGGGTAGATACTGAGTAGTGGGATTGCTGAATCAAATGACAGATCTACTTTTAGTTCTTTAAGAAATCTCCATATTGTTTTTTATACAGTTTGTACTAATTTACATTCCTACCAGCAGTGTATAGGTGTTCCCTTTTCACCACATCTATGCCAACATCTATTATTTTTTGACTTTTTAATAATGGCTATTTTTGCAGGAGTAAGGCAGTATCTCATTGTATTTTTAATTTGCATATTCCTGATGATCAGTGATGTTTAGCATTTTTCATATGTTCTTTACCATTCTTATATCCTCTTTTGAGAAATGTCTATTCATGTTATTTGCCCACATTTTGATGGGATTTTTTTTTCTTGTTGATGTACTTGAGTTCATTGTAGATTCTAGATATTAGTCCTTTGCTAGATGTATAGTTTGCAGATATTTTCTCCCACTCTGTGGGTTGTCTATTTATTCTGATAGTTATTTCTTTTAATGTACTGAAGTTTCTTTTATTTAATTAGGTCCTATTTATTTATTTTTATTTTAGTTGCATTTGCTTTTGGGGTCCTACTCACGAATTATTTGCCTAAGCCAATGTCCAGAATAGTTTTTCCTAGGTTATCTTCTATAATTTTTATAGTTTCATGTCTTAGATTTACATCTTTGAACCATCTTGAGATGATTTTTGTATAAGGTAAGGGATAAGCATCCAGTTTCATTCTTCTACATGTGGTTATCCAGTTTTCCCAGCATTATTTATTAAATAAGGTGTCCTTTCCTCAGCCTGTGTTTCTCTATGCTTTGTTGAAGATCAGTTGGTTGTAAGTATTTGGCTTTATTTCTGGGTTCTCTATTCTGTTCCACTGCTCTATGTGCCTACTTTTATACCAGCACTATTTTTGTAACTACAGCCTTGTGGCAAACATCTGATAATGTGATGCCTCTACGTCTGTTTTCTTGTTTGTTTGTTTTTTTGCATAGGATTGCTTTGGCTATTCAGGTTCTTTTTCTGGTTTCATATGAATTTTAGAATTGTTTTTTCTAATTCTGTGAAAAATGATGTTGGTATTTTGATAGGAATTGCACTGAATCAGTGGATTGCTTTGGGTAGTATGGTCATTTTCATGATATTGATTATTCCAATCCATGAGCATGGGATGTGTTTCCATTTGTTTGTGTCATCTATGATTTCTATCAGCAGTGTTTTGTAGTTCTCCTTGTAGAGATCTTTTACCTCCTTGGTTAAATATATTCCTAGGTAATTTATTTTTTTCCAGCTGTTGTGAAAAGGACTGAGTTCTTGATCTGATTCTCAGCATGGTCATTGTTGGTGTATAGCACTGCTACTGATTTGTGTATATTGATTTTGTGACCTGAGACTACGGAATTCATTTGTCAAATCCAGGAGTCTTTTGGAGGAGTATTTAGGGTTTTCTAGGTATACAGTCATATTATTCATGAACAGCAATAGCTTGATGTCCTCTTTTTCAATTTGGATGCCCTTTGTTTCTTATCCTTGCCTGATTGCTCTGGTTAGGACTTCCAGCACTATGCTGAATAGAAGTGGTGAAAGTGGCATCCTTGTCTTGTTCCAGTTCTCAAGGGGAATACTTTCAACTTTTCCCCATTTATTATGATGTTAGCTGTGGGTCTGTCATATATGGCTTTCATTAGTTTTAGGTAAAGTTCCTTTTATATCTGTTTGTTGAGTTTTTTTATACGGGGATGCTGGATTTTATGAAATGCTTTTTCTGCATCTATTCAGATGATCATAGAGTTTTTCTTTTTAATTCCTTTTATCAGATGTATCCCATTTATTGACTTGCATATTTTAAACCATCCCTGCATCCCTGGAATGAAACCTACTTGGTCATGGTGTATTATCTTTTTGATGTGCTGCTTGAATTAGCTAGTATTTTGTTGAGGATTTTTGCATCTATGTTCATCAGGGGTATTGGTCTGTAGTTTTCTTTTTTTCTTATGTCTTTTCCTGGTTGTGGTATCAGAATGATACTGGCTTCATAGAATGAGTTAGGGAGGATCCCTCTTTCTTAATCTTTTGGAATAGTTTCAGTAGGATTGGTCCCAGTTCTCTGAATGTCTGGTAGGATTCAGTTGTGAATCCATGTGGCCCCAAGCTATTTTTTTTTCTTGGCAATTGTTTTGATTAGTGATTCAATCGCACTGCTTGTTCTTGGTCTGTTCGGGGTTTCTATTTCTTCCTGGCTTAATCTAGGAGTGTTTATGTTTCCTGGAATTTATCCATTTCCTCTAGATTTTTTAGTTTGTGTGCATAGAGGTGTTCACAGTGGTCTCAAATGATCTTTTTTATTTCTGTGGGGTTGGTTGTAAAGTCTCCAGTTTCATTTCTAATTGAACTTACTTTAACCTCTCCTGGTTAATCTAGCTAATGGTCTATCAACTTTGTTTATCTTTTTGAAAAACCAACTTTTAGTGTCATTGATCTTTGGTATTTTTGTTGTTGTTGTTGCTGCTGTTTCAAATTCATTTAGATCTGCTCTGATCTTTGTTATTTCTTTTCTTCTGCTAGCTTTGGGTTTAGTTTGTTCTTTCTCTAGCTCCTTGAGGTATGATGTTAGGTTGTCAATTTATCATCTTTCAGATTTTTTAATGTAGGTATTTAGCACTATAAATTTTCCTTTTAGTACTGCTTTTACTATATTCCAGAGATTTTGATAACTTGTGTCAATATTATCATTCCTTTCAAAGAATTTTTAAAATTCCATCTTGATTTCACTGTTAACTCAAAAATCATCCAGGAGCAGATTGTTTAATTTCTATGTATTTGTATAGTTTTGAGGGTTACTTTTGGAGTTGATTTGTAGTTTTATTCCACTGTGGTCTGAGAAGATACCTGATAACATTTCGATTTTTAAAAATTTATAGAGACTTGTTTTGTGGCCTAGCATATGGTCTATTGTGGAGAATGTTCTGTGTGCTGATTAAAAGAATGTACAATCTGCAGTTATTAGGTAGAATGTTCGGCAAATATTTGTCAGGTCCATTTGTTCTAGAGTGCACTTTAGGTCCATTATTTCTTTGTTGACTTTCTGTCTTGATGATCTGTCTAGTGTTGTCGGTGGACTGTTGCAGTCTCATACTATTATTATTTCATGTCTATCTCATGTCTTAGGTCTAATAGTAATTGTTTTATGAATCTGGGAGCTCCAGTGTTAAGTGTATATAAATTTAGGAATATAATATCTTCTTGTTGGATTGATCCTTTTATCATCATATAATGACCTTCTTTGTCTTTTTTTACTGTTGTTGCTTTAAAATCTGTTTTATCTGATATAAGACTACCTACTCCTGCTCACTTTTGGTTTCCATTTGGAGTGGAATATCTTTTTGCACTCCTATACCCTAAGTTTATATGAATCTTTATGTATTAGGTGAGTCTCTTGAAGACAGTATATATTTGGTTTGTGATTTTTAAAATCCATTCTGCCAATCTGTATCATTTAAGTGGAGAATTTAAGCAATTTATATCCAATGTTAATATTGAGATGTGAGGTACTGTTCCAGTTATCCTGTTACTTGTTACCTAGATACTCTGGTTTCTTTTTTTTTTTTTCTTTTTTTTTTTATTATACTTTAAGTTTTAGGGTACATGTGCACATTGTGCAGGTTAGTTACATATGTATACATGTGCCATGCTGGTGCACTGCACCCACTAACTCATCATCTAGCATTAGGTATATCTCCCAATGCTATCCCTCCCCCCTCCCCCCACCCCACAACAGTCCCCAGAGTGTGATATTCCCCTTCCTGTGTCCATGTGATCTCATTGTTCAATTCCCACCTATGAGTGAGAATATGCAGTGTTTGGTTTTTTGTTCTTGCAACAGTTTACTGAGAATGATGTTTTCCAGTTTCATCCATGTCCCTACAAAGGACATGAACTCATCATTTTTTATGGCTGCATAGTATTCCATGGTGTATATGTGCCACATTTTCTTAATCCAGTCTATCATTGTTGGACATTTGGGTTGGTTCCAAGTCTTTGCTATGGTGAATAATGCCGCAATAAACATACGTGTGCATGTGTCTTTATAGCAGCATGATTTATAGTCCTTTGGGTATATACCCAGTAATGGGATGGCTGGGTCAAATGGTATTTCCAGTTCTAGATCCCTGAGGAATCGCCACACTGACTTCCACAATGGTTGAACTAGTTTACAGTCCCACCAACAGTGTAAAAGTGTTCCTATTTCTCCACATCCCCTCCAGCACCTGTTGTTTCCTGACTTTTTAATGATTGCCATTCTAACTGGTGTGAGATGGTATCTCATTGTGGTTTTGATTTGCATTTCTCTGATGGCCAGTGATGATGAGCATTTTTTCATGTGTTTTTTGGCAGCATAAATGTCTCCTTTTGAGAAGTGTCTGTTCATGTCCTTCACCCACTTTTTGATGGGGTTGTTTGTTTTTTTCTTAAAAATTTGTTTGAGTTCATTGTAGATTCTGGATATTAGCCCTTTGTCAGAAGAGTAGGTTGCGAAAATTTTCTCCCATTTTGTAGGTTGCCTGTTCACTCTGATGGTAGTTTCTTTTGCTGTGCAGAAGCTCTTTAGTTTAATTAGATCCCATTTGTCGATTTTGTCTTTTGCTGCCATTGTTTTTGGTGTTTTAGACATGAAGTCGTCGCCTATGCCTATGTCCTGAATGGTAATCCCTAGGTTTTCTTCTAGGGTTTTTATGGTTTTAGGTCTAACGTTTAAGTCTTTAATCCATCTTGAATTGATTTTTGTATAAGGTGTAAGGAAGGGATCCAGTTTCAGCTTTCTACATATGGCTAGCCAGTTTTCCCAGCACCATTTATTAAATAGGGAATCCTTTCCCCATTGCTTGTTTTTCTCAGGTTTGTCAAAGATCAGATAGTTGTAGATATGCGGTGTTATTTCTGAGGGCTCTGTTCTGTTCCATTGATCTATATCTCTGTTTTGGTACCAGTACCATGCTGTTTTGGTTACTGTAGCCTTGTAGTATAGTTTGAAGTCAGGTAGTGTGATGCTTCCAGCTTTGTTCTTTTGGCTTAGGATTGACTTGGCGATGCGGGCTCTTTTTTGGTTCCATATGAACTTTAAAGTAGATTTTTCCAATTCTGTGAAGAAAGGCATTGGTAGCTTGATGGGGATGGCATTGATTCTATAAATTACCTTGGGCAGTATGGCCATTTTCACGATATTGATTCTTCCTACCCATGAGCATGGAATGTTCTTCCATTTGTTTGTATCCTCTTTTATTTCCTTGAGCAGTGGTTTGTAGTTCTCCTTGAAGAGGTCCTTCACATCCCTTGTAAGTTGGATTCCTAGGTATTTTATTCTCTTTGAAGCAATTGTGAATGGGAGTTCACTCATGATTTGGCTCTCTGTTTGTCTGTTATTGGTGTATAAGAATGCTTGTGATTTTTGCACATTGATTTTGTATCCTGAGACTTTGCTGAAGTTGCTTATCAGCTTAAGGAGATTTTGGGCTGAGACAATGGGGTTTTCTAGATATACAATCATGTCGCCTGCAAACAGGGACAATTTGACTTCCTCTTTTCCTAATTGAATACCCTTTATTTCCTTCTCCTGCCTAATTGCCCGGGCCAGAATTTCAAACACTATGTTGAATAGGAGTGGTGAGAGAGGGCATCCCTGTCTTGTGCCAGTTTTCAAACGGAATGCTTCTAGTTTTTGCCCATTCAGTATGATACTGGCTGTGGGTTTGTCATAGATAGCTCTTATTATTTTGAAATACGTCCCATCAATACCTAATTTATTGAGAGTTTTTAGCATAAAGGGTTGTTGAATTTTGTCAAAGGCTTTTTCTGCATCTATTGAGATAATCATGTGGTTTTTGTCTTTGGCTCTGTTTATATGCTGGATTACATTTATTGATTTGTGTATATTGAACCAGCCTTGCATCCCAGGGATGAAGCCCACTTGATCATGGTGGATAAGCTTTTTGATGTGCTGCTGGATTCCTTTTGCCAGTATTTTATTGAGGATTTTTGCATCAATGTTCATCAACGATATTGGTCTAAAATTCTCTTTTTTGGTTGTGTCTCTGCCTGGCTTTGGTATCAGAATGATGCTGGCCTCATAAAATGAGTTAGGGAGGATTCCCTCTTTTTCTATTGATTGGAATAGTTTCAGAAGGAATGGTACCAGTTCCTCCTTGTACCTCTGGTAGAATTCAGCTGTGAATCCATCTGGTCCTGGACTCTTTTTGGTTGGTAAGCTATTGATTCTTGCCACAATTTCAGATCCTGTTATTGTTCTATTCAGAGATTCAACTTCTTCCTGGTTTAGTCTTGGGAGAGTGTATGTGTCGAGGAATTTATCCATTTCTTCTCGATTTTCTAGTTTATTTGCGTAGAGGTGTTTGTAGTATTCTCTGATGGTAGTTTGTATTTCTGTGGGATTGGTGGTGATATCCCCTTTATCAGTTTTTATTGCGTCTATTAGATTCTTCTCTCTTTTTTTCTTTATTAGTCTTGCTAGTGGTCTATCAATTTTGTTGATCCTTTCAAAAAACCAGCTCCTGGATTCATTAATTTTTTGAAGGGTTTTTTGTATCTCTATTTCCTTCAGTTCTGCTCTGATTTTAGTTATTTCTTGCCTTCTGCTAGCTTTTGAATGTGTTTGCTCTTGCTTTTCTAGTTCTTTTAATTGTGATGTTAGGGTGTCAATTTTGGATCTTTCCTGCTTTCTCTTGTGGCCATTTAGTGCTATAAATTTCCCTCTACACACTGCTTCGAATGTGTCCCAGAGATTCTGGTATGTTGTGTCTTTGTTCTCGTTGGTTTCAAAGAACATCTTTATTTCTGCCTTCATTTCGCTATGTACCCAGTAGTCATTCAGGAGCAGGTTGTTCAGTTTCCATGTAGTTGAGCGGTTTTGAGTGAGATTCTTAATCCTGAGTTCTAGTTTGATTGCACTGTGGTGTGAGAGATAGTTTGTTATAATTTCTGTTCTTTTACATTTGCTGAGGAGAGCTTTACTTCCAACTATGCGGTCAATTTTGGAATAGGTGTGGTGTGGTGCTGAAAAAAATGTATATTCTGTTGATTTGGGGTGGAGAGTTCTGTAGATGTCTATTAGGTCCGCTTGGTGCAGAGCTAAGTTCAATTCCTGGGTATCCTTGTTGACTTTCTGTCTCGTTGATCTGTCTAATGTTGACAGTGGGGTGTTAAAGTCTCCCATTATTATTGTGTGGGAGTCTAAGTCTCTTTGTAGGTCACTCAGGACTTGCTTTATGAATCTGGGTGCTCCTGTATTGGGTGCAATATATTTAGGATAGTTAGCTCTTCTTGTTGAATTGATCCCTTTACCATTATGTAATGGCCTTCTTTGTCTCTTTTGATCTTTGTTGGTTTAAAGTCTGTTTTATCAGAGACTAGGATTGCAACCCCTGCCTTTTTTTGTTTTCCATTTGCTTGGTAGATCTTCCTCCATCCTTTTATTTTGAGCCTATGTGTGTCTCTGCACGTGAGATGGGTTTCCTGAATACAGCACACTGATGGGTCTTGACTCTTTATCCAATTTGCCAGTCTGTGTCTTTTAATTGCAGAATTTAGTCCATTTACATTTAAAGTTAATATTGTTATGTGTGAATTTGATCCTGTCATTATGATGTTAGCTGGTTATTTTGCTCGTTAGTTGATGCAGTTTCTTCCTAGTCTTGATGGTCTTTACATTTTGGCATGATTTTGCAGCGGCTGGTACCGGTTGCTCCTTTCCATGTTTAGCGCTTCCTTCAGGAGCTCTTTTAGGGCAGGCCTGGTGGTGACAAAATCTCTCAGCATTTGCTTGTCTGTAAAGTATTTTATTTCTCCTTCGCTTATGAAGCTTAGTTTGGCTGGATATGAAATTCTGGGTTGAAAATTCTTTTCTTTAAGAATGGTGAATATTGGCCCCCACTCTCTTCTGGCTTGTAGGGTTTCTGCCGAGAGATCCACTGTTAGTCTGATGGGCTTTCCTTTGAGGGTAACCCGACCTTTCTCTCTGGCTGCCCTTAACATTTTTACCTTCATTTCAACTTTGGTGAATCTGACCATTATGTGTCTTGGAGTTGCTCTTCTCGAGGAGTATCTTTGTGGCATTCTCTGTATTTCCTGAATCTGAATGTTGGCCTGCCTTGCTAGATTGGGGAAGTTCTCCTGGATAATATCCTACAGAGTGTTTTCCAACTTGGTTCCATTCTCCCCATCACTTTCAGGTACACCAATCAGACGTAGATTTGGTCTTTTCACATAGTCCCATATTTCTTGGAGGCTTTACTCATTTCTTTGTATTCTTTTTTCTCTAAACTTTCCTTCTCGCTTCATTTCATTCATTTCATCTTCCATCACTGAAACCCTTTCTTCCAGTTGATCGCATCGACTCCTGAGGCTTCTGCGTTCTTCACGTAGTTCTCGAGCCTTGGTTTTCAGCTCCATCAGCTCCTTTAAGCACTTCTCTGTATTGGTTATTCTAGTTATACATTCTTCTAAATCTTTTTCAAAGTTTTCAACTTCTTTGCCTTTGGTTTGAATGCCCTCCAGTAGCTCAGAGTAATTTGATCGTCTGAAGCCTTCTTCTCTCAGCTCGTCAAAGTCATTCTCCATCCAGCTTTGTTCCGTTGCCGGTGAGGAACTGCGTTCCTTTGGAGGAGGAGAGGCGCTCTGCTTTTTAGAGTTTCCAGTTTTTCTGTTCTGTTTTTTCCCCATCTTTGTGGTTTTATCTACTTTTGGTCTTTGATGATGGTGATGTACAGATGGGTTTTTGGTGTGGATGTCCTTTCTGTTTGTTAGTTTTCCTTCTAACAGACAGGACCCTCAGCTGCAGGTCTGTTGGAATACCCTGCCGTGTGAGGTGTCAGTGTGCTCTTGCTGGGGGGTGCCTCCCAGTTAGGCTGCTTGGGGGTCAGGGGTCAGGGACCCACTTGAGGAGGCAGTCTGCCCATTCTCAGATCTCCAGCTGCATGCTGGGAGAACCACTGCTCTCTTCAAAGCTGTCAGACAGCGACATTTAAGTCTGCAGAGGTTACTGCTGTCTTTTTGTTTGTCTGTGCCCTGCCCCCAGAGGTGGAGCCTACAGAGGCAGGCAGGCCTCCTTGAGCTGTGGTGGGCTCCGCCCAGGTGGAGCTTCCTGGCTGCTTTGTTTACCTAATCAAGCCTGAGCAATGGCGGGCGCCCCTCCCCCAGCCTCGCTGCCACCTTGCAGTTTGATCTCAGACTGCTGTGCTGGCAATCGGCGAGACTCCGTGGGCATAGGACCCTCCAAGCCAGGTGCGGGATATAATCTCGTGGTGCGCCATTTTTTAAGCCTGTCAGAAAAGCGCAGTATTTGGTTGGGAGTGACCCGATTTTCCAGGTGCTGTCCGGCATCCCTTTCTTTGACTCAGAAAGGGAACTCCCTGACCCCTTGCGCTTCCCAAGTGAGGCAATGCCTCGCCCTGCTTCGGCTTGCGAACGGTACGCGCACCCACTGACCTGCGCCCACTGTCTGGCACTCCCTAGTGAGATGAACCCAGTACCTCAGATGTAAATGCAGAAATCACCCGTCTTCTGCGTCGCTCACGCTGGGAGCTGTAGACCGGAGCTGTTCCTATTCGGCCATCTTGGCTCCTCCCCCTCTGGTTTCTTTATTGTTATTGTTTTATAGGCCCCATTAGTTTTATGCTTTCAAGAGGTTCTATTCTGGTTCATAATTGCCTTTTTCTTTTAAAGTTTAAAACTCCTTTTAGCATTTTCAATAGAGCTGGTCTAGTAGTAACAAATTCTCTCAGCATTTGTTTGTCTGAAAATGACTTTAATTCTCCTTCATTTACAAAACTTAGTTTTGTTCTGGATACAAAATTCTTGACTGACAGTTATTCTCTTTAAGAAGGCTAAAGATAAAACTCCAATCCCTTCTGGCTTAAAAGGTTTCTGCTGAGGAAATCTCTTAGTTTTTCAAGCAAACACAATGAAAGAAGACTGAAATGATAATTCAAGACCATGGATCCATTAACTTTAACATGAACAACACAAAGTAAATAAATGTTGTTCCTTACCTATAATTAGTTTGAGTGTTTGTTTCTATTTTAAAAAGACATAGGCCTGGCACAGTGGCTCATACCTATAATTCCAACACTTTGAGGGGCCAAGTCAGGAGGACTCCTTGAGTCCAGGAGTTTGTGGCCAGCCTGGGAACCATAGTGAGACCCTGTCTCTACAAAAAATAAGAAATTAGCTAGGTGTTGTGGCACGTGTCTGTAGTGCCAGCTGCTCTGCTTGGGAGGCTGAGGTGGAAGGATCACTTGACTGCAGGAGGTTGTGGTTGAGGTTCCAGTGAGCTATGATCAGGTCACTGCACTCAGCCTGGATGACAGAGTAAGACCTTGTCTCAAAAAAAATAAAATAAAATAAAATAAAACATATATATATATATATATATATATATATATACACACACACACACACACATACACACACACATATATCTTCTCATTCTCAAAGTTAGCCTTTGCACAACATTTTTTTTAATAAACAGGTACGTTGATTTTTACTTATTCTAACTTTCCAAAGTCACAGTTAAGGAAATTCACAAATTTAGACATCTTATTATAAGAACACTGTTTCTTTTGTTTGTTTTAAATGGCTCTGATTCCCTCAGCACTGGCAAGGCTTATATTGCCATTCATAGATAGACTTAAAAATAGACTAATACCACAACACGGATCACAAGGTATATAATTCTTGCTCCTTTTCTGTTGTAAGCATATACTATATACACTGAATATGGGCCTCCATTTTCTTCTGTTATTCCCCAGCATGGTTCTATAGATAGGTACAGCTTTGCTATCTGGTGATTCTCAAAGTGTGGTCCATGCAAAAATATCTTTAGCATGACCTGGGAACTTATTACAAATGCAGATTCTTGGGCTCTAAACCAGATATTCCAAATCAGATACTTTGGAGTCAGGGCCCAGGAATCTATATTTAATCCAAGTGATCCTGATGCACACTAACGTTTCAGAACCATTACTGCGAGTAAGGTCTCTGAGAACAACAAAGCATCACAACTACTCCTTTGGCCATGGAAAAGGTGATATAGCTGAAAATTTTTATATTTTAAATTGTAAAATATTGAATACATTTTACATTGTAAAATATAAAATATACTTTTATGGTAAAATATATAACAGATATGCTCAGATTAAATAATTTTAAAGTGAACATCTACAGTTATCATCACCCACATCAAAAGCCCACCCTCGAAGCCCTCTATATATGCCTCCCAATCATGACCCTTTCTTCTCTTAGGGGAGACACCTACCTGACTTTGGAATAAACTTTTCTTTATAGTTTACCACCTACATATGAATTCTTGAAATATGTGGTTGATTTTTGCCTATATTTGAACTTTTTGTGATTAGAGTAATACAGCATATATGCTTCATGTCTTTCTTATTTTGCTCAAGTTCATTACTATGAAATTCATTCATTTTGTTGTGTTTCCTTCTATTTGAAAGGGAAGGAAGAAAATGCAACAATGTAAACAGTTAGAATCTCTGGATGGTAGGAGTAAGTGATTTTTAAAATAGACATTTGTCTGTATTTCTAAATTTTTCTACTAAGATGAATTCCTGAGTAAAACTTAGCATTTCCCACCTCTGTATCAAATAATTTGAGGTGCATGTTTTGAATCACATTAACAGATTAAATAAAAATCTATGATGCAAAGCCAAACCTTGTTTCATTTATTAAACTTTCATTTCATATATGAAACTTCATATTCTGATTCAGCCCAATACTTAAATAAGATTTGGCTTAAAGATTTTCTGACCTCAAATTCAGGATATTCTGAAGAATAACTTTTAAAAACGGAGAAGAAAGTCTGTGGCACAGACCTGTAACCACAATTTCAAGAGTCATTTTTAAGCACACTAGAGTCACTTTAGTTCCTTCCAATCTGCTTAAATTGAAATCCTTAATATTATCCTAGAAGACTACCCTCCCTTTGATAACAAGGCTGTTCTTCAATAACCACCATGAAACTGCTCTGGTGAAATAACTGGGATGAGTAACTCACTTCCTATTTTGCACACATAGAAGTCACAGTACGTATGCTAAGTGTTAAAAGAGACATAGTAGATGTAAGTTGGTGATAGGTTAGAAAAGAACTAATAACTAAAATAAGTTAGAACTTTGAACCATAGGTTTTCTAGAGTAAGTAAGATGTGTGAATATATAGAAAAGCAAAGAAGGGTACCATTTATTAATCCATTCAAAAATCAATTACACTGACCATGTCCCTTCAATATTTTTCATGTCAACTCCTCCCATGTTTTAACTTATTATTTGGAAACCCAAGCTTTTCATAGACTTTTCTGAAAGATACTACCTTTTCTTTAGAAATCGTCCCTCTTTCTTCCTCCTAAGAATCAATTATAATTATCTTGCCAGAATGTCAGCATTTATAATCTGCCATGTAACTTGAATCATTTTTTCAAGTCTTATAAAATGAGATCATGCTACTTTGGGTTTTCATGTTTTAAAACATATCTTGATAAAGTAACATCATGTGTTCTGAATCCTGGATCACAGATTCATAAAGATTAGCCCAGCTCTTGGGTAGAAGAAAAAAAAAAAAGCCTGAAAAGCAGAACCACAGCATGGTAGGAGGAAACTCTTGTCTTCCTTTTGTCATTGTGCAATTACGCAGATGTTTAATCTGCAGAGGAAAGGGTTAGGAGGATACATAGAAAACCAGTACTAGAGGATCCTCCAAAGCAGAGGAGTGGGCACATTCTATCTTTGCTACAAACTCTTTTTTAAGATATGTTTTCCTCAGGTCTAAATCATGTGTAGCTATGCTCAGCATTAGTTACCATGAGTTCTAAAATGGCATGGTCCTCTAACAGACAAGTGAATGAAAAACAGGCAAGAGGAGTGGCACTGTCATCAAAATTCTGCATAAAGCTTACATTAATGTTGTTCTTCCTAGAAGTATCTGTGCATACATAGAACCTACTGGGTCAACAAATGAATATTCCAAAGGCATGTGTGTCAGGTTGCCTCAATAACATCATTCCCTGAATCACCGTGACTCTGAATCTTAAAATAGAAAAAAAAAAGTGAAAAACAGGAATTATCTAAATTTCTTTTATAAATGTTTACTGAAACAAAACACTGAAATTAAATATTATTCAAAATAAAAAACTGAAAAGGTATAAAGAAACTTAGATAATTAAGCTTATAAGTGATATTTATTGTTTGTGGTATTTATAGTTCTGAAGTTATTAAAGCTTAAAACTGTGCTATGACTTTTGAGAAAACCCCATGTTACATTTTTGCCAGTGCTATTTCTTTCCATGAAACTGGGTTTCATTCCAATCTCACTAGAGAAAGATCAATCTAAGCACTGTCTAGCAACAGATCAAGATTTACCGTTATTTTCATTAAACAACTGCTATAAAGAAGTAAACGTGCATTAGAGAAGCTACTTGTGTAAAGCAGAGTGTCCCAACTACTCACATTTTCCATTACTCCAAAAAATTCTCACCAACCTAAAATCCAGCACAGGGATCTGAGTTATAAGAACAGCTGAAAATCAAAAGGTGACTCTTCCCTAACCATCTCCTTGGTTGCTATTGACCTGCCATAGTGAACAAACTAGGAATCTTCAATCATGTATCAACTTTTATAAGGCTTGACTCTGATGATGGCAGATTACTAAAGGAAATGCAAGATGGTCCCTGCCCAGAATTTCTCATAAGTGGCTCTTGTACTGGGTGTTTATCAGGAAAACCCAGGGATTCTTTTAAAAATGCATATTCTTGGGCTCTACTCCAGATATACTGAAAAAAGATTCTAAAATTAGGGTCCATGAATAATAATTTTAAACAGTCTCCCCAAGTGGTTCTGTTGCACACTAAAGTTTGAGAAGCACTATCTAGCATCTTAGTGTCACAATACTACTGGTTCAGGTTCTAGTCTCACGTCCCAACCACATGAAGGACTTAAGATGCCTTATACCACTTGAGGTAGAATGATACATTGGTGGTCCAGTGAACCATAATTCCTGGTATTCATGTGCTTGTAGAGTCTCCTCCTATACTGACTCTGGACCTGGCCATGTGACTTTCCTTAGCTGTGATGCAAACAGAGACATGATGAGCAATTTCCATTGAGGATTATCTTGGAATGTTACTCTTAGAAGCCAGAAACCATCCGGTAAAGAAGCTCAGGCTATACTACTGAATGATGAGAGGCCACATGGAAAGAGTCTTTTGAGAATGAGATTCAGTCTTGTACACTCCAGCTCCAGTACAGCTCCCAGATGAATGAAGCCACATGAATAACTCAAGCAAGGCATAGCACAGAAGAATCATCAATTGATAACCCACAGAATTGTGAAAAATAATACATCATTTTTCCCTTTTTCTTTTTAGCCTCTATTTCTTAATGATGAGATAAATCATTGTTTTTAAGAAACTAAGTTTTTGGATATCTGGGGGCAGGGCTAAGATGGTAGACTGGAAGTAGTTCATGTGTGCCACTCCCAGGGGGAGAAAACAAAAGTGCTAGTGAACACGGGTTCTGCAGGCTGATCATCTGAGAAACCATGATGAGATACATCAAGGCAGCAGGGGAACACAGAGAACAAAGAGGGGCAAAGCTGGGCACCAGTCTGTCGGGGCTCAGTGCAGAGCCAGGAAAACCTCTTCAACACGGGAAAGGGTGAGTGAGTGACAGCCCCCAGGGGGACTCACCCTTACCACATGGACCCATGCAAGACTGAGAAGGAGAGAATCAACCTGGCTTCCCCACAATTCCCCAACATACTTCTAGATTGAGGCAGTGAGCCACTCAGATGTTTTGCAGAGGCAACTCCCATGTCCCCCCAGGAAGCACACAGATAGTAGATTAGGGCAACTTGGCTAGGATAGGGCTTGTCACTCAACTGCAGCCCCAGTCTGAGGGAGCCCCTTGGACCAGAATAACCAACAAAAGAAATGCAGACACAAAGGCAGTAATAACTGGGGCCTCCTGCAAGACCCAGGAGCAGACTAGAATTGAAGCCAGACAACCAAACCCACCTTATACCACAATCAAACCCCCAAGGGCATCAAATAAAAAAAAAGCAAAACAATCCATCCAGAAGACATCAACTTCAAAAACTGGAGGAATATCAGCCCACACAAATGAGAAAGAACCAGTACAAGAACTCTTACAATGGAAAAAGCTGAAGTGCCTTCTTTCTTCCAAACAACCACACTAGTTCTCCAGTTAAGGGTTATTAACTGGGTTGAGATGGCTGAAATGACAGAAACAGAATTCAGAATGTGGATAGGAATGAAGATCATCAAGATTCAGAAGAATGTTGAAACCCAATCCAAGGAAGCTAAGAATCACAATAAAACAATACAGGAGATGAAAGTCAAAATAGCTCATATAGAAAATAATACAACCAATCTGATAGAGCTGAAAAACACACTACAAGAATTTCATAATGCAACCACAAATATTAACAGCAGAATAGAACAAGTGGAGAAAAGAATCTCAGAGATTGAAGACTGGCTTTCTGAAATAATACAGTCAGACAGGAAGAAAACAGAACAAAAAGGAATGAATAAAACCTCTGAGAAATATGGAATTATGTAAAAGACCAAATCTATGACTCTCTGGCATACCTGAAAGAAATGGGAAGAAAGAAAACAAGTTGAAAAACATATTTCAGGATATCATCCATGAGAATTTCCTCAACCTAGCTAGAGAGTCCAACACTCAAATTCAGGAAATGTGGAGAACCACCACAAGATACTTCAAGATCACCCCCAAGACACATAATCATCAAATTTTCCAAGTTCAAAATGAAAGAAAAAATGTTAAAAGCAGCTAGAGAGAAAGGACAGGTCACCTAAAAAGAGAAGCCCATCAGAATAATAGTGTACCTATCAGCAGAAACCCTACAAGCCAGAAGAGACTGAGGGCCTATATGCAACATTCTTTAAGAAAAGGAATTCCAACCAAAAATTTCATATCCAGTCAAACTAAGCTTCAAAAGCAAAGGAAAAATAAGATCCTTTCAGACAAGAAAATGCTGAGGGAATTCATTAATGCTAGACCTGCCTTATAAGAGCTCCTGAGAGAAGCACTAGATATGGAAAGGGAAGACCATTACCAGCCACTACAAAACACACTTAAGTACACAGACAAGTGATACTATGAAGCAACCACACAAAGAAGTCTGCATAATTACCAGCTAAGAACATAATGACAGGATCAAATTCACACATATCAATACTAACCTTGAATATAAATGGGCTAAATGCCCCAATTAAAAGGCACAGAGTAGCAAGTTGGATAAAGATGCAAGATACATGGTATGCTGTCTTCAGGTAACCCATCTCACATGCAATGGCACCCACAGGCTCAAAACAGAAATAGAGACAAATCTACCAAACAAACGGAAAACAGAAAAAAGCAGGAGTTGCAAGCCTAATTTCAGACCAAACAATCTTTAAGCCAAATAGATTTTTAAAAGCCAGAGAATGACATTACATAATGGTAAAGGGTCCAATTCAACAATTCTTAAATCCTAAAAATTTAGGATTCAACTATCCTAAATCTATAGGCACCCAATACAGGTGCACCCAGATTCAAAAAACAAGTTCTTAGAGACCTATGAAGAGACTTAGATTCATACACAATAATAGTGGGAGACATCAACACCCTACTGACAGTAATAGATCATTGAGGCAGAAAATTAATAGTATCAGGATCTGAACTAAACTCTTGACCAAATGGATCTAATAGACATCTACAGAACTCATCACCCTAAGAAGACAGAATATATATTCTTTTCATTATCACATGTATTAGTCCGTACTCATGCTGCTAATAAAGACATATCTGAGACCGGGTAATTTATAAAGGAAAGAAGTTTAATTGACTCACAGTTCAGCATGGCTAGGGAGGCCTCAGGAAACTTACAATCATGGCAGAAGGGGAAGCAAACATGTCCTTCACATGGCGGCAACAAAGAGAAGTGCAGAGTAAAAGAGGGAAAAGCCCCTTATAAAACCATCAGATCTCGTGAGAACTCACTAATTATCATGAGAACAGCAGTGTGGGGGTAACTGCTACCAAGATTCAAATATCTCCTACCAGGTCCCTCCCATGACATGTCAGAATTATAGGAACCACAATTCAAGATGAGATTTGGTTGGGGACACGCCAAACCATATCACCACATGATACATACTCTAAAATCAACCACGGAATCAGACATAAGACAACCCTCAGCAAACTCAAGAAAACTGAAATCATAACCAACCATACTCTTCTGTGCAATTAAAACAGAAATCAAGGCCATGAAAATTGCTCAAAGCCATACAATTGCATGGAAATTAAACAACCTGCTCCTGAATGACTCTTAGGTAAATAATGAAATTAAGGCAGAAATCAAGAAGTTCTTTGAAATGAATGAGAACAAAGACACAACAAATCAGTATTTCTGGGACACAGCTAAGGCAGTGTTAAGAGGGAAATTATAGCACTAAACACCCACATCAAAAAGTTGGAAAGATCTCAAGTTAACAATCAAACATCACAACTAGTAGAACTTGAGAACCAAGAACAAACCAACCCCAAAGCTAGCAGAAGACAAGAAATAACCAAAATCAAGAGCTAAAATGGAGGAGATAGAGACAAAAAATCATACAAAAGGTTAATGAATCCAGGAGTTGTTTTTTTTTTTAAAGTAAGATAAATTGACAGCTAGACAAATAAAGAAAAAAGATACAAATAAACACAATCAGAAATGACAAAGGAGACATTACCACTGACCCCACAGAAATACAAAGAACCATCAGAGACTACTATGAACACCGTTATGCACATAAGCTAGAAAATCTAAAATAAATGAGTAATTCCTGGACATGTACATCCTCCCAACACTGAACCAAGAAGAAATTGAATCCTCAAGCAGACCAATAGTGACCTCTGAAACTGAATCAGTAAAAGCCTACCAATCAAACAAAAGGCCCAGGACCAGACGGATTCATAGCCATATTCTACCAGATGTACAAAGAAGAGCTAGGATCATTCCTACAGAAGCTATTCCAAAAAATTGAGGAGGAGGGAATCCTCCTCAACTCATTCTATGAGGCCATCATCATCCTGATACCAAAATATGACAGAGACACAACAAAAAAAGAAAACTTCAGGCCAATGTCCTTGATGTACATCTATATAAAAATTTTCAACAAAATACTCGCAAGCCAAATCCAGCAGCACATCAAAAAGTGAATCCACCATGATCAAGTAGGCTTTATCCTTGGGATACAAGGTTAGTTCAACATACACAAATCAATAAATGTGACTCATCACATAAACAGAACTAAAGACAGGAACCACAGATGCAGAAAAAGCCTTTGATAAAATTCAGCATCCCCTCATGTTAAAAACCCTCAAATAAACTAGGCATTGAGGAACATACTTCAAAATAATAATAGTCATCAATGACAAACCCACAGTCAACATCATGCTGAATGAGCAAAAGCTGAAAGCATTCTCCTTGAAAACCAAAACAAGACAAGGATGCCCTCTATCACCAAATCTATTGAACATAGTATTCGAAGTCCTGGCCAGAGCAATCAGGCAAGAGAAAGATATAAAAGGCATCCAAATAGAGAGAAAGGAAGTCAACCTATCCCTGTTTGAAGATGACATGATTCTATATCTAAAAAACCTCATTAGTCTCTGCCCAAAAGCTTCTTGAGATGACAAGCAACTTCAGCGAAGTTTCAGGATACAAAATCAATTTATAAAAATCAGGGCCAGGTGCAGTGGCTCACACCTGTAATCCCAGGACTTTGGGAGGCCGAGACAGGTGGATCACTTGAGGTCAGGAGTTCGAGACCAGCCTGGCCAACATAGTGAAACTCTGTCTCTATTAATAATATAAAAATTAGCTGAGCATGGTGGTGCGTGCCTGTAATCCCAGCTACTTGGGAGGCTGAGGCACAAGAATCGCTTGAACCTGGGAGGTGGAGGTTGCCGTGAGCCGAGATCATGCCACTGCACTCCAGCCTGGGTGACAAAGTGAAACTGTGTCTCAAAAAACAAACGAACAAACAAAAACAATTTATAAAAATCAGTAGCATTCTTACACAGCGCCCAAGCTGAGAGCCAAATCAGGAATACAATCCCATTTACAATTGCCACAAAAAGAGTAAAATATCTAGGAATACAGCTAACCAAGGAAGTTAAAGATCTCTATAATGAAAATTACAAAACACTGCTCAAAGAAATCAGAGATAACACAAACAAATGTAAGAACATTCCATGCTCTTAGATGGGAAGAATCAATATCATTAAAATGGTCATACTGCCTAAAGCAATTTACAGATTCAATGCTATTCCTTTCCATGTACCAGTGACATTCTTCACAAACTGGAAAAAAACTATTTTAATGTTCATATTGAACCAAAAAAGAGCCTGAATTGCCAAGGGAACCCTAAGCAAAAAGATCAAAGCTGGAGGAATCATATTGTCCAACTTCACACTGTAGTACAAGGCTACAGTAACCAAAAACAACATGGTACTGGTATAAAAACAGACACACAGACCAATGGAGCAGGATAGAGAGCCCAGATATAAACCCACACACCTACAACCATCTGATCTTTGACAAAGCTGACAAAAACAAGCAATGGGGAAAGGACTCCCTATTCAATAAATGATTCTGGGATAACGGGCTAGCTATATACAGAAGACTAAAACTGGACCCCTTCCTTACACCATATACAAAAATCAACTCAAGATGGATGAAAGACCTAAATGTAAAACCTAAAACCTAAATAAAACCTAAAACCTAAATAAAAACCCTAAAGGATAACCTAGGAAATATCATTTTGTACATAGGAACTGGCAAAGATTTCATGACAAAAATGCCAAAAGCAATTGCAACAAAAGCAAAAATTGATAAATCAAAAATAAGCTAAAGAGCTTTTGCATAGCAAAAGAAACTATGAACAGAGTAAACAGACAACCTACAGAATGAGAGAAAATATTTGCTAACTATACGTCTGACAGAGGTCTAACATCCAGAATCTATGAGGAACTTAAACAAATTTACAGGAAAAAAATAAAAACAACCCCATAACACAGTGGGTGAAGGACATGAACAGACAATTTTCAAAAGAAGACACACATGCAGCCAACAACCATGAAAAAAAGCTCAATATCACTGATCATTAGAGAAATGCAAATCAAAACCACAGTGAGATACCATCTCACACCAGTCAGAATGGCTATTACTAAAAAGTCAAAAAATAACAGATGCTGGTTAGGTGGTGGAGAAAAAGGAACACTTATATACCTGTTGGGGGAAGTGTAAATTAGTTCAGCTATTGTGGAAGACAGTGTGGCGATTCCTCAAAGGCCTAAAGCCATAAATACCATTTGACACAGCAATCCCATTACTGGGTACATACCCAGAGGAATATAAATCATTCTACCATAAACACGCATGCAAATGTTCACTGAAGCACTATTCACAATAGTAAAGACATAAAAGTAACCTAAATGCCCATCACTGGTAGACTGGATAAAGAAAACATGGTACATATACACCATGGAATACTCTGCAGCCATTAACAAAAAAAATGAGATCATGTCCTTTATAGGAACACGAATGGAACTGGAGGCCATTATCCTTAGCAAACTAATGAAGGAACAGAAAACCAAATACCACATGTTCTCACTTACAAGTGGAAGCTAAATAATGAAAAGACATGGACAGAAGTTGAAAAACAGACACTGGAGCCTTCTTAAGGGTGGAGGATTGGAGAAGGGATAGGTTTGGAAGAAAAAAAATACCTACAGAGTACTGTGCTTGGTAATGGGGTGACGAAATAATCTGTTAACTAAACCCCGAGTCAAGAGTTTGCCTACATAACAAAACTGCACATGTACCCCTGAACCTAAAATAGAAGTTAAAATATTTTTAAGAGTTAAATTAAATTTAAAAAATATTTTAGGATAGTTTGTTATACAGCAATAATATCTAAATTTCACTATTTGTAAATGATTTTTCTTAAGCTTAATACATACTTACCTCTTCAGGGCCATTAAATGCAATCCTTCCTCAAAATTAGGATTCTTTTGTAGGGACTAACAGAACTCTTGAGATTCCTTCTAAATCAATAAATCACCAGTTTTATTTAAAGTCCCTAAAACTTACAGATCCTTAGGATATTTTCACTGTCTATAATTTTATGTTTCAAAAATGTATGCTAAGCTCTGTGCATTCAAAGTCAGGGTCCTAACATGTAGTTCAGTGTACTTGGTGCAATTGATAAAATTCCATCCAACTGTTTACTTTTTCAGATAGAACAGAACACATTCACAAAACTCCAAAATGGTGACATTCTAAGCAAAACTGGGACCACTTCTGGAATTTTTGTTAAAACTGAGTTAAATATACGATGTTTAGCTCTCTTTATACCAAAAAATGTCATGCCTCTTTCACAGTATCCTAGTGGATGAACTGCATGAAGGAAATCAAATATGAAAAAGCTGAGCACTTAACTGATTCAATCGGCCCAAATTTAGGAGGTTGCATGCATCTACCAGGGCTCTTGGCTTACACAGCACCAAAGCTACCATTACAGTGGATAGTAAAACTCTGAAAGAGGCTCTGAGTAAGAATAACCCAATTTCTAAAAGTGAGGACATGATAAATAAGACCTAGCGCCTACCAGTCTCATTTTAATTCTTATACCAGAGCCAATTCTGATGCTAAATTTACAAATTGGTCAATATTCTAATAAATAATTTGCTTCCTAGTAAATTAAATGCAGACAACCACAAAATATCTAAACTTTCTTTGAAACATTCTCCATGAAAATAGAATTATTTTTTACAACCAAAACACAACATCAAGGTATAGAATACAATTTCCAATTTATTTATTTTTCTCTATCTCTCTCTCTTTTTAATATAGACAGGGTCTTGCTATGCCGGCCTGGCTGATTTCAAACCCCTGGCCTCAAGCAATCCTCCTACCTCGGCCTCCTAGAGTACTGGGATTACTGGCATGAGCCACCATGCCTGGCCAAAATTTTCCTTTATAAGAATTTTCTACACAGTTTCACAGAATAATAGAATAACTGGGTTTAAATGCTCAGATAAAACTTTAAAACAATCTTAACTCATTTTACTGATGAAACTAAACTTCAAAAAGGACTGTTATAAACAATGCAGTAAAATTGTTTAATGCATAAATCTGTTATAAGGAAAATTTCTAACAAAATTTCAGGGTTCTACTACTCAATAAAAAGACTAAATTGTTTCTCCATTACAAGTATAAAAGCCACTCTCCCAGATTTGGCTACCTCCTCTTGCCCAGTGTCAACCATAATAGGCAATCAAAAAATAGCTACTGAATCAACCAGATGTAAGCAATAAACCTACTTCATGCACTTAAATCAGACCTAGGCTTTAACTGGGGAAAAAAATTAAAGCACTTTATTCCTTTAACAATGACTACATTTTTCTCCCTGTAGATGATGAATGTAAATGTTGGATTTTTGTTAGCATTATAAAACTATTACTTTGTTACAAGACAGTCATTCAACTTTGCTTAAAAATTAAAAGATAATGATATTAGTGGCAGCAGCAGTAGTAGTAGTAATAGAGTAGTAATCATAATACTAACAATGTGTAACACTTATACAGCACTAAACTACGTGCTGGGAACTGTCTAGAGCACCTTCCATACACTAATGCACTTAATCCTTAGTTACCCCATGAAAAATGTATAGAATTATTCTCATTTTAGAAATAAGGAAACAAGGTAGAAAGAGATGAAGTAATTAATCCAATATCCCATAGCTAGTAAGTGGCAGAGCCAGAATTCAAACCTAAACAGCCTGATTTCAGAGTAAAAGTAATTTATTTTATGGATGGAATTAATAACTATAACCTATAAACAATACTGAGAACATAATAAACACATTGCATAATTTTTAAAGTAAAAAGAACACAAGAACATTCACCTTGTTTTTCTTTCCTTTTAAAACCTGAGTCCTAAAATGACAATATATTTTAATCTGCATATCTAAAAAGACCACAGATGCCTCAAATATACCTTATTTTTCCCACAATTTATCTCACAGACCAAGAACTCTTTATGTTCTAGCTCTCTTAGAAATGAGAAGTGAAACCACTGCATCCAC
Organism: Homo sapiens; assembly: GCF_000001405.40. NCBI lineage: Eukaryota > Metazoa > Chordata > Mammalia > Primates > Hominidae > Homo > Homo sapiens. The sequence goes on from NC_000001.11 coordinate 169,271,192, forward strand.
ATAGATTAACTATAGGTCTATGAACTAAGGCCGCCTACATACACATGACTACTACTTGTGCCAAGAAGTTTCTTGCCCAGAAAGATAAGGCAGTAAATCAGTAAATAACTTCACTGTTGGCTTCAGGAACTTCCCAAAAATCCATTTACCCCAACAATAGAGTACTCAAACAGTCCCCTTTCACAGTACTCCCTCTACTGCTCAAACAACTCATTTATCAAACAACTGTGTATTTACAAGACTTGGTTAAGATCCTTAGCCTGCTGTTGCTACAAACCTTCAACCATTATTATATCATGAACGCTGTCGTCTCAATCAGACGACTGCATTGAAAGCTCTTAAACATCTCAAGGTTTTGCAATATCTACCCCTGAACTCTCCCTTGCAGAGTCTACTAAGGCTCTATCAAGGTTGTGCTTGCCCTTTATTGTATTAAGGAATAAACTTAGCTTTGCTTCATCAACAGGATATTCTGGCCTTTTTTTGGGAAGTCAGCAGTCAACAGAAGGGATAATCCTATTCCATTTCAGCTGCTCTCTTATCAGCAACTCCTTTTTTAAAATAAAAATCTTTAAAAATAAAAATAAAAATCTTTCATGCCTATACTATATTACAGGTAATATTAAATATATTAATACCAGGAGATGGGATTATTATAGAAACAGATAAACATAAACCAGCAAATGAAAGGGGGCCATGTGAACCTAATAATAAATTCAATATGAGACTTCAAACTATATTTCATTAAAATGGCAGTTTAATCTGAACTGGGTTAATTACATACTTCAAAATGGTCTTAAATTATTCCAAAAATACAGGTTTAGAAATAAAAGGAAAAAAAAGCCTTGGGTTGCCAAAGTTTATTCTGCCATCTGAGTAGATTTTTACAAAAATTTCTTTGCCTTAATTAAGTTATATGACCTAATGTTATATATCAAATATAAATATATAAAATATAATCTATAAATAGCTCTAAAAACCATTAAATCCTGTATAAACAGAAAAATAATATATTAAAATTATTAATAGTTATTTTGATATCAACTTTCACTTACATACAGTATTTTTTGGTTTTAGTTACATGTGCAATTTTTATTCTTCAACTTTTATTTTAACTTCTGGGACACATGTGCATGATGTGCAAGTTTGTTACATAGGTAAATGTGTGCTATGGTGGTTTGCTGCACATATCAACTCATTATCTAGGTATTAACCCCAGCATCCATTAGCTATTCTTTCTGATGCTCTCCCTCCCCCCGCCCCCCATGACAGGCCGCAGCGTGTGTTGTTCCCTGACCATGTGTCCATGTATTCCTATTGTTCAGCTGCCACTGGTAAGTGAAAACATGCAGTGTTTGGTTTTCTGTTCCTGAGTCAGTTTGCTGAGGATAATGGCTTCCAGCTCCATCCATGTCTCTGCAAAGGATATGATCTTGTTCCTTTTTATGGCTACATAGTATTCTATCATGTATATGTACCACATTTTCTATATCCAGTCTATCATTGATGGGCATTTGGGTTGATTCCATGTCTTTGCTATTGTGAACCGTGCTGCAATGAACATACACGTGCATGTATTTTTATAATAGAACGATTTACATTCCTTTGGGTATATACCCAGTAATGGCATTGCTGGGTCAAATGGTATTTCTGCCTCTAGATCTTTGAGGAATCACCACACTGTCATACACAATGAAGGAACTAATTTTACTCTCCCAGTAACAGTGTAAAAGTGTTCCTTTTTCTCCACAGCCTCACCAGCAACGGCTGTTTCTTGACTTTTCAATGATCACCATTCGAACTGGCGTGAGATGGTATCTCATTGTGGTTTTGACTTGCATTTCTTTAATGATCAGTGATGTTGAGCTTTTTTTAAAATTATTATACTTTAAGTTCTAAGTTACATGTGCAGAATGTGCAGTTTTGTTACATAGGTATACACGTGCCCTGCTGGTTAGCTGCACCCATCAACCTATCACATATAATTAGGTATTTCTCCTAATGTCATCCCTCCCCTAGCCTCCCACCCCCTGACAGGCCCCAGTGTGTGATGTTCCCCTCCCTGTGTCCATGTGTTTTCATTGTTCAACTCAGACTTATGAGTGAGAACATGCAGTGTTTAGTTTTCTGATCTTGTGATAGTTTGCTGAGAATGACAGTTTCCAGCTTCATCCATGTCCAATCAAAGGAAATGAAGTCATCACTTTTTAAGGCTGCATAGTATTCCATGGCGTATATGCACCACACTTTCTTTTCTATTTTTTTCTTAATTTTTTTTTATTATTATACTTTAAGTTTTAGGGTACATGCGCACAATGTGCAGGTTAGTTACATATGTATACATGTGCCATGCTGGTGTGCTGCACCCATTGACTCGTCATTTAGCATTAGGTATATCTCCTAATGCTATCCCTCCCCACTCCCCCTACCCCACAACAGTCCCCAGAGTGTGATGTTCCCCTTCCTGTGTCCATGTGTTCTCATTGTTCAATTCCCATCTATGAGTGAGAACATGCGGTGTTTGGTTTTTTGTCCTTGCGATAGTTTACTGAGAATGATGATTTCCAATTTCATCCATGTCCCTACAAAGGACATGAACTCATCATTTTTTATGGCTGCATAGTATTCCATGGTGTATATGTGCCACATTTTCTTAATCCAGTCTATCATTGTTGGACATTTGGGTTGGTTCCAAGTCTTTGCTATTGTGAATAGTGCCGCAATAAACATACGTGTGCATGTGTCTTTATAGCAGCATGATTTATAGTCCTTTAGGTATATATTATACCAGTAATGGGATTGCTGGGTCAAATGGTATTTCTAGTTCTAGATCCCTGAGGAATCGCCACACTGACTTCCACAATGGTTGAACTAGTTTACAGTCCCACCAACAGTGTAAAAGTGTTCCTATTTCTCCACATCCTCTCCAGCACCTGTTGTATCCTGACTTTTTAATGATTGCCATTCTAACTGGTGTGAGATGGTATGTCATTGTGGTTTTGATTTGCATTTCTCTGATGGCCAGTGATGATGAGCATTTTTTCATGTGTCTTTTGGCTGCATAAATGTCTTCTTTTGAGAAGTGTCTGTTCATATTCTTTGTCCACTTTTTGATGGGGTTGTTTGTTTTTTTCTTGTAAATTTGTTTGAGTTCATTGTAGATTCTGGATATTAGCCCTTTGTCAGAAGAGTAGGTTGCGAAAATTTTCTCCCATTTTGTAGGTTGCCTGTTCACTCTGATGGTAGTTTCTTTTGCTGTGCAGAAGCTCTTTAGTTTAATTAGATCCCATCTGTCAATTTTGGCTTTTGTTGCCATTGCTTTTGGTGTTTTAGACATGAAGTCGTCGCCTATGCCTATGTCCTGAATGGTATTGCCTAGGTTTTCTTCTAGGGTTTTTATGGTTTTAGGTCTAACGTTTAAGTCTTTAATCCATCTTGAATTAATTTTTGTATAAGGTGTAAGGAAGGGATCCAGTTTCAGCTTTCTACATATGGCTAGCCAGTTTTCCCAGCACCACTTATTAAATAGGGAATCCTTTTCCCATTGCTTGTTTTTCTCAGGTTTGTCAAAGATCAGATAGTTGTAGATATGTGGCATTATTTCTGAGGGCTCTGTTGTGTTCCATTCATCTATCTCTCTGTTTTGGTACCAGTACCATGCTGTTTTGGTTACTGTAGCCTTGTAGTATAGTTTGAAGTCAGGTAGCGTGATGCCTCCAGCTTTGTTCTTTTGGCTTAGGATTGAGTTGGCGATGTGGGCTCTTTTTTGGTTCCATATGAAATTTAAAGTAGTTTTTTCCAATTCTGTGAAGAAAGGCATTGGTAGCTTGATGGGGATGGCATTGAATCTATAAATTACCTTAGGCAGTATGGCCATTTTCACGATATTGATTCTTCCCACCCATGAGCATGGAATGTTCTTCCACTTGTTTGTATCCTCTTTTATTTCACTGAGCAATGGTTTGTAGTTCTCCTTGAAGAGGTCCTTCACGTCCCTTATAAGTCGGATTCCTACGTATTTTATTCTCTTTGAAGCAATTGTGAATGGGAGCTCACTCATGATTTGGCTCTCTGTTTGTCTGTTATTGGTGTATAAGAACACGGTGAAACCCCGTCTCTACTAAAAAAAATACAAAAATTAGCCGGGCATGGTGGCGCGTGCCTGTAGTCCCAGCTACACAGGAGGCTGAGGCAGGAGAATGGCGTGAACCCGGGAGGCGGAGCTTGCAGTGAGTCGAGATCGCGCCACTGCACTCCAGCCTGGGCGACAGAGCGAAACTCCGTCTCAAAAAAAAAAAAAAAAAAAAAAAAAAAGAATGCTTGTGATTTTTGTACATTGATTTTGTATCCTGAGACTTTGCTGAAGTTGCTTATCAGCTTAAGGAGATTTTGGGCTGAGATAATGGGGATTTCTAGATATACAATCATGTCACCTGCAAACAGGTACAATTTGACTTCCTCTTTCCCTAATTGAATACCCTTTATTTCCTTCTCCTGCCTAATTGCCCTGGCCAGAACTTCCAACACTATGTTGAATAGGAGTGGTGAGAGAGGGCATCCCTGTCCTGTGCCAGTTTTCAAATGGAATGCTTCCAGTTTTTGCCCATTCAGTGTGATACTGGCTGTGGGTTTGTCATAGATAGCTCTTATTATTTTGAGATACATCCCATCAATACCTAATTTATTGAGAGTTTTTAGCATGAAGGGTTGTTGAATTTTGTCAAAGGCCTTTTCTGCATCTATTGAGATAATCATGTGGTTTTTGTCTTTGGTTCTGTTTATATGCTGGATTACATTTATTGATTTGCGTATATTGAACCGGCCTTGCATCCCAGGGATGAAGCCCACTTGATCATGGTGGATAAGCTTTTTGATGTGCTTGCTGGATTCAGTTTGCCAGTATTTTATTGAGGATTTTTGCATCAATGTTCATCAAGGATATTGGTCTAAAATTCTCTTTTTTGGTTGTGTCTCTGCCCGACTTTGGTATCAGGATGATGCTGGCCTCATAAAATGAGTTAGGGAGGATTCCCTCTTTTTTTATTCAGTGGAATAGTTTCAGAAGGAATGGTACCAGTTCCTCCTTGTACCTCTGGTACAATTCGGCTGTGAATCCATCTGGTCCTGGACTCTTTTTGGTTGGTAAGCTATTGATTATTGCTACAATTTCTGAGCCTGTTATTGGTGTATTCAGAGATTCGACTTCTTCCTCGTTTAGTCTTGGGAGAGTGTATGTGTCGAGGAATTTATCCATTTCTTCTCGATTTTCTAGTTTATTTGCGTAGAGGTGTTTGTAGTATTCTCTGATGGTAGTTTGTATTTCTGTGGGATCGGTGGTGATATCCCCTTTATCAGTTTTTATTGCGTCTATTAGATTCTTCTCTCTTTTTTTCTTTATTAGTCTTGCTAGCGGTCTATCAATTTTGCTGATCCTTTCAAAAAACCAGCTCCTGGATTCGTTGATTTTTTGAAGGGTTTTTTGGTCTCTATTTCCTTCAGTTCTGCTCTGATCTTAGTTATTTCTTGCCTTCTGCTAGCTTTTGAATGTTGTTTGCTCTTGCTTTTCTAGTTCTTTTAATTGTGATGTTAGGGTGTCAATTTTGGATCTTTCCTGCTTTCTCTTGTGGCCATTTAGTGCTATAAATTTCCCTCTACACACTGCTTTGAATGTGTCCCAGAGATTCTGGTATGTTGTCTCTTTGTTCTCGTTGGTTTCAAAGAACATCTTTATTTCTGCCTTCATTTCGTTATGTACCCAGTAGTCATTCAGGAGCAGACTGTTCAGTTTCCATGTAGTTGAGTGGTTTTGAGTGAGTTTCTTAATCCTGAGTTCTAGTTTGATTGCACTGTGGTCTGAGAGACAGTTTGTTATAATTTCTGTTCTTTTACACTTGCTGAGGAGAGCTTTACTTCCAACTATGTGGTCAATTTTGGAATAGGTGTGGGGTGGTGCTGAAAATATGTATATTCTGTTGATTTGGGGTGGAGAGTTCTGTAGATGTCTATTAGGTCCGCTTGGTGCAGAGCTAAGTTCAATTCCTGGGTATGCTTGTTGACTTTCTGTCTCGTTGATCTGTCTAATGTTGACAGTGGGGTGTTAAAGTCTCCCATTATTATTGTGTGGGAGTCTAAGTCTCTTTGTAGGTCACTCAGGACTTGCTTTATGAATCTGGGTGCTCCTGTATTGGGTGCAATATATTTAGGATAGTTAGCTCTTCTTGTTGAATTGATCCCTTTACCAATATGTAATGGCCTTCTTTGTCTCTTTTGATCTTTGTTGGTTTAAAGTCTGTTTTATCAGAGACTAGGATTGCAACCCCTGCCTTTTTTTGTTTTCCATTTGCTTGGTAGATCTTCCTCCATCCTTTTATTTTGAGCCTATGTGTGTCTCTGCACGTGAGATGGGTTTCCTGAATACAGCACACTGATGGGTCTTGACTCTTTATCCAATTTGCCAGTCTGTGTCTTTTAATTGGAGCATTTAGTCCATTTACATTTAAAGTTAATATTGTTATATGTGAATTTGATCCTGTCATTATGATGTTAGCTGGTTATTTTGCTCGTTAGTTGATGCAGTTTCTTCCTAGTCTTGATGGTCTTTACATTTTGGCATGATTTTGCAGCGGCTGGTACCAGTTGTTCCTTTCCATGTTTAGCGCTTCCTTCAGGAGCTCTTTTAGGGCAGGCCTGGTGGTGACAAAATCTCTCAGCATTTGCTTGTCTGTAAAGTATTTTATTTCTCCTTCGCTTATGAAGCTTAGTTTGGCTGGATATGAAATTCTGGGTTGAAAATTCTTTTCTTTAAGAATGGTGAATATTGGCCCCCACTCTCTTCTGACTTGTAGAGTTTCTGCCGAGAGATCCGCTGTTAGTCTGATGGGCTTCCCTTTGTGGGTAACCCGACCTTTCTCTCTGGCTGCCCTTAACATTTTTTCCTTCATTTCAACTTTGGTGAATCTGACAATTATATGTCTTGGAGTTGCTCTTCTCGAGGAGTATCTTTGTGGCATTCTCTGTATTTCCTGAATCTGAATGTTGGCCTGCCTTGCTCGTTTGGGGAAGTTCTCCTGGATAATATCCTGCAGAGTGTTTTCCAACTTGGTTCCATTCTCCCCGTCACTTTCAGGTACACCAATCAGACATAGATTTGGTCTTTTCACATAGTCCCATATTTCTTGGAGGCTTTGTTTGTTTCTTTTTATTCTTTTCTCTCTAAACTTCCCTTCTCACTTCATTTCATTCATTTCATCTTCCATCACTGAAACCCTTTCTTCCAGTTGATCGCATCGACTCCTGAGGCTTCTGCATTCTTCACGTAGTTCTCGAGCTTTGGCTTTCAGCTCCATCAGCTCCTTTAAGCACTTCTCTGTATTGGTTATTCTAGTTATACATTCGTCGAAATTTTTTTCAAAGTTTTCACCTTCTTTGCCTTTGATTTGAATTTCCTCCTATAGCTTGCAGTAGTTTGATCATGTGAAGCCTTCTCTCAACTCGTCAAAGTCATTCTCCATCCAGCTTTGTTCCATTGCTGGTGAGGAACTGCGTTCCTTTGGAGGAGGAGAGGCACTCTGCTTTTTAGAGTTTCCAGTTTTTCTGCTGTGTTTTTTCCCCATCTTTGTGGTTTTATCTACTTTTGATCTTTGATGATGGTGATGTACAGATGGGTTTTTGGTGTGGATGTTCTTTCTGTTTGTTAGTTTTCCTTCTAACAGACAGGACCCTCCGCTGCAGGTCTGTTGGAGTTTGCTAGAGGTCCACTCCAGACCCTGTTTGCCTGGGTATCAGCAGCGGTGTCTGCAGAACAGTGGATTTTCATGAACTGTGAATGCTGCTGACTGATTGTTCCTCTTGAAGTTTTGTCTCAGAGGAGTACCTGGCCGTGTGAGGTGTCAGTCTGCCCCTCCTGTGGGGGTGCCTCCCAGTTAGGCTGCTTGGGGGTCAGGGGTCAGGGACCCACTTGAGGAGGCAGTCTGCCCGTTCTCAGATCTCCCCCTGGGTGCTGGGAGAACCACTGCTCTCTTCAAAGCTGTCAGACAGGGACATTTAAGTCTGCAGAGGTTACCGCTGTCTTTTTGTTTGTCTGTGCTCTGCCCCCAGAGGTGGAGCCTACAGAGGCAGGCAGGCCTCCTTGAGCTGTGGTGGGCTCCACCCAGTTCGAGCTTCCAGGCTGCTTTGTTTACCTAAGCAAGCCTGGGCAATGGCAGGATCCCCTCCCCCAGCCTTGCTGCCAACTTGCAGTTTGATCTCACACTGCTGTGCTAGCAATCAACGAGACTCTGTGGGCATAGGACCCTCCAAGCCAGGTGCGGGATATGACCTTCTGGTGCGCCATTTCCTAAGCCATCAGAAAAGCACAGTATTTGGGTGGGAGTGACCCGATTTTCCAGGTGCCGTCTGTCACCCCTTTCCTTGACCAGGAAAGGGAACTCCCTGACCCCTTGCACTTCCCGAGTGAGGCAATGCCTCGCCCTGCTTCGGCTCGCGCATGATGCGCTGCACCCACTGTCCTGCGCCCACTGTCTGGCACTCCCTAGTGAGATGAACCCGGTACCTCAGATGGAAATGCAGAAATCACCCATCTTCTGTGTCACTCACACTGGGAGCTGTAGACTGGAGCTGTTCCTATTCGGCCATCTTGGCTCCTCCCCACATTTTCTTAATTCGTCTATCATTGATGGGCATTTGGCTTGGTTCCAAGTCTGTGCTATTGTGAATAGTGCTGCGTTAACATACATGTGAATCTGTCTTTACAGCAGAATGATTTATAACCCTTTGGGTATATGCCTAGTAATGGGATTGCTGGGCCAAATGGTATTTCCAATTCTAGATCCTTGAGGAATCACCACACTGTTTTCCACAATGGTTGAACTAATTTATACTCCCACCAACAGTGTAAAAGCGTTCCCATTTTTCCACAACCTCTCCAGCATCTGTCATGTCCTGACTTTTTAATAATCACCAATCTAACTGGTGTAAGATGGTATCTCATTGTAATTTTGATTTGCATTTCTCTAATGACCAGGGATGAGGAGCATTTTTTCATATGTCTGTTGGCTGCACTTCTTTTGAGAAGTGTCTGTTCATATCCTTTGCCCATTTTTTGATGGGGTTGTTTGTTTTTTTCTTGTAAGTTTGTTTACATTCTTTGTAGATTCTAGATATTAGCCCTTTGTCAGATGGATAGATTGCAAAAATTTTCTCCTATTCTGTAGGTTGCCTGTTCACTCTGATGATAGTTTCTTTTGCTGTGCAGAAACTCTTTAGTTTAATTAGATCCCATATGTCAATTATGGCTTTTGTTGCCATTGCTTTTGGTGTTTTAGACATAAAGTCTTTGCCCATTCCTATGTCCTGAATGGTATTGCCAAGGATTTCTTCTAAGATTTTTATGGTCCTAGGTCTTATTAAAGTCTTTGATCCATCTTGAGTTGATTTTTGTAAAAGGTGTAAGGAAGGGGTCCAGTTTCAGTTTTCTGCATATGGCTAGCCAGTTTTCCCAACACTATTTATTAAATAGGGAATCTTTTCCCCATTGCTTGTGTGTGTCAGGTTTGTCAAAGATCAGATGGTTGTAGCTGTGTGGTGTTATTTCTGAGGCCTACATTCTGTTCCTTTTGTCTACATATCTGTTTTGGTATAAGTACCATGCTGTTTTGGTTACTGTAGCCTTGTAGTATAGTTAGAAGTCAGGTAGCATAATGCCTCCAGCTTTGTTCTTCATGCCCAAGATTGTCTTGGCTACGCAGGCTCTTTTTTGGTTCCATATGAAGTTTAAAGTAGTTTTTTTCCAATTCTGTGAAGAAAGTCAATGGTAGCTTGATGGGGATAGCATTGAATCTATAAATTACTTTCAGCAATATGGCCATTTTCGTGATACTGATTCTTCCTATCCATGAGCATGGAATGTTTTCCCATTTGTTTGTGTCCTCTCTTATTTCCTTGAGCAGTGGTTTATAGTTCTCCCTGAAGAGGTCCTTCATATCCCTTGTAAGTTGTATTCCTAGGTATTTTATTCTCTTAGTAGCAACTGTGAATGGGAGTTGATGCACAATTTGGCTCTCTGTCCATTATTGGTGTGTAAGAATGCTTGTAATTTTTGCATACTGATTTTGTATCCTGAGACTTTGCTGAAGTTGCTTATCAGCATAAGGAGGTTTTGGGCTAAGACAATGGGGTTTTCTAAATATACAATAATGTCATCTGTAAACAGAGACAATTTGACTTCTTCTCTTCCTATCTGAATACCCTTTATTGCTTTCTCTTGCCTTATTGCCCTGGCCAGAACATCCAATACTATGTTGAACAGGAGTGGTGAGAGAGGGCATCCTTGTCTTGTGCCGGTTTTCAAAGGGAATGCTTCAAGCTTTTGCCCATTCAGTATGATATTGGCTGTGGGTTTGTCATAAATCGCTCTTATTATTTTGAGATATGTTCCATCAATACCTAGTTTATTGAGAGTTTTTAGCATGAAGGGGTGCTGAATTTTATTGAAGGCCTTTTCTGCATCTATTGAGGTATGTGTTTTTTGTCATTGGTTTTGTTTATGTGATGAATTACGTTTATCGATTTGTGTATGTTGAACCAGCCTTGCATTCCAGCAATGAAGCCACTTGATTGTGATGGATAAGCTTTTTGATGTGCTGCTGGATTCGGTTTGCCAGTATTTTATTGTGGATTTTCTCATAGATGTTCATCAGGGATATTGGCCTGAAATTTTCTTTTTTTGTTGTGTCTCTTCCAGGTTTTGGTATCAGGATGATGCTGGCCTCATTTTATGAGTTAGGAAGGATTCCCTCTTTTTCTATTGTTTGGAACAGTTTCAGAAGGAATGGTACCAGCTCCTCTTTGTACCTCTGGTAGAATTTGGCTGTGAATCTGTCTGGTCCTGGACTTTTTTTGGTTGGTAAGCTATTAATTATTGCCTCAATTTCAGAACCTGTTATTGGTCTGTTCAGGGGTTCTACTTCTTCCTGGCTTAGACTTGGGAGGATGTATGTGTCCAGGAATTTATCCATTTCTTCTAGATTTTCTAGTTTATTTGCGTAGAGGTGTTTAAAATATTCTCTGACGGTAGTTTGTGTTTCTACAGGATCAGTGGTGATATCCTCTATATCATTTTTTATTGAATCTATTTGATTCTTCTCTCTTTTCTTCTTTATTAGTCTGGCTAGCAGTCTATCTATTTTGATGATTTTTTCAAAAAACCAGTTCACGGATTCATTGATTTTTTGAAGGGTTTTTTGTGTCTCTATCTCCTTCAGTTCTGCTCTGATGTTAGTTATTTCATGTCTTCTGCTAGCTTTTGAATTTGTTTGCTGTTGCTTCTCTAGTTCTTTCAATTTTGATGTTAGGGTATCAATTTTAGATCTTTCCTGCTTTCTCTTGTGGGCATTTAGAGCTATAATTTTCCATCTAAAGACTACTTTAAATGTGTCCCTGAGATTCTGGTATGATGTATCTTCGTTCTCATTGGTTTCAAAGAACATCTTTATTTCTGCCTTTATTTTGTTATTTATCCAGTAGTCATTCAGGAGCAGGTTGTTCAGTTTCCATGTATTTTGTGCAGTTTTGAGTGAGTTTATTAATCCTGAGTTCTAATTTGATTGCACTGTGGTCTGAGAGACTGTTATAATTTCCATTCTTTTGCACTTGGTCAGGAGTGTTTTACTTCCAATTATGTGGTCAATTTTAGAATAAGTGTGATGAGGTGCTGAGAAGAATGTATATTCTGTTGATTTGAGGTGGAGAGTTCTGTGGAGGTCTATTAGGTCTGCTTGGTTTAGAGCTGAGTTCAAGTCCTGAATATCCTTGTTATTTTTCTATCTCGTTGATCTGTCTAATATTGACACTGGGGTGTTAAATTCTCCCACTTTTATTGTGTGGGAGTCTAAGTCACTTTGTAGGCCTCTAAGCATGTACTTTATGAATCTGGGTGCGCTTGTATTGGGTGCATACATATTTAGGATAGTCAGTACTTCTTGTGCATTGTTCCCTTTACCATTAATGTAATGCCCTTCTTTGTCTCTTTTTATCTTTGTTGGTTTAAAGTCTGTTTTATCAGAGATTCGGATTACAACTCCTGCTTTTTTTGCTTTCCATTTGCTTGGTAAATATTCCTCCATCCCTTTACTTTGAGCCTATATGTGTCTTTGCAAGTGAGATGGGTCTCCTGAATACAGCACACTGATGGGTCTTGACTCTTTACCCAATTTGCCAGTCTATGTCTTTTAACTGGGGCATTTAGCTTGTTTACATTTAAGGTTAATACTGTTAGTTGTGAATTTGATCCTGTCATTATGATGTTAGCTGGTTGTTTTGCCCATTAGTTAATGCAGTTTCTTCATAGTGTCGATGTTCTTTACAATTTGGTATGTTTTTGCAGTGGCTGGTACTGGTTGTTCCTTTTCATATTTAGTGCTTCTTTCAAGAGCTCTCGTAAGGCAGGTCTGGTGGTGACAAATTCCCTCAGCATTTGCTTGTCTGTAAAGGATTTTATTTCTCCTTCACTTATGAAGCTTAGTTTGGCTGGATATGAAATTCTGGGTTGAAAATTCTTTTCTTTAAGAATGTTGAATATTGGCCCCCACTCTCTTCTGGCTTGTAGGGTTTCTGCAAAGATATCTGCTGTTAGTCTGAATGGGCTTCTCTTTGTGGGTAACCCAACCTTTCTCTCTGGCTGCCCTTAACATTTTTTTGTTCATTTCAACCTTGGTGAATCTAATGATTATGTGTCTTGGGGTTGCTCTTCTCGAGGAGCATCTTTGTGGTGTTCTCTGTATTTCCTGAATTTGAATGTTGGTCTGTTTTGCTAGTTTGGGGAAGTTCTCCTGGATAATATCCTGAAGAGTGTTTTCCGACTTGGTCCCATTCTCCCCGTCACTTTCAGGTACACCAATCAAACGCAGATTTGTCTTTTCACATAATCCCATATTTCTTGGAGGCTTTGTTCATTTCTTTTTATTCTTTTTTCTCTAATCTGGTCTTCTCTTTTTATTTCATTAAGTTGATCTTCAGTCACTGACATCCTTTCTTCTACTTGATTGATTTGACTATTGATAGTTGTGTATTCTTCACAAAGTTCTTGTGCTATGCTTTTCAGCTCCATCAGGTCATTCATGTTCTTCTCTGCATTGGTTATTCTAGTTAGCAATTTGACTTCAGCTTTTTTTCATGTGTTTGTTGGGTGCATGAATGTCTTCTTTTGAGAAGGGTCTGTCCATGTCCTTTGACCACTTTTTAATGAGGTTGTTTTTTCTTGTAAATTTAAGTCCCTTGTAGATTCCAGATATTAAACCTTTGTGAAATGGATAGATTGCAAAAATTTTCTCTCATTCTGTAGGTTGTCTGTTCACTCTGATGATAGTTCATTTTGCTGTACAGAAGCTCTTTAGTTTAATTAGATCCAATCTGGCAATTTTTGTTTTTGTTGTAATTGCTTTTCACATTTTGTTCACAAAATTGTTGCCCATGCCTATGTCCTGAATGCTATTGACTAGATTTTCTACTAGGGTTTTTATAGTTTTGGGTTTTACATTTAAGTCTTTAATTCATCTTAAGTTAATTTTTGTATACGGTATAAGGAAGGGGTCCCGTGTCAATTTTCTCCATGTGGCTATCAGTTCTCCCAGCTATATGTGCAATTATTAAGGTATACAACTAGTATTTATTCTAGTACCACTTTATTTTATTTCACTCTCCTTGCAACATATTTTTCCTTGAAAAGGATTAGATCAGGTAAATTGAATAAAACATTTTAGGGTGTCAAGGATAAGCTTTTTAAAAAGTTGATGCCTATAAACAAGAACTTTTTCAAAATGTGAGTGTACTATGTGTGTTTATGTATATATGTATATGTACACAAATATACACGGGTGTATGTATGTGCATGTGTGTGTGTACAGGTTGAATATTCCTTACAGAAATGCTTGTGACAAGCAGTGTTTTGGATTTCAATTTTTTTTTTGATTTTGAAATATCTGTAGATACGTATTTGTGGAGCATACCCAATTCAAAAATCCAATAAACATAAACCAGTGGTTGAAAATGCTACAACGACCATTTCCTTTGAGCTTCATGTCTGTGCTCAAAAAGTTTTGGAGTTTGGAGTAATTTGGGTTTCAGATTTTTGGATTAGGGATACCACACCTGTGTAGACACTCACATACACATACACAATCTCTCCAGCTAAGAAAAATGAGTGAAACATAAAATCCCAGGTTTTTTTCCATAAATTTTCAACACCAGCCATTTCAAATATTACTATCACTTCCTATGGAATTGTTACTAATCATGTGCCATGTGACTTTTTTGTGGCTATTGCTATTAGGGCAATAGAGTATAGAGGGAACAGAATGGAGATTAAAAACAAACAAACAAACAAACAGGGTTTGCATCCTCAATTTCCATTCCAAATTAGGAGAAACAACTTAATCTCATGGAACCTTAGCTTGCCTATCTGGAAAAGAGCAACAAATTTACCTACTTGACATACTTGCTGTGAAGATTAAAAATAATGTATAAGGAACCAGTCTGCCACCTGGCACATAATGGTATATTCTCCATAAGTGTTTGTTATCCATGCTGCATGTTAGTTACTTATAATCATGGTCCTAAGGATTTACAATATACTAAAATACTTCCTAAAAAATTAAAGAAGTATTAATTATGCAGCAAGATCTTTAAGGCTCATATCCTTCCAACAAGTAATTCTATTTCTAGGAAACTAGCCAGAGGAAAAGATTAGAGATATCATCAAATATTTACGTATAAAGATATTCTTCAAAGTTTTAATTTTAATATCAAAACACTGAAAACAACCTAAGTATCCAAATACCATACTACATCTATACAATTGCTGTTAAATATTAAAGAATCTATTAAAATATTAATGAGGACTTAACAGCAGCCAGAAATGCTCACAAAAATTATATTTAAACAACAGCCTATAGACCTACATCTCAACCATTACATTCATGTGTAGCAGTGTACACACATGCACATACAAATGCAGAAAAAAATGATTTGGAGGAAATGCATCAAAACATTAACAATGACTATCTTCAGGTGATGGGAATTCAGTATTTTTTTACTTCATTTTTAATGGTTTTTTATTTCCAATTTTCTACTATATACATGGATTACTTGGATACTTAGGAGACATAAAATTTTAAAATCCAATCACTTCTGTATATTATTTAGTATATTCTAGTTTTTTAAGGGTGATCTTTTTAACCATACCCCATCTTACTTCCAAAAAGATTTGAGATACCTAACAAAAATATATATACCAGACTAAAATAAATAAAATAAAGAAATTGAGACAAAAATAAGAAAAGAACTTGCAAACTCTTTCTCTTTATATATGTATATATATGCAAACATGTATATACATACATATGTCAAAGAACTGTTTCAGATACAAAGAACTGAAGGAAATTTCTCCAGCCTTCTCAGAAAGGGTATACTAGAGGTATGGCAGACATTGTTTTAATTTGTACAACAGGAGTGCTATTGGCTGGGCACAGTGGCTCATGCCTATAATCCCAGCACTTTGGGAGGCCGAGGTGGGTAGATCATCTGAGGTCAGGAGTTTGAGACCAGCCTGACCAATATGGTGAAACCCTGTCTCTACTAAAAATACAAAAATTAGCTGGGCATGGTGGCATGTGCCTGTAGTCCCAGCTACTCGGGAGGCTGAGGTTGCAGTAACTCGAGATCATGCCACTGCACTCCAGCTTGGACAACAGAACTAGACTCTGTCTCAAAAAAAAAAAAAAAAAGTGCTATTGAAGTAAATTAAGTGAATCACAATTTGTGATTAGAAAGAGAGAAGGCAGACTAAAAGTCAATTAGCCAAGATCTGTAACAGTATGACTGAGCCTGAGCATGATCAGCAACTCAAAGAACACCTCCTAAAAATCCACAAAGAAAAGACAAATAGAGATTTAGACAGATTTTCCCTTATATTTTGTCACCTTTACTCAAGTGCCTTCAAAGAAAAAAAATGGAAATACTAAAAGTATACTTTATTTTCTATACATAAAGTACATCAAGAAAATAAACATTGCTCTCCTATTAACAAAATGTACTGAATATAGTGTATTCAACATACCTTCACTGACAGCATGGGGTTTAACAATGCAACAGGTACAATTAGTAAATTTAGCAGTGTTTGCCGGCCCACAACCTCCACTTGAAGGAAAAAACAACTCCATTTCCTAAAGACAGAGAGAAATGATTTTGACAAATGTGATCTCTTATCTTGAACTTACAAGATATTTCTGTGGGGGAGGAGAATCATGCAATTACTTTTAGAGTTTCATCATATAAATTTTTTGTTTCAGATTTTCTAAAAATGAGTTTTACAAAGACACACTGATTAAATTAACCCTGTTTCAAGACTTAGAACCAGAAGAGCATATAAAGAAGTATCAATCAAAGCAATGAGAATATGTGTCATTTTGTTCCAGGAATATAGTGGACAAAGATTTAATAAATTTTGAATATTGGAAATACCAATATAAAGTTCTTATTCTCCCCAAAGCATTAGTTAATTAGACACAAATTTAATTTTAAATTTTTCATTAAAATATGTAAAATAAAATTTAAAACTAGGAAATTTTATAGGAACAGAGATTAATATCAGGAATCTGAGAACTACAGCTACTTAAAACTAACTATAGGCCTAGTATAAAATAAAATCAAATGAACCATGTTTTATAAACAGATTCAGGCTGTGTTATTCACTTTGCATGTGGTTCACTAAAATGACAACACAACAATTTGAACTAGCCACAAAGATGTTCACACTAATCAGTTCTTTTAATTATTTAGATGCTTTCCTGTCTCTAAGCTTTCACTGCTATTATTTCTACTATTTCCTATAAAACCCTCTGACTCAAGCTCCAAAGAATCTTACCAATGTGTAAAGAGCCACCTCAAATACCACTTTCCACTAGGAGGCATTTCCTGATGCCTCCTTCCGGCAACCTTTGTTCCCCCAAAGTTATGGTTATTTGGGTACTTATCTTCCATCAAATCATAAATTTGAAAAAGAGGGAACTAAGTTGTATAGCTCTGTAGGACCCCTAGCACCTAAAACAATGTCTGGCTCAATGCAAATAGCCCTTGGTATACACAAGGGATTGGTACTCAAATCCCTGTGTGTACTCAAATCCATGCATGCTCAAGTCCTGCAGTCAGCCCTGTGGAACCTGCTTATAGGAAAAGTCAAATCTCTGTAGATGTGAGTTTCACCTCTTGCAAATACTGCATTTTCAATCCTTCTGTTGAAAAAAATCCACATATAAGTAGACTCGTGCAGTTCAAACCTGTGTTGTTTATGGATCAACTGTATTTATTTTTCATTAAATTTAAAATGAAAAGATTATAGAATGTGTTAATGTGCCACACTGATGAGCATTTTTTTAAACACAAGGATGATGAGGAATTATTCAAATAGTAGTGTATACACCTGAGCATTTCCAGTGGTAAGACACTAGAATAAAAAGTGTTCTATTCCTAAGATACCAACTGCCTTTCTATCATATTGCTGCCATTATTTATTATTCTTTTTAATCAATAACAACAGCAACTACCCCTTTTAGTCCTATACCAGATGCTTTGATTGCATGGTCCGAGAGAACCTTTATGGTACAGATGAAAATTCAAATACCTACAGGGACCTGGCAGATGATCAATGAAGGAATGAAGTAGAAGTGGTGTGACAAGAGAATATGATAGAGTAGCAAACTAGAAAGGGCATGCTCTTTCGAGAGTTCCCATTGGTCTGTTCCCTTCACAACAAAATTCAAAAGAAATGTCTTTCTTTTCCATTTCCATTTTTACTTCCTCTCCTACAGTCTCTTTTAAATCCACAACCAATTAGGTTTTCATTCCACCAAAGCTGCTCATTAAAATCCCTTACTACCTCCATGTTGCTAAGTCCACTGGTTAATTATTCTCAGCCCTCACCTTACCTGACCAACAGTATTTGACACAGTTTGTCACATCCTACACTCTGGAATGCTTTCATTACTTGCCTTTCTTCCTACCTCACTGGCTACTCCCTCTCAGTCTCCTTCGATGGTTTTCTCCTATCTAGCTGACCTCTATGTGTTGGAGAGCACCAGGGCTTAGTCCATCTTTATTACTTGTTCACTAGCAGTTTCTCAATGAATATTTGGGAATGACTGAAATTCAGCACCTAATAAATTCTGCATGTGCTAAACAAAATAAATATATCCACAGTGTACAAATGAGAAAAATGAGACTCAGAAAGCTTAAGTAACAAGCCCTTACAAGTTAGCAAGTGGCAAAGCCAGGATTCAAATCCAAGTGACTGTAGCTCCAAAAACCATGTACTTTTTCTATTATCTGTCTTTCCAAAGTAAAAAGCAGTGATAAATTGTTCTGTCTCTAGTTTAACAAATTATTTAACAATTAATTGACCAATTATTTTTGTCTCAACTTTCCTTTGATTTCTTTTCTCGCTCAATTTTTAAAAATAAAAATGCCAGCTTTCCAACTACCCAGATTTTCAAGTACCATATTTACCTATGCTGAATAAATATTTATTTATAAAGCATAAAGATTTTACATAAATATATCTTCTTAGTGAAACGTGAATAAGAGCGCTTTTACTAGGTCATTGTTATGGCAATTAATTCAAAGTCTTTATAAAACAAAGTCACAAAAATAATATCCAGGCTTCTTTGGGATTTGAGGGGCTAAAATATTTTGTATAAAGATCCTGTTCTTCCAAAGATTCCTGCTATTACTCTTGGCCTTTTACATTTTCCTAAATTCCCTAGTAGGAAAGAATAAATATTTATAGCTTTACAAAAAATTAAAAATTCAGACTGAATTCGAAAGCTTTAGGTATATAATTTTTAAATTTTTAAACAAATTATAAAGTATATAGTTGTACTACTTCATAAATTTTCACGCTGATAGGATTTCCTGGTAATTTCACTAAAGCATTTGTAATTAATCTATACTAATAATTTTATTATGATAATAAAAGTATGGCTAAATGGTGGCCAGTTAAAAGTTTCTCCAAAACTTTGTACTTGTAATAGTAATTTAAAATGAATATCATTTCTGTAAATGTCCCAAATTAAAACAGTATAGATCAATGGAACAGAACAGAGGCCTCACAAGTAAAGGCACACATCTCCAACCATCTGATCTTTGACAAACCTGACAAAAACAAGCAATGGTGAAAGGATTCCCTATTTAATAAATGGTATTGGGAAAACTGGCTAGCCATATGCAGAAAACAGAAACTGGACCCCTTCCTTTCATCTTATACAAAAATTAACTCAAGATGGATAAAGACATAAATGTAAGACCTAAAACCATAAAAACTCTAGAAGAAAACCTCAGCAATATCATTCAGGATATAGGCATAGGCAAAGACTTCATGACTAAAAGACCAAAAGCAATGGCAACAAAAGCCAAAATTGACAAATGCGATCTAATTAAACTAAAAAGCTTCTGCATAGCAAAAGAGAAATTATCATCAGAGTGAACAGGCAACCTATAGAATGGGAGAAAATTTTTGCAATCTGTTCATCTGACAAAGGGCTACTGTCCAGAATCTACAAGGAACTTAAACACATTTACAAGAAAAAAACAAACAGCCCCATCAAAAAGTGGGCAAAGTATATGAACAGACACTTCTCAAATGAAGACATTTATGCAGCCAACATATGAAAAAAAGCTCATCACTGGTCATTAGAGAAATGCAAATCAAAACCACAATGAGATACCATCTCATGCCAGTTAGAATGATGATCATTAAAAAATCAGGAAACAACAGATGCTGGAGAGGATGTGGAGAAATAGAAACGCTTTTACACTGTTGGTGAGAGTGTAAATTAGTTCAACCTTTGTGGAAGACAGTGTGGTAATTCCTCAAGGATCTAGAACCAGAAATAGCATTTGACCCAGCAATCCCATTTCTGGATATACACCCAAAGGATTATAAACCATTCTGTTGTAAAGACACATGCACACGTATGTTTATTGCAGCACTATTCACAATAGCAAAGACTTGGAACCAACCCAAATGCCCATCAGTGATAGACTGGATAAAGAAAATGGGGCACATATACAGCATAGAATACTATGCAACCATAAAAATGGATGAGTTCATGTCCTTTGCATGGACATGGATGAAGCTGGAAACCATCATTCTCAGCAAACTAACACAGGAAGAGAAAACCAAACACTGTATGTTCTCACTCATATGTGGGAGTTGAACAATGAGAACACAAGGAGGGGAACATCACACACCGTGGCATGTTGCGGGGTGGGGGGCTAGGGGAAGGATAGCATTGGGAGAAATACCTAATGTAGATGATGGGGTGATGGGTGCAGCAAACCACCA
The DNA here is from genome assembly GCF_000001405.40 of Homo sapiens. NCBI lineage: Eukaryota > Metazoa > Chordata > Mammalia > Primates > Hominidae > Homo > Homo sapiens. The sequence continues at coordinate 169,291,584 of NC_000001.11, forward strand.
TGGCACGTGTATACCTACATAATAAACCTGCACGTTACGCACATGTATCCCAGAACTTAAAGTATAATAATAATAATAATAATAATAAAAAGAAATAGACACAGCCACTTCAACCTTTGGCAAAAACAACCCTGATCAATCAGCAGACATCAACATCAAAGTAAGATCAGCAAAAAGATTATGACTCGCTGAAGGCTCAGATGATTGTTAGCATGCATTTTTTAGCAATGAAGTATTTTTAATTGATATATTCATAGTTTTTTTTAGACACAATGCTATTGCATTTAGTAGCCTACAGTATAAACATAACTTTTATATACCAGGAAACTAAAAAATTCATGGGACTCCCTATATAGCCATATTCACTCCACTGTGGTGGTCTGAACCAAATCTACATTATCTCTGAGGTATGCTTGTAGATGAATAGAACACAACAAATCGCTGAAATTGACCCAGATATATATATTCAATACATTTTCAACAAAGGTGCAAAAGCAATTAATTAAAGAAATAAGGTCTTTTCAGCATAATGCTGGAAGAATATATGTCTAAAGAATAACAAATTGTGATCATACCTTGCACCTTACATAAAAATTAACTCAAAATGCATCATAGAGTTAAGTATAAAAACTAAAACTATAAAACTTCTAGAAGCAAATAATGAAATATTGGTGACCTTAGGTGTGGGAACAGTTTGTTAGACTTGACACCTAAAGCACAATACATTAAAGAACAACTGATACTGGACTTCATCAGAAGTAAAAATTGCTCATCCAAAGATATTGTTAAAGAGGATGAAAATGCAAACCACATACCATGAGAAAATACTTGCAAATCATATCTCTGGATAAAGAATTTGTATGCATAATATAAAGAACTCTGAGCTGAGTGTTAAAAGGCAAATAAAAATTACCTGGGCAAAGGCAGAATTGGAATTCCAAGGCAGAGGGGTAGAATGAGTAAAAGCAACAGAGTAAGAATCCCACAGTATACAGAAGGTGAGGCAGGATATAAGGCTGGAGGAGGGGCTGGGAGACAGATCACTGGAACGCCTTGGAAACCATGTCAAGGAGCTTGAACTTGATTCTGGGAATAATGGAGTACTTTAAAAATTTTTAATAGTCATGAGATTGACGGATTAATATTTTTAGACAACTTGTTCTGAAGCCTATGTGGAAGATATATTTGAGGTAGAAAAGTATATTCCAGGACTCTTGCAGCAGCCCAGGTCAGAACTAGAAGAGTGATGGTAGGAATACAGAGAAAGGGAATAATTCAAGAAAATGTTCAGAAGGAAAAACCTACAAGATCTTTTGCTGATTCTATTAAGGGGATAAACAGGGCAGAAGAAAGAATACTGGCTCCCAAATTTCTTTCCTAGAGATGTACAGAATACAAAAGGAATACTTTGGTAAATTATAATCAGTGCAGGCTGGGCATGATGGCTTATGCCTGTAATCCCAGCATTTTGGGAGGCCAAGAAGGAGGCTCACTGGAGACCAGGAGTTTGAGACCAGACTGGGCAATATCACAAGACCCTGTCTTTAGAAAAAATAAAAAAAAATAGCTGGACATGGTGGTACAGGCCTGTAGTCCTAGCTACTTGGGAGGCTGAGGCAAGTGGATGGCTTGAGCCCATGGGTTCAAAGTTATAGAGAACTATTATCACACCAACCACTGAACTCCAGCTTGGGCAGCAGAGTGAGACTCTTGTCTCCAAAAAAAAAAAAAAAAAATTGTAGTCAGTTCAGTTTCAAATGTATTATTTCTATATAAGTCTGAAACTCTAAGGAGAATCCTAGATAGAAACTTAAGAAGTTAATTTACACTTTTCCATATAAAATTATCTCACACAATTTATTGACTAATCAATCTATCCCTTGTCCACTGATTTATAATGGCACCAACTTCTCATTATATTTGGGTCATCTCTTGAGCACTCTAGACTGTTACACTGATATACTTACCTACTCCCATGCTAATACCACAGTTTTTCCTACTAAAGCTTTATAAAAAGTCATGATATCCTTAAAATAAGTCTCACCTTATCATCACCACATCTTTTTCTCCCTCTTCAAAACTGTCTTAACTGTTTTGGACCCTTGGCTGTTTCATAAGTTTGTTAAACTTCATGAAAATCTGTGCTAAGATTTTGAATGAAATTACCCAATTTATAGATCAACTTGGAAAGAACTGATATCTTCAGGATACTGACTCTTCCCATTCATAAACATGGCATATATCTTCATTTATTTATGTCTTTCCTTATTCTCTAAAATAAATATTTATAATTTTCTCCATACAGATCTCCCACATCTTTTGTTCAATTTATTCTAGGTGTCATAGACTTTTTTTTAACCGTATGAATGGAAATCTCTTCTAAAATTACATTTTCTAACTGGTTATTTCAAGTATATCAAGATTACTATTGATTTTTGTATACTAATATTACATCCAGTACAAATTACAGATACAGGTTTGGGAAGCACCATGCAAGTAAAATATTAATAATAAAAGATAACATCCATTCATTAAATACTATGTTCTAGGTACTATACTAAGCACTGAAATAATTTCATTTAATCCTCAAAGACCTCTATAATGCAGGTTCAATCATTATCTTATTTTACAGACTAGGAAACTGAAAATTAGAGCAAGAAAAGCAGTAAACCAAGAAAAGAAGCCTGCACAATACCAGCATCTGAAAGGACAAGTGAAGGAAGAAAAACCAATTAGTAAGACACAAGTCATGGTCTCCAAAGACAGTATTTTCAGGAATGATGAAAATAATGCTAAATTTTAACAATTGCTCACAAATGAGTAGTCAAAGATAGCTGAGGAATGAAAATAGTGAGTATAAGTCTATGTTTTGGTAAAATCTGGAAAGATGGAATGAAAAATTAGACAATAACTAATAGGAATTCAAGGTAAAGAAGAGGCTGTTTGGGGCTGCATAAGTTTGGGGCTGTGATGTTTTTCAATTTTTTAAGACCTGTGGTCTTTGCTTCTTCACATAAGCTCATTTTCCAGCTACAATATTTTTCCTTAATTCCTAGAGCCACCTAACATAATGTCAACAACACTCACTCTTCCCCAGACAAGGGTAAAAAAATATATATCCTAAAGGGTTCATACAAATAATAGGATATTTCAGGAACTAATGGCAGAAAGAGGTTAAAAAAATTAAATGCACAAAATATAAACGAATATGTTTAAGACATTTCTTTAGGTGAAATGGCAATGGTAGCTGCTCTGGATTGGATGTTTGTTCCTTCCAAATCTCACGTTGAAATTTGATCCCCAATGTTGGAGATAGGGCCTAATGGGAGGTTTGGATAGTAGGGGTAAATCCCATGAATAGATTAATGCCCTCCCTCCAAGGTGAGCGAATTTTCCCTCTATTAGTTCCTCTGAAAGCTGGTTGTTAAAAACAGCCTGACACCTCTCCCGGTGGCTTGCTTCTTCTCTTACCATGTGATCTGTGCACACGCAGGCTCCCTTTTACCTTCCACCTCAGGCAGTGGAAGCTGCCTGAGACCCTCACGAGATGCAGATGCCCAATCTTGATGTCCCAGCCATCAGGACTATGAGCCAAATAAACCTTTTTCCTTTATAAATGACCCAGCCTCAGGTATTCCTTCACAGCAACACAAAATGGACTGAGACAGTAGCTAACTTAACAAAAGTTGCTCCACTACAAGATATGCTAAAATCTAACAAGTATATTTATGCTCAAATTTATTAAATAATCTAGTAGAAATAAAAAAGAAATGGATGGCATAAGGTGGTAATAGGGTGAAATAGGCAGGAAATATCAGTAAACATGGTAGTGACTTTCAGTTCAGCCTCAATTATTTCCTTCATTAATTAGATATGTTTATTATTTTTATAATGCTTTAAAATATGATTGGAAATTTAACTATACAAAACAATACCACATTTACAATAAATGTCTACTACTAAGATATGGTCAAAGACTATAATTGCTCTCTTGCATGTATCTTTAACTTCCTTAACACTTCCGTCACATTTGTTTCACAAAACCACAGCCATGGTTAAAAGCCAGCTCTCCACCTACTCCTTACCTTCAGCCATGCAGTTGAACAGGCTGGAGAACCACACTCATAGTTCATGGCCATGAACACTACATGGGCCATTAATTCAGTATAGCAATCACACACCACATTTCCCTGATCTATTCCTTTTCCAGATCACCATTTCACATATTCTTCTCTCCCTTCAGACCAACCAATACCTTATACCTCATCCTCACTTTCAGCTGTTTTGATCTTGCTTCCTACTTAAGAATCAGCATCTGTGTTCACATATTCTCCCTTCCCATCTGTTGCTATAGACGAGTACCTGAGAGGCACACCTGCCTAATCTCTCCACCTGGGTTCTAATTTCCATTTCCTTTTGCCTAATTAATGAAATTGCTCCAACAAGTCTTCCTCTTTTTCCTACATCATCAATTTTTTACCCAATACCTCTCCTCTTAAAAAAAATTGATACTACTTTTCTTGACAGCTACCACCTCATCTCTTTGCAGGAAAACTCCTCAAAAAAACTCCTCAAAAAAAAAGTTGTCTATATTCACTAACTACAATTCCCGTCCCACAATTTTCTTTTAAGTCTACTCCACACAGGGTTTTGCCTCCACCTCCCCATCAACATTCACCTTACAAAGTTCACCAATGATATCCACATTGCAAAATTTAACAATCCATTCTTAGTCCTCTTCTTACTTGCCTTATTTGACACCACTGGTCATTCTCTCATTTTAGAATATTTGATTCACTTGGCCTCCAGGACATAATTATCTCTCAGTTTTTCCTCTTACCTCTCTGGTGGCTCCTCTTCAACCTCCTTTGCTGCCTTCTTCTCCTTACCTTTTATCAAGATGTAGCTTCATCTTTGGTCCTCTTTACTTCTCTATCTATACCTTCTCCTTGGTAATCTCAACCAGTCTCCCGGCTTTAAATACCATTTATGTGCTGATAACTCTAAGCTGTCACACTAATTTTTTTCATCAGTCTAATTGGAAAACTAACAAACAGGTTAAGTTTATAAATGTCCAAAACGTTAACTCCTGATTGTCCATTCATTCTGACTCTAGCCACAGTTTTCCTCATTTCAGTTTACGTAAATTCTATCCTTCTGATAATCAGGCTAAGAACTTTGGAGTAATACTTGGTATCTTTTTCTCATACTCTACATTCAATCTAGCAGAAAATCTTGTTTATTTGACCTTCAACCGTTAATATATATTTTAAAATATATTTGTATACTTCTTTCATTATTACCACCCAGGTCCAAGCCATCATCTCACTGGGTTATTCCAACAGACTCCTGATTAGGCTCCCTGTTGCTGTTTTTGCCCTCTATAGTCATTCTTTTTTTTTTCCCCCGAGATGGAGTCTCACTCTGTCACCCAGGCTAGAGCACAGTGGCATGATCTCAGTTCACTGCAACCTCCACCTCCCTGGTTCAAGCAATTCTCCCACCTTAGCCTCTGGAGTAGCTGGGATTACAGGTGGGCGCCACCACACCCAGCTAATTTTTGTATTTTTAGTAGAAACAGGGTTTTACCATATTGGCCAGGCTGGTCTCGAACTCCTGGCCTCAAATGATCTGCCCGCCTTGGCCTCCCAAAGTGCTGGGATTACAGGTGTGAGCCACCACTCCCAGCCTCTATAGTCATTCTTAATGCAACAGCCAGAATGATCCTTTTAAATGGCAAGTGGAAGATATCAGTCCTTTGTTCAAAACCCTAAAATGGCTCTCTATTTTTTCAGAGAAAAATCTAAAAGTACTACTACGGCCTATAAGACCATATAATCTTTCCCCTAATTACCTCTGTAACCTCATCACCCTCTTCCTCCCTCTCTCATTCCTATCCAACCACACTGTCCTCTTTGCTGTTAGTTGACCATTCCAGACAGAAATATGCTATTCAAGGAATAGCGAGATGGTTAGTGTGCCTGGAACACAATGATTAAGATAGAGATTGATCAAAGATACAGTTAGAGATAGATATGGGCCAGACTAGATAGAGCATTGGAGGCCACAATAAAGACTTTAGATTTTATTCTAGAAGAGACAGAAATTCACTGAAGGGTTTTCAGCAGGTGAATGTTAATCTGATTTGTCTTTAAAAGATCACTGGGCATAGCTGATTTTACTTGGGTAAGGTAAAATTTTCATTAATTGAGTGTAAGAAAAGAGGAAAAAAGAATTTGGAGGCTATTGTAGCAGTTCTGGCAAAATATAATAGTGATTCAGACCACAATGATCAGATTCAGGGTTTATTTTGAAAGAGCTGAAGGGACTTGCTGATGAAATGGTAGGAAAAAGAAAGAAATCAATTATAAAACTGTCTAATATTGTTTCATTGCAAACACAACCAGATTAAAAACTACCTTAAGTGAGACACTTCTCACGATGCTAAAAATAAACTTACACTTCTTTAATTCAACCTCAGTATAAATCCAATAAATGCTTTATTTATATGGATTTAAAAATAAGGAGTAGAGAAACTTTCATAAACACTAGCTATATATAGGAAAATAATAGGATGTTAAGCTTGAAAGCACAGTGTTACGTCTGAATCAAAAGGAAATATCTCAAATTATATCTTCTTTTTAATATCTACTAGCCATAAACTGGTATTCTTACATGAATTCAATAATTCAAACATTTAGGAGCCTCAGTAATTTAAGTCTTGGGAACAAGAAACAGGATGAGAAGTGTTTTAATTGGAGAAAACTTACGTTGATCATGATCAGGTTACCAGTTCACAAAGGAGACACACTGAATCACTGTTTGATAGTAGGCAAGATGTCAAAGGTTTTCTCTACTACTAGAGCAGCAGCATAAATCCACCCTAAGTCACCAGTGATAGAAATGCTTTCCTTTGATATAAAACATTTAACAGAACTAGAAGAGCATTAAAATATTTTTAAAACACCTTACTCTGGCCGCAGAAGCAAAAGAATCAGGGCCATGCGCTGCATTTCTTATGCCATCTGTTCCAAAGAGGGCTCTAATGCTTTCAGAAGCATCTGTGCGTGCCACTCCAGAGTTTGCAGGTCCCAGCAGTCTTTTCCATTCACATATAGCATCATCTCTTAAAATCTCCATGGCAATAATAGGACCAGTTGTAATAAACTGGATCAGCTCACTACAAAACAGATAGAAGATTAGTTTGCTTCTTTTTTCTGTCAACTAGGTATTTGTCTTAACGACAGGATATATTTAAATTGGATTATTTCAACATAGACATGAATATTATAATCTTAGAACCATTAAGCATAGTTAATTTTACATGGGCAGGAGAAATTTTTCATAAATTGAGTGTCTTGCAGTGGCTCAATTCACTTCAAATCACTAGTAATGTCAAATTACTGTTACCAGAAAAATCACTGTTCTGTTGAATTAAGACTATTTCATGACTTAAAATGCATACTGTTGACCTATGCTTTTCCCAGTGCTCTAACAGGTACAGAGGATTTTCCTTTTTATTTACATGTGTTTACCACTGCAGTCAAGTACAATTTCACAATATATAGGGATGGATGCCTTGTAACATATTTTTAGTAAGAATTTATTTATTTTTGTGTAAAACTATTAGAATTCAAAGACTGACAAAGAACTCTCTTAATCAATAAACACTGAGCTGGTTTGGTGATAAAAAAAAAAATCCCCAGCAGGCTTCAAGAAATATCCTTTTATTAGCGTAAAAACTACTCTGGGTTATTTCTGTATTAAATTATTAAAGTGTACGCATCGGTTCTTGACTAAAAATCCAGCACTGAGTCACAGTCCCCCAAGGTATAAAAGACAATACTTCATTTTATTTTCTACTTTTATATGTGTACAGGATGCAATGACAAGTTTAACTATGAAATAAGTGACATCCTCCCTCTGACTATATTAAGCAGGGACACAGTACTTTTTAGAGTAAGCCCATGGTTTTCTCTCATCCAAAGTAGAGAGAAGAGATCCTCCTGGAGAAAGGAGCATGGTGTGACAGGCTCTTTTGTGCCCACTAACTTATGACTATTTTTTACACACTTCCTTCCACCCTGCATGTTATATGTCAGCTCCCCTCAGTACTTCCTTTTTAAAACACTCCCATTCATTTTGAAGAATATTTCTAAAAAACAGCATGTACAAAAAAGTATTCTTGTCTTCTATCCTAAGAGTTCTATAATACCTCCTCATACATTTTCTGCCAGACCTTTGCTGCCAAAACAAACAAAACCCCCAAGACCAACCACTAGATTTAAAAAAACCCAAATCAAAGGAGCAAACCATGTTTATTCACTCAATAAGCATTTAATAATTGCCTATAACATATCAGCGTCTGTGCCACAAAAAAGATCCCCCTTCAAGACACTTACAATCTAACGCCCTATTAATACAAAATTCTCAAAACACACAATTGAATAAGCCTATGAATATGGCATGTAACAATATAGGGAAGGATGTGCCTGATCATAGATACTGCTTCATGAAAATTTAATTACTTCACCTAGTCTTTTGTTACATCATTCTCATTAACAGGCAACTAGTTAATTCATTCCTTTAATAAAATTTACTGCATGCAAATCACACATAAATCATTAGACTAGGAGTTGTAAGTTAATGCTATAAACATATACAAAGTTTATACCAAAAGATAATTTCCACCAATTTTCTAGAAAAGTGTATATAGCTATTCTAAGAAGGCTTAGGAATATTTTATAACACTTGATTTGAAATAATCTATAGCATAATAATTTTCTTACATACAAATTTTTTTAAAAACCCACTACTCAGTGCAGGATATCAAATAACATGTCTACTGTGGCCATTTAGTTTGGCTGATGTAACATTCTTTCTTATTAGAAGTGTAAACAGTCTTTGGCAACAGTAATAATAATATGAGCATGCAAAATATTCACTTAAATTTAATTACATGTCAAATATTTAGAATACATAAAGTGTAACATATATTATCTGTTCTATGTCAAGGAACAAAATATATATCAAACTAGTTAAAATAGAAAGGTTCCATGAACATTGCTTTATGTATACAAGACTACCAAAATAGTTTAAAAGTACAACAGGCTACAGTAACCAAAACATCATGGTACTGGTACAAAAACAGACACATAGATCACTGGAACATAATAGAGAACCCAGAAATAAAGCCACACATCTACAGCCATCTGAACTTTGACAAAGTCAACAAAAATAAGCAATGGAGAAAGGATTCTCTATTCAATAAATGGTGCTGGGATACCTGTCTAGCCATAAGCAGAAGAAAGAAACTGGCCCCTTAACATTAACCATATACAAAACTTTACTCAAGATGGATTAAAGATTTAAAAGTAAGACCTCAAACTATAAGAATCCTAGAAGAAAACCTAGGAAACACCATTCTGGACATTGGCCTGGGGAAAGAATTTATGACTAAGTCCTCAAAAGTAATGGCAACGAAAACAAAAATTGACGAGTGGGACTAAAGAGCTTCTGCACAGAAAGCTTCTGCACTAGCAACAGAGTAAAAAGACAATCCACAGAATGAGAGAAAATATTCACAAACTATGCATTCAACAAAGGACTAATATGCAGAATCTGTAACGACCTTAAATAATCAAACAAGCATGAAACAACCCCACTAAAAAAAGAGCAAAAGACATAAATACACACTTCTCAAAAGAACATACAAGCAGCCAATAAGCATACGAAAAAACGCTCAATATCACTAATCATCGGAGAAATGCAAATCAAAACCACAATGAGATACCATTTCACACCAGTCAGAATGGTTATTATTAAAAAGTCAAAAAATAACATGCTGGCAAGACTATAGAGGAAAGAGAATGCTTATACACGGTTGGTGGGAATATTAATTACTCCAGCCATTGTGGAAAGCAGTGTGGATATTTCTCAAAGAACTTAAAACAGAGCTACCATTTAACCTAGCAATTCCATTACTGGGTATATACCCAAAAGAAAAGAAATTCTGCCAAAAAGACACATGCCCTCATACACTCATTGCTGTGCTATTCACAATAGCAAATACATGGAAATAACTCAAGTGCCCATCAGTGGCAGATTGGATAAAGAAAATGTGGTATATATATATAACACAGAATTCTACACAGCCATAAAAAAATAAAATTATGTCCTTGGCAATAATATGGACACAATTGGAGGCCATAATCCTAAACAAATTAATCCACAAACAGAAAACCAAATGCTGCATGTTCGCACTTACAAGTAGGAGCTAAACATTAAACACACATAGACACAAATTTGGGGGTAATAGACACTGTGGACTACTAGAGGAGAGAAGGCAGGTGGTTTGAAAAACTACCTATTGGGTACTATACTCACTACCTGGATGATGGGATCCATACTCCAAACCTCAGCATCACACAATATTCCCACGTAACAAATCTGCATGTGTACCCCCTGTATCTAAAATAGAAGTTGATTTTTTTTTAAAAAAAAAGTCAAAAAACGACAGATATGCTGGCAAGTCTGTAGAGAAAGGGAACACACTTATACACTGTTGATGGAAATGCAAATTAGTACCTCAACCACTGTAGAAAATAGTTTGGAGTTTTTTCAAAGGACTTAAAACAGAACTACCATTTGAACCTTAAATCCCATTACTGCTATATATCCAAAAGAAAACAAACCTTTCTACCAAAAAGATACATGCACTTGCCTGTTCATTGCAGCACTATACAAAATAGCAAAGACATGGAATCAACCCAGGCGCCCATCAGTGGTGAACTGGATAAAAAAAATGTGGTACATATACACCATGGAATACCATGCTGCAATAAAAAAGAATGAAATCATGGTCTCTGCAACAACATGAATGGAGATGGAGGCCATTATCCTAAGCAAATTAACGCAGAACAGAAAACCAAATACCACATGTTCTTACTTATAAGTGGGAACTAAATAATGGCTACTCATGGACAATAATATCTATTGATGGCAACAACAGACACTGGGGACTACTAGAGTGGGAGAAAGGGAAGGGAGCAAGGGTTGAAAAACTAACTATTGGGTATTACGCTCAGTACCTGGGTAATGGGATCAATTGTACCCCAAACCTCAGCATCACACAATATACCCAGGTAACAAACCTGCACATGTACCCCCTGAATCTAAAGTAAAAGTTGACATAAAAAATAAAAATTAAAAAAATTAAAAGCCCCACAAACACAAAAGCATAATAAAAATATTGAACATCAAATATAATTATCACTCCATTTTTAATCAACCAAAAATTTTAAAAGTTATCCTTCTTGTAATGTAAACAAATCTTTCTATTTGCAACTGATTAAACTTTAAGATTTTTAATGATAAAATATAGGAATTCTTACTTAATAAAAAGACAGAGAATATAATTCTTAGAATTCTGTGCAGTTGCAAGATGTTGCTATGGCCCTTTTGACAGATTATTCTCAAGTAATAAATTTTACAAATGTAACTCCATAGTTTTCTAGGATATCCTCCTTTACATACCACTAATCCCCAAATTAAGGACCTACTTGAAAAAGGGTCTTGACTGGTGATCTACATGAAAATCCAATGCTTCTTTCCTATAAAATAATCAAAAAGGCAATAGTTAAGAATTATAAAATTAAACACTTATTATTTTAGCTTACATTAATAAAATTAAGATAAAATCCTCTCAATTTATACTAATTTATATTTTAATTAATAATTTTTCACCAAATATTCTGTCAAAGCCACTCTTTTAAAATATTTTTTAAGTATGAGTAATATCAATGTAAATAAAAATTAATGTAGGAGGCAATGTTTACTTTTCTACTTATGTTATATATTGTCTATCTTCTTCTTTTTTTTTTTTTTTTTTTTTTTAGATTGAGTTACCCAGGCCAGAGTGCAGTGGCACGATCTTGGCGCTCGCTACAACCTCCACCTCCTGGGTTCAAGCAGTTCTCCTGTTTTAGCCTCCCAAGTCGCTGGAATTACAGGCGTGTGCCACAATGCCCAGCTAATTTTTGTACTTTTACTAGAGATGGGGTTTCACCATGCTGGCCAGGCTGGTCTCAAACTCCTGACCTCAGGTGATCCACCCACCTCGGCCTCTCAAAGTGCTGGGATTACAGGCATGAGCCACCGCACCTGGCCTTATCCATCTTTTTACACAGCATCCTGAACGTTCTAGAAACAAAGGTTAATATTTGACCAGTGAGAATATTTGTTCTTTAAAGTCTAAATAAGTTGCATCAAAAAAATGCAAAGCCATCTTCTAATTAAAAATTTGTCATTTTTTTCCACAGGCTTTAAACTTAAGAGCTTAGGCTAGAATTTTAATTTAATGTTTATAGCTTTTTTTCTTAGCTAGGTCTCTCCAAAGGAAAGACTACAGTCGTGTTTTTAAAAGCTGCCTGAGAAATTATGTATCTTAATATGTTTTTATTTTATTGGTTACTAATGCTTTAACTGACATCACTAAAAAAGGGGAGAATATGGAAACATTTAGAATTCAGAGTTTATTAATTGTAACAGGGATTTATTTTTACATTTATATTACCACTAAAGAATATCTACAGCGGCAATAAAAGAATGCATTTTAAACTGATTAGCTAAAAAGTCTAAAAAACTTTTTTTAAAAGCAAACCAGATGACTCTCCTAACACTGTGTAGTTTTCTTAAAGGCTTTGAACTGGGTTCACAGTATGTGACAAATATATGTAAACATTAACTACTTTTAAAACTGGAAACTGTTCCCTAGCAAAGAATCAACCTTTCAGGCTTGAGAATTCATTTGATATGCAATGCTTTTAAGATTTTATCAGGATATTACAAAATGAATTTACATAACAAGTTATATCACGCATACTCTCATTCTAACCAAATGTACTTAAACATTCATTTGGCTATGAAGAGATTATGAAATATGTAATGCCAATATAGAGAATAAAATTCATCCCGAGACATGGAAAGGAGAAAAAAATCAAAATTTTCTAGAGCCAATTATAGCCATGATTAAATTATTATATTTATTCCTTACAACAATATATTGAAATAGGTGTGATCACCTTTATTTTACATCGGAAAAGAATAAAGTTCAGCATGGTTACATAAGTTGTCCAGTTCACAAAGCTAGTAAGGACAAGACAAGAAGATTTGAACCCAAAGCTCTCTGATTGCAAATTTCTGACTGCTTATGCTCTTGCTACTACTAACTGTAGAACAACATTCTAGAGGGTAAAGAGAAAAACTCACAAAAAAAGAGATACGTATATACTGCATTACAGCCTAAAATGGGGTAAAACTGAATAACTGAAAAACTTACATGGAGAGTAAATTAGAAGAGTTAGCAGAAGAATACTAAAACAACCAATTCTAAGCTTTTCAAACGCAAAAAACTGAACTACAAGAAAGGAAAAAGCAATCATAATCTTTAACGTCATTGAAAAGAAAAACCTCAATCCATTACTAAAAATGTTTCATTGTTTTCATCCAACATGTCCCTGATTCCATAGTTATCTCCATTCAAAATCTAAAATTGAAACCACGATGAGAGTTCATAAATTTTTTCCCATCATTCTTATCTAATTCTTTGCTTTAAAGGTTTAGAAGGAAATAGGTATTAACAAGTGAATCACTATCTAGAGAAGTTTTTTGTTGTTTTGTTATGTTTTGTTGTGTTTTTATGAAGAAACTAACCATTCTTTCACAAAGATCTATCCATTAACCCTTTCAAGAAATATTTACTTAATGCCAACCTTGATTGAGGCACTGATCCAAGAACTAGAAATACAAAGTCATACAGAACTCAGCAGCTATCTTCTGGATATTGTCATCATGGCGGAACCGACATTTGAACAAACAATTTTAGAAAAGATGCATACATTGTGAGAAATTCCTCCAGGTGAGTTTCTCTCTTCTAACTTGTCTTATCGGGTATGCCAAGAATGCAAGGACCTGACTGATCTTCATCGGTGTCGTTTCTCAGGATTGTGTTTGCAACAAGAAACCTTGAGGGATAAGGTAAAGCCTCTCTTCAGTATAAAGAGTAGGCTTGTTTATTGCTTGCTAATGGAACAGCTGGTAACCCAAGCTCACTCCTCCTCAGTTGTGATGCCACCCTCTAGATACACAGTATACACCTGGGCATTGGTCATTTTATTCCTGTAGGATATGGAGGCAAGGAGAACCAATATAAACACAATGCTCATGCTGCTTGCTCTACCATTATAAAGTCTTTTGTCTCTGACCCAGAAGTCTCATGTCATCTGCTAACATCCATGGAAGAGTTACAGGTAACTTCCTAGCTTATAAATTGGATGAAATCTCAAGCTCAACATACTAATAAAAATATATGAAGTGATATGAATGATTAGATAAGCAGTTAAGTTTTCTTGGGAATTAGTTTCCATGAGACATTTGAGTTGGTTCTGAACGATGAATAGGAATGGATGAGACAGAAGACAAGGCAGAGCATTCAAGACAGTACAATATTATGTACAAGAAAACTGAGATGTGATAAAGCACAACATGTTCAGGGAACTGAAACCTAAGTATCCTCTTAGAGCTATTACAGTAGGTGAGTACAGATGACTAAGAGTCTTGTATACTCTATCAAAGAGCTTGTCTGCTTGACCATATTTTCCTGCATATGGGAAACCACTGACGGATTTAAGGAAGGGAATGGTAACATGTTCAAATTTTCATTTTATGAGGTTCATTCTAATGGCAATAAGAAAATGGCATGGAGCAATCTTGAGGTAGGAAATGAGCCATCAAGGAATAGAAGGTAGTAAGTCAAGAAGTAGACAAATCAGTCAGTAGCCTATGTTGATACGTTGAAAGCCTGAATATGAGCCTATAAAATGCCTAAACTAAGGGGCTGCAATAGGAATTATAAGGAGAGAATTGCTCCCAGAGATATACAGAAAGCAGAAGTAAAAATATTTATATATCAGGTAGGTATGAGGAATGGGGGAGCAGCAAGATGAATCTAGGATCACTTTCAGATTGACAGTTGCAGAGAGAAGTCAAGGCTGAAGATGTATTTGGAATTCATCTATAAGTAAGTGGTAGGTGATCATATGGACATGCATGGGACTACTCAAGTAAAGTTGTAAAGAAAATAACATACAACAAGCTGGATGCAGTGGCTCATGCCTGTAATTCTAGCACTTTGGGAGTACAAGGCAGGAGACTCACTTGAGGCCAGTTCGAGACTAGCCTGGGCAACAAAGCGAGACCACGTTTTTTAAAAAAACAAAAAGCAAGGATCTGGAGGAATACCTAATTGAAATCATAGTGACCGTCACTGAGATGGGAAAGCAAATAGAGCAGAGCCCTGGATGATCACTGACAGAGATGTTGAAGTCATCCCAACTGTCAGGAGACACTGGAATAGAAGGAGACTATAAACAAAGTGCCCAAATCTTTAACAAATGTGGAGTTTGTGAACTGTAGAATGGAAATGAGGCTCAGTGGATGGTAAAACAACTAAATAACATGAATTTCCAAGGATGAAGAAGAGTATAGATTTTTAGGAGAGAGCTAAAATACGCTATATCGTGACCCTGTGACATAAGAAACATTTGTGAGTGAGCAGCCTACAGGGCTAAAAGGAAAGGAATGTCCCTGGAGAAGGGTCAGATTTCAACTAAACTAAAAATGTGCGGGCAAAGATACACTCTGTTAAGACACTATGGACATAGGGATATTTGTTCACAATGAAACTTGATTTCCAGAGGGGCCAGTGAAAATGGTTTGGTAAGAGATTTGTGTTCAGAAGACTATGGGAAAAGGAAGTGCATAACTACAAATGAACAGGTGTGTCAACAAGTAATTAGAAGGGCTTGCATCTGTGGTACTCCAAAGAATGAAGTATTTCAAAAGGCATGGGTGGAATTAACAAGACTTAAGGTTTCAAAGAAACTAGCAAATGTATGCCCTATGGTGCTCTTGAAGTGTTTGCTGGTTTTAGCATTTTTCTTCATGTGCTATAGGGCCATTATGATAAACAAGTAGCATCTTTACCACAGGAAGTTAGATACCAAGTCATCAGACACTAGAAGTATAGAGACACTAAACTCATGTAACCCTCACAACTACTTTATGAGATAGGTACTATTATAAATCCCATTTTAAGCCAGGCGCGGTGGCTCATGCCTGTAATCCCAGCAATTTGGGAGGCTGAGGCGGGTGAATCATTTGAGGTCAGGAGTTCAAGACTAGCTTGGCCAACATGGCGAAACTCCGTCTCTACTAAAAATACAAAAATTACCCGGGCGTGGTGGTGTGCTCCTGTAGTTCCAGCTACTTGGGAGGCCAAGGCAGGAGAATTGCTTGAACCTGGGAGGTGGAGGTTGCAGTGAGCCGAAATCGTGCCACTACACTCCAGCCTGGGCAACAGAGCAAGACTCCATCTCAAAAAAAAAAAAAAAAATCCCATTTTGCAAATGAAGAAATAAACACAGTGGTCAACTGTTCAGTCACACACCTAGTAAGTAGCACAGTTACAAGCAATCTGGTCTAAATACTGTGCTCTGAAATGTAAGCCTCCTGTCTCTCTAGAAAATATGTAAACTAGGAGATCATACATAAGGGAAAAATTCCAATTAAACATGTCATTGTCAGGGTAAAATGGAGGGTTTTGTGTTAAAGTTTCTCGGAATCAGATGTATTGAAGCTGACTTGAATGTCTACTGCTCCCCATTGTCCCTGCTCTCACAGAAACAAAAATGCAACTGACCCATGGAATAAATCCAGAAATGAATGATTTATTGAAGCATTAAGAAGATATCTGACCAAAAACAAACAAAAACTAGTGGAGAAACATAAGAACACTATTGGAGCCAGATCTGCCTAACTGCTACATTCCTGTCCCTAGAGACACTCTGTGTTACACTCAGCCAACCAGAGGGTGATCCCAGGAAACAAAGGCCTCTGTCCTATACTCATCTCCCTTCTTCATCTTCCAGAATGTTTCAGTCTTTGCTTTGTCCATTTGGTAGGAAATTTTTTAAAAACAAATGTCCAATATCATGGAAAAATCACTAGTTTTTTTTCTAAAGGATCTCTAAAAAAAACTGAAGAGAAGGTTTTCCCTATCCTTTGTTTGTACGTTGTTAATATTCTCCTTGCCATTCTTACGGGGTTAGAGTTACTTACTTCATGATAGAAAGGGATAAGTAAATGTATAAGTCTTATTTTCACTAAATAACTTAGAAAATATCTGGTCAAACAGGTTGTACTGCTTGTTAGATAGGTATATTTACCTATCTAGGTAAAAAATAAATAGGTATATTTGCCTATTATTTATAATAAGAAGAGCTAAATGTAAACATTTCCAAATGCATCATCTTTGGAAATCTCAACAGTAAATCCTCTTGTCAAATAAAAATAATCAGACATCATTTCCTCTATTAATTTTATACAGTGTGTTATCCTTATATATTAAGAAATGATTATAATTATCAAGCACTGGTGTTATAAAAGCAGATGGGGTTTTGAAAGACAATAATAATTAAATGAGGCATGCATAATTTGACAACTCCTAATTACTTAGACTTCAGTGGTTATTTATGCATCTGATTACTTGGTGTCTTATTGTTCTTTTCTTTCTTCTTTTTCTTTTTGTTGCCTGGTGTAATGCCTACATGACAGCTGAATTTCTACCCTGTCCTAACTTTGCTTATCTTTAAGAAACAGGACTTCTGCAATAAAAGGTTCCCTTTACAACCAGACCAGTTAAGACTGGTTAGAACCAAGATATGCAACCAAATGACATCAAAAAGACCTCGGGCTTCATTATAATCTCATTTTCATACTATATGGCACTCCCACCAGCACCATGACAGCTGAAAATCACCATGACAATGACCGGAAGAGGCCATAAAAAGACAAAAAGGAAAGCAGCACTGCGATTCACCATCAATTGTGAAACTGGTGGAAGTTCACCACCAATTTCCAGAAAAGACATGCATATTGCTCCTCTTGCTTTTCATGTCCTTTATTAGAGAAATCCTTTATTTTAACCCCCTCACCCCTCACTAGTTGAGAAGTTGATTTGTGAGCCACACTCCTGTTTCTCAATTCCACAGACACTGAATAAAGCCTGCACTGCTTGATACTCACTTTCGGTTTTGTATATGGGCTTCATGACACTGAATAGGAAAAGATCAAATCTTTTAGGGGGCCGGCTTTGTCAGTAACATTCTAGATGAACTCCTGTCAGTTCCCATTTTGGTTAAGTTACTATTCTATTCTTTGTCATTCAATACGAGGTTTTTTAATTTTAAACAATGACAAGAAAGACAGAAAATGATTTTTTAAAAAGGAATCAGACATTACATAACTGAAAATGATAAAAAAATTACCTTGAAAGCATCATCATTTTGAGTTTGGTTATAGTAAATCCAGCTTTGTTTATTATTTCAATTATTTCTCCAGCCTTTGATATTGCATCTGGTTTAATTAGGGCTAGCGTTCTATAAGGAAACAAAAAATAAGTTTGCAAATAAAAATAGTTCAACAGTTTTTATTTATAATTCCCAAGCAGCAGTATTCTCAACAATCATCCTAGATCATCAAAATTTGAAATTAATTGTATAGAAAAGTGTATTAAAGACATCCCTTAAAAACTTACACAAAGTAAGCTTAGTATTTTTCCCATGAACATCAAAATTAGATACTAAACTTGGGGGAGGGAGAAGCTTAGGAAAAAAAGCACTAAAATTTAATTATTTTTAATATATCCAAATGAGAAAACACAGGCATTTAGAATCTCCATTTCTTAGAATACATTTTATACAAAGGACTAATCTCTAAAACATTGCATTAAATATATTATGAGCTTGGTTTTTGGTCTCTTAGACTTCAACATATGTATGCTATATAGTCAGTTCAACATTGATTTGGAAATAATTATAAATTCTTCTATTGACTCTTTATTCATAACATGGGTGACTGCATGAAGAATCAAATGTCTTCTTATACAACAATGTATATGAATACGTAACAACATGCTAACTTTTAAAATCATGTTTTTCTCCAGGAGGATACATCAGAACAATGCATTCTCCACTCTCCCCCTCTGAAGATTCAGAATTAAGAGAAATTTGGAGATGAAGATCACCTGAGTGTCCTCATTTTACTAATGATGAAACTAGGCCTACCAAGGTAACATGACAAAGGTTACACAGCTGGTCAGCAACATTTTCAGGACAAAACACCCAGTTTACCAGACTCCTAGGTCTGTCCTTCCACATCACAAATAATGTTACTATTAATATTATTAAAAAGGGGCATCATCACCAAATCCTCAAGAATACTATTTGCAAATGCAACATAAAAACTATATTAGCTGGAGTAATTCTGCTTTTGTGATAAAGAATTGCTGCTACTTTTCCCTCTGCATTTCCAGTTGTTCTTATAACACTGGCATTAATTCAAGGAATCCATAAAAGGAGAAAGGTTGGTCTTTTCATTTTGGATTTTTTTCACCAATAAGACAAACTTAGCTCAGGATAAAATTCAAATATCCTGGCCGGGCGCGGTGGCTCACGCCTGTAATCCCAGCACTTTGGGAGGCCGAGGCAGGCGGATCAAGAGGTCAGGAGATCGAGACCATCCTGGCTAACACGGTGAAACCCCGTCTCTACTAAAAATACAAAAAATTAGCCAGGCAAGGTGGCGGGCTACTACTAGTCCCAGCTACTAAGGAGGTTGAGGCAGGAGAATGATGTGAACCCGGGGGTCGGAGCCTGCAGTGAGCCAAGATAGCACCACTGCACTCCAGCCTGGGCGACAGCGAGACTCCATCTCAAAAAAAAAAAAAAAAAAAAAAATCAAATATCCTTACTTAAATTGGATATAGCTTATGGCTGAGTTTTAAAACTGTAATAACAAAAGAAATTGTTCATCTTAGTGTGTTTATTACAAATTATACCAGATAATGTTTTTCTTTATTTTAAAGCAGATGAGTCAGTTATATTACTTTATATTGTCTGGCTTCATTGAAAACACACTTAAAACTCTTCACTTTTTAATTCATATTATTTAAATATTTTAATCCAGACTAACCTATAAACTGTTTATGCTAAACTCTGGAAGAACATTTCACTGACCATGGCTCTTAAAGAAAAAATAAAACATGGCAGTAGTCATCAATGTCTATAAACAAGAAGCAATGTGAAAAGTCTAAAATTGACAAACAGCTTAAAATGTAATCTGATTTTCTCTTAAATGCCTACAAGAGACAAAGGATTGACTATGTGATAAATAACTCTAAATAAATTCCTCTGTCATGTCTTTGCTGCTTAATTTTTCAGTAAGTAATAGTAAATTGTATTTTGGAGGGAAAATAAGAGAGAGATCAGCATCATATGTGTTAATTTAAAAATAAAGACAGCACATGAAGAAACAATAGGGTGACAAAGATATATCAGTAGTATCTCTGTTATCTGTAACTGCATAACAAACCATCCACATATGTAGTGGCGTAAAACAACAATTTCTCAAGGTTCTGTAGGTAGGCTGTGCAATGGTTTCACCTAGGATCATTCACACAGCTGTATTCAGCTAGTGGGCCAGCTGGGGGCTGTGCTCAGCTGAGACAACTAGGCTTTTCTTTCCTGTGGTCCTTAAGGAGGCTAGAGCAGGCCTCTTCAAATACCACCACACATCAACCAATGTACAGGCAATTATCAAGTGTCCCCTTGAGTCATTTTTGCTGACATATCTTTGGCCAATGCAAGTCACGTGGTCAAGCTCAGAGTCACTGTGAGAGAAAACCACAAGGTATGATTCATTGAGAGCCATCAGTGTAACAATCTACCACTTAGTAATCCTCTTGCCTGCACTGAGGCAAGCACTGTAAGATGCAGCGTGAGATATTCTCAAAAGAAAACAAAACATTATAAAAACCACTATTTAAGATTAAAACTTCTTAGCAATACACGGTAACTACTTCTTGTGAAAAAACAGTATGGCCAGCCTTCACGAACCCAGAATATAGATTTCCAGAAAATAACAATTCTCACAGAGCTATGCAATAAATGTCTTCATATACCATCAGGTTCTGAGCAAAAATTGCAGCAAATATATTTCTGAGAAAGATGACTGATTGCAGTACAATAAATGTCCCAGACAGTATAGTGCTATTGCTATGTAATAAAGTCTTAGATAGTACAGTGCTATTAAACATCTTAGATAGTGCAGTGCTATGGACTCTTTAAATGCCATTGACCAAAAAGAATAAATATGTAAACTTTAATCTATATGGGATTCATATTTGTCTTAAGTAAATATTCTATTCTAAACCTATTCTAAAAGTAAACCTATTCTAAACATCAAGGCTAAATTTTTGGTTTTTCTCATACTTTGTTTACAAGCATAAAGTGTATATCTGCCCCATGGATAAAGGAAAACTGTCTCAAATGAGGCACCTGTAATTTGGTGGAAAATTCAGTGATCAAGACTTTTGCTTGGCAACAATAGCAAAATTATTCAGAACAATTCTTCCACCAAAAACTAAAAAAGTTGATATTTTTAAAAAATCTTTTAAAAATTAAAGATAAATTGACTAGATCATAAATAATTACTGGGACAAAAGTGAAAAAAAAAAAAAAACAACCAAAGAATGAAAAGTAAGAATGAAAGTTGTTTTTGACTTGACAGCATTGCCTATCTGGAAAATCTGAACTTTGATTTGCAGTACATCATTGGGAAAGGGTAACAGAACCCAAGAGATGATCCTTCCTAAAATAATTTGGACCCAAAGGCTATACCACCCCCGCTTAAGGTGAATCAGAAACAACCAGGTCTTGAATGGCAATACAAGTTCACATCATCTAAGCAGTCTCAAAACTTAGAATTTTTGAACTACCAATCATACAGACTGCTAATGCCTATGGGAAAAAGACAGAAGCAAAGACAATTAATTCCCTCCTAGTAGGAAAGTAATGTCATCCTGTACCTCAAATAATTCATATGAAAATGCATATCTCACATATATTATTTACATATATGCAATACACCCACACATACACACATGGCAATCATATAGAAAGATAATCACACAGACACATACACACATACAGGGAAAAGGCCAACATGAGGGAAAACCAGGAGAAACAACAGAAAAGAGAGAGACCCACAAATACTTCAGATACTAGGATAATCAGAGAAAAACTGTAAAGTATCTGTGCAAACTATGGTTAAAGGACTAAAAGACAAGCTACAAAACATTATCAGGTAATAGAAAACTGTAAGCTACAAAATGGAATAAGCAGATCTGAAAAAGAATATATTAGAATATCTTGTGATGAAAATACAATAATGAAAATGAGAACTAGATAAAGGGTTTGACAGAAGAAAGCAGATTCAGAATGAAGCACAGAGAAACAAAAAGATACAACAGAGATAAGAAAATAGTTTCATGAATGTAAGTGAAATAAAGACATTTTCAGATGAGTGCAAACTGAGTTTTCTATTAGTAAACACACTCAAAAGGAAAATATTTTTTAAAAATGTAATTTAAGCAAAGGTAAAATAATCCCAAACAGAATGTTTGAGATAAAAGAAAGGATAAAAAGCAAAAAGTGAAGAAACCTAAATGAATACTCATTACATAAAACAATAATAGTAAATCATTAGGTTCATGGAAAAAAAACAAAAAAAAATACACAACAAAAACAGCATATAATTCAGCAAAAATCCCAACAAAAATTGAGCTAAAGTCTTCTGAGATTCTTAGATTTTAAAGAAGGAGGTTAAAATATTAATTAGATTTAAGCTTTATCAAGTTAAGTACATATGTTGTAGTTTCTAGTGTAAATACTAACTGTATATAGAAAAAAAATAGATGAAAAAAATCCTCAAGCAATCCGAACAATCAAAAATAAGATAATAAAACAGGCAGGAGAAGAAAGCTCAGGATAAGATGTCAGAGTTAAAGCCAAGTATATTAGTAGTTACGTTACAAATAAGTGCTCTACAGTAGATGCAGATTATAAAACTGTATTTATAAAAAAATTTTTTTAAAAAGATAATCTGATTGGATTTTAAAGCCTAGATGATAGGTTGAAAGGTGCAGCAAACCACCATGGCACATGTATACCTATGTAATAAACCTGTACATTCTGCACACGTATCCCGGAACTTAAAGAAAAAAAAAGATATAAAAAACAAACAAACAAAAACAAAAACTAATGAAAGGCACACATAGAAGAGAATACTGAAAATCTAAAGTAAAAAGAATGGAAAAGGTATACCATGCGAATGTTAACTAAAAGAAAGCCAGTGCAGCTATAGTAATATCAGAGAAAGTACAGTTTAAAGTAAAAGGCATTGCTAGAGATGAAGATGGTCTCTTCATAGTAATAAAAGATTCAATTTACCAAGAAGATATAACAATTTAAATCACCTAGTAACATACCCTTAAAATTATAATATAAAGACTAACATAACTACAAGAAGAAATAGACAAATGATAATTACATTAGAAAATTTTAATAAAACCTTGGCAATTGATAGAATAAGCTGCCCAAAAATTAGTAAATATGTGAAAGATTTGAACATCACAATTCACAGACTTCACCTAATGAATAAATATATAAAACTATACAAAACAACTGCAGACTAAACATTCCTTTCTTTTCTTTCTTTCTTTTTTTTTTTTCTTTTTTTTTGAGATGGAGTCTCGCTGTGTCACCCAGGCTGGAGTGCAGTGGTGCCATCTCAGCTCACTACAACCTCCACCTCCCGGGTTCAAGCAATTCTCCCACTCAGCCTCCCAAGCAGCTGGGACTATAGGCACACGCCTCCACGGCCGGCTAATTTTTGTAATTTTTTAGTAGAGACAAGGTTTCACCACATTGGCCAGGCTGGTCTCCAACTCCTGACCTCAACTGATCCACCCGCCTCAGCCTCCCAAAGTGCTGGGATTACAAGCGTGAGCCACCACACCTGGCCTAAACATTCTTTTCTAACACACATAGATCATTAATAATTGACTATTCTAAGCCAGAGGCAAATCTTAACCAGTTTGAAAGGCAAAAATCATGAAGAATATGTCCTCTAGACACATGCAATTCAGCTAGATTCCAATACAAAAAGAGAAAAACAAATCTCCGTATGTTTGGAAATAAACATAATTCTAAATAAATAATAAACCAAAGAAGACAACACAAAGAAAGTAAAAAATGTTTCAAACTGAATAAAAATTACATATCAAAAATAATAGGATATAGTTATAAGCAGTTAGAAGGAAATTTATACCCTTAATTGCATATATTAAAAATATTAAAAATTGATAGAATATATAATTCTGTAACTACTAATAGCAGAAAAGGGGAATAAAGAAAATTGGTCAATAACCATCAACTTAGAATTGTGTGTCTAGCAATAGTATCATTAAAGAAAGAGGGTAAAATAAAAAACGTGCAGATTAAAAAGAAACGGGTAGTTTACAATGAAGAAATGAAGAATAACAAGAAGAGAAAATATTCTAAAAGGACAGGTTGATATGCAAGAAAAATTGGTGAACAAATGTTTAGGTAAATCTAAGCAAATGTTGTTTCTATCAAAATAAATAAATAAATAAATAAAAGAATGTCTAACATGCAGGCAAAAAAACTGAATGTCCAAAAACAACAATAATAACAAAACTATGTAAGATTTAAGAGAGAAGATTAGAGCTAAAGTGTCCTAATCTTGTTGTATGAGTTGGGAGAGAGCCATATTATTATAGAACTGTAAGTTAAATATATGAAAAAATTTCAAGCCTAACCAATAAAGAACAAGTATAAAAATCACATAACCTCTAAAGCAACAGAGAATATAGTAGGCAGAATAACACTACCCCTCAAAAATGTCCACATTATAATCTCCAGAACGTATAAATATATTACCTCACCTGCCAAAAAGGACTTTGCAGATGTGATTAAGATTACAGGCCTTGAGATAGTAGAGATTATTCTGGATTATTCCCCTGGGCCCAATCTCATCACATGAGTCCCTAAAGTCAGAGAATCTTTCCTAGCTTTAGAGAACCAGAGAGATGTCAGTGTGAGGAGGACTCAAGCCTGCTATTGGTGGCTTTGAAGATGGAGAAAGGTGGCCCCAAACCAAGGAATGTGGATGGCTTCAAGATGTTGGAATGTGCAAGGAAATTGATTCTTTCCTAGAGCCTCAAGAGAAATGCAGTCTTATCAACACCTGATCTTTACCTGATGAGATCTGATTGGACTTCTGACAGAACTGTAAGATCATAAATTTGTATTGTTTAAGTGACTAACTTGGTAGTAATTTGTTATAACTTCAATAGAAAACCATATAATAGAAAAAAAAAACTGAAGAGAGGAAGAAAAATTTCTTCAACTAATCCAAAGAAAAGGCAAGAAGAAAAAAATAGAAAAACAGGAAAACAGTAAAATAGAAACATATACAAAAATAACAATAATCACAGCATATTTCAATGTACATGTATTAACTTTACCAATGAAAATATAACCATTCCAGATTAAATTGAAAAAAAACCTATATGTTATTTACAAGAGACATATCTAAAGCATAACAGGGCAAGTATAAAAGAGATGGCAAAAAGATATTAATTAACCCAAATACGCTATCAATCAAACCCTTTCTAAGGAAAGATGGCTCAAGCTGGAGCTGAAAAGGAAATTCAACTCTAATCTGTTAACTGACCAAGGACCATATGACTGAGAATTGTAGAATGGAAAGGCAGAATTCTTATTTTACAGAAAAAAATATCAATTTCTCCCTGGGAATTTAATAATGAGAAGGCATTCTTCATTGTATTATTTGGGAGGCAGTTACACTGTTGTTGGGTCTATCGTATAATCAATAGCATGCCATCTTAGACAACGATACTATAGATAAGTAAAGATGAGAAAAAGATTGGGGGTGAGTTTTTAGCAAGGCCTCTGTTACTGAACTAAGGTATTCCTCTAAGGCATTAGGGTGCCCTTCTGCAGCCAAAACTCAACTGCTCACCACTGGTCCTAGGACAATATACAAAGCAACAGTAATTGGTATTGAGGGAAAGGTTTCCCAAAGGTGAGAGCAAGACTAAACTAATATTCATCTGGTCTGTTCCCCGAGAAGTAGCCATAGTCTACTAGAGCATGGCAGCCAATTGGCTTAAAGGTATAAAACCCAGAAAACAACTAGGAATGTGTACTCTTGCTCCTCATGAGTAAAGTAACTTCTATCCCTGTTCCCATAAGAAAGTGCTCTCTCTCTCTACTTCTTCCATTTGCTTCTCCATGTCCGGCCATATTTAAGGGTTTCTGGTTATTTGTGGCCCGACCTCTTTTTTCTCAGACCTGCAGACCCTCAAGTAGGGGATAGTGTACAAGTAAGGGATAGCGTATTGTTCTCCTGCTTTCACATGTTAAGCACATTGGAATCAGAGTCCGGCACCTGCAGTGGAAGCCTGTTTCTCTCTAGTGCTCTCTCTCCTGTGCTCCATGGGCTGGGAGGCAGGATGAGAACCCTGGGCAAGTATGCCCTTAGTTTGTTCTGTAGATCCAACTTTTCCTCAGGCAGGCCTCAAGTTCCAGATCAGTGTAAGGGATAGAGGAAATAGGAATAGAAAGAAAGCCTCAACCATTCTCAAACACGCTTTCACAAGACAGCCTAAGTAAAATTAATACTTAATATTTTGATCTACATCTATCTCCTGTGTTAGTTCTTCATCAGTTAGTAATTTGGAGGGAAGAATGGAGACTAACTGAGCTCAAGAGATGACAAGAAGCTGTTTTAAGGAGGAATGTAAAAGATAAAAAAGAGAAGAGAAATAAGAGAGATCTATGAAGGAGACAAGTAAATTGGTAAGATTAGGTCCCCATGTGGATTTAGGGATAAAATACATATGGAACTCAAGGACAGCCACCAATTTTGTAAGTATGTAATTAGGTGAATATTGTGTTAGTGCATACAGAAGTAGGTTTTTCAATGAAAGAGAATTAATTTAATTTTGAATTTGTCAATTAATTCAATTTTGGATTTTTAAGTTCCTGTGAAAAATCTACATGGAAACGTTCAGGAAAAAGCTTAAACATATGGTTTTACAGCTGGGGTGATGACATAAATTTGGAAAGCAACACATTGTTGAAGTCATGGAGTACATAGAATCCCCTGGGAGAGTATATAGAATGAGAAAAAAAGGGCCATGAACAGAACCCTGGGGAATACCAGGAGTCTTTTTTGCCTCTGAGAAGGAATGACTCTGAGAAAAAATAGCCAGAGAGATAGAGATGGAAGCAGCGGTGGGGGTAGCGGTGGTGAAGTGCCATAACAACCAGGGGAAGACAGAATAATAATTTTTAAAGTATTCTAAACTTAATTTATTCCAGTTGGGATGGAAGAACAGAAGAGGTACATTTTTTGTATTTATTAAAATTAAATTTAATTTAATTTTAATTTTAATTTTAATTTTAATTTAATTTTTAAATTTAATTTTAATTAAAATTAAAATGTCTTTTAAGTCATTCATACATTATGATATCCCAATACTGTAATCCTGCTAAACTATATAATACCTGAACACTGAAGTTGTTTCAAACTTGATATAGCCAAGATTTTATGACATTTCCTTCCAATGAAATTTCTTCAAACATATATCTGATGATACTGCCAAATCTTCACATAGAAAAAACGTATAGTTCATATGAGTCAAATTCTAATATTAGAAAATGTATGTTCATCCATAAGAATTGTTAAACTACATAAGTCTAGAAAACATATAAAGTATTATTTCAGTACCTTTTAAAAAATTATCAATTAAGCAAATGCTTGGAATTTTTGGGCTGTATTTAAAAATTCAAAAGGTGATTTAGTTCAAAAGGTTATTTAGGTCAATCTCCCTACCTCCAGGGAGAAGTATTCTTAAGCCCCTTCCAAGCACAGGTCTCATCTAAAATACGGCTTGTTTTTTTATCCATATACCATTTCAGTACATCTCCAAGAGGACAGGAAAATGCATACTGTGACTGAGTTCCTGCTGTGATGGAGCCTCAAATAACTTGGGCTTAGACCTTGGGATCAAAGATTATACACACAGTTGACTTCATAATTTTTCTTCTGAAAAACAGGGGGGTCTTCCTTTCACTGAAAGTTAATAGATGGGCACAAGAATTTCATGTATTTAACATCTACTATAATGTTGTTCACCCAACCTACTGATGCCTTTCTCCCTTTAATTTGATTAGATGGCTTGCTTTCTGGCTGAGACTCAAAAGGAATGAGGATTGCTCAATGTAAATATGTGGCTCAGTACTTAAAATTAATGGATTTTTAAATAGGATACTAGCATTATTTTTCATTGATTTTTATAAACTTCTTACTAAAGATATAAGCTATCAAAGTAAACATTTAATACCTCACTTATCACATGGGGAATAGCTGTCTATTCATATAAAATTCCTCTATCATTCATACACATGCATACATATACATATTGACTCATCATATGAAAACTTTAATTATTTCTGGTTTGAGGTAATAAATTTTTAGAAAGACACAAATTGTATCGTGTCTCCAAATCTAAACAACAATCATAAAGCACCAATTAATTACTAGCTAAAATTAAAATCAAAGACTGACTCATTGACAACTTGTAACCTTTATCCATTTGATTAGAGGATCTTTATAAAGAGAGGATAAAAATGTGAATCAAATGTCAGATTTCTACAGTCAAAGGGAATTGGAAAGCTGAAGCTAGTTCATGAGTTAAGCTGAATTATATTAAATTATCTGGATAACTGCTCCCCAATTAGCTGATAGGCTCCATGGGGATCAATTTCACTCATCCTCCTCACTACAGGCTTTACTATAGAAAGAAAAGAGTTGAAAATGTAATTGGTTCAAAAATTTTTCTCAACACTATACAAAACTGAGAACTAGACTAAATCGGTTGTTACATAGAAGGTGTTTCTGTGGAACGCTGATAGACATACACACATATTTCCATATGCTTACTTTTTGCCATTTAAATAAAACAATAAATTTTTGAAACTCTTCGGTTTGGAAGAAGTTTATTTAAATCACCCAAATGGTTGTTGGATTTACTAACCCATATGCAATTAAGAAAGAATAAGAAGAGAAAATGGTGAATCAATTTGAGTCAGTAAAATATATACTACATATATTTTCATTTTCATTAACTATATAAAGCCCAAATACTTCAAATTTGTTTTTACATTAAAATAGAATTCTTCTGTTCATCCTGTTTTAAAATCAGTCCCATTCAACAGTATTTGCCAGCATATTAATTAGAGGTTTAGTAGAAAGAGAATGAATTTTAGGGAAAAACAAAACACGGTTTTCTGGTTTCCCTTTACTTTCTAGCTGTGTTACTGTGGACAAGTTACTTACCCATTCTATAAAATAGATTTAACAACATTCACTTCAGTCAAATCATAGTTAAAATACATAAATTATAATTTTTATGGTTGTTATTTTATTTTTCTTAGGTCAGACTGTTAACCCTGACTCCCTAACTCACTTATTTTGCTAGTTTAAATAAAAATTTAAAGCAGTCTTCCAGCCTGGGCAAGAAGGCCAAACTCCATCTCTAGCAAAATACCAAAAAATTAGCCAGGAATAGTGGTGCATGGCTGTAGTTCCAGCTACCTGGGAGGCTTAGATGGGAGGATCACTTGAGCATGGGAAGTCAAGGGTGCAGTGGGCTATGATCATGCCACTTCACTTCAGCCTGGGTGACAGAGCCAGACCCCACCTCAAAAATAACAATAATTAAATAAAATAAAGTAGTCTTGAACTGAGGTGTATGTAAAGTGCATATCATAGTGTCTGGCACATAGTATGTGCTCCATAAATGAATGCTACACATATTTATGAGTTTTAAATAAAGGAATTATGGTTGGCATTTCTTTAATCCCAAAGACTTTTACATAAGATCTCATAACATTAAAAGATTCCTATTTATTTATCTAATACCTGAAATTTCTGTCCTATTTCAAAGAGAGTCTTTGGTCTTCCTTTTTAATGAGGCATGCACCACCCCTCTGATCCATCACCATTTGTGTACTAACACCCACACTAAGAATCCAATCACCTCAAGAGCTATAAAGTGCTTATACAGAAAGACTATGGAAGTCACAGAAAGAGATATCATATTACTATAAGAGTGACTCAGACGTTAGGCAATCAGCTAGTCATTTGAGTAGTAGATCTCAAAAAATAGTTTGATTGATTTGTTTTCCCTATTGAATTAAATCATTTTTGGAGCCTTTTATACATATAGCCTTAACTTCTACAAATAATCCCTATTTTAATTACAGCACCAATCACTCTACAGGAAAAAAAAACTCCCCAAACCATACAAAGTATAAGCTACAGAAATTAAAGCCAAGAAAGATGACAAAGGAATTAAAATTTCACTTCAAATATAATTAATTCTAGTCTCAGAAAGTTGAAATTCATAAATGTAGAGACTGAAAATTAAAATGTCATCTTGCTAATACTGAAAATCAGTATTCAGAAGGAAAACATCAAAAATCCTTGTTTTCTTGTTTTCTATAAGTCTAATTTTCAGCTGTATCTACAAGTTGTTCTTTCTCTTCCATTTTTTTTCTTAGCCCCTTTTACAGATGACTGTATCTCTTCTAAATCAAAACTGAGAAAAAGAATGATGAATGCAGCTTTGACAAACAATAGAGAGAAGAACAGGGACACATGTGGAGGCACCATGTCACAGTTTCTCTCACAGAAAGAGCCACATGCAGTGGGAGGAAGATAGGGAGGCGGGGATGCCAGCCAGTGGGAAACTCTTCCTTTAGACATACCGTACCTCCAGACATTTCGATGACATAAATTTATTCATTCATATATTTAACAAACTTTTGTGGGTCACACTCTGTGAATAATTTACTGTTTGAGGTATCACTACAACAGTTTTTAGGGATACAGTTATGAATAAGATACATCAGTCTCCCTGTATCATAATTTCTTTATATGGTTTCTTTTTTTTTTCCTTTTTACAACACTCACATTGTCATTTTTCAATTGATCCGTTGGTCAACATCTATTAGATATAAATATATATATATATATCTGTTAACAAAACTTGACAATAGGCAGCATTAGTTACAAACAATCTAGGCAAAAACCTCCTGGTCAACTAGATCAAAGATCATCATTTGAAAACAGGGAGAAAGTGGAAAAAGGAAAGAATAGATCATAGATTTTAAATTGTGATTCATTAATTCGTTCAGCTAATACAGACAAGGTGCTTGCAATGTGGATGGAGATGTGCTAAGTGCCACAGGAGACATAAACATGAATTAAGTCAGATGAGACATGCACAACTATGGTATTATCAATTTTTTTTTAAATTGAAAAAAAGAAAAAGAATGAAGACAACCATTTTCCAGGTCCTATCCATCCTCATATGGTTACATACTCCCAGTCTTGATTCAGATTGACTTTGAACCCAAAGTTAGAGCATGTAAAAAGATTATATAATTGTTTTCTTACTTTTCTTTCCTACTGCCCAGCTGGCGAGCTGTATATTGATCCCCATAGTCAATTAATACCAGTTGTCGAGAAAAGACATTCACTTTGTTGCCTATAAATAAATCTTCCAAGTGCAGGTTATCATATTTGGTCCGCTTTAAAAAGGTGCGATGATTCTTTACATCATGCTAGAACCAGACACAACAATATAACAAACAAACAAAAAAAGTTATGAATAAGGAAAGTTAATCTCATCATAAGGTAGAAATAATTCTTAATTCTGTCTTATCAAAGATAGGTTATATTCTGTTTCTTTTTTGTTACAAATATAAATCATAATTTTTAATAACTTCCATATTTCCTAATCCAATCTGGTAATAACATAAAAGCTTCTTATTACAAATTTAATACTCTTAAAAACCTGAATAGAAAGATTTGTTTATTACCAAATCATTTCAGCAAAGTAGTCCTTACAAAATGCTAAAGAAAGAGTCATACACCCAAATTTCTGCTTTCTTGTGTACACAAAATCCCAATACCAAAAAGATCTACTTGTTAAAATTGTGTTGCCAGTGAAAGAACACAAAGAAACAGAAGTCTCTTAGCTTGAGCCTCTTCAATTTGACTTTTTGTAGCAATAACAGCTTTCAATAATGAGGACGTATTTATGACCATAATAATCCTTATCTATAATCACTTGTTTATTTCTTATCCAAAACATGAATAATCCCATTTCAGTCTTTTTTTTTTTTTTTTTTTTTTTTTTGAGACAAGAGTCTCATGCAGTCGCCCAGGCAGGACAGGCAGGAGTGCAGTGGCGTGATCTCAGCTCACTGCCACCTCCACCTCCTGAGTTCAAGCTATTCTCCTGCCTCAGCCTCCCGAGTAGCTGGGATTACAGGCATGTGCCACCACACCCGGCTAATTTTTTGTATCTTTAGTAGAGATGGGTTTTCACCATGTTGGCCAGGCTAGTCTCGAACTCCTGACTTCAAGTAATCTGCCTGGGTCGGCCTCCCAAAGTGCTGGGATTACAGGCATGAGGCACCGCGCCCAGCCCCCACTTCAGTCTTCTAACAACAACAACAAAAAATTCCTATTTTTGACATTAAAAATAAAGGCACAAGTTAACTTCTTATATTGGAATTATAATGAATAAGTTTAAAAAGAATTTCCATATGTATATATACACACACACATACATATAAATGTGTTTTTAAAAAGCAATTATATAAAAGGCAATGGTTCCCATGTTCACCCCCTTTGCCAACATTCAAGCAAAGAAAGGCTTATTTACCATTTCAACAGATCCATCCCCTGGGTAAAATAAAAGCTCATAACGTCGAAGAAGTGAAGCATTTGGATCATACCACTCTGCAATGAAAACGAATCTTTCACTATGATTCTGCAAAGAAAGACAGAAGAATTTTAACACTAACATATAAAGAACAAGCACTCTTCTGTAAGTCACACAAAATGAAATTACCAATATGCAAGAAACAAAATTACTTCTACCTATTATATTGAATGTTTCTGCTTTTCAACAAAGTATCAGTTATCAACACACCCTCAGCAATATTTCCTTTCAATTTCTCACTAAATACCCTTAGATATCTCAAAGATGACTTATGGATTGCTTTTTACTTTACAGCCATCTAATCATCCTGAGTAAATTAACGTTTTCTGAGAACATGAGCTCCTGATTTTACTATTGTAACAATTCAGTCCTTCTGAAAGCAAGTTTACATACAGACTATCAATAAACTAATATAAGAATAAATTTCTGAGGAGAGCTCTCAATTATATGAAGTTTTGACTTCCCTAAATTTGAGAATCTAGTAGTATCAGAATATTACCATTAAAATTATAGCAAACATTTTTTTTTCCTTAGTAATTTCATATGATAGTATCTTTTTATAGAAATAGAGAATGTGTTAGTCTAGGACCTCTGAAAATGAATGTGAAGACAAGATTGAACATACAAGAATTTCATTAAGGAAAATTCCCGTAATATAAAATGATGAGGGAGCCAAGGAAGACTAGAAAAGCCGATAAAAACAATAGAAGTTTGACACAGAGTGGTGGAGAGATGCAAGGAAGGTTAAGTGGAATCATCCCACATTGCTACACCCTCTAAGAAAGGTTCTGTAAGCCCATCAGGAAGTGCTAGAGCCAGGTGACTCCCAAGGACAGGGAGGGGCCAGCTTTAGTATCCCTGCTCCTCTCAATCAGTGGCTGGGAGCAGCCTTTGGGAAGCAAGTGCTCAGCACAAAAGCAGCAGTGGATTTCAGAGAACAGCAGCTGGGACCCTTGGTCACTTAGGTTGCCTGTAGTTGGAGGTCTGTGAAGTACACTCTTAGGGCTACCACAGAGAGCAAAAAATGAAAAAAATAAGTCAAAGATGGGTCCTTTTCCCTTGACTATTGAGCAGGACTTCCCATCATATATGTTAGTAAAAATACCCTCGCCCCAAAGATCTTCATTATAATAAGCAAATAAAAGCATAGGGAAGAAGGGAATCTAGGAGTTTTATTGCTAATTCTGGATTTGCCATCTGATGCTCTGGTTAGGGAAAATTTGGGGGTTCTTTTTAAGTTAATAATTGACTTATAAATTCTAATGGTAGAAGTTGTGTGTCTAATGATGTTTATAATATATCCATAAACTATAACGTAGATGACACTTTTATTTTTAAGACACTTTTATTTTTCCCACAATCATCCAAAGACATATTTAAACCATGCTGATTACTCAAGAGAAAATAAATGTAAAATAAGAGACATACTATGACATTTGTAAAAGCCTTTCATCATATATATTTTTCATATTGATTATAACAATACAGCTTTTTTGAGTTTAGGTTTCACTGTGCATTCTAGTATTGTACTCACCTACAAATAAAAATTTAAATATTAGTAGATTATTAAAATTTTTACTATCCATAATAAAATATTTATTTAAATACATAATTGAAATGTTGCCTTCACTAAAATAAATATAAAATAGAAGAAATGACACATCTAACTAAAGCAAATGAAAAATCCACGAAACCTGGTACTTCCATTTATCCATGTAGCCTATCCACCAAACCTGCCAACCACACTCTTTAATTCTGAATTGGGCAGCAGAATTTTGCACTATACTCTATCCAGAAAAGAGTTTTAATACAAAGAAAATAAACTGAGGAACTGTTGCTTCTGGCTATGACAAAGTAGCTCACAGCAAACCAATGCTACTTCTAAGAACAACTAGAAAAGTAGGATATCAAAGATTTGGAGAGCTTTTAAGGCAGCCAGGATCTGAGGATCCAAGATCCAGAAAGACAGGAAGCCCATTGAAGTGAAACCAACATTCATTGCGTTGTCTTTACTCGTAAGACATGTGCTGAGTCTCAAGTCAAGCAGACAAGTGACTGAGAAGCCTAAGAAGCTGGTAGAGGGAGCCCACCAAGGGACAGAGAAACAGGTACAAAAGTGAGCTGAAACCTGTGCTTGTTCAGTAGAGCTTTTGGAAACGAACTCCCAAGCTAGTGCTGTTTCCTCTGTGGGAAAAGGTTTATTACTCCAAGTACAAATTATATTCAAACTTGATTTAAACTTAACTTTCTGGTTTACCTTTACAGTAAAAACTGTGTTTACTTCCTAGAGTTAAAAGATGTACCTGGAGATATAACAGTGGTACATCTGGACTTGGGATAAAACATCACAGTGAGGTTGGCCTTTCAACTACCTGCCTGACACACATGCACATACACACACCATCCAGACCAAAGCCACCCTTAAAATTTAAAGAAAATTTACTTTTCAGCTTTGTTGAGCCAAATCTAGAAAAAAGGAGGAACTTGGTTTCCTTCCTCAAATGCTATTAAAGCTATATATCATTTTGTTTTAACTCTTCACTTTATGGATAAAGAAACTGAACTCCAGATAATATAAATGACTAGCATAAGGTCACAGAGCTGGTTAATAACTGAGCCAAAACTGGAAACTACATTTCCTATGACTCAGATATTTCCATATCACTAGCCTTCCAGGGCCAACTCAAGAGAGAGAAACTAACACTTTAGTAGCACATAGATACACCTTGAGTTGTCTGTCACAGATGCTCTGATGAGAATGCCACAACCTAATGATTACACAGACAATCATTAGCTCCTTCTTCCCTGAAGATTCCAACTTCTATCAAAAGTACTTTATGAGGAACATTTAAAGATTACACTGCATCAAAAAGAGACTTTCTTAAAGAAGCCAAATCATTTTTCCTCTTTTGAACATTTTAAATATAAGTTATACATAATAAAAGAGTTGATCCCTCACACATAATCACACTTTGTTCCAGAAATCTTAAAGTCTTAAAGGAAAATGTGTATTATTATACCAGAAGTCTTGAAGTGACTTGAACTGGACAATGTGGTATTATTATACCCAGAAGCCTTAGTATCTTAAAGTCTTAAGGTCTCTGTCTATACAGAGAGAACTTTCCTAGAGCACCAGTCTTACTCGATGGTAAGTAACGTAAACAATTTTTACACTGCAACATGCATATATGTGTATATAAATATATGTTATTGAGTGGAATGTAAAATTCATATAAGTTTTATAACAAAAAATAGGTGATTTTATGGAAATATTGACCAATATTGGAATTGCAAGTGAAATTATATTTGAAGATTAAACAAGTCTTTGGAGAAATAAATCACACCACCACCTCTCTCTGCTACTGTTTAAAGGAAGGTCCAGCTTTACAGTGGATCATATGAAATTAACAATCTTTTCCATACAGATATACTTTAAAAAATCCAAACTCTCAGTTCAAGAGTAAGTTTAAGCGTATGTTACCAAGCAAAATTGTACCTTGGCCTCATTTCAATAATACTGATCAGAAAGCTATTCCATTCCTGATGATACTATGATCATCAATCAACAAATACCAACTGGGCCTGGTACTACTAGCATGCTGAGTGCAACGAGCACACCAATCTGATAAGTCTGCTGCTGCTGGTGCTACTGCTGCTATCATTTGCTGGCAGCCTACAGCAAGAGACATGGCCCTGAAATGTGTTGCTTAAAGAGAAGATCCAGGAAACTATAAAGGGGTTTTTTGGAGGGGGGGATTATGGAGGAATATTTGTGAGAGTCCAAAAGACCTGGGCAAGACTTAATGTCTCTAACTCTCATTTTCCCCATTTGAAAAATGGAAACAGTACTTTCTTCATAAGGTAGTTTTGGGGATTAAATGACTTAGTTTACATGAAGCACTTAGGATTTCTGTTGCCTATGTCTCCCAAAGCGATGATGGTGGCTTATAGGTCCACCTGTGACTTTAGAACTGCATTGTACACACTCATCTCCCTCACTGATCTTTTTCTGACATACAAGAAGAGCAACTCTGGATTTGTGATGATGCAGCCTCAGCTGCAACTAACCCTAGGTAAATAGTTTTTTAAAGGTCTTTGCAGAAAAAAATCAGTATGAAGGAAAAAGGGATTTATGATGGACAAAAAAATGACTAAAATTATATTTATAAATGAAAATAAAAACTATTGAACATATAATACTAGGTAAATTTTTTTGTAAAGGATATATCATATTAATAAATCAGAGCCAAAGTACAATTCTTACCTTTTGGGGAGTTCAAACAGTTATAGATCTGTTTTTGTCAATAAAAATTTTAGTAACAATTTTCTTTTTAAATTTTATAACACTATCTGTTGCACATTCATCATTAGTTTTATAATGGACTTAGGGTGCCCCTTAAAGCAGATATAGCTTAGATCATAATACCCAAGACTTTTCAAATACATGTAAAGCCTTCCTAAGAAGGATGGGTACAAACATGCCAAGATTGCAGACTACAGTAAATACCTAACTTTTCAGTGCCCAGACACAGATGAACATCCACAAGTATCAAGATCATCCAGGAAAATATGAACTTACCAAATAAACCAAATAAGGCACAAGGGACCAATCCTGAAGAAACAGAGATATGTGACCTTTCAGACAGAGTATTCAAAATAGCTCTGCTATAGGTTTCAAAATCAACCCTGGCTAGGGGCCTGAAGCAAACCAGTTTAGTGCTAACAACAACAAAAAAAAAATCTGATCTAATTTTTTTCACTTTACTTTCTCTCCCACATATTCCTTATTTCTCACTCTACCGCTCCAAGCTTCAACTTCCTTGTTCCTAAATATTTTATGAAAAAGTTCAAAACACTTTTTCTTCTGGATAAGTAATATTTGTGTTTTCTTAATGTCATGCTGTGGTTTGAATTTTCAAATTTCATGAAAATTTGTGTTTCCTGAAAAAAAAAAAAAAAAAAACCTCTGCTAAGGAAACCCAAGAAATTCAAGATAACACAGAGAAGAAATTCAGAATTCCATCAAATAAATTTAACAATGAGATTGAAATAATTAAAAAGAATCAAGCAGAAATTCTGGAGCTGAAAAATGCAAAAAGCGTACTGAAGAAGGCATCAGAGTCCTTTAATGGCAGAATTGATCAAGCAGAAGAATTAGTGAGATTGAAGACAGGTTATTTGAAAATACACAGAGGAGACAAAAAAAGAATAAAAAACATGAAGCACACCTATAGGATCTAGGAAATAGGCTGGAAAGGGCAAATCTAAGTTATTGGTCTTAAAGAAGAAGTAGAGAAAGAGATAGGGGTAGAAAGTTTATTCAAAGGGCTAATAACAGAGACCTTCCCAAACCTAGAGAAAGATATCAATATCCAAATACAAGACGATTATAGAAAACATTAAACAGATTTAATCCAAAGAAGACCACCTCAAGGCATTTAATAATCTAACTCTCAAAGGTCAAGGATAAAGAAAGAATTCTAAAAGCAGCAAGAGTAAAGAAGCAAATAAACAATGGAGCTCCAATACATCTAGCAACAGACTTTTCAATGGGAACTTTACAGGCCAGGAGAGAGTGTCATTACATATTTAAAGTGGTGAAGGAAAAAAAGACTGTTACCCTATAATAGTATATTTAGTTAAAATATCCTTCAAACATCAAGGAGAAATAAAGACTTTCCCAGACAAACAGAAGCTGAGAAATTTCATCAACACCAGACCTGTTCTATGAGAAATGTTAAAGGGAGTACTTCAATCAGAAAGAAAAAGACATTAATGAGCAACAAATAATCACCTGAAGGTAAAAAACTCACTGGTAATAGTAAGTACACAGAAAAACACAGGATATTATAACACTGTAACTGTGGCGTATAGAGAAATGCAAATCAAAACCACAATGTGGTACCATCTCACACCAGTCAGAATGGCTACTAAGAAGTCAAAATGGCTGGGCGTGGTGGATCACACCTGTAATCCCAGCACTTTGGGAGGTTGAGGCAAAAGGATCACGAGGTCAGGAGTTCAAGACCAGCCTGGCCAACATAGTGAAACCCCCATCTCTACTAAAAATACAAAAATTAGCCAGGCATGGTGGCAGGCGCCTGTAGTCCCAGCTATTTGAGAGTCTGAGGCAGGAGAATTGCTTGAACCCGGGAGGAGGAGATTGCAGGGAGCCGAGATCGCACCACTGCACTCCAGTCTGGTGACAGAGCAAGACTCTGTCTCTAAATAAATAAATAAATAAAATCCATTACAAATGTTACTGGAGAAATTAAAAAAATCTTTAGTGGCTACTACAAGCAACTATATGCCAATAAACTGAAAACTCTAGAAGAAACAGAAAAATAACCAGATATATACAATCTACCAAGATTGAACCAGGAAGAAATTCAAAACCTAAAGAGACCAATAACAAGTAATGAGATCAAAGCCATAATAAAGACTCCCAGTAAAGAAAAGTCCAAAAAATAGAGGAGGAGGGACTACTTCCAAACTCATTCTACGAGGCCAGTATTACCCTGATACCAAAACCAGACAATGACACATCAAAATAAATAAATAAATAAAACTACAGGTCAATATCTCTGATAAATATTGATGCAAAACTTGTCAACAAAATACTAGCAAACTGAATTCAGCAATACATTAGAAAGATCATTCATTATGACCGAGTGGGATATATCCCTGGGATGCAAGGATGGTTCAACATAAGCAAATCAATCAATGTGATATGTGATATCAAAAGAATGAAAGATAAAAACCATACAATCATGTCCATTGATGTTGTAAAAGCATTTGATAAAACTCAACATACCTTCATGATGAAAACTCTCAAAAAACTGAATATAGAAGTAACATACCTCAACATAATAAAAGCATATTTGACAAATATGACAGACCCACAGCTAGTATCATACTGAATGGGGAAAAACTAAAAGCCTTTCCTCTGAGATCTGAAACATGACGAGGGTGCCCATTATCACTACTGTTGTTCAACATAATAATGGAAGTCCTAGCTAGAACAATCAGACAAGAGAAAGATATAAAGGGCATCCAAATTGAAAAGGAAGAAGTCAAATTATCCTTGTTTACAGATGATATGATTTTATATTTGGAAAAACCTAAAGACTCCACTGAAAGACTCTTAGAACTGATAAATTCAGTAAAGTTGCAGGATACGAAATCATACAAATATCAGTGGTATTTCTATATGCCAACAGTGAACAATCTTAAAAAGAAATTTTAAAAAGTTATCCCATTTACAATAGCCACAAATAAAATAAAATACCTAAGAATTAACAAAAGAAATGAAGATCTCTACAATGAAAACTATGAAACACTGATGAAATAATTTGAAAAAGACCAAAAAAAAAATGGGAAGCTATTCCATGTTCATGGAATTGGAAGAATTAACATTGTTAAAATGTCCACACTACCTAAAGCAATCTACAGATTCAATGCAATCCCTATCAAAATACCAATGTCGTTCTTCAAAGAATAGAAATAGAAAAAACAATTCTAGAATTTATATGGAACCACAAAAAACTCAGAATAGCCAAAACCATCCTAAGCAAAAAGAACAAAACTGAAAAAATCACATTAACTGACTTCAAATTATACTACAGAGCTATAGTAACCCAAACATCATGGTACTGACATAAAAACAGACACATAGACCAATGGAACAGAATAGAGAACCCAGAAAAAATCCACACACCTACAGCGAACCCATTTTCAACAAAAGTGCAAACAAGATACACTGGGGAAAAGACAGCCTCTTTAATAAATGGTGCTGGGAAAACTAGATGTCTATATGCAGAAGAATGAAACTAGACCCCCTATCTCCAGCCATATACAAAAATAAAATAAAAATGGATTAAAGTCTTAAATCTAAGACCTCAAACTATGAAACTACTACAAGAAAACATGGGAGAAAATCTCTAGGACATTGGTCTGGGCAAAAATTTCTTGAGCAATGCCCCACAAACATAGGCAATCAAAGCAAAAACGGACAAACAGGATCATATCAAGTTAAAAACCTTCTGCACAGCAAATAAAACAATCAACAAAGTGAAGAGACAACCCACAGAATGGGAGAAAATATTTGCAAACTACCAATCTGACAAGGGATTAATAACCAGAACACCTAAGGAACTCAAACAACTCTACAGGAAGAAATCTAATAATCCAGCTACAAAATGGGCAAAAGATCTGAATAGATATTTCTTAAAAGAAGACATACAAATGGAAAATAAGCATATGAAAAGGTGTTCAACATCACTGATCATCAGAGAAATGTCATCAAAACTACAATGAGATATCATCTTATCCCAGTTAAAATGGCTCTTATCCAAAAGACAGGCAATAAAAAATGCTGGTGAGGATGTGGAGAACAGGGGACCCTTGTACACTGTTGTTAGGAATGTAAATTAAAACAACCACTATGGAGAACAGTTTGAAGGTTTCTCACAGAACTAAAAATGATCCAGCAATCCCACTGCAGGGTATATACCCAAATAAAAGGGAATCAGTATATTGAAGAGATATCTGCACTCCTATGTTTGTTGCAGCACTGTTTACAATAGCTAAGATTTGAAAGCAACCTAAATGTCCATCAACAGATGAATAAAGAAAATGTGGTACATATACACAATGAAGTACCATTAAGCCATAAAAAAGAATGAGATCCAGTCATTTGCAACAACAGGGATGGAACTGGAGATCATTATGTTAAGTGAAATAAGCTAGGCAAAGAAAGACAAACATCACATGTTCTCACTTATCTGTGGGTTCTAAAAAATGAAAAAAAATTGAACTCATGGACATGGAGAGTAGAAAGATGGTTATCAGAAGTTGGGAAGAGTAGTGGGAGGCTGTAGGGAAGGTGGGGGTGAATAACAGGTACAAAAAAAATAAAATTAAAAAGAATGACTAAGACCTAATATTTGATAGCAGAGTAGGGTGACTGTAGCCAATAATAACTTAATTGTACATTTTAAAATAACTTAAAGAGTGTAACTGCATTGTTTGTAACAAAAGGATATCAAAAGGATAAATGTATCAAAAGGATAAATGCTTGAGGGGACAGAGCACATTCACCATGATATGCTTATTTCACATTGCATGCCTGTATCAAACTATCTCATGAACCCCATAAATATATATATCTACTATGTACCCATAAACATTTAATATTTTAAAAAAAAAGAAATTTGCCAAGATCACACAGCTTATAAACAGAGGTGAACCCAGGCAGCTTGACTCCAGATCTGCTCTTAGACACTCTCCTTAACTGTGGCAAGAAGGGATGGAAACTCCCTTCTGAGAGACACTGGACTAAGCAGCCTATATAAGCTGCAGTGTTTGCTCGATTTCTAGAAATAGCAACTATATTCTTTCAATTTAACCCCCTATTAAGACAAATCAGGTTTTAAAAACCAAC
This sequence comes from Homo sapiens, assembly GCF_000001405.40. Classification (NCBI taxonomy): domain Eukaryota; kingdom Metazoa; phylum Chordata; class Mammalia; order Primates; family Hominidae; genus Homo; species Homo sapiens. Next base: position 169,333,895 of record NC_000001.11, read on the forward strand.
ACAACCACAACAATAAAAATCAGGACATACTTATCAGACTTGTAATTCTAACAGTGCACTGAAAAAAATGTACATTGCATTTTTGTAATGCTGTATTTTAGGAAAAATTACTTCACAATAGGCAGCAAAATATTTTTGTTCATACAAAAGTGCTCCCTTCTTTAAATCATACTAAATGGATTCCATAATGCATGATGGAGAAATATCTTAAACTAACTAGAAGTCTTATTTTCATGATTTGCATGTTGAAGGGTCAGTAACTAGTCAATCTATTTCAAGCCAAGTATCTGCTTCTGTTTGACTTCAAAGACATTCTGGAGTAAATTATGTAGATGATAAAGGTTACAGTTCAACAAGCTTCTAAAGTTTAGTCTGAGTCTCCATGAACCCACATTCACCTTGAATGACATTATAATAGAAATCAACAGCATGAGTAATCAAAACAGCATGGTATGGGTAGCAAAACAGACACATACACCAATGGAGCAGAATAGAGACCTCACAAATAATACCACACATCTACAACCATCTCATCTTTGACAAACCTGACAAAAACAAGCAATGGGGAAAGGATCTCCTATTCAGTAAATGGTGCTGGGCAAACTGACTAGCCATATGCAGAAAAATGAAACTGGAACGCTTCCTTACACTTTATAGAAAAATTAACTCAAGATGGATTAAAGACTTAAATGTAAAACCCAAAACCATAAAAACCCTGGAGGAAAACCTACACAATACCATTCAGGACATAGGAATGGGCAAAGACTTCATGACAAAAAGGCCGAATGCGATTGCAACAAAAGCAAAAATTGACAATAGGATCTAATTAATTAAACTAAAGAGCTTCTGCACAGCAAAAGAAACTATCATCAGAGTGAACAGGCAACCTATAGAATGGGAGAAAATTTTTGCAATCTACCCATCTGAAAAGGTCTAATATCCAGAATTTACAAGGAACTTAAACATATTTATAAGAAAAAAACAAACAACCCCATCCAAAAGTGGGCAAAGGATATGAACAGACACTTCTCAAAAGAAGACATTTATGTGGCCAACAAACATGAAAAAAAGCTCAACATCACTAATCATCAGAGAAATGCAAATCCAAACCACAATGAGATACCATCTCACACCAGTTAGAATGACGATTAAAAAGTAGGAAACAAGGTGCTGGCGAGGCTGTGGAGAAATAGGAATGCTTTTACGTTGTTGGTGGGAATGTAAATTAGTTCAGCCATTGTGGAAGACAGTATGGTGATTCCTCAAGGATTTAGAACCAGAAATACCATTTGACCCAGTAATCCCATTACTGGGTATATACCCAAAGGAATATAAATTATTCTACTATAAAGACACATGCACACATATGTTTTCTGCAGCACTATTTACAATAGCAAAGACATGGAACCAACCCAAATGCCCATCAATGATAGACTGGATAAAGAAAATGTGGTACATATACACCATGGAATACTATGCAGCCATAACAAGGAATGAGATCATGTCCTTTGCAGGGACATGGATGAAGCTGGAAGCCATCATCTTCAGCAAACTAGCACACGAACAGAAAACCAAATACTACACATTCTCACTCATAAGTGGGAGGTGAACAATGAGAACACATAGAGAGGGGAACAACACATACCAGGGCCTGTTGTGGGGTGGGGGATGAGGGAAGGGAACTTAGGGGACGAGTCAATAGGTGCAGCAAATCACCATGGCACATGTGTACCTATGTAACAAACCTGCACGTTCTGCACATGTATCCTGATTTTTTTAGAAGAAATATATATAATATATATGTTTATATATTTTATATATATTAAATAAATAATATATATTTAATATATACTTTTATATATTAAATATATATTTATATATATGTTTCAGAAGAGATATATATATATACATATATATAGAAAGAAATCAACACCATCTAAGAACCTGCTCCCTCAAGCCAGCTGCTTCCAGTAAGGGTGAGTGAAAAGTGGCTTCTAAACAAGGAAATTTTCACTTTGCCTTGAACATTCTGAGAACATAGTGTGTCCGGAATTGGTGGGTTCTTGGTCTCACCGACTTCAAGAATGAAGCCGTGGACCCTCGCAGTGAGTGTTACAGCTCTTAAGGTGGCGCATCCGGAGTCTGTCCCTTCTGATGTTCAGATGTGTTCGGAGTTTCTTCCTTCTGGTGGGTTCGTGGTCTCGCTGGCTCAGGAGTGAAGCTGCAGACCTTTGCGGTGAGTGTTACAGCTCTTAAGACAGCGCGTCCGGAGTTGTTCGTTCCTCCCGGTGGGCTCGTGGTCTCGCTGGGCTCAGGAGTGAAGCTGCAGATCTTCACGGTGAGTGTTACAGCTCATAAAAGCAGCATGGACCCAAAGAGTGAGCAGTAGCAAGATTTATTGCAAAGAGCGAAAGAACAAAGCTTCCACAGTGTGGAAGGGGACCTTCCCTTCCACAGCTAGCTCAGGCAGCCTGCTTTTATTCTCTTATCTGGCCCCACCCACATCCTGCTGATTGGTAGAGCCGAGTGGCCTGTTTTGTCAGGGCACTGATTGGTGTGTTTACAATCCCTGAGCTAGATACAAAGGTTCTTCACGTCCCCATCAGATTAGTTAGATACAGAGTTTGGACACACAGGTTCTCCAAGTCCCCACCAGAGCAGCTAGATACAGAGTGTCGATTGGTGCATTCACAAACCTTGAGCTAAACACAGGGTGCTGATTGGTGTGTTTACAAACCTTGAGCTAGATACAGAGTGCCGACTGGTGTATTTACAATCCCTTAGCTAGACATAAAGGTTCTCCAAGGCCCCACAAGAGCAGCTAGATACAGAGTGTCCATTGGTGCAATCGCAAACCTTAAGCTAAACACTGGGTGCTGATTGGTGTATTTAAATCCCTGAGCTAGACATAAAGATTCTCCAAGGCCCCACCAGAGCAGCTAGATACAGAGTGTCGATTGGTGCACTCACAAACCTTGAGCTAGACACAGGGTGCTGATTGGTGTGTTTACAAACCTTGAGCTAGATACAGAGTGCCGATTGGTGTATTTACAATCCCTGAGCTAGACATAAAGGTCCTCCAAGGCCCCACCAGACTCAGGAACCCAGCTGGCTTCACCCAGTGGATCCCGCACCGGGGCTGCAGGTGGAGCTGCCTGCCAGTCCCAGTGCCGTGTGCCCGCACTCCTCAGCCCTTGGGTGGTCGATGGGACTGGGCGCCATGGAGCAGGGGGCGGCGCTTGTAGGGGAGGCTCGGGCTGCACAGGAACCCACGGAGTGGGTGGGAGGCTCAGGCATGGCGGGCTGCAGGTCCCGAGCCGTGCCCCGTGGGAAGGCAGCTAAGGCACGCGGTGAGAAATCGAGCGCAGCGCCGGTGGGCTGGCACTGCTGGGGGACCCAGTACACCCTCCGCAGCTGCTGGCCCGGGTGCTAAGTCCCTCATTGCCCAGGGCCAGCAGGGCTGGCCGACTGCTCCCAGTGCAGGGCCCGCCAAGCCCACGCCCACCCGGAACTCCAGCTGGCCCGCAAGCGCCGCACACAGCCCTGGTTCCCGCTCACGCCTCTCCCTCCACACCTCCCTGCAAGCTGAGGGAGTGGGCTCTGGCCTTGGCCAGCCCAGAAAGGAGCTCCCACAGCGCAGCGGTGGGCTGAAGGGCTCCTCAAGTGCCGCCAAAGTGGGAGCCCATGCAGAGGAGGTGCCAAGAGCGACTGAGGACTGTGAGGACTGCCAGCATGCTGTCACCTCTCAATAGCAGATCATTAAAAATGTATTATCTACACAGTAGGCAAACAAGCATAGTAATTCACATTGCTTTACTTAGATGTCACAGTGATAAGTACAATAGAAATAAAAACACAAGGAAAAGGTTTATATTATCCCATTGTCAGAGGCTAGATTTTAAGCACTAACTTGTTTTGTACCTATCCTTTATCAAATAGTCTTCCTCCAGGGCTTCCTTCAAAGACCAAGAAATTTTCTTACATTGAATAGTGTCAAATATTAACCTTACTTTAGTGTGACCATAACCAGTTTTGAGCCTGTCCAGGTTGTTCACAGAGACCTATTCCTTCTTCATAAATCTATCTTGTAAAGACAGACAGAAGGCAAACTCAAGTAAAAAGGGTCTTCACGTGTGAAGAATCTAATTTGTCAACTCCAACTTAGCATTTCTCATTAATAAAGGAAAACAAATTATAACAGAAGGAAAAGTTAGGTGAATCATTAAATTTAGTTAGCTATCCTATTTCACTTAAATTCTTTAAACACTAAGTATACCATTGCAATCACTTTTTGCTTTTAAAAAATTACAGTTTAAAATTTCTTTTGAAAAAATATTTTCAACAGAATTCCACATATTTCCAAGATTGTGTTTTTTAATGTTACTTCAAGACAATATCTCAGAAATAGAATGCATTGTTTTTGTGTTTACAGAAAAAAGTCAGTGATGCAATGAACAGAACACAAACACCTGTATTTCCCCAACTGTGATGTTTAAGATGCACTTTCAACTTAACTCCTGCTAAATTTTGTTAGTGAAAAATGCCAGAAAAGAACCATTTCCACAGTATGAATATATAGCAGGAAGCTGGTCAAACAAGATGGAATCGTTTAAAAAGGCACACATCCAGTTTCAGGGGAGAAACAGCTTTTTAAACTTCTTCACCTTGGGCCCCATAATCTTGAAAATTTTTGCTCTCTGACTTCTGCAGATCACTGCCCAGTGAAAAAACAATGCCACACACCATCTATCAAGGGAAACCTCTCTAAAAAGGTTGAACTTTCCTTTAGACATCTCAAAGAAAACACAGTTATTATGAAGTCTTCCCAGACCAACCCCAGCCAATGTATATTTCTGTTACTTGGAATTTGATTTTCACAGAATTTCAGAGATCAAAGGAACATTAACAATGAGGAAACAGAAGGTCAGATAAGTTAAATGACTTGGCAAAAATGATGTTGACTTGTTAAGTGGCATAGTTTAACAAGGACCCTTGTTTCTTCACGGGCAGACTGATGTTCCCACAGTAGAACACTGGGTTGTCGTCTAATTTTGTATTATACAATACAAATTGTCTCTCTAATAAAATTATGAAATTCTCAAAGAAGCTGTAACATTTATTTCTCTTGAAACTTCAAGGTGGCTCTCCTAGTTCTGGGACCATAAAATACTCAAATAAATATTTACCAAAATAAAGATCTAAAGGAGTAAATAAATGTGCACAGCAATAGATCTTGACAAAATGGCAAAAATCCACTCTTCCATATTCAAAAAACTCCCCCCCAAACTCTAATATTTGTTTGTAAGTCTGTTTACTTATATTTCCAGAAAGATTCTCAAAGAGGACATCTTTTCTTACTTTTTTGGTAAGTATGGGCTTCTCTGACTACCATCTTAAAAGAATATACTTGATAAAGTATTAAGTAACTCCAGGACATGAGTTACCCATGAGAGATCACTTGCCAACAATTAACTGAACCACAATATTCCAAAAAGAGAGATGGCTCTTAATCAATAAATAAATTCTGGGTCTAATTATAATGGCATGAAAATATTTAAGCAATTATAAACTACTCAATGTTCAGATAGAAAATTGACTTTATTATTGAGCTAGAAATCAAATGATAACACAGAAAATAACAATATAAATGCTAACCTTGAGTTTTTCCAAAAAAGCAACTGTTGTCAAGGTCACAAACACACTGAGCCAAGTCTTGTTATTCCTTTATCCCATAGCTATTGTACTACTTGGTCTGAAAGTGGATGTGCTAGACATTTTCCATTTGTCATTTTCCATTTGTCTCTCCAGACCTTCACTCTGCTCTTCTCCATCCTGTTCTAAGCCTGGTCAGCTGACCTCCATGAACTTCATCAAAGGACCCCCTTGCCCTTGGACTTTTACATGGGTTTGGCCAGTAGAAGCCAGTGGCTACAAATCAAAGGAAGAACAGAGAGGCCAAGATATTTATTCTACTTCCTCCTCCTTGCCAGATCACATTGGTTAAGTTTCTCCTCTGCAATGAAGACCACAGCTCATGTCAGACAGCCTTTCCATTACAGCTGCTCTCTGGTAGTTCTCTCCATTTTCCCTGATAGGTCAAGAAGTAGTAAAGGCTCCCTGACTTCTGCTTCCTGTACCATCCCTTGTTAGTTTCTCTTACTCTGCCCATACCTTTGTAACTAGTCCCTTCAGTAAACTCTTCAGTTATTCCATTTGAGTATTGACATGGTTTGGCTCTGGGTCCCCAGCCAAATCTCCTCTTGAATTATAATCCCCATGTGTCAAGACAGGGGCCTGGTGGAAGGTGATTGGATTACAGGGGCAGTTTCCCCCATGCTGTTCTTGTGATAGCGGGTTCTCACGAGATCTGATGGTTTTAAAAGTGGCAGTTTCCCCTGCACGTTCTCTCTCCTGCCGCCTTGTGAGGAAGATGCCTGCTTCCCTTTTGCCTACTGCCATGATTGTTAACTTTCCTGAGGCCTCCACAGCCATGCAGAACTGTGAGTCAGTTAAACCTCTTACCTTCAAAAATTACCCAGTTTCAGGTATTCTTTACAGCAGTGTGAAAATGGACTAATTCAGAGAATTGGTACCAGCAGAGTGGGGTACTGCTATAAAGATAACCTGACAATGTGGAAGCATCTTTGGAACTGGGTAACAGGCAGGGGTTGGAAAAGTTTGGAAGGCTCAGAAGAAAAGAAGATGTGGGAAAGTTGTGGACTTCCTAAAGAATTGTTGAATGGTTTTGACCAAAATGCTGACAGTGATATGGACAATGAAGTCCAGGCTGAGGTGGTCTCAGATGAAGATGAGAAACTTAGTGGGAACTGGAGTGAAGGTCACTCATGCTATGCTTTAGCAAAGAGACTGGCGGCATTTTGCCTCTGCCTTAGAGATCTGTGGAGCTTTGAACTCAAAAGATGATTTAGGGTATCTGGCAGAAGAAATTTCTAAGCAGAAAAGCATTCAAGAGGTGACCTGGCATTTTCTGAAAGCATTCAGTCAGATGTATTCACAGAGATGGTTTGAGATTGGAACTTATGTAAAGGTTTGGAAAACTTGCAGCCTGGCCCTGTGGTAGAAAAGAAAAACCCATTTTCTAGGGAGGAATTCAAGCTGGCTGAAGAAATTTGCATAAAAAATGAGGAACGGAATGTTAATACCAAGACAATGGGGAAAATGCCTCCAGGCCGTGTCAGAGATCTTCGTGGCAGCCCCTCCTATCACAGACCTGGAAGGCTAGGAGAGAAAAATGGTTTTGTGGGCTAGGCCTGGGGCCCCACTGCTCTGTGTGGCCCTGGGGCGTGACACCCTAAGTCTCAGTCACTCCAGCTCAAGCCGAGGCTAAAAGGGGCCAAGATACAGCTTGGGGCATTGCTTTAAAGGGTGCAAGCCCCAAGCCTTGGCAGCCGACACATGGTGTTGGGATTGCAGGTACGCAGAAGACAAGAGCTGAGCTTTGGGAGCCTCCACCTAGATTTCAGAGGATGTATGAAAACACCTGGATGTCCAGGCAAAAGTCTGCTGCTGGGGCAGAGCCCTCATGGAGAGCCTCTACTAGGGCAATGCAGAGGGAAAATGTGGGGTCAGGGTGCCCACACAGAGTCCCCACTGGGGCACTGCCTGGTGGGGCTGTGAGAAGAGGGCCAATGTCCTCCAGACCCCAGAATGGTAGATCCACTCACAGCTTGCACCATGTGCCTGGAAAAGCCAGGGGCACTCGATGCCAGCCTTTGAAAGCAGCCATGGGGACTGTCCCCTACAGATCCACAGGGAAGGAGCTGCCAATGCCCTGGGAGCTCACCTCTTCCATCAGCATGCCCTGGGTGTGAGACATGGAATCAGAGGAGACCATTCTGGAGCTTTAATGAATTAAAAAAAAATTTTTTTAACAAGTACCCTGCCAGGTTTTGGACTTGTATAGGGCCTGTGGCCTCTTTGGTTTGGCCAATTTCTCCCATTTCGAATGGGAACATTTACCCAATGCCTGTGCCCCCACTGTATCTTAGAACTAACTAACTTGCTTTTGATTTTATAGGCTCACAGGTAGAAAAGACTTGCCTTGTCTCAGATGAGACTTTGGACTTGGACTCTTGAGCTAATGCTGGAATGAGTTAAGGCTTTGGGGGACTATTGGAAAGGCATGATTGGTTTTGAAATTTGAAAAGGACATGAGATTTGGGAGGGGCCAGGGGTGGAATAATATGGTTTGGCTCTGTATCCCCACCCAAATCTCATTTCGAATTGTAATCCCCACATGTTGAGGCAGGGACCTAGTGGGAGGTGACTGGATCATGGGGGCAGTTTCCCCCATGCTGTTCTCATGATAGTGAGGGAGTCCTCATGAGATCTAATGGTTTTAAAAGTGGAAGCTTCCCCTGCACATTCTCTCTCTCCTGCCACCTTGTGAAAAAGATGCCTGCTTCCCCTTTGCCTTCTGGCATGATTGTAAGTTTCCTGAGGCCTCCGCAGCCATGTGGAACTGTGAGTCAATTAAACTTCTTTTCTTTATAAATTACCCAGTCTCACGTAGTACCTTTATAGCAGTGTGAACATGGACTAATACAAGTACATATATATACTTGTATTAGTATATATATATATACAAGTACATATATATATAGTATATATATACAAGTACATATATATAGTATATATATATATACAAGTACATATATATAGTATATATATATATACAAGTACATATATATAGTATATATATATACAAGTACATATATATAGTATATATATATACAAGTACATATATATATAGTATATATATATACAAGTACATATATATAGTATATATATATACAAGTACATATATATATAGTATATATATATACAAGTACATATATATAGTATATATATATACAAGTACATATATATATAGTATATATATATACAAGTACATATATATATAGTATATATATATACAAGTACATATATATATAGTATATATATATACAAGTACATATATATAGTATATATACATATATACAAGTACATATATATAGTGTATATATATATATACAAGTACATATATATACTTGTATTAGTATATATATATATATATACAAGTACATATATATACTTGTATTAGTATATATATATATATATGCATATATATATATACATACCTGTGTCCAGCTAGGACTCAGAATGATCCTTTGGGATAGAGGTCCTTCCTGTCTCACATTGCCAGTTCCACACGATTTTTTGTTGGGGAGGGAATGGCAACCTTTGGTCACTTGTGTTTTGGTGTCATATCTAAGAAGGCTTTGCCTGACCCAAGGATACAGAGATATATATATTTCTATAGTTTCTTCTCAGAGCTTTATAGTTATAGCCCTTACATTTAGGTCTATGATCCATTTTGAACTCCTTTTCATGCATGGTGTGAGATTAGTCGAAATTGCTCTTTCTACATGTAGATATATAATTGCCCTAGCACCATCTGTTGAAAAGACTACTCCTCATTGAATGGTATTGACATTTTTGTCAAAAATCAATTTACCATGAAGGGTTTATTTCTAGACTCTCAATTCTGTTCCACTAATCTATATGTCTATCCCTATGCTATGCCATTACATTGTCTCTTTTTTTTTTTTTTTGAGATAGAGTTTCACTCTTGTTGCCCAGGCTGGAGTGCAATGGCATGATCTTGGTTCACTGCAACCTCTGCCTCCCCAGTTCAAGCAATTCTCCTGCCTCAGCTTCCCGAGTAGCTGGGACTACAGGCACATGCCACCATGCCTGGCTAATTTTTTTTGTATTTTTATAGCAGACAGGGCTTCACCATGTTGGCCGGGCTGGTCTCAAACTCCTGACCTCAAGTGATCCTCCTGCCTCGGCCTCCCAAAGTGCTGGGATTATAGGCATGAGCCACTGCACTTGGCCCACATTGAATTGATTACTGTAGCTTTGTAGTAAGTTTTGAAACCAGAAAGTATAAGTCTTCCAGTTTTGTTGTTCTTGTTTAAAACACCTTGGCTAATCTGGGCCCTTCACATTTCCATATCAAATTTAGGATCAGCTCGTCAATTTCTGCAAAAATGCCCACTGGGATTTTGATAGGAATTGCACTAAATCTATCTACTAATTTAGAGAGAATCACCACCTTAACCACATTAAGTCTTCTAATCCATGAAGTTTGAATGTTTCCATTTATTTAGGTCTTTAATTTTACTCAGCAATGTTTTGTAGTTTTCAGTGTACAATTCTTTCAGTTATTCCTGAGTATTCTTTTGGTGTCATTGTAAGTGGAGTTAATTTCTTAATCTCTTTTTCAGAGTGTTCATTATAGTATATGGAAATATAATTAATTTTTGTGAAATCAATTGGTCTTGTATTCTGCAACTTTGATGAACACATTAGTTGTAGTAACTTTTTTGTGGAATCCTTAGGATTTTCTATATACAGGGTCACATCCTCTGTGAATAAAGGCAGTTTTATCCTCTCCGGTCTAGATGTCTTTCATTTATTTCTTGCCTGACTGTACCAGCTAGAACTTCCATTCCAGTGTTGTATAAAATTGTGAGAGCACACATCCTAGCCTTGTTCCCAATCTCAGGAAGAAAGCATTCACACTTGCCATTTAAATATGTTGCTAGCTGCAGCTTTTTCATGAATCCCCTTAGTTCAAAGTTCACTTCTACTTCTAATTTGTTGAGAATTTTTATTATGAATGGTATTTGATTTTGTAAAGTGTTTTTCTGTGTCTAACGATAATTATGTGTGTTTTATCCTTTATTTCACTATTTTTTGTGTTATATTCATTGATTTTTGATGTTAAATCTTTTTGGCATAAATCCCACTGGATCATGGTATATAATCCATTCTATGTATTGCTAATATTGCTGATATTTTACTGAAGATTTTTTCACCTCTATTCATGATGTTGGTCTGCAGTTTTCTTTTCTTGCAATGTCTTCATCTGGCTTGGTATAGGACAATACTGGCTTCGCTGAGTGAGTTGTACTTCCTCCTCTGTTTTCCAGAAAAGTTTGTGAAAGATTGCTATTATTTATTATTTAAATGTTGAATAGAATTCATGAGAGTAGTCATCTGGGTATGAGCTTTGTAGAATGATTTTTAGTTACTAATTCAATTGCTTTATTTAGTATAACTCTATTCAGATTCTCTATTTCTTCTTGAGTTTTAGTAGTTATGTCTTTCAATGATTTTGCCCATTTCCTCTAAGTTGTCTAATTTAATGGGATAAAGTTGTTCATAGTATTCCCTTATAATCCTTTTAATTTCTGCAGGGATAGGAGCGATGTCTCCTCTTTCATTCCTGATTTTGATAATTTGTATCTTCAGTCTTTTTTCTTGGTCAGTCTAACCAAAGTTTTGCCTATGTTAATTGTTTCCAATAACTAATTTTTAGTTTCATTGATTTTCTCCATTTTCTATTTTACTGTTTTCTACTCCAATACTTATCTCCTTTCTTTTCTATTTCCTTTAGGTTTAATTTGTTCTTATTTTTCTTTTTCTGTTCTCTTTTTATTTTCTAGTAGAGATGGGGGGGTCTCACTATGTTGTCTAGGCTAGTTTCAAACTCCTGGCCTCAAGTGATTCTCTAACTTTGCCTCCCTAAGTGCTGGGATTACATGAGTGAACCATCACACTCTGCCTTTTTTTGTTTTTTGTTTTAAGGTAGAACCTTAAGTTGCTGATTTGAAACCTCTCTTCTATTCCAGTACAGGCATTTCTCCTTGGTTTCTTGATGTTAGAGTGTCAGCATACTCTACAACTTGGTCTTTGGACCCTTAATCTTTAGCTACACTCACTCTGTTATCATCTTATCTAGTCTCATGGCTTTAAATATAATCTACATATTGACAGTGCTCAGGCCAGACCACTCCCTCTAAATTTTAGTTGCATATATCTATCCAACTGCCTTTTATCTTAGATGTTAGACAGCTCTAGTTTAACAAGCCCCAAGTTGAAATCCTGCTCCCAGCCCCCTAACACAAATTGGCTTCTTCACCAGTCTTCCGCATCTTAGTTAACAGCAACGCTATCCTTACCATTGCTCAGGACAAAATCCTAGGGTCATCTTTTAACTCTATCCTTGACTCATTTTCTCTCAGACCATAGATCTAATTCATCAGGAAATCCTATTAGATCTACCTGCAAAACATATACACATTCTAGCCACTTTACTACCTCCACTGCAAACCCCCTACTCCAAGCCACCATACTCCCTCACCTAGATTATAGCCTCATAACTAACCTCTCTACTTCCATCTTTGCCCCCTACAGCTTCTCTCAAAAAAATACAGCCAGAGAGGATTCTGTAAAAATATAAATTGTATCACCTCATTCCTCTGCTTAAAATTTGCCAACTCAGCCTATGAGAATAATGTCAACCCACTTTCAATAGCCCACAAAGCCCTCCAAGATCTGGCCTCCAGTGATCCGTCTGACTTCATCTCCCACAACTGTCACTCTTGCTTACTTTGCCTTAGCCACACTGTTTCTTGAACATACGGCATGCTCCCACCTAAAAAAGTCTGTCCGCTGACTGTCTTATTTCCTGGAATACTTTTTCCCCAATATTTACATGGCTTATCTTTTCTCACCCTCAAGACTTTGCTCAGGTATCATCATCTTCTCCACAAGACTAACTCTGGCCACTTCCCTTTAAATTACATTCAACACCACTATCAGTACCCCCAACATTCATTACCCTGCTCATTTTTTTCCCGTAGCACTTATTTACCTTCAAATATAATGTATACTATACTTCATATGTTTATTGCTTATTGCATATCTGCCCCAAAAGAATGCAAGCCCTTTTAGGGCAGAGACTTTTGTCTGTTTTATTTATGGATGCATCCCAAGGGACTAGGTATATGCATTGCATATATCAGATATCTATTAAGTATTTGTTGAATGAATAAATTTAGAAAGCAGAACTCTGCTAGCTATCATCAATTGAAATATTAGTTATGCCTTAAAAGTTGAATTTATTCATGCCTTCATTCATTCAACAAATACTGAATGGCTTCTCTTTGCCAGGCACTGCAACAGACACTGGGGATATTCAAGACAGAAGACAGACAAGGCCCTGTTGACATGGAGCTTACTTACTAATTTTCTGTCTCTCCTTATAGAATGTAAAAATAAAAAATATATATAATTCTTGTAATAATATGTGTTATAGCCAGACATCATAGCTCGTGCCTGTAATTGCAGCTACTCAGGAGGCTGAGGCACGAAGATCACTTGAGCCCAGGAGTTGGAGTTATGACCATACCCCTGCGCTCCAGCCTGACCGACACAGTGAGACGCCATCTCTAAAAATGTAAGTAAATAAATAAATTGTGTTACAAAAACAATAGGATAAATAGGTAAACATGCCAATTATTGGGGTAGTGAGCTAGGGAGTACCCCTTCAACTAGAATAACAACTACACTTGATCTGAGATGTCAAAACGGGATGAGGAAAAGCCAGTCATGCAGAAACCTGGGGTAAAAATACATTCCAGGTAGACAAAAAGTATAAAGCTTTGGGAGGAAGATGGACGTTGGCAAGTTTAACAAACAAAGCCAGTATGATTTGAAGGTAGAGTATGAGGAGAAGATACAGTGGGATGGCATCCTGTGGCATCTGTCCATTGTAGAGGCCCTAAACCCACCCTGACATTTGTAGTAAATTAGATGCATCCTGGAATGGTACTTTTATATCACCTTCTCTCTCCTGTGCTCCCTCCTCTCGTATTCTTTTTTCTTTCAAGAATAAGAGCCAATGGCATAGACGAGCAGTATCATTGCTAAGAAATCTGAAAAGACTATTCTTTAGTCCATCTAGTACTCCTGTGCAAACAGAAAAAGTTGTGCCTTCCTGAGAACACTTTACTGCCACGTGTTAGAAAAATACGTAATAAATAAGAATATCAGCAACTCACTCATAATTGTGCAATGTCCTATATGTAGTATGTAGCAGCCCTGGTTGCAGAGATAGAGAAAAGTAGCTCTATGCAAAATATGCAAACCAAAATGGTTCCATTTTTTCCTGTATGTCATATACCAAATGCTGCAGATGCTAAATATACATATAGATTTACATGCATTGCAAATTACTACTATTCTGCATTAGCTACAGTTGGCTACTGATTCTGATAGCATTTTCATCATGAGAAAAAGAATGAGTCTTTTTGAATATTAGTCAATGGAGAAAATACTGTGTTTACAATAAAGTGATACAGACTTAAGTGGCTGTAACCACTAATGTACCTTTATAAAAGTGGTAAAAGTCTTAAATACATCCACAAGTGTTAGAAGTAGTGATCATCAGACAGTCTATCTGAAGAAGATATTAAGACAGTGTTTTCTTTGGAATGCATTTGCCTATATTACCTCATGTAATTCAAACATTATTTTTATTTTGTAGTTTCCTGATTAAGTTTTTAAAAATAAGTCAAAGGATATTTTGGTAAAGTAACAGATTCCAAAAAAAAGCAAAAAAAAAAAAAAACCCACATTTTCAAGCTTAATCCCAAAGATGACCATTTGTTTCATCATTTAGGCTAAAGTTTTCTAATTTAGGAAAGAAAAACGTGTGTCTTTGACTTTATGAGAAATAATCTGTGATACTGTGTACATCTGTGATTTCTAGATGAATAGCATTCGAATGCCACTTCAATATGATTAAAATTAATAAGCAACTAATAAAATCCATAAAGGATAGCTTTTCCTGAAAGTGTCCAATGATGGAAGAGTGCCACCTAGTGTTCAATGTGGATTTAACATATCCTGCCCAAAAAGCCATTTCACAAAGCCATTTCACAAAGCCATTTCACAAATACCCTCAATTTTAGCCCTGTAGTTATTCATTAAACCATAGTAATTTTGCAGAGCCCTAGTCAAGTATCAAAATATGAATTATGAATTCCTGAAAAAAATGTATATCACCTATATCCACTAGAAACTGAGTTTTTGAAAAGGAAGTTAAATTTCTATAGCTACATAAAAGCAAAAGAAAGAGTTAACTCAAAAAAAAAAAAAATTTTAAACATCGTGACCCTAAGTAGTAGGCTAGAAAGAACATGAGGTTCTAGGCTAAATAGGTTCAAATTTGGGCCCTACCGCTTTCTAGCGTATAATCTTGGGTATTTTAAAAAACTGAGGTTTCCTTATGTGAAAAGAATATACAGTAGGCATTCAATAAGTGATAGATATTAACTATTAAGAAAAAGAGATTTCCCATTCTTTTTTAAAGAATAAGTTAATAAGTTTCTTTTTTTAAAGAAAAGTGAGAGCAAGTTTATTAAGAAAGTAAAGGAATAAAAGAATGCCTACTCCATAGGAAGAGCAGCCTCCTTTTGTTTTTAATATATCCCCTCCAGTCATCGGGACTTTAGGAAACATTTTAATGAAAGGATAGCTTGTGCCAGGTCAACAATTTCATTTCTCTCTAATTCCTTGCATAAAAGAGGACCCAATCTGGGGTGGGGGGGTTATCCTTTGCCCAGTCAGCCCCAAATAAGTTTAAAGTTTTTAAATTTATTGATGAAATTATCAAACAGCCACTCTTATGGAATATGCGTGACATTCAGTGAATTCTCTTCCATTGCTTTCTAACATCTAATAAATTCCTTTCGCTTGCTTTCTAACATCTAACAAATTACATAACAGTATCTTAAACAATTAAAAACAATAATTTAAAAAATGCTATTAAATCATTTCAAGAATATCTTTCTCATGACATTTTTAAAAAAGGTTTAATCCACAATGTATGTCTATTTAGTGTGTGTGTGTTGTGTGTGTAACAGAACCTCTTTTTTTAAAACCCTGGATTCATTTTATCAAGCTCCTTACAAATTTTCCAAAATTAAGTCCCTTTTTAGCCTAATCCTTTCTTTAAGGCTATAGATTTCTCATTTGTATTAGTAAGAATGTAACTGTATAAAAGGAACAGTATCTCAAAAGCTCAGTGTATTAATTAGAATAGTTTTCTAAGCAAGCTATTACTGAGGGACTACAAGAGTGAGTAAGAAATAAGCCCTACCTCCATGGTGTCTCATGCCTGTAATCCCAGCACTTTGGGAGGCCGAGGCAGATGGATTGCCTGAGGACAGGAGTTCGAGACCAGCCTGGCCAACATAGTGACACCCTGCCTCTACTAAAACTACAAAAACATAGCGGAGTGTGGTGGTGGGTGCCTGTAATCCCAGCTACTCAGGAGGCTGAGGCAGGAGAATCACTTGAACCTGGAAGGTGGAGGTTGCAGTGACCCAAGATCGTGCCAAGAAAGAAAGAAAGAAGAAAGAAAGGAAGGAAAGGAAGGAAAGGAAGGAAAGAAAGGAAAGAAAGGGAGAAAAGAAAGAAAGAAAGAAAGAAAGAAGGAAGGAAGGAAGGAAGGAAGGAAGGAAGGAAGGAAGGAAAGAGCCCTGCTCTCAAGGAGCTCACTCTCCTTAGTACATTACTGAGTCCCAACTCAGAGAGCCAGACAGCAGGATAGAGAGGTATTAATAAATTCCCAATGCATGTCTTTGAAAGTAGATGGATCCATTCTCCACCAGCACTGCCTTCCCAGAAGACTACAGCCTGTGCAAAACGCAGAGGGGATCTTGAAGAAAGCAGGAGTGATGGGGCAGAGATGCCTCTACTTCTGCTTGGCCCTGGATGTTTCTCTCTTTTGTCTCCTAGATTTTGGATGTCTGTCCCTCTCCCTCTTTATTGGTCCTGGATTTCTTTCTCTCCCTCTCTCTAGCTTCACGTTGTATATCTTTCTTTCCTAGAGAAATAGAAGGATATTCAAGAAAAGAGGGAAAAAAAGAAAAATAAGGCAAACATAAAAGAGATTAAAAATAGAGAAGTGATGTGAGCACTTACTGATATGGTATTAACTAAATAAACTTTGTAATTTCTTTCCTTCGTTTGGAAATTAGAATTACTTCAATGTGGAATAGTCATATACACATACAGACATGCACATCACATGTAAATGGGATCATCACACTGAGGTAGAAGACATGTGGGCCTTTCAGTATGTCCCAACTAGTTTCTTTAGCTATAAAATTTGGGAATAAGACTAGATCAATAGTTCAAAAACATTTTCCTGTTTCCTTTTTTCTTTCTTTTTTTTCTTTTTTCTTTTTCCCCTATTTCTTAACCTATAGTAAGAACCACAGTTTCCATTGGGACCAATACACACCCACACCCACATCCACCCACAACCACACACACACATGCCCTACAACTGGAATAAAATTCTCAAAAACAATTCTTATTCTCAATATGTGAAATGTACTGATATTTTTATACCTTTTTTTAAAAGCTGTCTATTACTTACAATTTAGCGCCTACAATCCAGTGATACATCATAACCTCAATTTCATAATCACTGATGTTAACCAAAATCAAAGGTCTCTTTCAGATCTAAGACTTTATGACTTGAATGACCAGTGGGTCAATGAAGAAATTAAAAAGAAAATTGCAAATTTTCTTGATACAAACGATAAAGGAAACACAATATACTATTAGTTATGGAATGCTACTAGCTAGGGAATTCAGTGAAAGCAGTATTAAGAGGGAAATTTATAGCTCTAAGTGCCTACATTAAAAAAAAAGAGAGAAAAACTTCAAATAAATAGCCTAATGATGAACCTTAGAAAATTACAAAACCTGGAGCAAACTGAAACCAAAATTAGAGGAAAAGAAATAATAAGATCATGGCAGAAATAAATGAATTTGAAATGAAAAAAAAATACAAAAGATCAATGAAACAAAAAGTTGGTTCCTTGAAAAGATAAACACAATTGATAATCCTTTAGTCAGAGTAAGAAAAATAGACAGAAGGCCCAAACAAATAAAATCAGAGATGAAAAAGGAAACATTACAAATGATACTGCAGAAATTCAAAAGATCATTGATGGCTACTATGAGCAACTATATGCCAATAAATTTAAAAATCTGTAAAAAATCAAAAACTTCCTACACACATAAAACCTACCAAGATTGAACTGGGAAGAAATCCAAAACATGAAAACACCAATAATGAGTAACAAGATCAAAGCCATAATAAAAAGTCTCTGAGTAAAGAAAAGCCCAGGACCTGATGGCTTCACTGCTGAATTCTACCAAACATATAAAGAACTAATACCAATCCTATTCAAACTATTCCAAAAAATAGAGGAAGAGGTAATATTTCCAAGCTCATTCTATGAGCTCAGTATTACCCTGATACCAAAACCAGACAACAACACATCAAAAAAAAAAGAATGAAAAAGAAAACTACAGAACAATATCTCTAATATTGATGCAGAAATCTTCAAAAATGCTAGAAAACTGAATTCAGTAACACGTTAAAAATATCATTCATCATGACCAAGTGGGATTTATCCCTGAGATGCAGGGATGGTACAACACATGCAAATCAATCAATGTGATACATCATATCAACAGAATGTAGAACAGAAACCATACAATCATTTCCATTGATGCCGAAAAAGCATTTGATAAAATTCAACATCCCTTCTTGTTAAAAACATCAAAAAATTGGATATAGAAGGAACATATACTTCAACATAATAAAAGCCATATATGACAGCCCCACAGCTAGTATCACAATGAAAGGGGAAAAACTGAAAGCATTTCCTCTCAGATCTGGAACATGACAAGGTTATACACTTTCACCACTGTTATTCAACATAGGAGGTCCTAGCTATGGCAATCAGATGAGAGAAAGGGCATCCAAATTGGAAAGGAAGAAGTCAAAGAATCTTTGTTTGCAGATGATATGAGCTTACCTTTGGAAAAACCTAAAGACTCCACCAAAAGACTCTTAGAACTGATAAATCCAGTAAAGTTGCAGGATACAAAATCATACAAATATCAGTAGCATTTCTATATGCCAACAGTGAACAATCTGAAAAAAAATTTTTTAAGTTATCCTATTTACAATAGTCATGAACAAAATAAAATACATAGGAATTAACAAAAGAAGTGAAAGATTTATACAATGAAAACTTTAAAACACAGATAAAAGAAATTGAAAAAGCCACTAAAAAATTGAAAGATTCCATGTTTATGGAAAGAATCAATATTGTTAAAATGTCCATACTACCTAAAGCAATCTACAGATTCAATGCAATCACTATCAAAATATCAATGATATTCTTCAAAGAGTAGAAATAGAAAAAACAATCCTAAAATTTATAAAAGACTCAGAATAGCCAAAACCATCCTAAGTAAAAAGATGAAAACTGAAAAAAATCACACTATCTGACTTCAAATTATACTACAGAGCTATAGTAACCAAAACAGCGTGGTACTGGCATAAAAACAGACACATAGATCAATGGAACAGAATAGAGAACCCTGAAACAAATCCATACATCTACAATGAACTCATTTTCAACAAAGTTTCCAAGAACATATATTGGAGAAGACAGCCTCTTCAATAAATGGTACTGGAAAAACTGGGTATTTATACACAGAAGAATGGAACAAGACCCCTTTCTCTGGTCATATACAAAAATAAAATCAAAATGGATTTGGATTAAAGACTTAAATTTAATACCTCTAACTATGAAACTACTACAAGAAAACATTGAGGAAAATTCCCAAGGTATTGGTCTGGGCAAAAATTTCTTGACCACCACCACACAGGCACAGGCAACCAAAGCAATCATGGATAAATTGGGGCACATCAAGTTAAAAAGCTTCTGCATAGCACAGGAAACAATCAACAAAGTCAAGAGACAACCCACAGAATAGGACAAAATATTTGCAAACTAACCATCTAACAAGACATTAATAATCAGAATACACAAGGAGCTCAAACAACTCTACAGGAAAAAAAATCTAATAATCTGACTAAAAATTGGGCAAAAAATCTCAATATACGTTTCTCAAAAGAAGACAACCAGTGGCAAACAGGGATATGAAAAGTTGCTCAATATCATTGATCATGAGAAAAATGCAAATCAAAACTACAATGAGGTATCACCTCACCCCATTTTAAAAAAGTTTTATCCAAAGGACAGGCAGTAACAAATGCTGGCAAGGATGTGGAGAAAAGGGAACACTCATACACTGTTGTTGGGAATGTAAATTAGTACAACCACTATTGAGAACAGTTTAGAGCTTCTTCAAAAAACTAAAAATAGAGCTACTTTATAATCCAACAATCCCACCACCGGGTCTATACCCAAAAGAAATCAGTACAACAAAGAGTTATCTGCACTCCCATGTTTATTGCAGCACTATTGACAACAGTCAAAATTTGGAAGCAACCTAAGTGTCCATCTAAAGAATGGAAAAGGAAAATATGGTACATATACCAAATGAAGTACTATCCAGCCATAAAAAAATGTGATTCTGTCATTTGCAAAAACATAATGGAATTAAAGGTCATTATGTTAAGTGAAATAAGCCAGGCACAAAAACATTGCACGTTCTCCCTTACTTGTGAGATGTGAAAATCAAAACAATTGAACTCATGGAGATAGAGAGTAGAAGGCTGGGAAAGGTAGTAGGGGGTTGTGGAGTTGAGGATGGTTAATGGGTACAAAAAAAATTGAAAGAGTGAGTAAGACCTAGTATTCAATAGCATAACAGGGTGACTATAGTCAATAATAATTTAATTATACATTTTAAAATAACTAGAAGAGTGTAACTTGATTGTTTGTTAACACAAAGAATAAATACTTGAGGAAATGGATACCAAATTTTCCACAATATGTTTATTATGCATTGCATGCCTGTACCAAAATATCTGGTGTACATATTTATATATTAAAGTATTAAATATATACTTATATATTTATAAATATTATATATAGTGGGTATATATAAATGTATACATATATATATACACACATACACACACCTAGTATACTATGGGTGTGTATATATGTTTTATATATATATATGTGTGTGCACATATCTATTATATATAATAGATATAATATATATAATACATAATAGATATATTATATTATATAATAGATATATAATTATAAACATAATAATATATAATGAATATAATATAAAATAAATATAATAAAATATATAATATATCTATTATGTATTATATATTATATATGTTTATATATAATATAATTATATATGTTTATATATAATATAATTATATATGTTTATATATAATATAATTATATATTATATATTATAGATATAATATATAATATACTATATATTATAGATATAATATATAATATACTATATATTATAGATATAATATATAATATACTATATATTATAGATATAATATATAATATACTATATATTATAGATATAATATATAATATACTATATATTATAGATATAATATATAATATATATTATATATTATAGATATAATATATAATATATTATATATTATATCTATATATAATATATTGTATATTATATATAATATATTGTATATTATATATAATATATTGTATATTATATATAATATATTGTATATTATATTATATATATTAAATATATATTATACACACACACACACACACACACACACATATACCTGCTATGTACCCATAAAAATTTTAATTTTGTTTAAAAAAGACTGATTTCATGCCACATAAGCCTTGTATGATCTGGTCTCAGGCTACCTCTTTATCTCATCTGCCTCACCTGCCTCTGCCACCCTCTCCCTCACCTTCTCTGCTCCAGTTACACTGGCCTTCTTGCTGGTTACTAAATAAACCAAGCAGGCTCCCACCTCAGGGTCTTTGGATGTACTATTTCCTCTACCTAGACAGCTCTAGGGCTAGGATTCCCAGGGCTCTCCACATCATCACTTCATTCAGGTCTCCACTCATATGTCAGCAATGTAAGGAGGCTTCTCTGACCAGCTAACTAAATACCAACTTCTTCACTCTCTGTCTTGTTTGATTTTTTTTCCATAACACTTATCAAAACCTCAAATTATACTACATATTTGTTTATTCTGCATCTCCCCAGAAATTTTAGCTCCATAAGGGTGGGACTTTGTCACTGATTGCTCAGAACAGTGCCTGGCACTCAAGAGAAACTTAAAAATAATTGTTGAATGAATGAAGCTAGAGCTCTCTCTCAGAATAAAAGAGTCCACTGTTTTTGACCCATAATTCTAGATTTTTCTCTAGAGGTGAACAGCCCTTGATCAAAACTGTTTGTCCACTCCTGGTCTCTACCAAGTAACTAGCAGGGAAATTCAGTGGAAAGTTACCTTCCTTTCTTCTCAACTGTCTTTTCAGAGGATTATCTTTCTTCCTTGGATGTTTGTGCCTTTCTGCTCCCTGATGATATTGATATCTTTTCTCTGTAAATACAATACCTACTTCCAAGGACACTATCAATTAGTTAAGAATCTTAAATGCCTTTAAAAATAGAAAACATTCTCTAAGTGTCAGGCACTATCGTTAAAATGGCAGATTTGCAAAGCTTTTGTCAGGTGCTAAAGTGAAAAAAGAAGGTGAAGCTGGTAGGGGGACAGAGAGCAACTGGAGTTGTTACTTTAGAAAGGTGGACAAGGAAGTCCTCTCTGATGAGGTGTCATTTGAACATACATCTGAAAAAACGTGTAGGAGCATTTCAGGCAAATGGAATAGTAAGTGCAGCTGAAGTGTATGTAAAACTGGAAAAAAAAAGATGTAAACTTTGAAAATGTATATCTCAGAAGGCTAAACCAAAAAGAATTGCTTAAAAATTATATGAATAAGAACTACCTCAAATAATTCTGAATAGTCACCAACTCTGTGTATCTTGTGTCCTCTCAAAACTCACCCAAAGGGACATCTGGGTCAATGAACAAAAATGTTTAAAAGAAAGTGGGGTAGGGGGCAGCATCTGTGAAGCACTTAATTGTACAGGACACTAGGCTGAACCCTGAAGAATGAACCACAATGACGGAGTTTCCTACTTCATTTCCAAATGCGTTCCAGTAACTTTAGGGAATCAATGTTGACATTAATATGCATAAGTTTAATTTTGGATTTATACATATTCACATGTTAAAGAAAACCTGAAGCTCAGTGAATGAAAAATTGCAGAGAAAAAGCAGTAAAGTCAACTAATCTTGTTTTTAATTAGCGTTCTTTCAGTCATTAGCCTCTCTTCTGTGTTCCCACATTCAGTAGGTCTCTATCTTAACACTTGGAAATAACAACAGCAGTAGTAACAGTAATAACAGCAAACATTTTTTGGATGCTTACAGTGTATAAAGCATTGGGCTAAACAGTTTATCATTTAATTATAATAATATCCCTATAAGGGAACTAGTATTATTATTATTATTATTATCCTCATTTTACAAATGAAGAAATTGAATTTCTCTAAGTTAGTATTACAATGTTACAGTGTATCATGTATTTCTCTTCTTCTCTTTTTTCTTCCTCCAAGACTGTGAGCTTTTTAAAAAAGAAATCTAGTCTTGTTCATCTTTGTATCTCATATATATAGCATGTTGCAAGAACCCAAAAGTGGGCAGAAAGATGAGTTCAAGAGCCTCTGCTCTATATCTGAATATAAATGCTTATTATGTCAAGTTTGATTCTAGAAGTGTTCTAATAATGCATGCCACAACCTAGGTGTTAAGGGTATTGGGAGACAAGATAAAATCATCAGGCCAATACTAATTTTTATGTGGAAATGCTAGAAAAAGTGATCATAATATTATAGAAGCCATTCATTCTTTGCATAAAAACTTGAACATTTTTAATTATGAAAAATATTCAGATATCTAAGATAGACAGATATTCACCTTTTAGAGATCTCAGTGCATGCAGTAAAATCCAATAAGGTACCTAAAAGGCAATATGGTTTAACATAAATGATAAAACTGTACTTGCCACTAGATGAAGGGATTTTCAGTTTTTCCAGAGCCGAATTTCTGAGTCTAAGTGGCAAGAAACAGACTGGGTCTGAACGGTCTCATTGTACTTTCACAGTCAAATTACTGAATAATAAAATCTCACATGACCAGCAATAAAAGTAAATGTTCCCAGCTAATCCATTTAAATTGAGTAGATATTCAGGGATCTCACACCTAATACCTGCTAAATACATATCACACATGTTTAGCTGCCCCTATCCACAAAAGTATATGACCATTATTGAAACTGGTCTCAAGACCAATCTCTGCCATTTCCCTCCCTTTTACCAGCTTTTTCTTATTTCCATTAGGAAAATGAATCTATAAGAGAAATTTAGGAAGAGGGAATTTAATATATAAAAGTAAATTTTTCAATAGCCACAAAATTGCATAACACCATTAACCTCAAATATTTATTTTTGAAGGTTGATATTTTAATCTCTTCCATTTTCCTCAACTATCTTCTCATTAGGCAGCAATCTGGTTAATATGAAAATAACACATTTCATATGTATATTACAGTTTATAAATTACTTTCATATTAACTTATTTGATCTTCACAAAAAATGCTTTAAGGTAATCTAAACAGAAAGTATTATTTTGATTTTATGGATGAGAAAATAACTATCCAAAAAGATTACATAACACACAGCTCATAAGTGCTTAAGCCAGGACTGGAATAAAGACTGAAATTTTAGATTTCTAGCTCTACATCAGTTTGTTTGTACTTCAACAAGCTACATCTTGAAAATAAGTACACAAGAGAGGACTGGAAAATCTGTCTACAAATAATAGTTAAAAAAAGGCCAACTTAATATTCTTCACTACAGTCAGACAATAAACCTTGAATTTTAACAATTTATAATAGATGTAAAACAATAATTACAAAGAAATATTGTAGGTAAGTATTAACAGTGCCTTTCATCTATAGAACATACAGTAATTTATATTTCTCTCAATATTCTGAGCAAAGCAGGTGACAGTTTTATTAAAAGTTCAAATCTATTGTTAGACATATGTATGTAATGTATAGAAATACCAGTTTAGAGTTTAGAAGAAACAGGCACCATGGTATACTGCTAGCAGAGTATTCACTGGCAAAACTATTTTGGGAGTAGTCTGGCAATGTATATTGAAAGCCTAAAAATGCACATGACCTCTCGCACCTAGTTATTTCCTTTTTAATTTATTGTAAGGAAATAATTATGGATGTCTATAAAAATGTGTTCGCAAAAATATGTTAGTATTGTGTTAACAGAACAAATTAATAAATGGATTGGTTAAATCAGAGTAAATGAAAGAATAAAACGTAGAGCTGTCCCTCAGTATTTGCAGGGGATTGGTTCCAGGACTCCTACAGATACCAGAATCCTTAGACGCTCAAGTCCCTTACATACAATGATATAGCATTTGCATATAACCTATGCATATCCTCCAGTATATTTTAATTCATCTCTAAATTACTTACAACACGTAATACAATGCAAATGCTATGTAAATACTTGTTATAGTGCTTTGTTTTTATTTGTATTTTTTATCATTGTATTGTTATTTTTTTTTTTCAAATATTTTCAATCCTCAATTGGTTGAATCTGGATGCAGAACCCATGGCTACCCAGGGCTGGCTGTAGTTCTTAAAACTGATCTGGAAAAATGCAAAAGATATATTAAGTGGGATAAAACAGATTTCTAAACAATGAATATAATAGAATCATATTTTAAAGGATATGTATCTCTGTGTGTGTGTGTATATATGTATGAGTATATATGTGACCAGGATATTACACAAAAATATTAATAGCGATTGTATACAGGCAGTGTTATTATAGATAAATGTAATTTTATTACTTTTACTTTTATATTTTCTCATTTCTAAAAATGACTAAGTAATTTTCCTATATTTCTACAACAGAATAAGTTAAATATCTTTATAAACATATATAAAACATATATAGCATATATATGTATCATGTAAATATTGAAACTATGGAAAACAAAGGATAAAAGTTGAATTTACATCTATCAGAGAGCTCTAGAGCCATTATGTGTGCATATGAAGATACATTTTAAAGAGTATAGAAATATGAAGAAGGCACAGCACATAAGATGAGTCAGGAGAGAGAACAACAGCAACTTATTAAGGCAAAGTGTCCAGTATCAGAAAATAAATGTGAATTAAGCAGTACATTTTAATAGCTACAGTTTCTCACATCTAATTAACAGAAAGTTTTAAATATTGACAACTTTGGAAGTGAAGAAGTTTAGGCAGTTTTTGAAAAAAATGTGAATACAAAGTTCATTGGGAATGCTGGAGATACTTCTGGAAAGTAAGATACTTCAATCATATGCTATAGCAGCATCAAGAAAGGTACTAGGTGAAGATCACAGCAGCAAACATAACTCCCATGTTGAAACTATAATGCATACCCATCTGGAATATGTAGCTCTGCTCGCCACACCTTAGAGTAGATATTATAGAAACAAAAAATAAGTCCAGAAATGGGAAAATAAATTATGAAATGGCAACTATAAGGGATGAAATTAGGAGTCTCTGAAGTTCAAAGACAAAAGAAGCTCAGAAAAATATTTCCCAAAGCTTATAAGATCATAAATTTTACAGATAAGATAAAAATAAGCACCAAGAGACCAAATTAATATGGCAAAAGTTTAAGGCAAATCCAAGGAAAATAAAATATTTTGATGGAATAGGTAAAATATATAAGATGTATAATACTACTGCATTTAGAATAAAATCCAAAATCCCTCCCAAGTTCCATAAGTCTCAGTATTCCTGGCTCCTTCCTGCCTCTCAGATCTCTTCTCCTCCAGCTGTCCTCTCATTCCCTAGGCCCCAGCCACACTATCTCCCTCCTGTTCCTCTAATGCACCTCTGTGCTCACTATTGACTCTGCCTGGAATGCTCTTCTCCTAGGTTTCACCTGGCAAGCTGCTTTCTATCATTGACATCTCAGCTTAAAAGTCACATCCTCATGAGGACCGTCCCTGATTGTCCTACTCAAGGCTACTTGCTCTTGGAACCAACCAATATTGCATTACTTAGTTTAATTTTCCTCATAGTACTTATCATCATATGAGGTCATCATTCGTTTATTTATTCATGTAAACTGTTTTTCTCTCAAACTAAGGAAAAAAACAATTAAAGAGTTTTATCATCAAAGAGACTTTCCCTCACCACCCCAGGCTAGTTCAGATCACTCTATTTTATTACTAACTTCCACCTCACCTTGTCATTTTTCTTTTGTAATCCAACTTATACTTGTAATTTATTTTCCAATATCTGTTTTTCTCCATAAATTCCATGAGTTAGGGGCCACTGTGTGCTATCTTATTAATCAATGTATACCCACCAGTTACCAGTATATGGAAAGTACTCAATAAATACTTTCTCGAATAGAAGAATAACTGGTGAATGAGAAAGAATTGGGAATAAAAAGGCAGAAAAAGGAAAGCAAAAATAAATAAAAAGCTACATGAAAAAAATTATGGCATTATATTAACCACTTACTATTCCGTTCTCCAAATACCACTGTTTCCTACTAAACAAGAATATAACAGGCTCTAAACTGCATTTGTAATACAATATATAGGAAAATAAACTTTTAAGAGTTTCATATCTGCAATTTATGCCCTGTGCTTTCTGATTCACTTTTTGTAAATAAAATCCTGTGGATCTTTGGAACTGCAATTCTTCCAAATCAGCAATTCAAGTAACAAAAGGAATTCTGGATGACTAAAAAGCAGATGCTGTCTGGGTGCCAAGCTTCATGCCTATAATCCCAGCAGTTTGGAAGGCCGAGGCAGGCGGATGACCTGAGATCAGGAGTTTGAGACTAGCCTGGCCAAAATGGCGAAACCCCGTCTCTACTAAAAATACAAAAGTTAGCCAGGCGTGGTGGCATGCGCCAGTAGTCCCAGCTACTCGGGAGGCTGGGGCACAAGAATTGCTTGAACCCAGGAGGCAGAGGTTGCAGTGAGTGGAAATCGCGCCACTGCACTCCACAGCCGGGTCGACAGAACAAAACTCTGTCTAAAAAAAAAAAAAGGCAGGTGCTAAAAACAAAACCAGAAAAGCTATTAGGAGAAACGTCATAAAGTTGGAAACTGAAAAGCATTTCATTTCATGGAATAAAATTTTGTTCTTCAGTAATTATGAAACTGTCTTTGAAAACTCTGTTAAAAACAACTTTGACTCATGCCTGTAATCCCAGCACTTGGGGAAGCCGAGGCAAGTGGATCACTTGAGGTCAGGAGCTCGAGACCAGCCTGGCCAACATGGTGAAACCCTGTCTCCACTAAAAACACAAAAATTAGCCAGGCATGGTGGCACATGCCTGTAATCCAAGTTACTCACAAGGTGGAGGCAGGAGAATCGCTTGAACCCAGGAGGCAGAGGTTGCAGTGACCCGAGATCACACCACTGCACTCCAGCCAGGGTGATAGAGTGAGACTGTGTCTCAAAAATAAATAAATACATAAACAAACAAACAACTTTGAGACATTTTACTTCAAAGGTTTAGATTAGTTCTTATGGAACATAGCTAATAATCTTTAAAGTCCTTTATTACACTAACAGTTCATCTGGAGTAATGATATTCTAATAAATGCTATATTTTAGAAGATACATAATATTAATATCTTTGTCAAATATATCTTAGAATTACCTTCTCTGTCCTCTTTATAATATGTAAAAGAAATTGATGAGTCCAGCATACGCTTCATCTTAAATGAGGTGTATGAGAAACATGCTAAACTATGGTTCCCTATCTCTGCTTCACAATATAAAGGTGATTCCAGAATTTGGAAGCCTCAACTATAACAAACTAGATGAAGACAGAAGCTGATTAGATAAACTGCAGTGGTCAGGAAGCCTCACCAACAGAGCAAACAACCTCCATCTTCAGCTGCTTATTGAGAGGCCATAATCCTTTGCTGCAATACATACAACAGTGGCTAGACTGAACACAGAGAAGGGACATCTGTTTCTTAGGCCTGTTCTTTCTCATAAATGATTGATGGCAAATATGGAGGAGAGTGATCTGGATGCACAAAGAAACTTGAAAATTTTACTCTAGCCAATTTTAGGCTTTCGTTAATTCAAAGCTGTATCTGCCATACAACAAGAACATTTTCACTAGATCAAAAGAGGAATAAGAATATCTGCAGGCCTTGAGATTTCAACTATTTTGCCTTTTAAACTATATATTAGCTGAACGTGGTGGCTAACATAAACATAATCCCAACACTTTGAGAGGCCAAGGTGGGAGGATCACTTGAGCCCAGGGGTCCAAGACCAGGCTGGGCAGCATAGTGAGACCCTGTCTCTGAAAAAAAAAAAAAATTAGCTGGGCATCATGGCACACACCTATTATCCTAGCTGCTCGGAAGGCTGAGGCTGGAGGATCACTTGAACTTGGGAGGTTGAGGCTGCAGTGAGCCATGATCTCACCACTACATTCCTGCTGGGTGACAGGGCAATATCCTGTCTCAAAAAAAATAAATAAATAAAAATAAAATAATAAGATAAAACAAATAAAGTATATATTATTCAAAGTACCCTGTGTCTTGAACTTTGTGGATCAGGACTCACAGTAAGAAATATATTTTACATCAGAATCCAGTACACATCCAATACATATACAATTAAACAAAAGTTCATGAACGTTACCCTTACAACATGTAGTGAATATGTTAAGTTGCTATTTTATGTCATCTTTTTAATGCTGGCTACATACCACAAATTTGAGTAATGAGTCATCAGGTACAGTTTGAGAAACACTGCTGTACGTATACGTGTGGTCTGGCCTCTGCCTACCTCCCTAACCACATTTCATGGTATTTTGCACCATATTTTCCCTACTGCAGCCACCCCTGCACCATCCCACCACCCAGTTTCTATTATTTTATTACATTGAACCATAAGTTCCTAAAATATACCAATCTCTTTTCTGCCTCAGGGTATTTGATCTTGTTGTTAGCGTGGCCTGGACTCCTCCAGATCACTGCACTTTGTATTATATTATGCAGGTCTCAATATAAAAGTTCTTTCCACAGAGAGGCCTTCATTGACCACCTAATTTGAAAGAGCCCCAGCCTGCAATCCCGGCAGGAGGAGTGGGAACAGGAGTTCATTCATTGCCCTTAGCATTCCTGGGAAGTTTGATAACATAATGTAAGACAGGCAAAAACCAAAAACAGTATTGAGCAAATGTCACTTTCTACCTCCCTATGCCATTGCACAGGTCATAGAATTCTAACTATTGAAATTCTATTCCATTTTCTTCATGACAACTTTTCTGACTCTGACTGAGAAGCAGGGACTCAATTGTACAATTTGCCCCCTATTACTTTGTATTCTCTCAGACCACTTAGCGCATTCTTTCTTATTTTGTATTCATTCCGCAAACATTTGAGTGCCTAATATGATCTAGGCAATACTGTGAACAACATAAGCATGAATTCCTCCAACAGTTCACATTTTAGTAAGAGTGACAGATCTATAAACAAATAATTTCAACCGAATGAGGCAAGTACAATAGGAGAGATGTATACTACATAAAATGGTGACAAAAAGAATGAACAATCAACCTCTTTTTCTTTTTTTCTTGATTTCACAGTGTGGAGGGGAAAGCTCTGAATATCTGCATAGATTTTAAATTTGTATTTATTTATACTTTTTTAGAGACAAGGTCTCGCTATGTTGCTCAGGCTGGCCTTGAACTCTTGGCCTCAAGCAATCCTCTGACCTCAGCCTCTTCAATAGCTGGGACTACACACATATGCCACCGCACCTGACTCGACTCAACCCTCTTTGAGTAGGGAAGGAAGGCATCACAGAAAAGACACCTACACTGGGTCTGGAAGTGAATCCACCTTTGCAAAAATTATAACAGTGAGAGAAATCTAACCTAACTGACTCCATATTGCTTCTAACCTCACAAAGCTAACTGCCCTTGCTCATACCTGGGCATAGGCAAGCTAACTATGGGAGAAATTTATAGTTTAACTTTGAAGCAAGGATGGTAATAGTCCCTTCCAAAACTGACCCCCTCTAGGGACTAAAACAGCCTTGTAAGACTAATAGAAGGCCGCAAGGTTAGGACTATGGGAGGGACCTAAAATCTGCTAAAATATAGGCATAGGTAAGCAATAACCAGCTACTGTTCCTTGCTTTTCTATAATTTCTTACTATTCAGAAGTCATGTAGCCAGAGGTCACAAGATTTGTAACTTCACCAATTGCTCCTTTAGATAACATCACTATTGTAAAACCTAAGATTGGTCTTGAGATATTTTCCAGGCTTCTGCATTCTGGCAAACCTCCTGATGCCACCCAGATACATGCCTCATACCAAGAAACTGACTCTACTAGTCCTATGACTCTCACCTAGACAACTGACTCAGCACAGGAAGACAGTTTGGAAACACCTATAAATTCATCCCCAACCAATCAGCAGCGCCCATTCCCTACCAACCTGCCCACAAAATTATCCTTGAAAACCACAACTTCCAAGCTGTCAGGGAGGCGGATTTTAGAAATATTTCCCATCCTTCCACTCAACTGCCTTGCCTCCATTAAACTCTTTCTCTGCTGCAACTCCTGCATTCTCAATGTTTGGCCTTTCTGGGAAGTGGGCAAGAAGAACACGTTGGCCTGTAATAGGAGAATAAATAAGTTTGGCAAGCAACAAGAGGGTGCAAGTATTCTGTGTAGAAGGAATTGCAAGTGCAAAGTAGAAAGAGGAGGCATACTACCAGTTTGAAGTTGCTTGGTATGTTCAATGAAAAGCAAGTAGCTAAAAGGCAAGAGAATTTTTTTTTTTTAAGTATGGAAAGGGAAAGGCAAAAGCTAGACAGAAAAGTGCTTGTTCATGGAGGAACTTGTGTGCCATTCTAGACATTTTACTGTAGGAAATAGGGAATCTAGAGTTTTAAGGAGGTGAGTAAATCAACAGGTTGGGTTTTTAAAAATTCCTTCTTGTGGCAGAGAAAATAATGGATTGGAGAATTTCCAGACCAGACTGTAAAAGTCACTATTAAAATAATCACGAAATGAGGAGATGACAAACTAAAATTTGATCTAGTGAACAACTGAATATGGGAGAAATAGAAGAGGGAGGAATGTAGGATAACTCTGATTTCTAGTTTAGGTTATAATATAGTAGTAGCATTATTTAACTTGGTGAAAATAGGAGAAACCAGGAGGAAAGATAGCAAGTTCAGTTTTGGTCATATTAAGTTTGAAGGACATTTGAGACAGATGTGTCCGGGAAGCAACTGAGTTAGGCATTAGTAGATCTGAGAGGAAAATTGAAATTTAGAAGCAAAATCAAAGGTGTTAGTAGAATCCATGTGAGTGGACAAAATCACCCAAGGAAAATGTCTAGACTAAGAAATGAAAGTAATCAAGGAGTTAATTCCAAAGAATGACATTCAAAAACCAGGCACAGCCAGTAAAAGGAATTAATGACTATGAACCTCAGTTGTCACAAAGAGACTAAGTAATGTAAATTTTGAGAAGTAATTACTGTATTTGGTATTTAAAAGGCCATTAGAAACTTAAGCAAGAACAACTTTCTTGAAGCCATTAAAGAAGCCAGACAGAAGACTTTTGTCTGTTTGATATAAGTAAAAATAATATCCTTTCAAGAAGTTTACTGATAGATAGGAGGACTAGGAAATAACTGGATAAACACAGGATGGAGGACATGGTTTTGCTTTATTTAATTTTCATAAGATGTGTGACTTGAGCACTGAAGAGAAGAAACTGGAGAGGAAAAGGCTGAACGCACAGGAAAGAAAAAAACAACTGGAAGCGAAATGTAACAGATGGAAGCAAATGAGATCAAGAGCAAAGATGGATGGATTATCCTTTAATATCCCTTTCTCTACACTAGAAATACAAGACTAAAGGCTCGGCAAAAATATAGAGCAATGTGTAGGTTGGGGGCATGAGGTTGAAGAAATGGCCTGTTATACTCCATCATGTTTAGAAAGGAGAAATGAAGAGGGCAAAAGACAGGGTTTGTAAAGGGAAGGTTTGAAAATGTCTTCACAGAGAATGGGTCAGGGGAAAACTGGGGTAACCAAAAGGATTGCTGAGTAGTATGAAGAAACAAGGGGTGGTGGGTGAGGGCTCTGTTTCTAAATTCATAGCTATAACTATCTAAAGATCTTTCTATCCTCCAGTCCGTTATCCATAAGTGCTTAAAAGATATGGTAGTTAAGTGAATTAACTAGAACCCTCTCAAACATAGGGGTGAATTAAAATAACCTATAGGCTTATTTAAAATGCAAATACCGAGCTCCATTCCTTTCATTCAGAATTTCCAGGGGTGAAGCCCAAACAGTGAATTCCAGAAGCTCTCCAAGCAATCCCAGGAGAAATTTCTGTTTAAAAAAAAAAGAAGAAGAAAGAAAAGAAAAGAGAAAAGAAAAGCAAGCACAGACCTAGAAGGTAACCAACTGGATAGAAGAGCGCTGATCCAACATACACCTGTTAATGGCCCTCGTGGGGGCGTGGGGCAGTGCTCTGCCACTCAGAAAAGCAAAAAGACTCCAAGATCTAGGGAGATTCAGATCAGTGTTGAGACAGTCACATACACACCACCCCATACTCTTAATAAAGCGCGTTAATGTGAATCTGTGAACATGAAAAATGCCATGATGAACAATGCAAACACATAATGTTTGTTCAAAACAGGTTATTAGACTCGATGCCTTACCCTAAATTTTCTGTTTCATTACTCTAGAGACTTAGTAACATTAGTGGAATTCAGGGTGCTGTAAGAAATACGGAGAGCGAGGAGACTGCAGGAACAGCCCGTGGGAAGGGGGAAAGAGATAACGGGGAGAAGGTCGGGAGGACCGGACAACTTTAAGTGCCCATCCGCCCGAAGACTTGGAAAGCTAAGTAAGTAGGACCCCAGAGCCGTTCTTCTGGCATCCCCTGGCACTCACCATTGTCTCAGGATCTCAGCACTAGAAAATAGGTATCGTTGAGACAGGAAGACACCACCACCACCACCATCATACGGTTACTCAGGCAACAAAGCCCCGCCCACTGTCGCACGAGGCGTGGGACGCCACCGCCCCACCTCTTCGTCCTTAGTGGCTGGGAGTAATCTCAGCTGCGTTCATCCAATCGACAGACCCGCCCCTCCACGCTGTCGCCTGGGGCTACGAGACGCCATTATTCTGTTTCCGGCAGTTTTACTTCCGTTTGTTTAACAGCTGGCCCGGAAGTTTAAGTGAATATGCGGCTTGGGCTCCAAAAGTTGCTGTACGGTATTTTATTTTAAAGTAGAAATCTGTCCGCTTTTCACTTACGGAGGCCTTACAGTGTGTGTTCTGTGTTACTTGAGTTTATACGCACTGCAGAATTTGTTTACCCTGCTCTTTTGGAAACGTATTCCGGAAGCGAAACCCTGAGTAATCGGAAGTGGTTAGGAGTGAGAGAGCTGCTGGATATGCGGAGGGACTGGGCGGGTCGGCTTCCGAATGGAAGAGGTCTGTGAGAAGTTAACCTGGTGATACCGATCCGAAGAGCCTATCAAGTGAAGCCCCCTGAAATACGGAGAATAAGAATCTTAGAGGTAAATCCGAGGACAAGCAGGTATAACTAAGGATGTTGGAAAGGGACGGAGGTCTGGCTGGAGCTCGGTGGCCAGTAGCTTTGGATTTAGGGAAAGATTGTTCCGGGAAGACTTTTTCAGACAGGGATGAAACTTAGGTTTCGACTTCCCCGGACAGCAAAGTTGACAGGCTTGTCGCTTCCCGGCCTATCGCTTTCATACCTGCTCACTCCCCCTACTTACTTCTTCACCCCCTCCGCTTCATTTGGCATTTGCCAGCAGGCACTCGCTGTGCCTGTACGTTTCGCAGAGCAGCTATCAAGGGCAGTTTCAGGGATCGTTACTCTTACGAAGGGTTTTTTGGATACCTCTTTTCGGAGCAGTAGAGTGTAAGTGTAGAAAAGTTTGTGACTGTTAAGAAAGTTAGTCGTCGGGTTCACTAATTGAACTGAGTTGTATCTAGTACTGAGAACGATCTTTTTTTGTAGTGAAACCAGTTGTCATCTAGTGTACAGTTTGTCATATTTATATCATTGCAGTAGCATCACCTTCTTATATGTTCTCTGGTAAATCTGAGTCTGTACTGTAAGACAATGTATACATTTCTGAAAGCATGGGCTCGATATGTTTCTCTTTTTACTTTTGGAGCTACACTATTTTAATTTTAACTTTTTATTACCAAAAAAGTATAAATTATGTTATCTTGAGTAATATTTTTTGTCGTTTGTTAAACATCTAAACAGAAGCTCCTTTTTGATATGTGTGTGTGTGTATACAAATTGTGTCGGTATGTCTCCTAAGAAAGTAATTACTTTAAAATTCCTCTTGTCATATGGATGACAAAACCACCACAGTAACTTCATTCCCTTTGCTTGGCTAAAATTCAGGACATACTTCTGACAATTTAGAGTGTATTGGTGAGGATGGTGAAACGGAGTATTTAGAAGTAAACCACCCCTAATTTTTTTTTTTGAGACTTTTAGTAGACATAACAATGCCTTCTGTGAGAATGGGATATAAGGGACATTTCTCTTTCTAAATGCATGCGTACTAAATACAGAAGCAATTAAAATATCATAACTTTTAAATTGGAGGTACTCTATGTGTTTATATGATATTTTTAAAATTATTTCATATGCATACATTTCTAGGTTGTTCAGCAGAAGTCTTGGAGTGCATTTTCAGTGGTTAAGGTGAAAAAATGACTACTAAAAATTTAGAAACCAAAGGTAAGTGGCTTTTTTATAATTGTTTTTAAAACATGACATTTATGACGATGTGAAGGAACGTTTGAGCCAGATAACTAGATCTCATGGACCCCCTTGGGAATCATTTGTTATTTCAGATCCCTTTATGTTTATTTTTTAGTGCAGTGTTTATATTTCAGTACTTTAGATGTACAAGTGAAATTTAACATCATTAGTTAGAATTTATTAGGTGACTACTCTTAAACATTTAATGTTAATGCAAAGTTTTTAACAGCTATATTCCCTATACACTAGAAGATTACGATTTAAATAAGAATACACATTTTAAAGATTTAAGTAGATAGACAAAGCAACTAGGGTGTATCAAAGATCTCTTTCATGTTGTATTAGTTTGCTGGGGTTGCTGTAACAAAGTACCACAAACTGCATGGCTTGAACAACAAAATGTATTCTCTCAGTTCTGGAGGCTAGAAGTCCAAGATGAAAATGTCAACAAGGCTGTGCTCCTTCGGAAGGCATTAGAGACACTCTCCTAGCTTCCAGTGGCTTGCTGGCAGTCTTTGGTGCTCCTTGTCTTGTAGACGTACCACCCTTATCTCCGCCTTCATATTCACATGGCATTCTCCCTATGTGCATGTTTCTGTGTCTAAATTTACCCTTTTTATAAAGACAGCAGTCATATTGAAAAAAGGAACCCAGTCTACTCCTGTATGATTTCATCTTAACTAATTACATCTGCAGTGATCCTGTTTCCAAATGAAGTCTCATTCTGAGGTAGTGGGGGGTTAGTACTTCAACAAATAAAGATTTGGGGGACACAATTCAACCCCTAAATTGCTAAATACAGTAGTCACTTTTTAGTCCTAGCTGATTTGTCCTCTCTAATATTTAATACTGTTGACCATTCCCTGCCTTTTGAGATACGTTCTTTTGATGACTTCCATGACATCACTTTTATTTTCAGTCTACTCTGTAGCCTTTCACTGTCCAATGCGGTAATTACATGTGGCTATTTGAATTTAAATTAATATTTTTTAAAAATTAAAAATTCAGTTTCTCAATGACGCTTGCCAAACTTCAAGTGGTCGGTAGGCAAATATGGCGAGTAGCTATTTCAATCATTGAAGAAAATTCTGTTGGACAGCCCTGCTGTAGCTGTATCTTCTCTCTTTCTTTTTCAGCCTCTTCTCCTTCTTATTTATCTTTTAAATATCAACACTTTCCACCACTGTTTCTTTTCTACTCTCATGACTTCAGTAATTATCTATATAAATGACTTCCAAATCTATCTATATCCCTAATCTCCTTCTTTATGATTCATACCCTTATAGACTACTGCCTACTGGCCATCTTCACATAGCTGTAGGCAACAATTTTAACATGTCCCATAGTGAACTTCTCCTGACCCAGCTTATTCTTTGGATGGGTTGAGTTCTGCATGCTAGAACCATCAGTTAAAGATGGAAAACTGTTTTCTAGATGCCAATTTTTCAGCAAACTGACCTCCAGCCACAAACCCTCTCTAAAAGCAGGTTGAAATAAGTTTAAGAAACAAGGAAGAAAGATCATGCTAATAAATATTTAATTGAATTTAATTCAGCTTTGCAACAGCATTTCATAAGTCACCAGAAGGCTTTTATACCATTAGATAAGCAAGTCAGAGACTGTAATGAAAGTAATAAACTGGGGATTAATGGGAAATAAGAGCAGTTAAATAATTAATGTGAAAGCAACCAACATGGTGCTTGTCAAAAAGCAAAAACTAAATACAATATTATGATTAGTCATTAGAAGTACTGGCAAGTTCTCTGTGAAATTAAATTACTTTTTAATATTTATTATTACTTGTTTTTAATGAGGATTAGAGTTATAAGGCACTTTAACAAACATTATTTTGTGTGATCTTAATTATCCAGTAAGGAAAATAATTCTATTAGCCATATTTCTATTTAATCTGTCATCTGATGTTAGTGAACAAAAGTTACTTGTATTGCATGGCCTGTGAAAAGGTGTACTTGGTTGACATTTGTCAGTTGTCTGTGCTTCCTGTAACTGCCTCAGGAGATAAGTACGGTTGTTTGGTATAGCAACAGAACTTCCTCTCAGAAGACATTTGAGCAGCACTGTCATCATAAGAGGGTTGTATCATGGCTGCTAGTGCTGTTTCTGAAAGGGAAACATACAGTAAATAGTAACAATTAGAAACTTAAAATCCAAAGCTTTTCTTGGATGTGGGATTAAAATTGAAAATAAAGCTATTAAAGTCAACTAGTTTAGTAATAGTAGACCAAATAGAAAGGTCTGAGACATTTAAATATTTTTGATTCCATAAAATAGTCTAACACTAGTTCTGTAGAATAATAGGTGTTAGGTAAAAAAGATATTCCATGAGCAGATAAATTTGATAAATGCTGTATTAAAAGAGAGGCTATACTATGGGACCTCTCAGAGTCCTATAGTATAACTTTAATACTAATGTACATTGAAACTCTGTAGAGATGCAGTATGCAACATTGCCCACACTTATTTGACCAGGGATCTCTATCCATAGAGCCTGTGGTAAGAAGAATGCTTAGATTCCACTTCAGT
Organism: Homo sapiens; assembly: GCF_000001405.40. Lineage (NCBI taxonomy): Eukaryota > Metazoa > Chordata > Mammalia > Primates > Hominidae > Homo > Homo sapiens. Next base: position 169,372,119 of record NC_000001.11, read on the forward strand.
AAATCTCGATGTTACTCTTAAGTCCATTGTATGTAACTTATTTTACTAATTTAATAATAACTAAACTTTATTAGGTGATATGGGTGACATTTAAAAAGACTCTTGATTTAAAATTACCACATGACAATCCCTAATTTGTTTAACTGTATCATAGCTGAATTTGTATATGTTCTGGAAAGTCTTTCAGACTATAACCAAGTTAGGAATTAATGATTTAGGGTAGAGGAAAAAAAATAAAGCAGTTTTTAAATGGGTTAGTTTTTGGATGTTAAAAATGAAACACTCTAGGTAGTGTATTAACAGACTAATGAGCTTCAGTAAGCATTTATTCATTTTCTCTGTGACAAGGACCATTTTATTAGTTCATGACACAAAGATTAGGAGGCGGTCCATACCCTGAAGAGCTCCCAACAGTCTAGTCTACAAGAGAAACAAATTATTTTTAAAATATATACTACCATGTTTGCATTACTCTGAAAGCACCAAGGGATGGGAGGAGGATGAGGTTAAGTGCTTTGTCCAAGGTCACACAATACATGGCAGTAGGGACTTAAGTTATTTTAACTCAGGCTCTAGTGAGTTAGATTTCTTTTCACTACCCCATTCTGCTGACTTAGAGTACCTCTCATCATAGATTGAAGTTTTATGAATAAAAGAGAAATATTTGTTCAATGACAGACAATAAATTTTTTTTTGCCTCAATATTCTAGAGCAAGGGTTGGCAAATTGTGGCCCTCAGCCTCCTGAGAATATCTGCAATCAGTTTGATAATAGTGGACATTAACACTATTTAAGCCAAACATTATCCTGAATTAAAAAAAAATCTGTTCTTCCCATTATTAGACCTATGTTATCAAAAAATTGTTTTCAATTATTGTTGTTATAGTTTGAATTTCATCAATAAATTTTTTTTCTCTTATTAAATACTTACATGGTATCCTCAATTTTACCTTTTGGTTCACAAAGCCTAAAATATTTACTCTCTGGTCCTTTACAGAAAAAGTTTGCCAGCTCCCATCCTAGAATGTTAGACTAGTGACCTTCTTTGTTCTTTCCCTACATTTCACCAATCCTGGTAGGCAATACGAATGAGCAAACCTTAGATATGTTTTAATTCATTGATAATTGATCACAGGTGGAAGTAATGATGATGAATAATTTAAGGATTGTTTTGTTGGTTCCCTTCAAATAGTGGGGAAGAATAAGGATTGGTGTTTTTCTTGACTTAAGCGTTACTCATAATTATGGAGCTGTTACCATAGGTCCTTGTCTTCCCAATTGAGAGAAGGTAATTATTCGTAAATGTGTCCTGGATTGTGCCTACTGCATATGTAATAAAGGTTTCTAGGTATGTCACAAGGAAAAATCGAATTACGAAAGTTACCAGGTGAGAAAATGTTAAGCCCTGGCTCTTACGGCCTGTTTACCTATGCACATTAGCTAGAATCATAGTTATTACTGAGCGGGAGCTCTCACGTAATATATAATACAACTTTGATATTCATAAATGCTTGAGTAAGTAGAACAGTTTAAATAAAGTTAAGAGTAAATTGGGGTGGAAACAAGTTGGTTGAACTTCTTGATTTTCCAACAAGGTATTTTGTTCAAAAAGAGATTTCTGTTAAATACCTATTAATGGTTCTTTGCCTTTTAAATTTAACTTTAATCATTTTGTAATTTGTTCTTGAATCTCTGTTACTTAAAATTCCAACTCAAAAATGTTACAGCTTGCCTAGAAATTTTATTTGACCATAATGGAAGTATCACACCTGTTTTTTATTTCCTCAGCCTCAGTGGGCCTGAACCATGGCTGTAGTGCGTGTTTTTATTGTTGATGGTTTTTATTAATTTATAGTTAATACATGATTCTGTGTTACTTCTTAAATGCCAGAATGTCTTATTGACAAGATTAGACAAGTTAGTTAAGTTTAGACAAACTTAAAATCAGATTTTAAGAATACAGGTAGCTGGGTGTGATGGCTCACATCTGTAATCCAAGCACTTTGGGAGGCTGAGGCCAGAGAATTGCTTGAGCCTAGGATTTCAAGACCATTCTGGACAACATGATGAAACCCTGTCTCTACAAAAAAAAAAAAAAATACAAAAAAAATACAAAAAATTATTTGGTCATGGTGGCACATGCCTGTAGTCCCATCTACTTGGGAGGCTGAGGTGGGAGGATCACCTGAGCCCAGGAAGTCAAGGCTGCAGTAAGCTGTTTTTAAATGATTCAGTGGAAGTTCTCCTTGTCAGTGCTACCATGCTTTGTTTTAACTAATTTACCAAACCCAGCATGTTAGGCCTTTATTTCACTTTCTGAAGTATTCCTTTGTTTATCTTTTTAAAAGTAGAGTCAATCCCAAGGCCCAAGGGGTGTTTAAACTTAGTTTACATTTCATATGGAAATGACACGATTTTATTCTAATGTAAAATGTTTTGTAAAATAGAACACATTAATTATACCTCAGCTATGTTTCCACCTCCTGTCTAATTAACATAACTCGAGGTTCCCAGAACATTTCTACATGGGAAAAATTTGAAAAAAGTAAATCTGTTACTTGAATAAATAGTCCTATAGTCTAGCAATATAACTTTAAGATTTACATAACAGAATGAAAGTCAGAATTGTATTTTATGGCATTAAATAAATTAACTTTATTTCTGTCTATATCAACATCCAAAGTTTATTAGGAATTTATTTAAAGAATAATAAAAGCAATAGGACCTAACATTTAATGAGTGCTTACTGTGTCAAATACCATTCTAAACAGTTTACATGTATTCTTATTTATTTTTAAGTACAATATAAATCATAGGTATTGAGCATGCAAATAAATAAATAGTAAGGATATTAGGCATAGATCCACAGATACACTGGTAGAGTGATTTTCGAAGGCATTTCGGCCGTACAGATCTTCACCAAACCCATTAATTTTATGCTTGGGAATTTATTTGAAAAAATAACTCAGAAGTTAAGAAAAATATGTAGGCATAAAAGTGTTCAATAAAGCCTTATTTATTATAGTGAAAAATTGTAAAGAGTCTAAATATTCAACAGTAGAATAAGAAAGTAAATGCTATATTAACTTGAAGGGAATATATTCTAGCCATAAAATAAAAAATATGTTAAGCTTACGAAATTTATTACTGTTACAAGTATAAAAGGAATTCTGTTTTAAGTCTTTGTTTTAGGAGATTACATTACACACACACATATATATATAAAACATATATATAAAAAACATATATACATATAAAACATATATATATAAAACATATATATATATATATATATATATATATATATATATATGGTCTGGCTGGACAGTGATGAATTCACTGAAGACCAATCAGTAGTTCATGATTGTCCTTAATGTTTCTATAGACATAAAATTTCTATTGAAATATTTTTATACCACTTACCTGCACACTTATTATATATTATCCTGTAATACATTTTATCTTTTTATATGTATGTTCTGTCCCCTAAATTAGGTAGTAAATTTCTTAAGCATAGTGGTCTTACCTCATAGAATGTCTAGCCTTCATTAGGTACCCAGCATCATGTTTGCTGCCCGTGACCACTCAGAGTTCATCATTATAACCATTGTTACTGATCTGTGTGCTCGTCTTTTGTCCCTCCCCTTGTTATCATTCATTTATTGTTTATAACATATATACATATATATATATATACACACACACTACATGCAAGGCATTTTATTGGGAATACAGTGCACTCAAAATAAATTGAAAGCCACTAGAGGGAATGAGAGAACAATAAAAGAATTTGGGTATGATATGGTGAAAGTGAGGTATAAGGATGTTTAATCTGACAATCCAGTGTAGTTTCACTTGTGTAAGCAGGACATAAACTGTTAGGCCTAAGAATAGGATTGAATCTTTTCTTAATAAATTTTTCGGTGTAACATATATGTTGCTTCCTCTTACTCCAAGAGTTCACAAAACAGATGAATCTCTTATGATGTAGATGGTTTCAAATATGCATCTATATAGCTGACATTTATTTTAACTAACATTATTGAGTGTCTACAGTATGCCAAGCATTTCATCTTATTACATTTTTTCTTACCAAAATTCTATAGCAAAGTTGTTATGATCTCCGTTTTGCAAATTAGGAAATAGAGATTCATGGAAGATTAAATTATTTACCCAGGGTTATACTAGAAAGTAAAAGTCAGAACCAAATATTCTGATTCCAAATCTCTTGTCTACTGAAGGAAAGTTTAAACATGTATCTTTTGTTGACACATGATTGTTTTGAAAATTACTTTTTCTCTGATTTTTTTTTTGCATTCTTTTTAGTGCCAGTAATTTTGAATATAGGGTATAGCATGTATTAGCATTTTCTTGGCATTTCTTCTTGGTAAGTAGTTTCTGTTTTGTTTCCTTTTTGTTAGTCACCGTTACTTCATCCCCAATCCGAGGAGCAGGAGATGGAATGGAAACTGAGGAACCACCTAAATCTGTTGAAGTTACCTCCGGAGTCCAATCTAGAAAGCATCATAGTCTTCAGAGTCCATGGAAGAAAGCAGTTCCATCAGAGAGCCCAGGAGTTCTTCAGCTAGGGAAAATGCTCACTGAAAAAGCAATGGAAGTTAAAGCTGTAAGAATATTAGTTCCCAAAGCTGCTATAACTCATGATATCCCCAACAAAAATACAAAGGTTAAGTCTCTGGGACATCATAAAGGAGAATTCCTTGGTCAGTCAGAGGGAGTTATAGAACCTAATAAGGAACTCTCAGAGGTAAAGAATGTATTGGAAAAGCTCAAGAATTCTGAAAGAAGGTTACTACAGGACAAAGAAGGTCTTTCAAACCAGCTCCGTGTACAGACAGAGGTAAGAAGAGCCTTAATCGATAAAATGAGTACTACTCTTTACGTCTGGACCTTTTAAACGTGCATGTTAGAAAACTACATTTCTTTATGGGAATGTCATTCATCCTAGCTTGTCAGTTCTCTAAAATGCTTCCTCTTAAATTTCTCATTCTTTCTCAGTTCTCTAGGGATACTTTATATTGGGAACTTATACTCTAAACCTCATTGAAGATGGAGGTGTGAGGTGCTTTGGACAAGACCACCAATAAGTTGTAAAAGTAGGTTACAATTATAAACTGCCAGACCAAAGATTGACCAAGTCAGGCATAGTAATTGACCAGCAGTCCTTGTTTTAAGGATCCGTAAATTCCAAGTAGTTTTGCTTGTGTATACGGGATACTTGGAATAAAGAGAATGGCGATATAACTTACTGTGTCTTCATTGTAAATGAAAAAAATCTGTAGCCCTTAAGTGTGTTGCTTTAATCTTTGCATCTTAGTAAAAATTGCCTTGCCCCTTCCCTTGTTTCTCTATTAGACCATGCATCTTTTGGCTAGATACAAGTCTTCATAAGTGAGACCATGGTTAGTGTTTTTATACAAATATATTTTTAAATAACTAATTTCTCATTACAAAATGTAGTACAAATTTATGTGTAAAAATTTTAGAAAATACAGAAAAACACAATGAAAATAGTGCCACCTGAATCATTTCATCCAGCTATACGTGCATAACCATATACATTGAGTTCATTTAGTGTCACAACCCACTTTTTTCAGTTATTAATGTTCTGCCATGTCACAGAATATTCTATTACAGTGTCATTGTTAATAGTAACAGTGTTCTTCAATAGCTATACCATATACCAATAACTGTTATTGGATATCTTTTAATTTTTTGCTCTTTTCAGTAATGATGTAAAGAACATACTTAGAAACATACTGGATTACTTTGCTTTATTTTTTAAAAGTAAATTCTTAGGATGCAATACACTAACTTATAAATGTTTAATAAAAAACATAAAACATTCTCTGTCATATTTTTTATCAAAATATATTGGTTTTGTTTTAATTTTTTTTCCTTTAAGTGTTGACTAGAAGCAATTTGTTATTTTCATAATTCTTTTTACTCTTACTACAAGAGGCTCAGTTTATTACCACATGGACTGTGGATATAGATGTATGGAGAGAAGTAGAGAGAGATGGTTTGTATATCGTATGGAACTTAAATATTTAATTTTACTTTTTGATAGAAACTTCAAGTCACGGAGGTCCAAAATTACACAGAAACACAGTCTCTTTTTGTTAATTTTGTTACATTAAAGTTAGTGATATTACTTTGAGCTTGTTGTATTGATTACGTTCTCTTCTAGGTAAATCGTGAGTTAAAAAAGTTACTGGTGGCTTCTGTTGGGGATGATCTTCAGTATCACTTTGAACGTCTAGCCCGTGAGAAAAATCAGCTTATTTTAGAAAATGAAGCCCTAGGTCGAAACACAGCTCAGCTTTCTGAACAGTTAGAACGTATGTCAATACAGTGTGATGTATGGCGAAGTAAATTCCTTGCAAGCAGGTATTTTCTACAGCAAATAGTATTTCACTTCCTAGTTTTTGCTCCATCAGGTTTTTGATCTATAACACAAGAAAGTAGATTGTAGTGTGAAAATTTCTGACTAAGGTCATCAGAGTACTTCATTTAAGATGTGGACTCTCTCTCCTCTGGATAGTCACACAGTCTCCCTAAATGAAGAAGTGATATAAGGATCATCCCTTATTCCTGAGTTCTAGTTTACTGTATAGTAAAAATATAATGTTTAAGACTGAAACAAAACTGTAAACTCAGACATCTAGTAAACATTAAAATCACAAAAAGCCAAACTAAATTATTTTTCCCCATTCAAATATTTGGACTCCCCAAGATAATATTATTCATTCTAAATGCGCTTTTCTCATTGTTCTTTTAACTATATAATAAAGCTTCCCAACGTTTTTCTCTCTATGCACAAATAGAAAATTATAACATTTTTATGACATACTGGATGAGGCTACTCTCATATGGCAGCAAAAACCCTGGGGTTCTCATCCAGGCCTCTCAACACACTGGTGGTTGGGAAACTGCTATATAGTATGATTCTTTGTCTATTTATCCCCTCCCTGCCTCAACTGATAGTTACTAGATAACAAGATCTGGATGTTATCCATCTGTGTATTTCTGGAACTTAGCAAAATACTTTATAGAGTATGTTTCATAACTGTTGATTTAAATTGAATCATCTGGAGATTTCTCATAAAACAACCAAAGGTTTACAGGTTGTATTTGAGGAACCATTGATTTTGATGAATACATTTTTAGGAAAATGTTTTTTCATGTCTTAATATCTCTGACACTTTGTAGTAGTAGTTCACTCTCTTTAACAGTCTTTTGTTTATCTCCTAATTGTGCTAGTTCATTATGCTATTTGGAAAAATGAACTATTTATTCACTTAGAATGAAAGTTAATTGAGTTAATTCTCATTGTACATTTTAAGAGGCAAATCATGAATATATTGTACAAATTTTTGCAATATGCAACTTTTTAACATCCTGATCAACACCAATAGTAACATTTCATTAGATTTTTAAATAAAAATTAAATATGACTTTATTGGTATTTTAATTGATGTAATCTTCTAATGTCAACATTGTTTTCATTTTGAGGAATTTGGTAGTAACTGCAGTCTCAGACTTAAATTTTAATTTTAAATTTTTCAGCCGATTAACCATACTTGAACATTTTGCTTCAATTCCATCAATAGAAAACTGGTTAAATAAAATTTTGTGTATCCAATCAGTAGAAAACATGAAGCTAATTTTTGAAAAAAGGGAATGAGATAGCTGTATATGTGCTAATATGGATAAGTCTCTAAGATAAATTATTAAATGAAAAACTAAGATTTAGAAAAGTTCGTATTCAGTATCTCTTTTTGTAAATAAAGTGGATAAATTTATTTTTAACACATGTATATGTTGAAATATACATAAATTTTTTTTTGAGAAGTGTAAAAAAACTTTGTTGACTGCATATAAAAGGATAGGTATGCTGGGCATGACAAAAGACTTTATATAAATCTTTTTATATTAATATTTTTCTGGGGGCAAAGAGGTAATTGAGTGAAGAAGATAATTTAGTTTTGTTTGTCTCTTTAAGTTTTTCTGTATTTAAAAATATTTAATAATTTTTTCTTTCAAATTTTGGTCAATCTAGAGTAAGATTGAGATGTACTCCAAAAGTCATTATATAGGAAAGTTGAATAACTCTTGCCTTTGTCATTGTCTAAATGAATATTTTAACTGAATCCCTTTAATGAACTCTAAGCTAATAAGCATTTTTAATGCTCTTTAGCTAAAATTTAAAAACTGTGAAGTAACTATACTGTTAAATCTTTGTTAGCTTCTGAAAGTGACAGTCACAAAGTAGTATATTCAATTTTTTACACTGTATTATTGTCAGCAAATTTATATGTAAGATTTTAATCTTTTTCAGGGTAATGGCAGATGAGTTAACCAACTCAAGAGCAGCTTTACAGCGTCAAAACCGTGATGCACACGGGGCTATACAAGATCTCCTAAGTGAACGGGAACAGTTTCGTCAAGAAATGATAGCTACCCAGAAGTATGGCACTTGTTTACATTCTGAACTCTTCTGCTTTCTCCTGCAAATTAAGTTATTGTAGTTTTGGTTTTTTTGTTTGTTTGTTTTTGTTTTGGGTGTGTCTACATTTGATAACTTACTGAGCATATACTTTTAGTAGCATTTTAAAATAGATGCTCTGGGAGGGAAGAGGACTGAAAAAATAGAAGGCATGCTTTTCACATTCTTAATTGGGGAAATAATTAGTTATATCTGTAGTAGAAGGATTCTCTGGATTTAAAAGCAATTGCTGGTAATAGTTGTAGTCGTACAGTTTTCGGTAGAAGCCAAGGAGTGTACCTGTCTCTCCTGTGGAAAGAGATCTTTTTGAAGACTTCCTACAGTATTAGAGCTTGTTTTCATGTCCATATACTCCAGAACTATCAAAATTGATGGTCTTCCTTAAAAGCCTTTTGCATTTTTATATAGTTGATTTATTACACGTAGAATCAGTAAGTGTCAAAGAGCAAATTATAGGGGAAATTAGAAGAATGAAAACACAAGAAACGTCTAACCAGTTTAATCAGGAAAAAAAGAGAAGATATACATTACCAGTATCAGGAATGAAGGGGGGGGTACAATATAGACTCTATACACATAAAAAAGATAATACAGAAATGTTATGAACAAATCCATGTCAATAAATTCAGTAATTTAGATGAAATGGACAAACTCCATGAAAGACAAACTACCAAAGGTTACTCAAGAACAAATAGATAACCTGAATAGCCCTAACCTATTAAAGCAAATATAATTTATAGTTAAAAATTAAATATTTTCCAGTAAAGGAAATTCCAGGTCTAGATGGATTCACTGATGAATGCTAGTAAACATCTAAGGAAGACATAAAACCAAACTTATAAAAATTATTCTAGAAAACAGAAGAGAAGGAAACAATTTCCAGCTCATTTCATGAGACCAGCATTGTCTTGATATCAGAACCATTAGCCAAAACCCACCAACTAATATCTCTAATGAACATAAATGCAAAAATCCTTAACAGAATTTCAGTGAATCAAGTCCAACAATACAGAAAAAGTTTTATACATTTTGACCAAGTAAAGTGAATCCCAGGAATTGTAGATTGGTTTAGCATTCAAGAATCAATTAATGTAACTCACCAAAAAAGAAAAACCGTATGAATATCCCCATAGTTGCACAAATTATGTAAGTAGTTCCTATACTAAAAGATGAGAACAAAGAAAAGTACTGTTTGTTAAATGATTTTCATACAACAACCTAGTAGATTAACATATGCTTTCTGTAGTCTAACTTACTTGACTAAGACATCCGAATTTATGGAACTCTGAGAGAGAAAGGGATCAGAGAAAGATGTTATATAATTTCAGAAATATTTGTATTACCTATTTACTATTATTAATTTTTACATTTTGCTCTCTTACTATGTCCGGTGTTCATGTGTGTTCTATGCAGATTATTGGAGGAGCTCTTAGTTTCCTTGCAATGGGGAAGAGAGCAAACTTACTCCCCTAGTGTACAACCCCACAGCACAGCAGAGCTAGCATTAACAAATCACAAGTTGGCAAAAGCAGTAAATTCTCATCTTCTGGGAAATGTTGGCATTAACAATCAAAAAAAGATTCCATCAACAGTTGAATTCTGCAGCACCCCAGCTGAGAAAATGGCTGAAACGGTAAAATATTTTCTTTTGTGATCTATGGAACTTCTAACACTGTCCTTTTACTGAAAGGTGACATATCATGGAAAGCATTTGGCATTAGGAATTAGGAAATGTGGGATCTAAACCACTCATGCTATTGAGTGTGTTATCTTGGAGAAAATTATTTCCTCTTCTGCGCTTTAATATTTTCTAACACTACTGTTCTATTTTTAAGGACAAAAAAAGTAATTGTTTTGAAAGAGGTCCTATGTTTTAGCTATTAAGTCACTGATAATCCTTTTCATGAGTTCATTTTGATATAAAAACCACTGTGTAGAATTTTTAATGTAGATTAAATTAGTAGATTCATAGATTACTTCTGATCTAAGAAATTACTTAATTTCCACATATAGATGGAAATGTATCAAATACTACAGTACAGATAGTATAGTCCTGGATGAATTCAGGGTCCATGCAGCTGGCTTGTCAAATACTCATCTCACATGTCTGTGACAACAACCAAGTTCACCTTCGTTACAACTCTCATGTCCCCATCTGGGTCCCTGCCTGTCGCCATAACTCTTGCACTATTAAAATCTTCAACTCAACATCTCTGTCTCTGTGATCTGTGATCTCAACTTTTTTTCTTTCCAACTCTGATTCTTCATTCTGACTCCCTGGATGTGAACACATCTTTGATCATATAATTGTTTTTATTCCCTTGGTCCCTATATTTTTTTATGTATCTCATCAGCTCACTCTTTTAGTTTCTCTTCCCACATAGCTTTCCTAGACTCTATTCATAAGTGCCTTACTGCCTTATCTTCCTCTCCGAGTATGCTGCAAACCCCAGTCCTGTGTCAGTTCAGCTGTTTGCCTTTTTATTTCAGTACCCATCAAATACTACCTCACATTCAGCAGATGACTTTCCTTCCTAATCCACAGAAGAAAAAGGGGACAGAGGCAGAAAACTGCCTGAAGGTTTCATTAGATATCTAGAAGCCTATCTGTATGGCAGCATACATTTCTCTCAGAGGAAAAGGTGTCCTTCCTCTTCTCCTAAGCATACCTCCCCTCTAGGCCCTGGCTTCACCCTCAACAGTTATTCCTTCTCTCTGTTGGCTCTTTCCTTTTGGCTTAAGAACATGTCCAAGCATCATTCATCTAAAAAAGAAAAATCTTCCCTCTATTGTAAGATGTCTGGATATGGCTTTATCACCTTCCTTTCACATCCAAGAATCTTGGACAAGTTGTCCAGACATGTTTGTACTTAAACACCATCCATTCCTCAATTCCTACCGTCACTTAAATCTGTAGACTTCCTGCCCCACTATTCTCAGTAAGTACTCTTAAAAAGGTCATGAACATTTACTATCATATTATACTGTATCGAGCATTCCTTCCTGGAAACTCCCTTGACCTTTGTAACATCACTCTTTCTTGGCCCTGATGCTACCTCTCTGAGCTCTTCTTCATAGACTTTTTTCCTCCTTTAGATGTTCATGTTTCATAGGAATCTGTGTTCCCCTTTTCAAAATCTCTTCGTTCCTAAACACCATACTCTTGAAACGATTCACTACTTTTGTGACCATTGTTTCTAAGTTTTTGAGGGGGAGGGGCATCCTCTTCCTGTGACCCCTCTTGAGCTTTCTTTACATAACATACTTTCTCTATTCTCTTGGTGTTATTCTGTTTACCATAGCTTTATGCTTGTGACTTTTCCATCTCAGACTTTTTTCTGAGTCTGAGAGATTTATATCCAGCCAGGTATTTCCATCTACTTGTTCCACAGATGGCTAAAAATATAATCTCTTTTCTCCTTGCTTTTGCATTTGTACAACCCCCCACCCCTAAAAATCTCCTCCTTTTCCTGTATTCCCTATCTTGATGAATTATACCTACTCTATAGTGCTGTTTTCAGATTTCGATAAAAAACACATATAAAGCCTGCAGCAGTTTCCAATATATTGTAATTTCTCAATAAATGGTAGCTATCGTTTTTACTATTTCCTTCATTCCCCTAGTCCTGTTGATTTTACAGATCTTACCAGTTTTTTTCTAATTTATCCCCTCCCAAGTTCAAACACCTGACTTCCAGCCTAGCCCACTGCAGTTGCCCCCTCACTGATATCCCTGCCCTCCTTCTTAGCTGCTCCTGCCCACCCACTACTGGCAGAGAGTTATTTCAGAAGGCCAAATCAGTCATCAAACAGTTCCCAGTCTCCCTCATTATTGAATCAGAATTCATTCATATTGTATAGAAGGCTTTTTATAATCTTTCTTCCATCTCCCCTTCTCAAGAATCATTTCCCAAGTGTCACTACCCACTGCACTTAACATTCCAGCAGGGTTTAACCACTTTTCATGATGCACATAGGCCATTGTATCTCATGCCTCTGTACATACTTTTTCTTGTCTGGACTACCCTCCCCACACCTCTTTTGTTGCCCAACCTCTGTACCACCTTTAAGAACCTGCCTTCTCTGAATCTTGCTGGCAATCTGAAGTGTTCCTTCTCCATCCTTCCATTGTACTTTGCACTTATATCTGTAACTGCTCTTTACTGTATTAAATTATAATAGTTTTATTTTCCATCCCTCTCCCAAATTGTAAACTCCTAAAGGGCTGGGGACTTTGTGTTTTTATGTTTCCTCAAGGTCTGGCATAATCCCTTGCACATACTAAGTGCTCAGCTATTTACTGAATGAGTCAGTACCTAAAATTAATCATTTTTATCCAAAATTTTGTTTCTCCTTTTCTATTCTCTTTGTTGGGAAATTGTGTCACTGCCTACTTAGTTGCTGCCAGTAGCATTTGGTATAGTTGACCACTCCCTCTTTCTCGAACTATTCTTTCCGAGGTTTATATAACTTTATAGCTTACAGGCTTTTCTCTTTTATCCAACCATTTTATTTCACTATACAATGTTAGGTATCCTCAGGGCTTGATTTAGATCCCCTTCTTCTCCCAGACCTTTATCCACCACATTCTCCTATTTAACAAAACTGACAGCCCTTCTTCCTTAGTGTCTCTTAAACTTTTCAGTCCCATTGCTTCAAGGTGCCATCATTTCTTAGCTAGATTATTACAATAACCTCCCTTTTTCTGTTCTTATGTCTGCTTATGCATACTGCTTCCCCCATCCCCCACACTGTGTATAGAATGATCTCTCTGAAAGGCACCCTGCATAAAATCCTTCCCCATCACTTTCAGGCTAAAATACAGAAACCTTTCTGTTCATATTAGTGGGTCAGTCTCCTGCTCCTGAATTCCCTTAGCATTTTGTTTCTCGCTCTATAAAGACCTATAATGTAATAACATCTTTATAGTATTTGAGAACTTATTTTCTCCTCTAAATTTATAAGCAATGTTAAGGTAAGCCCTTCATCTTTGCTTATCCTCTAATACCAAACAAACTTCCATAAAAATAGAAGGATCTCAAAAACTAAATTGAAAAAGCAGTCTAGTTGAAAAATAGAGGTGCTAAAGTAAGTTGATGGCTCTTAAATGATGCCAGGACATTCTTAGAGTAGTGATGGCTCTTTGGGTTTGGTGGTAACTTAGAAGGGAAAAAAAAAATCTGCAGGACCACATGACCGCTAGGGAAACAGGCATCACCAACCATTCCAGAAAGCTGCTTTGAACAAGCCTTATATAAGAAAGAGAGAAAGCACTTTTCCCAATTCATTTCAGAATTCTTTCCAATTGCAGTGCTTGCTACCTTTGTACCATAACCCAAACACATCATGTGGTGATGACTGGGAAAATAGGAACATGAGAATCAAGAGCTGTGAGCCAGGCACGTTATCCCTGCCCTTAACTGGAGAAATTTTTTCAGCTCAAGAGTTCCTGTTTTGGGTCTCAGTAAAGGAGACAGATTAGGAAAAATCAGAGCAGAAGAAGAATTAGGAGAGCATTGTGTTGTGGAACCCAGGAAACAAAAAGTGGCTGTAATCATAAAATACTGCATATAAATTAGAAAAAGAGAAATGAAAAGCCATTGATACTACAGATAAAAAGTTATCAAGGATTTTGAAATATCGTTTCCATAGAAGAATAAAAACAAAATCCTGATTCTGAGCAGTTGAATGAAAGATTGAAGAGGGGAAGTAGTAAGTCCATTTTGGTTAAGGAAAAGAAATTGACATCACTTAATGATATAATTGACATGTAAAAAAACTGACCTCCTGGGGGGCCGAGGCAGGCAGATCACAAGGTCAGGAGATCGAGACCATCCTAGCTAACACAGTGAAACCCCATCTCTATTAAAAATACAAAAAATGAGCCGGGCATGGTGGCGGGCGCCTATAGTCCCAGCTACTCGGGAGGCAGAGGCAGGAGAATGGCGTGAACCCAGGAGGCAGAGCTTTCAGTGAGCCGAGATCGCGCCACTGCACTCCAGCCTGGGCCACAGAGCGAGACTCCATCTCAAAAAAAAAAAAAAAAAGACATAATGATATAACCTCATTTTCTTCTATGTTTTCCTGCTTTCCTACCAATATCTGTAAAACATTAACGTCATTATTTAAAAAAATATGTAACCTAGATAATATAGTAATCAGACATCATTGTTAAATTTACAGCTTAAGGAAGTAAGTTGTCTTTTCAATCAGATTAGTCATTCTGTTTTTTTAGTAATAGTTATATATTAATGAAGTGAAACTTTATAGGTAGGTATACATCAATGAAATCTTAGGCTTTTACCATCTATATTGCATACTTCTGACATTATATCTTATTTTCCTTAGGTTCTAAGAATTTTAGATCCAGTTACCTGCAAAGAGAGTTCACCTGATAATCCATTTTTTGAGTCTTCACCAACCACCTTACTTGCTACAAAGAAAAATATTGGACGATTTCATCCCTATACTAGATATGAAAATATAACTTTCAATTGCTGCAATCACTGCCGGGGAGAACTGATTGCCCTTTAACAGTCAATATGTTGGAGGCATGCTAAGGTACTTCCTTATTACCCAAGAGTCATTATTATTTGGGAGCTGGGGTTCTTACAATGCTAGAAATAATATCACTTCCTATTTACATAATGTATACACCCAAAGATATTTTATGTACTAGACTCCAGATTACCCTTTCTTAATAAATATCTCAGGGTAAGGAAAGAAAGAAACTGTATAGATATATTTAAAATAGAGAATACTTTCCAAGCAATACATGATACTTTTCCTAAAAGACTCTAAAAGAAAAAGATTCTGTAACTCTCTTTTAGCACCAAATTATTGTTTATCTTGCTGGATATTTTATATGAACAGTGTTAATTTAGATGCACTAAAGCAAAGGTAGGCAAACTACAACCATGAGTCAAACATGGCCACACCCATTCATGTGCTATTGTCTAAGCTGGTTTTGCACTACAACTGCAGAGTTGAATAGATGCAGCAGATCCTTTACAGAAAAAGTTTTCTGACCTCAATTCTAAAGTAATTGTAGTAGGGAGCTGGAGGACTTTCTTTCCCTTTATGGTAATTTTTTGAGCTACAAAAGAGCCTTGCAGAAATGGGTGAAGGGATTAATCTTTTAAAAATAAATGCTATATATTAGGAAAATAAAAAATATTTTAGAGCCAAGTTAACAAGTACTTCAGCAAAACATGCTAGTTTTATGCAGGGGATTCTGTATTCCAAATGGATACAATCCGACATATATAAAAGAAACAGATTCTTAACTATTGACTCTTATTTAGCAAATGCAACAGACAAGAATATCCAACTTGATATTTATAAAAGGTAGACTTTTTCCAAAAGTGTATAAGCTCAAAGAAAAAATGCAACCTGTCAATTAATATATACTATGTAATATATATTATTGTGTATTTATGATTAGCCATCATAAATGCCCATTGCTTGGCCTTTAAGAATAATCACAAAATATTTATATTAAATTATACAAATTTGTTGCAGAAGTGCCTGTGAGAGAAATCTTCAAAAGACAAACCTGGTCAAATAATAATAATTTTAATGTCAATGATTTTTTTTGTCTGACTCATCTGAGTTATATTTAGTTTTCAAGTGGCAATAAATTTATCTACCTTCTTTATTGCGACTATTCCTTTTTTCCCCCAGAATTAGTGCTTTGGTTTAGGTCTTTGTCTAGCTTAACTACTTCCAATTGATTCTTCAGCCTTTTCTTTTAGGTTTACTTACTATAAAAGTCTCAGAAGAAAGCATAAGGGGAAAGCTTCGTGACATTGTATTTGGCAATGATTTCTTGAATATGACAACAGAAGCACAGGCAACAAAAGAAAAAATAGATAAATTGAATTTCATCAAAATTTCAAATTTTTGTGCATTAAAAGATGCAGTGAAAAGGCAACACAGAGAATGGGAGAAAATATTTGCAAATCATATATCTGATAACTGTCTAGTGTCCAGAATATATAAAGCACTCCTACAACTCAACCACCAAAAAACAACCCAATAAAAATTAGCAAAGGGGCTGGGCATGGTGGCTCATGCCTGTAATCCTAGCACTTTGGGAGGCTGAGGCAGTCAGATCACCTGAGGCCAGGAGTTCAAGACCAGCCGAGCCAAGATGGCGAAACCCCATCTCTACTAAGAATACAAAAAATTGGCCTGGCGCAGTGGCTCACGCCTGTAATCCCAGCACTTTGGGAGGCCGAGGTGGGTGGGTCACCTGAGGTTAGGAGTTCAAGATCAGCCTGGCCAAGATGGTGAAACCCCCGTCTCTACTAAAAATACAAAAAATTAGTTGGGCATGGTGGCGGGCACCTGTACTCCCAGCTACTCGGGAGGCTGAGGCAGAGAATTGCTTGAACCTGGGAGGCGGAGGTTGTAGTGAGCCGAGATCGCGCCGCTGCACTCCAGCCTGGGTGACGGAGCGAAACTCTGTCTCAAAAAAAAAAAGAATACAAAAAATAAGCCGTGTGTGGTAGTGGACGCCTGTATACCCAGCTACTGGAGAGGGTGAGGCAGGCGAATTTCTTGAACCTGGGAGGTGGAGGCTGCAGTGAGCCGAGATCGCGCCATTACACTCCAGCCTGGGCAACAAGAGTGAAACTTCCTCTCAAAAAAAAACAAAAACAAAAAAAATTAGCAAAGGACCTGAATAGACATTTCTCCAAAAAGGATATATAGATGGCCAATAAGCACATCAAAAGATGCTCAGCATAACTACTCATTAAGGAAATGCAAATTAATACCACTTCACATCCATTAGGATGGCAGTTATCAAAAAAGCAAATTATAAATGTCAAAGATGTGGAGAAATTGGAACCCCTATGCATTGTTTGTGGGAATGTAAAATGTTGAAAACAGTGTGGCAGATCCTCAAAATATTAAACATAGAGTTACCATATGGCCTAGCAATTCTGCTTCTAGGTAGATTCCCAAAAGAAAGCAGAAACTAGAATAGGTATTTGTACAACAGTGTTCACAGCTGCATTATTCACAATAGCCAAAAGGTGGATGTAACACAGTGTCCATCGATGGATGAATAGATAAACAAAATCTGGTATATACATGTGAAGAAATACTATTCAGCCTTAAGGAATGAAATTTGATGCTACAATGTAGATGAACCTTTAGAATATTATACTAAGTGAAATAAGTCAGACACAAAAAGTCAAATGTCAAATGATTCCATTTATATGAGTTCCTAGAAGAGACAAATTTGTAGAGATGGAAAGCAGAATAGTGGTTATCAGGGACTGGAGAGAGTGTAGAATGGGAAGTTTTTATTTAGTGGGTATAGAATTAGAGATTGGGATGACAAAAATGTTCTGGAGATAAACAGTGATGATGGTTGTACAACAATGTCAGTCTACTTAATGCTACTGCATTGTACATTTAAAAAATATTTAAAATGGTAAATTTTACACGTTACAATTAAAAAACTAAAAAAAAATTATATACACTTTTGTAACCACAAACTCGTGGCACACTTCTGCAACTGTTGGTTTAACAGTGTCAATAACAATAATAATAAAGATAAGAGTTAGTGAGCTAAATTTAAAAAATAAAAAAGATCTCAAATCAGCAATCTAACATAACACCTTAAGGAAATAAAAAAAGAACTAAACCCAATGTGAGAAGAAGGAAGGAAATTAAGATTAGAGTGCAGACAAATAGAGAATAGAAAAACAAGAGAGATCAAAGAAGTCAACAGTTAGTTCTTTAAAAAGAAAGACCAAATTGACAAATCTGTAGCCATACTGACTAAGAAAAATAAAACAGGTAAAACTAAAATCAGAAATGAAAGTGGGGACATTATTAGTCACCTTACATAAAGAAAAACTGTACACCAATAAACTAGGTAAACTAGTTTACAGACAAATTCCTAGAAAGACATGTATTAGTCCACTCTCATGGTGCTACAAAGAAACCTGAGTAATTTATAAAGGAAAGAGGTTTTCAAAAAGGGAGAATTATTCTGAGGCTAGACCATGTGATGCTTTTACAGTGCACTTAAAAAAAATTTTTTTTCCCACACAAGAGATTTCTAAGTGTCTAAATTACACTTTTTCTTAAAAAACCCAGAGTAGCTTCTGTTGCAATAGCTATTAATGAAGAAAACAGAATTCAGTCAACTGAGAAGAAAAAAACTTTTGCTCAAAAAGACAAGGTCCTAAGAAATAAACAAAAACATAAAGGCCTTTTAAATACAAGCATGCACACATGCACACATACATTTACATATCTTGGATGTTAGCTTTTAATTAAGCTGACTTAACCATTGAGCTCCTAAAAATTATATTTTCCTTCCCAGAGGCCTCTCAGCAGGAATGGACCCAATACCTTCCATTTTTAAGTTTACATGGTATCAAAAGGAGTAAGACAGATAAACAAGTGGAGACAAATTTTGGACAACACAAGGGGAAGTGCACTCGGGCAAAACAGATTCAAAACCTGATCTCAATCAAAATGCAAAGCGGGTGTATAACCAAGCCTTATTATTGCTTCCCGTGGCAGTGCCAGACAAATGGTTTAACAAGCCTAGATGGGAAAACAATAGGCTCCCAGCATACCATTCAGTTAACTCACCCTTTGAGTTCGTCCGCTCCTGATCTCCATTCTAACCCAGCATTGTAAGGGTTGTGCACTTTTGAGCACAGGACAGCCTTCAAGGGGGTCCCTGGGAAAATCTCACCTGCAGCTGCTGGGATCCCCCTAAAGACTGTCTCCTTGCAAGCCACTGGCCACTGAATGCAGCACCATTCCAGTCTCTCCTGGCTGGCACGCCAAATTTTGTTCCCAGACCAAACTGAGGTTTGGGCTGCTGTTTCTCGTGGCCCAATAACGAGATGCAAATGAACTGGGGAGGAAGGGAGTTTTCATTTCTGCAACCGGTTACAGGGAGAAGGCCTGGAAATTATCACCAGACCAATTCAAAATTACAAAGTTTTCCAGAGCTTATATACCTTCTAAGCTATATGTCCATGTGTAAGTGTGCATTCATCTAAGGATGTAAGTGATTAACTTCTTTTAATCTATAACTAAGGTCTGAGTCCTGAAGGCCTTCCTCTGGAGCCTCAGTAAATTTACTTAATCTAAATGGGTCCAGGTGCTGGGGCAGTTACCCTTGTCTCCTGCTAAATCACGGAGGTTTGGGGAGTTCCTTCAGACCCCCGATAAACTTGTTTGTGGAGGCCTGGGGAGTTTCTTCAGACCCACAATAAAACTTGTTCAATCCTAAATGGGCCCTGTTAAGAATTCCTGTATTATTTTGTCATGCTTTAAGGCCCAGGAAAGACCTAGGCAAAACTCTTGATGGGCTTTTGTGGCATCCCAGCCTTTGTATAAGGAGACTGACTTTTAATATTTAACTTAACCCTTCAGTCAGTAGTGAAACAGTCGTTATGGAGGCCTGCATTAGTGAGACCTGGCCTGCCACAATCCTGTGTTCATGTATTGAAAGACTGTATTATTAAGATGGCAGTACTACCCAAAGCAGTCTACAGATTCACTGAGAGCCCTATCAAAATTCCAACAGCCTTTTTGAAAAATGGAAAAGCTTACCATCAAACTCATATGGAATTGTAAACGCCGTGAATAGCCAAAACAATGCGGAAAAGGCCAAAGTTGGAGGACTGACACTTCCCAATTTCAAAACTTACTATAAAACTACAGTGGTCTAAACAGTGGGCTGTTGGCACAAGTACAGATGATACTAACATACAGATCAATAGAATAGAATTGAGGCTTCAGAAATAAACCCATACATCTATGGCCAACTGACTTTCAACAAATGATGCTGCAATAACTGAATGTACACATGCAAAAAAAAAGTTGAACCTCTATGTGATATTGCGATAGAAGAAATACATATTTTGGTCTTGTACCAGTTTCCTGGCACATAGCTCCTAAAACCCTTGCAACATCCCAAGTCCCCAAGCTGTGAGTATCTTTGTATGCTAATGAAATGACTAATGTCTGGGGGATCTGGATGGGGGGAAGTTGCCAGGAGGAACCAACCAAGTAATTAGAGAGTAGACCTCCAGGGGAGGGGGAAGTCCTGAAGGTTAAGTTGATTACCAGTAGCCAATGATTTAATCAGTCATGCCTTCATAATGAAGCCCCTCCATAAAAACCCAAAAGGTTTAGACAGCTTTCTAGGTTGCTGAACATGTGCAGGTACCGAGAGCATGGAAGTTCCACGACCCTTCCTCCATACCTTGCCCCACGAATCTCTTCAATCTGGCTATTCCTGAGTTGCATCCTTTTAAAAAGAGAAACAGAAGTGTTTCTCTGAGTTCTGTGAGCGATTCTAGCAAAGTACTGTGGGAACTGTAACCAGGGGACCTATTATTTGCAATTGATGTCTGAAGTGGGGGGCAGTTTCATGGGACTGAGCCTGGGTGTATGGTCTGCATTAACTCTGGTTAGCGTCAGAATTGAATTGTAGAATACCTACTTGGTGTCTGCAGAGAACGGGGAAATTGCTTGGTCTTGGGGAAAACAACCTAAACATCTGGTGTCAGAAGTGATGTACTGAGTATTGAGAGTATACAAGGAAAAAGTTTGTTTTTTCTTACTCTACCTCACGCCATATATAAAAATTAAGTAAAAACGAATCAAACTGGCCAGGTGCAGTGACTTACACCTGTAATCCCAGCACTTTGGGAGGCTGAGGCAGGTGGATCAGCTGAGGTCAGGAGTTTGAGACCAGCCTGACCAACATGGCGAAACCCCGTCTCTACTAAAAATAAAAAAAAATTAGCTGGGCATGGTGGCGGGTGCCTGTAATCCCAGCTACTCAGCAGGCTGAGGCAGGAGAATCACTTGAACCCGGGAGGTGGAGGTTGCAGTGAGCTGAGATGTGCCACGGCACTCCAGCCTGGGAGACTGTGAGACTGTCTAAGGGAAAAAAAAAAACAACTTTGTCTCTTTTTTTTGAGATACGGTCTCACTCTGTCACCCAGGCTGGAGTGCAGTGATGCAATCTTGGCTCACTGCAACCTCCACTTCTGGGGTTCAAGCGATTCTCATGCCTCAGCCTCCTGAGTAGCTGGGACTACAGGTGCATGGCACCATGCCCAACTAATTTTTGTATTTTTAGTAGAGACGGGGTTTCGCCATGTTGGCCAGGCCGGTCTCAAACTCCTGGCCTCAAGTGATCCTCCTGCCTCAACCTCCCAAAGTGCTAGGATTACAGGCGTGAGCCACCGCACCCAGCCAGAAGTTTGTCTTTTAAACTTTGCCAGAATGCTTACAGTGACTGTCCATTCTCCATCACACTTGTATGCTTACCTTTGTCCTTCACCCCTTACATGCTCTTACATGTATCAGAAGTACTATTCCTCTACACACTGGATTCTTGTATACTCTTAAATATCACATATTCTACCAAGGAATGTAATCTTTATAATATAACTGAGAGAAAGGATTTTGCAACCATACAGATCAGTCTATGTGAACAAAATATTCATGTCTATATAGTTTCCTTCTCTGCAGAACGACACTAATAGGGTTGTCATATGATTACATTATTTATATAAAGCATTTATAATACATTTTAAAATGTTTTAAGCTCTCAATAAAAGTTGGCTAATTTTGTAACATACCTACCTAAAATAGTATTACACATAATTGCTATTTTATCATTTCAAGTTTTATTTCAGATTCGGGGATACATATGTGCGTTAGTTACATGGGTATGTTGCATGTTGCTGAGGGTCCGGGTATGATTGGTCCCATCACCCAGGTAAAGAACATAGTACCCAATAGTTAGTTTTTCAACCCTTGCTCCCTTCCCTCACCCCCAGGAGTCCCCAGTGTCTACTGGGGACATCTTTATGTCCATGAATACACAATGTTTAGCTCTCACATATAGGGTGTATTTTTTAAGGTACTAACGGGTGGAATTAGGCCTACCCTATTGCTTAGCTTGCCATGATTATTCAAATCCAAAGTTGACATAAATAGGACTTTAAGGCCTTGAACCAGGCTTGTTTAAGGAGTCACTCCTTCAGCCTTATGAAATGTTCCATTGTAATTTTTTAAAAATAATAGGAAGTATGAATAGAAATCTGTACCTTTCTTGTGTTTTCTCCTAGAAACGTTAATAAAATAATTTAGAAGTAGAAGGACATAGAATTCATTCGTTGTTCAATTTGTTGCACAGACTAAGAGATGGCACAACACATTACAACACTGTGAGAAAAAAATTTATTTTGTTCTAGTATTAAAAAAACAAATTCACTGTCAATAAAAGATAAATACCATTTCCATAATTTAGAATACAACCAAAGTACACAGACCCTAAGAAATCATATCCAAAATTTTGATAGCAGCTGCCCACTGAAATATTTAATAGAAACTTTCAGTTATAATGATCAGTAAAACGAAAAGGTTTGGCTTCTGACATATATAGGTGGTGCTGTAACTGTTTAGAACGCTTAGCTTCTAGTCGGAGCTGTCTAGTTCTCTCTCTGACAGCTTGTTGCTCTGCCATTTTTTCCATCCGTTTCCTTCTTAACCATCTGTAGAAACAGGCATGATCAGATTTGGTGAGTATCAACCTGAATACACTCTTCATGCTATAAAGTTACTATTATAGACAAAATAAATGGACATTTCTTTACAATGAAATACTGTCACAGCACAAATTTTTAAGTATTAACTGAAAAATGTAAAGATTACACCCAAGGCTCATACAAGAAAGGACCGTTAGATTTGGGGTCAAATGTTTGAAATTGTCTGTCTTACAATGAAACTGCCAACTTAATTGGTTTTTTAATAATAAACACTATTTTATGTGTGCTGTAGATCCTATTCTTTTTTTAGAAACAGGATTTCTTACTATTTGGTAGATTCCAAATAACTTACTCTTTGTAACTAGCTGTATTCTAAAACATTACTTAGCTAGGTTAAGAATACTATCATGCAGAAATGCTGCCTTACTCTTCTTATAGGTAAATTATAGAGCTTTTAAGTCCACAAAATAGTTCTTAAAATGAAAAGTAAGCCAAACATGAAAACATCAAAAGCAGGAAAGGAAAAGTCCACATTCTAACAAATTCAAGTCTTAAACCTTGTTTAAATAATAGCAAAAATAACTGCATATACATATATACCTGGTATGTAAGTGTGTATGTGGTATGTTTGTGTGTGTGTGTGTGTGTATATGCACATACATACACCTGGTTTTGTTGTTTTTTTTTTTTCAGAATAAACAACTAAATAACTGTATTAGAAAAAAAAGAAACTTACTAAATATCATAATCTGATGATATGTGGTCCTGAATTGGCTACTAGTTTAAGCAAATAAACTGTAAGTCATTTATGGGTTAGTTGGGGAATAAATGGATATGGGCTGGATATTCGGTAATATCATTAATGAAAAGCAGATTGCAGAAATACAGTATGATCTCAGTATTTTGAAATTGTAAATACATGTACAGACAAATACTTAGACAGTATGCATACTGGTGTTAACAGTCACAATTTCTGGGTGATGAAAATGTAACTTGAAACCGCTCCATTTCTACAATGCACATTTACTGTTTCTGTTATAATAAAAGGGTATGTTAGAAAAACAAAAAGGAGGCTGGGCATGGTGGCTCATGCCTCTAATCTCAGCACTTTGGGAGGCCAAGGTGGGCGGATCACTTGAGGTCTGGAGTTTGAGACCAGCCTGAGCAACATGGTGAGACCCCATCTCTACAAAAAAAATATAAAAATTAGCCAGGTGTGGTGGTGCACACCTGTGGTCCCAGCTACTTGGGAGGCTGAGGTGGGAAAATCACTTGAACCTGGGAGGGTGAGGTTGCAGTGAGCTGAGATCATGCCACTGCACTCCAGCCTGGGTGACAGGAAAAGAAAAAGGAAGGAAGAGAAAAAAGAAGGAAAGAGCAAAAGAGACGAAAGAATGAAATGAACTTCAAACAATTGGACTCAATATTCACATTTGGTCCCCCAACTCTCCCCACACTTGCTAGCAAAAATATGAAGCCACATCTGTATTGTCAGAATTAGGCAATGCAGTGTCTTACCCAAATAACTAAAAAATATCAGGTTTGCCTTAAATTACCAAAATATGTACCCAAATCTCCTTTGGTCTATACAGATTTTCCTCCTTAGTCCACCTGCCTTTCTTTTACTGGTAAATGCAACTTTTATTGGTTGCATTTATTTGTAAATTCAGTTTTTCTGAGGGCTATGTAGGAGAAGCTGTAACCAATCTTCAACCCATTTCTCACAGAAATAAGTAAACAATAAATGATAAGGTATCAAAGGCTATCACACTGGTGCCATAAGAAATAATTTAAGTATTGAAAAGTATCTTGAAGAAAAATTGGTATGCATATATATATATAACTCCATATATATAATATATATAATAGAGTTAAAGAATTATACATTTTTAAAAGCATGAATTTAAAATTGAATAGGTACGTGCTGTAAGAGAAAACATTTTGAGGGTTTTTTTTTTCCAATCTTAATTGATGATATAACTTTTAAAATGAACATGAGGAAGGAGGAGGGGGGAAATGCCCTGCCTTTAACTTACTGTTTAAAGGCCCTTTCCCGGCCTTCTGTTCCTTTAAGGAAGAATAAACATTCCTCTTGCTTTCTTAGTTCTTCTGTCTGTCTTTCTTTCATCTGCTCTTCGTGCTTTTTTTTAAGCCATAATCGAAAAGCTTGTTGTGGATCTCTGTTTTCCTGCTGATTAGAAAAACAAGCTTTACTTAGTTTAGATAAACAAGAACTACATTTTGAAGCCCTGCTTATGGGATCCTACAAGAATATATTTCCTACTCTTCAATTTTTCATAATAATGCCAGCCTCATTACCTGCATTCCTAGTATCCAAACCAAATACATCACGCTTAAGTTTTAAGAATATCTTTCAGCAGTTACTTAAAATGGCTAAGCCCATTTTTCAAAACTGTAGTTCCTATTGTAAAGGGTGGCCATAAGGATTTTCAGTCATAAGAATTTTCTTATAAAGATAGCAGCCATGATAATTTTAACATAAGAAAAAGCTAGTAGGAGTGGCTTATTTCGTGGTCCCTCAAAGTTCATGATGGATAGTATCTTCAGGGAATTTTCAAAAGTTCAAAGAGCTCTTATTTGGAGGAATAAAGGAGAGAAAGAAGACAGATTTGGTACTCTTTACCCTTGGGAAAAGTGTCACCTCATGTGGATTCCTGGCTAGAATGCAAAAGGAAAAGATACATTCATTTAATACTTCCCCCAAATATAAGCTTTGTGATTGAGCTTATATCTTGCATTTCCCTCATCTGTTGCCTATATCTTGCATTTTTTCCCTTGTTTGTAACCCACATTGCCAAATATGCTCTAGTCTAATTTAGAAGATTATTCAGGATCTTTGATGCACAACTGAACTTTGTGGAGAAGACCCCTGGATCTAAAGAATCATTGCCAAACACCTGGAAGTCTGGGAATTGCTAGAGATGACATAAAAATGTTCAATCGGGAGTTATAGATCAAAAGAGTCCAGATACAAAGTAATAGATAGGAGGAATAAGTTCTGGTGTTCTATTACACAGTAGAGTGACTACAGTTAACAATACCGTATATTTCAAAATAATGAGGAGAGGATTTTTGAATGTTCTCATCATAAAGAAATGACAAGTGTTTGAGGTAATATGCTAATTACACAATGTGTACATGTATCAAAACATCACACTGTACTCCATAAATATGTGAAATTATGTGTCAATTAAATACAATTTTAAAGTTAAAATATTTTTAAAGATTCAAGGATTCAGGGAGCAACAGGATACATGGGTATCCCCATTCTTTTGTTCTTTCAACAGATATTCATAGTATTTACTACATAGCAGGCACTAAAGTACTGGGTTGCATTAATAAAATTAAGGTTCCCTCTCTCACACATTCTGTACTGTACAATACAGTAACCACAAGTCATAAGTGGCTATTTAAATAAAATTTAAACTTCAGTTTCTCAGTCATACTAGCTACATTTCAAGTGCTTAACAGACACACATGGCTAGCAGCTACTCTAATGGACAGTGCAAATACAGAAAATTTCCATCATCCCAGAAAGTTCTATTGGACAGTGTTCTGCACAGACAGGATAAAAATAAGTGACTGACTGATTGATTGACTGATCTGTCTGATTCAAAAGAAAATATGGGAAGGAGGGTAATAAACACAGCAGTGAGGAGAAAGGATGGTATTTAAATAGAAAGGGAGGAAGTTATGGGATATCTGGAGAAAAACAGTGGTAACAATAAGAGCAAAGGAGCTAAGAAGGGATTGTGTTTGGCATGATCAATAAATAGCAAAGAAGTCAAAGTGAAGCTGTAGCAAAGTAGCTGAAGAGTGGAAGATGAAGTCAGGGAAGTAGTAGGGATCAGGTAATGTATAACCTTGCTGGCCATGGTAGGAACTTTGGATTTCATTTTGAGATGAGAAGCCATTGGGGGTTTCTGAGCATAAGTGACACAGTTTATTCACCATTTTAGAAATATCATTCTGGCTGCTATGTGGAAAACTGAATGAGGGAGAGGCAAGGTAGAAGGGGGCTGGGTTATTAGGCTTTTGTAACAGCCCAGCCAACAGAAGAAAATAGTGGTTTAGATTAGGGTAGTGGGACTCTGTATATGCACTGAAGATAGAACCAACATAATTTGCTCAAAAATTGAATGGATAGTTTTATGTCATGCTTTAAATGATTATTTTTTAAATTATTCCAGGTTTATTAGTATAATAAAAATTCAAGAAAATATATTTTTAAAACAAGGTAAATTACAGCAGAACTATCATCAGAATGATAGACTGCATTGGTATGCAAATATGTCACTGCATAAGATCATAGCAAATAACTCTCAATAGTGGAGGGAACCAAAATAAAAAATTAGAGGAAAATAAAAAATTCTAAAGATAAAATATGAATTATACACATAATTAGTAATGGATTAAATTATCTGATTATAAAAAAGGATAAATGACTGAATTGGAGACTTTTGCATCCATCCATGATATCATAATTGGTATCAGATTTACCCTTCTGCCCTAATTAGCTATAAAGCTAGATAAAATGTATGCAGCAGCTTGATAACTGAGAGTAAGAAAAAACATGATATAACCCCCATATTCACCCTGGCTCTGTACTTGGTGACACTTTCCAGACAACGGTATAGGAAGGAGGAGTCATAGCATCAAGCAGTCACTAGTCTCACTGGGCTCATGAAACAGATAGGAGTCTGGGGCTGCTGAGACAGCTGAATTTCCAGGGCAGGGTACTAGAAATGAAGCAGTCATGTGGAGGGATGCTCCAAGAGTCTGTGTGGGGGTTTCCCTTGGGTCTTGGCAAGGCCTGGGCTGCACATGTGTAGAGTGAGGCTCTGTAAGGTCTAACAGAGAGTAGCTGCTGTTAATGAAGAAGATAATAAAGGTTGCATAGTTTTGGAGACATTGGAGTTCCAATCCAACTATAGTGGGAATACTTCATTGCTTACCTTGGTCAACCACTTACAACCCTAAAAAGGCCATGCTTTGGAAATAAGGGTCATGTCCTAGAGTAAGGACCATGCTCTAGGACTAAGGACAAAAGCAAAATAAACCCATCCTAACAAAGCATAAAACAAAGTCTGACAGGATCAAGAGTATTCCTTACTAATCTAACTGCCTACAAGAAAAAAATTCAATACCCTTTAAAGGAAAACAGTGTATTCTATATTTCCTTACAACTTTTATATTGAAAAGATCCACAGTCTATTAACCAATTTAAAAAAAATCACTGGATATCTAAAGAAACAAGAAAATGTGACCCATAATCCAGAGAAAGAGGCCTTCAACAGATCGATCCTAAGATGACATAGATATTGGCATTTAGATACAAACAGGTCTAATATTTAAGAAATGAAAAGATGAATATAAAAAAGGTCTAATATGTAAGAAATGAACAGGTGAATATAATGAATAAAAAGAGAATCTCAGTAAAGAAATGGAAATTTAAAAAAATAAACTGATAGGAGGATCCAAGATGGCCAAATAGGAACAGCTCCAGTCTATAGCTCCCAGCGTGAGTGATGCAGAAGACGGGTGATTTCTGCATTTCCAACTGAGGTACCGGGTTCATCTCACTGGGGCTTGTCAGACAGTGGGTGCAGCCCACAGAGCACAGTGGGGCATCGCCTCACCCAGGAAGCACAAGGGGTCGGGGAATTCCCTTTCCTAGCCAAGGGAAGCTATGACAGATGGTACCTGGAAAACTGGGACACTCCCACCCCAATACTACACTTTTCCAACGGTCTTAGCAAACGGCACATCAGAAGATTATATCCCGCACCTGGCTCAGAGGGTCCCACTCCCACAGAGCCTCACTCACTGCTAACACAGCAGTCTGAGATCAAACTGCAATGCCACAGCAAGGCTAGGGGAGAGATGTCTGCCATTGCTGAGGCTTAAGTAGGTAAACAAAGCAGCTGGGAAGCTCCAACTGGGTGGAGCTGACCACAGCTCAAGGAGGCCTGCCTGCCTCTGTAGACTCTACCTCTGGGGGCAAGACACAGCTGAACAAAAGGCAGCAGAAACTTCTGCAGACTTAAACGTCCCAGTCTGACAGCTTTGAAGAGAGTAGTGCTTTTCCCAGCACGGAGTTTGAGATCTGAGAAAGGACAGACTGCCTCCTCAAGTGGGTCCCTGACGCCCAAGTAGGCTAACTGGGAGACACCTCCCAGTAGGGGCCAACTGACACCTCATACAGCCGGGTGCCCCTCTGAGACGAAGCTTCCAGAGGAAGGATCAGGCAGCAACATTTGCTGTTCTGCAATATTTGCTGTTCTGCAGCCTCTGCTGGTGAGACCCAAGCAAACCAGGGTCTGGAGTGGACCTCCAGCAAACTCCAATAGACCCACAGGTGAGGGTCCTGACTGTTAGAAGGAAAACTAACAAACAGAAAGGACATCCACACCAAAACCCCATCTGTACATCACCATCGTCAAAGACCAAAGGTAGATAAGACCACAAAGATGGGGAGAAACCAGAGTAGAAAAGCTGAAAATTCTAAAAATCAGAGTGCCTCTTCTCCAAAGGAATGCAGCTCTTCCCCAGCAATGGAACAAAGCTGGATGGAGAATGACTTTGATGAGTTGAGAGAAGAAGGCTTCAGACAATCGGTAATAACAAACTTCTCCGAGCTAAAGAAGGATGTTTGAACCCATCGCAAAGAAGCTAAAAACCTTGAAAAAAAGATTAGACGAATGGCTAACTAGAATAAACAGTGTAGAGGAGACCTTAAATGACCCGATGGAGCTGAAAACCATGGCACAAGAACTACGCGATGCATGCACAACCTTCAGTAGCCAATTTGATCAAGTGGAAGAAAGGGTATCTGTGATTGAAGATCAAATGAATGAAATGAAGTGAGAAGAGAAGTTTAGAGAAAAAAGGGTAAAAAGAAATGAACAAAGCCTCCAAGAAATATGGGACTATGTGAAAAGACCAAATCTACGTCTGATTGGTGTACCTGAAAGTGACGGGGAGAACGGAACCAAGTTAGAAAACACTCTTCTGGATATGATCCAGGAGAACTTCCCCAAGCTAGCAAGGCAGGCCAACATTCAAATTCAGGAAATACAGCAAATACCACAAAGATACTCCTCAAGAAGAGCAACTCCAAGACACATAATTGTCAGATTTACTAAAGTTGAAATGAAGGAAAAAATGTTAAGGGCAGCCAGAGAGAAAGGTTGGGTTACCCACAAAGGGAAGCCCATCAGACTAACAGCGGATCTCTCGGCAGAAACTCTACAAGCCAGAAGAGAGTGGGGGCCAATATTCAACATTCTTAAAGAAAAGAATTTTCAACCCAGAATTTCATATCCAGCCAAACTAAGCTTCATAAGTGAAGGAGAAATAAAATACCTTACAGACAAGCAAATGCTGAGAGATTTTGTCACCACCAGGCCTGCCCTAAAAGAGCTCCTGAAGGAAGCACTAAACATGGAAAGGAACAACCAGTACCAGCCACCACAAAAACATGCCAAAATGTAAAGACCATCAAGGCTAGGAAGAAACTGCATCAACTAACGAGCAAAATAACCAGCTAACATCATAATGACAGGACCAAATACACACATAACAATATTAACTTTAGATGTAAATGGGCTAAATGCTCCAATTAAAAGACACAGACTGGCACATTGGATAAAGAGTCAAGACCCATCAGTGTGCTGTATTCAGGATACCCATGTGCAGAGACACACATAGGCTCAAAATAAAGGGAAGGAGGAAGATCTACCAAGCAAATGGAAAACAAACAAAAAAAAAAAAAAGCAGGGGTTGCAATCCTAGTCTCTGAAAAAACCAGACTTTAAACCAACAAAGATCAAAAGATACAAAAAAGGCCATTATATAATGATGGGGTATCAATCCAATGAGAAGAGCGAACTATCCTAAATATATATGCACCCAATACAGGAGCACCCAGATTCATAAAGCAAACCCTTAGAGACCTACAGAGAAACTTAGACTCCCACACATTAATAATGGGAGACTTTAACACCCCACTGTTAACATTAGACAGATCAACGAGACAGAAAATTAACAAGGATATCAAGGAATTGAACGCAGCTCTGCACCAAGCGGACCTAATAGACATCTACAGAACTCCACCCCAAATCAACAGAATATACATTCTTCTCAGCACCACATCACACTTATTCCAAAATTGACCACATAGGTGAAAGTAAAGCACTCCTCAGCAAATGTAAAAACACAGAAATTATTACAAACTGTCTCTCAGACCACAGTGCAATCAAACTAGAACGCAGGCTTAAGAAACTCACTCAAAACCGCTCAACTACGTGGAAACTGAACAACCTGCTCCTGAATGACTACTGGGTAGATAACGAAATGAAGGCAGAAATAAAGATGTTCTTTGAAACCAATGAGAACAAAGACACAACATACAAGAATCTCTGGGACACATTTAAAGCAGTGTGTAGAGTGAAATTTATAGCACTAAATGCCCACAAGAGAAAGCAGGAAAGATCTAAAATTGATACCCTAACATCACAATTAAAAGAACTGGAGAAACAAGAGCAAACACATTCAAAAGCTAGCAGAAGGCAAGAAATAACTAAGATCAGAGCAGAACTGAAGGAGATAGAGACAAAAGAAACCCTTCAAAAAAATCAATGAATCCAGGAGCTGGTTTTTTGAAAAGATCAGCAAAATCGATAGACTGCTACCAAGACTAATAAAGAAGAAAAGAGAGAAGAATCAAATAGATGCAATAAAAATTGATAAAGGGGATATCACCACCGATCCCACAGAAATACAAACTACCATCAGAGAATACTATAAACACCTCTATGCAAATAAACTAGAAAATCTAGAAGAAATGGATAAACTCCTGGACACATACACCCTCCCAAGACTAAACCAGGAAGAAGCTGAATCCCTGAATAGACGAATAACAGGCTCTGAAATTGAGGCAATAATTAATAGCCTACCAACCAAAAAAAGTCCAGGACCAGACAGATTCACAGCCAAATTCTACCAGAGGTACAAAGAGGAGCAGGTACCATTCCTTCTGAAACTATTCCAATCATCAGAAAAAGAGGGAATCCTCCCTAACTCGTTATAAGGCCAGCATCATCCTGATACCAAAGCCTGGCAGAGACACAACAAAAAAAGAGAATTTTTGACCAATACCCCTGATGAACATTGATGCAAAAATCCTCAATAAAATACTGGCAAACCAAATCCAGCAGCACATCAAAAAGCTTATCCACCATGATCAAGTGGGCTTCATCCCTGGGATGCAAGCCTGGTTCAACGTATGCAAATCAATAAACGTAATCCATCATCTAAACAGAACCAAAGACAAAAACCACATGATTATCTCAATAGATGCAGAAAAGGCCTTCGAAAAAATTCAACAGCCCTTTATCCTAAAAACTCTCAATGAACTAAGTATTGATGGGACGTATCTCAAAATAATGAGAGCTATTTATGAGAAATCCACAGCCAATATCATAGTGAATGGGCAAAACTGGAAGCATTCCCTTTGAAAACTGGCACAAGACAGGGATGCCCTCTCTCGCCACTCCTATTCAACATAGTGTTGGAAGTTCTGGACAGGGCAATCAGGCAGGAGAAAGAAATAAAGTGTATTCAATTAGGAAAAGAGGAAGTCAAATTGTCCCTGTTTGCAGATGACATGATTGTATATTTAGAAACCCCATCGTCTCAGCCCAAAATCTCCTTAAGCTGATAAGCAACTTCAGCAAAATCTCAGGATACAAAATCAATGTACAAAAATCACAAGCATTCTTATACACCAATAACAGACAAACAGAGAGCCAAATCATGAGTGAATTCTCATTCATAATTGCTTCAAAGGGAATAAAATACCTAGGAATCCAACTTACAAGGGATGTGAAGGACCTCTTCAAGGAGAACTACAAACCACTGCTCAATGAAATAAGAGGACACAAACAAATGGAAGAACATTCCATGTTCATAGATAGTAAGAATCAATATCGTGAAAATGGCCATACTGCCCAAGGTAATTTATAGATTCAATGCCATCCCCATCAAGCTATCAATGACTTTCTTCACAGAATGGAAAAAACTACTTTAAAGTTCATATGGAACCAAAAAAGAGCCCACATTGCCAAGACAATCCTAAGCAAAAAGAACAAAGCTGGAGGCATCACGCTACCTGACTGCAAACTACACTGCAAGGATACAGTAACCAAAACAGCATGGTACTGGTACCAAAACAGAGATATAGACCAGTGGAACAGAACAGAACCCTCAGAAATAATACCACATATCTACAACCATCTGATCTTTGACAAACCTCACAAAAACAAGAAACGGCGGAAGGATTCCCTATTTAATAAATGGTGCTGGGAAAACTGGCTAGCCATATGTAGAAAGCTGAAACTGGATTCCTTCCTTACGCCTTATACAAAAATTAATTCAAGATGGATTAAAGACTTAAATGTTAGACCTAAAACCATAAAAACCCTAGAAGAAAAGCTAGGAAATACCATTCAGGCCACAGGCATGGGCAAAGACTTCATGACTAAAACAAAAGCAATGGCAACAAAAGCCAAAATTGACAAATGGGATCTAATTAAAATAAAGAGCTTCTGCACAGCAAAAGAAACTACCATCAGAGTGAACAGGCAACCTACAGAATGGGGGAAAATTTTTACAATCTACCCATCTGACAAAGGGCTAATATCCAGAATTTACAAAGAGCTTAAATTTACAAGAAAAAAACAACCCCATCAAAAAATGAGTGAAGGATATGAACAGACACTTCTCAAAAGAAGACATTTATGCAGCCAACATACACATGAAAAAAGGCTCATCATCACTGGCCATCAGAGAAATGCAAATCAAAACCACAACAAGATACCATCTCACACCAGTTAGAATGGCAATCATTAAAAAGTCAGGACACAACAGGTGCTGGAGAGGATGTGGAGAAATAGGAACTCTTTTACAGTGTTGGTGGGAGTGTAAAGTAGTTCAACCACTGTGGAAGACAGTGTGGCAATTCCTCAAGTATCTAGAACTAGAAATACCATTTGACCCAGCCATCCCATTACTGGGTATATACCCAAAGGATTATAAATCATGCTGCTATAAAGACACATGCACACATATGTTTATTGCAGCACTATTCACAATAGCAAAGACTCGGAACCAACCCAAACGTCCAACAATGATAGACTGGATTAAGTAAATGTTGCACATATACACCATGGAATACTATGCAGCCATAAAAAAGGATGAGTTCATATCCTTTTTAGGGACATGGATGAAGCTGGAGACCATCATTCTGAGCAAACTATCACAAGGACAGAAAACCAAACACCGCATGTTCTCACTCACAGGTGGGCATTGAACAATGAGAACACTTAGACACAGGGTGGGGAACATCACACACCAGGGCCTGTTGTGGGGTGGAGAGAGAGCATTAAGCGATATACCTAATGTAAAGGATGAGTTAACGGGTGCAGCACACCAACATGGCACATGTATACATATGTAACAAACCTGCACGTTGTGGCACATGTACCCTAGAACTTAAAGCATAATAAAAAAGAAAAGAAAAAAAACCCACCACAAAAAAAATAAAAAAAAATAAACCAACAAACAAACACAACCTAAATTCCCTGAATGGGCTTAACAGTGGAATGAACATTGCAGAAGTACTGATGCCTCAAGATGGATCAATAGAAATGATGTAAACTGAACAAATGAAAAAAATTTTCAGTAAACAGACGTTTAGTAACATGAGATAATAGCAAGTCTTCTAACATACGTAAAATTGGATTTCCAGAAGGAGAGGAGAAAAAAGATGAGGCAGAAAAAAAAAAAAAAAAAGCCTTTGAAGAAACAGTGGCTGAGAATTTCCCAAATCTGGTACAAAACATGAACATAAAGATTCAAGAAGCTCAGCAAAACCCAGGTTAGGTAAATTCAAAGAAAATCACACATGTAATACACTTCTAAAAACCAAAGCCAGGAAAATTTTAAAGAAGCCAGAGGAAAAAGATTTATTATATACACCAGAACAATGATAAGAATGATAGCCAACCTCTGAATAGAAACAAAGGACATTGTAAAACAATTGAACATCATCTTTAAAATGCTGCAGGGGAAAAATACCTGTCAGCCTCAAATTCTATACCAAGTAAAAGGAAAAAAAAATTCTTCGGTGATTTTCCACACATTCAGTATATATGTATATATTCAGAGCAATGCCTTAAAAAAAGCATGCAGAGGCATACTTAAAAAGTATATAAGAAAATAAAAAGGACTGTTTTTTAAATACTTGATTATAAGGCAGAAAAGGATGAGTAATTGAACAAATAGATAACAAATATCAAGATGACAGATTTAAAAACTATCGATCAATAATTATAATTAAATACAGGGGTGGCTGGCAAGATGGCCAAATAGGAACAGCTCCAATCTGCAGCTCCCAGTGAGACCAACACAGAAGGCAGGTGATTTCTGCGTTTGTAACTGAGGCACTCGGCTCATCTCACTAGGACTGGTTAGACAGTGGGTGCAACCCACAGAGGGTGAGCCGAGGCAGGGTGAAGCGTCGCCTCACCTGGGAAGCTCAAGGGGTCAGGGAACTCCCTCCCCTAGCCAAGGGAAGCTGTGAGGGACTGTGCTACGAGGAACTGTGCATTATTGCCCAAATACCACCCCTTTCCCAGGGTCTTCACAACCAGGAGACCAGGAGATTCCCTTGAATGCCTACACCACCAGGGCCCTGGGTTTCAAGCACAAAACTGGGTGGCCGTTTGGGAAGACACCAAGCTAGCTGCAGGAGTTTTTCATCATACTGGAATGCCAGTGAGAGAGAACCATTCACTCCCCTGGAAAGGGGGCTAAAGCCAGGGAGCCAAGTGATCTAGCTCAGCAGATCTCACCCCCACAAAGCCCAGCAAGCTAAGATCCACTTGCTTGAAATTCTCACTGCCAGCACAGCAGTCTGAAGTCGACCTGGGACGCTCGAGCTTCTTGTGGGAAGGGGTGTCCACCATTACTGAGGCTTGAGTAGGCAGTTTTCCCCTCACAGCCAGGAAGTTGGAACTGGGCAGAGCCCACCACATCTCGGCAAAGCCAGACTGCCTCTCTAGATTACTCCTCTCTGGGCAGGGCATCTCTGAAAGAAAGGCAGCAGCCCCAGTCAGGGGCTTATAGATAAAACTCCCATCACCCTGGGACAGAGCACCTGGGGGAAGGGGTGGCTGCGGGCACAGCTTCAGCAGACTTCAATGTCCCTGCCTGCCAGCTCTGAAGAGAGCAGCGGATTTCCCAGCACAGTGCTTGAGCTCTGCTAAGGGACAGACTGCCTCCTCCAGTGGGTCCCTAACCCCCGCGCCTCCTGACTGGGAGACACCTCCCAGCAGGGGTCGAGAGACACCTCACACAGGAGAGCTCTGGAGAGTGCCCCTCTGGGACAAAGCTTCCAGAGGAAGGAACAGGAAGCAATCTTTGCTGTTCTGCAGCTTCTGCTGGTGATACCCAAGCAAACAAGGTCTGGAGAGGACCTCCAGCAAACTCCAGCAGAGTTGAAGCAGAGGGGCCTGACTGTTAGAAGGAAAACTAACAAACAGAAAGGAATAGCATCAACATCAACAAAAAGGATATCCACACAAAAACCCCATCCAAAGGTCACCAACATCAAAGACAAAAGGTAGATAAATCCATAAAGATGAGGAAAGCCCTGCGCAAAAAGGCTGAAAATTCCAAAAACCAGAATGCCTCTTCTCCTCCAAAGGATCACAACTCCTCGCCAGCAAGGGAACAAAACTGGACAGAGAATGAGTTTGACGAATTGACGGAAGTAGGCTTCAGAAGGTGGGTAATAACAAACTCCTCTGAGCTAAAGGAGCATGTTCTAACACAATGCAAGGAAGCTAAGAATCTTCAAAAAAGGTTAGATGAGTTGCTAACTAGAATAACCAGTTCAGAGAAGAACATAAATGACCTGATGGAGCTGAAAAACACAGCATGAGAACTTCGTGAAACATACACAACTATCAATAGCCAAATCAATGAAGTGGAAGAAAGGATATCAGAGATTGAAGATCAACATAATGAAATAAAGTGTGAAGACAAGATCAGAGAAAAAAGAATGAAAAGGAACAAACTTGGCCTCCAAGAAATATGGAACTATGTGAAAAGACCAAACCTACGTTTGATTGGTGTACCTGAAAGTGACAGAGAGAATGGAACCAAGTTGGAAAACACTCTTCAGGATATTACCCAGGAGAACTTCCCCAACCTACCAAGGCAGGCAAACATTCAAATTTAGGAAATACAGAGAACACCACAAAGATACTCCTCAAGAAGAACAACACCAAGACACATAATCGCCAGATTCACCAAGTTTGAAATGAAGAAAAAAATGTTAAGGGCAGCCAGAGAGAAAGGTCGGGTTACTTATAAAGGGAAGCTCATCAGACTAAGAGCAGATCTCTCTGCAGAAACCCTACAAGCCAGAAGAGAGTAGGGGCCCAATATTCAACATTCTTAAAGAATTTTCAACCCAGAATTTCATATCCAGCCAAACTAAGCTTCATAAGTGAAGGAGAAATAAAATCCTTTACAGACAAGCAAATGCTGAGAGATTTTGTCACCACCAGGCCTGCCTTACAAGAGCTCCTGAAGGAAGGACTAAATATGTAAAGGAAAAACAGATACCAACCACTGCCGAAACATGCCAATTGTAAAGACCATTGACACTATGAAGAAACTGCATCAACTAACAGGCAAAATAACCAACTAGCATCATAATGACAGGATCAAATTCACACATAACAATATTGACCTTTACTGTAAACGGGATAAATGCCCCAATTAAGAGACACAGACTGGCAAATCGGATAGAGTCAAGACCCATAGGTGTGCTGTATTCAGGAGACACATCTCATATGCAGAGACACACATAGGCTCAAAATAAAGGGATGGAGGAACATTTACCAAGCAAATGGAAAGCAAAAAAAAAAAAAAAAGCAGGGGTTGCAATACTAGTCTCTGATAAAACATACTTTAAACCAACAAAGATCAAAAAAGACAAAGAAGGGCATTACATAATCGTAAAGGGATCAATGCAACAAGAAGAGCTAACTATCCTAAATATATATGCACCCAATACAGGAGCACCCAGATGCATAAAGCAAGCCCTTAGAGACCTATAAAGAGACTTAGACACCCACACAATAATAGTGGGAGACTTTAACACCCTGCTGTCAATATTAGACAGATCGACAAGACAGAAAATTAACAAGGATATTCAGGACTTGAACTCAGCTCTGGACCAAGCGGACCTAATAGACATCTATAGAACTCTCCACCTTAAATCAATAAAATATACATTCTTCTCAGCATCACATTGCACTTATTCTAAAATTGACCACATATGGGAAGTAAAACACTCCTCAGCAAATGCAAAAGAATGCAAATCATAACAAACAGTCTCTCAGACCACAGTGCAATCAAATTAGAACTCAGGATTAAGAAACTCACTCAAAACTGCACAACTACATGGAAACTGAACAACCTGCTCCTGAATGACTACTGGGTAAATAACGAAATTAAGGGAGAAATAAATAAGTTCTTTGAAACCAATGAGAACAAAGACACAATGTACCAGATCTCTAGGATACAGCTAAAGCAGTGTTTAAAGAGAAATTTACAGCACTAAATGCCCACAGGAGAAAGCGGGAAACATCTAAAATCAACATTTTAACATCGCAATTAAAAGAACTAGAGAAGCAAGAGCAAACACATTCAAAAGCTAGCAGAAAGCAAGAAATAACTAAGATCAGAGCAGAAATGAAGGAGATAGACAAATGAAAAACCCTTCAAAAAATCAATCCAGGAGCTGGTTTTTTGAAAAGATTAACAAAATACATAGACCGCTATCCAGACTAATAAAGAATAAAAGAGAGAAGAATCAAATAGACACAATAAAAAAATGATAAAGGGGATATCACCACTGATTTCACAGAAATAGAAACTACCATCATATAATAGTATAAACACCTTTATGCAAATAAACTAGAAAGTCTAGAAGAAATGGATAAATTCCTGGACACATACACCCTCCCAAGACTAAACCAGAAATAAGTCAAATCTCTGTATAGACCAATAACAAGTTCTGAAATTGAGGCAGTAATTAATAGCCTACCAACCAAAAAAAGCCAAGGACCAGACAGATTCACAGCTGAATTCTATCAGCAGTACAAAGAGGAGCTGGTACCATTACTTCTGAAACTATTCCAAACAACAGAAAAAGAGGGACTCCTACCTAACTTATTTTATGAGGCCAGCATCATCCT
The DNA here is from genome assembly GCF_000001405.40 of Homo sapiens. Lineage (NCBI taxonomy): Eukaryota > Metazoa > Chordata > Mammalia > Primates > Hominidae > Homo > Homo sapiens. Next base: position 169,411,556 of record NC_000001.11, read on the forward strand.
GATACCAAAGCCTGGCAGAGACACAAGAAAAGAAAATTTCAAGCCAATATCCCTGATGAACATCAATGTGAAAATTCGCAATAAAATACCAGCAAACCAAATCCAGCAGCACATGAAAAAGTTCAACATCAAGTCAACTTCATCCCTGGGATGCAAGGCTGGTTCAACATATGCAAATCGATAAACATAATCCATCATATAAACAGAAACAATGACAAAAACCACACAATTATCTCAATAGTTGCAGAAAAGGCCTTCGATAAAATTCAACAGCACTTCATGCTAAAAACTCTCAATAAACTAGGTACTGATGGCACGTATCTCAAAATAATAAGAGCTATTTATGACAAATCCATAGCCAATATCATACTGAATGGGCAAAAGCTGGAAGCATTCCCTTTGAAAACTGGCATAAGACAAGGATGCCCTCTCTCACCACTCCTATTCAACATAGTATTGGAAGTTCTGGCCAGGGCAATCAGGCAAGAGAAAGAAATACAGGGTATTCAAGTAGGAAGAGAGGAAGTCAAATTGTCTCTGTTTGCAGATGATATTATTGTATGTTTAGAAAACCCCATCATCTTAGCCCAAAATCTCCTTAAGCTGATAAGCAACTTCAGCAAAGTCTCAGGATACAAAATCAACGTGCAAAAATAACAAGCATTACGATACAGCAGTAGTACAAACAGAGCCAAATCATGAGTGAATTCCCATTCACATTGCTACAAAGAGAATAAAATACCTAGCAATACAACTTACAAGGGATGTGAAGGACCTCTTCAAGGAGACCTACAAACCACCACTCAAGGAAATAAGAGATGACACAAACAAATGGAAAAACATTCCATGCTCATGGACAGGAAGAATCAATATTATGAAAATGGCCATACTGCCCAAAGTAATTTACTGATTCAATGCTATCCCCATCAAGCTACCATTGACGTTCTTCACAGAATTAGAAAAAACTTCTTTAAAGTTCATATGGAACAAAAAAAGAGCCTGCATAGCCAAGATAATCTAAAGCAAAAAGAACAAAGCTGGAGGCATCATGGACCTGACTTCAAACTATACTACAAGGGTACAGTAACCCAAACAGCATGGTACTGGTACCAAAACAGATATATAGACCAGTGGAACAGAACAGAGGACTCAGAAATAATGCCACCCATCTACAACCACCTGATCTTCGACAAACCTGACAAAAACAAGAAATGGGGAAAGGATTCCTTATTTAATAAATGGTGCTGGGAAAACTGGCTAGCCATATGCAGAAAACTGAAACTGTACCCCTTCCTTACATCTTATACAAAAATTAACTCAAGATGGATTAAAGATTTAAACAGAAGACCTAAAACCATAAAAACCCTAGAAGAAAACCTAGGCAATACCATTCAGGACACAGGCATGGGCAAAGACTTTATGACTAAAACACCAACAGCAATGGCAACAAAAGCCAACATTGACAAATGGGATCTAATTAAACTAAAGAGCTTCTGCACAGCAAAAGAAACTATCATCAGAGTGAACAGGCGACCTACAGAATGGGAGAAAATTTTTGCAATCTATCCACTAGACAAAGGGCTAATATCCAGAATCTACAAGGAACTTAAATTTACAACAAAAAACAAACAACCCCATCAAAAAGTGGGCAAAGGATATGAACAGACAATTCTCTAAGAAGACATTTATGCAGCCAATAGACATATGAAAGAAAGGTCATCATCACTGGTATTAGAGAAATGCAAATCAAAACCACAATGAGATACCATCTCCCACCAGTTAGAATGGCGATCATTAAAAAGTCAGGAAACAATAGATGCTGGAGAGGATGTGGAGAAATAGGAATTCTTTTACAGTGTTGGTGGGAGTGTAAATTAGTTCAACCACTGTGGAAGACAGTGTGGTGATTCCTCAAGGCTCTAGAACCAGAAATACCATTTGACCCAGCAATCCCATTACTGGATTATATACCCGAAGGATTATAAATTATTCTACTATAAAGACACATGCACATGTATGTTTATTGAGGCACTATTCACAATAACAAATACTTGAAACCAACCCAAATGCCCATAAATGACAGACTGGAGAAAGAAAATGTGGCAGTTATATACCATGGAATAGTATGCAGCTATAAAAAAGGATGAGTTCATGTCCTTTGCAGGGACATCAATGAAGCTGGAAGCCATCATTCTCAACAAACTAACACAGGAATAGAAAACCAAACACTGCATGTTCTCACTCATAAGTGGAAGTTGAACAATGAGAACACATGGACACAGGGAGGGGAACATCACACACTGGGGCCTGTCGGAGGGTGGGGGGCTAGGGGAGGGATAGCATTAGGAGAAATACCTAATGTAGATGACGGGTTGATGGGTACAGCAAATCACCATGGCACGTGTCTACTTATGTAACAAACCTGCACTTTCTGCACACGTATCCCAGAACTTAAAATATAATTAAAAAAAATAATTAAATACAAGTGAATACTAAGTATAAGGAGTGGACTGCTGGACTGGAAGATTCAAATATATGACGTCTGCACAAGCCATTTTAAATATAAAGCCACAGATACATTGAAAGTAAAATATGAAAAAAGTTATACCATGCAAATGGTAAGCATAACAACACTGATGTGGCTACATTAACCTCAGCCAAAACAGACTTCAGGATATGAGGGACATTTCATAATGGGAAAAGGTCATTATCAGGAAGACATAAAGTCCTAAATGTATACCCACAACACTTGAAAATACATGAAGCAAAACTCAACAGAACCAAAGGAGAAATAGGCAAGGGCACAATGATAGATGAAATTATTAACACTATTTTCTAAGTAATTCATAGGAAAAATGGGGGAAGACAATAAGCATGCAGAAGATCTTAACAACACTATCAACCAACTAGACTATATTGACATTAATACAGCACTACATCCAATGCAGAATACACAAGGTATACAAGTACCCATGGACGGTTAACATAGATAGACTATATACATACATACATTTTCATGTGTGTGTATACATATATATCACTGAGCAAGAGAAGCAAATTTCAAAACAACGTTGGAAAGACATTTTTAGCTATTTTTCCTAAAAATGGCAATAAAAATTACATCACCTAAGATCTTTTATCCATCTAATGTAAAAAAGGTCATTCCACAATCTATAAATCTAAAGATATTTTCTGGAAACTATGACTCACATTATACACAATGTCCCACAGAAATAATCAACATAATGCACTTATTATAGCAATGTATTAATAAGCCAAATTAATCAACTACCAAATTGTGCTATATTTCAGCTTGAGTAGAGACAAAGCTCATAAAAGTACTTCAGAATACTATTAGTTTGTGATACTATTTCTCATTAAAATATATTTTTGAGACAAACTTGAAATGTAGCAAAAAATACTACATATTCAAAATAAATATTCAAAGGGAAATATATAACCATGATGTCTTCTACATAAAATTTTTTGAAATAAATTATGTTCAATATGACTCATGTTTTCTGAGAATACAATCCAAGATTACTATTTACTATGTACAAATACAGCACAATTATGTGCAAATATTGCACAATATACTGTACATTTATTTTTGCAAATACCCCATTTAAAAAATTATAATACTTGGAATGCCATGAGGCCTGAAGGCCCATCATCGTCCAAGAAGCTATCAGCAGTATGGCCATAGCTGTGTTTTCCGTGGTCACTGACTGAAACATAAACTCCTCTTGTCTTCTATACCTGTAATCACTACAGCAATATGCTGTGCTGCTTCTTCACCCAATCCCAAATTCCTCCTGTCCTTCATAACCCTTGTTAGTTCTCTGTAATTCCTACTCAATGATATAAAAACTCCCAAACAACATCCATCCTCCCAAGTCACTGAAAGGGATCTGGCCCTAAATTTCCTATCTTATGCAAATTCTGATTCTCCCCCAAGCCACATCTTCTCTGAAACAGAGGCTGCATTTTCTACCATACTTCAAGTACTTCGGTGGTCAGACAAATAAATTAATATTCTCTTCATTCCCCCATACGTCTTCTGAATTGTATTTCTGTTTTCCTGAGAAAACCCATCCTCCTTTGACATTTGTATCATTTGGCTCTATTAAAAATAGTTATGTAACCACCTCTGATCACTCCTGACTCAATATTCCTCTCCATGCCAGTCCCAAGGTATATTTTTAACTACATAGAAGAGCCATTGAACATCCACCCCCAAAGACCTTTGATTCTCTCATCTTCTACGTCTTTCTCCATTACACTTGCCACGTATTTCTATGGCCATATCCTCATCACACAAACTACTCCACCTCTGAAATCGCTAATTTCCTATCTCCAGTCCCAACTTTTCTCCTGAAAACCGGATAAATTTCTCCAACTAATCTTCAATATCTTCATCTGGATATTTTGTGCATACCTGAAACTCAACAACTTAAATTGGTCACCCCTCCCACGAGGAGTTTTCAGTAGGCTTAAGTAGATTCCAGCTGAGAAGCTGTAAGAATCGTGTTCTAGGGTTGGGACGCTAGGCCCCAGTGGCCTAGATTTTCTAGTGGGATCTTCTGATCCATGGGTTGCACAGTTCTGTGGAAAAAGCACAGTTTCCCCTTCTGGGTAGCGTGCTCATTCACTGCCTCCCTTTGCTGGGGGTAGGGGGTTCTCCTTTCCCATGTAGCTCTCAGGTGGGCCACGCACTACACTGCTCTTCCTTCTGTCCATGGGTCACGCCAGCCTTCTAGTCAAGTTTGATGAGAGAACCTGGATACCTTGGTTGCCAGTGAAGGATTCACATGCTTATTATGTTTTTTTCCGATAGGAGCCTCTGAGCCCCCCTGCTTCTAGTCAGCCATCTTGGCCCCGTCACTCCTATTATTTTTACCTCATTTCCTTTTCTTAATGAATTGGATTGAAACACCAGAATACAGTTATTTAATATAGAACCTTACATGTTTCTGATTGTAACAGGTATGCCTAGAGTATTTCCCCATTATAGTGTTTATTATCCGCATTTTATTAGGAATTTTTAAAAAGAAATTATACCTTTGCTATATCTTTCAAGATAATATTCTTTTATCTACTTACTGATGTGATGAATGATATTAGTACATGTTATTACTGATCCATAATTTCCTTCCTAAATCTTACTCAGTGTATTATTATTTTACTATATGGTATCAGTCAAATTTCTCCATATTTCCTCTTTTAGTTTATGTTTTTTCTGCCTTGCCTGTGAAAGTACTGCCCATCCCAAGATTTTAAAAAGCTAAAAACTTCCACAAATGGCATAATAAACACTGTAACAAAAAATATATTGTCAGACTAGGAAAATATATAACATATATAATAGACAAAGGATCAAAATCTCTCATATACCACTTAGATAATAAAAACCAAACTAAAAAAGGAAAAAGATTATAAACAGGAAATTCACAGAATAATACACACGCTATATAAATAGAAAAACCAATTGGTTTTCCTTCTCATTCACACTCAACACAGAATACTTCACCTCTGGTTACCAAAATGGGGAAGGGTTCCCACTTCCCACACTGACAAGTTTAACACCAGCTGGGTATCCTACAATTTAATCCGATTCTGATAATATATCCCTGGAGTTAGCATCAAATCCCATGGGTTAAGGGCTCAATCCCTCAAGATTGCCTCCACTTCAGATATCAATCAAAAGCCTAGATTGTGACCAGAGCTTCTGTCTGACCAGCTATATATTGCCAGGGTGGGGAGTGGTGGGAACATGACCCTCTCCTCAGGTTTGATTAATTTGCTAGAGCAACTCACATAACTCGAGGAAACACATTTACAAGTTTATTAATAAAGAATATAATAAAAGACACAGATGAAGAGCTACACAAGGCAAAGTATTTGGGAAGGGGTGTGAAGCTTCCATGCCCTCTTGGGGGCACACCACCCCCCCAACACCACATTTCCCATACCCTAGAAGCTCTCTGAACCCTGCAGCTTGGGGATTTTTATAAAGGCTTCATCACATAGTTATTGAGATTATTAACTCAATCTCTAGCCCCTTCCCCCTTCCTAGAAGAAAGGAGTTAGAACTGAAAGTTCCGGGCTTCTAATCATGGCTTAGTCTTTCTGGCAGCCAGCACCTAACCAGGAGCCCACCAAGAGTCATCTTATTAGAACAAAGAGAGTCCTATCACCTAAGAAGTTCCAAGGAATTAGCAGCTGTTTGTCAGAAGCCAGGATAAAAGCTCAGTTATTAGAACAAGAGATACATGTAGAACCCCCATCACTCAAGAAATTAAAAAGGTTTTAGGAGCTGTGTGCCAAAAACTAGGGGTAGAGACCTATATCTATCTCTTATTATTTCTCACACATGCTCATATACAAGCATGTATATTATTAATTTGAAGGAAAAATAAGATGATAACCCACATACAGTGTTAGTCATTCACTCTCACACACCGTTGGAGGAACAGGTATAACATTTACTCTCACACACTGTTGGAGGAACTATAAATTCATATTATCTTTTGGGAGGTTACTTTTGCATCTTTAACGAAACATTTCACTCTAAGCCTTCAAACATTTTAAATTCACCTCTGAAGAACTTCTCCTACAGATTACTGATGTTCCCATAGAATGTACCTCTTCACTACAGCACTGTTAACTAACGCAACATTGGAACCAACCTAAATATCTACAAATGAAGAATGGCTTAATAAATTAACACTGTAATACCATGCAGCTATTTGAAAAAGAGAGATTTAAATGTAATGGCTTAGAAAGAGTTCCATGATGAAGTGAAAAAAAACTGAATAAAACTTTTGACATGTAAATATATAAATATAAATAAGATATAAAAGGATTTGCACCACGCTGTTAAAAGTGGTTATCACTGGAGATGAGCCTGGAGGAGCTTAGGGTTAAATTTTCTTTTTTTCTTTTTTTTTAAATTTTATTATTATTATACTTTCAACTTTACATATATATCTTTTTTTAGTAAGAATATGAATGATTTTTAAATTTTCTCTATTTTCTGTTTTAGTTTTTTTAATTCTTTTAAATTAAATAATTTGGTGTCTTTAATTTGCTAAAGATTTACATAATATTTCTATACGTCTAGTCTTAAGTGAGACCAGTCTCTAGGGTTTTGTGGGGGGGTGTGTGTGTATCTTTGCCCTGTTTGAATAACAAAGTTACACCTTGAAAAAACGAATTGATAGTTTTCTGTTTTCTGTTCCATCAAAGTCTGAACAAAATAGGAATCATTTTATTTTCACAAGACCTCTTAGAACCTAATTGTAGTTATCTGCATGTTGCATCTTTTGCAAGGGTAGTTCTTGAACAACTTTTCTACTTCTTCCATAGGCTGTTAGTCTGATATCCAGACTCCCTTCTATAAATAAGTTCAGCTTTCATATCTGTATGAACTTATTTTTCAGAGAAGTTTTACTTACTCTACTGTTCATGTCTTCAATTTCCTTTGCTCGCTGAATTCTCCTCATTTCTAAGACCTGCTCTCTTTTCTTTTGCAACCACGCTTTAAATACTATGTCATTCTCTCTCTTTTTTTCTTTCTCTTCTTCTATTTTTCGTCGCTCTTCCTAGTAAAAGAATATGAAAAGACATTAATGGAAGATTAATAAAATTGTATGAGTTATCAGAGTAGAGAGATATATTTTGAGATCTGAAATTAGGATTCCCTGACCCTAAAACTTTCCATCAGAAAACTGGTCCTTCTAGGCCAGACACGGTGGCTCATGCCTGTAATCCCAGCACTCTGGGGGGCCGAGGCAGGCAGATCACTTGAGGTCAGGAGTTCGAGACCAGACTGGCCAACATGGTGAAAACCCATCTCTACCCAAAATACAAAAATTAGCTGGGCTAATTTAACAAGTTCATAGTAAAATTTTCTTCAAATAATGGAATTCTAAGTGTTTTCCTTACATTTTGACAATATAGCAAGACTTTCTAATTCCTTTTGATTGAACAGAAGGAAGGGAGGAAAGGAAAATTCTACCAAACAGCATAAAATATATTTGAGAATACCTATATACTATTTTCTGAGCCCTAAAGTAGCCTGTATTATAGGAAATATAAATGAATTTATTAAGAATTAAATTTTACATTATTTATACATTTCCATTTCACACAAAGGACTTTGGATGCCTTGCATGAATACAGTATGACAAACGATGATTATCTTTCCAAGGGGAACATTCAGGTATATTACACAGAAGCTATCAGCCAAAGCACTGATAACGGAGTTGCCAAAGAGAACACTGAAATGATGCACTTAGGTTAGAAAGACAGAGTATAGCAGCCCAACCCAGAAAATATGGGCATAAAAAAGCAAAGCCTTCCCCTGAAACCAACTAAAACATGTTAAAAGCCTTAGTACTTGAAGACCATGCCTTGAGCCAAGTTAGTTATAGGATACAATAAAAGTGTATTTCAGAACAAAGAGTGTGTGACATTCAGAAAAGAGAATCCAAATGAAAACAGAATTATCCATCCTTCACACCAGTTAAAGACTAACATCAGTTCATTAATAAAAAGGCAGTGACAACTATATAAAATCACCTGTATAACTTTTGTAAAAATATACACATACCTACACATTTGTGTATAGCAAACATATAGATGTCATTCTCAAAAAATTATTTTGTATTGTCACCAAATTCCTATACTTTCAAGTGTTTTTATACCTGAATCAAGTAAACTTAGTTTGACTATTAGAGCTATTAGTGACCAAGTGAACGAAGCTCTATAAGCTTGCACCCTTTTAGGTTCTTATCTGAGTGTGCTAGAGGTTACACGTTCTTACGAAGTCATGTTTCACTTTTTTTTTTTTTTTTTGCTAATGCCAATTCCTGATTTAAATGCCAGATATTTCCCTGATAATTTCCCATATAAAGTAGATAACACACCATTTCTCAAGGGTGCCAGAGAACTGGAAATTTTTATTCCAGTTTGCTACTAACAAGTACAGATATACCTTGGTAAAGTTATTTAAACTTTCTAAGGTTTTCTTATCTGCAAAATGATCTGTAAGGTCACTTCTCATGTATTATCTGCTGAGCTTTGTATTTAGAATTAGACATTTTGTATGGCTCAGCTTAATACCATTAGGTTTCCAGTAAAACAAAGAATTGGAGCACTGACATAAGTAATTCTGAGAAAACTCACCAGTTTAAGTCCTGGAATTTTCAATTATAAGATACATAGAGTTTCACATAAGAACAAATATGAAAAACAAAAAAAATTAATTTGGGATTCTATATGGCATTTTGGAGACATTTCGTTAAGAATATTAGGCTATATTCTTAATCTGAAACTAAACTCCTGGAAATAAAAGAATTGTAAGCATAGAACATAACATGAAACACATGCAAATAAAAGAATTATAGTCCAAGTCTTCCTGTTGCCTCCTAAACCTCTACACTTTATGCCTTCATTTTTCCATCTGACATTTTATTTTTACCTATCATATCAAGATTACTTTCAGCAGTCACTTAACGTCTCATGAGTCTCACCTTTAAAATGAAAGGATCAGATGAAGTCATCACTGAGATCTCCGCTAACACAGATCAGTCTACTATTCTTTGTGATCCTTACAAGGACCAAAGTAATCACTGTGTTCATTCCATAAATGCACATTCTTAACACTTAATCAATCTAACAATAGATAAATAAAGCAATCAAAAAAAGTCTCCAATGGTTTGAACAACTGTTTTAATTCCCATTGCATTTATAAAACAGTAAAACATACTCTACTTTTAATATAATGCCCACTTAGGTTCTCACCTCTCTTTTCAGTTTTTCTCTCTTTTCTTCTAGTTGTTTTTGTAGTTCTTTCTGTCGAGGGGAAAGACAGTATGTTGAAGTCACTGGTGAGATATGTGCAGACTGTGTCCTGTGATTAGATTTCCCATTCCCTTTACTTCGATCTGAGTTGACAGCAGAGCTTGGACAAGTCTTGCGGTTGAGTGGTGGCTGAGCGATATAAGCCAGCGGCTCTCCTGTTGATGAGTGAGTGACAGCATGAATCTTTGCTGTAGAATCTTCTTTCTTGGTGCCACTGACAGAGGAGTTGGAAGATCTGGGTAACAACTGCTGAGGGTCATTTTCTGTACTATTTGCATTATTAATGGGAGGCAAAAACCCCTGACTGGCAATGTCTTGTAAATTCAGAAGTTCAAATTTTCCATCTCTCTCTACCAGTATTGTCCTATCCTTGTTTTCTTCACAGCTTCCATTAGTAAGTGACAGGAGCACATCTTCTTGTCCAAAATCATTGGAAATACATAATTGTGACAGTTTCCCAAACATATTCCTTTCGTTTTCAAAATAATTTTTAAAAGTAGTAGTGTCTTCTAGTGGAGGAACTTCCAAATCAACTAACTGGTCCTTGAACTTAAGTTTTCGCTCCCTTTTATCATTCACCGGTTCTTGATTCTGTAGAAGCTTGTTAGCTTGTACAATTTTCTCCATAATATATCTCCTTACTTCCTCATCCTCTTCCTCCTCCAAGTCTTTCTGGCTTTCTAGTTTGGATTCCTGGAAAGAGTTTTCACTATCTGAATCTGATATGGGATCCAAAGGTTGAATACCTGGTACAGAAATGATGTCATTTCTTCTTGGTGAGACCTCATCCTGCAAAGATTTGTCAGGATCAGAATGCCGTTTGGTGTGCTCCATTACTGTCTCATTCTCTTTTAAGTCTTGGTTAATATTCTCTTCCTTCTCACAAGCCATCTAAAAACAAGATATTTTTCAGTCAAAATTGAGATTCTTCATTTATAAGTAGACATACAAAATGGGATTTTTCCTGTTCATGTAATTTATTTTATGAATGGGAAAATTTAAGTGTTTATTGCTCATAATTTGCTCATAACATTCTAATTCATACTTATGAGTATCCAAGGGAAATAATGTGACAGCAATGCAGGAAAAATTCAACTTTAAATTTGAATTTGATGTAGCTAAGTGCTACATTGATTTTTAAACATTTTTATGCTAATGTATCAAAAGGTAACTACAAATAACAATATTAATATTCCTTCCCCTATAAAATTTTCCTCTCTTTACATTTTCAGAAAAACAATTTTCAAAAATCTTTCCTCCTTGTAATATTTGCATTCTTCAATCAAACAGCTTTCTCCCCAGACCATTTCAAGGATGAATTATTTGGTCAGGTCCTAATCACTTGAGGTTCTTTTAATCTTTTCAGACTATTATTATCACTATAATCTGCAGGACCTATCTAAATTCCAGGTCAATTTTTACCTCTAGATCAGATTTCCCTTCTTCAACTATACTCAGAGATTTCAGAAATCCATGCTAACCACCATCAGATAACTTGGCCTTAAATTAAAAAAAGTTAATTCCACATGAACCATAAACCAGTATCAGTGCAGCACAAAACTCCACTTCTGCTGTATCTAACTAAAAGCTTATATATATAAAAATATAATAGATATAATATATAAATGTATATAAATATTTTATATATATATATATTTTTTCTCTTTGTCAAAGTTCTCTCCCTCCTAAAGCAGTTCTATGGGAGCTACTACATGCTTCTCTCTTCAACCCCTTAAAATCACTTTCCTCCTTCATTTGCTCATAGGTCATCCTGTGTGATAGTGAAGGTCATCTTGTCTGATAGTCAGATGTCTAATAAGCAAATAAACCTGGCCCATTTAAATGACTGCCAAATAACTATGATTTAACTAAGAGCTCTGTATCACAAGTGTTCATTTTAGCCTTATTTGTTTCTCTAGTTGACTCTTTTTTATTTTTCCAATATCATGAGGATGGCAGATCTCTGGTTCATTCTTATAGTCTCTGTTTCTGAACTCTCCTTTAGCTTTTCTTTTCTTTTCTTTTGAAAACCCACTTTTTACAAAAAAATCTTCCCCTGACCCTCTTATGTGTCTCTAGCTCAGTCATCCCCTTTTCCCAAAAGCCTCAAAAGAAGAGGTTGTTATAATCATCCGCTGGAATGTGTAAGATTCATAACAGCACTTTTATTTTATTCCTGCTATATATATCCCTAGCACCTAGAACAGCCTCTGATATGATAGGTGATCATTAATACTTGTTGAATTAGAAAATAAAACAATAAATCATCCCTATTACCTCTCTAATTCTATCGCACTGTGCTTTGGATCTCACACCCTTCCAGTCTTGAGAAATTGGTTCAACCTTACCACTCTGGGTATCTGCCTCTACTCATTCTGCTTATTTTTCTGTTAGGATGCATAAAACTCCCATTTAAAAGCCATCTTAGAAAAATCTTCACTTTTGACTCTGTTTCCATCTTCAAACATTGTGTATTCCATTTGTCTTTTCCATTATATAAGAAAGCAAAATGGAACTAAGAAATCTGTAATATAAAACCTGCATTTCCTCATAGTCTTTTCCTTAACACCTTTAAAACTGGCTTCTGCTATAACTCTGATCATTATCCCTCCAAAGTCACCTATTTATATCCTAGTGTTATTCCTTTTTCTACTTATTGACACTAACTTATGTATATACATATATATACACACATACATATGCATATATACATATATATGTTTTACAGAAATACATATACACATTATACACATGTAAAGAGAGAGAGAAATAACCTACCTTGATGCAGGAACTGGTTAATTTTCCTGGAGTTCCTTTCTTCATCTCTGATAAATAGTATATGACCATGCTTAATGCATCCACTTTTCCTAGGAGTATTCCTGTGACTCAGACTTTGACCCTTTACTTTGTTCTCTATATTCATTGCCAAGAAGAGCTAATTCAGTCTTAAAGTTTTAAATATTAGCTAAAAGGTCATGTGTTTAGAGGATTTGCTTTATTTTTCATTTATTTTAATAGCATAACCCCATGATTTTACCCAAGTTCACAGAAAGTAGGAATTAACTGTATTTTTTACTTTCGATGCAATAAATCATGATTTTACTATTTATTTATATTATTTAAATTATAATTTTATAATGGTCACTTTAGTTTATTAAATGCTAGCGTAATAACTGTTCTCTCACTAACCTGCCCTATGCCTTAGGATACAACATTTAAGCAATCTACGCCTCATTTTTCTTATCTTTAAGATGAGGATAATAGTAATTTGCCCAATGTAGATCAAAGAAATTTTGTGATGTTTAGATGAGATAATAATGTGAAAACCTTAAAGAATTGCAAAGCACTTTGTAATATAATTATTATGAATGCTGTTGGCAATATATACCTCTATTATGCTGGCATCACTTTTTTCATTTTCATTAATTAACCACTCCAGGTCCTTTTCAAAGTCATCTTCGTATTCTTCACTTTTCTTTGAATCAGTATCTTTATTTTCATTCATTTTCTGTTTGTGAAGGAAATATGCTGTAAGATTTTAAAAGATAAGGTATATGTTATGCCCACTCTAGAGGAGGAATGGAGTATGGAGATTAATGCTGTAGGTAAGCTAATTAACACAGAGAAACACAAAATAGAATGTTCAAAATGAACATGCACTTGAATACACCATGAAAGAGAGATCTGCAATGGCAAGACATTTCCATAGGTAAACATTCCTAAAAACTCTCCCACCTTCCCCCTGTTCCCCAAATAGTTATTGATGTTGGTTCCTTTTCCCTCTCAAGATAAAGTTAATTTTTGGTACACTTTAGGTATGCTGAATTAATAAATAATCCACCAGCTGTTTTAGCCATTAGCTTCGCTTTGTTCTCCCCAAACCTTTGGCCAGACTAAGTTATTACTGAATAATAACTGTTATTCAACTTAATTATTATTCAAAAATAACTGTTAATTGTTCAACTGGATAATTATTGTTTTTTTCTAAACTATTCATTGGACTATAATTCTTTCTAGATACTTATTTATTTTAAACTAAAAACACAAAATAGATTTGCTAAAGGACTCAAAAGTAAGCCCTTCAATAATTTCTAAATCAGGTTGAGCACAAATTTTGAAGTGATCTGGAGAAATCAAGTCAACACTTCAGAGTGAGTTTCACTTCCTAACTGCAAGACAAGCTAAATTGCTTAAGCTATTATATCTAACTACCTACCAATTAAAAGCAAGGGCACCATGAATGATACAGAATAAAACTCACTGTAATCCGAAATACTTACAGTAAAAATAGTACTTTTCACAGTCACAATGCCTTGGAATAATCAGTTTTCTTTTCAGAGCAGGGATCTTGAAATTTATTATTTTAAGATGTTTGAGTTACATAAATATTATAAGAATATTTCTTTGGAACTCTTCAGTGCTTTCCCTTATTTTATGATAAACATAGTTCTGAACTTATAAATAAATGGTTGCCTGAAGACTTTAGTAGATATGTTTTATTGTTTACAGAGAATCACACACACATGAAAACTAAAATTTAAAATGAAAACATAAAATCTGTATAATAAAAGCACAGTAATTAAAAATTTAACAGGTTAGGGGTCTTTAAGTCATACTATTATGCCATAATTCAAAGGAAAAAAAAGCCATAGTTAAGGTAACTCTGAGAAGTAAATTAAGTCACATCAAATCTGAAGTGCAATTCTTTTGTTGTAACTTAAAAACAAAAAAACACCCTCATGGCCGGTTCTCAAGTAAACAAAGAACATAAATTACAAACTCTGGTTATCAAATCCCTTAAGCCTTTTTCAAATGCGTCACAGGATATTCAACCCCTTCAATTCTTTTAATCTTCATCACCAGGGTACTGTCCATATGGTACAGAATCAACAAGCTAGAACAAAAATACATCTTATACAAACAAAATCACTTAACACTTCCTACTTTATGCTTGTGAGTTTCACACATTTAAATTTCAACATTTATCATCAGTAAAAATCTAGGTAAACGGCTTAGACCAGCTCTACCCTCTTAATACGGAACTGTAGTAAGAGACGGAAATAAATTCCTTCCTCCCTGAGTGTCTGGTAAATCCCATGTGGATAGGTGAACTGCCGATCTTTCAGTAGGAGTCTTAAACCAAGTCCACATGTATACATAATTTTGATAACTTTCTTCCAGAATTCAGGATATTCAAAAATAGTTTAAATAATTGGGTCCCATCTTACAGCGTTTTAAACATATGCTTGCTTAAAAATCTAAGAACTGAAAGCATGTCAAAGAGAATGCCTTTTAATATAAAGTAAGTACTTAAGCAAAAACTAATCCATACATCATGAAACCATCTGGCCCATTATTCCTGTGTATCCTGCCAAGACTGTGATCCTATAAGTAAGTTTTTAAAAAATCATAAACTGTCACAAAGTATGATGATAAATATTTTATGGACTTTAGGTGATAATTTTAATCTGTATTCAGGATCCCAAGGTACCACCAACGAAATGAATACCATTGCCTCCTCATGGAAGCTACAATTTCGGGAGTGACTTTTTCTCCCAGGGACAAAATTATTACTTTCCACGTTCAAGAACTTTGAGAGGGGAAAGAATATGACAAAAATTTAGTCTAAGCTACTCTCAGACGAGTATCCTTCATACATAGTGAAGAAAGGTGTTACCAGACTTCCCCACCAGTGCCAGACTCGGTGGACCTCGGACTCCAGAGGATAAGGCGCCACCAGAAAGCTTCTTCCCTCACTACCTACCCTCCCTCCCAGCTATACCAGACGTTTATACCTTTACCCTCTATCCCACCATTAACATCTCCGCATCGTCCTTCCCTTCTCTCCCTCTATATCCCTCTTGCCTGTGTAAAATGCGGCGGCTGGGATCACAGAGATGGCCGGGGGAGTTCTCCTCTCCTCCTCTTTCTAAGCTCTTCACATTGAGGCAAAGGAGACCCCGGCACCTGCCTCCGCGGCAGCCAGGACCACACTGCCATGGCAACAGCGTGCCTCTGCGTCCTCCATCCGGGCCTCTCTAACTACGAGAGCGACAAAAATCTGCGCAGGCGCATGCAATATCCTCAGACCACCGACCCCTCCCGGCACCCATCCCGGTGCTTGCGAAGGGCCAGTGAAGCTGAGGTTTCTAAGGGGACGACTAAGGAATCCACGCATCACTAACGTTATAGAGACTCGCGAAGTGCCGCTGTGTTGGTTGTGAAATTTCCCTCTTGTAGCTGTCTCTCGTCAGATTTAGAATTTCTTAGGACAACTTCTAAAACTATATTTCTATATGTTATGTGCTTCACAGTTAACGTAGAAAAGTAGTTTTTAGTTTTCATTAGTAGATAAGCAAATTGCTAATGAGTTACCATATTTTTGACCCTCAGCTTCTTTTTTTCCTAATCAAAACCAAAACTTTACCCAAGAGAGTTGCCAAAGAAAATAGGATTTTTGCTCTAGCTTTGAGGCATGTCAAAATGGTCAACTAGAATTTTCTCAAATTCTGCTTATCTTTATGTATAAAGGCAAAGCAAGATGAATTTAGATTGTGGTGAAAGTTGAGATGATTTTAACAACTATCCATTCCCAGCCAGAAATAAATAAGAACTGGGAGAAGTAAAAATATTTCCTCAGTACAATCCAGTGTGTTCGGATTATTTTTAAATTGTTTATTATTAGGATTTCTATCACTTGATGTGATGGAGAGCACCTTTTCTCCAAGAGAGGCAATGTAAAATTAAATTTTTAGATATTCTTCAAGTTATAGACTTAAGGTCTTTTAAAATGGAAGGTTAAAATGAATTGTAATATTGAGTGCACTTCCTAGATGTGGTGTAGTTGTAATGACCTAATGTTGCTACTGCTTCAGCGCTTGAAAAAAGACGCTCCCAAAAAAGGTTATTCACTGCTAAAGGTTGAAGGAATTTTAGTCAAATCTCCTTTAATGGATGTAGAGTTGTAGAGTTACTTACCAAAGCTGGAAGTAGACCCTAGGTTTCAGAACTCCTAGGTTAATAGTTTTTTCCTCTGACCATCCTCCTAAATTTGTATTTTTCAAATAATGGGTGATAGCAGCTTTTTTTTTAAGTATCAGGTTTTGGGGGAACAGGTGGTGTTTGGTTACATGGATAAGTTCTTTAGCGGTGATTTCTGAGATTTTGGTGCACCCATCACCTGAGCAGTGTACACTGTACCCAATATGTAGAGTTTTTTTGTTTGTTTCTTTGTTTGTTTGTTTTGTTTTTGAGACAGAGTCTCGCTCTGTCACCCAGGCTGGAGTGAAGTGGCACGATCTGGGCTCACTTCAACCTCCATCTCCCGGGTTCAAGCGATTCTTGTGCCTTAGCCCCCAGAGTAGCTGAAACTACAGGCACGCCACCACACCTGGCTAAGTTTTTGTATTTTTAGTAGAGATGGGTTTTCACCATGTTGCCCAAGCTGTTCTCCAACAACTGAGCTCAGGCAGTCTGCCCACCTGGGCCTCTTAACCAATATGTAGTTTTTTTATGCCTCATCCTGCTCCCACCCTTTCTCCCAAGTCCCCAAAGTCCACTGTATCATCTTTACGCCTTTGCATCCTCATAGCTTAGCTCCCACTTACAAGTGAGAACATATGATGTTTGGTTTTCCATTCCTGAGTTACTTCACTTAGAATAATGATGAAATAACCTCCATTTCCATCCAGGTAGCTACGATGCCACAATTTCATTCCTTCATATGACTGAGTAGTATTCCATGGTATGTATATGTACCACATTTTCTTTATCCACTCGTTGGTTGATGGGCATTTGGTTTGGTTCTTTATTTTTGTAATTGCGAATTGTGCTGCGATAAACATGTGCAAGTGTCTTTTTCACATAATGACTTCTTTTCCTCTGGGTAGATACACGGTAGTGGGATTGCTGCATCAAATGGTAGATCTACTTTTAGTTCTTTAAAGAATCTCCACACTGTTTTCCATAGTGATTGTACTAGTTTACATTCCCATCACCAGTATAAAAGTGTTCCCTGTTCACCACATCCATGCCAACATCTGTTGTTTTTTTTATTTTTTGCTTATGACCATTCTTGCAGGAGTAAGGTGGTATCGTATTGAGGTTTTGATTTGCATTTCCCTGATCATTAGTGATGTTGAGCATTTTTTCATCTCTTTATTGGCCATTTGAATATCTTATTTTGAGAATTGTCTATTCATGTCCTTAGCCCACTTTTTGATGAGCTTATTCGTTTTTTCCTTGCTGATTTGTTTGAGTTCCTTGAAGATTGTGGATATTAGTCCTTAGTTAGATGCATAGTTTGTGAAGATTTTCTCCCACT
Organism: Homo sapiens; assembly: GCF_000001405.40. Lineage (NCBI taxonomy): Eukaryota > Metazoa > Chordata > Mammalia > Primates > Hominidae > Homo > Homo sapiens. The sequence goes on from NC_000001.11 coordinate 169,429,746, forward strand.
CTGTGGGTTGTCTGTTTACTCTGCTGATTATTTCTTTTGCTATGCAGAAGCTTTTTAGTTTAATTAAGTCCCATCTACTTACCTTTGTTTTTGTTGCGTTTGCTTTTAGATTCTTGGTCATGAAGTCTTTGCCAACGCCAATGTCTAGAAGGGTTTTTCCAATGCTATCTTCTAGAATTTTTATGGTTTCAGGTCTTAGATTTAAGTATTTGATCCATCTTGAGTTGATTTTTGTATAAGGTGAGAGATGAGGATCCAGTTTCATTTTTCTACATGTTGCTTGCCAATTATCCCAGCACCATTTGTTGAATATGGTGTCCTTTCCTCACTTTATATTTGTGTGTGCTTTGTCAGAGATCAGTTAGCTTCATTTCTTGGTTCTCTATTCTGTTTCATTAGTCTATGTGCCTGTTTTTATGCCAGTACCATGATGTTTTAGTGACTATAGCCTTGTAGTATAGTTTGAAGTTGGGTAATGTAATGCCTCCAGATTTGTTCTTCTTGCTTAGTTTTCCTTTGGCTCTGCAGGCTCCTTTTTGGTTTTATATGAATTTGAGGGTTGTTTTTTCTAGTTCTGTGAAGAATGATAATGGTATTTTGATGGGAATTGCATTGAGTTTGTAGACTGCTTTTGGCAGTATAGTCATTTTCACAATAGTGATTCTACCCATCTATGAGCATGGGATTTGCTTCCATTTGTTTGTGTCATCTATGATTTCTTTCATCAGTGTTTTTTAGTTTTCCTTGTAGAGATCTTTCACCTCCTTGGTTAGGTATATTCCTAAGTATTTTATTTTTTGCAGCTATTGTAATGGGGTTGAGTTCTTGATTTGATTCTCATCTTGGTTGATGTTGGTATACAGCAGTGCTACTGTTACCGGTGGAGGGTGTCCATGTTCTTGGTATTTTGAACAAAGAATTGGAAAAAAAAAAACACACAAATAAAGCAAGGAAAGAATGAAGCAACAAAAGCAGAGATTTTTATTGAAAATGAAAGTACACTCCACAATGTGGCAACAGGCATGAGCAGTGGCTCAAGGGCTCCAGATACAGAATCTTCTTGGGTCCAAATACCCACTAGAGGTTTCCCATTGGACACTTTACATTGGTTCACCCCATGTAAATGAAGTGGTGGCCCGCAATCAGTCTGATTGGTTGTGGAAAGCAACCAATCAGAGGTTGAAGTGAAGTTACAAAGTTACACTCCTATGCAAACATTACACTCCTATGCTCTTTGCAACCAATCAGGGGTACTTTCAATTTCCCATCTGCAGGAAAGAGGATTTGCCAAGGAAGTAGCCTCTGGTCCTTTTGTTACTTAAACATGGCAAGTTAGGGTTTTCCTTTCAACTGCATTCTAGGAAGTCAGTGTGAAATGGCCTTAGGTTCACTGACTCCAGACCCTATTCTCCTGCCTCACTACTGATTTGTGTACATTGATTTTATATCCTGAAACTTTACTGAATTAATTTATCAGTTCTAGAATCTTTTTGGATGGTTTTCTAGTATATGATTATGTCACTGACAAACAGCAACAGTTTGATTTCCTCTTTACCAATGTGGATGCCCTTTATTTCTTTCTCTTGCCTGGTTGGGATATAGCAGCATGATTGGTAGCCAAAAGTGGAAATGACTCAAATGTCCATCAAATGATGAATGGATAAATGTTATATATCTATACAATGGAATATTATTCTGCAATAAAAATAAATGAAGTACTGCTGGAGGATTCTAAAAAGATGGTGGAATAGGAAGCACCAGGAATCTATCTCCCCACCTGGAAAAACAATTGCACTGTCAAAACCTATCTCTTGTAACTATTTTGGAACTGTGGAGTCTATTAAAGGCTTGCAACTTTCAAGGGAAGGCTTGGACAGAAAACTGAACTTATTTTGGTGAATTTCAGCTCTTAGTTCAGTATCATCTACCCAACCCCAAACCCCAGCTCCCTAGCAGGCAGTCTGTATTACTTGCAGGAGCAGCTTTAACATAGTTCATGAGAGTCAATGAGCAGTAAGGACCCTGTCCTCCTATTGATGAGGGTCTATGTTCTGATAATTGATTACTGCTTCTGATCAAGGAGATGCAAACACAGAGGTAGCCGCCATTGTTGTTGCACCTTCCCCCACCATTGTAAGCTTTTACTCCTCCAGCTGAAGCAACTTCCAGGGAATTTTCCTTGTTTTCTTCCTTTTGGAAGACAAACATTAAAGACTAAGACATTAAAAAGCAACTACATTTACAGAGAAAAGTATAAAGTTAAATTGAACACCCAGAGAAAGGCATAAACTCAGAAAAATACCTGAGAAGACCTTAAATCATAAAGATGCTCAAATAACTAAGGAAAGATGTGGAGAAAGTGAAGAAAATAATATATAAACAAAATGGAAATATCAATAAATTGAAAACTAAAAAAGAAATCAAAGAAATTCTAGAGCTGAAAAGTACAACTGAAATGAAAATCTTACTGTTGGGATTCAAAAGCATATTTGGTCAGGCAGAAGAAAGAATCAGTGAACTTAAAGATAAGACAATTGAAATTGTTGTATCTGAGAAACAAAAAAATTAAAAAGTTAAAAGTGAAGAGAGCCTAGGGGACCTGTAGAACACCACCAAATGGACCACAGTCTGCATTGTGGGAGTCCTTGAGAAAAGAGAAAGAAGTAGTATGATAATTTGAAGAAATAATGGCTGAAAACTTCCCAAGTTTAATAAAGGATATGAATATGATCATCACAGAAGCTCAATGTACTCCAAGTAGTATGAATTCAAACAAACCTCCACTGAAGCATATTATCCATCTAACTGTCAAAAGACAGGAAAGAAGCAACTCATCACATGCAAGGGATTTGCAAAAATCCTCTACAAAATACCTGATTTCAGCAGCATATTACAAAGATACTGCACCATGGCCAAAAGTGATTTATTCCTAGAATGTAAGGATGGTTTAACATACAAAAATCGATGCAGTATTCTACATTAACAGAAGGAAAGAGAAAAACTGAATGATCATTTTAATTGATGCAGAAAAAGCATTAAATTCAGCACTCTTTCATGATAAAAAACAAACAGACTAGGAATAGAAGGATACTGCCTCAACTTAATAAAAGGCATATATGAAAAACCCGCACCAAACATCATGCTCAATTCTGAAAGACAGAAAGCTTTTCATCTAAGATCAGGTATAAGATGAGGATGCTGGCTTTCACTACTGCTATTAAACATAGTACTGGAAGTACAAGCCAGAGCAATTAGGCAAGAAAAAGAAATATAAGGCAGCCAGATTAGAAAGGAAGAAGTGAAATTATCTCTGTTTGCAAATGACAGGTCTTATACGTAGAAAACCCTAAAGATATCATTTTTAAAACTATTAGAATTAATACATTCAGCAAAAATTGCAAGAGACAAAGCACATAAAGTCAGTTGTATTTCTATACACTAATGATGAACAGTCTAAAAGGAAATTAAGAAAACAATTCAATTTATAATATAAAAAAGAATAAAATACTTAAGAATTAACTAAATGGATGAAAGATGCATACAATGTAAACCATAAAACAGACAAATGGAAAGCTATCCCTTGTTAATGGATTGGAGGACAATATTATTAAGATGTCAGTATTACCCAAAGTAGATATGCAGATTCAATGTAATACCTATCAAAATCTCAGAAAAGCAGAAATAAATCCATCCTAAAATTTGTATGTAATTTCAAGGAACCCCAAAAGCCAAAAGAGTCTTGAAAAAGAACAAAGTTGGAGCACTAATACTTCCTGATTTCAAAACTTACTATAAAGCTAAAATAATTTAAACTATGTGGTACTGCATAAAGACAGCTTTATAAACCAATGGAATCAAATTTAGAGGTCATAAATAAACTCTCACATATATGGTCAAATGATTTTTCACAAGGGTTTTATGAAACTCCGAGGGGAAAGGATATCATCTTTCAACAAATGGTTCTGGGAAAACTGGATATCCACATGCAAATGAATTAGGTTGGACCCTTACCTCGCACCATATTCAAAAATAAAATGGATCAAAGATGTAAATGTAAGAACTAAAACTATGAACTCTTATAAGGAAACAGAGCAATAGCTTTGCCACATTGGATTTGACAATAATTTCTTAGATATGACAGCAAAAGCACATGCAAAAGTAAACAAATTGGACTGCACAAATATTAAGTACTGTTGCATTTTAAATACTTTTGCTCACTAGACATTATCAGCAGAATGAAAAGGCAACCTATGAAATGGGAGAAAATATTCGCAAATGATATATCTAATGTTCATAGGTATCCAAGGTATTAATATCCATAACAAATAGAGACCTTCTAAACTCAACAACAATTATAAAAACAAACACTCCAATTCAAAAAATGGACAAACAACTTGATTAGACATTTCTCCGAAAATACATGAATTGCCAGGAAACATATGAAAAGATGCTAACTATCACTAATTATTAGAGACATGCAAATCAAAACCACTATGAGATACCACCCTCATTAGGAAGATTACTATTAAGACAAAATAAATATTGGCAAGGATGTGGATAAATTGAAACCCTTATGCACTGTTAGTGGGAATGTAAAATGGTACAACTGCTATGGAAAACAGTATGGCAATTCCTCAAAAAATTAAAAATTGAATTACCATATGATCCAGCAATCCCATTTCCGAGCATATACCCAAAATAATCACAAGCAGGATCTTGAAAAAAATATTTGTACAGTCATGTTCATAGAAGCATTCTTCACAATTGCTAAAATGTTGAAGCAACCCAAGTGACCATTGACAGATGAATGGATAAGCAAATGTAGTATATATGCACAATGGAATATTATTCAGCCTTTTAAAGGAAGGAAATTCTAACATATGCTACAATGGGATGAACCTTTGAAGACATTACGCTAGGTAAAATAATAATAAAGCCATGTATGAAAAACCCACAGCAAACATCATATTCAATAGTGAAGGACTGAAAGCTTTTCATCTAAAATCAGGTACAAAGCAAGGATGCCTGCTTTCACTACTGCTATTAAACATAATACTGGAAGTCCTAGCCAGAGCAATTAGGCAAGAAAAAGTCATAAAAACACAATATTGTGTCATTCCACTTATATAAAGTGCCCAGAACAGTCAAAATCTTAGAGACAGAAAGTAGAATCGTGTTTTCCAGAGCCTGTTAAGGCAGGGGAAATGAGAGGTTATTGTTTAATGGGTACAAGGTGTCAGTTTTAAAAAATAAAGTGTTCTGGAGATGGATGGTAATGATGTTTGCATAGCAGTGTGAATGTGTTTAATATCATGGTAATGTACACTTAAAAATGGTTAAGATAATAAGTTTTATGATAGGTGTTTTTTTACCACAATAAAAAGTTTTAGACAAAAAAAGGAATGAAGTACTGATAGATGCTACAACATTGATGAACCTTGAAAACATAAATATTATGTTATGAAAGAAGCCAGACACAAAAGATCACATATTGTATAATTCCATTAATATGAAATGTCCAGAATAGGTAAATCTATAGAGATTGAAAATGAACTAGTGTTTGCCTAGGGCTGGAACAAAGGAGTTGTTGAGAGGAAATGGGTGTGTGACCACTAAAAGTTGAATTGTATGGTATTAGTATATGAATTATATGTCAACAAAAAAGATGTTACAAGAAGTATTAATGGAATGGTGGGCAAACCATAACTGTGGAGTTGAACATGTAAGAAAAATGGGTTTTCCAGGACTGATTGATATATGGCTCATATCTCCTATGTTTAACTAGCCTGTAGAAGATTTTAATTTCTGGCCAATTTCCCCATCAATAACATAGAGATCATAATATTTGCCTTATTTTTGTGAAGATTAAGTGAGTTAATCCATGTACTTAGCCCAGTGCCTGATGCATACAAAGTGCTTAACAGGGACTATTACATTACATAGTTTTCCAAAAGGATGAAAGTAGGTTCTAGAGTATCTTTATTGATATTCCAAAATGAAAATAATAAAATTTTTAAAATTATGTGTGGAATTCTGTAAGAAAAATAGTTGCTACATTATCAAACATTTTTTAACTTATGAAAGGTTTAGATATTAATGTATCAATTTCAAATAAATGTTAAATATTACAATTATAGAAACCTTGTGCGATATAACTGAGCATTAAAGGTGAAATGGATAGTGTAAAAATCATAATAACATCCCCACTTAAATGGAAGTCAGAGTTCCAGTTATCTCAACCACCTAAAACCAAGCTGTAAACAAAAACAAGTGTAAAAGATGTGAAAGCAATAATGCAAAGCTAATACAGTTTGTGAACTAAGCTTGAGCCATTTTTAGGACAGTCTTTCACAGTCCTTTCACTTACTTTAGTCTCATAAACCCAGGTCTCTGAATTCCCAGCCCAGAAATTAGGACGTGATAATTTCAAAAAAGAAAAACAGTTGTGTTGTTAAAAGTAGGTACTCTGACACCAGAAAAAAAAAATGCTTTTAAAGAACTCACAGCTCAGCAGAAATATGCTTAACTATCCCAAAGACAGTATAAGTTTCAGTGGAAACTTTCGTTCACAGATCAGGATTGTGTTAGTTTTCACGGTATGTTTGTGGTATTTCAGAGGCTACCATGCACAGTGAGGAATAGATTTCATCTTATGCCATACCCCATCTTGCTTTTGTTTTTTAGCAGTCTGGCTCTGTCACCCAAGCTGGAGTGCTGTGGCACAGTCATGGCTCACTGAAACCTCTGCCTCCTGAGTTCAAGTGATTCTCAAAGGTTGACAGACTGACATGCAGAAAACAAAAAATAAAAAGAATGAAAAGCAAAGACGACCTAGACTAAAAGAAAATTTTTTTGTCTCTTCTAACGGCAAGCAGAGACAAACATTAAATTGCAATATCGTACAATCATTCACCATCTGTAATTCACAATCTATAGTGACAATCTTGAGCTTCTAAAAAAGGTTGATTTCACTATTACCTCTTTAGTAAGGCAGAGCACTATTAGTTTTCAATAATTTCATTCAATTTAGCCTGTTGAGCTCCTTAACTTCTGGGCCCACTGGGAGGTGAATAATTCATAACTTCTACATGAAAGAGCTCACAGACTGAAAAAGAAAATAGGCTTAAACAAAGGGAGCACAGTGTGACACACAAGGTACAGATTTAGCTTGAAAAATGGAGGAATTAATTAGGAGGAGAGTGACAATAAAATGATTTCTACAAAGTGTTGACATCAGAGCTGACATTTTTTTTTTTGGCGGGAGGGAGACCTGAGTTTTATTATTACTCAAATCAGTCTCCCCAAGCGTTCAGGGATCAGAGTTTTTAAGGACAATTTGGTGGGTGGGGGTAAGCCAGTGAGCCAGGAATGCTGATTGGTTAGGTCAGAGATGTAATCATAGGGAGTCGAAGGTGTCTCCTTGCACTGAGTTCCTGGGTGGGGGCCACAAGATCAGATGAGCCAGTTTATTGATCTGAGTGGTGCCAGCTGATCCATCAAGTGCAGGGTCTGCAAAATGTCTCAGGTACTGATCTTAAGGGCAGTGTATCCTTAAATATTGTAGCCTCTAGCTGCATGATTCCTAAACCATAATTTCTAATCCTGTGGCTAATGTTAGTCCTACAAAGGCAGTCTAGCGCCCAGGCAAGAAGGAAATTTGTTTTGGGAAAGGGATAAACTATAAACTAAGTTCCTCCCAAAGTTAGTTCAGCCTATGCCCAGGAATGAACAAGGACAGCTTGGAGGTTAGAAACAAGGTGGAGTCGGTTAGGTCACATCCCTTTCACTGTCTCAGTTACAATTTTGCAATGGCAGTTTCAATCCCTCCCTTTGGGTTTTATAACATGTTAATCTTAATGTGTTGGCTAGTGAAGACCATTCTAACTTCTTCCTGCTGATCAGGGGCATAGTGGTGGTAGGTGTTGACCCAAGAAGAGAGGAGTGGAACCACTTTGCAACTGTCTGAGCATACTCATGCAGACCTGGCTGTGGTTCCAAGGCTTGCATGGCAAAGGCATTAGTATTGTCATCTATAGTTTTAGTACCACATTTAAAGGAACAGTGTACTATAAAGTAAATACTGAGTACTAGGGTAAGTAGTGCAATGCCCAGTTTTAAAAGTAAACATTTGCAAGATAATGTTTAGGGCTAACTATGACGTGAACCCCAAAATTCCTGTCCTCTGGAGACCAAAAGAAAGTATTTCCACATGGTCACAAGGTTAAGCTCTTAAGGATACAAAACTAAATAGAGAAAATTCATCTGGTATTGGTTTCACGGACCTGCAGCAAAGTTTGTACCTCACCAGCCTGCCAGGCTGGCTTGAAAAGCAGGCTTGTAGGTGTCCTAAACCCATGTTCTATCCTGTGATATCCCTCTCTCCATTATATAAAGACAAATTTTTAGCACAAAGTGTACCAGATTTGCTACAGCCTAAGACTAGCCTCACAAATCCTTTTTTTTTTAAATATATTAATCAAACCCTTGCAGAGGAGACAACCAGTTACACTTACACTTACAAACACACCCACAAACAGACTCACACAGAGAGACCAGAAACTCGTGTGGTAAGAATTTCTTACCCTTTCTGCCGGCATACTAGGTTTTCAGGTTCCCTTTCTCTGCAGCTTCCATAAGAATGGAGCAGTTTTTGATGACCCTGCTTGCTGTGCCATAGCTGTGAGGGTCAAGCCACTTAAAAAAAGAAAATCATCCTTTTCTGTTTTATGAAGCCATAGGCAAAAGATTCTCAGTTTTGCAAGATGCTGCCCAATGGTCTGCATGGGGAACCGAATTAACATTTTTCATCCCAGCAAAATACATACAACAAAACAGACACTAGTCACCTTGTTCAGCACCCAATATCAACCTGACAAAGCTCAAACTTTCTCCTGTTGGTCCCTGTTGTCTTTGATCCACTCCAGATGGGAAGGGATCACCTCCAGATGGTAATTCACATTGGGATCTCTGGTCAAGGTGAAGAGCGAATAGCCACCCTGAGACAGGCCTGTTGAGCTTTCTTTAGGGATCACCAAATGTGACCAGATAAATAAGGGGGGGTTCTGAGTTAAGTCTGCTGGACTTCCATAAGCAATTTCTTCAGAGGTCCCCTTCACATATACAAAAACACACAAAGATGAGACAGACAGAAGGATTCCAAATCTGATCCCTAACCAACAACTCCAAGAGTATCCCTTCCAAACTATCCTCCTATTCTCCATCTGAGAAATCTCCCTGAAATCTTCCTGATGGAGAAGTCTCCTTAACCAAGACTCTTCCTACTAGTTAGGGAGAGCCAACTGAGACCCCCCCAGGAGCTGAACTGAGACAGACACCCCACAGTGGGGCTATATCCAAACCAAGACCCCCAAAGGAGCTGAACTGAGACAGACACCCCATGGTAGAGCTACAGACACCCTGCATTGGGGCTATGGACAGACACCCCACCATGGGGCTACAAGACCAGTTGGGAGAAGGAAGAAGGTGTTTGCAGCTCCTAGGATACTCACCAACCCAGACACCCCACAATGGGGCTGCAGACAGACACCCTACCATACATAGGGCTACAGACACCCCACCATGGGGCTACAGAGAGACACCCTGTGATAGGGCTACTGTTATGAGATGTCTCCCCAGAACTATTTCTCTCTTGCAATTAAATCCATTCATATTATGAAATGGGAGAGTTCCCTGACCCCCTCCCTCGTGGAACTTGTGACAGGGGTGCAGCTCATTTGCTCAGCCACTGCGCTCAAATACCTTACAGGATGGGGAGCATGCAGACAGGCAGGTGCAGGAGCCAGGGCGAGCACGTTTGGTCTCAGGACTCACAGTAGCATCTCGGGGTGTGTTACAATTAATGCTCTTTTAGCAGTTGCCATCCACAGACAGCTAAGTGTTACACCAGCTCAGTGGAGTCAGGGTGACAGCCTTTTACACCCTGCCCTCTTGGTATCCGGGTCCTTGTCCCATATCCAGGAAGAATCAGGTCACATGGACTTAAAGGATGGTGAATGCAGGGATTTTACTGAGTGATGGAGGTGGTTCTCAGAGGGATAGGTGGGAAGCTGGAAAGGGAATAGAGTGATAAGATGATCTTTCCCTGAAGTTCAGCCATCCCATCTCCTCTCTGACCATCCCCAGCCGAACTCCTCTCAACGTTCAGATGCTCCTTCTCTTCTCTTCTCTTCTTCTCTGCTGCTCCACTCTGCTGCTCTTCTGATTGTGGATCCCGGGGTTTGGGCTTTTTATGGGTACAGGATAGGGGCATGGTGAGCAAGAGTGGTCTTGGAAAAGGCAACACTGGGATGTGAAAACAGGAATGCCTGTTCCCATTTAGAGCCGTGGGTTTCCAGGCTTGAGGGTGGGGCCTTTTCTGGGGAACTGCTCTCTTCTACCCGCTATTTCCTTGCCTCCTGTCCATATCAGTTGGGTTGGCAGCACCCCACCAGTAGAGAGAGTACCAGAGTCAGCCCCCAGTCCAAGAGAACTAGGCCCACTTGGGCTGACCTCTGGATCCATCGCTGGAGGCGGATACCAAACCACAGGCAGGTAGCAACAAGGGCAATCCCAGAGGAGCCCCCAAATTTGTAACTGCCCAGTAGGTTCACCTTGCCCACTGCCTAGACAGAGCCTGATTTATCAAGACAGGAGAATTCCAATAGAGAAAGAGTAATTCACACAGAGCCGGCTGTATGGGAGACTGGAGTTTTATTATCACTCAAATCAGCCTCCCAGAGCTGAGTTTTGAAGAATAAAAAGAATTGTGCAAAAAGGATAAGGCATTGTACATAGAGATGATAGCATTTGCCAAGACATAGAGGCATCAACTAGTTAACTCCAGGATCTTTAGGTAATTCAGAATTGCTGGCTCAAAACATGCAAGATGGGGCCAGGCACAGTGGCTCACACCTGTAATCCCAGCACTTTGGGACATTGAGGTAGGCGGATTACTTGAGGCCAGGAATTCAAGACCAGCTTGGCCAACATGGCAAAACCCCATCTCTACTAAAAATACAGAAACAAAACAAAACAAAAAAATAGCCAGGCATGGTGGAGCACACCTGTAATCCCAGCTACTTGGGAAGCTGAGGCATGAGAATCACTTGAACCCAGGAGGCAGGAGGCTACAGTGAGTCATGATCATGCCACTGCACTCCAGCCCAGGCAACAGAGCAAGACTGTCTAAAAAAAAAAAAAAGGCAAGATGAGGTATGGCGTAACATGAAATCTATTTTTTATTGCCCATGGCAGCCTCTGAAATACTACAAACATACTGTGAAAGCTAATGCAATTCTGATCTGTGAACAAAAGTTTCCATTAAAACTAATACTAACCTTGGGCTAGTTAAGCATATTTCTGCTAAACTGTGAGTTCTTTAAAAGCAGCAATGGCATTTTAGGCATTTCTGTACACTTAGTAGTATATATATTTAAGTCTTTAATGAATATTTATTGAGTTCACATTACTGAACTCATGAACTAATAATTTGTGAGTAACTTACGTGCTTTATGCTATTAAGTTCATCACTTTTTCTGATACTTAATCACGAAAATGGAAGTTACTGAAGAAATTAGTGTTTTTGATCAGGGAAGAGAGAGGAATAAATTTCTAAAATGGGGCATTTTGGGAAAGTGCAGAACTCTAGTAAATTAGGATAATCAGAGGCACCATGAAAACACAGAACTTGCATGTAGGTGAGGAAGGAATGATGAGGGGATGTTAATGACATACTTTGCAATTTTATAGAATACAGCAGTTCTAGGTACCCTCTCCCTCTCCCTACACATTCCATTTAATGTCTTCTTCCTTCTCCCCTCTAAAGTGGGTACCCTCTGGCTATCGATAACTATACAAGGGAAGAAAATTAAGAACATGTAAGAACAGGGTGATTTAGCAAGAAGTAGGTACATGAAGCAAAGGAAGCTGGTTCTTATTCAAGGACTTTTCCTTTGATGGGCTTTATGCTTTTTAAACTCTGACGATACTAGATATCAATAGATGACTGTATTTCAACTATAGGCATTGAAAAATGTATTTAGAATTTATGACTCATCAAGGACTATGAGATTTTACAAATATAAGATCAATATATGTAAACAGTGCCATGTGTCTTCCCTCTCCACTGTTTAATACTAGTTACGTGTATAAATTTTAAATGTGCATAGTCTGAAATATGATCCCGGAAATAGATAATACTTCCCAATTATCTGTCATCATTTACTATACTATGTATAGAAATAAATAAGTAAACAATATGAGGAAGAGAACAGTATAAAGTTGGGCAACTCTCTACATTTTGAATAAATGATTTCACTTAGAAAAGCAATATTTATTTAATGTAGGTAACCAAGAAGAAAATTTAAATAAGTTGAGTGCCAGGAATTGAGAACATGTGACCATGCACATCTCCTATAAAACTGTTCAAAGTAACACACTTTATAAAAAATGTTTAGATTCTACATAGATTCATGAAATTTTAAATCACTTAAAAATAGTTATTCAGAACATATGTGCAAAACACTGTTTTTATATATTTGGAATATATCAGCAAACTAATATATTCCTTAGGAGTCAATTACTTCAACCACCTAGAACCCAGTTGCAAAAAAAAAGTACAAATGTCTTGAAAACAATAATATGAAGCCATTAAAAAGTTTTGTGAGTTAAGTTTGAGCAATTTTTGTGAAAATCTCTCACAGTCCTTTGATTTACTTTATTCTAATAAGCTCAGATCTCTGAATTTCTAGTCCAGAAAGTAGAATGTGATAACTTGAAAGGAAGGGAAAGAAAAGAGGTGAGATGTTTTAAGTAGATTACTTTTTGAATTTTACACCTGTACATGCTATTGTTAATGCACATTCATTTATAGAACACAAAGACTTTATAATTGTAATGTTTAACACACATATATTTGAAATGGGTACATTGACATTGAGATATTTTGTAAATTAAAAAACTGATCATGTGAGAAATATTTTCTTTAAGGAATCAAAAATTCTCTTCAATGGAGAGAGAGGACAATAAATAATAAACATACTAAGTCATATGATAGAAGTTGACAAACAATATGCAAAACATAAAGCAAAATAGAATCAGAAGTGTCAGGGTGTGTTCTGGTAGTGAGATTGAACTTTTAAATATTGTAGTCAGGTTAAAGGTTATTGAGGTAACAGTTGAGACTTTCATTATAGTTATATGCAGATTTCACATATAATAAAATCTACCTATATACAAATATATAGAGAGACATATATGTGTCTATATGTGTATTATATATCAGATATATCACATATCTGGATACCATTATAATGAAAATATGCCTAACTATCAAAAAACTCAAGACCTTCTTTTTGTTATTCGCTCTCATGTGTCACACCAAAGGCTGGAGACCTTAAGTTTGCCTTTAACCCTCAGCAGCAGGACAAAACCACTTCTAGCTTGTATTCCAGAAATACATTTCTTAAAACAAGTGCTCTAAGGAAAAAAGCATTTGCAATGTAATTATTTTCATTTGTTTAGTAGATTTTTACAGCCTTATTTCATGTGTTCAGCACCTTTGAGCATATGTCCATTTGCCATAAGGCAAAAGTTTAAAGGGATTTCCTGCAGTGATGCTTTTGTTTTCTCAGTATGTGATTAGAAGTCTTGTGATCGACCTTAACTGAAGAAGGATTTAATAGGAATAAATTATGGAAAAGAAACGAAATGAATCAGAATTTAGCTTTTGAGAAATCAACAAACATAATTTACTTTTTAAATTATCAATAAGAAAACCCTCTGTTTATAAGTGGTGCCTCATTGGCTAATAATTACTCCTTGAAAATATCTACCCATATCATTGAATCTAAGTGCCATTTACTAAGATGTCCTATAGTTTTAGCTTTTCTCAGTGCAGATTAATAGCAGAAGCTGTACTTCATCCAGACAAAAATATTTAACATCAAAAGCAAAAATTAAGAAATAAGGAAGCTAAACACCAAGCCTCCATTTAAGGTATATAAATAGTATTGATGATTAGCGATAAGAATAATCATCTTCTGCTCATGTGCCGTGCTAAAGCAAAGAATAACTGACTCACATACACAAGGAAAATGCTCTTTAATTTGCTCTGTTGTTATAAAAGTTCTTTTAAGTCTCTCATATTCATATTCACTTATATTCTGTACTGTTAATATCACTTCACAGAAAGACTAAAAGTACATTTTGGTTTATTAACAGTAATAGACATAGTTATAAAATTTGCCTGTGGTTAAATTTATACTCAACTTATTCTCAAACAGATCTGAGGCTGCTTGCAGTAACATTGATGTGAATGGTAAATACAGACGAAGAGGAAGTCAATATGCTAACCCTAAGTTTGCTCAGTTTCTGAAGATACCTTTATGGCAAAAAGCCAGGCAGTAAACGGATCCAGCAAAAGTGCCAACACCCTTCATTGGGAAAACTTCCTCTCTTGAACCTTTAAATCAGGATAGTGCTTTTTTATTTGACACCTATGATGGTGTAGAGCTTCAGGTTTTAAGCAGCCAGTTTTAAAAAGAAAATACAGTACTACAATACCTAGCTCTTGCACGAGGAAGAAGAAATCACGAGTGTTCCTCAGGAAAAACTTGTTATCCTCGCATTAATTTTTAAAGTAATTTCTCAGGTGGCATTTTTATTAGGGGTAGTGAGTGATGTAAGTGACAGGGCCTTCAGTAGCATTTTTACAGCAAAGTCCAGACACGTTCCTAATGGTTGTTTCCTACAATGACCTTAAACTTTTTTAAAAGCATAACTGTAAATCTCAGTAAAGATGATTCTGCATTGTCACATTTTCTTGGTAATAGTTTGACAAACTACACTTCAAAAACCACATGCTTTTAAAAATTGGGATTTTTTTAAATTTGAATTCTTCCAAATATTTTATCTTCACCTTTGCCTCTTGAATACCGCATGTCTTGTAGTGACAATCCAAAAGCAGTGGTGGCTACATATTTTTCTTCTCTGGCCTTGGCACATTTCTTAAGCTAATTACAAAACTTAGATATGCAAGAGTACCTTTGGCATTAGCAAATAATGAGCACATCTTGTCTCTGGATCCAGATGCAAAGAGAGACTATCTCCCAAGATTACGGATTGCCACAATTGAGAGGTTCATGTCAGCAACCAGAATACTCTCAAAAATGTAAATCAGATTATATCCTTTCATGACTTTCCAATGCTATTAGAATAAAATACAAACTCCTTACCTTACTTCCAAGGTCCTACATAATCAGGCCCCTTCTCACCCTGTGATCTCACCTCCTACCACTTTCCAGTTCATTCATTATGCACCAATCATCCTAGCCATGTTTCTTCCTCAAGTATAACAAGGTCTTTCCCATGTTTGATACTTCCTCCTGCCTGGAACGATCTTCTGCAGATATTTTCATAGCTGGCTCCTTCCTATCGTTCAGATGAGAGTGGATATTTTTATCTTGTTCCTGATCTTAGGGGGGACAAAATGCCCAGTTTCTCATCATTCACTATGATTTTAGGTGTAGCGTTTTTGTAGATGCTCTTTAGAAAGTTTGAGCAAATTCCCCTTTATTCCTCGTTTGCTGAGAGATTTTGTCATGAATGAGTATTGGGTTTTGTCAAATGCTTTTTCTACATCATTAAAATGATCACATTATTTTTTCTTCTTTAGCCTGTGGATGTCATTGATTACATTTATTGATTTTGAAATGTTGAACTACCTTGCCTACCTGGAATAAATCTCATTTCGTAGTGGCATATCATCCTTTTTGTACATTGGTGGATTTGATTCACTAATCTTGTTGAGGAGTTTTGCATCAATGTTCATGAGAGATCAGAGTCTGTAGTTTTTCTTTCTTATAATGTCTGTTTTTGGCATTAGGATAATGATGTCCTTATAGAATGAGTCAGGAAGTGTTCCCTTTGCTTCTATTTTCTAGAAGAGATTGTGGAGAATTGGTATCATTTCTTGCTTAAATATTTGGTACATTTCACCAGTGAAACAATCTGGGCTTAGTGCTTTCTTTCTTGGAAGGTTATTAATTAGTGACACTATTTTTTTTAATAGATATAGGTCTATTCAGATTGTTTTTCAAGGAGGTAGTGCATTTTATCTAAGTTATCAAATCTGTGTGCATAGAGCTGTTCATATTACTTCTTTATTATCCTAAAACATTCATGGGATCAATAGTCATGATTCCTCTCTCATTTCTGATACTGGTAATTTGTGTTTTCTCTCTTTTGTCCTTGGTTGGTTTGGCTTGAAGTTTATTGATTTTATTGATCTTTTCAAAGAACCAGCTGTTTGGTGTCATTGATTTTCTCTATTGTTTTCCTGTTATCAATTTCGTTGATTTCTCCTCTAATTTTTATGTTTCTTTTCTTCTGCTTCCTTTAGGTTTAAACTGACCTTCTTAGGCCGGGTGCGGTGGCTCACACCTATAATCCCAGCACTTTGGGAGGCCGAGGCAGGCGGACCATGAGGTCAAGAGATCAAGACCATCTTGGCCAACATCATGAAACCTCATCTCTACTAAAAATACAAAAATTAGCTGGGCATGGTGGTGCACGCCTGTAGTCCCAGCTACTTGGGAGGCTGAGACAGGAGAACTGCTTGAACCCAGGAGGCAGAGATTGTAGTGAGGTGAGATGGCACCACTGCACTCCAGCCTGGTGACAAAGCAAGACTCTGTCTCAAAAAAAAATTAATAAGTAAATAAATTGCCCTTCTTCATTTAGCTTCCTAAAATGAAATCTTAGATTACTGGCTTTGAATATTTCTTCTTTGCTAATAAACAGTCATCCCTCCATATACCCATGGGTTCTGCATCTGCAGATTCAGCCAAATGCAGGTCAAAAATGTTTGAAAAAGTAAAACCAATAAAAATAATACAAATTAAATACCAATGCTCTATAACAACTATTTACATAGCATTTACAGTGTATTAGATATTATAAGTAATCTAGAGATGATTTAAAGTTTACAGAAGAATGTATGTAGGTTATATGCAAATATGACACCATTTTATAAAAGGAACTTGAACATCTGCAGATTTTGGTCTCTGCAGGAGGCCCTGGAACCAATCCCCATGGATACTGAGAAATGACCATGTGTACTTAATGTTATAAATTTCCCTCTAAACATTGCTTTTGTTGCATCCCACGAATTTTGATAAGTTGCATTTTCATTTATTTTGAATATTTTCTAATTTATCTTGAGACTTTGACACATGTTATTTAGAAGTATTTTGCTTAATCTCCAAATATTTGGAGACTTTCGAGCAATCTTTTTGTTACTTATTTCTAGTTTAATTCCTGTATAGTCTGTGAACATAACTTGTGTAATCTCTATACTCTTAAAAGTTGTTTTTGGTTTATTTTTTTGAGACAGAGTCTTGCTCTGTCACCTAGGCTGGAGTACAGTGATGCAATCTTGGCTCACTGCAACCTCTGCCTCCCAGGTTCAAGAAATTCTCCTGCCTTAGCCTCCCGAGTAGCTGGAATTACAGGTACCCACCATCACACCCAGATAATTTTTGAAATTTTAGTAGAGACAAGGTTTCGCCATGATGGCCAGATTGGTCTCGAACTCCTGACCTCAGGTGATCCACCCGCCTCAGCCTCCCAAAATGCTGGGATTACAATGTAGGAATGAGCCACGGTGCCTGGCCTGTAAAGTTGTATTTTGTAGCTCAAATGTAACCTATTTTAATACATATCTATTCAAGCTTGAGAAGAATGTGTATTCTGCCATTGTGGAAGTATTCTATAAATTTCAATTACATCAAGTTCATCTAGATCAAATTGATAGTACTATTCAGGTCAACTATATCCTTACTGACTTTCTGCCTGTTTGACTTATGAATTACTTACTGAAAGGTGTTGAAGTTTGTAACTGTTACAGTATATTTGCCTATATGTCTCACGTAATTTAACCCTTTGTTGTTAGATGCATGCTAAGGATTCTTATATCTTCTTGGAGAATTGATTTCCTTATTATGTAATGCCTCTCTATCTTGATCATTTTCCTTGTTCTGAATTTTGTATTGTCTGAAATCAATATAGCTACTTCATCTTTCTTTTGTTAAGTGTTAGCATAGTATATCTTTTTCCATCCCTTTAATCTATATATGTCTTCATATTTAAAGTGGGCTTTTTGTAACATTGTTACTTTTTTCATATCTTTTTCTGCCTTGTCTTGTTTTTGAACATTTTATACTATCCATTTTATCTCCTCTCCTCTTTTTGAAAAAAGTTAGTTGCTCCAGAGTTTGCAATATATATTTTTAACAAACTTAAAACTAACTGAAAACTAACTTCAAATAACAGTATACTGTTTCACATGTAGTGCAGGTACCTAATAACAGAGTTGTCCCAGTTCTTACTTTCTGACCCTTATGACATCATTGTCATCCACTCCACTTATCCATATGCTAGATATTGTTTCTATTATTACTTTAAACAGTTTAAAGTTTAGTGTTAAGAATAAGAAAAATAAAATATTTTATCTTCATTTATTCCTTCTCTAACATTCCTTTTTTAAATATAAAACTAAGTTTCTGACCTATGTCATTTTCCTTCTCCCTGAAGAACTTCTTTTAATATTTCTTACAGGGTAGATCTGCTTGCAATGAATTCCTTCAGTTTTTGTTTTTCTGAGAAAGTAATTTTTCTTCACTTGTGAGAGATAATTTCACTGGATGTAGAATTATAGGTTACAGGGCTTTTTTTTTCTTTTACAATGCTTTAAATATCTCACTCTATTTTATTCTTTTTTGTATGGTTTCTGACAAGAAATCTGCTGCAATTCTTGTCCTTAATCTCCCATCTGGTGGCTTTCAATATATTTTTGCCTTTGGTTTTTTGAAATTTGAATATGATATGCCCTGGTGTAGATTTTTCGTAATTATCCTGCTTGGTGTTCTCTGAGCTTTCTGGATCTGTTGTTTCCTGTCTATAATTAATTCTGAAATGTTCTTGTGCCATTATTAATTCAAATGTTTCTTCTGTCCCATTCACTCCTTCTTCTCTTTTGGTATTTCAACAATGTGTATGTTACATCTTTTGAAATTGTTCCACAGTTCTTGGGTGTTCTGTTCCTTTTTTAAATTCACTTATCTGTTTTATTTCAGTTAGGGAGTTTTCTGTTTCCCTATCTTCTAGCTTAGTGGATTTTTTCTTCTGTTATGCCATGTGTACTGATGATCCCATCAAAGGCATTCTTCACATTTAAGATAGTGTCTCTGATTTTTAGCATTTCCCTTTGATTCTTAGAGTTTCCATTTCTCTGCTTACATTCCCCTTCTGTTCATGCCTATTGTCTATATTTTTCCACTAGAACCCTTAAATATTAACCATAACTTCCTGGTTTGATAATTCCAATGTCTGTGTCATATCTGAGTTTGATTCTTATGCTTGCTTTATCTCTTCAGACTGTTTTTGTTTGTCTTTTAGCATATCTTGTAAATTTTTGTTGAAAGCTAGACATGATCAGATACTAGGAACTGAGGTAAATAGGCCTTAAGTGTGAGGTTTTGTTTTAATATGGCTAGGAGGTGGGTTGTATTTGATGTTTGCTGAAGTTGCACATGCCATAAGCTTCCAATTTCTCTAGTATCCGTTTTCCTTCCTATAGTATTTGGGCCTCCCTGTATTAGTCAGTGTTCACCAAAGGGACAGGACTAATAGGATAGATGTATATATGAAAGTTAGTTTATTAAAGAGTCTTGGCTCACACAATCACAAGGTGAAGTCCCACAACAGGCCATCTGCAAACTGAGGAGCAAGGAAGCCAGTTCGAGTCCCAAAACCTCAAAAGCAGGGAAGCCAATATCAGCCTTCAGTCTGTGGCCGAAGGCCTAAGAGCCCCTGGCAAACCAATGGTGTAGGTCCAAGAATCCAAAAGCTGAAGAACTTGGAGTCTGATGTTCGAGGGCAGGAAGCATCCAGCATGGGAGAAAGATGAAGGCTGGAAGACTCAGCCAGTCTGGTCTTTCCACCTTCTTCTGCCTGCTTTTATTCTAGCTGCGATGGCAGCTGATTAGATTGTGCCCACCCAGATTGAGTGTGGGTCTGCCTCTCCCAGTCCTCTGACTCCAGTGTTAATTTCCTTTGGCTGCAGCCTCACAGATACACCTAGGATCAATACTTTGCATCCTTCAGTCCAATCAAGTTGACACTCAATATTAACTATCACACTTCCTAAGGACTCCTCTTCAAGAGAGTCTGTGTTTTTCAGCTCCTTCAGCTATAATTCAGTTATGACAATAGAGCCCGATTGATATGGGGGTGAAGTATGAAGAGAATCATTCATTCTAGAATCTTATGATTAAATTTCAATTTTTTAGTTGGCCTGTGTCCCTGGGCTGTGACTTTTACAAGTGTTTCTTAGGTTCTCCCTCCATCCCAGTAGGTGAAACAGAAGGGCTCAAGAGGAAGCTAGAGTTGAAGAAACTGTCCTTCCCCTACAGAGGATAAGGCCGTGATAATGTATTTTTCCCTGGAGAGTAGGCCTTTGTTATGAGAATGTTCTAGGCCTACTTTTATAATGGTTACTTTCCCCCTCTATCTACAGAACATTTTCATGTCTCCCAACTGAAACTATGCACACTAAACACAAATTTCCCATTTTCCCTTCCCTTCAGCTCCTGGAAACCACCATCCTGCCTCCTAACAATGGAGTCTTTTGCATTTGCCATAATGTTTTTGAGGTTTCTCCACGTTATGGTATGTATCAGTATTTCATTCCTTTTTATCACAGAATAGAATTCATTGTATGAATATACCACATTTTATTTATCTACTCAGTAGCTGATAGACATTTGGGTTGTTTCTACCTTTGACTATTATAAATATTATTGCTATAAGAATGTGCATACAAGTCTTTGTGTCAACCTATGTGTTTATTTATATTGGTTAGATTTCTGTGCATAGAATTGTTGGTTTGTACGTAATTTTTAAGAAGCTAACAATCTGTTTTCAAAAGTAGCTGTACTGTGTTATGTTCCCATCAGCAATGTATGAGAATTCCAGTTTCTCTACAGCTGTTAATACTTGGTATTTTCTGCTTTTTTTGTTACAACCATTCTAGTGAATGTATACTGCTATCTCATTGGCATTAATTTGCTTTTCCCGAATGACAAATACTGTTAAGAACTTTTCATATTCAGATTGAACACCTCTTATCCAAAATGCTAGGAACCTAAGTATTTTGGATTTTTATTTTTCTCAGGTTTTAAAATGTTTGCAGAATACATACCACATAAGTATTCCTAATCCAAAAATCTGAAATCCAAAATGCTCCAATGAGCATTTCCTTTTCATACAATTGTTGCTGGGCAGAATGAGTGGGGGAACATTACAGATGTGGAAGTCCAATTCTCTTACCATCTGCTTGGAGTTTTTTTCCAAAGAAGTTTTTTTCTTTATGGCCCTAGGATCTGTCTCATCCTCATATATGAGTTCTGGACTGTTGCTGGGGAAAATCACAGCTCTGTATATTTTTGGTTTTCTGTGGGGACAGTGAAACCAGCTTGCTTCTGTACTGCCACTTTAAAACCAGATGTCTGCCAAAAAATTTTTATTTTAATGGTAATAATTAGCATAAAATTTGCTTTTAGGACCATTGTAAGCCACAAAGATAACTATAGTAGCACAATTTGTAAATGGGGTTGATAGGGAGTGGCACATAAACAGAAATCCTAAAGGCTGAACATGTAAAATCACAACTACTTTTATGCCTGTCTTTATCTGGTCTAACATGGCAGTAAACCAAATATGTTTTGACAAAGTGACAGCAAACTGTTATAATGATTGCCACTCCCTTTTTTCTTCTTTTTGAGGAAGCAGGAAAATGCAGAGCAGAACAAATAGTTCTGTTTCAGACTCTACCCCTTTCCCTGGTTCCAGGCTAAACAATACCCAGGTAACAAGCATAAATAAATAACATCACAAAGAATTACACAATACCCAAGCTGGCGCAATTTAAAGAAAAAAAAAAGATGACATGAAAATTGTAGAGAAATTTTGTCAAGATAATGTGCTAATAGGGTAAGGAGTGAGTGAAAGGACAGAGGAGTCAAAGATAACTTATGGCTTTTAGCTTGTGCAAATGAAAGAACGGCAGTTTACTGAGATCCAAGAGAACCAGCGTGGGTGACCAGAACTCGATAAGTTGTTTTTTGACTATGTTATGATTAATTAAGCAATCAAGTAAATATGGAACTAGGTAGTTGAATATGTAAGTTTAGAATTCAGATAATAAAGCACTAGATATATATAAATTTGAAAGTGATCAGCGTAGACATGGTTCATAAAGCCATGGGGCAGGGGGAAGACAGAGAGGAAATGTAGATGAGAAGAAAAAA
Source organism: Homo sapiens (assembly GCF_000001405.40). Classification (NCBI taxonomy): domain Eukaryota; kingdom Metazoa; phylum Chordata; class Mammalia; order Primates; family Hominidae; genus Homo; species Homo sapiens. Next base: position 169,452,113 of record NC_000001.11, read on the forward strand.
AAAAAGAGATTGGAGAACTTAGCTTCAGGATTACACCTTAGGTTACACTTAAGTTTAGCTGTCAGGAAGAAGAGGAAGAACCAGCAAAGGAGATCCAGGAGTAACCAGTGAGGTAAAGAAAAAGAACCAGAAAGAGGTATGTTCCAGAAGCCATAGGAAGAACATGTTTCAATAAAAAATGCTCAGCTATATCAAACCTGCTGTTGACAGGTGAAATACAAAGAGGATTAGGAATCACTGTTTTGACAGTAGTTTAAGTGGAATGATGGGGATTCTAAACTAAATAGGAGAACAGAAAGTAGACAGCAGTACTGACAGTTCTTTTCAAGGAGTTTTACTCTAAAGGGGAAAAAAGAAATGGGGCAGGAGGTAGAATGGCACAGGAATTCAAGTAGAGGAGGATTTATCATGAAGCTAATGAAGTCTAAGTTTCAGGGCTTCTCACCTGTGCAGGCCACTTCTATGGCCCTGGGAGGGGTCCTAACAATGTATTTATGTGATATGTGAAAATAAGTTTTTAAAAAAATTTCCAAAAGTAAAACATTTTAACTAAAATAAGCCATTTTCTCCTTCCATTCCAACTTCTGTCCATCAAACATTCCCTCTTTGGTTGGCTGCAGACACTTCTGGATTCTGACTAAATGAGAGTTAAATTAGTAATATATTTAATTTGCATTTATGTTTTGTTTTAATTTTGAACAAAACATTATTTTCAAGTATAACAAAAATAATTAAATTGAATTAAAAATTATTTTCCTTTTTCTCTTAAATCCTGAAGAACTGGAATGACAAAATATGACCCATTCAAGTCTAAAGCACTATGAAAAGTACCAAGAATTATACATTTCTAGTCATTAATTTATGAAGTAATATAGTTATTTTTGGCTGTAGTCTACTTGTTTTTTTCATTTTTTGAAGAAATACATAATCAATGTGAAGCAAAATAGACTTGAGAAAGAATTGAAACGACAAAAAAAAAAGAAACGCTATGAGATAGGAAGATGAATCAGCAAAATATGCACTCTTTTACAGTAGATTCCTACTATATCCAAGAACAAAACCTCCTTATTACACAGGGTAAAACAGAATTCAAAAGGACATTGTATTTCTATTGGAATTCTTTAGACTTTTCTGAAATGTCAAGACAGCCATAATTTGATTAATATTAATCTGAAACAGCAGCAAGTCACCATGTCTGAAAAATATTGTATGGACACTACAACATAACTACATCTTGATGCACACTAAATAGTAATGTATGTGAAACTTCTCTTTATTTCCCAAGACCCCCTAAATGATTTTATGTAAGCTGCTAGATTTTCATACAACCCTTTCCTAGTCTAATATACAAATATATGGTCATTCAGTCTCTCCTAGAAGAATGTGAATGACACAGAATCTGCCACTCTAATGGGGAGGCCATATTTTTTGGTTTATTCTGCTTCATAATACAGCAAGGACCTCCCTGACTACAAACATGGATCAGAGCCTCTCATCTTGGAAATATTGCCCCCAAGTTCACTTTTATTTTCGTTTTTGCTCTTTGCTCTCATCCTTCCTCAACGATTCTCCACACTTCTCACTTTTCATTCTCTACACATCTACACATAATTCTTTTTTTTTTTTTTTTGGCATTAACAAAAGGCATTTAAAAGAGCATAAAGTGAATGTCCCTCCCTACCAGTGGGCATCAGAGAGAAAATGTGTTCCTGGGATCACAATTGCCACAATAGTTTCAAGTCTATTAAGACACTTGCATAGCTGACAAATCCCAGTTAAATGAATTTTGAAATTACCTCCACCTTACTTGTGGTGGGCTTCTTTTCAAAGGGACACCAGATACTGCCATCTGTATGATACATGTGGATTCTCAACAGTCTTAATCAACTTGTTGCTTTTGATGTCCCCTCCTTCTTCAGGACCAAATAGATGCATTCTTGAAACAATTTTAAACCAAGAACTGACTTTTTCCCATTTTTAGAATGTACTCATTATAAAACAAGGCTATTTTTGCGGTAGTCAGACAAAGGCACAGCCTCCTTCTTTTAGATGTATTTTTTAAACACTTCATGTTTTTAATAAGGAGAAAATGAAATCTATATTTCAACACTATTGGAATATATATAGGCAACATGGGTGGAATGGCTATTCCTTGCCTTATTATGCCATGGAATAAAAATACTCCTACTCATTTTCCCTCTTTAAATAATGTAAAGTTATGTATAGATAATTCAACACAAAACTACTTGCCAACTCAAAAAAGATTTTACAAAAGATATAATATCTTAATATGTGGTGTTTTATTCATATATTTTGCAGAGCTGCTCAATTAATTGAAGTTTATATTGGGGGATTAATCAGACATAAGGAAGAAATAAAAAACTTACAATGAAGGGAGGCAATTATTAAATTGCTTCTGCTCAGCAGAAAATGTTTTCTTCAGGATCTCAACCATGAATACCTAAATTCTGGGCAGGGAAAGCAGGAGTATAATAGAAATACTAATCAAAATTCACAGGACGTTCACACTGCTTTTTCTTTTAAAAAATGTTGTATTTGATACATACAAAAGAATATATTGGCATATAAATTTAAAAGTATAAAATAATAAAACTTACCTATCAAATTAAAAACATTACCAATGTTCATGACCTACCTATTCCATCTCCCTGTCTTACCAAAAAAGGTAACCACTATCACAAATTTTAAGTATATTATTACATGCCTTTAAAGAAAAAGTTTTATCCATTATGTGTGTTATTCTTAACCAATATGTTGTTTGATTTACATACTTGATTTTGAGCTTTATTTTTGAAATGGTACAATACAACATAGACGGCTACTTGTTTTTTTCTCAACAGTTTAATTATTCTCTAAAATTTATAAATGCTACTGTATGCAATTATATTCATTTGTTTTTTGCCACTGTATAACATTCCGCTATCACAAAATACCAAATTTTTTCTATTCATTTTCCTGTCTATTGACTAAATGAGAGTTAAATTAGTAATATATTTAATTTGCATTTATGTTTTGTTTTAATTTTCCTGTCTATTGACAGGAAAATGAATATTTGGGTTTTTTCAAGGCTCGTATGTTTTCATTTAAATTTTTTCTTTCATAATTGAGATTTTATTCAATCAGTACATAGCCATTATGGATAATTTGTAAACAAGTCCTAATGTAAGTTTTCTAAAGTATTAATTATTCCATTCTTTTCTAAACAGTAATTGTAGTGACTTTCCAACTTAAAGCTAGAGGCAAACTTTCCTTAAGAAAATATATCAGGCCCTAGTAATTTCAAATATTGATAAACTGTTAGGTTTAAAGCCCCACTAATTAACAATTTAGTATCATACTGCTATACTTCAAAATTTCCAAACTTTAACAATTCTGATATATGGAGAGCCAAAATGAGGGAGCAGTTTTCTTTAGGAGCAATTCTATTTGTTTTTAAAGCAAGAACATGGAGATAGGCTTTAAGTAATTTAAAATATTCAGAGATATTAGTGGATAATTGTGACTGCTAATGGCCATTTTGTTAAATTCATAAGATACAAAAACTGCCCTTCCTAGCAGCCAATACAGTTAACACCCAAGACTGTCAAATCCTCCCTTATGTTGACATCTTCACATTTTAGGTTGTACAGAAAAATTACAGGCATATCATTTCTTTTTTTAAAGAAAGTACATACATGCAGGTGTGCACTCACACATGCACACTTGTGCACACACACAACTTCCTTCTAAAATATGTGTTTTTAGAGCTATTTAAACAATCTTTTATTTACAACATAGGTAATAAAAATATTTATCCAGATTATAATGAAGAAGATACAGGAACCATAAGACTTGGTAACTATATTAATCAGATTTGATTTTTTTTCTCTCCTTAATTAAAGACTAGACCCTCCTCAGTTTTAGTTTCTCTACTTTCTGCAGGAAAGTTGTCTTTAGTTTCTTAGATGGCCATTTCAGCCTGTTTGCCTTTTGCTCCCCATTTTCCTTTGCAGTTTTTTGGCTGAAGATTTATCCTTTCTTCCTCCCTTTTTGGCTTAGTTTCAATTTTTGTAGGAAGTGGCTAGGAACCTTGCCGAACTATTCAAGAGCTCCTCCTTAACTCTCACTTAGCTAATGTGATCATCATCTTTAGTTTCCTGGCAGTGTTTTGTGGTGGGGAGCACAGATGCACTGTGCAACCCTTCACAAAGCCAGGTTGCATTGTTGCTGTATCTAAGTACCTCGCATAAGCCCAATTTATATACTCTTCATGTATAGTATTTTAAAATATAAACCACAGAATAAATAATCATTATTAATTAGTAAAGCTAATGACTGTTTGGTGCTGTGGTTTCAATGTTCCCTCCAAAACCCATATTGAAACTTAATCCCCAATGTGGCAGTTATTGAGAGATGGGGCCTGCACTCATGAAAAAATGTGTCCATTAACAGATTAATGAGTTATCATGGGAGGGGAAATGGTGGCTTTATAATAAAAGAGAGATCTAAGTTAGCACATTATCATGCTCAGTCCTCTTGCCATGTGATACCCCACACTGCCTTGGAACTCTGAACTCTGAACTCTGTAGAGTTCCCACTGGAAAGAAGGCTTTCACCACATGCAGTCAACCTTGGACTTCCCAGCCTCCAGAATGGTAAGAAATAAATCCCTTTTCTTTATAAATTACCCAGTTTTAGGTATTCTGTTATAAACAAAAGAAACTGGACTCAGACATCTGGATTTATCTAAATGCTTATCCTTTTATCTCATCCTCACTTCTTGTATGTGAGACCTTCCTATTAGGGTCTTGTTCATTTCTCCTGGATAATCCATTGCTGGCATGGACTTTTTCCATTTTTAAAATCTGTGACTGTTTTTATTCTAGTTCTTAACAGATCACTCTTCTGGGTACACAATTTTAGGTAGGAAGTTATTTTCCTTCAGTAATTTCATTACTGTTGCCTTCTAGCTTCCATTGTTGCTCTTGAGAAATGGCTGTTAGCTAACTGATTCTTTTTTTATATATGATGTCTTTTCTCTCTGGCTGCTTTTATGATCTTCTCCTTGTCCTAAGTTAATTGTAATTTAACTATTATGTGTCTAGTAGTTTTTAGATATCTGGCTTGGGATACACTCTGATTCCTGTATCTGTGGATTCATGTTTTTCGTCAGTTTTGCTAAATTCTCATTCTTAACATAGAATATTGCTTCTCCTCCATTCTATCTATTCATTCCTTCTGAGGCTATAAGATCTTCTCATTCTGTTCACCTTATATCTTAACCTCTTCTTATATTTTTTAATCTCCTATCTCATTGCTACATACAGTAAGTCCTCACTTAACATCATTAACAGGTTCTTGGAAACTGCAACTTTAAGAAAAATGATGTACTGTATAATCAAACCAATTTTACCATAGGCTAATTGATACAAACAAGAGTTAAGTTCCTATAGCATACAGTATATCATTTCACTTAAAGATGCGGTTTCTAAGAACCTATCCATGACATAGAGGAATTACTATACTAGGTAATTTCTTCAGTTTTACTTTCCACTTCACTAATTTTATCTTTAACTGTATTTAATCTGCTGTTTAACCTAGCCATTGAGCTTTTTAAAGTGTTTTAGTGCTAAATTTAATAAATATACAAAAAAGAACATAAATATGTAATTATATAGCAAATATACATGTACAATATTCCAAGTCAACAACACAAGTACCATAGAAATCTGTGTGCCCCTTCTTAAGTATACCTTTCTTCATCTTTCTAGAAATAAACATTTGCTAGACTTTTATGATAATTGTTTTATATTTTTGTCACCTATATATAAATATTTAGACAATAGTTTGAACAAATTGTATTGATAGATTCTTTTGTGTCTTAGTTCTTTTGTGTCTTTCTGTTTTATTTAAGATTGACTAAAATTATTGCTTGTGGTTCTGGCTTATTCATTTTCATTCCTGTATAGTCATATTTTAAGTACTCACTAGTCACAAGTGTCTAGTGGCTACCATATTGAAAAGTGCTGCTCCAACCAAAGGCTGGGGCAAAAGTAATTTTTGTTTTTTTTTTTTTGTTTTGTTTTTTTTGCCATTTAAAAGTATGGCCAAAATCGCAATTACTTTTGCACCAACCTATAAATATAAATAGGAGGTGAATTGCTCGGTCATAGGAAATGCATATATTTGACTTTAAAGGATAATGCCAAAATGTTATTCAAAGGGATTGTACCAATTTACATTCCCACCAGCAATTTATGAGATCTTATCCATGGAATTTTAACTTCAACATTTCTGTTTTTTTAAATGTTTACCAGTTTCTTATAAATGATATAAATGAACAATTTGATAAAAAGGCACACAGGGGAAATCTAGAAGGGTCCTGAGTGCAGGAGCTTCTGTCCCCATGGAGTTGGGGTAGGCACTCTACTGGCACAGAGATGTGTTCACCAATTTGGAAGCTTCCCAACATTTCTATTTTTAAATTCTAAAATATCTCTTTAGGTTCTTTTTCAAGTCAGTCTTGTCATATTGTTACTTTCTTGGTACTTGCTCATTTCTGTGATTTCATCTTTTGTATCTAAATTTTATACATATTTATTTTATACTGTATATCTCTTATAATTCCAATATCTGAAATCATTAGACTCTTAATCTGTTTGTTGTTCTGCTGACTCTTACTTGCAGTTGCTTATTTATTTATGTCTTTGGTGATTTTTAATAGTCTTTAATTTTTAATAATTAATTTCTAATAGTAAATATTTTACATATTTATTTGATCTGAGAGTAATAGTCCACCAAACGTCCTATTAACTTCTTATACTCTACTGTGGTTTCTTGGGGGTTGTAAGAGGATAAAAATCATGCATATGGGATTGCAGTTGACAAATATTAAAATAATTATTCATTCTCGTTTGTACAGCAGTGAGTAAAAAATAAAATAAAATAAAAAGGGCAATAATTATTTATTATGCTTTTTTATTTCTCCAAATTTCCTACCATAAACACATAATGCTTTTAAAACTATGAAATAATAAAATAATCATGGAACCAGAATATTTGCCAAACACAAAATCAAGTAGCAAAATTTTATTTGCATTATGAAATAGGATTTTAGGTCACTTCCTAAGAGGCTAGTTATTCAAAATTAAGGTGTCCCCTTCTTTGTGCTTTCCTATTCCACACTGTGGATAACTCTATCAATGCAGAGGCTTAAGAGGAAATGATTTCTCGAGATGATTTTTGAAATATTGCTTCTGATAGAAGCTAGAATTTCTACCCATCTGGGAGCACCTTAGCCCCGGTCCAGAATCCCTGGCTCAATGCTGGAATCCCTTCATCATTAGACATAACCATGTCTTGTTATTAAAATGGATATAGAGACATGACTTACGGGTAAGCATATTTAGGTATGGTATTTATACCTAAGGAAAGGAGCCCAAAATGCAGAGAAAATAGCAGGGTGAGGAGCACAGAATAAAAAAGAAAAAACTATAACTGGGAGTTAATTACAAGGGTTGGAGATAAAAACAGACCTTGAGGCCTATTGTTGGTTACTTGGATAATTTCCCACTATGGCTATTCTCTGGGATACGGCCTTTTACTTAGTCAAGCATAAGACACAAGCAAGAATTTCCAGGTAGCTGTTTTCTCCAAGTGCTCGATCCTAGAGATTAGTACTGACCTAGAATTTAAGGTCCATCTTTGTCAACCCTCCCAGAACATCAGAAGTCTTCCATGGTTTTTGGCATCCTGTGGGGAATAATGGTCAAGTTACGCAGTTTGAAATTAGGAAAAAAAAAAAAAAAAAAAAAAAAGGAGGAGGCGGAGGGGAAGCAGGAGCAGATAGAACTATATCAAACAGATGAGCAAACTTAGAGGTTTTAAATATTTAAATATTAAATAGTTTTTGTTAACATTTCAGCATTTGGGACAGCACTTGGGCCTGTGATTCCTCTGAAAGACTTTTCTGGAGGGTAAGATTTTCCTTTGGAAAGGGTTGTTACCCCCTTTTATTTACTTATTTTAAAGGAAGACAATTCGATAATAAACTATTTCAGTGGGTGATTTGTAGCGGTCAGTACCGTTTACTGAAGACGTTTAAAACGTCACAGACCGCAGCCAACGCCCTTCCCAATACCTGATGTGTGAATTTCCTTCATCTTGTGGTTTGGCGTGGGTTTTGGAGGAGGAGTTTCAGAAAACGGTCAACATCGGCACAGTTAGGGCTTTATAAACAGGCTATCCAGAGTTCGACTCCTCCTCCTGCACTGGCTAGTCTTGAGAGCCTCTTCCCGGGAAAAACTCGGGTGGAAAGACCATCCGAGGGGAGTGAGCCGCAGAATCACGTAGGGGCTGCAGCGCCCGCCGCCGGCTAGCCGGTAATGCGCAGGCACAGGGAGGGGCGCACGCGGAGAAGGGGTAGGTACGGCGGGCTTGCAGCAGGCAAGGCAACCTGCTTCCAGTCTTCAGCCGCACACCCAGAAGGAGGGAGTCGCTGGCCGGGAGATCGGGCTCCAGGTTTTCTGTCTCACTCCACGCGCACAAATTGGACCCCAAGACACCTCACTCCGTTGCCACTTACCCACCCATCGTGGGACATACTCAGCACACCCATCTGACGGCTGCTCTTGCCCTGCCTGGCATTGTTTTCTGAGCTCTGCTTTCTGAGCAAGGCCTACTCCCCCAACCCTTCCCCACTGCGGTTAATATCTTACAAACTTGACAGTGGAACTGGGGCCAAAGTGACCATTAATTTGCCGGGTAGGGTGGGAATCAGAATCCTGGTTTATCCGCTTCATAGATGTGTAATCTTGGCAGGTTATTTAAACTTTCTAAGCTACTTTTTGAAACGTAAACACACATTGTAGAATGTTAATTTAGCAACCTCAGATCAGTCCTGTTTTCGTTTTTTCCACTGCCTTAAGTCATAAAAGGGCTTCCTTACCTACTACACCCAGCCAATTGCAATGGCAATCCAGCTAGCAATTTTAGGTAGTATCTTCCCATACAATTCATCATATCCATCTTTGCCAGATTAAATTTCTTAAAAATAAGCTTAGTCATTACTCCCCATCCCCATCTCCAGTTAATAATCATTACAAAATGACTCACGCTGTCTTCCCAACTCTATCTCATCCTACTCTTCTACACATATTCCTTGTTGACTGTACCCATCTCCTGCACTTTCTGGCATTCATATCTTCACTTGTGGCCCTTTCTCCACTACACAGTTCCCCTTTCCACATTTCTGTTAAAATCCTACCCATCCTGCATGGTCAACTTAAATGCCATCTTCAGGAAGCCACTCCTGATTTTCCCAGTGTCCTCATTCTCTCTTCCAGACCGAAGCCTTTTGTTATGATACCTATCTTGTATTGCAGTTGTGTACCTCTGTTATCCTTTCTACTTATCTTTTCCAATTATACATCTTAGGGTCCTTGAGGGAAAGAACCACGACTTTTTCATCTCTGTATCCTCACAGGTGCTTTCCAAAATATGAACTAAAAATAAGGGGAGGATTTAGAAAGCTTCTGATCATTTTCATTTCGATTGAAACATTCAAAGTTTCTTTTGAGAGTGCAATGTTGAAATTGGTAGCTACAAATTAGTTGTAAATGGAGAGCAAGGGGAAGGAAACTCATTTCTTAAATCCCTGCTCAGTACTTGCAATGTGACAGGTGCTTTCACTTATGTTTGCTCATTTCTTCACAATTCTGTGAGGTATCATACCATTTACAGATGAGAAAACTGAGGCTCAATAGAGTGACTCTGCTAACGTATCACAGCTTTGAGTGGCAAACCTAACATTTTGAACCCCCTTCTGTAGTATTACTTACTGAAAAAAGTAGAGGAACTAGTATTTCTACAAGGTCCTTTTCAAGAATCAAAGGAGATGATGTTAATAAATGCCCTTCCTAAAGTATGTTAAATATAAGGTATTAATTATGGGGAATATGACATAATAGGTAAAACAAATAGATATCATACCATTTCTATCATTTAAGCACAACAGTACCTTGAATAAGGCATCCAGTGGACTAGAGATCAACAGGCATTTTAATCTTAATATTTTACACTGATGTGCTTTTTTTTTTCTGAGACAGTCTCTCTATCCCACGCAGGAGTGCAGTGGTATGATATCAGCACACTGCAACCTCCGCCTCCCAGGTTCAAGCGATTCAGCCTCCCAAATAGCTGGGCTAATTTTTGTATTTTTTCTAGAGACGGGGTTTTGCCTTGTTGGCCAGGCTGATCTCGATCTCCCGCCCTCAGGTGACCCACCCGCCTTGGCCTCCCAAAGTGCTGAGATTCCGTGAGCCACCGCAGTCTGATGTGCTTTTTAAAAATGACAACTCCAATTTTGTAGGCTGCATTTAAAAATACAGTAAGAATAAGGCTGGGCAAGGTGGCTCATGCCTGTAATCCCAATAATTTGGGAGACAAAGGTAGGAGGATCGCTTGAGGTCAGGAGTTCAAGACCAGCCTGGACAACATAGTGAGACCCCATCTCTACAAAATAACAATTCACTGGGTGTGTTGGTACCCGCCTGTGATTTCCAGCTACTTAGGAGGCTGAGGCAGGAAGACTGCTTGAGCCCAGGAGTTCAAGGCTGCAGTGAGCTGTGGTTGTGCCACTGTACTCCAGCCTAGGAACACTGACTCTTTAAAATAAAAATTTAAAAAGATGAGCATTTAACTATTGTATTGGCAGGTGGCTGAGTCCATCACATACCATTTATATAATTAAATGTTCACATGACACCAGAATCTGTTTTGCAACAAAAAACAAAAATAAGACATGGTCCCTGGTCTGAAGGCTTCCAATCTGAAAGGTAATAAGACACAGGCAATGAAACTATAGGGCTATAAAACTATATTTAAAAAAATTTTTGGCCGGGCGCAGTGGCTCATGCCTGTAATCCCAGCACTTTGGGAGGCCGAGGCGGGCGGATCACGAGGTCAGGAGATCGAGACCATCCTGGCTAACACCGTGAAACCCCATCTCTACTAAAAATACAAAACATTAGCCGGGCGTGGTGGCAGGTGCCTGTAGTCCCAGCTACTCGGGAAGCTGAGGCAGGAGAATGGCGTGAACCCAGGAGGCAGAGTTTGCAGTGAGCCGAGATTGCCACTGCACTGCAGCCTGGGCAACAGTGCAAGACTGTCTCAAAAAAAAAAAATTTATTTTTGCATGAAAAATTTCCAGGACTTTGGTGATAAGCAGCGAAATCAATGCCTTAAGTAGATTTTGAAATGGTATATTAAAAAATGGTACTCATTTGGATACTGTAAGAAAATACTGATTAGGTTTCTGGGATATAATGGACAAATGATTCTCAACTCATGGCAAGAAGATTCCTCCCTGGGTATCAGAATAATTTGAGGTGGAACAAAGAGGCTATGAAGTTTCAGAACAAGGTGGTATTTTCTGCTCTTGCTTTAATTTCCTTTATTGTAAAAATTCAGTTAACATCAAAGAGAGTGTCTTTTTTTTTTTTTAAGGAAGAATGCTTTAAAAAGAGATAAGAGCAGTGCCAACATGAAAACCAAAAAAAAAAAAAAAAACAGTGCAACGGGGTGCCAAAAAAAAGGGGGAAAACATCTGAAATAAGGGGGAAGAGTCAAAGGTAAAAATCACAAAGCAATGGAATAATTAAAAAGATAACAAAAGGTTAACTAGGCAAGTTAGACCAGGGGAAGACTTAATATGAAATTTGTCCTAGGATAAATTATTAAAATATTTAAAGATATAATCTAAAGCTCCTACTGAAATAGAAGATAAATTTAAAACAATTTTGATTAAAAAGAGAAAATATACTGTAAAATATTTATTTAATAAAAATAATTTTATAATCTATACAGAATTGAATAAAAAGTACAACAAATTATTTTCACTTATTTACAAAACTGCATACAGTACAACTTGCACATTGAGTTCAGCATTCTATAAATATGGCCACATACCAAGATGTGAACATATTCTTGTCTTATATAAGAAAAGGCTCAGGTTGTATGCCACAAACTTTGAATTAAATTCCAGGGAAATATTGCTTTGGTAACATGAACAATTTGTACCACATTCCATTAAAAAAAGATTTAATAAAATCCCTCAAACAGCACTTTTCTACTTGTTTCGGAGTACACAATTCCCAAATTAGCACAAACAAAACAAAGCAAAAAAAGAAAAACAGACAGAATGTAAAATGAAGGTTGCTACTTTTATGATATCACTTCCCTTTCCCTTCCTTAGCTAGTGTTCTTTTCCTTTCCCTTAATAGTAAAGGATGGTGAATAGAAAATGACCTATTCTTATCCCCATCCATTTGCTTCTAGGATTCCTGCTTAAACCAAATGAGTATGTCGACTTTGCAATCTTGACACACTATTATTAACACTGTTCAGCTGTGTCATTCTAAAAAAGTTAATACCCCAGTTAAAAGCACCTATCTAGATTCTTTTCAAGATAAGGCAACAAAGTCAGCTTTAAAATAGTTTTCATGTCTGACATATACTAGCAGCCCCTTGGTAGACTGATTTCAGAATTAAATGCATATAGAACATTTTTTCAAGTAACTTGGTAATGAAATCACTAGCAATTTTAAGCAAATATTCAAGATGATCTACCTTTAGAAACAAAGGCAGATTTAAGGTAAAAAAATGCAGGAATCACATCTATCCTAGTTCCTGTCCCATTGAAATAATTGAAAAGAGGCTCAGTTTATGAAAAAGGCCTTGGACTAATGCAATTCCTATTGACATCTTTACTTGGATAAGAAAAACAAATTAATATAAAAACTATAAATAGGGATGAAATTATTAAAAAAAGATTTTTCATTTTATTTTGGAAATAAAAGGGAATACAAATACAAATGGCCTAGTTACATCTTTAGCCTATATATGAACTTTTAATCTTGGAATTAATAGTCCTTCATATTGAAGATTTAAAGACAAGCAAGCGTACCTTAAGCTTTCTTAAGTCTCTTCATTTAGCAGGCTTCAAAACTTGCCTTATTTTCTAACTAAATGAGCTTCTCTGGGAAGCATATGAATAATGCAAAAACGTACTTCTAAACAAATTTTACAGAAATAAATAATCGTCACAATGGGAACCAAGAACATTCATATGATGAATTTTTTTAAAATAACTTAAAATTAGAAATGATACGTACACCTTAAAATACAGAACACTAAACCAGAACAAATATTGCCAGTGATAGAATAACTATGTAGAAAGACCAATGTACATGAGTAACACAGAAATAAGAATTAAATTGAATAGAGGCAGATGCTGTTAGAACATATTTCCATCCATCATGACTTGCAACATTTTGTGGCCTCTGTGGAGCCCTGGTCCCACCAGGCCAAGCATCTGGCTAAGTAGATACAGACATATGTGACCTATAAAACACCAAACTCACTTGCTAATGAAGTATACAACACCATGTGCTGCTTTGATTGCTCTTGACTGGTTTTTAAAATCAAGTTCACTTTTGAATCAGAAAAAAAGTCATCCTTAAATTAGCTCTCATAAATAATCCATGAAATAAACTTTACTTCTGGCTCCTCTGAATAGTATCATGTTATTCCCGGAACACAAGGTATTAGTCAAGTGGCTGCTGTGAAGTCAAGAAATGCACATTCATAAATATATGTCTACGCTTTAAAAAATCAAACACATCCAGGCAGTTGCTGTGCAGAGTTCTTGCTATAAGAAGAAGCCCTTCAGCAGTATATTATGAAGTGGTTACTTGAGAACTTGATTGTGGATCTTCCAGCTTTCTACATTTCTTCATAACACTGACTGCACCACTGGCCAGGAAAACCACAGCGATGAGTGCAAAATAACTGGCATAGATCAAAAACTAGAAGGGGGAAAAGCAGTTTATTGAATTATCAATGACAAGAGGATTACTCTATAATAAAGTATATTCAGAATTTGTCCATAAAGCCTCAAAAAATATTGCATACTTACACCACGTGCCAGACCCTGAAGACACAAAGCAGCATCACAGCACGGTGGTACTAAATAAAGCCTGACTGCCTGAGTGTGAATCCTGACTTCATCCCTTACAAGCTGCGTGAACTTGATTGAGATACTTCATCTCTGAGCCCTTCTTCACTTACAAAATGGAATTCATAGTAGTTCTCACTTTACAGCGATGTTGGTACCCATCAGTGAGATCATAAATGCTTATTAGCACAATGCTAATGCTGTTAGTATTACTTTTATTGTTGTTGCTGTTATTGTTATAATTCAGTCCTGGTCTCTGCCTTCAAGCTGATAGGTGGGTACAAATAGGCCAAATTCTGAAGATCAAGAACTTCTCTATTTTTCCCCAGAAGAGGGCAGCGGCAGGTCAACTATATTCCATTACAGGATTACTTAATGTAAGAATTCTTCCCTAAGACAATTTTTTTTTTTTAAGTTCTGGGGTACATGTGCAGAATGTGCAGATTTGTTATATAGGTATACGTGTGCCATGGTGGTTTGCTGCACCTATCAACCCATCATCTAGGTTTTAAGCCCTGCATACATTAGGTATTTGTCCTAATGCTCTCCCTTCCCTTGCCTCCCACCCCCCAACAGGCCCCAATGTGTGTTGTTCCCCTCCCTGTGTCCATGTGTTCTCATTGTCCAACACCGACTTATGAGTGAGAACATGCAGTGTTTGGTTTTCTGTTCCTGTGTTAGTTTGCGGCGGATGATGCCCTAAGCGAAATTTTAATGTGACTATATGGTTTATTAACATCATCATCATCATCATCTTCTTAAAATAACATACTAAATACTTACAAACTGGTTCAAAAGTACAATGAGAGTATGGCCTTAAATCACTGAGCCAGTTTCTTTCAATGTTGGCTACACTTCTGCAGGAAGCCATTAATCAATCATGGCAGTTAGGGTTTCAGCACCACCCATAAAATCCTATTATTCCACGTGTTTAAATCCACCATTTCTATAAGAATCTGCTGACAAATTTCCACTTCCAATGACAGCCATGTTTCCCTCAACTGTAATAGTCCTGGGAACTCTCCCTTATACAGGGAGGATGGCAAGCACTTAAGTTTCTCTCCTACTTTCCATCCTGAAATAAGTTTTGGGGTTAGATGTTGGTTTAACTCTAAGCTCTGGAACACTACTAGTGATGGTATGGACAAGTCACTTAACATCTCTCAGACTCATCTTCTTCATGTCTAATACAGCAACCCTACAAATCCTATATAAAGCACTTGACACGTAGAGGCACTCAATGCACATTGTCTATTATTACTATTTCTCTCTTAGATCGCTTCAGTAAAAACAAAGTTAATTACGGCTAATATGTTGGGAAGAAATCATTTGGGTTGGGATGGGGGTGGGAGTAAATACTTCTTGATTCATTCAGTTGCCCATTTTACCAAAGTACAAAACAAGATATACTTAAAACTCACAATGCATGAAGGCATATACAACTATACAATTCCTGAACGTAAAAAGTATTCACATTGTTGTTGGGTGTTGGTGCAAGTTTCTCAATAGTCATAAGTTACAAATCATAATGTTGTTCATCAGCAGCAAGGCATTACCGTGGTATTTGGGTGAGGGGTGTTTTAAATAAAGAAGGGAGGAGACTTAAAGAGTTGTGAGATGAAGCAGGGAATCTCAAACATGGGATACAGTATTCCAAGCATAGATTTAAGTATAGAGGGAAATAATGGATGAGGAAGCAGAAGGTCTTGGTCTGTAAGGAATCAATATTACCTCTCAGCTGAAACAGCCCCATTGGGCTGATGAGTTACACTCGGGAATGTTCTAAGACCTGACAATCCCAACACCCTCCCAGGAGAAAAGAACTAAGGATAGGGGAGAAGATGTTGAATGAAGGAAGGAGGGTATGCTTTTACTTTACATCTGTTCCCTATTGTTTGGATTTGTTTTCATTAAGCATACATATACTTCTGTCACCCTGATCAAGTCACACATACTACCTTCGATGCCAAAGGAGAGATCTTACCTGAGTGGTAATTTCTAATCCAAGGCCACTGGCATCTACCACAATTAGAGTGAGCAGCGTCTGCAGTGCCAGGGCAATGAAGGTATTTACACCAAATACTAGGGCATAGCGTTCCATGCTGAGGTTTGCAGCAATTTGAAAACTTAAAAAAAAATAAAAGAGTGAATAAATAAGAATTACTTCTGGAGTACTTATAATATTTATTCTAAATAAAAGTAAACATTTATCTTTAAACATGAAGAGTCCTTCTTTCTACTGTCAATTGCCTTTCCAACCAAATGAAAACATTCTGCAACTAAATGATATAAATCTCATGCAAACATCTGAAAACAGTAGGAACATACAAACATGGGAATAAACAAAACTTGCCTAAATGCTTCCTCAGGAGAAAAACTGATAATGCACATATAATACAATGCTTCCTCCCATTTGCCTCATTTAACTAGAAACTTGAATATTTTGGTTTGTAAAGAAACCAAAAAATTTATCCTGTTACAATTTTTCCTAAGGCTTCTATGAGCCAAAATACATACGTTGCTATCGTGATGAGTAACATGTAGATGATTCTGAAGACAACATAGGATGCATAGCACACCCAAATGTTACCCACAGTGTCCATGATATACACTGCAGCAGCAATCAGGAGAGAAAAGAGAGATAATGTCATTTCTCCCCAAGTTGACCAGGATATTTTTATATAACCAACTGCAAACACAGCAACAGCACCTACAGAACAAACAAAAAAAATCCAATTATTTTGCTACACAAATGCTGTTGCAATAAATTAAAAACTCAGCTTAGATTATTAAATTTTAAAATCTGCAAACTTATAAACAGAATAGCTCAAGATTATGGAGGGCCTTGAAACTCACACAGAAATTTCTGAACTTGATGGAATCAATAAAATGGAGCCACTGAGATGACAGACTGAATTAGGAGAGGTGGCAATGAGATGAAAATGCAGGACAAAGACACAGGGACATTGCTAAGGAAAAAAAATGCTGCAGCTGAAGCAGAGGCAAGAGTCAAAAAGAACCATAGCTTCTAATTTGGCATCATGGCAGGATGAGTCATCTCTCCTTCAAACCAAGGAGCAGTCTAGAACATGGCAAAAGGGCTTCTCTGCCTTTTGGTAAAACAGTGATGATGATAAGGATAGCTAAAATCTATGAAGTGTTTTCTGAGGGCCAAGACAGATAATAAGTGTTTACAGAAATCATATAACACCATCCAACAACCTCAGGAGGTAGGTCAACAAATTAGAAATGAACAATAGAGTAAGATGGTCAAATACACAGGCTCTGAAGCCATCCTGCCTGAGTTCAAGTCTTGACTTTACTACTTACCATCCATATGACCTTGAGCAAGTTATTAACCTACCAGTCCCAAGTTTCCATTGCAAAATGGGGATAAATTCTACCTATCTCAGGAATTTTGTGAGGATTGAGTTAATGTATATAATGTCCATAGAACAGTACCTAGCACATATTAACATTCAACAAATATTAGATACTATTGTTATAAACTATTATATATTGCCATTCAAAATTTCACATCAAGTGACAAAACTACCCAGTAAATACAGAGATAATGGAAACTTGGATAAACAATCTTGAAAATTATTATATTAGGTTTACTCAAAGCTTATAAAAAAATTCCAGTTTGTTAGTCATAGTCCTGCTCCACTTGAGTACTTCTAAGTTGTCCTCCTAAATTGTAAAATCTAGCTCAAAATAATCATTTTTTGAGGCTATTTCAAATTTGGGAGGGGTGAATAAATCTGATTATGGCTGGCTTAACTACCAGAGGAATCCCTCCCCCACCACGACCCTCTATTATCCTGCATTGCTTACCCAGTAAGGTTGAAACGGCCTCCACGCCACCATTATAGATAGCAGCATAGCGAGAAGGCATCACTTTCTCCCACAGGCCCTGTGTGTAGTTCACAACTTGAAAATAGCCACAGGTAGAGAGGGCCCACCACACAGACCAGCAGAGAAGAGGGCGAGAGGAGTAGCACATCAGGAAATCATTCCATAGTACTTTCAATACAAGGAGACGGTCTGGCTTGGGTTCCTACATAGCAAAAGGGAACAATGCTCAAACTCTGATGAAGGCAATTATATAGAAAGCAATTTACAGGCCCAATTACTTACCTAACAGACTTTTTTCCTTGTGAAAACTAACTGCTTACTTCATAAACTTATTAACAAATACATTTATCCCCTCTGGCGAAAAATATGTTCTCATAGGATTTTTGCTTTAAATGCACTATAGCATTAACACAGCTGTATGTAATCAACCCAGCAAAAGATGTACTGTTTACAAAATGAAGATGATGAAAAGAGACCGCAGGCTTCAGCCAATGGGAGTCTGTAATCTACATCTCCCATAAACTGGCAAACAACATAACAAGAATAATAATAAGCAACAGACTAGCAACCCTAATAAATCACTATTCAGTTAAGGCCTCCTATCGTTATAATTGACAGACTGATCCAACAGTTAAGATAGAAATATTGGAAAGAAGTAGACCAAAATATTAGCAGTTCTCTCTAGGTGGTGGGTTCTTAGTGATTTAAATTTTCTTCCTTAAACTTTTTATATTACTTAATATTTAAACAATGAGAAATAGTATTATAATAAAGTAATAAATAAAGCTACTGGGCTTATAATTGAGTGAAGCAAGACATTACTGAGCTACGCACTATCCCAAGAAGTCAATATGAGATGTCAGACACTCTGTGAGATATCTCTGATTTCAACTGTATGAAAGGACTAATCTACCAAAGGTTACTGTAATCCCTGGGCCTTGCTCAGAACATGGGAAGGCCGGGTGTAGTGACTCATGTCTATAATCTCAGCACTTTGGGAGGCCAAGACAGAAGGATTGCTTGAGCCCAGGAGTTCAAGACCAGCCTGGGCAAGAAAGTGAGATCCTATCTCTACCAAAAAAAAAAAAAACCCACAGAAAATTTTACTTTTGTGGCTAACATGGAAAGGCAAAATGAGAGCCATGGAAAGATGAGTACAATATACCACTGAGTAAAATAACAGCAAGTTACAAGACTACATGTAGATCACAATTTCATTTACTATAAAATGTATACGTACATATGTATATAGGAAAAGAGATGTTTGAAAAGAAGTTCACTAATCTTTGGGTGGTAGTAGTTCAGGTGATTTTTTATTTTTTATATAGCTTTCTGTAACATTTAATTTAAAAAAATAAGTAGATGCCAGGCACAGTGGCTCACACCTGGAATCATCACACTTCAGGAGGCCGTGGCAGGAGAAATGCTTGAACCCAGAAGTTCAAGATCAAGCTGGGCAACATAGTAAGATCCCGTCTCCACACACACACACACACACACACACACACACACACACACACACACAATTTAATTAGCTGGGTGTGGTGGTGTACACATGTAGTCCCTGCTACTCAGGAGACTGAGGTGGGAGGATCACTTGAACCTAGAAGATCAAGGCTGCAGTGATCCGTGATCACGCCACTGCACTCCAGCCTGGGCGACAGAGACAGACTCTGTCTCAAAAAACAAACGTGTGTGTGTGTGTGTGTGTGTGTATATATACACACACACCATATATATCATTTTTATAAAATTAATAGATATTTTCTCCTCTTATATACAGTAACAGTGACCATCAACATTAGTTAAATAAAGGCCATTTTCTCCCTCAGAGGCTAGAAAACCTCACTGGACTGAGAATCCGAGTTTCATCGTTGTTTTACCTTCTCATACCATCCCAAAGCAACCCCAGTGTGGTGCTTCCTTCTTTGTGCTGTTTAGCCCAGAGGGGGATATCCTTCAAGTACCATTACTACAGCCCCTTTCCAAAATTCAGGGAGGAGTACTGAGGTTAATCAAAATAACTCAGAGAAAGAAGTACCGACACTTGAAAATTCTACTTGATGAATTTGCATAAGATAACCACCTAGAAGTACAACATACTGCTGTTACAAGATTGATTTCTTGGCACTGTGTATGAGAGCAAACCTTGTGAATTTAAACAAATCACAAGACAATTGTTAATCATATATAATGTGAATTTGCTAAGAGTGAGTGAATGGTACCAAGCACATTTTCATAAGTCTTTATTCAAGGTCCACCAGTTTTATTGAACTACATCAGAATTTTACTATTTAGCTTCAGTTGCTTAACCAATATAACTTGGAAAACAACTGGGATATCTAAAACTTTCAAGGATGCTGGAAGGATTATAAGAAAAGAAAGTATATTCCTGGAAGAATGGAACTATTAAAAGGATTCACAAGTTTCTATTAGAAATCCTACCATAAACTGATAAGAAAGCCTTACTTTTCTCATCTAGAAAATGAAAATGATAACAATAAAACCTATCCACAAAAGATTATACAGAGTTACACTAGATAATGTATATATTTATTATAGAGGGGCTCAATTAGTGTTATTTTTATTGCATAGCTTAAAAAGTCATGGCATACATAAAATAATGCCCAGTATAATGCATTTGAGAACTTTAGATCTATTACATAATAATGAATTCCACACACAGAGGTTAATAACTACTCAATCTATTATCTGGCCATGCCAAAAAGAAAAGATGGCAGGTCCTGTTTATAAAATCAGCACCTCGTGCTATAATCTGCAGGCTTCCTTCTATGCTGTTTTCTAGGCTTCAAATGTTAAGCTTATATGAATCACACTTTATAAAGTAGCATTTGACATATTACCTTTTATGTTTCTTGTTAAATTACATCTACAAACAAAGGTTTATTTCTATTACATCAAAACTCTGAGCTGCTCATAGTTAATCATGCATGCTCTAATTTAATAAGTGGCCTTCACTGTGTTCCATGGAGCTTTAAGAGTTTCATGTGGGATGAATAACAGGCTCAAGTATGTAAAATTATCAGACCTGCATTCCTGTTTCAATCAGAAAGGCTCAATTTTTATTTACTTATCATAACGGGCATCTAGTTTCAGATTTCATTTGAACATAAGATTTTGACGCTGTTTTATAAATTTAAAAATCTTTAACAATTACTTCCCTCTATCAGGGAATGGAAGTTTCTACTGTAGTGGTGGTTTTTGAGTCAACTAGATATGGGTGGAAATTTTATTTATTTATTTATTTTTTTGAGACAGAGTCTCTGTTGCCCAGGCTAGAGTACAGTGGCACTATCTCAGCCCACTGCAACCTCTGCCTCCCGGGTTAAAGCAACTCTCCTGCCTCAGCCTCCCAAGTAGCTGGGATTACAGGCATGCACCACCACGCCCAGCTAGTTTTTGTATTTTTTTTTTTTTTTTAGCAGACATCGTGTTTCACTATGTTGGCAAGGCTCGTCTCGAACTCCTGACCTCAAGTGATCTGCCTGCCTTGCCCACCCAAAGTGCTGGGATTACAGGTGTGAGTCACCATGCCCAGCCTGAGTTGGAAAGTTTTAAAGTGCCACTTCCTATGTGCCTTTGCGCAAGTCAGTTAACTAAATTTAGTTTCCTCTTCTGTAAAATGAGCAAATATCTACATTATTGAGTTTTAATAAGAATCAAATAACATACTGACTCTAAAGTTCTTAGCACAGTATCTGATACCCAGGTCAAAATAAACAGGAGGTGTGATGATGATGATGATGAAGATGACCAGGGGTGATTAATTCAAAGAGAAAAGGAAAGATTGCTCTATTTACAACCTCACAAATACATGACTATCTACCATAAAAGTACAGAGCTGTTCCGGATTATTCACGTGTAATGATAATGATAATAGTAATAATAGCAATTACCATTTATTGGAAACCTACTATGTAAACTCATTTGAAAGCTTTAAATACTCAAAATAACTGTATAAGGTAGATATGTACATAAGGAAACTAAATCTCACAGAATTAAGTAACTTGCCCAAGTATTAGAACTAGGGTTTGGACTTCACTTTCTTAAAAACTCACAATGAATGAAGCGAATAGATTTTCGTTCATTTTGGTTCTCAGGGTTTATTGTAGTTTTTTATTTTTATGGGTTTTGGTGAGGGAGGTAGGTGGTAACTCACTACACCCTGCTGCTAGAAATGACATTATTTAATACCAAAGTGGAAGCATTAATTTCACTGTTGTCATTGTTTAGAGACCTTAGACATGCAGACACAGAAAGAACACTTACTAGTAGTAAAAGATATCAAACTACAAATAAAAGCATGGCTATATTAAGAGAATCATTTACTAGGTATTAATTACATGTCAGAACCTGTGCTAAAGAAGTGGTTTAATTTATGTCATTTCTAATAGATGAAGAACTCAAAATAAATCAGTTTCACCAATCAGCCAACTACATAATGAATCCAGCTCTGCTTGTAAAAGAAAGTCACCAGCTTTGGTTCTTCTTTCTGCAAGATCAGCACCCTTTGCCCCAATGCAATAGACTCTCTTTAAAAATAACTCACAAATACTCTAAGGTAACTTGTAGAATGAGCTATCACTTAGACTCCTCTTACTTCATTTTCTCTTTCTATAAAAATCAAGATAAAACCACCTACCTACCTACTCTTCAATAATTACCACAATTATAATTTATGGTTTAATTATAGGTCTTGTCAACTTAAAATAGCTCTGTGATCCCTAATATCCATATTCTGAATTTTCTTCATGCTTGCCAAAGAAAAACAGCAGCATTTTAGGGCCAGTCAGTGCCAATACCAAGCAGCACTGCCCATCTGCTATGGTATCAGTAGCAGAGCCTAGGATATCAGGGAACTGACTTGAATCCTAATTCTGAAAACAGTGTAACTGACATGATGGTTCTGACATTGTTACCCCAGTTAAAAGACTTCACCGAGAAAGGTTTAGAAAGAACTGGATCTCATACACACTTTTAAATTATGTTCAAGAGTATATTTGTACAATTCTGCATAAGTTGCTAATCTCTGATCCTAATCCTTATCTCTAAAAGGACAGTCTTGATGAAATCTAATCTCTTTTTAAAATGCTCTGCTTTTTCTATGACTTGTGATTAGAGTCATTTCTAACTCTAAAATTCTACAATTCTTCAGTATATAAAATACTGACACACTGTGTATCTATAAACAAGTATTTCAAGTTGATCTAGAACAGTTTTTAAAACTATAGGTCATCACCCATAAGTTGGCAATAAAATTGATTTAGAGGACAGTGAACTGAATTTAAAAAAAATAAAAGAATGTATCAGAATAAAACACTGTTGTAAAACTTGTTTCTGTTATATATAAAATATATACATACCTATGTATGTACAGGTTTTCTATGTAAAATGTTTTCTATGTTTCTTACTTATATTCAAAAAAGTTTGAAACTGTCTATAAAAATCTTTAGAACTATGGTCAATATGTTAATATCTAAAATATATATTTATACACATATTATCTGTATATACGTTAATTTTAGCTAAAGCCACTGTAACACATTCAAAACAGATAAAGAAGTGTCTTTATTTTTTTTCCACTTCATAAAATCTATGAAATGATTACACACCTCCTTCCCTCCCCCATCAACCCTCTGTTGACTCTCTAATATCACCTAACAAACTATGAAAAAAATCAGCATTTCATTGCCACTTAATCCTTGGTCATTCTGACAAAAAGTGCTCACAGGTGCCCTGGTAATCAAGGTGAGTTTCATGATGAGGGTTGCCCAGGCTCTACAAGTCTACCCAGGCTCTCTGGGATGATAACCTAAATTTCAAGTAGTAATTTGAGAGCTGAAGAACGGGGATAGAGAAAAGAGAGTAATTTTCAATGAGGACATTAGATGCCACATTTAAACAATTCAGTTAACTCTCAGTAGAGAATGAAAGACTTTACTCATAATGGTTCTTTATTATCAGCCAGCCTACAAAGCTTATGGAGCTCAGTCCGACTGAGGCCACCTACAAAGCTGGAATGTTAATAGGCTTATTTCCAAACATGTCCCAGGAAAACTAAGACTACAGTGTGGCTGGAATTAACTTTGTTCCTCACAGCTTATAACCTAATAGAAACAAAAAAAACACTTGAATATTTAAAAAAAAAAAAGGGTGGGTGTCTAGGGAAAGGAATTCATCTTCCTGGCTAGACAGAACAGATGGATAAATTATTTTAATGCCATACCTCTCTCTTCCAAGAGACAGCTTCATAACACACTTTTACTATTTATTCCATCACCACCTCAAACTGTCCTCTTGTGATCTCTTCGTCTGTATTATTCATTACTACTTCACTTCAGCAAATTGTCATTTGAAAAATAAATAACAGATATCCCTTCTAGCACAGAAGAGGAAATTAACTTCTTACCCTTAAATACTGTGGGCTTCATGACTGGGTGCGGTGGCTCACGCCTGTAATCCCAGCACTTTGGGAGGCTGAGGCTGGTGGACTGCTTGAGGTCAGGAGTTCGAGACCAGCCTGGCCCACATGATGAAACCCCGTCTCTACTAAAATACAAAAATTAGCTGGGCGTGGTGGCGAGCGCCCATAATCCCAGCTACTAGGGAGAGGCTGGGGCAGGAGAACTGCTTGAACTCTGGAGGCGGAGGTTGCAGTGAATCGAGATCGCACCACTGTTCTCCAGCCTCAGCAATAGAGCAAGACTCTGTCTCAAAAATAATAATAATAATAATAATAATTTGGGCTTCAATTCAGAAACTAGAAGTAGATACTTAATCATTTATTAGAATCATTTCATCTACTCATTTAGCAACAATTTTCTGAGTGCTTTATTTATATGCCAAACACTCAAAAGATGAAGACACAGCCCTTGCAATCCAAGGCATCTCTGACATGAACAATATAATGCTGTATCAGTCTGACTTTGGAGGTCACGCACTCCAGGAAAAAATAAATGTGTCATCCCTAATATAAATAAACCATAGCTTGAATGAATGAATGAATGAATGAATAAAGCAATAAACCAACTCAGGATAAAACATGAATCCAAATAAATACAAGATCTACCAAGAGGGAGTTTGCTGTTTTTTTCACCACGGGTCCAGCCCCCATAGTAGCAATTACAAGATATTTAAGGCTGAGCTTACCGGTTCCTCCACGGGAGGCTCCTCCATATTTAGAGGGATTTTTGACTCAATGTCCTCCCAGCCAGGAAGGTGGTTAGAAGCTGGGGTGTCAGTAACAATGCCACCATTTTGTACCTTGATGCCATTCACTCTCTGGCAGGTAGAAGGAATGTGGTGAAAGAAGAGGCTCTTCTGTGGCATAGGTAAAAACCAGGCCACAGCAAAAGCCACTGAAACACAGGTAAGAGAGATGACATTCAGGCTGAACAGCGACCAGCCTGCCACTGAGACAAGGATTTGCCCTAGGACAGAGCCCACTGTAAAGCCCACCAAAGTGGCACTTCGACAGTAACTTGTGACTTTCTGGTACATGCCCAGGTCCACCACACTGTAGATATAAGAGTAATAGGCAATTTCAGTGGCTGTGGCGATGCCATAAAAAAATTCTAGAAATTGAATGGCCAGCAGTCCCTGGGCATAGAGCAGCATAAACCATGTAACAATAAGGCTGAGCCCCTGCAGTAGAACAACAGGTTTATAACGGAGGTAGTCTGTGGCAAGGAACACAGGAAACAGTAGCACCAGGTAAGAGTAAGTCCATACTGGATAAATTTCATTGAAGACCTGGTAGAAAGAGAAAAAAAAAAAACAAAAAACATTAGTGATGAAAGGACCTGGAATACTCATAAAGAATTTATTCATAAAAAACAACCTACAAATACCTCAAAGATCTCAACCTTGACAACAGCAGTTCAGATAACTTTGAAAATGTCTTTTCTCTCTTTTTTGTTTGAGATGGAGTCTTGTTCTGCGCCCAGGCTGGAGTGCAGTGGTACGATCTTGGCTCACTGCAACCTCTGCCTCCCAGGTTCAAGTGATTCTCCTGCCTCAGCCTCCCGAATAGCTGAGATTACAGGGACCCACCATCACGCCTGGCTAATTTTTGTATTTTTAGTAGAGGTGGGGTTTCACCATGTTGGCCAGGCTGGTCTCAAACTCCTGACCTCAAATGAGGAGCCTCCCAAAGCGCTAGGATTACAAGGGTGAGCCACCTCGCCCAGCCTGAAATATCCTTTCCTATCCCCAATACCATCATCTTTTTCCTAATAAATTCTTCCCATTAATCAAGGCCTAGTTCAAAGACTTCCTTATTCAGAAAGACTTTGCGGAAGCCAAAAGTACTTGTATTACAACATTCAAACCCTTTTTTTTTTTTTGGTTTTGTTTTTTGTTTTTTTGAGACAGGGTCTCCCTCTGTCACCTAGGCTGGAATGCAGTGGCAGAATCATGGTTCACTGCAACCTCCGCCTCAGGTGAGGCTCAGGTGATCCTTCCACCTCAGCCTCCCCAGTAGCTGGGACTACAGGCCTGTACTACCACAACCAGCTAATTTTTTTTTTTTTTTTTTTTTTTTTTTTTGGTAGAGATAGGGTTTCACCACGTTACCCAGGCTGGTCTCAAACTCCTGGGCTCAAAGCAATCCACCAGCCTCAGCCTCCCAAACTGCTGGGATTACAGACATGTGAGCCATCTGGCCTAGCCTCAAACTCTCCTAATACTGATCTATATGCATCAGTTTCCCCAATTAATTCATAATACTGGCTCTTCACCATGGCTGCATCTCCTAAGAAGCTTTAAAAAAATGTGTTAGCCAAGCGTTGTGGCACATGCCTATGGCTGCTACTCAGGAGGCTGAGGTGGGAGAATTGCTTGAGCCCAGGAGTTTGGGGCTGCAGTGACTTATGATCACACCACTACACTCCAGTCTGTATGACAGAGCAAGACTCTGTCTCTTTAAAAAAAAAAAATGCCCAGCCACAGATATTTTCTAAAAACTTCCCAATAGAGTTTTAAATGAGCCAGAGTTGAGAACAACTGCCTTATAGGCTTTTTAAGGATAGACCCCTACATTCACCTGTATAACCTGTCTAAAAGCCAGCATACTGTTTGGAAGATACTATTCAATAAATGCTTTGAAAACGGAATCACTGTCAATTCTTACTTCTAGACACAAGATAGGGAGCCTTTATCCTACTGTTTCATTAAGCTTCTCTGACTTTAAGTTTTGTTTCTTTTGGGGCAGAGGAACAAATAAAGATGGTCAATGTGTCCTACAGTCTTGACAGAATTAAGTCTCTCTAGATGGCAGGAATATAGGCAACTTTTATGTCCTTCTTTTTGCTTGTTTTTAAATAGAAAAAAGAAGTTTTTGCTGTTTTCTTTCTAATGCATATTTTAAAATTGGGATATAGTAGAAATGATCTTTAAAATAAACTTTAAACCAGAAAGACCCCAACAGGAATTTCAGTTCCATCACTTGCTGTGTGATTGTAGACAACATTCTTTTAGTTCCCCTTAGCCTTAATCTCCATTATCAGTAAAGGGCGGTTGTTTGTTGCAAAAAGTAAATGAGACACAACATGTAAATTACTTACTCCACCTGATTTATTCACAAAGTCTGAAGACTAGAGGACAAGCTGACAAGGACATCTGGGGCAGTATGAATTAACTAAATTAATTGAGCTATCATTCCCATTCTTCCAACAACAATCACTGTAGGAGATTTTTCCTTCCTTTTGTCAGTGGCCTCAACTTTTAAGTGCTTTTTGAAAGGTAGTTTTGGTAAAAGGCTGAATACTTTGTGATGAAGCAACCTAATCCCAGACTTTTACATTCTGAGACCAATAGTAACTTTCTTTTTATCTTTCCTGTACATCTCAGTTCACTCAAGTCTAATATGAGCTAAGGTTCTAAGGTTTTAGGCAAACAATAAAAAATTGTTGCAAAATCTCTTGCCAGTGCAGAGCATAGCTATAAAAGTAAAACATAATCCCTGTTTTCTGAAATACATTCCAGACAAAAGTGATCTGTTTAATGGCCTCACCTTCATGAATTTTGGTCTAATTTGTGTTGGTAAATCAGTTAGCAAGCTCCACTTGATCAGGAAATTTTGTTGCACCTGACTATGTGCCTAAACGAATAATCAAGAAATGTAGAAATGATTCGTATTCAAAACTGTGGAAATTTTAGCAAATGAGGAAAAAAGTGCCCTTAGCTGCATTAAATAACTCTAAGTAGAAAACCAAAGCAGGTAAGGGTAATCTTGAGATTTCCAGTTGTGTTCTAATTAACAACTTGTCATTCCTTTGTGGCCTATACTTTTACAGATACTATCTGTCAGCTTTCTTTTTTTTTTGAGACGGAGTTTCACTCTTGTCACCCAGGCTGGAGTGCAATGGCGTGATCTCGGCTCACTGCAACCTCTGCCTCCTGAGTTCAAGCGATTCTCCTGCCTCAGCCTCCCGAGTAGCTGGAATTACAGGTGCCTGTCACCATGCCGGGCCAATTTTTTG
The DNA here is from genome assembly GCF_000001405.40 of Homo sapiens. Classification (NCBI taxonomy): domain Eukaryota; kingdom Metazoa; phylum Chordata; class Mammalia; order Primates; family Hominidae; genus Homo; species Homo sapiens. Next base: position 169,480,487 of record NC_000001.11, read on the forward strand.
TATTTTTGGGAGAGACAGGGTTTCAATATGTTGGCCAGGCTGGTCTCGAACTCCTGACCTCATGATCCGCCCGCCTCAGCCTCCCAAAGTGCTGTGAACCACCGCACCCAGCCTGTCCATTTTCTAAAGTTTGAAACTGCCTCCTCTGTTTGACTAAGTGTCACCTTCACAATTTCCCCAACATAGCACCATGAAGTACTAGCCATTAAACCTTTCCTTTAAAAATGTCCTCTACTGCTCCCTTCAATAGTTCATCTTCCTTTGTTTTGGGATTTTGGATGACCTCTTCACTCCAATAATATTGTCTGTGCTTAGACATGTTACATAACTTTTAACCATAGTTGTCCCAAAATGATTAACTGCTAAGTTTTCATTGTCTAAGTTTCATCCTTTAAATTATCAATTTAACGTATCTTTACTCATGAGTCTAATTCTACTATTACAAAACTACAATTTAGATAATGAAGATGGAGGAGAGTAACACTGCCAACCTTGCAATAACAACTAAAAACAAAAAGAAAGGCAAATAGGGGAGAGGGGGAAGACCAGATAGTTTCTCTTTAACTTATTCTAAATAAGAAACCTGCATTTTCTCCTTTAAAAGACATCAACCCAGGGGGAATGCCCCACTCACACTATTATCAGCATCATAATAACAAACCTCTACTGCTGTGTTACACACCACGCTAAGCACTTTCTCTAAATTCTCTCTATTTAATCCAAACCACAAACCTAAGGTAAATGCTTCTATCATCTCTATTTTACAAACAAGGAAACTTGGCCTTAAAGAAAGGTTAAGTGAATTGTCCCAAGTTATCACAGGATTGGCAGAAGAAGGATCTGAATTCATAAATTCTGAATCCGCCACACTAAAATGCCTGGTTTCTTCAATCAGAAAACTGCTATTAATCATCTACTATCTTCCAGGTTAATTCTAATGCTTGCAGTAGCTTTTCCAATCTGCACTGAGGTGCTTTTACAGGGCATTCATGAAGAGATAAAGACTACAGTCTCCAGCACTTAACTAATGGGTCTCCAAGGCAGATCCTTTTCTTTTTCAGTGTTTCCAATGACAGCAAAAAATGCTTCCTTGATATTTTGAATCTTGAAGGGAAACATCCTACAGGCAAAAATGTACCAATTACAGACCCTTATTAATTGTCCATACTCCAACTTCTCACTTCACGTAACATCTGCTATGTGAGCAACGGGAATTGATTTTATTATGACCAAGGTGCCTTTCACAACTCTTTGGATCAGTGCTTGTGTTTTCTTGAGCTACAAAGTCAAGGGAAAACAGATGTTCATTTTTAAGTTCTAATTTAGATTTAGGCTTTAAATTAGAATCAAGTTTCAATTAAACAACTAATAGGCAGTTATTTGCACAACATTGTTTTCAACCAGCACGGAGGTGACAAAAAGAATAAAATGGCCAGGCGCAGTGGCTCATGCCTGTAATCCCAGCACTTTGGGAAGCCGAGGTGGGTAGATTACCTGAGGTCAGGCGTTCGAGACCAGCCTGGCCAACATGGCAAAACCCCATCTCTACTAAAAATACAAAAAAATTAGCCGGGCATGGTGGCGTGTGCCTGTAGTCCCAGCTACTTGGGAGGCTGAGCCAGGAGAATCACTTGAATCTGGGAGGCAGAGATTGCAGTGAGCCGAGATCACGCCATTGCACTCCAGCCTGGGCAACAAGAGCGAAACTCCATCTCAAAAAATAAAAATTAAAATTAAAATTAAAAAATTTAAAAAAAAAAGAATAAAATAAGGCTAGGCACTGTAGCTCATGCCTGTAATCCTAGCACTTTGGGAGGCCAAGTTGGACAGATCACTTGAGGCCAGGGGTTCAAAACCAGCCTGGCCAACATGGCAAAACCCCGACTCTACTAAAAATATAAAAAATTAGCTGAGAGTAGTGGCACAAGCCTATAATCCTGGCTACTCAGGAAACTGAGGCATGAGAATCGCTTAAACCTGGGAGGTAGACGTTGCAGTGAGCCGAGATCGCACCACTGCACTCCAGCCTGGGCAACAGAGCAAGACTGTCTCTAAATAAATAAACTGAGATCCTCAGCTCTCCAGGAGTATTGAACCTAGTGAGGAATATATAATATATGCAGTATTTATAATGGAAATAGGAAATACAGGGTTGTTTCTTCAAAATGGACCTTGAAGGATGAGAAACCTAAAGGCTAACAAAGATATCAACAGATATATATGGGAAGATTATTCCAAGAAGAGAATAAGTCTTTGAGTACATGTCAACAGATGAGACTGTGGATATGCTGGACTTAAGACTATTAGATTAATATGAATGGAGCTTGGTTATGTGGAAGTGGTAAGGGGAAGAAGGTTTGTAGTAGGATATAAGGCTGTCAAGGAGGTAAAAACCAAACTTCGTGAGGCTCTGAATATCAGGCAAAATAGGTGGAATGTTTAAAAAAATCTAAGAAAGGTAGTAAATGTCTGTCAAAACACATGCTACAATGATGAAAGGATAAAAAAGTTTTTAGAGATAAAGATCTGTTTTACTGAAAGTCTGGCCTTCAACTATTAACATACAGTCAAATTTTAGCCTGCTTAAAACTTACACACTGGTATCTGTTTTAAAATTAATGCTTTTCCTGAAATCTAAGAAAAAAACTTTTGAGAGTAGACAGAAGAAATCTTTTTCTCCTCTCCTTTTGTTTTAGGATTTAGTTAACAATAGCTCTATTCAAACCAACTTGGCCCTTCTGCAGTCTTCTAAGAGCAAATACAAACTTTAATACAAATGTCGCTGAATATGACTTAGCATTAGCTTTGCTTAAAAATCATGTAATTTTTTTTATTTAACTGTCCATGGCAAAAAACAAGCATTCAGTAAGTAATGAATAAGTTGTTCTATTTATTTCAATTATTAGTTATACAAAAAAACGTAGGGTTTGCCACAAGGTAAGCAGAGGAGAATCAGCCATGATTTGGTGGTCCTCTGAGAAGACACCCCTTCCCCAGACTACTAGATTTCTCTTCAAATCCCACGCTTTTCCTCAACTAATTTGCAATAAGAGAAGTACACTTATGTTTTTTGTTACACAATCAGCAAATAGTTACTACGCCTGGCAACTCTGCTTTATTTCTGTGCCCCCTGAACACACTTCACTCACCTTGAAAAGCTTTCTGATAGGACAGAGCACATGATCTTGGTAGCACGTCACACAGCAACCTTCTACCCAGAGCACATGACAAAACAGATCAGCTTTCAAATATCAACACTGGGAACATGTTTCTCTCCCTGTGTTTCACTATCCGGAAAGGCGCACAAACTGTGCAGATCACATGGCAGTTCACATGAAACTTTAATGGTCAGCTGTTCACAGCAGTATCAATTCTGCCTCAGTGGCTACACCTCAGATTCAGTGGTTGTTTTGGGTCTCCAGAATCATACTTTCTCATATCAGTGCAGTAATTTTCTTGTAAAATCATTCTGTCATGAAATTTGGCTGTTTTGACATTATTGCTTTAAATCAGTATTAAAACTCAAATAGGTTATGAATAACTGTTACGGTCGCTTATGTAATGATCCACAAGACTGAGAAACGGCCCAGCCACTCCATCCCACAACTGGCAGGTCAATAGGGTAATTTAAGGCCAGGCAAAAAGTCAGTGATACTTGCTAGAAGTGAACAAATGTCAGACTCTCAAGTGAAACCCTCAATACGTAAGTCAATACTGATTCTTAATTCTCTCTCAAGTGCCCTTGAAAATGACGGAGCATTGCAACAAACAAACTGCAAACAACAAACTATGAGTAACTATATCTCGCCAGTGTGCAAATGATTCCGGTAGTGCCATCTCTTGTTCTGACCTGTTATGCAGGGTTACTGAGTGGCTACTCAAAAGAAGTGACTGACTACTACCCACATAGAGAAGAGTAAGGTTTAAATGGGAGGAGTATTTTACAGCACCTGGGGCAAGGAGGCAGGGTGGAAGGAACAGGTGTAGGAAAAAAGAAAAAGCTCTCAAGTGGCCCCTTGACTGATAGTAGGAAAAAGAACATGAGACCTCAGCTTTCACCCTTTGTTGTATTCAAGGAAGAGGGTGTTGAATCGGCTTTATTTCGGTTTTGTGGAAGTACTTTGGGTTTAATTTCTTTCTCAGTTTATATATTGTCTTTCTTCTGCAAAAATCAAGTGCTGGTTTTGACCATGCACTTAAATAGGTCAGCACATTTCTAAAGTACACTATGCGCTTCTGAAGTACTTTATTTGTAAGCCCTCATCTAGGGAAAAAATCAATCAGCAAGAAACTCTTGATGATGGACTACGTGCTCTCAATTACCCTGAACATCACAGAAGGCCTTCAAAGACATCACCTTGTATCTGAGAAGCAAAACTAACATCTGTGAAGCAACAATTCGCAATACAAGAAACACTATAATTAAAAGTCAATTATGTTTCACCATCTGCCTTTATCCCTGGAGGTTGGTCTTAAGGTAGAGAGGGGCAGGATATCCTTGGACACAACCTCACCCAATTAAAAATCAAGACAAATTAAGATGTTCTGTACTTCTGTCCTGTCCTTACTTGATTAAGCCCACCCATTCTGCCAAATGCAAACAAAGTAAGGTATGGACAGGAAGCAGGTGAAGGAGGTAGAGGGAAGATCCTTTCAGAAAAGCAGTGGTTGCCTACTTTCAGTCAATGAATATTTACTAAGCCGTGTCCAAAGTACACTTTGCTGTTTTCACTTCTTTGTCAAAATATTGCCCCCTCGCCCCCAGCAGGAACTGCTGGACCAGTCTGGGCAGTCACGCTAAGCCACATTACAACACGATCAGCATACTGCCTGACGCACAAGGCACGGGGCCTCTGGACGCGTGTTCTGAGCCCTTCGCAGGAGACTCGTCCTACAGAGCCGAAGAAAACAGAAAATCATGAACACAAAGAAGAGCACGAAGCCGACCTCCAACTGGCAAAATCAGAAATCTCTGCCGAGAATGGCTCGAGCGCTTTTCTCGGTCCTCTCTTCCTCCGCTGCCCACCCGCAGGCCGGTCGCCCGCCCTTCCCGCGCCCCGCGTCCGCCGCGCGTACCTCCCTCTCGGTCAGGTTCTTGTCCGGCCCCAGCAGGTACGGGGTCAGGAAGGGCTCGGACGGCCTGAGGCTGGCGAAGAAGCCGTAGGCGCAGAGCAGCGCGGTCGGCAAGAACCAGCATTCGCGACGGACCCGAGCGGTCCGCAGGAGCACAGTGGCCGCCGCCGCCGCCGCCCGCCGAGACACCGGGCCGGGCACATCCATCCGGGGCGCGAGGGGAGGGGACCCGGCCCGGCCCCTTCCTTCTCCTCCTCCGCCAACTGGAGTGAGGGTCAGGCACTTGTAACCGCGAGTGACGCCTTCTCCCTGTAAGGCCAGGACGTTCTGGACTCGCCGCCGCCTCCGGCTACAGAACCCCCAGCTTTACCCTACAGACGCCTCTAGGGTCGCTGCCTGATCGCCCAGTTTAAGGGAGACCCGTCCTAAGGCCCACCCTCTGCCACCGCCTCCACTCCGGGAACCAATCACAGCGGACGCCGGGAATACTTGCCTGCTCTTCCATTGGTCGTGGGTCACACGACGTGAACTGGGGCGGTGGCAGCACGCCAGGCCTCTGACGTCCCAGGGCTCAAGCGCGGAGGACATGTGGAACTCCACTCCAAAAGCGGCGGCTTGCGGCGGAGCTCTCTCTAGTGAGGCGGCCAGCTGGCGTTCGTGGCACACTTGCTGTCGGCTCCGCTCATCTGTTGGGAATGCGTCCTGTGGGCCTAGTCCTCCGCTGGAAGAAACGCGCTGTTCTCCCCAACCACCGTTTATCATTCTTATTCACCGTCTCCGGAATGTCCATTCAGTTTCCGCTCCTGAGAGACTTAGTGACTGAGGCCAGGCAAAGATTTCACCTTGGGGAGGGGGAACGTTAAACCTTTCCTCCAGCAGCTTTCGTGTTTTAAATTGTATTCATCCGCCATGGAAAGACATCAGAAGCCCAGGATCTAAGAGACAGACTGAAATGAAGAAAGTAGATAATATTGTGAGAATAATGAACAAGCTGGTCACTGAACAGCAGAACCGTAATGGAGTCCCAGTTAAAGGGTTTTAACTTTATTTCGTCACTTTTTGCAAGCATGATACAAAGAAAACAAACACCTAACTACGCTACGGTTTATAGTTAAAAGGAAGGTGGAAGATCCTGAGTCATTACAGCAATCACAAAACATGATGGATTTCTTCATTTAAAAACACAAAAGAGGTCTTGGCATAGTTTTCAAGGGCAAAGCATGACAAGACTCTCCAGTGCTTTCTTTCATCCCCCTCTGTGTGCCTTTTTCTGCCTGACTCACAGCCTGGCTCAATCCTAATCTTTCTACTGCAAAGATGCAGCATTTAAAGCAATTTTTCCTGTGCAGTATTTGTAGAATGACAGATCCTGCCAGAAGCTCTTGGAAACATTTTGGAACTATCTTGCTTTTCTGTATGTTATGATCCATCTAGCACCGTTTTCCTCCTGTGGTAGCAAATGACACTTTTTTCAAGCATCAGCAGCAGAAATGAGTCTACCAGATGGAATAAGATACTGGTAAAGGGAAAGATTTGTTTCTAAGACTGCACAAATGAATGCACCCAAATCTGTGAGTTGATTAATCTGTGAAGAAATACAACTGGCAGTATTTACATATCTCAATGAGTCTCAAAGTGTGGTCGAGGAAGCCCTGGGGGTCCTTGGGACCCTTTCAGAGGTTCCACGAGCTCAAATCTATTTTCATAACCATGCTAAGTCTTTATTTCCTTTTCCACTCCAGAGGCTATATAATGTCTGATGACATCATCGCTTTATAGGATGAGAGAATACGTGCTTGTATATTCTTGTGTTTGTAAGACTTTCCAGGTTTAATTTATTACCATATGGCAATTTTCAATAAGTATAACCCACAAAACCCAACAGATTTTTGGGGCACCTCTAACAAGGGTCCTAAGACCAAAATGTTTGAGGACTGCTAATCGATATTATTCAATTGTCTAGTCCCCTAAACTCCAACCCTTCTTATCAGGACTACAGAGAGAAAACAGGTGGTCTTCTTGACAATCGCTTTGTATTTACATTCAGTGCTTTAGTAGAAGAGAAGAAAGAAAGAGAAAGCAAGCCAGAGAGGCCTCGGAAAGAGAAGCCTACTTATTAAAAATAGCTTTCTGGCTGGTCACGGTGGCTCACTCCTGTAATCCCAGCACTTTGGGAGGCCGAGACGGGCGGATCACTTGAGGTCAGGAGTCTCAGACCAGCCAGGCCAACATGGCGAAAACACGTCTCTACTAAAAATGCAAAAATTAGCCGGGCATAGTGGCATGCACGCCTGTAGTCCCAGCTACTTGGGAGGCAGAGGCAGGAGAGCCACTTGAACCCAGGAGGCGGAGGTTGCAGTGAGCGGAGAGCGAGACTCGCGAGTACTCGTCTCAAAAAACAAAACAACAATAACAAAAACAGCTTTCCATCCCTTCCCTGAGGCTTGGGTACCTGAACCACGTTAATCTGTAAATCACTGCTTCTGTAACTTTTCCTTGGTATAAATCACATAGGCAATGAGGTTGGGTATAAACAGTAATTGTCCTTGAATTGGGTAGATGTTTTCTTATTATTTTTGTCTAAGAGGTCATTGCGATAGGCAGAATTCTAAGAATGATCCCCAGTGACGCTTGCCCTTGTATAACCCCCACCCATTTGAGTGTGAGGTGAAACCTATGAATTTGATGAGGCAATACTCCTGTTATTATGTTACGTTTTATGACAGATGTGAGATTTTCCAGGTGGGCCCAATCTAATCACAACAGCCCTTTAAAAGCAGAGATTTTCCGTCTGCTAAGAGCAGAAGAGGAAGTCAGAGAGATTTGAAGGATGAGAAGAATTTGACGTGCTGCTGTTGGAGGGGGCTACATACCAAGAAATGTGGGCATCCTATAGCAACTGAAACTGGCTCCTGGCTGACAGCCAGCAGAGAATCAGGATATCAGTCCCAGAATCATAAGGAACTGAATTCTGCTAAAAACCTAAATGAGCTTGGAAGTGGGATTCTTCCGAGAAGAGCCCAGCCGGGTCACCATCTTAATTTTGGTCTGCGAAACCGTAAGCAGAGAATCCACTCAAGCCCACCTGGATCTACAGAACTGTGAGCTAAGCTGATGTGGTAATATTTTAAAGCCGCTAAATTTTTGTTCATTTGTTGTGCAGCAATAGGAATCTAACACAAAGGTAAATAGAATATATTTTTTAAATCGAGGCAATATTCACATAACATAAAATTAACCATTAATTAAGTGTACAACCCAGTGGCATTACTACATTCATAATATTGTGAAACCATCACTTCTGTCTAATTCCAAGACATTTTCACCACCCTACAGGAAACTGATACCCATTAAGCAGTCACTCCCTGTTCCCTCCTCCCCTTAGTCCCTGGCAAACACTAATATGCTTTCTGCCTATGGATTTGTCTATTCTGGAGGTTACATACAATTTGTGACCTTTTGTGTCTAGCTTCTTTCACTTAGTTTAATGTTTTAAAGATTCATCCACATTGTAGCATGTATCAGTACTTCGTTCCTTTTTATGGCTAAGTAATATGTGTATATACAACATTTTGTTTATCCATCAATTGATAACATTTGGATTATTTTTACTTTTGTCTATTGTGAATAGTGCTGCTATGAACATTTGTATGCAAGTGTGTATTTGAATATTTATTTTTATTTCTTTGGGGTATATACCTAGGAGTAGAATTGTTGTGTCATTTGGTAATTCTGTGTTTATCTAAGAAACTGCCAAACTGTTTTCCACAGGCTGCATGATTTCACATTCTCATAAGTAATGTACAAAGGTTCCAATTTGTCCACATCCTTGCCAACACTTATTTTCCTTTTTATAGTAGCCATCCTGGTGGGTGTGAAGTGGTATCTCATTGTGGTTTTGATGTACTTCTCTAATGACTGATGTTGAGCATCTTCTCATGTATTTGTTGGCCAATCATATAACTTCTTTGGAGAAATGCCTATTCAAGTCCTTTGCCCCTCTTTGATTCAGTTGTTTGTCTTTTTGTTGTTGAGTTAGAAGAGTTCTTTATAAATTCTAGGTACTAGACCTTTGTCAGATATGATTTGCAAATATATTTTCTTCCATTCAGTAGGGGTAAATAGAATATTGAGAGACTTTTTATATAGTAATATAAAAAAGCATGAAGGGATGTGTTTTGCAAAAAGTAAGATTACACAGTATTATACAACTATGTTATACACTTTGGCTCTTGGTTTTCTCTCTAAGGAATAACTCATGAAGAACATTCCATGTGTTAAGGTATACCTCTAATTCTTTCTAATGCCTACATAATATCCTATTGCATGGGTGTGCTATTCACCCCCTACTTATGGTTATTCATTCTGTTTCTAGTTTTTGGCCACTGCCAACAATGCTGCAGTTAACATCCTTGTACAATATATGTTTATGTATTTTAAATTTCAGTTTAAAAGGATTTATTCTGAGGAGTAGTATTTCTGGTTTAAAGAGTATATGTGTTTTTAATTTTAATAGATATTGCTCAATTGTTTTACATTAATAACTTACATTTTTACTAGCAATATATGAAAACATTCTTTCTGCACTGCATCCTTGATTACAGTTATAATCAAACTTTACAATTTTTGCTTATCTAATAGGTATAAATCAGTGGTTCTCAATCGGTAATGATTTTGTCCCACAGGGGACATTTGGCAATGTTTGGAGACATTTTTGATTGTCAAAATGGCGGGGGGACGGGGGGGCGGGGCGGGTGGTGCTACTAGCTTCTGTGGGCAGAACCAGGGATTCTGTTAAATATCCTGCAATATACTCGAGGCGTCACCCACAACAGAGTTGTCCATCCCAGACTGCCACTAGTGAGAAAGATAAGAAACCATGGTATAAAGATACCTCATTGTGGCTGGGTGAGGTGGCTCATGCCTGTAATCCCAGCATTCTGGGAGGCCAAGGTGGGCGGATCATGAGGTCAAGAGATCAAGACCATCCTGGCCAACATGGTGAAACCCTGTCTCTACCAAAAATACAAAAATTAGCTGGGTGTGGTGGCGCACGCCTGTAGTCCCATCTACTCGGGAGCCTGAGGCAGGAGAATCACTTGAACCCGGGAGGCAGAGGTTGCAGTGAGCAGAGATCGACGCGACTGCACTCCAGCCTGAGACTGGACTCCGTCTCAAAAAAAAAAAAAAAAAAAAAAAGGTACCTCATTGTATCTTCAATTTGAAAATCTTTATGAATGAGTTTGAGCACTTTTTTCCATATGTTTGTCAGCTACTTGGATTTATCCTTCTGCAAATAGCCTATCCATATTATTTGCCCATTTTTTCTTTTGGTGGCTTATCCCTCTCATTAATTTATTCTAAAGAGCTTTTTATATTTTTTAATCATTTATTTTTCCTATTCGAAAACATTTATTTTTCAAATATACTTTTTATTGACTTTTGTAGTATCTTTGCTAGATGGTAAAATATTATTGTAGACATTAAAACAAGGTCTGAAAAAATGGTCAGACATACTGTGTCTTTGGATGAGAAAAGAAGCATCATAAAAATGTCCTTTTCCTAAAGTTAATCTGTAACTTTAACACAATTCCAATTGGATGTACAAATCAGACGTTTTTAATCTATGGACTAGTGCAGGCTAGAAAGGAGCATTGATTCATACCTATTGTGTGACATGTAGAATTTTAGAGCAAAAAGAAGCATTAAGATTGGTCTGTCCATTGCATTACTTTTCTGAGGAAGACACTAAGTTACAGAGGAGTTAAGGGACATATGATATGCTAAAATTGGAAACATTCTGGTTAGCCCAATTTGAACTTTGTTCTAGAAATGATGGAATTCAATAAAAAATAATTATAATCATAAACTGTTAATTTTAGAAAAAAACATTGAAATTGAGACCAAGAAATGTAAATCAGCTTACCAAAATAACCTAGAGAGTTAGCAGCAAATTCTAAATAGTCTTTGGTCATGCAAACTTACAATTCAATACTATTCCTCCATGCCATGTAACCTCTTAAGTGCTTGCCTAGTTAATGTTTCTTCACTTTCAATATACTGGTACCGCAAAGCAGTTCGCCTGGAAAAACAGAGTATTGAAACGCCTTTCAAAGATATTTACTAGAACTTGGATTCTTACTTCATCCCTGTAAGTATGATAGGTACAAATACACATTTTTTCTCAATTTATAGGTGGGAACACTGAGGGACAAAGAATCTTAGTCCTTCTAGGTCACATTTATTTCCTCAACATGAGTATATTGACAGCCTGTTGTTCAAGGCCTTGCACTTGGTACTACAGCAAAGATAAGACAGTCCCCAACCTCAGAGAGCTCATACGGTGAATCAGTCACCCAAGAACCACTCCAGGCTATGCCCCTGAGATGCTCCTAAACTGATGACTTATTTCACAAACAGAACCAAGTTCTGTTCTGACAATAATCACAGATGAAATGACTTGCTGTGCCATCCAGTAAAATGCTAGTTCAGCTCACAAGTGACTCTCTTCTTTGTTTCTTAAATGCTTGACCCAGAATTTTGCATGTAGTCATCAAGACATCGCCCCACAGCTGAGCTGTGTCATGGAACAGCCAGCCCATCTAAAAGGCTGCCTACTCATCAGCCTGCTCAGCCTGTGTGGGCTGGGAATGTGGTGCCATGCAGGGGAGGCATTCCCCCCGTTGCATGGTACCACATACCCTTTGGGAAAGAGCTCTGTGCCTGCCCCATAAACACTCTGTGGCACCATTCCTCCCTCCTGACTCTGCCTGTCTTCTGCCATCCTTTGATGTGTAAATTGGAAAACTGTCATCACCTATTGATCTCAAAAATGTCATCCTATGTGAAAAGTTAGTGCACTCTGGAAGAACAAACTGGTTATTAACCATAATTCAGTTATTATTAAACCACTATCTTCATCCTCTGACTTGCATTTATTTGATTGTAGTTTCTTGCCTCTAGTCTCACCCTAGCCCAGGCCAATCTTTATACCACAGTAAGAAGAATCTTCCTCAAATCTGATATTACCCTTGCCCTGATCTCTGATTGTTTAGGAATCTCTGGTGCTTAATAAATAAAGTAGAAACTTCTTATTTCTGACTTCTGCTAACTGCTTCAATCTCATTTTCTACTAATGTCCATTAATGCTCACCAGTTTCTCAAGTTGTCATTCAGATGTCTTATCTCCTTCACCACTACCACCCTAGTTCAGGCCATCATTATTTATCTTCTGAGCTGTTACCCTAGCTCCTAACCCATTTCTCTGACCACAGCCTTCCCCTACTAGTCTATTTGCCCAGCAGGTGGATTGACCTCCCTAAAGCCTAAATTGAATTATGCCACTCTTCTGCTCAGATTCCTCCAGTGGCTTCCCATCAAATTTTGAATTAAATCCTAAGTTTTTACTGTGGTCTGTAAGGCCCTACCTGATATACTCACTCCATCTCAGTATATCTCTAATCTCATCTCCTATGACTGTCCACCTTCCCACTCTGGGCTATTCACGCTGGCTTCTTCATTGTTTCTTGTATGTACTAAGCACACTTCTACATCAGGACCTTGGCCCTTGCTATTCTGTCTGCCTAGAACAGTCTCTTCTTAGATATTAGTATGATGCCCTCCCTCACTACTTTCAGGTTTCTGCCTAATTATCACCTTATTCTACTTAAAATAGCACACATTCCCATCCTGGCCACCTTCTATTCTTCTACCCTGCTTTCTTCATCTTAGCACTCGTCCCCACTTGCTATATTATATATTTATTTATTTTGCCTGTTTCTGAGAATAAGCACTACAATAAGAGCTCCATAAAAGCAATGGCTTTGTTTTTGTTTACTGTTCTAGAACAGTGCTTGGCAACATACTCATACTTGACACATATTTGTTGAATGAATGAAGTAAGTGTCAATTCCTCTCTGCACACTTCTCTGATGCCTCTTGGGCAATTGCTCTGTTTTCTGTTCCCTTGGAACTATGTATATACCTCTACTATAGCTATCACATTTTATTGTAACTTTTTTTCCTCACCAGCCTATAGAATCCTTAAAAGCAGATGTCTTATCATATCCTTCCTAACACAAATTTGGTGAAAATGAGTAGAGTGAATGAAGGTCGAAGAAGAATAGCAATACAGCCACTCTGCAGATTCGAGGATGGACATGTTTGAGCCCTCATTAATCCCATCTTCAGGAGGCTGCATTGGTACTATATGTGGCATTTATTTCAATAGAGATGCTCAAGGCAAAAACGATATTTTACTGGTCTACAAGTTCCCAAATTTCCTTTAGGAAAATACTTGGGTATTATCCCGTAAACTACTTGAGTGGCTGAAGCTTTAAAAACAAGCATCCTGGCTAACACGGAGCAACCCCGTCTCTACTAAAAATACAAAAAATTAGCCGGGCATGGTGGCGGCGCCTGTAGTCCCAGCTACTCGGCAGGCTGAGGCAGGAGAATGGCGTGAACCCGGGAGGCGGAGCTTGCAGTGAGCCGAGATCGTGCTACTGCACTCCAGACTGGGCGACAGAGCGAGACTCCGTCTCAAAAAGAAAAAAAAACAAGCTAATATGTAACAGTTCTGTCATAAGGCCATATCACAAACAGTGATAACGTGGAATTCAATAGGAAAATGAAATAGATGTTCATAGAAAAAAGACTTTAACACATTATCCATCTGGATGCCATGAGTTCTGTGGACCTCCCTCATACAGACTCTAGGAATCAATCTAGGGGAAATTTTGTTGTGATCCAAAAATGTCACTGGATTAGGAATTGAGAACCCTAAATTCTCACTCAGGTTTTTCTATAAATAGGCTACATGACTTCAGATAAATGGCTGCATGTTGTATCTGAGGTTCCTCTAACATGGGTGTTAGGAGTAGATGATCTCCATAAGCCTTCTAGCTATAAAGTTCACTGACTCTATTGATTCAGCTGGGAGACTGTACCTAAGTAACAAGAACAGACTGAGTACTGGAAGAGGAATGTATTCTCTCTCAACATCAATGACCTTGAATGTGAGAGTGATTACAGAGTTTTGACACCTAGCAGTGCCTGGACCCAGGTCTCAAATCCTGTTTGTACTCCTGCTCCTATAGACACAACTGCTTTTCCCAAACTTGCAGAAACTGGACTCCCACTAAGATGGAAAAGGGTGCCGGCCGCGGTGGCTCACACCTGTAATCCCAGCACTTTGGGAGGCCGAGGCGGGCAGATCACGAGGTCAAGAGATCAAGACCATCCTGGCCAACATGGTGAAACCCTGTCTCTCCTAAAAATACAAAAATTTGCTGGGTGTGGTGGCACGTGCCTGTAGTCCCAGCTACTCGAGAGGCTGAGGCAGGAGAATCGCTTGAACCTGGGAGGCGGAGGTTGCAGTGAGCCGAGATCTCGCCACTGCACTCCAGCCTGGGGACAAGTGAGACTCCGTCTCAAAAAAAAAAAAAAGATGGAAGAGGGAAAGGGTTTGAGACACTAGCTGGATTTGAGAGATATGTTTAGCTGAGGTCTTAGGAAGGAGACTGCAAACTTGCCAGCATTGTAGTGATTGGCTAAGCTCTGCTGTTGGATTTTTCTCTGAGAATGAGAATGAATGTGGCCCAGCATTCAGGGTGTCTCCTTTGGGAGTTCCCATGGGGCTTCCAGAGATTGCCAGAGGCACACTGGGAGCAGTCACAGTTACCTATGAGGTGGCAGTTCTGCAAGCCCTGTCTGTGACTCAAAGCAGCCTCCTTGTTTCCTCACATCAGACAGACTTCCATTAAGAATGGGGTTCATGTGAGACCAGAAGGGGCTGGACTATATATTTAGCCAAGACAGGTGGTGAAATAATTTATTTTCTGATATACTTTATCTTTCTTAGAGAATGTATCAGAACTTTTTTGGGAAAGAGTGATGAGTCTTGATTTGTAAAAGCATGTCACCTCTTATGGTAATCTCCAAAGCAGCATTTACAATCACATGTGAATGAGTCATAAACTAAGAAATGTTGAATGATCTGAAATAAGGGTATGTTGATTTCTCTCATCAAATATTCATTTTTGGCAACATAATGGACTCAAGGCACAGATATTAAGTGCTTTGAAATTCTCAAAGCCACAAAGACAGGCCATATCTATGAATGTTTCTGATATGTGACTCTCCTCCCTCCTTCCCTCTTAATGAGGTATAAATGCATTCAAACACACAGTCACACATTTATTTTATCTCCTCTCAGTTATGTGTTCTCCATGTGGTTTGGTGAGATATTTTAAAATACTCTTCAATGGATAATTAAAGGTTCAAAAAATTTTATGTAAAATTCTCCCAGATAGAAGAGATTAGTAAAGAAATATTCTTTCCAAGTCTCAATCTGAATACAATACTGATTCAGGACCCCCGTCCAGGTTCTCATAACTGCAAATTCCCAATATGCTGTTCAGCTTTTGTCTCCTTCTCAATTCTGATTTTCAAGATGAGAGTTCTTGGCTGGAATATTTGCTAACAGTGAGAAGACATCTTCAGTTCTTGGTGAGGCATTCAGGTATTACAGAACATGACTATTTAAGCCGTGTGTGTGCATGCTTGTCACATCCTGCCTGGTAAATAATTTCTGGTTTTTATATACATGACTTCCTCTCCCACTAACTGTAGGGATTTTTGTGATTAGAAACTAAGTGTGGTCTTTATCTTTCCTGGTGTCTCCTGTGGTGTTTTAAATATAAGAGTTGTCCAGTAAGTGTTTGGTGGACACATTTCTGAGTCCTCATGAATTATACTTTCAACCTTCACTAATGCTTTTTTGCAGCTCATTTACAGGTATTATAACATTCCGTTTAGCTATAGATGAAGCATTCCATCCTTATAGTTAGCCAAGTTCTTCTATTGTGGTGTAGAGATCTTTAGGTGAAACCATCTTTAGAGTCTGTCATGAACCACAGGGTGAAAAAGACCTATCTGTATTACAGTATGAACATCCTTTCAGGAGAGGTCTACATTCATGCTTTTGCATATAACTCATATCAGTTTAATTTCTAACCTCTTCTTCTTTAGCTTTCCATTGGCATTCCATAGCAGAAGCTCTTCCTAATGTGAAATACAAGAGAAGATCTACAGATTCAAGAATTTGTGTCTGGGAGGTCCACCAAGAACTCTGAACCTCAGTTCTTTATTCTCCAAAGGATACTTTGATATGTACCCATCAGTGAGGACAGGGACTTTGTACAAGAAAGAGAAATTAATGAAACTTGTGAGCATCTGAATATTCTGATATCTTACCTCCCCACTCCCACCCTATCTAAAACCTCATCACCTGGCTTAGCATATAAAGAGCTTAATGGTGGGATACATCAGGCTGACCTAGGTTTAGGACCTAGCCACCATTATAACTTTTGGCAGCCTAGGACAAGGTATCATTCCCTTCTAAGGCTCAGTTTTCTCATGTAAAATGGAGATAATAATATCCACTTCTTGGGGTAGTTGGGAGGATTAAATAAGATTATATATGATAAATGTTCTCCATAGTACCTAGCACAAAATTAATCTTTAAAAAAAGGAGATCTATTATTATCTAAGTACCATAGTGGGCCAGCTTCCAAGTACTTAGGAAAGATCCTTGCACAAAGTAGGAGCTCTTTAAATACTGTGCAGGCAGCAAATGCCAGTTACGTTTTCAAATTTGGCTTTTGTTTATTTTGTCAGAGACTAGAGCATATTCATGAGCAGAGGAAAAAGAAGAGATCCAGAGTATACCAAATTTTCCTTAAACAACTTTATTGAGGTATAATTTTTGTCCAATATCACCCATTTTAAGTATATATTAAATATATATTTGATAAGTTTTGACAAACATATGTAATCACACATATGAAACAAGTCCCTGAGGTATGGAGGTACTGGGATCCAAAACAGAAATATAAGGTGTGACCTGACTAAGAAAGGAAAATTCACCCTGTCAGGTGGTCAAACCAGAATGACTCCATTTTGAGTGAGGGCTAGGAAAATGAGGCTGAGACTTGCTGGGCTGCATTCTAAAAAAGTTAGGCAATCCTAGCTCTTAGATGTTTATGGTTAAGGGGACAAATTAATAATGTTTACTAAACACACCCAGATTTAGGAGTGTCCGGGTATCCCGATATCTGGAGAATAAAGGCATTCCTAATTTTGCTTTAAAGACAGTAGTATCAATTCTTGAAAAATATAGTAATTAAGAAAATTCATCCTTCATCACAAACCCTAGTAGCAGAACACATCTCCCCATATAATACAAGCATTGTACCTAGGGTGAGTGTGTTCCTCCTCTTACTTTCAGGAATGTCCTACTCTGTCTATAGAATAGCTGTTCTTCCACCACTTTACTTCCTTAATAAACTTGCTTTCTCTTTGCACTGAGGACTCACCCTGAATTCTTTCTTGCACAAGATCCAAGAACCCTTTCTTGGGGTCTGGATTGGGACCCCTTTCCTGTAACGGCCTCAGGCTCCCCAGGGAAGGAGTTAAGGTGGATGAAAATGTAGATAAATAGGCACTAGGAGGGGGTAGGAGATGACATTGAAAACATTCCCTAATGTTATCTATTTCTCCTATGTGATAAGAGGCAAGGTACTTGCTGAAAAAAAGGTAAACAAGGATGAGACAGGTTCTACCTTAGAATATGAAAGTTTAAATAGCATATGTGGGGAGCGACTGACAAGGAATGTGAATAGAAATTGCCCAGCTAGGTCTGTGTATATGTTACAGCCTGGGTGTAGCACGGAGAGTGTGAGTGCTAGACTAATTCAAGGTTGGGGGCTTCTCAGGGGGTAAGAATGAGGAGCAGAAGGCTGGAGACAAGAGTTTTCCCCAGGGTTTGTAAGTATTGTTGATGAACCATGGGTGTGTGCTGCTTAGAGAAGGAAGGGAAGCCATGAGGGGACCCAGAGGTATCATGTAATGAAGGGACTGAGAGAGCTGGGTATCTCCATGAAATGTGAGAGTGGGTGGGGTGGGAGTTCACACGAGCTGAGATGCACAGGGAGTTTCTTGCTAGTTGGATTTAACATTCCATGGAGGACATATTCTGAAGGATGATGTATTAGTTTTCACACTGCTATAAAGATACAACTGAAGACTGAGTAATTTTTAAAGGAAAGATTTAATTGACACATTGCACGTGGCTGGGGAGGCCTCAGGAAACTTACAATCATGGCAGAAGGGGAAGCAGGCACATCTCACATGGCAGCAGGTGAGAGAGAGAGAGAGAAGTCCAGGGGAAACTGCCATTTATAAAACCATCAGATCTTGTGAGAACCCTCTCACTATCATGAGAATAGCACTGGGGAAAATCACCCATATGATTCAGTCACCTCCCACCAGGCCTCTTCTCAACAGCTGGGGAATATAATTCAAGATGAGATTTGGGTGGGTACACAAAGCCTAATCATATCAGATAACAAAGTTCATGTTGTGCTCACAGAAATCAGCTCTTCACATACAGTGGAATGCAAAGTTAATTTGTTAATAATGGATAGAAAAGAAAGAATAATTTTGACAACACTAAGCTTTTTTTTTTTTTTTTTTTTGAGATGGAGTTTCACTTTGTTGCCCAGGCTAGAGTGAAGTGGTGCAATCTCTGCTCACTGCAACCTCCGCCCCCAGGGTTCAAGTGATTCTCCTGCCTCAGCCTCCTGAGTAGCTGGGATTATAGGTGCCTGCCACCATGCCTGGCTAATTTTTGTATTTTTTAGTAGAGATGGGGTTTCACAATGTTGGCCAGGCTGGTCTCGAAGTCCTGACTTCAGGTGATCCACTGCCTCGGCCTCCCAAAGTGCTAGGATTACAGGCATGAGCCACAATGCCTGGCCCAACACTGGGCTTTTAAAAAGCACTGCCAGTGTTTCAGTGGGTAGTGTTCTTACCCATAGTCTTGGGAGACAACTATTACATTGCATACTGCTTAATTCATTAGCAAATCCTATTGACTTTGCCTTCAAAATATGGCCGGAATTCCACCACTCTCACCATTTTTATTGCTACCACAGTTGATATGAATATCTGTAATTGCAGCTAAATTGGACTTCCTGCTAACATCCTTGATCCCCTATAGTCTCTTCTTGTTATAGCTGTCACAAAGATTCTTTTAAAGCACAAGTCAGATGATATTCTTCTCCGTTCAATACTGTCCAATAACTTCCCATCTCATTCAGCAAATGAGCCCAAGGGCTGCTAGACCTAAATAGCCACTCTATTCCCCACCCTCTGTCTCTCTCCACCTTTCCCCACCCATTTTATTCTTTGATCTCAACTTCTGCTCTCCCCCTTGCTCATTTGGCTTCAGCCACCTGGTTCTCCTTGTCAATCCTGGATCACTACCTGCATATTTTTACTACAAAATGTTTATTCATGGTTCTTTCTGCTTTCTAAGTTTTTTTTTTTCCTATATGTCTGTGGTATTTACTTCCTCACTTCCTCTGCTCTTTGCTCAAACATCAAGCTAGGGCCTCCCCTGACCATCCTTTTTAATGTTGACTTCCTCCCCACTACAAATATTCAGCTCCTGCTATTGATTTATTTTTGCCATAGGACTTATTATCTAATATCTTATATATTTTTATTATGGTTTATTGTCTCTTTCTTTCAACTTGTGAATAAACTCCATTCAAGTAGGAATTTTGTCTGTTTTGTTATCTTCAGTACCTGAACAGTACCTAGCACTTAATAGGCAATCAATAAATGAATTGACTGTAAGGATATTTGTCCTGACTCAGAAGGTTAACAAGGATATCCAGGACCTGAACTCAGCTCTGCAACAAGCAGACCTAATAGACATCTATAGAATTTTCCACCCCAAATCAACAGAATATACATTCTTTTCAGCACCACATTGCACTTATTCTAAAATTGACCACATAATTGGAAGTAAAGCACTCCTCAGCAAATGTAAAAGAACAGAAATCACAACAAACTGTCTCTCAGACCACAGTGCAATCAAATTAGAATTCAGGATTAAGAAACTCACTCAAAACCATGCAACTACATGGAAACTGAACAACTTGCTCCTGAATGACTGCTGGGTAAATAACGAAATGAAGGCAGAAATAAAGATGTTCTTTGAAACCAATGAGAACAAAGACACAACATACCAGAATCTCTGGGACACATTTAAAGCAGTGTTTAGAGTGAAAGTTATAGCACTAAATGCCCACAAGAGAAAGAGGAAAAATCTAAAATCGACACCCTAACATCACAATTAAAAGAACTGGAGAAACAAGAGCAAACACATTCAAAAGCTAGCGGAAGGCAAGAAATAACTAAGATCAGAGCAGACCTGAAAGAGATAGAGACACAAAAAAACCCTTCAAAAAATCAATGAATCTAGGAGCTGGTTTTTTGAAAAGATCAACAAAATTGATAGACCACTAGCAAGACTAATAAAGAAGAAAATAGAGAAGAATCAAATAGACGCAATAAAAATGATAAAGGGGATATCACCACTGATCCCACAGAAATACAAACTACCATCAGAGAATACTATAAACACCTCTATACAAATAAACTAGAAAATCTAGAAGAAATGGATAAATTCCTGGACACATACACCCTCCCAAGACTAAACCAGGAAGAAGCTGAATCTCTGAATAGACCAATAATAGGCTCTGAAATTGAGGCAATAATTAATAGCCTACCAACCAAAATATGTCCAGAACCAGACAGATTCAAAGCCAAATTCACCAGAGGTACAAGGAGGAGGTGGTACCACTCCTTCTGAAACTGTTTCAATCAATAGAAAAAGAGAGAATCCTCCCTAACTCATTTTATGAGGCAAACATCATCCTGATACCAAAGCCTGGCAGAGACACAACAAAAAAAAGAGAATTTTAGACCAATATCCCTGATGAATGTCGATGTGAAAATCCTCAGTAAAATACTGGCAAACTGAATCCAGCAGCACATCGAAAAGCTTATCCACCACAATCAAGTCGGCTTCATCCTTGTGATGCAAGGCTGGTTCAAAATACCCAAGTCAATAAACATAATTGATCACATAAACAGAACCAATGACAAAAACCACATGATTATCTCAATAGAGGCAGAAAAGGCCTTTGAAAAAATTCAACAGCCCTTCATGCTAAAAACTCTGAATAAACTAGGTATTGGTGGAACGTATCTCAAAATAATAAGAGCTATTTATGACAAACCCACAGCCAATATCATAATGAATGGGCAAAAACTGGAAGCATTCCCTTTGAAAACTGGCACAAGACAGGGATGCCCTCTCTCACCACTCCTATTCAACATAGTGTTTGAAGTTCTGGCCAGGGCAATCAGGCAAGAGAAAGAAATAAAGGATATTCAATTAGGAAATGAGGAAGTCAAATTGTCCCTGTTTGCAGATGGCATGATTGTATATTTAGAAAACCCCATTGTCTGAGCCCAAAACCTCCTTAAGCTGATAAGCAACTTCAGCAAAGTCTCAGGATACAAAATCAATGTGCAAAAATCACAAGCATTCCTATACACCATTAACAGACAAACAGGGAGGCAAATCATGAGTGAACTCCCATTCACAATTGCTACAAAGGGAATAAGATACCTAGGAATCCAACTTACAAGGGATGTGAAGGATCTCTTCAAGTAAAACTACAAACCACTGCTCAAGGAAATAAAAGAGGACACAAACAAATGGAAGAAAATTCCATGCTCATGGATAGGAAAAATCAATATCATGAAAATGGCCATACTGCCCAAAGTAATTTATAGATTCAATGTAATCCCCATCAAGCTACCAATGACTTTCTTCACAGAATTGGAAAAAACTACTTTAAAGTTCATATGGAACCAAAAAAGAGCCTACATTGCCAAGACAATCCTAAGCAAAAAGAACAAAGCTGGAGGCATCATGCTACCTGACTTCAAACTATACTACAAGGTTACAATAACCAAAACAGCATGGTGCTGGTACCAAAACATATATAGACCAATGGAACAGAACAGAGGCCTCAGAAATTACACCAAACATCTACAAACATCTGATCTTTGACAAACCTGACCAAAAAAAGCAATGGGGAAAGGATTCCCTATTTAACAAATGGTGCTAGCCATATGTAGAAAGCTGACTAATGTACCGCATAATTGGTACATTGTCAGCTCCAAAAAGGAACTGCTATGGGATCTTGGGCTCTCCAGGCCTCAGTTTCTTCATCTGGCTGACTGTCGTGGATCGGAGGAGATGATCTCCAAGGGCCTTTTCAGCTTGGAGTGTTGCTATGGGATCTTGGGCTCTCCAGGCCTCAGTTTCTTCATCTGGCTGACTGTCGTGGATCGGAGGAGATGATCTCCAAGGGCCTTTTCAGCTTGGAGTGTTGCCTAAGGAGTGACCGAGGGAGGAGGCAGCTGTGCCAAGGTCCCCGGCCAGCCATGGGTGACTGACTAGCCATATGTAGAAAACTGACTAGCCATATGTAGAAAGCTGAAACTAGATCCCTTCCTTACACCTTATACAAAAATTAATTCAAGATGAATTAAAGACTTAAATGATAGACCTAAAACCATAAAAAGCCTAGAAGAAATCCTAGGCAATACCATTCAGGACATAGGCATGGGCAAAGCCTTCATGACTAAAACACCAAAAGCAATGGCAACAAAAGCCAAAATAGACAAATGGGATCTAATTAAACTAAAGAGCTTCTGCACAGCAAAAGAAACTACCATCAGAGTGAACAGGCAACCTACAGAATGGGAGAAAATTTTTGCAATCTACCCATCTGACAAAGGGCTAATATCCAGAATCTACAAAGAACTCAAACAAATTTACAAGAAAAAAACAACCCCATCAAAAAGTTGGCAAAGGATATGAGCAGACACTTCTCAAAAGAAGACATCTATGCAGCCAACAGTCACATGAAAAAATGCTCATCATCACTGGTCATCAGAGAAATGCAAATCAAAACCACAGTGAGATACCATCTCACACCAGTTAGAATGGCAATCATTGAAAAGTCAGGAAACAACAGATGCGGGAGAGGATGTGGAGAAATGGGAACACTTTTACAGTGTTGCTGGGAGTGTAAATTAGTTCAACCATTGTGGAAGACACTGTGGTGATTCCTCAAAGATCTAGAACTAGAATTACCATTTGACCCAGCAGTCCTGTTACAGGGTATATACCCAAAGGATTATAAATCGTGCTCCTATAAAGACAGAGGCACACGTATGTTTATTGCAGCACTATTCACAATAGCAAAGACTTAGAACCAACCAGATGTCCATCAATGATGGACTGGATTAAGAAAATGTGGCACATATACACCATGGAATACTATGCAGCCATAAAAAAGGATGAGTTCATGTCCTTTGCAGGGACATGGATGAAGCTGGAAACTATCATTCTCAGCAAACTCTTACAAGGACAGAAAACCAAACACTGCATGTTCTCACTCATAGGTGGGAACTGAACAATGAGATCACTTGGACACAGAGCAGGGACCATTACACACTGGGGCCTGTCGGAGGGTGGGGTGTCTGGGGGAGGGATAGCATTAGGAGAAATACCTAATGTAAACGATGAGTTGATTGGTGCAGCAAACCAACATGGCACATGTATACCTATGTATCAAACCTGCACGTTGTGCACATGGACCCTAGAACTTAAAGTATAATGATAATAAAAAAGATATTTGCCTTGACTATAAAGCAAAATTTTAATTGAATGTAGGCTTAGATACTAAGAAAAAGGATAACAAGCCATGATTTAAAAAAAAAAGATAATTTCCTCTGGGGAAAAAAGAAAGAAAATGAAAAAAAGAAGAAAGGAAGAACTAAAGCTGCTGCTGTTTAATTATTAATTAACTATTAGCTCCTTAATAGTTCAAAAACTGAGACAGGTCAAAGGTCAGAGACAGAAAATAAAGAAGTAGGATATGGATTTAAGAAATCACTGGGAGGCCTTGTATTCTAAGTACATATTCTAGGAAAAGCCATAATCTAATTTAACATCTATCCACATTCGTGAAAATTTAGGTTGTAAGGAACTGCAGAATATCATTAGAAAGGGTGTTTAAAAAGCATGGCATTAGGTTAAATAGGCCAGTATGCTAAAGGGAGCTAAACAGGATGACAAGATGTGTTTTAGCAAAATAGTTCATGAAAATGATTACTTCAAAAGAAGTTTTCTTATACTATAAACACCTGTATGCAAATAAACTAGAAAATCTAGAAGAAATGGATAAATTCCTGGACACATACATCTTCCCAAAACTAAACCAGGAAGAAGTCAAGTCCCTGAATAGGCCAATAACAAGTTCTGAAATTGAGGGAGTAATTAATAGCCTACCAACCAAAAAAAGCCCAGGACCAGACTGATTCACAGCAGAATTCTACTAGAGACAAAAAGGGGAGCTGGTACCCTGAAACTATTCCAAACAATAGAAAAAGAGGGATTCCTCCCTAACACAATTTATGAGGCCAGCATCATCCTGATACCAAAACCTGGCAGAGACACAACAAAAAAAGAAAATTTCAGGCCAGTATCCAAAATCCTCAATAAAATGCTGTCAAACCGAGTCCAGCAGCAGCACATCAAAAAGCTTATCTACCACAATCGAGTTGACTTCATCTCTGGGATGGAAGGCTGGGTTCAACATGCGCAAATCAATAAATGTTATCCATCACACAAACAGAACCAATGACAGAAACCACATGATTACCTCAATAGATGCAGAAAAGGCCTTCAATAATATTCAACAGCCCTTCATGTTAAAAACTCTCAATAAACTAGGTATTGATGGAAAATATCTCAAAATAATAAGAGCTATTTATGACAAATCCATAGCCAATATCATACTGAATGGGCAAAAGCTAGAAGCATTCCTTTTGAAATCTGGCACAAGACAAGGATGACCTCTCTCACCACTCCTATTCAACATAGTTTTGGAAGTGCTGGCCAGGGCAATCAAGCAAAAGAAAGAAATAAAGGGTATTTAAATAGGAAGAGAGGAAGTCAAATTGTCTCTGTTTGCAGATGACATGACTGAATATTTAGAAAACCCCATAGTCTCAGCCCCAAAATCTCCTTATGCTGATAAGCAATTTCAGCGAAGTCTCAGGATACAAAATCGATGTGCAAAAATAACAAGCATTCCTATACGCCAATAATAGACAAGCAGAGAGCCAAATTATGAATGCACTCCCATTCAAAATTGCTATAAAGAGAATAAAATACCTCGGAATACAACTTAGAAGGGACGTAAAGGACCTCTTCAAGAACTACAAACCACTGCTCAAGGAAATAAGAAAGGACACAAACAAATGGAAAAACATTCCATGCTCATGGATAGGAAGAATCAATATCGTGAAAATGGCCATACTGCCCAAGGTAATGTATAGATTCAATGTTATTCCCATCAAGCTACCATTGACTTTCTTCTCAGAATTAGAAAAAACTACTTTAAATTGCATATGGAACAAAAAGCCTGTATAGCCAAGAGACTTCTAAGCAAAAAGAACAGAACTGGAGGCATCACGCTACCTGACTCCAAACTATACCACAAGCCTACAGTAACCAAAACAGCATGGTACTGGTACCAAAACAGATATATAGACCAATGGAACAGAACAGAGACCTCAGAAATAACACCACACATCTACAACCATCTGATCTTCGACAAACCTGCCAAAAACAAGAAATGGGGAAAGGATTCCCTATTTAATAAATGGTGCTGGGAAAACTAGCTAGCCGTATGTGGAAAGCAGAAACTGGACCCCTTCCTTACATCTTATACAAAAATTAACTCAAGATGGATTAAATACTTAAATGTTAAACCCAAAACCATAAAAACCCTAGAAGAAAACCTAGGTAATACTATTCAGGACATAGGCATGAGCAAAGAATTCATGACTAAAACAACAAAAGCAACTGCAACAAAAGGCAAAATTGACAAATGGGATCGAATTAAACTAAAGAGCTTCTGCACAGCAAAAGAAACTATCAGGGTAAACAGGCAACCTCAGAATGGGAGAAAATTTTTGCAATCTACCCATCTGACAAAGGTCTAATATCCAGAATCTACAAGCAACTTAAATTTACAAGAAAAAAACAACACCATCAAAACATGGGCGAGGGAAATGGACAGATACTTCTCAAAAGAAGACATATATGCAGCCAACAAACATATGGAAAAAAAGCTCATCATCACTGGTTATTAGAGAAATGCAAATCAAAACCACAATGAGATACCATCTCATACCAGTTAGAACTGTGATTATTAAAAAGTCAGGAAACAGATGCTGGCAAGGCCGTGAAGAAATAGGAATGCTTTTACACTGTGGGTAGGGGTGTAAATTAATTCCACCATTGTGGAAGACAGTGTGGTGATTCCTCAAGGATATAGAATCAGAAATACCATTGGCCCCAGCAATCCCATTACTGGGTATATATCCAAAGGAATATAAATCATTCTACTATAAAGACACATGCACATATATGTTTATTGCATCACTATTTACAATAGCAAAGACTTGGAACCAACACAAATGCCCATCAATGATAGACTGGATAAAGAAAATGTGGCACATGTGCACCATGGAATACTATGTAGACATAAAAAAGAATGAGTTCATGTCCTTTGCAGGGACACAGATGAAGCTGGAAGCCATCATTCTCAGCAAACTAACATAAGAACAGAATACCAAACAACCCATGTTCTCACTCATAAGGGGGAGTTGAATAATGAGAACACATAGACACAGGGAGGGGAACATCACACACCAAGTCCTGTTAGGGATTGGGGGGCAAAGGGAGGCAGAGCATTAGGACAAATACCTAATGCATGCAGAGCTTAAAACCTGGATGACAGGTTGATAGGTGCAGCAAACCACCATGGCACATTTATGCCTTTGTAACAAACCTGCACATGTATCCCAGAACTTAAAGTAAAATAAAATAAAAAAGAAGTTATCTTAGTATAAAAAAGGAGAAAAGGTTGTGTTTTTTTGTGAGTGTTGAAAAAGCATAATGAGTAAAGTATTAGGGAAATGAGTGCATTGAGGAGGAGGATGGGGAAGGTAGTTAAATATAAACCTGGTTTTATTTGCAAAGCTTTAATCTTGATAAACGGGACCTTCTTAAAGCAAATATCTTATATAGGGAGCTCATATTTGGGTTTCAAAATCTAGGTTATAGTCCAAACGATTTCAAATCTGAGAGAAACTTTTTTTAGAGTCCATTGTACTTAGTGTTAATATGACAACAAACCACAAAATATTAAGAAGCCAGTAATTATGAAGAAAAAATAGGTAATTATTCAAACCAAGACTTAATAACTGAAAATGTATAAATAAGTTTGTTAGATCTTTGAGGGCTCTGCCAGGGACTATTCTTTGCAGTAGCTAAAACTTCCTTTTCTATAAATGATTAACAAGAAATATTTGTTTAATTGACTTGAAAAACTCCAAACATGCTATGTTCACTTTTAAGAAAGATGATTATTAGAAAGTTAATTTATGCTAAATGAAGTATAAATAAGAACTAGATTGCACATATGTTTGAATCTTGATATCTTTGCCATCTATTCTGTGAATTGGATTAAGGTGTTCTACCCCCAGAACAGAAAGATGCTGTTTTCCAAAATAGCAGGAAAGAAATTAGATTAATAAAAATAATTTTCTCTATTTACGTTTTTTTGCATTAATTGTTCTGAAACATTTGCCTTCTATTGCCATTTGCTTATGATAGAATCTTGTGCAAGAACATAACAATTTTGTAAAAATGCAGTTGTTACACCTTGCAGAATACACAATCTTGAGCTCATTGTCACAGAGTAGATAACAAAATCATGCCTTAGAGAAACAGTATTTATGATATGAGCCTTTGCCTGAAGGAAAATGATTTTTAGAGGCTGTAAAATCTACCTTTGGCTTAAGCCAGACCAGCAAAGAGCCCCTGCACATGGACCACACAGCAGTGGCCTCTGAAGACTTGTTTTTACTGAACTGTGCTTTGGTGGGAAGTCCTCAGCACCTTCTGCACAGAAAGCAGCCTATATAATGTGCTCTTGTTAGAGGCATTCTGCTCATTACATAGTGACCTCTTTCTGCGGACCTTTGGGAGAAGTTTATTTTTAACTTCAGTCTCAATAAAAGTGTGCTCCTTTTGTACATTTTTTGGGGACACCATATGGTATAACTGATAAGGTTTTTTTGTGCATTGGCTGTTTAAAAAGTTCACTTAAACCCAAGTTCACCCATAGCAAGGTCGATAGCTTTATGATATGCATTTTCCTGTTAGCTTTTTTCTGCTTCCTGTTTATGTTTCTACCTCCGGTTTTGCTTTCTTCCCTACTTCTAACATATGTCATCTAGTAGTATTTTTTATTTTTTTTAAGCAGCCTTAAGTCTTGGGGGGACAAGATGAGAGAGAAATATATTCATTCACACATGCCTAAAAATATGTTGTATTTAGTCATTTGGGTTTTATTTTCTGCCAAGAACATTGTGTTTCACAATTATTTTGCCACCTGAAGAAATATGATAACTTTTTATTTAAAATTCTAGCTGCTAGGAGTGCAGAGAAGATTATTCATAATGCTGGCAAATATGAAACCACACTATCATCACCAGCCAATAATTTTTAATAACCTACTTTGTGTATTGCAGAGAAGTACAGTTTTCACAATATCTACTATAACCTAGCATGCTGACTGTTCTTTCTAGTTTATTTTCTGGCACAATTTATTTACCTCTCCCATTTAAACTCCTTCATTGGCAACTAATTGATTTTTTTTTTGGAGAGAAAATTTTTACTTGATTTTATTTAAATCTTCAAATTTGTGGATAGTTTGATAATTTCTGAATCCTATACTAGGCCTGTGGGCTCAGGATGTAAACTAATGCCAATAGTCCCTACCCCTGAGAAAAACATAATTAGGTCAGTTAAACCCACTGAAAAAAGTCCATGCAAGCTGTTCAATTATTTGTTTAGCCTGAATAATTAAAGCTTGACCTCTATGTGAATGTCTTCAGAACTCTGGCTAAGTACAGTTGAACCAGACATGCCACCTACTGGGAAGAGCATCAAGTATGGGTAGAAAATAGAGCTGCAATAAAAAGTAATGAGCAGTGGATGGTGGTGATGGCTGCACAACAATGAGAATGTACTTAATGCCGCTGAATTGTACACTTAAAGAGTAACTTTTATGTGTATTTTACTACAATTTCTAAAGAGGTAATGAGCAGTATTAAAAAGCATTAGAGAATAGTAGAAATTAATATTAGTAATTAATACCATTATATTCATAGTATATCATATTTTCATTATAATGCTAATAATAAATACTGATAGAATGCTTACTATGTACCAATACTATTGCAATCATAGAATTATAGCCTTTGTCACTATTTCTCCCAGTCTATTCATAAAAGAAAAGCTTTTTAAACATTTTTACTTGTCACATCTGTAAACAAGGTTGCCACATTCCAGACTTTCAGAAAGTCTTTTTAATCAGCAGGAAGGAACTTCAATACAAGGTGGAGATAACTAAGACGGTAAAGCCATTACCAAATTTCCTGTCAATAAAAAGCAGGTGGGGTATGAAATTAACTGCACACCATTCCTAAGACATTGAGAAGCTTCTTCTAAGTGTAAAACATGAAAGTACAGATGAGGTAGAAGTGGTTTAGATGTGGACCAGTGGTAAAAATAAAACCATCGCATAAGAACTTTGAACTCTTGTCATTGTCCAAACATCCTCAATGATTGTCTCATCTCTCCATTAGTCAATTTCTCACATACAACATACTTTTACCCGTCTTCTCCCCACTCCAGTGTCATTCTCCTATCACCCTAAGCAAGTCAGAATCCTGTTCCTCATGGGCGTCTTCTATAATATTTCCAAAGGTGACCCACTTTTAATCTGGTCACTACCATCTGTAATTCACGATTTGGAGATTAGGGATATGTATTGTATCTGTTTTTGTGTCTTTCCCCACCCTCACATCATCAGTTCTACCCAGGTAATTCTTATTTGTTTTGACCTTGCACATACACTGGATTTATGGGCATGGTACAGGAGATGGAGGGAGGTGGATAAGTCATTATTAGACTATATAGAGAGGGTAGGGAAAATGAGTAGGTATGTCAGAGAAAGCTTAACTGGGCCCTGAATTTGAGCATAAAGCTCTTATTTATCCTGGTTTTTATTGATCCTTATCCCAGTCCTCTCTTCTCTGGAGTTCTGCACAGGTTGCCTTCATACACATCTAATATCAGATGACCTAGGTTAAATCATCTCCAAAAGTTTTCACAGTCTGATTCCATCCCACAAGGCTACTCATCTAATTGTCTTTTTCTTTACTACTCAGGGTGTAATCTGTTAGGCTTAATAGGCTCATAGTGTCTATTTGCTTCTTATGTTTGTCTTCTCTATGCAACTAGATGATGTATTTGAATAAGCCAGAGAAGTGTCTTTTATTTCCTTTATATACTCTCCCCTACAATGCCTGTCATAGTGGTTTGCTGTGTCGATAGAATGAGCTTAATACTTTTTAAAAAATTAAAATGATGGTACATGTAGAGAGGTTAATATCAAGTTTTCTTTACATGTACCAAATGCAAAATACATGTATATGTTTTGGTGGGGACAGTTCATACAAGCCAGAGATAATAAAATCTTAAAGCTCTGTAGTCTCTCCCAACAATTTAAGTACTTGGATATGAAAAACCTTGTTATCTGGGCATTGACCATGTAAATATTATTCCACACATAATCATTTTGTCTTTGTCTACAGCTTTCCCTATCTCTAGGCTATGAGAATATATGAACTTGGGAGAATTAGGCATTCAGAATTTTCCATAAAATACTTCTCCATTAGGAAATATAAAACAAGAAAAATGCTAACATGGAGCTATCAGATATTTTTAAGTATGTGTTAGGCCCACTGCATTGGGGCATGTGCCAATATTTCGTAAAACCAAAATTCACTGCCTAGTAAATTGTTCCTTCCTGGTCTGTCCAGAGAAGTAAATGGTGAAATATTCATGGCTCTTGGGAACATCCAAGCTATTTGGCAAGAGCTTTTCCCTGGGTTTGCCAAAATGGCCCTGAACTCAAAATATGGTGTTTATTCAAAATGATTATAAAAATGGCATGAAGTTTGTTATTTCTTTTAATAACTTGAAAGAATTCTGGAGAAATAATTTCATGTTTCTTCTAGTCCTTTCATATTTTTGATACATTCACAGCTATTCTTTTCCAAATTGCAATTAGAATGACTAATAATGTTTAGAATTTTATCTGTTGGTTTCTCTTAAGTCATGATTCTACCGTGAGTCATTTAACTTCTTTCCAAAGCACCCAGTTGTAACAAACAGTGGTTTATGTCACTGGAGACGTACTATGTAGTCAAACTTGTAATTTCATCTAAGTGAGATCAGAGAGAGAAATAAAAAGTGGGTATCTTTTTTATTTCAAAATAACAGGGGTTTTAATATTTCTACACAGCATTAGATAATAGCCCAAACATATTATTGATCCCCAAACAAGTATTTTCCAGATCAATTAATAGTCATTATCAATTAATATTCATGTCTACCTGTCTGAGCAATGGATTAGAAACATTATAAGTTTCATTTTATGGAAGAGAAAGCAGACTAAAAGTCTAGGGATATGATCATTTGGTTTCTGGTTTCAGTTCTGACACTAACAAGCAATATCCTTGGGCAAGTTGTTTAATCTTTGGGGCCTTATTTTTCTCAAGTAGAGAATAACGAAGCTGGATCTCATGCTCCATTCCCATCTCTTCCCTACCCCCCATTATTTCATAAGATTTTCTTGCCCCTATTATGCCTTAGTAAATTCTAGATCAAGAGAGATCCTGCCCAATTTCAGAGTAGAGAAGCCCAGGACTAGCTGCGTAATTTGTGGGGCTCATTGAAAAATGGAAATGTCGAATTCCTTCTTAAAAAATAAAGGATTTCAAGAGGGTAACTGCAAAGCATTAAATTTAGCATGCGGTCCTTCTGAGCATGTGACCCTTTGCAACTGAACAGATCACACACATCCAAGAAGCTGGCCCTGTAGAAAACAAAGAAATGTTTTCCCCCACCTTCCAACATTCTCTTTTGCTCTTAACGGAATGGAAATCTTAGAAATGTTGATGGGACAATGACATGAATCATGAAAAGAAAGGAATAGTGGGAATACGAATATTAGAAAGCCAATGTTTTGTGGATGTTTGAAACTCTCATATACATTCATAGGGCTTACCCCACTGGTATGGGCAACAGGTAACTCTGGTAGTTTCTAAAGATGCTCCCAGTGAATTATGCCTCCTGGTATGTGGTCCTTATGCAGTTCCCTTCTACACTGAATCGAGACTGGCCTGTAATTTGTGTTCACAACGAATAGAATGCAGCAAAAGCAAAGCCCTGTCTCCTAGAGATTCTGGTATGTTGTCTCTTTGTTCTCATTGGTTTTAAGGAACTTATTTATTTCTGCCTTAATTTCATTATTTACCCAGTAGTCATTCAGGAGCAGGTTGTTCAGTTTCCATGTAGTTGTGTGGTTTCGAGTGAGTTTCTTAGTCCTCAGTTCTAATTTGATTTCTCTGTGGTCTGAGAGATTGTTATGAATTTCGTTGATAAAATTTTATATATTTATGGTATACATAACATTTTGATATATGTACACGTTACAGGATGATTAAATCAAGCTAAGTAACAAATCCATAATCTCACATAAATTTTTTTTGGTTGCTCTTTTAACACTAAGTTTTGGGGTGGTTTATTTCAGACACCCCAAATGACTGTCTATCTCATGTGATTTTAAGGATGTCTAAAGGTTCCCCAGTTGTGCAATATCTACAGGATCACTGAATGCCAAGTCCCCAGGGAAAGGAATGATGAAAGGGGAAGTTGCTGGAAGAAGAGAGAGGAGGAAGTTGAGGCCATAGAGAGGAAGGCCCTGAAAGAAAACTTTAACTGCTTGCCAGTTTGGCCAGAGGTCTCTTTGAGCAGGAACAACTGCATTTAGACCAGCAGTTCCCATGCTCTGTTTTACAGGTCTGAGCTTTCCAGTAGGTGAAATTATGTTTTGAAACTGTGTGCCATGTAGTACCAGCTAGAATAAAGCCAACATTACACATTCAGTTCTACCATGGTTATTTCAGTTCTGTTCCATATCTAATGACCACCAACCTTGAATATCAATGTGTGCAGTCCTTAGGGAGACCAGGACGGATTCACAATTTCAATGGGGCTACTGGAAAGATGCTTGGCTGTTTTTTTACTCATGGAAAGTCAGAAAAATCATTGTTATATGGGAAAGACAGGATATTTTAAGTACTTATTTCATTTGATAATATTGTTTTTCTCTTCACTCAAGAAAAACCATTAAAAAATCATGTGTTTGTGAAAGTTATCCAGGTCTATCAATTATTATTTAAAGTAATATCTGTTTTACTAGTGTGTAAAGGATTTAAAAGAGTTATAATGAAGCATTTTAACTACATAAATATTACTTCATAGCATTTTCAATCATTAAGAAAGATAAGCCCTTTTCTTGTTGGTTCTTGATATTTTCCTACCTGTATTCAAATTAATGCAGAAGTAATAGCCATTATCTTACTTACTGGTAGCAAGGAGTTACATTATAAAAGCTTCTTGTATAAAATTTTATTCACTAATAGAAAAGAAAGAGAAATAGTGGAAAACTGTTAACATTTAACACAGCGTAAAATACATTGCCCATTCTAAATGGTTTGAGGTCTTAAAGAGTCTCTTCCAGGGGTTTTTGAATGTTCAATTCTAGTAAATATCACAGCCAAAGAGTTCCAGGCGAAGTGCAATACTTTGATTCCATGTTTTAGGAATGACACGGATAAACCTGGAAATGATTGGGGGGTTGAAAAAGTTCTTCACATGTCCTTTGGTATTAGTATTTCCTTCAAAAATCTGAAAGCCAAATAAGAGAAAATCTTTAATGACAACATAAATGGCTAAGGTTTTTTGTTTTTGTTTTTTTTTAGACAGGGTCTTATTCTGTTGCCCAGGCTTGAGTCCAGTGGCACAGTCATGGCTCACTGCAGCCTTAAACTCCTCTCAAGTAATCCTCTTGCCTCAGCCTTCCAAAGTGCTGGCATTGCAGACATGAGCCATCATGCCCAACCCAGAAAATTTTTTATCCTATTAGCTCAAAATGAGCATATCAAAGAACACATAGAACACTCTCACAGAGATGATCCTCTATCAGTTATGAAATCACATGCCAGATAGATTTCATCTCACCAGTGATCTGACTTAAATTAGTGAAAAATAAACAAGTCTCACATGGTGCTGTGGAGCAGCTGCAAAACCATTTCTGCCTTCAGCCCGTCTGTATTAGCTGTATGACTGAACAAGTTACTTATTCTCTGATTCTTCATTTCCTCATTGGCAAAATAAGGATAATAACATTTTACCTCACAGAAGTCATTGTAAATATTTAAAAATGTATGTCAACGTAAGTGCATAGTAAGTGCCAGGAAGTGGCCACCAATAAATGTTTGACTATTGCTAACATTTAAAATGTGACCATGCATTTTAATTTATTTATTCTTGTTGGCATGTACCTTATATCCTCAACTAAAGTGTATAACTTTCCCCCTTCCATCATCAGCAAGTTCCCCAAGGTTTACACACACCAGAAATAAAATCACTCTTTTTTTTTATGACAATGATATTTATCCTCCTATGAGGGCAACCTGGTGTAGTGAGAAATAAAACAAACCAAAACAGACAACCAGGAGTTTGTCTGAGACCAGGCACCTTAAGAACTAAGATTTAGAAGACTTAAAGAGGTGGTACATGTCACTGCATATTTGTCAAATGCAAAATACTGTTATTCTCATTATAGCACAGTCTTCAGATTGCTTTCTCTTTGCCCAGATGCCACTCTACCTTGTCCACCATGGAGGATTTCAGCCTGTATGGTTTCCATTCCACTCCCTGCTCACTGTAGTGGATGGTATAGCTCTTTACATACATTTCAGAGGACAGAGACTTGCAGCCCTGTGTTATAATTGCCGTTATCTTCTTGATCTTGAGTAGATCAATTTCTAGCCACTGCTTATTGTTGTTTGCCTATGAAAATGACAAAAACACATAGATAAGGAAGATGTTAAAACCTTTGCTTTTTTTTTAGACCAAGTTATGCAAAAAAGCACAGAGCTCAAAAGGATTTTGTTCTATCTTATCCCTTAGGATTCACAGTCTCCTAGAAGCTTTCCCTCTTTCTTCTTCATTGCCACAATATGTGTGTAAATTTTTATTGAAGTATTTCACACATTGTACTATAATTGTTTCCTTCTTAGCATTCCTTACTGCTTAAGGGTAGAGGCTTATTTCATTTTGTTTCCTGGTACTCACCACAATGTTAAGACACTCAGTTGGTGTTCAATAAATAGTTGTTGAATAAATGAATGAATAAATGAGCTTTATTTGGAAAAATAATTAAACTGCTAAATTATCTGTGAATATTATTTTCTTAAGCAAATTTCTTTAAATACTCTGGTAATATTGCTGCAGGGTTATCTGGGAAATAATTGGATAGCATTCTCTCTCTATTTCACCTGTTTTACAAAACACAACTTCTCTTTCCCCCTGTTAATGTCAAAGAGCAGAAATAGTTCAATTTCTTCTAATATTTCAAATAAATGTAACATTTGAGAGACCTGATAAAACCATAAGTAGAGCTTGATACACAGTACAGTTATTGTCCTGTCTCTGGCCTAACAAAATGCCTAATCACATGGTTGGTGATATGTGTTTGGAGAAAGATCAGAAGGTCTAAACTGAGTTTTAGAGTCATCTAAGATAAATTTTTACCTTTGGGAGATTTATCGTCTACCATAACCTCATTCAATTCTAAAGGAAATAATATTGATATGTTTCTTCAACATCACCCACACATACATAAGTGTATGTGTATATATAGGTGTATGTGTATATATGTGTATACACAAAAATTCACATGCTATATGTATTTTAAAAGCAAATTAACTGAATTAGAATGATTATATGAGAAAACTTT
The DNA here is from genome assembly GCF_000001405.40 of Homo sapiens. Lineage (NCBI taxonomy): Eukaryota > Metazoa > Chordata > Mammalia > Primates > Hominidae > Homo > Homo sapiens. The sequence continues at coordinate 169,516,576 of NC_000001.11, forward strand.
TAAGTCTATAACATCCTCTAGTGACATCTGGGTGGTATCTTAGTGTGTCTTCATATCAAGGTTGTACCAGTGATGCAGAGTATAACCAGCTAGAGGTTTTCACAGGCATAAAAGAGGTAGAGACATTTTAGTTATGGAGAGAACAGCATCTATGTGCATCACTGCATATGTCCAGCTTTGATTTTCAACCTCTCTAAAGAGACCATATAAAGACATTTCATGTGAATGGAAGGGGGTTAAGTAAAACACATATTTCTGATCCCGAATTCTAACTTTGAAATGACACCATTAAAAATTAGCATTTTATCTTTGAGGCCCTTGTTATATCACAAAGACTAAGAGCAAATTATAGAGAGTGCAAATTTTTTTAAAAGATTGTAAAATGAAGTATGGAGTGACAAGGTTATACCATGAACAAGTCTAAAGAGTCATCTGAAAAAGAATTGGATAACATCTCTTTAATTATTATTTATATTGCTATGTAAATTATATAAATGTAATATAACACTATTTTTATTATTTTAACTTCTCTGGGTGTCAGCTTTGCCCTCTGCAAAATTGCAAAATGAGGTATTTGGGCTGCTTCAAATGGTGGAAGGAGCATGGCCTGTTTACTGGGAGAATGGGATTCTAGTCCTGATTCTGCTACCAAACTAAGCTAAAATTATTTAATCTCCTGTGTATTTAGAATTAAAAGGAAAAATCTAGACCAGATGCTTTGCTCCTTGCTACTGTAACATTCTGTGATTCCATATTGGGCCAGAATGAGTTTCAAGACACAGATATCAGTTCCCAAGACTGTGTGGAATCCAATCTTTTCTATTTACGCCACCAGCACCACAATTCTTTTTTCCTTTCTAGTGGCCTAATTTAAGGATAGGCCCTGGAATTCTATAGAAAGCCAGGAAATTGGAGTGTAGGTATCTTAAGGGAGGGAGATATGAGGATAGAAATTAGGGAATTTGGATTTAGTTGGCTGAAGGGATCATCAAGTTATTCATGCCATTCTGATATCTCAGGTCATTTAAAGAATTAATAAAAATGAGTCAAATATTAAGAGTTACCCCCAAATTAAATCACCTGAATTACTCAGTGGGCTAATATCAGGGACAGTATAACTCTCTGGAAGGTGTTTGTTTAACTTAGATCACTGATTTTATAACTCTGGTTTTGCAACATTTTACTATGCTTCTAGTTGCCTCAAGGAATATCACAAAGCTCTTAAAATAAGGAGGGCGGGGAAGAGAACAAAAAAGTTTAGATGACATTTCATTTAGGAAAATGAAAAAATATTGCTAAATTGTAAAGAAAAAATAAGAGATGATGTTGCAAATCTAAATCATTTTTTTATCACTAATGTAAGCTGTCTAAATGAGGAGTTGGCAAACTATGATCCATGGGCCAAATTTGGCCCGCTGCCTGTTTTTTGTAAACAAAGTTTTATTAGAACACAGCCAGCTCATTCATTTACATATTGTTTATGGCTACTTTACTGCTACAATGGCAGAGTTGAGTAGTTATGGCAGAGAATGTATGGCCCACAAAGACTAAAATATTTACCATCTATCCCTTTGCAGAAAAATTAATTTGCTTATTATTGGTTTAAATCAAGACTAGACCAAAAACCACAGAGATGATAAATGACTTCTCTCTGAGACAAAGTTATAGTCAAAGCTATCAAGTCCACAGACATCCTGGACTCTTGGACCTAGGATTTTAATCTGCAGAAACAGATTAAAATACTCCTGCTTCCCAGATCCTCCATGTTTGTGGTAGTGAGGGCCTTTGCTTTCTTCTGGAGCCCTAAGAGAACACCATGCATAGAGTATACTTGACCTTGGCTTGCCAGGCATTCACACGTCCCTGGGCATTCAGACGGGCACGGAAGGGTTCCCAGTAATCTCCCCACCAAGATTTCTTAAACGAAGAAGCTGTGATTTGCTTGTTTTCTATCTTTCCATTTTCCATACCCAGGGGTGTGGAACATCCTATCAAAAGAAAAGTAACGTGATTAATTACACACCAATATTCCCTGCATGGCTTCATGCACTGCAGAGGAGATAAGAAATAATATTACTACCAACAAATGACAAAAACAATAACCACAACAATGAAGATTTATTGAATCCAAGTGCCAAATACTGTTCTCAGGCTTTACATGTATTATATAATGCTCATAAATATCTCCATTTTAGTACAGCCAAAACACAGTAACTTGTCTAAGGTAACACAGCCACAAGAATCAGAAACTGAATTGAGTTCAGACAATCTGATACCAAATACCATGTTCTAAACATTTAAACTCACTTCCTCCTTCTGAGAGTCTTGGAAACTTTGGTCTTTGCTTTCAGGTGACAATAATCCTAAATTATCTATATATAAAAATACTCTGTTTCTTCTAACAAAAGCTACCAAGAAGATACAATGGACCCTCAGTCACTATTTAATATTTTCTGTTTCAACCCTTAGAGGGTAATTCGAGTTATGTACCCTTTGGAATTTTTCCAAGGTGTAATTTGAATATCATAGGCAGCAAGGCAGACCTGTGACTGTAAGAAACACAGCTAGTGAGTGAACCTGGCTGACCACCCATCATCTCTGTGACACTTTGTTCTTGTTGGTAAATCATGCAGAAATTTTCTTGAAGTGATGCCTTACTTTCTCCATGAAAAAAACAAAGGGTCCTAAAAATAATACCCACTGCTAATAATTACCTAAGTATCAAGAAAATGAATAAGAAGAAAATAATGCTTCTTGTATAAAAAATAGATGTTTTAAATAAGTTAGCAGAATTGAATGTCACATTTTAGGGTAGTTTATTAGGATCTGAACAAATCTATTTATACCATATGGAAAGAAAAAAACGCAATGACTTATGGAACTGTTTCAAGGAGTGGTCCTGCCGATACAAGATCTGTGTTTTATTTGGGAGATGTTTTAGACTACTGCTATCTGGACATTGGCAAAATACCCATATCCATCCAAGGGTATACTGTGCCATTATCTGCTTCAACAGGAAACTGATTCCAGGTTTCAGCTACTTTCTCCATTGTGAATCATGGTGGCTTCTCTCCACCCAAAGGGAAGTACTGCAACTCCTGACAGGTGTGCCACGGCAGGTTTCTAGTGCACCTATTTATTGATCCCTCTTCCCACCTCCAGCCCTTCAGCAGCCAAGTGGGGCCTGGATCAGCCAAGCCTTAGATTTATTGCTTCATTCTTTTACCTCAGAATGCCAGGCAGATATTATTTTCTTTGTGTGCTTTGAAGTAAAAAATATTGGAAAGCACTGCTTTAAGAGTCCAAGAAGAACAGTTAAGACTCTTAAACATCCTTGCTATATATAGTAGAATTTTATTATGACCATTTATGATTACCTGGATTTATTTATACCACAGGTCACATTACAGCCCCTGAGAAATAGCAGCTAACATAGAAAAGACTTGAGTACCTACACAGGGTATGAAAGAAAATATAAAGAAGAATTGTGGTTTCAGGAAGTTGGGAAGCCAATTCAGATTTCAAAAACACTCATTGAACACCATATATATGGCAGTGATGTTGCCAGATACTGTCATGACATTGAAGTTTGAGTGACCTGAGGACTTTGGAAGAGTCAGGCCTAGTTTGAATCTCAGGTAGGTCTTATTGAAAATGGGCTGATGGAGGTAATTCCAAATTAGAGCCCTTCCTTGGAGAGTTGTGATGTGTCTATATAATCCAGGCACTTTCTTCACAGAGATGCTGTCGGCACTCTGATTGGCAGAACCATTCTTGGTCTAGATCACACTGAGAGTTTACCTGAGTAGAACCTCTGTTTCACAAAGGTTTTCCTAGGAGCCTAAGTCACTGAAAAGAACTAAAAATTCTACTCATTCTCCTATACCTCCCAAATCTTGATTCTTTGAGTGGCAGTGAGAAAATAATGCATCTTTGTACCTTACCATTTACCTCACAACCTTGCAGTTCCAATCGAAGGGTAGGTCTGTTATAGGCTCGAGTTGGAGAGATCCTAATATATCTAGCCACAATAGGTGGGTCAAACTGATTCTCTTTTATTGTAGAGGCATCTGAATTGCCATTAAAATACTAGAAGAAAAGAGGAAAGTTTAGTTATGTAACAATGATCTATAAAGTGACTTTATATTAAAATTTTGATCTAATTTAATATTGTAATACTACATTTTCATGGGGTCCAAACTAAATCAATTTGGTTATAAAATATACTTGGGGATAATTCCAGTTCCAGGAAGATTGTATATATGTACTTTGCCCTATTCCTCCTGCTAAGTACAACTAAAAACTTTGGACATTATAGCTCAGAGAAACATAAGACCCTGAAAAGAGCTCAGAAGACAGACTGGCTAGGGTTCTCGGAAGGAACAAAATGGTGATCAGTGTCTTGAATTTTCTTTTTGCCTCATAAATCCCAGACTTAGAGATGAAGAAGCCGGCAACCTGGAAACACCAATGAGTACAGACTGAAAAAGCCCAAATAAAATCTGCTTTCTCTAACCAAAGTACCAGTAAAGGGCAGCATAGCGAGATATGATAGAAAACTGGTGGACACTGACTTCTGTCCTTTAGTCAAACACCACAGAAAAACCTGAGGCCCCTCCCCAACCCACAACAGCAAAGGCTGAATGGGGAGCCTAGACTTCTATGCTCCTGAGGCTAAAGAGGCACCCTACACCCTCACTGGGGTTGTGTCAGAAAAGGCCATGTAGGGATTTAGGGCTTTCATCTCCAGCCCCTAATGAAGCTCCTGCCCCTGCAGTATCAGTGGAGGCCAAATGGGGAACTTCCCTTCCCACCCAGCCACCAAGGAACAATCCCTTCTTAGGTGGCAATGGAGTGGGGAACCTGGACTTTGACCCCCACTTGGCAGTAAACAGGCTGTGCCCTACCCCTTTTCCTGACAGAGCAATGTCAGAAAAAGCCAACTTTTTAAAACAGAAGATTGGAGCAGGTATCGGTAATACTGAAAACAGAAAAACAATAGAGAAAAATCAATAAAACAAGGCTGGTTCTGTGAAAAGATTTTTTTTTTTTTTTTTTTTTTTTGAGACGGAGTCTCACTCCGTCACCAGGCTGGAGTGCAGTGGCGTGATCTCGGCTCACTGCAACCTCTGCCTTCCGGATTCAAGCGATACTCCTGCCTCAGCCTCCCAAGTAGCTGGGATTACAAGTGCACGCCACCCTGCCTAATTTTTTTTAATATTTTTAGTAGAGAGGGGGTTTCACCATGTTGGTCAGGATGGTCTTGATCTCTTGACCTCGTGATCTGCCCACCTCGGCCTCCCAAAGTGCTGGGATTACAGACGTGAGCCACTGCGCCCGGCCAAGAAGATTTTTTTAAAATCGACAAATCTCTAGCAAGATTCACACAAAAAAGAAAGGAGGGGCAGATGACAATATCAGAGATGAAACAGGCAAAATCACTACAAACATGAAAAAGGATAAGGGAATATACAAACAACTCTACACATATAAACTTAACAACGTAGAGGGAATTGACCAGTTAATTGAAATATACAAAGTATTTCAATTCACCCAATATGACATAGATAATTTTAATAGCCCTGTAACTATTTAGAACATAGGATCTGTAATTTAAAAACTGCCCAAAAAGAAATCTGCAGGCCCAGATGGTTTCACTAGTGATTCCTACCAAATATTTAAAGAATTATTACCAATTGCAGACATTTTCTCCTAGAATGTAGAAAAGAGCATGCTTACCAGTTTTATGAAAGCTAGTATAACTGTGGTATCAAAAACAGAAAAAGACAATTAAAAAAATAAAACTATATACCAATATCCTCTCATGAACATAGACGACAAAATCTTTATGCTATGGACTCAACTGCAATCTGTGTTTTCTCTCATAATACTGATTAGTAAGAACCATAATTTAGGATTTCAATGGTTCTGAGACATAGTATAAATAATTATTAAAAATAGGTAACTAATAAACAGTAAATAATTTTATATAAAATATAAGCAGAAACAGACTCAAGGTTATTGGTATAATAATGGCAGGCAGACTCCTTGCATTCAGACTTCTTTGGGGAAGGGAATAGAGAGGAGGAGAAGAGTTAGGGCTTATGGCTGAGCCCCTGGAAGAACCAGAAGGAGAATGTCATTCCTCAGGCATGGCCCCCCAAAAAGTCTGAGAATCACACTGCCTCAGAGGCTTACTAGCATTAACACTACTATTTACTTCAGGTACACTGAAATAAAGAACAAAACAAACTACAATAGTAAAATCAAAAGTCTTGGTAGCCAATTTTTAGCATGAGCTCCTTGAGGCGCAAGACCAGATGTTCTACTCTGCCGTATACCATTGGCCAGTCTGAGAAATCTGGGTATTTTGTTTGATGATAAAATGATTTTTTAAAGTTTTGTGGGGTTTTGAAGTTTCAGTAACCCTGCTTCTCTCTTTAATTTGTAAGACACAGACCTATCATATTACTGCTTTTCTCCATATGACCCTTAGAAAGCCATTCACATTTCTAATACCCAGAAAGGTATTTTTTAAAATACATAATCATTAGGTATAGTCATAATAATTCTAGGCCAAGTCTAGAGTCTAGAGATTCAGATAGAAATATGCACACAAACCATCACATTCCTTGTGCTGTTCCCTTTGAAGATCTGCCAGTTGATCTGGTTGGAACTGTAAGCTACATAGAACTCTGTGGTATAGCAGGACTTCAGGTAGTGTTTGGCACCTTGGGTCTGGATCCCTGTGATTATGACTTCCTTTTGCATGTCCACCTGCAATATAGGAAAGCCAGTAAACAGAACTGTCCTTGTCAACAAGTCACACACTGCCTAAATTCATTATACAATCAGCTTTCTTCAGAACTAAAGAGCTAGCACATAAGATCTTAGCAAACTGATACAATGACTACATGCAATTCATATTTGGGCACAGAGTACCTAAATTTGAATCCCAACTCAATGACTAATTAGCTGTGTGTTACTTTGGGAAGGTAGGTAGTATCTCTGTGCCTTTTGTTTTTTAATCTATAAAACAAGATATTATTAGAACCAACCTCAGAGGGTTGATTTTAAGGATATAAAGTACTTAGAACAGTGCCTCACACTTAGTACTTGCTATTTCCCCTAACAACATTGCAAGAACAATAACAAGGAATTACTAAATCACTTTCATTTTTATTATTACGATAGCAGTAAATATTATCAGTCTATTAAGACAAACCTGGATCCAAGGTTTAGAGGCAAATTCTGCTGCAAGTTTTTCTACACTCCAAGCATTATAAGATCCACCATTGTTTAATCTTGCTAATCTGGGCTCCCAGTAACCTAAACTCAAGGGAAGAAAAAGATTTATTCTGAATTTTTTAAAAACCCAGCAATTTCTCAAGTGAGTTTAATCCAGTGGAAAACCAGATCCTTGGAGGACCTGTGTTGTAGTCAGGAGTCTAGGCATGGGCCTCAGCTACTAGGCCAGTCCTTGATGATGAAATCTGGGCTTCAGGTCTGTGTTTGGTCAACTGCCAACCACCTCCTATCCCCTTTCTTGCACACAGGTCATGTTTGATTTTTTCTGTTGTGTTTATATTCCTAATGCTGAATGTGCCTGCCTAACAGGAAGACATGGAAGGGTATATGGGAGCCTCATCATCCTCTTGATCATGACCTCTTGATCTTGGGAAGGGCTTTGAGGCAGTGTGGGAAAACTTTGGAGGAGTTCCTCACATATAGTGGAGGTTCAACAAAGTTTTCTGAATAGATGAATGGTTGCCACAGGCAAAGGGCCATATTAATGGGGACTATAATGCCTGGCTGATAAGACCCTGTGAATCTGGCTGAAATACTACATGTGTGGTCAAACCCAGAAAAGATGACTGAGGAGAGTTTTGGAAATGGGCGCGTGGTCATAAGAGTAAGGTATCTGATCCTTGCCAAATCCCTGCAGAGAGGCTGGGCTTTTTATGTAGAGAAATCAATGACCCCCAGCTATCGGTTTTTCCTGGAAAAGACTCTTTGGGATCATTATACACCAGAAGAGGTGGCAGTGTTAAGAGCACACTAACAGGCCTTTAGCTCCTACCATAGTGTTCCTTCCTTTACCATATATGTACCCCAAATGGAGCTGCTTCACTACATTGTAGTAGAGAAAAGCATAAAGAGAAAAACTGATTCATAGATAGGATTGTCATGTATGGTTTCATAGGCTGCATGCTGCACAACTGTAGGGGGTACCATTCACAGACCATGGTGCTACAACTTACCCAGAAACTCTGAAGCCTTGATCTGTGAATCAGATATGATACCAGTGCTTAGTCCCATTGGCATCCTACAGTCTATGAAAAACAGAAAAAAAATGAATAATTTTTGCTTAGAAAATATATACAATAAAGTAAAACTCCATGGTTAGGGATTATGTTTCTGACTCAATAATTAGATATTTTTACCTACCTTGTGTGGCCCTGACTTAAATATATCTGATTATAAAATGGTAAATGCACTAACAAGACTGGTGCTTTAATAGATATAGTGGCATCCTAGAAGAAAGCAACTGAAATCCTGAAATGTAATCATTTTTTAAACTGATTTTCTTCTGCTTTTATCTTAAATTATGCTATTTTACAACATTAGGTACCATCCATGGCCAGGTGCAGTGGCTCATGCCTGTAATCCTAGCACTCTGGGAGGCCGAGGGGGGAGGATTACTTGAGGCCAGGAGTTTGATCTTGGGCAACCTCTTCTCTACAAAAAAAATAAAAATACAAAATATAAAAATATGAAAAAAAGTTCTAGTCCTGATGAGACTATGTTCTCAAAAGTTGACCTCAAAGTTACAAGGTTATTTATATCTTGATCAAGGAAGGGATACCAGCCACTGTGCTACCTGGATGTTGGCACAGTGCTTCATACTCAACAGTGCTTAGTAATGGCTTAAAGAATGGATGAACAGATGGACAGATGAAAACTGTGTTTCCTAAATGCTGAAATGTCAAGTTTAGTGACTCAGTCATTGTTAAATTCCTGTGACCTTTTCCCTCCTCAACTCTTGGAAGCTGGAAAATTTCTTATATGCACTTGTCCATGGATCACAAGTCATGAAGAAGGATGCTTTACACAGGTTTCCCAATTGACAGGAATGCTTTTGATCTGACTGATGTGTTTTCAATGCAATCAGACCATGGGCCGGAATAAAAGCAATTATGGCTACAAATTATGCCTTTGTCACATCAGAGTTCTTAGAGTTGAATATTTCCAATCTAAAAGTTGGTAATATTCTAGTAATAGGCACTCTCCTGCCAAACCAAATATCACATGGCTCTTGTGATACCTCTGTCCATGATAAGAAATGGCGTTTGCATCCCTGCTCTCTGGTTTTCTCCAACCTCTGTGTTTAGGAGCCACCAGCCAGGTTTTGATGCCTTCATTTCAAGAGTTTTAAATGAACCTAAAATAAAAAGAACAACATTACATTTGCAAAAATTAACAAGTAAATATTGTGGTTGATAGTTCTCTAAGAATCCTAAAATTCCTGCTTCACAAGAGGCTTTCAAATAGAATTTAACCATTTTTCTTTAGGTAGGACTGAAAGTATAACAGATAAAAACAAAACAATAACAACACATACACAGAGATAACTAAAAAAAATTTTAAATCACCACCACACCTCACTAGAAGAAACTTTCACTTATCTAAATATAATGTTACAAATTAACTCACATACAATACAGCTTCACAGTCCTAATTATCAAAGTGACCTCGAATGACATCATTGGGCTTCAAAAATATCATACATGTTTCCTTTCCCTCTTTTCATTTTTGCTTTTTTCTCTTTTTTATATAAGAAAATAAAAATAAAACCTTCTTCCTCCATGTTTTCAAGTTTTCCATAAAGCTTACATATTTGAATAGAGATTTACATAAATTGCTCAGAAAAAACACTGAAAGAATGAGATTTCTAAAACCTCTGGCTATCCATTCTGGTATTTAACATTACCCCCTGGCAGTTAATATTTAAATTCTGTTGACTATAATTTATGACTGTTTCCCAGATTGTGGGTGAAAATGAATAGATATGATTATCTTCCTCAAACACACTGAAAAATGTCTCCAGTTTTCCTCTCTCCAATGCAGGTATTTAGGTTTGCAGATTTAGAGACACCAGCCAATCCTAGCTTCTCAGTCTGTCTGCAGGCTGATAGGAAGGATGACTGATCTTCTAATACTTGATGAAAAGATGAGTAAATTTGACTGAATCTCTTCTGTCTCTGATTTTAATACAATAAATTATCTATTAATTATTATATTAATTAATTAATATGATATTAATATAATACAATTAATACTCTCTAGATGTATTAGTGAGTTACTGGCATGTGAAAAACCAATAAGAACCCTCTTTTTTTCCCTGCTCTTAATCAAACCAGTCCATTTGGACTTCTGTGCCTGCATCTGAGGCAGATTCACACAACGTCACCCAAAGTGCTGTCGAGGGGCTGCCTTCACTAACTCCTCAGGCAGCATGTGTTAGGTTGGTGCAAACTATAATTGCGGTTTTTGCCATTACTTTTAATAGAAGGCAAAATAGAAGGAAGGCTGCTTGTTAAAAATACAGACTCCTTGGAATTCTGCCCAAAATCTACTTTAAAGTCTCTGAGAACAAAATCCCTCTGCCTTCACATCTGCATTTTAACTGACTTCCTAGGTTTTTATACTGCTGCACAAGTAGATACACTTACAAACAACTCATTGGCACAGAAACATCCCTTCTGTATAATTGTAGACTGTTTAAATCTACATTTATCTTTATTTTGCACATGAAAAGTTCTAAATACCTTTGTTATTCTTTAACTTTTATTATTATTTTTTAAAAATGTTTTCCTCTTCAAACAGTCTATAAGTCAGTTTAAGAATGTGATTCCTGGAGTCACTTGCCCAAAGATATTAGGGTGATAGGGCCTAGAAGAGGAGCAGAACTGAAGAATCTGGAAACCCTCCCAGCAGAGATAGCTGTAGCTGCCTGAGCCCTGTGGGATTCATTTTTTCATCTGCTTAAGACCTCATCTGTATGACACACAGTGGCTTGGGAGAAACTGCATGTTATGTTGCAACTGAGTTGGGTCACACATTTAGCCTGTGTGGTGCTGCAAATAGTTCATAAATTAGGTGACATTTTTGTACTCCGTATATACTTTGGGTCTATGGGTTTGCCTAGGCTCTATGCCAGAACCCTGTGTTCTGACCCCTTAGGAAGTATATGCACAAGGAAGAAATGAGAAGGAGTTACAGATTGCCTTTTCCCTGTATTTCTTAGCAGGGACCTCTTCCCATTACCCAATCTTTACCAGGCAGAAGGGGCCAGACCCCTAACTGGTGCTGTTTATTGCCATTTTCCAGCAAGGTCTGGCCGTGAAAGTGAACCACGTGAATGTCTTGGGAGCCGCCTATGTTCAGCAGGTGTAACCTCACCCACTCTTGCTCATACATTTTCAGGCCAGGCAAGCTGTAGATCATCCCATTAATGGCTGAAAGGACAAAGAGTTGAAATCAATTAAAAATCTGTTGACACAGAGAGGGCGAGTGGTAAGGAAATATGGGGCAACCCACTCAACACCCATGTTCCTCATGATTCTGCATTCCCAGGCCTACCTAGCCATGGAAAGGGCCCTCTTGTATGTCACATTAGTGAGAGGCTAAAGCAGAACCACTAGTCCTTCTCATATCATTCACACCAGCCTACAGCAGAAGGCAGGGGGAACTCCCTTTCCAAGCAGTTTATCACTCTTTTCCTCAGCTTTTACAGTTCCGTGCTTTACCCGTGTATACTTTCCATTAACAGTCTTAATTTTCCTTAACTACAAAAGATAAATACAAATATGGGCAGACAAAGTAAACTCCAGGGATTAGAGTCAGCAAGGAGATATGCAGCATGTCACCTTAAGGCCTTCTAAATTCAGAGAAAGTTTCAGGCAAATTAGGAAGTCTAGGAGTTTATAAAATTAGGAGTTTATCGTTGGTGTATCCAGCAACCATAGCAAGTCATGTTTATTCTCTTATTGGTATGACAACTCCTCTGCCCACTTCTCAGATTAGATAACTAGGGTTCTCAGGCTTTATCTACTCTCCCCACAGTAAAATACGCGGATTTTTTAAAAAGTTCCTGAGAAACTTGATCACCTTAAAAATGTAACACAAAACTGTAAAGATAAAGTTTAGTGTTACCAAACGTTTAACTGAAACCAAAGTGAAGGAAGTGCTTTGTTTCCTCCTTCTTAAGTTAGAGGAACTGCTGTGAAATTTCAGAAACCAGGCAGGTGAATTTTTGGAGAGGGACGGGTTGAGATCATTTGGGCATCCTTCAAATTATATCAGGCGTGAGAACACCTATCTACATATTCATAACACAAGCTCGTACCTTTCTCTTCTCAGTTTCTGTTTCAGTTACTAGCTTACAGGGCAAATTTTCCTTGTGAATTTCCAAATAGGCACACTTTTCCCAGTGTGACCACCCAAATGCTCTCTTGCCACTATTCTCCTATTACCTGGGTACCTAGTTTCTTATCTCATTTTGTTCTCATATGCTTTGGGTGCCACCTGGTAGCTGCTGAGAGCTAAAACTGTTAGCGTCATTCTTATTTTAGAAAAGACACACAGGTGATCATTTCTTTTATATAAACACTTGTGCCTTTAGAGATCCAGAAACAAGCTTATTAACTTTAAATTGCAGAACAATGTTAATTCCTTTTCAATGTATGTTACCAGCTGAAGCACACTGGCTTTTTGTTGTTGTGGTTTTCTGTTGGTTTGTTTTGCAGCAGCTTCTCTGTGCTATCTTTCAGACTTTCTCTTTTTGCCTCACCCACAGTGTCACCTGCCAGATTACATCAGCCCTCTGGAATGTTAAGGAACCGGTTTTAGTTGTAGCTCTGGGTGTCTCAGAAGCATCTCATGTCTAATCTTGTGAATATCTAAGGGCAGAAATCACTGTGACCCAGTGTGATTTAATTAGGAGATTAGATCAAAGTCTGAGGAAAATACCGTGAAACTCATGGGATTTTTTCATTTCTGAGGATGTGAGTCTCCAAGAACTTCGGGACTTCTTTTCATAGTACCAGCTCTTCTTTTCATCAAAGGTCATAAATAGTAAGACAAATTCTCTCATGTCCATAGGCATGTTGCTGTCCTTATGTAGTATTCCTTTTTGGCAGATTAGGAGGGGACCTATCAAGCCTGAGTGAATATCTTTTTCCTGGAAAAACAGAGTAAATTGTATTGCCTCTTTCTCAGGAATTTCCTTGCTCTTCTGATAATCACTCATCATATAGAAAAGGAAACTTTCTGATAGGCTCTGAATTTGAAGATGAAGATTATAAATGAATGGCATAATAAGCCTGGATATTTATCACCTAATTCTGTTGTATTCATAATCCTCCTTCCTCTGATTGATCTTTATCCCAGTAACAATGATGATAATAATAAATTGATAATATAAGGGATACTATTTATTGAGAATCTATTACTATATTAAATGATTTGCCTGCAATCTCCCATTTAATCCTGACAACTATCTTATATGGTAAATATAAATTCATTCATTGAACAAATATTTACCAAGTGCTTACCATGCACTATGTACTGTTATCTCATTTTTAACTTCTGATACCAGGCTAAGAGAGGTCAAGGAATTTCCTAGGATTATGCATTGACAGGGTAAAAATTTAAATCTGAGTCTGTGCTCTTTCCACTATGCCTGAAATGGAGGAGTTGTTTCTCTTTTTAATTGACAGATAAAATTGTATGCATATACTGTGTATGACATATTGTTTTGAAGTATATATACATTGCAGAATGTCAGATAAAGGAGTCTTGACTTTGCAGTTCTTTTCATAAAGAAAGAGCAGAACATAGCTAATACTTGTTCAAGAAAATTTCAAATAAATGCCATCTTCTGTAAATGTAGGCATTCTAATTCATGGCCAATCATTCAAGTAATCTTTCCTCCTCTCCACTGAATAAATGTTTCTCTCTCTGTCATCTGAAGAGCTGCATGGAGAGTCCCTGGTTATGATAAATGCAGACTGTTAACCACACCCTTATGCATTCCTCATGAAAAGCAAGACAGACATTTGACAAGAAATAACCCCGACTCTTCCATTTGGTGGACTTCAGATTACGAGGTTAGGGGAATGAGAAAAACTTTCAATGAAAGTACCTACTGGGTTCACAGCTGAGTAGTAGGCCCAAGCCCGACAGGCAGAGCCAGGACTTTCTGGCCCTGATCGCTCAGTGGCATGCCATACGTAGGTATAACTGCTATTTGGCTGAACAGCATTATCTTCCTTAAACCATTCAGGAGAGTCATCTTCATAAGTCTTTCCCTCTGATGATTTTTCATAGGAAAGTCCATGGGCATGTAGAGAATACGGTCTGGATGCTAAATTTTTAAAACGAACCTAGGAAAAGGAATGATCCACAAATGTACTTAAGCTTAACAAAAATCTAAACCACAAAAATGTCAGCATTATAAGTCAAAATGGCTGGTTATAAAATCGGAGCTAAGATATAAGGTACAAAATAACTTATGTATATTATTTCATTTAATTTTCATAACCATCCTGTGAGATATGGCCCAAGTAGTTTTCTCCAGAAATACCAAAAGATATTTGTTCTTAGGCTCAAGGCTAAAGTACTGACATTATCTACTAATGAAATGAGAGTGATAGGTAGTGGAGATGTGAAGATGAAAGAAGCTTGATTCTTGTTCATAAGAAGCTTTTAAGCTCCTGCTGAAACAGACATGCACATGGGCATCCACACTACAAATCTGGAGACAACAGGTGCTATATACAAAGTCTAAGTGGGTTCAGATGACAATGCCCTGGAGGAACAATTTGGTTGAATATTTAGGAGTGGTTGGAAGAATTAAGGTAAGTTTCTTAGAGGAAATGGAATTGGCCATCATAGAATGAACAGGAGCTAGAAAGACATTTCAGACTCTCAGAAGGGCAGAAGGATGCCTGTGAGCAGGGGAGTAAAGGAAGAGTTTGGGGAATAGCAAGGATCTCGGTGGAACTGGGCTGTGAAATGCACAGGGACAGGTGGAACCTGGTGAGAAATGAGGCTAGAAAAGGAGCAGGTTGGGGCCAGATGGTAAAGGACTTAAATGCCATATGAGAAGTCTTCACACCCCAGCAGTCAGACCCATGAAGCTCCTCCCAGCCCTTCTATAACTTCTAGTGATTAAAGACTCCCTAATTGTCTGTTCCTTATTTTATTCTACAAAGCCAGCATCACCCTAATAACAAAACCTGGCAAAGACACAATGAATAATGAAAACTACCGGCCAATATCTCTGATGTACATAGACACAAAAATCTTCAACAAAATATTGGCAAACCAAATCCAGCAGCAAATTAAAAATTAATTCATCACAATCACATAGGCTTCATTCCTAGGATGCAAAGTGGCTCCACATATGCAAATCAATAAATGTGATTCACCACATAAACCGCATTAAAAACAAAAACAGTATCATCATCTCAATAAATGTGGAAAAAGCTTTTGATAAAACCTAACATCCCTTCATGATAAAAACCCTCAACAAACTAGGCATTGAAGGAACATACTTCAAACTAATAGGAGCCATCTATGACAAACCTACAGCCAACATCATACTGAATGAGCAAAAGCTGAAAGCCTTCCCCGTGAGAACTGGAACAAGACATGGATGCCCAATCTCATCACTCTTATTCAACATAGTACTGGAAATTCTAGTCACAGCAATCAAGCAAGAGAAAGAAATAAAAGGCAACCAAAGAAGAAAAGAAGTTAAAGTATCTCTCTTCATTGGCAATATGATTCTGTACCTAGAAAACCCTAAAGACTCCATGAAAAGGCTCCAGGAACTGATAAATGACTTCAGTAAAGTTTCAGGATGCAAGATTAATGTACAAAATCAATTATACAAAATAAAATGTACAAATGTACAAAATAGCATTTCTATACATCAGTAATGTTCAAACTGAGAGCGAAATCAAGAACGAAATCCCATTAAACATAGCCACACACACATACAAAATACCTAGGAAAACATCTAACCAAAGAGGTGAAAGATCTCTATAAGAAGAATTACAAAACACTGATGAAAGAAATCATAGATGACACAAACAAATGGAAAAACATTCTATGCTTATGTATTGGAAGAATCAGTATTGTTAAAATAGCCATTGTGCCCAAAGCAATCTACAGATTCAACACTATTTTTTAACAACTACTGGAATCATTTTCCTCAGGATTAGACAAAGCTATTCTAAAATTCATATGGAATCAAAAAAGAGCCTGAATAGCCAAAGCAATCCTAAGCAAAAAGAACAAATCTGGAGGTATCACAGTACCTGACTTGAAACTATACTATAAAGTTACAATAACCAAAATAGCATGGTACTGATACAAAAACAGACACATAGGCCAATGAAACAGAATAAAGAACCCAGAAATAAAGCCACACACTTACAACCACCTGAACTTTGACAAAGTCAACAACAACAGCAACAACAACAACAAAAAACAAGGGGAAAAGGACTCATATTTAATAAATGGTGCTGGAATAGCCGGCTACCCATATGTGGAAGAATGAAACTGAACCCCAATGAATCCAATGAAACTGGATTCATCATATACAAAAATTAACTCAAAATGGATTAAAGATTTAAATGTCAGACCTCAAACTATAAGAATCCTAGAAGAAAAACCTAGGAAACACCATTCTGGATATCAGCCTTGGGAAAGAATTTATGACTAATTCCTCAAAAGCATTTCAACAAAAGCAAAAATTGACAAATTAAACTAAAGAGCTTCTGCTCAGCAAAAGAAGCTATCTACAGAGTGAACAGACACAGAATAGAAAAAATATTCACAAAGTATGTATCTGACAAAGGTCTAATATCCAGAAACTATAAGATAGTTAAACAATTGAACAAGCGAAATACAAATAACCCCATTAAAAAGTGGGCAAAAGACATGAACAGATACTTATCAAAAGAAGACATACAAATAGCCAACAAATGTGAAAAAAATGCTCAACATCACTAATCATCAGAGAAATGCAAATCAATACCACAGTGAAATACCATCTCACACCAGTCAGAATGGCTATTAGTACAAAGTCAAAAAATAGATGCTGGTGAGGCTGTGAAGAAAAGGGAATGCTTATACACTGCTGCTTAGAATGTAAATTAGCCACTGTGGAAAGAAGTTTGGGGGTTTCTCAAAGAATTTGAAACAGAACTACTATTTTAAGGGAGGAGACCACCCCTCATATTGTCTTATGCCCAATTTCTGCCTCCAAAGAAAGAAGAAGTAAAAACTAAAAGGCAGAAATGAAATCCACAAGCAGACAGCCCGGCGCCACACCCTGGACCTGGTAGTTAAAGATCGACCCGTGACCTAATCGGTTATGTTATCTATAGATTACAGACATTGTATAGAAAAGCACTGTGAAAATCCCTGTCCTGTTCTGTTCTGTTCTAATTACTGGTGCATGCAGCCCCCAGTCACGTACCCCCTCCTTGCTCAATCAATCACGACCCACTCACGTGGACCCTCTTAGAGTTGTGAGCCCTTAAAAGGGACAGGAATTGCTCACTCGGGGAGCTCGGTTGTTGGAGACATGAGTCTTGCCAAAGCTCCCGGCTGAATAAAGCCCTTCCTTCTTTAACTTGGTGTCTGAGGGGTTTTTGTCTGTGGCTTGTCCTGCTACAATTTGACCTAGCAATTCTATTACTGGGTATATAGCCAAAAAAGAAAATAAATTGTTCAGCCGGGCGCAATGGCTCATGCCTGTAATCCCAGCACTTTGGGAAGCTGAGGCAGGCAGATTGCCCGAGGTCAGGAGTTTGAGACCAGCCTGGCCAACATGGTAAAACCCTGTCTCTACTAAAAATACAAAAATTAGCTGGGCATGGTGGTGGGTGCCTGTAATCCCAGCTACTCGGGAGGCTGAGGCAGGAGAATTGCTTGAACCTGGGAGGCAGAGGTTGCAGTGAGTTGAGATCATACCTCTGTACTCCAGCCTGGGCGACAGAGTGAGACTCCATCTCAAAAAAAAAAAAAAGAAAGAAAGACAGAAAATACATTGTTCTACTGAAAAGACACATGTACTAGGATGTTCATCACAGCATTATTCACAGTAGCAAAGACATGGAATCAATCTAGGTGCCCATCAGTGGTGGACTACATAAAGAAAATATGGTACATATGCACCATGGAATACTACGCAGCCATAACAAAGACTGAAATCACGTCCTTTGCAACAACATGGATGCCAGCTGGAGGCTATTATGCTAAGTGAATTAATGCAGAAACAGAAAGCCAAATACCACATGTTCTCACTTATAAGTGGGAGCTAAACATTGGGTACTCATGAACATAAAGATGGCAATAAACACTGGGGACTTCTAGAAGGGGGAAGGAAGGAGATGAGCAAGGGATGAAAAACTATTGGGTACTATGCACGCTACTTGGATGATGGGATCAATCATACCCTAAACAACAGCATCACATAATATACCCAGATAACAAAACTGCACATATGCCCCCTGAATCTAAAATAAAAGTTAAAATTATTTTAAAAATACACAAATGAAGTCATTTTTATCTAGTGAAATCCAGGGCTAAAACAAAGATTCAGTATTTGATTTTTTTCCTTTTGCCTAAGGCTCCAGTATGTCTCAATGCAACATTGTTACTTATCCTGTCTTTATTCACAATTGTGAGGTTTTGTTTATTGTGGCTTTCGTGCATTAATTTTGATTTTTAAATTTTTTAAAAAACTTCAGTTGCTTTAGGAATGCAAGTGGTTTTTGGTTACATGGATGAATTGTATAGTGGTGAAGTCTAGGATTTTAGTGTACCTGTCACCTGAGTAGTGTACCCTGTACCCAATAGGTAGCTTTTCATCCATCCCCCGTTCCCTTTTGAGTCTCCAATGTCCATTATACCAATCTGTCTGCCTTCGCATACCCGCAGTTTATCTCCCATTTGTAAGTGAGAACATACAGTGTCTGGTTTTTGATTCCTGAGTTACTTAGAATAAGTTTTTTAAATATTGTGTTAAATTATCGTTCATCTTGAAAAAGGATCCCCTAATCATAAAAGAGAATATTGCCTCCCATAGCTTCATGGAAAATTTAGAATAATTAAGATTCTTATATCCCTATGTACTTGTTTACGTTTTTAAAAAGAGCAAATGGTCACTGAAAATGTAGTGAATGCTTACACAGGTATAGTAGATTATATTTTAAAATCTAGAATAGCTTACTTTAGAATCAGGGTTCTTTCTGGGTTTTTGAATGTGAGCGGTTAGCAAAAATGGCGGAAGTAAACTTTGTTATAAAAGCAAGTTATAATCGTGGGTCTGGACACAAGATTTTGAAAGAAATTACCAGAACTAGGAAGACACTGAAGAAACTTGCTCACTTTTGGAGGGCATGGAGACATCTTTACTTTCCTTACTCATTTTATTTAACTTCATTTTATTTAATTTTTAGGAAAACACCTGAAGATATTTCTAAATTACTATTACTACTAGCACTGCTACTGCCACCACCACCACCACTGCTATGAAACCCAATTCAATTGCTCTTGAATATATTAATTTTCTGTGTTAACTTTAGATAGGTTAGCTTTAGATAGAAATTACAGAAAGATTTTCCACAGATTATATAGTTTTCAGCATTTAAAAAATGAGATCTTTTTTTTTTTTAGTTCGAAGATTGCCAAATTGCTTGGCAAGGAGTCTTTGAAAAGAAATGTAATTATTCATTAATCCTGGAAAACAAACAAATCACCTATAGCTCTCTTGCCACCTGCACCTTTACAACCCTCTGGTGCTTGTGGAAATTCCTCCGAAGATCTTAGCAGTGCTCAAAAGACTTACTTGGATAACATCATCCACTTCAGCTCTGATAATAGGACCAAGAATTCCGAGATGCTCTTCATACTCCCCTCGAGGATCACGTTTGGTAAAAGTGCTGTCGAGGTACTTTCGAAAAACTACTTTCTTATATGTGGTATCTTCTGGAATATCATCAGAGTCTTCAATATCTGTTTCCCTGAAATAATAATACTATTTGTGTAAAAGAAGAAATTAAAGACTGTTCCCAGAATTTAGGAAATTGTCTCTTTCTAAATATAGCATCTAGCATAGAGAAGGTCTTTAATAAATACTTGGTGGATAAATGAGTAAATATATAAGTGGATAAAAACAAAAGCCAGTAAATATCTTTCAATTCCTAACTCAAATATTATTTTATAGGTAAGTCTTCCTATGACCTTTTAGACTAGGTCAAGTCTCTATATCAATTTCTCATATTTCTATAGTATTATTATAGTATATATAGTAAATTCCTGTAGTATTCTTATAATATCTCTAGAATATATATTGTAGATTATATATAATTTATTTGTGAGATTATCTATTAATATCTGTCTCTCACTGGGTATAAGTGCCATGAGGTCAGCCATTGTGCCTAGTTTGCTCATAGTACTCTCTCCAGTGGTAAGCACATTATCTGACACACAGCAGGAACTTAATAAATTTTTGTCAAACATATAAATGAATGTATAAATATAATCGTATGTTAACACACCAAATTTTAAGATCAAAGGCAGACAAAGCCATGTAATGGGACAGTGCCAGAGCTTGGGGCTATCAGGTGACAATGGTCAGATTAATTAGAAGGTCACACTTATGAAAGTCACTGGATGGGTGAATGTTTTGTACCCTAAAAGTAGCCACTCTTCTCACATTTGTTTTTTGCTAATGTCCATTATTCTTAAGCTTCTTGACATTGGTGTGGACAAAGATTTTTTGGATTTGACCTCGAAAGTACAGGCAACAAAAGCAGAAATAGACAAATGGGATTGCCATCAAACTCAAAAGTTTATGCACAGCAAAGGAAATAACAGAGTGAAGAGACAACCTTTGGAATGGGAGAATATTCTTGAAAACCAGATATCTGATAAGAATATTAATATTAAAAATATAAGGAACTCAATTCAGCAAAAAACCCAAATAGCCTGATTAAAAAATGAGCAAAAGACTTGAATAGACATTTCGTAAAAGAAGACATACAAATGACCAACAAATATATGAAAAGATGCTCAACATTACTAATAATCAGAGAAATGCAATTTAAAATCACAATGAGGGCTCACCTCACACCGTTAGGATGGCTATTATAAAAATGACAAGAGATAAATGTTGGCATGGATGTGAAGAAAAGGGAACTCTTGTATACTCTTGGTGAGAGTGTAAATTAGTACAGCCATTATGGAAAACAGTATGGGAGGTTCCTTTAAAAATTAAAAATAGAATTACCACATGATCCATCAATCCCACTTTTGGGTATATACCCAAAGAAAATGAAATCAGTATGTTGAAGAGATATCTGCTGTCCCACGTTCACTGCAGCATTAGCCACATTAGCCAAGATAGGGAAGCAACCCAAATGTCTATAAACAAATGAATGGATTTCTTAAATGTGATCTACATAAACAATGAAATACTATTTAGCATTTAAAAAAAAGAAAACGAAGAAATGCCATTTGTGACAACATGACTGAACCAGGAGGTCGTTATGTTACATAAAATAAGCCAGGCACAGAAAGACAAGTACTGCAGGATCTCACTTATAATGTGGAAACTAAAAACATTGAGCTCATAGAAGCAGAAGGTAGAACAGTGGTTAACAAAGGGATACAGAGGTGGAGCATTGAGAAAATGGTCAAAAGATAAAATTCAGTTAGAAGAAATAAATTTAGAAGATCTGTTGTATAAGATGGTGACTGTAGTTAATAACAACACACTGAATTTTTAACATTGCTGAGTACATTTTAAGTGTTCTAACCACAAAAAAGTATGTGAGGTAATGCATAGGTTAATTAGCTTGATTTAGCCAATTCACAATTTATAAATATATTAAAACATCATGTTTACACCATAAATGTGTATAAAACAACAACAACAAAAAAACTGGGGTACACCCATATAATGGAATACATGCAATAACCAGATGAATCTCCAGAGAATTATACTGAGTGAAAAAATACCAGTCCCCAAAGGTTACATGTTGCCTGATTCCATTTATGTAATATTCTTGAAATGACAAAATTATAGAAATGGAGATCAGACTACTGGTTGCCAGGGAATAAGGAAGGGCTATGGTGGGAGGAAGGCAGATGTGACTATAAAGGGGTAATGAGAGGGATTTTTATGGTGATGGTGAACATTCTGTGTCTTGACAGTATCAACATCAGTGTGCTGGTTGTGATATAGTATTATAGATTTGCAAAATGTTACCCCTGGGAGAAACTGGGTAAAGAATACTCAGGATACCCAAAGGATCTCTCCGTATTATTTCTCTTGACTGTATGTGAATCTATTTTATTTTTGTTCCAAAATAAAAAGTTTAATTACAAATTATAAATAAATAAATAAAGCACATTATTTCCATCTAGTTCATTGGCTCAGTCTAGGACTGAAGCATGTCGAATTCTCCCACTGACTCTCACATTTCCCAAGCCTGTGGAAACAAGCCAAACACTCACCCATCAAACCCATAATATTTGCTATATACTGTGAGTCATCAACAGAGAATCTCCTTCTGCCTTTCTTCTGGTCTACCTCCCCTACTAATCCCATCTTTCCAGACTCTGAGCATAACATGCAAACTCACAGAACACAAGGGAGTGGGTAAAGCAACTCCGAATGCCATAAAAGTGGGTTGTGAGCCTTGAATGGAATACAAGATTTTGAAGGTGGTTCCATCCCTATTCACTCTGGACAGGCCCTGCATCTCACTCCCTCGGGGCCTTGCTTAGAAATACTCAGGTAGCTAGTTGTTCTCATGTGGTATTGAGTGCAACATTTAAATAGGAAGTCATAGGAAAAGGTGTTTTAAACAGAGTTCTAATGTGGAGATGTCAGGCATCAGATTAATGAACTCATATGCATAAGTCACACCATACATTGTGTTTGCCTACTGTAATTACACTTTGGTTTTTTAAGTGATTAGTGTAACAGCTTTAGTAAAAGCTGTGGGCATATCTAGACAGCTGATGCACAGTCATCATGCTATATCCCTGAGAATTTGTAGTTGACTAAGCCTTGCTCCTTTCCTCCTCTCTCTTCTCTTTCTGTATCTTCATCCCAGAACAAAGAGCCCAGTTCAACATGGCTTTCTACCCCTAAGCAAAACTGAATTGTAAATATTCTTTTAAAAAAGGGATTTGGATCTCTTAGAAATTCTGATCTAAACAAGTAAATGCAAAAAGGAGATTTCTACATCATATTTGAGTTTGGATTTGAGGCTAACTTCAATTAAATCATATTGATTAGCATATAGCTATGGATAGGTTGGGCTCTGCCTGGAGCAATAAGAGTCAGTAGAAACATGGGTAGTAAGAGGAGAGGACACAGAAAAATGCTTAATTACAGAATATTATAGAGTTCTCACAGTGATTGTTCTTATATTGTCCAGGGGTCATCTAAGGTAAAGAAGCAATCTTGGAATTGACAAAGGAAAAAGAACAGGCCAACTTGCAATAGGGGAACCACACTGTTCTTAGTATAATTTGCCCACAATTATCCCCCTGAATTGTAGTAGCTACTTTTTTCAGCAGTAATGGAAAAATGAGAATAAAAAAGGAGAAAACTGGCCAAACCTTTGTACAAATTCTGAATAATCCCAGGATATTTCTTCAGCAGCAATGTAATAATTTCTTCTGTTTCCATTGTTGCTGCGGAGGTACCATGCTGCAATGTTGTCAGGATCTCTGGAGGAGTTGATGTTTGTCCTAACATCAGTTTTGTAGGGGTCATCATAGGGCACATAATCAATTTCAGCATAGTCATCTTCACTGCTCTGGACCTCTTCCTTTGGAATGATCTCAATGTAATCTGTACCATCTTTACTGAGGCCCACTATAACCAGTGGATTAAATTCCTTTGATAGAAAAGTATCATTGAGAGTAGGAGATGAAGGAGATGGCATCTGACCAAGGTCTGGATAAGGAAAAGACTCATTAAATTCTTGAAGAAGCAATGACTGACTAGATTCAGAAGGGTAGAATATCTGATCAAGGTCTGGAGGAGGTGATATCTGGCTGAGATCCGGGAGAAGGGTGGTGTCACTGATGTCTGGAGAGAGAGTCACCTGGCTGAGGTCTGGGGAAAGGGACATCTGACCAAAGTTTGGGGAAAGATCTGTCTCACCAAGGTCTGGAGAAAGTGTCATCTGGTCGAGGTCTGGGGTAAGGGGAATTTGACTGAGATCTGCAAAGAGGGGCATCTCACTGAGGTCTGGGGAAAGGTTTGTCTGACTGAGTTCTGGAGAGAGGTTTGTCTGGCTGAGGTCTAGAGAAAGGGTTGTATGGCTGGGGTCTGGAGAAAGGGGCATCTGACCGAGGGCTGGGGAAAGGTTTGTTTGACTGAGTTCTGGAGAGAGGTTTGTCTGGCTGAAGTCTAGAGAAAGGGTTGTATGGCTGAGGTCTGGAGAAATGGGCATCTGACCGAGGGCTGGGGAAAGGTTTGTCTGACTGAGTTCTGGAGAGAGAGTCATATGGCTGAGTTCTGGAGAGAGGTTTGTCTGGCTGAAGTCTAGAGAAAGGGTTGTATGGCTGAGGTCTGGAGAAAGGGGCATCTGACCGAGGGCTGGAGAAAGGTTTGTCTGACTGAGTTCTGGAGAGAGGTTTGTCTGGCTGAGGTCTAAAGAAAGGGTTGTATGGCTGAGGTCTGGAGAAAGGGTTGTATGGCTGAGGTCTGGAGAAATGGGCATCTGACCGAGGGCTGGGGAAAGGTTTCTCTGAATGAGTTCTGGAGAGAGAGTCGTGTGGCTGAGGTCTGGAGAGAGGTTTGTCTGGCTGAGTTCTGGAGAGAGGGTCACCTGGCTGAGGTCTGGAGAGATGACTGTCTGCCAGACTTCATGTTCTGAGGAAGGGGACATTTGACTTATATCTGTGGGGAAGGACTTGTGACTTCGGTCATACTCAAGCATTTCACTGAGCTCTGGAGAAGAGGATCTGTGACTGGGGTCTGAAGTAGAGTGCATTTGATCAGGGTCTTGAATGGGGAATGTTTGATAGTGTTCCTCTGGGGGCACTGTCTGATAAAGACCTGGAGGACAGCTTGCCTGACCAGTGTCATTTGAGGAATTCTGATTATGGTCAGGAAGTGAGGCTATCCAGCCAAAATCCATAGAGGGCAATGTCTGATTGAGGTCTGTGGGAAGAGATGTTTCATTGGATTTATGAAGCACCAACGAATGCTTAAGTCTTCTTTCTGAAAATGTGTTGTAGGCTTCACTTCTTAGAGGGTGAAAGGTCCTCGGAGATAAAGGAGCATGGTGTGTGTGCTTCTCTTTTTTCTTTTTTCGTGTCTTAATGAGAAACTGGCTTTTCTTCAGTCTACTCTTTCCTCCATCCTGTCTTACTTGTAGAGATTTATGTCTAACTCTAGGAAACTTTGGGTGGCCACTCTGCTTTCCAGGCTTGTTGGCAAGAGGGGTGCTTTCTCCCCAAGCACGTGAGGCATTCTGGGGGCTGATCAGCCAATTGTTAACAGCTGTGTCTTCATCAGTATCTTGGATTATTTCATAGCTACCTTTCTCAGAAGCCAAATGCCATCTCCCAACCAAAATCTTAGATGAGTTACTTTGTTTTAAGAGTAACAGATCACTAGGAGGGTCCTTCCAGGGCCTCATTCTGGAAGGAGAACCAGTGTCTTGGCTAGGAAGGTCCTCCCAGGGCCTCATTCCGGAAGGAGAACCAGTGTCTTGGCTTAGGTGTCTCCCAACTTTATGTGCTAGTAATTTCATCCAGGAGAACCTGTGCTTTGCTGCTTGATCTCTTTCTACCTTGGGTCCCTTATGCTTAGCATGTTCTTGACTTTTGAATTCTCCAGCACCAAGTGAAAGTAGACGTATCCCTGTGACATCTGGCTGTAGAGGATCCTCTATAGGGTCTTCAGAATATGGGCTGGAATGCTCTGCTGTGGAAGAATTGAGAACTGAGTTCTTGCCAATGAGGTGTCTCAGTGGGGAACCAGCTGTGGTGGCTTGTTGGTGAGAAGGGGCTTTCTGAGGTTCTGCAAGGTTATTGACAGTGAACTTACTAATATTACTTGGGGAAGAATAATTTGAACCAACAATTATATCTGTGTTTGAAGAAACGAATTCAGTGCCATTCTCCAGAGCTAGGGCAGTAAGATTGAACTCTTCTTCTTCCTGATTCAATGATGAGTTTCGGAATGACCTGATTCCTAATGCTGCAGCCAGTCTGTTCTGGTAATCATAGTCAGCATCACTCTCTTCATCTTCAGGTTCTAAACGATCATGCATTTTCCGTGTAGCCATGACTGTAGATTCTGGAGGTTCAAAAATCTCATATGAGTCTTCATCATCATCTGGGATACATTTAACATCCCTGAATTTCAGCCTCAGCTTTTTGCTTCTTGGACTAGAATTCATGGAAGTTAACATCCAAGTTCCTACAGAAGAGAGACAGACAGAAGAGAGATCTGGAAGTCTGGGAAAAGACATGAAAACACAATAATCCATTGTGGCAGGTAATTTCTAATAAACTTTCGTCAGGAATATTCAAGTATGGGCTGTGGACCACTGCTTGTCTGTGACCTATTGATTACTGGGTCAAAATAACACAAGGAGAGAAAAATGAGAATGAAATATTTAGTAAACTTTTGTTTTTCTAAAGCAATTTGACATTGCTGTGACTCTAAGCACATGACCAGTGCGTTCATCTCGCTTAACAGAATAAAAAACAAAAGTGTTGCTTAGTGGAGATTAGAGGGGAAAAAAGGTCTTTCAGCACAGATAGTTGCTCACTATTTTAAAATATATTAAGAAAGGGATGAATCAAGAATAAAATGGACTTTTAATATCATAAATATCCTAACAGCACATCTTGTCTTAGAATTAAAGGGATGGTGATGAGCTCTATCCCCACAAATAAGAGACATTTAGATGTTTCTAAGTAATAATTCACGAGGACAATTTTGAATCTCTGAAATGGCATGCATTGCTGGAACATCAAAGATTTCTTGGTGAGTCTCCAATAGTTACCATTGTTGGTGTCTACTGAGTGCTAGGCACTTGGCGCATATTACTATTTTAATGGTCAAAGTAACTCTGTGAGATGTGATTACACTGTTTTCCAGATAAATGACTTGTGGCTCAGTGTGGCCAAGTAACTTGTGTAAGGTTACACAGCAATCGATTGGCAGATCAGGACTTGCATTCCAGTCTGACAAACTCCAAAGCTGTTGCTGAAGCAGCCTTTAAGGCACTGTACCTGATGATTGAAGATGACTGTTGCAAAAAACCGAATAGGGCATTTTGATAAAAGAAATGCTCTTTTGTGGCCAAAATATTTATGCTTCTTCCTCAGAGTTATGCCTTATTTTTCTGCTGTTGTATATTTTTACTTCCTACTTTGCCCAGAGAAGGAAAAATATAACCCACACTAAAGAACTGGATCCATTTAAGTCATTAATTTCTCAAAGAGAAATCATGAGAAACATTGAAAGAAAAGCCTGCAGGGGGTCAGGGAGATACATAGAGGAGCACTGGTAGCCTGGAGAGTTGCAGCAGACCTTTATAGACCAGAAATTCAAAGCAAGCTTCCTCTGTGAGTGTCCAGACTCTTACTCACCAACATTATCCATTGTGACCGTCACAGATTCTCCACGCATGGGGAAGAGGGTCAAGGTGTCCTCATGCCTCTTTCCATAGATGAATGAGTGCCCAGTGAAGTGGATGGTCAAAATTTCATTCTGGGTCCCCACACTACAGAAGTGCCACTGGACAGTGTCATCAAAGCAGAATCCAAGAGTAGTTATGCTCTCAGGCACATAGCCATTGATAGCTGAAAGTGTAAAATCTGTTAAAATTCCAAGTCTATGCCAACAAAAGGGCATGTGTCTAATTATACCTAAGATAAATGTCTCCATGTTAATTTGGTTGTGTCAAAGCAGTGATTATCCAAGATAAGCTTTATCTAGTCTAACATGTGACTAGAAGATCAAACTCAGAATTTTCAAATGAGAGATTATTCTCCTAAATTAGCCAAAGGAGAAATCTCAGGAAAAAGATAAAGCCTTCCATTTACATTGATTTAGTCATTCATCAAATGTATAGTAAATATTTTGTGCTCCATTCTCTGCCTTTAAAGATATTCTAATAATTCCACTTGGAGGAAAAGCATAATATAAGAAATTCATCTTTTTGATATATTAGTCATTGGGTAAGAAGTAATGTCCCTAAAAATAAAGCCCATTTAGCATATTTTATAGTTTTTATTGCTGTCTTATAATCTACATAGTATTCACAGTTTCCATTTGAGTATCCAGTTCATACATTTCATTATTGTTAAAAGGGACACTGCTGTAGGCAATATTTTTATTTACTTATGTACTAAGCATAGTAAAAAACCAAAGGTATGATTTCTACAAGGGCAGGGCTCATGTCTACCTCGATTACCACTCTTAGCCTTAGTACCAGTATAATGACTGGCATTAACAAATATTTAAATACCTACTTAAATCACTTAAGTGACTTTAATAATTTACATGATGTATTATTAGTTTATACCTCATTCTAGATGTTTTTCTAAATGGTCTATAACTGCATTGTTCAATATGGTAGCCACTGGCTACAAGTGGTTATCGAGCACTTGAAATATGGGTAGACTGGACTGAGATATGCTGTGAGTATAAAATATACATTGAATTTCAAAGACTTAGTAATAAAGTAAGTCTCATTAATTTTTATATTGGTTACATGTTGAAATGATAATATTCAGGATATACTGAGTTAAGTAAAACATATTACTAAAATTAATGTCACCTATTTCTCTTTACTTTTTAATGTTGCTATCAGAAAATTTTAAATTACGCATGTAGCTCATACGTAGTTTCTATTGGACAGCACTGGTCTAGAACTATGATAGATTCACTGCCAAAAGGAAGTTATGCAAAGAAAGCTGAGAGTAATTTTCTGTTTGAATTATTTGACCTGGCACCTGTCAGCTCTGATAATCCCTAGCTGTCAGTCATCTGAAGCTATATGAACAGAACATGCAGAAATCATCCTCACATGTGTGATTACCTACTAGAGAAGGTGATTACCATGACTCTAGACTCTGAGGATCAGTAGGGGGACCCTGGCTGTTGTGGAGAAGTTTGCTTCCAGCTGGCTCAGTGACATTTCTCTCAGACTGCCATGGCAGTGCTTTTGGCCACTGAACTTTAGAACTGCAGCAAATGCCGGAACCCTCATTCAGGGAATTCCTTTTGTTCTGAAAATCTTACTGATCACTTGAAATGTCTTCATGCATGCCTTTCCAAGACTCTTGGGTCCCTATACTCATTTTGCTCTACTTTGATGTGTCAATCCATCTTTGGATTACTTGCCTTCTTTCTGTCCTAGCCATATATTCACCCTGAACTCAGTCTAGGATACTATTGACATGGACTATAACACCTTCCATTAGTCCTACTCTCTCACCCTTTTCCTCACCACGCAGAGTATGTCTGTGTACACACACACACACACACACACACACACGCTTGGAATAGAAGATCAAACGCATTTCTAAGGATGTGAGCCTTTGACCTCTTGCTTAAAAATGTTGCTATGATGTCACCCACGGATTTCATCACCAAGTCTTTGGACTGGAAGTGAGGATTGGAGGTGCCCCTTAGCGAGTAGATTTTAATCCATGTCTCTGACTCTAGGCACAGTCATATTTCAACCACAGGAATGAAAAACTGATGAACAAAAATAGTACTCTGACTTACTGCTCATGATGTTTGATTCATAAAACTTGGGGTCATCACGTTTCACCTCATCAGGATTTTCACAAAACTTGTTGATGTTGTCCTCAAGGTACCAGCTTTTGTTCTCATCAAACACAGCAAACACAGCCTGCTGTTCGATGTCTGCTGCCCTCTGGAGGACAAAACAGTATAGTACTGGTACAAGAACAGACGCATAGACCAATGGAACAGAATAGAGAACTCAGAAATAAGGCTGCGCACCTACAACTATCTGATCTGTGACAAAAGCAAGCAATAGGGAAAGGATTCTCTATTCCATAAATGGTTCTGGGAAAACTGGCTAGCCGTAGGCAGAAAATTGAAACTGGACCCCTTTCTTACATCATATACAAAAATTAACTCAAGATGGATTAAAGACTTAAATGTAGGCCTGGCGCGGTGGCTCACGCCTGTAATACCAGCACTTTGGGAGGCCAAGGCGGGTGGATCACCTGAGGTCAGGAGTTGAAGACCAGTCTGGTCAACATGGCAAAACCCGTCTCTACTAAAAAAAAAAAAAAAAAGAAAAGAAAAGAAAAGAAAAGAAAATTAGCCAGGCATCGTGGCTTATGCCTGTAATCCCAGCTACTCGGGAGGCCGAGGGGCCGAGGCAGGAGAATCACCTGAACATGGGAGGCAGAGGTTGCAGTGAGCTGAGATCGTACCACTGCACTCCAGCCTGGGCAACAGAACGAGACTCCATCTCAAAAATAACAGAAACAAACAAACAAAAAACAACAACAACACACTTAAACGTAAAACCCCAAACTACAAAAACCCTGGAAGACAACCTAGGCAATATTATTTGGGACATAGGGATGGGCAAAGCTTTCATGACGAACATGCCAAAAGCAATAGCAACAAAAGCAAAAATTGTCAAATGGGATTTAATTGAAATAAAGAGCTCCTGCACAGCAAAAGAAACTATCAAGAGAGTAAACAGACAACATTCAGAATGGGAGAAAATTTTTGCAAACTATGCATCTGGCAAAGGTCTAATATGGAGCATTTATAAGGAACTTAAATTTACAAGAAAAAAACAAACAGCCCCATTAAAAAGTAGGCCAAGGACAGGAACAGACACTTTTCAAAAGAAGACACACATGTGGCCAAAGAGCATATGAAAAAAACGCTCAACATCACTGATCATTAGAGAAATGCAAATCAAAACCACAATGAGATACCATCTCGCACCAATAAGAATGGCTATTATTAAAAAGTCAAAAACTAACAGATGTTGGCAAGGTTGTGGAGAAAAAGGAACACTTATACACTCTTGGTGGGAGTGTAAATTAGTTCAACCATTGTGGAAGATACCATGGTGAGTCCTCAAAGACCTAAAGTCAGAAATACCTTTGAACCCAGCAATTCCATTACTTGGTATGTACCCAAAGGAATATAAATCATTCTGTTATAAAGACACATGCATGCGTATGTTCATTTTCGCACTCTTCACAATAGCAAAGACATGAAATCAACCCAAATGCCCATCAATGACAGACTGGATGAAGAAAATATGGTACATATACACCATAGAATACTATGTGACCATCAAAAAGAACAAGATTATGTCCTTTGCAGGGACATGGATGGAGCTGGAGGCCATTATTCTAAGCAAGTTAACGCAAGAACAGAAAACCACATACTGCATGTTTTCACTTACAAGTGAAAGCTAAATTATGAGAACACATGGACACATAGAAGGGAACAATACATACTGGGGCCTATCAGAGGATGGAGGGTGGAAAGAGGGAGAGGATCAGAAAAAATAACTAATGGATACTAGGCTTAATACCTGGGTGATGAAGTAGTAAGTACAACAGACCTCCATGACACATGTTTACCTATGTAACAAACCTGCACATCCTGCACATAAGTACCCCTGAACTTAAGAGTAAAAAAAAAAGAAAAAAAAGTGCTGTATTCAGTCATTAACATTGCAGCAAATTATCTACACCACTGAGTTCTCAGAAACCAAAGTGACATAGTTCTTGGAACTACTGAAGCCATATAATTCAGGCATTTATGAGAGTCCATTGTGTACACAGCACTTGTTAGAGCTAAAGGTAATATGCAAAAGCAAACAGAACAGATAAGAAAATTCAGAGATTAAAATATCCCAAAAGAGCCGGGCACAGTGGCTCACACCTGTAATACCAGCACTTTGGGAGGCTGAGGCAGGTGGAACACCTTAGGTCAGGAGTTCGAGACCAGCCTAGCCAACATGGTGAAACCCTGTCTCTACTAAAAAATACAAAAATTACATGGGGGTGGTGGCGGGCGCCTGTAATCCCAGCTACTCAAGAGACTGAGGCAGGAGAATCACTTGAACCCAGGAGGCAGAGGTTGCAGTGATCTAAAATGGTGCCACTGCTCTCCAGCCTGGGTGACAGAGTGAGACTCTGTCTCAAAAGAAAAAAAAAAAAAAAACAAATCCCAAAAGAAAAATCTCATTTCGCTATGGCAGCTGAAAGTCTGTCTATCTCTGTAATTGCACACCTTTCAACATGAATGATTGACTGAATATGCTCTGAATAAGTGCAAAGGATGAAAGAGAAGGTTGCAATAGAAAAGCCTTATGCTTCTACTACCTGTTTCCTTTCCTAGCTCAATAAATCAGGATCTTCCATATGTCCAGAAATTCATTTCTGCTTTTTCTAGGCATATGTTTATTTTGTATGCCTTGAGATAAGACCTCTTTGGTTACAGTTTAGCATAATTGGGAATTTTAGTTTAATAATATGAGACTACAATTCTTCAATGAAGACAAACTCAGAAATTCAGTATCTTTGTTCACATTCTTCTGTATACTTTAGTCTCAACAGAGATGGGCCATAATCTGGGTCCAATTTCACTAGGAACTATGTCTCTAAATTTGGTTGCTTTCAGAGAATCTCTCCTCTGTCTCCCTATTGCAGGTCTCTAAAAATAGCAAAGACTGGTAAAGAGCTTTATACTTTTACCAGATGGTATCTCACTGAACCCCCAAACAGACCTGTAACATTTTTAGGAGGGTTATTACCCATTTGATAAAAGGAAGAAATTAGGAAAGGCTAATCAACTTGCTCAACACATCCAATACCAACAGACCTGGAATTTGAAACTAAGACAAAATATGTTATCACACTCTAGACTTGCCTTCGGCAGTGATGGTACTGATAAAAATAGACAAGACAAAAAAAAAAAAAGAATAAATGTTATCACACTGGTGCTAAAAAGGACTACTTGACAATTACTGTTCTCTTGAAGGAAATGCCCCATTATTTAGCCAGGAGACCTAACATGTTCTAGCCAGAAGAAATTCTCAGAATTTCTGAAAGGTTACTTCAAGGACAAAATACCTGTATTCCTCGCCTGTCCAGGGATCTGCTCTTACAGATTAGAAGTAGTCCTATTAGCCCAGAGGCGATGTCTCTCATGATGTCCACGTCACTGTAGTATGGTCTTGTTAAGCACTGGGCATCATTTTCTGTGGGTTCATCAAACTCTAAGATGTTCCACTTATAAGTATAGGTTTCCCCTGGTTGAACTGCTCTGATCATGGTGTTGTTCCTGCCTGAAAGAAAATATATTCAAAATTGTTTTCATTTGCAAAGT
Source organism: Homo sapiens (assembly GCF_000001405.40). Lineage (NCBI taxonomy): Eukaryota > Metazoa > Chordata > Mammalia > Primates > Hominidae > Homo > Homo sapiens. Next base: position 169,550,057 of record NC_000001.11, read on the forward strand.
TATTTCATGATAATAAATAAATAAATAAGCTTTCGCTGGAACCAATTAATATTGCAAAAGGAATTCTTTTATTTTTATTTTTTTTAAATTATACTTTAAGTTCTAGGGTACATGTGCACAACGTGCAGGTTTGTTACATATGTATACATGTGTCATGTTGGTGTGCTGCACCCATTAACTTGTCATTAACATTAGGTATATCTCCTAATGCTATCCCTCCCCCCGCCCCCCACCCCCCCCCCCCGACAGGCCCCGGTGTGTGATGTTCCCCATCCTGTGTCTAAATGTTCTCATTGTTCAATTGAATTCTTTAAATATTCTACTTGGAACCTGGATAACATGTAGCCATTAGATAATGCTCCACTAGAGGCCACTATGACACTAATAAAAGACACCATATTTTGTTACCACTAAGAGACAAAACTCCTGAAGTGAGAAGGGTTTGGCTGTGATTTTTAGGATACTCCTACATGTATACTACCTGACTGCAGTAGTGACACCACCGGGCAAGGAGAATAGCAGAAAAATGTGGCAGCCTCTCAGAAGTTACTAGTTGGATTCAGTAGAAGTGAAAGATTCAAACCTGAGGTGAAAGAAGAGTTGACTTCATCTTCATAAGGCGAGAAGGTCACTCCATGAGGGTAAATGCTATAGGGGCGGCTGGCCATATTTTTGAACACGATCTACAAAGTTAAATCAAATTTATTCTAGGATTTAAGGTTGATCATGACAAATAATATAAGATACTAGCTTTGCATATTCACCTTTTGGATGGTGTGTGTGTATACATGTGTACACACAGTAGGAAAATTAGATCTGTTTATCTGAGCAGTAACCTCCCCTCATCACTTGGCAGGAGCATTGGAGAGAGTGTTTCACTCACACATTAAGGTGGAAAATGGAAAGAGAAGTCTGACTTTAGAGGATAGGTTAGGAGAAGTGACGTTTTCCTCACAGTATCACTCTCTCCAAGCAAGTCCTCCTTCCCCTGCCCTTCTCTTTTCAGCTTGGGCCACATCTCATTTTGAATCTGCTTCTCATCTCTAGACCATGATCCCCTTCCCCTGCCCGGTAGATTTTTTAGGACACTGTCTTTGAAGTCATCTTCTCAGCTAGGTTCAGTGGCTCAAACCTGTAACCCCAGCACTTTGGGAGGCTGAAGCAGGTGGATCACTTGAGCTCAGGAGTTCAAGACCAGCCTGGGCAACATGGTGAAACCTCATCTCTACAAAAAAATACAAAAATTAGCCAGGCGTTGGGGCGTGTGCCTGTAGTCCCAGCTACTTGAGAGGCTGAGGTGCGAGAATCGCCTGAGCCCAGGAAGTGGAGGTTGCAGTGAGCCATGATCACACCACTGCACTCCAGCCTGGGTGACAGAGTAAGACCCTTGGTGGGGGGGAAAAGCTACTTGCTTGAGAGGCACAGACAAATAGCCAGATCCTGAACTTTTAATAAGGTATGTCTACACTTGCTGAGAGCACATAAAAGGGATCAGAAATGGAAGAAGGGAAAGAGGCATGGAGAAAAAAAACTGCTTTTGTCCTTTGGCTATTTTAAATGAACAGAATAGACCTTGTCAGGTGCATAAAACACACAGGAGTCCTAGTTAGGCTCTTTAATCTGCAAAAGAGAACCTTAATCCTATCTTCTATTTGGTTGATTGTCAAAGCCTTTGGATCATCCTTTGTCTGTAGATTAACTACACTCTAGGATTTTGTCAAAGATTGCAACCTTTAATTCTCTGCTGTCCAATTCTTATCTATCTTGGTGAAGTGACATGACATTTAAGGAGAATTGTCTGAGGAAAACTCCGTGCTCTTGATACATGGAGTTTACCTTCATCAGAGTCCAACCATTAGAGAGCTGCATACCTAGACTACATTAAAAAATGAGTAAAAATTGTTTCTATTCAATTGTGTTTACTGTTATATCTTAGCTATAATGAGAAATATTTTAATGCAACTTTTAATCTATTATTTTATGCAACTTTTAATCTATTATGCTGGTTATAAGAATTTTATCAAGGATGCCATCTACTGTATCACTCAGCACTCTCTTTTGTAGAACTCATTAAAGAAGTTCCTCTTAGATCTTAACATCAGGATAAATGGTGCTTTCTTTTTGTAGATGATGTAAACTTCACCCTGACATATTTCCTTTTTTACACTGACTGCCATAAAGCTTAGGACAAAATTTGAAGACAGCCTTACAGGGTCACATGGTATCTACTTATCTGTGGCTTTATTTTCTTTGTCCCCGTATTCTATCCCAATTACATAGACTCCTTGTTTTATGCCTTTATAACTTGAGAAACTGTCTCAGATCCTTTGTATTACTGAGTAAGCTGTAAATAAATACAAATACTAAATAAAAACTAAAAGTTGCATTTGAATTTAAAATTATATGAGCATCTTTTTCTTTTAAAATTAAAAAATAACCAGGTACTCCATAATATTTTACTATGTAATTTCTCCCATGATTCTGTATTTGTGTTACTTACTTTGAGTGTGTCTCTGACCTGGGCTCTGATAATAGGACCCAAAATCCCATCTTCTTTCATATTGGGATTCACTGTATGTTTGGTGAAGGACTCATCTTCGTACTGTGTGTACATAACTTTCTTATAATGTTTTCCAATTTGGTTTGAGAAATTATCCAAATGCTGAGACCTGTATTTTCTTAAAGTGAAGTAAAAAAAAATTAAACCACTTTCTCAAATAGAGATCTCGGTAGGATGGGGAAACCCTTGTGCTTAAACATTCTGCTCTTAGATTAGCTAACATACTAGTTCTCTAAAAATTTCTTAGTGTAGTTTGCAAAGTCCTTATGTTTTCTGTCTAGTTGGAAAACTGGAAACTTCTGATTTGTCTCCTGCATCACTGATAAAAGTCATAGGTAACTGGTTAGAAGCAGCTACTTAGATCTTCCTGTCATTCTTATTGCTACAGCAGACATTTGATATCTCTGGGAAAAGGCCTATACTGGCTGAAAAGATACTAGGAATTTTTCTAAAGTCTGTCCTATCACTTATTCTATGATAGCCTTTTTGGTTTTAAAGGTATTTCTTAATCCCTAAAAGCAACTTCCAACCCCAGGAAACATTTACTAGCATTGTTAATCATAGTTCTGTGCTATTGGGCTATCTCTTCCACCATCTAGCCAATTCTCTGAGCTGACTGAAAAGCAACCTCCTTCACCCATCTTTTGTAGCTACTGGGATAAATACTTTGGGAGCAGAAACATGAACCACTTTTCCCCTGCCCTCTTTATTACCTTAGTTTGCAAAAGCAACTACATGCGGCCAAAAAGCACATTTTAAAAAGCTCAACATCAGTGTTCATGAGAGAAATGCAAATCAAAACCACAATGAGGCCGGGCGCGGTGGCTCACGCCTGTACTCTCAGCACTTTGGGAGGCCGAGGCGGGCAAATCACGAGGTCAGGAGATCGAGACCATCCTGGCTAACACGGTGAAACCCCATCTCTACTAAAAATACAAAAAATTATATTTTTTGTATTTTGTATTTGTGTTGGCGGGCCCCTGTAGTCTCAGCTACTCGGGAGGCTGAGGCAGGAGAATGGCGTGAGCCTGGGAGGCGGAGCTTGCAGTGAGCAGAGATTGCGCCACTGCACTCCAGCCTGGGCGACAGAGCGAGACTCCGTCTCAAAAAAAGAAAGAAAAACGCAATGAGATGCCCTCTCATGCCAGTCAGAATGGCGATGATTGAAAAGTCAAGAAAGAAGAGATGCTGGCAAGGTCATGGAGAGAAAGGAACACTTATACACTCTTGGTGGAATGTAAATTAATTCAGCCATTGTGGAAGACAGTATGGCAGTTCCTCCAAGACCTAAAGTCAGAAATATCATTTAACCCAGCAATCTTTTAAGATGGAATATCATTTTATGAATTTATTTTTCCCAGTGGAAAGCACTGACTGTTGCCAAACACTCCTGGATTCCTATCTCAGTTCTGTCAACAATTCTATAATCTTGGCCAAATTTTTTTTGTTCTTTTTCCTAGTTTAATTGTTTTTAATAGAAAATACATTCACATAATTTTTATTACAGTGAAAACTCTCACTTTTCTCTGATGACTCTCAAAATGACCTCCCTACCCTCCCTGAATTTTCTAGGTAGCCATATATTAATTTCATGCGTGTAATTCCAGAATACCTTTATGTCTTACAAATAAGAAAATATAAATATTCTTATCCCTTTCACTCCTTTAACAAAAGGCAGCTATGTATACACGCTATACTACATCCCAGCTTTTTAATTTAATAACATATCTTGGAGAACTTTTTGTATTAGTACATACAGAGTGTTTGCATCCTCTTTTTTTGATGCTTAGTATTCCATTGTATGAATGTATCCTAATTTATTAAACTAGTTTTCTACTGATGGACATTTTGGGTTGTTTCCAGTCTTACTACTACTAACGTTGCAACAGTGAATATGTTGTACATACATCATTTCACCTGTGAACAAGTGTATCTGTATAGTTAGATTTCCAGAGTGAGATAGCTGAGTCAAAGGGTATATGCATTTAGAATTTTGATACATATTGCCAAGTTATTCTTCAGAATCCTTTTACCAATTTAATCTTCCACGAACAATATATGATAGTTCTTTTTTCTCACAGCCTTGTCAACAGATGATGTCATCTGGACTTGTGAATGTGATAGATAAAAGTAGTATTCCCATGAAGTTTAATTTGCATTTCTGTTATTATGAGTGAATTTGAGTAACTTTTCAAGGGTTTAAGAGCTATTTGAATTTCCAAATCTCTTAATCTCTCAGACCCATTTCCTCATCTATAAAAAGAAATAAGAGCAGTATCTAGTTTGTAGAGTTGAAGCGAAGCTCTCAGAAAGGGACAATACAGTGCTTGGCAATGGCAAACATTCAACAAAAGGTAGCTGCTGTTGTCATTTTTATTATTATTAGGCTGAATTTCTTTGGTGATTTGGGGGTAATTCAAGATTAATTTTTACAAAAAGACTTGAATAGAAACCAATACATGTGTCCCCTTGAGAGCTGTGAACTTACATTTCACCCCAAACATCTAGGACCCTATGGAATGTGTCTTGAACCTTTGCCCAGTGGTATGAACCCCAACAACTCACTTGTCCATATTCGCTGGTATTACAGGTGCATAGTCCCAAATGACTTCCTCTGCAGCAATGAAGTATTCCCACCTCTTCATGTGCCGCCTCTGCTCACGAGTTATTTTCTTAAGATTCCTGGTTTTCTTTGGGCAGTTTTTAATGTCAATGTAAGCCTGCATCCCAGCTGAGTTAGGACAGAAAGACAATGAAATAACTCAAGAGAAGAAATTATGGTTGATTGAAATGCATATCCTTTAAATCAACTTGTGGAAGGTTTATATTAATATAATAAGAGTGAAAGTAATGCTCAGGCAATTTTTGAACATTTTAGTTTGGAACTCTTTAAGTGGCATCCAGAAAAGGCAAGAATTTTAAAAGGGGGAAAAGGAGGAGGGGTTAGGGAAAAAATTTGGAAAGATTCCCTTTATTTCTTCTTGAGCAGGCAAATTTCTAATAATTTTTAACTTCTTAAGACCTTATGAATTAAGTCTTGTTAAATTCTCATTTTTCTGTCATCTGTCCCTTAATCTATAAAATGAAGTAGCACCAGTACCTAATAAAATTGTTGTTAAAAATTAAATATTAATAACAATACATAATGCACTTATCCTCAACAAAGAAACAAAAGTTACATTGTTGTTTTAATATTATTGGGAACTCTATCTTCCACGGATATCATGATGGTTTTATTACTTCAAATATAATTTTGACTACTCGTGTGAAAAGAAACAGAAATGATCTCATGAAGTATCTCTTCCTTATATGTGTTGCTTATACATTATTTTGGTAACAAAATGATTTCCTATTGTGATATCATTTCCTTAGATTTTAGTCTCCATTTATATGAACTCTAATCTCAACAGTTTTAAAGCAAAAATGTGTAGTAGAACAATCAGTTATTTTGTTTACACGATACCACATAACGTGGGTTGATTTATTTTCCCACCTGAATTCCCCAGTGTTCTTTGGAGCTCACCCCTCAGTATATGCCATGTATGATCCATTCAACACACATTCATTGAGTTCCTCTCTGTGCTAGACTTTGTGTTCATCCCACTGTAAAGGTTAATGTTTTCATGCTAAACTTTTACACTTTCTACAACTTAGTGCTTCTGTAAATTTGCAGTTTGTCTTGTGCTAGCATCTAGGTCTTTTTTGCATATGAAGTAACCCGAAGAAAGAATATCTCTATGTATGCATTTGTTTTCTTCCTCTTTTCTTCTTTCGAGGAAGTTAGAGATCTCTTTAGCTTTTGCTTAATTAAAAAAAAAAAAAAAACCTTTGCCAATTCCTTCGCTTTCTCCATCCCCAAAGAGCAAGTTATAAATCTAAGAGCAAAATATCTAAGTTTGGTTGTTAGGAACTGAGGAAAGTTTGTCTGCGGTGCAGGTGGCTTGAAAGGGCAAGGGAGAAAGAGGGAGTTAGTGCATGGGAAGAAAGGATTCTGCATTGAGAAGCAAGACTGTCAGGAGAGTTTCTTGCCTTGCAAATGTTTTGGGGTGAGAGAAGATATGATCCACTTTCCCTCTGGGCCCACAGTCATATTTGCGGTAGTGGATGTAGCACTGACAAGGGTGATGGCTGAGACCTTATGATGGTTCTGCTCCAGGACCTGGCCGTTGAAATGAATGGAGAATAATTCTGGCCCCGAGCTCATTCCCAGCAGATGCCAGCTGATGTGGTCATGGGCACAAACTGTTATATCTGAGAAAGAGGGAGAGACACAGGCCAAAATAAGCATTCAGTCAAGTACTCTGTGATCAAACATTCACTCACCAAGTGTATTGAGCACCTGCTGTGTGTCAGGCATTGTATAAAGCTTTGAGGGAACAGACACTCCAGTTGTAGTTTGTGCCCTGCAAAAGCAGACATCTGAGTGACCAGCAAACAAGCAGTGACAACTCATTGTGATAAATGGCATTATACAGGTAACAACAGAGCTTAGAGATGGTGGATGTGAACTCAAAAACACAGGGATTGCTAAAGGATTAGGCCAAGAAGGGAACCAAGAAGGTAACCGACTGTTCTGGTCTGAGGGGTTTCCCAAGATTCAGGACTTTAACTATTAGAACTGGTAAAAAGTCCACGGCAAAATGGAATGTTTGGTCACCCCAGTCTGATCTCAGCTGGAGGGAGTCAAATCACCAGAACCGCCAATAGGGCTGAGTTCAAGCACTTAATCCTCTCAGCTCTCTAGCTGTAGTGGTCGAAGCTCTGCCTAAGGGAAGAAGATGTGAAGATGATATGAGGATTTTCAATTGTTATTTTTACTTACTTTTTGATTGTTTTAATGACAAGTCAACGAAATCACTTTGGGGTTACACACTCTCCTTAAAATGCAGTGTACAAGTCCTCATTATGCTGAGCCATTGGGAGCTTTTCATGGAAGGAGTAGTGATAACTGAATATAAAAACTTAGTTTTGCTCCTTCTTTGCTCCTACAGTCACTGGGAAAATGCTCATTTGCTCTGTGGGGAGACTCCATCCTTGGCTTTTAGGTTTCTGTTTTACATCTCAGATACATAATCACTAGATACTAGATAATGGGCCTGAGAATCAGTTCCTTACCCACACAAAGGCTTGTTTTTTTTAGGAGACCATTGCAACAAAGCCAGGATTCCTTGCATCACTAGGAGGCTTTGGTGGAAGCGTTTATCCATGCCAAAGAAATGCTTATATTGAGTTCAGCAATTAACATATCTGTGTTAGCATTTATCATATGTATTCAATTTATTCTGCTTTATAAGGCAGAGGGTTTTTACAAATGTTTACTATTCTTAGTTTCTACTGATGGTCTTTCCCTACCTTGTCCCATTTACCCCCAATTATTCTTTTGGGAACTATAAATTCGTAAACTCTAAGCTCAGATCAATTTATTTTTATTTTTGTGCATATGGTTTTGCTTTTCTTGGCATCCATATACTTATACAGATTGTTCACTCTGCCAGGAAATAGATGTTAGGATAAATGGTTAGTCCACTTTTGTAAGTAAGCACATTGAGACAACTAATTTATCCAGGGCCACAGAAGGTAGTCTGATAATCTGAAGTCTGAACTCAGATTATCTAAGGTCGAGGTCAGTTAACTAAGCCCCAGTTTTTACAAGCTCCTAGTATTGGAACTTGGGATCAACATTGAGAGTCATATGAGTATATTTTCAGAAAACCAAGTGGAAAATGTAGTCAAATGAAATAGAATACAATTTAAAAACACTACCCAGATCTCAACTCTTAACAATATTTGTGTTTTAGTAAGTGAAGCTATTTGTGATTTTCAGATGGCATTAGAGAATAACCTCTAAGAAGTTTAGTGTTTTGAAATATGGTTTATTTAGTAAAGTGGCATTTTAATTTTTTAATGTTTTTCCCTCAGGCTAGTATCATATACCCTGGATCTTTAGTTGTAGGTCAGTTCTACCAGAGAGAAATAGAAGAGATGTGGTCTAAGTGGGAATTAGTTATTTTTTCTCTTAACGATTGCTATGATTTTGCCTTCTCATAAGTGCCCAAATGCAAATGGAAAGAGAAAATATTCTAGATGCCACTGAATATTACTCTTCTGTCACCTTTTGAAATGCTGGTTTTTTTTGTGTGTTGAGGATTACTCCTAATCTGTTCATCTTTACTGCAATCTTCCTGCTGATCCTTCCTGCTAGGGCTTGTCCTTGAAGAAGCCATGGTCATCATATAGAGGAACTGCAGAACTCGGAGAGAGTGGCTGAGCTGATACCTTAAGGTCTTATTCAAAGTACAGGCCAAGGTGAAACCTACTCAGGTCACTATACCTAACAAGGCTGCACATTTCTTCTCTAGCTTCTAATTTGTCTCTTCTATTTCCTGTTTAAAAAAAAAAAGAGAAAATATTTCCTTCTTGATAGGGAGTTGCAAAACAGTGAGTATGGTCAACTTCTCTAGTGCTTTGAAGAAAACAGGACCGAAAAATTACTAATGATTTTACTGTTGTTTAATGGTACACAGCCCTCGTGTTACCTGGCATTGTCCCATTCACATATCCATTGACTGTGTACATTAGGGATGATGACTGGCTCCAGCTCTTGCTTTCATCAAACACAGCAAATAGTAGCACGATTTGCTTGTCAAACGTCTTCTGTGTCCCACCCTCAGTTAGGGTCCCTATGAAAGGAAAGACATGTTTTCAGTAGCACTGCAGATAGAAGACGCTCATTAGCTTTCCTGGATAGCAAAGAGTTTAGGGCAAGCAATCAACCATAATGATTTCAACTTGAAGAAATTCTTATTTTTTAAAATAGCATATTTATCAAGTAATAATGGTTCTAGGGTTATTTAAAATCTGGTGCCACACTGTCTTCTTTGATACCTTCTTGCTTTGGGGAACAGGCTTTATTTCATCCAGCTTGGGAAGAAAACATTTGGTGACTCTCAAGACTCTGTACAAGTATCCATTTCCCCCAGTCTCAATAGAAGAGTATATAGATACGTTAGCTCAGTTGGTAAAAGCATCATGCCCCAAGTTTAATGCTGTCATCTTATTTGTATATGAAAGGGGGCATTAGATAATTGGGTGGAAGTATCAGCATTAATCCATTCTCACTATGAGAAAAACATGCTGCTGATGGTAAAATGCAAGAAGAGTCTTTTGTAAGTTTTAAGGTTTTTTTCAGTACCATCACAGTATCTTATATATACCAGGAAATGGAAAAAAAGTCTTTGTATAATGAGTAAATACATTGGGCATGTATGTAGGTATGGCCTGAGCGTGTATGTATAGGCAGATGGTGAGTCCATCACGTTATTTCCCATGCTGTGGCTCACTGTGGTTGTTTGTTTTAATGAAAGATGGGCTGGATTCTCATGGGATAAAATGAAAATCCAAGCTTGCTCCTAAGAAGCCCAGCCAATAAAAGTTCTTGTAAAGTCACTTGAGTGTGTTTGAAACCTACCACCCAAAGTTTTCAACTTGTTTGTAAGAAAGGAAGCTGGCATTTCACGTGTTTATAGAGCAAATTACCAGCCCAAACCTCAGATATGTCAAACATGTTAGCCAAAGTTCTTTCCAAGAGCTCTTTCAGCAGAGTATAGGCTACTGTATACTTTCTAAAAGACTTTGGCCTTGAGGTAAATGTTACAGATCATACAAGCATGACATCAGAACATACTCTCAAACAGGAATTTGCCTGGGAGAACCTTAAGGACTGAGATGAAGGAGGAATGAGAAGAAACAGAGGTGGATCCACACCCTGAAATAGCAGGTGTTTTTTTCTCTTGTCAAACAATGATCTGGTCTCCGTGCCGTCTTCCTCTGCTTGATGTACAAGAAGTTACCAAGATGCTCCCAAGCTTTGTCCCATGACAGAACTCCTGACCATTCCAACATTTAGTTGTTGAATCTTTTGGTGGGGGTGTTCTTACCTTTTTTACAGATAAGCAGGGGCCCAATCAGCCCCGAGTTGAAATCCTCGATCAGATTTTCATGGGAGTAATAGATGTGTGTGAGGCATGGAGGGTCATCATGGGTGGGTCCACTGTCCTCACTGATACTCCATTCATAGGTGTATTCTCGGCCTGGAGCCACAGCGTCGTCCATCTTCTCCGCAGGGAATGTGTGGTCAAGGTAAGAAGCACCTGGAGGAGTAACAGCCATCAAGACATGTGGGCAGTTTCTGAGGATTGCGTTTTCACCACTCTCAAATCTGGGGATAGCTAAGATGAGTTCTCTGGAGATGCATATGTCCTTCAATAGTGAACTTTTATTATTTGGAAAGATTCACATATGCCCATTTCTATGCTCATGTACTTACAAAGGCTTTGATAACATGGTGATCTTAAGAATAACAAATGTTATTTGTAAATTAAAGTTTAGCAAGTTAATTTTCCAGGGTACCTGAACAATTATTATTTAAATATAATCAGAGAATTGAATCGCCTTTGATTAGTAAACCATCTCAGAATATAAGAATGGGTGATATCTTCTTTGTGGTGTTTAATAAGACATACTTAGCCTATTAACATGAGATGGGAGGATAGTCAGAGCTGTTTATGTATTATTTTGTTTTGCTATTTCAGATCTTCTTTCCAACTGCTGTGATCCTCAGCTTTGTTTTATCTCTTTATTTCATCTTAGCCATCTGATTATCTCAATTTTTTCCCCCGAGCCACAGCGTCTAACTCCCCTATGCAGGCTGGTTGTCTGTATGAATATGAAATGTGTCCATCCCCTGAAACTTAGATGTCTTACTTTGTACTTTGTGCACCCAAAGACACATCATTAACACCTCCATGTATATTGGACTTTCCCTACTGATAGGAGAGGGAGAGGATGAAGAAATTGGTCTTCTTTATTGAAGAGAAGGAACTGAGATACTCAATATTAAAAGAAGTGTAGAGGGTTGGGTGAGGTTTTCAATAATAAAATGGAGCAAGTGAGGTCAGGAAGGGGAGAGGTGAGTGCCATAGAGAGCCAAGTGGAATGAACAGTTTCCTCTGCCTGAGGAATTCCTCATTTAATTAGGTGAAAGATTCCCTATCATCAGCTGGTGACAGAATTTCTCTTTGGGATGCAGTTATTTTTGTTTGGTACAATAACTTGATAAATTCTTTACGAGAAGAAGGTGAGAACATCAGTGTGGATGTAGGCAGACAACAAGGATCTGGGGAAAAAAGCCTGAAATGTTTTACATGATGGGGTAAAAGGCCAATAAAACTCCTCTTACTGAAGCAACTACACTTTTTGAAAACTGAAATGATTAATCCTTTCCCTCCCCTTCCTTTCTCTTCCCTTTCTTTTCTTTTTCCTTTCCTAGTTTCTTTTCTTTTCTCCTTTCTTCCTTTCTTTGTCTTCTTCCTTCCCTATTCCCCACCCTCCTTCCCTCTCTTTCTTCCTTTCATTATCCTCATTGAGGTATAATTTGCATATAATAACATTTACCACTTTTAAGTATAATATTTGCTGAGCTTTGATTAAAACAATTACCCAGTCTTATAGCTATAGTTCCAATCAAGATAGAGAAGAGTTCCATCATTCCAAAACATTTCTTCATGCCATTTGTAGCCAATGCCCTCTGGGCCCAGACAACCACTAATCTGCTTTATTTCACTATAATTTGGCTTTTCTGTAATGTCATATCAATGGAATCATCATTACACACCCTTTTGTGTTGGATTAGTGTTAGCTGGTATGGTATATAATTTTCTATCCTTTATTTTTTACCTATCTTTGTCTCTCTCATTAAAGTGGATTTCTTAAATTCTGCATACAGTTTAGCATTGCTTTTTTATTCAATCTTATTTGTTTCTTAATTGTAGTGTTCTTTCCATTTACTTTTAATGTAATTGATGATATGGTTGAATTTAAAACTGCCATCTTTATATTTATTTTCTATTTGTCTATCTGGTCTTTATTCCTTTTCCCCTTCCTTTCTGTTTTCTTTTGGATTGAGTATAGTTAGTGATGTTTAATCTCCATTGTTGCCTTCTTAGCTTTGTTTTCTTAGTGGTGCCCTTCCGTTTACAATATATAGTACATTTTTAACTTGTCACAAACTTCCTTCAAATAATATTATACTATTTCACTTGTAAGAACCTTGCAATAATATATTTCCATTTCTTCCCTCCCAGCCTTTGTGCTATTGTCATACATTTTATTTATATATACATAATATACCCCACAATAAATTGTTACTATTTTGCTTTAACATTTAGATAATCAATTGCCTTTTTAATAGATTAAAACGAGGAAAAAATTTCTCTATATTTATCAACTTCTGGAACTTTTCATTCCTTCTTATGAATCTAAATGTCTCTCTGACATAATATTTCTTCTATCTAAAGGAGTTCCTTTAACATTTTTTTCTGCTCTGTTAGTGAGAAATTCTTTCTGCATTTGTATGTCTAAAACACTCTTTATTTTGCCTTCATTTAAAAAAGACTTTTTGACTTGGTATAGAATACTAAACAGACAGATTCCCCTATCTTCTACCCTCCCAACACTTTAAAGATGTCCCTAATTGTCTTCTGGTGTGCATAGTTTCTAACGATAAGTCTGCTATCATTTCTTGGTTTTGTTCCCCTGTATGTGGTGTGTGTTTTTATCTCTCACTGCTTCCAATATTTTCTCTTTATCACTGGTTTCCAGCAACTTGATAGTGATGTGGCTTGGTGTGGTTTTCTTCATGTTCCTTCTTCTTAGTTTTGTCAAACATCTTGAATCTGTTGGTTTGTAGTTTACATTACATTTGGGAATTTTTCAGTCATTATTTCTTCAAATACTTTTTCTGTTCCTGCTACTTCTGGGATCCAATTACACATATGTTAGATCACTTGATATGGTCCCACAGTTCACTGATGCTCTGTTCACTTTCTTCAGCCTTTTTAATCTCTGTATTTCACTTTGCAGTTTCTATTGCAATGTATTAATATTTTCTACTATTTCCTTTCACAGTGTCTAATGTGCTATTAATTTCATCCAGTGTTTGTTGTATTAGTGGTATCCTTCAGTTTATAATATATTTTTTTATCCTTTATTTTTTACCTTTCTTTTCTATGCTTTATTTTTTACTTTTCATGTCAACAATTGTATTCATCTACAGAAGTTCTGTGTATGCATATTTATATTCTCTATCTTCATCATGCTCATGCTTTTCTCTGCTTTCTGGAACATATTGAGAAGATTTATGATAGCTGTCTTACTGTCTCTGCCTGCTGCTTCTATTCTCTCTTTCACTTCTCAATCTGTTGAGTTTTTTCTTGGTTATGAGTCATCTCTTTCTGCTTCTTCTAATGCTTGTTTATTTTTATTAACATTGTGAATTTACATTGTTGTTTGTTGCATTCTTGTTAACTAGTATTGAGTTTTATTCACAGTTAAGATACTTGAAATCAAATCTTGTTTTTTATTCTGTTGCCTCCTCAGCAGCCTGTAGTCTAATTTTATCCACCCACTGTTTCTAAATCCTTCTGACAATTCTATCCAGTGCTCATTTATTAGGAGGTCTTTCTATGTTTGATGGTAGGAACATAAACGATTACCGGCCCTGAGTAAGGTCCAGGGACTGTTCCACCTGTTCCTTTCAAGTGACATTTTTCTTACCCTCAGTACTTTCCTCACATGTATGTGCAGATCAGTATTCAACTTGACAAAACCTCTCTGTAGATTCTCTAGAGCTCTTTCTCTGTGATTATACTGTCCTCTGCAGGACTCTGCCCTAAAATCACAAATTCTAGCCATTTGAGCTTCTCCGAAGTCCAAACTCTATTTCCTCAACCCATAGAGACTCTGTCTGGGTTCTCCCTGCTTGTGCTGTTCCCTGGAAACACTCTTCAAGCAGTAAGCTTAGGTGCTCATAGGGCACATCTGGTTTGTTACTCTTCTTTTACTGTCTTGAGTTGTCTGTCATTCGATGTCTGAAAACTTCTGTTTTATATGTTTTGTCTGCCTGTCTAGTTGTTGAGAAAAAGGGTAAATCTGGTTCCTTATGTTCTGAAGCCAAAGTCTGAGATGCTAAATTTCCATATAAAATATTTTTTTACATTACAGCAATGTCAGCTTCCCTTCTTTAATTGTACCTTTCCCCATCCCAACTGTGGAAAATCTATTCCACTCAAAACGCTTTGCATGAGTTTGCATGGCATCAGCATATGTTTGGATTCTCCAGGTGGGAGTGGAAAATAAGGCACATCCATTCAATAGCAATGAAGGATTCAGGTACTACAGTAACGTGCAATGTATCTCATGAGGTTCTGAGCATGGAAACCATAAGTTGAGTAGGTATATCTAGATTTACTTCTTGCATAAAGTCCTTAACGTGGACCACAAGTCCATGTATGATTTACCTCTACTTCTCTCTTCAGTCTTATCATACGTCTTTTCTCTTGTTTACTATGGGCTCCTTGTCCCTTGGGTCCCCTGTCAGTTCCCCAGACATCCAAGTTCTGTCCTACCTCAGGGTCTTTGCAGATGCCATTCCCTCTGCCTAGAGTGCTCTTCCTCCCGTCTTCCTTTTGATAAATATGTGCTCATCATTCAGACATCACCTTGAATATCTGTTCACTTCTACCTTTATCTCCAATTCTGATACACATTTTTTTCTTTTACAGCACCCATCACAATTTGTAATTAAATGCCTGTGAGATTATGTGACTAATTCATTTTCTTCTACTAGATCATAAGTATTTGTGTCCTGCACATTTTGGTCACCCAAGTGTGAGTTCCTCAAGGAAAAGTGCTGGATTGTATTTGTCTTAGTGTCTCTGGTGCCTTCCATAGGTACCTAGAGAAGCATGGAACATGAACATGAAGAAGATGCTCAGTGAATATTTATTAAACTCCTAAAATTTAAGGTCCTATGGGCTACAGCCTAGGTCAACAAGTCAAAGCTCATGGCTGTGTGTTGTTATGATTGCGTAATGTTAAAATAGATTAAATGCCAACATTAAACATCCGGAGAAATTATATAAGAATTTGGATTACTGGTTTCTCTTTAAAAAACAAAAACCTGGAGATCTGGTTAACAACAGGACCAAACTCCTGCACAGAATTTTGTTGGATCTGGATCTTAGCTGCCCTTTTCTGCTTTCTGATGATCAGTTCTTACTGGACCAATTTTGTTCACTGAACTACTTATCTGGCTACTATAGGCATCTGAGTTTGTGAACTTTGCGCTAGCATAAAGTGGACTTTGTTGTGTCTTCCCCCAACACACCCCAAAGGATAGCTTGACACTAATAACTAATATTTACTCTAGGCTGTACTTTCACTTTGATAATAAAACTGTCAAGAGCTGAGAAATGATAAAAGCTTAAGTCACTTCCTGTAAGTTATAACATAATTCTAGTCTATAAAAGAAAAAAAGTTTATGGAGAAAGTCTCCACTAATAAGCAGGAAGCATTATCTGTGAAAGATTACAAAAGAGCTTTGGTAACAAAGCACAAACAGGACTGATAAGGAGAGTTGCCCTCTCAGGTCAGAACTTGTCTATTAACTGAAATTAGCATGGCTAGTTGATGAGCTGCACCATCTACCTTGAATCAAGCATGACAGCCCTTCTTCAATGCTTCTTGCTACATGGCCTCATAAAGTTGAAAAATGATGTTTCTGGACAGGCAGCTTCCACTGTTTCAACTGTTAAAACATCACATGGGGTTTCTATAGTAGAAAATGATATTCTTTCCACTGCCTTCACAAGCTCCCCTAAGGGCAAAACATTATATTCTTTGCAGGGTAGGAGATAACTTTTGAAGTTCTTCCTCCCTTTATTTTTCTGGGTAAATGTGTGCTCATTCTTCAGATGTCAGATCAAATATCATCTTACACCCTTCTTGATCTCTGATTGTGATACCTGTTTGTTTGTTGTTGGTTTTTTGACAGCACTCATCGCCATTTGTAATTCAGTATTTGTGAGACTATATGGTTAACGATACTTTTTTCTGCTAGATAGTGGGAGAAAGCACTTGAACTTCAGGGTCAGAGTTGAAAATATCTTGGTGGTTGTATCATTTGCTAACTGTGGGAACTTGGGAAGGTTTCTTGAAGTCCCTTTAACCTCAGTTTTTTCATTTATAATTTAAGATAATATAATCCTTTTTCTAGAGATAACTTTATCCTTTTTGATGGGTTATGAAGACTGGAAAATATTTGTAAAATTTCTGGCTCCTAACAAATGCTCTGATAGCCTGTGGGAATACATGTTCACATTTTGGTTAAGTATTTTCTTTCCCAGTCATGTTGCAATTAATACAGCCTCTTTCCTTTATGTTCTACTTTAGATAAGATAGATCTTAAGTGTGCTTGAGTTCTGGTAACACATGTGAGTAAGATAGAAATTGGTGATTTTCTTAGTTTGGGTTGCTGTTAACAAAGTACCCTGGATTGAGTGGCTTATAAACAACGGACACTTCTTCCTCACAGTTCTGGAGGCTGGAAGTTTAAAATCAGGGTGCCAGCATGGTTGGGTTCTGGTGCAGGGTCTCTTCCAGGTTGTAGACTGCCATCTTCTCCTTGTATCCTCACATGGTAGAAAGAGGGTGAGTGAGAGGGTCCCTTTTATAAGGGCACTAATCTCATCATGAGGGCTCCATCCTCATTACCTAAAAATCTCCCAAAGGAGGGGGGAGGGATAGCATTGGGAGATATACCTAATGCTAGATGACGAGTTAGTGGGTGCAGCGCACCAGCATGGCACATGTATACATATGTAACTAACCTGCACAATGTGCACATGTACCCTAAAACTTAAAGTATAATAAAAAAAAATCTCCCAAAGGCCCCACCTGCTAATGCCATCACACTGGAGGTTAGATTTCAGTATGTGAATTTTTGGAGGACACAAACTTCCAATCCATTGTAGTGATGTATCTATTCCAAAGGCGATGAAAGTAAATAAGACTTTTTTGGTAAAAGTACTTTTTTTTTTTTTTTTTGGTAATAAGTAAGACAAAGTACCTGCTCAAAATTATCAGCAAAATCAATAATTTTAAAGCAAGGGAAAAATAATGCATAGTCCTTACTTTCTAATCAGTCCTCGGCCCCTCAGTTTAGTTCAGTAATGATTAATATCATCATGATCATGACCATCATCATCCACTAGGTTCCAGGCTCTGTGCTAAATGCCAGAGTACAAATGTAAAGAAGACAGGGCCTGGGCCCCTGAGGGGCTCTGCCTAGTTAACTCTAGGGTACATGTTGGTGCCCTAATTGTGATAGGTTTGACCTCTAGATTTCTTCTAGGGCTACAATTAGAACACACTGTCAATCTGGAATGAGAACCAACCAATGTAAGTATCTAAAAATTGCCCAAGATGCTATAACACTTGTGCTAGGTATAGCAGGGTGACTGATTTTCTAACAATATTGAACCTATCTGTAAACAATCAATGTTTCACACCTAGATTTATTTTAACACATACTGGGCTTAAAAAATTATTGTATATACTTGTGTACATGATATTTTGAGATAGATAATGAAAGGTTACTCTAGTCACACAAATTAATGTCTGTCTAATTGATCAAACTAAATTACTCAGAATTTCACATTCGCCTGTCAGTTACATATAAGATGAATTTCAAATAATTAAATGAATGATGTTAATTAAGTTTAGTATACTACTAAAAGTTGAATTATGAGCATCTTGAAACAGTGAATGATATAGACTTGTACATAGGATATATTCTATAATTACACTGAGTGAGATGGCTAATGAGACAATTGGGGTGTAATTTTATCAATGCTTTTATTCTTTTCACTTCAAATTATTTTACCTTTAGTCTAGAATAAAACAGGTTTGTTGTATCTTTGATTTTACAACATACATTAATATAAAGTATAAAATACAAACAGCTATTAAGAGGAAGCATTTGTGAGATGCAGTTTTGGTGAATGTGATTTTGACTTTGTAATCAAAATAAAAAAAATTAAGCTCTAAACTGAAAAGAAGAGAAATGGACAGGGACAACTATTGTGCTAGAGCACAAGAAGTCCTTGTTCAGCTGCTTGCTGGAATAAAATCTTTACACAAGGGTAGCTCTTCATTTATATTTACTCAGTTCTGTTCATTTCCTGCTCAGTCGATAGTCAGCTTTGTATTGTATTTATTCTTGTCATGATGTACTAATTACTTGCCAAAGGCTCTCAGTATTTTTTAAAAATGAAAAATGGTGCATACAAGCTTTGGGAAAGTGAAGTTACATAAAGAGCCTTTTTGGTTACTCATTAGGGTGCTCACTCAGTAACTCTTCCCTTGTTACTTATTTTTGTGAACAACTCTTTTCCTCTCCTAAGTTAATAAACTTAGTGAATGCTTCACTACATTCAAAGATTCAGAATATTCTTTTAGAAGCTATAATGTAGGCAATGGGCGAATCAATGCTGACGTTTTATAAAGAGCTGATTTCATTGCACAGGACTTGCAAGTCTCTTTGGAAAAGGGATCCACATTTTTGTGATTTATTAAATATACAAACTATAGCCGTTATAGTTTGTTTCAGGTGTTTATCATATACTCAAGGAAGTCTCTACATAAGGCCAAAATATTCAGATGAGAAGTGAAAAAATGTAATCACCTACATTAAGTCAAGCATTGGAATGTTTTGGAAAAATCTAGAAGAGCAAATTTTTGTATAGAGAATTTGGCAACACTTAGATACAACGAACAATGTCTGGCAGAAAACGTGTTTTATTTGGAGAGCTGGCTTACCAGCAGATGGCTATATATTATAGAACTAATTTTGTGACATCACATTCATATGCAACTCATATATTTAAAATATGAGAATATAACTAAAAGAAAAGAATAATATTAAATTCTCCATGAAACAAGCTTTTTAAAGGTAATTGACCAAAACGACTTTGAAAATTTTACTGAACAACAAACTTTGCTCAAAGGTGCAGCATTGAAGTCAATTTGATGCATGCTAGTTACAGAGTTTCTGAAAATTTAACCTCAAATTGAAACCCTTTAGTGACAGCTTTTAAGTGATTAGTTACAGTTGCAGATACTTTATTCCCTGATCTAAGACAGTCTTATTAAATACATTATTAAAGGAAATGTCCTTACAAGCATTTTTACAAATCACCGTTTGTCCATTCTGTCAAAAAGGGTTATCCAGAGTTCTCTTATGTTCTGTTGTGGTTTCTCAAGCCAGTGTAATACTATCTTAACCCCCTACCACCTATCTCTCAAATATCTACCTCTGAGATAGAGGAATCTGGATTCTCATGTAACTGGCTCAGCATGCAGTTAGTTTATCCCCACTCCCAAAAAAATAGCTCAAACCACAGAGGGAGGCTATAGGTGAGGGTGAGTGTCAGACATGGAGGAGGAGATGTTTTATTTTAATGCAGAGGGCATAATAAAATCAACTTATAAGGCTTGTCTTTTACCATAAAAGATACTATCTGCTTACTAGGTTTGCATCTCATTTCCAAGGTAAAATTTTACTTTCCCTACCAATATGTATTTACCTTTCTTAGATTCATAGGACCAGAGGCAATATTATATGCCAATAATCATGTCTCCAGTGAAAGCTGTGGGAGCATTTTAAGCAATTGCTCATAAATAATTGCTGGCTGTAGGGAATGTAGGGACAAATAAACAGTAAAGGAAGAGGGATAGTGTTGCAAGGTTCATTCACTGTGCAAACAGCCCAGGTAGGGTCCAAAGTCTACAATTCTTACCTCCTCCCTTATTTGAAATGAAACCTGCATGTGACATTTTGATATTTTGAGGTTTCTCCCCCTTCTTCTTTACATTGCTGAACTTCTGATGCAGTCGTCTAGAAGCCTCATAAGTAGGTGAAGTGGTTGTTCACTATGTCACTGTATGATTTTAAGAACATAGGAGAAACTCCTGTTCCCACTACCTCACCCAGAGTCTTGCCAAATTCACTTTGGAAGAAATCTCAGTGCCACAGTTAATGCTTCATTGTTTTTCCTCAAGCCAAAGATTAAGTGCTAATGCAAGTACTCCTAAGGAAGGTAGTTCATTGACCTATTATCAGTCACTTATACCTTAGTGGGTATGAGTTTGACAACAGTTTATATAGAAAACAATAAATTTAAAAATTACTTTCTGATTTTTTCTGAAACTAACAAGTTTTAAGATAAATACTAAATTATTTGAACACATTTTAATTGAAGAATTATCTTTACTATCATGGCTAATATTTATTATCTGTTATATGCCAGTCATTATTCTAAGATTTCACGACAACAAACCTGTATGACAGAGACATGATTATTATTACCATTTTACAGATGAGAAAGATGAGGCACACAGAGGTTAAATAACTTCATAAAAGTCACTGAGCCAGGATTTGCACTTATTAGTCTAGTTCTAAAACCTGCACATAAACCACTCTCCTACTCAATTATTCTCTCAAAGGTATGATGGCTGGAACATGTAGAAGGAAAGATATTTAAATGTGAACCATGAAAAGTCTGAAATTATTTTAAAATGTTCTCATACCAACAACTATTATAATATGGATACAATTTTTTATACCAGTGCCTGATGGAACTCTACTATGCTTACAATGATCTGAACATCAGCATAATGGGATAATTAGAACCATATTAACATCAGGTACTTACTATTCAGCGGCTGATACAATAACTTGCATGACTATTATCTTTATGATTATTGCCATCATTGTCATCATTATTTATAGAGAGCTTATCCGATCCCAGGAACCATGTTTAGTACTCTACCTAAGTGACTTCATTTAAATTTCAGGCAATCTTATGGGTGGTTATAATCATTTCCATTTTATAGATGAGAAAACTGAGGCTCAGAGATGCTAAAGTCGTAGAATCAGAAATGATAAAGCTAGAATTTTAACTTGTCTGCCTTTAAAGCTTACTTTCTTAACCACTTCACTATGTCCAAAAGTCTAATACTATTAATGCTTCTAGTCTCACCACCACCAAATACCACTTATTGAGTGTCATCTATGTGCCAGGAAGCCTATATCAGGCTAGTTCTATGTCACTATGTCAGTGGCTCATGGGCCAAACCCAACCAATTTCCTGTTTTTGTAAATAAAATTGTATTGTCAGAGGCGGTCTTACTCTGGTGTATGACTTGAGGGAAAGAATACGGTAACAAAGTTAATTAGTTCTGGCATCTGTAACCAAAGCCAAAAAAATAGGTATCGTCTATGGCTGCTTTTGTACTAAAAGGCAGAGTTGAGTACTTGCAACAGAGATCTTATGGCCTGCAAAGCCAAACAAACTTACTATCTGGCCCTTTACGGAAAAATTTACTGACCCCCGCCTTAAACCATCTTTCAATGTATGTATTATTATTCCCATTTTAAGATGAACATATGAGAATTCAGAGAAATTAGATAACTTGCCCTCCCAAACATTAAAGAGTAAGAACCCAGTGAAAAATGCAGGTCTAGAGGACTCCAAAACCTTTTCCTTTTCTTCTCTCAAAACTTACAACAGCAACAATTTTTATAATTACCAGTTGCAAGAGATTTCCCTAACAACACGTGGTTAACAGTATAGTTTTAAATGTTGATGCTGGTATTAAAGACTTAGACATTTTCCCTTTTCAGAAAAATATTAGATTTATCTTACCTTCTGATAATTTACTGTACCTAATTCCTTGAGGATGGATGCTCAAGGGCTTATCTGCCTTATTTTTAAAGTGAACTTTTATGATGTCTCCGACTTCAGCATATAAAGTAGGCCCAAGAAGTCCTGTGAAAACAAATATTTAAACTATGTCTGTATTCAGGGTCATCAAAGGCAGAGTTGCTAAGCAAGAAAAACAAACAGATGATACCAAGAGTGATTGCTACCATTCCTCCTGGTCCTGAGGCTGACTCACTTATTTTCAATCTAGAAGGTTTTAGCAGCTCATTAACTCAACATTACATGTACACAGATCACAATAGAATGGTAGAAACACTTGTCCTGGACCCAAAAGAAGTCAACAGAGTAGGAGAAATAGTTCTGGCCAAGTCTTGCCCACTTTGACCCACTGTCATTCCTTAGCAATAACTTTCTTTGCTTAAGAAAGATGTTCATTTCAATTACAGAGGGTGATGCGAGAGGGTAGTTACTTTAGATTTCTCTGACATGGGTGTGCTCAGAGACCTAGATGAATTGAGGAACCAAATCACACAGCTCTCTGGCTCTGAGGCAGGAGTAGTCTTGATGTATCTAAGGAACAGTAAGAAAAACAGTACGGGAAGAAAGAAGAGATGAGGTGGATGGTAGGTGTGTAGAACAAGGGAGGCCCTATGGGCTACGGTAAGAACTTGAATTTTCTTCTAAGTGAAATGGGACATCACTGGAGCATTTTTCTTTTTTTTTTTGAGATGGAGTCTCGCTCTGTCTCCTAGGCTGGAGTGCAGTGATGCAATCTCAGGACCCACTGCAACCTCCGCCTCCTGGGTTCAAGCAATTCTCCTACCTCAACCTCCCAAGTAGCTGGGATTGCAGGCATGCACCACCACACCCAGCTAATTTTTGTATTTTTAGTAGAGATGACTTTTCACCATGTTGGCCAGGCTGGTCTCAAACTCCTGACCTCAGGTGATACACCCGCCTCAGCCTCCCAAAGTGCTGGGATTACAGGTGTGAGCCACCACGCCTCGTCTAAGTGAAATGGAGCATTTCTAAGTAAAATGAAAAACCACTTTGTACAGCAGAGACATAGTATAACGTGTATTAAAAGTTCATCCTAAAACAAAAAGTTCATCATAGCTGCTGTGTAGAGAATAGTCTGTGTAGGGACAAGAATGGAAGCAGAGAGATTAGGCAGTATAGGAAAGAGACTGCAGTGTACTGGGCCAGCACATGTAGCAGAACGTGATGAGTAGTGGTTGGAGTCTGGACATTTTTGTAGGTAAGGCAAACAAGACTTGCTGATGGATTGCATGTGGCTTGTGAGAGACAGAAGTCAAGGATGACCTCAAGGTGTTTTATCAGAACAACTGGGTAAATGATGTTATTAGTTACTGCAATGGGAGAACACAGCAGAGACAGGAGGTTATGGGTGCAGAAATCAAGAATGAGGTTTTACTTTCTACATGCCAGGCACTGTGTTAGAAAGTTTCTGGCTACCTGGATCAAATACAGTCCCTGTACTGAAGGAACTCACAAGCTAGTTTGGAGATAGATGTATGATAGGAGCGACTGCTGAGATATGGGCAAAATATTACAGAAGAAGAGAGGATGAAGCACAAATTCTGTCTGGGGAGTTAGGGAAAAAGTTGATGGCTGAGTCAGAATTTGAGGAATTGTATATAGTCAGCCCTCCATGACCATGGTTCATATTCATGGTTACACATCCATGGAGTCAACCAATTTTGGATCAAAAATATTCAAAAAACAACAATAAAAAATAAACAATAAAAACAATACAAATAAAACTCTAACATAATAGCAATTTACATAGTATTTACATTGCATTCAGTATTATAACTAATTTAAAGATGATTTAAAGTATATGAGAGGATGTGCATAGGTTATTGCAAATACTATGAAATTTTATATAAGGGACTTGAGCATCTGCAAATTTTGGTATCTGTGAGTAGTCCTGGAACCAATACCCTGTGGATACCAAGGGATGACTGTACTAGAATTTCCAAAGTGTAGTCCTTGGAGTCTCTGCATCAGAATCACCTAGGGTCTTAATAAGAGGCAGATTTCCAAATATCACCTCAGCCTCAATGAATCTGAGTTCTGGAGGTGAAACTTGGGAATCTGGACTTTAACGTGTGCTCCTTGGTGATCTTGATGTCTTTGAAATCTTGAGAATCTATGACCAAAAGCCCCATTCCAGACAAGTGACAGAAATCAACTACTGTCATTTCTGAGCCATCCACAAGTGTCATGGGATTGGCTTCTCGCCATTAGGCGTCCTAGAAGCAGGAGAAGGAAGTCACGGCACTCATGGAGTTCAGCCAGCATTTGTTTGCAGTGGTGATGATAATCATAATAAGGCTTTCCTGTACTGTTTCCCTTAATACATTCAAGCACTGTAAGTCCCTACATTAATCCTCACAAGTTTTTAAGGTAGATATTAAGATCCTCATTTTATAGGTGAGGACACTGAGCCTCAGAGAGTTTAAATATCTTGCCTAATATCACACAGCATCATGATTTAAAGTTTAATATGTCTGTCTCTAGATCGTGACTTTTAAGCCACTTCTTTATACTACACCTCCACCTTGTATTCATTCCTTTATTCATTCCTTTATTTATTCAATGAATATCAAGTGCCTATATTATCCTAGGCATCAGAATTGCAATGGTGCGTAAAAGAGTAAAATAGATACACCCACTCCCTGCCTTCATAGAGTTTATAAAAGTCAAACATTTTTATAGTTCTATAACTTTATACGTTTTTATAGTAGGAAAGACAGATTTTAAACAAATGATCACAAAAACATTCAATTTAAACCTATGGTAAATATTATGACAGAAAAGGAGGGAATACTCTGAAGAGTATTTGACAGTGGAATCTAGTCCAATTGGAGGTGAGTTGGGGAATCCCTTCCCGAGGAATTAATCCTTTAACTGAGGTCCAAAGGCAGAGAGGAAAAGGGATGGCCAAAGACATTCTAAAAAGTTAGAGTAGCGTGCGCAAAGGCCCTGAGGTGCCAGAAAATGTGGCCTTTTTAGAGAACTGACAGTTATCCAGTGGGGAGGTGGAGCTTAGTATGTGAAAGGAAGGGGCAGAAGGTGAAGCCGAAGGCATCCTCAGAGTCCCATCATGCAGGGCTTTGTAAGCCTCATAGAGTTTTCCCTTTAGCCTAAGAGTATCTGGAAGCCATTAAAGAGTTTTCATCAGGGGTGCAACATGGACCAGATTTTGGTTTTAAAATCTCTGGCTGTATTTGTGGAGGATGATCTCGGAGGAGACTGAGCAGAGAACAATTGAGAGAACAGATAGAAGACTCCAGGAGAGATGGTGGTGACTGAGATTATGATGAGATGATGAGGAGAGAATATATTAGTGATGTATTTATGAGATAAAATAGTTGGAACTTGAAGATGGATTGGATGTGGGGTAGAGAATAAAGGACATCAGTTGCTGTGGATGGCTGATGAGGTTCTGATTTGGGGAGCTGGGTGGAGGAGGGTGCCATTCTCTGAGATGGAGGACACCGTGGGAGGGCTTTGTTTGGTGGGTGTAGTAGGCAGAATAATGTGCCCCTGCTGAGATGTCCACGTCCTAATCTCTGGGACCTGGAAATATGCTACTTTATATGGCAAAAGGGACTGTGTATCTATGATTAAGAATCTTGAGATGAGATTCTTCTGGGCTGTCCAGGTGGATCCCATGTAATAACAAAGGTCCTTATCAGAGGGATGCAGGAGAATCTGAGTTAGGAAGAGCTTGGAAGATGCTACTCAGCTGGTTTTGAAGATGGAGGAAGGGGCCATGAGCCCGTGA
The DNA here is from genome assembly GCF_000001405.40 of Homo sapiens. NCBI lineage: Eukaryota > Metazoa > Chordata > Mammalia > Primates > Hominidae > Homo > Homo sapiens. Next base: position 169,576,053 of record NC_000001.11, read on the forward strand.
GTGTAGGCAGCTTCCAGTAACTGGAAAAGACAAGGAAACAATTCTCCCCCAGAGCCTCCAGAAGGAATGCAGCTCTGCCAACACCTTGATTTTAGCCCAATAAAACCCATTTTGGACTTCTCATCTGCAGATATATAATCATAAAAGAATAAATTTGTGTTGTTTTAGCCACTAAGTTTGCAGTAACTGGTTACAGAAGCAATGGTAAACTCTGATTTCTGGGACAGAGGTCCTATCTTTCCCTACCCCTGTCTTGCCACCCACGGTTGTCCTATTCCTTTCCTTGAACTCCTACTCCTGGAGTTTATTCTGATCTTGTGCCTGAAGCTTTTTGTTTGTTTTTATGTTAGCTTTACACAGGACTGTGGAGGTCACAAAGTTCAGTCCTTATTTTAGTTAACAAAGCCTGGGAGGTAGGAATCGGGGGACAAAGGTGACTTGCCCAAGGTCAGTCAGTGATCTGGTAGCATTGCTGGGATCAGAACTCAGATCTCTGGACTCCTGAGCCAAAGCTCTCCCTATTCCTTCCACGGGGCAGGCTCAGGCCCCCATCTTTATAGAATAGTCCAGATGTCTACACCTCTTTTGACTCCTGACATGTCGGACTCCACTGACTGACCCCCCTCTTCCAGCTGCTACCCTCTGTCTTGGCTCCTGATGGAAGTTTCCACTGACTATTCCCACCTACCCCAGCTGCCAATGAGCCCAACAGGGTGCTGACTATGCTGCCAATTGTGTGCCGCATTTAGTTGCCATGGTTCTCTTGCTTGGTTGATTTGTTTGTTGGCATCACATGCCTGCAAATACCAGATGCCCAGAGAAAGTCTCCTAAGTTATTTAACCTAATAAGACCTATTACTTCAGTGGACAGTTTGGAGTATTTATTCAACCTCCCCTCCTGCTTCTTCAGATTTAAGGCAAAACAAAAGGATGTTTTCATAAATGCATACCAAATACTTTCACGCATGTAGGAAAACACATGGCTAAATGGTTTTCAAGCTGCTCTTTAGCTCCTCCAACAGCCAGATGGCCTAAAACCCTTCTAACCCTCTCCTCAGTGCCCAAAGCTGGATTGGGGAAAGGAGTGGCCTACTTCAGGGCTTGGGGAAGCCAGCACAGCATGTACCCAATTTAGTGCAGTTGTGGAACTGGAAAGGACTGCAGAAGGTCAACTAATCCAATCCCCTGCTCTTAGGTGAACAATGCATTACATAACACAAGGTAGTGATTGTTGCAGCTATTTCAAAACTCCTTCAGGGACAAACATTTTATAATTTGTCCCTGAAAAATATGCAGACTCAAAACTAGCCAATTTAATTAATTATTTATTTATTTAGAGATGAGGTCTTATTTTGTCACCCAGGCTGGAGTGCAGTGGTGTGATCATAACTCACTGCAGCCTCCAACTCCTGGGCTCAAGTGATGCTCTTGTCCTAAATGACCCTCTTGCCTTAGCCTCCCCAGTAGCTGAAATGACAGGTATGTACCACCATGTCTGGCTAATTTAAATATATATATATATATATATATATATATATATATATATATATATGTATGTATTTTTTTAAATAGAAACAGAGTCTCACTACATTGCCCAGGCTGGTCTAAAACTCCTGGCCTCAAGCAATCCTCCCACCTTGGCCTCCCAAAGTGCTGGGATTACAGTCATGAGCCACTATGCCCAGCCAAGACTAGCCATTTTAAAGCCCAAGACAGAATTCCTAAAAATGACCCCAGCTGTACTCCCTCACCTGCCCAAATGTCCACAAACCTTATTGGATGGGCATCTTCATACCTCCAATCCTACAGCCCAGCCCCCTACAATTACAAGAACTAACAACAACAATAGTTCATGCTGCAGGAGTGAGGCTCATGACTTTTTCAGGGCTCAGCTAGAATCACACCCAGCAGATGAGTGGAGCAGGACATAGGGGAAAGGTACAAATAACACAGGACTAGTCTGGGGAATGGGAGAGGCCACATAGTTAATGGCAGTGTTCAAATCCAGATCTTCTCAGTCAAAATAAAAGGCTTTTCCTTCACGCCAGATTTGCCTCCTTGTATCAACTACTATAGAGTTACAAAGGTGAATAAGATACCACTCCTGCACTTCATAAGTTCATAGTTAAGCAACTTTGGACATTCAGGAAGAGATTACATTAAAATGGACGTCGAAACACCTTTGTCCACATGAAACAAATATATTCTGAGATACACAGGGGTTGACAGAAAGGTGCAAAGGCCTTACACATAAATTGGAGACTGTTCTCACCAACTGTCAGAGTCTACCTCTAACAAGGTTAAATCAGGAAATCACTAAAAAATTTAATCATCTGAAAGGACTTTGATCACAGAACCCTTTTCTTCAAAAGCTATCCATGCCTTTTTATTGTTTAAAAGTCTTCAGCCTGGAATTAGTCCTTTCCGTCTCTTATGGCATTTAGCACAATGTCTCACACAGCAAAGGGATTAAAATTTGCTTAGCTTGGCAAAAGCCACAAAAGGTACACCTTCAAATACCGGCCCCAATCCTCTTTTCCTGGCCCTAATGAGTATGTTTCCCACCTTATATTCCCTTCATCTACCTACAATTTAATTTAATTAAATAGTTCTTAAGTATCTATTGTACATGCTAAGCTTGGAGCTGGAGCTATGAAAATGAATAGACTCTGTGATATAGGACAGGACATCCTTCAACTTCCTACTCATAACTACAAACTTAATTTTATTTGCAACGTTATCCTCTGCTTTCCTGGCCCCCCATGAAGGTGGTAGCCATTCTACCTAAGGCCAAGCCAGCCCAAGGTTTGAATCCCAATGCTTCCTGCTTCTTCTAAGTCTCCATTAATCATTCTCTCTCAGATGTTTTATCCCCACATTTTCTATTGGAAAGGACTTCATGGCATTTCTATAGAGTCTTCCCTTAAATATTTAAGTCTCTGTATTCCTTTTTATAAAATTCTCAAATGTCCTTAAGCTCCTCAGTACCCACCCCCACCCCCGAAACTACCCTGTCTCTCCTCCCATCTGGAACCAAGTTTCAGGGAAGAGTTATCTATAAGACCCTTGTGCTTCAGTTTCCTCGCCTTCCATTCACTCCTCAACACCCTGCCATCTGGTCTTGTCCCACTATTCCATAACAAAGGGACCATATTTTGACCCTTATATTAATAGCATTTGACCCTTTGCCTCCAGGATAACACATTCTCTAGATTTCTTCTCCCCTCCCTGAACAGGCTTTCTCAAGCTCCTTGGTAAACTTTTCTTTCTTGGCTCATCCCTTGGACTTTGCTGCTACTTTGAGCTCTGTCTGCAGCCTTCTCTTCTCATCACATCCTCCCTGGGTGAGTTCACACCCTCTAAATTCTTCATTTGCCATCTTTGTTCTGATGTCTCCCAAATGTTGACAGCTAGCTCAGATCTCTCTTTTGAGGGCCAAACTTCTACACCCGTCTGCTCACTTAACATCTCTAGGTAGATATTCTATACACACCTCAGACTCCAAATCTATACTTATCACCTTCTCTCACAAACTATCTCCTTTTCTTACATTTTCTTTCTCACTGAATGGCACCCTATCCATTCTGCTGTTCAAACCAGACACCTTGAAGTCCATAACAATTCCCTTTTCTTCCTCATTATCTGCATCTAATGAGTCACCAAGTTTAATCAACTTTAGCTCCTAAATATCTTTGGACTCCATCTCAGCTTCTCTGCTATCTGGATTGATACAACAGTCCCATGACTACTTTCTCTGGCTCTGGACTGGTCTTTCTCCAATCTATTCTCTATAATTGGACAACATAATCTTTCTAAAGGACAAATATTTCTCCTGCTGAAATCCTTTTAGGGACTCCCTATTCCTCTCAATATAAAGCCTAGCATGGATCCCTGATCCCCATCTAGTTGCATCTCTTGTTAATTCCTTCCCTGAAGTTTGTGGTCCAACTGTGCTGATCCAGTTATGGTTCCACAAATATACCATACTCTCACCTCCAAACTTTTAAACATTCTGTGCCTTGGTTTAAAATGCATCTATCACCCAACCCCTTGCCTCCCCACTTGGCTTTCCAAGATCCTACTCTTTTTTCAGCTATCAATCTAGAAATAGAAATACTTTCCTGACCACCAGACTGGAGATAGGTCTCCTATGTCCTACTACAGAATCCTCATCATAGTTCTTCCTTATTACTCTACTGTCATTGCTTGTCTATCCATAGGTTATCCCCAATAGCTGATTGGCTCCTGGAAATCAAGGTCCATGTCTTATTCACTTTATCCCAGAGCCTAGAATGTAGTAGGTTCTCAATATACTTTTTTGTTGTTGTTGTTGTTGTTTTTTTTTTTTTGAGATAGAGTTTCGCTCTGTCACCCAGGTTGGAGTGAAGTGATGCGATGTCAGCTCACTGCAGCCTCCACCTCCTGGGTTCAAGTGATTCTCATGTCTCAGCCTCCTGAGTAGCTGGGACTACAGGCATGTACCATCATGCACAACTAATTTTTGTATTTTCAGTAGAGGCGGGGTTTCACCATGTGGGCCAGGCTGGTCTGGAACTCCTGACCTCAAGTGATCCATCTGCCTTGGCCTCCCAAAGTGCATGAGCCACCACGCCTGGCCTCAATACACAATTATTTAAAAATAAAAGAATATTTAAATGCAGATCTGTTTAAAATTAAATAAATATATAAATGAACACATGTGAAGACTATATAAATGAGTGGAGAAATATAGATATATAGATATCCATAATACTATGATATATATGATCTAAGTTATGATTAGTAATAGCAGCAACAATAACAATAATGTAGCTAACTTCTACTGAGTGCCTATTATGTGTCAGCATCATTATAAATACTTTGTACTTATTAACTCAATTGATCCTCTTAATATCTTTAGAAGGTAGGGATTAATTCAAGGTACTGGGGATGTATAGAAGAGGGAAGATTTAATTCTGCTGGTATTGAGGGGGTGTCAATGTAGCTTCAGAGGGAAAGTGGCTTCTGGGTAGGTAGTAGTGAAAGCCTTGGTTTTGGGTGAGATTCGAACCCTGGGGAAGAATATCTGGTGGGGATACTGAGCAGGAGTGGTAAGAGAAGTCTGAGAAAACCAAGGGGAAGTGGCACTAGAAAAAACAGGTAAAGCGAGAGCTTCAGAAAGGAAGAGTGTTAAATGTCCTAGTAATGTCTAGTAGTAAAAGAACATAGGCTCTGGCACCTCAAGTCCTAGGTGCCCTTTTGTGAGAGTAATTTTAGTAGACTTATTCATACTAAAGCAGATTAGGGAAGGAATATAGGCGAAGAAATGTAGAGAATGATACAGAGTTCTCATACAGAAAACTGGTAGTGAAGGAAAGGAGAGAAAAGGAAAAGGCAGGCAGGGTCAAGGGGAGATTTTTTTTTTTCTTTTTCTAGATAGGAGTTAACTGGACATGGTTTGATTTGGTTTTGGTTTAGTCGTTGATTTTTAACTGAAAGGAAGACTCCCATTGACTAAATATTGAAGATTAAAGGAGATCAGAAGAGGCAGGACAGACTAGGATGATTCTGGGAAAGACAGCAGGTCTTCATCTGATTGGGGAAAGGGACAGGTGAATTACTGACAAGGGGATTCAACTGGAGGAAGTTCTCCCTTGATGGTCTCTATCATCCCTGCGGAATATGGTATCATAGTTAAGATATTAGAACCCTATTCAACCCAGTCTTCTTGATAAAGGAAGAGATGAGGAAAAAATAAGAGATTTTCTTTAAAAATTATGGCTATTGTATATATCACACTAAATAAACAGAAGAATAGACGGGAAAGAGATGCAAAAGAGTCAGCCATACATAGTTCCTTTGAATGAATCTAGGGAGCCAAATGGAAGCAAAATATCATTTTGCGAAGGCACATCTATGCTCATTAAACTAGACCATAATCTCCATGAACCCAGGATATGAGACTGTCTTGTCCACTATTGCATCCACAATGCCTATTTCAATGCCCAGCCCATACCAGGTACTCAATAACAGTTTTTTAGATGAATGAATAAAAATTCAAACACTTATAAGTTTTATTTAGTTATTTTAATCAAGGTTAAAAACAGAGCCAGCTTCATGGGTATGTGACCTGGGCAGTTTCACAGGGCCCCATGCCCCAAAGGGCCCCTGGCTTGGTTTAATGCTTTGCAGTCACTGTGAAATTTTCAATAATATGAACAAGGGGACTCACATTTTCATTTTGCACTGGGCCCCACATATTATGTAGCCAGTACTTCTTAAAAAAAAAACCACACGTTTCTATAAATTTTCAGTAAATGGATATTTTAGATGCATGTGAATGCCAAATTACCCATAGAAATTTATCTTTAAAATTAAAAAAGTATATTTCAGGCTTACCTGAAATGGTAGATTGTGGTTTTTCTTTCTTAAAATATGGTTCATACTCTCTGTAGACAATTTTCTTAAAGGAAGTTACAGAAAGATTCAAACTGGAAATAAAATACAAAAACTAATTTGAAAGGCATATTCAATATCTATTTCTCACATTACAAAAAAAGTAGATCTCTCATATCTTCAGACTTCTAGTAGAATACCAGTATCTTTATTGTATTTCAGAAGTCCACAGTTTTATAAATATGATCAATAAGTAAAGTTAATGAAATAATTATTGGTCTCTTCAAAAATATCCTGTTGTGATAACTATTTGTTCACAAGTTAATCTACCCTAATATCATTCCTCAGAATCAATTTTCTAAAAAGAACCCAATATCACAGTAGAAACCCAAACTGTAGGTTTAGATTTTATATGATTAAAATATGACCAAATCCTTTATGAATAAATATATGAGCTGTTTTTCAACTGATCAATCAAATATAGTTTTAATCTACTGGGGAACATTGTGAAAAAGTATTGATTTGGTGGAATTTATTTCTAGTTGAGAGGTGAGAGATGGCTAATGGGGTAAAAGCCCTGGGATTCATATTGGAAACAAACAAATGAAAAAACTGTTTTGGAAAGAGTCAGTAACTTGTCCAAGAGATACAGTTGATAAGTGGCAGAACCAAGATTAAAAAATGTGAAACCACTGCATTCATGATTTTAAATAAAATTAGAGAGAGGACAGACAACAGGGAGAGTTGTGAGTGGTGGGTTACTTTCCTGTTTTTGCTGTTGTTGTTATTGTTCTGTACCTCTAAAGGCAAATCAGTCTTATCCTTGTCTTAAACTCAAAGATGAGGGTAAAAGGAAAGAGAATTTGGAGAAAATACCTTGCAAATGTCTAAATCAGTTGATCAGAGTGGCTTTGTTTTGCTTCCTAATGTGGGGACAGTGGCCCAGCCATAATCAAGACATAACAGCACCCACATATGCCATGACTTCTATACAGCGCGGTGGCTAGGGTGCAGGCTGTGAATTCAGTATCTCTGGACTTGAAGCCTATATCTACCTCTTATTGTTTTACTTTGAAAAGTTTACTTCATCCATTTGTGCCTCAGTTTCTACAACTATGAAATGAGATTAATACTGAAATCTCCTTCACAGAATTGTTGTATAATTTTAAATAAGTTGATATGTGCAAAAGGCATAGAGCTGGCACACTAGAAATACTCAATCCATGTTAGCTAGTAATATTATTTTGTAAATGTAATAAGAGTTAGTCTTTACCCTTCAGGTTTTCTCAGAAAGCAAAAACAAATCTGTAGTTACAGTAATGCTCACAAATTGTAATATGTGGAATACAGAAACTGTGTTAATATGTGGGGGCAGAATTAAAGGAGGCACGTAAGTACTTTTAGAATAGCTAGATAGAGAAGGTAGTGGATTCTCCATCACTGGAAGCATTCAAGTAGAAATTAGACAACTACTTGGTAAGGTCATTGGTGCTGAGGGAAAGGGGAAAAGTAGAAGGTTAAAGCGTGGAAGTTGAATATGAATTAAATGAACTCTTAGCATTCTTCTAACTTAAGAATTCCAGGATTCTATATACTAATGTCCCTAATGTGGAAGTCCATTTTTATTTATTTATTTTTAGTACAATTGAAAAGTTATTGTCCTCCCCTGCCCCAGATCTTTAATACAGAAATGTAGATGATGGTGTAAAATCTTTACTAAAAAATATCAGTCTCTTACGTGGAGTAATTTCAACAGAGAGATGTTTCCTAACATGTTTTTACTATGTATGCTGTGTATTCATACTGAGGTATGTCTATTTTGATCTGAACAATTTCTATTGGAAAATAATCTATCTGATTAAAAAGTTACAGATCATATGAATTCAAACAATGTGTACGACGAGTTTTTCATTTATAAGGATTGTTTAAAGATGATTTGTTCATAATCACAAAATCATATAAAGCTAGAACCCTAGAAGGAAAATGTATGTATATCTTTTCTTCAATATCTCTTTGTATACATGTGAGTGACTAAACAAGTTTTCTAAGGAAATTTTTGAAAGTGTTCACCTTAGACTTGGAGCAAGAATAATAGATACATTTTACCTTTAAAAGGCATTGTCCTGCTAATATTATATGAAATAAGTAGATAGATGTCTGCTTTGTGCTAAAATACACTTTGCCAAAAGATGGAGTTGGCTATGTTGATATTCACCTAGTGAGTATCATAGCTCTAGGGGCAGGACAAGTTAGAACAAGTTCTTAGTTTAAGCAGCCAGATATATGGATTAGATTTTTCATAAGAAAATGCTAGAGAGAAATGATATGATTTAGGGTTAAACAATATGACAGTTTGTCTGGGTTGTGTTTCTATGGTTTTGACTCAACAATTCCTACCAGAGGAACGAATCTCCAGAACTTTGGAAACTTACCCACAGGATGAGGGGACAGAATGACCAGTCATGGTTCCCTGTGTACTCACCATGTGAATCAGACCTTTGCCCTATCTGGTTCTGCCTCCGGTATTTTGCTTGTTATTTTCAACGCTAACTACAGACAAGAGAAAAAACTCCCAAGCATGAACCCAGCATGCTACAAGAAAGCCAACAACCAAGTCTGCATTCTACTCATGAGCAGGCAAGATTAGTGTTAGAAGGACTGTTATTTTCCTTGGGGTTTTAGCTTACGGCAGTTCCCAAAGGGTGTGGGTGTGACCTAGATTATCACTTTGAAGTACGATATTTAAAATGATTATTTTTGAGAAGGAGGGATCTCTTCTTATTATAAGACCAAGATGGTATGTAATACCCTCCAAAATAACCCAGTTACAATGAGAGTTTTAAAAAGGTTAATATTATACACTAAAAGATCTCAAAATATTACATTATTTTTTGGCAGATTACTTTGGTTTTGTAATTGTAAAAGAGGAACACATCTTTCATAATGAAGTGTGATGTAAGGAAAAAAAGTGAGTCACACTAGCAGGTTTACCATTTAAAAAATAACTAACTGGAAATATTGAATAGACTGTATGATTTAGTTAATTTCTGAGAAGTCTTATTTTTAACATTTCAATTAGAAAAAATAGTTTGCAACTCAAGGATAGTATTTTATCTGAATTAAACCTCCTCTCAGTTACATATGCCTTTAAGTAGCCAAGGTAAACCATATCCCAGGACATGATGAACAGAGAGAAAAAAAAATGAAGAGTCACATTCAATAGGATAAATAAGTCAAATATGAAGCAGAAAAAAGGTGAAAGTACAAAAACATACAAGAACTGATGATATTTTGAAAGTCATTTATAAGGCAGCAATAAAATTATATGACAAAAAGCACAAGGTGTTCATTTTTAGTTTTAGAAGATGAAGCTATGTAGACAATGGAATAAATAATATGTAACTAGGAGTCTCATAAAAATACTATACAACTAAAAATCTGGAACAGGAGTTTGCAGGAAGGGCTAATGAGGGAGCAAGTGCCTGGTGCCTTTGAATTAACCAATATATAAGCCAACACAAACATACTAACAAAACTGTATTGAAAATAAACTTGAAAAGAAGGTAGCATCTAACCAATCAAATAGGGTGCTTTCTAAACCCTCAGAATGATAAACTACATTGTTGGATGCAAAATTAGCATTTGCCCAGTTTATTTAATTCAGTATACTCTCCTATTAGTTATATTTACTTACCTGAAGTTAAAAAAAAAAAAAGCCATGACATTGCAAAGGGAATGTTCTCTAAAAGAAATAGATTTTCCTCTCTAGAGAAGCCCACCCGGACTCCACACCTGAGTTACCTTGAGTTTGTGGGCTCAGGTCGGTAGCTCCAACTGATGCCCTGAGCAGCCACGTAGAACTGCCTTAGCTGTGCCGCTTCTGTCCCTTGGCTCCCCCAGCCTACCCAGCTGGTGCCCAAGACCACCAGGACCCAGAGGCGTGGGCAGCCTGGGAACATGCTTCCTTTCCTGCTCCCGCTGGCTGCCACCACCCCAGGACCTGGGCAGCGCTTGCCGAGCTGCTAACCACACTCCGGGCTGTCCCAGCTGCAATGAGCTCTAGAGGCTGTGGGTGGCAGCGTCCTCCTCCCCTGCAGTTCTTGCAAACGGCAGCAGCAGCCTCTGGCTCTCACTCCCTCCGCTTTTTCTGGGGCTTTTCCTGGCAGGGGTTTGGTGAGATCACAGCTCCCAGTGACCAGAGGTATTAGGGAGAGCAACCAAACTAGTGACTGTTTTACTGCAGGTGAAGAAGGGGCAGAGATCAGAGGCTCTAGCAGGCGGGACAATGCCCAGGGATTCATGAGCCGGACAAAGCTGTATCCCTCCATTTCCACCTGCCAACACCACGGAAGCAGTCGTCCGTTACCACTGACCTGAGGCCTGCCTGGGTCCAAGCTCACACTTGGAGAACCTTCTGTGCAGTGCAGTGGCACCCAACCACCTTAAGCAGATGGCTCCCCTTTTAATCTGAGGAAAAGAGTATTGTGCCCTGTTACTGGGCACTGAAACACTATTTTCAAGTGGTGAAGAAGCAGGGAACAAACACATGGACAAGGCCTACTGCTCTGAATCGCCTTCCTGGCCTCTATCAAGGCACAGTTCTGCCTTGATAAGGGCCTGTCGCCAGCTAAGCTGCAGCATAGCAGCGGGCTTGAAGAGCTTGGCTGAAAAAAATCAGTTGTCCAGATTTCAGTTTCACTTACTAGCTGTGTTGTCTTGGGCAAGTTACTGTACCTCTCTGTTCAGTTTTGACATCTGTGAAATAAGGATGACAATAATAATTTTTCCTGATAGGGTATGTTGGGAGGATAAAATGCTACTGTAAACTATAGTTCCAGCACTTAACACACAGAGGCTAGGCGCAGTGGCTCACGCCTGTAATCCCAGTACTTTGGGAGGCCAAGGCGGGTGAATCACCTGAGGTCAGGAGTTCAAGACCAGCCTGGCCAACATGGTGAAACCCTTCTCTACTAAAAATATAAAAAATTAGCCGGGCGTTGTGGTGGACACCTGTAATCCCACCTACTCGAGAGATTGAGGCAAGAGAATTGCTTGAACCTGGAAGGTGGAGTTTGCAGTGAGCTGATATCATGCCATTTTACTCCAGCCTGGGCAACGAGAGCAAAACTCCATCAAAAAAAAAAAAGAAAGAAAGAAAAAGAAAGAAAGAGAAAAAGAGAGAAAGAAGGAATCACAAATTTATTATTATGATCATATTTTCCTGTCTCCAGGACCCCTTGTATTCTTGTTTTTCTTGAAGGATCTGACTGTTTCACAGCACCTTAAATCTTACTTTGCTATTGATAGAGAATCTGCGAATTATATTGTCTGAGGCATCATAATGACTTGTCCTGGGTTCCCTGTATCTGCATGGCTCCAGGTTTCTGTCTTATGCTTTATGCATTCAGTACATTCAATAAATTGTAATCTGGCACCTCACATGAGGTCTCTGTTAATGATATCAGGCTCATCAACAGCCTCTTCCTCCCTCCCCACTCCCCCCAATATTCTGTCTTTTCTCCTGTGCTGATATTATTGCACCAACTTAGAATGCCCATTTTCTTCCTCTTTGCTGGGCCATTCTTTACAGTCCAGAGTTCTGCCTATCTCCCAGATTCTGGGCTCAAATTGGCTTTTCCATTTTATGAACTATTACAACACTATTCAAATTATATAATCATGTTAATTACCTTTTGTTATTCCATGCAGGTATCTATTGTCTCCCTAACTGAACAGTTGCTTACACTTCTTTATCTACAATATTATCAGTGTCTCCCAAAGTTGGCAGACCATCAGAATTCCCAGGGGAACTTTTACAAAATGTAGATTCTGACTCAGGAAACAGGGTTGAGACCAAAGTCCTAGAACACCTAGCCTACTGATTGACATTTAAATAAGCAGTCAGAGATGCTACTGGCAGTGTATCAGAGAAACGTTTTGAAAGCACTGTGTCCCTAAATCCCAAGGTTACTACCAGAATTGTTGCAACATTATTGTAACCTTTGAGTAGGCTGCTTTTTTATTTGCATGTTTGCTTATGTATATACAGTGTACATGACATATTTATTTAATTACATTTTACAGAGACAAGATGACTACTATAATTTTTGGCTCTCTATTTTTTTTAACATCAGTTCCAGATAAATACTATATAACTTTCAATGACCTATTTATTAAACATGGGATTTAAAGAACATGTAAAACACATTTGTTCTTCCCTGTAAAATATTAAGGTGATGAAGAATTTTTCCATTTCTCTGATTTTCTCTTGCAGTGTAGGGTGTGCGATACATATTTGCTGACTGAATGAATGGTTGAGGTGTAAATAGGACAACCATAATTGTGTGTTATTACACTGATGGTAAACAATGTGATGTATACAGACCTTACTGAACAAACCATAAAATAGAGGAACACGGCATTTGGGGAAAATTCTTTTAATTACGCATTTGAATATTGGTCTTTGGGTCATTTGAGGGACAGTGACTGGTGGCAGGAAGGTCCACGGTGACATGTGGCCTTCTAGCTTGATTCTTGGCCTTCTGCAGCCTCTGGTGCCATCCAGAGGACTCTCTGGAAGCCTCAGAGCAGAGGTCCAAGAGGCCTCATCAACAGCAACCACTGGAGACTCCAGAAGATGCTACAGGAATTTCTTCCAATTAGAGATGCCACCTGCTTTCCAACAAAGTGGAGAAAACCTTCCTTCAATCAAAAAATAAAGAGGTATTTTTATTTCTCCACAGTCTGGTCTTCTTGTGAGTCAGATGCTCCAGTCTCTTTGGTTCACTGGTATTTCAAGTAACAGGTGAGTCAAAGCACAGAGACTACTGCAGAAACATTTGCTCCTGGCTTCTGTGGCTTGTGTTACAGGAAGAGAAGAGGTGGGACAGGAAGGGGTGGTAGGTTGAGAATTTGAGATTGTACCACAATCCCAAACTCAGGAAACAGGGTTGGTCCAGAGCGGGTCCAACAGGCTGGTCCAGAGCTAATCTAAGGTAATTCCATGTCTTTGATTCATGGGTGTTTATGGAAACCTGCAGCAAATGCATTATAGTTAAGTCCAGTGTAGCAGGAAACTTGATGTTCACAACAGGATCATATGGAGGCTGAATGAGGAGACCAGGAAAAGGACAGGTCTCTGGAAATGAGACCAAAGAAATTTAAATAATTATCATTTCCTTAAAAAAATAAAAGAAAGAAAAAAATTGCTCATCATATCTACACCCTGAGGCGCAGCATAATCTTTTCTTTCTAGATTTCGAATATTCTGCCATTCAGGCTTTTTGTAGGACACTCAACTACCCACTTTTTGGGAGAGGGATAGCATCAGATTATTTTTGTTTTTCCAGCAGGTAGCATAGGGAATTGACTCCATAACAGTTCGTAAACATTTTTCAGCAGTCCTGACTTCTGCTTTGCAGGCAAGGCCACATCATCACCACCTAGCAGTTAATAATGGAAATGTTACACATCCTGAAATAAGTTATGTCTTGTTAGGACATTTCTGTCCTGGAGGAAATGAAAATCCTTTTGTGAACTCTTTTGTAACTCCATTGTCATACCTGTGTCCTACTGCCAACACAATTTCCTTCATGCCTGAAAATTTAATACATACTTAAAATTTAATATATGATTATGTAAAGAAAAGTTAAGCTTTATAGTCTTCCATTTTTCCCTAGTGTTCTATTTCCTTCAAAAATATCTTTATAGGGATCTTACCTTAAGGACTCGGGTCAAATGCAGCGTTTGTAAAAACTCCATATGTTCCTAGGTGGCTAAAGAACAGAAACACAAGGATGGCAACAATATACTGCTTAGTTCTCGACAACACAGTCCAACACATAGTATTTCCAGAAACCACAAATTACCATCCACCCTTGGAATTCTGCTTTAGAAAGGAAAGAAAAATAAATGCCAAAGAAATATTCGATATCCCACTTACCAGCTCTGGGTAATTTGCATTGCATTTTGCACCCACACTAAGTTATTGTTCATGCTTTATGTACTGAATACCTGTTATACCCTCTAAGTTGCTGCAACCTCTTCTAGGTGACAAGAGGTAGTTACAAAATTCTTGGCATTAACACTTGATAATCTAACGATAGTTTTCAAAGGGTGCAATATGACCCCTAGGGGTGTTTTTTGATTTTTATAACCAAGAGTTCTTCCGATATTGAGTGGGTATGGGGCAAGGGTGCTGGATGTCTACGACAATAGAGTTCATATAAGGATTTCCATGTCCTCCAGGACGGAAATGTCTTTAAAAGATATCCAGCACCCCTGCCTCCTGCCCACTCAATGTCAGTAGAACTCTTGTTCATTACAAAAATAAAAAAATACCCTTGGGGGCATACTGTCCCTTTTTGAAAACTATTGCTAGATTATAAATAGCAAGGGGTACAGGACACAAAAGAATTGTCCAACATCCCACATAACTTTGGAATATCTGCTCGATATTCATACAGGTTAAAAATCTCTGAGCCTGGAACTCAAGCACTTTACATGTAAATATTAAGCATTTTTTTGCATCTTTAAAATGCAATTGCCATATGAATCAAAGGACAATTATCACAGGTTTTCAGACTCTTTACCGGAGTTGTTCACCATGTTGAAAAATTAGGCTGGTGTTGGCCACAGTTCTAATGCTCTTTGAGTCACTAATACAACATTCCCCCATCAGTCCACCTGCGTGGGCGTTGCTTTCCTAGTGATTCTGTGGAAGGTGCACGCTTCTGATGACCTCATTGCATCTACTGGCACAGCGCCTAAGTTTTTGCATCTTGTTTTTATTATAAATTACTTTTCATTTTATTCCTACTTTATATTTTAATTAGAATATTTGTTATCTGTGTATTTTACTTCAGAGTAGAAAAGAAGACATTGCAAAAGACATTGTAAAAAGGAGGCAGGCATTGCATGTAATCATTCTGACATATTACAGTGAATTATAAAGTTAAGGTAGCAAAATTTACTCAATCATAAAACATTTCTACCTTACCTGTGAGGATTCAAGGGGCATTTCCCATCATCTAAAATCAGCAAGAAGACAAGAATGAATGATTAAAAAAAAAAAACAAGATGAAAGAGAGGGTCATTAAGGATAGAAATTACTGGGGAAAACCAGTAGACTGATTTTCAGGAGGGCTCATTATAAGGGGAATATTGGGAACAGTTTCTCCCTGAAAGGTAGAAAGTGTTTTAGGCTAAATTAAACATTCGACAATATTTAACTCCAGAGTCCTGTCACTTTCTTCCTCCTTCCTTTCAGTAAATACATAAATCAATTTCTTTTGAGGGCATCTTGTGTCACTTGCCCTCAGCCCTTAGCTGAGCAAGCTAATCACATACATGAATCCAAACCAACAGAACAGTGGATGTTTTTCCTCCCTGGTAGCATATTTTTATCCAAATAACAGACTCTCATAGTTGAATTTTCAGCTATGGCTGCAGCATTTTCCTCTTATTTGGCCATAGAAAACTTCAAAGCCTAAAATCAAATTGGGAGAAGCTGAGGAAAAAAGCTCCCATCCCCAACAAATGAATGTATTTATTATTAAAAATATTGGGGCATGAGTGGCCATTTGTCCTTCTCCACTGTTAGAGGGTCCTCTGGAAATGTCTCAAAGTCAAAGAAAGGACTTGGGGGAAACATCAAGATTAGAGTGATTCCTACATGATCATAGAGATTAAGGTCTAGGAGCTCTTGCCTCTGCCTTCTGGGTTTGGTTGAGCAAGCACACATTTTGCATGGAGGGATTCACTGTAGCTCTCAGTACATCTCTTTGGTATTGAAGCAGAGTATTGACCTTTGTCTATTGTCTTAGCCACTCACAGGAGAGTATATGAAGGAAATTTGGAAAAACAGCCTCAATGTTTTGGTAGCATTGTAAATGGAGAAAGAATAAGAGTAAGGAACACGTGGTTTTGCCTCTGAGCAGTTAAGAATAGGTGTTGAGACCTATGTCAACAATAGAGAAATTCAATGAGATCTCTTTCAGATATTTTAACATAGCCACTTTCCATTACCTTGATTTGAGCAATTAATGGTCTCTCTGATGCCCCCAGTTACTTTCTATGAGGAGTGATGAAGAAGAGCCCCATTAGGTTATAAACAAAACTTTATGAACTTATAGGCAGGCTAAGTGTCTGGAGAAGATTGAGAAAGGATGTTTTAAACCTTAAGAGATGGGATGTTCCCATCTTTAATTCCTAGACTAAAGTTCTTTTTCTGATGAACAGTCTGATGAACACAGTTTCCCTTACAGAGAGTTTTCATCTATTTGGTCTTCTCTGTTTAAATCCTGCATCAACTTTACAAATTTTCAGGAGAAAAAGCAAATCTCTTAGCTTATCACACCAGGTCACCAATACAGGGGCAGCTTCTTCTGCCCCTAACTTCATCTCCTGCCTCCTCCATAATCCCCTTTTGATTCAGATGCACTGAACTGCGAAACATACCATCTTCTCATTGATTTTACACTTTCATGTCTTTCTACATGCCATTTTCTCTGATGGAACTCTATTTCCATTTTCCCCTTGGCTAAATGCCTCTCATTCTTCAAAGCTAAGCTTGAAAAAGGCTTTCTGACCTGCCAGTCTGGTTTAGGCATCCCTAGTCTATGTTCTAATAATACCTAGGTTGTATTTGTGTCCTAACACACTTACTACACTTCACTACCGGCACTGATTTCACCTGTCTCCCCTACTGGATTTTTCCTTCCTTAATATCAGAAACCATCATTATGAGTCTCACACTCTAACAGAGTTGATGAATAAATGACTGCTACATGAAGAAATGAGTGAAGTCAGGAAGCATAACACCTTTCTAATTAGCTTTAGTGATAGCCTAGGGTACTTAGACCAGAGGCCCCAAATGCAAAACTGCAAAGTAGCCTCATTTGAATTTTGGGAGAGAGCTTTTGAAAAATTCAGATTTCCACACCCACTACCAAGTCTCCCCATAGAAGGATCTATATTTTTAGGAAGTTCCCTAGGTGATTCTAATGGACAATCAGTTCTCAAGATCACTTATCTTGGCTTTATTTTCTTTTAATGCAAATGTTTTCCAACATGAACTACTGAAGTTGTGGTTTTTGCCTCCCCACCCTAAATTACATAAATCAATTTCTTTTGATTTATGTAACCAAGATGCAAAGAGAAGACTCTTTCCTATTTACCTTTTTGTCTGAAACGCTTTCTTAGCAAAGCCAGGAGCGTCCCACCCATTATCAGACCTATCGTAGAAGCCACCGCTCCACCAAAGTAAGTCAGGGCTTCCTGGATAGTCAATGGTCCTGCTACAAAACAAACACACACACATGCAAGACATAAGAAGTGTATTATGCAAAAGACTAGTCTTTCTCTCCCAGAAAGTTTTCAAGAACTCTAAGATGTGCGATCAAGTAGGATCACCAAAGGTCCTGGGAATGCTGACAAGCTAACATGAAAGAAGATCTGGAATTCATAAATCCACTGCAACAGAATGGGAAGTGGGGCCTTATTTTATTCCTAAGGCTTAAATATAGACTGTAATTTCCAAAGGAATCAGGGTGAGGACCCAATAAAAGAAATTAAATTGTAGACACAAGAAGCCTATACATGTAAGTATGGGCAAATAAAATAAAAGTGGGGCCTTAATTTATTCCTAAGACTTAAATATAAACTGTAATTTCCAAAAGAATTAGGGTAAGGTCCCAATAAAAGAAATTAAATTGTAGACATAAGAAGCCTATACATGTAAGTTTAGGCAAATAAAATAAACTGTGCATAATTTTTTGGCAAAGATTCAGTTATGTAACAAAAGGCAGTCAGGACAAGCTATGAGGGGAAAAAATAGGGGGCTGAAATATACCTTGCAAACAGATGGAATTTAATTAAGGAAGATCTGCTAGGAGGTTTTTAGAGTTAGGTGGTAAGCAAAGGTCTTCTGAGATAATAAATTAGAAATCTGCATGAAATAACTCCCAGTTTAAAACATTTTGAAACTTCAAGGTCTGTTAAACAGAGATTATAACGAAGCAAAAGGTTTCATTTCACAAACTGAACACTGAAGAGGAGGGGTGATTACCTACACAGTCACTGGGTTTAATTTCCACTACTTTATAAGGCAAGGAGATTCTGCCTGATTCATTGTGAAACACTTATTAAGCAGGGGGAAACCCGGGGATGGAAAGCAAGACCACTATGAGAAAGACACAGGGAAGAAACACTGATTTTGTTATTTTCCACATCAAAGTGACTTCTTAACCCACATGAAAATTGTACCTTGGCAGGTTGGCACGGTAGTTGACCAGTGGCCATTCTCTTGGCATGCTGTTTGTGCAGAGCCATTAAGTAACTGGCCCTCTAGACAATGGAAAGAGCAGATTGATCCATAACTGAAGTTTCCCCAGAGGTTGGAGCAGTTCATCGCTATTGGCTTATTAACATGTAGTTCTGAGCATTTCACAGCTGCAGAAAAGAAATAATGCAAGAGAAACAACATGTGGATTGGAGGTGAAAGAGATTATAGTTTCTTTTGTAACCTAACATTGCCAATAAATGAGGCAGAATGTAAAAGGTCAGAAAGGATATGAGCCACTTCCAATATTCACAGTAGCTCTTCTAACAGCACATATATGAAAATATTCTCTCGAAGGGTGATATCCAAAGAACCAAGATGCAAAGATGGACACATAGTAGCATCCGACAAATACCTGCTAATGCATTGATAAATCTTGCCTCCAAATATACTATTTACAAAATTTTGGTTCTTAAAATACTGTTAGTCTAAATGTTATTACTACATTTGTGATCAACTGGCATGTCAGTATGTGTTTATTGAAATACTTAATAAGTGTTCAGCATATCTGGACACTGGAAGTTTGAAAGAAGTAGACTGTCATCCTCCTTAAACTACATTTTCAGGGAACTTCAGGGTTATTCTTTCTAATTTATGGATAGGAAATTAAAGGTCAAGAAATTAGATTTAATTCAAATAAATGTTATTTATCAGTAGTGACATTTGCAAAGCACTGTGCTATGTTTTGTGGGGGATACAAAAATGAAAGAAACATAGGTCTCAATGCTTTATGTGTAGGGCGATAGCTCTTCAGGAAATATCATGTATGGCTTAACTTTTTATTTAGGTTCAAATTATTATGAAAATATGGAATGTTTATACTGTCACATAATATGCAACTTCTAGTTTACCAATTTCTATAGCAGGTTTTACATTTAATATGTCTATTTTTCTAACACATCTTGGACATCTGCAAATGTTTCTTCCTTTAAGTCTCTGAGTACTTGTGTATTAGCTTTAGCTTGTGACATGAGGAAGGACAGAAGTGAAATGCCTGTGACACATTACTTCTAATGGGATTGGTGTGGATTTCATAAGGGAGATGACACTTGGAGTAGTGGTTGTGGTTGGGTGAGACTTCAACATACAGGCACAATGGCTAGCTTGAGTACTTGCAGGAAGGCAGGTTCAGAACTGCCTGCTCCTTTTCACCTTACCTCTGCATGCTGGAGTTACTGCTGTCCATTGTCCTGAAGGTCTGCAGCTGAGAGTGCTGTCTCCTATGAGTGTGAATCCAGCGTTGCAGCCAAAGTAACAAGTGGTATTAAAACCAAAGGTTCCCGGATGATGCCTACAGTACATGGTTCCCTGCCCAGGAGTGGTGAGGGCTGGACATTGCACCCCTGGAGTAGGAAGTGATGCTATGCCTGTTGTGAGAAAATGTTTCCATTCAGAGACCTCCCAATTAAAAGAAGCGTTAACAGAGTTAAGGCTAATCTGGAATAACTGCTTTTCACTCCCTTCATAACAAGGGAGGCTCCTGCAAGAGCTATTTAAGGAAGTTAAGAAAAACTATCAGTGTCAGAGATAGAAAACCAGATGAGGAAAATTATTAAAAATCATCCTTGAGGAGATGATTCTCCTGGCCAAGAGAAGAAATCAGAGGAGTCATTGTTGTTGCTATTTTAAAAAGAAGCAAGAAATGGTACAGAAATATAAGAAATTCAGCAGAAAGCCAAATATACATGGGCCAACTGCCTGCCCAACCCTGCCTTATTGGGAAATGGTACTGTTCTCTGACTAAAGGTCAATGTGAAAGTTGAAATTTACTGCAATGATTGCTTTCTGTCTCAAACTATTTCTTCCATTTGAATGATCCCACCAGCTTTGTCATTAACTTGCCATGTGGCAGGAAGATGATGATTGACCTCTCTGCACCTCAATTCCTAGATTTGAAAAACTGGACCAGTGACTCTACCCCAGTATTGTCTGTTTCTCTCAGCAATAAATTAATGGAGACCATTCCGTTCACTCAACAAAGCTCTTTCAAAAAAAGAAGCCATGAAACAAAATTCCTGCTTAAGAATCAATATACCTTTTATTCACAAACATAAAAATATCCTGTCACTCCTTAGACATTTTAAAATCCTTCAGCTGTTTGCTAAACCCAAATAATGGTAATATATACAATTATCTAGTTCACATATAAGAACTAGATAATTGTTTGTTGTTGTAGAATAAATTTCCAAAAGTAGAACTGTCTTAGCAAGTACATATTATTACCTTTGCAGGTTGGTGGAGTAGCTGACCATCTTCCAGAAGTTGTGCATTCCACATTATTGGGCCCCTCCAGCTTAAAGCCGTTGTCACAAGAGAAATGGCAGGTGGAGCCAACATTGAATTCTCCACGAGTGTCAGAACAATCCAGGCTGCCCTGCTCTGGGGCAAAGAGTTCTGGGCACTTGATGGCTAGAGTATCAAATTAAGAGTGTCACAATCTCCAAGTTTATTCAGAAGTTCTGTGTTACACAAAGTTCATTCACTTATATATTCAAAAAATATTTATTAAGCACCTATATTCCAGGTATTTTGCTAGGCAGCAGCATTCCACAACATATCATGTAGGTCATTTGCTGCAAAGGGCAGTGGGAGGATGGTAAGCTTACAGAGAAGAGTATAGGTACAAGTCACGAAGACAAAGAAGTCAAAGATTTAGGCAGCCATACTCAAGAACTTACAATGTCACCCTATTTTCTCTACACCCTCTGCTTCAGAGACCTCGTAGCCTGCCGCAGCTCCCTCTATCTTACTTGAATGGGTGCAATCCAGGATTTCATTTCCGCCCTTCCTCTTGCCTGAGACTACTTGCTCCCATATATCATGCCATCTTCTCAAATTCAACACACCTAAAACTGCAATGATTGCTTTCTGCCTCAAACTATTTCTTCCATTTGAATCTCCTCACTAATTGTTTTGTTTATTTTGCTGTTGTATTTTAATACCACCCATCCAGATAACACAGGAAAACTCAAAACCTCCTGGTCAAGATAGATTAGTTTCTTGGAATTCCCTGAAGTGACTTTGTGTGTTATTGCTTCTGGTTCTTGGCTCACATTCCCCTGAGAATTTTTCCACTTTTATGGCGTAAAATCCCACTAATCCTCCAGGATTTAACTCGTAAAGTCTCTGAAGACTCTGCTGATCACCACAGCCTGAACTCTTCTCCTCTGAATTCTTCAACTTTTTGTCTGAACTGATGTGCTGTCATGTCCCATGTCATACCCTCACTCTTCTACTGGATGGGAAAGTGTCTAAAACCCAAGAATGATTCATCCTTGAGTCTTCCATAACTCCCATCCCAGGATCTCAAGAGGCAGTGCTCAGTAACCACTTGCCAAGTGAATGAATAAATGAATTTAAATTTTAATTCACAATTTCCCCCCAAAAGTATTTTTACAAATTATTGCAGTTACATATTTTCTTAGCATTATTCTTTTCTCCCCATTAATTCTCTAATATAAGACTATTATTTATCAATAAATGTTGGGTTATAGACAAATGAAGTGACTATTCTTTCTTTAAATCTAAGGCTATTCTGACAACAATACCTTGGTCAGATAAGTCTCATTTACTTAGATAGTTTGATTTTTACAAACCTCTTCAAGACCTATATGCTCCCTCATGGAAAACCAATGTACAGTATTTGGCTTTTACATACTGGCCCATGTATTTTTCAGTAACAAGCTATTCATTGAAGGATTATGGATTCTTATTGCATGAATCCATTCAAATAGCCAAAATAACACAGTGAATTTCAGTTCAGTACTCTCAAATTGTTGAGTAATTAACAACTTCATATCTGACACATCAAATCAATTTACTAAACCTTTTTGAAACATGTCTACTGGTGTAACTCCTAGACATGAAGTCATCTGTGAACATTTTCACAAAAATAACTTTTTCATAATCTCCCAGAATTACAACTTTAAACTGAAGAATATGTATAATGTCAGCTGCAGGAAAGCAGGGACCTTGTCAGTTCTTTGAACACTGTATCCCAGAGAACAGGGCCTGACACATAGGAGGGGTTCTACAAATACTTATGAATTGAATGAATACAGTAATGAATACAATTTAATTTAAATGCATTCTAAAAGGTATGCCTACCTGGTTTGAAAAGAAACAAGAGGAATTACTGTTTTTAAAAATTAACCGAAGGGGGCCCTAGTATAAAATGAGAACTACTACAGCATTAAATTCATTTGGGGGATAGTGCTTTGGTTTCAGTCTTATCAGTCATGCTCAGCCAAGGTTACATATCCAGACTTTCATATTTATAAAAGTCTCTGAACTCTCTCAGGTAAAAATTAACCTTGACCCTTACATACTAAGAATTTGGCTCTGGATCATGTAAAGAAGTGGGTTTACCTGTTTGAGGGGCAGCCTAGATGAGTTACATGGAAGCCTAACCCAGATCCGGCATATGGTGGGCACTCAGCAAACATGGGATGAATGACATTTGTGGAGTTATCAAGGATGCTGCTGGAATGGAGATTAGTGCAGATGCAGGAAAAGAGTTATACCCAGGAATGACTTTTGTGCATAACTTTGAGAAGTGGTCATATTCTTGAGCCTACTCTAAAACTTTGGCAAAAAAAAAAAAACTCCTGAATAATTACAAAAATAGAAAACAGATAAGGTTTGCATTTATTGCACGCTTAGTGTTCTATTTTCACTGACTACCAAGGCAGTTCTATCACATATGGGTATTCATTGGTGTTCTTCTATAGTCCATCAAGAAAGTATACATGATTGCATCTGAATTCTTAAACATATTGATTTATATTATTTCAAATAGATTTAGTAAATTATCTGTTTCCTTTCATTATATCATTTTACTTGAGTTTGATAGAGTTTTCTCAATAATTTTCTGGAAAGAAGATATAGTATGAATAATAAATGTATCTGAGTTGAATATTGTAAACTCAAACTTTAGGAATAAAACTAGGAAGCCCCACAGATTCAGAGAAATGTTGGGGGAATGAAGAAAAAAATGGAGATGTCAGCTGGGCCAGAGTTTTAGGGGGCACCAGTTCACCATATTTTAGGACGTGAGTAAGCAGGCACATGGCAGAAGAGCAGAGTTGAGGTTGGGACTTGGAACCAGGACCCCTCCCCACGCAGTGAAAATAGACATTAGGAGTTGGGTTCAGCAGCCAAACATGGTCACCAGAGGATCAATGACAGACAGTGTTAAGGGATTAGGAATTCAGCAGTCTGTATCATGAAAGTGGTCCAACAGGCAGGGACAGGAGGGATACGGAAACTGTGTACAAGCACTCCATCATGCAGGTGGCATCATCAAAGTTGGCACAAGAACCTCAAGCACTGCTTAGGCTCATGAAAAGGACTTCAGGTCCTGAAGGGCAAAGGCAGAGACAAGGCTGAAAAATAACCGACTCTCTGTATCCAAGGGTTCTGCATCTACGGATTCAACTCGTTGTGGATCAAAAACATTCAGAAAAAAAATAAATTATATAAAGTTCCAAAAAGCAAAACTTGAATTTGCCATGTGCTGAGTATGTTGAATCCATGCAGATGAAGTGATGTGTAGGCTTTGCATTAGGTATTATACGTAATCTAAAGACGGTTTAAAAGTCTAAAGGAGAATGTATGTAGGTTATATGCAAATATTATGCCATTTTATATAAGTGACTTGGGCATCTGGGGATTCTGGTATCTGCAGGGAGTCCTGGAACCAATTCCCCCTGCAGATACTGAGGAACAACTAGGCAGAGGCCACATCCCAGAGGGCCCAGGGAACCGGCATTCTAACTAAAGTGGAACTATCGGTAGAGCCATCCCCCAAAATGAAATCTCACATTGCACTCTGAAGAGACAGCTTGAGAACTCCACCTGCCACACTGCCTCTGCTTACTTGGAGGCCCCTGAGTCCATCTGATGTATCCTAGAACTCTGCAAAACACCATGTGAAAATTGGGGTTCTAGGGGGCAGTGCTGAGGGTTAAAAATTAATGGGTTCAGGCATATGGGAAAATAAGAGGAACCATTTGCCTAAATTTAGAGCATAAATTTGGAGAACGAAGAAGAAACACAAATGCAAAAACCAGGGCTCAAGATCAGGATCAGTCAAGGTTGATAATTCCAAGGGCCATAGTGGGTTAAAGCTGCTGTTCATGGTCAGGGTTGGGTCTTGACAGTGAGTGGGGATGGGGCCTGCAAAGTGGGAGGCAAATGCCTCCTCCTGCAGAGAAAGGGGGGCTGGAAAGTAGTGAAGGGAAGCAAGGGCTTTAGAGATTACAGATTTAGCAGCCATGTTGGTTGCCTACATGATTTAAAATGTGAATGAGATTTTTAAAGGTTTTTTTAAATATTCTTTAGCCTTAAAATGTGGGAAAATAGAACTTATGAGAAATGTCAATGGAATAAATGAATAAGAGAGTGAGGAATAAATGAATGAGTGAAAAACCACAAGCCCAAATGCTTTCCTCCATACATGTTCTAGAATTCTCAGGGAACTTGTAGTATATCTTTTTGACAGCAGATGGTAGCATTTTATGTCTTTCACCCTACAGAATTCTTGACCAGGGAAGCGACCTCAAAGATGGTCTGGTCCACTCTTCTCCTTTTGGAATTGAGAAAACGGGAGCCTAAGGGTGTGACAAGACTTTCCTAATGGCACATGACTTGGAGAGAGAGCAATACAAGTCTTTGGATATTAATCTAGTGCTCATTCCACAGGAAGGAATAAATAATATTTTAGCTGTTTTTGTGTAACACGAATAGATTTCTACCAACATATTCTCTCATCTGATCACCAGGCACTGCCATTTCTAAAGTTCATTTAGCAGTTATAGCTGCAATCTGTGGAGTGGAAAAGAGTAAATTCACAAGTGACTTACCTGAGATTCAGAAGCTCTGCCACTGGGTGATAGTGTAGTTCAGTGGTCAAAACACTAGCCCTATAATCAGACTAGGCCTGGGTTTGCATCCTGTCTCCATACTTCAAGCTATATGAACTTTGCTAGCTACTTAACCTCTCAAAGCCTCAGTTTCTTCACCTTTAAAATGGGCATAGTAATAACCAACTTAAGGGTCATTTGTGTGGATTGAATGTGATGATGCTTATGAAATAGGTAGTCCTACATTAAGCAATAATTATTACCATTATCACTGGTCTCATTATTACTAACTCTACACTGAACAATACATTAGAACAATAGCACCTTTTGCAACTAAACAGGAGCTATGAATTAATTAATTCAGTGCACTTCTATTTTAGAACATAAAATATACTAGATACTTTGCCAGCCAGATGTCTCAGGGGAATTAAAGACAGATAAGATCTGGCCCCTGCCTTTGAGAATTCCACTAAATTACCAAAGCTTGTGTTTGAGTAAATTTTACTGGTAAATGATCACCTTCAATTCAACAGATATTTGTCACACACACCCATTTTTATTCTGTCTAGCTGCTGCAGGGGGTATAAAGATGAAGAAGGCACAGCTCCTGCCTTCAAGAAGCTTATATTCAATATAGAAGTGGAGAGAGGAGGGAAGTGCACACATAGTTATGCTAGGGTTAAATCTCACCCATCCCTAAATAAGGTCTGTGGCTGGGATTTAGTAATGCTCAGTTGAAGGTGAATGTAGGAATGAAGAAATGAAGAATGTAGCTGAAGAAGACTCTGTAAGGAAGTAAAACTTTCAGTGACATAGAGCTGAGCCTTTTCACTTACTAACAGTGTGACCCTGGACGAGTTATTTAACCTCTTTAAGCTTGTGTCTCTTCCTTATCTATAAAATGAGATGATACTGCCTTTCCTTATTATTTTAGAATTGTGGTAAACAGGAATGCTATAATGACATGAAAGCACTTCCTGAAACTGTGCAATTTTTTTTTGAGACAGAGTCTCACTCTGTCACCAGGCTGGAGTGCAATGGCACAATCTCAGCTCACTGCAACCTCCACCTCCTGGGTTCAAGCGATTCTCCTGCCTCAGCCTCCCGAGTAGCTGGGACTACAGGCATGCACCACCATGCCCAGCTATTTTTTGTATTTTTAGTAGAAACGGGGTTTCACCATGTTGGCCAGGATGTTCTTGAAACTGTGGAATATTTAACTAAAGCTATTAAAATATTATTTAAAGAGAGGGAGAACTTTTTTATCTAGATTACCATTGTTGTGGAGAGTGTTGTTTGCTTCAGCTCAAGAACACTTTTATATAAATCCCTGATGATTCTCCATTCTCTGATGTCATCTTTAAAGCCATAAGAAAGGACAGACCCACAGCCTACCTTCACACATTGGTGGGGAGTCTGTCCAGCGTCCCGATCGAGTACAATCCAATCTTTCTGGTCCAGACAAAGAATATCCCTCGTCACAGATGAATTGACATGTGGATTTATAACTGGAACTTCCAAGAGGTTGAACACAGGTCATTGTTCCATTCTGAGGGCTTAGCAAAGGTGTGCAGGGAATGGCTATCATGGGCATGGCAGAGGAGAAAAGAAGAGATCATTTTATAATTCAGCAACCTGAACTCTGTAACTCTCTCTCTCTTTCTCCCTCTCTCTCTCTGTGTGTGTGTGTGTGTGTGTGTGTGTGTGTGTGTGTGTGTGATTAATATACAACGATGGTATTTGGCTAAAAGTGATTGTTTGAATTTCATGATGCTTCATCACCAGTTAGAGATTGTAGAGGTGTAAAATAGCAGCAGCTTACAGTTGATTGACATCCTGAAGTGCTCAATCACAAACAGCTTTAGAGGTGATTTTTAAAGGAAGCTGGTGCTCTGTTTGGGAGGATAGTGGTGCAACTCATTTTTGTTGCTTCTAGACAGGGGTGGAACTGGTTTCTCCCTTGATACCTTCTTCAGAAACACCCCAATGACCTTACCAGAAAACAATGACAAATGATTGGAAACACAGAAATGGAGGAAAATACTTTCTTCCCCCTTTCCCAACCAAGTGGTGGAATCTGCGCCCAAATTTTGGCTCTGTTACTTGCTAGCAATCTATCACTAGACAATAACCTTTCTGAGCCTCAGTTGCTTTATCTTCGAAATGGGAAAAAGGAAAATCCTTGCATATGTGCCACATTTTCTTAATCCAGTCCATCATTGTTGGACATTTGGGTTGGTTCCAAGTCTTTGCTATTTTGAATAGTGCCGCAATAAACATACCTGTGCATGTGTCTTGGTAGCAACATGATTTATAATCCTTTGGGTATATACCCAGTCATGGGATGGCTAGGTCAAATGGCATTTCTAGTTCCAGATCCCTGAGGAATTGCCACACTGACTTCCACCATGGTTGAACTAGTTTACAGTCCCACCAACAGTGTAAAAGTGTTCCTATTTCTCCACATCCTCTCCAGCACCTGTTGTTTCCTGACTTTTTAATGATCGCCATTCTAACTGGTGTGAGATGGTATCTCATTGTGGTTTTGATTTGCATTTCTCTGATGGCCAGTGATGATGAGCATTTTTTCATGTGTCTTTTGGCTGCATAAATGTCTTCTTTTGAGAAGTGTCTGTTCATATCCTTTGCCCACTTTTTGATGGGGTTGTTTGTTTTTTTCTTGTAAATTTGTTTGAGTTCATTGTAGATTCTGGATATTAGCCCTTTGTCAGATGAGTAGATTGCAAAAATGTTCTCCCATTCTGTAGGTTGCCTGTTCACTCTGATGGTAGTTTCTTTTGCTGTGCAGAAGCTCTTTAGTTTAATTAGATCCCATTTGTCAATTTTGGCTTTTATTGCCATTGCTTTTGGTGTTTTAGACATGAAGTCCTTGCTCCTAGGGTCATTTTTCAGCCACTGACTTAAACAGCATGAGGTTTCAAGAACACTTTCTACGCCTTTCTCTTCCCTTCATTCCTTCCCCTCTCTAGCTACATTCCTTTCAATCTGATCAACTTGTCCAAAGATCTGGTTCTTTTCTTCTAGTTGAAAAGTATTTCTGTAGTAAGTGTGTATGTGGGGCTGGAGAGGACACAACTCAAGAAGCCTATAAACTGCAAGGACTTATGGGGGAAAGGGTGTGGGTGAGGATGTTGGTACCACAGAACCCATTTCCAGCTCTTCTGTGGCTTTGCCTTCTGACAGCAGGGGTAGATGTGGAGGGGTGGGAGGACATTAAAAAGGGAAATTGTCTGATAACACTCTCTCAGAAGTATTACAACAGCGAGTGGATTGCACACTGCATGGTACCTTCCTGCCCAGCCCACATTTGGGTATTTCACTTGATGTGCACCCAGCAACAAGAGGAGAAAGTTCAGAGTAAATAAAGAACTAAAAGCAGAAGGGAACTGGAAGGTCACAGGAAGCCGTGGTGAGTGGCAACCTCCTTGCTGTGAAACACCCAGAGGCAGGACAGTATGGAGCAATGAACTGTAATCTGTGCCCTGCACCACCCAGGCTTGCCTGTAAGAGTTTCAATCACTGTGATCACTGTCCTCAGGGATTCCCAGTTCTTCCCACAACTTCCCCAAAGTTGTGTGGACTTTGTGATATGTCCAGACTTCAACGTAGCCAGGATGAGCACTTAAGGGGCAAGGTCACAGCCCCGCCCTGTTCTCTCCAGACCCAGCTCTGAAGGTGCACCCAACCCTAAGTCCAGGGGCTTGCCATCCTCTCTGGTGCCTGGCGATGAAGGACATTCAATTCTGCTGTTTGCTTGTCCATTTGTTCATTCATTCATTCATTCATTCATTCATTCATTTACTGTTGACCTAGCTTAACAATGGGGTGTGTGTGTGGGGGGTGTGTGTGTGTGTATGTGATTATGCTTTTGTGTGACCTGAATAGTGAGTGGTTTCCTTTTAGTAAAAAATATGTATCTGCCCACTTTCACTCAAATGTTGAAAGTCTATACAAAGTGAAAGGTATGGCAAATAATGTAGAACTGTCTAGTCTTTTACCCATTCAACTTTATTGTTAAAATTGTATATACATCATAAAAATATTAATTGCATAGGAGGAAAAGCGGAGAAAATATTGGAAGAATTCATACCAGAAGCCTAACAGTGTCTATTTTAGGATAGGAGTATTTAAGAGGATATTTCTTCATTTCTTTATTATATTTCTGCAGATTTTTATAAATGAAAATCTTGCGTTTAAAAAGCAGCATTGTCTATAAAAGTTAACTAAGGAATTGGATACATTGAGGGGGAAAAAGCTTGGGGAATATAAAAAATATACGTCTATCCTTCAATTCACAAACATGGATGACTAGAACCCGTTCAAGTTCATACAAGATGTTGCAATACTGACAGAGCACACTGGCTTGTTAAATATCAAGTACAAGGCCGGGAGCAGTGGCTCACACCTGTAATACCAGCACTGTGGGAGGCCGAGTCAGGCAGATCACCTGAGGTCAGGAGTTTGAGACCAGCCTAGCTAAGATGGTGAAACCTCATCTCTACCAAAAATACAAAAATTAGCTGGGTGCAGTGGTGGGCACCTGTAGTCCCAGCTACTCGGGAAGCTGAGACAGGAGAATTGCTTGAACCCGGGAGGCGGAGGTTGCAGTGGGCCGAGATTGTGCCATTACACTCCAGCCTGGGCGACAGAGTGAGACTCCGTCTCAAAAAATGTATGTATATCAAGTACAATGCAGATAGAATGTTTATACTGAATCCACACATTTCTTTCTTCTGAGAATCCCGTAACCTCCAGTATACAGATTAGTTTTTCTCTTTTTTCTATCACTCTTCACCTTATTCTAAGTCTATTTCTCCAATTTTATACAGATCTTGGAGTGTTTGCAACTGGGTACTTGTAAATTCTGCCCCTCCCATTTTACCATTATACCCTGTGGTTCCTAGAAGTGCCAGACCAGCCTTGGGACAACCACTCTGAAGCAATTTTTTTCCCACCTGGTCTTCTTTCCAGATGCCATGTTTGGCCAGGTGAGAAGAGTTTACCTGGTTTGTGGCAGGAGCCTTCAGGTCTGGGTAAAGACCCTGATAAGGAGTTAGCAAGGGCCATGCCCTACTGTCTATGGCCAGACATCCTGACACTTGTGTAATCTGCCTATCCCCCGGAGGCATTTGCATTTGGGATCCTTGGGTTATAGGACAAGAGGATGAGTGAGAGTATTTATGAATTTTCCAGTCCATTTCAAGGTGGATCTTACATAGTTGTCACCTCTAAAATCCAGCCTTTAAAAATACTGCCTACAATTTATTTCCATGATGTTAGAAAGAATACACTCTTACCTTGGCATTCTGGAGGAACAGAATTCCAGTTTCCAGTAGCCAAGCACTGTAGCACACTTGCTCCCACCAGGAGCAAGCCTTCATTGCAGGTGAAGCTGCAGACTGACTGGTACCTAAAGGCACCGAAGGGGTGGGAGCAGTTCACCCGGGCCTCATTTGGAACTGGGAGATCCTGGCACTGCAAAGCTAAGGGATGAGGAAGTAAGGAATAAAGAAACAGTAATACACATGTACTCATTGATTTTTGACCATTAACTCTTTCTAGTGTCAAGAACAGGGATTCCTGAATTGGGCTTGTTTAACATAGAAGATAAGAAAAAGTGTCATTTAATTATAACGGCACATGAAGGATTTTATTAGGAAATGCTAAACCTTTGTTGAGCATCTTGGCAACATGTGTCAATAATTTTTAAGTTATCATGCTTTTGGACCCAAGAATTTATGCTAAGTATGTAATCAAGATGCATACCAAAAAATCTATTTAGAGATTTTTGTGAAGACATTATTTGTAAGAGCGGAATATTGAAAACAAACACAAATGCCATTAATTGAGGGTGGAAATTAATGATGGTGGATCCATGAAAAGAATGTTAAAGGTCACTAAAAATAATATATTTTAACTTGTAAAGATAGGAGAGAGGTCTCAATGTATGATGTTAAATAAAAAATCAGAGTAAAAATTATAATATACACCATGATCTCAAAGATGTAAAATAAATAACCATATACGAAGAGAGCACACATATTCCATGTGTTGTCTCTTCTCATCTTTAAAATGGTAGTAATAATTGTAACTACCTCATAGAGTTAGACTGAGATCATAGAAAGTGCTCAATGAACATTAGCTGCTATATTAGTAGCAGTGGTAGTAATAGATAGTAATAATATCATTAAGGCTTTGCGTCACATGCAGACACTGAGTTCAGGAGTGGGAAACATTCAGAAGGCCTATGAAGGGGGTTAGTGAGACCACATCTCTGGATACTTAAGAGAATATCCAACTATCTTTTCTTGATTAGACATTTACCTTCCTGGAGACAACAATGGCTTGAATAATCCCTTATGATCCGTTTTAAGTGTGTCAAAGAGCTCATTGTGTCTTTTTCTCCCAGATAACATATACAATACATTCCATAACTCAGACTAAGTGTCAGCATCATGGTGTATAGCCATCTATTCTATTGCCTTCTTGTTTTTTCTTTTTTTTTTTTTTTGCTGTTCAATTTTTTATTATAGTGAGATATACGTAGCATGAAATTTAATTTACCATTTACCATGTCACCAATATCAAGTGTACAGTTCAGTGGTATTAAGCACATTCATATTATTGTGCCACCATCACCATTATTCATCTCCAAAACTCTTTTCATCATCTCAAACTGAAACTCCGTATCCATTAAACCATAACTCCCTATTTCCCTCTTCCGCCGAGCCCTTGGCAACCTCCGTTCTACTTTCTGTCTCTATGACTTTGACTACTCTAAGTTCCTCATATGAGTGGAATCATACAGTATTTGTCCTTTCATAGTGGCTTATTTCACTTAGCATAATGTCTTCAAGGTTCATTCATGTTTGTAGCAGAGGTCAGAATTTACTTCCTCTTTAAGGTTGAATAATATTCCACTGTAAGTATGTGGAATACTTTTTACTTATCCTTTCATCCATTGATGGGTGTTTGGGTTGCTTCCACATTTTAACTGTTGTGATTAATAGTGCTATGAACATGGGTGCACAAATATCTCTTCAAGACCTGCTTTCAAACCACTGCCTCATTTTAAAATCAAGGTATACTTAGGAACCCAGAGGAGTCACATAGATTGCTCAGAGGTCTCCGTAAATGAAAACACAAAATGTCAATATTACACTTCTGGAACATGACTTTAGTGTGAGGTACTCCTCGTAAAAAAAATAATAATCCTTGTGAACCACCACACCCGCCCCCCATGAGTGCCTTAGTATAAGAGCAAAAGATTAGAAACCTAACATATTGAAAGAGGATCATTTTGTCAAATCAGACCACAGACATGTGATTTATAAGGTAACATGTCATCATCATCATTTTCCCTATAAATCCTATAAGAGTTTTAAAGTTGCGTTTACACACATTAATTCACAACTACTAGTGAGGCAGGTAGGTAAGGCTGATAATAGTAGCCCCATTTTACAGAAGATACTGAGCCTCAGAGAGTCTAAACCACTAGCTTAAGGACAGGAAGTGACAGGACTGAGCTAAACACCTTGTCCATTACCCTTCCCCATCCCATGCTATTCCTCATGCATGATTTATTCCCCCAAGCCCCATCTTCTTCATTCCAATGCACCCTATATGTGTCAATCAGTGCAAACCTCACCTTGACTATACTATAGTGGACATGTGCCTAAGACTGGCTTCACGCACCGTTTCATCTCATCCCTGGTCCCAAGCACAAAGGACATGGCCCATAGTAGGTTCTCAGTGAATATCTGATAAAGAAAGGCATGCCAATGCTCAGTGCAGATGCTGATGCCTCTAACGAGCTGAGACACACAGAAAAACATTACCACTGTTACAGTACCTTGACAGACTGGGGCTGGTGCTGTCCACTGTCCCAAGTTATCACACCGAACTATATCGGCTCCTCTCAGCATGAAACCTTCAGCACAGCGGAAGCTACAGTTGGTGTCATACTGAAACGCTCTCAAGGATGGAGAGCAATCCATGCTTCCGTGGACAGGACTCTCCAGCGGCTCACACGAAATAGCTAAGTGGAAAAGGTATCTTCTAAAGCCAGGTAATGGAAGGGCCGGGTTCTTCCTCAGAAAAAATTCCTAGATGCTATATCTTTCCTGTCCACATTTTCAGTGTGTTCAGAACCCTAAAACCTCCATTTTCCAAAAGAGAGACTGCCTGGAACACCTTCCCATGCCCCTCTTGGCCTGACTCACTCTCACCTGCCCTTCAGGTCTCAGCTTAGACTTCCCTTTCCTTAGGAAGCCCTCCCTTCCCACCTTAACTAAGGGTAGAAGCCCCTGCAATGTGCTCCCACAGCCTCTGTTCTTGCGCTGTTCATACATGATTGTCATTCTTCCCCATTATACCGTGGTCTCCTCGAAGTTGGGCTCAGTCATTCATAGTTTTATTCTGGAGCTGAGCAGAGTGTTTTGTACATTGAAAGTGCTCATTAAATATTGACATTATCTGTGAAATTGAACCTGAAAAGAGTATATACAGGAAAATGCTGGACTTATAGGGAAAAAAAAAAAAGCTGGACTAGCATAGCTTATTGTTGACACTGTTACCTAGTCCTGTAAAATGATCCTGACCGGGCTTTGTCTCTAGAACACAGGATGTCATCCTAATCAGACTTCAGTTGCCAAGTGAGTGCAGCCAAAGTGAATTCCTGAGCACAATTAAGCCCTGAGTGACCTCAGTTCTGATAAAGATTGGTTTCCTCATGCTCTTCCTTGATAAAGCATTTCATTTCCAGGCTATTTCTGAAACTTTTCAAAGTGTAAAGACTACCTCTTTGCTCTGGGCTTTGACCTCTGGTTTTTACAGACTCAGAGCATTTAAGAACCAAAAATCCGGCTGAGCACAATGGCTCACACCTATAATCCCAGCACTTTGAGAGGCTGATGTGAGTGAATCACTTGAGGTCGGGAGTTTGAGACCAGCCTGGCCAAAGTGGTGAAACCCTAGTCTCTATTAAAAATACAAAAAGTTGCCTGTAATCCTAGCTATTCGGGAGGCTGAGGCAGGAGAATCGTTTGAACCTGGGAGGCAGAGGTTGCAGTGAGCTGAGATCGTGCCACTGCACTTCAGCCTGGGCGACAGAGTGAGACTCTGTCTCAAAACAAACAAACAAACAAACAAACAAACAAACAAACAAAAACACCAAAATCCTCTAGTGTTTCTCTCTTCTCTCTTATGTTTTAGGCAAGAAAAGTGAGGTTCAGAAGTGTTAAGTGACTTCTCTAAAGTCTCATAGCTAGATAGTAGCAGGGTTGGGCTTGTCATCCAGGTCTGGGAATTCACTAATCTATCGTAAATTTCCTATTCTCCCATTACCACTGTCCGCCTTATAAACTGAGGGTGTGAGGCAATTGCAGAGAATTCATTTTGGCGGAATTATGTAATTGCCTGGGATTGCATCACACACTTTTTCGATGCAGTGTTCCTTCCTTTGCTTCTTTGTCAAAGGCTACCCTCAAAGACTACATGGTGAACCACTCTCTTTAGCCACCTTAGCCGCTGCTCCCAACTCCCTCTCAAGTATAGGACATGGTCCTATACCTCGGATATGTCAGTAGAGCAGAAGCTCTATGCTAGGTACTTTATACATGCTATTTAATTGTATACTTTTTATGTACTTAATCCTCACAAGCACCTTGCAATTCTTAGCTCCATTTCACAGATGAGAAAACCATGGTTCCTGGAGGTTGAAGAGCTTGCTCTAGTGCAAGAACTTAGAAGAGATCACCCCGACACTGAGAGCCCTTGGCCTCTCTACCATGCCATGATTCCTTCTTGGACAGAATGGAGGTTGCTAATGAAAAATCCTACCCTCACAGGTTGGCAAGGGTGCAGACCAGTGTCCAGAGTCAATGCAGCGGAGCATGTCCAAGCCCCTCACTCTGTAGCCGGGCTGGCACTCAAATTTACAGCTGGAGCCATAGGCAAAAGCAGTGAGCGGATGAACACAGTCCATGGTTCCTTCACTGGGGGCTTCCAGGTGCTGACACTGCACAGCTGGAGAGAATAACCAAGGATAAAGAGAAAGATACTGAGAAAGGAGAAAAGCCACACAGAGAGCAATGGTGGAACCACCTCTGAAATGCAGGTGGAGCTAGCAAGATGTAAAGGTCAAGAGACCCTAATGATGTTTGTCCAGACTTGGATTACCAGTTCCCAGGGTGATCTGAGTCTGTTAAAAACAAAGATTCCTCCAAGCTGTATTCTTAATGTCCTCTATTCCCTATACTTCTATAAACCTGTCTCAGTAGGTCTTCTAGTGTCCACTTATAGATGTAGAGGCCACCCTTTCTAATCTTATGGGGAAATTATGAATGAGGCCATTCTGAAACTGCCTGCATTTGTGTTTGGGGAAAGAAAGGAATTTTTTTCCTTTCTCATCTCAGATGAACCCAATCTAGCTGAATGGCAGGTAGGAAGAGAATTAAATTTTGGCAATTCAGGCCAGCTTCTCCATAAGCTGGTCAATTTCATCTATGCACTAAGTAAGGACTGGGTGCAATGGACATTATACATCCCAACTACCTGAAACTCACCTTTACACACTGGGGCTGGGGCTGTCCATACCCCCGAGGCTGTGCATTGCACCACTTCCGGTCCAACTAATGCAAATCCCTCTTCACAACTGAAGCTGCAGCTAGACTGATGCTGGAATGCTTTTGCAGAATGAAGGCAGGTCATGTTTCCTCGTTCAGGAATCTTCAGGGGTGGGCACTGGGCAGCTAAAACCAACCACAGAATAATAGTGTGAGTCCTTGGACAAATTTTGTCCATCACCTTGGAAGCCTTCAAATTCTGCAGCAGTCACACCTTCCCAAAGTGGCAGGCAGGTTGATGCACTAGAATGGTTAAATGGTGTTTTCAATAGCTGCTTGGAAAGATCAAACACCCTTGTTTTTCATGTAGAGAAGTTAGGTAAAATTATCAAATTAATAATTCTTAACCCCTAAGTCCTCATCATTGTACTCTGTTTACTTTACAATTAACAAAGGGAAAGAGGGGTCCCTTTGTAATGTTTTTGCCTGCGAATCAACAATTAAACTGACTAAGTCACTCTACCCATAAAAAAATACCATGAAAATTGAAATTAATGTTACTCTGGTTGACAGTTAACAGTGATAACCAGAGTTTTCCATCTAACCTAGATGGTCATTATTTCTCACATTTTTTAATGGAGAAAGCTCATTGTGTCCTCTTCTCCCCCAAAATTCTATGTCAGTGAGGATGAAAAGAATAAGGTCTACATACCTAAACACTGTGGAGGCTTATTTGTCCAGATTCCAGAAGCCAAGCATTCCAGCTTGCTGGGCCCATTTACTTGGTACCCGTCAGTGCAGTGGAAGCTGCACTGCGAGTTAAAAGAGAAGTTTCCCAGAGGGTGGCTGCAGTTCATGAGCACGTGTTGAGGGAGCTCAAGTTCTCCACACTCTCTCACTGCAGGAGACAAAATAGTGATTTTTATTTTCCATGTAGAATTAACAGCAATGTCATGTTTGCTGAAAGCTGTAACTATTTGTGTAACCCTCTTAACTCTAATTTTCTAAACTTTTAACCCAAGCTATCCATCTCTACTTGGTCTCTTTGTATTGGCTGCATCTTGGGAAATAGTCATTCTTTCACAAGTTTTTACTTCAAACAAGTAAAATTAGCCTGAAAGTTCTGTTGGTTTTGCTTCCTTTCCCTTTCCCTTTTCTTTTTTGAAATTTATGAGTCAATGTTTTCTCCCAAGAATAAAATGTTTTTACCTAGAGTGTGTGTCTAGGGACACTGAGTGGAGGAGACAGATGATAGAGGGGGGCTGGTACCATCCTATTCTCACTGGAGAGACTTCAACATGATTTATTTACTTCTTGGCATCATCTCTAGCATAAAACCAAAATAATATCAACAAAAAGGAAGCCTCACCGTATTCACATTCTGGCCCATAGAATCCAGGGTAACAGGAGCAGGTGTAGTTCCCGATGGTCTCGAGGCACTCTCCTTGTTTGCTGCAGGACATGTCCTGGCAGGAGGCTGCATAGATATGGAAAGGTCAGAGTCATGGACATTCACAGATGTGAGGAAAGGCTGAATTCTCGTTTTGACCACAGACTCATCCCCTCTCAGATAGGACTGAGCTAGCCAGACAAGAGGGAAGCACAGTATCTTCTAGAGAGCCAACCTGTCCCTTGTGAAAAGCATTGTAGGGGCCTGCTGGAGTATTGCGTGGCTCCCATTTCATACTGCATTTAGTATTTCCTAAGGAGGGTATTGTTGTGTGTGGACACAGAGGGACAAATGGAGCCAATGACAGATGTGTGGACAGAGAAACCCTATGTGGTACAAAATGGGCTGTGGTTTTCAAACCAAGCATTGTTTTATTATGGAAGCCCAATGTCACGTATTACTGCATTGAGGTTAGGCACCAGATGTGGGGCGTGGGGTCACACAGGTGTGATATGAATCCTGGCTCTGCTGCCTACTTGCTATGTGACCTTAGGCAAGTTACTTCTCTGAGCTCAGCTTGCACAGTGTTAGAGCCCAAACCCTTTCACCTTTCATTTGCTTCAAATCTATGTCCAGAATCCTACAGTGGAGAAACAGAGGAGCCAAATGAGATGTTTAAGACGTACTCATGGTAAAGGACAAACAATCTTATGAGGTGATGTTTCATGAGTCTGAATACAGCAGGCGAAGAGAGTACTGACTATGGCTGAACTGCCATGTCCTCTTCACCAAGATAGTGCCACTCAGGTGACAGAATAGAGAAGGGCCATGGTTTCTTTCCTGCAAGAAAGTATTTTAGGGTATATGCACTTGATGAGAATTAGTATTAGAATTGATACTTTCAAAGCACTGAGATGTTTTTATTAATGAGGTCATAGTTGGGGGTAAGTTCTATGGCTGAACTGTTTTCTGGTGGTTACTTCCTCTGTCTTAAGCCCTGTCCACATGCTGGTTCACTTGGAAGTATATTACAAAAGAATATCCATATGTCATATGTGGATATGCTGTGCTACATGATCTCTATGTTTCCTCTCAATTCTGAGATACTAAAATTCTATAAACCATGCAAGGTTCTATAGGAAGAAGTTCCTGTGGCAGCCAGTGAATTTGGTGAAGCTGCACTGAGACACTGGGAAGGGTTCAAATAAAGAGAAGATGTAGGAGGCAATAGCAGCTAAATGGATACAGGTTTGGTCCACATCCTATTCACTTCGCTCCCTGACCTTAACCCCACCAATGTCTTAATACCTTACAGTAGCAACCCCTGCCTGCCCTATGTTCTTGGAGCATACAAATGTTTCCCCAATTATAGCTTCCTTGGGATCTCAGAACTCTAGGGGAAAAAAAGAGACAATGTTCTGTATTCTATCCCATTTCAGGGTTTCCTGAATAGATAGGTTAGCAATTTGTCTATTCCTTTGGATCTCCAGGGAGAAGATGATTTATTCATGATGATTCAATGAATAAATCTTTTTTCGATAGCCTGCTCTGAGGTCTAATAATTCCTGACATGTGGAGAATTATTCCAACAATCAAACTTAATTTCATATTACAGTAAATATATCTATTTCTCATCTCCCATGGATAATTGATGCTTCTCTACATCCTTTACATCTTAGATGGCAAAACGACAATCAATGGTAGTGGCTGCTTAGAGTACTGTGTTGGTGGAGATAAAACCCATCTGTGTTCAGGTAAAGTTGTATTAATTAGTGATGTCTCTACCACTGTTGTGGGTTAGAGGAGTGTCATCATTTATGCCAGTAATTTTTTATCTTTTTTCTATCTTGCAATTTTTTTGGCAAGCTTTATTGAGGAAGACTGTCTTGCAGAAATGGATTTTGAAGGTTGGGTGTGAAGGGGAAGTAGTGGCATATTGAAACAGCTAGTGGCAGTCAAGGTTATCTGATAAGAGATAATTCTAGGGAGGCATAGCCCAGAAAGGGGTAGAGAGCTGACTGGGAGAGCAGTAGGATGAGCTAATATCCTGGTAATGTCCATCCTGATCCATGAATATATGCTCAATTAATCAATTTATTTATATATAAATGCATTATTTATAAAG
Source organism: Homo sapiens (assembly GCF_000001405.40). Lineage (NCBI taxonomy): Eukaryota > Metazoa > Chordata > Mammalia > Primates > Hominidae > Homo > Homo sapiens. The sequence goes on from NC_000001.11 coordinate 169,615,732, forward strand.
TAGATCTGATTATATGATAATGCATTCATGGATATGTTTTGCCTCAGCTAGGAGGCTTGGGGAGAAGAGGGACAATGTAGAAGGCTTGCTTTATTCTGTGTATTCTGTTCCATACCTGTACTGTTGAGGGCTTCTGAGGGAGAGGTGTTTAAAATCTAAAGAATTCAGAATATGTATGGCAGATGATTTATCAAAGAAGCTTCAGAGTACTTAGAAACTTCCTGCTCGGGGCAGTCCATACCATCCTTAGGCACAGTGTTCGTGTGCTACAAAGGACAGAACCGGCCCCTCTGGACAGGGAAGCAACATCAGAAAGAAGGAATCAGCTCTGACACTAGGCTCGTGACTAGAGGAAGACCAAGCTTTCAGGAATGTCTGCTTACTCTGGCACTGGTAAAGTTGAGAATTAAAATACACTCGAAGTATTTCACCTTCAATTACTTCTTTCCTTTCCTGCCCACTCCCCACCACTACCCTCCCACCAAAGTTCAATGGATCTAAAGATATGTTGTTGTTGAAGAGAAACTATAAAGCATTTACAATCCTTGGTTATATTCTCAAATTGTCTCATAAAAATGTAGAGCAAAGAATGTGGTAGTTTACATGGCTAAAAAACACCAACTTTGGAATCAACATGAGTGTGAAACTGGCTCCACCATCAACTAGCTTAGAACCCTGGGCAGATTACTTAATAGCTCTGAGCCTTTCCCTCATCAGCAAAGTAAGAGTAATAGAAAAACCTGACTGATGGAGTTGTCATGAGGACTAAATTTGACTAATATTAAATGAGCAAATGACACATGAACTAAATAAACTAATAACACAATGCCTAGAGCATACTGACATTCAGTAGCTATTAGTTACAGCTGTGTCACCTAGGGGCAGGGCTAAATTTCCTTCCAATTTACACTCTCTGTTATACAAGACACAGGGGTGAAAAAAAAGCTCTACACCTAAAATTTGGGAGACTGGTTTCTGGTCCTCACTTTGCTTCTGTCCTGCTCCACGGCCTTGAGAAACTAAAACCTCGTGAGTGTCCTTTTCATCAGTTATAAGATGAGACAGGTGAGCTGGATGATATTAAAATTTCCCTCTAGTTTTAAGCAGCTAGTTTTCTCTAATTCTGATCTTATATTCTTCAAGGTGCTCAATAATACTGATTGACTAACAATTTACCCCTTGATTTCATGTCCTGCCTTTGTATCTTTGTGTTGACTCGGTGGTTATGTTGGCCAACCAGAGAAGGCAGGGTTTTTTTTTTTTAACAGGAAAGTTTCAAAGTAGAGAAGGCCCTACCTGTGTAACACAATGCGTGCTTTTTCTTCAAGCAGTGCTCATCATTCCACTTGCCAGGGGCTGACGGACTCTTGATGTATATCTCCACGCAGTCCTCGTTGTTCCTTTTGTTGTTAGGTTCATTATCAGCCCAGTTCTCAGCCTCGTTGGTGAGAGCCTTTTTGGTTCCCACCCATGTCCATGTCTTATTGTTCTTTCGGATCCCAATCCAGTAGTAGGAGCTGTAGTAGGGTAGGACCTTATTGAGGTAATCAATTTCATTTTTATTCTGGATGGCCACTAAGTCTGTGTAGCGATTCTGGCAGTATTTACGGGAAATATTCCATGAGTATGCTTTTGTGCTGTAATGATAAGTCCATGCTGCCACTTCTTTCTGGTTTGTTAGTTCTAGAGTAAAGGAGAGTGAGTGCCAGGTTAGTACCCCTCACCAAAAAAGAGGCCGTGATCCCAAGTATGCTTCTGCATACTCAGATGAATTTCCGACCAGAACATTAATACACAAAACAACGACTAGTTTATGTCTAATGTAGTTGTTTGAAGGAAAAAGAGTGGTTTCCACCTTTCACTTAAAAGTGTGAATGATGTCAGAATAGGAAAATGTCATCTTCTGAGGATCCTTGATGTTAAAGGTTTGGAATCATAAGATATCAAAGTTAGGAGGGACCCTGGAAGTCATCTAATTTACTCCTGTCCTTTTATAAAAGAAGGAGACATAAGTAATTTGCCCAAGCTCAGATTAAATGACATATAAAATGTCTTAAGGGCAAGCTCTACCTCTTCACATGGAAAATAACATGCTTTATGACCTGGAGCCTACCAGTTGGTCCAGCCTCATTGCCCACTGTATGTACTTTCTCAGCAAAACAGAATTCCTACTTCCTTGAATTTGCACATGCTCTCCCCACAATCCTGGCTGTCCTCTCTTCTTATGTCTGATAAACTTTACTCCACCTATTCTCCATGGCTTTCCCAGGTGGACTCTGTGTTCCTTCCTCCAGGCTCCCACAGCACCTCATCCCTGCCTCCATTGTGCTCATTGCCATGTACGGTAATGTCTGTTTCTATGATACAGTCTACATCTGCCAGGTTGTAAATCTCCGACGGTGTTTTCTTTTTAGCTTTGGATCCTTAGCACTGAGCCTAGAGTTTAGCACTTAATAGGCCTTCAATAAATACTTGTTGAATGAGTGAAACACAGTAGGTTTGTGGCAGAACCCGGGTGGGAAATCAGATATCCTGATCTGCAATCTTATAGTCTTTCCATTCTTCTTGGCTGTTTGTCTTTCATTAACTACTCTACTTCTTCCATGTCTGAATACTCCCTTATTAAGATAGGGCTCAGAACAGCCCTTTTTCACAAGTGTTTTTGATACCAAATGAACTAAAGAATGTGCGTTTCAAAAGTATAAAGGTACTACAGCACTCTTATCATAGTCTGTGGGAGTCCACCCGGGGCAGGAGAGGCCATTTCCCACATGAAGAGGTGTACAAAGCAAGCAATCAGGCCTGGAAATGGGTTTCTTTCCTGTTTATTTAAAGGCTTGTTTCTATCCAACCCTCTCCTCTGCTGCCTGCATGAGGGTTAGTCATGCTTGTACCTCCCTTGCTGACATTTCCAGGGCATTGTTTTGCCTTAAAGACTTCATTCTGATATAGCCAGGGCTGCATTATGACTTTCATAGACTTCAGGCAACTTTGCCTATGTAGGCTTCTTCCTCCATGCTAACATATTAAAAATTCTATTTTGCAACTGCACTGGTACAAAGATGAATATATCACTATATATTAAAACATTTTCTTTGACTTCAAAGAAAATAATTATAAAAGAAATTCAGACGTGTGTGGGTCTTTGAAAATTTTGTGCGTCTGTGTCTACTGTGCCTAATGGATACATTCGTCCTGGATATATCATTTTAAGTTCTTTCCTATGCCCTTTCTACCAATATGATGGCGTTGGGTACATTTGTCTTCCAGCAATCTGGACTTGGACAGTTTTCCCATGCCTCAAACCAACTGGCTACAATCCTTAAATTTCTCACACATAGATCTGGGCTCTACCCTAATTACTTAGGCCTAAGTGAAAAGTTAGCATAAAGTTTACCAGAGATCAGGGCACTGAAGCAAAGGAGTTGGGAAATTCCAAAGACCACTCTCTGGAATCTCTGGTACAAGATGGCTATTTGGCAGTTGGCCTGAAACAAGAAGAGAAAACTTTCTTTTAGTATCCATACACCACCAACATGGCCAAAAATAATTCTAGTTAACAATCATTATGTTGAAGTATAATTGTGCCAATTTCCACTGGAAGAGTGGTTCAAGCCCTCTGCTTCCTTCTTGCTTCTCATTGCCCTGCTTCTAAGTTCTACCCTGGATGGACACTGTAGCAAGGCTGGGGACAGAGTTCATTTCTTCATTCATTCAACAAATGTTTATTGAGTAGTTTGTGCCACCAATGTTTTTATTTTAAGATACATTTTTAATGTGTATGGAAGAAAGCTAAACACATTAATATGGCTGTCATTATTATTATAAAACAATCTTTTTAAGAAGTGGTATGTCATACCCAAGAATAACAGAAAGTCACATGAGAACTTCCTGACCCACACAAATAATGTCTAACCTATACTTTGAGGTGCAGAGCATCAACAAATTGTGTTATGCTATGCCATCTATTTTGTACTATGGATCTTTGTTTTATCTTCTTGCTTTTTCATTTCTGTACACATCTACAATACTATTCAATGTTTAATATACATATGTATGTATATATTTAATATTTCTTAATATATGCAGTAAACTTGTTCCCCTTGGATCTATAGCAACTATTATTTCTCATGAACTCTCTTCTGTTGGGATTTCATCAAATCTATGAATATTTTTAAAATGTTTTTGGGGCCAGGCACAGTGGCTCATGCCTGTAATCCCAGCACTTTGGGAGGCTGAGGTGGGCGGATCATGAGGTCAGGAATTCAAGACCAGCCTGGCCAACATAGTGAAACCCTGTCTCTACTAAAAGTACATTAAAAAAAAATTAGACAGGTGTGGTGGCGGGTGCTTGTAATCCCAGCTCCTTGGGAGGTCGAGGCAGGAGAATCGCTTGAACCCGGGAGGCGGAGGTTGCAGTGAGCGGAGATCACACCACTGCACTCTATCCGGGGCGACAGTGCAAGACTCCGTCTCAAAAAAACAACAAAAAATGTTTTTGGGCATCTAAGTTCTAGTGATGCTCATCTTGTCCGACTTCCTCATGTTGCACATGAAAATACTGAAGCTTGGGGCATCTAAATAACACGTTCAGAATGACAGTAGCAGAGCTTGACTTTGAAACAAGAAAGAGCTCTTTCCACTGTACTTTTTTTTTTTTTTTTTTTTAACCTTCATTAACCTCCAGGCTTCTAAATCCCATGCTGCATTGCTGTTTTGGATGATAAAGCATGCGACATGACCAAGCCTAGCTGCTACATCAGTTCCCCTCTAAAGCCACTCAACATTACTATCAACATAAAAACAGTGCATTTGCTATGCATTTGCAGTTTTGTCACTATCCCAGCCAGACTGCTACCTAAAACCTTTCCTGTAAAGAAATCTCAAATTGCCTCAGACCACAATTTGGTCTGTGACAATTTGCTGCGAGGTTATGTGTGTGTTCGTGTGTCATGCCCCAGTGATGGATGATGTAGCGTGCATGGGACGGTGTGCGGTTGTGTGTATGTTCGTGTGTCATGCCCCAGTGATGGATGATGTAGGGTGCATGGGACGGTGTGGGGTTGTGTGTGTGTGTGTGTGTGTGTGTGTGTGTGTATGTGTCATGCCACAGTGATGGATGATGTAGGCTGCATGGGACTGTGTGGAGTTGTGTATGTATGCGTGTGTCATGCCCCAGTGATGGATGATGTAGGGTGCATGGGACAGTGTGGGGTTCTGTGTGTGTGTGTGTGTGTGTGTGTGTGTGTCATGCCACAGTGATGGATAATGTAGGGTGGATGGGACAGTGTGGGGTTCTGTGTGTATGTGTGTGTCATGCCACAGTGACGGATGATGTAGGGTGCATGGGATGGTGTGGAGTTGTGTGTGTGTGTGTGTGTGTGTGTGTCACACCCCAGTGATGAGATGTAGGGTGCATGGGACTGTGTGGGGTTGTGTGTGTGTTCGTGTGTCATGCCCCAGTGATGGATGATGTAGGGTGCATGGGATGGTGTGGAGTTGTGTGTGTGTGTGTTTGTGTCACACCCCAGTGATGGATGATGTAGGGTGCATGGGACTGTGTGGTGTTGTGTGTGTGTTCATGTATCATGTCCTGGTGATGGATGATGTAGGGTGCATGGGACAGTGTGGGATTGTGTGTATGTGTGTGTCACACCCAGTGATGGATGATGTAGGGTGCATGGGACAGTGTGAGGTTGTGTGTGTGTGTGTGTGTGTGTGTGTGTGTGTGTCACGCCCAGTGATGGATTATGTAGGGTGCATGGGACAGTGTGGGGTTGTGTATGTGTCACGCCCAGTAGGGTGCATGGGACAGTGTGGGGTCATGTGTGTGCATGTGTTCATGCACTTTTGACTACAGCCTGACCAGATACCAGGGAGAACTCAACTCAAACCAGTTAATGTGTCCCAGAGAGTAGAGTTATCTCATAAGCCTAGAACTTTTCATCTGGGAGCTTCTGAATCTTGACTTTGGTAAGTAGGCATATTTTGTGTTCTTATAAGCTGCTGATCTCTGCAGGACCTATGATTAAACACTGAGAGTATCATAACGTTATGATTTACAGCTGTTTATTTGCACAAAATGCAGAGTGATCGATAACCCTTTGGTGCGAACCTAACCCCACTGCTTTCTCTGAATTGTGTTGTGTCACAAGCTGTTCTTCCTATCACATTTCAAAATGCACCATTCCAAATGCTGAAGTGGAATTCTTCAAACCAGGATAAGGCTGACTTCCCAAGGGGTTCACAAGCAAAGAGAGTGTTAATTAAATCTGTATTCAGATTCTCAACTTTCACATATATACTTTCTTAAAAACAATCTGCCTAAAATACACCTTTCTCCCACTTTATAAGAGAAAAATTATACCTTTTACTAATTTCTTATTTATTCCAGAGCTTTGCCTTTGGATATAAATACATTCGTATGCCAGAGATGATTCGAAATATTGGTATAGGTATTAAGAATTTGAATATTGTAAATGATATTGCAGCAAATCCGTTTTCAAGTCTAGTGATTTCCATTTATTTCCTTTCATCAGCTTTGAGGGAGCACCCGATTAAGTTGTCAAGTCTGACTAAATTTTGATAGTAAATCACTATATAATTTGGGGCATATAACTTGGAAGGACTTCAAGGAATTGAGACATTGCTATAATAAAACTTCTAATTCCATTTACTTATTCATATGAATGAAGTTTCTCAATGTTTAAATCCTTGAAAATGAAATATGGGAATAATATTGATGCCAAACTTGTCTAATTTTGTTGATAAGTAATATTCATTCATGGATATATGAACAAATGAGGGAAAGCTCCTCCTGTCTTAGAGATGAATCTTTAATAGCAATTTAAATATAAAGGTTTAAGTTACTTGTCAAAACTTGCAGTATATTTACTTTATTTAATTGTGTACTGAAAGTAGTTGTCATGCTAACTCAATAGAAAAGAAAAACATTTTAACACATAGAGACTTACAGTTGTAGAAAATTGAAATTTTATATTTTTATTTTGCAAAGAAGTATAATAATCAAGAAAATACTTTAAGCTTAAAATGTGTAATCTTAGGCTAAATACTGTAGAAGTGGGATAGAAATAACTATTCAAGGAGAGAAAAATGAATAATATAAAATTTCTTAAGAGCCTGCTTGTGGTCTTTTAAGTGATGAGGATTGCAGATCATGCTAGTACTTTATTCCATTGGATAAACTTTAAGAAATTATGTAACAATTTTATTTTTACAGTCTAATTTTTGTAATACACTGGAAAATCCAATCTTCTTTTGCTTTTAAAATTTGGGATAAAAAATTGTAGCTTTCCACTTAGAAAGGTGTAAGAGGTAACATAGTGTTCCAGGATATTTTTGGAGGTATAGGAGCAAAAATATTGCTGCTGAAGAGCACAACTCTGCAGCCTTCATGAAGGGGACCTGAGTGCTTGCCTTTGAACCTGGGCTTTGCTCTATTCAGACAGATTGCAGAAGGAGTGCAACGATTTTAAATTTAGTGGTACTCTTCCTGTGGAAGTGGTTTTCTCCCTGAACAGAGTATTTCTAGGGATTTCCCTGGCTTTGGGGCCAGCTCACAAGAGTGTGTAGGGCGAAGGAGTCGGTGAGGCTCCCAGTCTCCCATCACAGTGGCCAACCCTACCCACTGTTTCCTGCTTTGACTTGTTTGTTTAAACTTTTAAATAAGATTTGGTTTAAACAAAATTTCCAAAAAGAGATGTTTCCCATTTTAACCTGTTTGTTTGTTTGTTTGAACTTTTTTTAAGCAAAATTTCATCAGCAAATTCTCTACCACACAAGATAAAACAAAGTGAGAGAGAGCGAGACAACTTGTTTTAAACATTTGAAGGTTTTAGAGGACTGGTACAGTGCTTTTGATGAAGGCACAACATCTAAGAAAGGAAAATGCAAGTCAGTGTGCATCCCCTGCTTTAATCTGACATACTTTTCTGTTTCTATGCATCACCAAATACCAAGATTCACCTCTTACAGGTTATTTCAGAGCTATAGGAGAACATAAAGGTCACTTCCAAGCCAACTTAGCATTTATCTGCTGTTCTGCAGGAAGTCTTTCAGACTTCGAATGCCTAAGATGGGGCAGCCACCACTCCCCACCACTGAGACTCAGTGAGCGTAAATGATTTGCCCAAGCTTGCTCACATGAATGTGCATAGGGTTAACACAGTTATTCTTATTCTTCCAGGGCTTATGAATTTTGAAAATCTGATAAAAGCCGTGGTCAGATTTCTTCAAAACAAATGCATGCTTGCAGTAGTTTAGAGAATCTCAGATGGTTCATGACCTACTAAGTCTGTCCATGTTTAATGTGGCCCAAGTTCAAGATTCTGTGTTAACTGTAAGGCAACTGATAGGGATTTTGTGTGGAGGTATGGAGAATGGATGATGTTTAAAAATCTTCTTTGAGTAACAGTTTTCCTCTGAAACCTGCTTGGGGTGGGCAGGCCTTCTCATACCTGCTCCTACTCTGCATTATAGTCTGCAGGATGCTGCTCTGTCCTGTGTTACTAAGCAAGTTAAATACTAAAACAAGAGGAAATTCCTCTCTAGAAGCATCCACATGCTCTGCTAGTCTTTAATGTTCTCTGGAAGGCTGGTTCAACTGGAAGTTGCTGGAAAGGAGTCAGAGACTGGGTCATTAGAATAACATCCTGTGCCTGTGTAAGCCTTCATTAAGTACCATGATTATCTTTAATTTTACTTTAATAAAGAACTGGGCTGGTGCAGTGGCTCATGCCTCTAATCCCAGCACTTTGGGAGGCCAAGGTGGGCAGATCACTTGAGGTCAGGAGTTCGAGAACAGCCTGGCAACATGGTAAAACCTCGTCTCTACTAAAAATGCAAAAATTAGCCAGGCATAGTGGCACATGTCTGTAGTCCCAGCTACTTGGGAGGCTGAGGCAGGAGAATCGCTTGAACCCAGAAGGCAGAGGTGGCAGTGAGCCGAGACACTCCAGCCTTGGCAACAGAGTGAGACTCTTTCTCAAAAAACAAAACAAACAAACAAGCAAAAAAACTAATAATGATTGCAGGGTGAAGAGAAAAGCAGAGAGAAAGTGGAAGAAGCAAATGCCTTGACCTAACTTTTCACACAAGGAGGTACCAGAGGCTAGTAGGTGTCCCATGGCTTGCCACGTTCCAGGTGGCTTACAAAGTTGGCAAGAATAGTGCCACAGAAAGGAGATCTTGTTCTTTTTGTCTACATTGTAGACCACAGCTTTGTGCTTTTAGAAAGGCGGAATCAAACAATGTCCCTCCCTTGACCCTTTGTCCTCCTGCCCACATCTGCCTGTTTCTCTCCTTCCTCTTATAGCTAAACTTTCTTAACTTCCTTGCCTCCCCCTTACTCTCCAGCCCACTGCCCGACCATCCTATCAAAGTGTCCCTGCAAACTTCATTGCTGACATCCTCATTACCAAACCAAATGAAGACTTTCCACCCTTATCTTCCTTGACCTTTCTGTAGCAGTAAATACCACTACTTCCTTTTGCCTAAAATGCTTCCCTTAGCTCTTCTGTTGTTCTTCTGCTCTAATGTTTGAGAAACTTTTCTGAGTCTTCTTCTGAATCTACCTCAATCCTCTGCCTTCCCTTGCAGAGGTAAGTGTTTCTCTAGGTTCCCACCTCCATGGCCCTATTCTCTTCTCATTCTTCTGCTTTCCTGGGAAGTAAAGATGACCTCCTTATGGTCATCTGTTTCCAATGTCCTCTAATCAGCATCTCCGTTTCTGAATATTCTCTTGAGCAGGAGGTCCACAATTTAAATGCGCAACAAACATGTGAGCATACAGCTGAGGAAGCTACTGACAGAGGCTTCTCAAGGGCAAGGACTATTACTTACTCAGGTCTGAATCCCCAGCCATGGTAGGGCACATACTCAATACTCAATAAACATTTTATGGATAAATATATGAATGAATAATGGCAGAGGAATAACTGAAAGTAAGACAAAAATATGCTAAATAAGAAAATGTTGGAAAAATACATAATAATTATAACTGAATGCATTACTTTTACAGTAGTGATAATAGCTAAGTGAACAAATAAAATGGTGAAAACAGACATAATTCCAGTCCTCATAGAATGCACATTCTATTGGTAGAGAAGACAATGAAACAAATACTAATAACTACACAACAGTACTAAACAAGTAAACATGAAAAATATTAACAGAATATAGCCATAAGTGCTAGGTAGGAAATGAAACTTATGTGATAGAATGACTGTGTCACTATGTTGGTCAGGAACGTCAGGGAAGACCTCTTTAATGAGATAATGTTTAAGTGGAGAGAAGAATGACTGCAAGAAACCAGCCAGTGAGAAGCAGGAAGAAGAGCATTAAAGGAAGAAGAAAAAGCTATTTCAAAGGCCTTAAGGTGGAAGCAAACTGCAGTGTGTTCAAAGAACATGAAGACATTAGTGTGGCCAGAATGGAATGAGCAATGGAGAGAAAAATACGAGCCGGGGGTAGTGACAGATCACATCGGGCTTTGGGATCCAAAACAAGGGGATGAGATTTTATTCTAAGTGCAATGATAAGCCAACGGAAGCTGGGCACGGTGGCTCACATCTGTAATCCCAACACTTTATGAGGCCAAGGCAGGCAGATCCCTTGAGGTCAGAAGTTCAAGACCAGCCTTGCCAACATGGCGAAACCAACTCCACTAAAAAATACAAAAATTAGCTGGGCATGGTGGCGCATGCCTGTAATCCCAGCTACTCAGAAGGCTGAGACAGGAGAATCGCTTGAACCCAGGAGACAGAGGTTGCAGTGAGCTGAGATGGCACTACTGCACTCCAGCCTGCTGAAGATTGGGAGATCCTAGAGGTTAACTGAAAAGGTAGTTTGAGACCATATCTTGTGGGTCACAAATACCAGTTGGCAGAAGGGATACTTCTGAACAGAGAAGTATCATGAACACATGCACTTAATGGTGGTATGATTTTTTTTGTGGGGCTGGGGGACAGGGTCTTGCTCTGTTGCCCAGGCTGAAGTGCAGTGGCATGATCTGGGTTCACTGAAACCTCCACCTCCTGGCCTCAAGTGATCTTCCCATCTCAGCCTCCTGAGTAACTGGGACTACAGGCATGCATCACCACACCCGGCTAATTTTTTGTAGAGATAAGTTCTCACTATATTGCCCAGGCTGGCCTGGAGCCCCTGGGCTCAAGCAATACTTTTTCTTTGGCCTCCAAAAATGCTGATATTATAGGGGTGAGAGTAGTGCGATACTTTTTTTTTTTTAAATGAGTTACAATCAGGGAGATTGCACTGCAAAAGAAGAGGCTATTGCAATGGTCCCAGTGAGAGTTAAAGAGGGACAGGTTTGGTCTGGCATCAGTGGGAATGCAAATAGGGGAGGTGAATATGAGAGTTGTTGAGGATGCAGAACTATACAACTTGTTGGTAGCAAAGCCCAGATGTTACAAGCTATTACAGCTAATACATTAGTTCCCTTATGTTTCTGGACGGTGGTGGTGTTAGTGGTGTGGCACAGATATTGGTAGCCCAGCTTAGGGGTGGAAAAAGAAATACAGTGAGAAAAGAGGTTGTCTCTAAGCCAAAGAGCAAATTATGAATATAGACAAGAAGGGACCCAGGACATCAACACTTAGAATCCAAGCATATATTTAATTTAGACTACCAATTGCCATTATTTTGAGTAAAATATTAGCATTAAAAATAAAGTACGACACTTAAAATTTTTTAAAAAGTCTATTGGATCAGAGATGAGTTATATCTCTACAAATAGTGAGGATTTGCTCTGTATTTGACTTCATGAAGTTTCTGATTTACTTTTTAATCAAAAAGATTAGACACCTTGAAGACAATATAATGAATGTCATTTATAAAACCACTGTGTGCCTACTCTCTAGGTTTAGGTCCAGGGTTTTTTCTAAACACAGTTTTTTATGTAGTAAGTCATTTTGATTTTTGAGGATTTGATCAATAAGCTTCTACTTAAAGATCTCTGAAGATGCACATTCTAAGAGCTGGTGGCTAGCCCAGGAGAGTCTGAACTATTTTAGTTGCATTTTGAAAAACAGGTAATGAAAAGAAGAGTAAGGACTGGAAGCCACATAAGGTGGTTAAAAGGTATAAATGGACGAAAATCCAGACCTGCTCCTTAGCCCACTAAAACTTTTTTTTTGTTTTGTTTTTGAGACAAGTCTTGCTCTGTCACCCAGGCTGGAGTTCAGTGGTGTGATCTCAACTCACTGCCACCTCCACCTCCTGGGTTCAAGAGTTTGTCCTGCCTCAGCCTCCTGAGTAGCTGGGATTACAGGCACATGCCAACATGCCCAGCCAGTTTTTGTAAGTTTAGTAAATATGGTGTTTCACCATGTTGGCCAGGCTGCTCTTGAACTCTCGACTTCAAGTGATCTATGCGCCTCGGCCTCCCAAAGTGCTGGGATTACAGGCATGAGCCACTGAGCCCGGCCATAGCCCGCTAAAACTTTGACAAACATCAGTGCAATTTAACTATAAGTTCCCAATCAAGAGCTACTCCTCTGAGATCTATCTGATTGAAAATACCCCACCAGAAAAACCTTATCCTCATTTTCTCAGGTCCTAAAAGTTAATTAAAGCCACTCTCTGAACTTGAAGCAAAATTTACACAGGCAGTTTGAGGTTTCTGAATCTTTGGGGCCAAATGTGCTCAGAGGAAAAGGAAGAGGTCTTGTCTTTGAAATATTAAAAACCATTCCAGGGCTGGGGCCTTAGCACTTCGCTGTAGAGCTCAAGCCTAATTTCAGGGTACCAAGAGAGGGGCTTCTGAACATAAAGCCCAGGAGGCAATCGAGAAGGGTTCTTACCCTGGGATCCACATGGAGGTCTGGGAACCTCCTGTGGTTGTCTCTAAAGGTTGGTGTTTATGTCGATGTTTTTGCTTTCATCTGGGAAAGACAAGTTGTAACTTTCATCAAAATCTCAAAGAACTCTCTGATCCAATAAGTTCATACCTTTGAAATAGAGGAGGATGCCAAGGAGAGTAGAAGGAAGAGAGGAATAACTGCTCATTTAAGTTAACCAATTCAGAAGTATGACATGCAAAAAGACAGGACAAAAGTAATTCATATCCTTAGGTCATTGTGGTTCAAACTTAAGACAGGCTCAAACTCCTTCCTCTTCTCTTTATCATACTCTTATTCCTGTTTTCCCCAACACAGAAACCCACATTATAAGTACTTGAAAAGTGTGCTATAGTAAAGCAAAGCAGTAGGATGAATCAGGTGTATGCGGTACTTTTTTCTGGAGTCCCACAGAAAGGTGCTCAAAAACAGAGACCTGCCTGGTTCCTCCATAGCCACAGACTGCAGGATTTCGGACCCTGGGACTATGTGGGATACTCTTGGAAAGTCTGAGGAAAATTGGAAGTAGCTTAACCATGTGCATTTTATCTAGGTGCATATAACATTGCTGAGTTCAAAATGCCTAGCTATCCTTGGATCTTCCCTGAATTAGAAGTAGCCTAACCACGTGCATCTTATCCATGAGCATATAACATTGCTGAGTTCAAAATGCCTAGCTATCCTTGGATCTTCCCTGAATCCTAAACCCCACTATTCCTAAGAATTTTCTTTTTATTGTAACAATAATGGCTAACATTTACTAATCACTTACTATGTGTCAGGCTCAGATCTGGATGCTTTTCAGCAAAATCTTATTTAATCCTCATGATGAAACTATAGAGTATTATTACTATATCCATTTTATAGAAGAAGAAACTGAGTCATTAACAAGATTGAGTCTTAGGGCAGAAAAGGAAACTATGTGGATATTCCAGATCAGTCCCAGAAGATTCATAGGCTCACAGAAAGAAATGGGAGGGATGGGGATGAGAAACTATTCAATTGTAAGCTTGTCCCAGGGCACCTACCCAGTCTTCCATTTATTCCATCATTTATCCCAGAGAGAAGTACAGTCTTGGAAAATGGGGTGACAGGTTTACCATGATCTATTCTCAGAGAGCCCCTATAAATTCTAGTAGGAGGAACAGCAGCTGCGGAGCCAGAGGACAGGCCCCAGATCCCAACATCATGTAGCCTAACAGTGAAGCTTAGATAAAACACAGCCTCTGTAAACCACGATGGCTTTATTTGTAAAATAGAAATAGCAACCTCAACTCACAAGGGTGTTGGGAGGGTCAAAGTGGACAGCAAGTTTAAAAGTACTCACAAAATCTAATAGGCAATTCAACATAAAACTCCATGGCTATCGCTGTTCCTCACTTTCTGAACCTTTACCTGCCTGACTTTACTCCATACCACTCCAACTCACTTCAACCACTTCCCATGCAGAAAAAAATAAACTCACCATCTCCTCTGTGACTCTGCTGGTTTTCTGCCTTCTGCCCAACCCAGACTGCTTACAGTCTCACTGCCTCCCCTCAGTGTCAGGCTGTTTAGAAAAACAACTTCCTATTCACATTCCAGAAACTCACCACAGCCCTTCCCATGAAGTTAGAATGTTGATAATGCAAGAGTAATGTTGGCAGCTTAGAAATAGTGGTTGCCAAGAGGCAAGGGGTCACCCCCTTCCATGGAAGATGGTCTGGAGGCAGGCGCAAGGTGAATTACTCCTGGATATCCCAGGCTGAGCAATGTGGGAACAGTACACACACAAAGGTTTCCTTGGATTATGATATAAGCTCCAATTTAAAGTAGTACATTTGGAAAACATGCTTTGAATTAATTACAATGTGATTTTCCAGTGCCCATTTTCCAGTAATTATGACATGTCAGTGAATGTTTACTATTCCGGCAGCCTTCTGAGGGAAAGAAGCAAAATTAGTAGCACAAAAAAAAATAGAGAGAAATGGAAAAAGCCACTAACAGTTTTCTGGCGCTTGGGAAATTTTATTGGTAAGTTTCAAAATGACGTATTAAATAGACATAGGTCATGTGAAAGGAATTCTGCTTCTTATATCAGAAATAAAAAGGTATACAAATAGATACCTTTTTATTTTCCTCTTCCCATGGGATGTGTAGGACCAAAAAGCTGTTGGCATAGTGGTTAAGACTTCAGCTGTGCTGTTAAACTGCCCGAGACCCATCCTGGCTCCTCTTCTGGCTATCTACTGGGCAAACTACTTAAGCTCTCTATGCCTCTGTTTCCTCAACTGTAAAACAGAATAACAGAACTTGCCTCACCGGGTTGTTGTAGGATGAAATGAGTTAATATGTACAGAGTGATTGAAATGACACTTGGCCCACAATTGATGCTCAACAAATGTTAGTGATTATTATTACTTTTCAGATTGATCTCAGACAGCAAAATCAAGTATCAAGTATTTAGTTTCAAGTCAGAAAGCCATAACTCCTATTTATACTCTTGGAATTCTATTGTACAGTAGTAGGTATTATTCTTCATTCACTTCATGATGGTTACAGCTTGTAAATAGGCATCTCATGGATAAATTTAAAATGGAATGAAGTAGAAACATTGGAAGAAAGTCTAAAGGTAAAGATGAATTAGGGTATATAAGGCTGCATTTGCACGTTGGAATTTGGGACCAAGAAGAAAAAATTAATTATATAGTAGAAGTAGAAAAGATGGTGAAGGAAATGCTGTTGAAGGAATGACTGTAGGGGAATAAGGGAAACTTAGAGAGAGGAAAAAATGAGGAACTTCTTGGCAGCATGATGCAGTTCAGAGTCCAGACCCTAGAGTCAGACTGCCTGGCTCCACCACCTACCAGCTGTGTTGGGCGTTACTAATCTCCCTATAACTCAGTTTCCTCAGTGATGTGGTTTGGCTGTGTCCCCACCCAAATCTCATCTGGAATTGTAGCTCCCATAATTCCCACAGGTTGTGGGAGGCACCTGGTAGATCATTGAATCATGGGGGTGGTTTCCCCCATACTGTTCTCATGGTAGTGAATAAGTCGCATGAGAGCTGATGGTTTTATAAGGGGAAACCCCTTTTGTTTGGTTCTCATTTCTCTCTCTTCCCTGCTGCCATGTAAGACGTGTCTTTTGCTTTCTACCATGATTGTGAGGACTCCCCATCCACGTGGAACTGTGAGTCCATTAAACCTTTTTTTTTTTAATAAGTTATCCAGTCTCGGGTATGTCTCTATCAGCATCATGAGAACAGAATAATACACTCAGCAATGTGAATAATAAGGATAATAATCACCAAATACATAGACATGTAAGGACCATTAAATGAATTTAATGTGTTTGGAACAATACCTATCACGCTGTTAAGTGTAAGTTTAAGTGTTGGCTATTATTCTATAAGACTTGCCTCCATGTCTTTCTGTTCTTACTTTCACTCACCAGCCCCTCTTTTTGGCATTGCCTCATGTTAGAAAAAATATATATAGTCTCAGATGGGGATGAGGAAGTGTGGTATGTAGACTAGTAGGTTCTTTTTTTGAGACAGGGTCTCACTCTGCGGCCCAGGCTGGAGTGCAGTGGCATGATTACTGCTTGCTCCAGCCTTGACCTCCTGGGCTCAAGCAATTCTCCCACCTCAGCCTCCTGAGTAGCTGGGACTATAGATGTGTGCCATCACTACTGGCTAATTAAAAAAAAAAATCTCTAGAGATAGGGTCTCTCTATATTTCCCAGGCTGGTCTTGAATTCCTGGGCTCAAGTGATCCTTTCACCTCAGCCTCCCAAAATGTTGGGATTACAGGCATGAGCCACCATGCCCAGCCTGGTAGTTTCTTATTTATAATAAGTTTGATATTAATAAGTTCAATTGATCATATGTTTTTAAGTTTGATATTGTTAAATTTTAGTGAATATAAGGAAAGCATAAAAAGATTCCTATGCAGGTGACATTAGCAAGATGGTGGAGTAGGAGATGTCAGCCTTATGCCCCAACAAAAAAACAAACATAGACAGTTATACACAAACCAAAATAGCCCTCACAAGGGTGGGGAGTTGGGGGATGGGGCTCAAGAGCCTGTTAAAGAATTTGGAACAACACAATGGAGAAAAGAAAGAATATCCATGTAGAAGAATCACCGGTGAGACTGGCATATATGAGACACCAGGAGATAGCTACGAATAAAGAAATTTGTAGGCTATCTGTGTCAGTCATGTGACACAGAGCCACTGAGGCCCCCAGTGTCCTGCTCCACAGAGGACACTGGCATCTTTTATCCAACAGCCATTCCCATAGCAGGATGCTAAAAAGGGAAACACAGTTGCACTACCCCTCACACCCCCTCACCAAGAAGCAGCTATTGTTGCACTGCCCCAGGACTGGGGCCAGGGTTACCACCTCTCACAAGTCTATGTGTGTTCCTGATCCCCAAAAGTTGTGGCTGCTCTACAGATATTCACACTCTGGACTGTGGCTCTGTGGCTGCAGTGCACCTCCTCATGTCTCAGACACTGGAGTCACTGCTGTTGTGAACTAGATCTCACCCTGGGACCCCAAGCCAAGTTCTCTCTGTGAAAGTCTTTGCTCCAGACACTAGTTCAGCCACTGTAGAAAGGTAACCCATATTCTCAACTCCAGAGCTGCTGTAGTAATGTGCACACCTGCGCTCCAGACCCTGTCTCTGAGGCTGTACTACACACACCCACACCTCCAACACCAGAGCCACCACTATAGTGAGCTAGTGAACACCCTGGGTCCTAGAGTCAAGGTTTCTCTGTGCCTGTCCATGCTCTAGTCACCAGCTCAGCCACCAAGGAGAGCTAGCCCACACCCTGGATCCTGGAGCCACTGTAGCTCTGCGTATGCATGCAGTAAAGTCCCTGGCTCCTTAGCTGCTTTATAAGTACCTGCATTTTACACACCATTATCAATGTGATAGTAAGTATGCCTGTGCCTTGGGCACTGGTACCATTGCTACAATTGAATCTGGTGCTGTGGTCCCTCCATGCATGCCCATGCTTCAGGCCTTGGCTCTTGGCCACTCCATGGGCACTGTTCATCAGACACCAGTGTCACCACCACCAGGAGCAGGCCTGCAAGTTAGACCTAATTCCAAGAGGGATGTCCTCAGTCATGACTTCCCAGGTGGGGAAAAAAAGAGATATGGAGGACTTGTCACAATTGAAAACCTCAACAGCCTCATTGCCACTGTAGATACCCACAGTGTTGGCCTCTAAGGATCCCTGTAGTATTCACTAACACCAACCTCAGCTGACAGATCTGCATGGAGACCACACAGCTTTGCCCCTACTGAAGTCAGAACTTTTGCATCCCACCCAGCCAGCATCCTCGCATTATTCCACATAAGAAGGTATTTCTCCACCAAAGTCAGCCCATACAGCCTGAAATTGGGGCAGATCCACCAGATGCTCAGACAGCAGTGTAAGGCAGCAAGAAACATGAAAACCCAAATTAAAATATCACCACCTAAGAAACACAATAATTTCCCAGTAGCTGACCCAAAAGAAATGGAGTACTACAAATGGCCTGACAATGGATTCAAGATAATTGTTTTTAAAGAAGCTCAGTTACTTTGAAGCAAACACAGAGAAACAATTTGGTGAAATCAGAGAAACAATAAATGCACAACATAAGAAATGTAACAGAAAGATTGAAATCATAAAAGAAATTGGAGCTGAAAAATATAATGAATGAAGTGAGAAATGCAGTAGAAATCACCAGTAGCAGACTTGATCAAGCAGAAGAAAGAATCTGTGAACTGAAGACAGGTTTTTGAAAATATACAGTGAGAGGAGAAAAAAGAATGAAAAGAAATGATGAAAGCCTACAAGATTTATGGGACAGCATCAAGAGAGCTAACATTCAGCCAGACTCAGTGGCTCATGCCATAATCCCAGCGCTTTGGGAGGCCAAGGTGAGTGGATCACCTGAGGTCAGGAGTCAAGACCAGCCTGACCAACATGGTGAAACCCAGTCTCTACTAAAAATACAAAAAAATTAGCCAGGGATTGTGGCACATGCCTGTAATCCCAGCTACTGGGGAGACTGAGGCAGCAGAATCTCTTCAACCTAGAAGGCAAAGGTTGCAGTGAGCTGAGATCATGCCACTGCACTCCAGCCTGGGTGACAGAGTGAGACTGCATCTCAAAAAATAAAAACAAAAATTAAATTAAAAATTAAAAAAGAGAGCTAATGTTCACATTACAGTAGTTTAAGAAGGAGAAAATAGAGGAAAAGGGGGTCAGAAAGCATATTTAAAGATTGCTAGCTGAAAATTTCCCAAATCTGAAATAAAATATTAATATTCAGGTACAGGAAGCTTAAAAATCTCCAGTCAGGTTCAATCCAAAAAAGACTACACCAAGACATAATAATCAAACTATCAAAAATCAAAGACAAAGACAGGATCCTAAAATCAGCAAGAGAAAAGAAGCATATCACAGACAAGAATTGCAATAAGGCTATCACAAGATTTCTCAGCAGAATGCTTCTAGGCCCAGAGAGAGTGAGATGATATATTCAAAGTGTTGAAAGAGAAAAAACTGCCAACCAAGAGTCCCATCCTTCAGAAATAAAGAAGAGATAAAGACTTTCCCAAACAAATAAAAGCTGAGGTAGTTCATCAACACGAGACCTGCCTTACAAGAAATGTTAAAGGGAATTCTTCAAGCTGAAAGAAAGGGATGTTAATTAATTACATGAAAATCTACGAAAGTATAAAAGTCACAGGTAAAAATAAAAATACAGTCAAATTCAGAATTTTCCAATATTATAATTGTGCTGTATAAATCACTTATATCTTTAGAATGAAGGTTAAAAGACAAAACTATTAAAAATAATTATAACCACAATAAGTTAACAGATACACAATATAAAAGATGTAAATTATAACATCAAAAGCATAAAGTCTGAAAAATATTAAAAACCTATAAAATGTGGAGGGAGAGTAAAAGTGTGGAGTTTTTTTATCCTTGAAGTTAAATTTTATCAGCTTAAAATAGCCTGTTATAACTATTATATGTTTTATCTAAGTCTCACAGTAACTACAAAGCAACAACATCACATTAAAAGGATTATTCACCATGATCATGTGTAATTTACCCCTGGGATGCAAGGATGGTTCAACATAAGAAAATCTATAAATGTGATACACACATTAGCAGAATGAAGGACAAAAGCCATATAATCATCTCAATATATGCAGAAAAAGCATTTGACAAATTTTACCATAATTTTATGATAACAATTGGTAAAGAAGGAATAGTGCCCTCAGGCAATAGGAAGGAATAATACCCTCAGGTGTGGAAAGAAAGTAACTTCAACAAAATAAAGGCCATATACATAAGCCCACAGCTAACATTATAGTCAATAGTGAAAGGTTGAAAGCTTTTCCTGTAAGATCAGGAGCAAGGCAAGGATATTCACTTTTGCCACTTCTATGCAGCACAGTACTGGAAATCCAAGCCAGAGTAATTGGGCAAGAGAAAGAAATAAAAGACATCCAAATCACAAGAACTTGTCTATGATTTCAGACAACATGATCTTATATATAGAAAACCCTAAAACATGATCTTATATGTAGAAAACCCTAAAGACTTCATAAAAAAAAACTTTTAGAACTAATAAATGAATTTAGTATAGTTACAGGATACAAAATCAACATGCAAAAATCAGCAGTGTTTCTCATACACTAACAACAAACTATCTGAAAAAGAAATTAAGAAAATAATCTCATTATACCAGCTACAAAAAAACACACTTAGGAATAAATTTAACCAAAAAGATAAAAGATCTATATACTGAAAACCATGAAACAAATTGAAGAAGACAAAGGAATTGAAAGATATCCCATATTTATGAATTTGAAAAATTAATATTGTTAAAATGTCTATACTACCCAAAGCAGTCTGCAGATTCAATGTAATTCCTATCAAAATTTCAATGGCATTTTTCAGAGAAATAAAAAATAACAATCTTGAAATTCATATAGAACCACAAAAAAATCCTGAATAGCCAAAGCAATCTTAAGCAAAAAGAACAAAGCTAGAAGCAGCACACTGCCTGATTTCAAAATATACTACAAAGCTATAGTAATTCAAACAGCATACTGGCATAAAAATAGATACTTAGACCAATGAAACATAGTAGAAAGATAAGGAATAGATTCATGCATTTACAGTCAATTGATTTTTGATAAAGATGCCAAGAACATTCAATGGTGAAAGGAGGGTCTCTTTAATAAATGATATTGGGAAAACTGGATATCTATATAAAGAAGCTTGAAATTGGATTCTTGTCTCACATACATAAATCAAAGGAAAATGGATTAAAGACTTAAATATAAGTCCTGAAACTATAAAACGATTAGAAGAAAACACACATAAAAAGCTCCATGACAGCTTGCAGTGAGCCGAGATCACGCCACTGCACTCCAGCCTGGGCGACAGAGCAAGACTCCGTCTCAAAAAAAAAAAAAAAAAAAAAGCTCCATGACATTAATCTTGGCAACGACTTTGTATATGACCACAAAAGCACAGGCAACAAAAGCAAAAATAAACAAATGGGATAACTTCAAACTAAAAAGCTTTTTCCAAAGCAAAGGAAACAATTGACAGAGTGAAGAGACAACCTATGGAGCTGAAGAAAATATTTACAAACCATGTATCTGATAGAAGATTAATATGCAAAATATGTAAGAAACTCAATTGCAAAATGCACACACACACTCGCGTACACACACACACACACACATATAACTCAATTTAAAAATGGGCAAAGAACCTGAATAGACATTTCTCCAAATAAGACATATAAATGGCCAACAGGTATATTTAAAATATTTGACTAATCATCAGGGAAATGCAAATTACAACCACAATGAGATATTACCTCATACCTGTTAGAATGACTACTATAAAAAAGATGAAAGGCTGGGTGCAGCGGCTTATGCCTGTAATCCCAGCACTTTGGGAGGCCGAGGCTGGCGGATCACGAGGTCAGGAGATTGAGACCATCCTGGCTAACGCAGTGAAACCACGTCTCTATTAAAAATACAAAAAAATTAGCCACGCGTGGCGGAGGGTGCCTGTAGTCCCAGCTACTCAGGAGGCTGAGGCAGGAGAATGGCGTGAACCTGGGAGGCAGAGCTTGCAGCTTGCAGTGAGTCAAAATTGCACCACTGTACTCCAGACTGGGTGACAGAGCGAGACTCTGTCTCAAAAAAAAAAATAAAAAGATGAAAGATAACAAGTGTTGGTAAGGATGCAAAGAAAAGGGACCACTGCACACTGTTGCTGGGAATGCGAATTGGTAGAGCCATTATGGAAAATGGTATGGAGTTTCCTCCATATGACACAATCCCACCACTGGGTATGTAGCCAAAAAAAAAAAATGAAATCAGTATGTCAAAGAAATGCTAAACTCCCATGTTTTTTGCAGCATTATTCACAATAGCCAAAATATGAAATGAACCTAGGTGTCTGTCAATGGACAAACGGCTTTCAAAAAAAAGTGGTATATACACACAATGAAATACTACTGAGTCTTTAAAAAGAAGGGAATCCTTGGCTCAGCACTGTGGCTCACGCCTGTAATGCCAGCACTTTGGGAGGCCGAGGCGGGCGGATCATCTGAGGTCAGGAGTTTGAGACCAGCCTGACCAACATGGAGAAACCCCGTCTCTACTAAAAATACAAAATTTTCCAGGCGTGGTGGCACATGCCTGTAATCCCAGCTACTCAGGAAGGCTGAGGCGGGAGAATCACTTGAACTCGGGAGGTGCAGGTTGCGGTGAGCCAAGATCGCGCCATTGCACTCTAGCCTGTGCAACAAGAGTGAAACTCCGTCTCAAAAAAAAAAAAAAACCCAAAAAAGAAGAAGGAAATCCTGTCATTTGCAACAACATGGATGAACCTGTAGGACTTTATGTTAAATAAAATAAACCAGGCATAGAAAGACCAATATGTGATCTCACTTATATTTGGAATCTAAAAACACTGAACTCATAGAAGCAGAAAGTAGAAAGGTAGTTACTAAGGACTGGAGGTGAGGTGTGGGAATTCGGAAGATGTTGGTCAAAGGATACAGAGTCTCAGTTAGGAAGAGTAAGTTCAAGAGATCTATTGTACCACATGGTCACTACAGTTTATAACAATGTATTATATACAGATGATTCCTGACATAAAATGTTTCAACTTAGGATTTTTGACTATATCATGGTGCAAGAGCCATATTTATTCAGTATAGATTTATGATGGGGTTATGCTTGGATAAACCCATTGTAAATTGGAAATATCGTAAGTTGAAAATGCACTTTCAACTTTCAACATTTTCAGCTTATGATGATGGGTTTATCAGGATGTAACATCATTGTAACTTGAGGGGCATCTGTACTTGAAAATTGCAAAAAGAGTAGCTTGTAAATGTTCTCATCACACAAAAAATAATAATGTGAGGTCACTGATATGTTAATTAGCTTAATTTAGCCATTTCACAAAAGTATAGATATATCAAAACATTGTGTTGTACACCATAAATATATATAATTTTTATTTATCAATTACAGTTAAATTCATACATACATACATATACACATACCCACCAAAAATAAAGAAAAAAGAAAATGAAAAAGAAGAATCTCTAGGAATAGGAATGAGAAGAAAAAACTGAATTTGTTTAAAAGCTACTCAGGCTCAATACCATTTTCTCATATGGATATAATCTGTGTAGAAAATTTGGGTTGTCACTAAAAATGGGATATAATTCCAATATAATTTAATTAGTAGTGTTATATATCTGGTTTGTATTTTTTTTATGTCTTCAGATTATACCATACATTCCCAGAGGGCAGGGATCCTTTCCTATATTAATCTTCCATCACCTGAAGTATCTAGCAGAGGGCAGAGAGACACTCAGCAAATACTTGTTGATTCATTGGTTGATTCATTAGACCCCAAGGGGACACAATGAAAGTGCTCCCTCCCATGTTCCTCTCTGAATTCTATTTATCTCATTACACTGGTGCATTCAAATACACAAGAAATAGCTAAGTCCCTTTGAGACTCCTGAGAGTGTGCTAGCATAGGGATTCAGTCATGAGTATATCTCATGAAGCCCATGGTTTTGTTGGGGGTGGGGGAGCAGATATTAAATAAAAATCACACAAATAAATTCAGGAAGAAAAGAATGTGGTACAATGAAAGGGCATGATAGGAATTGGAAAACTCCTTTAAGAGAACAGACACTTCTCAAAAGAAGACATTTATGCAGCCAACAGACACATGAAAAAAAATGCTCGTTATCACTGGCCATCAGAGAAATGCAAATCAAAACCACAACGAGATACCATCTCACACCAGTTAGAATGGCAATCATTAAAAAGTCAGGAAACAACAGGTGCTGGAGAGGATGTGGAGAAATAGGAACACTTTTACACTGTTGGTGGGACTGTAAACTAGTTCAACCATGGTGGAAGACAGTGTGGCGATTCCTCAGGGATCTAGAACTAGAAATACCATTTGACCCAGCCATCCCATTACTAGGTATATACCCAAAGGATTATAAATCATGCTGCTATAAAGACACATGCACACGTATGTTTATTGCAGCACTACTCACAATAGCAAAGACTTGGAACCAACCCAAATGTCCAACAATGATAGACTGGATTAAGAAAATGTGGCACATATACACCATGGAATACTATGCAGCCGTAAAAAATGATGAGTTCATGTCTTTTGCAGGGACATGGATGAAGCTGGAAACTATCATTCTCAGCAAACTATCGCAAGGACAAAAAACCAAACACCGCATGTTCTCACTCATAGATGGGAATTGAACAATGAGAACACTTGGACACAGGAAGGGGAACATCACACTCCAGGGCCTGTTGTGGGGTGGGGGAGGGGGGAGGGATAGCATGAGGACATATACCTAATGTAAATGACGAGTTAATGGGTGCAGCACACCAACATGGCACATGTATACATATGTAACAAACCTGCACGTTGTGCACATGTACCCTAGAACTTAAAGTATAATAAAATATATATATATAAAGAGAATGACTTTGGAGCTGAGGTCTAGGTTGGGAGAACTTTCTAGGCCAGTCAAGGTTTGGAGCAAGCAGCCTGGGAGCCTAGAGACAGCCATGGTGGCCTTGGGGCAGGAACAGAGGCTAGAGATGTAGGGAGGGCCTTGGCTATGCCAGGTCTATGTTAAAATTGAGTTTTCACATGTGCCATCTGTCATTAGATCAAATCAGAGACAGTTATTTCTTCAGGAAAATTTCACCTGCAAAGCTGTTTCCTCCACTCAGAAGACTAGGGAACTTTGTAAATAATAGGTTATAGGAAGACAAGTTACAATTTAAAAAAAAGAATTTACAGCTTTTTTTCTTTACTGTTAATATATGTTCATTGTGAAAAAATACATTGAAAGTTCAGAAAAGCACAAAGAAGGGGAAAAATTGCTCATAATACTGTCACCAATGAATCTGAATCACATTGTACATTGTTTTAAAATATGCTTTTTAATATTCAGTGATATATCATAAACCTTTTTGATGTTTTAAAATATATTTCTGTTCTAGTTACAACTAAAAAACTCCCAAATATATAAGTAGATATAAGTATAACTATACACATGGAGATATAGATATACATATAGATAGAGATACAACATAATGATGAGGAATGAAGATAAATTCAACCTCCCCACAGCTTAATGTCCTTAACAAAACTTCCCAGGGAGATGGAACACTTCTGGTCCATTTGCCTGAAGTGTCTGTCCCTTTCCTAATGTTCTCTCCCCTTGTCATGGAAAAAGATGCCAATTTTCCCCATACAGCTTTAGAAAGGTATCTTATACAAGTTTCATGAACTCGTGACTCTGCTTGCTGAAATGCCATTTGAATTGGCCTGTGGTATTATGCTCAAACATTTCTTTTCTTTATCTTTGCTCTCCAGTTTTTGAAAGGGAAGGAAAGGCAAGGAAATAAGTCAACTTAACAAAAGTCCCAAACAGTAAACATGAACTTTGAAAAAACTGTCTTCCTATATATCCTTAAATAGAAATAGGATCCTCAGGAAACACTATACATTTCCATATTTATACCCACTTAGCCCCACTTCATGGTTCATTTTTTCATTTTATATATTTTTGTGAGGGCCTGCTCTGTGCTATTATCTAAGCTACGCTCTGATCACACAAAGATGAATAAGACAGAGTCCCTGTCCTGAAGGAGCTCGAACACCTGTGGAGAAGTGAGCATATAAACAGATAATTATAGACAATGTCAAGGAGTCAATAAACACAGTCCCACAAAAGGGACTCCCACAAGAGACCCACAAGAGGCCATCTGACAGTCTGATAGTGGGGGTGGAGAGATGGTCAGAAAGGGTGTGGAGGAGAAACCCTTGAGCTGAGTGAAATAAGTTGGATTCTTTGGTGCAAACTCAATGGTTAAACTTGCACACAAGGAAAATGCTCTAAAATCAACAGACAAATTAGGAAGTGGTTTTTCTCCTTAAAAAAAGTTCTATCCTTCCCAAAGCATACTGTGTCTGCACGCTCCGATCACCAAAAGGCTGTGATAACCACAGAAGGGTTATCACCCATTCTAGAATACTAGAAACATAGTCACATGGGTGATCTATTTATAAATGAACACCATGATAGATTATTTAAAAGTCACTGAGGAAAGGAAGCAGAGATATTGTTATATTTATGAGCTGACATTATTCTTGGGCCAGACCCTGGCTACACATTTAAAAAGCTATATCTCATTTAATACTCACCACGACATCATGAGGTAGGTTCCATCTGCACAACTGGTCTGTCTACTTAGACAGTATTTTGATGTCCATTTTATTTAAAAGGAAATTGAAGATTAGAGCGTTAACTGTTTTCCTCAAGATGGCACAGTTGTTAAGTGAAATAAATGGGATTCAAATTTAAGTGCACCCCAAATAATACTATATTAAAATATGGGATTTTTCATTAAACTCATTTAAAAGTGCTCATTTTTGTTAAGAGAAGAGGTCCTTCAGAACCCCTTCCCTTAGTTTTCTGGTGAGCTCTATGCTAGAAATCTCTGGTAATTAAAGATGAATTAAAAGTAAGACTATATCAAGCTACTTCTTGTATCTGTGTCAGGACACAGAAATCACATCTCAGGGCAAGATCTTCTGTTATTAAGTCTGCTTGAGTCAAAATCACCTTGTTTACACAGGGAAGCTTTGGTCAGTTTTCTGGGCAATCATTTTTTTGTTTTTTTGTTTGTTTGTTTTTGAGACAAAGTCTCACTCTGTCACCCAGGCTGGTGTGCAATGGCTCAATCTCGGCTCACTGCAACCTTCGCCTCCTGGGTTCAAGCAATTCTTGTGCCTCAGCCTCCTGAGTAGCTGGGACTACAGGTGGGGAAAGTATTTTTGATCTGGAAATGTGGGGCAAACATGAACATGCTTCAATTCGTAAGAAAAAAAGCCTAGGTTGAATGGGACGTAGAACTGGCTAATTTCTGAGTCCCCACCCAATCATTGAATTAAAAATTATGCGGTTAAGAGTTTCCTGAAACCTTCCTGGTTGACTTGTCCTACTGTTTCCCATGATCAAAGGTAATAAAAGACTAAATAGCTAATAATATTCATTTTCTTTAATGCATTCAGGGGAATGTTACCTCCAATGATGATTATACCAGGTCTCTGCAATCATTCGTTCTTTAGAGATACATCTCTGAAATTACAAATAGATATCAAATTTATAAAAACATGCATTAAAAATTTTCATTGAAACATTTATTAAAAATTAAAAATGCTAATTAAGCATTTAGAGGCACATCCCATGGTTTATGAAAGTGTTTCTCCAGTTTAATTTTTTGCTTAAAAATCAACTCATAATGGATAAAAGACCTAAACATAAGACCCAAAACCATAGCTCCTAGAAGAAAACACAGGAGGAAAGCTCATTAAAGTTGGTCTTGGCAATGATTTTTTGGATATGACCCCAAAAGTTGAGGCTGCAAAAGCAAAAATGAATAAATGGAATAATATCCAACTAAAAAGTTTCTGGACAGCAAAGGAAGCAATCAACAAAATGGAAAAATAGCTTACAGATTGGGAGAAAATATTTGAAAACCATATATCTGATACGGAGTTAATATTCAAAATACAACTCAATAGCAGAGAAGGAAATAACCTAATTTAAAAATGGGCAAAGGACTGAATAGAGATTTCTCCAAAGAAGACATAAAAATGGGGCCAAGGGCAATGGCTCATACCTATAATCCCAACACTTTGGGAGGCCGAGGTGGGCGGATCACTTGAGGCCAGGAGTTGGAGAATAACCTGGCCAATATGGCAAAACCTTGTCTTTACTGAAAATACAAAAATTAGCCAGGTGTGGTGGTGCACTCCTATAGTTCCAGCTACTGGGGAAGCCGAGACATGAAAATCACTTTAACTGGGAGGCAGAGTTTGCAGTGAGCCAAGATCATGCCACTGCACTCCAGCCTAGATGACAGAGCAAGATCTGTCTCAAAAAAAAAAAAAAAAAAAAAAAAAGCCAACAGGCCAACAGGTATATGAAAAGGTATTCAACATCACTAATCATCAGGGGAATGCAAAGCAAAATCACTATAAGATATCACAGACAGCTATTATCAAAAAGACAAGAGCCAACAAGTGTTAGCAAGTGTGTGGAACAAAAGCCAATCCTTGTAGAGAAACTTTTGTTTAAGGATTAAGCAATTAACGAAATAAGACCTCTCAAACCAGCATCCATCAATGTTAACAGCAACATCAACAATCATTTATTGTGTCTTTTCCATAGGCCATTGTTCTAGGGCTTGGGACCTCACAAAAATAGGAGACTCAGTTTGCTGAGTCTGCATTAAAAACTGCCTCTGGGAGATTTTAATCTAGTTGGAGATACAGGCCAAACACGAAGAAAGGAGATATAACTCTATGAGACAATGCATGCCCACACAGGTGAGAGCCACCAGAGTTCAGAGAAAGAGTGAAATAACCAAGCACAGAGAATAAAGGACACAAAGTGCATCTCGTGCTTTCTTCTTCAGTCCCACAAGTCTAGGTGAGGTCAGCCTCCCACTGCCTCCCGTAAAGCTGTGGATTTTCCTAGACAGCCAATTGTACTATTTCTTCTTCCCTCCCTCTCCTCCTTTCTTCCTTCCTTCCTTCCTTCCTTCCTTCCTTCCTTCCTTTCTTCCTCCCTTCCTTTTTTATTTTTTGGCAGGGTCTCACTCTGTTACCCAGGCTGGGGTACAGTACTGCAATAATAGCTTACTGCAGCCTTGACCTCCAAGGCTCTAGTGATCCTCCCACCTCAGCCTCTCGAGTAGCTGGGACTATAGGCATGTGCCCCCACACCTGGCTAATTTTTGTATTTTTTTTATAATGACGAGGTCTCATTATGTTGCCCAGGCTGGTCTTGAAGTCCTGGGCTCAAGCGATCCACACACCTTGGCCTCCCAAAGTGTTGGGATTACAGGCGTGAGCCACTGCACCCAGCCTCAATTCTATTATTTCTCAAAATGCTAATATTTGTTAGGTTTTAGGAATTGAACAATTTCATATTAGGCATAAAGGAATTGCAGGGGAGGAATGCATTCTACCCTTTCTCCCACCACACGCATACACTACACATCCACTTTAAAATATATATCTGAAAGAGAATATATAAGAAAGAAAGTATAATGAGTTTCTTATGAAGTTTGTGAATATGGATTTTTTCTCTTTTCTTCAATATTTGCCCCTATCATAGGTTCCTAGGAATTACATTTTCTGTGGTGCCCAAAGTAGAGACAGGTACATAGGTATAAGCCCGTGCAGGCAGCTGCATGCTCAGTAAAGGCACCAAGGCTGGTGGCCTTTTGTCTGAGTGACAAGTACCCCGTGTGCCCACAATTGCCTTTTCTACATTGGGCCTGAACAGCAGTCTCCCTCTATGGTTGGCAGGTTTATCAACTGCAGTGACTATGTGTTATTTTTATTTCTCTGGCTCATAATAATAGTCAATTCAAGTTATATCAGAGTCGTGTCTGAAATATTCTCTCTTCCAATAAGCCTTCTATAGAATGTATCAGTGCAGTGATGTTTTCTGCCTATAACAACCACTATTGACTGGGTGCGGTGGCTCACGCCTGTAATCCCAGCACTTTAGGAGGCCGAGGTGGATCATCCAAGGTCAGGAGTTCGAGATCAGCCTGACCAACATGGTGAAACCCTGTCTCTACTAAAAATACAAAAATTAGCCGGGCATGGTGGTGAGTGACTGTAGTCCCAGCTGCTTGGGAAGCTGAGGCAGGAGAATCGCTTGAACCTGGGAGGTGGAGGTTTCAGTGAGCCAAGATCATGCCATTGCACTCCATCTTGGGCAACTAGAGTAAAACTCCATGTCAAAAAAAAAACCAAAAAACCACTGCTTCTCCATTGTCTTAGTGGGACTGGCATCCTCTCCACAAACCCTATTAGCCTAGAGCTCATTAAATGTCTTCACATTCGAGAGCCATAAACCCACGTTTTGTTCCCATCACATGCAAGGCATGGATGTTATCCATTAATAATTTTTCATTTAATAACAAAAAAATAATAGAACTTAAGAAATAGTAGATTTCTTTCCGTTAAATTTGGAGATGTATTTTTGGAAATGGCTTCCTGAGCAGTATCTCTGCTCTGAATTTGGGGCTAAGATGAGTTTCGCTGTACAGTTGAACCAGTGGGTTCTTACAGAGAGAATACATATTCTCCAGGTATGAATAGAATACATGCAACTTTAATTGCATCTACCACTGGCCACAGTGCCCCTGAATGAGTCCTGTAAGTGAAAAGGTAATTTTGAACAATGTTTCAAAATTGACACATCTGCTTAAAAATTATTTCCTTTTCTTACAAATACCTTGGTTATCAAAACGAGTAATTTACTGAAATATATATAAACTCCAACTGTGACGTTAAACAATGGATTATAATAAAATAAAGAAACGGAAAAATAACAGCTATATAAAGACACTTGGCTGGAAGTAATCAAATCAAGTCCGTTTTTTTATCCTTAAATAATTCTGTGATCCTGGCTCCCGATAAGAGGAAATTGTCTTTCCAAAAGGCATAATAGCCTCCTAGGGATTTGCTTTCCTTTGAACAATGAAGAAGGAGGAAAAGGTGTCATTGGGGATTTAAATTTAGGAGACTTGTTTGTACTTAAACTTGGCTTAATAAGTGTTCTTTAGAGCTTGTTTTTCTTTTTGTTATTAAAATAAAACTTTTAAATTTTGTAACTCATCTGTCAATGTAATTCATAAAAATGAATTTTCACAAAAACAGTCTTTTTCTAAAATAAAAATAGAAAAATTATGTTTCTCTTATAAAAGACTCATACCAGAAAGACATAAAGAAGAAAACAATCATCCAAAACAACCACTATTAACATGTTGGTATGCTTTTAGAATTTTAAATTCATATATTCACAGATAATTTTCAACAAAAATAGGTTTAAGCTTTACTTTTGTATTTTAGTATTTTAAGTTAAGTCATATATTAAGGACATATTTTCATGTTAATAAATATGTCTCTATCATTCTTTGTGGTGGCTGCATAATATTTCATTGTAAAATGCACCATCATGTATTCAAAATATCCCATATGGATGAAAATCTTTCTATTTATAAATTCTTGCTATCATACACAAAACTGCAAAACATTCTAGAATATGTGTCTTTGCCTATATTTGTCCCATAATTTCTCTTGGAAAATTATTAGAAGTGAATTTACT
The DNA here is from genome assembly GCF_000001405.40 of Homo sapiens. Classification (NCBI taxonomy): domain Eukaryota; kingdom Metazoa; phylum Chordata; class Mammalia; order Primates; family Hominidae; genus Homo; species Homo sapiens. The sequence goes on from NC_000001.11 coordinate 169,647,403, forward strand.
AGACCAAAGTATGTGTGCACTTGAAATATTGACAGATATTATTTAATTATCCTTCAAATAAAAGTATAAATTTGAACTCTTGCCAACAGTATATGATGGTGACCATTCCCCTACTCCTGTTCCAACATTTTCCAGTTTAAGAAACCTGGCCAAGCTGGTAGAGAACAACAACAACAAATCTCATTTTTCTAACTTTAATTACTATGGAGCTTACCCAATATATAATGTTTGGGGAGTAACACAAAAAACTTAGGACATTGCATAAAGATGTCCTTGGATGTCACCTCTTGCCACTTCACAGCTTGAAGACTTTGGTGCAGTCCCTAGCAGTGAGTCATGAAAGGTGGCAGGCTCAATAAAGGTGAAAAATAAATAAAGGACTTCTGCTTTCCAGTCTAGCATGTAAGAATATTAAAGATTGTCACTCCATGTAACAATAAGTAAAAAGCTGAACAAACTGAAAAATCAGAAGCTTTTCTTAGATCCATAAGAGAGGCAAGGTCACAGGGAAAACTGCTGCCACCACCCCCACCCCCTACCGCCAAATTAAAAAGACTAACAGGAGAATAGAGAAAATCACAACTTACTGAAGTAATAATCTCTATGGGAAACAGTGCAGGATACATTATGCCTGGCTATCAGTAAAAAATTATAAGACATACCAAAAAGCCAAAAGCACATTTGTAAGAGAAAGAGCAAGCATCAAAACCAGACTCAGATATGGCAGGGATGTTGGAATTATCAGATCAAGATTTAAAACAACTACGATTTATATGCTAAGGGCTCTCATGGATAAAGTAGGGAGCATGCATGAATATATGGATGATGTAAGCAGAGAGATGGAAGAAAGAACCAAAAAGAAATGATAGAGATAAAAATCAACATAACAGAAAGGAAGAATGCCTTCAATGGGCTTACTAGTAGACTGGAGACGACTCAGGGAAGAATCTCTGACGTTGAGACTATCTTAACAGAAACCTTCAAATCTGAAAAGCAGAGTACAAAGACTGAAAAAACCCAGAACAGCTACAAAGGATATAATATGTGAGTAATGGAAATACCATAAAGAGAAGAAAAAGACAAAGGACTAGAAGGTTATCTGAAACAATAACAACTAATAATTTCCCCCAAATTAATGCCAGACACCAAGCCACAGATACAGAAATCTCAGAGAACATCAAAAAGGATAAATCCCCCCGCAAAATACCCGTAGGTTTATCACTGTCAGACTACAGGAAATCAAAGATAAAGAAAAAAATCCCAAAAGAAGCCAGAGGGGAAAAATACCTTACTTAGTATCTTAGTCCATTTTGTATTGCTATAAAAGAATACCTGAGGATGGGTAATTTATAAAGAAAGGAGAGTTATTTGGCTCACTGTTCTGTAGACTGTATAAGAAGCATGATGCCAGCATCTGCCCCTCTTCTGGTGAGGCTTTTGTGCTGTGTCAAAAAACATGGTGGAGAAGGTCAAAGGGGAAGTGGGCACATGTGAAGAGGAACCAGTCCTGAGGGGCATCCTGGCTTTACAGCAACTCACTCTCAGAGGAAACTAATCCATTCCTGTGAGAACTAAACGAGTCTCACCAGAGTGAAGCCCACTCACTACCACAAGAATGGCACCAAACCATTTGTACCAGATCCACCCTCATGACTGAAACACCTCCCACTGGGCCTCACCTCCCACCACCACCACAATGGGGATCAAATTTTAACACAGGATTTGATGGGGACAAACAAACCATATCCAAACCATAGCACTTATAGAGGAAAAAAATAAGAATTGCATCCTACTTATCTTAAGAACCTTTCAAGCAAGAAGAGAATACAGTGAAATATTTAGAATTGAAGTAAAAAAAACAACAACAACCAGGCTAGGATTCTGTACCCTGTGAAATAATCCTTCAAAAGTGAGGGAGAAATACTTTCTCAAACAAAGTTGAAAGAATTTCTTGTCAGTAGGCCTGCCTTGCAAAAAATATATTTAAAAGTTCTTTAGAGAGAAGGAAAATGAGGAAAACCACAAAACTCAGATGAGAGATATCAAAGAACTAAATAAACTGAAAGATATTTCATGTTTACGAGTAGGAAGACTCAATGTTATTAAGATATCAATTCCTCCCAACTTGATCTTTAGATTTAATGCAACCTCAATCAAAATCCCAACAAGTTATTTCGTCAATATCAACAAACTGATTCTAAAGTTTATTTGCTACTAAGGCCTAAATGTTTGTATGTCCCCCAAATTCATATTTCGAAACCCCCAGGGTAATGTGGGGCCATTGAGAGGTGATTGTACCATAAGGGAATTAGTGCCCTTATAAAACAGACCCCACAGAGCTCACCCCTTCCACCGTGTGACGACACAACTAGAAGTCACCACCTATGAACCAGAGCACAGACACTAAGTCTACTTATGCCTTGATGTTGGATTTCTCAGCCTCAAGAACCATGAGAAATAAATTTATAAGCCGCTCAGTGTAAGGTATTTTGCTATTGCAGCCCAAGTGTATTAACACAATATTGCCAACACAATATTGAAGGAGAAGAACAACGTTGAAGTACCAATACTACCCAACTTCAAAAGTTACTATAAAGCTACAGTAATCAAGGAAGTGCAGTATTGGTGAAAAAGTGCACAAATAGATCAATGGAATAGATTAGAGAGCCCAGAAATAGACCAACATAAAGTCAACTGATCTTTGATAAAGGAACAAAGGCAATACAATGGGGCAAAGATAGTCTTTTGCACAAATGGAGCTGGAACATCTGAACATCTACACGCATAAAAGATCTGGACATAGACTTTACACACTTCACAAATTTTAACTCAAAATGGAAAATTTAATGCAAAACTATAAAACTCCTAGAAGATAACAGGAAAAAACCTAGATAACCTTAGATATAGTGATGACTTTGTAGCTACAACACCAAAGGCACAATACATGAAACAAATCATTGATTAAGACGGACTTCATTAACTTTAAAAACTTCTGCTCTGTGAAAGACAATGTCAAAGAAATGAAAAGACAAGCCGCAGGCTGGGAGAAAAATTTGCAGAAGATGCACGTGAGAAAGCACTGTTATCCAAAATATAAAAAGATATTTAAAACTTAACATTGAGAAACAAACCACTCAGTTAAAAAGTGGGTCAAAGATCTTACAAGACACCTCACCAAAGAATGTGTGCAGCTTACAAATGATCACATGAAAAGATGCTCTGCATCATGTGTTATCAGTGAAATACAAATTAAAAGAACAATAAAATACCACTATACAGCTGTCAGAATGGCCAAAATCTAGAACACTGACAACACCAAATGCTAACATCCTTTGTGTGACAACACAAAGGATGTAGAACAATAGGAACTTTCATTCACTGCTAGCGGGAATGAAAAATATTACAGCCACTTTGGAAGACCGTTTGGCAGTTTCTTACAAAACTAAACATAGTCTTATCATTCGTTCCAGAAATCACACTTCTTGGTTTTTACCCAAAGGAGTTGAAAACTTATGTCCACACAAAAACGTGTGTATGCATGTTTATAGTAGCTTTATTCATAATTGCCAAAACTGGGACGCAACCAAGATTTCCTTAAGTGGGTGAATGGATAAACTGGTACATCCTGACAATGGAATGTTATTCAGTGCTAAAAAGAAATGAGCAATCAAGCTTTGAAAAGATGTGGTGGAAACTTAAATTCAAATTACTTGAAGTTAAAGAAGCCAGTCTGAAGAGACTGCATACTAGACAATTCCAACTATATGGCATTCTGGGAAAGGCAAAACTATGGAGACAGTAAATATACTAATGGTTGCCAAGTTATGGTAAGTGGAGGAATGAACAGGCGTAGCACAGAGGATTTCTTGGGCAGTATGATAACATAATGGTGGACACACATCATTGTACATTTGTCCAAACCCATAAAATACACAACACCGAGAGTGAACCCTAATGTCAACTATGGACTTTGAGTGATAATGATGTGTCAATTATGTTCATCAATTGTAACAAATGTACCACTCTGGTAGCAGATGTTGATAATGGGGGAGGCTATGGATGAGTGGGGGCAGGGGATACACAGAAAACTTCTGTACCTTCTGCTCAATTTTGTTGTGAACCCAAAACTGCTCTAAAAATAAAGCCTATTAAAAATAATTAAATGAAAATATAGGTGTCTAAGACACAAACACTGACTGTTCCCTGGGTTTCACGGCTGCTGCTTTTGTACTTGCTCACCTTCTATCTGCAGGACTGGTCAGTTGGCTTGTTTAGCAAATTAGGGTCTTTTCATAACCCTGTGTGCCAGAGACTGCATTGCTAGAAGCACACTAAATTCAAAGAGAGGAATTCTGGTCTGATAAACGTGAATTTGAATATAATTCTTAAAAAACTTAATATGTATTTTGGAGTAATACTTTGACAACCGAATATCTTGGTTACCAAAATGAGTCACTGATTGAAATATATGCATACTCCAACTGTGATATTAAACAATAGATTATAATATAATAAACAAATGGAAAATAGCAACTGTCTAAAGTCAGTTAGCTGGAAAAATCAAATCAAGTCCAATTTTTTAATCCTCAAATAATTATATGATCCTGGTTTCTAATAACAGAGAATTGTCTTACCCAGAGGTTTAATAGCTTCCCCGAGGATTTACTTAAGAGATAATGGGGATCCTGCAATGACCCTAAATGAAACTTTGGGATCCCAGAGGGCAGTAATGCATGACAGTTTAGTTTTAAGTGATGTTATCCAAGGGGCAGAGTGGTTCGTTCTTTCTAAATGAAGTGGTCTGCTGGCAATACCTAAACACCTTTTATGATTAGTCCATTTCATCCAGGCTATATTACTCAGAACTTCAAGGTTTCAGTTTTTTTGTTTGTTTGTGTGTGTGTGTGTGTGTGTGTGTGTGTGTGTGGTTTTTTTTGTTTTGTTTTTTGTTTGTTTGTTTGAGACATGGTCTTGCTCTCTCACCCAGGCTAGAGTGCAATGGCACAATCTCACTTGACTGCAAACTCCGCATCCCGGGCTCAAACAATCCTCCTGCCTCAGCCTCCCAATTAGCTGGGACTACAGGCATGCGCAACCATGCCTGGCTAATTTTTGTATTTTTTGTAGAGATGGGGTTTTGCCATATTGCCCAGGCTGGTCTCAAACTCCTGGACTCAAGCTATCCCCCTGCCTCGGCCTCCCAAATTGCTGGGATTACAGGCATAAGCTGCCGTGTCTGGCCTCAGTCATCTGCTTTTTACAAATACTTGGGCTGTGTGGCCTTGGGCAAGTAGCTCAACTTCTCTGAGTTTAATTTTCCCTATGTGACCTATGTAAACAATAAAGAGATTGCATAGTGTACCGTAAACAATTTGGATTTACCCCAGGAATGCAAAATGTATTTAACATTATCAGTGATATAATTATCTACATTTTAACAGATTGAAGATAATTCAAAATGTAATCTTTTCAACATACAAAGAAGTTCAATAAACTAACATTTATTTATTTAAAAAATTATAATGACAGGGAACTGCTATAATATGTAAATGGTATCTACAAAGAAAACCCGTAACGGGCATTATACTTAATGGGGAAACACTATAACTGTTCCCTGTAAGATGAATAACAAGACAGGATCTCACTATTTCTGTCTCTATGCAATATTGTACTAGATGTCCTAGATAAGGCAATAAGGAAAAAAAAAGAAAAAAGAAAAGATATAAGGATTGGGGGGTAAGAAATAAAATTGTCTTTATTTGCAAATTATATCATTGGGTAGAAAACTTCAATGAATCTACAGAAAAATTACTAGAATAGTAAGAAAAATTAAAAACTTGGCTCCTTAAAAAATAATATGTACATTTGAGTTGCAGTTCTAAGTATCAACGCAAAAATTTTAAAATGTGCTTTTTTATAAAAAGACTTTTACAGTACAGTAAAAATTTCAGATACCTAGGAATAAATCTAACAAAAGATGTATAATATCTTTAGAGCAAAAATACAAAATTTTATTGAAAACATAGAAAACCTAAATACAAAGATATGTTCATGAATCCTAAAGTGTGTACTCATAAAAATGTAAATATTCCTAAAATTGACCTATGCATGTAATGCAATTCCAATTAAAACCCAAGCAGTTTTATTGTAGAGCTCCTTATTAACTTAATAAATGCTTATTGAACACTTAGTCCTTGCTAGACACTGTACTAGGTATAGTAAGAATATAGCAATGAGCAAGACATGAACTCTCCATTCTCATGAACCTTGGACTAGTGAGAGAAACTGACTTAAAATACGTAATTATTAGTTTGACATGTTGATTATATGCTGTGTGATTGGCATATTACAGATGATAAAATTGAAACTAAACATGTCATTTGCCAAACCCAAGATCACAGAACTAGTAATATTAGAGCCAGTTTTTAAAGCCAAGAGTGACAAGTCTGATTTCAAAGCCTACATTCTTTCCACATCATCATGCAGATTTCCAAGACCCTCTTTGTCCAAAAGCTCAGCCAGCATGCATTCCTCTGTGTACCTCTATAGGGCCACAACTATGTCTCAAACCCTCACAAAATATATATGACGCGGGTATAAAGCTGCAAAAGTCAAGTGCTACAGTCACAGTGAAATGCATGATGGGTGTTCACAGATGCCAGCACCACTGGGCTCTGTGTTTAGGCCAAGTTGGCAGCAACTGTGGTGTGATTTCAGGGATGCTTCTGCTCTAAAAGATCTCAGTTTGTCACAGTTTGTGAAAAATTCCACACTTGGTTCAGACTGTAGGATTTCAGGAATATTGTGGAATAAGTAGCAATGTCAGCAACCTGCTTGTCTCCAATGTTATTACTGTAAATATTTTTCAGTAACTACAACAATAATAATATAAAGCCTCTACCCTGCCTCACAACCAAGTAAGACTTTGTCACAGTCTGGCTTTCTCCTCTAACGTGCCTAACCTCAGTGGCCAGATGTGTGTGGTGGGAAAATCTATGCACAACCATACCTCAGAAATGGGATCCAAGACCTGTACCCCCAGTCCTAGTTAATGAAACCCTGGCAGCCCACCTGGCATGGGTCAGGGCTGTCACCCCATATGGCCTGCTACTTCAGCCTTGTCCTAGGAAGCTTCAAATACCAACATTTAAGACAAGTAGTTAAAACCATCTTTTTAGATTTGTGAATAGCAAGGAGGATCAACAAGTCAAAATCATGGAGACTAAATAGTGCAGAAAACAAATGCTTTATAATGAAAAGAAACAAAAAGTCAAGAGCTGAGAAACTCCTTTCCTCTGAGGTTCACTTTATGAATCAGAAGAATATTCTACACAACTGGCTATTTCCTATGCCCAGTGAGATTAAAGACGATATGGCAACAGAATGGGAACAAGTAGGAGAAAACACAGGTTCAATGAAATAAATGATAGAGCAAGAAAATAGTGGCTATATGCAGTAAAAAGCAGAATTACTACTGCAGAAAAATAAATACACAGTACAAAACAGAGTCCCTATATTATAATGGTTGAGAACCTGACTCCTGCATCAGACAGATTTGGCTAGAATTGAATTACAATTCTGCATTGCTTCTCAGCCTTTTGGCTAAGATCAAGTGAATTACAATTCTGCCACTTATCAGCTGTATGATCTTCAGCAAATGCATCATCCATAAAGTGAGGAGAAGAAGATGAAACAAGAATGCATTTATAGTGTTAAAATAGTGCCTAAAACATAGTCAATGCTGTATAAAGTTATGCCTATTATTATTTTTATTCTAACCAATAAACTTAATAATTATTCTTTGGATTGAGGCACTCAGGATCCTCTGCTCCAATGTCAACATCCCTGAGAGTGGTAGACATTCCATATTATCAATATTGTTGAGCATCTGCTTTGTACGAGGAAAATTTATCAAACAACCACCTAACATAGGACACCAAGAAACTAAGAAAATGGAAAATATGACCAGTATTTTGAAGAGTGAGGTGAGCTGAGTTTCCCAAATGTGACCATGAAAACATGAGATCCAGAGAGACCGTGCCAGATGTGGTGCATGCCTATAATCCCAGCACTTGGCAGGCTGAGGCAAGAGCATTGCTTGAGCTCAGGAGTTTGAAACCAGCCGGGGCAACATAGTGAGACCCTGTCTCAGAAAAAAAAAAAAACAAAAGAGAGAGAGAGACCCAGAGGAAAGCTCCAGATTTTTGACTCCTCCCACTTCCATGCACATGACTCACTTCACAATTCCCAAGAATGGTGATGATACTAACAGACCCTAGTCTTTGGTATGAAATAATGAATTGCTTTCATTACCTATAGAAGATTAATATTCTCACTAGGATTCTATATATCTTAAGAGGCTGTCCAACTCTTATTCCTCTCCTTCGAAGATACTTAATCTACAAGTGTCTGTAATATAAAGACACAGTTAAATACAAAGCGTCATGGCAAGTGTCTAGGAAAGTCACTTTATTTATGCCATCTCTAATGGTGCCAGCAGGGGTAATAAGTGATGGAGAAGCAATCAAAACCACACAGTTAAAACCACTTTTAGGGCCAGTGGCTGACAAGATGGCTGAATAGGAACAGCTCCAGTCTGCAGCTCCCAGCAAGATCAATGCAGAAGGCGGGTGATTTCTGCATTTCCAACTGAGGTACCTGGCTCATCTCATTGGGACTCATTAGATGGTGGGTGCAGCTCATGGAGGGTGAGCCAAATCAGGGTGGGGCATTGCCTCACCCAGGAAGTGCAAGGGGTCAGGGAACTCCCTCCCCTAGCCAAGGGAAGCAGTGAGGGACTGTGCTGTGAGGAATGGTGCACTTCAGCCTAGATACTATGCTTTTCCCATGATCTTCACAACCCACAGACTAGGCGATTCCCTCAAGTTCGTATGCCAGCAGGGCCCTGAGTTTCAAGCACAAAACTGGGCGGCTGTTTGGACAGACACCGAGCTAGCTACAGGAGTTTTTTTTTTCATATCCCAGTGGCGCCTGAAACACCAGTGAGACAGAGGTGTTCACTCCCCTGGAAAGGGGGCTGAAGCCAGGGAGCCAAGTGGTCTAGCTCAGTGGATCCCACCCCCATGGAGCCCAGCAAACTAAGATCCACTGGCTTGAAATTCTCACTGCCAGCACAGCAGTCTGAAGTTGGCCTGGGATGCTCGAGCTTGGTGGGGGGAGGGGTGTCCACAATTACTGAGGCTTGAGTAGGTGGTTTTCCCCTCACAGTGTAAACAAAGTTGCCGGGAAGTTCGAACTGGGCAGAGCCCACCGCAGCACGACAAAGCTGCTGTAGCCAGACTGACCTCTAGATTCCTCCTCTCTGGGCAGGGCATCTCTGAAAGAAAGGCAGCAGCCTCAGTCGGGGGCCTATAGATAAAACTCTCAACTCCCTGGGACAGAGCACCTGGGAGAAGGGATGGCTGTGGGTGTAGCTTCAGCAGACTTAAATGTTCTGCCTGCCAGCTCTGAAGAGAGCAGCGGACCTCCCAGCACAGTGCTCAAGCACTGCTAAGGGACAGACTGCCTCCTCAAGTGGGTCCCTGTCCCCCGTGCCTCCTTACTGGGAGACACCTCCCAGCAGGGTCAACAGACACCTCATACAGGAGTGCTCCAGCTGGCATGTGGCAGGTGCCCCTCTGGGATGAAGCTTCCAGAGGAGGAACAGGCAGTAATCTTTGCTGTTCTGAAGCCTTCGCTCATGATGCCCAGGCAAGCAGGGTCTGGAGTGGACCTCCAGGAAACTCAGCAGACCTGCAGCATAGGGACCTGTTAGAAGGAAAACTAACAAACAGAAATGAATAGCATCAATATCAACAAAAAAGACGTCCACACAAAACCCCATCCGAAGGTTACCAACATCAAAGACAAAATGTAGATAAATCCATGAAGATGAGGAAAAACCAGCACAAAAAGGCTGGTAATTACAAAAACCAGAACGCCTCTTCTCCTCCAAATGATCACAACTCCTCACCTGTAAGGGAACAAAACTGGACAGAGAATGATTTTGACAAATTGACAGAAGTAGGTTTCAGAAGGTGCATAATAACAAACTCCTCTGAGCTAAAGGAGCATGTTCTAACCCAATGCAACAAAGCTAAGAACCTTGAAAAAAAGGTTAGAGGAATTGCTAACTAGAATAACCAGTTTAGAGAAGAATGTAAGTGAGCTGATGCAGCTGAAAAACACAGCACAAGAATTTTGTGAAGCATACACAAGTATCAATAGCCGAACTGGTCAAGTGGAAGAAAGAATATCAGAGATTGAAGATCAACTTAATAAAATAAAGTGTGAAGACAAGATTAGAGAAAAAAAGAATGTAAAGGAACAAACAAAGCCTCCATGGTACTATGTGAAAAGACCAAACCTACGTTTGATTAGTGTAACTGAAACTGACAGGGAGAATGGAACCAAGTTGAAAAACACTCTTCAGAATATTACCAGGAGAACTTCCCCAACCTTGCAAGAGAAGCCAACATTAAAATTCAGGAAATACAGAGGACACTACAAAGATACTCCTCAAGAAGAGCAACCCCAATACACGTAATTGTCAGATTCACCAAGGTTGAAAAGAAGGAAAAAATGTTAAGGGCAGCCAGAGAGAAAGGTTGGGTTACCCACAAAGGGAAGCTCATCAGACTAACAGCAGATCTCTCTGCAGAAACCCTACAAGCCAGAAGAGAGTGGGTGCCAATATTCAACATTCTTAAAGAAAAGAATTTTCAACCCAGAATTTCATATCCAGCCAAACTAAGCTTCATAAGCAAAGGAGAAATAAAATCCTTTATAGATAAGCAAATGCTGAGAGATTTTGTCACCACCAGGCTTTCCTTACAAGAGCTCCTGAAGGAAGCACTAAACATGGAAAAGAAAAACCCACACCAGCCACTGCAAAAACACACTAAATTGTAAAGACCGTCGACACTATGAAGAAACTGCATCAACTAACGGGCAAAATAACCAGCTACCATCATAATGACAGGATTAAATTCGCACATAATATTAACCTTAAATGTAAATGGGATAAATGCCCCAATTAAAAGACACAGACTGGCAAATTGGATAAAGAGTCAAGACCCATCAGTGTGCTGTATTCAGGAGACCCATCTCATATGCAAAGACACACGCAGGCTCAAAATAAAGGGATGAAGGAATATTTACTAAGCAAATGGAAAGCAAAAAAAAGCAGGGGTTGGAATCCTAGTCCCTGATAAAACGGACTTTAAACCAACAAAGATCACAAAAGACAAAAAGGGCATTAAATGAACGTAAGGGGATCAATGCAACAAGAGCTAATTATCCTAAAAATATATGCACCCAAAACAGGAGCACCCAGATTCATAAGGCAAGTACTTAGAGACCTACAAAGAGACTTAGACTCCCACACAATAATAGTGTGAGACTTTAACACCCCACTGTCAATATTAGGCAGATCAACAAGACAGAAAATTAACAAGGATATTCAGGACTTGAACTCAGCTCTGGACCAAGCTGACCTAATAGACATCTACAGAACTCTCCACCCCAAATCAACAGACTGTGCTTTCTTCTCAGCACCACATCACACTTATTCTAAAATTGACCACATAACAGGAAGTAAAACACTCCTCAACTAATGCAAAACAATTGAAATCATAATAAACAGTCTCTCAGACCACAGTGCAATTAAATTAGAATGCAGGATTAAGAAACTCACTCAAAACTGCACAACTACATGGAAACTGAACAACCTGCTCCTGAATGACTACTGGGTAAATAACAAAATTAAGGCAGAAATAAATAAGTTCTTTGAAACCAATGAGAACAAAGACACAATGTTCCAGAATCTCTGGGACACAAATGAAGCAGTGTTTAGAAGGAAATTTATAGTACTAAATGCCCACAGTAGAAAGTGGGAAAGATCTAAAATCAACACTTTAACATCATAATTAAAAGAAATAGAGAAGCAAGAGCAAACAAATTCAAAAGCTAGCAGAAGACAAGAAAAAACTAAGATTAGAGCAAAACTGAAGGAGACAGAGACTGAAAACCCTTCAAAAAAAATCAATGAACCCAGGAGCTGATTTTTCGAAAAGATTAACAAAATACATAGACCACTAGACAGACTAATAAAGAAGAAAAGAGAGAAGAATCAAATAGACACAATAAAAAATGATAAAGGTGATATCACTGATCTCACAGAAATACAAACTACCATCAGAAAATACTATAAACACCTAGTGCAAATAAACTAGAAAATCTAGAAGAAATTGATAAATTCTTGGACACATACACTCTCCCAAGAGTAAACCAGGAAGAAGTTGAATCCCTGAATAGACCAACAACAAGTTCTAAAATTGAGGCAGTAATTAATATCCTACCAACAAAGAAAAGCCCAGGATCAGATGGATTCACAGCCAAATTTTACCAGAGGTACAGAGGAGCTGGTACAATTCCTTCTGAAACTATTCCAAAGAATAGAAAAAGAGGGACTCCTCCCTCACTCATTTTATGAGGCCAGCATCATCCTGATACAAAAAACTGACAGAGACACAACAAAAAAAGAAAATTTCTGGCCAATATCCCTGATGAACATCAATGCGAAAATCCTCAATAAAATACTGGCAAACCGAATCCAGCAGCATATCAAAAAGCTACCCACCACAATCAAGTCAACTTCATCCCTGAGATGTGAGGCTGGTTCAACATACACAAATCAATAAATGTAATCCAGCACATAAACAGAACCAATGACAAAAACAACATGATTATCTCAATAGAGGCAGAAAAAGCCTTCAATAAAATTAAACACCCCTTCATTCTAAAAACTCTCAATAAACTAGGTATTGATGGAATGTATCTCAAAATAATAAGAGCTATTTGTGACAAACCCACAGCCAATAGCATACTGAATGGGCAAAAGCTGTAAGCATTCCCTTTGAAAACCGACACAAGACAAGGATACCCTCTCTCACCACTTCTATTTAACATAGTATTAGAAGTTCTAGCCAGGCCAGTCAGGCAAGAGAATGAAATAAAGGGTATTCAAATAGGAAGAGAAGAAGTCAAATTGTTTCTGTTTGCAGATGACATAATTGTGTATTTAGAAACCATTGTCTCAGCCCAAAATCTCCTTAAGCTGATAAACAAATTCAGCAAAATCTCAGGTTACAAAATCAATGTGCAAAAATTACAAGCATTGCTATACACCAATAATAGACAAACAGGGAGCCGAATCATGAGTGAACTCCTATTCATAATTGCTACAAAGAGAACAAAATCCCTAGGAATACAACTTACAAGAGATGTGAAGGACCTCTTCAAGGAGAACTACAAACCACTGCCCAAAGAAATAAAAGTGGACACAAACGAATGGGAAAACATTCCATGCTCATGGATAGGAAGAACAAATATCATGAAAATGGCCATACTTCCCAAAGTAATTTATAGATTCAATGCTATCCCCATCAAACTACCACTGACTTTCTTCACAGAATTAGAAAAAACTACTTTAAATTTCATTCTGGTAACAAAAAAGAGCCCACATAGCCAAGACAATCCTAAGCAAAAAGAACAAAGCTGGAGGCATCACACTGCCTGACTTCAAACTATACTACAAGGATACAGTAACCAAAACAGCATGGTACTGGTACTGAGAGGTGACAGCGTGCTGGCAGTGCTCACAGCCCTCGCTCACTCTTGGCGCCTCCTCTACCTGGGCTCCCACTTTGGCGGCACTTGAGGAAACCTTCAGCCTGCCGCTGCACTGTGGGAGCCCCTTTCTGGGCTGGCCAAGGCTGGAGCCGGCTCCCTCAGCTTGCGGAGAGGTGTGGAGGGAGAGGCATAGGCAGGAACCGGGGCTGTGCGTGGTGCTTGTGGGCCTGCGCGAGTTCCGGGTAGGCGTGGGCTTGGTGGACCCCACACTTGGAGCGGCCAGCCGGCCCCACCAGCCCTGGGCAGTGAGGGGCTTAGCACCTGGGCCAGCAGCTGCTGTGCTCAATTTCTCGCCAGGCCTTAGCTGCCTTCCCACGGGGCAGGGCTTGGGACCTGCAGCCCACCATGCCTGAGCCTCCCCCAACTCCCTGGGCTCCTGTGCAGCCCGAGCCTCCCCAGTGAGCACCGCCCCCTGCTCCACAGCGCCCAGTCCCATCAACCACCCAAGGGCTGAGGAGTGTGGGTGCACAGCATGGTACTGGCAGGCAGCTCCACCTGCAGCCCTGGTGTGGGATCCACTGGGTGAAGCCAGCTGGGCTCCTGAGTCTGGTGGGGATGTGGAGAACCTTTATGTCTAGCTAAGGGATTGTAAATACACCAATCGGCACTCTGTATCTAGCTCAAGGTTTGTAAACACACCAATCAGCACCTTGTGTCTAGCTCAGGGTTTGTGAATGCACCAATCGACACTCTGTATCTAGCTACTCTGGTGGTGACTTGAAGAACCTTTGTGTCAACACTCTGTATCTAGCTAATCTGGTGGGGACTTGGAGAACTTTTGTGTCCACCTCAGGGATTATAAATGCACCAATCAGCACCCTGTCAAAACAGACCACTTGACTCTACCAATCAGCAGGATGTGGGTGGGGCCAGATAAGAGAATAAAAGCAGGCTGCATGAGCCAGCAGTGGCAACCCGCTCGGGTCCCCTTCCACACTGTGGAAGCTTTGTTCTTTCGCTCTTTGCAGTAAATCTTGCTGCTGCTCACTCTTTGGGTCCACACTGCCTTTATGAGCTGTAACACTCACCGTGAAGGTCTGCAGCTTCACTCTTGAAGCCAGCAAGACCACGAACCCACTGGGAGGAAAGAACAACTCCAGATGTGCCACCTTAAGAGCTGTAACACTCACCGAGAAGGTCTGCAGCTTCACTCCTGAGCCAGCGAGACCATGAACCCACCAGAAGGCCGAACACATCCAAACATCAGAAGGAATAAACTCTGGACACGCCGCCTTTAAGAACTGTAACACTCACTGCGAGGGTCCATGGCTTCATTCTTGAAGTCAGTGAGACCAAGAACCCACCAATTCCGGGCACATTTTGGTGACCACGAAGGGACTATCACCTATTGCCAAGCGGTGAGGCTATCGCCAAGCAGTGAGACCATTGCCTGTCACTGTGCGGCGAGACAATTGCTTATCGCCAAGCAGTGAGTACCATCGGACGCTTTTCACTTGCTATTCTGTCCTATTTTTCCTTAAAATTCGAGGGCTAAATACTGGGCACCTGTTGGCCAGTTAAAAGCGACTAGCACGGCCGCCAGACTAAAGACACGGGTGTCAGGCTTTCTGGGAAAGGGCTCTCTAACAACCCCCGACTCTTCGAAGTTGGGACTGTTGGTTTGCCTAGAACCAGCTTCCACTTTTCCTGTACTTCTGGGCTGAGCCGAGGGTTGACAGAGAGGAAAGCCATGCAGCTCCGGGGTCCTGACAACAAGTTGGTTGACCCTGTGGCCATGAGCAGAACTCTCAAAGGCATGTTGCCCAAGCGAGACTCTCGCCCATCTATCCTATCTATCCTGATGCTTGCCCCCTGGGTCCTAATGCCTGCCAGACAAACTTCCTCTTGCCTCTCTTCTCCGAGGTTAGTCCCACTTCTAAAAATTGCTACCTGTCTCTGGTGCTTTTCTAGTTTCTCCTATAAGAATGATTTCTAGAATAAACTCCAGGACTCTGTTACCTTCTTTAGGCACCCGGGCTCACCAATCAGAAAGACATAATTTTTGCCCAAAGCCCCATCATAGTGGGGACTACCTGGAATTTTAGGATCCCTCCTCAGACTAATAGGCATAACAAAAGCTATTCCTGAAGCTAGGATATGGGGAGCCTCAGAAATTGTATCCTTCCTATTCATATAAGTGAGGACAAAAGGTGTCACTCTTCCAACCCTGGAGATCACTTCCCTCCCTCAGGGTATGGCCCTCCACTTCATTTTTGGGGCATAACATCTTTATAGGAAAGGGGTAAAGTCCCAATACTAACAGAAGAATGCTTAGGACTCTAACAGGTTTTTGAGAATGCGTCAGTAAGGGCCACTAAAGCCGATTTTTCTCGGTTGGTCCTCCTTGTGGTCTAGGAGGACAGGCAAGGGTGCAGGTTTTCGAGAATGTGTTGGTAAGGGCCACTAAATCCGACCTTCCTCAGTTCTCCATGTGGTCTGGGAGGAAAACTAGTGTTTCTGCTGCTGCGTCGGTGAGCACAACTATTCCGATCAGCAGGGTCCAGGGACTGTTGCGGGTTCTTGGGCAGGGGTTGTTTCTGCTGCTGCGTCGGTGAGCACAACTATTCTGATCAGCAGGGTCCAGGGACTGTTGCAGGTTCTTGGGCAGGGGGAAAAACAAAATAAACCAAAACCATGGGCGGTTTTGTCTTTCAGATGGGAAACACTCAGGCATCAACAGGCTCACCCTTGAAATGCATCCTAAGCCACTGGGACCAATTTGACCCACAAACCCTGAAAAAGAGGTGGCTCATTTTTTTTCTGCACTACGGCTTGACCCCAATATTCTCTTTCTGATGGGGAAAAATGGCCACCTGAGGGAAGTACAAATTACAATACTATCCTGCAGCTTGACCTTTTCTGTGAGAGGGAAAGCAAATGGAATGAAATACCTTATGTCCAAGCTTTCTTTTCATTGAGGGAGAATACACAACTATGCAAAGCTTGCAATTTATGTCCCACAGGAGGACCTCTCAGCTTACCCCCATATCCCAGCCTCCCTATAGCTCCCCTTCCTATTAATAATAATCCTCCTCTAATCTCCCCTGCCGGAAGGAAACAAGCAAAGAAATCTCCAAGGGACCACAAAAACCCCTGGGCTATCGGTTATGTCCCCTTCAAGCTGTAGGGGGAGGGGAATTTGGCCCAACCTGGGTACATGTCCCCTTCTCCCTCTCTGATTTAAAGCAGATCAAGGTAGACCTGGGGAAGTTTTCAGATGATCCTGATAGGTACGTAGATGTCCTACAGGGTCTAGGGCAAACCTTAGACCTTGCTTGGAGAGATGTCATGCTACTGTTAGATCAAACCCTGTCCTTTAATGAAAAGAATGCAGCTTTAGCTGCAGCCCGAGAGTTTGGAGATACCTGGTATCTTAGTCAAGTAAATGATAGAATGACAACCAAAGAAAGGGACAAATTCCCTACTGGTCAGCAAGCCATCCCCAGTATGGATCCCCACTGGGACCTTGACTCCGATCATGGGGACTGGAGTCATAAACATTTGTTGACCTATGTTCTAGAAGGACTAAGGAGAATTAGAAAAAAACTGATGAATTATTCAATGATGTCCACCATAACTCAGGGAAAGAAAGAAAAATCCCTCTTCCTTCCTTGAGCGGCTACGAGAGGCCTTAAGAAAATATACTCCCCTGTCACCCGAATCACTCAAGGGTCAATTGATTCTAAAAGATAAGTTTATTACCCAATCAGCTGCAGATATCAGGAGAAAGCTCCAAAAGCAAGCCCTGGGCCCTGAACAAAATCTAGAGGCATTATTAAACCTGGCAACCTCAGTATTCTATAATAGGGACCAAGAGAAAGAGGCCCAAAAGGAAAAGCGAGATCAGAGAAAGGCTGCAGCCTTAGTCATGGCCCTCAGATAAACAAACCTTGGTGGTTCAGAGAGGATAGAAAATGGAGCAGGCCAATCACCCGGTAGGGCTTGCTATCAGTGTGATTTACTAGGACACTTAAAAAGATTGTCCAATGAGAAACAAGCTGCCCCCTTGTCCATGTCCACTATGCTGAGGCAATCACTGGAAGGTGCACTGTGCCAGAGGATGAAGGTTCCCTGGGTCAGAAGCCCCCAACCAGATGATCCAACAACAGGACTGAGGGTGCCCGGGGCAAGCGCCAGCTCATGTCATCACCCTCACTGAGCCCCAGGTATGTTTCACCATTGAGGGCCATGAAATTGACTTCCTCCTGGGCACTGGCATGGCCTTCTCAGTGTTAATCTCATGTCCTGGATGACTGTCCTCAAGGTCCGTTACCATCCGAGGAATCCTGGGATAGCCTGTAACCAGGTACTTCTCCCACCTTCTCAGTTGTAATTGGGAGACTTTGCTCTTTTCACATGGCTTTCTTGTTATGCCTGAAAGTCCCGCACCCTTATTAGGGAGGGATATATTAGCCAAGGCTGGAGCTATTATCTACATGAATATGGGGAACAAGTTACCCATTTGTTGTCCCCTACTTGAGGAGGGAATCAACCCTGAAGTCTGGGCATTGGAAGGACAATTTGGAAGGGCAAAAAATGCCCGCCCAGTCCAAATCAGGTTAAAAGATCCCACCACTTTTCCTTATCAAAGGCAATATCCCTTAAGGCCTGAAGCTCATAAAGGATGACAGAATATTGTTAAACATTTGAAAGCTCAAGGCTTAGTAAGGAAATGCAGCAGTCCCTGCAACACCCCAATTCTAGGAGTACAAAAACCGAATGGTCAGTGGAGACTAGTGCAAGATCTTAGACTCATCAATGAGGCAGTAATTCCACTATATCCAGTTGTACCCAACCCCTATACCCTGCTCTCTGAAATACCAGAGAAGGCAGAATGGTTCATGGTTCTGGACCTCAAGGATGCCTTCTTCTGTATTCCCCTGCACTGTGATTCCCAGTTCCTCTTTGCTTTTGAGGATCCCACAGACCACATGTCCCAACTTACGTGGACGGTCTTGCCCCAAGGGTTTAGGGATAGCCCTCATCTGTTTGGTCAGGCACTGGCCCAAGATCTAGGCCACTTCTCAAGTCCAGGCACTCTGATCCTTCAATATGTGGATGATTTACTTTTGGCTACCAGTTCGGAAGCCTCGTGCCAGCAGGCTACTCTAGATCTCTTGAACTTTCTAGCTAATCAAGGGTACGAGGTGTCTAGGTCGAAGGCCCAGCTTTGCCTACCGCAGGTTAAATATCTAGGCCTAATCTTAGCCAAAGGGACCAGGGCCCTCAGCAAGGAACGAATACAGCCTATACTGGCTTATCGTCACCCTAAGACATTAAAACAGTTGAGGGGGTTCCTTGGAATTGCTAGCTTTTGCCGACTATGGATCCCCAGATAGTGAGATAGCCAGGCCCCTCTATACTCTAATCAAGGAAACCCAGAGGGCAAATACTCATCTAGTCGAATAGGAACCAGAGGCAGAAAGAGCCTTCAAAACCTTAAAACAGGCCCTAGTACAAGCTCCAGCTTTAAGCCTTCCCACAGGACAAAACTTCTCTTTATACGTCACAGAGAGAGCCGGGATAGCTCTTGGAGTCCTTACTCAGACTCGTGGGACAACCCCACAACCAGTGGCATAGCTAAGTAAGGAAATTGATGTAGTAGCAAAAGGCTAGCCTCACTGTTTAAGCATAGTTGCAGCAGTGGCCGTCTTAGTGTCAGAGGCTATCAAAATAATACAAGGAAAGGGTCTCACTGTCTGGACTACTCATGATGTAAATGGCATACGAGGTGCCAAAGGAAGTTTATGGCTATCAGACAACCACCTACTTAGATACCAGGCACTCCTCCTTGAGGGACCAGTGTTTCAAATACACACGTGTGTGGCCCTCAACCCTGCCACTTTTCTCCCAGAGGACGGGGAAACAATCGAGCATGACTGCCAACAAATTATAGTCCAGACTCACACCGCCTGAGATGAGCTCTTAGAAGTCCCCTTAACTAATCCTGACCTTTACCTATATACCAATGGAAGTTCATTTGTGGAGAATGGGATACGAAGGGCAGGTTACACCATAGTTAGTGATGTAACCATACTTGAGAGTAAGCCTCCTCCCCCAGGGACCAGTGCCCAGTTAGCAGAACTAGTGGCACTTACCCAAGCCTTAGAACTGGGAAAGGGAAAAAGAATAAACGTGTATACAGATAGCAAGTATGCTTATCTAATCCTATATGCCCATGCTGCAATATGGAAAGAGAGGGAGTTCCTAACCTCTGGGGGAACCCCCATCAAATACCACAAGGAAATTATAGAGTTATTGCACACAATGCAAAAACACAAGGGGGTGGCACTCTTACACTGCCAAAGCCATCAAAATGGGAAGAAGAGGGGAGAGCAGCAGCATAAGCGGCTGGCAGAGGCAGGGAAAGATCAGCAAGAAGGAAAGAGAGAAAGAGAAAGTCAGAGAAAGAGAGAGAGGAAGAAACAGAGAGAAAGAAAGAGACAGGAAGTCAAAGAGACAGAGAAGGAGACAGAGAGGAAGAAGTCAAAGAGAAAGAGAAAGAGAGACAAAGGAGAAGTCAAAGAGAAAGAGAAAGAGAGATGGAAGTAGTAAAGAAAAAAAAACAGTGTACCCTATTCCTTTAAAACCCAGGGTAAATGTCTATCTACCCAGCCAAGGCATATTCTACTTATGTGGATCTTCAACCCATATCTGCCTCTCAGACAGTTTGCAAGAAATAATGAAATCTATCCTTACTTTACAGTCCCAAATAGACTCTTTGGTAGCAGTGACTCTCCAAAACCGCCAAGGCCTAGACCTCCTCACTGCTGAAAAAGGATGACTCTGCACCTTCTTAGGGCAAGAGTGTTGTTTTTACACTAACCAGTCAGGGATAGTACGAAATGCCGCCCGGTGTTTACAGGAAAAGGCTTCTGAAATCAGACATCTTTCAAACTCTTATACAAGCCTCTGGAGTTGGGCAACATGGCTTCTCCTCTTTCTAGGGGAGCAGTGGAGGGAGAGGTGCGGGCAGGAACCGGGGCTGCATGCGGTGCTTGTGGGCCAGCGCGAGTTCCAGGTGGCATGGGCTTGGTGGACCCCACACTCGGAGCGGCCGGCCGGCCCCACCGGCCCTGGGCAGTGAGGGGCTTAGCACCTGGGCCAGCAGCTGCTGTGCTCAATTTCTCGCCAGGCCTTAGCTGCCTTCCCACGGGGCAGGGCTTGGGACCTGCAGCCCACCATGCCTGAGCCTCCCCCAACTCCCTGGGCTCCTGTGCAGCCCGAGCCTCCCCGACGAGCGCTGCCCCCTGCTCCACGGCACACAGTCCCATCAACCACCCAAGGGCTGAGGAGTGCGGGCTCACGGCACGGGACCGGCAGCCAGCTCCACCAGCAGCCCCGGCGTGGGATCCACTGGGTGAAGCCAGCTGGGCTCCTGAGTCTGGTGGGGATGTGGAGAACCTTTATGTCTAGCTAAGGGATTGTAAATACACCAATCGGCACTCTGTATCTAGCTCAAGGTTTGTAAACACACCAATCAGCACCCTGTGTCTAGCTCAGGGTTTGTGAGTGCACCAGTCGACACTCTGTATCTAGCTGCTTTGGTGGGGCCTTGGAGAACCATTATGTCTAGCTAAGGGATTGTAAATACACCAGTCGGCACTCTATATCTAGCTCAAGGTTTGTAAACACACCAATCAGCACCCTGTGTCTAGCTCAGGGTTTGTGAATGCACCAATCGACACTCTGTATCTCGCTACTCTGGTGGTGACTTGGAGAACCTTTGTGTCGACACTCTGTATCTAGCTAATCTGGTGGGGACGTGGAGAACTTTTGTGTCTACCTCAGGGATTGTAAATGCACCAATCAGCGCCCTGTCAAAACAGACAACTTGGCTCTACCAATCAGCAGGATGTGGGTGGGGCCAGATAAGAGAATAAAAGCAGGCTGCATGAGCCAGCAGTGGCAACCCGCTTGGGTCCCCTTCCACGCTGTGGAAGCTTTGTTCTTTCACTGTTTGCAATAAATCTTGCTGCTGCTCACTCTTTGGGTCCACACTGCCTTTATGAGCTGTAACACTCACTGCGAAGGTCTGCAGCTTCACTCTTGAAGCCAGCAAGACTACGAACCCACTGGGAGGAACAAACAACTCCAGATGGGCCACCTTAAGAGCTGTAACACTCACCGAGAAGGTTTGCAGCTTCACTCCTGAGCCAGCGAGACCACGAACCCACCAGAAGGCTGAACACATCCGAACATCAGAAGGAACGAACTCCGGACACACCACCTTTAAGAACTGTAACACTCACCGCGAGGGTCCGCGGCTTCATTCTTGAAGTCAGTGAGACCAAGAACCCACCAATTCCGGACACAGTACCAAGACAGATATATAGACCAATGGAACAGAACAGAGCCCTCAGAAATAATACCACACATCTACAACCATCTGATCTTTGACAAACCTGACAAAAACAAGAAATGCAGAAAGGATTCCCTGTTTAATAAATGGTGTTGGGAAAACTGGCTAGCCATATGCAGAAAACTGAAACTGGATCCCTTCCTTACACCTTATACAAAAATTAACTCAAGATGGATTAAAGACTTAAATGTGAGACCTAAAACTATAAAAGCCCTAGAAGAAAACCTAGGCAATACCATTCAGGACATAGGCATGGGCAAAGACTTCATGACTAAAACACCAAACTCAGTGGCAACAAAAGCCAAAATTGACAAATTTGATATAATTAAACTAAAGAGCTTCTGCAGAACAAAAGAAACTATCATCAGAGTGAACAGGAAACCTACAGAGTGGGAGAAAGTTTTGCAATCTATCCATCTGACATAGGGCTAATATCCAGAATCTACAAGGAACTTCAAAAAATTTACAAGAAAAAATCAACCCCATCAAAAAGTGGACAAAGGATATGAACAGACAATTCTCAAAAGAAGACATTTATGTGGACAACAAATGTATGAAAAGAAGCTCATCATCACTGGTCATTAGAGAAATGCAAATCAAAACCACAATGAGATACCATCTCATGCCAGTTAGAATGGTGATCATTAAACAGTCAGGAAACAACAGATGCTGGAGAGGATGTGGAGAAATAGGAATGCTTTTACACTGTTGGTGGGAGTGTAAATTAGTTCAACCACTGTGGAAGACAGTGTGGCGATTCCTCAAGGATCTAGAACCAGAAATACCATTTGACCCAGCAATCCCATTACTAGGTATGTACCCAAAGGATTATAAATCATTCTACTATAGACACATGCACACATATGTTTATTGCAGCACTGTTCACAGCAGCAAAGACTTGGAACCAACCCAAATACCCATCAATGATAGACTGGATAAAGAAAATGTGGCACATATACACCATGGAATACTATGCAGCCATAAAAAATGATGAGTTCATGTCCTTTTCAGGGACTTGGATGAAGCTGGAAACCATCATTCTCAGCAAACTAACACAGGAACGGAAAACTAAACACCGCATGTTCTCACTCATAAGTGGGAGTTGAATAATGAGAACACATGGACACAGGGAGGGGAACATCATACACCAGGGCCTGTTGCGGGGTGGAGAGCTAGGGGAGGGATAGCATTAGGAGAAACACCTAATGTAGATGATAGGTTGATGGGTGCAGCAAACCACCATGGCATGTGTATACCTATTTAACAAACCTACACGTTCTGCACATGTATCACAGAACTTAAAGTGTAATTTTTTTAAAAAACATCACTTTTAGGTGGTATGTTATCTACTGATGAAGAGGAAGGCTATAATCACAAGCTCCTTAGTGAGCAATAGGGGGAGGGTATCTGATGGTATAGAAAGGAGAATGGGGTGGCACTAGAGACCAATTTAAACCACTTCACAATTGGGCCTGACCCCAGCTTTGGTTTGAAACCGAGGGCAGGAGCAGCCAGGCAGCAACGTCTTTTCCTGTCTTCAAGCACAGGAAATCAGTTAGATTGACCTGACATACTTGGATGATAAACAGTGGCAGGCTTTCCCAGGCAGCATTGTACTTCTTCCCCTGTTAACACCTCCCACTGTGGAAAAATCTAAACAAACTAGAATTAACAGGAATCCAACATCTTCTTTTCTATAGCGAAAAGTTTCCTTGCCTAACTCATTTAGGAGACTTTTTGGGAAGTTAGAAAGTTGGAAAAAGAAAAGCTTCACATCAGTGCATAGCTGTTTTTAACTTCTATGTGTTGAAAAAGCATATCTGATCAAAATTTTTACCTATTATGCATTTGATATATAAATAAGTATATAAATGCACACACAGACACAGCAATGATGGTGAACAGTCTTCATACAATTATATCACACACAGACACAGCAATGATGGTGAACAGTCTTCATACAATTATATGACACACAGACACAGCAATGATGGTGAACAGTCTTCATACAATTATATGGATGAATCTCATAAAATGCTGAGTTAAAGAAATCAGACCAAAGAACATATACTGAAAGATTCTCTCTATATACAAAGTTCAAAAATAGGTGGGACCAATTCATGGTGGTGTTAGAAATCAGAAGAGAGGCTACCTTTGTGGGGAGGGGACAGTTTAATGCCCAGAAGCGGTAAATAAGGAATCCTCTGGGGAGTGGTAATGATCTGGATGCTGGCTACAGGATGTGTTGGTTGTAAAAATGCATTTTTTTATATCTAGCTTTTTCCATGTGTATATTATACTTCAAAGAAGTTCAGTTAATAATTTCTCATGTCACTGTAGAGTAGCTCAGTTAGCCCCAGCAAGCCTCTGGCTTAATCTTGTTTTACCTTAAGCCATCAGTCATTTACAAGTAGGAAAATTCACAGGGAAAGTTAGAGTATAAAATCCAGAATGAAGGTTTACTGGGTAAGAGTCTCTCCATTTTCCAAAGCCCGTTTATTTCTTGATTCCAGTTCTTAAGAAGTCTCAGCATTGTGTCTTTTTCATGTATCTTACAAGAAGACAGCATGTGCTTCTAACACCTGATACATTGTATCTACCAGCACTTGGTAAACAGAAAAGAACCACATTTTTCTTGTAGGAGAAATTTGGTGCCTATTTCCTACCAGGCACCAATAAGTGGGACCAATAGGTGGGATTAAAGATACAGTAGAAAGTATTTAAAACTTGCCAGGGGGCAATAGTCTGAAAATAAGTAAATTGGTGCTATAGAATGGAAGTTACAGGCTTCTTTCTTTTTTCCCACAAGATCTGCTCCTTGAGCCCCTAGAGACTTTTCTGTCTGTTACTGTTTCTTCATTCCTCATCTGCAGAGCCAGCCCTGAGAAGTGCAGACCAAAGCCAGGGAAGGCTCTGCAAAGATGTACAAATGGAAGTCACCTTAATAACCTCTGACTGCTGCGCATAATACATTTCACTCAAAAGAGGGGTTAAACAATGGAACAGAATACAGAGGCCAGAAATAATGCTGAACACTGACAACCATCTGATCTTTGACAAAATCCACAAAAACAAGCAATGGAGAAAGGACTCCCTATTCCATAATGGTGCTGGGATAACTGTCTAGCTATATACAGAAGATTGAACCTGGGCCCCTTCCTTACATCATATACAAAAAATAACTCAAGATGGAGTAAAGACTTAAATCTAAAACCAAACACTATAAAAACCCTGGAAGATAGCCTGGGAAATACCATTCTGGACATAGGACCTGGCAAAGACTTCATGACAAGACACCAAAAGCAATAGCAACAAAAACCAAATTGACTAATGAAACTAATGAAACTCTTTAGTTGTACAACAGATAGTTTATCTGTACAACAAAATAAACTATCAACAGAGTAAACAACCTACAGAATGGAAAAATTTTTTGCAAACTATGCATCTGACAAAGGTCTAATATCCAGAATCTATAAGGAATTTAAACAAATTTACAAGCAAAAAAATGACCTCATTAAAAAGTGGGCAAAGGACATGAACAGATGCTTTTCAAAATAAGACATTCACACATCCAACAACCATATGAAAAGATGTTTAACATCACTAATCATTAGAGGAATACAAATCAAAAGCATAATAAGATACCATCTAATACCAGTAGGAATGACTACTATTAAAAAGTCAGACAATAACAGATGCTGGTGAAGGTTGTGGAGAAAAGGGAATGTTTATGCACTGCTAGTGGGAATGTAAACTAGTTCAGCCATTGTGGAAGAGAGTGTGGTGATTCCTCAAAGAATGTAAAACCGAACTGCCTTTCAATCCAGCAATCCCATTATTGGATATACACCAAAAGGAATAGAAATTGTTTTACCGTAAAGGCGCATGCATGCATATGTTCATTACAGCACTATTTACGATAGCAAAGACATGGAATCGTCTAAATGCCCATCAGTGGTAGACTAGCTAAAAAAAAAAAAATGTGGTACATATACATCACAGAATAGTATGCAGCCATAAAAATGAACAAGATCATCATGTCCTTTGCAGCAACATGGATGTAGTTGGAGGCCATTATCCTAAGCAAATTAATGCAGGAACAGAAAGCCAAATACCACATGTTCTCATTTATAAGTGACAGCTAAATATTGAGTACACATGGACACAAAGAAGGGAACAATAGACATGGGACCTACTTGAGAATAGAGGGTGGGAGGAGGGTGAGGATCAAAAAGTACCCATAGGACACTGTGCTTATTACCTGGGTGATGAAATAATTTGCACACCAAACCCCTGTGACACACAATTTACCTATATAGAAAACCTGTGCATGTACCCCTGAACCTAAAAGTTAATGGTGGGGGGGTGGGGTTAAGCTACTTTGTGGTATAAATCTGAGCATTCATATTAAAATAAAATATTTACCTCATTAGAGTAATTAACATTTATTAAGCAAAGAGCCAAGTACCTTACACACATGATGTTTAATCTCACAATGATCTTTAATCTCATAACAACCGTCCATTGTATGTACATATGTGGAAATTGAGCCTTGGAGAGATTAAATGCATGGGGCATGCCATTTGACTAGAAACTGGAAGCATCAGGATTTAAACTCAGTTCTGAATGGTTTTGTAGGCTTTGTTTTTTCCACATTATAGCATGGCCTGCCATGAAGAACAGGTCCTTTCTGGTGTTTGTCTTGTTTGGTTTAAGTGAAGCAAATATTTATTTAAATATTCAAGATATGCTGTTAAATTTTTACTCAAAAATTTGAGTACAGTATGGATCTTCTGAAGCCAAATAACTCTTATTCAATGCTTAGTTGAGAAATTTTATGGAGTAGTTCTCAATTTTTATGTAGTTCCACTGCAAAGGTAAGTCTTATGGAAAGATTCACTGTAATTTTTTTTCCTCATTTGGACATCAGCTTTTTCTTTTCCTCAGACCCGCTGAAAGATAATTTTTAAAATAAAAACCTTGTTTTTATATCAAGTGGGGACATTTTTTCCAAATGAAAACCGTGTATTCATTTTATATGATAAAATCAATGTTATTATTTTTAAAATTTTGATTTAAAAATCATTAAAAATAAATTTTCAGATATTACCTGAAATTCTACCATCCAGAGATAATAGTGCTTAAAGATTTGATATATAGACACACACACATATATACATATATATCATCCTAAACTTCTTTGTATAAATGTATATAAAGTTTTTAATAAAAACTAGGAGATTAATGCCCTTTGAATGAAAATAAATACAATGTGTATGCTTTAACATCTTGCCTTTACTTTATAACATTTATCACAGCAGTCATGAGATAATGATTTACATGGTCATTGTTAGTAAGCTAATAGCTAAGTGCATGAACTCTGGAGCTAGCCTCCCTGGATTTTAATCCCAGATCTGTCACTGACCAGCTGAGCAATACTAGGTAAATTGCTCTTGTTCCTTAGTTTCTTCATCTGTAAAATAGAGATAAAAATAATATCCACCTCATAGGATTGGTGTGAGCATTAAATGAGCATACGTATGTAGGCCACTTAACAACAATGCCTTCACATACTGAACACAAATATACGAGCTGTTGTCTTATTGGGCTCATGTTTTTCCTACCACTAAGCCGCATGCATGCAAGGACCATGTTGGTTTTGTTCCACATTGCATCCCCAACCTGGTATACAGTGTGCATTCAATAGTTGTTGACTATTATTACTAGTGGCATTTAACAAATATCTGTTAAATGAGTGAAGAAATACCCATTTACTGCAAGTGTGTCTAATATTGATGGCATAATGGGGGAAACTCAAACTCTGGAGTCAAACAGGTTTTAAAACCTTATTCCCTCATCCTCAGTTATTGACGTTTTTTTTTTGGCAGGTGTGTGTGTGGGACAACTTATTGAACTTTTCTGAATTTCCAGCTTCGCATATATAAAATAGAGATAGTGATTCATTCTTGCAATGTATGGATTTGAGACAATTGTGTAAGTTTATCAATAAATAGTAGCTATTTTTGTATAAGTATTACATATAATATCCAGGCCACTGCTTTGCATAACCCAAAAGGGGCACCATTCATGCAGAATACAACATAAATGGTGTCCCTGGAGCAGTGCAGTATAGGAACCCTGAGGGGACCTACAGTATACTTTATAGTTCATAGATTACAAATTATCCCTTTATCAGAGTCTCTCAAGGTTGGATGTATTTGAGGTCCATAAGAGCAATTTAGGATTAACAGTAGCTGCAGAAACCATCTGCAGTGATATTCTCATTTTAAATCCGCGGGAAAGAAGACAGCTATAAACTTGGGACCTGGGTTTAAGCATTTTAAATGCCAAGTTCACCATTTTCTAAAACACAACAAATACCCAGTGAGAGAGGGAGAAGGGAAGTAAATGCCTCTGAATAAGCAAGTTAATGTCAGTAGTTGTACTGTATGCATATTGATGAACAATAGAGGAACCAATGTCCAATCAGATGAGCAGGATATTTGGCAATAACAAGTTGCCTTTGAGGAAAAATGATTTTCTTGGCAAGTTCTTTATCAGCATTACAAAGCTAAAAGCTACGCTTATCATCACTTATACTAGCATACCCTGTTGTGCAAATGCTGTCTGTGTTTGCATCTGCTATTGTTGATGCCTGGTGCATGAATCAGGACTCCAGCCCACAAGTTTTCCCAGAACTTTCTTATGGCCATCATCTTTAAGTGTCTGGTGAACAGTCATAGTTTGGTACACAAAAGGGTCAACCTGGGGGATGGCTAGGGTTTGACTCAGTCGTTACATTTCAATAGAGCAGGAAGGGGAAATGGTGGCCTGTAACCTCAGGGAATTTTGCCAGTTGGTCCACCCCACTCTCTCTCTCCTGCTCTGAGGAAGTGGCACAGCCTAGAACAGCACCACAGGTGAGAGAAATGCAAACCCTAACCAGAGAAGCAGACTCTTTGCCAGTAGTAATAGTTCAGGACCACCACCAGCTTTTATTAAAATTTTTAATAACACTCAAGTATTGGCAGAAAGAAATAATCTTGGGTTAACTATAACTAGAATATTGACTCTTCCTCTGTGGAAGAATCAGCCAATCACATTTGTTTACATCAGTTCCCCTGAAGAAGAAAAATACACTGATGTTGCAGCAAGACAAATTTAAGCTAGATGTAAATAACTTCCTTTAGCCTGTAATGCTAGGCTAATTACATATTGGAACTATTTTTTCAGGGAAGAATTGTGTAGGGTTTCAGGGAAGAATTCTGAAGAAAATATAGAGCTGAAATGATCTTGCAGCTCACTGAAACTGCAGGGTTTAGATCCACACTGATACTCGTTCTATTATCACTGTAATGAAGGCTGATGGAATAAGTAAAAATGTTTTGTATTAGTATGTTTTTACACTTATTTGCAAGGCATAAATAGGTTAGGTTTTGATCTTAATTTAATTCTAACATGTATTGTGCACAAGCTGTGAGCAGTTTTCAGGAGTTAGGTATCTGGCCATGACTGATTTTTCAGGAGTTAATCATCTGGTAGAAGGGTCATACACAATAGGAAGATGTGTGTGACAGGTTGTGATCATTACTATAATCACACAGAGAGCTGTAGAATTTTAGGCTGGCAGGGTGGCTCACGCCTGTAATCCCAGCACTTTGGGAGGCCAAGGCAGGCGGATCAAGAGGTCAGGAGATGGAGACCATCCTGGCTAACACGGTGAAACCCCGTCTGTACTAAAAATACAAAAAAAAAAAAAAGCCAGGCGTGGTGGTGGGCGCCTGTAGTCCCAGCTACTTGGGAGGCTGAGGCAGGAGAATGGCGTGAACCCGGGAGGTGGAGCTTGCAGTGAGCCGAGATCGCATCACTGCAATCCAACCTGGGCGACAGAGGGAGACTCAGTCTCAAAAAAAAAAAAAAAAAAAAGTCATGTTAGATCCAGAGGGGTAGCAACTGGGGCTGGGCTGTCAGTCAACTCAGTCAACTCAGTCAACTCTGCTCCCCCACAGGAGATGCCAGTGATGCATTTTCATGGCCAACATTGTCAGTCAGCATCATTGAATTACTCCTGATTATAGAGACACAGCTGCAAACGATTCCCCATTAAATATGATGTTTCTTGCAATGTTTGGAAGGTACTCCTTTTTAGTAAGGGAAATCCCCTCTTCTGGCTTGCTGAAAGTTTTTTCTTTCCATTTTAAAAATCGTGAATTCCTTTTTGCAATATTGAGGTGGTTATATGGTTTCTCTTCTCTAATCTGTTAATATGGTGATTTAATGGTTAGAAATTTTCTAATGTAAATTCCACTCATATTGCAGAAATAAACCTAAACTGAGCATGAGGCTATATTTTTTATTTGCTTCTATATTTGGTTGCTATACAGTATTATGTTTAAGATTTGTTCACATATATTTGTGAATGGGATTGGACTATTTTTCCTTCTTGCCGATTTTTATCTGGTTTTTAAATTAAGGATATTTTAGACTTATGAAATATTTGGCAAACAATCCTTGGCAAGTAATTTTTTGGGGAATTTGTTTTGGCTATTTTGAGTATTACCCAATATATTTTAATTAAGTTATTCTTAATGTTTTCTTAATTAAAAAAATTACCTACTCTAGAGATATTCTTTATGTACTCCAGATTTTGTCTATTTATACCACTTTTCTTTTTTCCTCGATGAGTGTCATAGATGTTCATCTATTTTTTTATCTTCTTTGATCTTCTCTTATTCCTTGTTTCTATTAACTTCTGAAGTTTATTATTTTCTTTTTTCCACTTCCTTATGGTTTATTCTTTCAATTTTTCTCTAACTTCTTAAGTTGGGTGTTTAATTTTTAGCTTGCTTTGCTTTTTTAGGATAAGCATTAAAACTACAAATTTTCCTTGTTATTCTTTTGCTGCACCCCAAATTGTTGATATTTCTATTGTCTAATTTCTATTCAATTAGAATACTTTAAAGTTTCTTTTTGGTTTTTAAAAACTAACTTTTTAAATTGACAAATAAAAATTGTGTATATTTATTGTGCACAGCATATGGCTTTGAAATATATGTACATTGTGGAATGGCTAAATTTAGCTTATTAATGTATGCATTATCTCACATACTTATCATTTTTTGTGGTGAGAGCTATGTGACTTTTGAACTTATGAGTTATTTAAATATTTTTAAATTATTAAGCATATTGGGATTTTAAGTAATTTACCTTTTTATTATTAACTTATAACAAGTAGAACAGTTAACCTGTATGATTCTACATCATTGAAATTTATTGACATTTGCTTCATAGTCTATTATATGGTCTACTTTTGTTCATGTTACATCTGTAGTAGAATTGGCTAATAGTTGAGTAAAGTACACATATGTCTATGAAATCAAGTGTAATCCAGAGAAAAAGAGAAATTTACTGAATATATTGTTCTAGGTGCTATTATATGTTGTCATGTTTAATCCTCACCACAATTGTATGAGGCAGCCATAATTAATTCCACTTTACACATGAGGAGCCTGAGGGTTAAAAAAAAAGCTAGCTCTACTATTTGTAAAGAATGAAGCAAAGATACAAATGAAGGCCCACATATCCTATAACTAGATATTTAAGCATTTTAATTCAAGCTTTAAAACTGCTAAATAAAATGTGCTCCAATTTCTATATTGACAGACATACCTTCCTAATGAGCTGGGGTTCGAATTTAGAAATCTTTGATGCTTCAGAGTCCACACTGAAATGTGGAGGCACATAGTGAGTTGGTCCCCAGCCTTCAGTCCACCCACCTTCTCTTTACTAAATCACCTTTCACATACATGTATGAACACCCCAGCCTCCAAGTCCAAACCCTAAACAAAATGGGACACCCTTGTGCATACACAGAGACACAGCCCATCCTCAGGAAAACCTGGAAAAGTCCATACAAGTTCTGGAAGCAAGCTTGGGACGGTTTCAGTAGTGTGGTCTATAAGGGAGGCCTCAGAAGACAGGTTTTCTTAATTCTGTGAACTTCTCCCACAGTAGAAAGGGTGCTGGAGGAGGGTCAGAGTGAGGACTTCTAAAGCATGGGTCCTGAGTAGGGGCCACTCTTGCCCAAGTCTAAGAAGGGTACTAGAATAGCACACTACTACTAGATACTAGAACCCAGATACAAGCACAGGTCTTCTGAAATTAATAATAATAATAACTATTACCATTATTATACCAGTAGCTGTCATTTATTTAGTGCTTATTATTTGCCAGTCACTGTTCTAAATTCTTTACATGTATTATACAACTGCCATATAACTGCCATATGAGGGATGTACCCTCATTGTCACCATTTTACCGATGAGAAAACTGGCATAAAACGTTTAAGTAACTTGTCCAAGTTACAGAGCTTAGTGAAGCCACAATGTTGCTCAATTTGCTCTCAAACTTCAAAGGGATGGGAAGGACACCTAAGTCATAGAGTCTTTAAGAATCAGAGCTAGAAGGAATCTTAGATGTTATCTAGTCAGCCTCCTCCCATTACAGTCCAAGAGAAGATGGCCCTGAGTTACTTGTAGCTATTTTTGCATGTGAATTGCAAGTGAATATACATTCTACTGAAGATAAAAGATATTTAAAGATATCGCTGGATATAGGAACAGTGGTTTTAAATCTCTAGGCTTTAACTTTTCTCAGAACAAGAAATCCTTTTTGGTTTTAATCTATATGCACATCTGTATTTTTCTCAATTATCGGGTAGTAAAATATAACTTTTCTTCTGTAATATTTTTTAACTTTAATGAGTGTTCCTCATAATAGAAAAGTTTGGAAACCATTGCTATGGGTATATACTTTCTAAAGGGATAGTAATTTCTCTAGAATATTCATTTAATGCTCCAGAAGTAATTAGCACAATTGTGCAAGTCTGTGCATCATCAACTATACATTCTGCCTGTTTACTCCAAATCCACATGAAACTGATTATACAGTCAAAGGCGAGCCCAGTGGAGAGGCATTTTTGGAGACTTCCTGGTACATTGAGACAGGGTCGGCCAGTCTGCGTTAGGGTCTTGGTCAAAACTGCATTTCTGAAACTAAACTCAGATTGCTTTCTTTTAAGGGGTCAGAACTGATTCAAATCTACATTTTTAAAAGCCTTAGATGTGGGGCTTTTCCTATTCCCAGTCTCCGCTATTGGTCTTTGTGAATCCACAGGCAATTTGGCCACATCCTTGACTCTCTCTTATATTAAGAATTAAACAGCTAAGTTCATGCAGAGGAAATATAACAAAGGAGGGACTTTCCTACAAGATCTTTGAAAAATGGAACATTTGCATAAGTCATATTTAGCCAGAACTGTTGTTTTATATTTTCCTTTCTGAATACTTTGTTACACCTCCTCCCAGCCAACCCCCCCCCTCCCTGACCCCAACTAGTCAGAGACCAAAGCCTTCACAATGGTTTACACTTGAACCTTCCTGGCCCCACCCTCATCATCACGCCTGAATAATTACATTCACTGACTGGTCTCCCCTGCTTCCGTTTATCTCCACTCCTAAACCCTCTGACACCTTAATCTTCCCAGAATACCATTGTGATCCTGTTCCACTCTTGCTCAAGTTTTCCCAGAAACTAGAGTACAAACTTTATAAGCTTTAGAGTTGAAAGCCACTCTATCTCTTTTTCATCCCCAGGTCTCTGCCAAGGCAGTATAACCTGTCCAACATCTCTAACTTCAATACCTTTGTCTTAGATACTAGACTCTCCTCCTGGTTTCTAATTAAACCTGATCTAGGATCTAATTTTGCCTCTGAATTCTGTTGCCCTTTGCCAAGTGATCTCTTCCTCCTCTGAGCCGCAGCATCTCTGAGCTTGCACACTTAGCATAGCCATAGCACACACAGCCTTAGCTTGCAGTTCAGGGTGTTTACCTTCCCTCCCCTTCCAGATGCTGGATCCCCAGGGATAGGAACTCTGCCCTTATGTGTCCATAGCCCCTGGTAGTATGTCTTGCAGTCGTACATTTTCAGCAAATGTTTAATTGGTTAATTGAAGACAACTGTCCCATGCCTTAAGCCTCTCTTTTTGCTAAACATGCCTGTGTCCTTTGTCATTGAACAACTATTTTGATCTATTTTCTTCCTGACATAGGGGTCAGTTCCGAGGATGCTGAAATCAAGAGACATAGCTTATTCTCTCAAAATTGCTTTCAAGAGTGATTTTGTTGTGAATTGAGAACTGGCTGCCTACTTTTGGACTACCCACTTCAGCAAGAGTGTTTGAAACCAAATCTATTCTAAGTAATTTTTTATTCCCTTTTCTCTATGGCATTAGACACACAGCTCTTTTAAACTACCTTTCGTTATCTATTAAACAGACATTCAGTAACTCTATAGACACTGTCTAGCTATATGAACTTAGACAAACTAATATCTCTGAGCTTCAGTTTCTTAAAATTTAAAATGAGGACAATACCATCTATGGCCGGGGATTAAATGCTATGAGGAATGTAAACCAGATGTCAGGTACCATCTCTCTAAAATCCAGATAAAATGAATTAAAAATACTGGCCGCAAACCCTCTCTAAGAGTTCTCAAAATTCTCAGAGAGCTTAATTTTCATGCTCACCATAGCACCGATTTTCTTCTAAATATTTTGTTTCTACCAAAATATTTTGTCCCAATTTTGCCTTTTATGGCTATTTCTTCATATCCACTTTCCCAAACTAAAGAAGCAGCCCCTTCACCTTAAACTCCTCCTTCAAAGCAACCTAAATACAGGTCTGGGTTTGTATTCCTAGTGGGATGTTACAGAGGTTAGTGTGATGCAGAGGAGGAGTCATGCTGTTTAAATCCATACTAGTCCCCAGAGGCCAGGCTGCTTCTGCCACCCCTACCCCTCCCGCCACAGAGCTCTTCAGCTTCTCACATTTCTAGTTCTTCTCTCTCTACTTTCATTACCTTCTCTCTTTTTTTTTTTCTTCTCATGTGCTCACGGGAGCAGAGAAAATTAACTCCTCTAAGTTTTCTTAACACAGAGTGCCTTAATTACATATTACTATTGTTTGAGTTCCTGCCAACACTACGTCTGTAGGGTCACACCTGCTATATTAGAGGCTTATCAAAAAAAGATAGCTTTCTCCTAAAAAGGGATTTGGATGCCTACTAAGATAACTGGATGCCAAGATAAGTTTAACCTAACAAACTTTATTATTATTATTATTATTATTATTAGAGATAGGTACTTATTCTGTCACCCAGACTGCAGTGCAGGGATGCAATAATAGCTCACTGCAGCCTCAAAGTCCTGAGTTCATGCAATCCTTCTGCTTCAGCTCCCTGAGTAGCTAGGACTACAGGCATATGCTACTCTGCCCAGCTACTTTTAAAAAAATAATTAGGGATGGGGTCTTGTTGTATTGCCCAGGCTCGTCTCAAACTTCTGGTTTCAAGCAATCCTCCTGCCTTTTACCTCCCTAATTGTTGGAGTTACAGGCATGAGCCACAGCACTCAACCAAGATTTAAAAACTTTTAAAAGAAATCACATTACTTACTGTTATCATCATTATGGTTACTACCAGTGTTAAAACAATTGGTATTGAAAACACCACTACCAGATCAAGCTTCAAACCAAGATGTCAAGTAAATATTATTGTCAGACCTCTGAGCCCAAGCCTGCAGGTATACACCCAGATGGCCTGAAGCAAGTGAAGAATCACAAAAGAACTGAAAATGGCCGGTTCCTGCCTTAACTGATGACATTCCACCATTGTGATTTGTTCCTGCCCCACCTTGACTGAGGGATTAACCTTGTGAAATTCCTTCCCCTGGCTCAGAAGCTCCCCGACTGAGTACCTTGTGACCCCCACCCCTGCCCACAAGTGAAAAACCCCCTTTGACTGTAATTTTCCACTACCCACCCAAATCCTATAAAACAGCCTCACCCCTATCTCCCTTCGCTGACTCTCTTTTCAGACTCAACCTGCCTGCACCTAGGTGATTCAAAAGCTTTATTGCTCACACAAAGCCTGTTTGGTGGTCTCTTCACACAGACCATGTGACATTTGGTGCCGTAACTCAGATCGGGGAACCTCCCTTGGGAGATCAGTCCCCTGTCATCCTGCTCTTTGCTCCATGAGAAAGATCCACCTATGACCTCTGGTCCTCAGACCAACCAGCCCAAGGAACATCTCACCAATTTTAAATTGGGTAAGTGGCCTCTTTTTACTCTCTTCTCCAGCCTCTCTCACTATCCCTCAACATCTTTCTCCTTTCAATCTTGGCACCACGCTTCAATCTCTCCCTTCCCTTAATTTCAGTTCCTTTCTTTTTCTGGTAGAGACAGAGGAAACGTGTTCTATCTGTGAACCCAAAACTCCAGCACTGGTCATGGACTTGGAAAGACAGTCTTCCCTTGATGTTTAATCACTGCAGGGATGCCTGCCTGATTATTCACCCACATTTCAGAGCTGTCTGATCACTGCAGGGACGCCTGCCTGGATCCTTCACCTTAGTGGCAAGTACCACTTTGCCTGGGTGGCAAGCACCACCTCTCCTGGGGGGCAAGCACCACCTCTCCTGGGGGGCAAGTACCCCCCAACCCCTTCTCTCCATGTCTCCACCCTCTCTTCTCTGGGCTTGCCTCCTTCACTATGGGCCACCTTCCACCCTCCATTCCTCCCTTTTCTCCCTTAGCCTGTGTTCTCAAGAACTTAAAACCTCTTCAACTCACGTCTGACCTAAAACCTAAATGCCTTACTTTCTTCTGCAATACCGCTTGACCCCAATACAAACTCAACAATGGTTCCAAATAGCCTGAAAACGGCACTTTCAATTTCTCCATCCCACAAGATCTAAATAATTCTTGTCGTAAAATGGACAAATGGTCTGAGGTGCCTGACATCTGGGCATTCTTTTACACGTCGGTCCCTCCCTAGTCTCTGTTCCCAATGCAACTCATCCCAAATCCTCCTTCTTTCCCTCCTGCCTGTCCCCTCAGTCCCAACCCCAAGTGTCGCTGAGTCTTTCCAATCTTCCTTTTCTACTGACCCATCTGACCTCTCCCCTCTTCCCCAGACTGCTCCTCCTCAGGTCGCTCCCCGCCAGGCTGAATCAGGCTCCAATTCTTCCTCAGCGTCCGCTCCTCCACCCTATAATCCTTCTATCACCTCCCCTCCTCACACCTGGTCCAGCTTACAGTTTCATTCTGTGACTAGCCCTCCCCCACCTGCCCAACAATTTCCTCTTAAAGAGGTGGCTGGAGCTAAAGGCATAGTCAAGGTTAATGCTCCTTTTTCTTTATCCAACCTCTCCCATCTCAGTTAGTATTTAGGCTTTTTTTCATCAAATATGAATACCTAGCCCACTCCATGGCTCATTTGGCAGCAACTCCTAGACATTTTACAGCCTTGGACCCAGAGGGGCCAGAAGGTCATCTTATTCTCAATATGCATTTTATTACCCAATCCACTCCCAACATTAGAAAAAGCTCCAAAAGTTAGACTCCGGCCCTCAAACCCCACAACAGGACTTAATTAACCTTGCCTTCAAAGCGTACAATAATAGAGTAGAGGCAGCCAAGTAGCAACATATTTCTGAGTTGCAATTCCTTGCCTCCACTGTGAGAGAAACCCCAGCCACATCTCCAGTACACAAGAACTTCAAAATGCCTAAGCCACAGTGGTCAAGCATTCCTACAGGACCTCCTCCATCAGGATCTTGCTTCAAGTGCCAGAAATCTGGCCACTGGGCCAAGGAATGCCCTCAGCCTGGGATTCCTCCTAAGCCATGTTCCATCTGTGTGGGACCCCACTGGAAATCGGACTGTCCAACTTGCCCAGCACCCACTCCCAGAGCCCCTGGAACTCTGGCCCAAGGCTCTCTGACTGACTCCTTCCCAGATCTTCTTGGCTTAGTGGCTGAAGACTGATGCTGCCTGATCGCCTCAGAAGCCTCCTGGACCATCACAGATGCTTTTGGTAACTCTTACAGTGGAGGGTAAGTCCGTCCCCTTCTTAATCAATGCAGAGGCTACCCACTCCACATTACCTTCTCTTCAAGGTCCTGTTTCCCTTGTCTTCATAAATGTTGTGGGTATTGATGGCCAGGCTTCTAAACCCCTTAAAACTCCCCAACTCTGGTGCCGATTTAAACAACATTCTTTTATACACTTCTTTTTAGTTATCCCCACCTGCCCAGTTCCCTTATTAGGCTGAGACATTTTAACCAAATTATTTGCTTCCCTGACTATTCCTGGACTACAGCCACATCTCATTGCTGCCCTTCTTCC
This sequence comes from Homo sapiens, assembly GCF_000001405.40. Classification (NCBI taxonomy): domain Eukaryota; kingdom Metazoa; phylum Chordata; class Mammalia; order Primates; family Hominidae; genus Homo; species Homo sapiens. The sequence goes on from NC_000001.11 coordinate 169,685,706, forward strand.
CAACCCAAAAGTGGCAACTCCTTTGCCACTTCCTCTCATATCCCCCTACCTTAACCCACAGGTATGGGACACCTCTACTCCCTCCCTGGCAACAAATCACACCCTCATTACTATCCCATTAAAACCTAATCACCCTTACCTGGGTCAACGCCAGTATCCCATCCCACAACAGGCTTTAAAGGGATTAAAGCCTGTTATCACTTGCCTGTTACAACATGTCCTTTTAAAGCCTGTAAACTCTCCTTACAATTCCCCCATTTTACCTGTCCAAAAACTGGACATGCCTTACAGGTTAGTTCAGGATCTGTGCCTTATCAACCAAATTGTCTTGCCTATCCACGCCATGGTGCCAAACCCATATACTCTCCTATCCTCAATACCTCCCTCCAAAACCCCTCCATAACCCTTATTCTGTTCTGGATCTCAAAACATGCTTTCTTTACTATTCATTTGCACCCTTCATCCCAGCCTCTCTTCACTTTCACTTGGACTGACCCTGACACCCATCAGCCTCAGCAACTTACCTGGGCTGTACTGCCGCAAGGCTTCATGGACAGCCCCCATTACCTCAGTCAACCCAAATTTCTTCTTCATCCATTACCTATCCAGGCATAGTTCTTCATGAAAACACACGTGCTCTCCCTGCTGATCATGTCCAGCTAATCTCCCCAACCCCAGGACTGGCAAATTGACTTTACTCACATGCCCCAAATCAGGACACTAAAGTACCTCTTGGTCTGGGTAGACACTTTCACTGGATAGGTAGATGCCTTTCCCACAGGGCCTAAGAAGGCCACCGTGGTCATTTCTTCCCTTCTGTCAGACATAATTCCTTGGTTTGGCCTTCCCACCTCTATACAGTCTGATAATGGACAAGCCTTTACTAGTCAAAGCACGCAAGCAGTTTCTCAGGCTCTTGGTATTCAGTGAAACCTTCATACCCCTTACCGTCCTCAATCCTTAGGAAAGGTAGAACTGATTAATGGTCTTTTAAAAACACACCTCACCAAGCTCAGCCTCCAACTTAAAAAGGACTGGACAGTACTTTTACCACTTGCCATTCTCAGAATTCGGGCCTGTCCTCGAAATGCTACAAGGTACAGCCCATTTAAGATTCTGTATGGACGCTCCTTTTTATTAGGCCCCAGTCTCATTCCAGACACCAGCCCAACTTGAACTGTGCCCCAAAAACTTGTCATCCCTACAATCTTCTGTCTAGTCATACTCCTATTCACCATTCTCAACTACTTGTAAATGCCCTGCCCTTTTTTACAGTGCTGATTTATACTTTTCCTCCAAACCATCATAACTGATATCTCCTGGTTTTACCTCAAACCGCCACCCTTAAGTCTCTCTTAAAGTGGATAGAAGATCTTCAGTGACAAGGTACACTCCAATACTTTCACCCTAATAAAGCCCTATTCTTTACTTTTATATTCACTCTTATTCTTGTTCCCATTCTTATGCCACTCTCTACCTCTCCCCAGCTATCTCCACCACACTATCAATCTCACTCACTCTCTCCTAGCCATTTCTAATCCTTCTTTAACAAACAATTGCTGGCTTTACAATTTCTCTTTCCTCCAAAATCACCGAGTCCTCAATTTACTCACTGCTAAAAAAGGGGACTCTGCATATTTTTAAATGAAGAGTGTTGTTTTTACCTAAATCAATCTGGCCTGGTATATGACAACATAAAAAAAACTCAAGGATAGAGCCAAAAACCTTGCCAACCAAGCAAGTAATTATGCTGAACCCCCTTGGGCACTCTAATTAGATGTCCTGGGTTCTCCCGATTCTTAATCCTTTAATACCTGTTTTTCTCCTTCTCTTATGCAGACCTTGTGTCTTCCATTTAGTTTCTCAATTCATACAAAACCGTATCCAGGCCATCACCAATCATTCTATACGACAAATGTTTTAAGGGAGGAGACCACCCCTCATATTGTCTTATGCCCAATTTCTGCCTCCAAAGAAAGAAGTAAAAATGAAAAGGCAGAAATGAAATCCACAGGCAGACAGCCTGATGCCACACCCTGGGCCTGGTGGTTAAGATCAACCCCTGACCTAATCAGTTATGTTATCTATAGATTACAGACATTGTATGGAAAAGCACTGTGAAAATCCCTGTCTTGTTCTGTTCCTCTAATTACCAGTACACGCAGCCCCTAGTCATGTACCCCCTGCTTGCTCCCCCTGCTTGCTCAATCAGTCATGACCCTCTCACGCAGACCCCCTTAGAGTTGTAAGCCCTTAAGAGGAAAAGGAATTGTTCACTCGGAGAGCTCGGTTTTTGAGACATGAGTCTTGCCAATGCTCCCAGCTGAATAAAGCCCTTCCTTCTTTAACTCAGTGTCTGAGGGGTTTTGTCTGTGTCTTGTCCTGCTACAGTTTCATCTAACAACCCCATAATATCACCCCTTACCACAAAATCTTCCTTCAGCTTAATCTCTCCCACTCTAGGTTCTCACGCCACCCCTAATCCTGCTCGAAGCAGCCCTGAGAAACATCGCCCGTTATCTCTCCACACCACCCCCAAAAATTTTCACTGCCCCAACACTTTACCACTATTTCGTTTTATTTTTCTTATTAATATAAGAAGATAGAAATGTCAGGCCTCTGAGCCCAAGCCTGCACGTATACATCCACATGGCCTGAAGCAAGTGAAGAATCACAAAAGAAGTGAAAATGGCTGGTTCCTGCCTTAACTGATGATATTCCACCATTGTGATTTGTTCCTGCGCCACCTTGACTGAGGGATTAACCTTGTGAAATTCCTTCCCCTGGCTCAGAAGCTCCCCCACTGAGCACCTTGTGACCCCCACCCCTACCCACAAGTGAAAAACCCCCTTTGACTGTAATTTTCCACTACCCACCCAAATCCTATAAAACAGCCCCACCCCATCTCCCTTTGCTGACTCTATTTTTGGACTCAGCCCACCTGCACCCAGGTGATTCAAAAGCTTCATTGCTCACACAAAGCCTGTTTGGTGGTCTCTTCACACCGACACGCGTGATAATTATTATATTACTTTTAACTAAAACCCTTTCAGAGTCTCGCAGGGAAGGCTGTATATATCTCATAAAATGTTGGGGCCCACTGGATCAGACAAGGCCACAAAGGCCAAAGGGAAGTAAAGATCTCATTATTTCTCCTAATAATTTCCCTGTCCTTTGTCATAAATGGTGGGTAGGCTGTTATGGTGATGGCAGATTTTCTTTCCATAAAATGTCCATAATAGGACATTTGAACAGAAGGGAAAAATCAAATTGCTGAAGTTGAAAGAGGGCAATGCAAAGAACTTTGGAGAAAGAACTGTACAGAGAAGTCAACTGGCAGATGGGAGGAAGTTTAAGGGGAAAAATATAGATGTCTAAAGAATACATTTATTCATTTTCCACAGTGCAATTTGGACAAGAAGCCTCTTTCTTGCTTCTTTCTATTCTCATTAAATCATTAGAGCTCAAGCAATCCTTCTGCCTCAGCTTCCCGACTAGCTAGGACTACAGGTATGTGCTACTATGCCCAGCTAATTTTTTAAAAATTAGATTTTAATTTGGTGAACTATTTCTGTAGGAAACTACAATAATACAGCCCAGGCACATTGATCTTGGGTGAACAAATCAGAAGGAATGAATAATTCTGTGTTCCTGGGACTCTGACAATTTCATGAACTTGGTACTCTGAGTAAAGCATAGGAGGAGTTATTTCATAAAATGTGGAGCACAATCATGTGACAAAGATAATGGGATCCCCATTTCATAAATAAATCTGAAGTTCAGAGAGAGTAACAACTGGCCAGGGTCACATCACGGAGACAGAGGCAGGGTTCCCACTGATGCCTCTGACTCCCTGTCCCAGGCCCTTCCTCCTCCCGCAAGCAGAAGTGCAGGGGGCAGAGCTGACCCTGTGCAGTGAAAATCTGAGGGCTGAGTTCCTATTGGAACACAAGTGAAAGACTTCCTGGCTTCTAATCTCAGGATAAGGACTCAGAGCTCCATCTGTTCCAGCCTTAGGATAAGAACCAGAATCTTACACCATGAAAGCATGAAAGGTAAGATTTGAGTGAGGAAAAAAAAAAAAAAAGTCTGTGTTTCAGATTCAGTTCACAAAGCAGTTTCATACTTAAGGTACCATCACAATAACCCTGTGGGGTAAGCAAGGCAAATTTCATTCTTGTTTTATGGGCATAGGAAGTAAGTCTCAGGGAGGTTAAGACCAAGGTTTCTGGAGAATTTTATATTATGAATCTTGATTTATGGGATTACTATTATGTAATTCCTAAGATCATATAGGAATCCTAGAGCTTGAATATAGAACTTTATTTTTAAATCTATATACATCATAATTACAAGGAGTAGTGTCCATTTGGGTTCCTTGGCCCTGATGTGTTAGTGGAATAAACATTTTTGTCAGGGTTGCCATGTGTGTCTGTGCACGTGTGCACTGTACACCTCCAGGGGATGTACCCTAAACCACATGAATGTGATTTGCACATCCAAGATTTACAGTGTACTATAGGGAGAATCTTTTGCAACAGCTTTTGCTATAATACAGAATCTGAGATGTCTTTGAGAAAGAAAAGTGTAATCATTACCAAAAAATTATTCTCATAATGTGTGCAAATTTGTATGAAATCTATATTGGCCATGGGACAAGGAGGTATTTCCAGCTAGCTTCTGAAAGGGCTCTATTCTCTCATAAGAATTCAGCTGTTGACATTAGGTGATATCTGCCCAGGTCATCAGATGCCATAGAGAAAGAGGGTTTGCTGAAACTTATATCAGCAGTGCACTGTATGCTCTTTCTGATTTATTTGAACATTCATTTATTGAGTGTCAAGTAATGCACTAGATACTCCAGGGATCTGACACAAACTCTGCCCTGAAGGAGCATGTAATCTCACTGGGGAGAAAACAAAACATATGATAATTTCAAAATAACAAACTAGGCAAACTAGTTAACACTTAAAAAGCAGGCTTTATTCAAATGCAAAATTGCATGTTACAGGGTAACCTTTCAGTAAGAAGCCAGGAAGAGGAGCTCATCATGGGTTGGATTAGTAAAGGACTAGTTATAAAAGAAGTGGTGGGGTTGAGGGAGGCCTGAGATGAAATTTAAAGAATATGTAGAATCTAGGTAAGTGGATAAAAGGTCTGGGGGCAGGGGAAAGGAGAGCATTTCATTGTGAATCAAGGAATTTCTCCACCTGTTTTAACTCTTCCATATGACATCAAAGAGATGTCACTTGCAGCTAGCATTTCAGTGATGTTTTCTTACTAATAATATCGTGATAAAAGAAACATTGACTATAAGAAATAGGAATGGGTCTCATAAAAGGAAACAGCAAAACCCCCAAACTAAAAAACAGCGCAGGCTATTTCTCTCTTCTCTCCTTTTGCTTGGCACTCATGAGATGCTAGGTGTGGAAGTCAGCCAACTGAAAAAGAGAGGTGGCTGAAGAAGGTGGGGAGGCTGAAGCCAGTTAAATAGGATGGTCCAATTCACAGACGGCGAGGCTACAGTGCAAATAGGACTCTTTCAACTTGAGCAGGACCCCATTACTTCACTGGAGTTAGAAAGAAAGGAGAGCGTAGACTTTTTGAACTTTCTATAAGAGTGTACCTCCACAGTATACAGAAGACGACGTGAAATTTGATCTGCAAGAAAACTGAGTCCATATTCACATATGTATCAAATTTGCACTTCATTTAGAAGTGTCTGTCATCAAGTACAGCACTGAATTGAAACTGAAAACAAGAGTCAAGAAAGAGCAAAGTCAGCCATCTTTATATTCCACATGAATCCTTTCCCTTTATGGTCTTATTTGTTTCTCCTCAGAAAAGACAAAAAGCTGAGCTGTATAAACACCTGTGGGCTGGGGGTTGAGGGATAAATGAGGGGCGAAATGGAAGCTGAAGGAACTGTTGGTCAGGTAGAAATCTTCCCAGATGCACTGAAGGAAACACACTTCATGTTTGACGTAGGAGGTGCCACCACACAAAACGTTTCATGGAAGGATTTAAAGGATCTCATGATTTTTAGTATTCCAAGAATTTTCTTTCACCAAGGGCGATTTAATATGGGTCATTCATACTGAAAGAAAAACAAAAGATAATAAGAGTTTAAAAATTGCAAAACTTGGAGTGTTAGTAGTAAAGGTAAATATTCATTAGAGATGAGAAGAGGAGCAAGGAAATGCTTTCAGCTGGAAATCTCAGACAAGAGGCCAGGCTTTAGGAACCTCTGAAGATGAACAAATGTAAGCAAACCCTAGTAGCAGCACTTCTCAGATTTTCATGTGCTTACCACTCAGAGATGGTGTTAAAATGCAGACTCTGATTCAGTAGGTCTGAGTGGAGCCTGAGATTCTGCACCCCTAACAAGCTCTTTAGTGATGCTTATGCCACTGGCGCACAGACCCCACTTGGAGAAATTTTTGTGGTGCATACGGTCTTTGTCTCCAGATCTAATGAGTCTGAAGGACAGTGTAGATTGATTTTTTAAATTTATGTTTATTTTAATTTAATTTAATTTAATTTATTTATTTATTTATTTTTGAGATGGAGTCTCACTCTGTTGCCCAGTCCGGAGTGCAGTGGCACGGAGGCAGCTCATGCAACCACGGCCTCCTGGGTTCAAGCGATTCTTCCGCCTCAACTTCCTGAGTAGCTGGGAATACAGGCACGTGCCAGCACACCCAGCTAATTTTTGTATTTTTAGTAGAGATGGGGTTTCACCACATTGGCCAAGCTAATCTCAAACTCCTGACCTCATGATCCACCTGCCACGGCCTCCGAAAGTGCTGGGATTACAGGCGTGAGCCACCGAGCCCAGCTGTAGATTGATTTTGAGCAGTGGAAAGTCAAGGAATTAGAAGGCATGCTTAAATGGAAAGTGAAATTGGAGAAAATTTAAACTCATGAAATAGTGGTGGTTATAAACTCGTGATAAATTATATCCTGGGATATAATTTAATGAGATGGTAACACATTTAGTTTAAAGAAATAAGTGACACTTTTTTTGTGTGACACAACTGTCTTATTCTTGGAAAGGACAAGGAGAGAATGAAATATGGTATGTCTTCACAGCACCTTTCAAAGGGAGAACCAGATTCTGAGGAGCTGGTCTCATGATGAACTGTCAGGGTAAACCACAGTTCAGCAGCTGCAAATGTGCTTGCCAAAATAGAGACAAAAAAATGTTTCTGAAAACAAAATTTCACATATGCCCTCCTCTGAGGTTGGCATCATATCTTCCTGTGTATCTTGGGTGTAGCTTCTATCCTGCCAGAATTTAGACAGTAGAAACCAAATGAGGTGATAAACAGAGTCATTTTGCAGAAGAGTCAAAATAACCCAGCAAGAAATGAAACCACAAATGCCCAAGGAGTCATTCATTCACCATTCAAAAGCTAATAGAAATGAACACAAACTACTATGAAAATTCACCCAAGAACTTAAAAAAAAAAAAAAAGGCTCATGGTGTTTAGTGTGATAGTATTCATTTTACCTTTGACTTGTTCTAAAAACACACCATACTTCTACCCCACCCTTCCTCAGTGCCGTCACACAATGGTTTCAGTGTGAAAAAAAAAACCACGTTACTGGAAAAGGAGGGTGCCTGGGACTTGCCACTCTAAGCTGGTAGTCAAGGGTCTTGAGTTCTAAAAGCATACGCGTTAAGAGCATGATTCCTGGATCCAAATGAGTATGGATCTCAGCATTGCCATTTATTGTGACCTCAGGCTATTTTATTTCTCTGTGCCTGTTTCTTTATCAGTAATGAAGATGTTCATAGACCCTTCTCCCACAGACTTAAAGGCATATTTCATGATTTAAGACATGTAAACCATTCATAACAGTATACAACATGGAATTAATATTTGATAAAGGTTTATGATTATTGTAACTAACTCTGTCACTTGCTCAAGGCCTATAGAAAACTTACTTAATTAGTTCAACTACAAAAAGAGTTTGAATGTGATATCCACCAAGATCATATTCAGACCTAGAATTCTGTGATTCTTATGAATTAATACAGCCTTGGTCAATAAATGAGAGCTGGGCAAATAATTCTTCTTTGCTAGGCCTTTCTAGACCATCTGGTGAAGCATTCAAGACTTATGTTATTGGGGCCAGCCTTCCTTTCCAACTTCAACTCCACAACTCCTCAATAAGCCATGGGCTCAAGAAAGTTCTGCTCAGTGGCCCCTGAAAAATGCTTTCATAGTCTCACTACCATACCACTGCTTACACAATTTCCTTCCTACAGACTGCCTTCCTTTCCTGCTTTTCTCCATATACCTAAATCCTATCTATTCTTCATAAGCAACCTTCTTTATAACATTTTCTATAACCACCAAGCCAAATGACCTTTTCCTTCTTAAATATAGCACCCATTGGCCATTACCATGCTCTGCCTTGTATTTTTCTGATTTTTTTCTTTCTATATTCCTGTCTTAACTCCCCAGCTAGGTAATAATTTTCCTGAAATCAGGGACCAGGCTGACTCCTCTTGCTGTCTCAAGAAAGCTTAGCAGTTTCCAACACAAAAATGTTCAATAAACAACTATTAATTGACTGATTATAAAAAATCAGTGAACCATTAAACTTAATATAGCAATTTGCTTAGCATGGTAATTAGCTTTTTGCTAATATTCTTCCAGCCAGTCTCTCCTCCTGTGCCTCAAGGACATCTTAAAAAAAAAAAATCTAGTTGATCTGCTTCCATCTAGTGGCAATTAAAACAGGTGGTTCCGGTAGCCAGAAAACAGCTCTGGGTAGATTGTGCCAGAAAATACTTTCACTCAGTAGGTGCGAGTTTGAAAGAAATCTTCACATCTGTGGGTTTCCTGCCACAGACATAGGGAGACCAGCCCAGAGAAAGAAGCCTTTCCTCACTAGACTCCATTTGCACTAGTAAAGAGAAGACAGAGTAATTAAAAAGAATAAAAAGAACCTCCACTGATCGTACATCCTCATCCAGTTACCCCTGCCCCACTTCTCCTTCACAGCCAAACATTTTAAAAGAGATGACTGCTTGTTCTGTCTCTACTTTCTCATCCTCAGTAATGCTCAATGCTTGGCCGTCTGACCTCTGTCTTGATGTCTGCACTGCAAATAGTCTCCCCACTGACACCCTTGTTGCATCCAGGGGATACTTACTGGTTCTCTTGGCAATGTTTGAAACCGTTCCCCTTTCTTTGTTTCCTTGGCATTCATTACCCCACACTCTTTCTCCTCTTCCTTCTCCCTGCCTGGCAACATCTTTTCATTTCTCTTTCCCTTAGGTGACTTATTAGATAATGATGTTCCTCTGGCTCCCATACTCTCTCCCAGGTCCTCTTCCATTCTTAAAGCACTCACACCCTCCCTGGATGATAGTACCCACTCCTGAGATGGCAGTTACCTCCTGAAATGTGAGGGACCCAAATCCACTTCTCCTGCCATAGCCTCTGTGCTTTGGATAGGTCCAATGAGCCACAGTGAATGATGTGCATACACCCAAAGCTCAGTACAAAACTGAACCCATGATCTTTACCTCCAAAACCTCTCATTCTTTTATGTTCCCTTCTCAGAAGTAAACAGGACTACCATCCGCCAGTTTCCAGGTGAGAAAGATGATAATTTGATTCTTCTCTCTCACTTTTAGCCAATTAACAGACACATTCAGTTAATATCACCTCCTCTTATTTCATGAACCCATTCTTACTACTAGTTCCCTAGACAGGCGCCATCGGTTTTAATCTAATAACTGCAAATGCCTCCAAAACAAGTCTCTTTGAATCCAGGCTCACCTGTCTCCCACACTTGCCATACTGCTCTGCAGGGTGACCTTATAAGATGCCAGAGGTAAGGCTACTCACTGTTTAAACCCCTTTAGTGATATCCCAAAAGACCTCAAGATAAAGCCCATATCACATGGCTTATACATTAGTTTATGATCTGGCTTCTGGTGCCTCATTTTTCCCCACTTTTTCCTTTGCATTCTAAGCAATGGCCCATACTAAGTTTGTGATTGGTAGGATGGTTGCCCAAACCAGCATCCAATCCCTTCAGAAATCATCTCACTTCATTTCTAGCATTTTAAAGGAAGCTCAGTTGTCCAGCTGGGTACTGAATATGTCACCAAAGTCCTCCTTTCATAGTTTATTTTACTTAAACTCTCCTTCCTAAAATTCCAGAGCAAGTCACTAAACCCTAGATACTGAGAAATATTTTTCCATCTTCATTTCTGCCAGGTGGGCCATCAACTTTCACATGTCTGCATCTCCTCCCACTGTGCTATTTCTCCAGTAGAAGAAATTTGAGCTTCAAGACCAAACTGAAAAATACTTGCCTCCTTGGGGAAGCTGTAGGTAGAATTCATGCTCCCTATCTTTCCCACATTTCTGAAGGACAATGCCTGTTAGAGCAATTGAATGCAAATAGTCAATTGAATAAGCATTTATTCATTTCTCAATAAGTGCTTGTTCAATTGAATATTTCTTAAATAATATATTTAAGAACAAGAAGAACACACCACAATGTTTTTAACCCTCAGAAAAAATTCTGAGGTAATCAGAAAAATCTCCCTTTACATAAACTGCCCTTTTCTAATAGGGATTACTTGTTCGTTCATTCATTCATTCAGCTCCACTAGCACCAAAAAGCACAGCTCTGAAAGGAAGCTAGTAGATTTATCACCTTATCTGGTCATTTGGATGAGGACCCCAGGTAAATAAACTACTATGGGGTTAATGTGTCTAGCTAGAGCAGGAAGTAACTTAAGGAAGTAGAGAATGAATCAGCAGATGTGGAAACTCCTCGCCACTAATAAAACTTACCTTCTCTTGGATTTCTTGCCTGAAAATAGAAAATAGAGAAAAGGCATTAGCAAAAATTAGACAATTTAAAGTTTTTCAAGTAAGGGAGAAGGAAGACTCCCACTCTCAAAACTGTCTTTTGAAGTATATTAGGTATTTGTTAGGTGGACCCTATCTGTGTCAAAGGAGATTTGAGGAACTGGCTTAATAAACAGTGGTAGACACTAATACAGAACAGACATGTTGATGCAGATGCCTCCTGAGGTTCCATTCCATTCTCCGTGCTACTCAAGAAGACAGAATTGCTAAATTGCCTGGTGGCAAGACCCAATATGTCCATTCAAGTGTTTATCCCTTCCCAATCTGCCATCTCATCCTACCTGCAGATTCTTCCCTTGAGGGACAGCTGCTAATACTGTAAAACTATGTGCCATTACAGCTCACAGCATCATCTCTATGAGAATCCACAAGAGAATTTCACTTTGGTCTTGTTGGTAGGAATTGTGCAGCCTCATCTGAGTAACTAATGTGTTTTTATCTTACAAACACAAGGAATATCACATGGTTCTCCTTTGACTGGCTGTAAGGAAACTCAGAGCTAGATCTGAGACCCTCTCCTACCAAGTATATAAAACTTTGTGACATACATTTTTGTGCCATAACTTCAACCTTGGTTCCAAATGATTTTTGTACCCTAAGTTTAAATTTGGCTTTCTTTTTTTTTTTTTTGTACTCAATAAAACATCAAGCTCATTTATTATTGCGAAGAGCGAAACAACAAAGCTTCCACAGCGTGGAAGGGGACCCGAGTGGGTTGCCCAAATTGGCTTCTTTTTCTTACTTTTTAATTAATTTTAATTTGCTATACTGAACACATTTTGTACTGTTCTCACATTCTTTTTGAAAAAAGCAGAATATAAATAAGTAGATAACTTAAAAAAAACTCTTTGAGCAGAAAGAATCATTTGGGAGGCAATATATTTCAGTGGCTGTAAAGTGGCATTCTAGAATCATCCTACCCAGGTGAAAGCCCTATTTTGCCACCTGTAGTGTAGTGTGTATTTGAACAGCTACTTTCTTTTCTAAACTACAATTTCTTCATCTGTTAAAGAGGCATAATAATTGTATCATCCTCATTGGGTTGATAAAATAAAATATTTCCAAGTATTTAGTTCAGGTCCTAGCACGTAGACAGTGTTGCATTACTGTTTTAATCCTTTAAAGTATTAAAGACTACTATTTGAAATCTTTTCTTCTAAAATTCAGCCTGCTGATGACCAAGTGCACTTGAGCAGGGGGAATCAAATCTGAATTAATTTCAGATTCTGGTTAGCTTCACATAAATATTTTTTTTAGGGATGATGAACCTAACAGCAATAGATGAGTAAGAATCTGTTCCTACTGAGAGAGTTTCATTTTGAAGAAAAAGGAACTAAGGGGGCATGTGTTCAGTTTCATGCCCTGGTCTAACCCTGTGTGTTGGTTCTGGTGGGAAATTCTTCCAACCGAGGAAAAAACCAGTTCACAAATCTGAAGACCAGTGATTTTAGAAGATGTATCTGGACTGGAGTCTAATCTCTGACTCTGGGTCCTGCTGATATGGTATTTTTGAGATTTGGCCTAAAACATCATTGCCCTGGTTTCCTTATTTACCAAACAGGGCCAATGGTAGTGACTAATCAGAAAATGATAATGCCTGGTGCACAAAATGTGTCTAGATGAGCCCATGCACAAGGACACATGTTTCTGGAACTGTTCCTTATTCCTTTCCTAAAAGAAAGGAGGGAAAGTCTCCATACTAAGACTACTAGGGCAGGGGACAAAGTGCTAGAGTCAGAAGATTCATCTGAGGACAGAAGAATAGGGGTGAAGGCTCTAGTCACTTCATTGGCTACCATGCTCTAAATAGTTACCTGTGCCCTTTTTCTAACTATTAGAACCCAAAAAGCCTATAAATTCTCTCTCTCTCTCTCTCTCTCTCTGTGTATATATATACATATACACACACACATAGACACACACACACACCTAAACACACACATAGAGATTTATGACTTTTTACTTTTATCCTTGTAAATGCCATTAACTATATTTTGTCTTAGATTTAGCCTGGGAATGTAGCCATTATTTCTACCATTGCCTCCATAGGAAAAATACTCTTCATGTTTTAAAGGACCAACCTACAACTAAAATCTTTGGAAAGCAGAATCATTTGTAAGTTGGTGAAAATGGAAGATGTTGTTTTATAAATGAAGACTTTTTTTTTTTTTTTTTTTGAGACAGGGCCTCACTCTGTTGTGGAGTGCAGTGGTGCTGTCATGGCTTACTGCAGCCTTGACCTCCTGGGTTCAAGTGATCCTCCCACCTCAGTCTCCTGGGTAGCTGGGACTACATGTGCATGCTACCATGCCTGACTAATTTTTTGTATTTTTGTAGAGATGTGGTTTCGCCATGTTGCCCAGGCTGGTCTTGAACTCGTGGGCTCAAGTAATCCTCCTGCCTCAGCCTCCAAAAGTGCTGGGATTAGAGGTGACAGCCAAGGTGCCTGGCCCACAGATGAAGACTATTTAATGTTATCTTAAAGATACCCTAAGCTTCCTACCAAGCCAGTGATCTTTTGGGGCTTCTGTTTTCTTTGTTGGCATAACTGTAACTAGCCTAACTGCCCGTTATCTGTTTCCTGTTTGCCCCACACTGATTCCCACAGCAGTTTTCAAGTTATCGGTTTGAGATCTTGTACAGAAATGACTCCAAGGTAAAAAATTTAAAAACAACCCCTCTAATTTTTTTACCCTTGCTTATAAAACAGCCTTAGCCAGCTAACCCCTCACTACATGCAAATGAGTTTGATTCTATTCTTTTGATTCTACAAACACTTATTAAAAGATTTTAGAATTCGGAAATAAATAGCTTCCTTATTAAGGTGACTTACAGCCCCAAAGTCCTTAAAATTATTTAGACAATAGCCACCTTATCCCAGGGGGCAGTGTGTAATAACCCACCCTGTTCTCTATCCGTCAGTTCTGCCATCATCGCCCAAGGTAGGAAGAAAGACAGGACAACCGGGGTCAAGATTTGAAGTCTCAATGGAAAGAATAATCAGTGGTTGGAGAAAACTGTCATTCTTCTTTTGCCTTAATGCAGTACTTGATACTTATACTTAGTACTGTATAGTACTTAGTACTGTATAATACTATAAGATAGTGAGATTCAATCAGCACAGAATTTCTAATAGCAAGGGCAGAGACATTTTAACTGCTCAGTGCTCTCAGGTTATACATAGCTAATGAAGTTCTTGCATATCAACAATCCCCACCCCCCTCACACACTTTGTCTTTCTGGATTGGTTAGAAAACTTACCTAGCGCCCACTATTCTCAAATTTAAATGAAAGATAAGATCAGAGTGGCACGCAATTAGGGACTGATAAATAATATTTTTGTAATTGCCAGTGTAAATGGACAGGGGGCAACCTTTACATACCATATTCAGTGAACAGAATACGTACTAACTAATTTGATGGAAGGAAAATTAAAATGACAATCAACTGAGCCCACAGAAAGGCAACACAGAGCAGTTGGTTAGCAATTGTTTCGAGATCATCCCTGAACTTGAAACAGGTATATCTTTTTTTTTTTTTTTTTTGAGACAGAGTCTCACTCTGTCACCAGGCTGGAGTGCAATGGTGCGGTCTCAGCTCACTGCAACCTCCGCCTCCCGGGTTCAAGTGATTCTTCTGTCTCAGCCTCCCGAGTAGCTGGGATTACAGGTGCCCGCCACCACGCCTGGCTAATTTTTGTATTTTTAGTAGAGACAGGGTTTCACCATGTTGGCCAGGCTGGTCTTGAACTGCTGAGCTCATGATCCGCCCGCCTCGGCCTCCCAAAGTGCTGGGATTACAGGCATGAGCCACCACACCTGGCCAAAACAGGTATATCTTAAAAGCTGCCCAATGTCCATGAATGTTACAGCCTTGAATGGTTCTTCCAGGTGAGTTTGGCCAAATGTGGCACCATACACCCAAGGCCTGCTGCAGGCTAGTGGGTTGCTCACACTTTAAAGCTGAGACACACTCATGCCTTAAGGTAAAGGGAGTGATAATCTGGGCAGCAGATGTTAACTTCTCAAGGCAGTCCTCCTTCTCTTTTCCTCTCCAGTGACGGATGGTTGGAAAGCATATATGGTGCATTTGGTTAGAGCTGTGGCCTTGGTGAATAGATACTTGGGAGAATACATGGGAATTTCTCCCAGGGTTAATGCAATGCCCATGTGTTGGGAACCAGGTGACTCTTGAAGAGGTCAGGTATTTGGGAGCAGTGCCTTGAAACCTTAGTGGACATTAGACCCACTTCCTAGTGGAATTGTAGCATTGAAATCCAAGGCATGTAGGCTCTTAGAGGACAGAGATAGTGTGTCATTTTTTCAGAATTAATTAAGAGCAGGCCAGGCGTGGTGGCTCACACCTGTAATCCAAGCCCTTTGGGAGGCCAAGGCAGGCAGATCACGAGGTCAGGAGATCGAGACCACTCTGGCTAACACAGTGAAACCCCGTGTCTACTAAAAATACAAAAAATTAGCTGGGCATGGTGGCACGCTCCTGTAGTCCCAGCTACTTGGGAGGCTGAGGTGGGAGAATAGCTTGAACCCAGAAGGCGGAGGTTGCAGTGAGCTGAAATTGCACCACTGCACTCTAGCCTGGTGACAGAGTGAGGCTCTGTCTCAAAAAAAAAAAAGTATTAAAGAATTACATAAGAGCAAAGAACCATTAGAATATCTCACTTAGTTGTTATCAGCCTAGCAAGCTGCCTTGAAGGTAATAGACATTTTTAAAAGTTTATCAGATGAAAAGCGAAAATCAGCCAACCTGTTTTAATGAAGGTGTGTCCTGGGCTGATTTACATGTCTCCAGGGACTGATGGCTCTAGAATGTAAAGCTTGGCATCCTGCTTGTGTTGAATCTATCACATTTAATTTCCTGTGGGTTTCTTTTTTTTTTCTTTTTCACTTTAAAGTTGTGTTCTTTTCATGTGAAGTTAAACTCACATACCTTTTTTTAATCTCCTTGCCAGCCAAATGATAAATGCCAACCCAGAGAATGCAGTAACCATGACTGCCACTGGAATGAAGAGGGGGTTATAATCACCCTCCTTAATCATTGAGAAACTTTTGTCCAATTCTGAAAGAGAAATCAGTAAGGCACATAGCATGAGACCACCAGCATTATTTCCTTAGTCTATCTCATGATATTTGACTTTTTTCCTCCTTACATCTCCCAGTAGTAGCCCATTTGATGCCATTTGACAGATGAGGAAACTGGCATGGGAAGGCCCCTGATGAGTCTACAGCATAGGCAAAGACTGGACCAGCCTTGCTAGTCTAATGCCTACAGAATCTCAATGCCCAGATTTGTGGTTCATAGAGTTCCTGAAAATGCACCTAAAAATGTTGGCAAGAATGGTCATCGTTGTATTTAGCTCCATGGACTTGTTCAATGACTGGAACTCTGAAACACAGAGAAGAGCTAAAAGCCTAATACAACTTCAGGAAAAATAAAAGCCAATGATCTGAACTGGATAATTCACCAGTCAAAGGAAATCATTAATGCTTTTACTTTAAAGCAGTTGTGCAAAAATAAGCACTTGATTTTTACATGCCAAGGACCTGCACTAATTTCTTTCCAATGCAGTAGTTACCACTTCCCTCTACTTCCTTCACGAATAAGTAAAAGGGCATGTTTAGAGATACTCTTGTAAGTGTAAACTAAGTTCATTTGGGAGCCTCTATTTGAAAATACTGGTATAAAAAAAAATCTGTCTCCTGATACTAACATTTGAAGGAATCTACTTTTTTACATATTGGCAGAGGGTCTGATTCTATCCTTAGTTCTTCCCATTACTTTGATGAACCTTTTCAAGGTGATTTGATCCCCACACCCAAATATATGATTGAGAGAAGGCTCAAGTTCCCAGGAGCTCCAGACAGAAGGTACCTGTTGGCTTGATGAAGATGAGGAGGAAATGAACACTAGCTAGGCCTTAAAGGGAAATGTCTCTGATAGGCCTAATACACAGTCCTCTGCTAAAGGCCTCCCTGCCTCTCTCTGCTCATCCACTCTACTCCCTGGCCCTGGGCACGCAGCACACAGAGATCAGCATTTCTGACAGCTTCTGTAGATCCTACCATTTAAAGACTTTTGTCATCCATGCAGATAGTCTCAGGAGCAGACACAGGTAGCTATTCTTTCACATGCTAGCTTAACATGCATTTGCTTTAGCACCTATTGCCAGGCACTGTGTCAGGTGGAGGGTATACAAAGATGAACAAGACATGATTCTTCTCATATACAGATAGATTTTGGAGGCATTAGCTTAGTGATGATTCAGGAGTATCCATTATTTGGGGAAGTAGGTGGTCATTAGTGACCTTTTACAGGCATTTCAATGGGCTAACAGAGATGTTAGATTGTAGTGGAATAGAAGAATGGGTAAAAAGTAAATCAGTGAGTTCAGATTTTAGGAGTTAAGATGGCAAGAGGTGAGAACAAAAAAAGGAAATGATTGTCATTAAAGGAGGAGGAAAGACCAGCCAAAGATTTTACAGTGAGTTAAGCATACAAATTTATTTCTAGGCCACATATTCTTAGCAAAACAACATGTAAATGTTTATGTATGTCTTTCCTCATATCTGCTCATCCATCAGCTCCATCGTTAAGATTTCAGTTTTCCAGGACAAACTTACTCACTTTGACATATTGGACTAGGATTTGACCAGATTCCAGATGATTCACAAATGGTTTTCTTCTTCCCAATTAACTCAGTTCCTTCTGAGCAGATGAAGGTACATGCAGAGGTAAAGCTGAAGCTGGCCAGGGGATGGCTACAGTTCATGATCCCCAAATCTGGTGCTGATAGAGGCTCACACTGAATCACTTCAATGAAAAAGAAAAAAAAAAAAAAGACAAAACAGTATTTCTGAGTAGAGACCCTCCCTTGAGCAAAGGATTTTTAGCCAAAGCTGCCTGACTACATTACTTGTGATATTGCTTCCAGGCTTTATTTTCTTGAGAATGATGGTGGGTGGTGAATGAGAGATGAAGGCAAGGAAGCATTGAAAGCTGTGGGGAGAGGAGTAGCTACTCCAGGCTGCTGCCCTAGCTAAGGTGACCCTCCCCTTCTGCTGGAAGTACCATGCCATATGGCCTCTGCATCAAGGGCTCTTATGGGATATTCTCAGAGAATCTCTGCCGTTTCATCTGTTCTGATATCTACCCAAGCATTTTGAAAAACATCCCAATTCACTGAAGCAAGTCCAACTTCCGTAAATTCCAGTAGGTGGGTTGACAGTTTTATAATTTCAATAAGGGATTTTGATAGCACTTCTAAGAATTAAACTACTTAAACTAATGCATCAGGAGCATACTTGTAGAAAAGTTAACCAAAACTTCGTAAGTTCAGATGACATTGGTTTTCTCCCATATGGAGATAAGGTTGGCAGTTAAAAATGAAAAAAAAAAAAAAACCTACCTTATTTCAAACTTGAAAAGATCAAGAGATTGTGTTTTTGTTTTTCAGTTGTTATTCTCCTAAAAGTTTATGCATGAGGAAAAGTAAAAGTGATTTTAAGAATAAGCCAAATAAAACAACCAAGAAAGACCTCCACTACCCTGGGAAGGAAACTGGTTGGTATTAAGTAGGACACCACATAAAACAGGTGTTATTGAGAGGAGAAGAACCAAAATGTAACTGAGGTTCAACAAGACATTATTTATGCAATGGCAATGAGAAAAATAAAAAACACAGTATAACCATGCTGTATTGCTATAAGTCATGTTACACACTGGGAGATGGCTTCAGGGGTATTTGGTTTTTACTTTTTGTTTGGGAGGTTTTTCAAAAAAATTTAGTTAGAATAAGTCCTTTGAGAAACATCACAGTAGGTTAAACAAAGTTAGGTTAAATTAGGCTCCTAAGTTTGACTTCTCAGCAAACTTCTACTGAATGTTCTGACTGTAAGCCCAGGATTGCATGACAAAACCTCTAGTCTGAAGTTACTCACCTTGACAGGTTGGTTCTGGAGATGACCAGTTTCCAAATGGTCCACAGGTGGTTTCTTCAATCCCAGTTAAGTTTGTTCCTTCAGAGCAGCTGAAGGCACACTGTGAGCTGAAGCTGAAGTTTCCCAAAGGGTGAGTACAGTCCATGGTACCCAGCTCTGGGGCCTCCAAAGGCTCACACTGAATCACTTCAATAGGGAAAGAAACAGTATGGGGAAGAGTTAAGAGGAACTGACGCCTGGATTTGAATCCTAGCCCTGCCACTTGATAACCATGTGCCTTTAAACAAGGTTACTTGAACCCTCCAACTTCAGTTTCTTCATCTATATAAGAGGAATAATGAAATTGTGTTATCTTTATCAAATTGATATGGAAACTAAATGTAATTCAATTAGCATAAGTCAAGGACCTTAGAACAAAGCCTGACTCATCAGAAATTCTAAGTAAACATTAGCTAGTCTTCATATTATTATCTTCAGCATTATCTGTAGTGAGAATCCTTAAAGCCAAATAGGTGTAACTGGGAATGACCAGCTTAGTCGGGAAATAACTATCACATCAGAGCCCCTGAGTCTACTAGAGTATTGGGAGCAAGATGTTCAGAGAAAGAGTGGGTCTCCATAATAAGCCTTCTTTGCAAGGAGAGAATATAAAAGTCTAGGAAGCATTTTGACCTCAATTCTGTCTTCTATTCTAGCTCAGTTCCAGAATTTTAACTCTTTTGATTTTGACAACCCTCTCCAGAAACTGTATCTATTTCCCTGTTCTGATTGGTGGTACAATAGGTAAATTTAAGACTTGGAAATCAAAGTTTTCACATTTTAGACCCTGCCATGCCATTTAGTAAACAGTACAACTTTCATGTCTTATTCCTCATCTGTCAAATTTAAGCCATTATTGCTACCTTGCTCTAGAGACTTCAAGGAAGAATGGACTCAAGGAATCAGAAGAATTTTTGTATTTGGAAACTATATGAGATGAGATTAGGGAGAAACATGGGAACTAAGAGAAAATGTTATCTTTTTTCATTGATTTAAAGAGTATCTATTATATATCAAGCATTACTCTGGGGCTTGAAGAGCTTAGATTTCACCCTGTAGGACAAAATGGTAGGTAGAAATTAATGGGTGGATTGTCATGTATGTGTGATGTGTTTTAATTGCTTTTAATTGATCAGTCTCCCTGTAGTATGAATAATGTATTTGAGGGGAGCTAATTTAAAATTGTGGAACTCATCTAATAAACTATTGCAAGAATCTAGAAGAAAGATAATGACGGCAATGGTAGTAGAGTTGACAAGTGGAAGACAAATTAGAAAAACACTAAGTTGTAAAAATTGGTAGAATGTTACCCTGCATAAATGTTGGGGGAGTTAAGAGAGTCTCATACCAGGGTGCCCATGTAAATGGTGATTCCACATACTGAGATAAGAAATACGAAGAGAAAAGCTGACTGGGAACAATTGGTTTTATAGTCTTTTAAACATCCCAAAGGACATCCTTAGCATATTTGAGTTCAGAGCTGGAGATAGGCTTATCAGTCCAAAGATCACATAGATTTGTGAGTCCGCAAAAGTCAGTAAGTTTGACCAAAGGATACATGTAGATTAGAGTCAGAAGAGCAATATACAAAAGACAAAAGCTGAGAAATTATAGTAGTTTATGGTCCTGGATAAGTGCTCATGAAGGATCTCAGGAGAAATGATCACAGGTAGAAAGAATGAGAAAAGAGTGATATGAGAGAAACCAAGACAAAGAAAAGTAAAATGTTAAAAATGAGTGAAATAGGCATACCAATAATTAAAAATGAGTAAAATAGGCATACCAATAACATAAGGGTTAAAAAATAGAGTTCAAAAATGGGGTGAGGGTAAAGTATTAGGAAGGAGTCATGGCCCAGGGATCAAGTGAAATGAGTTAGATCTATAGATCTATTTCAGTTGGTTGACATTTAAATGTATTTTGGTTTTAATTCTTTATTGTTTACAAACATTGCTTTTTTAAAAAATTAAATTGTCCAATTCAATTCAGGCTCACAAGCAAGTGCCTCATATATACAGGCATTTTGTGGATCCCAAAGATGCAATGATAAATAGGACACTTACTGATCTCAAGAAGTTTTCAGTACCAGAGGAGACGGACAAGTGAACAGATGACTTCAACATAAGTGGGAGAAATGAGGAAGAAATATGTGGAGCTATCAGAACTAAGAAAGCTTCCTAGAAGAAACTGTCTTTGAACAATGTCTTAAAGATGACATGTTTTTTGGCCATGTGCAAAATGAGAGAGAAGGCCACCAGCAAAGTCAGTGTGCTACAGAGCACATGTGTTAAGTGTGGAGAACTGCAAGAAGGAAAGGAACTACTAGAAGGAAAAAGCAAGATACTTTCTGGGTAACTCAGCCTCCTAATGATAAATGGCATAGTTTCTTCCAGACCTTAGAGTTCTAATTAATCTAACAAGCTCATTAGATCGTGAGCTTCTTGAGAGCGGGAATCTACCATGCTAATTCCTTATGGTAACCCTGACAGCTTTTATCCCAACACTGTGCTTCTTGTGGTACTCAAAAAGACTTGTTGAGAAGTGAGTCGAAACTTCATGCTGACTTATGAAATCTTTACGGAAAGGTAACAATATTGTGAAAGCAGAGCTTTCTGATCAAAACTTCCCATTTCTCAGAGTGGCTAGTATCATTTTGTTCCAACCAGCTTCATGATAAGCTATAATGATTCCTGTGACTTTACCTAAGAAGAAGCAAAGAAAGGAAAGAGACTTACCAAACTGACACTGGGGCCCATAGTACCCCACATCACAGTTGCAGGTGTAATTATTGATGATTTCTACACATTCTCCATGGCCACTGCATGACCAGGGCTGGCAAGAAGCTTTAAGGAGGTCAGAAAAAAAATATTTTAATGTGATTACATTTTAGTACTCAAAGTCATTTCTTTAGACATAGATAACCTTTTGTCTGAGATGATTTAAATAATCAGGAAAGGTTTATTTGTAAATTCATAGCATAAAAATCATATGCTAAAATTTTTACGTATAAAATACACTAAGCATATAGTCATAGGCATTTATTTGCTTTTGGAATGAAATTACCAATACTAATATTCTGTAACACTTATAGGAAACTTAGTGGCATACCTTGAAACTCTTGAAATTACTTGTTTTTAATGAGTGAGAAGGTTAAATGATGACCTGACCTCAATCATTTCTGCATGCAATTATTTCTTGGCAATCCCTTTCTTTATAGAAATCAAAGATTAAAAAGTCCAAATTTGCTAAAACGGTAGAGTCCAATTTATAAGAGACCAAATTAACTATGGTTCATTATTAAAACATCACTTGGAAAATGCTGGCTGTTTTGGAATTGTAGAAGATTTTACAGAAATATTCATACACCAAAGATAGTGCAATTTTTATATAAAATTATATAAGGTTAGACCAAGAAGGAAGCACGCAGCACCACACTCTCTACTTCACAATGTGAAAACTGAGGTGATGTGAGCCTAAGTTTCCAACTGGCCCCAGCTGTCAGCTTCTCCTCCCCTGCCTTATTATCAAAGGCACTGATTGTCTAGCTCTTCCTCTGTACTTCCTACGTAGATCTATCATTTTGATGTAACTTGATTTAGGGGTATAGCTTTTGTGCACAGGGACAAATCTTACACACCAAAAATTCTTAGGAGTGACACGATGCAAGATTATATAGAGGGCTAGATGTATTTTAGAATGAACCAGAAGCTGTTCTCATCCCCCCACCTTTCCATGGGGTAAATCTGAGTATTCTCTTAACCGTGGCCCTTCCTGAGTCTGAGGCAGCATAGCCGTCTTGTCACTCCCTACCTGTGTAACAGAGGGCTGCCTTTAGTTTGTGGCAGGCGTCATCGTTCCATTTGCCTGCATCTTTGTTTCTCTTGATATAGATCTCCACGCAGTCCTCCTTGTTCTTCTTGTTGTTGGGCTCACCATCTCCCCAGTTCTCTGCTTCTTCAGTAAGAGATTTGTTGGTTCCCACCCACGTCCATATTCCTCCTATCTTCCGGATTCCTATCCAGTAGTAAGAACGACTGAAAGGCAGAGTCTTCTCCAGATACTCAATTTCCGCCTTGTTTTGTATGGCAACTAAATCTGTGTAATTGTCTCGGCAGAATCTTCTAGCCCTTTGCCAGTTCATGGGTTTTTCAGAATAATGGTAAGTCCAGCAGTCGGTTCCATGATGTGCCAGGAAATCTGCAAGACATCAGTGTGACCTATGCAGACTTACATAATGTTACAGCTAAAAAGAACCTAGCACTACTCCAGGCTGAGCTAGACACTTAGAGATGAGGAAACAGAGCCTAAGAGTGTATGTGACCATCTCAGGATCACAGAATAGTTGTTTGCAGATTTGAAGTAGAACCTAGACCTTCTGGCTTGAATATAAGATGCTTTTATCTAAGGTTCTATTTGAAACAAATTTAGTGGTTTTCTAGGTTTATTTTCTTATTAATTTTTTTCTCAAAATTATTTCAGGTGAAATTTAACCAACATATTTTAGACATTCATATTTCTTTTTCTTTGTAGCTGTTAATGATTTACAACTAATTACCGTGTAATATCATATAACTATACAATTTACGTATACTTTTTAATCCTGGAATCATTTCTTGAAGGCCAACACATATGTACCTATGGGAGAAGCATAATAAGGACAGGAAGAACAGTGACATACTTTTAAGTAACCTCTTTTACATAAAAAACATTTTATTTTACCATAGGAAGAACTGCTTCTGGAAAAGCCCAATATACCACTCAACTCTTATATATCTAACTGTATAATTTTTAAAAAGAACAATTTACAAAGCCAAATGGTATAGGATTATGAAATTCATTAGATCATGTTCTATACACAAAGAGACTCAACTGATGATGTTTAATAAACATATGGACCCATCAAATATGAGGGCTTTGAAGATATCTAATTAAACACATAATTACACAATGACTTCATAATAATATATGGCATTCTAAGCATGGTATGATCTACATGAATCACTATTTAATACAGTAAAGAAACAGATATAATTGATGGTAAAGAGCATCATAAAATAAACATTTTGAACAGAGTTTTGAATGAGCATTCCACTAGAATGCAAGTTCTAAGAGGGAAAAAACTGTTGTGTCCACTGCTGTATCCTTAGTGCCTAGCATAAATTTCACACATTGTAGGGACTCAGAAAATACCTGTTGTATGAAAAGAGCACTAAGTTTCTATGTGACACAGTGCAGACATGGCATAAGGAATGTGTGAACGGGAGAGTTAGCATGTTTGCTTGGCTAGAGCTGAAAATCCAGGCTAGGGAGAAAGAAGACATTAGTTTACTTAGGAAATGAAAAACCAAGTTCAAAGCTATTGCTGGAGAGTCTTCAAGAATCAGATATAAAATTTGTCACAACAATGGGAGAAGGACCAAAAAATGATAAACCCCCGTCCCTTAATAAGCTCGTATTGTAATTGTAGAAATGACATTAATGTACACTGAACTATGAATAAAAAATAGAAAATGAGGTGCTAAATATTTGGTACAGATTGTAAGTACCTTAACAGAGATTTCTTAATTAACATTATTCCTTTATAATTGAGGGATTTTGTGGGGTTATTGGGATTTGAACTCTACAGCATGGGCTATTATAGGTTAAAAATAGTGTTCAGGAGTTTCTGGGGAAGAACTAAAGGTAAGAAGAAAAGAGATGTTTACAGAAGGGATAGAATTAACAGCTCTGTGAAATAATTTTCCCTTAGACTATGTATAACTAGTGGATATTTAAGAAAAATGAATATAAGTAAAATAGACTTAGCGATATATAAATATCATAACATACCACAACAGAGCATTGTCCACCCCCACAACTTGAAGATGTTCCATAAGTCCCTCTGGGTGCTCTGACATTTCCATGGAAATATCTGCAAATGAAATACAAAATTATATTTAGATGTATACTCTTAAACCACACATTTATAGCCTTTGAGGTGGTGCTTACAACTTTCTTAATAATCAGAATAAAACACATATGTCTACTAACCCTGTCTGAGGTAACAGGTTTCTCAGACATAGATGAAAAATTACTTCAAATTTACATCAGAACTGATGCACAGTTTTGTTTTGTTCTATTTTATTTTTACGCTTTAGTCTCAAGTTGCTAATCGGTACTGCCCTGAATTTTTTCTATGGTTTGGTAATTTTTATACCTGCTTTTCTGCTGAGCTATTAGATAAAACTATTTAATATTTACTATGTATATTTTTTAAAGTATTGTTGCTGCTTAATTAACTATTGATGCTTATATTTAATGTTATAGCCTCACTCTTGATCATAATGGGTCAATGCCTCAAATACCTAAAAAAAAAAAAAATTAGATAGCCAGACACCAGGAAAGAAAAGTATTTCTTTTTTTAATAAAAAGAAATACCTTTTTGAGCAACTGAAATGACAAAGTCACAAATTTCCTGCACACCTTAAAATATACTTAATGTAAATGACGAGTTAATGGGTGCAGCACACCAACATGGCACATGTATACATGTGTGACAAACCTGTATGTTGTGCACATGTACCCTAGAACTTAAAGTATAATTTTAAAAAAATTCTATCTTCCAAAGCATATCACTTCTCAGGTAGACACAGTGTTTATTGCAAAAGATCTGATTTCAATAGTATTTCTTCAAGAGTCTCCCCAGAGACAAAGTCAAGAAGAGGAAATCAGCATATCTGAGAAGAAAGATTTCAGGATCACTTTTTTTGAGGGTCTGAGAAAATGTTTAGTTTCTATATTATTTAAAACCAGAATTGAAATGGGGTGATTCCTATCCTTGCCACCTGCCTCTACAACCCCAAGAGTTTCTATCTGAGCATCTAAACGTCTTTTAGGCTGAAAGGCTCACCATGGCTTTGCTTGGTCCTTCTCTAGTTCTTCTGCAGCCCATTGAGCCTCTTGACTTAGCACAAGGGTCTCAGGTCCTTGCCCAAAGGGAGTGTGCTGTGCTGCAGGTAGACTGCACTGAATGTCAACAGAAAGCCTTGCTTTCTTTCATTTCTCTAACCCAGTCTCACATCCTCCTCCTCCTCCCCTTTTCCCTCCCCTTCCTCCTGCACTTCTCTTTCCTCTTTCCCCACCCCTTTCCTAGACTGGCCTCTATTGCCTCCCACTGAGACAAAAATGAACTGCTGATCAGAAAGTAATGTGACTAGATTCTCTCTTCCTTCCCTCCTTTCTATCCTTCCTTCCATTCTCCTATGCATCTTTCCTTACCCTCCTCCTCCTTCACTCATTGTTGTTGCTGTTCTTCTTCCTCTTCTTTTTCCTCCTGCTCCTCTTCTTCTACTTGTTCTTGTTCTTGTTTTTGTTTGGTTCTTGTTCTCCTCTTCCTCCTTCTCTCTCTCCTCCTCCTCCTTCTTTTCCACCACCCTCCCCTATCTTTTTCATAAATGCTAAACTAACTCTTGGCTACCTGTGGTAAATGGCCCTTGGAAATTGCAAATACTACAAATCAAAACTGCATTTCAGACATATTTATGATGTTTGCAAAACTTCAGTAGAGCTAAGCAGTGGACTTGACTCGTTTCGGTTCCTTCACCTCCGTCTTTCCTTGCTCACCACCTAGTGGACGTCCTTGTTAGTGGCACTTCCTGAAGTTAACCCCTGAAGAGAGCCCATGCTCTCTAGCTTTTCACCGTGTAGGTTTGGGAGCCTACAAGTACCTTTAATATTCTTGGACTATAAAATGAGATGGTTTTATAAGACTGCATGTGAAATTAGGACCCATATGATGAAGGACAATAAAAAGGAAGACCCACTGATGTGAGTCAATGAGTCAAATGCAAATCAGATTTGCATTTTTAGGAAAATAATAATAACAACAACAAAAACTCTGAAGCTCAGCGCCCCATATTTATTATATTGTTTAATCTTTATAACAGCTCTCTGCTATAGAT
Source organism: Homo sapiens (assembly GCF_000001405.40). Lineage (NCBI taxonomy): Eukaryota > Metazoa > Chordata > Mammalia > Primates > Hominidae > Homo > Homo sapiens. Next base: position 169,712,547 of record NC_000001.11, read on the forward strand.
ATGATTATTATCCCCATTCTAAAGAGTCTCAAAGAGGTTAAGAAACAAATTCAAAAACTAGCGAAAGACAAGAAATAACTAAGATCAGAGCAGAACCATAGGAGGTAGAGACACGAAAAAGCCTTCAAAAAATCAATAAATCCAGGAGCTGCATTTTGAAAAGATTAACAAAATAGATGGACCACTAGCTAGACTAATAAGAAAGAAGAATCAATAGACACAATAAAAAATGGTAAAGGGGATATTACCACTGATCCCGTAGAAATACAAACTACCATCAGAGATTACTATAAACATCTTTACACAAATAAACTAGAAAATCTAGAAGAAATGGATAAATTCCTGGACACATACACCCTCCCAAGACTAAACCAGGAAGAAGTCAAATCCCTGAATAGACTAATAACAAGTTCTGAAATTAAGGCAGCAATTAATAGCCTACCAACTAAAAAAAGCCCAGGACCAGATGGATTCACAGCCAAATTCTACCAGAGGTACAAAGAGGTGCTGGTACCATTCCTTCTGAAACTATTCCAGAGAATAGAAAAAGAGGAACTCCTCCCTCACTCATTTTATGAGGCCAGCATCATCCTGATACTAAAACCTGGCAGAGACACAACAAAAAAAGAAAATTTCAGGCCAATATCCCTGATGAACATCATTGCGAAAATACTCAATAAAATACGGCAAACTGAATCCAGCAGCACATCAAAAAGCTTATCAACCACAATCAAGTTGGCTTCATCCCTGGAATGCAAGGCTGGTTCAACATACACAAATCAATAAACAGAATCCATTACGTAAACAGAACCAATCACAAAAACCACGTGATTATCTCAATAGATGCAGAAAAGGCCTTGGATAAAATTCAACACCCCTTCATGCTAAAAACTCTCAATAAACTAGGTATTGATGGAACGTATCTCAAAATAATAAGAGCTATTTATGACAAACCCACAGCCAATAGCATACTGAATGGGCAAAAACTGAAAGCGTTCCCTTTAAAAACTGGCACAAGACAAGTATGCCTCTCTCACCACTCCTGTTCAACATAGTATTGGAAGTTCTGGCCAGGGCAATCAGGCAAGAGAAAGAAATAAAGTGTATTCAAATAGAAGAGAGGAAGTCAAATTGTGTCTGTTTGCAGATGACATGATTGTATATTTAGAAAATCCCATTGTCTCAGCCCAAAATCTCCTTAAACTGATCAGCAACTTCAGCAAAGTCTCAGGTTACAAAATCAATGTGAAAAAATCACAAGAATTCCTATACAGCAATAATAGACAAACAGAGAGCCAAATCATGAGTGAACTCCCATTCACGATTGCTACAAAGAGAATAAAATACCTAGGAATCCAACTTACAAGGAATGTGAAGGACCTATTCAAGGAGAACTACAAACCACTGCTCAAGGAAATAAGAGAGGACACAAATGAATGGAAAAACATTCCATGCTCATGGGTAGGAAGAATCAATATCATGAAAATGACCATACTGCCCAAGGTAATTTATAGATTCAGTGCTATCCCCATCAAGCTACTACTGACTTTTTTCACAGAATTAGAAAAAAACTACTTTAAATTTCATATGGAACCAAAAAAGAGCTTGTATAGCCAAGACAATCCTAAGCAAAAAGAACAAAGCTGGAGGCATCATGCTACCTGACTTCAAACTATACTACAAGGCTATAGTAACCAAAACAGCATGGTGCTGGTACAAAAACAGATATATGGACCAACGGAACAGAACAGAGGCATCAGAAATAACACCACACATCTACAACCATCTGATCTTTGACAAAGCTGACAAAAAGAAGCAATTGGGAAAGGATTCCCCATTTAATAAATGATGTTGGGAAAACTGGCTAGCCATATGCAGAAAACTGAAACTGGATCCCTTCCTTACACCTTATATAAAAATTAACTCAAGATGGATTAAAGACTTAAATGGAAGACCTAAAACCATAAAAATTCTAGGAGAAAACCTAGGCAATACCATTCAGGACGTAGGTATGGGCAAAGACTTCATGACTAAAACACCAAAAGCAACAGCAACAAAAGCCAAAATTGACAAATGGGATCTAATTAAACTAAAGAGCTTCTGCACAGTAGAAAAAAAAAAACTATCATCAAAGTGAACAGGAAACCTACAGAATGGGAGAAAATTTTTGCAATCTATTCACCTGACAAAGGGCTAATATCCAAAATCTACAAGAAACTTAAACAAATTTACAAGAAAAAACAAACAACACCATCAAAAAGTGAGTGAAGGATATGAACAGATGCTTCTCAAAAGAAGAAGTTTATGCAGTCAACAAACATATGAAAAAAAGCTCATCATCACTGGTCATTAGAGAAATGCAAATCAAAACCACAATGAGATGCCATCTCATGCCAGTTAGAATGGCGATTATTAAAAAGTCAGGAAACAACAGATGCTGGAGAGGATGTGGAGAAATAAGAATGCTTTTTACAGTGTTGGTGGAAGTGTAAATTAGTTCAATCATTGTGGAAGACAATGTGGCGATTTCTCAAGGATCTATAACTAGAAAAACCATTTGACCCAGCAATCCCATTACTGGGTATATACCCAAAGGATTATAAATCATTCTACGATAAAGACACATGCACACTTATGTTTATTGAGGCACTATTCACAACAGCAAAGAGTTGGAACCAACCCAAATGCCCACCAATGATAAACTGGATAAAGATGATGTGGCACATATACATCATGGAATACTATACAGCCATAAAAAAGGATGAGTTCATGTCCTTTGCAGGGACATGGATGAAGCTGGAAACCGTCATTCTCAGCAAACTAACACTGGAACAGAAAACCAAACATTACCCATTCTCACTCATAAGTGGGAGTTGAACAATGAGAACACATGGACACAGGGAGGGGAACATCACACACTGGGGCATGTCAGGGGATGTGGGGCTAGGGGAGGAACAGCATTAGGAGAAATACCTAATGTAGATGACAGGTTGATGAATGCAGCAAACCACCATGGCACATGTATACCTATGTAACAAACCTGCACGTTCTGCTCATGTATCCCAGAAATTAAAGTATAATTTAAAAAAAGTTTAAAAAAAGAAAGTTGCCTTAGTCACATAACTAGTAAGAGACATGGTTGGGAATTTGAACAGAGGCCAATCAGTTCCAAATCCATGCTCTTGATCATTAAGCTGAACTTATGGCAGGAACTTGGAAGACATGGTAAAATGGGGAAAAACGTGGAGCCAGGGAGACTTGTGAAAGTGCCAGTGCTCCCACTATACCCTGAAAGAAGTATCTAGACTTACTTTTTTCTAAGTCCTCTCCTCTAATTCTCTCAATCTCTCTCTCTCTTTCTCTAAGAGATGGGAATGCTGCTCTGTCACTCAGGCTAGAGTGCAGTGGTGCGATCATAGCTCATTGCACTCAAGGAATCCTAGGGTCTAGTGCCCCTTCTCCCTCAGCCTCCCATGTAGCTAAGACTACAGGCACATGCCCCAACCCTCGACTAATTTTTTTATTTTTTATTTTTGTAGAGACAGGATCTCACTATGTTGCTCAGGCTGTAATTCTGTCTTGAAGCTTGTCCAATCAGGCTTTCAGCCACACCAATTCCCTGAGACTGCTCTCACCAAGGTCCTACACTTCACTAACACAAACAGCCTATTCTCCATCCTCATCTTACTTCACCAGGGAGCTCCTGGTTTTCCTCCTACTTCACTGGCTATTTCTTCTGTATCATGTGTTGATTCTCCCTCATCTCCCCAACCTCCAAACCCTTGGAGTACTCCAGAGATCACCGCTTTGCTCTTCTGTGTCTAACCTCACTAACTTGGTGGTCCAATTCACACTCTTGACTTTGAATACCATTTAAATGCGAACGAATTCTAAATTCTGTACAACCAGAACCATTCTCCTGTAGCCAAATGCCTACTCAACATCTCCATCCCCAAACAAATTTAGTTGTTCAATAAGCCTCTCATATTTTACATATCCCAAACTGAACTTCTGAATTTCTCCTCCAATCTGTAGGGCTCTTCCCACAGCCTTTCCATCTCAGTGGATTATAACTCCATCCTTCCAGTTACTCAGACCAAAACTTTTGGAGTTAACTGAGACACCTCTCTTTTTTTTCACAAGTCATATCCAATGTGTCAACAAATTTTGGTAGTGGAAATATTGCGGGATTTTTTAAGAAATCAGAGAGACCGATGGGGTTCAGGAGGATATTTATTATTTAGGTGCACTGGCCAAGTCAGATTAACATCCAAAGGACTGAGCCCTGAACAAAGAGTTAAGTTACCTTTTAAGCATTTTGTGGGGTGGGAGAGAGGGGTATCTGTGCAGGGGGAAGCATACTACAGAAGTGAGAAATAAAGACAGTTATTCAATTAATTGAGACATGCATTACATCATTTCTTACTTTTCAAGAAGAAACATGTTTTGCGACTTGAGTTTATCTGTCTAGTGACCTTGCAGCTGCACAGCTAGAGAAACAGGGTCTTCACAATGCCTGGGAAAGGAGGAGAGGTAAGTCTCACTAGCCACAGAAAAACAGGCAGTTAATTTTTAAAGGGCTCCAGCTCTTTCTCTTTCTCAGGGGGAGTTGGGTTTTGTTACATACAACTGAGTTTCCGCTTACACATTATTTAATTTCTTTTAATTCCTGTTCCAAAAGAAGCCAGATACAAAAGGTTACATGTTGTCTGATTCCATTTATATGAAACATATAGAAGAGGTAAATCCATAGAGACAGAAAGTAGATTAGAGGTTCCCAGGGGCTGAGGAAGAAATGGGGACTAACTGCTTATAGGGTACAGAGTTTTCTTCTGATAAAAATATTTTGGAACTAGATAGACATTTTGTTAGGCCATTCTTGCATTGTTATAAAGAATTACCTGAGACTTGGTAATTTATAAAGAAAAGATGTTTAATTGGCTTACACTTCTGCAAGCTTTACAGGAAGCATGGTGCCGATATCTGCTCAGCTTCTGGTAAGGCCTCAGGAAGCTTACAATCATGGCAGAAGGTGAAAGGGGAGCAGGCATATCACATAGCAAAAGCAGGAGCAAGAGAGGGATGTGGGGAGGTGACAGTCACTTTTAAACAGCCAGATCTTGTGAGAACTCATTCACTATCATGAAGACAGTACCAAGAGGATGGTACTAAATCATTCATGAGAAACCCCACCCTCATGATCAAATCACCTCCCACCAGGCCCCACCTCCAACACTGGGGATTACAATTTGACATGAGATTTGAGTGAGAACACGGATCCAAACCATATCAGAGATGGTGGTTATACAATGCGATAAACGTCACTGGATTGTACACTTTAAGATGGTTGTTTTATGTTGTGTGAACTTCACCTCAATAAAAAAAAATATTTAATGTACATTCAGCCAAAAGAAGATTTGGAATAGGAAAGGTCATGGAGATATATTAACAGCCATTTGATGGGTGGTAAGGAAAAGAGTGGTTATTAGACTGTTTTGTGGCCCTCAAAAGGTAGAACTAGATCGAGTTGGTGAGCATTATAAAACCATCACAAAACCCTGGAGAGAGGACCCAGTGCTGAAGAACCGTTTGCCTGCCATGAGACATGAGGGAAGTACCAGTGAATGCCATTGAAAGCAGCATCCCTGGGTCCAAGGGATGGTCAAAGGACCACTACCCAACCCTTCCCTAGCCTACGCCTCCATTACAGATGACCGCAAGATTTATTTGCTCATTGCTGCCAACCAAGGCTGCACTCACTGCAGTTGCTATCAGTTTATCATGGGTAAAAGGAATGTGCAGTAGAGAACTAACTAACTGCCCACCTACCTCCACAATCCTATCAGGACAAATCACCATGGCTCACATTTCCTTACATTTGGCATGTAAGCCCCTCTTACTGTCTGTCATCTATCTCCTACACAGTTCACCTAAACTGTTCTCTCCTGACCCAACCTTGATTTTCATCCCAAATGCTTCCTTGCCATCTCTGGGATTCCTGTCTTCACCATCACCAAACTCCCCTCAATCTTCCAGTTTCCTGTTCAAACTTTTCTCCTACCTCCTTGCTTTGTCATTAGCCCGACTGCCTCCCTAGGACATCACTTCCCCTGCAGATCTCTCAAGATGACAATATTTATTCTCCACACAGCACATACTTCAGGGTTGGAAGGCAGGGGCAATCTTCTCCTTTATAATGAGTGCCTCTTATATATGTTTATTCATCTGCCCTCTTGTAAAACACACACACACACACACACAAAGAAGAAATAAAATAACTCTGCTTCTTTGAAGCTTGTGACACTGAGATAAACCATCTCACTGTCCTCATTGTAGTGACCTCTCAACTCCTCATGCAAGATTGGCTTTGGCACCTAGTTCCTGATCTTCCTTTCCCTGTAAGCACTTCTCATAGTCTTACGGGACTTCACCATCCATGGCACAACCAATACCACAGCCCAGATCCTCAGCTCTCCAATGACATTTTCCTCCACTAGACTTGAGCTACCTCCTTCCCTAGGCACAGCCTCAACCTCGACAACACCTAAGACTGTACCGTCTCTAAAGTCACATGTTCAAACACTTCACTCTTTAACCACTGTCTCCTATTCTTGCAAGTGTATTGCTCAAGTATCTCATTGCAATGCTTTTTACTTCTACCTCATTGAACCTCCAGGCCATTAAACATTTCCTTATTTCTAACCATCAGGTTTCTCCTTACTTGTTTGTTTGTTTATTTGTTTCTTTTTTTTTTTTTTTTTTGAGACAGGGTCTCACTCTGTTGCCCAGGCTGGAGTGCAGTGGTATGATCTCGGCTCACTGCAGCCTCCATCTCCCTGGTTCAAGTGATTCTCATGTCTCAGCCTCCCGAGTAGCTGGGACTACAGGTGCATGCCACTACGCCTGGCTAAGATTTTGTATTTTTATTAGAGAAGGGGTTTTGCCATGTTGGCCAAGCTGGTCTCGAACTCCTAACCTCAGGTGATCCACCTGCCTCAGCCTCCCAAAGTGCTGAGATTATAGGCATGAGCCACTATGCCCCACCTGGTTTCTCCTTATTTATTTCAAGTCTATGCTGCACTATTAAAACTGCCTTGACAAAAATTATAATAGTGAGAAAATTATGACAGTGAAAGAGATCTGAAATAATCAACCCCCATCTTGCCTTTACCTTCCAGACTGCCCTTAATAATTCCTGAGCTTGGGCCAAGCTATCTTTGGCAGAAATTTAGTTTATAGTTTAAATGATAATAGCCCTTCTCCAAAACTAAACTGCCTTTGTAAAACTAATAAAAGACCACCAATGAAAGGTTAGGAGGATGAGAGGAGCCTGAATTCTGCTAAGGTGTAGATGTAAACAATTACCAACTGTTATTCCGGAGGTCACAAGATTTGCAACATCGCCAATTACTCCTGCAGATAACAGCACTATCATAGAATCTGATTGGCCTTTTGAGATGTCTTTTCAGATTCTTACATTTCAACTGGTGGCTCTACCTGGACCCATCAACAAGTCCTGTGGCTCCACCCAGAAGCAGACTTAACATGCACAAGGACCATTTTCCACACCGCTATGATTGCATCCCAACCAATCAGCAGCAACCATTCCTCTGCCTGCCAAATTATCCTTGAAAAATCTTAGCCTTAGAATTTTGGGGGAGGCTGATTTCAGTAATAACAAAACCCCGGTCTCCCATTTGGCTGGCTCTGCATGAATTAAATTCTTTCTCTATTGCAGTTCCCATCTTGATAAATCACCTTTATCTGGGCAGCAAACAAAAGGAACCCATTGGACAGTTACACTGTTGGCAGATATATCTTGCTTCCAAAATTGGATTTTTGTTTAATGAATTTATTCTGTTTTCTTGATATTTACAACTGTGAATGTTGTGTCTGAATTCTCTTTATTTCTTGTTGAAAAGAACTATATTGCTACAGCCAGTACATACAGATGGATAGCTAATTACTCAACACGGGGGGATGTGACCATCACCGCACTGTGCAAATGAATGTTACCCATTGTCCACTTTTCCCAAACTACATAGTGTTATATGGTATATGACCCAATCAACGGTGGCAAAGCTCCAGAAATACCACATAGACATCAGGGACACTTTAAACTAATCAGCCTATAGTCCTTTTTCAGTAATTTCCAAACCTGGTTGTGCATCCAAATCACTTGGTAACATTAAAAAAACAAAAAAATATACACGCAACATTCGCTCCCAATCCTACTGAATCAGAATATTTTGGGTTGGTTCAGGAACATTCAGGAGTTTTTCAGGGTCCAAGGTTTATATAATTTGAGGTCTCTCTTTGAGAAAAGGAACGTAAAAGCGTCTTGCTTTTATAGATCTTACAAAGATGTATTACCATGTAAACACATTCCTAGGACCCAGGCCCTTGTAATTTAAAGGTTTATCTAAGTAATGGGCCCTGAAGCTTAATTTTCATTATCTTCAGGGCAAATTACCTGTGGGTTAGGGTTTAGGAATATATCTCTCTGTGTATGTGTGTGCACATTAGCATGTACGCTTGTGTGGATTTTTTTTTTTTTTTTTTTTTTTTCTGAGACAGAGTCTCGCTCTGTCGCCAGGCTGGAGTGCAGTGGCGTGATCTCTGCTCACTGCAAACTCCGCCTCCCAGGCTCAAGCGATTCTTCTGCCTCAGCCTCTTGAGTAGCTGGGACTATAGGCACGCACCACTATGCCCAGCTAATTTTTGTATTTTTAGTAGAGTTGGGGTTTCGCCATGTTGGCCAGGATGGTCTTGATCTCTTGACCTCGTGATCCACCCGCCTCCACCTCCCAAAGTGCTGGGATTACAGGCGTGAGTCACCATGCCCAGCACTTGTGTGGATGTTTTAAGCTCCCAGGTGAGTGAATACAAAACTAGATCTTTCCCTTCTGTAGCATCTGTACTGTTTACTCTATGCATCTCAATATTTTTTCTTTTAGTATCTTTCCTTTTTCTCTCTTATTACTTCCTCTTGTGCTATTTTTACACCTCCTTTTTTAAAAAATTTTTTCCCTTTTATTTCTATTGACCTTTAGCCCTCACAATGATTCCTACAAGCCCCATTTCTGTAAATGGGGATTGAAATAATTGCTGGACTTTTGAGAGATAGATATATTAAATTGCAAACTGGCAGTAGTGGGGGCAGTTGATACATAACTAGGTTTTAAAGTCTAGCCTTCTGAGACCACTCATTCCATTTGTGAAAAGTGATTCTACTTCTTATTATGAGCCAAAATATGCATTCATTCACCCATGCATTGATTTATTCATTCAATAAATATTTGTTGGATGTCCACTCTGTATCAGGAATGTGCTAGGTTCTGGGAATACAGCAATGAACAAGGTAATTTTTCCCTACCCCTAAGGAACTTAGAGTTTAGTGGGGAAGACAGACATTAAACAAACAATTGTGCAAGTAATAATCTATAATTATTTATTACAATTAAAGGAAGGAAGAGACATATGGATTATGAGGGCATTAAAGAGGAGACCTAGTGTAAGTAGCCAGTTCTCGTGAAGGGACATGTATTAGTTGGAGTTCTCCAGAGAAACAGAACCAATGGTGTGTGTGTGTGTGTGTGCGTGTGTGCGTGTGTGTGTTGGGGTGTGGGGGTGTGGTATTTTTTATAGAAATTGTCTCACACAATTATGGAAGCTGAGAAGTCCCATGGCCTGCTGTCTACGAGCTGAGAACCAGGAAAGCCAGTGGAATACTTCAAAGTCCAAAGGCCCTGGAACCAAGAGTGCCAGTGTTGGAAGGCAGGAGAAGATGGGTGTCCCAGCTTAAAAAGACAGTGAATTCACTCTTTTTGCTCTACATAGGGCCTCAATGGGTTGGATCATGGCCACCCACATTGGTGAAGGCAATCCTCTTAGTCTACCAATTAAATACTAATCTCTTTGGAAATACTCTCACAGACACACTGAGAAATAATGTTTTATCAGGGTGATAGAAATCTTCTGGAGTTAAACAATGGTGATAGCTGTACAATCACATACATTTTTAAAGGGTGCGTTTTATGGAAAGTGAGTTTTATCTAAATAAAATTTCTAAGAAAGAGACTTAACACAGAGATAAACATAAGCACATTTATTGTCAACCTTTATAGTGTTATGTCAAATAGGTCTGACATAAGCTTAAATAAATATATACTTTAAAAATTATAAAATATTTTAAGTTATAATTTAAAATTCTCAATAAAACTCAAACACAAACCACACTGGTATTTCACACAGCTAATTTCTAATGCAGTTTACATAAATATTTACAACACTTAAACAATTTCAAAGAAAATAACACTGTATTCCATACATAGCCTGATCACAGTAGTTGTTCTCTCTTATTTCCCAGAGTTTTTCTGCCCCTTTAAAAGAACCTCTGCTGTTCTGATCCTTATCACATCTCTGTTTTGACTGTTGGCTTTGTTGTTGCCAGTGTTCAGCCAGAACTTCTCTGAAACTTTTTTTTCAACACATGCTAAGTTAATGGAAGTGTAGGAGAGTTTTGATTCTCACACTCCTCAAGGCTAGAGCAGCTTTGGCAATTACTGACTGAGAATTTTTCATTGCCAGTGATCAACTGAAAACTGGAGATTCCTTTGGAATTGTTAAATCTGCTTATAAATAAACATAAATGCTTGCTCACACAGGCATTCCTCTCTTCCAGAGCACCCTAACATACAGAAGAAAACAAATAGGGAATAACTATTAGACATCTTCATTCGTTAAAAATCTACCAGATGACTCTTTTACATGGTGAGTTTCTATTGTGAATTTAAAATCTTCCATAATATACAAGAATTATGTTTACATATCATATCTGACAAACATCTTTGTAGGAATGCAAAGCACATCCATCTTTCTGTATTCTTTTCCAACAAAGACATTCATAAAATTATACCTTTGTGTGTTTGCATTTATGCTTTTATTAGTTCAAAACGTTTGGCCTCATGGAAGTTTTTCATCGTGGAAACCACATATTTCTGAAAAAATATCTGACAATATACAAACCTTCCATTCAGTTTTTACTCTCCAATTCTACCATGTTTTCAAAAAACAACTGTAGTAAAAACACTCAGAACTTTATTCTGGTTAACATCATGCCTTGCTAGGGGACAATAGTTTCCCTTTTTGAAATAAATTTAAAACAGATGTAACATAATTTGTTAATAAACAATGAGGGGGTAATCTAGAATAAGTAACTTTTACCATATCATAGTTGACAGCATTTACAAGTTTTTTAAGTCCCTACCACACTTGTATTGAATGAAGAAGTATGGAAGATTATAATATATTCAATGCAAGTAAAAATATCACAATCCTTAAGAACTCTTTAAGAAGCACTGAATCCCATAGGGATGAAAGTGATTAAATTGTGCATAGTAACCCTCGCACAGAGCATTCAGTAGGATTTGCACCATTAACAACCCTCCATGCATTTGCCTGTGGGCATTCAACATCTGTCATTTTTTTAAGTTATAATATTTTTAGTCATTTTTTTCCTCTAAACTCTGGATAATTATTATTCATTCTTATGACAGCAACTGTGTAATCAGCTGTCGAAACACTGTGAAGGGCAAAAGAAAGAAAGCCACAAAATATTGTGTTTCTGTGCCAAGATTTTACAGCGAGCAAGGGAGAGTTAGAAAAGGAATTCTGAGATTTCAGAGTCTTGGTCTCTTCACCTTTGCTTGGAAGAAAATATCCTTTCCCTTCATTAGCCAACACTTTCTTGATCCTGAGAGTAGGAAAGGGAACACTGAGTCTTTTCAGTTGAAGGCCGTCCTTGCCTGCTGGACTTTGATCTATTGAAGTGGTGATGGGTGTTGCGGTTTCAGCCATAAAGGCATCTGGCATAGTAGGCAAGAAGGGCCAGAGACCCGAGGAGAGTTATCTGTCTCTGTTAACTTCAGTGTATCCCTCTAGTTCCCCAGATGCACCTGTTTCTGTAAATATAAACATGCATGTCATCAGAACACTTAATATTCTGCATACTGATCATGACAACAAAATGTACCTTCTAACACAGACACTCTCACTAGGATAGACCATGTAGGAACATCGAATTCTATTCAGTTAGGACAGTGATGATGTCTACATATTATACCTCTGTCAAAACCTACAGAATATACAACACAGCACAGAGTGAATTCTAATGTAGCCTGTGGACATTAATGAATAATAATGTATCAATATTGGCCCATCAGTTGTAACACTAATATAAGATGTTAATAACAGGGGGAATTGAAGGGGTGGTGGGGAGATATGTTGGAACTCTTTGTGCTTTCTGCTCAATTTTTCTGTAAACTTAAAACCGCACACACAAAAAAAGTTATTTTAATTTTTTAAAAAGTATTCAGAGGGACTTGACCTTTCCAAATTCTCTCAAAGCAGGTCGGAGTAGTTAAGAACACAAATTTTAGAACCAGACTGCCAGAGTTTGAATCCTGGCTACACCACTTACTAGCTTTGAGATTTCAGACAATTTACTTAACTTCTCTGTCTCATTTTCTTCATCTGTGTGATAAGAAATAAAGTAACAGGCCAGGCCCAGTGGCTCACGCCTGTAATCCCAGCACTTTGAGAGGCCAAGGCGGGTGGATCAGGAGTTCAAGATCAGCCTGGCCAACATGACGAAAAAATACAAAATCTCTACTAAAAATACAAAAATTAGCTGGGTGTGGTGGCAGGCACCTGTAATCCCAGCTACTCAGGAGGCTGAGGCAGGAGAATTGCTTGAACGCAGGAGGTGGAGGTTGCAGTGAGCCAAGATCATGCCACTGCACTCCAGTCTAGGCAACAGAATGAGACTCCATCTCAAAATTAAAAAAAAAAAAAGTAAAAAGAAAAGATAAGAAATATAGTACCAGCCCCTATCTCAGAGTTCCTAGCTTAGAAAAATTCCCAGAATATAATAAGTGCAATGTAAGGGTCAGCTATCTTCATTATTATTATCTATCATAAATGAAATTACACAATAAAGCTAGATCCGTTTCTTTCCTCTCCTTCTACAAAAAATAAAGCAACTTTCCAGAACAATACCCAGGTGATGATTTCTCCCCTGCTCCCTCCCTAAGATATTGGCAAGTTTGGAGGGTTCAAGGAGAAACAGAGCATGTAGAGAAGATACCTCTCTCATAACCATTTGTGATTTACAAGTCTTACCTGATTCTTTTGAACTTAAAGGATGTAAGAAGGCTTTTGGTAGCTTCCATCTGATTCAAGGCTTTGGCAGCTGCTGTGGAATACATGAGAACACTAGGTAAAGCACTGTCTTCCAACATGAAGAGAGAAAAATATGTGGAATGTTCAATGGCATGCTTTGTATAAGAATGCAACTTACCTGGCAGGAACAAATTTCTTTGCTGCAAAAGAAAAGACAAACAACCATTAATTCAGACTAAATGACTTTTAAGGATATATTAAATCCAGATACAATATGACTTAATTCATCAAGTGTTGCAAACTCGATGCTTCAGGGCCTCTGTAATAATCAGAGCACAAGCATGGCTCTGTGGCATCTAGGGTAAAATGCAAAGTGCACAGCCATCCAAAGGGCATAGCAGCTTCCTAATGCCAGCAAATAGCTACGGGGTCATCTTGCCCAATTCAGCTCCCAATTTTTCATGAGAAGTCCAAAGTCTTAATTTAAATGTGAGATTTCCTATTTTGTAAACGTCAGAACTTAACTCAAAAATGTTTTAAGTACTCTTAAACATGTAAGCCAAACAAACCATGAGTGTAGTCAGATGTGCTTCCATATTCCTTATGAGAGACTCTCAAATTTAAGCCTGTACTCCAAATAAATCTCCTTAGGAAGAATTTTATCCATTTTCCTTAGAGTGCTCATCATGGCAGTTCCATTGCACAATTCCGGGAGGCATCATATAATTCAACATGAATAGCACCCCCTGGAGTTGTACAATATTAGGCACGACTAACATTTTTATTTCCTGAAACACTTCCCACACTGAGTTGTACTACTAACTCTTTTCTTAATACTTCTGCTTAATTATACTGCATTTTATCCAGATTCTAATTATTGTTTAAATCAGTAAGCAAGACCATGACTTATCAATGAGAAAGAAATGTATTTTCAAAAACATTTTTGAAGTACATTCATAAACTTCCTCACCTTTCCGTAAGCATTTCCGAAGCCAGAGGAGAAATGGTGCTAATGTCAGGAGGGAGAGTCCAGCAGCAGAAAGTCCAGCTACCAAGGGAATGTTGGACTCAGTGGGAGCTAAGGAAGTAAGAGACGAAGAAAGGTCATGAGGAAGAATTGATGTTAAAGTCTCTCCGTCCTGTCCCTTTGGCCTTTTTTCTGTACATTCATTACTAGGAGCAGAAGAGCTATCTAGTTTAATACAAGAAGCAGAGATGTGGCATTACAGGCCTTTGAGATCTGCTCCAAGCCACCTTTGAAGCTATTTCCACCATTGGCAGGCAGAACTCTAACTTGCCAAGCTCGTTCACAATACCACACCACACCTTGGTTAATAAACACTGCACTTGCTTGCTCTCTTGCTCTCACTCCCTCTTGTTTTCCATTTCCCCTTTCTCCTCTCCTCTCTCTGTCTCCTTTTTCCAGTTGTCAGAATTCTACCCTTTCCATCAACATGCAACTTCTGTTTTTTCTCTATCCCCATACAACTTAATATTCACAACTTGTCAACCTGGGCGAACTTTCTGGTTTGGATATAATGAATAGTTGATTACTGTAACAAGATAGCTCCCCCTTTTTCTTTTTAATCACCAGACAACCACCATCAATCAATGCATCACCTTCACAGGTAGGTAGCAGGCCAGACCAGTGTCCTGTGGCTCCACATGTCCGAGCTGCAGAGCCATTGAGCGTCCATCCTTCAGGACAGGCGAACTTGCACACAGTGCCAAACACGGGCTCCCCACTGCAGCTCATGTTGATCTTTCCCGGAACTGCCAGGCTTGAACATTTTACCACTGCAAATGTTAGGTACACAGGCAGAGTTTCAGAAAAATCTACTGGAAAACTTCCAAAACTTGCTTAAAAGTCAACAATGAATGTAAAGTGTAAGCGCTACTTAGTTTTCAGCATGTAGGAAATTAGGACCAAACCCCTTTGGGGCAATCTAGGTTCAGAAACTTTATGAAGTATTTGACCTGTACCCTAAAAAAGTCTGCACTCAATTCTACCTTGGCAGGAAGGAACCTCTTCTGTCCATTGTCCCTGAGATGTGCACTCAAGTTGAGTTGATCCATGTAATTCAAATCCCTCCTCACAGCTGAAGGCACAAGAGGACTTGTAGGTGAATTCTCCAATAGGGGAATGAGCACACCTCACCAAACCCTTCGGGGGCTGGTGGACAGCATCGCATCTCACAGCTGGAACACACGAGAGAGCACTTTAGAAGTTTGTTTGCATCTCCAGCAATACGTTTCCCAAGGTAACCAAGTTCCCAAGCTCTTCAATAGTTCTTTTTATCTTAAAATAAAATAAAAACAAAGACTGTACCTTCACATGTGGGCTTCTCGTTGTCCCACTCCCCTGTGGGGCCACATTGGAGCCTTTTGGATCCCTTCAACACAAAACCCTGCTCACAGGAGAACTCACAGCTGGACCCATAACGGAAACTGCCAGAAGCACTAGGAAGACAATTCATGTAGCCTCGCTCGGGGTTGGACAAGGCTGTGCACTGGAAAGCTGAGACATCAAAATGATGGTCAGAAAATATTGCAGTGGAACTAGAGAGTACTTGGCGTTTGTTGAGTGAACCCAGTTCATTCAAGCAACACTTGGAGAACTGAAGATTCTTTATAATTCCCTGGACAAATGGGAAGATGGCTGTGTTTTCTTTGAATTTCAGCCCCCTCACTGATCATGGCACTAATTAAAAGACTAATTAATCAGAACATTAGTTCCTGAGCACTGTTCTTCTAACACACAAAATAAATTATGGTCCAAGGAAAGATTTCACGCAGTCTGAGGACAACATATGGGTCATGGATGTTTATAGATGGTGCCAAAAAGAAAGAAAAGAAAGCACCCCTATAAAATTTGTCTGTTTTGCAGTTTGGTTTTTGTGTTATGTTTTGCTACTGGAAATCATTCTGTGCTGGCTTTGGCTAGGACAAGGCCAGTGCCTGATAGTAAAAACTGCTTGTTTTCAATATCCTTGCTCTCACTTTAAAGTGAATTAAAATTTACTGCTTATATATGCATCAATACTATCTCTGTAGCTGACACCATGCTTGAAACAGTCTCATCACTGCTAATTATGAGCCATTTCAGAAGACAGGTGTGATGAGAGTTTTACATTCAAATCATGTTCTCATTATTCTGCTTTCCGAATTTTCTAATATGATTCCTTTAGATTAAGAATTCTGTCTATTCCATGCTAATGTCTACAAAGTTTTATCAGCACATCACAGTTAAAAAAAAACAGCAAAGAATTCATTCTTAACACATATGATCCTTTCCCTGGCCAAACATTAGTTCTTTTAAATGAATCTCAAAGATACGAGGGTTGCTCATCAAATCTGATTTCTATAGTTAAAGTGGGTATTGGTTTTTTTTTTCACTGTCCAAGTTTGAAGATGGTTGTTCTTTAAGAAAGTATAAATCGAAGGATCTCAAGCTTACCTTCACAAACTGGGATTTGCTGTGTCCACTGCCCTTGAGTGGTGCATTCAACCTGGGCTGGTCCCTGCAACATGAAGCCTTCCTCACAGGTGAAGTTGCAGGATGATTTGAAGGTGAACTCTCCAGCAGGGGAATGGCTGCACCTCACAGAGCCATTCTGAGGCTGGCGGACGGCCCTGCATGTCACAGCTGTAACAAATATACGCATTGATATTAGCACGGCCTAGAATTAGCTTGCCCATTTCCAGTATGGGTTGAGAGAAAGAATGTTCACAGTAAGTCTCCATGTGGAACAACTCTACCTTTACACGTTGGCTTCTCGTTGTCCCAATTCCCAGATGAGGTACACTGAAGGCTCTGGGCTCCCATTAGTTCAAATCCTTCTTCACAGTCAAATGTACAGGTTGTGTTCCATGGGAAGCTTCCAGGGTTTTGGAAACATTCCACGAACCCATTGGCTGGATTTGTCACAGCATCACACTCAACCACTGAGGATTTTAAAGAGCACCATGAATTTTACAGAAGAATGATCTTTTCACTTCCTATTGAGCTGGGTGCCTAACAGAGTGAGGAAGCTGCCTTCAAAGGGTAGATCCCAAAGTCCTATGTCAATTCTTAGGGACATGCACAGCCAGAATAAAAGCTTTTATTCTTTTTCATGGATATTCTATCTTTTCTGATTTCCACTTTGCCTATGCTGAGTGGTCTCTAATCTATGTTATCATTTACGTGAGGTAAAAATTTAAAAAAAATAGATTCCAGATTAGGAGTTATGACTAGTACTGACATACGTAGGCTATTCATTTATTTTAGCCCATCAGAGCCTGAAGAACTGATTTTTCTTTTTTTGGCCTCTGGTTCAGAAAGATAAAATTAAGAGAGAAAAAGAGATACTAAGACTGCTTGACTATCATGGTCTTAAGTTAGTCCCATGGCTTGGAAAAGTTAAACAGGGAAACAAGATGAGAAATCCATTGAGATTTCTAGAGCTTTATTGTTTTATGGTCTCCCTTACAAATCACCAGAGCCTCAGAAACACCCATTTCAAGCATAGAATAAAAAAACCTCTCTCAACCCAAGCAGGTACTGGGTTGGCAATATACATTGGCTGAGAGAACAAATTGTATTAAAAACAAAAACAAAAAAAAAACTTTCCCTGAAGTTTTGAAAATGTAAGTTGAATCAAAAAACAGAAGCAATGAGGGATGAGTTACAGAACGTTCTGTGCATTCTCAGAGGGATTTACCATTGCAGGCTGGAATAGGAGCACTCCATTCTCCAGAGGACATACACTGCATGGTCTCCATGCTGCTTGGCAGGTAACCCCTATCACAGCTGATAGAGCAGGAAGAATTGTAGCTGAAGTTTCCCAGTGGGTGACTGCAAACCAGGCTTCCATGCTCAGGGGATTCCAGGGCTGTACAGTTCACAACTGAAAAAGAAACCCAAATCAGTTCTGCTCATCTCTCACCTTTAACAGATAAGAACACTGGAAACTAGAACTACAGTTTGGTTTTTTTTTTTTTTAGTTTAAAAATTTATAAAATTTCTAATGGAATTTGTAAAATTGACTGTAATTCTACCCCTTTTCTTTTATTCAAGAAAATGCTGATCCATAACAACAACAACAAAAAAGCAGTGATGACAACCATAAAAAAGAAATATTGAGTGATATGGGGAGAGTAGTGTAATTGTGTTTACCTCAAAACTGTTCAAATTATATGAACAAACACAGCAAACTTAGGTACCACAACAAATTTCTTGTTACTTTTCTCACAACTGCTAAAAATACTACAGTAAGCTTCCAACCAGGATGAGAACCATTCACAAAGCTATATTTCAAATTTAAGTACTAGAATACATTACAAATTTTAAAACCCTAATGCTGCACTGTCTACTATAGTAGCCACTATCTGTGTGGCTACTCAAATTTAAACTTGAATTCGTTGAAATCAAATAACATTTAAAATTCAGTTCCTCAGTGTCACCAGCCACATTTCAAGTACTCAATAACCACATGTGGCTCATAGGTACACACTGGAAAACACAGCTATGGAACATTTCCATTATCACAAAAGCTCTACTGCACAACGCTGTGCTAAGGAATCTTGGAGAGAAGCTCATCTAACTCTCTTAATGTACAAATTTAGGAACTGAGACCTCATTTCATTCAAGTGACTTGCTCCATGCTACACGGCTAGTCATTACAGAGCCAGAGGCCAGAGCATGAACCAAGATACCCTGGACTCTGTAACTCACTCATTTCTACTGCAACGTCTTGTTACCACCTAGATGAGGTGAGTACATGTTCCTCGCAGGGACACAGAATTACAGTTTATTGAATGTGTCCTGTGTGCCAGGCACCATGTAACCATGAGCCTATGAAGTTCACACTATTATTATCCTCATTTTACAATGAGAAAACTGACATAGAGAGTTAAACTATCTTGTCAAGGTGCCAAAATAAATAACTGGTGAATCTAGGACTCAAACCCAGCAGGGTCTGACTTCATAGTCTCAGCTCACGATCACCATATGACACCATCTGCACCAGGGAAGGGAAGGCATGCAGACCTGACTCTAATGCCAGCTAGGACGTGAGATGGTGCTACCATCTCAAGTGAAGAAAGAGGCAAGAACCAGACTTACTTTGCTCACACTTGAGTCCACTGAAGCCAGGGTCACACTTGCAAGTGTAATTATTGATGGTCTCTACACATTCACCGTGGCCACTGCAGGATGTATTGGTACAGGCAGCTACGGAAAATACAAAGCATGATGAGGAGGACTATTACTGTGCTTATACTGAGTGCCTTTGATTTTAGAATCAACAGTGTGCAACAGAGACATCAGCAGTCCTACAGAGTGCCATAGACTTTAACTGAAGTGTTTTACAAAGTTCCAAATCTGAGTTTCAGGCCCACCTATCCTAAACCTTGATGCTAATGTATAGCTGTGGCTGGCACCTACCGTAGAAAATTTACTTCTTCACAAACTCTGAAGACAGTTCCCCTACCACAAATAAACAAGTAATTAAAATATGTATTGTGTGTGTGCATTTTTATATGTAAAGAACTACATATTTGCCTACAGTATTTATATATATTTTATATATATACATACACACATATATGTGTGTATATGTGTGTATGTATATATATAAAATGTATATAAATGCTGTAGGCTATATATATATACACACACACATATATGTGTGTGTGTATATATGTGTGTGTGTGTATATATATACATATCCACATATTCTTGCCCACATTCACACAAAACAGCAAAAGAGAGAAACTTTAGCAGTTAAACAGAATCTTTTGGAACATAAAATGACCACAATAGAGAGCAGTTTTTGCATGCTGTAAATTTGCCAAGATGCCCACACACTGAAACTACCTCCCACTGCTGCCGCAAACTCCCTACCTGTGTAGCATAGGGCAAGCTTCTTCTTGCTGCACCTCTCATCATTCCACATGCCCACATCTTTTTCTCTCTTGATGTAGATCTCCACGCAGTCCTCATCTTTTTGCCTATTGTTGGGTTCACCTGGAGCCCAGTTCTTGGCTTCTTCTGTCAGAGGTTTCTGGGTTCCTACCCAGACCCACACATTGTTGACTTTTCTGATTCCAATCCAGTAATAACTTGGTGAATAGCTCAATATGGAGTTTAGGTACTCAATCTCTTCTTTGTTTTGAATTGCAACCAGGTGTGTGTACCTTTGCTGACAATAAGCACTGGCCTCATCATAAGTCATAGCTTCCGTGGAGGTGTTGTAAGACCAGGCTCCACTCTCTTTAATGAGAAGCACTAGTGGGAGAAAAAGAAAAGAAATGGTAGAGTTTGGTACTGTTGTGGTTTAACTCTGACAACTGTGCTTTTTATTGTCTTATTTTTGGCAATGTTTGTGACATGGCCCAGACTTTTCTCATCTTTTCAAAAGTAAGAAGTACGTATGAAGAAACAGCGACTTATTGTTTATCTCTTTTGTGACTGCCACCCACTAGGTACCTTATCCACACTCACTCACAACATTATAGTATACCCATTTTGTAGTAGAATAATAATCAGAATAACTAAGCTTTATTGAGCACTTAGTATGCACCAAGAAGCACTGTATGAGGTACTTTCCATGAACCATGCTATTGAATCCTCACAATGCATCTGGGAAATAGGTCATTATGATCCACACTTTACACTTAAGGAAAGGGAGACACCAAGAGGTAAAGTAAATGACCCCAAGCCCAGGGAAGAACACATTGCAGGTAGAGGTCAAGGATGCTGCCAGATATCCTGTGCAGGACAGCCCCAGACAAGCAAGGATATTTCAGTCTGAAATATCTATAGTGCGAGAATGAGAAATCTTGGTCTAATGGCACTGACTTACCCAAAGTGAGAGCTGAGAGAAACTGTGAAGCAATCATGACTTCAAGAGTTCTTTTCACCCAAAGGTTTAGGCTTGAAATACTTTCCTGGGGAGATAAAACACAAAATGAATTAAAGAAGGAAATCGTGGGTAGCTAGTTACATTATTCTACCATGATGTTTAAGGCAGCATCCTAAGATTTTGGGCAAAGGACACTAGTGCAATAATCTTTATTTCAGAGTTTAATCAAATAAATAAACAAATTTTAAGACTTTCATTATTTAGGTCAAAGAGAAAAGACAGGTTTTAGCTACAATACAATAAGAGCTTGTACAGATGTGGTTTTTATTAGAAGGCCTTTTGCATATCTGTGTTTCATGGCCCGAGGCTGCCCTTATAAAGCGTTCTGCACTTACCGTTTTGGGAAGCAGTTGTTCAAACACAGGATCTCTCAGGTGGGTATCACTGCTGCCTCTGTCTCAGGTCAGTATAGGAGTTTTGATGTGAAGTCAGCCAAGAACAGCTGAACACTACTTCGGCTGAGGCCCTTTTATAGGAGGGATTGCTTCCTGTGAATAATAGGAGGATATTGTCCACATCCAGTAAAGAGGAAATCCCCAATGGCATCCAAAAACTTTCCCGGGAATATCCACGATGCTTAAAATTACAATGATGTCAGAAACTCTGTCTCTTGAAGCTACTTCACCTTTGTCCATGCCTTTATATCGTATATGCAATTTTATTAATATGACAAAAATGCATGATTTTTAATTATAATAACATAAAGTCTATGTCTTTAAAAAGTTGTAAAACTTTGCTTGTTAGTAGTGTCTCTCATGTAGTTGTGGTAGTAATTAGAATTTCAGAAACAGAAGGAAACCAAGAATAGGTTTGTCATCCATAGTCTACTACCTTCAATTTCTCATTCATAGCTGTGGATAACCAATCACTACTCATTTTTTCTTCCTTTTTCACCTGCCAATTCAACATATTTAACATGCACTGTCTCACAGAGGAATGACTCACAAGGTAGATATTAATCTTCAGATTTTGCACGGCAGTTATGCCTAAATTAAAATATTATCTAAAAATAATATCTAACACTCAAATGGTTAAAATAATGCCTTATTTTAAAAAAAGAAAAATGGGAAATAGATATTTACATCTGGGAAAGTTTCATGGTTTGTTCAGTGAAAAAAATAAAAAGGAGGCCAGGCACAGTGGCTCACGCCTGTAATCCCACCACTTTGGGAGGCCGAGGCAGGCGGATCACCTGAGGCCGGGAGTTCAAGACCAGCCTGACCAACATGGAGAAACGCCATCTCTACTAAAAATACAAAATTAGCTGGGCATGGTGGCGCATGCCTGTAATCCCAGCTACTCGGGAGGCTGAGGCAGGAGAATCGCTTGAACCCGGGAAGTGGAGGTTGCAGTGAGCCAAGATCACGCCAGTGCACTCCAGCCTGGGAAACGAGTGAAACTCTGTCTTAAAAAAAAAAAAAAAAAAAGAAAAGAAAAGAAAAAAAATAAAACGGAAAACTATATATATATATTTAATTGGTCAAAATTTTGTTTAAAATTTTTGAAATGTTAATGTGCAAAGAATAAAAATTCTTCCACAATGTTAACAGTGACTAACTCTGGATGGCAGGATTTGGGATAATTTTTATATCCTTCATTATTATTTTCAGGATTTTAAAGTTTTTTTCAATTTCCCTTTTTTTCACCTTTATAGTAACAAGAATACAGTTTAAAGAAACTTGTCTCTAGGCCAGGCATGATGGCTCATGCCTGTAATCCCAGCACTTTGGGAGGCTGAGGTGGGTGGATCACCTGAGGTCAGGAGTTCCAGACCAGCGTGGCCAATATGGTGAAACCCTGTCTCTACTAAAAATACAAAAATTAGCCGGGGTGTAGTGGCGCATGCCTGTAATCCCAGCTACTGGGGAGCCTGATGCAAGAGAATCGCTTGAACCCAGGAGGCAGAGGTTGCAGTGAGCTGAAATCACACCATTGCACTCCAGCCTGGGCGACAGAGCAAGACTCCATCTCAAAAAAAAAGAAAAAAAGAAAAAGAAAAGAAAAGAAATTTGTTTCCAAATGCAACAGAAGGAGATGTATGTGGTATCCTATATTCCTGCTCTTCATTTTGACATTTCTTCTGGGTGATTGTATACATTCCCCATCTCTGCATCTTACCCTATCTAAATGATGGTAACAGTAAATGGGGATCATTTTAATTTCCATATTCTGTAGGTTTTCAGAGCTCAAGTCAAGCTAATATTCTATATCTACAGCCTTTCAAAATAGGAGGTCTATCTAAAAATGTACTGTCAGCAGACCTGAACGAGTAGTGGTAAAAGCCTCGTTTTTCTCTTTACTTGTTAGCACTGGTCTTTCTGTGTTCATAAAGATGTCAAGACCCAAAAAAAAAACAAGAAAAGAGAAGAAAAATTCCAAAAAAGACAACTGATTAGAAAAAAATAACTTAATTAACGAATTTAATTCAACCCCTATCAAAAAGCATAGAATTTATTCCCTCCACCTTACCACTCTCTTACATGATCCAGATACTGACATTATTCCAATTCTTTATCCCACTTTACTTAGCTCAATGTGGTTGTTGCTTCAATAAATTCAGAAGAGTAATCACTCATATAGTGTTTATTTAGATTTTAGGGCAGAATGTCAAGTTGGGTTAATACATTATCTGTATGTATTTTATTTTTAATAAAGTATGAATACATAATCTGCTATTTTTAAAAAGCATGGTCAAATGTATAGAGTAGCCAAATCTTAAAAAACAATTTATCTTCGATATCAATAAAGTACCTAATAATTATATTGCTAATAGAAATTAGTCGTTAACATCCCTAGATAACTAACTTTATTATTGCGAATTTTTCATAACTAAGTTTATAGTTTATCTCTTCCCCTTTTTAAAATTAGTTCAAAGATATCTAAAAATAGCCCCAGTGGTGATGAAGTTTCTATTTTACTTACATATATATGTCCTGGACCCCCAATTATAATCTCTAACATTTATTGAGTGCTTACTATGTGCCAGGCCATATTCTGAGCATTTTGTATGTTCACCTATTGATTATTCAATCCGTACAACAGCCTATGAAATAGGTACTCCTATTATCCCCATTTTACAGATGAGGAAATTGAGAATCTGGGGATTTTATCTCATTCAAAAGCACAGAGCTAAGGGTTGAAACCAGGCAGTTGATATCCAGAGCCCACTCCCTTACCTGCTACTCCAAACCATGATTTCTTTTGTTGTTATGCCCCGAGATTCCTTGTTCTACCCAAGTTTCCTGTACTCTTCTTGCCCTCTTCTTCCTGAGACATCCTTGACCATCACAGCTCTCCACTGAGATAACTGTGTCCTGGGTTCTGAGACATGGGGGCTGGAAGGGACCCCAGGGACAGTGAGCAGTAGGGAGAGGATGCAGTGAGAACAGACCCTGGATCCCCGGTGCATAGGCAGGGAGAAAGTGGACAAAGGAAAAAACAAGCAAGGCAGGTGGAGCCATGCCTAGGTAAAGTTGATCCCTAAGCCACAGTTCCCAGAAGTTCCTGATTCAAAAGCAAATTTTCTCTAAGGTCAAAGGGCAAACTGATTATTCTAAATTCTAAACTGATTATTTCTAAATTGAGAAAGCTTCAGGGAGAGATCCCAATATTCGAAGGATAAGAGAAATGAGGAGTGGAAGAGATAGGTGAGTAACAGTAACTTAAATGTAGACTATATATAATATATAATATATGTAGAGTATATATATATAATTACAATATATTATATATGTGGAATATATATATTATTTATATATATTTATATATTTTATATATATAGATATTTTTATATTTTATATATAAATATAGATATTTTTATATTTTATATATAAATATAGATATTTTTATATATATTATATATAAATATATGTAAAATACTGTGAAAGAAGAATAGAATCTTGAGACCTCAAATTCACTATGCCAAAGGGAAAGTTAAGCTTGGGAAATGAGTCATGCAAAAACTGCCTTCCTTTTGTTCCCAAATACCTGTAATTTCACATGCTTACTTTATCTTATATAAAATGTAGATGTACTGAGCATGAGATCCATGCATAATTTCCCTCTAGTCCCTTCTTTTTACATGTAAAGTGTAGACTCACTGAGTGTTACAGAGCCTTGCCACAATGTAAACACTTGTCTCATTGCCAACCCATCTTTCGTTTATTTTCTTCCCCTCCTGCTTGCTCTTTCCCCTCTAAAGATGGAAGTTCCCAAAACTCTCTTTGGAAAAAGCGCAGGTCACAGATCCTACAGTGATTTGTGTTTCTTTTACCTGGGACAAAATAAACCTCTAATCTGTTGAGATATGCTTCAGTTACTTTTTGGTTTACAATATGTACATGTATGTATATAATTTATATGTATATAATATATGTACTTGTTTTAACCAGAGGTATGTTATTCAAAATCCATTCATCCTTACAATTACCTGCATTCTCCCACAGTATTTTCTGTGTCCCTGCCCCCGAGGTTGTCACTGCAAATCAGGTACATGGATACTGGGAGCTGATGGGCTCCCCTCTGGCTACCTGGGCTGCTGAAGGGGCCATAGACAGACCCAGCTTTCCTCTCGTGGAGAGGCCCTGGGCCAGCGCTGCGTGGGAGTGGGATTACAACCAGACTATAGCTTCTTCACCTGCTTTTTCCTATCAGGATTTCATAAGAGGCAATTGCTTGTTTTTTGAGGGTGGGGGCAAATCAGGGGGAGTTGAAGAGGAAATTGGGTAAGATTTGAATAGTTGGGCATGTTGAATATTATGAATATCATCTCCCTCTTCAAATAATCCAA
Source organism: Homo sapiens (assembly GCF_000001405.40). Classification (NCBI taxonomy): domain Eukaryota; kingdom Metazoa; phylum Chordata; class Mammalia; order Primates; family Hominidae; genus Homo; species Homo sapiens. The sequence continues at coordinate 169,738,425 of NC_000001.11, forward strand.
AATATACCCCCAAGAAACAGGCTGATTAGAGGTGCTTCAAGGCTCCACTGAATCTCCCAAGCTCTGAAGATGTAGCTAGCTGTTACCGGATTGCCGGTTTTCAAGCCTCGCCTCACATGGACCCTCTTGGCAGTTTCTCGCATGGGGGAAGCATCCGCTACATAGATGGGAATGAAAAGAGGAAAGAAGACGGTGCAAACTCAGGCACACCCCGGTGTCTGCCACCAGTGCTATTTAATCTCTGAGGTGTCACCCTTCCTGGCTTTATTGTCTCTTCCTGGAAGTCTCTTGTCCTCTCCTCCACACCCTTTAATCAGGCATCAAAGACTTTAACCAGTTTTGCTGTGTGCCCAGGCCCACTCATTCTCACTTTTATGGCAAAGGGAGTGGGAGACAGAGAGATAGCCAGAAAGAAGAGATTGGGGACCCCAAGACAAATGTTAGAATTTTAACCAAGGCCACCCTGTGGACAGGAGATTATTGGGTTTAGTGGAAAGCAGCACTGGCCACAACCACACGTGGCAAAAGCATCTATCGAGGAGTGAAGTTATATTTGGTGAATGTGACCGGGAAGCAGGGGCAGTGGTGTCCTCCTGCCTTCCTGAGGCACTCTGTTCCCTTACCTCTGCGAAGGCTTATTTTACCCCTGAGTGCTTAGTTTTGAAAGCCTTAGTTCCCTCTCTCCCATAAAAAAGCTCTACTCTGCTAACATCTAAGTTACCTTTGCAGAGTCTTAGGTAGAGGGAGGAAATCCCAATAAAGATTCCACCCTATCTGCAAAATACAAACATGGTATTTCTTGCATTCCCAAAATTGTGAAAGAAAATGTGTATCACCACAGTAGAGAATGGCATTTTTTGTTTGATCAAAACCTAAATATATTTGATGAAAATGTGTCTGGTTCTAAGTTTATTTCCCAGAAAGCCATGTTTACTCACTTGGAATTTATAGACATCTTATAATATCTGAGTCGAGTAGGAGCTCCGGGCTCTACCTCACTCTTTTCTCCCACACCCAGGGGGAAGTGTAGGGTTCTCAGACTTTAGAATAAAGAGGAATCACCTGGACAACTCACCTAAAATGCACATCTTCAGGTCTCATACTCAGAGGCTCTGACTCAACAGGTCTGGGTGGCGCCCAAGAATTTGGGCTTTAAATGAGTATCTCAGATGATTCTAATACAGAATGTGTAAGATGACCAGATCCTATCACACTTAGATGTATTGGCCTAGGGCCACCTAACTTGGAGAAAATGTTAGTAAGACCCCGTGGTTGGTGCTCAGCTATAGGTACCAGAATTTTGATCAAAATTTACTATCATTGTGACACTTCTCTTCGGAACTGGAAGGCCAGAACCCCACTTGTAAAGTGCTGGGAAAATACAAGGAAAATTTAGGGTGAGTAGCATTTTGAATTCTTACACATGGAAAGTAAATGTATAAGAATTCTTACCAATAAAAAAAAAGCAAGAGAGAATAGCTGCTAAAGAATTAACACAAATATGTATATATTAGTTATTCTCTTTTCTCCTCTGATTCCAGAGGACTTTGTAATTCCACTAATTCTTCTTGAGCTTCCAGGATGATCTGAGACTTGAATTTTTCATGTGCTTTTTGCTTCCTATTTGGCAGCATCTTATCTTGAAGTTTCCGCTTTCTGCTTGGGGACCTAAAAACTAACTAATGGGAATTTCTTCAAAATGAGCAAACTCTGGTGAATTCCCAAAGCGGAAGAAACAAGTGAGGATCGGGCTGGTTAATTAAGAGAACTTTTCCTGAATGTAGCCAGACTGTTTGCCGACTGTTGTTAACATGAGGGAAGAAATACCCCTGGATTTTAGAAGAGCCCCTTGTTTGTTTTCCTTGGCCATTTGTGCTGCTTGTTTTGTAAGTCAGAAATTTCCTGAAGGACTATTATTAGCTTTGTTCTCACGTCAGAAAACTTCTGCTCTGGCCACTTTTAAACATATAACTTGGATTTTACTGTATTAGAAAATGTAACAATTACAGACAGCACTAAAAGGACACCAAAGGGCAAAGAAAATGGGTAACTTTTTTTTCTTCCCCAAATCTAAAATAGGTGATTTTGGAGAAGTAGGAGAAAAACCTGGATTTTCTAGATCTCTTTAGAGCTCAACAACTGATATAGTTAATTATGTAAGTCTTTGATATTTGGAAATGATTGGATTAACCGGATAACAATGAATATTTAAATACAGTGATTTGGCCAGGAGCAGTGGCTCATGCCTGTAATCCCAGCATTTGGGGAGGCTGAGGCGGGTGGATCACCTAAGGCCGGGAGTTCCAGACCAGCCTGGCCAACATGGTGAAACCCCATCTCTACTAAAAATACAAAATTAGCCAGGCGTGGTGGTGCAAGACTGTAATCCCAGCAACTCGGGAGGCTGAGGCAGGAGAATTGCTTGAACCCGGGAGGCAGAGGTTGCAGTGAGCCAAGATCACGCCATTGCACTCCAGCCTGGGCAACAAGAGCGAAATTCCATCTCAATAAATAAATAAATAAATACAGTGATTTAACACAAGAGATTTCTATTTCACACTAATGAGCTCTGTCACTGGGGCAAGCTTCTTTGCCTCATTAAGTCTCAGATTTCCCGAGAGCTTATTTATTTATACCAAGAGTGCTTTACTACCGTCTCTGCTAGCTGTGACATAATATGACAAAAGGTATAAATATGGGAAAAGGCACTAATTTATATCAAAGCGTTCTTCGTTTTTCCTTGCTGTGAAGTTTTTAGCTAATAATTCATAAGAATATACCATATTTAGAGTGTTTACTATGCATGGGCCTGGCACTTCACATACATTGCTTCTTACAAATTTTACAAAGTGAAAGGTAGATATTAATCTCATTTTATGGAGGACAAGATAGAGATCTGGAGAGGTTACATAACTTGCCAGTGTTTTTTCAGTTAATAAATGGTAGGGTGGAGATTCAATCTGTGTTACTCTAAAGTCCGTGTCCTTTTTATTGGCTCCATGCCTACTCAGATTTAAATCTCAGCAGGGAAGTAAACCTTAGTTTTTACATGAGAAAATGTTACAGCAGCCTTCTCGGCTTCCTTTACCCCCATCCCAGTTTCACGAGCTTAGTGCCTTAGATCGGGTTCCTTTAGAAGCAGACCTCGAAATAAGGATGTGGGTGCCAGTCATTTATTGAAAAGATGATCCCAAGAAAGCCTAGTAGGAGAGTGAGGAAGTGAGATGGGGAAAGGAAGAAACTCCACAAGAAGTGTGTTAATAAGCAGGTTACCGCTGTGGGCAGCCATGGGGCTCAGCTGCACTAACAAACTCTGTCTAGTACAGAAAACCTCAGGGTCTCCCCAAGGAGGGGCAAGAAGTCTGCCTAGGGTATATATCCGCCAACTCAGTCACTGGCTGAGAGCTGATCCTGGGAGGGCATGGTTAATTCCTCTGCACTTTCAAGTGGATTCCTGTGGTCAGAAAAAGCCCTCTACAATGAATTCCAGATGCTTGTATTTAAATCTGACATGATCTGAATGCTGTGTTGGGACAGGGTGGGCGTTATTAGTTTTCTGTCATTACTGTAACAGATTACTACAAACCTGATGGCTGCAAACAACACATATTTATTATGTCATAGTTTGTGTGGGTCAGAAGTACAGGTTAGCTCAACTAGTTTCTCTGCTCTAGGTTTCACATTGCCAATATCAAGGTGTCATCCAGTTGGGCTCTTCTTGGGAGGCTTGGGGATGAATCCACTTTCAAGCTCATTCAGATTGTTGGCAGAATCCAGTTCCTTGTGGTTGCAGGACCAAGGTCCCTGTTGCCTTGCTGGCTGTTGGCCAGGAGTCATTCTTAGCTTCTAGAGACTACCTGTACTCTCTGACTCGTGTCTCCACTTCACCTTTCAAACCAGCAGCGGCTAGTCGAGTCCCTCTCTTCAAATGTCTCCAACTGTGCCTTCACCTCATTTCTCCTCTGTGTACCATGTCTGCCTCTACTGCTTGTAAGGGCTCATGGGATTACATTGGATTTATTCAATCCAGGATAATCTCCATATTTTAAGGCTAGCTGACTAGTGATCTTAATTCCATCTACAAAGTCCCTTCCAATAGTACTGTATTAGTCCATTTTCATGCTACTGATAAAGACATACCCAAGACTGGGCAATTCACAAAAGAAAGAGGTTTAATTAGATTTACAGTTCCACATGGCTGGGGAAGCCTCACAATCATGGCAGAAGTCAAGGAAGAGCAAGTCATGTCTTACATAGATGGCAGCAGGCAAAGAGAGAGAGCTTGTGCAGGGAACTCCTCTTTTTAAAACCATCAGATCTCATAATACTTATTCACTATCACAAGAACAGCATGGGAAAGTCTTGCCCCCATGATTCAATTACTCCCACCAGGTCCCTCCCACAACATGCAGGAATTCAAGATGAGATTTGTGTGGGGACACAGCCAAACCATATCAAGTACCTAGATTCATGTTTGATTAAACAACCAGGGAGCAGAAATCTTCAGGAGTGGGGGGCATCTTTAGAATTCTGCCCACCAAGGCTGGGCGCGGTGGCTCACACCTGTAATCCCAGCACTTTGGGAGGCCAAGGTGGGTGGATCATGAGGTCAAGAGATCGAGACCACCCTGGCCATGGTGAAACCCCATTTCTACTAAAAATACAAAAATTAGCCAGGTATGGTGGTGGGCACCTGTAGTCCCAGCTACTCAGGAGGCTGAGGTAGGAGAATCACTTGAACCCAGGAAGCGGAGGTTGCAGTGAGCCAAGATTGCGCCGCTGCACTCCAGCCTGGGAGACAGAGCAAGACTGTCTCAAAAAAAAAGAATTCTGCCCATCATAGTAGGCTGTCCTACAGAGACATAACCCAGGAATTAGGTGAATGGCTAACCTAAATTAGCACTGTGATGTGTTTTCTGACTTGGTCCTTATAGCTCCTCTGCTTAGATGTGGAACTAATCCATGAATGCAAGGGTTTGTCTAGAGTTTTAAGTGGGAGTTAAATATCCAAAGTACAGGAGATATTATGGGTGCCTCATCCATGTCCCCTTGGCATTTATCTTTCTTGGATAACCCAACTCTATTAGTTTTTATATCTCACTTGTTCCTATACTCTGTGAACTGATGTCCCATAAATAGACATTTCATTTTGCCAGTCTTCTTGAACAATAATTACGATTATTAATCTAGCAGTTATCATTAATTGGCCACTTCACATTAGACACAGCACTTAGGACTTAAGAATACCATGTCATTTGATCATCATAATATGGTCAGGAATTAAGTATTGCTATCCAAATTTTACAAAGAAGGCACTGAGGGTTAGAGTTTAAATAACTTGCTTAAGATGTCATAGCCTGTAAGTGACAAAACTAGGACTCAAATACAGGTCCATCTGACTCCAAAGTCTATGTTCTTGGCTACCACACTGCCTCTCCTACAAGTGACCTGTGGTTTTACTACTATATTCACACTCTACTAACTTTACCATCTCCCATGAGTCTGTCTAGAGGAGGGCACACACAGCACAGAAAACACATGAATGCAAAATAAGGAAGGGCCTACTTACTACACAGAGCCATTCTAATACCTGATGTTTGCTCTAATCCAGTTTTACTATTAATTAGTTGCTGGTGCCCAAGTTTTTACTGAGAAATGGGGATAATTTTGGAAGTCATAATGATGCCTTCTTCTCATAGGGTATTTTATTTGTTGTTGTATCTCCAGGCCCCAACACAGCCTGGCTTTTAGTAAATGATCAAAAATACCTGTTGAATGAATAAATGGAGTCACCTGAAACATGTTAAACATTTGTTCATGTGTCCTAATCGTGGATTTCAGGATAGTAAGCATCCTAAAAGGAAAGCATGCACACTGTTCTTGCTACATTAATTTCTCACAATATAAAAAAAGAAAAGCATCTGAAAAAAGCTGCCAGCCGCTGTGTCTCCTAATATCAAACTGAGCACAGATATGGAGAAGCTAAGGGAGAGGGATGATGGGCCATGCCTCTAACCTCATCATGGCAAAAGTCCTGGGGGTCAGACCCGAGGAGAGCAGGAAGTGTCTTTTGAGGGATACATTTCCACAGTGGAAATAATGAGACTTAAATAAATATTATATACACAGTTCAACTGTTTTTATGTGTAAAGGTAGTAGGTTTTCACAGTAAGGAAGCACTTCTTTTTTTTTTTGTTTGAGACAGAGTCTCGCTCTGTCTCCCAGCCTGGAGTACAGTGGTGCTATCTCGGCTCACTGCAATCTCTGCCTCCTGGATTCAAGTGATTCTCCTGCCTCAGCCTCCCGAGTAGCTGGGACAACAGGTGTGTGCCATTACACCTGGCTAATTTTTGTATTTTTAGCAGAGATGCGGTTTCACCATGTTGGCCAGGCTGATCTCGAACTCCTGACCTCAGGTGTTCTGCCCGCCTCTGCCTCCCAATGTGCTGGGATTACAGGCATGAGCCACTGCACTCACCAAGCACTTCTACTGATAGCATTTACAAACCCTTCTTAGAATATTTAAAAATTCTAAGAGAAGAGTAAATTGAGCCTTCCCAACTAATACTAGGAGGTTATAACCTTCATACCAAAACTGGACAATGCTTGCACAAAAGAAGGAAGCCAATGAGGCCACCTAGAAGGAAGACTGGGCATTGGGCCCAGTGAGTCCTGGAAACCTCATCTGTGCCAGCCACCCCGGCATGGCCTGTATGAGTGGATGAGGGTGACTTGTCCACAGACAATAGCCATCTAGCTGTGATAAAGGAGTCAAGGTAGTCAGCTGCATCTCTTTCACCTGTTTGCCAATGTTACACAGGTTGAAAAGCTAAGGTTTATGTAAAGCAAGCATCAAAGATGATGAAATGATCAACCTGACAATGAGTACTATGCTGCATTGTCCAGAAAGGAACTGTGGAAGATTTTGGGCTGAATTTCAAAACAGAATTTCCTCACTCTCTGGATGTTGGCTTACTTGGCCTTTGATGTTCAGAGGTGGTGCCTTTGTGTTGTTGAACAATGTTGATTTTGGAGAGAAAACAGAGTTGAAAAACCCACAAGTCATTCCCTGGGGAGTATTACCGGAATACAGAGGATAATTTCAGCAAGCCAGCAAGGCCTCATCTCTGCTTCTAATAGATAGGAAGAAAGGAAGAGAGGAACAATACTTTTTTAAGAAGCTCAGCTTTATCGCCTTATCTCATAGAAAGATGCCTCCAGTCTGTCTGGCTAAAGGTAATTGGCATGGGAAAGTCTTTATCTGTGATTCTAACAAGTGGAATGTTTCCCTTCATTAAGAGAGCCTTGTCTGGCTTGGGGAAATGAAACACTTTCTCCGATATGAGTGGGCTGTAACCCCTGCTACTAAATACTCAGAAGAAATAAGGCGGTTGTGGAGCAGTCAGGAATGAGTCACTTGCCTCCCTGGAATATTCAGAAAACTGAATCAAAAGTACATTCTTCTGGGTTTTCTTAGTCTAATAGACTAAGGGTCTCTACTTTGTTAAATTTCTGGGAAACAGCATAGAATGGGAGAAAAAACTGGTCACTGTAGTCATGCAAATCTGCAAAACAAACAAAAAAGTCTGGGTATTGCTGCTAACTAGCTATGTGACCTTAAGCAAGGTATTAACTCTCTCTGAATTTCAGGTTCTTCATCTGTTAAATAGCATATCTGTAAAATGGGAATTATTTTCATATCATAATGCTGTAGCTTTAAAAAATAAAATAAAATGGATGAGATAATCAGAATTAAAGAGCCTGGGATATATAGTTAATATATAGCAGCATGTAAAGATCCTGTTAGAAATGCTAATTTTACAGTTAACCATTTGGAGATGATCCGCCAAAGCTGCTAGTGTAGAGGCAACTGAGAATTTGCCTGTCCTTCAGAATATGAATAAATAACTGTCAATGATGTCTCAAGCCTAGAAAAACCTATCCATCTGGATGGGTGGGAAATTTCTAGGCTAGTATTGAGAAGCCCATTTCTTGGGAAATAGGTCCTGGACTGAGTGAAGGAAAAGAAACAGTAAAACCCATGGTAAAGCAGCAAGGCTCTCTAGAGGCTCTGGAGAGGATGAATTGAATTCTAGAAGATGAAGTAGGGAAGACGCTTTACCTTCTTGTGAAATGGATTCAAAGATTCAAAGACCTTCGGGAATCTCCAATTGTATAAATGGCACCATAGCTGTATGTTCCATGGAACACTACTTCCCAGAGATGCCCAGTGAAAAAAGAATGCCACAGTCAAATAAGTTTGGAAACACTCCATTATGTGGCCACCTCCTTGAAGACTCTAATGCACATTAGCATGTTAAACAGTCTTGAGAAGTCCTGCAGAGCAGAAATTGCTTCACATCTGCTAAGCCGGCAGTTTCCCAATATACTTGATTATGGATAGTTTTTTCCTTACAACACCATTCTCTGATATGCTTCCAATGACATGAAATAAATATATATGCATGAGGTTCTTCATTAGGGCATACTTTTTAATAGAAAATATTGAGAATAATCTAAATATAAATGCACAGCATTTACCTTTTCTGCATAAACTATATACAGGCATACCTTGGAGATACTATGGGTTTGGTTCCCACAATATCTCCAAAACCACATTCGGTTTTATGACCACTGCCATAAAACCAGCCACATGAATTTTTTGGTTTCCCAATGTATATCAAAGTTACATTTTTACTATACCATAGTCTATTATATATACAATAGCATTATATCTAAAAAACAACGTAAACACCTTAATTTAAGGCTGTGGCTGGTTTGATTTTCTACCCAGACCACTAAAACTTTCTTCATATCAGCAATAAGGCTGTTTCACTTTCTTACTATTTTTTGTGATAGCACTTTTCCTTTCCTTCAAGAATTTTTCCTTTCTATTCACAATTTGTTTGATACAAGAGGACTAGATTTTAGCTTATCTCAGTTTAAGGTGTTTACATTGTTAGCTAAAAATGCTAATGATCATCTGAGACTTCAGCAAGTCATAATCTTTTGCTGGTGGAAGGTCTTGCCTCAGTGTTGATGTCTGCTGACTGGGTGGCTTTGGCAATTTCTTAAAGTAAGACAACAATCAAGTTTGACATATCAATTGACCCTTCCTGTCATAAATGATTTTTTTTTTCTCTGTAGCCTGCAATGCTCTTTGATAGCATTTTACCCACAGTAGAATTTTCAAAATTGGAGTCAATCCTTTCAAACTCTGGTGCTGTTTTATCAACTAAGTTTATGGAGTATTAGAAATCCCTTGTTGTCATTTCAACAATGTTCACACCATCTTCCCCAGGAGTATATTCTACCTCAAGAAACCACTTTCTTTGCTCATCTATAAGAAGCAGCTCCTCATCCACTAAAGTTTTATCCTGAGATTGCAACAATTCAGTTACATCTTCAGGCTCTACTTCTAATTCTAGTTCTCTTGCTGTTTCTATCTCATTTGTGCTTACTTTCTCCGCTGAAGTCTTGAACCCCTTAAAGTCACTCATGAGGGTTGGAATCAACTTCTTACAAACTCCTGTTGATGTTGATATTTTGACCTGCTCCCATGATTCATGGGTATTCTTAATGGCATCTAGAATGGTGAACGTTTTCAGAAGGTTTTCAGTTGGCTTTGCCCGGATCCATCAGACGAATCCCTATCTATGGAAGCTATAGATTTATAAAATGTATTTCTTTTTTTGTGGGGGCATAGCGTCTCACCCTGTCACCCAACCTGGAATGCAGTGGCACAGTCATAACTCACTGAAGACTCAAACTCCTGGGCTCAAGTGATTCTTCCACCTTGGCCTCCCAAAACACTGGATTACAAGCTTGAGCCACTGTGTCTAGCCCAAAATGTATATCATAACTAATGAGGCTTGAAAGTCAAAGTGACTCCTTGATCCATGGGCTACAGAATGGACGCTGGGTTACCAGACATGAAAACAATACTCATCTCCTCATACATCTCCTTCAGAGCTCCTGGGTGAGCAGGCCCATTGTCAAATGAGCAGTAGTATCTTGAAAGAAATTTTTTTTCTGAGCAGTAGATCTCCACAGTGGACTTAAAATAGTCAGTAAACTATGCTGTAAACAGAAGTGCTGTCATCCAAGCTCTGTTTTTCCACTGATAGGGCAAAAGCAGAGTAGATTTGGCATAATTCTCTAGGGCCTTAGGATTTTTGGAATGGCAAATTGAGCATTGGCTTCAACTTTTTTTTTTTTTTTTTTTTTTGAGACAGAGTCTTGGTCTGTCACCCAGGCTGGAGTGCAGTGGTGCAATCTCGGCCCACTGCAAGCTCTGCCTCCTAGGTTCACACCATTCTCCTGCCTCTGCCTCCTGAGTAGCTGGGACTACAGGCACCCGCCACCATGCCCGGCTAATTTTTTGTATTTTAGTACAGACGGGGTTTCGCCATGTTAGCCAGGATGGTCTCGATCTCCTGACCTCGTGATCCACCCGCCTCGGCCTCCCAAAGTGCTGGGATTACAGGCGTGAGCCACAGCGCCCAGCCTGTCTTCAACTTAAAGTCGCCAGCTGTGTTAGCCTCTAATAAGAGAGTCTGCCTGTCCTTTCAAGCTTTGAAGCCAGGCATCATTCTCTTCTCTAGCTATGAAAATCTTAGATAGCATCTTCTCCCAATAGGAAGCCATTTTTTATGCCCTAAAAATCTGTCGTTTGGTGTAGCCACCTTCATCATTGATCTTACCTAGATCCGCTGGATAACTTACCACAGTGTCTACATCATTACTTCTGCTTCACCTTGCACTTTTATGTTATGGGGATGGCTCCTTTCCTCTAACCTCATAAACTAACCTCCACTAGCCTCACATTCTTCTTTTACAGCTTCCTCGCCTCTCTCAGAGTTCACAGAATTGAAGAATGTTGGGCCTTGGATTACACTTTGGTTTAAGGGAATGCTGTGGCTGGTTTGATTTTCTATCCAGAACACTAAAACTTTCTTCATATCAGCAATAAGACTGTTTCACTTTCTTACTATTTTTTGTGATAGCACTTTTCCTTTCCTTCAAGAATTTTTCCTTTCTATTCACAATTTGACCGTTTGATATGAGAGGCCTAGATTTTAGCCAATCTCAGTTTACACCATGCCTTTTTCACTAAGCTTCATCATTTTAGCTTTTTATTTAAAGTAAGATGTGTGACCCTTCCTTTCATTTGAACACTTACATGATGATGCCTGGCTTCAAAGCTTGAAAGGACAGGCAGACTCTCTTATTAGGGGCTAACACAGCTGGCGACTTTTAAGTTGAAGCCAATGCTCAATTTGCCATTAGAAGCCATTGTAGGGTTAATTAATTTGCCTAATTTTAATATTATGGTGTCTCAGGGAATAAGGAGGCCTGAGTAGAGGGAGGGAGATGGGGAAACAGCCAGTCATCAGAGCACACACAACATTTATCAATTAAGTTTATCACCTTGAGGGCACAGGTCATGATACTTCAAAACAATTACAATAATAAAATAAAAAATCATTGATCGCAGATCACCATAACAGATATAATGATAATGAAAAATTTGAAGTATTGTGAGAATTACCAAAACGTGACACACAGACACAAAGTGAGCACATGTCATTGGAAAAGTGGTGCTGATAGACTTACTTCATGCAGGGTTGCCACAAATACTCAATCTGTAAAAAATTCAATTATCTACATAGTACCATAAAAACAAGGTATACCTGTTTATATAATCAAGACCAACAGAACCCTAGAGAAAATAGCTCACTCCCTAGCTCGGAGACATTCTAACCAACATACACTTACCTTTCTTTTTGCTGTGTACAGAATTCAAATCCCTGTCTCAGCAAAATTGCAAAGTATCAAATGTCATGTCCATCTAATACTCAAAACTGCAAATGTTAAGTCTTGTAAGCCCAGAGACCACTGTATATACAAGTGTTGCTATAAGCATTAGTTCTTCTCCAAAGAAAATAGTCCACTTGGTAGAAACAAACAAAAAGAAAAAAAAAGAAAGAAAAAACATTTTTTACAAGAAGATTCAGTCTCTTACCTACATAAGCAAAAATATGAGATGTTCTCTTATCATTTTTCCATCTATCTTATAATCTTTGGTGCTGACTTAGACACTCATTTTCCTTTTTGTACGTGACCATGTAAAAGTTCAAGTCAAGAAAAACTTGTTTTGACATTTGTTTTGCTGAGTGATGGGTCCCTAAAAGAAATTTGGCTTTGCTTTTGAAAAGTTCAGCATGATATTGTGTGAATTTTTCATGGCTAATGATTTTTAGAACAGTTGTGATGTGTTTAGGTGTTTTAAGAATATGAAGCATTCAGTGGTTTAAGTTGGTTGTTATAAAATGAAAGAATATGAAGGAAAGCCTTCTTGTCTTAGAACACACTGATTCACAAATAAGCAGCTTCTCTCAAAATGTTGTAATTACAAAAATTCCAAGGCAAATATAATAAACTCCTTGTCGGTGCTATGTCTAGAAACTTAACAGCCCCAAAGAAAGTCCTGACAAGGCAAAAAATATATATATATATACAAATTGTGGAAGCAGGGTGTTGAAAGAAGAATAAAGACTATATAAGGACAAACTGTTTAAAAGGGAGGGTATCCTTGAAAGCTTGACACTTGACTCTTTTGACGAGGCTGAGGGAAAACACTCAGTTTCATAGATTGCTGGTACGGATGTAAAATAGTGACATCCCTATAGAGAGGAATTTGGCAATATCTAGCAAAAGTGCTTATGCATTTATTCTTTGACCTAGTAATCCCGCTTCTAGGATTAGTGGTGAAGATACACCTCAACAATAAAAATATATATACATTAGGTTATTAGTTATGGTTTAATTTTTAATAGCAAAATATTTAAAACAACCTACATGAACAAATAGGAGACTTACTGAATAAACTATGGTATATCTGTACAATAAAGTGCAATTCACTTATGTTGTTAATTTGTTCCAAAAATCCAGAGCCAAAGAGTATTTGTTATGCTCTCTTTAGTATAAGAAAGGGGAAATAAGATATGTGTGCATCTGTTTATTTTTGTGAAAATAAGTACAGAAAGGATAAGTAAGAAACTAGTAAAACTAGTTATCTCCTAGTGTTAGTAGAAATAGAATGAAAGTGAATTAGGCTTCTTTGAGTATATGTTTATATATAGTTTTGACTTTTGAATTATGTTTATGTTTACATAGTCAAAAATATAAATTAATCAACAGAAATAACAAAAAAAGAAGAAATCACAAGCTTTAAAATTTAATACAAACAGAAATAATTGAATCTAACAGTATATCAAAGTGATAACGTAAACTCAGAAGAAAAAAACATAATCCAACATACCAGTGGAACACAATATTCTAACTGTATACATTCAGTGGTTATAGTCTAAGGACAAGAAAAATTGCAAAAATATCTTGAACTTTAGCTTGTAGGATTTTTATTGGTAGCAATACTAATGTACTAATTCTGAAATTAATGTTCGTGTATTATAGAATTGAGTAAATGAATAAATATGTTGATGTTATTGGGAACTAAAATTATCATTCTGGGAGTAGAGAAATATAAATATGGACTTGGCAAATGAAACAAAGACCTGCAGAGAGATAACCATATAAACTCATTATTTTAAAAATTATAAGTGTCCTAGCTCTGTTACTGAAAAGGCCTAGATTCAATCTTATCTTGATAGACAGGAGGGCACCCCTTTCTCAGAACATGGTTTCCAAATGCCATTCTCCATTAAAAGGAACAAGGTCTTCTTGGAGAAAAGACTGATTCTAGGTCTGGATTAGGTAAAGTACAACGTTAGTCTGGAATTTCTTGCTGAATCAGAAGTAAGAAAGTGCTCAAAAACATGGGAACATGTCACAAACACACGTGAGGCAACTTGAATCCTCACTGGCCATATTTAGGACAATCGAGCATCAAAAAAAAAAAAAATGTTGAGAATAATGGATTCTAACACTTAAAACAAAAAATAATCCATAGCCCACAGAAGGGGAAGAGAGGGGGAGCTCTTATTTACAGATGAATATCAAATAGCAAAGACAGAAGAAATGACAGAATTAGAGAAACATCATTTTGCAAAACACCACTGTAATAATCAATTCAGGCAAGTATTATTAATGGATGTATTACTATTGCGTAAAACCAGTTGGGGAACAGGATATTCATACAGTCTGAAGGTGTCACCCTAAACATAACTTATTACAAGTGGAAAATGGTGCCTTTACAATGAAGAAATCTAGCAGAAACCATCTTAATCTAGTGATCAAACTTAGTATCACCAATAATGGATCATACTGAGTCATGTGTCTCCTAATATGATGCACCAGGAAGGATGCAACGTCATGAACGTTGTATTCTTTTGTATTCAACAGACCACCCAGGGTAAAGGCAGCTTTCTCACTTACTAATCAGAATTGTTGGTTTTAATTCATTTTGGATTTTAAGATTTCTTACTTTCTTGTCAGCTCAGAAATTTATTTAAGATGATTTTTATCTTTTATTCAATACTTTAGCTTGGAGAACCATTCAGAGTTTCTAACTCATTGTATTGCCAAAAATAGAAAACAGCATGGTTTCTTTTGAAAATGTCTAACTTTAAAGTTACTTGTGTGTGTCACTCAGATTCACATAGCTTTTTTGCCTAGTAATGTAGTATCATGTGGCAAGGCTATAAAAATGTTTACAATCTTTTATTTAATATGACTCTTGAGAGTTTATTCTAAGGAAATAATTGAATAGTAACAAAACACTATTAACACAAAGCATAGCAATTTGATTTGGGCAACCAAACACTGGAAACAACCTAAATGTCCATTACAGGAATCATTTATGAAGCAAACACTAAAATATTTATTGTGAAGATTATGAGAACATAGAAGACAGTTATGAGAGTAAATTTGAAAACCTGAACACAAAACTTACATATACTCCAATTGTAACTTATAAAAAATACGTGCATATAAGGATAAAACAGTACAAACAAAAAAATAGTTGCGTTAGATTGGTAGAATTATGGCTCCTTTTGCTGTCTTAATTTTTTCCTTTTACATTTTGATACATTATTTTAATTTTAATTTTAAAATTCAAAAGAATTTGCCACTCATCTTTGCCACTTCAAGGAAAAAAGAAATGTGTTCGATTATTCTGTTCTTAGTATAGTTTTGGCAATTTCCTCACGTGTAAAAAGAGAATACTATTAATAATTTCAGTATCTATAAGACAATATAAAATTAAAGAATCTAGCCCAGTAACTGGTACATGGAACGTAATTAATAAATCATTATGGACTTTTTTTCTCACACCCAAGTAGGGAGGAATCAGTGGTCCCCTAGAGGCCCAGTGTAGAGGTGGCAGCACCAATCCCTAGGGGAGAAGATCTTGGTGATGATAATTCCTGAGCAGACAGTTAGCTGAGAATTCAAGAGCAGAAAAGTAAGAAAGAAACAACTTCTTGCTAACACCTTTCCACCCACGTTTCCCTGTTCTGTTGTACTCTGCTTACCCTTTCATGGATGGAGGCAGAGGAAAGAGAACCAAGTTTGCTCTTAGTCATTCACTATGTTGTTTAATCTGCCTTCCATCTTTCTTATCAGTTCAAATTAGAATGTAGACCTGAATTTAAATCCCCGTTCTGTCAGTTATAATGTGACCCTAGACAAAACACATTCTCTGAACCTCAGAGAACATTCTTCATTTGTAGAATGGGAAGATTAATCTATATTCCACTTGGATGGCAAGTCTTTTATAAACTTTATAACCTAAACATGTGTGAGTTGCTAGTATCATTATGTTGGTAAAGTTATTCTGAGATATGATAACAGAACTGTTTTGTCTAACTCCACTAGCATGGTTCAGGTTTAGAGAGTGTGGAATTAAAAGGCTTTATCCTCAAATATGACTTAAATCCGATTTTTCTCATCCACTTTCCTCCACAAACAAATCCTCAGGAAATGACAAACTTTACATGGTTAAACATCAGTTTTGTTTAGTCTTTGACATCCACATGGTTAAATCATACATTTGAAAACTGCTTATATTTGTGTTGTCTATGTCTAAATTGAAAAGACTTATTGAGGAATAGAAGACTACACATTTTTCAGCAAACACTGCACGTTTTGCAGAATTTCCCCAGGCACCAGTCTCCAGGAATTTATTGGCTACTAACAATACTAAGATATGGATGAATGAGGAAATCAAAATGGAGATCTTGCAAGTTTTGTGAGAATGGGTGAATGGTCCAAATGAAGAGATAAGTTGTGAAATATTAGTACAAGTAAAAATTATTTACAATGAAAGACATTTTGTCAATAGCTATGAGAATTTTACCATTGACCCAGAAATTCCATTTCTTTCTTCAGAAATACCCACGTAGGTATACATATAAAAAGTTATTCATTACAGTATCGTTTTTCATAGGAAAAAGTTTTAAAAATCAGAAGCTATCTAAACTATGGTATATCTAGGTCATAGAAATCAAATGACTAAAAATGTTAATATAAGCATATGTTTTTAAATTAACTTGGCTTGGGTCTTCAGCAAAATTGGCTTCTTAACATTGCACTCCAGAGTTAGACTTACCCACTCAGTCACTTATCATGCAGGAGCAGACTCCTAATACCACATATCATAGAGCAGAGTAGGACACAGGTTCTCTGCAGGCAGGCAAATCCCAAAGAGAAGGGAGGAAAGGGCTGAGACACTGCATGGTCAATTTCTTCTGAACTCTGCAATGTACGGAGGTGGACAGTGTCCACAAAGATTGCTCCCCTGGACCCACCATCATAATAACACAACGGCTTTGTTTTGTTTTTGTTTTTGTTTTTTGACACGGAGTTTTGCTCTTGTTGTCCAGGCTGGAGTGCAATGGTGTGATCTCGACTCACCACAACCTCCACTTCCTGGGTTCAAGTGATTCTCCTGCCTCAGCCTCCTGAGTGGATGGGATTACAGGCATGCACCACCATGCCCAGCTAATTTTGTATTTTTAGTAGAGACGAGGTTTCTCCACGTTGGCCAGGCTGGTCTCAAACTCTTAACCTCAGGTGATCCACCCGTCTTGGCCTCCCAAAGTGCTGCGATTACAGGTGTGAGCCACCGCGCCCAGCCCACAATGGCCTTTTGTTTACATCTCTAGTGCAGCACTCATTTCATGTTCTTTCAAGAAGAATACATATTTCATCTTTTTATTTTATACAGCAATTAGCACAGTGCCTGGCATAAGGAAAATGATCATTAAAAGCTGGGTGAAAAACCTAATAAAGCTACTGAGGATAGGAACTGCAGACCAGCATGGAAAGAAAACTATGAGCCAGATATTGACATCATCCTGAAAGGCAGAAGATTTAGTATAGGCAAGAAGTATGCTTTTGGAATATAGAAAATCTGGATTATGATAAGAAAAGAATCATATTTGTCTTATCTTACCTACTCACTTCTCAGTTCCACATGTTTCTGAGGCTGTTTGTCCTTACTTTCTTTTCTGTTTTATCCACTCTTTCTGTTCTTTAGATTGGATCATTCCTATTGAGCTGACATCAAGTTAACTGACCTTTTATTTTGTCCAAACTGCTGTTAAATGCATCCAGTGAATTTTTAACTTTATATAGTATATCTTTTAGTCCTAGAATTTCCACATGAGTTTTTTAAGTTTCCATTTCTCTGCTGAGATCTCCTATTTGTTCATTCATTATGACCATATTTTTCTCTACATTATTGAGCATAATTATAACAGCTCTTCTAAAATTCTTGTCTGCACATTCTAACACCTGAATTATTCTGGGGTCAGTCTCTGTTACATTGCCTTATTACAAAAACAGTATAAGTCACATTGCCTTGTTTCTTAATATGCAAAATGATTTTTGATTGCAGACTAGACATTTTGAATTAAACATTATAGAGATTCTGGATTCTCGAGAGAGTATTGACTTGTTTTTTCCATCAGGCAGGTAACTTGACTGGACTCAAACTCCAAACTCTAGGTCCTCTGTAATGGGCAACTGCAGTAATCTTTGTTTAGTTCTTTAAGACTTATTGGCCAGGCACGGGGGCTCATGCCTGCAATCCCAGCACTGTGGGAGGCCAAGGTGGGAGGATCACCTGAGGTCAGGAGTTCGAGACCAGCCTGGCCCACATGGTGAAACCCTGCCTCTACTAAAAATACAAAAATTAGCCGGGTGTGGTGGTGGGCGCCTGTAGTCCCAGCTACTCAGAAGGCTAAGGCAGAAGAATCACTTGAACCTGGAAGGCAGAGGTTGCAGTGAGCCGAGATTGTGCCACTATACTCCAGCCTGGGTGACAAAAGCGAGACTCCCTCTCAAAAAAAAATTTATTGGCACTGCTTGGCATCTGCTATGAATACATGAAGTTCATGGGTCAGCTATAGATCTGGGCACGTTATACACAGAATTTGGGTCTCCCTTTCTCTGGATTTCTCCTTTTCTGGATTTCTTTTCTCATTTTCCAGCAGCTGTGGTTGCCCTAAACTCGGTCCTCTGTTTCTTTACGGCAGTAAGATTTGGGAACTTTTAGGTTTTACCTGCCTCTCAGACAAAATAAAAAATAATTTTCATCTTGATGCTACTCCTTTCTTCCAGATGTAGACACCTCTCTAATTTCCAGTTGCTTTTTATTGCTCTCCAGAGTCTAAAGATTATCATTGTTTTCTGTGGGAGAGTTGGTCTGATAAAAACTACTCCCCCAAAACTGGAAGCTGGAAGCTTGTAATTATGAATAGACTTTGAGTAGTATTCTTCTTTGGAAAAGGATTTTAACTACTCCCTATGTACTTCTTTATTTCCTGTTTTTCTCATCCGTAATCTTTTTATTTTCATACTTCCTAAGTCAGACAATTTTCCTACTTGAAGATTCAGTGACTGCTATCAAATGACCCCCATATTACTAAATACAATATCCCCAACTGCATTTATAAAAAGAAAATTTACTGTTTATTAGTAAACAATGTTGTAGAATAGTAAAATATTGCTGGGCTTTGGAGCCAGATAATCAAGGTTAGAATCCCAGATTCTAACTTACTAGCTGGTGTATTAGTCCTTTCTCATGCTGCTAATAAAGACATACCCCAGACTGGGAGACTGGGTAATTTATGAAGAAAAGAGGTTTAATTGACTCACAGTTCAGCATGGCTGGGGAGGCCTTAGGAAACTTACAGTCATGGTGGCAGCAAGGAGAAGTTCCAAGCAAAGAGGGAAAAGCCCCTTATAAAACCATCTGATCTTATGAGAACTCACTCACTATCACGAGAACAGCATGAGGGTAACTGCCCTCACGTTTAATTACCTTCCACCAGTTCCCCCCCATGACACATGGGGATTATGAAAGCTATAATTCAAGATGAGATTTGGGTGGAGAAATAGCCAAACCATATAATTCCACCCCTGGCCCCTCTCAAATCTCATGTCCTCACATTTCAAAACTCAATCATGCCCTCCCAACTGTCCCCCAAGGTCTTAACTCATTCCAGCATTAAGTCAAAAATCCAAGTTCAAAGTCTCATCTGAGACAAGGCAAGTCCCTTCTGCCTATGAGCCTATAAAATCAAAAGCATGTTAGTTACTTCCTAGATACAGTGGGGGTACAGGCGTTGGGTAAATACACTGATTCCAAATGGGAGAAATTGCCAAAACAAAAGAGTTACAGACCCCATGCAAGTCCAAAACCCAATAGGGCAGTCATTAACATTAAAGTTCCAAAATGATCTCCTTTGACTTCATGTCTCACATCCAGGTCACACTGATGCAAGAGGTGGGCTTCCAATGGCCTTGGGCAGCTCTGCCCCTGTGGCTTTGCAGGGTATAGCCTGCTTCCTGTTTGCTTTTTCACAGGCTGACATTGAGTGTCTGTGGCTTTTCCATGAGTATGGTGCAAGCTGTTGGTGGATTTACCATTCTGGGGTCTGGGCCAGGTGCAGTGGCTCATGCCTGTAATCCCAGCACTTTGGGAGGCTGAGGTGGGGGATCACAAGGTCAGGAGATCGAGACCATCCTGGCTAACACGGTAAAACCCAGTCTCTGCTTAAAAAATACAAAAAATTAGCCAGGCGTGGTGGTGGGTGCCTGTAGTCCCAGATACTTGGGAGGCTGAGGCAGGAGAATGGCGTGAACCCAGGAGGTGGAGCTTGCAGCGAGCTGAGATTGTGCCACTGCACTCCAGCCTGGGCGACAGAGCAAGACTCCATCAAAAAAAAAAACAAAAAAACCATTCTGGGGTCTGGAGAATGGTAGCCCTTACAGCACCACCAGGCAGTGCCCCAGTGGGGACTCTGTGTGGGGGCTCTGACCCCACATTTCCCTTCTGCACGGCCCTAGTAGAGGTTCTCCATGAGGGTTCTACCCCTGCAGCAAACTTCTGCCTGGACATCCAGGCATTTCCATACATCCTCGGAAATCTAAGCCGCGGAGGTTCCCAAACTTCAATTCTTGACTCCTGTGCACCCACAGGCTCAATACCACATGTAAGCCACCAATGCTTGGTCAGGGCTTGAACCCTCTGAAGCAATGGCCTGAGCTGTACGTTGACACCTTTTAGCCTAGACATCTAGGACACAGGGCACCATGACCCGAAGCTTCATAAAGTGGGAGGGCCTTGGGACTAGCTGAGGAAACCATTTTTCCATCCTAGGCCTCCAGGCCTGTGATGGGAAGGGCAGCCATGAAGGTGCCTGACATGCCCTGGAGACGTTTTCCCCATTGTCTTGGTAACTAACATTCAGCTCCGTGTGCAGCACCAACTTACTTATGCAAATTTCTGTCACTGGTTTGAATTTCTCCCCAGAAAACAGGATTTTTCTTTTCTATTGCATCATCATGCTGCAAATTTTCAAACTTTTATGCTATGCTTCCTGTTGAAGACTTTGCGGCTTAGAAATTTCTTCCCCCAGATACCCAAAATTATCTCTCTCAAGTTCAAAGTTCCACAGATATCTAGGGGACAAAATGTTGCCAGTCTCTTTGCATAGCAAGAGTGACCTTTACTCCAGTTCCCAACAAGTTTCTCATCTCCATATGAGACCATCTCAGCTTGGACTTAGTTGTCCATGTTACTATCAACATTTTGGTCAAAGCCATTCAACAAGTCTCTATGAAGTTTCAAACTTCCCCATGTTTTCCTGTCTTCTAATAGCCCTCCAAATTTTTCCAACCTCTGTCTGTTACCCAGTTCTAAAGTCACTTCTACATTTTTGGGTATCTTTACAGCAGTGGCACTCCCCATGGTACTAATTTACTGTATTAGTCTGTTCTCATGCTGCTAATAAAGACTTACTCGAGACTGGGTAATTTATAAAGAACAGAGGTTCAACTGGCTCACAGTTCAGCATGGCTGGGAGGCCTCAGGAAACTTACAAACATGGTGGCAGCAAAGAGAAGTTCCAAGCAAAGAGGGAAAAGCCCCTTATAAAACCATCAGATCTTGTGAGAATTCACTATCATGAAAATAGCATGAGGGTAACTGCCCCCATGATTAATTTACCTCCCACAGGGTCCCTCCCATGACAGGTGGGGATTATGGGAACTACAATTCAAGATGAGATTTGGGTGGGGACACAGCCATACCATGCCAGCTAGAGAGCCTTAAGAAAGTCACCTAATCTCCACAAATAAAAGGTTTCCTATTTGTTCAACAAAAATAATGACACCCCTTTTATGGGATTTCTGTGAGGACAAATGATAACTAACATAGCCTTGCATAGTGTCTGGCACAAAATAGCTACTCAAAAAATAATAGAAACAACATTTAAAAAATGTAGACTTTATTTTTTAGAGTTTTATGTACAAAGCAAAATTGAGCAGAATGTACAGAGAGTTTCCGTATAGCACTCCCTACCCCCAAGCACAGATAGCCTCCCCCAGTATCAGCATCCCGCACCAGAGTGGTACATTTATTATAACTGATGAATCTATATTGACGTGTCATTTTCATCCAAAATCCATAGTTTATATTAGGGATGCCTCTTGGTGTTGTACCTTCTATGGGTTTTGACAAATGTATAATGACATGTATTCACCATTACAGTATCATAAAGAATAGTTTCACTGTCCTAAAAATCTTTGATCTTCTTCCTATTCATCACTCCCTCCCCATTAATCCCTGACAACTACTGCTAATTTTCCTGTCTCCATTGTTTTGTCTTTTCCTGAATGTCATATAGTTTAAATATACAGTATGTAGGATTTTCAAACTGGTTTATTTCACTTAGTAATATGCATTTGATGTTCTTCCATATCTTTTCAAAGCTTCATAGTTCAATATTTATAGAATTGAATAATATTCCATTGTCTGGATGTACTACAGTTTATGTATTCATTCACCTATCAAAGAACACCTTGGTTGCTTCCAAGTTTCAACAATCATGAGTAAAGCTGCTATAAACATCTATGTACATGTTTTTTTGTGAATTGAACATTTTCAGCTTTTTTAGCTCCATTCCTAGGAGTGCAATTGCTGGATTGTATGATAAGGGTATGTTTAGTGTTGTAAGAAACTGCCACGCTCTTCCTAACTGGATGTACTGTTTTGCATTCTCACCAGCAATGAAAGAGTTCCTGTTGCTCCACATACTCACCAGCATTTGGTGTCGTCAATGTTTTGAGCAATAGCATTTTGATCTAACTTTTCCTAGGTATTCTTTTTGAAGGAAATAATATGACAGATAATAGAGAAAGGATATACGAGGACAGTTCTGTCCTTTATTTATAGTCCATCATTTAATGAAGGACTCTGTCCACACTTGGTATTTTTAACTCTGATCCTCCTCTCCCATGAACTCTGACAATCTCCTAAATCCCTGTTGCTGGCACACATGGTTGTGTATCAGGCCCCCTGTGGTCTGTCTGAAGCATGGCTTTTTTTTTTTTTTTTTTTTTTTTTTTGAGACGGAGTCTCGCTCTGTCGCCCAGGCTGGAGTGCAGTGGCGCGATCTCGGCTCACTGCAAGCTCCGCCTCCCGGGTTCACGCCATTCTCCTGCCTCAGCCTCCCGAGTAGCTGGGACTACAGGCGCCCGCCACCACGCCTGGCTAATTTTTTGTATTTTTAGTAGAGGCGGGGTTTCACTGTGTTAGCCAGGATGGTCTCGATCTCCTGACCTTGTGATCCGCCCGCCTCTGCCTCCCAAAGTGCTGGGATTACAGGCGTGAGCCACCGCGCCCGGCCTTTTTTTTTTTTTTTTTTTTTTTTTGAGATGGAGTCTGTCACTCTGTCACCCAGGCTGGTGCAGTGATGCAATCTTGGCTCACTACAACCTCCATCTTTCAGGTTCAAGTGATTCTGCCACCTCAGCCTCCCAAGTACCTGGGATTACAGGTGCCCGCCACCACACCCAGCTATTTTTTTGTATTTTTAGTAGAGACGTAGTTTCACCATGTTGGCCAGGCTGGTCTCATTCCTGACCTTGAGTGATCCACCTGCCTTGGCCTCCCAAAGTGCTGGGATTACAGGCATGGGTCATCACATGTGGCCTGAAGCATGACTGTTGCTTTAATCATATGAAATACTGCTCTGTATTGTTATCTATTTGAAATGCCACACCTCCTGAGCTAAATTGCAAGCTTTTATGGAGCACAAACCATATTTATATATATTAGCATGATACCATGACACATATCAAAAGCTGTTATATATTGTTACGTGAATTGATTCTTTCTCAGTTAAGAGGACCTCTGTAGTAGCACTTTCATACCGTTAATTTTTCATTTTGTGCCCAGCCCCTACTCTGTGAAAAATGAAATGAATCCTGTTATCATTTCCCTCCCAGGCCTTTTCTCCTTGTGGACAATGTGTGGCTCAAGAGAAAATTCAGTCAGTAAATTTGTTCAGTGCACAAACTCTTTATCACCTCTCACTGTTCTCAAGTGAGATAGAACAGAACATCCATCCAGTGTCTTACAAATTGTCTGGTATATAGTAGGCACTCAATAAATGTTTTTTGAATAAATGCATACATGAATCCTATTCCTATATATAGTATGGTAGACAGATCATTGATACCCAAAGATGCCCAAATGCTGATCCCCAGAACTTGTGAATATGTTACATTTCATGTCAAAAGGGACTTTGCTAATGTGATTAAGGATTCAGACCCTTGGATTGTAAGATTATCCCGGATTAACCAGGGCCAATCTAATCACATGAGACCTTAAAAAAGCAGAAAACATTTCCCAGCTGGGTTAGAGAGAGATGAGACAGAGTAAAAAGGAAAGAGATTCAGGGCATGAAAATGACTCTACCCACTGTTGCTGGCTTTGAAGATAGAGGAACTAGGCCACAAAACAAGGAGTATGAGTGGCCTTAAGAAATAGGAAAAAGCCCTCATCTGACAGCCAGCTAGAAAGCAGTCCTCTGACCACAAGAAATTGGATTCTGCCAACCACTCAAATGAGCAAGGAAATGGATTCTCCCCTAGAACCTCCAGAAAGGAACACAGCTCTGTAATGCCTTGATTTTAGCCAGGTGAGACCTGTTTCAGACTTTTGACCTATGGAAATATAAGATAATAAAGTTTTATTGTATGCTGCTAAATTTGCGGTAGTTTATTACTGAAGCAATGGAAAGCCAATACAGACAGAATATACAGAGAGAAAGAGAATGAGTTCTTTCCTGATAATTTGTAAATATTTGGGTCTTCACTGGACAAGCTTCACAGAGGATTCACTGGTTCCCTAGCAAACCAGCATGTCCAGTCCTGCAGCCTCCCTTTCTTAGGCCCAGCATATGTCAGCTGTGTGCATAGAAAAATCAAAGCAGGACCCTGAGTAGTTGGAAAGAAAAGATGGTTGGAAATGGGTTGCACTTCAAGTGAGGAAACAAGAGGTAGGAGACCGGCATCTCTTTCTCATATGTCCCAGGCTGACTCTTGTGAGTTGTTTTCCCTTGGAGGCTATCGATGACAGTCACAGTAACCTGATGGAACCTGGATCATGATGAAAGAAGTAAGTGTCAATGGCTCCGACTTCCAAGGACTCTGATGTCCCACAGCACTAGCTAAACAAAGCCAGTTGGAAATGAGCTTAAATGGGGAATTTCCTGAATATATTCCCTATTGTTAGGAAGCCAGGTTGGCTTCCTTGCCTACAATTATGCCAAGCAGTCACACTATAGAGTCCCTAGGGACATGATATTAAGTGATTCTTTTAACACAAACAACTTAATAATCATTTATACTAATAGCAAAACGGCCAACGGCTGATATTCCACTTGAAGTAGAATTGGCTATCCAACTGGAAGAGAAGACAGGAAGACGTGATCTCCAGGGAGCCACTAAAAGGATTGGCACCTGCCTCTGGATTCCCCTTTTCCTTATATTACCTCTCAGCACTGGCAGGCCTTTATTTCAGGATACAGTTTCACAAGTATTATGTCACGTCTCTGAGAATTATGTTGGTAGATATTTGCTCCTCTGGCCAGAAAGACCTAGTTTGGAGTCTGGAGTCATGAAGGTGACATACATGTAGCTAGTGACATAAGTGTAGCTAGTAAAAATAGTGAGTAATGGCCCTGAAATTCTATTGAATGCCCAAAGTGCTGACCAGGAACAAGCATGCTCTAGCTTATCTCACAAGGAACTTGACAATTTTCTTCAAAAATCCTAGTAGCTAAGATTTCTTAGTAACAAAGCCACTAAGGCACAATTATGATTAACTTGACCCTTAGGTGACTTTTAAGGACTATTCTATAAAATATTACAACTAATAGTGGATCCAAGCCAGCACACTCTGCTATATAAGATTAATTGACAGTGTCCACACTGGTAAAATAAGTTGTTTCATAAATACATTAGAATTCATTTGCACTTTCTACACAGCCCCAAGTCCAGAACTTTCCCCAGAATAGGTCTATGTTTTGCAATCTGCTACTCCATACAGAGATTTGAGTTCACTTGGCAATTTAGTGCTGCTTATATGTGACCAGTTAGTCTGTTTTACTTATCTATGCCTTAAACATTACTATACTTACTAACTCCAAGATGCCTGGTCTCAACTTGACAAAAATACCCCAAGTTGGGAAATCCTTATGTGAATATGTAGATAGTCACAATTGCTGGTTGATGATGATCTGTCTTTTCCTGTATTTGAGAAAATGGAGATAAAATGGACCAATCCAAATAATGGATTAAACATGGGAATAGGTGAGAGAGAGAGAGGAATACATGGTGGCTCTCAGTGTCTGGCTTAGGCAGTAAACACTTTCGTTAATAAAGACGGAAAATAAAAAAGGAATAATTGGTGTCTAGGGGAAAATAATGAGCTCAAGTTTTAACACTCTGAGTTCCCGGATGTGAGACATCCAGGCGCATTTATCCAAGAGGCAGTTGGAAGCAACGTTCCGGAGCTTAGGAGAGAGGCATGACCAAAAGCTGGTGGGACTGTGAAAAGGTATGGCCATTCTGGAAAACTGTTTGGCAGTTTCTTAGAAAATTAAACATGTACTAACAACCCAGCAATTGTACTCTTGAGCATTTGTCCCAGATAAATGAAAAAAAAAAAAAGCATTTTTTTTACACAAAAACATATACATGAAAGTTCATAGAAGTGTTATTCATAAAAAACTGGAAAAAACTGAGATGTCTTTATTGAGTGAATGCTTAGGCAAACGGTGGTCTATCCATACAATGGAATTATGCTTAGCAATAAAGAGAAAAGAACTATTGATACATGCAATAACACAGATGAATCTCAAAGGAATTAATGCTGAGTGGGAAAAAAAGCACATCTCAAAATGGTATATACTGTACTATTTTATTTACTTAACATTTTAAAAATAGCAAAATCATAGAGATGGAGAACAGATTAATGGGTACTGTGTTTTGGGATGGGGAGTGAGAAAAGGGTAAGGTGTAAATATAAAGGGGTAGCACAAAAGAGCCTTGTGGTTGAAGGATTCTATGTCTTGGTTGTAGTCGTGATTGCAGGAATCTACATGTGATAAAATTGTATGGGTCTACATACGCATACACACAAGAGCATATAAAACTGGTGACATGTGAAGAAGCTCCGCACATTGTGCCAACATCAGTATCCTAGTTTCAATATCAGACTACAGTTATACAAAACATTGTCATTGAGGGAAACTGGGTAAAGGGAACACAGGACATTTGGCATATATTTTTGCAATTTCCTGTGAATCCGTAATTATTTAAAAATAACAGATATACTACATATCAAAAATTTAATGTCATAAAGTTGATGAGTTTACCTAGTGGATAGCTTTGTTAATATCTGCTATAAGACTACTGAAAATGACAGTTATGCAAGTATAAGCTCAGAGAACTTTCCTCCCCCTTCGTAAATGAAATGAGCAAAAGAAATGAAACAGGAAAGGCAAGCAGTACTGAAAACAGGGAAGGGCTCTTCCCCATATAACTATATCTGCGACTTCAACAGCTATTCATCCAGAAACACAGCCTCTTGCGCTAAGAGGAAACTTTGGATAACAATATGTTTTCACTCTCCAAGAGAGAAAATGGATAGATTAATTTTTAAGAAAAAAAAAAAAACCTCACCAATTTCATGCTGTGGCTTGCACCTTTAATCCCAGCTACCTACAAGGCTGAGGTGAGAGGCTTACTTGAGCCCAGGAGTTCAAGGCTGCAATGAGCTATGATTGATTGTGCTATCGCACTCCAACCTGGAGTACTAAGCTAAGAGCTAAGAACACAGCTGAGAGCGGAGAAGAAACAAACAAATCTGACCAATAACCCCCACTCCCCTCATTTTACTGGAGTGAGCTGAGACTGCTGGCAAACATGGCCTTTGACCTAGCCTGAACTGTAGCAAAAGTCATCAGATATTTTTCCACCAATCAACAGACAGAAGTGGGGAGAAAACAATCGTAGTTCATAACTACAACAAGCAGATAAACGAAGGCCATGGTGAGGGATGGAAGACATTGTGATATATCAAAGGCAGGCTCATTTAAAACTCAACCCAAATTCCAAACAAAATATATAATTGAATATGTATTAATGCCAAAGGAGCTTGAGTGAGCTTTAGCACAAACCCCGCCCTCCAGCCCCCACCCAAAAAAATCACTCTGTTCTCTCCCCATTCTTTGATAGGCATACTTGCTGTTTTCTCACAGCCAAGGTACAGAGGGGACTTAGAGGAACTAGAACTCTAATACACTGCTAGCAGGAATGTAAAATGAAGCATCTACTTCAGAAAACCATTTTATCAGTTTCTAGAAAGTTAAACATAGACCCACCATGCAGCCCAGCCACTCTACTCCTAAGTATTTACACAAGAGAAATGAAAACGTGTCCCCACACAGTTGTATTTAAAGGTGATGGTTAGCCTTGTGTGTCAACTTGGCTAGGCTATAATACCCAGTTACTGAATCAAATAGTAATCTAGGTGCATCTGTGAAGGTATTTTGTAGATGTGGTTAACAGCTACAATCTGTTGACTTCAAGTAAAGGAGATTGCTCTTGATAGTATGGGTGGGCTTCATCCAATCAATTGAAGGCCTTAAGAGCAAAAAGTAAGGTTTCCCGGAGAGAAAGAAATTCTGCCTCAAGACTGCAGCCTCAACTCCTGCCTGAGTTTCCAGTCAGCCAGCCAGCCTAAAGATTTGCTAGGCATTATAATCACATCAGCTAATTTCTTAAAATAAACCTCTTTATATATATTGATACAATGAATGGTTATAGCAGCCTTATTTGTAATAGCCACAAACTGGAAACAACCTAAATGTCCTTCAATAAGTGAATACATAAACAAATTGTGGTATATCCACAATTTTTACGCAGCAGTAAAAAGGAATAAATGGTTGAATAAGGAATAAACACATAACAAGGATGAACCTTAAAACCGTAAGGCTGAATGGAAAAAGTCAGACAAAACTAATACATACTGAATAATTCCATTTATATTGAAGTTCTAGAAAATGAGGACTAACCTATAGTAACAAAAAGCAGAAAAATTTTGCCCACTGGTGATGGAGGGGGCGCAGGTATTGTAGAGTATCTGAGAAAGGACAACTGGATAAAAGGGGGCACAAGAAAACTTTTGAGGGTGATTGATATGTTCATTATCTTGTGGCATGGTTTCATAGGTGCATACATATGTCAAAACATCAAGTTATACACTTTTAAAATGTTCAGTTTACTGTATATCTATTATACTTCAGTAGAGAGGAAGGAAGAAAGTGGGCAGGGTGGGGGAGAGGAAAGGAAACGAGGGAGGAAAGGCCCTAATAGGAAGGATTTTGGAGTTTAGATTTTAAAATGATAAAGGATGTTTGACACTCTAGGCATATGACGAATATAGGATTATGAGTCCACAAAAACCACCAGGAAGTCATGTATGTTTATACTTTTAAGTGAAGGATCAGTGGATTATCAACTCCCTAATGCTTTGCCTCTCTATGACTGGCTGCTGTCCTTCTCATCCCAATACTCCTTCCAAAGCCCCTTGCTTAAATGTAAGCCTTCTTTCCTCCTTTCAACACATCCTGCATTCCGTGACAAAATAAGTTTTCCTTAAACAGAATGTACAGCATATTATTTGTACAATTAAAAATTTTTGGCCAGGTGTGATGACTCATGCCTGTAATCCCAGCAATTTGGGAGGCCGAGATGTGTGGATTACCTGAGGTCAGGAGTTCGAGACCAGCCTGGCCAACATGGTGAAACCCTGTCTCTACTAAAAATACAAAAATTAGCTGAGTGTAGTGTGGCAGGTACCTGTAATCCCAGCTACTCAGGAAGCTGAGGCAGGAGAATCGCTTGAACCTGGGAGGTGGAGGTTGCTGTGAGCAGAGATCAGACTATTGCATTCTAGGCTAGGAGACAGAGTGAGACTCGGTCCCCAAAAAAAAACACATTTTTTTTTAATGTTTCCTCCTTGCCTGTAGGAAAAAGGCTCTGACTCCTTAGCCTGGGCATCAGAGCTCTATCTAAATGGACTTTAACCTGATTTTGTGGCACTAATTCCATTGCAGTACTTGTCCGCTCACTGGCCTGTGCCTCTCTGCCACTATTTTTGGAATAATGTCCTCTCTCCATCTTGTTTACTCAACTATATCCAACCTCTAAGGCTGTGCTCCTACAAAGCCTCCCCTGGCTACTTCAGCCCACAGAGATATTTAACTGCTCTGCAGTTCAGGACATTCTTCTGACTCTTTAAATCACATTTACTTATATATGATCTTGTGATATTTTTTGTTGACGTGTTTACTTTAATTTTCTTCCATAACCTATTCATTCAACAAACTCAACAATTATTTATTAAATGCCAAGTTAGAAAAATATTATTGATTTTATATAGATTATAGATATGTTTGAAATTTTATTTGGCAATCTGCAAGTAGAAAAATAATTATAATGTGGTATATCTGTGATAGAAGTATTAGTGCAGAGACCATGGGGAACATAATCCAGCCTGGAAGTTCAGGAGAGATACGTGGAAGAAAGGACGTCAGAGCCTTTTTCCTACAGGCATGGAAGAAACATTAAAAAAAATTTTTTTTTTTGAGATGGAGTCTCACTCTGTCTCCCAGCCTAGACTGTGGTGGTGCGATCTCTGCTCACTGCAACCTCTGTCTCCCGGGTTCAAGTGATTCTCCTGCCTCAGCTTCCCAAGTAGCTGGGATTACAGGTACCTGCCACACATGGATGATAAATATGATCATATTTTCTTGTTCTTTTCCTCCTCAGTTGTCTTCCCTGAAGAAAGGAATGCCTTTTATAGATGACAAACTCCCATTCTCAAGAACAAGGATTTTTGACCAATTTAATTTAATCAGATGTCTGGCTTTGACCTAGAAACACAGTCACGAAACTTGGTGATTAGAGACCAATTCCCAAACATGAGCATTTCTTAGGAAACACAGTAAAGATCTGAGAGACCCAAGAGCAGAAGGGCGAGAAACCAAAAGCCATCAGTTTGCATAGGAAACACCTTGTTTAGCCTAATCTTTTTATTTTTATTACTCTATTAGTCACTACAACTATTTTCTGATTGCTATGGTGATAGATGGTTTAAAACAAGCCTTCATTAAGAATTGTCACACCATGGTCTCAGTCAAAAACACCAACATTTTTATTGGTATTGACAATTATGGGAATATCCAATTCCAAGAAGACAAGGAGACCTCTGAACTTTCTAAATGAAGACTCCAATCTTCCTGATCTGATGGGAAGCAGCTTGGCAAGATTACCAACCACCACCACAGAGAGTGGACTCTAAGCTAAGACTTAAAAGATAAGTAGAAATTATCCAGGTAAAGATGTGTACAGAGAAGGAAGTACATCCAGGGGAAAAGAACAATACGTGCAAAAGTACGGAAATGGTAAAAAGTAATACTACATAGTCAAAGCCAAGCAGAGTTCAGAAGGGATCTGGTGGTGAAAAATACGGCTAGAGAAAGCAGCAAGGATTGGCTTCTAAAACCTATGTAGTATCTTGGACCTTACCCTAAATGTAATGAGAAGCTTCTAAAGAATCTTTCATTTATTCATTCATTGAACAAATATTTTGAGGCTTTCTGTGAAGAACATCATTCTAAGTAGTAAAGATACAGCAGTGAATAGGACACATAAAATCCTAGATCTCACAGAATTGACATTCCAGAGAGGGAAAGGTAGACAATAAATACATAAACAAATCATTTAACAAGATGATTTCAGACAATGGTACGTACTGTGAAAAAAATGAAACAAGGTAATGGACAGCGAAAAGGCACTGGAAGGAAGCCTGCTTACCTTTGCATGGTTAGAAAAGATCTCTCTAAGAAAGAGACCACATGTGAGCTGCGACCTGAAGGATACCGAGAAGCTAGGTGTGCAAAGATGTGGGGACAGAACTTTTGGACTGAATAGCAAATACAAATGCCCTTGGGTGCAAGCTTTGCCTGTTCAAGGACCAAAAAGAAGGCCAGTGTGCCTGCAGCATACTAAGCACAGAGGAAAACACTGTTATATGCTGAGATTGGAATTATAAGTAGAGCCAGATAATATAGTCTCTTATAGGTCATAATAAGGCAACCAGATTTTATTCCAAGAGGATTTAAAAATCACTGGAGGTTTTGCACTAGGGTGAGAGGTGTGATTTGTATTTTTAAAAGATAATTCTGGAGAATTAACTATAATGAGGTAGGAGTAAACTAAGTTAGGGGCTATTTCAGTGGCTCAGACAAGAGATAATGGTAGCTTAGACTAGGATAGTAGTCGTAGAAATAAATAAAAGTGGCACTCTACTTTGGGGGTAGAGTCTATAATAGGTTTGGTTTATGGATCATATATGAGAGTAAAAAAAAGAAAATAAATTAATAATGGTTCCTAGGTTTGTACCTGAGCAACTGAATAAATGGGTGCTGTGAATTGAGATAAAGGAGATTGAGAATCACAGGCTTTGTTTTGCAAATTAATTTTGAGAGGCTTATTAGACATCCCAGTGGAGATTTCAGGTGAGTGGAGCCCATTGAAAGGTAAGGGACAGGGTCAGGTGTGGTAGGTCAGGCCTGTGATCCCAGGACTTTGGAAGGCCAAGGCAGACAGATCAGTTGAGCTCAGGAGTTTGAGACCAGCCTGGGCAACATGGGAAAACCCTGTCTCTACAAAATATGCAAAATATTACCTGGGCATGGTGGCATATGACTGTGGTCCAAGCCACTTGGGGGGCTGAGATGGGAGGATCACTTGAGTACAGGAGGCGGAGGTTGCAGTGAGCCAAGATCTCGCCACTGCAAACCAGCTTAGGTGACAGAGTGAGAACCTGTCTCAATAAATAAATAAGAAACGTAAGGGAAAAGGAAATTAATCTGATCATTGGCAAATGCATAGTATTTAAAGCCAGGGGAGTAGATGAGATACTCAAAGTAGGTGAAGATAAGGAGGCAATGAAGGCCTAGGACTCTGGTGTACATTTAGATGGTTATAAGAGGAATAGAAACTGGCAAAATAAGTAACACTGAGCACCCAATGAGGTGGAGAGGAAAGCCAGGAGATGAAGCATCATAGAAGGCAAGAGAAGAAGGGTGTCAAAGAGGCGAGGCAGTCATCAACTTCTGGGCAGTCAAATAATATAAGGACAGAAAAGTGACCATTGGATTTGGAAATATGATGAGCACTTTGAGTGGAGTGTTGAGACAGAAGACCAATTAGAGTAGATTGAGGAGATAACGAGAAATGAGAAAATGTAACCTGCAAGCACAGACAATTCTTGAGAGACTTTTCTGTGAAAGGAAACAGACACAGAGTCTTAGCATGTCTTGTCTTTCTATGGGAAATGTAAATAGTTTGAGATCAGGGATAGTATTTTATTCTGCTTTTTGTACCTCTACATTACCTAGCATAGAGCTAGCTAATGTGCACTTAAGTATGTTCTCAATTCTTATCGCCTGAATGACTGGATGGGTGAAAGAATGGATGGATGGATGGATGGATGGATGGAAGGATGGATGGATGGATGGAAGACTTCTGATTTGCCAAGAAGAGGATACTGGTAGCAGAAATAAAAACAGCACTGGAGAAAGAAGAGTTTAGATTTTTATTCTTTGGTGTCAGTTAGACAGGAAAGTAAGACATTAGAAGAGTCCTTAGATAATTTATGTAATTGTTCACTTAGGATTTTTAAATGTGATCACTGATATTGGACATGTTCCTAGTGAAGCATTTTTGGTGTTTCACTGGTTGAAGTTAATAACTGTAAAATTATTTCCCGTTCAGGACAGAAAAACAGAAAACTTGAAGCTCCTATTAGAAAGTTCAAGATTCTCTGGGGTTCTTAGGATTTACTGTTCCCAAAACTCTGTCAAGAACAAGAAAATGACCTGTATACTTAACTGGTCTAGGCAACAGTGGAAAGACAATTCTCAGAGAAGATTTGTTTTAAGAAGACACTTTCCATAGGAATCAAACAATAGCTTTCAGTGACTAACATGGTAAGACACAGGGTGTTAGCTCTTTCCTTCCAACCTCATGGCTGTTGTACCTTACCTTTCGACCCCGTGTTCCTGAAATTGTTAAATTCATAAACTTACCAAGGACTAACCAGCCTCTGGGGAATTGCTGTATACTTAGCAAACTTACAATGGACATATTTATAAGCCATAATGATAACTGACTAATAGGAAATACCCTCAACTGAAAATGAGAGATCATCATTTGCAAATGAGTTCCCTTGCCCAGGCAACTACTGGGGAAAATGTCATGCAAGCAAAATTAATCTTTGAAATCCTCCTTTTCCATTTTTTGTGTCTTCCTTTTCCATAGGCACCAGAAATATCATGGTGCCTGGATCTCATCTCTACAGAAAAAAAAAGTGATTTGATAAACTGATTTATATTGTGTCCAAATGTGATTGTATTTTCAAAGATAACCTAAGGGGAGAATGCTGTCTGGCCCAACAGCAGGCTCTCGACTTCATTTCAGACACTGTGGCCAATGGCTGGGAAACAGGTATGAACAGTAGGTTTCTGAGTCCCCTGGAATTATTCCATTTATGTAGCCACCTCCATGACAGGAAGCCTCCCTACTCTTACTTCCCAGTTTGTTCATTCATGGCACCAGGTTGCAGATTAAAATTTGCTCAGTGACCTTTTATCTAATAATGTGTTACCTTCTTCTCTTAAAAAGTACAAGGGACAAATGCTCATGGTATACTTTTAGGAGATTGTGGCTCTCTATTAACAGTATTTATTCAACAAACATTTATTGAGCATTTATATGTGCATCATGCTAGGGACTGGAACCTAGTAAGTGTAGCACATATTATTTCATTTAATCCTCACAACAAACCCATGAGGTTGGTTTTATGATCCCAATTTTTCAGAAGAAGAAACTGATATTCAGAACCAGTTAACTAACTGGTTCAAGGTCATGCAATTTCTAAGATACAGAACCAAGAGTCAAAGACATGATTTTAAACCAAAGCTTTTTCTGCTACTCCACATTGCTTCCCTAGGTGAGATCTGAGGCATTCCGCGAAAAGAGAAGGGTCATAAAGCCAAGGGAAGACAAGCTTAGGAAAAAAAAGGGAAATGTCCTAAATAAACAGCTTTCCTATTTACCAGAAACCACTAGTTTAAAAATATAATGGGAAAAATCCTATTCACTTTAACAATGTTAAAAAAAAAAAAGATAGAAGAAACATAGGGATAAACTTAACACATTTGTAGGATATGTAAAGAAACTAAAAGATGTTAATAATGGCCTAAAGAAAAAAAAACTTACATGTATGGGGAGATAGACCATCTTACTGGATTCTAATATTTAATAGTCTAGGTGTTCCATTTCTCACCAAATTAATGTATACATTTAATACAATGTCAAACGAAATATCTTAGGAATTGCTTACAAATTGTCAGATAATTACAAAGTTTACCTGGGAAATATAAGCATATATGAAGAGTGAATGGGACCCCACCACTCCCCCCAAAACAAAAAAGGTCTGAAAAGGACAGAAATCAAGGAGAGTCTTGCCTGCCAGATACAAAATTCTATTATAAAGGTGTATTGATGAAAACAATTTAATACTAGTGTAGCAATAGGCAGCAAAGCAATGAAACAGCATAAAAAGACCAGAACTATACCTAATTATGATGAAGATTTAAGGTATGATAAACATGACATAATTCAAATCAGCAGAAATTGGCATAGATAGGGTTAAGACAAATAGCTAATCATTAGAGGGGAGGAAGGAAAGGAGGGAGGATAAAATTAGGTTCCTGCCTTCATCTTACATTAAAATAAATTCCAGATGTATTACATTTAAATTTTTTTAAAAAAAGAAACCACAAAATACTTGAAGAAAATATAAGTTGTTATATAGTCTTTTGATGGGAATTTTTTTTTTTTTCAGAGACAGGGTCTTGCTCTGTCACCTAGCCTAGAGTGCAATGGCATGATCATGGCTCACTGCAGCCTTGAACTCCTGGGCTCAAGTGATCCTCCCAGCTCAGCCCCCCAGGTAGCAGGAACTACAGGCATGCGACACCCCATCCAACTTATTTTTTATTTTTTGTAGAGACAGGGGTCTTGCTTTGTTTCCCAGGCTTATCTCGAACTTCTGCCTTCAAGCACCTCAGCCTCCCAAAGAGCTGGGCTGATGGGACATTTTTTAACATAGTGCCACATTACCATAAATGAAAAGCTTGTAAAATACTAATTTTTAAAACTAATATATATCAGAAATTTTTATAAACAAAGTTAAAAAGCAAACACAAAAAATTTGTAGCACTTATGACAAATATATGTATATATATGAATACAAAAAGAGCCTTTACAAAACAGTAAGAAAACAATGAATACTCCCAATGGAGTATTCAAAACTAAACTGCTAAAAGCAATTCAAAACAAAAAACATAAACTATGCATATATGTATGTGAAAAAGTTTAACCTTATCAAAGAAGTAAACTCTCAAAGAAATAAACATCAAATAAGGAAATAGCCTTTTCCCACAAATAACCAAAATCTGTAAGAATACTGAGCTGCGAATGTTTCAGAAAAAAAAAAAAATCATACACCTAGTTCGGCATGTAATTAATATAGATCAGAACACTTTAAAAATATTTATAGGCCAGGCACGGTGGCTCATGCCTATAATCCCAGCACTTTGGGAGGCCAAGGCGGGTGGATCACCTGAAGTCAGGAGTTTGAGACCATCCTGACCAACATGGTGAAACCCTGTCTCTACTAAAAATACAAAAACTAGCCAGGCATGTTGGCGTATGCTGGTAATCCTGGCTACTCGGGAGGCTGAGGCAGGAGAATTGCTTGAACCCAGGAGGTGGAGGTTGCAGTGAGCTGACATTGTGCCACTGTACTCCAGCCTGGGCAACAAGAGCAAAACTCTGTCTCAAAAAATAATAATAAATAAAAATAAAATATTTATATACTCTGACCCATCAATTTGTCCAGCATAATTAGGCATGTGTACAAGGGTTTACACACAAGAATGCCTATTGCAATATTGCTTTTAATGCTAAAAAAAATTGGGGAAAATGCTTTAAAAATATAGATTAAGACTGTA
This sequence comes from Homo sapiens, assembly GCF_000001405.40. Taxonomy (NCBI): domain Eukaryota; kingdom Metazoa; phylum Chordata; class Mammalia; order Primates; family Hominidae; genus Homo; species Homo sapiens. The sequence continues at coordinate 169,775,399 of NC_000001.11, forward strand.
CATTGTGGTACAGTCATATAATCAATAGTATACAGCTATTATTTATTTTCAGCCACTGTCCAAAATATAGCCTGGCCTAACAACATTCTGTTAGGATACGCAAGCACCGTGAGGAGATCAGCTATAAAGTATCAGTGTTTCACACCACTGCTCCTTTGCTAATAACCTTCAATGGCTTTTAAAGAAGTAAAAAACAAAGGCAAAATTCCTTAGTCAGCCCTTAAGACTCTCTGTTACTTAGCTCAAACTACCCTTTTCAACAACACTGCCCTAACCAGGATGAGTTTTTTGCCCCCCTGGAGTACATTCAGCCTTTCCTTATCAAACCTTCCTTTAAATAAGTATCTTCTCCAGGACCACTTCACTTTCTTCCCCAATTTAGCATTTTCTATATCTCCAGGCCTACCTCTATAAAGCCTGTCCTAACCACTCAAACCCTAGCTTTTTCTCTGAACTGCTAGAAATATTTTTCTCTCATTGGCCATTTAGGTAAAAAGGTTTTTACTGTTTATTACCTACTCAATAAAAATTTTCTTTTTTTGAGACAAGGTCTTACTCTGTCGCCTAGAATGGGGGGAAGTGGTGTGATCACAACTCACTGCAGCTTCTACCTCCCAGCTCAACAGTCCTCCCACCTCAGCCTAGTGAGTAGCTGTGACTACAGGCATGTGCCACCATACCCCACTACTTTTCATTTTTTATTTTTTGTGAGATGGAATCTCACTATGTTACCCAGGCTGGTCTGCTGATCTCAATTGATCCTCCCACTGTGGCCTCCCAAAATGCTGGGATTACAGGCATGAGCCACAATATCTGGCCCCAGTAAGCTTTTAAGGCCATTAACATGAGGAACAGTGTTCTTTACACTATTTTATCAGCTAGGGCTTTGCATGGAGTAGGAGTTTAGTAAATGCGGTTGATGGGTTAATCAATGTGTGAAAATATTCAGAGCCACCAAAAACAGATATTATGTCTATTCTCATCAACAATCAAAATTGAGTAAACAGCCATTTTCTAATACAGGAAACCACAAAACATTGAATGGTGACATTAAAAAATTCCCCCAGCAGGAGCCAACCAATTTTTTCATCCTGATCCAAGTTAGCAAACTGCAAAAGATAGGAAGCACTAATGAGTGGAAATTTGAGTAGAAGCATTTCTTATGAAGGCTGTCTTGACTGGATCACATTTTTATTGCTGTTGGAGGTGCCAAATGTGTGTGTTTATGCTAATCCTCCACCTCAGGCAACACACAGTCAAGGATCCTACCAAGTGTTACCGTCAAGTGTCTGTTGGCAGCTCAAGGCCCCAGCGTTGTTCCCTTGCACTAGGGAAAAGACATATTCCAGGTACAAGTACTCCCACTTTGATGCTACAGAGGAGTTGCTGAACTTTGTGTCATTAATCTCTCTTCGTTAGATCCCAACCCTGTTTAAATCCCACTATCTGCCTACTCTGGGTCTTCACCAATTTACTAGATCATAGTTGGAGAAAATCTACAAAGCCTTGCTCCCTTTAGATTTAAACAGGTCTCCGTTTAAATTTAGAATTGCTAACTTCAAGCGGGCCCTTATGCGACAGTATGCCTGTCAGTCATACTACATTTCCTCAATTCCATTCATGTGACTGCTCCATACCCTTCCCTCTCTCTTCATACTACTATTATCTCTTCCCCCCTCCCTCATTTTTAACTGATGATCTTGTTTCCTATTTCTCTGAGAAAATAGAAGCCATCAAAAGAGAGTTTCCACAAACTCCTACTGCCTTATCTAGCCCTGTACCATATACTTTGCATTTCCTCTCATTACCATGGATGTACTGCCTATCTGTGCTTCTATCTAAGGCTAACCCTTCCACTTCAGTTTTGAATATTATCAGCTCTTACCAACTCAAGGCCATTGCTCTAGCAATTCTCTCATTCTCTCTCATTTTCTTCCATCAAGTTTTCCTTTTCTTCAATTAACAGAGTAGCTCCTAAAGGGAAAAAAAAGTCTTCTTTTTCAATGCTCATCATCACTGGCCATCAGAGAAATGCAAATCAAAACCACAATGAGATATCATCTCACACCAGTTAGAATGGCAATCATTAAAAAGTCAGGAAACAACAGGTGCTGGAGAGGATGTGGAGAAATAGGAACACTTTTACACTGTTGGTGGGACTGTAAACTAGTTCAACCATTGTGGAAGACAGTGTGGCGATTCCTCAGGGATCTAGAATTAGAAATACCATTTGACCCAGCCATCCCATTACTGGGTATATACCCAAAGGATTATAAACAATGCTGCTATAAAGACACATGCACACGTATGTTTATTGTGGCACTACTCACAATAGCAAAGACTTGGAACCAACCCAAACGTCCAACAATGATAGACTGGATTAAGAAAATGTGGCACATATACACCATGGAATACTATGCAGCCATAAAAAATGATGAGTTCATGTCCTTTGTAGGGACATGGAGGAAGCTGGAAACCATCACTCTCAGCAAACTATCACAAGGACAAAAAACCAAACACTGCATGTTCTCACTCATAGGTGGGAATTGAACAATGAGAACACTTGGACACAGGAAGGGGAACATCACCCACTGGGGCCTGTTGTGGGATGAGGGGAGTGGGGAGGGATAGCATTAGGAGATATACCTAATGTTAAATGATGAGTTAATGGGTGCAGCACACCAACATAGCACATGTATACATATGTAACAAACCTGCACGTTGTGCACATGTACCCTAAAACTTAAAGTATAATAAAAAAATATATATATATATATAAAACAACTAAAAATAAATCTTCTTTTTCTGCAGGATCAGTCCATCACCACACACACAGGCTGTGTTTTATGTTGTTCCCCAGCTTAAGAGATCGTTCTCCAGATCCCACTGCTCCTTCCAGTTGTCACCTCAGTTCTCCACTTCTTTTTGCTGATAAACTACTCTAACTAGTTACATATGATTTCTGTCCCCAGGTCCCCTCCCTCAGTTGTTTTGAACATAATCATTTATATCATTTATCATTTTCACTCTAATTGCACAACCAAAAACTCCCTTTTTTTTTAGATGGAGTCTCACTCTGTCACCTAGGCTGGAGTGCAGTGGCATGATCTCGGCTCACTCCAACCTCCGCCTCACGGGTTCAAGTGATCCCCCTGCCTTAGCCTCCTGAATAGCTGGGATTATACACATGCACCACCACACCTGGCTAATTGCTTTGTTTTTGTTTGTGTGTGTGTGTGTTTTTTTTTTTTTTTGGACAGAGTCTCACTCTGTTGCCCAGGCTAGACTGCAGTGGCATGATCTCAGCTCACTGCAACCTCCACCTCCTGGGTTCAAGCGATTCTCCTGCCTCAGCCTCCCGAGTAGCTGGGACTACAGGCATGCACCACCATGCCAGGCTAATTTTTTTGTATTTTCAGTAGAGACCAGGTTTCACCATGTTGGTCAGGCTGGTCTTGAACTCCTGACCTCAAATGATCTGCGCACCTGGACCTCCCAAAGTGCTGGGATTACAGACTTGAGCTACTGCGCCGGGCTATTTTGTGTTTTTAGTAAAGACGGGGTTTCACCATGTTGTCCAGGCTGGTCTCAAACTCCTGACCTCAAGTGATCCGCTCGCCTCAGGCCCTCAAAGTGCTGGGATTACAGGAGTGAGCCACCATGCCTGGCCATAAAACTGCCCTTTGTTAATATGACTGTTGGCCTGCACATTGTCAAATCCAGTGGCATTCATCTTACTCGGCCAACCTACGGCATTTGACACTGTCTGTCTTTCCTTCTGTTCCTCTATCTGTTTCCAGTATACTGGCCTGGCTTTCTTTTTACCTCTTTTATATGCTCTTCCAGTCTCAGGCTCCTTTGGGGATTTGAAGGTATGTTGCATTTTGCTATTCAATGAATAATGACAAGTAATGATCACTTAAGACATTAAGTGGTCAGTTCCTTTACTAGGATAAAAATAATTTTCTTCCCAACATGGGGCATATTCCATTTCCAGTCTGACTGTTCTGTGTAATCTTTGTATTCCTTGGCAGCCCCTTTTATATCAGTTCATCTACTGTGCAGGAAATTGGACAAACATTTGCACTGGTATAACCAAATACAGTTGAACTTTTGGCTTGACTCTTAGCTGAACTCACCAAAAATAATTTCTGTAAGAGACTGAGACGTCTACGAGTAGGTTTTTCAGAATTAGTAAACATAAATCAAGGATACACAGGTAGATTTGAATTTCAGATAAACAACAAATACTTTTTTAGTATGTCTACTGAAATATTTGTATCTTATCTGGCAATTCTACCTGGTACAGAACTAATCCATTCTCTTGAAAGATCTTGACTCTGTAATAAGTTCTTTGGTGATGGAAGGGAGGTATTTCTGTAATTAGAGTCACTGTCTTCCTCCCAGTTTTTTATCCTGGCCCAGATCTGCAATGAACACACGACAGAATCCAGGGGGGATGAAGATGGGTGCTTTGCAGGAAAAAAAAATTAAAAACATCTGAAAAAGCTTTTGTACTAAAAGAATGTGATCTAAAAAAGAAAGCAGGAGAACTTTCTGTCTGCACTTTACATCAGAACAACCTTGGCGTCTAGAAGCTGTGCCCTGTGGGAAGTGGTGGTGCTTGGTAAGAGATGCCAGGACCAGTGGTACCCACTGGGAGCACTGCCAATACCCAGCAAGGAGCATGGGTGCACAGTAAGGCATTGCACTGTGATTCAGCATAAAATAACAATAAGGGAACGTCACGGAGAAAAGGCCAGACTTCCTTTGTTTAGAATGTGGGAAATGTCTTCTGAAAAATGGTAGTAAAAAAGCATGCTTGGATGGTCCACTCCAGGCAAAACTGACTAATCGGGGGTCAGGGATACAACCCCTGCATCATATGTTTGTTTCTGTTGGGCTGACATGAGGTTCACTGTGACCACTGTGGTTTAACCCCATAGTCTCCTGGAAATACAGCCAGGTCAAGAGAGCTCCACATAAAACATAATCAAAAAAATAAACTCAAGTTTCCACTGATCAGCTTTTCACAACTCTTATCCTTTCACTAACTTTGGAGCAAGATTTGAGAATTGGATGGCTATTTGAGGGCTATTTCTGCGCTTTAGTTCAATGTTTTGTTCTTTCTTTATTAGAGAACTATGGTTTTTTATTATATTTACACTTTAAGTTCTAGGGTACATGTGCACAACGTGCAGATTTGTTACACAGGTATAAATGTGCCATGTTGGTTTGCTGCACCCATCAACTCGTCATTTACATTAGGTATTTCTCCTAATGCTATCCCTCCCCCAGTCCCCCACCCCCCGACAGGCCCTGGTGTGTGATGTTCCCCTTCCTGTGTCCAAGTGTTCTGTTTATGTGATAGATTACGTTTATTGATTTGTGTATGTTGAACCAGCCTTGCATCACAGTCACTTGCTTACAAGAAACAAACACTTCACAGATGGATCATTATGTGTGATAAGTGAAATCCAAGGATTTATGCTCAGAGGTGGGCTTAACAGGTAGGAAGAGCAGTATTTTCCTTCAACCATGAGTGTATGCAGGTTTTTCTTTTCTTTTTTGAGATGGAGTCTCACTCTTTTACCCAGGCTGGCGCGCAGTGGTGCGATCTTGGCTCACTGTAACCTCTGCCACCTGGGTTCAAGCAATTCTCCTGCCTCAGCCTCCCAAGTGGCTGGGATTACAGGCACCTGCCACTGTCTCCGGCTAATTTTTGTCTTTTTAGTAGAGATGGGGTTTCACCATCTTGGCCAGCCTTGTCTTGAACTCCTGACCTCATGAATCATCCTTCTCAGCCTCCCAAAGTGCTGGGATTACAGGCATGAGCCACTGCGCCCAGCCCACAGGTTTTTCAAAGACTAAACTTAAAAAAAAAAAAAAAATTTCCCAATGAAATATAAAACTAAAGTGCTAAACTGTGATAGACTGTTTTACAAGAATGCCAGTTTTCACAAGTGTCTATAGAACATGTAATTTAGATAGGTAAGATGAAATTTTGATAATATTTGATGGCAAATTTAAACAGGTATACAACAAAAATAAAATTCTAAGCCCCTCAACCAACTGAATGGACTCCTTCTCTCAGCCAAAGGAATACCAAAGTAAACCTGAAAAACTAGTTTTGGCCAGGATTGGGGGTAGGTGGGGGAAGCCCAACATGACTCATTATTCTCTCCTCCCTTTGGAATTCAGGCACAACTGAATGTCAGCATTGACACTAAAACACAGATCTTAAGACTGACAAGCCAGACTCTTTGTAGCAGAGAGCCAGGCCCTGGAAGAAATCAAGTTATTTTATCCCAAAAAATATTTCTTTGATATATTTTCAAATGGCCCTGCAAAGCTGTCTCTTGTGGGGAAAATTGACATGCTGTACAGAATTTCCTTCTCTTTCCAAGTTTTTACTGATCCAGGAGAGATTTAACTAAGAGGCTAGCATGTTTTTTTTTTTTTTTTTTTGAGGCGGAGTCTTGCTCTGTTGCCCAGGCTGGAGTGCAGTGGCGTGATCTCAGCTCACTGCAACCTTCGCCTCCCGGGTTCAAGCGATTCTCCTGCCTCAGCTTCCCGAGTAGCTGGGATTACAGATCCATGCCACTATGCCCAGCTAATTTTTGTATTTTTTGTAGAGACAGGGTTTCACCATGTTGGCCAGGCTAGTATTGAACTCCTGACCTCGTGATCCGCCCACCTCGGCCTCCCAAAGTGCTGGCATTACAGGCGTGAGCCACCGTGCCCAGCACAAGACATTTACCGTCTATTCTCTCTGAAGCTACTATCTAGAGGCTTCATCAACATAATAAGACCCTTGGTCTCCACAACTCCTTATCTTATCCTATTAGTTTCTACTGATTCCAGGTCTTTAGATAATAACAACTCTTTCAACCAATTGCCAATCAGAAAGTCTTTGAATCCACCTATGACTTAAAAGCCCCACTCCTTCAAGTTATCCCGCCTTTCTGGACTGAACCAATGTACACCTTATATGTGTTGATGGATATCTGCCTGTAACTTCCATTCCCCTAAAATGTATAACATCAAGCTGTAACCCAACCACCTTGGGCACATGTTTTCAGGAACTCATGAGACTGTGTTGCAGACCTTGGTCACTCATATTTGGCTCACAGTAAACTTCTTTAAATATTGTATAGAGTTTGGCTTTTTTCATTGACACAGGAAAAATAAAGAATTGGAAGGTCTTTCATCAGTCACTGAGCCAGCTTCATATCTGACTGAGGTCATACAGTTCAGTGATTTGTAGCTTTGCTACTTAGATTGCTATCCATTATCTAGAAGCATCAGGATCACGTGGGACCTATTGGAAATGCAGACTTTCCTCCTAGAACCCAGGACCTTGGAATATTCTTGGCACATAGTAGGTGCTCAATACATATTGAACTCCTAGGTGCAATTCATTAATTCATGAATTAATGAATTAACACGCTCTCAAAGTTTAGTGCTTTTTCACAGACTAGTCTTTCTGCCTCTTAAGCACTCAGCTCACCACGCTTCCAGTCTCACTCCCCTATTAGTCTGATTAAAATCTGCTTACATGTGAGTCTGAGATCAAGTGTTATCTCTTCTGAGAAGTCTTCCCTCACTGGCCCAAAGGAATTTCTCCTCTATTTTAGCACTGTCCCAGTTGACTTGTCATTATTCTAGTCTTTTTCATATTAGTTGTTTTTCATATATATGTTATTAAGGAAACTAGTCATTTCCCCTAATAGAACAAAATTGCTGGCCTTTGGGGTTGGCAATGGAGGGGAGGCTCTTCTTGAAAAGGGGGAAGAGTGTTCTCCTAATATTTTTCTTACGAGATTTATGTTGCTCATCTTTAGCCTTTAGTCCCCCATTGCCTGCCTACAGTTGGCAGAGACCATCTGTTCTCTCACTGTCAGGAACTGTCTCAATTCTTGAAGTTCAGAGTCAAAAAAGAAGCAAGTTTTCCTAGCTCTTTGATCAACTTTCAAAGTTTTACTTCCATTTGAAAATTTACTAAGTCACCAGGAGATGGTTTATACTGAGAAATATCCACTCATACTCTTCCTCTTCAACTTTCTTCCATATACACCCTATTACAGGGATATAGTCTTACTCTATAGCTCAAAAGGATGACCCTATCAGAAACCTGCACAGTATGTAAAACATTCTCACCAGAGGTTCACTTGTGTATTTCCACCCTAGAATGGAAGCTCTACAAAAGCACAGAATGTATCATTTTAACTTTAGATTCTATTTTCACACCCAGTGCTTGACACATGATTTGAAGTTAATATTTATTTATCAAGTGATTGTTTTAAAATCATGACTCACTCAACAAAGTTATAAGAATAAGAATAGTGTTACAGAATTGGTATACACAAGCTGACCATAATCAACACACCTATTATCATTTTTTTGCGACAGGTTCTCGCTGTCTCACCCTGGCTGGAGTGGAGTGGCATGACCACGGTTCACTGCAGGTTTGAACTTCCAGGCTCAAGCAATCCTCCCACCTCAGCCTCCCACATAGCTGAGCCCACAGGTGTGTGCCACCATGTCCAGCTAACTTTTTAATTCTTTGTAGAGACAGGGTCACCCTATGTTGCCCAAGCTGGTCTTGAACTCCTTGGCTAGAGAGATCCTCCCTCCAAGGTCCCCCAAAATGCTGGGATCTCAGGCAAGAGCCACCATGCCTGGCCATAATCAATACACTTTTAAGAATGCTAGAATGTTATATCAGATGCATACTTCAGCACTATCTCAAGCAAACTGGGGTGTGGGTTATTCTACATATAAAGTTCAGCAGTGTTGTTCCACAGTCCCAAACTCCAACTGAGGTCAAATGTAGGGTGCAGCAAGGTCACTGGGGCTGTCATCAAGGGCCTCTCCTTGCACTCTTGCCAACCCTGTTTCTTGATTGTCTCTACCACCATGAGTCACCAGCAATCTCCCACAGTCACTTGTTTAAAAGTTCACAAGTATTGTGTGAATTGCAGGCAACCCCTTGACTCCCTGATTGCCTGGTCTTCTTCCTTGGGCTCTACCATTTTTTTTCCCCAGCACTCTTTCTGCTGCTCTAAATTTTAATTCATGCAATTCCATATGTGTTTCTCTATCATTCTTCATCTCTTTCCTCTCCCTTCCATCCAATTTTGTTTGTCTGTTTGCTTGCTTGCTTGCTTTAATACATTTCTCTTTTTCTGAGAAGGCTTGAGTCCAAAACTCTCAGTTACCTGTTGTTCTGTTTCCCGTTAGTTAATCTCCGAACCTTCATAAATTAAATCTGACAAAGTCCCCTGACTAACAAAGGAAATGCACAAGTCACAGTAAAAGGGGCACACACAGAACACAAATAGACCCAGGGTCTTTTCTGTTCATCACTCAGCTTTTTATAGGAGATCCAGGAGAAATGAAGTGGAAAGGGAAGTGTGTTGAGTTACTATACAACACAAGAGTAAACTTTCTTATAAGTGGTAATTTTTTTTTACAGGAATAATTGAAAATGGAAATTACCTTCTCTACTCATAGTAAGTACTCAGTGCGTTCTTGATGGGATGAGAATGTGTTTGAGCTTTAGTGTAAGGCAGAATTCTGTTTAGTCTGCCAGTATTGGAGAAAAATAAAACACAAAGGGACTGACATGTAGGAAGTGGCACCTGGGAGGGTCTCAATTCTTCCTATTACAAAAATGCCCCAGAGAAATAAAAAGCTTGTGTACATGTTGAGATGGGAGAGTTCTCTGGCCCCCCTCGCAGGATGTGTGACAGTGGGGTGGCTCTCTGCTGCGCCACCATGAGCTCAAACCCCTCATAGGAGGGGGAGCACACAGGCAGGAAGGTGCAGGAGCTGGGCGAGCTCTTTGGGCTCTGGCCCCGTGGTACTGTCTAGAGGTGGGTGCCTGCAACTCCTGAAAGCCCAAGTGGGCATGTGTTACAGTGCACTCTTTCAGCTTTGCTGTCTGCAGCTTAAGCGTTAACCAGCTCAGTTTCTTCTTGGTACCCAGGTCCTTGTCTGGCATCCAGGAAGAATCAGGTTACACATGGACTTGAAGGATGAATGTGGGAGTTTTATGGAGTGGTGGAGGTGGCTCTCAGTGGGATGGATGGGGAGCTGGAAGGGGGATGGAGTGGGAAGATGATATTCTCCTGGAGTTTGGCTGTCCAGCAGCCGATCTCCTCTCCAGTCGTCCCCAGCCTCTCGACGTTCAGATGCTCCTCTTCTCTCCTTCTCTGCCATGCTGTTCTGCCGTTCATCTGCCTGTCTCTCTCTGGAGCCTGGAATTTGGGGTTTATATGGTACACAATAAGGGGCATGGCAGGCCAAAAGGGAACTTTTTAGGTGCAAAAAACAGGAATGCCTCTTCTCACTTAGGGCTATAGATTTTCAGGCTTGAAGGTGGGGCCTTTACCAGCGAACCTGTATTTCCCTGTCTCCTGTGCATATCAATGTAATCAAATACTGGGCTGATCCAGGATGTTTCTTTAGACCAATTATGGGTAAAATAATTTACATTCAGGTTTTTATATTTGCTTTTGTCATTTCTTTTTAAGCAATCATGTAAAATATCTATACGACAGTAATAGATGATAGCGAACCTAATTAAAATTACCAGAAACTTAAGAATCTCTAATGATTTCAACTGTAACTAAGGTTATTTCTCTTTATGTTGAACAATGTTGGGAGATAAGACACAAGAGTTTCTGAAGTATTTCAGAAACACAAAGAGGGAGGTTATATAAATAATATTTTTTTCCTACTTTGGGAAAATGAAAGCTAGTCACAAAGTTAAACGAGTGGTTATTTTAATATTTAAAATACAGGCTTGGATGTATTTCCTGTTAAAGAAAATAAAATGCAGAATATTCAAAACGTCTGACCACCCTTCTAAGAAAATGCATCTCTGAGGTATTTTTCCTTAGAAGTTATTGTAAAAATCCTGGAGAAGCTTGAACACAGCAAAGCAAACAGGATGCAGAGTTTAATCTGTGGAAAGCTTAGGGAAGAAAAGCAAATCATTAAAAATAGGTCTTCCTCTGAAGATTTTTAAAACGCAAAGAGGGTGGAATAGCAATGATAATAAAAAAGCTGGCATAGAGAGTGGCACAATTTGCTGTGCCACTGAGCTGACTGGATGTGTTCTGAATTTCTAGGCATTAGTGTACCTTTCCACACGCATTCTCCCTTTAAAAAAAATGCCCACACACTGAATACTTTTTTCATGCAATTTAAAATAAGCGCACCATCTAGTTTACAGAAATTCACTAGAAGTTATTTATCCTAAAATAGCAGAGATCTAGAAGAATTTTGAGCTCTAGGACATTTTAGACACACAGAAAGAAGAATCTGGACAAGTCTTGACCAGACATGACAGAATAGAAATTTCTTTTCCTATTTATCTCTTTGAATAAAATTTTCAGGATCTTACAGTGGACAAGTTTGTTATCTACACATTGTGAAGCACATTGATTTCTCCTCTGTAGCCTTAGGAAGATCTGAGAGGTGACTGAGCTGATTGAATGATCCGTGACCGCTCTACTGGGACCAGTAGTAGAACTTTACTGGTGGAGACCTGCTGGAGGTTTGAGAGCAGACTTTGAAAATTACTAGAGCTACACAGATACTGTGTGGCTAACTGGATTATGTTTAGAGGCTTTCAGAACTATGCTGCTGCTGCTGCAGTGTAGCCAGGACGCACAGAGAACATCTAAGGCTCTTGAATGGGGCGATAGGGACAGATTTCAGCAGCCATCTGACTTCAGTGCTCATTTTGATGCTTTCCCTGCAGGGTGCAGTGTGCAGTGTGCAGTGTGCAGTGGTGGGAGGCTCACACAGGAATACTTGCTTCTGTAGCCCTAATTTCCGGTTCAAACTCTGCATTCACCTTGACAGATTCTTTCCTTGGCCAAAATTTAGTTAGGCTTCTGGGCTTTCTCTTATGCCCACCTGCAGACTTTTTGGTAAAATCCAGTTTTAGTAAAGAGCTCTGCTAAGTCAGTTTAGCAAGAATCCCCACCTCAAAAGTCACTATCTCCCTCCCTGGTAGTGTCTGGCTTGTCTTCAGCGAGAATTCTATTAGGTTCTGTTAGATTAGAATCCTCCTTACCCTTGATGCTTCCTCTTAGTATTTTTTCATCCACTGACTCCTTGACCCACCTTGCTCCTCGGCTATAAATTCCCACTTGCCCATACTCTGCAGTTAAGACTATTTTCTCCCCACTACTGCAAAATCCCATTGCCATGGTCCCTATACTATCTCAATGGTAATGAATAAAGTCTGCCTTACCATGCTTTAACAAGTAACATTGAACCATTTTTTTCTTTAACAATCTGCTGCACAATGAGATTACTAAAACTTTATTCCATTTTGCCATGCTGGATGTCCTCAATGGAATGGCTCTTGTGAGCACCAAATCATTGTGAGAAGGAAAACCCATCTCTTACAGCCCCCTGTAACGTGATGTATGTTACATGTGATGTATGTTACATAGTTTTTTTTCATGTTGATCACTTTTTGCCCATTTTCCTATATCTTATCAGTTGGAAGACTGTGGAAGTTTGTAGTACTAAGCCACAAGATGACTAAGAAGAGTTGAAAGGGCAAGTGGGGCTAAAAACAGATTTTGTTTGACTTACCCCACCATTCCCCCTATCATGGGGCTGAATCTGCCTGGAGGAAGGAGCATCTTTATCTTTGTACTGTGAACCACACAGTCTAGCAGCAGCACAGCCAAGGCACTTGGGGTTTCATGAGACTAAGTACATGCAATTCTATTGTAAAGGCTTAAAATATATACAACTGACCCTTGAACAACATGAATTTGAATTGCATGGTCAGTTATACGCAGATTTTCTTCCACCTCTGCCACCCCTGAGACAGTAAGATCAATCAATCCTCTTCCTCCTACTCCTCAGTCTACTCAAAGATACTTGAAGTCTACTTGAAGATGACAAGCACAAAGACATTTATGATGATCCACTTCCACTTAGTGAATAGTAAATATGTTTTCTCTTCCTCCTAATTTTTTAACACTTTCTTCTCTCTAGCTTAATTTATTGTTAAGAATACAATCTATAATACATATGACATACAAAATATGTCTTAGTTGACTGTTTATGTTATCTGTAAGGCTTCAGGTCAAGAGTATGCTATTAGTGGTTAAGTTTTCGAGGAGTCAAAAGGTGTATGTGGACTTTCAACTGCAGGGGGGTGGGCACCCCTGCCCCCATGTTGTTCAAGGGTCAACTTTACTGCCAAAGGCAAGCCTTTACATCCACTTTTTCCATCCCATCAGTAAATGGAAAAAGATAGCTACAGTATCCCTGCGTCAAATCTTTTTTTTTGCAGATCACAAATTGGCCACTCACCTTGCTCTGTGAGGGGTAAAATGCCCCACTTTCTTTAGTAATATTTAAGTTAGATAATATTTAAGTTATAAAGTTGTTCTTTGTAATCGTTAATTGTAATTTTTACATAGTTTCTTTCAAACAGAAATAGCATTTTTGTTAGATAACCTCCCGTATAGATGATGAAACTCCTTTTAAGGGCTATCTGAATTTTAATTCCTTGAAAAGGCAGAAATTGGATAGCTAGTAGTCATAAATGTACTGTGGCTTCCCCCAACCATCTGGGCTATATAGAAGCTGCATCCTTGGACTGCAGTAGAGGAGTCTTACAAAGCACAGAGCAACTTCTCTCCTGGGTTGCGCTAGTTATGATGGCAATTTTAAATGTGTACTTTTACCCAAAGAAAATCCTTATTATCAACAATCACAATGCCATCATAACCATGGTATAAAAAATTCAAAATGTCCCAGCTGAAGTGGAGGCAAAGACTCAAGTTCATGGAGTCAGAGTTTCCTTGCTATTCCTCTTTTTCAAATGACCATTTAGTAAGCACCTGAAGAAAATACTATGGACGGCATTGAAAAGTGAAGATAGGTTTAATCTTCTCGAAAATCTAATTCTCCAGATGAAACGCTGACACTTATCCACCCCACAGACCCTATAGCAGATGTGTCACTGGCCATCACATTTGACACAGAGAAGTCATAACTCAGTCAGCACAGAGACATTTCCATGAGTTTCTGAACCATGGACAGAACGTCGTCTGTGGGACATGAAAACTGGAACTTAGAGGACAGGCACATCTGAGAAATGGGCAGTTTAAAGGCAGAACATAGCACATATGTGACTGGGTTTTAGAAGCAAATTTACAAGACGCACTCTTCTTCATCCTAAATAATCTGCAACCAAAGCTTCCAAAAAAGACAATTTAGGAATGCAGAGGTGAGGAGTAGGGAGGGGAATGGGATGAGAGAGAGTGGAGATTAATGGTGGGCAGAGCGAGGTTTAGAACTTAGTGGTTTCTTCAGGTTCTGAACTGAAATTTGTATACTGTAAAGGCACAAACACCATTTTTAACAAAAGTGAGCAGGACTTCCTATCTGGTTCAGAAAATAGGTGAATAAATAGTACGAATTATTAAAAATAATAATTTCCACTTATACATAGGAAACTTGATAGGAACCATGATAAATGCTTAACTCTTAATCTTCAAGGAACTCTGCTAGGGATATAATATTATAAATCTTGTTTTGCAGATGGAGAAATTGAATTTTAACCCAAGTTATCATAACCCTTAAATGATTAAATGATACTGTTACATGAGAAAGCTGCGTATCTGTTTCCTGGATTTGTAGCCATAATTTGTGTCTCAAGTCCCTTTTGCTGCCAGCTATCTTGGGTAGGTGTGTTCCCTTTGGGCTGTTTGATACCCCCACATTTATCTTTTTTTTTTCTCTTTTTTTGTTGAGAGAGTCTTTCCCTGTTGCCTAGGCTGGAGGGCAATGGCGCGATCTCGGCTCACTGCAACCTCCGCCTCCTGGGTTCAAGTGCTTCTCACGATTCTCTTGTCCCAGCCTCTCTAATAGCTCGGATTACTGGCATGCACCACCACGCCCACCTAATTTTGTATTTTTAGTAGACAAGGGGTTTCTCCATGTTGGTCAGGGTGGTCTCAAACTCCTGACCTCAGGTGATCTGCCTGCCTTGGCCTCCCAAAGTGCTGGGATTACAGGTGTGAGCCACCATGCCTGGCCCCAAATTTATCTTTAATGCCCCAAATTATCTAGTTCCCATGACTGGGCTTCTGCTTTGATCCTTTCTGCACTTGCTGGACCCTCTCCCTGGGAAATGAGATTGTGTCCTGAGCCCCTAGTTAGAGGCTATGTCTCTGCTGTTCCTGAATGGGCCTCCTGGATGAGACCTCATTAAAAGTCTAATTCTCTTGGAGAATTGAGAGATACCTATTTGTCTCAAAATCATTGAAACCAATTAATGTATTATGAGCCTCTATCCAGTGATTTGTACCTCAATTCCCCAATCCAGCTGTCAAGGCCAATTTGTTCTACCTTACCTAGTAGGTAAGTCTGGAATTGTAGCTGTGGCATTTTCAGTAATGGTACTCTAGGTTAGCAGTCCCCAACCTTTTTGGCACCAGGGACCAGTTTTGTGGAAGACAATTTTTCCATGAAGGGCTGGGCAGGGGAGTGGTTTCAGGATGAAACTGTTCCACCTCAGATCATCAGGCATTAGATTCTCACAAGGAGTGCGCAAGCTAGATCCCTCACACATGCAGTTCACAATAGGGTGTGCACTCCCATGAGAATCTAACACCGCTGCTGATCTGACAGGAGACAGAGCTCAGGCAGTAATACTCATTTGCCTACCGCTCACCTCCTGCCGTGCAGCTCAGTTCCTAACAGGCCACGGACCAGTACTGGTCCACGGCGCAGGCATCAGGGACCCCTGTTGCTAGGTATAAGCATCTGGCTGCTGCATGTCTTCTGTGTAGCTACATCTGTATGTGTATCTGATGAGATATAAATTATTTGATTATAAATTACTTTCTTCATATTAGAGTTGTGAATGAGTATCACATATAATTATACATAAACTAGGAATATGCTTTTTAATAATGTATATAAGTAAGTTTCCTTAACTATGACTTTCATCTTAGCGTAGTAAGAGGGTGCTAAGAAATATTTGTGATGAAAATAGGCATTGGTAGAGTTGAGACCACTGGGTGATGAAAGAGTGTAAAGATTTTAAAGCCTTCAGATGCTGGTTCAAGGTGAGAAATGTGATTGGGAGCAAATCAATTAACTTCTTGAAGTCTTATAGGGCAGTTATGAATACTTAATGTTAACATATGTAAAGCTCTTCTGCCCTGTATACAGTAAATGCTAGTTAGCTATTATGATCACTACTAAAATGGGGATGACATAAACCTCATAAGGTTTTAAGTATTATGCAAGATACTATACAAAGTCCAGTAAATATCACATTCAATTGAATCCATGATGTCCGATTATTTTAGCTACTTCCAAGAGAGAAAAAAATGCTGTCAGTTTTACTGTTCTTATAGAGAGCAAGGCAGATCCCAATTCCCAATGTGGTAACGTGAAAATTTTTGCATTTGAATCAACAAAACACTTTCTCCTTTCTTTCCTACTATTTAACAACTGGTAAGTCTATACTCCCCCAAATCTGGAATTCTCCTTTCTTATTCTTTTTCCTCCTACCAAGACCGCAGGATCTTTTACTTGGCTATAAGGGGTAAACCTCAAGTAGTACAAGTTCTCTGTATTACTTTTATACTCTGTCACAGATTCCCTTTGTTTCCTCATCTCCATGTGAATTTAGTTAAATTCTCAGCATTCTGATCCTTACTATACAAGGTAAATGAATATAAAAACAAAACGAAACAAAAACCTCTTCCTATTTACATAAGGCCCCAACCTAATATTTAGTGATATATATTAATGTGAACAAGGAACTAACGAAGACTGGGAAGAAATTCACAGACTTGAGAGAAGAAATGGCAGGATTTCCTGGGAACAATTTCATGTAACGTCAAAGGTGGTAAAAGGTCAAATAGAATGAAGATGGAGAATACCGGATTTTCTTACAAAATGATTTCCCAGGAGATCTCATCAAATGCACGAGGATACCTTCTCAGTTTCACCTAGTGAGTAAAAGACTGGTAACATAGCTCACTTACAATTTGGATAAACAAAACTAAACAAACAACATCAAAATTTCAGAAAAAATAATAGCAAAACAGAAATCAAACACTCAAATTTTTGGTCCTTCTGTTTATTTCATTTTGGATACTCAGTGAATGTTAATTAACCAGGAAACTTAAAAGTTATTTCAATTATGAACCTCTTCAATCCTTCATCAATTATTTTGAGTATTCTGGTCTTAAAAACATCTCTTTCTTCTACAAACTTCTGAAAGAGATGAACACCTCCACCTACACCAAAATAATGTGCTTTGCTGGCCAAAAGTACACGTCCATTTTTACTTAACAGTCTAAGGAAAGTCTGGTGCAAATTACTATAATAATCTGGGTTGTAAATGGTTTCTGAGGTGAGAATGAGATCATATTTTACAAAAAGTTTTTCACTACTTAGTACAAGCTTACAAAACTCAGACCACTCACCAGAAAAAAATCGGCATTTATATAGTTGTGTTACTTTTGGTTTCCTGCATCTTTTCACATCTGGCTCATTTACATCATTTTCTTCATCTTCCAAAGTGGAGTTAGCTACTACATTAGGTAAGGTTACTTCATCAATCACCATACTGTTATAATCTTGAAAGTGAATTTCTTTGGACCCTCCCTTGAATGCAGTTATACCTAGTAAACCTGATCCACAACCAAGATCCAAGACTTTTTTCCCAGCAAATTTCACTTTGGCCTTTGTGAAATAAGCCAGGAGGTCAAAGGTACATTCCCAGATTTTTAAGCCTCCCTCATAAACACCTGTAATCAGATCAGAGTGAGAAGAAAAGCTTTTTGAAACTATGTTTTCTCCAGGGAAGTTCTCTTTCAACAAGATGGTTTTCACTACTGATAACTTAACATGCTGGAAACCTGGTAATGTTTCTATGACTTTATTTTCTAACATCTTCTTTAAATCTTTAGGCATAGCATGCTCTTTGGCAGCTCTCAAGGAGGGCTGTTTTCCATGTGGCTCCAAGTTCCTTGAACTGCTGGCTGCACTGAGTGGACTGTCTGTGTCTTGAGAGGGAGCTGCATTTTCCATTGACTTATGTTCCCACAAGTGATCCTGAGGCAAGTCAAATTGTTCTGCAGAACATTTTCTGTCCCTCTCTTCTCCTTTTTGACTTTCTGAGACTGACAGCTCTTTTGAGGAATCCAGGGTCAAAGCTCCATCTCTAATGGGTGTTAATTCATTTTCCAGATGGTCTTCTATAGTGAAATTAAACTGAAAGGTCATCCTCTTATTAAATGCACACAATCTTTAAATTCAGATTCTTCAACTTCTGGATAGAATTTGATGATACACACAAATCTGCCTCAATTATTCAATTAGTTTTGTTGGGCCCAATTTCTCTTTAGCAGCTTATACATGGTAACAAATATTTAGAGATATTTCCAAATGACTTTTTAGACGTCTTTGGTCCTCTTTCCAAGCAGCTCTGGAAAGAAAAAAAAAAAAAAAAGAAAGAAAATGATGATTAAAGCAAAATGGCACATTTCACTAAAGTGTAATATTAAACAGCCACCCCCACCCCTCCCTGTCCCACCATACAGCTGCTTTTTCTTAAAAAGTTGTGGGGAAGAGAGAGAGATAAGAGATTTGGACACTCATACACACCTTAAGGGTTCCAAAGTGGGAGAAGAAAATCAACTATAAAAACAAACAGAAGAACAACAGCAACCACCACCACTACCACCTGGACAAACATAAAGTCCAAGATATTCAGACAGGACAGCCTAGCTACTTGCTGTCTTTCAGCTGTCTTGATTTGTGTCCAACCATATTCACCCCCTAAGCTTCCAGAATAACTTCACTTCTGTCTTTTACAGAAGAGGTGCAGTATTTTATTTTGGTAAGTCAGCGTCCCTTTAAAAACATGCATAGGTATGGCCTGGTGTGTGTAAATTCATCCAAGACTTCACTCCAAACATTTAGTCGAGAACAGCAGCCCTAAGTGTATAGAAGTGGGGGTAATTTGGCAATAATTAGTAAAGACTAATTCGGTGGCAGAGCAAACGCAAACTAGGGCACTGCAGTAGTTTGGAGAGACCTGTAGAAATAAGAAGCAACTTTATTGAGAATCTTCTATCTACTGCGCTAGACACTATACCATCTGCCTCAATTTTCACAGTTCTGGCAAGTGGGATCTTTGTTCCCTTTATACAAGATTTACAATTTGGGGGAGAGGCGGGTCACCCAGTCCCGCGGCTAGGAACGCGCCTCTTTCCTCTCCCATCACGCTGCAAGGCTTGGAGTCACTTCCGGCTGCAGGTCCCGGAACAAATCCGACCCCAGAAGTGGGGACTTCTGGCCCTCACCTCCCCATTTGAATGTAATGTTTACAGTGATCCAGACCTGGGGATGCTTGCTTCCCGACGTGTCCTGGGATCGCGCTTCTGAAAAAGCTCACCTCACAACGCCTCCTCCGGACCTAAATCGCGCACCAGTGAGTCGAGTCCTCCAGGGGCTAGAGAAGCCCGACTTTCTTTCCGGCCTTGAGGGACCCGGGCTCACCAAGAAACCAGCCGCCCTCCTCTCTATGGTTTTGGAGCCGGCGGAGAGCGCGCAAGGGTTGGCGGGACTGCGAGTTTCCGGTCTGGGCTTTGGCGGGTCTGGTTTGAAGCTCTCCTGTTTGACGAAAGTATGTCTCAGGAAGGTGCGGTCCCAGCTAGCGCGGTTCCCCTGGAAGAATTAAGTAGCTGGCCAGAGGAGCTATGCCGCCGGGAACTGCCGTCCGTCCTGCCCCGACTCCTCATATCCTTCCTTGGTTGTCACTTCTACCTAGAGAAGGGTGTGGGCGGGTCGCGAACCTTTCTCTTCTGTCCCTTCAGACCCACCGCCAGGCTGGGTTATATTACCGCGGCCTGAACCCCCTCTTTTCTTTGTCAGTGAGTGGGATGAAAAGTGAGGGACTGGAGGGGAAGCGACAACCGTGGTAGATTTAAGTAAGGCTTTGGCCCTGGAAAGCCTCGCGGACGTGTTCTGACCCAAGGTTTTAGCAGTGGATGTGGCGTTTTCTTCCATTCCTTCTTTCAGTTTTTCTGTACTCGTTGCTTGCAATTAAGTGTAAATACTTTTGCTAGTGGATAATGGGGGAGGCAAGGACTGAGACCTGCGGTATGACGATAGCTCTGGCTCTTAATAGTTTGAGGTAAAGCGAGATACTCTGAGCTTTTGTCTCCCGTAAAAAGGGTGGTGAATATGAATAAGGGCTTTCTTAGCGTTATAAGAATTAAAGGGCATAGTTCTGTGGTGTGAAATCTTTAAAAGATGTTCAGTAAATAAAAATGATTTTCCTCCTTCCCCTCTCAGACCTCTTTTTCTTCTTTCTTTCTTTTTTTTTGACAAGTTCTCACTCCTCTCACCCAGGCTGGAGTCTTTCTGAAAGAGTTCTTCCGCTTGTTGTTGGCTTTCAACTGTTGGATTTGAGGCGCTTAGCGCCTTCTTCGTCCGGGTGCAGCACATTCTTGATTGGTCTCATGCCTTTGTGGTTGTAAATGTGCCTGGAATCCTAGCCTTTCATGGTAAACCATATGTATATGTATCTTTTTCACAACATTTGAGCCCAGCTTTATACAATTACACTCAAAAGAAAAAAAGTAACCTTCACTTGAGAGAATCTCAATACTGCACAAATATTGTGCAGCTAAAGCCCTATGTAATCACATAGAAGTCATTCACCTAGGCATTAGCAAAATCTCAGAAGGTGCCAAAGCCCCCTTTTTTAGTTTTTGTGTAGGTACAGAACTGCCGTCTTCAAGGAGTTTCAACTTGAAAACAAATAGCCACCCTCAAAACATTCAAAAACACTTAAACTGCGTGCATAATGTGTGTGAGACATGGTGTTAGGCTTTGGGAGAACAGAGACACGGAACGTGATTCCTCTTCTTCCCCACAAGCTTATAGAGAGACTTCATTAAGTTGAAAGTCAACATTCCCACCTAGCTTTGCACTTCAAACGACATATTCAAAAAAGCCCAAACTTCCTCTAGTTTTCTTCATCTGAGTAAATGGTTTCACAAACTGAAACCTTGAATCCTCTCTGTCTCACACACCCGATCAGTAAGTTCTATTGTTTCTGATTCCAAACTATGTCTTGAATCAATCCGTTTATCTCCATCCTCATTGCTACCACTCTGATTCCAAACCCTTATCACCTCTCACTTGGAGTATTAATAGTTTCCTTGTTTCTACTCATAATTCATTATTCCAAAAAAGTTAAGAGGGGAAAAACATAGATCTCGTCATTTCCCTTTTTAAACCACTTTACCTTCAAGGTTCCAGGTGATCTAAGCCTTGCCCTTCTCTCATACCTAGTTAATTAACTACACTCTGTTCATGAATACATTAGGCTCACCTACCTCAAGATCTTTTTGCTCAGCCTGATTTGTTCTCTCAGCCTTTTGCATATTTCATGTTTATGTCTTGGCCCAAATGTCACTTCCTTAGAGGGGCTTTTTCAGAGCCTTCAATCTTAGGCAGTTCCCCCAAACGCAGTCTTACACTTGTATCACATTGGCCTGTTCAGTTTTCTAAAAAGCACATTACCATTAAAAGAAATGCTCTTGTTTGCTTTGTATATTTTCCACTTCTACACATTATGTTGCAAAGTTCATAAAGGCAGGATGTTGATTTTCTTCACAGCGTTACCCTCAGCACCTAGAACAGTGCCTGACACATAGTAAGCATTCATTAAAGGGCTAAAAATATTTCATGTTTTAAAAATACTTGGGAGTCTAATTAGACAATACTTTTTTTCAGCTTAATGGTAGTATTTTAGCTTCACTATTTTAACAAATGAAAAATTTGCAATAAATCTACAATGCCATTACCCCCCAAAATCTTTTTCATGTTTTGCATTTTACGTATTATTTTCCAGGCCTTACCTGCATGTCTGCATAATCATAACTGACTAATTTTGGAACAGCTGGTAATTATTTGAGCTTTACTGAAATTTTTTCATGAGGCCAATTCTACCCTACTGAACTCAAATTTGAGTTAATGATGACCTCATTTTGATTGCTGCTGTAAAAAATAAGATTTCGGAAGAGGAATGAATTCTTGTATTACTGTGGTAGGACTATGGGTTTTTTTTTGTTTGTTTGTTTGTTTTGAGACGGAGTCTCACCCTGTCACCCAGGCTGGAGTGCAGTGGTGCGATCTCAGCTCACAGCAGCCAGGTTCAAGTGATTCTCCTTCCTCAGCCTCCCGAGTAGCTGAGATTACAGGCACGTGCCACCATGCCCGGCTAATTTTTTGTATCTTTAGTAGAGATGGTTTCACCATGTTGGCCAGGCTGGTCTCGAACTCCTGACCTCGTGATCCGCCTGCCTCAGCCTCCCAAAGTGCTGGGACTACAGGCGTGAGCCACCGTGCCCGGCCGGGTTATTCATTTTTCTTATTAACATTCTTTGATGATTCTTATGGTGTTGTTACAGTAAAACATTTCTAACAATTATTCTAACAATTATTCTTGATGGTGTATATGAAGAATTTATTGTCGTGTATTTGTAAGCTGCTATGTGCAGAAGAATTTCAGTCAAATAAAGTTGGTAAGATAGGTATGTAAGTAATATGAAAAAAGATAGAAGGTGATGAGTGACTTAGGTATAAATTAAGTACAATAGAAATGTTGAGGAAAGAAAAATTTCTTGTAATAGAAATCGGAAGTACAAACTGGGCATGGTGGTGTGCATCTCTAATCCCAGCTCCTTGAGAGGCTGGTATGGGAGGATCACTTTAGCCCAGGAGCTTGAGGCTGCAGTGAGGTGTGATCATGTCACCGCACTCCATCCTGGGTGACAGCAAGACCGTCTCTCTTTTTTTTTTTTTTTGAGACGGAGTCTCGCCTATGCTGGAGTGCAATGGCGCGATCTTGGCTCACTGCAACCTCTGCCTCCCAGTTTCAAGTGATTCTCCTGCCTCAGCCTCCTGAGCAGCTGGGATTACAGGTGTGCGCCACCATGCCCAGCTAATTATTTTGTATTTTAAGTAGAGACGGGTTCTCACCATACTGGCCAGGCTGGTCTTCAACTCCTGACCTCTTGTTCGCCCATCTAGGTCTCCCAAAGTGCTGGGATTACAGGTGTGAGCCACCCCACTTGGCCCCGAGCGAGACCCTCTCTCTAAAAAAAAATAAATAAATAAATCATAAACCTGTGGATTATTGTAGCATTGTTTCTCATCTGTCAAAAATATTTCATGACTATGCATAGTTTGAAAAGGCAAGTTTGTCCCTGGGCAATTTTCAAAATATTTCTTTAATGTGTTTTCACAATACTGTTTACCTAATAAATCTTAAGTTTTTAAAAGCAAAATTAAGCCAGTAATTTGAGTCCAATTCCAATCTCTTATGAGTCATTGCTTAAATTTCAAAAGGGTTTTATTTTTTTTTTAGGTTTGTTCTGAGTAATGAATACCCTATTACTATGATACTAGTATCTTCCTTAATTATCCTACTCATTGTCTCAACATTCTGACAGTTGGATTGAGCATATTCGTAAGTAAAATTGTTTTAACTGTATGATGTACTTTGATGTTAAGGTCCGAGTCCCCACATACCTCGGTAGATGTGTTCTTACAGTTTTGTATTCCCTTGAAATGTAACTGTTCTCTATGTTACAGCCTTTATAACCTTCAGTTACTTGAAATGAACAAATTCATTCAAATTCCAGCACTTAAAAGTTTTAAATTACATTTTGGATAAATACCAAAGTGTTTTGTTGATGATGTATGTATAAACAAATTGTAAATATTAAACGTTAGTTGTTACGATTAGACCTATATAAAACATGATATGCAGTCTACTGAATAGCTATCAGCCTCTAACATGTTTAGTGTCATTTAGAAAATGCTTTCTAAATTGCCAAAAGCTGATTGTCTAGGTGATAACAAATTTACCATTTGGAGGAAGTTGACTTTCTCATTTTCATGTCTTCATCAGTCTTACTTGATGAGATTCATTCTTCTAGTCAGAAGAGAGTTTAGACTGCTCAGTTTACTCATATTTTGAGTTAGCTTTTCTATTTAGAGTTCACTTGGTTGTGGAATATTCATTTATAATTTGAATCTACGTTGTGTAATGGGACCTAATTTTTTTTTCCTTTGTTTTTGTTGGAGTCTCGTTTTGTCACCCAGGTTGGAGTGCAGTGGCGTGATCTTTGCTCACTGCAACCTCCACCTTCCAGGTTCAGGTGATTCTCCTGCCTCAGTCTCCCAAGTAGCTGGGATTACAGGCATGCTTCACCACGCCTGGCTAATTTTTGTATTTTTAGTAGAGATGGGGTTTCACCATGTTGGCCAGGCTGGTCTCAAAACTCCTGAGCTCAAGTGATCCTCCTGCCTTGGCCTCCATAAGTGCTGGGATTACAGGCGTGAGCCGCTGAGCCTGGCCCCAGAGTTTGTTTTGTTTTGTTTTCAAGACAAGATCTCACTCTATTGCCCAGGCTGGAGAGCAGTAGTGCGATCATAGCTCACTGCAGCCTGAACTCCTGGGTTCAAGCTATTCTCCTGCCTCCATCTTCTAAAGTGCTGTGATTACAGGTCTGAGCCATGATGCTTGGCCTGTGTTTTTGTTTGTTTGTTTTGGGGGACAGGGTCTTGCTTTGTCACCAAAACTGGAGTGTAGTGGTGCGAACATAGCTAGCTCACTGCAGCCTCCATCTCCCACGCTCAAGCAATCCTCTCACCTCAGCCTTCCAAGTAGCTGAGACCGCAGGTGCGTGCTACCATGCGTGGCTAATTTTCTATTTATATATTTATTTTTTGGTAGACATGAGGTCTTGTCATGTTTCCCAGGTGGTCTTTAACTCCTGGGCTCAGACAGTCCTCCCGCCTCAGCCACCCAAAGTGTTGGGATTACAGGCGTGAGCCACCATGCGTGGCATAATTTTTTTTAAGTAAATTATTTTTTTATCTTGAGTATAGAAGTGATTCATGTTCATTGTGGAAAATATGAAACATATAGAAAAACAGAAAAGATTACAAAACATCTAATCTGAAATGGTTAAGATTTTGATGAGAACAGTCTCATCTCATTTCCGTATATTCCTGCCAGCCTATCCATCATTCTTCGTACATGTTTATCTACATTAAAATTGGTGTTATATTTTGGAAACTTTTTGTTTAACTACATTGTGAACATTTTTCATGTTTTAAAATGTCATTTTAATGATGGCAGATCCTATTCAATAGATGTACACACACCTATTTAACTGGTCCACAATTGTTGGATATGTAGGTCGTTTCCTTTCTCTCTTTTTTTTTTTTTTTGGCTACTACTTAATAGTTTCTCTGTATAGAATGTGGTATTTTGAAAGTGTATCAAGCTTTAGATTGGTAGTATTCTTGCATTTAATAAAGGGCAGTGGCCTTTGTTGACTGACATGACAATATTTTTATAAAATTTGTTATTTGCTTTACAGAAATTTTGAAAATTATTGTAGAAATGTTTTTACCTCATATGAACCACCTGACATTGGAACAGACTTTCTTTTCACAAGTGTTACCAAAGGTATAATACTATTACCTGAAAATACATGTTATAAGGAATCTAGCCTCAGTCTTAGATGATTTATTATTAATTATGGCTCTCTTTTTCTAATATATCAAATATATTCAAAATAAAAATAAGGAGTAAGTAGATCTCATGTGAGACTATAATGGTGTTAGTGTGATCATTAGGCAGTTAAAAACTGTTACAGGCTGGGCACGGTGGCTCATGCCTGTAATCCCAGCTCTCTGAGAGGCTGAGGTGGGCAGATCATCTGAGGTCAGGAGTTCGAGACCACCCATGGTCAACATGATGAAACCTCGTCTCTACTAAAAGTACAAAAAATTAGCTGGACATGGTGGCAGGTGCCTGTAATCCCAGCTACTTGGGAGACTGAGACAGGAGAATTGCTTGAGCCTGGGAGGCGGAGGTTGCATTGAGTCAAGATCGTGCCATTGCACTCCAGCCTGGGCAATAAGAGCGATGCTCCGTCTCAAAAAAAAAAAAAAAAAAAAAAGAACTTATATTTTCAGATTGTGTGGTTCCTTTACTAACTGAATTTAAATTATTTGTAGTCAATTTTAAATGCTCTTGTATTTTAAAGCCACTGTACTCCAGCCTGGGTGACAGAGTGAAACCCTTAATTCAAAAAAAAAAAAAAAAAAAAGAAAAGCTGGAATATTGGCAAAATCAAGTAACTAAGAGAAAACATTAAATTCACAGAATACATTATTACATTTTAGATATATATGGTATATGTTTTCTCTGAAAAGCACAAGCATACCTTTTTTGTTTTAAATGGAGGGAACTAAAGATACTTTGGTGCCAAAATGAAACATTATTTGTAATTAATCTCTTATTGAAATGGGTTTCTAACTTTAGCTTTGAATCGTAATCTTTCAAATTTCTTGTACTCATAGTCACTTGATGATTCTCTATCTGAAATATTTCTTAGAATTTGTTCTTGACCACCAGAAAAAGATTCAACTGTTACATAGATGAAAATGGATGTTGAGTGTTAACAGGCCTATGGGAAACAGTATTTTCTTTAGCTACATTGTATTGTTGACTGTGTTGCTATTCTTATAATGTTTAGGTCATTTAAATTGTTAGAAAGATCCAAGTATTAAGATCTAGGGTGGCTAACTTTTCACAGACAAAAAGCTTGTTTGTAAGGTCATTTACTATACCCTTAATTCAGGAAGGTTAGCTTGAATTGGGTCAAAAGGAAACTGGTTAGAAAATAAGTGAGTAGTGAATAGGCGATTCAGTGCAAATTCCTTCCAGAAAATACCCTTGTAAATGACTGTATGAATGTGGATTCTTCAAGACAGTCAAATTTATTGTGCGAAAGTAATACTTTTATTTTTTGCATCTCTAAAACATGAACTTTGAGTGATTTTTTAAAAAAATTGATGCTATTAAATAGATTCAAACCATAGAAATGGAAAATAAATTTCTGTTTGGGGCTTTTGGGGGGATTATGTTGTAAAAATACCTTTTCTCTGTATTTTGTGCTTAATTAGGTACAATTGTTAAGCTAGATGATAGCCTGTGGATGTTACTAGTGCAAAATCAAATTATCGTATTGTGTTTTCTCTGTAAAGTTTTGTCTTGTCTTTTCTAGTGATTTCTCTTATTCCTGTTTATTACTTGATTTGTTTTTACAGACTGTGAAATTATTCGATGACATGATGTATGAATTAACCAGTCAAGCCAGAGGACTGTCAAGCCAAAATTTGGAAATCCAGACCACTCTAAGGAATATTTTACAAGTAAGTCAAATGTATTAGAAAGCAGGAGAGAGAGGGAGCTTAAAGAATGTCAAAATTTTTATACTGATACTGATTAGCTATGTATTCTTATGTAATGGCCTAATGTTGGAATTAAATTTATAGAATTAAAGACGTGAATATAGAAACATGAATTCTGAATAATAAACTCTTATAAGAAGAGAAGTCATCAAGCTAGCTGACCCTACCTGTATTTTCAAGGATATGTGTGGAACACCTGCCATGTGTTTTGAAGTTTGTGTTAGTATTCTAAATGGCTAGACAGTTGTTCCAGTATTTGTAGTTCTGATAGACTAAAGTTCTGTGAAAAGAGGAAGAGACTGTGTTTTGTTCATTGCTGTATTTGTAGCACCCAGCATGCTGACTAATACCTTTTCAGTGCACAAAAAATATATTCTAAGTGAAATTTCCTTCCTTATTCACAGACAATGGTGCAGCTCTTAGGAGCTCTCACAGGATGTGTTCAGCATATCTGTGCCACACAGGAATCCATCATTTTGGAAAATATTCAGAGTCTCCCCTCCTCAGTCCTTCATATAATTAAAAGCACATTTGTGCATTGTAAGGTGAGTAAAGGTCTAATTATACTTTGAATGGTATATAATCAATGTGCATAGGGGCTGAGTAAAATAATGTTTGTATAAGATTTTACATTTTAGTCTATATTATTGAAATAAACTTTTCCATAGAATAAAGAACATGTAAGTAAATAATTGTTGCAAAAAAAGTGGTTTTAAGGAAGTCATTAAAAGTGGCTTTTTGGGGTTTTTTAGTTTTATCTTATTTCCCCTCTATAAAGAAAGAAGTTTTAAGAATTTGTGTTGAGACAGACACAGGGATCCTGAAATAGTTATGTCATGTTGCATTGACCAATATTCAATTACCATTATGATTAGATGTCAGAACTTCCTTTTATAAAGGAAAGTTAATCCTTATTTAGTCCATCTCTACATGCCAGAGGTAGCCTTGAGGCACAAAAGCTTGCCTAGAATTTATGGGTCACAGACAGTTTTAATATTGCTATTTGTTGGGCGAATGAAAATCACTAGTTAATTAATACCTCTCTTTGCTGATAGGATGCTAAAAATGTCACGCACCTGGCCTAATGTTACCCTTTTTTAGTTCTGTATTTGCAAGATCATGGAAGTCAGAAATAATATTTTATACATGCTTGCATCTCTTGAAGCACACTATATTTAATGGATGTTCACTAAACAATGAATGAATATGTGATTCAGTAAATTTATGATCTCTAATAGTATGAATTAAAGTAAATTTGGCTCTTGAGCTTTGATTTGTTTTTTCTCTCATTTTTATTTATCCGTAATCAGAATAGTGAATCTGTGTATTCTGGGTGTTTACACCTAGTTTCAGACCTTCTCCAGGCTCTTTTCAAGGAGGCCTATTCTCTTCAAAAGCAGTTAATGGAACTGCTGGACATGGTTTGCATGGACCCTTTAGTAGATGACAATGATGATATTTTGAATATGGTAATAGGTGAGTGAAGAAAACTTTCTGCTTAGTATATGGTGACTATAAATCATGTATCAATTAAAATTGTCTCTAATGATTCATGTTATTTTCTTACTAATTATGCATTAAAATTGATTTAAATCTTACCAAATAAATTTTTAATCTTGAAATTTGGAATTTGTAAAATTTATTTTGGGTACCTTAACCTAGATTTGCGTATTTAGTTACTGTAATTTCTCCACAATGATTAACTTATATAACTTTATAATCTCTGAGGTTGTCCATATTCAGAGACAATAACTTTCACATTTTTTTAACCATAACTGATATTGAGATGCAGTTTATATTTCCTTCCAGAATACATATAAATACGTGCATATGTGTATGTAAATATGTCTATTCTCATATACATATTATAATGAAATAACTCATTTTACATGTGATGCACTTTATACTAGTTTATTTTTATTTTATTTTATTTTTTTGAGACAGAGTCTCACTGTGTAGCCCAGGCTGGAGTGCAGTGGCACAATCTCGGCTCACTGCAACCTCGCCTCCCGGACTCAAGCGATTCTCCTGCCTCAGCCTCATGAGTAGCTGGGATTATAGGCGTCCGCCACCACACCTGGCTAATTTTTGTATTTTTAGTAGAGACAGGGTTTCACCGTGTTGGCCAGGCTGGTCTTGAACTCCTGACCTCAGGTAATCCACCTGCCTCAGCCTCCCAAAGTGCTGGGATTACAGGCATGAGCCACCGTGCCCAGCCAATACTAGTTTATTTTTAAAGAATTGCTGGTCGTAACACACTTCATTGATTTTATCACTCATTAATGGATTATGAACAAGAGTTTGAAAAACAATATAAAGGCAAAGTTTGCATTCAAAACTTTGGTATAAAGAGAGTAAGTTGGTTTTGTGCAGTGTATCAGGCACCTGTTGCTCTGCAACACACCACCTCAAAATCTATTTATTCACTATTTATTTATTCATGATTCTGTGAGTCTGCAGTTTAGGGTGGGATGTCCTGAGACAACTTTCTCTGATCCACCTGGGGCACTAGCTCACCCATGTGACTTCAGTGACTTCATTCACATCTGGCTGTTGGCAGAGGCAGAAGTACTTGAGAAAGCCATGTGCATCATCCAGCAGGTTCACCCTATCTCAGATACCTGATGCCAGTGGTTTCAGGGTTTCTAAGAGTAGCAAAAGTGTGAGCAGGTCGCTGTGTGCTAGCACTTTTCAAGTTTCTGCTTGCCTTAATTTTATTATTGTCCCCCGGGCCACAGCAGGTCATAGCGTTTAGCCCAGAGTCATTGTAGAAAAGTGTGGATTCACAAAGGGCAGTCATTGTGGCCATTTTTATAAATAATCTACCACAGACTGAGTAAAAGCCTTGCATGAATACCATGGATATTAATTTGAATTCTTCCTTTTTAGATTTTCTTTCCTTAGCAATTTGTTTTGTCATTTTGGATTAGAATTATATCTGTAGAATATTTCAGTTATAATAGGGTACAACTTTTATTCCACTGAACATCTTTAGTTTTATTTAGGTCATCTGGTAGGTATAAACTTCAGAAGTTAATATTCAATATTTATAAAAACCATTAACAAGTGTGACACTTAAATAGTTTAAATAATTCTTTTGACACAACTGTTTCCAAGTTGTGTTACGTATTTTAATTCAATCAAATGTTGAAATTGTTCAGTAGATAGTTTTAATTATAGGAGAAACTCACCCCCATGACATTTGGATGTCTTAAAAGTTCTGTTATCTTTCTTTGCAGTTATTCATTCTTTATTGGATATCTGCTCTGTTATTTCCAGTATGGACCATGCATTTCATGCCAATACTTGGAAGTTTATAATTAAGTAAGTTTGTTTGTTATTTTTTACTTTTTAGAAAATGTTTTCCATATTCCCCAATCTTAATTATTCATGATTCTTTAGATTGCATTTAAAACATTTTGTGTGAATTTAATGTTCACTGACACTGCTGTCTGATAATCCAGATATTCTACATGTAGCTCTCAAGCCAAATTGGACTTCTTTACCCTGTGGCCTCTAAAATTAAAAAAAATGTTCTTCCTAGTTAGCTAGTACTTCAGAAATAATGGGCCATGGGCCAGACTAGAACTTAACCACTTTTCTTCTGCTACTGTTGTTTAACCAGCTATCAAGTATCCTATTTCTAGGATTAGATAAATTGATAACTATAATTAAAACTGAATATAATCTTTTCATTAGGTACTTTTAAGTTGTTCACACTTAATTCCATTTGTACAGTAATTTTAACTTTCTGAAACTGAAGCATTTTAAAGGGTCACCAGGGATAGTGCCTGTAGCATTCATCAGATTCTTAGGGGTGAGAGGAGATGTGGTTGAGATGTAAAAATGGTTAAGAATATCTACTTTATACACATACATAAAACATTAAAGGTCAGTGTATTTTCAGGTCTTAGGTACTTTTCTTGTACTACCAGGACATTAAGTTGCCATTCAGTGGTTAAGAGTGTTGCCTGGGAGCTGTATCACATGTGCTTAAATCCATTCTTGAAATCATTTACTCCTTCTGAGCCCTTGGGCTATTTGGTTAATTTCTCTGAACGTTAGTTTGCTCATCTGAAAATGGAAATAATAATAGCAACTTCTTGACAGGGTTATAGTGAGAATTGAGTTCATCACTGTGAAATGCTTAGAAATGTGCATGACACATAGTTAATACTCAAGGAATTAGCCACATCACTATCATCATCACTGATTATCTTCCACTCTTACCCTCTTCCAGTTCATTTTCTGCCCAGCAGAATGATCTTTTAAAAAGTAAATCAGATCATGTTACTCTATTGCTTGAAGTCTATCCCATTTGATTAAGAATAACAACCTAATCCTCTGTGGATGCTGCCTCCTTCACCAGCCTGTCTCATGCTGCTCTCCCTACTCTTAGTTCCTCAAACATACCAAACTCTCCTGTCCCAGAGTCTTTTCGTGGTTTTTCCATCTGCCTAGGATGCTTCTCTCTCCTATTTTGTGTACCTTGCTAACTCCTGCTTACTGTCTTTCAGTTCTCAGCTTAAGAGTTATATCTTCATGATAACATTCTTTGATATCCTTACCCTAAGATTAAGTTAGATTGATATCCTTACCCTAAGAATAAGTTAGATTAGGTCTCTCTATTGTAGCACCTTAGACTCTGTCATTTGACAAATCACAGCCCTAATTAATTATTCTTAAAATTATTTAACATTCTCTCTCATGCTAGACCACAAGTTTCATGCAGGTAAGGCGGAGATTGTGTCCATTTGTTTGACCCCTTTGTCTCCAGGGCCTGGTAGAATGCCTCATACATAGTAAGAATTCAATTAATATTTTACACAGAGAAAAAATTAGCAACTTATTTAAACAAATATAACTGCTTCAGAGGTAAACTGGGCACATCTTAGTTATATTATGTGATATATGATGCTTTTTGATTGTTTTTTTAAATGTTCTACAAGGTAGATATTGTTAGAGGTCCTAAGTTACTTGATGTGTTACTTGTGGTGATTGTATTCTTTTCTTTTTATTCATTTAGGCAGAGCCTTAAGCACCAGTCCATAATAAAAAGCCAGTTGAAACACAAAGATATAATTACTAGCTTGTGTGAAGACATTCTTTTCTCCTTCCATTCTTGTTTACAGTTAGCTGAGCAGATGACACAGTCAGATGCACAGGTAAAATTTGGGCTAATAGCATTTTAAACAGCAACTCTTATTTTCTTTGGCAGTTAGTAAATCTCATTTGAATGTCTGGGTCAGTCTATTTAAGAGGATTTTAATTTATTTCATTTGGGTGTTTTTTTTTGATCTGTGGGATTATTTATATCCCATAATTACTTTTCACCCAGAGCATTGTATTAGATTCCTAACTGCTGTCATTGCCTCTGGGGTCTGCCTGGCTCCCTCTTTGCTTGGTAACTGGTTGGTCACAGCATTCTTCTCAGAATCCTTTCATTCTTTTCTGCATGAGAACAAAAATTCTTTTGTTCATATTTGTATAAGATCTGATATAGCTGCAATCAATCTTGCATTTTTTCTTCACCAACGCATTGCGACCTTTAGGGATACAAGTATGTTTGTGCATGTATATGTATGTATCAGTCTTTTAAATTTGATATAGTCATACATTTGTTTTTATTTTGAAAAGTTAGAGTGTTGAATTGGTATCCCATTTATGAAACATTATATTCTAAAAATTTGTAGTACGATTATTGGGAATTATAACTCATTTTCCTGTAACACTGTTATACATAGTACCTTTTGCTTTCAGACTAGCCCTCAATTTTATTTAACTATAGTAGTCCTAAATTATAAGATTAATAGTACTCAGGACCTAACAGTTATATGTCATTTGTTTTTTTTTTTTTTGAGATGGCGTCTCACTCTGTCACCCAAGCTGGAGTGCAGTGGTATGACCTTGGCTCACTGCAGCCTCTGCCTCACGGGTTCAAGGGATCGTTCTGCCTTAGCCTCCTGAGTAGCTGGGATTATAGGCGCCTGCCACCACGCCTGGCTAATTTTTTTAGTAGAGACGGGGTTTCGCCATGTTGGCCAGGCTGGTCTCGAACTCCTGACCTCAGGTGGTCCACCCGCCTTGGCCTCCCAAAGTGCTGGGATTACAGGTGTGAGCCACCGCGCCCAGCCTATATGTAATAATTTTAATGGGACCATGAATTGAATATTTCTTCCTTGAATAGCAATGACATAGCCCCTTCTATTGTACATCTGCAAGCTGATACAGGGAATTCCTTTGTACCTGCGCTCTTCCCTGCCAGTCAGCTATGGGGGTGAAAGTGTAGGGGTTCATCCAAGTCCTAAAACTGGTAGCAACTCCTAGGGCAGGGCTGATCTGGAAGGACAGACCCTAGGGGAGGGTGGAACTTTAAAAAGAAGTTCTGAAGGTAGTAAGAAGGAAATGAGGAGTAGTGTTAGGAAGGGGCTAACTTTTTTCTTCTTGCTTCTCTTCTTTATCTCACCTGCCCCTCCCCTTGTATCCCTTCTTCCTTTTTCCCTTTCCTTTTTTGTCCTCACTTCATTCGTGCATCCTTTCTGATTCCTCTTACCTTGCTAAAAGGAGAAGTTTGTTTGGGTATCCTATATCAATGGCAGGAAGGTTGTTTTCTTCTTTACCTTTATCCTATAGATTCATATTCTCAACACCAACCTCCTCCTTTTTCAGTTTCCTTCTTGCTTCTCTTGACACCACAGAGTTTGCAGCTAGTACTTGGAGAGGAAAATTAAACAGAGATACTTGGACCAAGAGTAAGATGAAGAAAGTCTAAACAACAGTATAGTCTATAGTGGCAAGAGAGAGTATGGGGGCTGCTTAGCCAGGGTGGCTGTACATAAAGTATATCTTCAGTTTATATAAACTGCTTATAGATGGAAATCAGAAAATTTAAATTCTCTTAACTGTCCAAGAAAATTCTCATTTTTTCAAATTTGGGACTGATAAATGTGACCAGTTCTGCTTACTGTCCATTGCCTGAAATGGAGCTTTGAGGTGGACTGTATAATTTCTTCAATCTTAACTCCAAATTCTGATCAGCGACGCCCTCTGCTGTTCACTATTAATATTTATTTACCAATCAAAGTAAAGTATTGAAGTTTTCCTGGCAGTTTTCACTTTGTGTTTTAGTCCATTTAGGCTGCTATAACAAAATCCCTTAAACTGGGTAAGGGATTATAAATATTAGAAATTTATCTCTCACAGTTCTGGAAGCTGGGAAGCCCAATATCAAGGCACCAGTAGATTTGGTGTCTAACGAGGGTGTGCCGTCTGCTTCAAAAATGGCCCCTTGTTGCTGCATCCTCACTTAGTGCAAGGGGCAAGACAGCTCCCTTCAACCTCTTTTATAAGGGCACTTATGTCATTCATGAGGGCAGAGCCCTCATGACTTAATCACTTCCCCAAAGGCCCCACCTCTTAATAGTATCACATTGGGTGTTAGGTGTCTGGGAGGACACCAATCTTCAAGCCATATCATCTCACTTGGAAAAAAGTCAAAATAAAACCAGTAGATTTAATTAATATTACACTATTTATAGAAGCATGTGATGTATCATTCCTTGTATTAATTTCCTGGGGTTGCCGTAACAAGTTACCACAAACTAGGTGGCTTAAAACAATAGAATTTTATTCTCTCACATTTCTAGAGGCAGAAGTTCACAGTGTGTCAATAGGGCCATGTTCTCTGGAAGGCTTTAGGGGAGAATATATTTCATATCTTTCTCTTAGCTTCTCGGTGTCACTGGCAATCCTTAGCTTACTTTGGCTTTCTGTGTCTTCACATCATCTTTTTATAAGAACACCAGTGATAGTGATTAAGGGCATACCTTACTTTAATATGACCTCATCTTAACTAATTATGTCTTCAATAACCCTATTTCCAAATAAGGCCACATTCTGAAGTATTGGGAGTTAGAACTTAAAGCTTTTTGGGAGGGACACAGTTCAACCCATAACAACCCCTAAAATCGATATTTATTCTCAATTAAGTCTTGAAATTGGTTTCAAAAAGAGAATATTCTATTAGAGTTTTTAATGTATAGTTTTAACATATAGTTCTTTAGCCCCCAATTTTTTTTTTTTTTTTTTTTTTTTTTTTTTTTTTTTGAGACGGAGTCTCGCTCTGTCGCCCAGGCCGGACTGCGGACTGCAGTGGCGCAATCTCGGCTCACTGCAAGCTCCGCTTCCCGGGTTCACGCCATTCCCCTGCCTCAGCCTCCCGAGTAGCTGGGACTACAGGCGCCTGCCACCGCGCCCGGCTAATTTTTTTGTATTTTTAGTAGAGACGGGGTTTCACCTTGTTAGCCAGGATGGTCTCGATCTCCTGACCTCATGATCCACCCGCCTCGGCCTCCCAAAGTGCTGGGATTACAGGCGTGAGCCACCGCGCCCGGCCTGCCCCCAATTATTTAGTTTTTCTATAAACAGGGAAATTTATTTGTGTGGCCCTTAGAACTAATTTAATTTCCACTCTAATTCCTACTTATGTTTATATAATGCTTTTAGAAATTTGTATTATTCAGAAAATAAACATATACTATTGTATCTGTTGCCTACACTTAGATTTTATTGCCTGCTATATTTAAATTTTATTAGTATTTTAATTGTTTTATTAAAGAAAGAATGTGCCTGTAATCTCAGCACTTTTGAGAGGCCAAGGCAGAAGGATTGCT
The DNA here is from genome assembly GCF_000001405.40 of Homo sapiens. NCBI lineage: Eukaryota > Metazoa > Chordata > Mammalia > Primates > Hominidae > Homo > Homo sapiens. The sequence goes on from NC_000001.11 coordinate 169,811,437, forward strand.
TGAGCCCAGGAGTTTGAGACCAGACTGAGCAACACAGGGAGACCCCCATCTCTACAAAAAATAAAAAAATTCTCCAGGCCTCATGGCACATACCTGTAGTTCTAGTTACTTGGGAGACTGGGGTGGGAGGATGCATTGAGCCCAGGAGATTGAGGCTGCAGTGAGCCATGATCAGGCCACTGTACTCCAGCTTGGACAACAGAGTGAGAGCTTGTCTAGATAGATAGATAGATAGATAATCTAAATAGATAATAGACAGATTATCTAAATAGATAATAGACAGATTATCTAAATAGATAATAGACAGATTATCTAAATAGATAATAGACAGATTATCTAAATAGATAATAGACAGATTATCTAAATAGATAATAGACAGATTATCTATCTAAATAGATAATAGATTATCTAAATAGATAATAGATAGATAGATTAGATAGATAGATAGATAGATAGAGCTTGGACAACAGAGTGAGAGCCTGTCTAGATAGATAGAAACAAAGAAAGAAAGAAAGAATGGTGCTCATATTTTAAAGCATTGAAAAATGGTCTTCCTTGCTTATATTACCCACACCTTCTTTGTTGGCATTAAGATGCAAACTTTGTTTTAAACAGTTGAGTAAATCAAAGATGGGACTGTTAAGTTATTTGTGTTATTTACCTGCTTTTTGAAAATGTAAAAATAAAACTCTAGGTTTAATTAGTAGTATGCTATTTAGTAATGAAGTAAAGCTAGAGGCTTCGAACAAATCTTGTGTAATTTCCTCTTGAATGAGAGAGAAAATTTAAAGTAAGCAAACAAATAAGTTGTGTGTCACCACTCATTCAGTCATTTAACAAGTATTTCCAGAGTACTTATTCTGTGCCAGGAAATGTTGTAGGTGCCCTCAACAACTTAGAGTCTAGCCTGAGACACAAGTAAGTAGGTAATTATTATAGAATGGTATGATCTTTGGAGGACTGGGTATTGGCTGGCTCATGGGAGTACAAGATAGGTACCCAGTGATGAAGTCAGGAAAGGTTTCTTATGGTGATATGATGACGTCTATGCTGATTATAAGGTCAGTGTAGAATAAACTTTGTGCTTTTAAATTTGCATAGCACTGTATTAGAGAGTTCATCTTCAAAATAATCGAAAAGGCTGAGTGTGGTGACCCATGGCTGTAATCCCAGCACTTTGGGAGGCCGAGGTGGGCAGATTGCTTGAGCTAGGAGTTCGAGACCAGGCTGGCCAACATGGTGAAACCCCGTCTCTACTAAAAATACAAAAATTAGCCAGGAGTGATGGTGCGCACCTGTAATGCCAGCTACTTGGGAGGCTGAGGCAGGAGGATCACTTGAACCCAGGAGGTGGAGGTTGAAGTAAGCCGAGGTCATGCCACTGCACTCCAGCCTGGGCAACAGAGTGAGACTCCATCTCAAAAAAAAAAAAAATGATCAAAGAAAGGTGAATTTTCATCTACCCTATTTCTGCTGAGGAAAATGGACTATTTTCAAATATTTTTAATAAGGGTCAAAATGAGGGATCATATTCCATTAGCGAACCATCCAACTCTGTTTTGATTTGGTTTAATGAAGATTTTGCTATATTGGAAAAGAAACATAGCCAATCAACATATAAGTTAAGATATGTTATTTTCATATGAAATAATTCACAAATTAAAGACAGTAATTTATTTGACTTAATTTTATGGCACTATTTAAAGCTGTTTGGATTATAGTGTGTATTATAAACTTGGGTGGTGGAACAACCAATATTTATTGAGCTAAGTTGCTTAAACGTCAGACACTGTTTAAATCTCACAATAATCCTGTATTAGCCTCATTATAGATGAGAAAACTGGGCCACAGAAAGGTTTAATAACTTTCCCCAGATCATATAGTAGTTGTAGTAGGACCAGGACTTAAATCCAGGCAGATGAATCTATAGCCCTCCCTGCATATTATTGGCACTACCCACTGTTTTATCAATTTACAAATGTAATACGTAATCAGAAAACTCACACATATTACACAAGTATCTAACATGGAAGGTTAAATCCTATTTTCGTCTACTAGAAAGAATCACAGGAAAGGTTTTGATTTATTTTGGGGGTGGTTTAACACATTTAAAAATAATGATAGGATTGTGTTATCATTAGAGTCAATAGACAAATCTCTGAAAACAGAACGTTTTATTTGGGAGGAAGTAATTGCACTTTGGAGCATTCATGCAGACCAATTGTTCGGTATGTCCACAGAAAAAGGAGAAGGTTAGCGGTCTTATAAAAAAGGAGACATATTACATATAGCTCTTCAAGAAAGTCCATTGGCACTAGATTTGGGGAGCTGTCAAGCTCTGATTGGTGAGTGATGGCAGTGGGTAACACTGGTCTTAGAGTTGCACTAGTTTCTTTCAGTAGCCCTTAGATAAAACTGGTTTCCGGTTACAGCAGGCAGTTTCAGCAGCCAGGCCTACAGAGAATTACATTTTGGGAGAAATGTTTTGTGCCCTGAGTGCTTTTCCCCTAGGCCTGTTGACTCTGTTTTAGTTGGGTATGACAAGAATGACTCAATTTTTGTAATTAATTTTACATTATACAAGTTGTTTACAATTTGATTTTTTACTTAACAGTTTATCCTTAGGGCTTTCTGTGTCCATGAAGATATATGTACCTGATTCTTATGTGATTATACTATAAATTTATAGTTGACCCTTGAACAATGCAGGTCTGAACTGCACAGGTCAACTTATGCAGACTTTTTTAAATTGTCATTTATTACCATAAAATAATACAAATCTATTATCAAAGGTTAAAATTTATCAAAACTTAGCACACAGAGACCATACATGGTACCATGCAGTTGAGAGAAATGTAAACAAAGGTAAATATGCAGTATTAAATCATAACTGCATAAAATTAACTGTGGTACATATTGTAGTACTATTAGGTTGTGCCAAAGTAATTGCAGTTTTTGCCATTATTTTCTATATATTCAGTATACAATAATTTCATAGCCACTTCCTGTTGCTGTTACTGTGAAAAGTGTTGCAAGGCCATGTGATACTAACCATCCCCACGTGAGCAGTTTGTCTCTCCAGTAAGTAAATTGCTTTTCTCAGTAAAAAGTTATTGCTTGAGGTGCCTCCATATTTTTTCATCATCTTTAATGCAATATGGAAACCCATAAGAAGTGCCACTAGTGATCCTGGAAGTGCTCCCGAGAATTCCTTGATACATATTGTAAATTGAGGTCTGCAACTGCAATTACCTGCCATTTCAGATAGATGATTCTTCTTGTAAATAGACAGTGTTAATACATATACAAAATATGTTAATCAGCTCTTTTTATTAGTAAGGCTTATAGTCAGTGGTAGGCTATTAGTAGTTAAGTTTTGGGAGACTCAAAAGTTATCCTCGGATTTTAGACCACATGGGGGTTGGCACCCCTAGACCCCATGTTGTTCAAAGGTCAACTGTATTTAGGTGTTCTCCACATGATGCACACTTGGTACATTTCAGTTTTCACTATATAAAAAAAGTTTTGTTTTTTTTTTTGTAAAGCGAAAGCAAGTTTATTAAGAAAGTAAAGGAATAAGGCCAGGCGCGGTGGCTCACGCCTGTAATCCCAGCACTTTGGGAGGCAGAGGTGGGTAGATCATGAGGTCAGGAGTTGGAGACCAGCCTGGCCAACGTGGTAAAACCCCATCTCTACTAAAAATACAAAAATTAGCTGGGCACAGTGGTGGGTGCCTGTAATCCCAGCTACTCCGGAGGCTGAGGCAGGAGAATCTCTTGAACCCAGGAGGTGGAGGTTGCAGTGAGCCGAGATCGCGCCACTGCACTCCAGCCTGGGTGACAGAGCAAGACTCTGTCTCAAAAAAAAAAAAAAGAAAAGAATAAAGAATGGTTACTCCATAGGTGGAGCAACCCCTAAGTCTCCTGGTTGGCCACTTTTATGGCCATTTCCTGATTTATATGCTAAACAAGGGGTAGATTATTCCCTTTCTGGGAAAGGGGTGGGCAATTCCCAGAACTAAGGGTTTCTCCCCTTTGTAGATCATATAGGGTAACTTCTGGTTGTTGCCAGGGTATTTGTAAACTGTGATGGAACTGATGGGAGTATCTTTTATCATGCTAATGCATTATAATTAGTGTATAGTGAGCAGTGAGGACAACCAGAAGTCACTTTTGTCACCATCTTAGATTTGGTGGGTTTTGGCCAGCTTCTCTACTGCATGCTGTTTTATCAGCAAGGTCTTTGTGACCTGTCTTGTGCTGACCTCCTATCTCATCCTGTGACTTAGGATGCCTAACCTGGAAATGCAGTCCTGTAGGTCTTGTCCTCATTTTACTCAGCCCCTTTTCAAGATGGAGTCCTCTGGTTAAAACACCTCTGACATATTTCCCTCCTCCCTTTTATAAGGGAACCCTTAATCCTAAGGGTTGTAGAGGGACAAATAGACATCTTCTATAACTTCTTCGGGCTGAATAGGGATGATGATATTCCTGCCTAACTATTGGGGTCTCTTATATTTGGGGTAGAGAGGAGATCAGTCAGAAAGTGTCAGTATGATGAGGGCCATTCATAACTCTCAATTCCAAAAAAAGATGATATCTGGAAGATTAGTAAGTGTTCGATTTAATAAAACATTCAGTAATTCATATTCCTACACAGAATTATCTTGTATTCCTACACAGAGAACAACAGCAGTATATTCTACAACAGTAAAGCAAAATAAGTAAAATTATCCCAAGTAAACTAAATAAGAAGGCTTTCCATGAACTGGGCAACTGTTGGAAACCAAGCTGATTCCAGTATGGGCCCAGAATTAGAATACTGATCCAGATTTTCACATTACCATCTCTCTTGTTTCTTCTGAGCAGCAGCCAGAGATCACTGGTTGGTTCACAGGAATAAGCAGGGTTAGTCTAAATTGCAGAAAAAACCCTCAAGAACAACTGATGAGAAAAACACTCAAAAACACCTAATAACAAGTGTACCATAGTTTTTGAAACATAATTTTTTTCTCTCTCCAGTCTCCCATTTTTACTAAAGGCAAATCATGATAAGACTGATTTGCTTTTTTATACTTGGTCTGATTATCTGTATAAAGTACAGCAAGAATAATTATTTTTCACATGGGCTTTTTAAAATTGGCTTTGATGGAACTCTGTTTCATAAGGAAACTCAGATAAGACTTTTTAAAATATGAATTGGGTAAATTCCTTTCCTCTTGAGGTCCCAAGATAACTTGGGGCTCCTGGGCCTGTCAGAAAGTGACATTCTTTATTTACCACAGGTAAGGAACCCTGTACAGGGACTGCATAAACAAGGTATGAGGCAAGTTTTCCCAAGGGCCTTTATTGGCTTTATAAGTCAAGTTTGATTCCTTAAAGGAAAGCACACTATTCCAGCCAAAGCCTTGGTAAAATAACCAGTTTCTCCAGTTGTGTCCTGTTGCAAAAGAAAACATTCGTATTGCACTTATGCAAATAACTATATTGCTGTAAGTTAAGAATATTCATAAATAGGTTCCAAATTCTGGAGAAATCAGAAACAAATATGCTCCAAATTTTATTCACAGTGATATACTTTACTCAATTGTTAAACAGCTCAAAGAAAAGCTCACAACAGCTCAAAAGAAGTTTTCTTGACTCTGAAAAATAAAACAAAGAATCAGCAACATTTTAAACAAAAAGTAAAAAAAAAAAAATTACTTCAGTCTTCTGTTAGTTCAGTCCATGTAGTTAATGCTTGCCCTGTTTGATATCCACGAACACTCCATCTCTTCATGAGAGTCCTGAAAATTTCTTTCCTCTATTTTAATGTCACAATTGCCAAAGTTATCAGAAACCTGCATTGAAAAGCACCTGTCAAAGTCCTGTAGCTGATTAAAAATCAACTTTTGATTAAAACAAGACAACAATTGTCTGTGGATGACAAAAAGCCTTAGGGCAGCCTCTGTTAAAGCCATAATTGACTGGGGATTTTGGTTACTTCTGTGGCAGATAACAATTTTATATAACAATTATAGTATACATTAAGTCATATCAGAATTATAGTTGTTTCCCATAATTTTGGAACACATGCCAATAACATATTTATACAAATATAGCCCAAAGAAAGCCAAACATCATTTTATATTTGACTATGCTTCCTGTATGATTTTTATACCAAAAAAGCCAAGTTTCACCTTTGCACTAGTGTCCTATTGATGTTAACCCCAATTCTTAATAAAACTGTATAGACAAATCTATCTAATTTTAATCAGTATAAAATGTAATCAGTATAAAACTGTATAGACAAATCTATCTAATTTTAATCAGTATAAAATTTAATCAGTATAAAATCTAATTTTAATCAATATAACCATAAGGTAAGATTCTCATAAACTATTTACAACTCTTTACAATTTTTGTTAAAGAGTAGATTATTGCTCTCAGGAAATCCTGTTGTGATTTTTTCCAGTGTTCAATTTATGGAAAAACTGAATAATGCCCCTTTAACTTTAGCCAATATGTTCACACAGATTTTTTTTTTTGCAAGATTAATTTTTTACAAATGTTGTACAACTTGCTCAAACCTTCAGCGTTATCCTATTTAACTTAAAACAATCCTATCCCCCTTTAATCTAGGTCAAAAATCCACATTCCCATGCTTTCTTATAATCTTTTACCAAAAACACATTTCACTTTCCTTACATACCTGTAATGTAAAACTGTTTCTTCAGTAGTCTTCAATTACATGTTACAATGTTAACTCTTAGCAACTTTTACTTATGGTGGAAAACCTTGGTAAGTAAGGAATTCTAATTATGTACTAGGTATGGAGCCTAGGACACAGAACAGAAGTGTAGGTAAGGTCTGACTCTTTCTAGCATAGCTAGGGGGCATGGCTAACACCACATGTCCCCAGGCCTTACCTAGAATCTGCTCCAAAGTTAAACAGTTTTCAAAAGTCAAAGAAGCAGTTTATGACCTTAAAGCATTTAGCAAACCTAATATCTAACCTGCCTAATTTAAACCACGTCTTTATTTTGAAGATATTTTAATTTTACCAATAATCTTTAAAACTGTATTTCCCAGAAATTACTTAAGTCACATGAACTAAAAGGCATTCCACTTTTTACTTTTCTGACAAAATATTTAAGTGTTCATTATTTTTAAACCAGTTATCAAGCTCTTTTATATTTCATACACAATACATATAAATATACAGAAGAAGAGATCCAGTAGTTATTAGATTTTTCATTTGCCAGTTTTATTTATTTATTTATTTATTTTGAGACAGAGTCTTGCTCTGTTGCCCATGCTGGAGTACAATGGCATGATCTTAGCTCACTGCAACCTCCGCTTCCTGGGTTCAAGTGATTCTCTTGCCTCAGCCTCCCAAGTAGCTGGGATTACAAGCATGAGCCACCACACCTGGCTAATTTTTGTGTTTTTAGTAGAGACAGGGTTTCGCCATGTTGGCCAGGCTGGTCTTGAACTCCTGACCCCAGGTGATCTGCCTGCCTCAGCCTCCCAAAGTGCTGGGATTACAGGTGAGCCATCACCCCTGGCTCATTTGCCAGTTTCTTAATTGGATTACTGGCTTTAGGGTAGAGCCCTTGGAGGAACAGGGCCAGGAAAGCATGCGGTTTCTACAGCCTAATAAGCAGGCACAGTTGGAACGCAAAATAGATCCGCCAAAATTAAGTGTCCCATTTGTATACTGGATCCTGGATTCCCAAAAGAGAAACACTATAGAAAAAGGCAGTCCAATGATTTTACCATGCATTTCATTGCAAAGTAACCCAAAGCCAATCAGTCTATTCTGTGATCAGCCCATCACTCATGGGAGTTGTATCTCTCAATGGGGGTTGAGGGGAAGGTGGGGACATCCCCATACCTTCTAAGTGGCCAAGAGCATGCTTCTGATCCAAATGTGCAAAGATCTTGAGTATCCCCCTCGTGCCATTAGTTATCCCCAAAAGTATATTTCCTACCTAGTTATATACCAAAGCTCTGTGAAGTAATTTATGATACCTCCAAAGTGAAAAACATCAGATAATGCAATGCAAAGCAGAACAGAACAGAGCCTTAGATTTTGAGAGGGATCTATCCACTTTTAATTCTTGGGGTTCCATGAGGAAAATAGAGGTTTTCACTAAAAAAGGATCTGTGGTGCCCCCTCTGTTTTCCGATGGAGTCCCAGGCTGTTAGAGCTTGAATGTCTACTTTGAATTAAGCTGACTTTTAACCACAGCACTTTTTAAAACGTCCTTTTAAATCCCCTATTACCCGACTTTAGCCATGCCAAAGTGCGGATATTTCTGGCTTTTGAACGTTACCAAAGGTAACCTTCCAGGTGCTCAGAGAAAGAAAAATTCAAGACAGTTCATGGAGGGGAAGAGAATCAACAAATGGTAAAGGTCACACAGATATCAACCAGAAAGTACTCATTGCCTTTGCCAGATTGAACCCGGGCCGCCAGCCATTGTAAAATGGCAAAGCCTTAGCTGCTGAACTCCAGCACTAGGCAATTTCCATTGTTCTTTCCAGAAGGAGCCCAGAGCAGCCAATTTTGAGCTTGCAAAGGCTCAAGATAATTTTTAGAGCTAATTAAAACATGAACCCCCAAATTCCTGTCCTCTGGATGGTAGAGACAAAGAGCAAGTACTGCCATGTGGTTACAAGGTCAAGCTCCTAAGGACATTTTTCAACATGTGGTCTCTGGGCAAGATGAAAGAGTGGACAGTTGATCTGAGTAACAGAAAAGATAAGAAAGGGAAAGGAGAGAATGGGAGAAAAGCATTGCCTGTGGCAGGGTGGGGAAGGTGAGGAGCTCAGGGAGGCCTGAGAAAGACCCCTCCATTGCAGTGACACTGAATCAAGTTCAGGCAGCACTTGTCTGTAGTGAAGGGACCTTTTTCAGCAGTCCCATCAGCTCAAGTTTCCCCTTTTGGGGAGGATAAAAGCTCCCCACGTCCCATGATTCTGTACATGCCTAATCCTGTCACCCACAGCCGTCAGCAGGAGTGCAAGGCCAAGTAATCCAAAGAGAATAGCAGTTAACATCCCGTAGTGCCAAACCAGTTCTTAGCCAAGAGGGACTTTACTGAGGGGGATCTCTAACCCCCTAAATCTTAAGAAGGAGTCTAATTTTCCTAAGTTGGGCCGCAAACCAAAGTTCAGTCAAGCATCTTTTCCTTTTATTAAGAGGGGCGTTTAAACCCACCCTGTCTTAGGAGAGACTCTAACTCCCGTAAGTTAGGCCTCTAACCCAATCCTCTTCATCACCTGGGTACCCCACTACTTAACGAAAGTTGACTAATTGGTGCTGCAGTCTGCTTTTTGGGGCTGGAGGTTTCCTCAGTATTGTCCCTACAGGGTTTGCCAGGAAGTTATTACTGGAAAGGGGTCCTGATCCAGACCCCAAAAGAGGTCTGGATCTTGTGCAAGAAAGAATTCAAGGTGAATCCATAGAGTAAAATGAAAGCAAGTTTATGAAGAAAGTAAAGGAATAAAGAATGGCTACTCCATAGGCAGAGCAGCCAAATATGTCACATTGCATACCTATGCTAGTATTTCTATAGACTGTATTTCCAGAAATTGAATTGCTACTCAATTAAGGTGTTTTAACATTTCAACTTTTAATAATAATGTATTATTTTATGCTCCCACCAATGGTAAAAGAAAGTGCTTGTTAACTTACTTCCTTACTAGTGCAGGGATATTATCAGTCTTTTTAATCTTTGCTAATCAAATAACCCTCAAACCTCCCCCTTCCCGAAATATATATAATTAAGTTATAATTTGGATATTTTTCAGTAGCAGTTTGTTTTGTCTTTTTTGTGTAATGTGTTTTTATGTCTTTACCTGTTTTCTTTTATATATCATTCTTTCTTTGATTTGTAAGACCTTTTTCTTTTGACCATCCGTTAAATTGATCCCCATGTAACAAAGAATAAGGTATTTAAATTTCTTTCACTTTCAGATCAACTGAGAAGGATCACCTCTTTTGCTATCGTAGGTTAAGATTTCTTTTCTTTTCAGTAATGTAGAATTTAATTTAATACCTCTGTTGTCATTTGTTATTTGTATCGCACCTAATAATTCAAAGAGGAGTTATATTTTCTCGGAAAAATTTTATACTGTGTTTAAGAGGGGTTTTTTTTGTTTTTGTTTTTAGAAAATATTGTCTCATTTGTAAGCTTAGCTAATTTTATATTCTTTTCTTATTTATTATGCTTTCTTATTTCCCTTTTTGGATCAGGATAATGCTGACTACAGATTATTTCAGAAAACACTCAAATTGTGTCGTTTTTTTGCCAACTCCCTTTTGCACTACGCTAAGGTAAGGCTTTATTATACGTTACTTTATTTAATTGTAGTTCTCTCAGAAAACGAATTATTATCCCTATTCCACAGAATAGAAATTTCAAGCTCAGATAGCATATAACTTGATCAAGTCACATATCTAGAAACCGGTAAGGCTGGGATTTAAGTACAGGTGTGATTTCTTTATCATTTATGGTTAGACTATGTCTTAGAAAGTAAAAAAAAAATAGTTTTTATTGTATTATAAGATATAGGAAAAAGCTGATGGTCATTTAAAAATTTTTAAAGATTCCCCTGATAGAATTGATTTTTTCAGAAAGACAAGCAGCATAGTTAGAGAAAACTTTGCTTCCCTACACACCAAGTAAATATCAGATGGGTAACAACTACCCGTCAAGTGCCATTGGTACATTTCCCACAATGTGTCTTTGCCACTGGAATACAAACCCTGCAAGCTGCAGGGAACCCAGTGTAAGAAGCAGCCAACTACTCTTAAATGGCAGCTGCCCAGAAAGACCAATTTGGATGGCAGTGTATCAGTAGCCAGGGTACCAGCCATGGCATTCTGACTATAATAAATCGTCATTGGAAACCCTTATCTTTCGTCAAAAACAGAAGACTAGGTCAAAAACAAATTGAACATGGACAATAGTTTTTTTAAAAACCACTAATATCTTTTACTAATAATGTTTTGTTCACTGGCTGCTGTAAGCATTCTCTGCTCATCTTTGCAAATAATCTGCCTTGACAACTTTTCTATTTATTAATTTTTTTGAGACAGAGTCTCGCTCTGTTGCCCAGGCTGGAGTGCAATGGCGTGATCTTGGCTCACTGCAACCTCTGCCTCCCAGGTTCAAGTGATTCTCCTGCCTCAGCCTCCCGAGGAGCTGAGACCACAGGCGCCTGCCACCACACCCAGCTAATTTTTGTATTTTTAGTAGAGATGGGGTTTCACCATGTTGGTCAGTCTGGTCTTGAACTCCTGACCTCAGGTGATCTGCCTGCCCTGCCCTCCCAAAATGCTGGGATTACAGGTGTGAGCCACTGTGCCCGGTCGACAACTTTTCTATTTTACAGTTATCGCTACTGTTCTGATGACTCTCAAATACGCAGCCCTCTTTAAAATTATGACACAGTTTTTAACGTTTGAACATTGTGGTTAAATAGAACAATGAGTTTTTTAGCCTCATCCTCCTTTCATTCTCATGTTAAGAATTTTTTTTTAGTGCTGGGTGTGGTGGCTCATGCCTGTAATCCCAGCACTTTGGGAGGCCAAGGCAGGTGGATGACCTGAGGTCAGGAGTTCAAGACCAGCCTGGACAACATGGTGAAACCCCTCCTCTACTAACAATACAAAATTAGCCGGGCATGGTGGTACATGCCTGTAATCCCAGCTGCCTGGGAGGCTGAGGCACGAGAATTGCTTGAACCTGGGAGGCAGAGGTTTCATGAGCCGAGATCACAACATTGTACTGCAGCCTGGGCAACAAGAGTGAAACGCTATCTCAAAAAAAAAAAAAGAAAAGAAAAGAAAGAAAAACAAATAATTTTTTTAAAAGGGGTCACATTCAGGATTTTATGTTATTTTGCATACCTTTGTGAGATTATATGTACTAAAGAGACATATTTTTATGCAAAGAATGAATAGAGTTGTTTTATTTTAGGAATTTCTTCCTTTCCTCTCTGATTCTTGCTGTACTTTGCACCAACTGTATCTTCAGATACACAGGTAAGAAGAATGCCATATGATTATTAAGATACAACAATGCCATCTGTGCCATGCAGTGCTTAAGTACCTACCATTTTATGATAAAACAGAATAATTTTTCTTAATGTTTTAGTAATTTTTATCTGCTAGCTTGAAATAATTGGAGATAGAGGCTTTTGAAAGATACATTCCACATGAGTTATGCTTATCTTTGTATTTTATTAGTACCTTATACAGGAGTAATAATTAGTAGGTGATAAAATCCAATGGCAAATATAAATATATATATACACAAATATACGTATACCTTTATTTTTCTATTGGCATTTTTTAATCTTTATTTTTATTTTGTTTCTATGAAGTTTAAGTCACTTAGCCTCCATTTAAATTTACATTTTGATACCTTTCTGTAATTCACTTTACAGGACAGTCTTTTTTCTGAAACCATCTCAGAAAAGAACTGAATTACAGAAAGGTATCAAAATTTAGATGGGGGCTAAGTGACTTCTAAAATTGATGGTTTCCTCCAAAGAGCCCTAAATTTGACACAAAGTGAGTTCATTTATCCAGCAGTCCTGTTGCAGCTTCATAATTCATTTAGTGTCCCAGACAACTTTTTCACACCTTTCCTTCCTCAAACTTCCTGTATCTTCCAACACCTTCCCAATTCCTCACTGTCAATGACCTCACTTCCTGTGTCACTGAGGAAAAATGGAAGCAATTAAGAGAGCTGCTGTATGTTTCCTCTAACACATCTACTATTCTATGTGTATCTAGACCCATATATTCATTCCCTCACTCCCATGAGTGAACTGTGCCCCTAAGACTAGCCTCTCCATTGTGCATTGGATTTCATCCTCTCTCACAGGCTCAGTGACCTTGCACCAGCAATTATTCCCTTTCCCTCTTGCATCATCAGCCTTTCCTCCATACTGGGTCACTCTCATGAGTATACAAATATGCTGTTATTTTTCCCATCTTAACAATACAAAACAAAATCTCTTGACTCTACGTCCTCCTACAAATACCGTCTCGTTTCTCTGCCTTTCTTTACAGCAAAATTTCTAGAAAGAGTTGTCTATACCCCTGTCTCAACTCTTTCTTGAATCTAGTCCAATCAGGCTTTCTGTACCAACACTTCATCAAAATAGTTCTTGTTAAGGTCATCAGTGACCACCACATTGCTGCATCCAGTAGTCAATTATAGTCCTTCTGTAACCTGTCAGTAGCACTTGATCCTCTTTTTTGAACACTTTGTTCTGTTGGTTTCTAGGGCATGTCTCACTCTTGGTTCTCTTCTAGTCTTACTAGCTGCTCCTTCTCAGCCTCCTTAGCAGGTTTCTCTTCTAAGTTAAGTGTGTCCCAGCACTTACTCCTCAGGCCTGTTATCTGTCTATTATCATTTAGTCTCAAGACTTTAAGTTTATGTCTCCTTTAATGTTTAACTACTAGTCAGGACATCTATACTAAATTGTCCCAAACTGAACTCTTGATTTCCACCCATATCATCCTCATACCCAACAAAATCTGTTCCTTTTGTAACTTCTTTATTTCAGTTTAAGTGGCAGTTCTTCAAATTGATCAGGCCAAAAAACCTTGCCCTATTAACATGTTCTGTCAATGTTACCTTCAGTGCACACACGCACACGTACACGCACTTCTCATCACCTGAACTGCTACCATCTGATCTGACCCCCTATTATTTTCTTGCCTGGATTTTGCAAAAAACTTTCTATCTTTGCCTCGCGCTAGTTTGTTCTCCACAAAGTAGCCAAAGTAAATGATAAAATACATAAATCAGATGATGTGACTTCTCTGCTCAACCCCTCAAAATGACTTTCATCAATGGAACTTCTTGTCTTTCTTTCCTTGTTTTATTTTTCTTCTTTACAGCATTGAATTAACCTCTGCTATATTATGTATTTACTTGTACACTTGTCTGTTAACTGTCCCCTTTCATTAGAATTGTAAACTATAAAGACAGTGACTTTGTATATTCTCTTTATTACTGTATCACCCACTCGTGGAACAGTGCATGGCATGTATACATAGGCACTTAGTAAACATATGTCAAATTAATTTAAAAATAGTTGATTGAAAAAATAAATTCTTGCAATGATGCTCAGTAGATGTAATTCAAGTCTGTGGAATTTCATTACTATGTTTTATTTGTATATGTCTTTTATTTATTTATAATTTAATCCTCACAGTAACTCAGAATCAATGTCACAAATGATGAAACTGAGTCTCAGGGAGGGCAAATGAATGAACCAAAGTCATGTAACTAATTGACAGATTGGTGCTTTTTCCATCACTCTACAAAAACCTCAAGTGTTTATCTTAAGTGCATACTTTAAAATGCTGTTATCCTCTGCTAGACAGAGTTTTCTCATGTATTGTCAAGTTTACAATTAATGTGGCAAAAAATATAGAATACATATCTTAGTTCACATAAGTTTTGATTGAAGTTCAGTTTAAAATCCAGTTACTGAGACATTTTCATGAAATAATCTTTCCATTCTTCAGTGTTAGTATACAGTTTATTTCTTGTAAAGCTCTTGCTTCTGAGAAACTGAGTATTAATTCATAGTAAATTCAGCATTCTGCCTATTTTAAAACAACTTTTTTTTTCTTTTTTGAGATGGAGTTTCGCTCTTGCTGTCTAGGCTGGAGTGCAATGGCGAAATCTCGGCTCACTGCAACCTCCACCTCCCAGGTTCAAGCAATTCTCCTGACTCCGCCTCCCAAGTAGCTGGGATTACAGGCATGTGCCACCATGCTTGGCTAATTTTGTATTTTTAGTAGAGACGAGGTTTCTCCATGTTTGTCAGGCTGGTCTTGAACTCCCAACCTCGCTTGCCTCGGCCTCCCAAAGTGCTGGGATTACAGGCGTGAGCCACCACACCCGGCATTTTTTTTTTTTTTTTCTGAGATAGAGTTTCACTCTGCCGCCCAGGCTGGAGTGCAGTGGCGCAGTCTTGGCTCACAGCAACCTCTGCCTTCTGGTTTCAAGTGATTCTCCTGCCTCAGCCTCCCGAGTAGCTGGGATTACAGGCATGCACCACCACAACCAGCTAATTTTTGTATTTTTAGTAGAGACGGGGTTTCACCATGTTGGCAAGGCTGGTCTTGAACTCCTGACCTCAGGTGATCCACCCGCCTCAACCTCCCAAAGTGCTGGGATTACAGGCATGAGCCACCACGCTCCGCCCAAAAACAACTTTTAATAGAAATAAGCTAGAATTTATCAGACATAGTCTTTTCAATATATATTTTTACTTTTGATTTAAGATTTAGATTTTTATAGTATTTTTAAGGATATTGTGAAAATGATATCAGTGCCTCAAAGCAACAAAGATTTCTCTAAGATTATCAACTTCTCATTTTATAGAATTATGGCTATGTTTAGTTTAGAGATCTTGATCCAATTCTGGTATCAATTCAGTACTTTGAATTTTGTTTTATAAAATGCACACTTATTTTTAAAAACTTAGTTTTTAATATATTTTTACTACCAGAACATCAGTTTATAGTACTTACTCTACCTAAAATTAGAAGATAGCTATTAATGAATGAGTTTTTTTTCTCTCCCTTCCCAGCAAGTTTCCTCCAAGCCTTTATGCTACCAGGATTTCTAAAGCACACCAAGAGGAAATAGCAGGTGCTTTCCTAGTGACACTGGATCCACTTATCAGTCAGCTGCTCACATTTCAGCCTTTCATGCAGGTGGTTTTGGACAGTAAATTAGGTAAGCTTCAAAATAGATTTAATGATAAATCATCTATTATGACATGTTAGAGACACTGATTTCCCCTAGCCATTCTTTTTTACAATTAAGAAATTTTTATTAAGTTTCTTTTACTTTCTTTTCTTGAAACATATTTCTTATTTAAAAATTATACCTGGCTGGGCACAGTGAATCACACCTGTAATCCCAGCACTTTGGGAGGCCGAGGTGGGCAGATCACCTGAGGTCAGGAGTTCAAGACCAGCCTGACCAATATGGTGAAACGCCATCTCTACTAAAAATACAAAAATTAGCTGGGTGTGGTGGCATGTACCTATAGTCCCAGCTACTCGGGAGGCTGAGACAGGAGAATCGCTTGAACCCAGACGGTGGAGGTTGCAGTGAGCTGAGATTACACCACTGCACTCCAGGCTGGGTGACAGAGTGAGACTCTGACTCAAACAAAAAAAAATTATTCCTTTACGTATTAATCAGATTTCTGCTGAATTAATGTGTTTTTATTACATGTAAGACCTGCCATGTGAACTGCAGTTTCCACAATGTCTTCTTCTGGTTGTTGTCATGGATAAGCTGCCATCTCAGCCTAAGGAAGTGCAAACCCTGTGGTGCACAGACAGCCAGGTCTCAGAAACGACAACCAGGTAGCAAACATGTTTTTATCCAGTCATATTACCAATGGTTAAGAAGGCCCTGTTGTTTGGAATGGTCTTGAAATTAAGTTTGTGTGTTTTTTTTTTAAATCAGATATTTATGTTAATAGTTATTGTGTAGACACACATATATATTGCTACTTTATAAAAGCAGATAAATATAAAATATATAAACCTATATTAGATGCTAAAAATATTTTAATATTTAATTTTGTTCAGTATTGCTTAATGGTCAGCATTATAAACATTGATTGTAATAGAGTAGCTATAAGTAGAAACATTTAAAAACGAGCTCTGATAAATAGAACACTAGACACTGTAAGGTATATCCTGGCAAATTTAACCTTTAATCATCTTCCTTGCCAACACCGTAGTCCAGGCTCTAGTTTCTTTCTTCCTGGATTACTCTGTGCTCTAATTTTTCACCTCTTCCTTTATCCCATTCTGCGTACCACGATGAGGTTAGTCTCCCTAAACCTGGCTCTGAGCTTCCTATTCTGCTCAAAAACTGAAACATAATGTTAGAACTTCTCAGCTTTGGATTTAAAGCCTGTCCCATACTATTGTCATCTTCTGCTTTTTCTCCTCATTCTTGTATTCATTTTCAACACATATTCCTTGCTTCTGTCACCCCCTTATTTGTGTGCTTTTACTCGTGCTTTTGTCTTCTTTACGTACTTACAATTTGAACAGTTTTGTTTTGTTTTTTTTTTGTTTGGAGCAGGGTCTTGCTCTGTCACCCAGGCTGGAGTGCAGTGGCATGACCATGGGTCACTGCAGCCTCAACTTCCTGGGCTCAAGTGATTCTCCTACCTTAGCCTCCTAAATAACTGGGACTAATGGTGTGTGCCAGCTGTCCTGGCTAATTTTTAAATTTTTTCTAGGGATAAGGTCTCACTATGTTGCCCAGGTCTTCCAACTCCTGGGCTCAAGTGATCTTCCCGCCTCGGCCTCCCAAAATGCTGGGATTACAGGCGTGAGCCACTACACCCTGCCCATAACTTGACTATTTTTAATTTGTTGTTTAAATCCTCTAAGTTTCTTCAACCATTTTAATCTTAAAATGACTCCTCGTCTGCTACTTATTTTCTGTTTTTCCATATAATATCTAATTTAGCTATTTAAGTTTCAAGTTCCTTGAGGAACTTTGACTTTGTGTAACTCAGTACCAAGATAAACAGTTGGTAAATGATGCAAAAAATGTCCAGGAAAATTCTCCTTTAAGGAATTTCTTTGACAGTGAATATATTTTCCTTTTATGTGTACATATTCACACGTGTTGGAAACTATTGCTGATTATACCTCTTGAAACATTTTCTGCTTAAACAACCTTCCATGTTACATATTATTATTATAATTGCTAATTAGTAAATGTTATTAATGTTGGGTTCAATGTTCTCAATTTCCCTGCAGGATATCTCTACTCAAAGCCGTTTTCTACAGTTTTGAGCAGTGTTCTGGTGAACTCTCTCTACCTGTTCATTTACAGGGATTAAAGAGTAAGGGGAAAGCTGAGGTGGCTGTCACCTTGTATCAGCATGTTTGTGTTCATCTGTGTACATTTATTACTTCCTTTCATCCCTCACTGTTTGCTGAACTGGTAAGCATATTACTTACTGTGCTAAGCTAAGGTTACACTTTTGCTTTCTCTTCATTGAAATTGTGATTCATATACAGAAGAAAATGTGGGAATACTTAGTATATTCCTTTTGAGTGAAACTTAGTTGTGTCCTAGAAAATGGTAATCCCAGATTCCTGTATTATTTAGATCTAATATTTGGCTAAAATATTTGAGAAAACATTTTGGGTGGGGAGGTATGCAAAGACAATGTGAGAAGAGGAAAAATATGTAGTACTTAAGTAAGTTTCAAAAGAAAAGTAAATAGCTTGTAGTATCAGGTCTCTTATAGATCTCAGACATAATATAGATTTTAAAAAGGATAGAATTTGATTTGAAAAGAGGTTAAGAAATTCTAGGAATTCGATACTTGTAATATCTGAAATTTAAAGATCAGTAGCATTTCAGATATTACACAATATCTAGCACCTATTAAATGTTGTATGTGAATAAAGGCAGAAAGAGGAATATAAGCATATATGTTATTTATGTTGTTTTGAATATTTCAGGCTACTTAGAGAATCTTTGTGGATCCTAGTGACTGAGTTATTACATTTAAAATCATGTTGAACTCTCCATAGCACAGCACAGTACTTAATGTATAGTAGGTGCTCAATAAATATTGAGGGAATGGCAGTGTCCTTTCAGATACTAGAAAGTAGAACTCCCCCATTGAGGATCTGTTATTTGGATTCTGATAGTGCTTTCTTGTTTTATTTTGAGAAATATAATATTATTGCTTATTGTGAACTTTAGTATTTAAATAAATTAATTTTTCTGTTTTTGATTAGGATGCTGCTCTGCTGAATGCTGTACTTAGTGCTAATATGATCACCTCTTTGTTAGCTATGGATGCATGGTGCTTCCTTGCTCGGTACAACATATTTGCTTTTTTGTTCTTTGGATTGGTTATTAGTAGTGACTGACAGTAGATAATTTTATAATTGTAAGCTTATAGAAAAACTGTTTCAATAATCCTTTAAAAATAATTCCCAAAACGCTTTGATTTCATATTACAGCATTAAATTAGGAAACAAGTTCTTTCTTTGGTTCAAGCCAATAGATGAGTACTGTTTAGGGAGTTTTGTATATTGTGATATTATTTGGTCATGGAAATAATGGCAGTTTTTAATGTCCTCATCAGAATATTTAGTGCTTTATGCAAGTTCATCTCCTTATGTTTCTGAGTAATTGTATAAACATAGTTGTCTTCTCTTTTATATTGCAGATATGGGACTGCTGAACTGTGTGCACACCATGTCACCATAGTGGCTCATCTGGTGCGTAGAATTACAAGGCCTAAAACACCCACTTTCTATGCACTTCCTTTGGGGATATGATAATCTTTAAGAATGTGAATATCGGCGGGAGAAATATCACAGTAACAAGATTGTTTTGACAGTCTTTGTCTTGTATTAATGCTGATGCTTTTAAGAAGGATGTACTAAAAAACCGTTAGTGTGAAACTGGGAATGTTTTCTCATATTCTCAGGATTTTATGTAATTTCAGTAATTGTTCTGGGAAGGAAAGACTGGGTTAATTGAAATTACATTTAAAATTGAATGCAAAGTAGAAAATAAGAGCGACTTATAATTGATGGCCAAGAGGTTTCTCTCTTCTGTCTCTCTAATATGCCTTAGACAAGTCGACTCTTGATTTTGTTGTATTTTTTTTTTAAGTCAAGATGATTTGAGAGGAACTTGAGTTTGACATTGATAGATACTTTTGGCAAAAGAAGTCATGTTTTATGAATGGGTACAGACAGAAAATTATTTTATAATGATTTCATCATCTTAACATTAACATTTTTTGCTTTTAAATTCTGAGGTGTTTTATGTGTTCCATATAAGATGATTATGACCTATTTGTTACATATTTTTTTCCCTGGCCTTTAAGATCTTATGTGGGCCATACATCTTTTGTTTTCTAATAGTCTTATTGTATCATATATTTCTTGGTTTACCTTTAAAGGATTTTGTAGATCAGATCCAGTGAGGTGTGTAATAACCTGAACAGCTGACATCTATGTCTCCATGGCTGATGGTCTGGATTATCACTTACACACTTTACTAAATCCTTAACATATCTTTCACAAAGCAGATAAAGAGTGATTTTTATGTTATGTGTTTTATGTCTGAAGTTTCCTTTAAATAAAAGCTTTCTTAGTGCATTATGTTGTAGGAATGGATTTCTTCTAGTTCATTATGATAAAATTGATTCCAGGATGGAATGATACTATATTATGATAGGAATTGATAAAATTGAATTTATAAAATTTTTTTGTTAGTGGTGGTTTTTTTCTTAGAGACAGGGTCTCATTCTGTCACCCAGGCTGGAATGCAGTGGTGTGCAATCATAGTTCACTACAGCCTCAAACTTCTGGGTGCAAATGGTCCTCCTCCCTCACCCTGCTGAGTAGCTGGGACTACAGGCATGCGCCACTATGCCCAGCTGATTTTTAAAACTTTTTGTGGATATGGAGTTCTTGCTGTGTTGCCCAGGCTAGTTTCAAACTCCCGGGCTCAAGCAGTCCTCCCACCTTGGCCTCCCAAAGTGCTGGGATTACAGTTGTGAACCACCACACTCAGCCCCTGTAACATCTTTTAATGAAGCTTCTGTCTTGTAGAGTTTTATCTACCTCTCTACTATTGTAGTTAGATCTTAAAAAGTTCCATGAATTGTCTTTGAGTAGGAGGACTGACATACCCAGTTATCATCAAAATGATAATTAGAAATAGAAATTACAGTGTTAAATATGTCAGAAGTTCAATCTCATTCTAAATTTAGATTCATTGAAGATAAGAAAAGCCCCAAATTAAAAGTCAATATTACCTACAATCTTTTCCCCTAGAAAGAGCTGCTATTAATATTTTGGCATATTCTCTTCTTGTAAAAATTCTGATTCTAAATTAGTCAGTCTCTCCTCTCTCTCTCATGTCTTTTTCCAGATAAAGTCATGCCCTGGAGAATGTTATCAACTCATCAACCTATCAATACTGTTGAAGCGTCTCTTTTTCTTCATGGCACCACCCCATCAGGCAAGGAAGGATATCATCTTTGTCACTGTCTGTGAAGCTGCTCAGAGTTGGATTCAGACTCCTTTGATAGCCTTTTTTTTTCCATTTTTAAAAATTTATCTTATTATTTTTTTTGAGACAGAGTCTCGCTCTGTCACCCAGGCTGGTTTTACAGTGGCTCGATCACAGCTCACTGCAGCCTCGACTTCCTGGGCTCAAGCAATCCTCCCACCTCAGCCTCCTGAGTAGCTGGGACTACAGGCACACACCACTACGCCTGGCTAATTTTTAAAAAAATTACTTGTAGAGACTGGGTCTCACTATGTTGCCTAGGCTGGTCTCAAACTCCTGGGCTCAAGTGATCCATCTCTGCCTTCCAAAGTGCTGAGATTGCAGGTGTGAGCCACTCTGCCTGGCCTTGCCTCCATTTATTTTAAATTTAAATACTGGTGTGATCTAAGCATAAATTTTTGACGTTGATTGCTGTGCTTGTTGCTGGGTATAGATTTTGATGTCCTTGCTTTGAGTTATAGATAATTATTCTAATTCTGTCTTCCTGAAATAGATCTTTCCCCTTATTTTTCATATATATTTGAGATACATGATATGAAATGGTTCTATATCCCCTGCCCCTTTTATTTTGAAGAGCTAGAATATTATTTTTGCTCTTAGTGGTCTTTACTTACATAAACCTGTATGGCCTAGTGCAGTCCCTCAGACTGGTCACATTGGAACTGTTGTAGGAGCTCTTTTAAAAATATAAGTTCCTGGACTCTAATCTGTGGATGGGTGGGTATGGAGGCATGGGTATGAAGTAAGGCTCAATAATTTGTTTTTGTTGGTACTATCATTAAGTTCCTGCGTGAGTCAGACTTGGATCTAAGCTTGGGAACCACTAGATTAGTGAAGAGGATTAGACTTTAAGGTCTTATGGTCCTCGGTTTGAATCCTGGCATACCATGACCTTAGGCAAGTCATCCTTTCTGAACTTCATTTTCCTTGTCTGCAAAGCAGAAGATATGTATAACTATTTTGAAAAAGTTTGTAAAGACTTGGAAATAATACATGCAAAACAGGATAGTGCTGGGTTTAAGAGGGTGCTCAGTAAATGCTAGGAGTTATTTCTGACTAGGGTTTTTGCCTCAAGTCCAAGTCTTTTCCTGCCCTAGAGTGGTTGGCCAGGAACCAGAGGTACTACACCTACCTCTTAGCCTTCTTTTCGTAGCCCCACCTATTAGCCCTCTAAGAGCACGGGGAGCTTGCTTGCTTACAAAAGAATTTTCTACTCCAGATATCTTAGAAGAAGTGGGACTGGGAGGGAAAGGGTCACATGTCATAAGACTTTAAGAAAGTCACTTTCCTTTTTTTTTTTTTTTTTTTTTTTTTAAATAGAGACAGGGTCTGGTTATGTTGCCCAGGCTGGTCTCAAACTTGAACTCAGACGATCCTCCTGCCTCGGCGTCCCAAAGTGCTGGGATTAGAGGTGTGAGCTATTGAGCTCAGCTGTCACTTTCCTTTTAACCTCAATTTTCTTATTTATACAACAGGAATAAAATTATTTTCCCAAGGTGGTTATGAAATTTTAACTTTTAAAATAATATAACTCAGAATGAATTAGCTATGAGGTCTAGAAGCAGTGTTCTAAATTAGATAAATTATAGTTTATGCCTAGAGATCTCTTACTCTCAGTTTTCTAAATTTTTCCAAATAATTGAGACTATCAGATATGTAAATTATAGGTAAATGAGGGGTTACTTTTAATTTGTATCTTCAGTTATCAAATGCAGATTTTCTTTATGTACAAGTTATTGTGATAAAATTTAAGAAAACCTGAATCTGCATACCTATTTTAAGAGTCCTTAGGAGAGTTAATTATAAAATTGAGATAGATACTAATACTCATATGGCAGTTAAGAAACTTGATAAGATACACATATGGCATGAAAAGACCATTTAACAAATGTTAGGTCTCCTCTCCTGCTTGGCTCTTTTTTTTAACCCCTTAAGACATTATCCTTTCTCTTAAATGAAGGAGGAAGGGAAATAATATTTTTGAGACTGTAACAGGCCAGGCACTTAATTCATTTAGTCCTTACAGCAGCCTTGTGGGATAGATAATATTGTGTCCATTTGACAGATGAAGAAACAATAGCTCGAGGAAATTAAATAACTTCCACAAATTCACACCTAACAGCTGATCTGGGATGCTGAGGCAGGAGGATCAGAGGATCTTTTTATTTAGCCCAAAGTTCAAGTCCAGCCGGACAACATAGCAAGACTGTCTTATTGTAAAAAAACAACTTGGAAACCACGGCACTATCTCATGATATCTTAAGGAACATAAAATCTAGTAGAAATTATAAATTTATAAAGATACTCATATTAAAGAGTGGTTTGTGATGAATGCCAAAACTGAGGCACAAATCAAATGTTGTTGGGTGTTTGTAGCTGAGACAGTCATTTCTGAAGAGGTGCAGTATGGGAACAGGTAGGCATAGGAGTTGGAATTGATGGCATTTGAGTTACATGTTACAGGATGAATGTGGAAGGTGGTGGGACTAGAGAAGCAAAGGTAAGAAAGCATATTAGAGAAAAAAGGAGAAGTGAGCAATGAAACTTGAAATAATTATTCAACTATTTGCATACAAGATGGTGTCTTTTTAAATAGTAAAATAAGAACCCAAATTTTTTTACGAGTGATGTCACCTTAACATAAATGAAAATAGTTAATCCCAGTATGGTGATGATATACTTTAAAAAACAAAGGTGTCTATGATGCTAATTTGGAAGAAAATGCTAATAGAAAGATGTTAGAATGCATTTACTGTTCTAATAGGAGTAATTATTGAAATCACATTATTTCTTTTAGTATGTAACTATTAGTAGTATTCCATTGTATCAAGAAAAGCAAAAATACAAGGAGGTTACCTACTTGAGGGAAAAGTATTTAATATGCCTTATCTAAGCACACTGATAATTGTACTACCTTTTTAATGTAAAGTAAAAATTACTGTATTTGCATTTTAAACCCACAAGTGTATTTTTTCTCTTTCCAATTTTAAGAAGTCATAATTCTCTGTGTATTGTCCCCTTTTACTTTAGTCTTTTATGAACTATTTTGTCATAGCAGTTTTAAGTCTTTAGAATTGTGTTGAAACCAGGGTTTTCAACCTCAGAATAAATCTTGAACTCTTTCTATAACAAATTTTGGCAATACCTACCCTTTTATGTTGTCCAGGACATTATTTTTTTAGTTTCTATTTTGGAAAGGGAAGTAGTTCACTTACTTACTGGACTTTATTATAAAGAAAGGTGATATTTGAACTGATGTTTACCAGTTGGCACAGTTCTCTTGGCTTTCCTGATGTAGTTTGGTTTTATGAATAAAGCTGCTTTTTGTAATAGACACTCGCTCATCAAGGGATCTGTTTTTCTGGCTGTAGCCTCTGTCACAGCAGATAGCCACATGATTTCTAGCTTGCATTGACTGGTAAATATTTTCCACAAAAGAAATAAAATTGAAATACAAATATAGCATATGACAGAAAAGTTTCTCTGTCAGATTTAATTTTTTTTTTTTTTTTTTGGTGGGTTTTTAGTTTTTGGTATGGGAAAAGTTTTCATCAAGTAGATTTTGAATATTTTAAATTGAATTATTCTACTTCTTAGAAAATACACTAATATACTTCCTAGTTGGATTATACTTATTTTAATCATTAAATGCAGCATTGGTTTTTACCATTTTTCTACCAAAAACTGATTCAACATTTAAACTGTTTCTTAGAACTTTTGTTTTCCATTTTTATCTAGTCTCTAACATCTGCATTTTAACAAAACAGTACTTTTCTGTTAACCTAGTAAGCACTTTGGTTATTTCAGTGGTGGAATGGATTTGCCAACCACGCTCTTTTTGATTTGTGGCTTACCTTTGTGAAACTGATTTAGTATGTTGTCTAAAGTAGGACAGAACCAGCTAACTCATTTGAAAGCTGAATCTTTGCTTCTTTAAGTTCTCTGCTATAATCAAGTGAGATAACAGTAAGCTATGAAGGTTGACTAAATCCAGTTTGTATATTTGGAATATTACTTTTGACTTAACTGTACAAGGTGACGAGTATATAGGAAAATAAGACTTATTGGTAAGTAGGAGCATGATAAGATATCTGACATAACTAATAATGAAATACATTATTTAATGTCTTGGTGCATTTATATTGTGCTCCACTTAAGCTGTGTTTTTGTTTTGGAAACCAATGCAGCATCAATAACAATAATAATAAAGCATGTTCATTTATGTTACCTTGGTCTGGAATGTAGATATTACCGTACCATTATAAAGCTTTCTCGAAATATTAAATGTGGAAACTAATACTTAGCTTTTGTGTATCCATTCCTCTGACTTGTCTCATGTTACTCTTCTTTCTTTAACAATTTATTTCAGCTGGAGTTTATCCAGAAATTTTCCCCAAAAGAAGCAGAAAATCTGCCTCTGTGGCAACATATTTCCTTCCAGGCGTTACCTCCTGAGCTTAGGGAACAAACTGTCCATGAGGTCACCACAGTAGGCACTGCAGAATGCAGGAAATGGCTGAGCAGGAGTCGTACTTTGGGAGAACTAGAATCTCTGGTAAGATAATAATTTTGATTTATTTTATTCATTCAGCAGCTGTTTATTGAGCATTGTTTTAGGTACTGGGGTTAGGTTGTTAATAAGATGCACACACTCTCTGTTCTCTGTTTCTGTTAGAACCTAGTAAGATTTTCAGATTTCTTCATTGTAAAAGAATCTGTGAGAAACTTAACTGTTATTTTAATTGATGTATTATATTGGGGGGTTGTTTCCTATGTCGCTTAAGGTATGTTGAGACATGATCAAACACACTATGGAACACTTCACTTGTGTATTTTTGCTGATGTATCTCTGGATTATGCAGATGTAATTCTTCCATTCGACAAAATACAACCCCCATTTTATGCTAACTTACTCTGAACCTTTATGTACCTTTTACATAGAATGTTCCCTCATAAAATAATGGAATAATAAGAGACTTATCTACTAGAAGAAGTAGGAAATGTGAGATTTTTAAAAGTTGGCTGGATATAGTACATGTAGTTGAAATTTCGAGTTTAGTGTTCATATGCTCATTCATTCATTCAACAAATATATTTGGAGTACTTTTATGTGCCACTTTGTTCTAGGCATTGGGGGTACATCGGGAACCAAAAATTTCTACTCTCATAGACTCACATTTGAGCTTAGCAGTGGACAGTAAAATAAGAAATGCCAATTATGTTAAGTAGAGAAAAGCAAAGATAAGGATAGGGCATTCAAAGGGACAGAGGTCTATTTGCAGTTCTAAATTAGGAGTTCAGGTTTTTCTGAGGGCATATGTTTCCATGCTGAGTACAAATGTTCTGATACCGTTATATGTAATGACACTTGATCATAATTATTATAATTTTTTGGCGGGGATGAGGTTTCGTTCTTATTGCCCAGGCTGGAGTGCAATGGTGTGATCTTGGCTCACTGCAACCTCCACCTCACGGATTCAGGCAATTCTCCTGCCTCAGCCTCCTGAGTAGCAGGGATTACAGGCTCCCACCACCATGCCCAGCTAATTTTTTGTATTTTTAGTAGAGACGGACTTTCACCATGTTGGCCAGGCAGGTCACGAACTCCTGATGTCAGGTAATCTACCCTCCTTGGCCTCCCAAAGTGCTGGGATTACAGGTGTGAGCCACTGTGCCCAGGCTTATCCAAAGGAAATGTTTTTATGTGACTTTATTTTAGAAAAAGTATCAAATACCTAGTTAAGAATGGGTTAAATGTGTCCGAGTTTAGCATTTAATGTGTACCAATTTCTATAGTAAGGACAAAGGATGTTTTGTTTTATATTAGGTAAAGAAAAGCACTATAAGTAAACTTTTTGAAGTATGACCACAGCTTTTTAGTCCAGCAGGTTGTTCAACATACGTCTTTTATTTTAAATTTTTTCAACTTTTATTTTTTATTTTATTTTTTGAGATGGAGTCTCGCTCTGTTGCCCAGGCTAGAGTGCAGTGGCATGATTTTGGCTCACCGCAACCTCTGCCTCCTGGGCTTAAGCGATTATCCTGCCTCAGCCTCCAGAGCAGCTGGGATTACAGGCACCCGCCACCATGCCTGGCTCATTTTTGTATTTTTAGTAGAGATGGGGTTTCACCATGTTGACCAGGCTGGTCTCGAACTCCTGACCTCAGGTGATCTGTCCACCTCGGTCTCCCAAAGTGCTGGGATTAGAGGAGTGAGCCACCACACCCAGCCTCAACTTTTATTTTAGATTTAGGGGATACTTGTGCAGGTTTGTTTCCTGGTTTTATTGCGTGATGCTGAGGTTTGGGATATGAATGATTTCATCACCCAGGTACTCAGCATAGTACCCAACCGTTTATCAACCCTTACCATCTCTCCTCCCTCCCCCTACTAGTCCCGTGTTTATTGTTGCCATCTTTATGTCCATGAGTGCCCAGTGTTTAGCTCTCACTTATAAGTGAGAACATGTGGTATTTGGTTTTCTGTTCCTTTGTTAATTTGCTTAGGGTAATGGTGTCTAGCCGCTCTCTGTTGCTGCAAAGGACATGATTTCATTCTTTTTTATGACTGTATACTATTCCATGGTATATATGTACCACATTTTCTTTAATCTGTTGATGGACATCTAGGTTGATTCCATGTCTGCTGTTGTGAGTAGTGCTGCAATGAACATGTGAGTACATGTGTCTTTTTGGTAGAACGATTTGTTTTCTTTCGGATATGTACCCAGTAATGAGATTGCTGGGTAGAATGGTAGTTCTGAGTTCTTTGAGAAATCTCCAAACTGCTTTCCACAGTGGCTGAAATAATATACATTCCTACCAACAGTATATAAGCATTTACTTTCTCTGCAGCCTCACCAGCATCTGTTGTTTGACTTTTTAATAACGGCCATTGTGACTGGTGTGAGATAGTATCTCGTTGTGATTTTGATTTGCATTTCCCTGATAGCTTTTTCATATGATGGTTGGCCTCTTGTGTGTCTTGTTTTGAGAAGCGTCTGTTCATGTCTTTTGCCCATTTTCTAATGGGGTTGTTTTTTACTTGTTCAGGTGTTTAAGTTCCTTATAGATTCTGGATATTAGACCTTTGTCACATGCATAGTTTGCAAGTATTTTCTCCCATTTTATGGGTTGTCTGTTTACTTTGTTGATAGTTTCTTTTGCTGTGCAGAAGCTCTTTAATTAGGTCCCACTTGTCAATTTTTGTTTTCATTACAATTGCTATTGGTGTCTTTCTCAAGGCTGATGTCTAGAATGGTGTTTCCTAGGTTTTTTCCTAGGATTCTTATAGTTTGAGGTCTTATATTTAAATCTTTAATCCATCTTGAGTTAATTTTTGTATATGCTGAAAGGTGGCTATCCAGTTTCATTCTTCTGCATGTAGGCTAGCTAGCTATCCCAGCACCATTTATTGAATAGGAGTCCTTTCTCTGTTGCTTGTTTTTGTTGACTTTTTCAATGATCACATGGCTGTAGGTATGTGGCTTTATTTGTAGGTTCTCTATTGTGTTTCATTGATCCATTTCTGTTTTTGTACCTGTATCATGATGTTTTGGTTACTGTAGTCTTATAGTATAGTTTCAAGTCAAGTCACGTGATGCCTCTGGCCTTCTTCATTTTGCTTAGGATTACTTTGGCTATTCAGGCTCTTTTTTGATTCCATATGAATTTTAGAATAGTTTCTTCTAATTCTGTGAAAAATGGTGTCAATAGTTTGGTAGGAAAAGCATTGAATCTGTAGATTGCTTTGGGCAGTATGGCCATTTTAATGATACTGACTCTTCCAATCTATGAGCATGGAATGTTTTTCCATTTGTTTGTGTCATCTATGATTTCTTTTAGCAATGTTTTATAGTTCTCCTTGTAGAGATCTTTCACCTCCTTGGTTAAATGTATTCCTAGGGGTGTGCGTGTATCTACTGTAAACAGGATCGTGTTCTTTTCTTTTTTCTTTTTTTTTTTTTTGTTGAGACGGAGTCTCGCACTGTCGCTCAGGCTGGAGTGCAGTGGTGTGATCTCGGCTCACTGTGAGCTCTGCCTCCTGGGTTCCTGCCATTCTCCTGCCTCAGCCTCCCGAGTAGCTGGGACTACAGGTGCCCGCCAACACGCCCGGCTAATTTTTTGTATTTTTAGTAGAGATGGGGTCTCACTGTGTTAGCCAGGATGGCCTCGATCTCCTGACATTGTGATCCACCCACCTCGGCCTCCCAAAGTGCTGGGATTACAGGCATGAGCCACTGCGCTCGGCCTTGTGTTCCTGATTTGCCACTCAGCTTGAATGTTATTGGTGTATAGAAATGGTACTGATTTTTGTACATTGATTTTGTATCCTGAAACAGATAGTTTGACTTCTTCTTTTCGTACTTGTGTGCTGCTTTTATTTTTTTCTCTTGCTTATTGCTCTGGCTTGAACTTTCAATACTATGTTGAATAGGAGTGGTGAGAGTGGGCATCCTTGTCTTGTTCCATTTCTGAAGAGGAATGCCTCCAGTTTTTGCCTGTTCAGTACGACGTTGGCTGTGAGTTTGTCATAGATGGCTCTTATTATTTCGATGTATGTTCTTTTGATGCCTAGTGTCTTGATGGCCTTTATTATAAAGGGATGTTGGATTTTATCAAAAGCTTTTTCCATATCTATTGAGATGATGAATATGGTTTTTGTCTTTAATTCTGCTTATGTGGTGAATCACACTTATTGATTTGCATATGTTGAACCAACCTTGCATCCCAGGAATGGAGTATACTTGATCATGTTGAATTAATTTTTGATGTGCTATTGAATTTGGTTTGCTAGTATCGTTTTGAGGATTTCTGCATCTAGAACATGTTTATTTGTAAAAGGAAATAGGTAAATCTTAAGAAGTTGTATGGTAATTGCATAAAATTAAGTGTGGTTGTGTAAGTATAATAGATTCAAGGCATTCATTGTTACTGTTTATTACATTCTCATAAGACCTTCCCTGTACCCCCACCACACCTCAAACAACCTCATTTCTGGCCAGAGAGAGAATTGAGTATTTTCACACATGGTAAAAGTTAATCCAGAAAACATTGCCTTTAGTTTCAAATACTAGTATTTTTTAAGTACTATCTTTGCTTATTAAATGCAGTGTTGCTGAGGCATTTAAAATTTTAAAACAACAGGAAAAATAAAAATCTAGTAACCTATAAAGATTGCTGGGTGCGTAATGTGAAAAAATAACTTTTTGTTGATGTATATTATAAATTAGCTTGATTATACTGGCCACTTGTATCAAAACTATTTATTAAAGTAGATTTCTGCTTCCATTTGGTAACTTTGGGTTACCAACATTTCACCCTAAAAGGAAGTTTATGGCTGGGTGCGGTGGCTCATGCCTGTAATCCTAGCACTTTGGGAGGCCGAGGCTGGCAGATCATGAGGTCAAGAGATCGAGACCATCCTGGCCAACATGGTGAAAACTGAGTCTCTAATTAAAATACAAAAATTAGCTCGTGTGGTGGTATGTGCCTGTAGTCCCAGCTTCTCGGGAGGTTGAGGTAGGAGAATCGCTCGAACCTGGGAGTTGGAGGTTGCAGTGAGCCGAGATTGCACCACTGCACTCCAGCCTGGTGACGGAGTGAGATGCCATCTCAAAAAAAAAAAAAAAGTTTATTTAGAAAAATAAAGCAAATGTTTCTGTGTACAAGGAAAATTATTTTTAATATATACTTGTGTTAAATAGCTGAAAAGATGGCTTTGGCTCTTAGAAATATTATTCTACATGGACTTTATGAAGAGTTAAAAGTAACTTTTATAACCTCTAGTTAAGTCGGCTCTTGGTGGTGCTTTAGACTGGTGTTTAAACTCAAGTCCTTTCCTGTTTCTGTCCTTCAGAACACAGTACTGTCTGCTTTGCTTGCAGTATGTAATTCTGCTGGTGAAGCTTTGGATACAGGAAAACAAACTGCAATTATCGAAGTTGTGAGTCAGCTTTGGGCTTTTTTAAACATTAAACAGGTAAGGAAAGCAACTGATCCTTTCCTTATCAAAAAATAGAAAATATCAAAAAAAGAGGATTGTACTGAAATTTTCCAGTGTAGAGTAAAATGTATCTAATTCTTTTGGGTGCTTGGTAGACCTTTATAAGAACTTAAAGTACCTGTACTCTCTCACGCAGCTTTTTCAGAGTGTGATAGCATTATATTAGTAAAATCAGAATACGTAATGTGATGGCAGTCCACCTACTTACTTTCCTAACTGGTTATACCCTTTCCCCACCTCCCCATCTCTTCCCCTATTGTTTCTGTTCTGTCTTAGGTTAATGTATCCTATTTCTGTAATTCTAGGACCTTTAATAAATCTTTTGGGCAATGGAGAGTGAGCTGACTTAAAGGTGGAAAGGGCTAGTGAATGGATGTGGCTAATTTGTATTTCTCTTTCCCAGCAAAGCCAAAAAGCCAAGTGATGATCTAAAACTAATGATATGCATCCCACACATGGTTGTACACGTGTTTCTTAGTTTGAAAATATAGCCTGTTTGTTTTCTTTGACTAAGTAGAAATTAACATTGGCCTCTGGCAGCTAGAGGAAGCTAAAGGCAACAGCCATACTTTTGGGAAATGATAGATATGATTTTACAGATAATGTTTTATTATTGTTTTTTATGGTCAGATTGCCCTACTGCAGTGTTTTGGCTTCAACAAATACTTTTCCTGATGTTCACAAATCATTCAGTATTCATTCAGGATATCTGTGCTGGAGATATAGCTTACAATATTATAATGTAAACCAAAATTATGAAGAAGGGAAATGAAATTTTAAGATTACTAAGGAACATACAAGCCTTTCAGTGATAGACAAGTAATTAGATCCCTTTTAGACTTAAATTTGGATTTCAGTCACAGCTCTGCTTTTTGTCCTAGCCATGTGATCTTGAACAAATTGTTTAACCTCTTTGACCCTGTTTTCTTATCAGTAAAGTGAAGGTAATAATATCTACCTCATAGAGCTGTTTTGTAAGGCATAAATGAGGTAATAAATATAAAATACTTAACATATTACCTGATATATAATAAATGCTCAATAAAAGCTTGCTATTATTATTCTTATGTGATTGAAAATTTTTCTTCAAAATTACTTTGTGTTTCTTAGGTAGCAGATCAACCTTATGTTCAACAGACATTCAGCCTTTTACTTCCACTGTTGGGATTTTTCATTCAAACTCTAGATCCTAAACTGATACTTCAGGTAAGAATAATGACCAGATTGATACTTTGTTTGCTAAGGAGGTTGCTAAAACTGCTATCATGTAAAATAACTTTCTAGAAATAGTTCCTTTAAACCTCCTCTTGTTGTGTCATATATTGACTTGTCTTCATCAAGGATATCTCATTTCTCTTTCTTCCTTACAGTATTGTTAATATATGGCGCTGTTAATTCAGCCTTTATCTGTTCTTCTCTGTCACCCTATACTGAGCAGTCAATACTTTTTGTTATTACTGTTAACTACCCACTGCAAACCCCTGAGGTTAGGAGTCATAGTTCATGTGTTGAACCCTGCATTCATAGCAGTTTCAAAAGCATTTCAGCAGCTGTGGGAATGTGGAATCTAACCAGTGTGTATTAAAAGATAGCACCTATTGTTTCTTTGAAAAAATAAAATTATTTTGAAAGAAGAGCACTGCTGAATTTCCTCTTTGGCCTCCAACTTACATGGCTAGGACAGGCAGAGCCTGGGTCACTGTCTAGGGAACCCTTGTGGTGCCTCAGCTGTGCCTTTCTTTTGGAAGTTCTAAGATGACAGAGAAAGTGGAAAAGCCCTTCAGCTAAACTGAAGTGATTTAGAGGCTTTGGAATGAGTCCATACTAGACAGAATTGATGCCCCAAATTAAGAGTTAGCTTAAGCTCAGGGTCAGGTAAGAAAGATAAACAATAACTGTTAAGAGGAGAAACTACCCTTCTTATTTATGAAGATGATCGAAGAGATGATTCCTGTCACAGTATGTGGTGGAACAGAAAGGAATGAAACTAGTAACAGCTTTGCTTTTAGTAGCTGTTTTTAATGGTGTATGTATATGAAGAAGTTAGCAATAACAAGTATGTCCTATACCATATGTATAACATGGATTTTACTAAGTTATAAAGAGTCAGAATACAGTAATTAACTCATTGAATGCAACAATTTGATTCTGATTCTGAAAGCTCTAATATTTTTAGAAAAAATACAATAATTTTGATATAATGTGCCTACCTTTAAAAAACCCAAATAAAGTTCTAAAATTTCTAAATAAGTAGATTGTTCAAAGGGTATTGCTTCCTTTATAAAAGATTTCACCTCAAGATTCTTTTAAATTGGGGGTTTGCAGATTATGGCCTTCTGTCTAAATTTTGCCCTCCTGTTTTCAGCCCAAGAGCTAGGCATGAATTTTAAAGGTTTGCAAAATAAAAAATAATATGTAACAGAGAACATGTTGCCTACAAAGCCTAAAATACTTACTATTTGGCCTGTTAGAGAAAAAGCTTACCAGTCCTTGCTAAATAATGAACTTCTCTCAATAGAATTTTAAATACAGGCATACCACAGAGAGATTACAGGTTGTGTTCCAGACCACCACAATAAAGTGAGTGAGTCACATGAATTTTTTGGCTTCCCAGTGCATACAGAAGTTATGTTTACACTATACTGTAGGTTGTGTATAATAGCATTATGTGTAAAAAATGTACATAATTAAAAAACACTTTATTGCTAAAAACACTAATGATCATATAAGCCTTCAGCAAAACATAATCTTTTTGGTAGTGGAGGGTCTTGCTTCAGTGTGGATGGCTGCTAACCCATCAGGATGGTGGTTGCTGAAGGTTAGGGTGGCTGTGGCAATTTCTTAAAATACGACAATGAAGTCTGCCACATCAATTGACTCTTCCCTTCATGAAAGATTTCTCTGTAGCATGTGATGCTGTTTGATGGTATTTTACCCACAGTAAAACTTCTTTCAAAATTAGAGTCAATCTTCTCAAATCCTGCTAGTGCTTTAATAACTCAGTTTATGTAATACTCTAAATTCTTTGTTTTCATTTCAACAATGTTCACACCATCTTCTATACCAGGAGTAGTTATGTGTCAAGAAACCACTTTCTTTGCTCATTCATGAGAAGCAACTCCTCTTCAAGTTTGATCATGAGATTGCAGCAATTCAGTCACATCTTCAGGATCTACTTCTAGTTTGCTAGCTATTTCTACCACATCTGCAGTTACTTCCTCCACGGTAGGCTTGAACCCCCCAAAGTCATCCATGAGGGATGGAATCAACTTCTAATTCCTGTTAATGTTGATATTTTGACCTCCTCCAAATGAATCATGAATGTTTTTCATGGCATCTGAAATGATGACTCCTTCCCAGAAGGTTTCCAATTTACTTTGTCCAGGTTCATCAGAGGAATCACTATCCATGGCAGCTATAGCCTTATAAAACGTATTTCTTAAACAGTAAGACTTGAAAGTCACAATTATTCCTTGATTGATGGGCTGCAGAATGACTGTTGTATTAACAAACATGAAAACAATATTCATCTCCTTATACGTCTCCTTCAGAGCGCCTGGTTGAGCAGGTGCATTGTCAATGAGCAGTATATTTTGAAAGAAATCTTTTTTTCTGAGCAGTAGGCCTCTCAATAGTGGGCCAAAAAATATTCAGTAAACAGTGATATAAACAGGTATGCCATCATCCTGGCTTTGTTGTTCCATTGATAGAGTACATGCAGAGTAGATTTAGCAGAATTCTTAAGGGCCTTAGGATTTTTTTAATAGTAAGTGAACATTGGCTTCAACTTCAGCAGCTGCATTAGCCCCCAAGAAGAGAGTCTGTCCTTTGAGCTTTGAAGCCAGGCATTGACTTCACCCCTCTAGCTATGAAAATCCTAGGTAGCATCTTCTTCCAATAGAATGGTGTTTCCTCTACATTAAAAATATATTGTTTAATGCAACCACTTCCATCAGTGATCTTAGCCAGATCTTCTGGATAATTGACTGCAGCTTCTTCATCAGCACTTGTTGCTTCACCTTGTGCTTTTGTGTTACGGAGATTGCTTCTTAAACTTCACGGGTCAACCTCATTAGCATCAAACATTTCTTCTGCAGCTTTTTCAGCTCTCAGCTTTCACAGAATTGGAGAGAGGGCCTGGCTTTGGATTTGGCTTTGGCTTAAAGGAATATTGTGGCTGGTTTGATCTATCCAGACCACTAAAACTTTCCACATCAACAATAAGACTTTCCGTGTTCATTGGAATAGCATTTTTCATTTCCTTCAAGAACTTTTCCTTTGCATTCACGACTTGGCTAACTTGCAAAAGAGGCCTAGCTTTTCACCTCTCTTGACTTTTGACAGCACCAGGCTGAATTATCTTTAGCTTTTGATTTAAAGTGAGAGATGAGATTATACTTTTCACTCGAACACTTAAGAGGCCATTTTAGGGTTAATTTTAATATTGTGTCTCAGGGAATAGGGAAGCCCAAGGAGAGGGGGAGAGACTGGTGACCTACCTGTTGGTAGAACAGTCACAACACACAATTTATTATATTTGCCATCTTATAGGGGCACAGTTTGTGGTGCTCCAAAACAATGACAATAGTAACATCAAAGATCACAAATCAGCGTAATAAAATCCTAATGAACAAGTTGAAATATTGCAGGAATTACCAATCTGTGACAGCCATGAAGTGAACACATGCTGTTGCAGAAATGGTACAGGTAGACTTGTTCAGTACAGAGTTGCCACACACCTTATATTTCTAAAAAAAAAAAAAAAAAAAAAAAAAAAGCAGTATCTTCAAATTGCAATAAATCAAAGCACAATAAAATACTGTTTGTACAAAATATGTTTTAAAGGTTTGGTATATAAAGTTTTTCAGAAACATGTATACTTTTATTTTTTACGTGGTTGGAGGCAGGAGGGTGTGGTAAGAATAATGCTTTAACTGTTAACTTGTTCATAGGATTGTCTTATTTAAATTCTACCAGTGAAGTTCAGGGGCTGTGGTGTGTTTGTTTTTTTCTGGGTTTGGTTTTGTTTCCCCTCCCCACATTTCCATCCAAATCTTAGGCAGTTATTGTGTCTGTACAAAATACTGGTATTATTTATAACTGTTCTTTGGTCTTCACCTCTGTAGGCAGTAACTTTGCAGACCTCGCTACTTAAATTAGAGCTTCCTGACTATGTTCGTTTGGCAATGTTGGATTTTGTATCTTCTTTAGGAAAACTTTTTATACCTGAAGCTATCCAGGTAATATTGCTTAACTCTGTTCTTGTATTATTAAAACAAAATCTCTATAAGAGTTAGTGATTAAGGGATTTTTAGGCTTTTTCTGAAATTTTGCAATTACTGACAAAGTTGGAAAAAAAAAACTATGTTCCAGACAGATTATAAAATCTATTTATAACTTATAATACAACTCATTTTAAGTTCTTTTCTTTTAGAAAAATATATGTTGATACACAAATAATTAGTTGGCTGTAGTCTACCATATTAGATTCTTATTCCAGTTGGGTTCTAATACATAGTTCCTGTGTATTTGTCTTATAGGGAACAGCATGTAATTAGGAAATTTGGTAATTTATTAAAGTTATTCTCTTCGTTTTTTATCCATGAAAGAGAACCTGTTTTTAAAGACGATATTTTTGAAAGTGTTGCAAAATATGTATAGCTGACAAATAGATTATTTATAAAATTATACTGCACTGGCCTGGCAATACACATCTACTGAATTTTAAAACCTCAGTAAATGTATATTACCAGGCCAGTACATAATTTAAAGAACTTACAGCAAAGAGATCTTCATAAATTGAGAATTACGCCTTCCTTATTACTATAGTCAAAATTTAGTAATTCTAGTAATTGACACTTCAATCTCCAAGGGAGAGACTATAAAGAGTTCACTAATGAGAACTTTCTTACATAATTAAAGCAAACACATTATAGACAGTATCTCAGAACATGTAGATTAAACTCTTTGAAACCAAAAATTTAATTTCTAAGGGGCTCTTTTATTTGTTCATAAGTTAACAGTATCCCATCTGTCTCCATCATGTTAAGGTTTTATTTCATGAGATAAGCATAGAATGTTGACAGCTTTTCAGCTCTCTTGACAAAAATATCCAAAGACACTTGGCATCTGAGCTGTCTTCTTTTTACCATGAAATAAATCTATTCCAAAATGCTGCTTCATTTGTGAACCACTATGGACTATGCACGGGCCTAGAAATTATGAAACAAATGTTTTATAAGCAGAAATCGCAGTGCCTTCTGTATTCCCAGGAGTGAGGTCAAGACCTGAAGAAATTTTTGAGATTCATCAGAACATAGGAGGCATTTAAAGCCATGAAATGAGATTGACTGATTTATCCATTCGGGAAAGATTACGTTTTTGCTGTACCCAGTGCTGTTTTAATCATTGGCAATGCAGTAATGAACCAAACTAATAAATCCCCACTGTTAGCCTGTTTAGAGGCAATAAACAATAACAACATGATGATATGTGCAGTATATTAAATGGTGGTGAGTGCTATGGAGAAAAATAAAGCAGGGAAGGAAGATAGGGAATATGAATGTGGGGGTCCAATTTGAAATGGGATATATAGTTAGTGAAGTCCTCACCAAGGTGACATGCAAGTAAAAACCTGAAATGCAAAGCACTGGAGATGGGAGCATGCCTCATATTCAGGGAAGCAAGTATAGCTAACACAAAGGTAGCAGGACTTTGCAGGTCATTTGAGGACTTTGGCTTTCACTAACAAGGGAAATAGGGAGCTACTGGAAGGATTTGAGTAAAAGAGTGACATTACCTAATATGTTTTAGTGTGTGTCCCCTGGGACAGGATTATGTTAACTTGACAACACTGGGCTTATTGAATGTATGGCTATTTTATGATTATCTATTATGGTTTCTTTTCTCTATTATAATAAGGCTTGGTTCTTTTAGGACAGAATTCTGCCCAACCTGTCCTGTATGTTTGCCTTACTGCTAGCTGACAGGAGTTGGCTGCTAGAACAACATACCTTGGAGGCGTTTACTCAGTTCGCTGAGGTAATTATAAAACTGATTTATCACAGTGACTTTCAAACCATTTTAATATTTCAAATATTCCAGAACAATCCCAAAACATTTATTGAACTGCTTCTGTATTGCAATCGGAAAATTGTCTGAAGGGTACATTACTCGTTATCTCTTTTACAGCTTCTCAAAATGAGGCTTAGATAAATGAAGTGAATTTCGTAAGGTCCTCTGAATAAACAAGGACCAGAACAGGCATACACAGCAGGCCTACTGATACAGACAGACACAGACACAGTCTTCCAGCAGATAGTATTTTTGGGTCAAATGATAATACATTTCATTTTGTGCTATCAGTCATAAGGGTTAGGCTGATGAACCTAAACCTGTAAGATGGGTTGCTCCTTTACTCTTACTGCATTTGCTGTATAGTCATGCCTATGATCATAAGGGAGTCCAGAAGCATTAGTATGACCCAGCAGAAGTAATTAAAGCTTACAACACTTGTACAGAAGTTAATTTTGTATTATCCTTAGGGACCCTGAAGGAATCATGAGTTTATCACCTTTGAGGATCCTCTGGGACTCTTACTTAAAATGAATTTTTGGTTAAGGTAGCTCATAAAACTCATCTATTTGTCTTTGCAAGTTGTTGAAATGTTAAAATTGGTCTTGTTCATCAATTTTTTAATAGGGAACAAATCATGAAGAGATAGTTCCACAGTGTCTCAGTTCTGAAGAAACTAAGAACAAAGTTGTATCCTTTCTGGAGAAGGTACTTTCTTTACATGGCTCATGTTTTATTCTTTGTCCTATTTTTTTTTTTCCGAAATTATGTAACTGTAACCAACCTGAGTGTCTTCTTAGCTTAAACTTTTCACAGTGCTGAGCACAGTGCTGACGACTTTTACTAAGCAATTGAGGCCACAGAAGTAAAACACTTGGGGCCAGGCGCGGCGGCTCATGCCTGTAATCCCAGCACTTTGGGAGGCCAAGGTGGGTGGATCATGAGGTCAGGAGTTCAAGACCAGCCTGGCCAACATGGGGAAACCCTGTTTCTACTAAAAATACAAAAATTAGCCGGGCATGGTGGTACGCGCCTGCAGTCCCAGCTACTCGGGAGGCTGAGGCAGGAGAATTGCTTGAACTGGGGAGGTAGAGATTGCAGTAAGCCAAGATCATGCCACTGCACTCCAGCCTGAGCGACAGAGTGAGACTGTCTCAAAAAAGGACACTTGTAGTTCCTCTGCCTGTAGTTTGGGGTGTAATAGCACTGATTATCCAGGCAGTGAGATGACTAATGAGGATCCCTAAGCTATTAATAATCATAATTAAATACACTTGATCACATAATTAGGTAGGCCTGAGAGGATGTTTACTACCATATTTTGGGTATAATTTAGGCATGGCTTTTTTTTTTTTTTTTTTTTTTTTTTATTTGGGCAGCCTCCCAAGCCAGGGTAAGCTCAGGGCCCTTTTTTTTTTTTTTTTTTTTTTTTTTTTGGCATGGCTTTTTTATTCTCTTTGCAGCCAAGACCTGTTTTTACAATTAAAACCAAAATTTTGAATCACAAGGTTCCTATGTCTATGCATACTTGGGAACTTAGTGTGAGGAAATAATAGTTAATTGAAATACTAGTGGAACTGTTAAACCACAAATTTAGACTACCAGGAGAAACTGAATTATTTGATATATTACATGTAATGATGCACGTTATATATTTTACATATATTACATATATATTTTTTTAGGTGAAATGGGCCCACTTGACTCACTGAACTTTATTTTTTAGACAGAGTCTCGCTCTGTCGCCCAGATTGGAGTGTGGTGGTGTGATCATAGCTCGCTATAACCTCAAACTCCTGGGCTCAAGCATTCCTCCCACCAAAGTCCTGGGATTAGAGGCATGAGCCACCACACTTGGCCTACTTATATTACATCTAAGCTGGATTTTAAGTACATGTGTATACACTGCTGTTGCCAGTTTCTTAGCTTATACAGTAAAGGTTAGCAGACTATCATTTTTTCCTGCAAAGACAACTCTATAACTAACTATTTTGTAAGGAAGAACACAGTAGAGTGATTTAATCCAGATTATACTAAGAGTATTTATAGATCAGTCCATGTGACTTCCAGAATTTGCCTAGTATGGTTGAACACTCAGCACTTAAATTATGTGGCCATTTCATATCTAGTAGAGTGCTAACATGTTGCTATTTGCTTGGTTTTTCATGGTCCCTGGCAGACTGGGTTTGTAGATGAAACTGAAGCTGCCAAAGTGGAACGTGTGAAACAGGAAAAAGGTATTTTCTGGGAACCCTTTGCTAATGTGACTGTAGAAGAAGCAAAGAGGTCATCTTTACAGGTATGGGCTGATTTCAATAGGGGCCAAACTTTAACAAGGCAAATTCTGCCCTTTTTACTTACTGACGAAACAAACCAGTGTGGTTTCCAGCCTTATGCTGAATTTCAAATCAAATAGATCTAGACATGTAAAATTCTGTTTTATGGTAGTTGCTTTTAAAATTAAGAAGTGGGACTACACCATATCAAATATATTCTTTCAGTATGTTTGAATTATTGGTAGTAACCTTTAAGGGAAGTTACATATTGTACCAGTGATGCTATAAATGCAGTCTTTACTGAACCACAGAAGAAAATGAAAGAAACTTACTCCTAAATGTTTAGTTTGATTCCTTGCCTTATTAATCAAATGAGTCTCCTAATAATTTTTGGCAGTAACTGAAGATCACATCTACTTATTAAAAGGCAGAATTTGACACCAATAAGGATATTCAAAATATTGTTTTGAGCACTATTAGTATAGTAATTAGTATAGTAGTAATTCATGAAGAACAACATTCTGATAAGTTTTAGTCAAACTCTCATAAAAAGAAAATACATTTATGAACTTGTTTATAAGACATGTAAGCTTGGACTATGCAGCACTTCTCATTGGGAGCCCTTTGGGACAG
Source organism: Homo sapiens (assembly GCF_000001405.40). Classification (NCBI taxonomy): domain Eukaryota; kingdom Metazoa; phylum Chordata; class Mammalia; order Primates; family Hominidae; genus Homo; species Homo sapiens. The sequence continues at coordinate 169,852,547 of NC_000001.11, forward strand.
GATACTTGTTGTATACCACATACAAACTAAGACACTGGTAGTAGCACTCTGAATTGCTATGATAAACCAAAATGCCTTTACATATTTTTCTAGATGACTGTGTAGGGGTTTTGGGGTGCATCCTCCTACCCTTGTGATCCAATGACTAGAATAAAATTTGCATGTAAGCTTTACTCCAGTCCAAAAGGAAGGTTCTTTATATTTAGAATGGATATTGTGATATTACTTATGTTTTTTTTCCAGCCTTATGCAAAAAGAGCTCGTCAGGAGTTCCCCTGGGAAGAAGAGTACAGGTCAGCGCTGCATACAATAGCAGGGGCTTTGGAAGCAACTGAGTCACTACTCCAAAAGGGTCCTGCTCCAGCCTGGCTTTCAATGGAAATGGAGGCGCTCCAAGAAAGGATGGATAAGCTAAAACGTTACATACATACTCTAGGGTGAAACTTATCACTAGGCAGAACTGGGTTTGATGCTTTGTCAACTGAAAATACTTATGTCTGTACATTTTCTAACAGATATAAAACAAATTTTGTAAAGTTGAATCTAGTGAAAATAATCTTTATTTGACATTTAGAGAACAGGATTGTGGGGAATATTCTTATTAAGAACTTTGGTACAATGTACTACATGTGGAACAGTCAGGAACTGCCTAGGTCCACAAAGAACCATTTACTCAGATAGTCTAACTGTAAACAAATAAATAAGCTGCCTAAGGAAACCTCAGCAATTTAAAATCATTTATATAATTTATAGCTAAAATTTTTTAAAGTTGTATTTCATAATAGAGCTTACTCTTATGTTAAAGAATGGCACAAAATTAAGCTAACCAGCTTGAATTACATTTTCTTTACTTCCAGAATTGTCCTGGAAAAAGCAGTAAATTCGACCTCTCCTCAGCTACTTGCTCTTCATAGAAACTGGCCTCAGTCAAATGCACAAAGGCTCTTCCTCCTGGAAACCAGTACTGTGAGCCTCACCACCCAGGGCTTTTAGCCAGCACTCACAGTCAGTCTCCTACTTCAGTTGGCACAGACTGGATAATGAGCTCCTGGGATGGGAAAAGCAGGCCACTTTGGGGTTTTCTTGTCCCAAAGCCTGCTTTTGAGGTATTGATTTTTTTTAAAAAAAGGGAATCCTTTTTCCTAAAGTTTAACTCACATCTATTGTCACCAGTTATTATCTTCCCAGTTCAGCTCCCCTTCTTCTTCCCAGCCTTCAGCCTCTCCCTGCAACAAAATAAAGCACACCAAGAACCCACTGAAACAAATCATATGCAAAAATCATACGCAAATTTGAAAAAGCAGGAATTTAAAATTTATCTTTTGATGCCAGAAACACTACCTCGTACTAAGTAAAATAACTTAGAGCTCTAACAGAAAGTTGAAAAGTAGGATTACAAAACCATGGCACTGGAAAATAGCTTTTCAAAAACCATAAAATCCAGTAAAAATCAGTGTGGATGACACCAAATCCTTATTTTAATCCCTTTTTTTTCTTTTTCAAATAAAAAGGTTACAATAGCTCATTAAACAAACTAAGCATTGCTACATTTTTCTGGGGGAAGGAAAGATAGATACCAATGATAGAAACTGATTTTGTTAATTTTGTGCTTGACTTGACTAGGAAAATAGCATGTTGCTTGTTATAAATGGGATACTGCAACTAGGACCTATGAGGGAAATCCTAAAGCTAGTAGCACAGTTTACTCCATAAAAGTACTCACCTCAGTAATTTCTGCTGCAGCAAATTTTGAGGAAAACTGCATCACTGGGGAGACATCATCCTTTTTTGGGACCATTTCTGTCCTCAGTTCAGGTAATATAAGAAAAGCAGCAGAAGGCTTAATTTCTGGGATCATATCAGCAAACCAATCCATCTCAGGATCTTTTACTGGCTTCTTTTTTACTTGAATGGTGAATTCCTCTCCTAAACCAAGTTCTGATGGAACCTTAAGGGGCCTTTCTTGTGATGACACTTTTGGCGGCTCGATTTGGTCTGCGTCATCCCCCCTTTGTACAAGGCTAATCTTTTGGGGTAAGCTTGATTTCCAAGGCATAGACTCTTCAGTGAGTGAAAGCAAAGCAGGAATAGGCTTCTGCTCCCCTGAGGTAACAGGTTTTGTAGCAGTGATTCCACCTCCTGGGTTTACTTTAGTATCTAAGCTGCTGGGCTCGCAGTCATCCCAAGATGACTCTTCCACATCCAAGGTAGTGCACTGGGACTTGACATCATCACAAGGTTCTCTAGGCCAAATCTGTATGTTGACAGTTTGATTTTCAGGCTCCTCAGGTTCACTCCAGTCAGGCCACTCCTCAGACTTTTTAGAACTTGATGGGAAGTTTTCACTGTCCTCCGAAGTATTTTTTACATCTGAGAGTCCATTTATGGGAAATTTAATAGGCTGAGAAAATGGATCGCCTGTAGGGAAAATAATTATTCTCATAAAATACTGGTTAAAGGTAAGAACTACACTTATGGGAAGGATAGCATTAAGGAAGTGTAGTAGTATAGGTCTAATTACTTGGAAATATCCATGCATACTAAACAAAAGAGATCCCAGCAGAACATTACTCAAGATCAACGATGTCACATGTTATCCAAATAATTACATAATACTTACATTATTAACTCAGTGGAAGCATGTAAGTAATAACTAGTGCATTCAATCCTTATTAAATATCCAAACATACAGTATATTCACATAAATATAGAAATGCTCTAAGCCAGGCAGTGTTATCCTTGGGATGTTTGTTAATTACATATGCCTGAAAAAGTCTTGCAGGCTCAAATAAGTTTGCCTAACTCAACTTATTAACCTCACTTTAAGAAATTTCCCTAAGTGTAGTAGTTAAGGCACTGAGAGATCCTGTGCAATGTGTTAATGACTTTGCTCTCATTTCCCCAAACTTATTTAACCACAGAACTCTTTTTCACAACACGCCCATTAACATCTTTCAAAACTATCATTCTTGGTACAATTTGGAAGATGCTGCACTAAGGCAACAAAAGTCTCAAAGTAAAGTATCAGTGCAAAAAAGAATTCAAGTAATGTCAACCTGCACTTCTCACCAACTATAAAGAGGAGGTAAGTATATATCCAATAGTCTGGAGAAACAAGATGAGACCAAAGCTGACTACATAATTACAAATAAATCAGTCTCAAAACTCCCAAAACACCCATAAGCTTATTAGTCTCAGGAAAACATTCATCCAAGCAATGGAAAAGCTATATAAATTTAATATTTCTACCTGTCTGTAAAAGAGTATTGTAGTAATCTCGCTGTATGTGCTTCTTGCTGTTGATGGGCGTGCTGCCAGAAAAGAAACATTTAGGGAATATGCTAGAGAAGGGGTTCTCCAAGATTGGCGAGATCTGACTGTGATGGCTGCAGACGACACACATAGGAGAATCTGAAGGTAAATAAAAACTCCAAAACATGAAAGGGACAGTAAATTGCTTCTTGATCTATCACATGGTTGGTGGGCATAGTTAAGTGAAATGGGTATATTTTTATACATATAAAGGATAAAATGGAGGAGAGAACATCTTCAAACATTTGAAGACATACACCCATTATGGAATGGACTGCCTGTCCCTAGAGGTGTTTAAGAACAGGCTGTGTCCACTCCATGTGGTGATGGATCAAAGCATTACACAGATATAACCTTTGGGACACCTAGCTAAAAAGTTATAGCCCTTCAAAACATGTTGGTGGAGATTTAAAACCAACTGATTCTACTTACTTTCCTTTTAAGAATAAAAGTTGAAGAGTATAAGCATAAGAATATGAATGTAGTGAATACCACAAAACTATACACTTAAAAGTAGTTAAAATAATAAATTTAAGCTGTGGACATTTAACCCCCAACTGGGGAAAAAATTAGTTTCAAGAAATGTCCTTAACAGTTTGCCAGAAAGTTTATACTTAAAAAAATGGGCATTGGTCAATCAATTTTTGGCCAAAAAGTGAGGATGTGGGGAATAGCCTGGGGTAAACTCTTAACGATTAGGTCCCCAGCTCTCTTCAGCACCACATCTCCCCCCTCCTCACCCCAGCACTCAGGCCAGGCCTCTACAAGCCCTCCACTCATTTGTGCCACTATCCTCCTTGAAGTCCTATCTAATGCCTTATCCGATGTCTTCTTCTCTGAACCATGTTCTCCACCTCTCTTTCAGGCAGACTTAATTTCCTATTTCCCTTTCATAGCTGAAAATGAGACCACAGCCTCTACATCACCCTTTTCAAGCTCTTTGCAGCCATGACGCTGGTTTCATTAGCACCAAGGAAGAGGTGAACGCTCTTTAAAACTTCAGGAAGCCAATGTTGCTTTAAAAATTCTTTTAGCATCAAAATTAGAGAAAAGCCTATCTGATTAACTCTTTTCTGCTAAATGTCTCCATGTTACCAACTATCAATGAGAACTGGGTTAGAGATCCAGAATTACATAACAAGTTCATTGTCTTACTGAAGGCTACACAAAGGAGCAATGACATTGTTGATAAAAAATTCTTGTAAGACCAGAAATTACTGCTACCTCCCAGGTAACATCCACTGGGAACATACCAGAAATAAGGACTTCCTGCAGTATCTAAAAGGCAACAGCTTTTTACCCCATAGGCCAACAAAAGTCACAAGAAACTTAAACATCTAGTGTTAATAAGAATTGATGCAACCTTTTTGTAAGCTGACAGTATCTACTAAATTTAAAATATATCCTTTGGCCCAGCAAGTTTACTTCTAACATTCAGTGTCTGCGGATGCTCAAGTCTCTTAAAGAAAATGATGTAGTATTTAAATATAATCTATGCATATCATCCCATAATACTTTAAGTCATTTCTTGGTTACTTATAATACCTTTATTTTTTGGTTTCTTTTCTGAGTATTTTTGATCCACAGTTGGTTAAATCTGCAGGTGCAAACCTGCAAATATGGGGGACCAACTGGAAAGATACACGTGTAAAGATATTCATTGCAGCACTGTTTGTAGGGATTAAAAATCCAGAAATGGATGCAGTATCCATGAATAAAGAAATCACTGAATGAATTATATTCAGTGAAATATTAGGTAGCTTTCAAAGAGTAAGTTAGACTTCTATGTATTGGGAGACAGGTCCCTGATATGTTGTTACTTGAAAACAAATTATAGATTTGTGCATGGCATTTTCTTACCATTTAAGCAAAAATCCTACACAGTCTTGTGTCACTTAACAATGGGGACATGTTCTGAGAAATGCATCTTAGACGATTTTGTCCTTGTATAAACATAGATGGTATAGCCTATTAACACCTAGGCTATAAACTGATACAGCATGTTACTGTACTGAATACTGTAGATAATTATAACACAGTGGTAATTATTTGAGTGTCCAAACATAGAAAAGTAAAAATATAATGATACATGGTATACCTGTATAGGGTATTTACTATGAATGGCATTTATAGGACTAGAAGTTGCTCTGAGTTACCAGTGAATGAAGGCCTAGGATATTACTGTACACTACCATACAGTTTATAAACACTACACTTAGGCTACACTAAGTTTATTAAAAATTTTTCTTCAATAATGTTATTTACTATAACTTTATAAACTTTTTAATGTTTTTAACTGTTTGACTTTTTTGTAATAATACTATGCTTAAAACATATTGTACAACTGTACCAAAATATTTTCTTATATCCTTATTCTGTAAGCTTTTTCTGTTTTTAAAATTATTTACTTATTTTTACTTTGAAACTTTTTTGTTAAAATCTAAGACACAATCACACACATTAGCCTAGGCCTACACAGGGTCAAGATCATCAATTTCACTGTCTTTGACCTCCACAGCTTATTCCGCTGGAAGGTCTGCAGGGAGCTGTCATGTCCTCTGATAACAATGCCTTCTTCTGGAATACCTCCTGAAGGACCCCTGGAGGCTGTTTCACAGTTAAAGTTTTTTCTTTTTAATAAGCAGAAGGAATACACTAATGATTAAAAGTAAATATATAAACCAGTTACATAGTCATTTGTTATCATTACCAAGTATTATGTACTGCACATAATTGTATGCACTGTACTTTTATATAACTGGCAGCACACTAGGTTTGTTTACACCAGCATCACCACAAACACATGAGTAATGCATTCCACTACAGCTACAACATCAACTGCCAATAGCAATTTTTCAGCTCCATTATAATGTCATGAGACCATCATGGTATAGACAGTCAGTCATTTACGAGGTCCTTCGTTAACCAAAATGTCCTTATGTGGTACATGACTCTCTATGCACGTGTAAACATATATCTGTGTGTCTTTTTGCAAGCTTAAAAAAAAAGTATGAAAGGATTCCCACTGAAAATCCCCCCGAGAAGTTCAGAAAGAGAAATTAACTTTTTATTTATACTTCTTTATATCATTTGACTGAATATGACCCTCCTACATTACTTATATAATACTAAAAATCTAAAAAAATGACACACAAAAAGTTAGACCTTTTAATAATTCTTACCTTCTAGAGAAAGGTCAGTATTTTTAGTAAAACTTGGGGCAGTGCGTTTGAAGATCTTGGTTCGTTCTCCTCCCACAACCACCTCTGGTCCAAGCAGAGAGACCAGCACTGCTAGGCTATGCAGAGTAATTGCCACAATGGAATCGCTAGTATCACGCAGGCCCAGCAAAACCTAGGAGCAAATGAGGTAATAAGGGTTGACAACCACAATACCTATCTCTTTCTTCCCCTGTAAATGAGCAATTGGGCTGCAAACAGATTGTGCTTAGATAAACTACATTATCTTAGATATGTGTTCCAGGTCAGTGGCTCTCAAACTACCTGTGGTAAAAGACCAGTATCTTCCCCTCCCAATCCATCACAGACTTACCATTTTTAAAAAATACAATCAAAACAAAATTAAAAAGACATATGTTGGGTACATAAAATTACTCTGTCAAATTGCGACAAAAGGTTTTAAATGTTAAGTCTTCATATCTGTACTCACATCACAGAACTGTAATAAAAAGTTCATGTACTGGCAGTGTTCTGCAGAGCGCACTCAGAACTCATCTAGGGTACTAACAGTTATGTTCCTGTCCATGCTTCTCTTTTCAGCTCTTTTCAAGGGTAGGACCACCTGTCCCAAACTGAGCCCATCATGATCTTTTGTCCAGTAATATAAACTAGAATTTATATTTTCAGTTTATATAGGTTTACTCAATGAGGACAGTATGCCAGGCAGGGACAAGTGCCTGTAGCCCGAGCTACTCAGAAGGCTGAGGCATGTGGATCACTTGAGCCCAGGAGTTCTGGGCTGTAGTGTGCTATGCTGATTGGGTGTCTGCACTAAATTCAGCATCAATATAGTAACCTCCCAGGAGCTGGGGACTACCAGGTTGCCTAAAGAGGGGTGAACCAGCCCAGGTTGGAAATGGAGCAGGTCAAACTCCTGGGCTGATCGGTAGTGGGTTCATGCCTGTGAAGAGCCACTGCACTCTAGCTTGGGCAACACAGTGAGACCCCCATCTCTAAAATAATTTTTTTTTATGAGGACAGAAAACTTGGAAGTTATGGGACAACCATTTTGGCCATGTGCACACCAAAACAAGGAAAGCTGGTCTTCAGAGAGTCAAAAGTCAAACAAATGCAGACAGAAGAAAGGAATGAAAAACATGGCTGTAAGCCCCAGCTGCACTTGATTTCCATCTAAGTTAGTCTAACATTCTTAAATTTTTTTTGCTTTGGCTGGTTTAAAATGAGTTTCAGTTACTTGCAACCAAAAACACCTTAGAAGACAGTCACATGCAGATATCAGGCAAGTACTGCTCTGCATATAAGGAAGGAAATGACCTTCAAAGCATCTGCACCAGCCAGACACAAGGCCAGGGTAACTGGCCTGCCTACTGGAAGCAGCAGGGCGTGACAGGTATCAGGAATCTTTGGTTTTGGTCTTAGCTCTGCTAATAATTCTCAATGTGACTTGACCAATTGGTCTTTTTATTTTTCTGGCCTGGTTTCCTCATTTATATAGTAAGATTAAAGGTTTCCAACAGGACTCAAAAGATAATTATTAGGACCAATGCTAACAGATCACTTTCTGTACATGTAAACTAAAGCATGTTTCTTTTACATATGATTAGAGTTCTGCCCACTGAATATGATAATCATAAAACAGCAATCCGCCCAAGCCAAAAATTGGTCATCCTCAACACCTCTTCCATCTAATGAGAAACTGAGTACTACCCCTTCTGTGTCCCTCTACTATATCCACTGTCACACTTTCCCCAGCCTTTGTCATCTCTTAGCTAAACTATTCTAACAGCTTCCTAGCTTATCTCCCTTTCTGTGGTCTCTTCCACACTGCTACCAAAGTGAACTTTCTAGCACACACAAATTGGCCCACTCTTCTTTAGGGGAAGCAGTTTCCTAAGTAATGAGAGGTTTCATTGTCTTCCACATGCTCAACATTTACTCTTTGACCTCAGTCCAATTCTGAGACCTATGATGACAACTCCATTTCAGAGTTAAAGTGCTTCATTCCTCTTCTAAATTTCCAGACACAACTACATACAGGGTAACAATTACTGCTGCAGATGTAAATACAAAGTGCTATGTTGTAGTTACTACAACACAGAGACTTTAAAGTCAGCCCCCAGCGAATCACACCTCCAGTATCCATGCCCTTGAGTAAACCCATCCCACAATGAGCCTGGGCTTTTTCCAACTCTAACCGAGAGAATGAGGCAAAAATGACTGTCAGTTCACAACCTACACTTTAAGAAGGCTTCTTTTGCCCTTTTTTTTTCTTTAGCCCTGGCCAGCCATTTAAGAAGTCCACCTGCCTTGCTAGAGAAATCATGTGGAAATGTCACATGGGGGGATACAAGCCCCCCAAGCTTCCTGAAAATTCATGGAGAGAAAGGCGCAGCCTCTCAGCCACCCCTTCCAAGATACCAAGGAGCCATTTTGGATGTGTCAACCCTTGTCGGGCCCCAGATGACTGAAGACTCAGCTGATATGTGGAACAGAACCTTCAGCTGAGTCCAGTCAATCCAAAGAATCATGAGAATTAATAAAATGATTATTATTTTAAGGCACTAAGTTTTGGGGTACTTACATGGCAACGGATGACTGAAACATGTCCCACTTATGAGCTCCTTGAAAGCAGAGAGAATGTTAATCTATCTCATAGGAAAATTATTTGAAAGACACCATGTGATTGTAGTCTTTTAAAACAATTTTTTTAAAACCTCATACTAGGTTGAATAGTGTCCCTCCAAAATTCATGTCCATGCAGAATGTGACCTTTAGATGAGGTCATACTGGGTTAGGGTAGGCCATAAATTCAATGACTGGTGTCTTTCTAAGAGGCCATGTAAAGACAGACAAGGAGGTAAGAAGGCCACGTGACAACAGAAGCAGAGACTGGAATGATACAGCCACAAGCCAAGAAATACCAAGGATTGCTGGGAGCTACGAGAAGCTTGTAAAGAGGAGTCCCTTTCACATCCTACAGCCTTCAGAGGAAGCAGGGTCCTGTTGACACCCTGGTTTTAGACTTCTGGCCTCCAGAACTAAAAATAAATTTGTATTGCTTTAAGCCATTATAATTTGTGATAATTTGTTATGGCAGCCTAAGCAACTAATACAAACCTTTCATTAGTTTCACTAACAAAACCCTTTGGTGGGCAAATCATAATAAGGTTCCCTAGTGGCTGATAACAACAGGCTGAAAGCCACTGATAAGAATCATCTCATGCTCCTCTCTGTTCTAATTTAATTACTTTATAATAATTATGGATAATTATATGTTATGTTCACAAAGTGCTCCATACATTATTGTTATTCATTTACCCTCCCAAAATTAACAAACAATTATAGTTTCTCCCAGGTTAAGACCAAATATGTCAGTTTAATCAATTTGCCTGTGTGAATGGAATGGAAATGCAATTTTAATTTCAGCACTTTGTATTCCACAGACTGCTGCCTGAAGGCTTTCTAAGCTATTATCTGAATACCTCCAAAACTCTTTCTTTCAGCACTCTTCCCTCAGGTTCTGTGACTACCCCACTGCAAACTTGGCCTCTGACCTGTGGCAAGATGACTTTCTTCAGCTGCTCCTGAGTGAAGTGCTCCACGTAGGCCTCGATGTGAGACAGCAGCACCATCCGCACATGCTCTTCATGAACTTCAAACAACTGGAGAAGCACGGGGATCACCCGTGACTGGAACAGGGCTGGTGAGAGCAAGCAAGGAGTTTCTCCCTGCGCATGATCTACCCGAAAAATCAAAGGTTACAGATGAAAAAACAAATTTTCATTTCAGTGAAAAGTATTAAGCATAATTCATACACTGAACCCAAAACTACACATATTCTAAGTACTCTTCTAAATTCTTTTTTTCTTTTTGAGATGGAGTCTCACTCTGTCACCCATGCTGGAGTGCAGTGGCGCGATCTCGGCTCACTGCAACCTCCTCCTCCCAGGTTCAAGCAATTCTCCTGCCTCAGCCTCCCGAGTAGCTGGGATTACAGGCACCCGCCACCATGCCCGGCTAATTTTTGTATTTTTAGTAGAGATGGGGTTTCACCATGTTGGCCAGGCTGGTCTCAAACTTCTGACCTAGTGATCCACCTGCCTCGGTGTCCCAAAGTGCTGGGATTACAGGCGTGAGCCACCGCGCCCGGCCAGTATTCTTCTAAATTCTAATGCTCCAAACCAAAGCAAAGTTCTTTTCTTGACCGAAAATTACTTAACGCTTAATTATGTTAAGTACACTTACCTTGTAGAGTTTTTGAAATACTAGAGATCATAGTGTACAACAAAGCTTGTATTTTAACAGAATTCTGAGTAACTTTTTATAAATTTATGTTTAATCAGTGAGGAATTTCATACACTAGATTTGTGACATACTGATATTGTTGTAGTTTTATTTGCAAAACCAGGTGTTAAATGCTACAGTGGGACTTTGATGCTGGATACTCCTCTTTTTCCAGTATTTATGGTAGTGGTTATCAGGCAGGTATGTATTGAGAATTATTTGGGAACTTTTAAAAAATATGTATACCTATGTCCTGGCTCTCTGTTCTAGAACCAATGGATCAAGCAAAGAGGCAAATTTTCAAAAAGCAACATAGGTGATTCAGAGGCACACCCCTATGTAAGACCTACTGAGGAATAGGATGTAAGAGCTATAAAGAAAAATTCATGGCTAAAGAGAATGGTATCAAAGTAGAGATATAAGGAAATTCTAAACTGTAACAATGCTTTGTTGGACTGAGATCCCTTTAAGAAAATAAATTCTGAAAGCAGGATTCTACGTAACTTAAAATTCTAGTGTCATATTAATACTATATTCTCTCATCTGTTGTTACCATCTCTAGTGCTATAAAATTGTAAAATTCCAAAGCAATAACCTCATTTCACATTCGTAAAAAAAACTTGAAGCCCCAGGAAGTAAAATGATCTCAGTGCTTTTCACTGAAAATAGAAAATAAATGGGTTGCTCTTGGTAAGGTAGGAGGCACAGGCCTAAATGATTCATGATAAATGTAAAAGTTCTTTGAAGATGCATGCCTTACCTTAAAACTTCAAATGTATATTTCAGATTCTAGTCAGATATAACACTTACTATAGTAAATTGGACTCTCTAGGAAGATGCTTCATTTATCCTGTGAACTCTGGTACCCAGGTTTGAATTAAAGTTATCACATCAGGGGCCAACAATTGTTCTCCGTTTTTAGAACCAAACATTAACTACACCACACAGTAATCTCATCCTGCTCAAATATGGACTAATAATCACCAAACTTCTTAACTAGCAATAACACTTTGAAAAAGCATTCACCTTTTTTGGGGCCAAGCAGATAAGGAAGAAAACTCTTAACAGCCACTGGCTCTGCAAACACCAACTGATTAAGCAGAAGAGGCACCAACCTTGAAGCTATCAATTCCTCTGACAAGCAGCTGACTCTGTCCAGCAGAAATCTGAGGACAAAAAGGGAAAGCCCAGGAAACTGGTCATGACACTGTATCAGCTTACTTGTACAGTTTAGCCTACACACATCCTCTCTCTCACTTCTATCAAAGTGATGCATTTGAAATGGAGATAGAGAAGGTGAACAGATTGGTCCCCAAGTACTTAAGAAAAATGCGTGGCTGGGTGCAGTGGCTCACACCTGTAATCCCAGCACTTTGGGCGGCCGCGGCGGGCAGATCACTTGAGGTCAGGAGTTTGAGACCAGCTTGGCCAACATGGTGAAACCCCATCTCTACTAAAAGTACAAAAATTAGCCGGGCGTGGTGGCAGACGCCTGTAATCCCAGCTACTCGGGGCTGAGGCATGGGAGGCTGAGGTTCAATCGCTTGAAGCTGGGAGGCAGAGGTTGCAGTGAGCTGAGATCATGTCACTGCACTCCAGCCTGGGTGACAGGGTGAGATTCTGTCTCAAAAAAAAAAAAAAAAATACAGAAAGTGTGAGCAAAGCCAGCTAGTCAGCACACCTCCAATTCACACCAGGAAATGTTTCCACCAAATTATCCCCTTACTAATAGTCAAAGTGCCCTCCTTTTTACCCTAAGAAGACAGGCTTTGTAGATAATAAAAGACACTTTCTCAAATTTAAACAATGTAGAAAGCTTCCATAACTAACAAAACATAGGCTTTTGTCACTATCCCCATAAATTAAAACAACATATATAAAGGCACTTTGTTAAGAAATACAGATATTAGGTATTAATGGTAATATTACTCCATTATACAATCACCCTTAGCAGATATCCTTGCCTCCTACTTTATTAGGAAACAGGTCACATGCATTATCACCTTCAAACCCCTACACCGCTATCAGCAAACAGGTTTACATTGATACTCATTCCCACCTCCCTTCTAGTTATTAAGGATCCGAGGGCCTCCTCTTACTTAAGGCCACCCCCATCCAGCCACTGCCCCAGCATTCCCCTCTCTTCCAGGACAATGCACCAACCATCTCCCCAACTTGATTGCAGCTTCAACTGCTCCCTCCATTCTTCTGCTAGCTCCTTTCCCTCGTCTATTAATATGCTCAGGTCTCTTCCACCCTTACAAAATCCTTCCTTGACCCCATTTGCTTCTTCAGTAATATTTTCTCTCCAAGTTTTTCTCCAGTGTCTTTCTCACCTTCTGTTCACTTCTCAGCCCAATGCACTCTCACTGCTGGAACAGCTCTTGCTAAGATAAAGTTACCAGTGTCTTCCTAACTACTAAATGAACAGGTACCTGTTCGTTCCTCCTACCTTCGTGAAATTCCCTACTCCTTTGGGAATATCATAGCCTTCCTAGCTCTCTGAGTCTCCTCTAACCCCTGCTTCTCATTCATCAGCCACTCCTTCCCACCAGCCCCCTTATAAGGTCGGGTGCCCCAGGATTACAATTTGGGCTCACTGTCCTTTTCATGCTACCCACTTTCTCTGTGAAAATATCACCAACTATAGGCTGATAACACCCTAATATTTCCCTCTAGCTCATCAGCTTAAGACTTCTCTGAAGCTTCAGACCTGTCTGTTCAACGGTCCATGTATATCTCTATCTAAAGTCCAACAGATACTTCAAACCAACATATCCAACACTGAAGTCATAATTTTCCCTGCATATTAGGTCCTCTCCTCCAATATTCTCTATTTCATTTGGTGATAATCACTAAGGCTTCTCAGCTTTATCTTTTTAAATGTTTATCTTAGTGTCTTCTTCATTGGAGACATTAATGCCCTTATGTGTGGCTTCATATTTACTGCCTGGACTACCATAGTCACTAACCAATCCAAATCTTAAATGAGTTAAGCCTTCCCACTCAATAGAGAACAAAGTGATCCACCTAAAGGGACATTAATCTGTTTCACAGCCTGCTTCCATCTCTTTGATGGCTTCAATGCCTGAAGTCCCCTATTTACAAATAACATCAGCACTCCTCACTGCCACATGCAAGGTGTACCTCCTACCTGTCCTTGTCTTGGAATTTGTCCCCCAGCAGGACTCAACTGTTTGCGGTTCCTGCACAAGTCACACTAGGTCTTGTCTTTGTGCATTTGTTCATGTTGCCCCTCTGCCTAGAATACCTTTTCTCTAACGACCTCCTCCTGCCCTGTGTGTTCTCAGGACTCCTTCCAAAAGCTCTACTGTACCCACCTCTCTGTTTAAGGATTATCAGTCTGGGTATCTATTTCTTTCACCAGAAATATCTACCCCACCAGGGCCTAGCAGAAAGCCTGACACATAGGAAATGTTCAATAAATGTGAAATAAACCAAATATATGACTCATCTTCTCTAGAATACCTAAAGTGATTATATGGACTTAATCCAAGTTATTCAATTTAAATTCTTAATTTTCTGAACTTACTTAAAGAATTCCGTTTTCTCCTCTTCACTCTTCAATGTTAAACTTTTCAAGAAATTCACAACTTCCAGAAAATCATTTCTAAATGCCAAAAAGAGAAGGAATTCAGCAGAACAGATTAGAGAATGTTAAATATTGAGGTCATAATCACAGACTACATCAATATAATTTTCAACCAAGAAACATTCTCCTTTGCCATTTAAAGATTCTATTACAACTAAGTAGCTTATGAGACAAATACTATGGAACACGCCTCTGAAATCTAATATTTTAATAGCAAAGAGATCTGTGACGAGGATACAAGTTTAAACACACATATGCTAACATGCTTTATGGTTTAGTCAGAAAAATCCTCCAAACTGTTGGTTGTAATAGGATGTTAAATGAAGTATCCTGGGAGAAATGACATTACCATTACAAAATATTGCTGACTCTCAAGTCTCCTTTGATGAAATAAAAACTATTAAAGAGATTGTGGAAAGTGGAATTTCCATACAGCAATCTTCTCATTTCTCCTGCTGTAAGTTACTTGGTCATTCTTTCAGCCAGGCAGGGATTAGTGTGAGAGGAGTGGTCGGTTTCCTACAGGGCTGCCAGAGAATTCCAAAGGCTGTGCACTGCTCAGCTCACACCCTACTGTATATGAGACTGTTGACCCCAGATGCTCCGGCATACAAGCTGGACAGCCTATTGGGAGGCCCAGTAAGCAGAGATACCACTTGGATCTTCACATCTTATGTTTATACCTACTTTAGGCTTCCCCCTGGTTCAGCAGCAAAGATGTCTAAACTTAAATCTAATCAATCAAATTGGTTCAGCTGCCTCTGTAAGAGATGCTGACCCTGGCTCCTACTGTTGTCTCTTAACTGGGGTTTCTCCCCACATTAACAGTGGGATTTTGGCAGGTACGGTTTGTGTGTTTTCAGTTTTCCTCTCCCCTCTCAATTTACAATACAACTCTTAATAAATAACTCATTTTACACAGAGTGATGAGAGAATCTATTTACCATAAGGGATTGTTCTTTGTAGAGACTTTCTATCAAGGGAAATAAAATATTTCTAAGAATCATCCAAAAGGGCATAGAAGTACTTTGGAAAGACTCTCATAATGATAAATATAAAATTTGTATTTGTCAATTAAAAATACAAATTTTTAAAAACATCCTCAAAAAAGACGATCATAATGGGAAAGTTTTGAATAGTTTGAAATATGACAATATAAGCCCAGTAACCATAAATGCTACTTATTTAATAAGATTACCCTTCCCCACCTACCCCTAGTTCTATCCTAGAGGTAATTTTCCCCACTTGGGAATAATACTAGCCTTCCCTTTGCTCTGGTTTTTCTCAAGCTCTAAATGCAAACACATAGGATTTTTAGTTTTAAAACTAACATAAGGTTGGCTTTGCTAATAGAAGTCATGAATATGGAACTAACCTGTGCAGAAGTTCTGCAGTCATGGAAATAAAAAAATGAAGGACACATAATTAAAACTAACCTTGAAGAAGGGTTCAAAAATATCTCTGAATCTAATAAGGTATTAAATTATATTGTGCCCTTGCCTCTAAACCAACTTATTTGCTCTTCCATCACATATTACTAGACAAAGAATATGAACTCATTCCCCATCCCCATGAGAAAAACTGAATAATAATAAACTCATAATATAATGGCAGCAGAAAAGAAAGGCTAGGTTTAGTAACTTTTTCAATTAACTTACAACTGTAAACCAGTGGACACACCTAGCTTCTTCACTATTAGAAGCCCTAATAAATCTGGCTACAGTTTCTAAATCCAAGCCTTCAAGACAATCAAGGATTTCTAAAACTTCCTATCTATAATAGGAAACTGACAGACAACCCAATTTCTTCCTCTATTTTCTCCTGTGGACATGATTCAATCTCTCCTAATAATTAACAACAGAAACTGCATCATTTGGTCCTCCAAAAACCCCCCACTGCCACTTATCCAAGGCACAAGAGCAGGCAGCAGTGTTCCGGAAGCAGCTGGCGTCACCACACCAGATGCCCTCACCTGAAGAAGTCATGAGATAGTAAGGTGCAGAGCGCTGGCCGACATTTTGGAATGGGATTCAGCAAAGTTGAGTGCAAGGTCTGTTGAAAGCTGGAGAGAACATCCGCTGAAACTGAAATCCAGAGCTACAGTTAGTTTCCAATGCCTTCTCCCTCTTTTCAGGACCTCTATAGCTGGAGACTGCCGAGAGCAAAAACCAACCTGTAAAAGCCCAAACAAACAAAGCCCTGGCTGTTGCTAAACAGCTTCCTGCTTGCCTTAGGCAAAACTCATTGGCAGGTGTAGAAAGTTGTCCTGCCACCACCATCAAACCCCACCCCAGGTGCCATTCCCTTCTATACCCTCTCATTTCCTGATTATCCATTTAACCCAGCTCAGGCCCAAAGAAGAAGGGCTAACAGTGATAGGTTTGAGGGTCTTTCTCAACAGGGGTTCCTCATCCACAGAACAGTTATATGAATGATTATATTTACAATTCTTCCAAGGATAGTAAATAATTGCTACCATTCTAAATACATAGAATAGTTAGTTCATTATACACAATGGATGCCTTTGGGCCTTAGGATTTAATTCTCAAGTATTTAGGATGGGACAATTTAGAGCTGACAGCTGAATCAGAACACTGCATAAGCCTGGCAGAATAAACCGCATTAGAACTGGCACAAAGCTTGAGCCATGTGAGATGTAGGCCAATAAGGGGCCTACTGTGACACATGCCTCAGTAAACTCAATGAGTGGAAAATTAAAGTCCTAAAGTGGGCACAGGAGAGTGAAGCAGGCTGCCAAGCATGCAGTTAGAGAACACAGAAGAGAGGAGAAAACAATGTCTTTAGCAGCCTGAGCTTTAAGAGGCAATGAAAGAAAAAAGTGAAGAGTAAATTAATAGGAAAATAAATCAAATGAGCTTTGAAAGAATAAAGAAATGTTGAGCTCAATTTAACAAAAAATTATGAATTTTACCCTATTATTCAGATTATTACATATAAATCATTAATGATAGTTATGTACTTATTGGCCGGTTCAATAAGGAATAGAGTCTACATTTAGACCGCTTAAGTACTATTACCAATTAATAAGGTAATCACACATGATACTGACAGCCATAGTTCAAAGTGCTTCCTACTTAAAATTCTTTTCACCATGCAAACTAATGAAACCCAAAGCTTCTTTCCTTACTGTTCTTAGTATCTGCCCTAAAAAAGTTACCTGGTAAGCAAAAGATTCCTTACTGTGCTCAAAGACTGTAGTCCTTTGAATTCCACACAGAATACGTCATGGATGATTTTCCTACTTATTCTATAGATGCAGTAGTATAACTCCAACTCACCCTGTTCATTTAAGATTGTGAGCAAACTTTCCACCAATGTTCCAAATGAAAAGGCATCCCGGGCATGTCCATGACACTCTGGGAGAGTTGTGAATTCTGGAGACTAAAAGCAGTGAAGACAATTAAAACTAGAGGATCTGCCTTATAAGCCATTTCTAATTTTCTCTGAAGCACCTTCTCCCATGTTTGTATTTATTATACTCAAATCTATCTTCAGACCACCACACATGAATGTATAGATTCTTAACACTATTAGTGAATAGAATTTGTTGAAGATTGTAAAACATTAAAATGAGCAAAAATTTTTAAAAAGGTTAGAATATGGCACATGTCGGTGGCTTTTACAAATATTTTCACAGCAATCCATGGTAAAGAATATGTCTTATATCATGCTCTACTATACATACACGTGCATAAATACACACATAATGGAAACAAAAGTTTCATAAAACAGTGCTTAGCCTTACTATCTAAGATGCCCAAAGACATGTTCTTTTATTCTTTTTTTTTTTATAAAATGCTAGTCAGGACCCCCTAAATTGACTTAAAACCCGCAAATCACCGATTTTAAAAACACTAGTATATATACATAATACTGATTTGGATAAATCTGATTTATTTCAAGTCTTAGGTCTATACTTAAGTTTATAGTTGAGTTCATATTTCCTGTAAAGCACACTAAATATATCTTTGGGGATTATTTATAGTGGCTATAAGAACAAATTTATAGAAGGAGCATCTGCTTTTGAATTTATTGGTAAATAGAATTTTTCTTTACCAGCACTCTTAATAATCATTCTTCTGTGCATCTTGAAATCCTAAGTAATGGGCAGCTAGAGATAGATGAATGGTTTGGGTGACATACAAGAAAGGACTAGGGTTTTTGCTTCCATAATTATTATGGATTCCAGCAAAGTGCAACTACTGATAATGGTTTCACTGTTTTCCCACCCAAATCTCATCTTGAATTATAACTCCCACAATTCCCACGTGTCCTGGGAAGAACCAGTGGCAGGTGACTGAATTATGGGGGGCAGGTCTTTCCTGCCCTGTTCTCATGATAGTGAATGGGCCTCACAAGATCTGATGGCTTTAAAAAAGGGGAGTTTCCCTGCATAAGCTCTCTTCTCTTGTCTGCCACCAGGTGAGACGTGCCTTTTGCCTTCTGCCATGATTTTAAGGAACTCCCCAGCCACGTGGAACTTTTGTAAATTGCCCAGTCTTGGGTATGTCTTCATCAGCAGCGTGAAAACAGAGTAATACAGTAAATTGGTACCAGTAGAGTGGGGCGTTGCTGAAAAGATACCTGAAAATATGGAAGGGACTTTGGAACTGGGTAACTGGCAAAGGCTGGAACAGTTTGGAGGGTTCAGAAGAAGACAGGAAAATGTGGGAAAGTTTGGAATTTCCTAGAGACTTGTTGAATGGCTTTGACAAAAATGCTGCTAGTGATATGAACAATAAGGTCCAGGCTGAGGTGGTCTCAGATGGAGATGAGGAACTTGTTGGGAACTGGGGCAAAGGTGACTCTTGTTATGTTTTAGCAGAGACTGGTGGCATTTTGCCCCTGCCCTAAAGAACTGTGGAACTTTGAACTTAAGAGAGGATTTAGGGTATCTGGCGGAAGAAATTTCTAAGCAGCAGAGCATTCAAGAGGTGACTTGGGTGCTGTTAAAGGCATTCAGTTTTAAAAGGAAAACAGAGCATAAAAGCTTGGGAAGTTTGCAGCCTGACAATGCAATAGAAAAGAAAATCTCAGGTGACATTCAAGGCAGCTGCAGAAGTTTGCATAAGTAATGAGGGGCCAAATGTTAATCCCCAAGAAAATGGGGAAAATGTCTCCAGGGCATGTCAGAGATCTTCATGGCAGCCCCTCCCATCACAGGCCTGCAGGCCTAGGAGGAAAAAGTGGTTTCATGGGCGAGGCCCAGGGTCCCCATGCTGTGTGAAGCCTAGGGACTTGGTGCCCTGCATCTCAGCCGCTCTAGCCATGGCAGAAAGGGGCCAACGTAGAGCTCAGCATGTGGCTTCAGAGGGTGCAAGCCCCAAGCCTTGGCAGCTTCACATGGTGTTGAGCCTGCAAGTGCACATTAGTCAAGAACTGGGGTTTGGGAACCTCCACCTAGATTTCAGAAGATGTATGGAAATGCCTGGATGCCCAGGCAGAATTTGCTGCATGGGCAGGGCCCTTATGGAGAACCTCTACTAGGGCAGTGTGAAAAGGAAATGTGAGGTCGGTGCCCCCACACAGAGTTCCTACTGGAGCACTGCCTAATGGAGCTGTGAGAAGGAGGCCAGCATCCTCCAGATCCCAGAATGGTAGATCCACTGACAGCTTGCACCACGTGCCTGGAAAAGCTGCAGACATTCAAGACCAGCCTGTGAAAGCAGCCAGGAGGGAAACTGTACCCTGCAGAGCCACAGGGGTAGAAGCTGCCCAAGACCATGGGAACCCACCGCTTGCATCAGCGTGACCCGGATGCGAGACACGGAATCAAAGGAGATCATTTTGGAGCTTTAAGATTTGACTGCCTCACTGGATTTCACACTTGCCTGTAGCCCCTTTGTTTAGCTAATTTCTCCCATTTGGAATGGCCGTATTTACCCAATGCCTGTACCCCCATTGTATCTAGGAAGTAACTAACTTGCTTCTGATTTTACAGGCTCATAGGTGGAAGGGACTTGCCTCATCTCAGATGAGACATTGGACTATGGACTTT
Organism: Homo sapiens; assembly: GCF_000001405.40. Taxonomy (NCBI): domain Eukaryota; kingdom Metazoa; phylum Chordata; class Mammalia; order Primates; family Hominidae; genus Homo; species Homo sapiens. Next base: position 169,872,975 of record NC_000001.11, read on the forward strand.
TGAGTTAATGCTGAAATGAGTGAAGACTTTGGGGGACTGTTGAGAAGACATGACTGGTTTTGAAATGTGAGGACATGAGACTGGGGAGGGGCCAGGGGAGGAATGATGTGGTTTGGCTGTGACTCTCATCTTGGATTGTAACTCCCACAATTCCCATGTGTCATGGGCAGGAATTCAGTGGGAGGTGATTGAATTATGGAGGTAGATCTCTCCTGTGCTGTTCTGGTAATAGTGAGTAGGTCTCACAAGACCTGATGGTTTTATAAAAGGGAATTTTCCTGCACAAGCTCTCTTCTCTTGTCTGCTGCCATGTGAGAAGTGCCTTTCACCTTCCGCCATGATTGTGAGGCCTCCCCAGCCACATGGAACTGTTAGTCCAATAAACCTCTTTCTTTTGTAAATTGCCCAGTCGCAGGTATGTCTTTATCAGCAGCATGAAAACAGACTAATACAACTACTTATCGTGAAATGGGTATAATTGTCTGTTCACACTGAGGTATCTCTACCTCTAAACAATATCATAGGTGTTTATGTGACAAAAAAATTTAAGCTGGCTCCCTGGCTGTGGTGATAAGATTAATCTTAGAAAGCTTTAAGGCCAGAGGAATTATGAGGCATCTATAACTCAGTAAAGAAAGGAGTAAGCAGAGGAAAGTTTTTTAAAATTTCATACTCAATTACACAAAGGCACCTTCATTATATGTGAAGTATATCATCTTACCATCTCTTCAGGAGGGATAGATGCTGGGTCTCTTATTGACTGAATACTCCTCAGAAACTAGACAGAGAAATAAATTAAAGAAAATGATTCATACATATGTTTGGTGAACTAATCTCTTACATCAGGTTACATAAGCAATGAGCAATGCAAACAGCACCAATTAAACCTTCAAATCAATGCCGCATATTAGATGCACAAATTTAAAATGCTTCTAATTTTAAAAATGCAAATAAAGTACCTGGCACAGCACAAGGCACAGTAATAAATGGTAGTTCCTTTTCCTCTCCCCTTCATCTGGTTTAACAGACACGCTCTGCTGTTCAGAGGCATCTGTGCATCTGATTTCCTTATATGGAAATTAGAACACTTCTTTCTTTTCCTGCTTAGATATTAACAATAAGAAGGCTTTTCTAGCACAGAACAAATCTGTCATTAATCTCACTAAACCAAATGAATCTTAAGTCTTGCTACCACACGAGATTAGAAAGTTGAGAACCTTAGTTATGGAGACAAAACCAACATCCACAGAATAAGCATATTAATTTGCTAGTTTCGAAGACTATTTTTGAAGAGCCTATATGTCCCGAACATCATTTAGGACACTAGGAATACAAGATGAATGCAATAAAGTTTCTGCCCCCAATCAGGTGCTCATAACCTAGAATGTAAACTAAGAATCTCCATAAACGTGCTAAGTGCCCTGGAAGCACTGGGGTGACTAATTTTGTTGGGCAGGGGAATGCCTAGGGGAAGGAGTCACAGAAAGGAGATTAAAGCCAGATCTTAGATGAGTTCACATTTTCCAGAAGCCAATGGGAAGAAATGCATTCCAGCAACAGAATGGCCTACAAAGAAGAAGAGTGTGAAGGAAGAAGGCATATGTGGGAACACAGCTGAACTGCATGGAACAAGATGTAACCAGACTATAGCTCAAGAACTCTTGAGTGAGGCCAGGCTCGGTGGCTCATATCTGTAATCCCAGCACTTTGGGAGGCTAAGGTGGGCAGATAACCTGAGGTCAGGAATTTGAGACCAGCCTTGGCAACACAGCAAAATCCCATCTCTACCAAAAATATAAAAAATTAACCAGGTGTGGTGGTGTGCACCTGTGGTCCCAGCTACTCAGGAGGCTGAGGTGGGAAGATCACTTGAACCAGGGAGGCAGAGGTTGCAGTAAGCCGAGATCGCACCACTGCACTCCAGCCTGGGTGACAGAGAGAAATTCCGTTTCCCAGCACTCCCCAGAAAAACCTAAATGGTAAATGAGGCTGAAGGTAGGCTGCAGAAAGATTGTGAAGGGCCTTATATCCCATGGCAAAGAATTTGGAATAAACAGCACAGAAAGGATTACATGCTATATACAAAGTACACAAAAGGTAAATTCAGGGAAGAAAGAGATCAATATGGACAGAATAACCAGAAAGATGTCTTTGTGGTAGAACATCTGAACTGAGCAAGAACCCATGAAGGTACACGTTAGACATGGCCCAAGTTAAGTGTGGAAGCAGCACAAAAAAGAATAGGGGAAATTAAGCTGAAACAGTAAGTCAACAGTGAGCCACCATTTCCGTAGGGATATTAAGATGGAAATGGTTTTTATTTTTTCCTTAAGAAAGAGTGAATGCAGCAGCAACACGCAAAATGTGAAAAGAACACACAAAACAGAAAACAGAAAGGTTCATCAACCTGGGAGGGAAACATGCAGAACTCTCAGACAAAAGTATAAGGAATACTACATCAGCAACAACACAGTCCACTAGGAGTTAAGATGCACAGGTCCTAAATCCCGCTACTAAGATACCATGTATGAAATTGGGCAACTCGGACAATTGTTCAAAGAACATTTTCTGAATACCTAGTATGTGCCAGGCACTATTCTAGGTAGAGGTATAAAGATAAGAGACTCACACCCTTAAGAGCCCAACCAATGGAATACAAGACAGATACATAAAGGTAATTTCACTATCAAGTGGTATGATCCAAGTAAGTACAAGGTACTATGGGGCAGAGAGGAGGGGCATTTAACTCAAATATCTGAACGAAACATTTTACCTCTCTCCGTCTCAGGTTTCCCTATTTATAAAATAAGGAGAAAGGATACATGACCCCCACTGCCTCTGAGGAACAAAATGCTATAATTCTATAAATGAGGGCACTGACAAAAAATTCAAGTCTCCAAATCTAAGACCAAGCTAACACTGAAGGAAAGTGCCTAGGCAAGAACCACATACCAAGACGCTATTAAAAACCAAGTAAGGAAGGGGGGCTGTCCCCTGGCTTACCTCTGGTGTGGCCTGAGAAACTTTACAAACAGTTTCCATTCCTCCTAGCTTCCAGTGTCCATCTTCACTCACAAACACAGATGATAAACAGACATTATTGTGTGTTAGGTGTCCCTGGAAAAAAAAAAGAACAGAAGGAAGAGTGCCACTCCAGGATCTGAAATAGAAATTTACTTCAAAAGATGTTTTTCTCCATCTCTCACAATCTTTATTTTAAAAAACTAAATACTAATCACCAAAAAAATTATGACAAGCCTTCCCACTTGTGGCATAATAAATGGAACTATAACTTTAAGAAACAACAAATTGAATGAAGTTAGATAAAAAGAAAAATGGAATGGAAGGGCTTCTGTTATCTCCCCCTGCCTCATGTGGCAGGTTAATAAACACATTAAAGCCAGTGCACACAGTCATCTCCCGATTTCTATGGGAGTCAGGGGATATACATGTTCTTAAACATACATTTACAAGTCTGTATAATCTATATTATTTGCTTCCAATGCCTTTAAAGATAAAATATATCTTTGCTCACATAGGTTATTTTATTTATTTTCTTCTCTAAATTCTTTCTCACCCACATTCTATCACGAACCCAGATCTACTTCATCTGAAATCTTGTTAGTAGGCATTAAAAAAATTCTGCCTGAAGAAGAGGAAAATGGAATGATAAGGACCACCAGAAATATCCCACAGACTGGCCAGGTGCAGTGGCTCACGCCTGTAATCCCAGCACTTTGGGAGGTCGAGGCAGGCAGATCATGAGGTCAGGAGATCGAGACCATCCTGGTTAACACGGTGAAACCGCGTCTCTACGAAAAATACAAAATATTAGCCGGGCATGGTGGCGGGCGCCTGTAGTCCCAGCTACTCGGGAGGCTGAGACAGGAGAATGGCGTGAACCCGGGAGGTGGAGCTTGCAGTGAGCCGAGATCACACCACTGCACTCCAGCCTAGGCGACAGAGTGAGACCTTGTCTCAAATAAAAAAAAAAAAAAAAAAAAAAAAAAAAAAGAAATATCCCACAGACCACAAAAGAGCCCATTTTAAAACTGTAAAAATAGTACAGTCAAATAAGTAAAAGAAAGGGAGAAAATAAGAACAGGATTCAGGTATTTAAGTTTTTTTCCCCAAACCAAAAATCATTTCAGTGATAAAAAAGTATGTTTAAAGTTATTATGTATGTATGTAATGTATGTATTTATTACAGGGTCTCTGTTGCCCCAGCTGGAGTACAGTGGTGTGATCACAGCTCACTGCAGCCTTGACCTCCTGGGCTCAAGCAATCCTCCCACCTCAGTCTCCGGTGTAGGGGGACTACAGGCATGTGCCACCATGGCTGGCTCATTTTTTGAAATGTTTTTGTAGAGATAGGGTCTTGCCATGTTGCCCAGGCTGGTCTCAAACTCCTGGGCTCAAGCGATCCTCTTGCCTTGGCCTCCCAAAGTGCTGGGATTACAGGTGTGAGCCACTGCGCCTGGCCAAAAGAGCACTTTAAATATTCTACCCAATACATCAAATGTGTAAATATTTTTATAGAGAATACTCCAAAAGATAAATATTTTTTAAAGGAAGGTTTAGAATAGTGTGTATAGTATATCTCCATTTGAGAAAAAAATGAAAGAGAAGAAGTATACACACTAGATATTTGTTTTATATGCACAAAGAACATCTCTGGAATAATACACGAGTTACCACCATTGCCTCTGAAGAGAGGAATTAGGGCACTGGATTCAAGGATGGGAGAGGGACACCTCACCCACATACTGTACAAACTTTTTAACCATGTGTATGCACTTTTGTCAACAAAGAAGATATTTCTCCCCACTGAACCACTAATAATTCTCGTTATCATGCGAACTTGTAAATGCACTTTTAAGAGACTATAAATCCAACATGATATTTGGAGAATCTGTCTCCAATTAATTGAAAAAAATTTAAAAACATACATAAAGATGAGTCAAGTCCAAGTGTTTCTAACCTGTGACTAGTATTTTTTAATCTTGGTGGACTGCCAAAGACCTTAATGCCTCAGAATGCAAATACCATTAAGAAAACAGTAATACTGTCAAGAAACAGACCAGAAGTAAACCTAGGAACCATCTTCTAGTAATAGCAAATATCATCAGAGAGCCAAGCACACTGGTTACACCACAGAATGTTAAGAGGCTGTCTCTCAATTGGCCCCAACTACTCAAATGGGAAAGGAAAGGATATGTATGTATTCTGCCTCTTCCTAAGAAATGGTCATTTCTTTCTTCAAAATCTAAAATGGGACACAACTCCTGAAAACAAATAGGAACTTTGGTCTATGGCAGCACTGACATTACACCTTTTCTTTGTTTTAGTAACTCATGCCAGCTGTAGCTATGTTTAGGCAAAGAATTATCCAAAACTAGAGACAGACTATAGTAAACTAAAATAAAATTCTATAAGTAACTGTCCAGGGACACAGAACTAGTTGTCCATTCTATAAAACCTCTATCTATAGCACCTCTTGTGCCTTCCAACATGCTATTTTTCCTCAGGAAGTTTTCTAATAATAACACTTAACTTACAATTTCTATGAACACCATAATTTATAAGTATTACCACACACATCACCCTCCCACCCCCATCTACATCAAAGTCTGTGATGCAGACTATACAGGTTACTTACTCTGTCATGAAGGAAGATAAGAGCCAGCAATATGTCATAGATCCCAGCACAGACCTCTGCAGAAGACAATGTTTCCAAAGCCACTTCCAGGGGCTGTACTCGCTCAGTGACAAGATGAATGCCATCCGCTTCCACAGTACAAGATAAAAATCTTAGCAAGCAAGGGTGACGAAGTGTCTTCAAATGCTTTAAAAATACAAACCGAAGAGCTGAAGTTAATGACCCCAAACCAGATTATAGTTTCATATACATTATGGGGGAAATCAGAAAATGTATACTTGCAGTTAAGGCTCTTTTGAGCTCCCTACCTTCCTCCCTACCCACTATATTTCACATAAGGCAAAGATCTATTACTTGTTCTGACATCATTCAATTTACTAATATTTAAATGGCTCTACAGAAATTTCCAGTTCCATCATTGTAGTGTAAGCCTCATAAGAGCCCAGATCCCTCAACGATTACTGCTATAAACTGAACAAAGTGCCAGAAACAACTGAAATCCTGACAAGTAAGCAAATGCAAACAGATTATGGAGGGGAGTCAAACCTGAAGAAGCGACACCCATGGGGTAAGTTTCTTGGTTTGGGGAAATTTTCCCCTTCTCACAGCTATGCATGGTGACAGGCCCCAGTTGCAAAGCAGTGTAACAAAGGTGCTAAAAGTCCAGTAAAAACTTTACCATCTTTCTGGCTGAAAGAACGATAGAAAAGAACCAAGGAAGGTGAGTATGAGGAGGGTATCCCAGAGAGGAGAGAGCTGGAGAGATGTCCTGATTTTTCACATACCCACAAATTCTCAGAAGCAAGCATCCACTGGATAGACCCAAACCAGCAGAGCAAAGTTTTGAGAAACAGACAGGTTGCAAATACCATTCACAGGAAGAGTAAGAGGAACTAGTTCAAAAACATGAGGCCTGAACCTAAATTAGCTGCCTGCTAAATAAAAAACATCAGCATTTTCCAAAGGATTATAACAGAGCAAAGAGTTATGTGACATCGTATTCAAAATGTCCAGGATGCAACCCCAAACTACTCAACATACAAAGAACCACAAAAATGTAACACATTCTCAATGGAAAAGACAACCAACAAACACCACTCCAAGGGGCCTCAGATATTAGAATTACCAGAAAGAATTTAAAGCAGCTATTGTAATCATCCTCCTAGAGATAAAGGAAAAGTTATAAAATAAATAGAAAAATTTAAATTTCCAAAAGAAAAATAAAAGATTGAAAATCAAAAATTAATGTATAGACTCATTAACAGAATGAATATGACAGAATACAGAGTCAGTAAACTTGAAAATATTAACCAATCTGAAGAATAAAAAATGTTTTAAAAAATGATCAGAGGGGCCAGGTTTGGGGACTCACACCTGTAATCCCAGCACTTTGGGAGGCCAATGCAGGAGGATCACTTCAGCCCAGGAGTTCAAGACCAGCCTGGGCAACACAGTGAAATCTCCATCTCATAAAGAAAAATTAAGAAAGAAAAAAAAGAGACCAGAGCCTCAGACACCTGTGACAATAACAAAAGGTCAAATAAATATAACTGAAGTCCCAAAAAGAGAAAAGAAAAAAATTGGGGCATAAAAAATACAATGGATGAAAATTTTTAAATGGATGAAAATACTTAAAGTATTTAGCCAAATTTAAATTTTACAGACTTGAAGAATTTCAGTGAATATAAAACAAGATAAATTTTTTAAAAAGCACACTTAAACATATTACCATCAAACTGCTAAATATCAAAGATAAAAAAATCTTAGAAGCAGCTAAAGGAAACACATTACATGGAGGAGAATGATGATTTAAACAACTGCAGACTTCTCATCAGGAAAGGTGGAGGGCAAGAAACAATGAAACATGTTTAAAATGCTGAAAGAAAAAACTATCAGCTTGGAATACTGTATCTAAGCAAAAGTAACCTTCAGAGGAAAAGGCAAAATAAAAGCACTTTTGGTGACAAAAAAAAAAACAGAAAATTTCTTGCCAGAAGACCTGCTATATAAAAAATGCTCATGAAGTTCTTCAAATGGAAGAAAAAATGATACCAAAGGGAAACTTGGATCTTCAGGAATGATGGAACAGCATCAGAAACAGTAAATATTACAATAAATATGAAGGCCACTTTTTTTTTTTTTTTTTGAGACGGGGTCTCACTCTATCTCCTAGGTTGGAGTGCAGTGGCGCAATCTCAGCTGACTGCAACCTCCGCCTCCCGGGTTCAAGTGATTCCCCTGCCTCAGCCTCCCGAGTAGCTGGGACTACAGGCTTGCACCACCATGCCCAGGTAATTTTTGTATTTTTAGTAGAGACAGGGTTTCACCATGTTGGCCAGGCTGCTCTCGAATTCCTGACCTCGGGCAATCCGCCCACCTCAGCCTCCCCAAGTGTCGGGATTACAGGCGTGAGCCACCGTGCCCAGGTGAAGGCCACATATTTACCTCTTCAGTTATTTAATCGCTATTTAAAGCAGATATTGTAATACTTCCTGGTGAGGTTTTCAATGTGTGTGAATGAATGTACAATTAATATGTAACAAAGAATGGTAGGGATAGGAGGCTGAAGATACCTACATTACAAGGCTTCTACGTTTTATGTGACATAGTACAATATTAACCACAGTAGACTATTTTTTGCCCTATTTATTTTTAATTTTCTTAAATTAAAAAAATTGATAATATGCATATTTTGGGGGAGTACCTGTGATTTTAATACTTTCGTAAAATTTGTAAAGATCAAATCAATGTAATTGGGATATCCATCACCTTAAACATTTGTCTTTTCTTTATGCTAGAAACATTAGAATTAGTCTCTTCTAGTTATGTAAAAATATACAATCGATTACTGTAAACTAGTCATCCTACTGACCTATCAAACACTAGATCTTATATCTTCTATCTTGTATCTTCTAACTGCATATTTGTACCCATTAATCAACCTCTCTTCATCCCCTACAATCCCCTACCCTTCCTGGCCTCTGGTAACCACCAGTCTACTCTCAACTGGTATGAGATCAACTTTTTTAGATTCCACATGAGTGAGATCTTGTGGTGTGTGTCTTTCTGTGCCTCATTTACATCACTTAACACAGCGGTCCCCAACCTTTTTGACACCAGGGACCAGTTTCATGAACACAATTTTTTCATGGACCAGGGGTGGGGGGATTATTTCGGGATGAGACTGTTCTACCTCAAATCATCAGGCATTAGTTAGATTGCCATAAGTGCACAACCTAGATCTCTTGCATACACAGTTCACAATAGGGTTCCTGCTCCTATGAGAATCTAATACTGAGAGGTGACAGCGTGCTGGCAGTCCTCACAGCCCTCGCTCGCTCTCGGCGCCTCCTCTACCTGGGTTTCCACTTTGACGGCACTTGAGGAGCCCTTCAGCCCACCACAGCACTGTGGGAGCCCCCTTCTGGGCTGGCCAAGGCCGGAGCCGGTTCCCTCAGCTTGCAGGGAGGTGTGAAGGGAGAGGTGCGAGCGGGAACTGGGGCTGCCCACGCAGCTTGTGGGCCAGCTGGAGTTCTGGGTGGGCGTGGGCTTGGCAGGCCCCCCACTTGGAGCAGCCGGCAGGCCCTGCCACCCGGGGCAATGAGGTGCTTAGCACCTGGGACAGTGGCTGCGGAGGGTGTACTGGGTCCCCCAGCAGTGCCAGCCCACCGGTGCTGCACTCATTTTCTCGCCGGGCCTTAGCTGCCTTCCCACGGGGCAGGGCTCAGGACCTGCAGCATGCCATGCCTGAGCCTCCCACCCCTCCCTGGGCTCCTGTGCGACCCCAGCCTCCCTGACCAGCGCCGCCCCCTGCTCCACGGAGCCCAGTCCCATCGACCACCCAAAGGGCTGAGGAGTGCGGGCACATGGCGTGGGACTGGCAGGCAGCTCCACCTGCAGCCCCAGTGCGGGATCCACTGGGTGAAGCCAGCTGGGCTCCTGAGTCTGGTGGGGACGTGGGGAACCTTTGTGTCTAGCTCAGGGACTGTAAATACACCAGTCAGCACTCTGTATCTAGCTCAAGGTTTGCAAACACACCAATCAGCGCCCTGTGTCTAGCTCAAGGTTTGTGAATGCACCAATCCACACTCTGTATCTAGCTACTCTGGTGGGGACTTGGAGAACCTTTGTGTCCACACTCTGTATCTAGCTAATCTGGTGGGGAGGTGGAGAACCTTTGTGTCTAGCTCAGGGATTGTAAACGCACAAATCAGCGCCCTGTCAAAACAGACCACTGGGCTCTACCAGTCAGCAGGATGTGGGTCGGGCCGGATAAGAGAATAAAAGCAGGCTGCCCAGCCAGCAGTGGCAACCCTCTCAGGTCCGCTTCCACATTGTGGAAGCTTTGTCCTTTCGCTCTTTGCAATAAATCTTGTTGCTGCTCACTCTTTGGGTCCACACTGCCTTTATGAGCTGTAACACTCACCGCGAAGGTCCACGGCTTCACTCCTGAGCCAGCGAGACCACGAACCCCACCAGAAGGAAGAAACTCCGAACATGAGAAGGAACAAACTCCAGACACGCCACCTTTAAGAACTGTAACACTCACCGCGAGGGTCCGCGGCTTCATTCTTGAAGTCAGTGAGACCAAGAACCCACCAATTCCGGACACAATACTGCTGCTGATCTGACAGGAGACAGAACTCAGATGGTAATGCTCGCGTGCCCACTGCCCACAGCCTCCTGCTGTGCCATCCTGTTCCTAGAGGCCACGAACCAGTACCAGTCTGCAGCCTAGGGGTTGGGGACACCTGACTTAACATAATGTCCTCTAGGTCCTAACATGATATTAAAGCTCTAGGGTCTACCCTATACAATCACTGAGGAAGCCCTGTCCAATCAGATTGGGAGGAGAGTGATGAAATATTTCATTTGGAAGATAACCCTCAATATATTACCAGGTGGCATTTTCATAAATAAGCAGTGAATACTGAACACCTTCTTGGAGGACTATGGGCTAGCATAAGAATCCATACCCTGCATTGGTATAATTTTTGTATCAGATGCCTCAAACTTTATTAAACTACTTCCAGGCAGGGTCATAGGAAAATCTTCTCAGTGGGTTGGTTTCTCCAATTACATTTTTTTTTTTTTTTTTTTTTTGAGACAGAGTCTCGCTATGTCACCCAGGCTGCATTGCAGTGGCACAATCTTGGCTCACTGCAACCTCCGCCTCCCAGGTTCAACCAATTCTCCTGCCTCAGCCTCCCAAGTAGCTGGGACTACAGGCGCCCGCTACCACACCCAGCTAATTGTTTTTGTATTTTTAGTAGAGATGGGGTTTCACTATGTTGGCCAGGCTGGTCTTGAACTCCTGACCTTGTGATCCACCCACCTCGGCTTCCCAAAGTGCTGGGATTACAGGTGTGAGCCACTGTGCCCAGCCTCCAATTTCTTTTATTTTCTTATAATAATCTCAAATTTTGCCAACTCTGGGAATAGCTCCAATAGGGTTTATTTATTTATTCTTAGGAAGAAAGTTGTTACCCTCGAGTTAATTCAATAAAAAATAATTAAGAAAATATTGAAGAAAAAATTTCTTTAACTAGCAATTACAAACTAATAAATACAGCAAAGATCCAGATAAACCAAAAATTGTGTTAGCAGGTTGGTTAAATGAGTGCAGTTAACTGGGAATAATTTTTTACAAGTGTTTTTTTATTTCGTTTTGTTTTGTTTTTGAGACAGAGTGTCGCTCTTGTTACCCAGGCTGGAGTGCAATGGCGTGTTCTCAGCTCACTGCAACCTTCGCCTCCCAGGTTCAAATGATTCGTCTGCCTCAACCTCTCGAATAGCTGGGATTACAGGCGCCCACCACCATGCCTGGCTAATTTTTGTGTTTTTAGTAGAGATGGGGTTTCACCATGTTGGCCAGGCTGGTCTCAAACTCCTGACCTCAGGTGATCCACCTACCTCGGCCTCCCAAAGTGCTGGACTTATAGGCATGAGCCACCTTGCCTGGCCTACAGGTGTGTTTTGAGCTACGGTTTCTGTATAAAATTATGTAGCCTCCCTCATATTTTCATTTAAGAATCATTTCAAATAATTTTCAAACCAAATCTTTCATGTTCTCTTCTGCTTATTGTTTTACTCTACAATGCCTAGAAATTTTCTTGATGCAAAGTGAGTACTTGTTTGTTTAATAAAGAAGGAGAAGAAGAAATGACTCATTACATGTTTCTGAACAAGGCACTTAACTTAGCAAGAACCTTATTTCTCACTCTCCTTTGGTACATTTAATATTAAGCATAAATTATGCACACAGATTCACAGGAAAGGCTAGCAGTTCAGAATCAAATAGGACATTTTTTGATTCAAGCCTCTGCTGCTCTAAAGAATAGCAACAAGACATACTTGCTAAGGGTAACTAGGATATTTTTCAATGAACATCAGTTGAGCAAATAAATGGCTCTTGCCCTAGTAGAGAAAGATGACTATTTTTGAATGAGTGTCTTGAAAGCACTTTCCCCAAAGTTATTGAATACCTATTACATCCCATTTACTGTCCTAGGTGATGGTCTCTGAAAGAGGGTTCTGAGTAAGGACCTTTATTGTTAAATATGAATAGTATTATATAATTTATCAATGATGATATTTTTCTACACCCAAACAGGGATCTTAAGTATGAGATTCTTTCCCTAAATATAAATGATTCCCCTTTATCAGGAATCAGTTATGATTCAGCTATCCAGAGAATTCATTCAAGCCTCAGAGGCTTAACTTTTTATTGTTGTTCTGCCTCTGATTCGCTATTTCACTTTGAGAACTATGCAAAGTTAACTGACTCAGCATTACAGCCCAAATCCACCTGCAGGCTTTTAGATGAGACAAAGCCATAATTTCACGCTGTTAAATATGTTAAGTAAACAAAATAACCAAGATGCCTAAACTAGAGAACAAAGATCTTCAGGGAAAAATATTATTCCTTTTTCTCTGAAGATGTAAATCTAAGACAAAATGCAGATGCTTTTTTTTTTGTAAATGTCCACTATCTGAAGGTTAGATCATAAACTAACAATAAAATGCAGAAAGAGAAAGGAATAAAAATTCCATTCTGTAGAGCTTGCATTTGAGGTACTGATAAAACTTTTAGGTGGAAATGTTCAATAGGTAAGTGAAAATATAGATCTGGAGCTCAGACTAGAGATTTTGGCAGATAATTAGTTTAGAATGGCAGGTTGGATGGTTATTAACATCCAAGGAAAAAGGAGAGCGTGAAGTCTGCAAGGTGTGGTGGGGAGCAAGTAGCTGGCCATTCCATCTGGTGGGTCCATCATACCTGAGGCATGGGGGATACTTCTGAAGTTCTTCTGAGTGGATAGTGCCCAGAAGCCACGTAAGAGCACTGGATTCTGATTATGAAGGGCAAAAAATAATTTCTTAAAAAGTCAACCATGGGCCAGGTACGGTGGCTCATGCCTGTAATCCCAGCACTTTGAGAGGCTGAGGAAGGCGGATCACGAGGTCGAGAGGTAGAGGCTATCCTGGCCAACATGGTGAAACCCCACCTCTACTAAAAATTCAAAAATGAGCTGGGTGTGTCGGCGCGTGCCTGTAATCCCAGCTACGTGGGATGCTGAGGCAGGAGAATCACTTCAACCCGGGAGGCAGAGGTTGCAGTGAGCCAAGATCGAACCACTGCACTCTAGCCTGGGAAACAGAGTGAGACTACATCTCAAAAAAAAAAGTCAGTATGAGAGAGGAGAACAGCTTTCTCCAATTAGAATGCAAGCTCTTTTGGGCATAGCCATCATCTCTTCCATTTCTTGTTATGCCCACACAATGTGCATTCTTAAATAACATTGACTAACCCTTCCACAACAGCCCAAATTCATTATGGGGAAGAGCATAATGACTCCAACAATACTAAATAGAGCACTTATATAGCATCTACATACCACTCTTAGAGTCCAATGTGATTCCTGGCATAAAGACACTCAAGAATCATTTTTATAAGCTTTAATAAGCTTACCACAAAGCCCTAACTAAACACTTAGATTACAGCAAACTACAGCAACCAAATTCGGGCTTAGAATTTATCACTGTTTATAGGCTTACATATATGAGTCATCATCATCAGTTAGCAAATTATACTGTTAATTATAGCTGATGAATTCAATGTAAAATGAGATGGTCAGATAGAACTAAGTATTTCTCACATTATTTTGTGGCCAGAGCTTATACCTGCATTTCATCTTGGTGTATACTAGGATTGTTGTTTTTTACTTGTAACAGTGAAGAAAGTGTATATTGTTATCCAGTAACAGAAAACACTATATATCTGCTTGAAATAATCGTTAAAACTACCAAAGGTGTGACCAACAACCCAAACTCTAGAGAAAGTGAGGCAAGCTAAATATATTGTTTTAGTATTTCAGATACCTAGGACATCAAATTCCTAAAATCTAGCACATCGAATGCCATACATTTCTCAAGTGCTATGACCTAGTTTTTTAAGATTATGAGAAACATTCTGAGAATCTAAAGTTATCACTTTGTTGCAATTTCAAATTTCCCAAATTCATATATGAGGTTTTCAAAGCCACAGAATGGCTTAACAAGAGACAAAGATGAACTATGTGCAAAGACTCAGACATGGCTTAAAAGGGTATCTATGAATATTAAGGGGGAATAAGTCTTCCCTCTCAAGCTTCGCAATTCCTTCAGCACAGAAGTCCTCAAAAATGGAGAGTGGTCTTGCTGTTTTTTCCTTTAAAAACTCGATCTAGGTTATTCAATTTTCTTGGTACGTGCACCATAAAGTGTAACACAATTTTAAAAAAATCTTATAAAGAAAAAAATACTAAGAAAGATAAGTCTCTAGTACCTCGCCGATAATAGTTTATTAAAAAAAATGCACAATCTTATTAGATGAAAATAACAGGAGGCATGTTAGACATTAACTGTAAGAACAAGAAAGCGAAGTAAGGCATTTTGTCTTTTGTAAAATCACAATAAAAAATTCTTAACAATACCTAGATGATGTAAAAAAAGAGTCAAAAATGTGGTTCTACCAAAAAGCAAAATTACCTAGCAAGAAAACAGCCAGCTATATACTTTTTACCACCACGCATCTCGAGAGAACTGTTACCCATCTTTTTCTTTAGGAACCATCTTATAACAATTTCATGCTTGATCAAAAATACAACATCAAATAAATTACTGTTGTGAAGACCAAAATTCCATTACTAATATAATCCTTTATAATCATTTTAAAAAAATAAAAACAATTTAGAGTCCTATGAAACAGACATCAATGTTCCATACCTGTTGATAACTAAGGGACTCAAGGTAATAGAGATTATAATTCTAACAAAATCAAGATATCAAGTTCAACTTGAAAATAGCATGCCTACCAGAATAAACACTGGAGAATTAATTTACTAATACAATTACATTTTCCATTTTAGAAGATGATATATCTGAATTCCTAAATTTCCAAAGTGCTAGCTATCCAAAGAAGCATCAACTAATGCCTTCATTTTCCCTAATTCAAAAAGACACTTGGGGTTATTTTATTGACTTACATTCCACAGTAAAATCATTTTTTCTGATAAGAGGCCAGGATCTCCTGAGTGTGTCAGACAGCATGCTAATGCACTGGCACCCTCTGCCTGGAGCAACAATTATAAGGCATGAACTACAAGGATCTTTTCCCTAAGGAGGAAGCTGAAGCCTCCAGAATGATGTCAATACTTAACTGCATTTTGCTAGACGAGATTAACTCCTTATATAGCTCCTTATATCTTATATTAGCTACATAAAAATGTCTCCCTAACTTTCTCACCAGAAAAATAAAATATGATGATAAAAGCCATTGTACTGAGTTTTATGATGTTTTTTGGCTACAGGTATGGTACCTGACCATGTCATGCAAATGGAAGATAGGCCCATGAAGTAAGAGCAATGTTTTGAAAGGACATAAATAAAATACTGGTCCTTATGATCTTACCTCCTTTGAACTTTACTAATTTCATATTTTTTTAAAAGAAAACAAGATAGTAAAAAGTACTAACTATTAAGTCGTCACCTATTATGGTACCTTGGCAGCTTTATTAACCTTGTCTTCATTTTCTCTCTTATACACAAAAACTGAAGCAAATTTGCCATCTTGCAGTACAGCGGGATAAACAGCAAGTCCAGAGGGTAAGGTAAATGGTGGTTCTCTCAGTGTATAGCTCTTTAAAGCACTGTTCTCTGATCCCATCCCTTATGCAGTGAGGCAGTACTGCCACTCTTCCTCAAAGCCAAGCAGATCTAAAAGAAAACAGAAAACAATTTCAAACATTAAATCCCTATCTGCAACATCAACAAGAGATATCCAGACATAGCCACCCCAAACTACTAGTTTCTTTGATCCTCATAACTAGGACATTTGACAGTAAAAATGGTAAACGCTCTGCAAGTTACCAGCAATGGTTGTTAATTAACAACTAACAGCTCTAGAGAAAATGCACATTACTAAATAGTCACAGGTAGTTACTGTCCCTCCCCAAACTCCACCACATACAAACTTTCAGAGTGGAAAGGCAATCAAAAATAGAATAAGGTAATTCATACTTCCTAACTCACTTGTATATCCTCACTCACAAAGGAAAATGTTGTAAAAATATTACTCAAAAACAATAAAACTTCTGTATGTAGAAAATAACTTAAAATTATAAAGGAAAACAATACAAATTGGAGAATACTTATAATGAGGAAAATCATGGTTTTAATATTAATATGTTGAAAAACATTGTTAATATGATGAAAAACATATTAACAAATGAAGAGCTCATATAAACCAAGTAAAACACTAAAACACCAGTACAATAATGGGAAAGAAAACAGACAACTCATTGAAGAAACACAAATGACGATAAACATAAGAAAAAGTACGATCGCACTACTCTTCAAAGCTATCCTAAGTAAAAAGGGGAAACCGCAAAACTGAATCTCAAATAATCTCAATTGCTAAAAAAAAACAAAAGCCCACACATACACAGAATTCAAATGCAACTATGACAAAATACTTCAGTGCTCACCTAGTGAAGGGGCACAGTTAGAGGGATCAAGGGAGAGGAAAGGATTATCATGATGTATGAGGAACTTTTGGGAGGATGGATATATTCATTATCTTGATGATGATGATGGTAACGGGTGATTATGTCAAAACATAAAACTGTACACTTTTTTCATTTATTCTGTATCAATTACGCCTCAAAGTTGTTTTGAAAAGAAATATATGTATACATACACACAGACTTGAAAAATATATGTTGAAGTATTAACAGAGGTTTCCAGTGGAAGGTCAGATTATAGGTAATTTTATACACACACACTTGCCTGCACCTTCCAAATCTTCTACAATATGAACAGCTTTCTTGACAACAGGGATACAAACTCACAGGGTGACAACAGGTAATGTGCAGTGCCCCAGCAGTACTGGCAGCCTGGCAGAGGGACCTACTGTGCGTGCATGGGACCTACTGTGAGAGGCTTGCATTCTGAAGACAGTGGCTATCACAGAGTTCCAACCAGGACTGCAGTTTCAGAACTGTCAGATCATGCCACTTATCGTGAGGAACCAAGAGCCTGAATAGTTTTGTGGAAATCTCCATATTTTTCAATGTTGAATCAAATGTTTTCTAAACCTATATAGGCCAAACAACGTATGTCTGAAAAATCTGTGGCAGTCAGTTTTCAGTGGTGGCTTTACCATAATATAAAAATTAGAAAATAGAGTTCTTACTAACTCTGGCAATGTAGAAAGCAAACTGCTACAAATACGGCCAATAATTCTATGTAGGCCTTTAAAAATTTGTTTAAAATCTGTATTCTTTGGACAAATATAAACTCAATAATCATTACACATTGACCCTCTACTTGGAATTTTTCCCCACTTCGGTGAAATTCCATACAACACCTTCTACACTGGGTATGTAATGCTGCTCAAAACACATGCCTAGAACAAAATTTAAAGTGCCTACCGATCCACAACCATCGTTATATAAGAAACACATGTATAAAGGCTAAAGCTATCTAAAATTGAAGATTTTCAAAATCTAAAAATGTTGCTGAGAATAAGAACTAAATCTGCTTTGTAACAAATTCACTGAATTCCTACCTACCTGGCAATGTATCTTTCTTAAAAATGACAGAGAAGCAAAAAACAGTACTAAAAGAAATGCCAAGTATGGCAACTATGGTAACATTCACCTTTCTACTGGGACTACAAATAAAAAGTTTATGTGGGACCATGGGTAAAAGCAACAATGCTAATCCCTCTGTTCTGGAGATAGAGTGCTGGCCAGATTGTCACAACCTCCTGCTGAGTAGGGAGGATTATGCTTAGCACTTGATCTTGCCACCTCTTCTTGGGCACAGTTAATGTTGGCAGGTACCTATCCTGGGCCAAAGGGCGGTTAATTCACAAATTAGCCATCAATTTCATGGCCTGAGTGAAGAGATAAACTGGCCAGATCATTGTCTCCCCCAGGAATTTGAACTAAGAACAATTTTTGCCTATTAGAAGCATAGCCGAAGGTAGAAGGATGCTATGAGGTGGAGGTGGAGCTACGGCAAACCAAAGCCACATGAAGTCAGAAACTTTCCAGAGGAAGTCAGTTGGTAGTAAAATTTTAAAAAGCAAACACTGGGACCGTAGCTTAGTCATACTTAGGGGGCACATTACTACTATCCATCTCAAGACTACCGGAAGCCCAGCCTCAAATCTAATTCCACCCAGATACCCTAACATCCCATTGACACCCTTACAACCAGCCCCCTTTTCCTCAGGTAACTTGAATGGGTCTATGTTCTTTGAAACTAATTGCCATTTCATAGGCAGAAAGCTCTACTTGGTCTCCAACTCCTGCCTGAAAAGCCAGTCAGACTGGAAGAGTGAGTTACAGAAGTGTTACTTTGAAAGTATCTGAAGCTAGTCTGACCGTCTCTCTCTCACCCACAAAACACAGCTTTCCAAAATCAACACACAATTAAGAGAAAAGCAGAGAATAAGGGACTGTATATTAATGAATATCTTCTTCGCAGGAAATCATGCTGTTTATTTAAGTGTTAATATTAATCCTCATGGGAGATAAGACTGCCACCAGGATTCAGGGTCAGTGCTCTGGCTGATGAATGGCAGTCACCAGAGGCAAGAGAAAGGAACATTTAATTTACTTAGCTATTTCTAAATAGCAAAATACTTCCTTGTGGGAACATTGGCCTTGCAATAGCTATTAACCTTAGATTTCATATGAATTCCACTATAATTAACAAAGTTATAAAAGCATTAGGAAGTAGTTAAAATTCATTTTTCTTACTGTATTTTAGGTCTAAGACTAAAAAAATCACTTAAAAATTAAAAAGGGATGACTCAATTTCTTGAGAGAACTGGAAAGGATGCCATTTTCTTGTTTTGAAAGCATGTTAACTTTGACAGAAGTCCACTGATACCATCAGTGTAATACTGACAGTGGTAAGATTATATTGTATGTTCCCAGTGCAAACTTTATTGGGGGAAAATTAAAAAGGTGTGCTGATTATTGCAATTTGAGAATGTTTTGAAGCAGTAATTCTTCACACTAATATATCTAAAGAAGCACAAATACTGTTATATGAAGAAGTTTTTTTGTTTGTTTTTTGTTTTAAATAGAGATATGGTCTTGTTCTGTTGCTGCTGGCCTAGAGTGCATTGGCGCTATCCTATCTCACTGTAACCTGGAATTCCTGGGCTCAAGCTACCTGCCCTCCCCAGCCTCCCTAGTTGCTGAGATTACAGGCATGTGCCACCATGCCCGCCAGTGCTTTAAAAATGATAATTCAGCTAAAATTGATTTATTGAAATGTAAGAAAAACACTTGGCCTTCCAAAATGCTTTCCTGTTGTTTTGAGGACGGGGAAAACACAAAATCTTGCTCATTAGCTTTGAAATTAAAAAGTCACAAGAAGGTAGAAAAGGATATCCTAGTATCCCGTAATAGGTATTTCGTAGCACTTAGCATCTCCACTCTATAATAAAATGCTGAGTTGACAGTCTCTGACTTGAATATGCATCAGTCTTCCCTTTAATAATCTCCCTCCACTCTTTTGCCTACTTGGGCAGCACATAAAATTTCTGGACCGCTTGTAGATTAAGAAAACCCTTGTCTAGGTCAAAGGGCAACTCATACACTCAACTAAGAAACCCGTGTGCTCTATGGAAATGTTTCTACCAAATATTTTCTTTTCCCAGCAATTACTCGAGACTACCTTGGTCCTAGCTCCCTTAGCTTGAAAGTTCCAAAGATAATGGCTTGCACTCTGAGTATTAAGGATGCACTGTACTGGCTGATATTCTGGTATCCAGCGGTAACGTTACTCCGGCCCTTGCTTTCGTGTTTCAGGTATATATTCCCTCTGCGGAACTCAGTCCAGCATTGCTAGCTGACAAGCAATACACAATTAAGTCTTTATGGACCAAAATAATTGTGATTTCAGCTCAAGATACATTTTATAAGAACATGGGTCCCTAAAAACAGCAGTTAACAGTGACCCCCAAAATTCGAGACCCGACTCCGAGAATTTCACATGGATTCCTGAATATGCTCTTCCGAGAAATGTTTCATCTTTATTCTAAACAGAAAGCACTATGCCAAGACAGGAGCCAGCTGGGCCTTGGGGGACGGGCACTGGTCTTGGATCAAGAATGAGGCCGCCTTCCCGAGGGCGGGCGCGCCCCCAGGATCCCCCCGGGCTCGGGCACTGCCGCCCCGGGACAGTGACCCGCCCAGCCGAGCACCCTCGCCCTGCTTGCCGCGACCCCGCGGGGTCACTGAAGGGCCGAGGCGCCGCTCTCGCTTCGCTGGCCCCTCACCTTCCACACCTCCCTGCGAGGACCGACTCCGCGGCCGCCTTGGAGAGCTCTGGCCGCGGGCGCCTCACCCGTCGGGGGCCGCCCGCGAAGCGCAGATTACAGGGCGCCCCACAATCAGCAAGGGGAGGCTGCTCCGAAGCTGAGAGCACAGCTCAACCGGCCGCCGGCGCCGCGCCGAGCTCGCTCCCGCGCGGGCCCCAGAGCGCAGACCCGCGAGCGGGGCGCGCGCCCGCCGCCTCCTCCCCGCCCGGCCCCTTCCCCCACGGCGCAGTCCTGCAAGGACTGGGGGCGCAGCGCAGGGCTCCCTGTTACCTGCAGGAAGGCGGCGGGGGAGGAGGCCGAGGGTCTTGGCTCTGGTACCCTGTTGGCCCCCCTGTTGACACCAACCACCCCTGCCTGCCTGTAAGGCTGTGGCCACTACACCCACAATCTTCTGGGGGCCGGGTTTCTCCTACACCATAGAGACGGGTCCGGAAACGGGACAGAAGGCCCACCTTCCTCCCTCCGACGCCACCAATGAGGCCAACTAACCAGGAACCGAGGTAGAGAGGCCGCACAGCTGAGTCTCAGGCCGGTGCCATCTTAAGTGTGGGCGCCGCGACGATACCGAGTTTCACTCACTGCCCCAGTGGTCTAGTTAGTCCACGAAGATGCCCCCTTTCTAGATGTGTTGGTCGAATGCTTAAGTTTGTCTTGACTTGAATTTTTAGGCTTTTAACAGCACAGTTTTAATTTCATTTCCGCCCAAATCCAAAATGGCTGCTGGCCACTTGTAGCAAACAGTAGAGGTGCAGGGCGGAGAAAAGGAGTACGGGAATTAGCGAGGACTTTCAGGAGAGTGACGTCACTCAACCTGTAGCTTTGATTGGCTGGGCTGCGAGGGTGGAGTCGTGCAGAGCCGCTGCTGGCGGAGGTCGTGGTGATCTCGCTTGATCTTTGAGAGGGAAGGTCCTGAATCACATTTCATTTAGCAAAAAGTAATATTTGAAAATTTTAATATTAATGCAGTAGTTTTGCCCCCCTCCATGCTTTCTGCAGTGTCAGTTACCTGTGGTCAAACCTTGGTTCAGAAATGTTAAATGGAAAACTCCAGAAATAAACAATTCTTAAGTTTCAAACCGCCTGTATTCTGAGTAGCCCGATTAAATCTCGGGCCATCCACTCTGTCCCACCCTTGACGCGAATCATCTGTCGCAGGTAGCCGCGCTGTGTACAGTATCCACTCATTACCCACTCAGTAGCTGCTTTGGTTAACAGATGCACCCGTAGTATAGCAGAGATAATGAGAGATACCACCTGCTTATGTTCAGGTAACCCTTATTTTACTTAATAATGGCCGCAAAGCACAGGAATTGTGCTGACAATTTGGATATGCCGAGGAGAAGCTGTAAAGTGCTTCCTTTAAATGAAAAGGTGAAAGCTCTGGACTTAATAAGGAAAGAAAAAGAGTCATATGCTGAGGTTGCCAAAATCTATGATAAGAACAAATTATCCATGAAATTGTGAAGAAGGAAAAAGATTCGTGCTAGTTAACTAAGCACCTATCATGCACTGTGGCTGTAACTTTTGTAGTTTGAGGTGCAACAGCAAAAGACGGAAAAGGCATTACATTTGTGGGTGGGAGACATGAACAGAAAACGTATTTCAGCTGACCGCAGTAAGTTTTGCCAGAAAGTGTTGAGCCTATAGGAAGACTTAAGAAAGGGATCCCCTGAAATTAGGCACACCAAGCTATTTACTGCAAGTAAGGGATGGCTACACAGATTCAGGAATAGGTTTGGACTGAAAAACATAAAAATAACTGGAGAGGCCACATCTGCTGATGAAGAAGCTGCCACATGTCTGGCAGAGTTGAAGACATTGGTTAAGGAGAAAGGCTTCCAGGAGATTGATGGATAAGTTAGGAAAATCATTCAGGTAGCAATGAAACTGCCTTTGCAAAATTATGACTAAGGCAGTTAAAGAGATCCAATTTAACCAACTCCATCTTGTCCTTAACCTCCATGCTATCCTTGTTCATTCCTGGGCATAGGCTGAACTAACTTTGGAAGGAAATTAGTTTATAATTTACAGTTTAAAACAAAAACAATAAAAGCCCTTTCCCAAAACCAACCTCCTTCTTGCCTGGGGTCTAGACTACCAACATTAGCCACAAGATTAGAAATTATGGTTTGGGAGTCATGCAGCTGGAGGCCACAAGATTCTGACCCTCCCTAAACTGCTCCTGAGATCAGTGCTTCAGATGTTTTGCAGACCCTGCACTTGATGGATCAGCTGGCAACACCCAGATGATAAACTGGCCCATCTGATCTTGTGACCCCCACCCAGAACTGACTCAGTTCAAGAAGACAGTGATGCCCCATAGTTTCATCTCCGACCCAACCAATCAGCACTCCCTGACTTACTGCCCCTCCCCACCCACCAAATTGTCTTTAAAAACTCGACTGCTGGAGGAGACTGATTTGAGTAATAATAAAACTCTGGCCCCCCACACAGCCAGCTCTGCATGAATTCTTTGTCTATTGCAATTCCCCGTCTTGATAAATTGGCTCTATCTAGGCAGACGGCAAGGTGAACCTACTGGGCGGTTATAGCAAGACAAGTTGGTGAAAAAGGATTTGTCAATATGCTTGATGAAGAGGTGGGAGAACATATCAAAGGCCTCACTATCCATTCTGAGGACAGGTTTAACCTTCTCAAACTAGAAGCAGGGCTTAGTCACCCTGGACAGTCTCTAGTTCTGTGCCTCCTCCCACTTCCTCTATGTGGTCAGTCCAGACATCTGCCTTGTATGACCGCCTCTGGTGACCACCTCCCTATCGAACCATCAGGTACAAGCTGCTTGCTTCATCCCCTTGACCCCTATACCCCACATATACTTTGCAGATATGCCTCAGTGACCACCTCTTAGTCACAGTGGGACTAAGATGTTGGACCCAGGACCACAGTGAAGGCTTTGGCCCGCAAGTCCCTCTCTCTGTCTCGTCCCCCTCCCACTGGTTGAGCATGTGTGTCCCCCTTCTCATTGGCCCTGTGAGGCATGCTGTCCTCTTATTATGGATCTGTAAGTAATGAAACTGCTTCTATTATTTCACATGTTTTGTTCACCTCCTCTGTGTCTCACCTGACCTATACACCCACACCTGACTTGTTTCCTGGTTAGGGCTCTCCTAGAGAGTGGCTGTCTTGGTTGGAATAAACCAGACACGGGGCAGACAAGAGCCACAAATGTGCCTGCTAATATAAACAAGCTTCCTGTGAGAGGGACCTCCTGTCATGGGTCAGACACCTAGGATTTAGGCCGTCTGCCAGGATAAAGAAGTATTCCATGGAAGGCACACTGTAAATATCCAAGCCCCATCACGGAAGAGCTAACGTTTATAACCACTCCCAGAGAGAGACCTCGAGACCGAATTAGAAAAGAAATACAACACATAGACCCTAGGTTTACTAGCTCCAACATCCATTCCCACTCCTCACCCCCTTCTCCCTTGTTCACCTTCGATAAAGAAGTTAAGAAATCAAAAAGATCACTTTCTGAGCCTACTTTCCCGCTAGGGTGGTCACAAGTTCTGGCCGGTGAGACATAGCAGAAGTTGGGAGGAAGATAGACAGTGGATTAGGAAAGGTTTTTCCTCCCTATTAAAGGAAATGGCTGTGGGTGTAACAGCAGCAGCCACCCAAGCACCAGGAGACAGCGGGAGAACATGCTGAGGATGTCGATTTGAAAGACAGAAGGATTCTCTTGCCTTTCACACTATCCCTCGAGAGTTCATAACTATGTTTTTCCTCCTTTTACAGGAGGAGTAGAGATGAGTCCCTTCAACCAGTACGTGAAATCTTCTGCAGTCAACACAGCTACTTGCTGGCCCACCCTCTTCCCAGTGTCCTCACCTCTGAGTCTTTGCTGGCCTTCCCACCCTGTTCCTTGCTCCCTAATCTTATGTCCAGATGTGCTGAGCTCCAGGGTATCCTCTATAATCATTCATCAGCCTAGAGGACTCTGTATTTCCTTTCATTTCCCCAAGGTAAACCCACTCCTCCAAATATCAATGAGAAGGGAATATTTTGCAGTGAATGGAGTAGGAGAGAGATGGGAGGGAGTTTGACACTCAGTCCTTCCCCTCTTCACTCTTCATCTACTCACCTATTTGCTCTTGATGTCACTCAGGTCTCTGAACAAATGTCACCTGTTCAGACTCTTAAAGATTTGGGGCATTGAAATCACAGGCTAACTTGTATATTTTTGTCCAACAAAGATGCAAATCTTTCTGTCCAGTGGAAAAGTTAACCCCAAAGTTTATTCTTATTGCACTAGAGAGCATTTCTCATTTTAAAATCTAATCTAGTAATCTTACTGTATTTCTTTATAAAATTGCTTGTAAGTATGTAGCTACACAAATGCTCTTTGAACAGTCTTAATGTCTTTTTAGTTTCCTCATTAACTAATGTGTTCATTTTATATTTGCATGAGAGTTATAATTATATTTTGAAAATTCTACTTGAATGCAATTTATCAGAGACAGCTCCCCTGAAAACACTGTCTAAAACAGCACCTTACCTGCCTCTTCCTGTCTTTTGACTTTGCCTTATTTTGCTTAACACCAATGCACATATTTGTTCAGCATCTCTGTCCCACAGCTAGAACATCAGCTCCCTGAAAACAGGGCTTCCTTCCTTCATTTCTTTCTTTCCTGCCATATTTCTAGCACATAACACAGTGCCTAGAACATACTAGGTACTCAGTAAATATTAAACACACAAATGAATTTACTGAGAGCACACTGCATGTCCCAGGCACCCTCCCTACATCTCTCTGCCTCCCAGCCCTTACCCCACAGAGCCCTCTATAGCTCTGGTTCCAGTTCTCAGTTCCCTGGAGCTGCTCTCTGAGCTCCTTCTGCCTTTCTTATGCATAGAAATCTTGTATTCCCTCACTGATTCCTCAGTCCTCATTTTAAATATGTCTAAGGCCAGGAAAGAAAAGAATCTCCAACAACCTGAATCCGCTGTCCTTGGAATGTGGCTGGTGGGACAGTTAGAAACAAATAGTTTGTTTTCTTAATAGAAATAATTTTTTCTTGTCATACTGTTTAAGGATCAACCTGAATTTTACTTCCAACCAATCCTCTTCTTAATTCAAATCAAAACATGTCAATGGTATTCAGCTTGACTTTTAGGTGTTTTTTTAATTAATCTTTTTCATGTTTCTAACTTAGATTCCCAAGTAGACTATAAGTATCTTGGATATATTCCTGGTTCTATAAAAGCCTTAGCCATCCAACTTAATTATTTTTTTCCAACTTGATTTGAACTAACTTTTTTACAAGCTCTACCTGAAAACCAAAGAGAGTAAAAGTTATTCAAGTGATTTCTATTTAATGTTCTACCTCAATAATTTGTGTAATTGCATAATTGCAATTAGAATCTGGAAGTGTAAAGGGGGAAACTTGCATGAATGACAAACCCTCCTTCAGGCACATTTCAGATAAATACATATAGCATCCATAAGTAGTGGATACCTTATAGAAAACTGAACTGGACCTAAGCCACTTTGTTCTCTCGTTGTTTTTAGGAACTTTGCATAGATATTGGAAGATTTCTCTAATGAGAAGTATGTGTTTTCTAAGTTCCACCATAACCTTGCTACCACTACAAAGAGAGAATGAAAGCAAGTCTGAGGTGGGATTCTACACATTCACACGTTTATTAGCAAGGTTTAAAGACAGGCAGTAGAGCTGTTATACAAACTCAGTGAGGTTCCACTTCCTTGTGTAGGAGCTTGAATAGCATCTTGCATGAAAGGTCCATCCACTGCAGGAAGATGGGACAGTATTCTAATAGCAGACTCAGCTATCCTCATTAGAGCTGGGTGACAAAATCTTCTTGTAATCTTCTCCATATGGGGCTGGTCTGAAATCCTAAATCTAGGGCACCTTTCCAAAGTGTGTAGATTGCTAGACTCACTAGATTCTCATACTCTGATCATGTAAGGCATGGCAACATTTCTATTCATTCTGTCCATCTTGAAATTACTTATTTTGGCCATGAAAATTCACTTTTAAACATCCTTAAAGCCACTAGTATTGATCTGAGTTAGAGATAGCTGAAGTGTTTGTAGTATCTGCCCCAGGAGTATAGACTTCTCATTGAAATCTTTCAGATGCTAAAAGCCTCTGAAGTGTGAATTGCTTCTCAACTTCAAAGAGCCATGAATCATCTTGGAATCATACTCCTGGGAGAAAGATTTGGGGCAAACAATGTGTGCATTATATATCTACCTCTTCTTTGAAATACTTCAGCCTTCAGGGAGATACAGATGTGTACTAACTTAGATCTATCCTGTAGGGGTGGTTAATTAATATTTGAAGGCAACATGAGCATCCTCTGGAAGCATGTTAAAAATGCAAAAGCTGAGGCCTCACGCTAGATTGTCGAGTCAGAATCTACATTTTAACAGGATCTTTAGGTGATTTGCAGGCACCTTCCTTGCAGGAAGGTTTGAGAACTGCCCTAAATGATCTAAGGCCTCCCTCCTTTGGCCTCACTGCTATCCTCCTGCTCACTAACTCTGGTCCATGCTCAGTGGCCTCCTTGCTGTCCTGTCAGCATGCCAGGTGAGCTCTTGCCTTAGGACTTTTGCTCTAGCGCTTCCTTTTCCTGTCATTCTCTTTTCCCACATGTCCATTTGACTAAGTCTGTTACTTCTATTTTTTGTTCAGATCTCGTCTTCTCAATGAAGTCTGTCCTGATCCACCCTATCTAATTCTACAACGTTTACCTTCCTTCCTGCTACACTCCTGGTGCTTCCTATCCTGTTTTCTTTTGCTTTTTCCCTCCATAGCACTGACCGTCTTATAAACAGCCATATACTGTATTTTCTAGATTGTAAAAACTATAGTTTTTCACATTTTAACATCCCTGAAGGTCAGAATGCATTTTACCACAAATGGCATAATATAATTTGTCAATAATTTTTTCTTAGTGGTACCAAATATATTGATGCTTCCTAAATGTGATGGCATCATATATTTGATGAAATATGACAATTTGCTTATGTATTATGGCTTTTGGTTTTGAGAGAAAACAATTATCTGAAACTTTAAAATAGGCAAAAGAGGTTACTGTGGCTTTCTTCCCATGCAATTCTGGATTAAATTCCTATTGACTAGGTTATTTTACTACTTCTTTATTACCTTTTTAGGGGCAGAGGCTAACTTTTTCATTTTCATCCACTAGAGATGTAAATAAGTTTGTCCAGCACAGCAAATCATCTTAATGGTTACAGTTTATTGTCCTGTAAGTTATTAACCCAGCAACCTGAACCTGACATGTCTTTATCAAATTGCCTACATATACACCTATCTTCTCAGCTGCTATTTGGACTAGTTTAAAATCTTACTGATTCCCTCATTAATAAAAACATTAAATAGAGTCTTTGACATGTGTTCATTTTATATTTGCCTGAGAAACCTCATTGTACTTTTTTAAAAAAATTACATTTTAATGGTTTATTTCTCCCCTGCTAGAATGTTAAGTTTCACAAGGGAAAAAAATCTGTTTTTGTTCAATGATCTGCCATAAATGCTTAGAACAATGCTTGGAACATTATAGATGCTCAACAATTATTTACTGATGAATGAATGAATGGAAGTATAGAAAAATATATACTAGTCTGTTAACATTCACCATGTAAGGTAGGGAGAGGTTACTTTCTTTATATACCTTTTTATATATCTGCATATTGTTTTATGTGTTACAGTGAGCCTACATTGTTTTTGTTTATTTGTTTAAGAGACAGAGTCCAGGCTCTGTCACCCAGGGTGAAGTACAATGGTGCAATCATAGCTCATTATAACTTTGAACTCTTGGCCTCAAGCAGTCCTCCCATCCCAGCCCCTCAAGCAGCAAGGATTACAGGCATGTGCCACCACATCCAGATACATTTTTTAAATTATTTTTTGTAGAGACAGGGTTTTGCTGTGTTGCCCAGGCTGGTCTTGAACACCTTGCCTCCTGCTTCAACTTCCCAAAGTGCCGGGATTACATGCATGTATTTTTGTAATTTTAAAGATAATTTAATAAAGAGATGAGGAACTGAATGTAAAGTTGTATAAAGGAGGAAAAATAATCGTTCCTTTTCCCCCTCTTAATTTCATTGTCTGGGGCCCCTATAACAAAGATTGAGAAGAGTAAAACAAACAGAAGTTTATTCATGTGTATTTCATATACACATAGGAGATACTCAAAGAGGTGGCTTAGAACTCAGGCATATATGGCATCTTCAACAAAGAAGAATAAACTCTTAGAGAAATAAGACAGAAGAAAGGATGGCAAACCATGGTAAGGCAAATAAATGGAAGTTTTTAATGTAGGTTCTTCTAGTGTTGACAGAAGCTGCCTTTAGTGATCAAACTTTGTGTTTCCTAGTGGAGAGGGGAGAAGGAATACTTTTGTAAATTTATATCTTGTTTTGAGGGAAGTAGGAGTAGGATAGAGAACTTTTTAAAAATATCTGCTCCTTCTCAATTGCCTTCAGCTGAAAATAATCCTTATGCCAAGGAGGCATATTTTGGGCATATTCTAGTCTCCTACACTTAAATTGGAAGCTTTTGAGTCTTACATCTATAAAACAGTGCCCGTAGCCTGTAATTCCTCATATGATAACAATCTTGAGGGTCTTGTGATAGTAGCTCCAAAGCATTGGTAGGAAACAGGAGGGGATACGGCATGGTCACATTTCCTGATAAGGTATAGATGGCAGTTAACTTTACAAATTTATGCCAAGAAACAGTAACTTATGATCTTTAGCTAGTTTCTCAGTCCTCTCCAAAGCTGTGCTTCCAGCTCAGGACAACATAAAAACCATTTGCTCTGTTTCCTTAAAAAAAAAAAAAAATTCCCTGTTGCTCACTGTACTATTCCAAGTCTTTCTCAGGGCTGCCATCTCTCCTGAGTCTCTCCCCTCCTCCCTGCAAACAAACACCCACCCCAGTCTCAGTTCTACCTCAAGGAAGAAGCAGCTAGATCGGGGAACTTACTGCTTATGGGACAAAGGGATTCAGTGCAATGTCTGTTCCATCATCAGCAAGTATATTAAAAATGAGTAAAACAAATCCCAGTGATTTTAGACCTCCTCTGAAAACTTTTGCCCTCAATTTTGATACTAGTTTCTTAAAAAATTATTTTCCTCTTTTCTCACAGCAATTGTTTTCTCACCAATCTTTTGAATTTTTTCATTTACTTTTTTTCCTAACTTTGCCTCTCACTGTATGGAATCTAAATGGAGTTCATTAGGAATGAATTTATTGATCCAGTGACATTAGCAGCAGTAAAAGCCACTACGGTGTGTACAACCAAGTGGCAAAGACACGTGTGTTCCCAAAACACAAGGAATAGCACCACTGCTATCTTCTCACCATTTTTGATAAGAGAGGTGCGGAGGAAGAGGAAGGGCTTATTTGTCTTTTTTATCTTCTGCAAGAAATAGGAAACCAAGAAACAGCTAAAGGAAATCCGGTAGTGATGTGCTGAAATCAGAGTAGCCCTAAACCAAGTGTGTAAACACGGCATTTTAATAATAGGAATTCAGACCAAGAAGGGTAATTAGGAATTACATGAAAATGTGATTACACTAATAAAGTTATTTTAGAGAGAAAAACTAAAACAGAAATTGGTACCACAAAATTAACTCTCCAGACAAAGGTTGGGCCAGGTGTGCATTTGGTTAGGTCTCAGAGGGGAGCTCAATTCAGGGCACTCTTTCTGCTCCCCGTGATAGTAGACAGTGAAGTCACTTGTCTGCTGGGTAGATGTGTGCATTTGGAGCTTTGCTGTGTCTTCATTTTGAGTACTTTTATTGCCGCCTAAAAAATGCCTGGACCAATGAATGGCTGAACAAAATGTATTCCAAACAATGGAATATTATTTGGCCATTGGAAGGGATAAAGTTTTCATACGTGTGACAACATGGATGCTGTGAAAACATCATGTTAAGTGGAAGAATCCAGGCACAAAAAGCCACACATTGTTTGAGTGCATTTATATGAAATGTCCAGGTTAGATAAATCCACACAGAAAGAAAGCAGATACATGGTTGCTAGGGGCTGGGGGTAAGGAGGAATGGGGGCATGACTGCTAATGGGTAGGAGGTTTCCTTTTGGAGTGATGAAAGCATTCTGGGAACTGGATAATGGTGATGGTTGTGCAACCTTTAGAATATACTAAAATCCACTAAATTATATTTTTAAAGTACATTTTAAATGTAAATTTTAAAAAGGTACTTTTATGGTATCTGTATTATTTCTCAATTAAAAAAAAAGACCATGCTATGTGTATTAGTCCATTCTTGCTCAGCTATAAAAACATACCTGAGACTAGGTAATTTATAAACAAAGGAAGTTTAATTGGCTTATGGTTCCGTGGGTTGTACAGGCTTCTGCTTCTGGGGAGGCCTCAGGTGACTTAAAATGATGGCAGAAGGTGAAGGGGAAGCAAGCACATCTTACATGTCAGAAGCAGGAGGAAAAGAGTGAAAGGGGAGACCCTACAGACTTTTAAACAGCCAGATCTCATGAGAACTCTGTCACGAGACAGCACTAGGGGGATGGCGCTACATCATTACAAACCACCTCCATGATCCAGTCACCTCCCACTAGGTCCCACCTCCAACACTGAGGGTCATACTTCAACATGAGATTTGGGTGGGGACACAGAGCCAAACCATATCACTGTGTACGAGCATGTACACAGGTACACATGAAGGGAGATGAATATCACATTCATCAAGTCATTAACAGTTGAAACAAAGTGGAACTCTATCAACAGCATGTGCCTTATAACATATTCTGTGTTATTAAAAGTCAAATTTGAGAAAACTAAAAATTGAGGATACTCATAAAGACATTAGAAATGTTAAAAAATAAAAACAAGTAGCTAGACTTGGTAATTTCAGTGAGAAATGATTGATAGGCCCTGATGTGGTTTGGCTCTGTGTCCCCACCCAAATCGCCTGTCAAATTCTAATTCCCAGTGTTGGGGGAGGGACCTGGTGGGAGGTGACTGGATCATAGGGGTGGATTTCCCCTGTGTTCTCCTGGTGATACTGAGTTCTCATAAGATCTGGTTGTTTAAAAGTGTGTGTGTAGCACCTACCCCTGCTCTCTTTCTTTCCTGCTCCATCATGTGAAGAAGGTGCTTGCTTCCCCTTCGCCCTTCCACCATGACTTTAAGTTTCCTGAGGATGCCCCAGCCATGCTTGCTATACAGCCTGTGGAACTGTGAATCAATTAAACCTCTTTTCTTCATAAATTACCCTGTCTCAGGTTGTTCTTTCTAGCAATGTGGGAATGGACTAACACAGGCTCAGCGTCCCTTTCTTAACTATTTCACTCCATTTCTGGAGTTTGTATGAACCCTCCAAACTTGTGTGGTTCTCCTTTTCAAAATCACCAAATTAAAACTGATGCCTTTGCAGAGAGTAGCAGGTGGTTGCCAGAAGCTGTGGGGTGGGGGAAATTGGGAGATGCTGGACAAAGGGTATAGACTTTCAGTTTAAGATGACTAAGCTCTGGGGATCTAACATACAACACACTGATTACACTTACTAATACTGCATTGTATACTTGACATTTGGAGACAGTGGATTTTAAGTGGCTTCCCCCTTCCTCACCCCACATACACACAAATAGTAACTAATTGTGGTGATGATAATCTTTTTTTTTTTTTTTTTTTTTTTAAAGACAAAGCCTCACTCTGTCACCTGGACTGCAGTGCTGTGGTGCAATCAGGACTCGCAGCAGCCTCAACCTCCCAGATTCAAGCGATCCTCCCAACTCAGCACCCCTCACGTTCTCCCCACCCCCAACTAGCTGGGACTACAGGCATGCACCACCATGCCCAGCCAATTTTTTCTAGAATTTTAGTAGAGATGAGATCTCTCTTTGCTGCCCAGGCTGGTCTTGAACTCCTGGGCTCAAGTGATCCCCCCACCTCGGCCTCCCAAAGTGCTAGGATTACAGCTGTGAGCCACCGTGCCTGGCTATGATAATCATTTCACAATGTATCCATCTATCAAGTCATCACAGTGTACACCTTGAATACATACAATTTTTAATCTGTCCATTATATCTCAATAAAGCTGGAACACAACAATAAGATTCCTTCAGCCCAGGACTGGAAATAAAGAAGCTCTTAGAATGGTGATCATTAAAAAGTCAAGAAACAACAGGTGCTGGAGAGGATGTGGAGAAATAGGAACAGTTTTACACCGTTGGTGGGACTGCAAACTAGTTCAACCATTGTGGAAGACAGTGTGGCGATTCCTCAAGGATCTAGAACTAGAAATACCATTTGACCCAGCCATCCCATTACTGGGTATATACCCAAAGGATTATAAATCATTCTACAATAAAGACACATGCACACATATGTTTATTGAAGCACTATTCACAATAGCAAAGACTTGGAACCAACCCAAATGTCCAACAATGATAGACTGGATTAAGAAAATGTGGCACATATACACCATGGAATACTATGCAGCCATAAAAAAGGATGAGATCATGTCCTTTGTAGGGACATGGAGGAAGCTGGAAACCATCATTCTGAGCAAACTATCGCAAGGACAGAAAACCAAACACTGCATGTTCTCACTCACAGGTGGGAATTGAACAATGAGAACACTTGGACACAGGAAGGGGAACATTACACACCGGGGCCTGTTGTGGGGTGAGAGGAGGTGGGAGGGATAGCATTAGAGATATACCTAATGTAAATGACGAGTTGATGGGTGCAGCACACCAACATGGCACATGTATACATATGTAATGAACTTGCATGTTGTGCACATGTACCCTAGAACTTAAAGTATAATAAAAAATAAAAATAACAAACATTTTTAAAAGAATAAAAAGTATTTCTGCTTCTGGTAAAAAAAAAATAAAAGAAAAAAGAAAAAACCCTGACAGTTAAGCTAACCAAAAGGTGATGTTTCCTTGACTCACCCTCCTGGAGTCTAAGCCTTAGTGGGCAGCTCCATGTCCCACCTGGTGCAAGCTGTAATAGATATAATCTGAGGGGTTCAGCTTCATATTCATGTACTAGTGCAGTGCTGATTACACAGCAGACTTGAAACAGTAGTAAATTGTAGAGAAGAAGGAAAAAGAGCTGAACCTGTAAGAACTCACTCATCATTTCTGTCTCATTCTATTGGTAGAAGTGAGATACAAGGGAAGCCCAGTTTCAAAAAGTGAGGAAATAGAGTCCATCTTTTGATGAGAGGAGCTGGAGAATACCATGGTCACCTTTTTTAGTTACATATCTCCTTCTGCCACAGTTATTTACATCCCATCCACAAGCAAAATATGCTTACCTCCTCTGCCAAAAACCTCCTATCGTTATGGCATTAGGCTCTGGTTTAAAGTGTAGGATCTCATCATCAAAATCACATCCAGGCATGGATGAGGCTCTTTGGGAGTGGTGTTCAGGTTCTCTTCTAGTATGGCTCTTCTTGATCTAGAACCTGTGGACTGAAAGAAGGTACCTGCCATCTTGAACTCTCCACCCTTACCCAACATGCAACAGTGAGATGGACACAATAACCACAAAGGATACTCCCATGGAAACAGAGATGTGTAGTCATCTTGGGTTCATAGAAAATCTGAAATGGTGCCAGGAACATGTGCCAGTTCCCTTTACTCTAGGGCCAGGGAATGTTCCTTAGAGCTCATTTTTACTTCCTTTGAATAGTTTCATATTATACAATGGTGCTATAATTGTACAAGAGGTAATCCTGTAATAAATTCCATATGCTATATCACTCATAGTGGTTCTGTTTTTCTGATCAAACTCTGACTGATACAAGCCCAATTAAAAAGAGGTGCCCCCATTAGTCTCAGAATTTTCTTTAGTGGCATTACTTACTGGATTCTGGATCTTAGATCTGTGGATGATCCCTATCAGGTCAGGAAAGCTTCAGGAGCCACCAGTGGGATTTTGATGTAAGGGATTCCAGGGGATACAAACAAATTTATGCCCTTAGAAAAACAACCACTTTTGGTCCAGTTGGAGCTACTTGAGTTGGAAGGTCTTATGGGTCTGGTGCCTACATCGTAGCAACAAAGCTTCTAACTATATTTTGAAACAGATTAAACTGCGAACAGTCCAGAGTGATGGCTCAGATCTGGAGCGAATTAAAATATCAATCGTACTTTAAGGAAGGGGCCAAAATATTACACTCACAAGAAGGCGGCATGGCAGACACTGGGCCTCCACTATTCTGAAGGATGGCTGTGTCAACTGAGATCAAAGGGGAACCTGTGATAAGAGGAAAATACCCTGGTAGGATTTACAGTGGAAACACAAAGACTACTAGTGCGTCACGGATAGCAATGCCACCATAACCTGAAATAAAGTTAAATGCTAGGCTCTGCCTTCCCACCTACATGCCCTCAGAAAAGAAGGACCAAGCAAATTGGCACAATATATTTAGCTCCAGGTAGTTTCAATGCAGACAGTACAAGAAGCCAGGTGATTGGTGGGCTGCGGCTGATGGGCTGACTATATGGTCACATAGATGGAAACAAAATGCCTCGATAATTAG
Source organism: Homo sapiens (assembly GCF_000001405.40). Taxonomy (NCBI): domain Eukaryota; kingdom Metazoa; phylum Chordata; class Mammalia; order Primates; family Hominidae; genus Homo; species Homo sapiens. The sequence continues at coordinate 169,908,078 of NC_000001.11, forward strand.
TGTAAACCCAGCTTGGGAAAAGTAACTATAGAAAGCCCTGCTGATGTATGTAGATACCAACTTGATGAGGGAGAGGTTTATAAATATATGAAATAGATGCTCTAACTTGAACCACAAGCCTATAAAAAGGAAAACTGGGACAATAGGGGTTATTTCCATCTCTGAATCCAATAGATTAGGGAATTAAATGAAGAATATAAAGAGGGTACTCCAACCACTTGGAGAGAATCTGAGGCACTTCCATACTGCATCAAGTGATGGTACACAACCAGATGCAGAAGAGGAAAATTACTTTTCAGAAAGGCTTGTGGGGTCCCTAATTGCATTCAGTTTTTCTTCTCCTTCCTCTAGCTGATGGGACTCAATGGATATATTCCCAAGGCAAAGAAGAAGCATTGCTAGGAGTTTTCCCTCCAATGAGGAAATGAGCTTGTCTGATAGGAGAGGATAGCTATTTAGGCTAGAATAAATACCTTCTATTAGTGTCAAACACTTATTTTGCAGGACTAGAGGCCTGATTACTCAGAGAGAGACTTGCATTAAAGAAATGGAAGTAGTACAGCTAGGTGTGGTGGTACGCACCTGTAGTCCCAGCTACTTTGGGAGGGTGAGGCAGGAGAATCGCTTGAACCCAGGAGGCGGAGCTTGCAGTGAGCCAAGATTGCGCCACTGCACTCCAGCTTGGGTGACAGAGGGAGACTTCATCTCAAAAAAAAAAAAAAAAAAAAAGCAAAAACAAAAAAACAAAAAGGAAGTAGTGGTGAAGGCAGAAACAGAAATAGGTAACTAAGAGACCAGATGACTCACATCTGGTGATGAACAAGCTAAGAAAAAAAGGCCTAAGATATAATGGACTAAAGTTATATTTACCCTTTGGTGACAATTTTGGCTACACTGTTACACTATATACACTATACTTTTAATTGTATTAGGGATGATGACAATATTTATGACCAGTTGTGCAACTCAACAGCCATTAGTGATTACCACTACGGCAGCTGGTTTTGTGTGTACTATATTGTGTGCTTGTAGGTACTCAGGATGGTAGCTTTTGCTGTTGCTACTTTTAGGTCAACCAATGTATCTGATGTGGAAGCAGAACCCCTGTGTCCTGTTGCCTGAACTACAAACAGTAATTGTAGTTACATTATAACATCAGCATCTGCCACATCTGCTGGAACAAATAATACAGATGTAGTATCTACTGGCACAAGAATTTCATGCTCACAACATCCTTGCTCTCCCATATAACCTGGACAGGAACCTATAACTAAGGAACCTATACCTAAACTATAAACAAGCACACAGCCATTTCAAGAAGTTTCATGTGGGAATTCCTGTGTATTTACTGGTTTCAGATACTGAAGATATACCTACCAGTTAATTTCCTATGAACTAGCAATTCTCAACCCTGGTTGCACATTAAAATCACCTGGCAGAATTTTTTTTGAAATAATTAAAAAAAATTTTTTATATGTCCAGGGCTGACTTTCAATACATTTCAGCGAGAGAGTTGCTCTGCTACATAGGAAACCCCAAACCCCGACCCAGAAGCAGGTCGTCTCTGAGTGATTCAGCGCCAGGTTCCCTACGAACGTGCCTTGTATGAAGGGCGTGGGGGTGGCTGCCTTTTCGGCTGCACCCCATTTCCCAGGACTAGGGGCTCTCTGCACCCGACCCGGTCCCGGTGCACGGCCGGGCAGCCCGTCGGGACCTGGCAGAACTTTTAAACCACGTGATGCATGTGTTCCATCCCCAAAGATGATTTAATTGGTTTGAGTTGGATATATATATTTTTAAAGCTCCCCAGATGATTCCATAAAATGCATACTAGTATAAACAACAGGGCCCATACTGCGAACTAGCGCAGTGGTTCTCAAAGTGTGGTCCTTGACCGGAGCCAGCAGCAGCCCCTGGGAACTTGTTAGAAATGCAAGTGGCTCACGCCTGTAATCCCAGCACTTTGGGAGGCCGAGGTGGGTGGATCTTCTGAGGACAGGAGTTCCAGACCAGCCTGGCCAACATTGTGAAACCCCGTCTCTACTAAAAAAATGCAAAAATTAGCCGGGTGTGGTGGTGGTGGGCCTGTAATCCCAGCTACTCAGGAGGCTGAGGCAGGAGAATCACTTGAACCCGGGAGGCAGAGGTTGCAGTGAGCTGAGATCATACCACTGCACTCCAGCCTGGGCAACAAGAGTGAAACTCCGTCTCAAAAAAAAAAAAAGCAAGTTTTTGAGCCCCATCTCAGACCTGCTGAATCACAAACAATTCCAGTCTGGCCCAGCAAGCCCACCCGGTGATTCTCATTTAAGGTAATGTTTGAGAACCGCTCAACTTGTGAAACAAGTTGCTGGTGTTTGAGCAAGCATCATTTTATTTCTACTAATGCACGAGAAAGACAATTATCCCCAACATGAGCTGGGACAGAACTCTGTGGTCTTATGTGATTATTTGCACTTCTTGAGAATAAATCAGTTTTCCTGAAAATAATGTTTGCTAGACTTCCATGAGAATGAAGTTTTCTTCTGGAGAGCTAAAATTAGCCACACAGACGTTTGTCCTGATAATACTTAAGTAGAAATTCTTCTCTTCCACCCCTGCCCCTGCCTGCGCCCCCCAACCCCTCTCACCTCAAGAAATGATTCATGGTAGGGGCTTCTGGCTGTGAGACTAGGAAGCTAGGGAATATTTGCCCATGTAGTTACCATTTTCAATGCTCTTCATTATTTGGTGTAGATCCATAGTTCATCTGGTATCATTTTTTTCTGCCTGAAAGACTTTAACATTTATATTGTGTGGGTCTGCTGGTGAAGAATTCTTTCTGCTTTTGTACCTCTGAAAATATCATTTTTTTCACTTTCATTTTTGGAAGATATTTTCACTGGGTGTATTAGGGCTTTCCACAGAAACAGAACCAGAAGGATATACAGGCGTTCCTTGTCATAAGTTGAGGAACGTCCTGAATATATATTGTTTTCCCACCATCACAAAGTAAAAAATCATAAAGGGATCCATCGTAAGTCAGGGACCATCTATATAGACAGGTATAGCTAGATAGGAGTAGATTTATTATGAGAATTGGCTTACAAGATTATGGAGACTGAGAAGTCCCAAAATATGCCATCTGCAAGCTGGAGAACCAGGAAAGCTGGTGGTGTCATTCATTCTGAGTCCAAAAGCCTAAGAACCGGGGGAGTCAATGGTGTATCTCAGTATGAGGAGAGCTGCTGGTATAAATCCCACAGTGCAGTGGCCTGAGAACCAGGAGCTCTGATGTCTGAAGGTAGAAGATAGACACCCTACCTCAAAAAGAAAGCTTTCTTCACCTTTTTGCTCTATTCAGGCCCTCAATGAATTAAATAATACCCACCCACCCTGGTAAGGGCAGATTTTTTTTTTTTTTTTTAAGAGATGGAATCTCACTCTGTCACCAGGCTGGAGTGCAGAGGCGCGATCTTGGCTCACTGCAACCTCTGCCCCCTGGGGTTCAAATGATTCTCCTGTCTCAGCCTCCCAAGTAGCTGGGACTAGAGGCATGCGCCACCATGCCCAGCTGATTCTTGTATTTTTTGTAGAGACGGGGTTTCAGCATGTTGGCCAGGATAGTCTCGATCTCTTGACCTTGTGATCCTCCTGCCTCAGCGTCCCAAAGTGCTGGGATTACAGGTGTGAGCCACCATGCCTGGGCTTTTTTTCTTATTTTTTGAGACAGTGTCTCACTCTTTTACACAGGCTGGAGTGCAGTGGTGCAATCATAGCTCGTTGCAGCCCTGAACTAACTGGGCTCAAGTGATCCTCCTGCCTTGCTTCTTGAGTAGCTAAGGCTACATGTGCACACCACCATGCCCAGGTAATTTTTTATGTTTTGTAGAGATGGGGTCCTGCTATGTTAACCAGGCTGGTCTCAAACTCTGGGCATTAAGTGATCCTCCTGCCTCAGCCTCGCAAAACTCTGGGATTACAGGCAGGAGCCACCACACCTGGCTGGCAGATCTTTACTCAGTCTACTGATTCAAATGCTAATCTCTTCCAGAAACACCCTCACAGACACACCCATAAATAATGCTTTACCAGATATCTGGGCATCCCTTACTGTAGCCATATAAAACTTTGTGACATTAAATTAACCATCACACTGGGTATAGAATTCTAGATTGACAGGTTTTTTTTTTTTTTACAGTACTTTAAAGATACTGTTCTGCTATCTTCTCCATAGCAAAATAAGAAATTTGCTAATATCCTTGTCGTTTTCTTCTGTATATAATGTGTCTTTATAAAATTGCAACCTCTGGTTGCTTTTAAAATTTTCCTTTTTTTCTTTTTTTGAGATGGAGTCTCACTCTGTCGCCAGGCTGGAGTGCAGTGGCGCGATCTCGGCTCCCTGCAAGCTCCGCCTCCCAGGTTTACGCCATTCTCCTGACTCAGCCTCCCCAGTAGCTGGGACTACAGGCGCCTGCCACTGCGTCTGGCTAATTTTTTGTTTTTTAGTAGAGATGGGGTTTCACCGTGTTAGCCAGGATGGTCTCAATCTCCTGACCTTGTGATCCACCCACCTCGGCCTCCCAAAGTGCTGGGATTACAGGCGTGAGCCACCGCGCCCGGCCTTAAAATTTTCTTTTTATCACTTATTTTGAGTATTTGGGCCAGCAGGAATTGTGAGACACCAGTAGAACACAGTGTAAATTTTTTTGTTTTTTTTGAGATGGAGTTTCACTCTTGTCACCCAGGCTGGAGTGCAGTGGCATGATCTTACCTCATTGCAACTTCTGCCTCAGCCTCCCAAGTAGCTGGGATTATAGGCGCCCAGCACCATGCCTGGCTAATTTTTTTGGTATTTTTAGTAAAGATGGAATTTCACCACGTTGGCCAGGCTGGTCTTGAACTCCTGACCTCAGGTGATCCACCCACTTCGGCCTCCCAAAGTGCTGGGATTACAGACATGAGCCACTGTGCCTGGCCAACACATTGTAATTTTGCATGAATGCACAAGTAAACTCATTTCTACGCTCAGCGTGTGCATAGCATTATAGTTTGAATTGTATCCCTTCCCAAAAATATATGTTGAAGTCTTAACCCCCAGTACCTCAGCACCTCGGTAAGTGACTTTATTTGGAAATAGGATATTTACAGAGGTAATCAAGTTAAAATGAGGCTAGTAGGGTAGGCCATAATCCAATGACTGCATCTTTATAAGAAAGGGAAATTTGGACGCAGAGACAGATATGCAGAGGGAAGAAGATGTGAAGACACACAGCGAAGAGACAGCATAGTACTGGAGTGCTGCATGTATAAGACAAGGAAGGCCTGGGATTGCCAGCAAATCCAGGAAGCCAGGAAGAAGCAGGAAGCCAGAAGCCAGGAAGAAACAAGGAAGGTCTGGCCTGGGATTGCCAGCAAACACCAGAAGCCAGGAAGAAACAAGGAAGGTCTGGCCTGGGATTGCCAGCAAACACCAGAAGCCAGGAAGAAGCAAGGAAGGTCTATCCCTTACAGGTCTCAGAGGGAGTAGGGCCCTGCTCATACCTTGATTTCAGACTTCTAGGCTCCAGAAATGTGAGACAATACATTACCATGCCTGACTCGTATGTTTTATACCATCTGGTTTTGGTGCTTAACAACCCTAGGAAATGACTACATGTGTGTTTCATACATGTGTTTGATTTGGAGCATTGCACATTACCATGCCGGACTCGTATGTTTTATACCATCTGGTTTTGGTGCTTAGCAACCCTAGGAAATGACTACATGTGTGTTTCATACATGTGTTTGATTTGGAGCATTGCACAGTTCCCAATCACTCAATCTCCCTCTGCACAAACAGGTTACAAGAATCCATCAGGACCAGCAATCCACACTAGGGGTACAGCATACCAGGTCTGGAGCCCTGTTGGCTCTCCATTATTCCACTTCATCAAGTGCCCTGTTTTTTGAGCAAATTGCAAGGTTTGCTAGACTGACCACTGGAAGATGGTGGCTGCTGCCTCAGTGAGCTTTTAATTCAAAGGGACAACTGGTCTCTGGAACCAGGGAACCACCATGTTCAGTCCAGGCCAAATTGCCAAACTTCCCAGTTGTGAACTAAATAAATGATTGTTATTTTAAGTCACTGTGTTTTGGAATGGCTTATTACATAGCAAAAGATAATAAAGCCCTCTAATAATGCTTGCTTTAATATTTGTATATTTCTCATATGAATGCATTTACTTTCTCTCTTTTTGTACTTGAATGAGTTTGGCTGAATATACAATTGTAAGTTGGCAGTTATTTTCTATCAGTTCACTGAAGACAGTTTTCTACTATGTGCTAACACGGTTGCTGAGATCTGATGTCGGACTAATTACAGTATCTTTGTAAGTATTCTTTCTCTGTGAATATTTATTTCTCATTGATACACTACAGTTTCACACTGATGCATCCAGGGGATGTGTGTGTCCTGTCTTGGAAATGTTTCCTTCCTCATTCTGAAGATATGTGTGTCTTTTGTTAAGTCAGGAAATTCTCTATTTTCTCTTTAAGTATTGCCTCACCCTTTCTATTTTCTTCTTCCAGAACTCTATATTTGATTTCTCTCTCCCCCACCCGCTTTTTGTCTTCTGAGAGCAAGGTTTAATGATGACTCAGAATTATGATTATAATCATTTTTAAAGTACTACCAATTCCAACACGCTGTGTAGGAATTACTCAGACTTTTTACCCCTTTAACTTCTGAAAAACCGAAGTGACTAACCATTCCTGGACTTAGCTGAGGAAGTAAAATGCATTTCCTTATCAATAATTACCACAGAAAAGCACACTTAGCTTGCATTTCAAGTTGTCTTCAGTAAAGTCTCTTTTGCTTGCAATAGTTGTATTCTCCTGATTGCTCTTCTCCGACTTCTGTTCTCTGTAATAGAGATAGATGTGTTGTGAAGGGCTACCTCCAAAGTCTTGCTTTTCCCTTTCTTTGCCTTGGGAGCACCTGGTGGGAGCAAGCCTTGCAGGTGCGGGCAATCGGTGGCGTCCATGGGCAGGGTAGCAGAGCTCAGCACTGCAGCTGGGCTGAGAATGGCCACTCTTGGTTTCTTTTGCTTCCACCTGGGAGACTTGCCCTGGCCTTTTCCTCTTTACCCTTTACCTGGCAAAGTAAACTTTTTCTCAGCTGAACGGGTGAGTGTGGTTTCCAATCCTAAGATGCAGAAGGAGGCCGAGTCCCCGCATCCCCCAGGGGCCATGCCCGCAGGTCTGTTCCTTCAGCTTTCTCCTCCGTGCTGGTCCGGGACCCCCGCGGCTCCCATGCTTCTCGCCCGGTGCCTGTGAGGCCCGGATGTGCAGGGGACGGAGCCCAGCGCCAGCGACCTCACCCCCCCGGCTCTCCATGTCTTTTAATTCCTTACATTTCTAATTATGTCTGTGCTGCATTCTGGCTAACTTTTTAAAATCTAGCTTTATCTCCTCTTCATCTGTATCCCATCTGTTTAACTCTTCCATTGAAATTATTTATCTATTTTATATCTAGAATTTTTAATTTTATCTCTGACCTTACCCATTTGTCCTTTACTTCTTATGTTTTTATACCCTCTTTATTTCTTTAAATATTTTAAACATATTTGTTTTATATTCTCTACATGAAAATTCCAGTGTCTGATGAAGGAGCGTGCCTCATTTTGCTGTGTTGTTTCTGCTCTCACTGGGGCTTGTTTCCTCGTGGGTTTTGTAATTTTTTTTCCTGTAAGCTCATGTCCAGTTGATCTTAATTTGTGAGAATCCTTTGAAAACTGAAGGTTCATTTCTCTAGGGAGGATTTGTGTTAGTTTCTGTCAGGTGCTCCTGAGGTTACAACACTATGCAGATATGGTAAATCTGAAACTCCAAATTCAAAGATGTTCAAACATATGTTTGAATTCTCAGGTGACACTTCTCCTTTCTCACCCAAAGCCCAGCCTGTGTGGGAAATAATTTTTTTTTAAATAATGTATTTTCTTAGAGATCCCTGCTTTGTGCTTCCAACTGCTCACTTTACATGAATCCAAGGCCCCCATCTCCTGTCTCTTGCATAGACTTCTACACCCAAGGCTTTATGTACTTGACATTGGTAATGCCCTCAGGGTAGGTATAGAGTTCGTGTGTGTGTGTGTGTGTGTGTGTGTGTGTGTGTGTGTGTGTGTGTGTGTGTGGCGGGGGGGGGTGGTGAGGGGGTGCCTCAGAGCTCAGTTAGGGCTCTGGCTTCCTCCGTCCTCTTCAGTGATCCCCAAACAATTTCCTTACTTTCTTCTGCAAGCCTGTAAAGCATTATCCCTCAGTCCAATTCTTGAATTTCAAAACCATGTAATCATCCTCAAATTATTTCGCCTTATATATTTTTTTCAGGGGTACATTTGCATTTTGTTTTGTAATAATTACCTATATTTGCAAATATTTAACTGCTTTCAATGCCCACACCTGTCATTTTATGACTTGCTAATTCTAGAGCTAATTTTGCATTACTTAAAAAACTCATAGCACCAATTTATTTTTTTCCTTCCCCTCCCCCTCCTCATCCTGGGTCTCCGTTGCTGATGCTGGGTGCAGTGGTATGATCATAGCTTACTGCAGCCTCCAACTCCTGAGCTCAAGTGATTCTCCCACCTCAGCCTCCTGGGAAGTTGGAACGGCAGGTGTGAGCCACCACACCCAGCTAATTTTTTAAACTTTTTGTAGAGATAGGTTTTAGCTTTGTTGCCCGGGCTGGTCTGGAACTCCTGGCTTCAAGCAATCCTCCTGCCTTGGCCTCCCTAAGTGACGGAATTACAAGTGTTAGCCACTTCGCCCAGCCACCCTTTTCTTATGAAAATTAAATGGGAGGTATATTTTATGAGATCTTTAAGAATCTCCATCTCCCTCACAAAATAAACATTTTTTTAAAAAATAAAGAAAATTGGTCAGGTGTAGTATTTTTGAGTTCTAAATCTATCTCCTCAATAAAAAGAAACAACTCTATGGATCACACTTCACTGTTTTCTGCCACTTAATGTCAAAATTCTGGGGGTGGTCTGTTTCTTTGAAGATATTTTGTCTTTCTTTCCAAGATTCTTATGGAAGTTTTAACTCATTCTTCATAAGACCTTTCCCAGCATATGTCAAGATAGATGCCAGTCTCTATTTTCAAAAAAGGATGACCATATTGTAGGAAAAAACATCCTTTTTTTAGCTCAGGAATGTTTTCTTGTCTTCTTCTTGTACTTTTTTAAAAGAAGTTTTAAAATTTTTAATTGGAAAACTTACTAGCCAAACGTTGGTGCTCTAATTTTTACCTCCTATATTCTTATTTATCATTTATTATATATGTTCTTTTCCTCTGCCTTCTCAGAGAGCTTCTCAAGTTTTTATTCCGTTATCACTGATTTTTCCTCGGTATTATTCTCTTCTTTAATGCCTGCTTCAGACCAGTCTTTATCCCAAATAGGAGTGCAGTTCTGCTGTACTCCAAGAACATATCACAAAGCCTAGTGCATTATCATTTGTTTTGTAGCCTTTTAATTACCTACCTAGAGTGTTGTGATAATTAATTTTAGGATTAAGAAAAGTTAAGAAATACTTAGCTGGAAAATCATTATTTCTGGTTGTTTGTGAGGGTGTTTCTGGAGGAGATTGGCATGTGAGTTGGTGGACTGAATAGGGAAGACCCATCCTTGATGTGGCTGAGCACCATCCAATTGGCTGAAGGTCCAGATAGAACAAAAAAGACAGAGGAAGGGCAAATTTGTTCTCACTTTCCTGGAGCTGGGACACCGTTCTTTTGCCCTTGGACATCAGAACTCCAGGTTCTCTGACTTTCAGACTCTAGGACTTGCACCAGCAGTCCCAGGTCCTCAGACTTCCAGCCTTGGACTGATAAGTTACACCATTGGCGTCCTTGGTTCTGAGGCTTTCAGACTTGAACAGCCACACTACTGGCATCCCTGGTTCTCCTGCTTGTAGACGACCTGTCATGGGACTTCTAAGCTCTACAATCATGTAAGCCAATTGCCCTAATAAATCCTCTCTCTCTCTAATTTCTCTCTCTTTCCCTCCCTTCCTTTCTCCTTCCCTCCCTCCTGTTGGTTCTGTCTCTCTGGAGAAACCTAACTACTACAAATGTCTATGTGGGATTTTAGATATTTGAGGAGAAACCAGTATTTTCAAATTTTCCACTAAACTAGCAACAAAGACATAGAAGAACACAGTAACTCACCTCACTAAAAACCTCAATGTATCCTCAATGATAGAATTTGGGAAGACTTGCCAATAACTAGGTCAGTTGACTAGGTCAAAAAAGAAAAACAGGCCAGGCGCGGTGGCTCACGCCTGTTAACCCAACACTTCCGGAGGCCGAGGTGGGTGGATCACTTGAGGTCAGGCATTTGAGACCAGCCTGGCCAACATGGTGAAACCCCATCTTTACTAAAAATACAAAAATTAGTCAGGCATAGTGGCGGGTGCTTGTAATCCCAGCTACTCGGGAGGCTGAGGCACGAGAATGGCTTGGACCCAGGAGGTGGAGGTTGCAGTGAGCCGAGATAGTGTCACTGAACTCCAGCCTTGGCAACAGAGAGAGACTCTGTCTCAAAAGAAAGGGGGGCTGGAAAAAAAAACAAAAACAAACCTCCAGGTACCACTTGGGGAAAAAGTAGGCAGATATTTTCTATTTCTCTCTTGTTGTTTTGTGACTTAAAATATATAGGATCTGTAAAATCCTGAAGATCATGTAGCTAATAACAATTAATCTTGGAAGAAGAAACACTCTGAAAGTAGGTCTTCAGCTGGGTTGAAGAAAAAACACTTTCTTTTCTGTGAGACCTTCTGACAGTTTGGCCTCATCTTAGAATTCTTTAAAGATTCCTGAGTATTTCTGGTGGCATAGAGCAAGTTAGCCCTGCCATGCAGGCCAAGTGAGAGCCTTGTGACTGTTGCCTCTTGTAATAATAGCAAGTTATTTTGTGTGATATTTCTCTTATTACTTAAATCTCTGTAAAATCATGATGAAACATACAGCTTTAGTTTCTGTTGTGCTGTGCAGAATTAAGCAACAGGTGTGTCACACACATGGAAGGGAATAAGAAAGGGGAGAGCAGTGTTATCTTCCCAGGTCCTAAGTGGAGGGAGCAGTGGTTCTCCCATGTGGAGGGCAGCTGTGATCTCATGAGGATCATGAACACAGAGAAAGCCATGTCGGGGGAAGAGGAGGAACCATAATATGAGAAACCTATTCCTGGGCCTATGTGAGAAAGCACCTTAGTGAACTTTCAGAAGGAGCAAAGAACTCTGGAGAAGAAATAATTTTCAGCTATAAATCAGGGCTTGAAGCCATGGCAATTTAGTTATTAAAATAAATCTGACCTAAATTTGTAGTCAAAATCTGGTGAGGACAGGATATTTGTCTTACAACATAAAATGTATTTCTAAAAGTGCCCAAGGCCAAAACCTTTTGTTCTCTGAAGTATGTAAAAATATTAGGCTGGGCACAGTGGCTCATGCCTGTAATCGCAGCACTTTGGAGGCTGAGGCAGGTGGATTACTTGAGCTTAGGAGTTCGAGACCAGCCTGGGCAACATAGTGAGACCTCATCTCTGCAAAAAGTAAACAAAAAATTAGCCGAGTGCAGTGGCACGTGCTTGTAGTCTCAGCTACTTGGGAGGCTGAGGTGGGAGGATCACTTGAGCCTGGGAGGCTGAGGCTGCAGTGAATGATGACTGTGCCACTGCACTCCAGCCTGGGTGACAGAGCAAGACCTTGTCTTAAAACAAATCTTTTTTTACATAGTCTTCCTTATTAATCTCTTTAGAAAAATATTCCTTCATAAATAATGCAATGGTAAGCCAGTTCAAGCCTGAGTGGAAAGATTACAATTTCTAAATTTGTTAAGTCCTATACTAATGAAAACAAAATTAGGGAGAGTGAGCATGTGCACGTAAAATTGAGCGAGCATAGCCCTGGGAATTTTATCAATTTTGGCGGGTGTTCTTCCTAATGCAGTTTATAACAACATGAGGGAAGTTAAAGCTATAGGATGTTTGCATCATTTTCCTATTAATGTCACTTATGTGTATTTATACTTTGTACACATGATAAATAATAAAACAAGCTATTTAGTATTGAGATTGCTGAATAGGAAGCAAAGAGACAGCCTATGTCATTGACTAAGTCACTTAACCTCTCCTGGCCAGTTTTTTTGACTGCAAAAATTAGAGTTGGACAGGGTTGCTTCTAAGGCCTTTTCCAGCTTTAATATTTTATGGTTAAAATAGAAACTAAGACAAATAAATGTATGTTTTCAGAAAGATCAAAGGCATAAACATACCTCAGATTTACATCTCCTAAGGGGCATCATATACTTCCTTACACATAGCAGGTAGTCAGGAAAATATCTGTTGATTACATTTAAATTTTTTATGTGATTGGTTTCTTAAATAAGTAGATGGAATGAGTTATTTCAAAGGCCTTTTCCAAATGTTATCTTCTGCTTAAAATGTAATTTAAGCCACATAAATAGTGTAGTTAGATCAATGAGATTTTAAATTCAAGAACAGAAGTCTTATCTTTGATCTATGTATTCCCTTTGAAGCTTCATATTTTCTCCCATAGCAGGTGATCATGGAACTATCTCTGATTATAGTTATTATTATGGTTATTTCTTTGCTCAGCTTTTCAAGTAGAATTGAACATTTTTTTAATATGAAAACACTGAACTATTTTCAAAACCCATTATGAATTATATAATGTCTCTCCATTTCTTGCTATCTAAATGTACGTTATAAGAACAAGTGAACAATTGGGAACTGGGTACCCAAGTGAGTGAAATATTCTGTTCCTTAGTTTTCCTTAATGCGACTTTTAATTAGCTTTCCCATGCTTTAGATACTAAATTTATGAAGAATAAAAGTTAAAAGCCAAATGCTAATCTTGTATCACTGCTTGTCTTGTATACTACTTGTCCTAGGATTTCTATATTACAACTAGGAAGATATGAATTAAAACCACCAAAGAGACTATAACCATAAATAACTTATGACATATGTTCCATTATTAATTGAAAACTCATAGTTAATAAACTTTGGGAAGGAAACTTTCAGGCACATGGCATGGAATATGAAGGTGATGTTCTTTTTATAAATTTTAAAGGTAGCATATATTATACAAATTACTCAAGAGTTTACAAGCAGAAAAAAAGGAGAAAAAATAAAATTCACGCGCACCCTATATTAACATGTAATTCGTAGTGAAATGTGTGAAATATAAACACATGACTTTCACTTATTCATTTTCACTTTACGCTTTTTAATTGAAATTAAATTAGTCACTTAACATACATAATGCAGTGTTTGTTTTCCAGTCTAGTAGCTTTTCAGCATTCAGTTTTGTGGCTCATGGGAAATGTTACTTAGCATCAAGATGTGGTTTGATGAGTGAACAATGTCAGTATCAACTGTACTTAACAGAAGACAGAGGGGCTGGGGTTAATCTGCAGCTAACAACATATAAAAATAAAAACAAACACAGACCCACAATAACATCAACATGCATTATTAGGCAAAGATCCAAAATTAACCCAACCCACACAGATTTCTTCTAAGCTGAGATTACACATGGAAACAGATACTTTATCAAGATCCATAGCCATAGTAGTAAGGTTCATCAGGGCGGAATCCATATGCTGTGGCAGGGCGTCCAAGAATGCCAACTGGTTGGCCAAAGCCATCCATTCCAAGGCTAAAAAAGAAAAAAAAGAATGATAAGCTATGTTTTTCATCACACATCCACAATGCAGATTAAGAGGCCTACATTTTTATACCACCAAGATTCTCTTCCTAGCAGGGATAGTGATTTAGGTGGATATCATTAACTTTTTTTTTTAAGGTTAATAGAGCCATTAAAAGTGTATATAATAAAATACTTCTAACAATGTGTGTTAAAAGTATGGGAAACCTCTGTCAGTAGGTACTATTTGAAACAAAGTGGAAGAATCAAATCAGAAAAGTTTTATTTAATAAATTACTTATATATGGCTCTTAAGCAAAAATATGAAAAGATTTTACATGCTAGCAATGATCAGTAATATATTGCTAGGGAATGATAAAAATAAAACTGTAGTAAAGTGAGTTTTGCTGTTTATAATGTCTTTTCATATGAAGATACAGGACTAATTCCACTTTTAGTAAAAACATGTGTTTGAGTTATATCAGTGAACTCTCATGCAGGGCCAAATCATACCATAAGCCTATGATTAAAAGAACAAGATAAGGAATTTGACAAAATTTGAAAATTAGTCAGATTTGATCTGCAAATCCTTCCTCTGATTCCTCAATGCAAACAATTACAAAACATATCTATTTCTTTTGAGTGACAGCAAGACAATTACAAATTTTGGTTCAACTTATTCTATGGGAATAACAGAAACCCAAAGATAACCTTCAGAGTTGTAAAGATAGCTTGAAGTATGTTAAACTTCATGATTATTATTTTAAAAAAATTACTTGTTGGTCTATTAATACATTATTTAGAGGAAAATCTGTTCTCCAAAGTCCTTTTTAAAGGTCAGGGAATTATCCAACACTTAGGAAAATGATAAAGTATTTATTTTGCCAGGCAGAACATGGTGGCCTTAACATGCTCATGCATAGCTCATGCAGTGAATGCTAGTGAGCTTGACTTCCAATCAATGGACACCATTTGTAATGCAGAAATGTAAGCTTTGGAAAAATAAAACATATTTAAATGATTTAAGATTTAAGTTTGCACTACATGAGATGGAAAGATAATTTTCCCTCAATAGCAAAAACTGAATGTGATGAAAAAATATATTCACATAGGCACTAACTCCCTGTCACACTCAGAGTGAGATTAAGTTGACACACTTTAGAAGTAACTATTAAAATGTTAAGGTTTTAAATAAATGTGTGAATGCGTGTGTGTGTTTGTGTGCACGCGTGCTTGTGTGTATTAAGATGGAACTAAAGAGTAAATGTAAAGAGCCAAAATACATATAACACATACTGGTCCAGTGACTCTGCCCTTTAGGAGAATGGAAGTTCTGAAATACAAGTTTCAGGTTAGCATTTGTACTGAGCGATTCTGGACAAAATTTGTTGTTTTGGGGTCCTTCTATATAAAAACTCTGTCTATAGTTTCTCAAAGTTGGTTGAAATTTTTAAGTCTACATTTTATTTTGAAATGGTAAAAATATAGGCACTTTTTCTAACTTTGATCTCATGGGAAGAGAGACTAAATTTTGTGATGAGGAAATCAAGAGGTAGCTTAAAAGATGCTTCAGAAATTAGTGGAATCAGTGAACTAAGAGACACTGGTATCAGCTTAAAATTAGAGAAGTTATTGAAAACTGTTCTCTGCAAGCACTAAGGCTAACAAGTAATCATGTATCTAAAGAACTCTCAATTATATAACTGTTGATTACATAGCTTGGATTTCAACTTGTTCCTTCTTCATCTTTTGCTTATTACCTGTCTTCAACCAGTCCTTATCTTTTTTAGCAACTCCTCTGAGGCCAAATAGCAGTAGACTTAGGTTAAACTCAAGTTAATCTTATGCTTGTTTCTCAATCTAGGGGCTATGGCAAGATCTATTTCAGTAATATGAAAACAAGAGGCATATGTGGGACAGTGAGGAAACATGCAAAGGCACCTTCAGAGTATCTCACAGACGACTTGTTAGCAATATCACTGTAATTCTACCTAAAAGAAGATGGTCCTCAGAAGGGAGTTCACCAGTCATTGGCACAGAACAAGGAGCGTCTCAGCTACAACGCTGGTTGTAGCAACCTAGGCAATTGCGTGGTGATCTGGTAAGCTATAACACCATAAGGAATATCTGGCCTTTTTGCAGTTTGGTCCTCAATCAGGAAGGGAATTTAACATTCTCAGAGTCTGAGGCCATTCTACATTCAAGTTGCAAAATTCTCCCCCTTTTTTTTATTTCTACGACTAATAGGCAAACTATTGATCACTGTAATTTCCCATGTAATTTGCCAACAGGTTAAATAATAAACTTAGATATTACCTAATCCACCTGATGGTTATAACTTTCATTGTACATTAACAAATGGATTTTTCTTTTTAAAATATGTCATGCACATTGTTGATAAAAACCTGCAGTCCCAAGTCAGTGAAAGACTGGCCCTTGAGCACTGATGAGTCTGAGTTTCTGAACCTGTAAATCTCTGGTCTTGAACAGTATGGTCTTTAGGTTACTATGGTAAAGATCTATTTATGTAGTCAGCAGTTCACCCAGAGACATCTGTGTGTATTACAGTGTAGAGGATATCATTTAATTTTTCGAATTTCTATATACAAATATCGTTTTGGAAAAAAGGAATAAAATTTGAAACCAAACTCTAAAATGATCTTTTCTGGAATTCTCCATTATGTATCACAGATGAACTTGCTGTTTAAAGCAAAAAATATTTAAAACATTTATGATCAGTTTGGAGAGTACTTTGACATAGGTCCTAGGTCCTTTTGTATTATGAAAAATCAACTATATCTACATACATTTTTAATTAAATTCACTGTGAAACATAACAGTTTGTTTCTTTAAACTCTCATTTGCTTCTTTCTAATATAGTGGGGGAAATCAGGCTTTCTAGGATGCTAAAACCTGGAGACATTCTTTTGGAATATGTAGACACTTTACTTTTTTCCTTGGGAAAAGGATACAGCCTTGCTAATGCTGAGTTTAGTTCAAAACCCGGAGAGTTTTCCTTTAAACAGAAGCAGATAGATTCTTCATGTAAGTTCTTGAAAGAGATAGAAACTATGAATATAAAAAGGCAACGTTGCAGGAAAAATTGTGCTTTCCTGATCTGGAAAGACTTGACTTCAATAGTGTGTATCACAGGAATTTGTATGCCCTCACTAGGGGCCCTGAGAAGCAAGGAAAAGTAAGCTGTGACATGCCACATCTGCTCTTGCCTTGTGTGGCCATTTTGCTTCAGATAATAGTTTGAATATGTGGCTATTTATAAGTATACTGGAATTCAATCCAATCTTGTAGGGTGCATGTCTCTGTATGTACATAGTTTCTTCTTGCTACTCCTAACCCACATAAAATGTGGTGTATCCCTCTAGACTAGTATATGCAACTATTATAGTACTTTTTCTTTATAGGATTACTTATTTAGTGCCATTTCACCTTTTTCCTTCGTATTCAGATAACATATTTTGGACCTTTGAATCACCAAAATAGTGTCTCTTCCTGAAAATACATAATTCTGGTCCAAAGAAAATGGTTATTGTTTATTGTGAAAAGATAACTAGGAATGATAAGGCCAAAAAGTCAATCTGCCATTAAGTTTTATCTCCCAAGAACAATTATTTCTGGGTACCTAGAAAGAAAAATGACAAATTCTTTAAAAGAGAAAAATTATATTTAAAACCCAACAACAAATAGAAAACCATATCTAGAGTGTGTTTTTTTAAATAAACAAATTTAGAAATCTAATTAGCATTCAGCAAGCAGAAGACTGAATTTTTGCTAATATTTGCAAGACTTCAAACACATTTGTAATAGCAATCATTAGAATTCTAAACTTGATATGATTCAGAGCAGGAACAAAGAAATCTGGAAATGACAAGTGATGCTTCACATGCAGCACATTACAAGGGAATGGCAGCCAGTAAAGAATCTCAGGCACTCACAGGCTCTTATTAAATTTCTGGGCCAGAGTTGACATTCCTGTAGAAAGAGAAGAAAACCACCTACCTCTGGCTGTTTGTGAGGCTTAATTAGTGCGTATTTGTAAAGCACTTTGAAATCCTTGGATGAAAAGTGCTGCATAAGTGAAAAGTATCATTATTTTATTAAAACGAGATAAAAGCAACACAAGCCTTTTTCTTCTTTTAAATTCCTAGGTCAGCAATATCAATGTAGAGCAAGTAATGAATTTATTAATAAATGGCTACAAAAAGAATAAATGCAGGCCAAATTATTTTTTCAAAGGCTCATGGAAGTCTTTGACTTGGGAACATTTTAAGAAATAATATTGGCTACACTTTTATTCACAACATCCTTGACAGGGTCTATCCAGCTCTCTTCTGAACACCTCCAGAAGGAAGTGCTCACTACTTTGTCAAGGCAGTTCATTCCATTTATGGATATGTAAAACTGTTGGAAAGTTCTTTATTACACAGCTCTAAAATCCAGTTCAACTAGTCTTAGAATTACCCTCTGAAACCACACAAGGAGTCCAATTCTTCTTTGATATGACTGCTTCACAACCCTTGTTTATTCAAGCCTCATTACATGGTCTCTAATCTTTACCATCTCAGTTGCTCTCTAAAACCACTTCCATTTTCTAGTGTTTGTCTTCAAATGAAGAAGCTAAAATTAACGTGATACTTATGATGTGATCTGAAACCAGTACAGAATAAAAGATCCTATATCTGACTTTACACTATTGTAGGCTAAAACTGTATTAATCTTAAACAAAAATTTTAAGAAGACATTATCACAAAGTTGCCTAATATTGACTGCTTATAATTGACTGTGTATATATGTGTATATATATATAACATTGAGTTATATATAGTTATATAATATTGAGTTATAGTTACATGTAACATTAAGTTTTTTCTGTATATATGTACAGTTGTGTGTGTACACACACACACACACACACACATTCAAAATTTTACTTATAACTACCATGCTAAATTTCATCTTTTTAGTCTGAGTCTGTCTTTAGGAATTCTATTCTTCCCAAGACAAAATCATTTATGACTACATATTTATAAATAGGCAGCAGTGATTTTTCTTAACAAACCAGTCTTTGTGATCCATCAGGTAATATTGAAGGCTGGAATTCTTTTGGAATTGTCAAGTGAAAGAATTTAACATGAGCTGTTATAGGAAGAAACTTTCCAGGATATTATAAAACTGTATGAAATTACTTCTTCATAATTTTTTGGAATAGTTCATTCTTTTTATCAATTTCTCTAATATATTGATTATAGAATCAAAATCAGTATGTTTATCTTTCTAAGTAGATTGTTAATTGATCATCAGGGTAATTTCAGCTTAAGTATGATTTGTCATGGGAAATTTAGGTCTATTGTAATAGTGACTCTATATACCATTTGCCCATCCATCCACCTATCCAAATAGTAGAAACATTTATTGAGTTCCTACAATGTGGTTAAGTATAGTTTTTGAAGCCAAGGAAAAAACATGGTGCTGGGAAGGCAATAACAAATACGACATAGTCCTTGACTATAAGGATTGGAGGCACCTAACATGGAAGAAATATTCTGATAATAACCTGATGTCATCCTACTGTAGCATATGTATAAATTGCTACAGAAGAAAAGAGGGGGGATAAATATTTAATATAAGAGTATATTAGAGACATGTACAAATTGCTACAGGACAATCTTGGCAGCTAGAAAGTCTTCATACAAAATACTTTGATTTTAATGCATCTGTTACCTCCTGACATATTTTGTTATTGTATTTCTTTCCCATTAGAAAATAAACACCATGGAGGGCAAGGAGTGTTTTGGCCATTGCTATATCCCTAGGCTCTAGTATTGTATCTGACATGGAGTGGGCATTCAAAAATTACATGAATTCATGAATGAATTAGTCTTAAAAGTCAAGTAAGATCTCACAGGCAAAGAGAGACAGAATTCCTGATGGTGGAGCAGCCTGAGCAACAGAGAGGAGTGGCTGACGAAGAGCAAATGGTTTGTTATGGTTAAAGTTTTAGATTTATGATATAAGCAAATGGCAGGAGATAAGGCTAGAAAGGGAGGTTAGGACTAGATATTGAAGCTTTTCATAAACCTGCTAAGAACTGGTGGCTACTGGAGAGTTGTCAATGGTTGCTAAGAAAGAGAATGACCAAATTCTATGTTTTAGGAAGATAATTGTAGTAGGAAAGGGGGTTGAGAGGCAAAATCATGAACACTGAAGAACCTATTACAGCTGTCCAAATGTGAAGTAATGAGAACCTACAGAGGGGTACTGGCAGAAATAACAATGATCAAATATGCTACAATTCACAACAATGTTATCTTTTCTCTTTTTTTTTTCTTTGAGATGGAGTCTTGCTCTGTTGCCCAGGCTGGAGTGCAGTGGCGTGATCTTGGCTCACTGCAACCTCTGCCACCCAGGTTCAAGCAATTCTCCTGCCTCAGCCTCCAAATTAGCTGGGATTACAGGTGTGTGCCACCACACCCAGCTAATTTTTGTATATTTAGTAGAGACTGGGTTTCAGCATCTTGGCCAGGCTGGTCTTGAACTCCTGACCTCATGATCCACCCATTTTGGCCTCCCAAAGTGCTGGGATTACAGGCGTGAGCCACTGTGCCCGGACCATCTTTTCTCTTTTAAAATAGTTTTTTTAGGCCAGATGCTGTTGCTTATGCCTAAAATCCCAGCACTTTGGGAGGCTGAGGTAGGCGGGTTGCCTGAGCCCAGGAGTTCAAGACATGGCAAAACCTCATTTCTACAAAAATACAGAAAATTATGCAGGCATGGTGGTGCACACCCATGGTCCCAGCTACTCATGGGTTTGAAGCAGGAGGATCACTTGAGCCCAGGAGGTTGAGGCTGCAGTGAGCCATGACCGCCACTGCACTCCAGCCTGGGCAACAGAGTGAGTGAGACCCTGTCTCCAAAAAAAAAAAAAAAAAAAAAATTAAAGTTATACCTTTACGAGTTGGGGACTGAGACTAAAGGAGAAGAATTTGAAAACTGGCTGGAAATTTTAAAGGTTATATTTCATTGGAATGGAGCAAATTTTGCCCCCTTAGTATGGGGATATGCTTCATCAAATAACTGAGATGCTGTGGTATTCCATGGAGATGAAATCAGATTGTAGAAGAAGCTTGCCCCTATCTTCTACAGGGCTGAACTGTTCTTGGAAAAGAGAATATTTTCTCCTTGAAATTCTTACAATAAGAAGAGATGTGCAGGTTGAACGAAATAACGAGTATAAAACAATACCTAACACTAGTAAAATGATGTACTACTACATCGAGATCTAAATGTTTGTCATTTATAGACCAACCACTAGATGGAGAGCTTGTCTTACCACTGAGTATCAGGTACTTCTACAAAATTTCAAAGCAAGGATTATTAAATTTAAACTTCTCAGCACATTTAACATTCATAGAATGTGGCATCCATTGCTGTCGCAGATAATTAATGTCCAGTTTTATGATTATGAAATAATTTACAGCTAAATAGAAATACCTATCAGTTACATGCAAAAAAAGTTTTGTGAATGTTGGGTGCCTAAGAAAATAGATCATAAGAAAAGAGGTTATAAGAAAAGATGCTAATTGTCTTGAACACTGAAAAATGTAACATGCATGCATGTTAAAGTGCTATTACTATAACATAGCTTCTAAAATTTTTCATTGAACCAATATTAATGGCATCTTGTTTCTATAAATCTATATGTAATAAATATATATTTTAAGTTGCTCAAAGGTATTACTCATTTCTTTGGACTTGAACTTTTGTATTGTTGAGAAAATAAAATCCAAGAGCATGGTTAAGCAGTCTTCTAATGAGTTTCACCAGCATATATCAAGTTTAGTTGTCATTTCCCATTTAGTTTTATTCTTAATCTTTTATATGCATAATTATAAATTTTCCTTTTATTACAATAAAACTAAATGGCTACAGCATCTTAAAGAATCTTATTCTTAATGAATTCAAACTAGTATTTTTTTTCAAAAATCAAGGGCAAATTATATGAGTAGTGGGAGGCTGTATTTAAAATACTCATCTGGAGTTTATTAAAAACATTTTTTGAAGGACATCTGTCAGTTCTAAGGGTGAAAAACAGCACCTTGGGGAAAAATCCTTTCAATTTAGTTACTACACTGAGATACTTCAGATAAAAACTAATTTGTACTAATGATGAAGGGAACGTGTGTAAAATAGTTGCACTGATTTATTCTAAATGGTAAAGAAATTCCATTTCATTGACTCTCCTCTAATTTCATTCAAGTTATACTTTTCTTATACATCTCAATCTGTTGATTAACCTGCCTCCAGAGTAATATTTTAGTGATTATATTTTAATGTGGAGATGTTATACTTGGTACTTTTTGATACTATATCATTGCATTAAGTTTTCTATTCCTTTTTATTAATTTACTTTTTTATTACATTTTATATAGTCTAATTGAGATTCTTCTATTAACTCTAATTCTTGGGCATCCTAACACTCTTGCTGTTAGAGCGCTTGTCGTGTACTGTCATGTACTTTACAAAGCTTTAAAACAAGGCTTATCAAATTTAAACTCCATGGCATATTGAACATTGATAAAATGGGATTTCCATTACATTCTGATGATTCTCTTTCATGATGGTCCTTTTTATGTTTTCATTGAGATGGCTGTCCTAAAACAATCTAAATGGCAATTTCTTGACTAAGGTTCCCTGAATTAAGTATACGGTGTAAATTCTGAACCCACTCATGTGCATGAAACAAGCTTGTGACTTCTCTTTCACATGGGTGACTATCTTCCCCTACCTAGGGTCTTTGAGCACAGACAGGTTTTGGCCACTTCTCTGGGCTGGTGAATTAACATCATTTAGTCCTCTTTTCAACTGATGAGAAAAAATTGAAATTCCAGGCTTTATTTAGAGAATTCAGTTCCATCTTCCTTTACCAAATAACTCGTACCTAGTTCAATATTCCGGTTGGTGTTTTTTTGTCATTGGGGTATTCCCTATCTTTCTTATGAACTTAGTCATATAAATTTCTGTTACATTTTTGTCCACCATTTACATATTATCTGCATAGGAGTGGTCCCTTCCAAATTAGCTCAGTCTATCATCTTGCTGGAAGTCCTTTTCATTTTATTATTACTTCTTTTTTTTTTTTTTTTTTTTTTGAGGTGGAGTTTCACTCTTCTTGCCCAGGCTAGAGCGCAATGGTGCAATCCTGGCTCACTGCAACCTCCACCTCCTGGGTTCAAGTGACTCTCCTGCCTTAGCCTCCCAAGTAGCTGGGATTACAGGCCCGTGCCACAATGCCTGGCTAATTTTTGTATTTTTAGTAGAGATGGGGTTTTGCCACGTTGTCCAGGCTAGTCTCGAACTCCTGAACTCAGGTGATCCGCCTGCCTCAGCCTCCCAAAATGCTGAGATTACAGGCGTAAGCCACCGTGTCTGACCCATTTTATTATTATTTATCTGCATATTCAAGGAAAAAAATATAAATTTTAGATTCCTCTGGCTCATAATAGGCTTTCTTGAAGAGAAAAATGACGTGCAAGAAATAACTGGAGCCATTAAAATATATTTTATTTTTCCTTATTTGTAGTTATTAACAGAAAAAATGCTCTAATAGGTACCTAATGGAAGTTGTCAGATGTGATTATCAAGTTGAAATGAATATTTACTCAAACCTATAAAGGTCTTTGGCTTTTTCTGGCAATATTTTAATGAAGGTATGCCATCTAGTCATCTTTAACTTACATTTCTTCCATTAAGCACAAGGACTTCTTGAAATTGGCAGTTCTATACTATCAAGCAATGCTTCATTTCATACCACCAAATGTTAAGGGAACTTGCTGAGCGGCTTAAATAACCCCTAGGTCAATAAACTGAGTCATTAGCACGTCCTTTAAATAATTGTTTGTCTGTTACTGGTTCAACATTTATATAATCTGTCATAATACCTTGGTTTTTTAAGGTACAAAAATTACTGCTATAGGTTTAAACTAGAGAATATCATGTAAGTAGCAATGTTTTTTCAGCGACAGTTTAACTATACTGTCTGGTACTGAGTGAGTTAAAGCCTGAACACCACAACTAATTACTATGTAATGCTAACCTTAGTTGCTGGTTCATTTTGAGACTCTTTAAAATATGAACTGTGTATTTTACCCCTATGCACTCTCTTAATGATTTGTTTTTTTAGACTGAAATCACTTCCAGCCATCAGTTATACTTTTGGTCTCTACATATGCACTTCTCCAAGCACAAATATTTCTTTTTCCTATTGGTCTGCCAGCCCTGTCAGAGCAAATTTCACTTTAAACTAAATGCTATGATACTTAAAACCTCTTGGATTACTCAGGCTGCTAGTGTGATCTGTAACCTTCCAAGAATGACAGCTAAACTTTCCAATTTGCTTATACTGTTTGGGGAACTAGAAAGCACATGCCAAAAGGAAAATGTTTCTGATGTTGAACAGAGAGGAAAGTTCTTGTTGGAGGTGGGGGCAAGAGACTATTAAGTACTGAAAAATACTAATAAGAAATGAAAATAAACTAAACATGCTGTAAAGTCTAAGACCTTAAACATAATTCAAAAGTTAATACTAGTACTAAAAACTCTGGCTAAACTGGTTAAAATATGAAAAATAACCTTTAGTTACTGTAGTTTAAGTGCCAACCAGAATCTTAAAGTGATAATGCACTATTGAAATGAACAAATTCAAAAAATGGAATATAAAATTATCACAAGTGCTACACAAAATGGGCTATATCAACTCCCCATCTTTCTTTATAAAACAGACAAGTCTGACATATGAACAAAAATCAAAGAGTTAATACAGCCATCTAACATGCATGCTACCCCCACGGACATAATACTAGTCTCTCTTATATGAATAAAAAACACTACTGACATAACACCAGACTTTTTTTTTTTTTTAATTAATGTTAAGTTTTTTTTTTTGTTAAAACTCATGTCTCCAAAGTCCTTAAACAAATCATTCAGTTTGGGAACATTTTGGAATAGTTTAGAAACTTTTCACTTTAAGGAAGCAGACAAATGTTTGTCTTAAAAAAATCCTGAAAATCTTATCAAATGTAAGATGCTTAATATAAAATCTCCTATTTATTTCATAATCTACTTATTCATTTGTGTCAATATTTTTTAGTCTAAAATAATAGTCAAATTACATTTGGATGATAAAAATCGAGCAATGACTGATAAAGATGTTTCTGGAAAGCTAAATCAAACTAACCTTTTTGCAAAATTGAGGGCAAACATATAGATAATAGAAATTATATTTAAACACATTAAAAGTGCATCTTTTTAAACAGCTAAGCATGATAACTTAAAAAATTTGATTCTAAACTTATAAATGCAAATATATACACACACATAAAGGCATTTCCTTGCTTTGTATGGATATTTCAAAAGATTTATAGTGGGCAGTATTATTTGATGTTTTGCAGCCATTAGTTCAGTAATTTCAGTAATAAATACAGGTCAGAAAAATATTTCACAGTTATTTAATGTCCTCTAGAACATTTAGGATCTCAGAATACTGTATAATATACCAGAAATGTATTAGAAGAACAGGAATTAAAGTAAATCTCTACTATTATAAGCTTTCTTGGTCCTTAAGACTATATTTAACTGTTACATTATGGGTTTCTTTTTTAAAAAAGGTAAATTCATTTTCTGCTCAGGTATAAGACTATAGATTATAAGATTACATGTCTTTTGATGATGAAGCATGGTATTTCTATATCATCTTCAAAGAATAGGGCTAAGCATCCTTTGGTCACACTTTGCATTGACATAAACAAATTCAGTGTAGACTGGAATGTAGAAATATATGACAATTGTTTATCTGACTTGTAAGAGTCATATTTTAAGTTAAAATTATTCTTAAATCAGCCTAAGGAAACACTATCTTTTTTCTTCTTTGTCACTCATGTACATCAGCATTTCCCCTCTTAATTTAAGGACTAGCAATTAAGTTTATGAAATTCACCCAAACTAACTTAAGTACAAACTATGAACTTATCAATAACTCCTAAATTTTCTTAAAGTTAGTAGGGTGCAATTACTTCAAAACTAGAATATCTGAATGGGATTTGTGTCTCTACTGATGTAACTTTTTTCAGTCTATATCTGTAACTAACTTTGACATGACTTCTTTCTTTGTAAAATAAGAATAATGGCTATATCTTTTAATATCTCTATGCCTTGAGATTATTGTATTTCCAAGAAAAGTACCCGCATATAGTATGTATTTGGTGGTGTTATTGTTATGACATATGAAAATGATGAATACTTCCCTAGAAATGCTTAGGAAATTCTGGCTTCTGCCTAATGATCTAGACAGTTAAGGGATACTCTATCATACTTGGCATGCTTCATACACATGCTTTCTGTTTTGCCTTTATAGGGCTCCTACATAATTCATAGAGATTTATGCCTCCACATAAACATACTAATTGTTGTTGCACTAAAATAATGCCGTGGCCAATCGTTCTTTCCTTTTACCGTAGTGAGACTGAACTGTTTGTATAAATAAGGTTATTCAATCAAAACCCTTTAGATTTTATGTCATGATTGATGAAAATAACAACACCTTTAGGGATGAAACTTACTGACAGATTCTAGTTACATGCTTTTTCATCTTATTTGATACTCAGTGAGTTTATTTTCAAAGTAGTAAATCAAGGGTAAGGTTTTTAGTTATCTCATGCAAATCATCACTTCCCACATTGTACGCATTCCTATACTCAGGTTTACTGCCAGTGTTGGCTTCTCTTAGAAAAGTGCACACAGGTCATGAAAACGTTTAGGGTGGAGTATTTTCATTCTGCGATGTGTGTTGTCTTTGGGTTTGTGCCAACCTGACAATCTGGCACTTATAAGCAAAGCTGGGCAACTATGAGAATTCTTTAAGGAGATGGAATGCACCATACATTTTTGAGATTATCTGGGTTTTAGACAGTATTCTGAATGAACATATAGGTATATCTATATTTGTTATTTCAAGTATGCAGGAACAGGGACAAATTGATTCAATTTAAAATAACTATGGTATCTACTTGCTGATGGCAAACAGTATCTCCCTTCCCCAGAGTTTGTTGGGGGATAAGGTAACATGCAACTGCATAAAATTGTAATAGTTTCTTTTTCCCCATAGTGTATAAAAAGAATGAGGTAAATTATAATAGCCTAATATATATGAAGGCTTTGAAAACATTTTTAAAAATACTTTAAAAAATATTTGAATGCTTTTTAAAAATACTTTTTTGAGATTTTTTACAACTCTTAAAATGCTTTTTAAAAATACTTATTAATGCATTTTACAATGTTTTATAAAAATATTTTTTGACTTTTAAGAGCTCTTGCATATTTATCACCTCAAAAAATATCTCAGCATGAAGTTTGGGCACCTATATCAATATAGCTTTATAGGTTTTTTTGTATAAATTTGAAAAGATGTAAATTTTAAGCTACAGTTGCATTTTAAAAATTTACTTGCCTAACTATGTTCATAGAAGCCTCCTCCCATCCTTTCATATTTGAGGGGCTCTAAATTAGCCACTTGATACTGTCTACACAAATCTGGATTCCTTTTTAAGATCGCTTTGCCTTTTAGTTTCTGACAGCCCAGTAGGAAGGTGCTGTTTTTGGCTGGAAAACCCTGAAAAAGCAGGGTGTATCAACTTTAGATATAGTTTCTTCTAAAGCTAAACAAAGAAAACAGGCTTAATATATATAAGATACATTGTATTTCATAAAATATAATGTTGACTTATGTTCATAAAAAGAGAACATATTCAGGAAATTATGTTCCTGTTTAAGTGTATTCAAAAGACTATTTAAAATCTTTAGCTTATTCAAAGGGTGCAAGACAGCATTTGTTAATTCTGCCTTTCTACTCTAAAATGAGACCATAGAAATATGTAGCTTTTACTTAAGAATCAAGATAAATACACACAGATTTTACATATACCCATAATTAACTTTAATATTAGAAAAATGATTAGAAAATTACTAATAATTACGTTTAAATACAAAACAAAGCAGTATTTGAAAATAAATTATATGACAGAGTCCCATACTTGTCTCTTTGGAGCAGGTCTGAGTTCTATCTAATTCATGGAGGAACTGAGCAGTTAGATTACCAACTAATTTGGGCTAATATTGGAAGATTGTGTGTTAGCCTAAAATTCCTACAGGTAAATTCTATAAGATTATAGCTCATAATTAATCCTTTAACTCCAGACATCGCCTCCATTTTCAAATGACCACTTTTTAAAAATTAGAAAACCTGATGCATTTTAACAAATCCTTTATAATTTAAAACTCTTCCAATGAAAAGTGTTAAAAATTCATCAATAGCTATGATGTCAGTGTTAAAAGAAGTTCAAAGCCTAAAATGTTTTGTCTCTTGTTCCCTTGGAACATTTTACATTTCTATGTAAAATGAAAAGTCAGTTTTAACTCAGTAAAACTTTCACCCATGAGATGGGAGTCATAGAAAATCAACATTTATATAAAGCTCCTTGATAAAATGGTTCTCCCCAAACCTGTAATTATTCAAATTACATTTTTTAGGACTCTGATGTGTTTCTAAAGAGGCAATATCTCTATTACAAAGACACAAAAAGCTGCTGTTTCGACTAATCCTTCCAAACTACTTATTGTTTTAAAGAAGTAATTAAACACTAGTGAATTGTCAGACCATCAAAGTACGATGTTTTATGAAATAGCATATATAATTTAAAAAGTTGTATTTCAAAAATAATGTGGTTCTTTGTCAAATATTGTACTGCTTAGCTTAGAGTGCTATAAAATCTGAACCTACTTACTTTTTTTCTAAGAAAATTCACATTCTCTAAATTTTGTGTGTGTGTATAAGAAGATACTAAAGGTCTGTGTTTTTGTACTAGAAGTAAGTCAATGAATGACACACTCCACATAGCATGCTCTTTACAAAAAATGAGGGGGAGTATTATTTAAGATAATGTGGCATTCTTTTCTAAATATCATTAATTCTGTTTCCTCTTAAAATTAAGGAGAATTCAGAAATGTTTAAGATGTTTATTCTGCTGGAAATATTTCCAATAGACAAATATTATTTATTCTATTTACACTAGAATAAACATCTTAAACATCTGAGTTCTCCTTAATTTTTAGAGGAATATATATTATATATATATATATTACTCAACATATTGGAGTAACATAAAAGTGGGCAGAAACAGGTAAAAGACCATTGATGTCCAGATACTGACAATGTAGTATTACTTTTATAAGCCTGATAATACTATTACCCTTAAATATTTTCAAAACAGAAAGCTGAAAGAATAATAAAGAGAATGCTTTAACTCATCTCAAAAAATTATATTTTTAACCCTGAACTATATAAGCCTCTTAAAGAGAATGAGATTATTTCTTACCGACCTCCATATCCCTAGACCTCATCCAAGTGCTTGTCAACTAAAAAGGTTATGAATAAAGGAAATTTTAAGTGTTAAAAGCAAACATTAAATGATTCTATATTTTATCCTATATTTTGTGCTTTATAAAGTTAATTTCACCTGTCATCACAGAAACTTTAAGTAAAATTATAAGTATCTTTTGGAAAGAGCAGCAATAACAACATAAAAATCCCAACAGTATATATGCTATTTTTATCATTTATTGACTACTAACAGACCATTAGTTATAACCTGGTAATAGGAAAGAAACATGAACAAGGAAACTCTATTCATTTTAAGTATGGAGTAGTATTTGTTGCTACAGAACTTAAGCTATTGGACTATGAAAACTAATACAGATTTTTAAAATATTCTGATTATCCTCTAAAGATACTCTAAAAATACAACCAACTAAAGATATAACTTTAAGATACAAGTCTAAAGATACAACTTTAAGATCCTCCAAAGATACAACCAACTTTAAGATCCTCTAAAGTCATAACCATCTTCTAAAGTTACACCATCCTCTAAAGATACAGCAGTAAAAATTCTTAATACAAATACTCCCTGATGTTTAAACATGGAGCCATTCCTCCAGGTGCAACACAAAATTTACAACAAATCAGCAATGAAATTGACTATAACTGAAATTATGTGACTTCCAAGCATGTTTTCTACTGATCTTTCTCCATGAAAAATATAACTCCAAGAAAATAATTATTTTGCAATTCTAGTCAGTTGGTTATTGCTATTATTAATGAGATATTGAATACTAATCATATTATTTCTTCCTCTGTTATGGTGAACCTATAATGTTTCTTTAGGCTAGATTAAAGTAGATGGACTAGAAATATGATTTTACACACTTGTAATATTGGGACATTATAAGAGTTGCTTTTGAAAATAAAATAAAATTTTTCTATGATAGAGACTGTGCTTAGATGGGTGTTTCTCAGTATATTTAATTAGACTTGTAGTAGTATAATACAAGTACACTACGAATCCCTTAACTGGATCTTAATTATGAAGGCAAGCATCTTCATCTATGTAAAATATAGCTACTTAAGGTCTGTTTTTATCTTACCTAGGTTATTAAAAAATTTTCCCATATAGCATAGGCTCCTATCAACAATTTTATAATACAAAGCATATGATACTATAAGCAGGATATATAATACACATCTATTTGATTATATATTTAATAGATGGTATGCATTGTACATTTGAAAGGATACTGAAATAGTAAAAATTAAAATTAAGAAATTATAAAAAAGTTCACATTGAAAATGAAACAGCATGGGAAATGGAGTAAGACATCTATGTCTGAATACTGGCTCTGACCTTTAAAACTTCTATTAAACAAACGTCTATTGAGAACCTAGTGGTGCCAGTAGATAGAACTTTGAAAAAGACAGTCAAAGTTCTTGCCCATCTAGAGACTGTATTCTTGTGGTAGGAGGGAGAATAAACAAGTGAACAAAAATTAAATTACTAGGTTAGATGAGGGAGAAGCAGCTTCTTTGATAATTCTCTTAGGAAAAGATTCTCTGAAGAAGGAATATTTGAACTGAGACTTGAAAGGTAAGAAGAAGCCAGTTATTTAAAAAGTCAAAAGACTATTCCAGTTAAGCACAAAGGTGACAAAGTGCGAAAGAACTTGGTGAATGTCTGGGGAAGAGAAGGGAGTCCAGAGTGGGTAGAATTAACAAGCAATTATAACTGGAATATTTGATGAGGCTGGAGATGTAGATAAGTGTCAAATAATGAAGGACTTTATAGAACATGGTAAGAAATTTGTATTTTATTACAGGAGTATGGGAAGCCATTGAAGGCACGTGAGAGACGTGATATGACATACTTGAAAAAGATCATTATGGCTACTGTGGAAAAAATGAAGCAGAAGGGAAGTGCAGAAACAGGAAAATTAATTAGGCTATTGAGTGGTTCAGGTGGCAGATGATGGTGGCATGGAATAGGGTACTAACAGTGAAAATGGAAATAAATAGCCAAATTTCAGATCTATTCCAGAAATGAAATGAAAACAACAGGGCATGCAGATGGTTTGCAGTGGAGAGAGAGGGTAATGGTGAAGAAAAGGGAGATAATAAGGAAGATTCCAAAGTTTAAAGCTTGAACTACTAGGTGGGATGGTGGTGACACATACTGAGACGAGAAGATTAAGGGAGGAACCTGTTTATATGTGAGAAATCAAAAGTTAAGTTTGATAATTTTATTAAACATTCAATTTGATAGCATAAGGAATAAGGATGGTGCTGAGAGGACAAGTCTAAGCTAAAAATATAGGTTTACAAATGGTACTTAAAGCCATGGATCTGGATGTAATCCTAGGTGTGGTGGGTGCAGTTAGAAAAGAGGGTCCCCCAAAACAGGGTATGGATAGAGAACAGGGATATAGCCCTGAAGTAACCAGCATTTAAATGTGGAAAAGAGAAGGAATGGCCAGCAAAGAACATTGGGAAGAAATGACAAAGGGCTTAGGAGGAAAATCAGAAAAATGGGGTATCTTGAGAGCTGAAAGAAGGGAGTTTCAAAAAGCAGGGCCTGGTCAACTGTGTCAAAACCAGCTGAGAGGTAAAGATGAGAATGGTCCATTAGATTTGGCAATATGAAGACTATTGGTGATTTTGACAAGAGTGGGGAAGTTGAAGAGCACATGCAAGTCTTTTGAGAAGTTTTGGATAAAGGGAATTGAGAAACAGGAAGCAGTTGGAATATGATGTGGGGCCAAAGAGTTTAACTTTGCAGATTCTGATTTATGTTTATATGTTGACAGGAATGATCCAGTAAAGGGGAAAAGAGTGACAACATAAAAGAAGTCCTTGAAAAGACAAGAATGGGGTCTAGAGTAAAAATGGGTTTATTGGATTTTGAAAAAACTTCTTTCATTGTAATAGAAGAAAGGTGGGCAAAGGTAAGAATAGTTTATTGATTGAGTGGTGGCAAGATAACCTGGGGTAAGTTGCTTAAACCTACATGCTTCAGTTTTCTTAATAATAGTGTCTCCCTTCTTCAGCTGTTGTGAAGAGTAAATTAGATAAGGGATGTAATAAATAGCAATTCATAAACTGCCTGGAACTCACTAAATATATTTCAATAATTGCCATCATCATTATTGGTCCATCTATCTCATATTGTACATAGATCTGAAACCATTTAGAGCAGCAGCCCCGAACCTTTTTGGCACCAGGTACTGGTTGTGTGGAAGAATTTTTCCATACATGGGGGAGGAGAGACGATTTTGGGATGAAACTGTTCCACCTCAGATCATCAAGCATTAGTTAGATCCTCATAAGGAGCACACAACATAGATCCCTAGCATGCAGAGTTCACAATAGGGTTTGTGCGCCTATAAGAATCTAATGCCGCTGCTCATGCAACAGGAGGTGGAGCTTAGGCAGTAAGGTTTGCTGGCCTGCTACTCACCTCCTGCTGTGTGGCCAAGTTCCCAACAGGCCATGGACAGGTACTGGCCTGGGAGTTGGGGACCCCTGATTTAGAGAATACCATTTAAAATAATACAATTAGAATAAAGATTGTGTATGTCACTGAAGTCAGCATTGTTTCTACTCCTTTCCAGCAGTTTCATTTAAAACTCTACTGGACTGTTCATGTCCCCAAAACAAATTCTTTTGAGCAGTTGCACTTGTTTAAGAATTATGTGTGTGTGTGTGTGTGTGTGTGTGTGTGTGTGTGTGTGTGTTTAAAGACAACAAAAACTGAAGAAAACAATGTTTACTTCATGAAGAAACTTTCTGTGGACTTGCAAGGTTAGAATTTTGGGCAGATTTAAAGTTGCAAAGAAACGAAGAAGCAAACTATAGAAAAGGCCCTCAGATAAAGTCTAAAATTCTGTTTTCATCTTCATCTTTTTTTCACATGCAAACTATTATGTTACAATTTAAGTAGACATAGGTCTATTTGAAAACAATTCTAAGAGTATAAGCTACATTTTGAAAGTTCAACATTCTAACATTATACCTAATACCTTCTGAAAAGGCCCTGTGAGTGCTGCACCTCTTTCCTTTAAAATGTTCAAACCACTCCTCTTACCCTCCTCTTGTATTGGGGTAACTAACAACAGGCATTTCCCCAAAAGTGGATCCTCTTTTTATCAGGAGATCTGACTTTACTGTCCCCAATTCAGAAACAGTCTTCTGAGTTCTCAATACACTTTTGGTTATTGCTTTTATGGTAGTTGTCTAAATCAATAAATATTACATATTTTTTCTTTATCTCAACATTTTGATTTTTATGAGGATGAGAATAATTTTTTCTGTGAAATTAGATGGCTAAACAGTAACTGTGACTTCAATCTTCTGGGAAAATATAAGCTGATTTCCTTTTTTGATTTATTTTATAAAATTTCATATTTCCATATATAAATTTGACCTAATATAAATATACAATAAAATATATTTATCAATGACTATCACCCAAGATGGCCCCCTGAGGGTGAATTTCTTGACAAAGAAGTTGCTAACTTCCAGTTGCCAACCACAAAAACAAAGCAGTAGAAAAGATAAGAGGTGTAAGTAAAAAATATATTTAACCTGTATTAACTGAATCAGGTAATTAATGCCTCAATTGAGAGGTTTCATTGTAACAAAAAAGAAAATAAATATGATTCTTTATGTACTTTACTATGAGGATGCACATATTAATGTATAAAATTCAGCTTGCTTAAATGTGATTTTGAAATTCTATTGATTTATTCAACATATTCATAGTATTTCCTTTATGTTTGTAAGGACCCATTTGATAAGATGGTATAGTGTGTGTTAACAACAATGTTATTTTTACTCTAAGAAGAGCTCTTATAAAGTGAAACTTCAATTTTTTGAAATCCTTGAAATTCCCTTAAATTTCCTTAAGTACTGTGGTGTCTTCTCTATAATGAAAACTGAAAAATAATGTTATGACTCATTAAATAAACTCAGTAAGTACAAACTTATGTTGAAACTAAACATACAAAATAACTAAAGAAATAACAAACCATTTTATTTTATTTGAGGAGAAAAAAGAAAAAAAGGCTTGGTCTTTAAAAAGGATTAAAATAAACTCAATTTATGGAGTCTTGGAATCTTCACGGCAGTGCAGACGGACTTCCACTTGCCCTCCCCTGGCCCACCTCCTGCACACCTTCTCCTCTTAGTTTATTCACATTTTAAATCTTTCTTCCAAGTTTGGCCTGCAACCACTTGACTGGATAAAGTAGGTCACTTGAAAAGGAAGAAAGCCCAATAAAATGAATTGCAAAGAAAACAAGATTAAACTGATTGTGCTGTTTTCATACATTGTAGCTGAAATTCTGCAAATATGCAGTTGGCTGTGGTTTGGCATTCAACAGAATGTGATCAGTAAGGAGGAAATTTTATTCTCATTAACTGCTGCAGATTTACTGCAGTGAAAAAGGGCTATGTAACCCAAGATGTGACAGTACAGAAAGATCAAAGCCATGGACTGGAAACTAAATAAACCCTCTGGCTACTTCCTGCAAGGAAAATTCACTTTGGCAATGTAGAACAGAGCCCAGTTAAAAACTACTCTCAGTTTTATGAGCTGTCATAGCAGTTCAAGTGGTTTGGACTGGCTGAGTTTATAACATTATATTTCCTTGTTTTTGTCTTAGATACTTCCGTAAGCAGTTTTAAAGACGCCCCCCCCCACCCCTTTAAAAAACACAACAACAAAAAACTAATTTCTTTTGATTGAAACCAAGAAGGTAACCACTAAACTTATTAACGCAGGTAGGTCTTCATTTGCAGATTCCTTTCTCATTTAATACAGCTTAATATTTTATTCTTAGATTTATTTGGTAATATAAATTTACTTAATAATTCATCTACAATCTGTATAATTCCTATTCAGAATAAGTGCAAATCAGTTTACAGAGCCCATATGGCTCATATCTGAGGAGTAAGCTATTTGTAATAGCACATCTGTAAAGACTATGGGCAATATGGAGATTATGGGAATTAATATTACATTTAAAATTACATTTGAAAACCTGTAGGCCCTAGGTTTTAGCTGTTTCTTAAAAAACAAATATCTTAGAAAAAATATCTAATATTTCTAATATAAGAAATCTAACAACTGTTCATAAATAGTTAAATTACATTGTTAAATCAATCAAGACAACAATAGGCTAGATTAAATCTACCTTAAATTAGAAAATATCCCTGAGTTAAGGAGTAAGCTCAATATCATTACACTCATATTTAAAGGAAATAAAAGATGACATGCTCTATTTCTCTCCCTTATTTTTTTAAGGGGGAATAGTGATGCTTATTAACCAATTATATACAATTTTGTTATTCTCATTATAATATGAAGGAGCAAGCCTTTATGACGGTAATTTGCATTATATTACCTTAAAAATCATTTTTGTTTTTTACAATAAGAGCATTTCTAGGTCAAATATGTCATAAGAACCGTCATCCTTGCTTAAAGACTTTCTTTCTTTCCATTTAAATTTACAACTAATTTCTATCTGTAAAGCCAACAAAAATGCAATACATGTGAAAAGTATATGACGTTTAACACTAGATAATCACTCTTAAATGGTGATGATATAATTAACTTGCCAGACACAACTGGATTGGCTTCTGTGTCATTTTTTCTAGTACAAAGCTGTACCATAATTGACATGTTAACATTTTTAAAGGTTCCAGTCATATTCGGGTTACGTTTTAAATTTATAGACTCAATTATGCTGAATTTCTTCTACTAAGTCAAAGTCCTAATGTCACAGGATCCTTGGGGTGTTGCTTTGCCACCCAGAAACCATTGTGGCTGGCGGCACCTTCTCCCTGAGTATTGTTTGCGCCCGCTGGGCTCGTTCTGCCCACTAGGCCCGATAGGCTGTGCTCAGCTTGAGCTACCAACCTGGATCCCACACCTGCCAAGGGTTAGCCAGGTGTGGAGCGGCGAGGTTGTGTGGGTGACCAAGCGCAGGGTCTGGTCACCACGCACAGCAGGCATGCTGGCTGACTGGCTACTATGGCAGGGTGGTTAGCTCCAGGCACTGGTACAGGTGCTGGCTCTGTGTGAGGCTGCAGATGGACCAGATGTACCGCACGCAGCTTCTGCTCTGAGCAACTGCGTCTGGATGAGGGAAACACAGAGGCGCCCAGAAACCTGGAGAAACTGGGAACCGCAGAGCCCCACAGAGGGTGTCACATCCCTGGCTCAGGAGCAACTACGTCTGGGCTCTTGGAAGAGCCACAGCTCTTCCCTCCTTCTCGTTTCCCACAACATGGTGAGTGGGGGCGACGTGTTTCAGCCCCGTTTGTGTTACAGCTCTTTGAGTCCTGCCATTCAGGTCCCAGGTTCTTGTTTCCCATCCAGGAAGAATGAGGTTAAGTGGACAACTGGAGGGTAAGCAAAGGGGAAGAGGAGCTCCATTGAGTGACAGAACAGCTCTCAGGAGACCCAAAGTAGTAGCTCCTTTCTGCAGGCGGCCTGATGAGTGTCCAGCTCTCAGCAGAGAGGAGATCTGCAGTGGGTAGCTCCTTACAGCAAGCAGGTAATCCCCACGTCTGTATGAGTCTGGCTGAGCCTGGGGTTTTTCTAG
The DNA here is from genome assembly GCF_000001405.40 of Homo sapiens. NCBI lineage: Eukaryota > Metazoa > Chordata > Mammalia > Primates > Hominidae > Homo > Homo sapiens. The sequence continues at coordinate 169,944,828 of NC_000001.11, forward strand.
GCTCAGAAGGGAGGAAGTGCATGCTGATTGGTCCATGGCTGGCCATGGACAGGGCCAGAAAAAGTACAAGTTCTCACTTTGGGTGGGAGACTCCACCTGGAACCGGCAGCCTGGTCCCCAGGCTCAGGCCATCCCTGGTTAGAAGGTGGGGTTTCACTGGGGATTCACTCCTTTTTGCCCAGGAGCCTGCCTGTTGCCATCAACATGCCATCCAGGGTGCCCAGGCAGCCCATACTAAGCCACCTTCAGCACCCCCTGGCCTCCCTCCCTGAGCTTGTAGGTGCCCAAAGCTTCAGAGGGGGCTGAGGCAGTGGGGGGCGGGGGGGGGCTGGTGTGTCAGTACCGCCCCAAGTGCAGGCACACCCAGCCAGGTCATGACAGTGCCTGGGCTTGGCTTCAACTTTGCTGCAAAATTGGAGCAGGCACCGGCAACAGGGAGAGGCCAGGGAGTGGAAGCAGGCACTTCCGAACCTGCAGGGGCAGGGGGCCTTCCCCAGGCCCCCAAGAGCACAGGGATGACCTGGTCTCAAGCTGTGGCTGGGCGGCTGCAGCTGTGCCCAGGAGTGTGGGGCTCCTGGCCTGCCAACTTGGCAGGGGGCAGGGCTCATGCCTCTTCCCAGCCTGACAGCTCTGTGTAGCTCACAGTGTCAGCTGCGCCTCCCCAACTGCAGCTGGCATCCCTGCAGCAGCTGCTCCAGATGGGCCACTGCTGCCATCACTAATAAAGTTACAATAAATTTGGTTTTATTTGGGAGCATCTTTGGGCTTTCTATACAGCTAATGTGCATGCCTTCAAAATTTTTGCTCAGATTAGCAGATTTAAATTGAACACTAACTTGAAGAGGGTAGTTCTGTCACAACTTCTCTTGTTTCTAAAGTTTCAAAAGAAAGCGAATCACTTGAAATATTTTTTCAACTCAGGACTATAATTTCTCTAGGATAAAACATCTTCCCAAGTTTCCAGGATTCTAAGCCTTGATTTGTGGCTCATATGTCTATATTTCAGTTAAGTTTACAATTTACTAATGCCGATGTGTGATAATCTAATAAAATCTGCCCTTAAAGGTTATAGGCCCAATTTACTAATAAAACCTAATTCAATTCTCCTTGGGAAATGCAAATCATTAGTGTCCAAGCAGCAGAACTGAATTTCCTTGCCTTTTCTATATTAGAAAGAAGCTGTCTCTCTAAGAAGTCTAAACAAATAAGAGAAATCAGACTATTAATAAGCCCATGAGGATTCATTTATGAGCATTTTTAAAACAAATGAATTTTGCATTTTAAAACAATGCAAAAATTTAAACTGGTTAATTAGCTGAATAAATGATTTTTAAGAGGCATTTACCCTTCTAGACTGAGAATATCCCACTTATTTCATTCCCATTTTTTATACAACTGGATTTAATCTGTAGAGAATTTAGTGAACTAACTAAAGATAATTTAAAGGTAGTGAACTAATTACTTAATGTATTAATAAACCCTTAGCTGCTTGCTTCCAAGCAAATCTGAATCACCAGTTTGCAGTAAACCATGTCAAATGTATTAAATCAAACTGGGTAAACAGTATGTCATGTTGCACAACAAAACCTACATATCTTACTCTGAATTTTAATAACATTTATTTTAAACTTTCTAAAGTACAGTTCACTGATAAGACTAATATATCTGCTTGTCATCTGGAGGCAATAATGATGTAATAGTAGGAGTGTTGGCTCTTACCAAGCTTAAAGGCTTCACTATTAGCTACCTGGTTTTAGGCTAGTTCCTTAAAAATATCTGAACCTTAATTTTCACATTGTGAAAATAGGGACAATATTACTCCTTGCCCTATAACCTCACACACTTTTTAATGATCAAATAAGATACATGAAGATTTAAATGCAAGATAAATGTAACTTATTAGACTTCATATACTTAGATTTAGAGTAAAAAGGCTTAAACATTTTATTCTTTGAATCTTTTAGAAGGCTCCTAAGGTATTCCACCTTCTTAACTAAAAAAGTAATTGGGACAGCTACTATGAAAGTACACAGAAAGAAAAAAGGGATTTCATGTAAAGATTATGTAAGATCAAGACTCTTATACTATAAAAATTTTTTATTTGCTTTGATTTTTTCCTCATTAATTAGAACTATGTTATGACATAGCTATTGCACTCTTGTTCTCCTGTTTTTACCATCCCACAAGTTTAAGAGTAAAATGACCACTGCATTATCTTAGGAATAATTTTACTTGTCATATAGTACTATTTCTTATGGTTTTACTCAAAAAATTTTACTGTACACTTCTGCTTCATTAATACTGAAGAAGGTGGAAAGAACTTAAAATTATTTCTATTGGTCTTACCTACCTATGTCATTTATTACTTGGCTTGAAATAGATGTTTACATATATTGAAAATAATGTCATTTGGATAACTGAATACAATTATAACAAAAATTTGCACAGATCTGAGTATTTTTAGATCAAATCATATACCATGCCCGAATCAGAGCAACTTTTAAAAGTAAACAGGACACTGTATTATTATCCAACCTTACTGTTGCTATAAAGAGGTTCTACTGCGTATGTTTAAATCATGACTTAAAATTCTATTTAAATTGAGAAGCAACCCTTGCAAATATCCCAACCTGGATCCAGCTAAGAACAAGTATTAGGGACTTATGCAAATGTGCATGTCAAGAACAAAGTGTAAATAAAATGTATGACAGTGACTTGCATTCAATGATATTTTTTTAATATTATACTATGTTTCATAATAGACTTATCTTAAAATATGTTTACATATTAAGAGTAAGTCAACAAATCTGTTATAATGTTTTAATACATGAAAATCAATATAAATGGATTGAGCAAATATTCTTAACCATACTGTCTGCTATCTGTTACTAGAATTACAGATGTGGCAGTGATGTATCCAATTTTATGCTATCAAAACATCATATATGAATAAAATTTTTATAAAAAACATTTTTAATAAGGAAGAGGAAAATTAAAAGTTCACTGTGGTAAATCATTTAAAAAGTGAAGAAGTTTATGAAAGGTGGATATTCATTAGTAAATGTATCTATTTTGACTTATTTTAACATTCACATATAAAGTTTACTTAGAGAACCAGTGTAATATAATCTAGTATGTAGACAAAAATCTCATGGCACAAAAATAACGTTGTAAAAATGTTTATTCCACTACCCTCAATGTATCAATTTTCTTTGACACATAATAACTTATTTATCAGTCTTTATGTTTATCTCTGATTATTTCATATGGACAAATTCTTAGAAATAAAGTTATAGAGTAAAAGGAAGTAAACAATCTAAGGCTCTTGTTCTTTATTACCAAATGCCTTTCATAAAGGTTTTATTAAATTCTACAACAGGTGTTTAGGAGTGCTGTTTTGCTTTGATGTGTGGGTATTAGCACTAGAAATTATTTGGCAATTGATAGGTGAAAATGTTATGTCTGCTTTATTTTGTAAACACCATGTCTAGAAAAATGGCTAAGTCAGTTTTTTTGAAAGGCTTCATGAAGCATGTTTTCTGCTGAGAAAAAGTAATATGAAATTCATAAATAATAGAAAAACTATGATCATCTTTGGTAAAAAAAAGTAATAACACACTAAATGAAGCAGTATTTTAGTCAATGATTATTTTAAAAAGATTTTATAGGTTTTTAGCAATTAGGTTAGTTCTTACAATGCTGAACAAATGGTTGGTGTCAATGTCTATCAAAGAAAATGCTTCTGAGAGGTTCTTTTCACTTTTTTGATCCTTCCATCTAATTGCTATGCTATGGCCACAGTAATGAAGATCATTGAACTTAAATTATTAGAACAAATGAGTTTGGGTTATTAATTAAAAATTGATAAAGGACTTATCAAAGAAGGAATTTTGCAGGCATATTTACTTTCCTCTCAATATAAAAGAATTTTTTGCTTGGCCAAATTAAGGGCTGTAAAATAGACAACTTAGTTTCTCTTCTGAATAACTGCTTTGAAACAAACTCATAATATACAGTTCTAGTAATATGTAGTTCTGTAAACACTGCACAATGCCTTTTAGACAGAGAATATGTAATTTTGAGGTTGCTTTCTCAAGGGAAAAAAACAGTAAACTAAATAGCTGAGTATAATTAAGGCAGCCTTACAGCTAAACAAATAAGTCTAATTTTTTTATATGTAGAATTCTAGAATTAAAAAATCATACATTTAAAAATTTGGGTAAAAGATTATTTCTTATATTTTAAAGAAATAATTTTTTAGTTCTCCTCAGTATGATTTTTAAAAGTACAACTAATATCCAACTGTGATTTAATATTTGAAAAAAAAGAGACCAAAATAGAAGGCATATGTATATGTAATATATAATACATATAATGCATAAAAAAGTTAATATTAAAGTACTCTAAGAAAAGAAAAAGAGGCAGGCTATAACACACACATAGAAAATGAAAGTTTAAGAGTCAGATGGCTCAGATAATGCATACATCTAGTTTGTCTTTGACCCCACTGAAATGGTCAGTAAATGACATCACTGTGCCAACCACAAAGAAGAACTCCAGGCTCTCTGAAAAATATTTTTCAAAGCCCCAAGGAAACCTAAGCAGTCTCTGCAATTTTTTTTCCAGTTTATGAAAATTGGATTCCTATAAAAGAAAAATGGACCATTTTTACTGCAACAAAAACTGATTTGTAAAAGCTGGAAGCAGTTTAAAAATACCCTTAACATGCGGTTCTTGTTAGTCTTGAAAAGTAAAAGTTATAATAAAAAAATGGTCCAAAAATATGGTGCAGATACATGGTATACATAACTGGAAAAAAGCTAGTCTTGCTCCTATTATTTTTAATTAGCTTCAAAAGCAAGTTCCACTTTACTTTCTAACACCAGTTCAGATTTTGGGAGGGGAAGATTTACATTTGACGCTCTGGGATTGGCAACTCCATAGCTATTGCCTTAGAGCCCTAATGCATTTTGCATTAGCTCTAAATGTTGGGAAATCCTGGCGCCAAGAGGTTCAAACTGATAGTGACACATGTCTAAAACCCAGGATTCACTGTCCAACTGCCAATATCTATTTTATCAAACATCCAGTCTTCTTATAGAATGGGATAGATGAGTTTAACAGTTTTCACTGTTTCCAATTAAACTGCATTGCTATCTTACAAAAATGAAGGTATTCAGATTAAGAAGGACCCCCTGACTTGGATTTTAAGAAAAATACCAATTTCAACTATTTAAATTCTTCTCTAAATCTGGCTTAGTTTCTCAGATTTTAATACATTCATCCTATTACTGAACCTTGTCATTTTATGAAGAAATAAATAATTTTTCTTTAAACAATTAAAAAAACCCTTGTGTCATACAAATTAGCAATTTGTTATTTATTACATGAATCCACTCAAACTGAAACATTAAGAAAACAGAGAATGAAAAGCCATGAGAACTGGCTGAAGAGTATGCCACTTGGCACTGTCATATTGTTTCGTGTTTTATCCCACATATTGTTATACTTAAATCATTGAAAACAATGGTAATGATAAAAGTTCACCTTTTATACATTAATCAAGTATTACTCTTTCTCCAGATAACTTGACAGTGTTTATTTATCAAAGACATATGAAGAAGAAGCAGGGAAAGAATTTATAAATCATCTGGACCATTTCCCTGATTTAAAGGAAAAACACCCAACAACTCCAAATAGACAATTTAATCTTTTTAAGATATTTAGAGAATCAGCTTTTTCAATATGTAAAGATCAATTCAGCTATTATTCTTTCACAGTTAACACAAATTCTTCATGTTGTCCATTAAGTCTGCTTATTCTCATCTTTACAGTAGAGATGAAGAATGAGTTCAACAACTTCTCTTTAATTAACTTGCATTTCTTGAAAAAGATTCCTACTTTGCTTAAAATCGGTTAAAATTAAAAATTTCAAAAATATTTTTGAATGACTATTATTTAGTTTAATGAGATTTAAATTCACCTATAGGATATCAGGAGCTGAAATGTAGCCATAGTTTAAAATTTCACATTATGCAGCAAAATTATCATATTGAAATATATGAATAATTATGTAACAATTTAAAATACTTAAATCTTTGAATTGAAAAATATGCCACACTTTCAGATCCATGGATACTGTTAAAAAAGAGCTTAGAGGTCCTATTAAAAGGAGAATCTTACCCACCACAAATGATTGAATAAAAGCAAAAAAGCAAATGATTCCAGAGTAAGTCAGTAAAACAAAGTGTGAAAAAGAAGACTATGAATCTTTGGCTATATTGTGTAATCCGTCTGTGGCTCTGCTGATACAGTTTAGGGTCCCTTTTCATTTGTTCTATTACCTACCACAAAATTTGAGGAAATTCATTGTGAATTATTTCTTCTAAACATGAAAAAAGTGATACAGTTAAATGTGATTGAAGGCCTTAAAAATTACAAAAGACAAGAGATGAAAGTCTTAACTTTCTCAGGGAAAGTTCTTTCTAAAGGGCAAACAATTCTCAAATGAAAATAATTATAAAATTGTATCATTCTTTTGATTTGAAAAACAGTCTATAGTAAGTTTTATTAACTAATCTTTTAAGTCAATATTACTGGGATATGTCTTTTGTGAAGTAAAAGAAGCTACTTACATATTTTTACTTTTGAAAAGAAAGTAAAGGTACAAAGGTAAAAGGATTTTCCCAAAGTCATGTAAAAAAATCTTATTAACAGAATGGAGGAATAAAATGCTGAAATCTTTGGACCCAGTACATAACTTGTGGAATACATTTATCTCTCTCAAAACTTTTATTAGTTTATAAAGTAATCATTTTTGAGCACTAGAAATTAGAGATTTTGCTGAATTGAGCAAAAAAGGATTTTCTGTATTTTAGTGAAAATGTTTAGTTTTTTAAAAGTCACATAATTAAATTTAAAAAAAGCAAGTCTTTCTCAAATAAGTAATGCATGATTTATAGCAGTTGGTTTTCTTTAGATTCACAGTATCTGCAGGAGATACAAAAATAATGTTTTGCTAAAAGTAAAACATAAATGGCAGAATAATTAATCTTATAAATGCTATAAGCAAAATTTTTCAATATAAATATTAAGATCACATATCTAAATCATTTCATCCTTTCCCAATTATGTTTCAGAAAACATTTGTACAGTGAATTGTCACCTGATAGAGTACAGTATTTATAATGATTAAACAGAGCCTCTATTTAAATAACTATAGCTAATAAAGCCAGAAGCATCAGAAGTAATCAAAAGCCATATGCTTTCTAGTATTTAACCATGTTTAGCTTTTATTTCCTAAGGCAAGGTGTTTCTTACTATGACAATCTAGTACACAGATGAAACAATTTTTAAAGGGCTACTATTTATTTAAAGTACACTACAGAACACTGAACTACACAAAAGGTTATTACATTTCATGTAATACTCCTATGATTTTCCACCATGCTTTTAAACTTTGGGTCATGACCATCAGCAAGTTGTAAAATCAATTTAGTGAGTTGCAGTTTGCATTTAAAACAGGAAGTGGAATATAATAAAATATAATTGTGTATTACAGGTAGAGTACCATTTTAAGAAATTTTTGTTTTACACATATATATAGGTAGATAAATATATGTAAACAGTTTACATATATATGTATAGGTAGATACATGTATATAAACAAATATGTATGTATGCATTAAGTTCAAATATGAAAGGTATTTCTTTTAATGTGGGTTGTGATCAAAAAAGCTGAAAAATCACTACAGTATATTTTGTGTCCTCCAAATGAGGCAGCATGTTATACTGGAAAGAACATAAACTTTGGTGATATATACACCTGAGTTCAAATTGTTGCTCCATCATCCTACTTGTGTGAATTGGTTAGTTAACCTTGAATTTTTAGAGCTGTGATTTCATCAGTAAAACATATAATAATACTTGTTTTAAAATGTTGCTGTGCAAGTTAAAATATATACGATGAATATTTGTAAAACAGATTATATACAATGGATAATCCATAATGGCTGAAATTATAATTAGTATTAAATTAAAATAACGCTACAAGTGATCATTAAGAGTTATCGCACATTGGTCACAACTGTATTGTTCATTTAAAAAATACGTGAACATATCTTACACATAGAAAATAGCTTATCCTAATGAAAAGTAGAATTTAAGAAGAAAAAAATTAATAATTTAATGAAAAAATTACTAGGCTTAAGGGAAAATAACACTATAACTGTTCACTGGACTAGCTTAATGTGAAATGTCAACGGTCAGCCTTAATTAAAATGTTACACCTCTAGGAATGATATGAAGAGAAAAATATTGTTTATACTTTCTGGCGAGATTTTAAAAATCTATTATATTATTATGTAATAAAGCTGGATATATGCTGTGGGGAACTTTATTATAATTGCAAAACAATACTGGCCTGACTTTTTTTTTCTCTTAATTATTTTAATAAAATGCCATCTAGGGAGGAAAAGTCTTCAATTTAATAAAAGCACCAACTTTTTAAAAACAGCTATGTCTTGGGTAATTGTTAAAATACACATCTTCTGTTCTCATTTTATATTTTAATGGCTTTGGAAAACACTCAGAAACAATCTGCATTCATTAATTAGGCAAAAGTATTGTTTGTGTCAACAGACAATCTATATTTTCCAACTTGAAGAGCATATTTTGTTTTAGATCTGTGATCCCCATTTTTTTTTTGAGACGAGTCTCGCTCTGTCACCCAGGCTGGAGTGCAGTGGCGTGATCTCGGCTCACTGTAAGCTCCGCCTCCCGGGTTCACGCCATTCTCCCGCCTCAGCCTCCTGAGTAGCTGGGACTACAGGAGCCCACCACCACACCCGGCTAATTTTTTGTACTTTTAGTAGAGACGGGGTTTCACCGCGTTAGCCAGGATGGTCTCGATCTCCTGACCTCGTGATCTGCCTGCCTCGGCCTCCCAAAGTGCTGGGATTACAGGCGTGAGCCACCACACGCGGCCTTGTGATCTCCATTTTTTAAATACAGAAAATGTGACTTCATAAGTTAATTTAAAATCAAACAAACATGCCCTTGAAAAGATTGAGGGTTTTTTCCCCCCTCTTAATGAAAAAGAAGAGAAATGGAGAGTGAAGAGGATTTTAGCTTTCCAAAAGCAACAGATACTACACATTAGATTTTTCTTGGAAAACTGTTTACCTGCCAGGAAATGAATGCTGCCCAACAACATCTCCATTTTGAAGGTGGTAATCATTGAAGAAATCGGGACTTATGGCTCCTTCAGAGGCAATTAATCCATCTAGAAAGAAAAAAAAATGGTAACCAGTAAAACATATGTGTAGGAAAAACCTGTCTATCAAGCAATACAATAAGAAAATAACTTGTATATTTAATCTATAAAGAAAAATGTTAGCATGACATGCTGTTCTCTCTGGGAGTATGAACAGACAACTGTATGTACCTTAAGTACTGGTTCACAATAATGCAGCACAACAACTGAACATTCATTGAGCATCTACTATGTATTTGGCACTATGTGAGTACAGAGAGGAATTAGTCTCTGCCTTCAAGCAGGCTTATGGTCTCGTATGGAGAAGAAAGAAAAAGATAAGGAAGGGAAGCAAGGTGGGGACAGACAGTAAGGATGGTTCAGGCTAAGGAAATAGAACAAATAAAGGCAAGGAGGTATTAAATAGTTTGGTATTGGTAAAGGGTAATACTTTATTGTATTTCACAGCTTTATTAGTGTAGCATGATTAGGGAATCAGATATACCAAATAAAATAAGTGAATTTCTAAATAAGCAATATTTGACAGTTTAAGTGCCAGACATTAAAACACACACACAAACTTACATTAGAAATCTTCATATAGTTTACACTCCTTATATTCTTAAAAGGATATACTATACAGAAATATTCCTTGATTATTCAATATTCATTATAAATACTAAATATTGTACAGTCCCTAGCGTTGTGAGATATATCTGATTACCTACGCTAAATAGTTCTATACTAGTATGCTTATTATTCTTTGCTTATAAAGTGCTTCTTTCCCTAAATTTAAGTATTTGTTAAGATATTTTCCTGATTATAGAGTTGTACTACTTTCTCATTTGTTCCAATCTAAGAATCTAGATAACCTATTTTTGATAGAATTATGAATAAGGTAAGAATAAAAAGAATCTGAGGAAAAAAAGATCTAAGTGATGGCTTCAGAGCTGTTCAATGAATAGAACAAATACGTTAGTATACTGCTTTTGTAATAACTATTTGGACAGCTTTGAGGCCTTTCAAAGTTTCCTTTTCTGAAAGTATGCTGGGTTGTTGAGTGGCCTGCAGATAAACATTAGCTAGGTCATACCTACCACATTGTTTATACATTTGGCACACAGTATAGGCAAATTATTCAATCACCAAATGATTATTTTATACTTAGCACATGCAAATACTGTGCTAGGTCCTGTGGGAAATGTATAAAATTACAATACATAACCTCTGTTTTTAAGAATTTTAGTTTAAGTGAAATATAAGACAAACACTTAAGATGCAATTAAAAATGTAATTTATAATAAATGATATACAGAAGGAATGGATATAAGTACCCAATAAGTGTGGAGGCAGTAAAAGCTATAGAGGGGTCAGAAAATTCTACTTTGAGTGGAGGTGGCAGAAGTGTAACAGATTTGAGTCTGGAAAGACAGGTAAGAGTTAAATGACGAAATCTGTTTGAGGAGTAAGGGTCTAAAAAATTGAGTGAATGGTAAAACTAAGTAATAGAGTTGGCAAACGAATTAAGTGGGGTAATTTGTATTTCCATAAGACTCTCATACTACTCATTTGATACATATATCCATGTTACACATCATATATTAATGACATATTATTATTTAATTGTCAAATTGTTAATGGACACCTTTGGTATCTGTCCTATTACTTTACTAATTTAAAATACTTAAGAGATTGCTTGAGTTTCTACAGAAAGTGTCAGTAATATTTAATCCAGTTTTTATGTCCACTAGAAGTTAAAGTTTCTATAAATCAAAAAGACCAGCTAAACACTGAAAAGTTACAAAAAAATGAAATCATGGAAAATGACAAGACACCACAGACTGACAGTAAAGCAATGTAAAAAAATCAATTTTATATGGATTCTAGCCATATAAAAACTTGTGATTTTATATATAGTAAACTTTTTAAAAATGGCTGGGATTTTGTGAAAGTGGCTAAAACTAACAAACTAACAAAACTAACAAAAATCAACAAGTTCCTCTGTTAAATTAAAACCAAAGAATTGAGAATCGGAGTTTAAGAAACCTGCCAATTTTAGAGGAACAAAGCTAAGTAAAATGCCAAAATAAAATATATGCCACACGTGGAAAATACACACAAAGATATTCGGCATGCCAATAAAATAAAAGAATTTAACACTAAGAAATATTTCATAAATAAAGCCAAATGAAAAGATATGTGAATTATGTAAAAAAGTTTATACTTATAAAATATGACATAGTGAAGTGATCCAGATTAGGTAGAAATTAAGTAAAAATCTGACCAAATTCTCAACATCTTATTTTTGATTCAGAATGCCTATTGTCTTCAAAGGGAACAATGAGTAGCAAAAGGATAAATAGAAATACAGGGCACTAGAAAATGGGCGATCATCAAATAGAAATCAAATTAAAAATTTTTTACTTCAAAGATTCAGCCAGAAATTGTATAAATCCAGAATACAACTAGTTCAATAATATGTCTACTCTTATGTGAATAAAAAAAGAGTAAATTTATACCACTGAAGTTCTTTTTTTTTTTTTTTTTTTTTAGACACAGGGTCTTGCTCTGTTGCATAGGCTGGAGTGCAGCGGTACAATCACAGCTCACTGCAGCCTCAAACTCCTGGGTTCAAGTGATCCTCCTGAGTAGCTGGGACTACAGGGATGTGTACCACCACATCTGGCTAATTTTTAAAATTTGTTGTAGAGACGGGGTATTTCCCAGGCTGGTCTTGAACTTCTGGCCTCAAGTGATCCCTCTTGCCTCAGCCTCCCAAAGAGCTGGGAGTATAGGTGTGAGCTACAGTGCCCAACTTCATTTTTAATTTTCCTAGGACACTGTGGTTGATTAAGTAAACTGCAGCTTCTACAGTGCCCTTTATGGCTTGACAAAAGTTAGGCAGCTCTGACATATGAGTAATCTTTCTTTACTAGAATGAGGTATAAAAATTCTGTTAAAGCCTCTCATCCCAAGCACCTCAACTTCTTTGGAAATATCTTATTTTTTCTTAACATTGTTCCACCAAAATTAATTCTTTTAGGGAAATATTAAAAAAGAATCATAGCTTCTTATTTATTCTCCAAATAAATCTAGGAGTGTCTTAAATTCCTACTCTAAACTTGTTTCAAAGATATTAACAAGGAACTAAAGTATTTCATGGAACATTTAAATGACCAGAGAACAAACAGGAAACACAGATGATATACACCATAACACTCTAAGCTATAGAGTATTATACACATTTACAGTACTCAATTATATAAAACCTTTTAGACCACAGTTATAAAGCACACCTTTCTGAGATGCCCCAAGTAAGATGATAAAGGCAGTTATGAACAAAACAGAGCATATACTAGAACAGTGATGAAACCAAAGCAAATTTGTTGTCAACACAGGTAATTTATCAACCTTCTGATTTCTGAAAGCCAGTTTTAAAAAACTGGCTTATAAACATTGTGAATTAAAAAAAATACAAAAACTCAGTATCTTCTTATATATCATCTTGTATATCATATACTCTTACTGAAATACAGTTCTTTTTTTTTTAACTCTTTTTCTTTTTGAGATGGAGTCTCGCTTTGTTGCCCAGGCTGGTGTGCAGTGGTGTGATCTTGGCACACTGCAACCTCCACCTCCGGGTTCAAGCGATTCTCCTGTCTCAGCCTCCCGAGTAGCTGGGATTACAGGCGTGTGCTATCACATCTGGCTAATTTTTGTATTTTCAGTAGAGACGGGGTTTCACCATGTTGGCTAGGCTGGTCTCGAACTCCTGACCTTAAGTGATCCACTTGCCTTGGCCACCCAAAGTGCTGGGATTACAAGCATGAGCCACTGTGCCAGGCCAACTTTTTTTCTTAAAGAGACAGGGTCTTGCTATTAATAATTGGCCCAGGTTGGAGTGCAGTGGCTGTTCACAGGCATGATCTCACTACCGATCAGCATGGGAGTTTTGACTTAATCCCTTTTGGATCTGGGCCAGTTCACCCTTCCTTAGGCAATCTGGTGTCTCCAACTCCCAGGAGGTCACCATACTGATGCTCAACTTAGTGGGGACACCCGATTGGCATAGCTCACTATAATCCAGAGCTCTTAAGACTCAAGTAATCCCCTCACCTCAGCCTTCTGAGTAGCTGGGACTACAGGCACATGCCACTATGCCTGGGTAATTTCTTTTTCTTTTCTTTTTTTGGTAGAGACGAGGTCTCACTACATTGACCAGGCTAGTCTTGAACTCCTGGCCTCAAACAACCCTCCTGCCTTGGCCTCTCAAAGTGCTGGCATTAGAGCTGTGAGCCACCATGCCCGACCTCTTTTTATTTCTTAAAGTCAAATGAAAATATAATATTGGGCTTTTTGGTGAACTAGCTAAAGGTGAAATTGTGACGGTATGGGAGAAAATAGATGTCAATAGTGTAGAGTATGAGAAAAAGAAATAACTAAAATGATGAATCTTATTAATAATTTATTTGACTATACTTTACAAGACACATCACAGAAATACATAGGTAGTATGAAAACTATGTTTTTTACAATATTCCTGAGATAGAACAAACCATTTTAAGCTTCATATTCCAGTAATACATTCACATACTAAGATTCACTAAAATTAATGAAGAACAATTAAAAAATAAAAAGTCATTTAGATATATGTAGTAGCAATACGGCTTTATAAATGACAAAATATTTCCTCTATGGGTAAAAGTACTAAAGCAAACAGCTTCATTTTCATAATAGCAAAGGACATTAATTAATGACTACAATCACAATAATTTTAGACTAAGTAAAAAATACTGTAACTAAAGGAGATGCTAGTTTTGTATTTCACATAATACTAAGATTTTTTTTTAAAAAACATGGGAGAATCATATACATTTGACTATTAAATCGTCTGAAAATACAGAGAATGATGCTAATGACTAGAAAATAGCACATGCCATTTCATTTTAAAGTAAAAGATAAGACCCAGGGAATTACGAGCCTCTCAGTTTAACCTCTGTGGCTGAAAAGCTGCTAAAGCTGTTCTTATCAGAAACAGCCTAAATTTTCAGGGAGACGCAGAGGCTTAAAAACATGGCTCAAGCATTCAAACAAATCTGCAGGAGTACAAATTTATCTGACGTTTTCTGATGCTACAATCATACACAATAAAGGAAAGGAGGCTGATATTATCTAGATTTCCATGAGACACATCAAGAAATGCTACAGGGATTCATTTAGTCCATGGACTATCCATGGAAAATGATGTAGGTAAAATAATTACTAAACTAAAAAAAATTGCTTGCTATAAGAAATTTAGTTTTAGACTCACAGCATGTAATTTCTACTGTCAAATGTCTATCATATCATCAGGCTATAGATTAAAAAAACCTAAATGTTTCTAAGTTTTGGTGTATGAAAATATACATAACTGTTTTCTCACAAAAGCATAACCTATACATTGTAATTAAAAAGTATCAGAAAAATATTTAGGATTTTCACTTTAAGAGGTTAATTTAAATTAATTTTGGAAATGTGGTATAACTGTTTAGAAATCTGTTTTGAAATTTTAATTGTATTAAAACAACAATGATGAATACTGAGGTGGTTAATAGCTTTATCTGGTTTTGGAAACTGGTAATTGATTCATTATGAAAGTTAGCTATCAATCTTCAAAGCAAGAAACTTGATTCCAAGAATATTCTGATTTCTATTAAAAAAATTCACATCATATATATTTTATATCATCTTACTTCATGAATACTGAATATGTAAGGAACAGCTGTTTGCCATTACTGAACTAAGAAATTCTGTTTGGTTGAAATTAATGATCTACTCCATCTGGTTTGAAACACAAAGCAGCATTTCTTAACTACTGTAAAGTTCAGTTAGGAAGAAATCTATTTGATTTTCAGAGTAAAGCATAAGTTTTCCATGATTTAAGTATCTATACCAAATACAAAAAATAATACATAATATCTATGGAAAATTTGCACAATACACAATTAAGAAAACACATGAATGAAAGTGTGAGTGGTATTATTAATGTGAGTACAGTGATCAGATGTAATAGTAATTTACATAATCATCCAATCATTGATCAAATTGTTCAGATAAAATGAGATAATACACAAAATATTTAGAGAACATATATTGAGAACACTAAATGCATAGTAGAAACACATAGTAGAAAATAAGGTGAGTCACTAATTCAGATATAATCACCTTAATGATTTTTATCTTCAACTTGCTAGAGATTTTAATTATTATAGAAATCCTTTCCTTCCTCTCCTCAACTAAATGACTTCAATGAAGTAATATTAATGTTGGCAACAGTACAAAACAGTGAGAGCTGGAATATGCAAAAACTTACCAATCTTTGTGTCAAACTCATCCTTGGAAAAAGGTAGTAATGCAGAATCAAAAAGGTTATAATACATGTAAGATTTACATAAATATTAAATTTTACCTTAAAAACATTAGCATAGTTTAGAAAGAATAAACAATTACTCTAAAGTGCCTAAATCGTCCCCAAAGTTACCATATAGAGTTTGGTAGTTTGAAACTAAAGCAAAACCATGGCAAAATTAAACTGTTAAGATTAAATACCTTGGAAAACAAATGATGAATAAATTATGCATTTAATAAATGCAGAAGAAAAATGAATATTACATTTTTGAACGGAAGTCAGAAATCTTGAAGTTGTCCATTTAAGTTACACATTCTAGCAATTAATAAACATCTAAGAACAATTAATTTTCCTTGCTACAGCGTTTTAGGGAGATTCCATCAAAGACTAACTTGGAAAAAAAAATGGTAAGTTAATAGGTTTGCTTATTATATATAGACGTTACATCTAAAATCATTAGCAGACCATTCATAAACTAAAAGAAGTGCTTATTAAGCTTGGGAATGTGCAAGGCTGGCCGACTAAAATCTCTATTCATAGCATATAATAAACTGTTTACTTTCGCTTTGGTTATCACCTGAGTTGTAGAAAAGGTCAGGTCTTTCGAGAATATCTCCTTCATGAATGTATGGCTCAATTCGATCATCACCATACAAGTACTGCTCACTCTCATCCATCTGACGACTCTCTACCATCTCCAGCCACTGAGAGTTATGCCAGCGAAACTTTTCACTCTGAATTTTCTTAGCCCATTCTTCATCATATTCCTATTGAAAACAAACAGTCAACTGTTATTATATAAGCTAACTCACTTGGCACTCAGACGGCAATATTTTTATCTCTTGAGAATTTTGGGGGCCCTTCACTGGGTCAGAGGAAGCACTACAAATACCTGTTCAGGATTATTTTATATAATAGCCAACAAAAAGCAATTACATACATAAAGAAGTCTGTGTTTGTATTATCGATCACTAATGGCAATGGCAAACACTAGAAAAGTTTAAATTTCATAAATTCTTATTTAATATTACATAAATATTGCCAGAATTTAAGCGAGCAGTAAGACTTCAGTTTCCAAAGAGTTCTTGTGACTATAATTAAAGTTGACCTTAGAACAAAATGGATTTCAATTGCACAGGTCCACTTATACACGGATTTTTGTTCCACCTCTGCCACCCCTGAGACAGCAAAACCAAGCCCTCCTCTTCTTTCTCCTCCTCAGCCTACTCAATGTGAAGACAATGATGATGAAGATCTTTATGATGATTCACTTCCACTTGGTGAATAGTAAATATATTTTCCTTATGATTTTCTTAAAAATATTCCTTTCTCTAGCTTACATTATTGTAAGAATACAGTATATAATACATATACAAAATATGTGTTAATCAACTGTTTATGCTATTAGTAAGGCTTCCAGTTAACAGTAGGCTATTAGTTTATGTTTTGGGGGAGTTAAAAGTTATACATGGATTTTCAACTGTGTAGGGGGATTGGTCCCCTAATACCTGTGTTGTTCAAGAGTCAACTGCATTTGTGGCACTAATGACAGGTAGTTAGCATAAAATGACATATTTTGCTGTATCTTTTAGTCTAGATAACACTGGGGGAAGTACTGTTAAAGTATTGTTTTAGCTGCTAAAATGGTTTACTAAAGAAAACAAATATCAGAATTGAATTTAATTTTTGTTCCAACCACAAATTAATGATCTTATCTTATTTAGTTGTAATTATTTCTTTAAATGCTTCTTGTTTTGATCATAAACTCCTATGGAGCAAGATTAGGTTATTCACTGACAGGTGTATCTGTAACACTTGTCAGAAAGAAAGTTCTTGGTGAATGGTTTTGAAGGACAAACAGGCAAATTACTGTAAGCTACAGCAGAACTTCTCCATCTACTACTTGTCCCATAGGTTGCAGCTACTACTGAGTAGTGTATTGCTTTAACAATGGACAGCAGAAATGATAGCATGGATAGAAAATAAAAGGCTTCAGATATTTCATGTCATTGTTAGAGTTCTTGGTTTTAAATTCCTCTGTCATATCTTTAAACACATTTGGTTACAGCTGTCTAAAAAGGAGTTAGAGGGATGCAGGGTAATAGCACTATTAAGGTGATCACAAAAACTAAGAGGTAGACCAAATATATATTTTAGTTAAATGCTAAGCAATTTTTCAACTCAAGCTGAGACTCAAATCAAAATCACAATCACATAATACATTTCTGGGATATAAAAATAAAATCTGAGACTTTATAATAAATGTAATTATTATTGTAATTTTCTTGTTAAAATTTTAACTTGTTGAAGTTTCACATTATCAGCAAATCCTAGCAGTGTCAGTTGTCAGATTGCATGTGCTATAATGTACATTTAAAAAATATATAGCTGCTCCCTTTCAACTGAAGTTGGGGAAGGTAGAGGATATTTTTTGACTATAGTAATGCTAGTGACAATTTTGCTACCAAATTACTAAACTTGATTTTCTTTTTAATTTTTATTTTAGGTTCAGGGATACATGTGCAGATTTGTTATATAGGTAAACTGTGTGTCATGGGGGTTTGGTGTACAGATTGTCACCCAGGTAATAAGCATAGTACCAAATAGGTAGTTTTCAGTCCTGACTCTCCTCCCACCCTCTACCCTTAAGTAGGTCCTGATGTCTCTTGTTCCCTTCTTTGTGTTCATGTGTACTCAATGTTTTAGCACCCATTTATAAGTGAGAGCATGTGGTATTTGGTTTTCTGTTCCTGTGTTAGTTTACTTAAGATAATGGCCTCCAGCTCCATCCATGTTGCTGCAAAGGACATGATCTCGTTCTTTTTTATGGCTGTGTAATAGTCCATGGTGTATATGTATAACATTTTCTTTAGCCAGTCTACTGTTGATGGGCATTTAGGTTGATTACACGTCTTTGCTTATTGTAAACAGTGCTGCAATGAACATGCATGTGCATGTCTCTTTATGGTAGAACAATGTATATTCCTTTGGGTATATACCCAATAATGGGACTTCTTTTCTTTTACCTTTTTTTTGTTGTTGTTGAGATGGAGTCTTGCTGTTACCCATGCTGGAGGGTGGTGGCACGATCTCAGCTCACTGAAACCTCTGCCTCCTGGGTTAAAGTGGTTCTTGTGCCTCAGCCTCCAGAATAGCTGAGATTACAGGTGCCTGCCACCACCACCTGGCTAATTTTTGTATTTTTGGTAGAGATGGGGTTTCACCATGTTGGCCAGGCTGGTCTTGAACTCCTGACCTCAGGTAATCTGCCTGCCTCGGCCTCCCAAAGTACTGGGATTACAGGCGTGAGCCACCGTGTCTGGCCAGGACTTCTTTTCTAATAGTTATCTATTAACATTTCTATTAGTCATCAATCTATTTCCTAATATTATTTTTTAAAATTAAGTTGCATAAAATTAAGAGCTATCATAAACATTATGTAAAAATAATAAACATTTTTATTCAACTGATAGTTTTAATAATTGAAGATATTAAATTATTTTCAGTTGATAAAGATCAACTGAAGATCTTTACGTCAGTTAAATCTGATACTAAACTATACTTGAAATAGACTATTCAGATATAAATAATAAATCCAAATGTCATACCTCCTTAGTATTACTGATGTGGTCACAGTGACTGAATGTGATGGTAATTTATACAACCACCCAATCACTGATCACACACAAATTATTCTGCCAAAAGGAGATAATACATATAAAGCATTTAGATAACTTATATTGAGAACACTTAATGTTAGCCATTACCTTAATTAAAGTAACGGCTCTCTGACATATGTGCCATAATTATCAACATCTTACAAATGAGAAAATGAGGCCCTGAACACTGAAGTAACTTGATCCAGGGTACACAGCTGGCTGTGGCTACTACAGCACTGTAAGCCTCGGGCCAGCAATGTGGAAGAGGCAGTTAAACAGAGGATAAATGAACATTTGTCAGGGTTCCTGCAGAATGGATTCTTTATTGAATGAGAATATAACAAATAACCCCCAGGGACAACTTTCAGTTCTAAGATTTCGTAAGCAAGCAGTGATATGGGAGGAAGTCATTGACCAAGGAGTGATATTGGAAGAAGTAGCTTCTGGTCTGGTAAGTATATTAATATTATCCTATCGTATTCTCAATCATGCTCTCACTGAGCTGGCCATACTTGGGTGGGTATTGGGAAAAGAGGGAGTTGAAAAATAATATGCACAGAGATGTTGTTTACAAGCAGTTTTGTGGTTCACTTTGGGCTTCCAAAATTAAATAAAATACCAAGCGATACCTCATTATGTAATATAGGCATATGATCAGCTTCAAAGTAATTTAGCCTAAATGCTAAATATAACTGTGAACCTCTTTAAGATTCATATAACTTCACAAGAGTACACTTTTTGTTGCCATATGTGTGTCTGTGTATGTGCTCAATTAAAGTTAGCTGCAGAAAGATACTGTCATATTAGAAATGGCCAGATAATTTACAAAGAGTGATCACATAATCATACAGTAGAAAGAAAGGATAAATTTATTATATCCATTAGGGTAAGACATTTAATACATTAAAAAGCAAAATGATAATGTGGACAAATTGTCCATACTAATTGGCTTTTTTTCTAAAAAATAAGTTGGTTGCAGGTTACCAAAACTCTCAGAATATGCTTTATAAAATACTAGAAATCCTAGCAAGTCCACATTAAATACAGAACTAATTTGAATGTTATTTTTTTAAAGAATAGTAAGTAGCTTGTTTCACTTGGGAAGAGGCATAAAACTAATTTTTCATTTTGGTAGAAAAATTTAAATCTGATTGAATTATCTCAACAAAGAGGTATTCCTTCAAGGAAAAAGAAAAATCATACGATCTGATGATTTCATTGTAATTTAAATTTCAAGCATATTCATTCCTGGTGTAAAACAGGGGTTAAAATTCAGTCAAGTGCCCAAAGCATATAAAATATGTGGTCTGCTATTCCAGTAAGAGTAAAACTTGACTCCTACTAATACCTGTGAAATGTTACAGAGGTAGGTAATATTTAAAATAAAAATATCCTTAAACTACATTTCCGCAAAATGTATTTAGCCTAGGAAGTAATGCTTTGCAAAAACAAACAAAAATCCTGCTTACTCCGAGTTATCATTTCACACCCTCTTTTAAGATTATCCTAATTTAACAATAACAAAAATATATCTAATAAATGTAAAAATGTGTAACAAAGAAGTTTCTTCATAAACAATTGCCCTTCTAACTTTAGCCTTCTTATCACCCTACGAGCTTACATCATTATTCTTATTAATAAACGTATACATACAAGGCTCAGTTTAAAAAGAGATTATCAAATCTATTTGACAAAAGTCCAAACACACAAACCAAAAATATCCATGAGCATCCATGACTAACTTTTGATATTTTCTTGGTAAAACTGATCTTCCAAGGCAGTGAGTTAGCACAGAACCTAGCACCAAATGTAATGACTGCCCTTACACATTCCTTTAAAATTTTCACCTTCTCTCTTTTATCAGTTTTTTATTGAATTATTGTATAGAACCAGTGCATCTCTTGACATTATAAGCCTAAAAAGTATGGTAGCAATGATACAGATTGTACTATCATTTTCTTACTTAAAATAATTGTATTCTAACTTTTAAGCATTTCGTACTATAAAACAATAGGTTTAATCTCTACGACTAACATACTAATTAACATGCATTATTGTTTACAGGATCACAGTAAAAATACCACGGTTATTTTCTCAGCTCTAAAAAAGAAGCAAAACAGCTCTTCTCTCAGGAAATACGACACAGCACATGTTATTCTATACCAAACTGTGTATTTAGGATATTGAAAATTATATCTTGCAAAAGATCCAACAATGATTCCAGAATCCTACTAGGATGAATCTACTACATTGGCAAGCAGAGTTTTCCTAAGAGGTGGCCTTGAAATTAAATATGTGTGTATGGTTCTTTGTTATAGATCATAGACGGAAAATGGCAAAAAAAAAAAAAAAAAAAACCTTGGCTTAACAGTATGAAAGCCTTAAAAGTTTTTCCATTTAAAGTCTTAAAGAGTCATAACATAATTTTGAAATAATATTTGGAGTTTCATGATTATAAAAGTAATATTTTCATTGTTGAAAATGGAAAATTACAGGAAAAATGCCTATAAAAACTTTAGCAAGATAGAACCACAATACTATATCCCACCAGTTTTCAATGACTTTCTTAACTCTAACATCAATGGATAACTGGAAAATATTTTAAAATATGTGTTTAAAAAATTTACAGGCTGAGTATGAAATATTATTGAGATATTGGACTTGTGCCATAAAAGTTTGCTCTAGTTTGTGATAATGTTGCCTCAGGTTTTCAACTGTTTACCAAATAAAGCATCTTAGAATGAAATATGCCATAAGGAACACAATATTCATTAAAATATTTTTACTTCTCCTTTTCCTTAGTAGTAAATGTTACTTAGAATCAAATGAAATAGCATTGTTTTGCTGTATAATGCTGACCATTTATGTTTATGTTTCTGAAAAGGTTTACCAGATTTCTTGAAAATGAAATATTTTAGCTTATGGTTGTTGAGATTCTATTTACCAAGTACAGTAAATTAATAGGCTAAGACAATGGTTTTAGACTTCAGGAAAGGTTCAAAAGCACATTTGGGGGACAAATATTAAAAGTAAATCAACTGCCACCTACTATACCTGTTTTATTAAAGGGTCATTTGCAGACTAAAAAATGTGAGAAAGAATCTCAAAGTAAAGATACACAGTACTTTCCCAAAATAAAACATGTTAACAACATTATATCCCCCTCCTGGACAAAACTTTCCTTTTTTATTTTTTTCCCTTTTCCATTTCAGTGACAATTTGCTGTATCACATTCCTATGGACCATCATTCGGGAATCTCTATCTTCTCTATGTGCTCTGGGAATCCTCAATGAATATAGTTTAGTAGCCATGGCAAAGTGAGTTTCTTTGTGTTTCAGCATCTGCATTTATAGCTATTAATAATATGGTACTGCATAATATAAAGAACATTGGATTAGGAGTCAGGAGACCTGGGCTCTGGTTCTAGCTCTGCTACTAACTGAAGTATGCAACCTTCTAAAGGTATTCTAATCTCTCTTGGTCTCAGATTCTTCATTTGTAAAATGAAACAAAACTAAGACTTACTTAAGCTCTAACATTCTAAATAAAAACCTATGATTTATACCATGAATTCATAAAGCTGTTGAAATAACTATCCCAAATAACTGAAAAATACTGGTAGGATAGGAGTTTCTTTTATAAAGTTAACAAGCAATTCTTAAATGAAAACCCAATGTCAAAAAATTTTAATCAACATACATCATTAAAATAAATTTCTCTAACCCCATCCACCAATCTCTAGTCCCTTCTTATTATTCACTCCCCTATACCCCCAGCCCCATATCAGAAAATAATTATGAGAATTCAGGGATATCACAGCTGAATCACAGCTAAGGTATGTCATCAAAACCTATCCAAAGCCTTTGTGGAAATATTCTAGGATTATAGTTTTTTCTTCATTTTTGAAATACTTCTTTTCACAAGGAGTACACCCTGGTGTCTTGGCTTTGAGACTTGAGTCTATTGTGTATTTAAAGAAAAACATGCTTTGTTTTTTATTTCCTTCTCTTCTTAGCTCCTGACATTATGATTTTAAGCACTCAGTATCCATAAATTCTAAAGTGTCGTGAAAGACTGATGGTTTGATTTTACATGGAATGTGCCATCCTTTTTGAAGTCCTACATCATTTTGTTTACTAGTTAACCACCGAAACATTATGAAGCCTTAACTAGCCTATTATCAGAGCCTGTTCACTATCAGGAAAACTCTTTGTCACTGGCTTCCGTCACACCTTGTATCTGATTAACACACTATAGGATAACACAGAGCTACATAGATCTGCTTTGTGTTCTAACATAACTGATGGAAAACAGATTTTCCTTTTTCCTTTAATGTGGCAGCCCCCTAATTGAGACTGTAATATGGTTTATTTAATATAATTTTTCATACTAAATTAAAGCAAGTCTGGATTAATTTAGTTGCTCATTAAAGTTACGGTGGTAGCTGCTAACAAGATACTTTTTATATCTTAAAAAATATTTATCCCAATAATATTGATAGACATACACATAATTTAACATACATAATAAAGTTGATTTTTATGCACATACTATCTATTTCTCAATAAGACTGCCCCAAGTGTTGACCTTTAGTCTTGACCACAAAGTAAAAGAAATAACTAAATAAAATTTATTTAAGTAAGAAATAATTTTTTTTCTTTCATACTATGCATGGGTTCTTTTAAGTCCAAATGTTGCCAATTAAAAAAAAAAAGTAACATGCATAACAGGTAGGAAACACACACATTTATGTATAAAATTATGTGTGTATATGCTTAAATTCTAACAAGTTGGAAAAATATCCTAAATGTCCGCCTTTTGGTTTACGCAATATAAAGATGAACTATAAAAGAGGGCTGACTAAATTTATCTCATTAAACCCAATTAGAGTATATGGGATTAAGAAATAAAAATCAAACTTACACTGAGAAATAAAAGAATTTACCAAGACTGCAAAACAAGCAAGAACCAGTTCTGCTTGGTCTGGAAAGAGAAAATTTTAGAAATTTCTGCCAACAATTCACTTGAAAATCACTACTCCCACATCCAACTTGCATGCCAATTAAAAGTGACCAGCATTTACCCATGCCCTGCTCTTGAAAGCTTGAGTTCTAATGCTAACCCTAACCCTATAAAACCTTCTCTGTAACTTCTCTTCAAGACGTTGTAAGATACTTCTTAAAGTGTTCTCCCTTACTGGCAAGATTATTAATAAGACCACCTTTTCTCTGACACAGGCTTCCTTGGTTATCTTTGCAGAGACCATAACAACGGGTGATGTAGAAGCTACATTTAAAGCTATATTGGTTTCTTTCCTTTTAATAAACCAGCCTTATTAAGTACAATTTTGTCTGTCTGGAATGAAGGTAGCACCTACTTTTCCAAGTTTAGAATATTAGAGCTTGCTATTAATTCCAGATTATTAAAATAAAAACAATCTGCCCATGATCATAATTAAGAGTTATTAAAAAAGGAAGAGGTACCATTCAAAATCTCAGTGACACGAACCTATGTCACTACTAAATCATACACTGGCTAGAAAGATGACAGAAATCACTCTTTCACCAGAGAACCTGGTTATATCCCTTTTCCTGTAAACACCCTGTAGATACAGTGTGCCGTTAGTACAAATAATCTAGTGATAGGCCATGTAGTAGTACTGCTTCTGGAATGCCAGTTCACATGTTTAGAGAATAGTATCTCAGTGTTCTCTGGGGTCTAGATTGTAAATTTTTATATTAAGGAACTTTGTATTGTTGAGTTTTGTGTTCTCAGTGTCTTTCTTAGTGTTTGGCACATAATAGGTGCTTAATAAACATGTATTAAATGTCTGACAAACCAGAAATATCAGGGGAGGATTTCTGAGGTTCTCAAATACTTCACACAAAGCTGAGGATGTACTGAAGGATACAAATCTAATTGAGTTTTTAGAAGTTCTCTAGATCGGAGGGGTAGGTGATGTTCTTCCCTTCATGATTCCCATGATTGCCTTCATGGAAGAGAAAAAGGCAATGGTCAACTGACTTATAATTCCCTTGGAAGACCAACTAGCTATAGGCTTCTCTCTCCTTGCCTTCCTGCTCCTCTTTGTACCTACACCATTCCCTGCCTCCCCAAGCTACAAGTAACGTAGTCACACAGGTGACAATGTGCTGATGAGGCCACAGAGACTGTATCATGTAAACAAGTGATGTAATCCTCCTTGGTATCCAGAGTACTGCCACCGCACACCTGTTTCAATTCATCAGTTGAGGGCTTGGGCCCAACTACATTAAACAAATCTTCACTAGTATAATATTTGCATAATTTGGGGGACAAGTACTTTACTGCAGAAAGTATATTTCCCCAAGGCTTTCAAGGCATCTAATTTTTCTTAGTATTATTCTGCACTGTCTGTCTTCAGTGGAAGATAAGTTTGTTTTCTTACAGGTAAATTGCTTTAAGCTACAAATATTCCCATTCTGTCTATATATTTTTTGGATTTTTTATTATTATAGAATACAGTCATGCTGAGAATACTAGGAAATCATTATCTAGAGGTAAAAAGAATTTTAAGACATCATCCACTCCTCTCCTAAGCAGGTTTCTTATAATTTAAAAAGTTTGTTATTTAGCCATTACTAATGCTAACTGAACAAAAACTTCACATTCTCCCTTGATGGTCTTTTTAGTGAACACCATTTCAATGCAGCAATGGAAGCAGAAGCCAGAATTTTCATAGGTTTAAAGTGCGGAAATGAAGGAAGTAAAATATAGACAGCTGTTTGGAAACTTTGGATCTAGAAAGAAGGAGAGCTAAGACAGTATCTAGAAGAGAAAAGAGACACAGGGTTGGGGTGACTCCAGTTTTAAGATGAGAGACTTAAGCTCAGAGTTTAGAAATTATTTGAAATAAATTTCTATTTTATAATAAATACATTTGTATTTTATACAAAATATTTTTAGATGAAGGCTGAGTTGGCCTTTGAGAACTATCAACTTACATTCTAAACCACATACACTTAATCTGTAAATCTAAACATTATCTTCTAGTTACCTTTCCTAGACAGAAGGTAGATAAAAAGTATGCTAAATGTAATGCATAACAGACTGACAACTCCCTCCTTTCCTCGTTGCTTCAAGTAAGATAATCACATACAGAACTATAAGAAGTTTTTTGTTCTTATACTATATACTTTATATGCAACAATGGCACTGTGATCTATTAGAAAATAGTACATGAGCCATGAAATTATTCTCTAGGCACATTAAATATTCTGTATTCATAAGCCCTGTGATCAGTGACCTATGTGTGAAATGTCTTCATAGAATGAGGATTTAATATGTACAGTTTCTCTATTCTGACTTAGAAATCAAAGCTAAAATGTCAACGTATCCATTTAGTTCTACACCAGTAATGGATACTTAGTCAAATCCAAAAAACAGATGATATCAAATTAAGATGAATTTCTGAAATAAAATGTGAGAAAGTGACAATGAAGTTCCTAACGGTGATTGTCTAGTTTCCTGATTACATCACTAGCAGAAAATCCAACTTAGTGGATTTCCAACTAAGTTATTGATTTTTAAAAAAAAATGTTATTCTGATCTGTTTAAAAAGCTAAAGTTAAACTTTTAAAACTACTGAGTAGGCTACATTCAATAAACTTTCTAAAGGTGAGCCAAATCCAGTTAGAAAAAGAAAGCAACGTGGTTGTGCGTAGCAGTATATGCCATATATAAAAAATACTCAAAATAATCGAGTATCTGGTACAGCCCTGGTGCAAGGCCCAAATCCAGGCAGAAGACTGTGGTAGGCAGCAAAATTACTGGCAATAAGTCTGCATGGTTCACAGTTTCTAACTCAACACTTAGATCATCTCTTTGATCATATCCCTCTAGTCATGTATCCTTTAAAAACCTCCAAAACTATGAATAACAGTAAGATTTTTGTATTTCCCATCATTTCAAAGCAACTTAAAGGACAACTGTATGTATAAAATAAAACTATCAATTAAGTGAAAAAAATAGCTGATACAAGATTTGATTTATTAAAAAAATTTAATGGCCAAACCACAAAATTGATAATGTTTTGACAGAAACTGTCTTCCAACACCCCACTCCTATACAATAATTTATCCGAAAAACAAGTGACTCTGTGATGACATGTAGATCAGAACTCTGAATACCTGTAAAACATCTTTAAGGAGCCGATGACTTAAAAATTGAAAGCTAAAGAACTTACTAATGTTTAAAAAGTAAATTTAGTATCATTGTATATCCTGAATCTTACCAAAATACAAAGTTGGGTTTACACTGAATGCATTGTTTAAAATAGGTTTACAATGACTTTCTCCCCCAAGATGAAGTCAATTATACTTTGTGTAGAAAAAATAATTACTTACCGCTATAATATCTAATGTATTATCACAGACCTTTCGGATTTCATTATTCTTATCATGCATTAGGTCTATGAGATATGCTGGAGCCTCTGAATAAAAATGGTTAAAGAAACAAACTACATTTGATATTGTGGCTAGTCAATAATACTACAAAAATCTCATATTTTTCTAAATCTAAATTCTAAATGGAAATATAACCCAAATTTTAAAATAAAATCATTAATACAAGATGACCAAAAACACTTAATGTTTCATTTGTTTAGAAAAACAGGGATAGTAGGGACATAAAAAAGAGAAAAATCTAGATGAAAATGGGTAAGGAAAACAAAGTCAGTAAATCTCAGAAAGTACAAGACCACATTTCTGAATACATGAGGATCATGAACATAAATGAAGAGGAAGCTCTATAGTTGTGTAGCTATAAATGCTTCTTGATCTATCCTGCTCTCCTAAAAATTCAGGAAAACTAATTTCAAACAAAACTAACAAGAGAGATTCATGGTCAAAAAGAGAAGGCATGATAAAACATTTTCACATAAAAGAAAGCTGCAACCTAAAATATCAAAAGAGATAAAAATAATTTAAAAAATAGTGTGTATATATATATATATATAAACAACACAAATCAGGATTAGAAAACCAAGGGAAATAAAATAATTCAGAAAAGAACCAAAAACAAAAGCAAAAATCATTTTGGATATATAAAAATTAAGATAACAAAAGAGTAAATGGACACAACAGA
This sequence comes from Homo sapiens, assembly GCF_000001405.40. Taxonomy (NCBI): domain Eukaryota; kingdom Metazoa; phylum Chordata; class Mammalia; order Primates; family Hominidae; genus Homo; species Homo sapiens. The sequence goes on from NC_000001.11 coordinate 169,973,252, forward strand.
TAAAATTCTAAGAGAAACAGAAGCAAAAGGAATAAATTTTAAAATAAAAATAAGTGAAAAGAGATAAAAAGATTAGAAAATGACAGATATTAGACTAAGAAGATCCAACACAATAGAAATCCCAAAGAAGAAAACCAATGTAACAGAACAAAACAAATACTAAAAACTATAATTCAAGAAAACTTTCCTGAAATTAAAAAAAAGGTGCACATTTGCATACTTAGAAAAATCAATGGAGGATGATATACCAAGTCAAATTCTAGTAAAAAAAACTTGATATTAAAAAAAAAAAAAGAATACTTCTTTGGTCTTTCTGGAAGAAAGGCCAAGTTACTTATAAGGAAAAGGAAATTAAATTTTCCTCTGACTTTATCACAGATAACAATAATTAGACTGACTACAGACTTCTCATTGGCAGTCCAAGGGAAAGCGAAAAAACATCTTCGAATTGCTGGGGGAAATAACTGTCAACCTAGAAGTCTATATTCTGTTAAATTATTATTAAAGAGAAAAAATAGTTATTTTCAGATAAAGACATTTATTATCCATAGATAATATTCACTAAGTATAAAAGCATATACTTGATTATGAAAGAAAGTCAGCTCGAATAGAGAAATGGAATTCAGGAGACAGTAAATAAGGAAATTGGTCAACATACTGTAAACTTTAGATAAGCACTGTTATTTAAAAACCAATAATTAAAATAGTGATTAATTCTGAGATGTTACAAAAGGGTTATAAAATGAAGTGAAATTATCATATTGGATAGCAAATAACATGGAAAATAGAAGTGGAGATATTAGACTGTCAAATAGAAACATATACTCCTTTAGAACTTGGTGAACATGAATGTTGAAATTTAAGTTTGCATCCCAAAAGAAAAAAAATGGGATGTATAATCACAAATAAGTAAGACAGAAGGGAGATAATAAAGCAAATTCAAATTAATAAAGAAACCTTGGTGAATCTAAAAGAGGAAGTGAAGAAAAAAGTTGTGACCTTGCATCAATACTATTAATTGGTCTTAGTTAAAACAATTTGAAAAGAGTCCACACATTTCTACTAAGAAACTCTAGCACATGTACACAAGTACATACCATTATTTGTATCACTGATTACACCCAAAAAATTTTATCAACAGTATCATGACTAGTGGCAAAGTGATGACTTAACTCATTAGTGTTACTTACTATTTAAACTGTTGTTTTTTAAAAATAGGTTTAGGGGACCCAAGTACAGATTTGCTACATGGCTATATTGCATAGTGGTTCTTACTATTTTTTTTTAGGGTTAAAAAAGATATATTTAAAATGTAGAAAAAATATATAGAATAATGTATTTGTGCATTTTTTAAAAATATGTAAAAAATATGTATTGACTGTCTCTTTTCTCCATTGGAATGTAAGTTCCATTAGGGCAGAGACTTTGCCTATCATATTCACCATAGTACCCCAGGTTTTAGATCATAACAGGTACTCAATAAATTTTTATTTAATGAATAAATAAATAATATCTATTCTATATACTTCACATGGTTTTGTGAGAATAAAAATTATTAGAAAAATCTTTAAAATTCTCAAGGGGAATCTAAAATAATCTAGACAAATGTGGATTATAATCTTCCCTCAGCAGCCATGGGAGACTGGTTCTAGGATCCCCCAATGATGCCAAAATCCACAGATGCTTAAGTCTCTAATATAAAATGGTGTAGTATCTGCATATGGCCTATGCTCATCCTCCCATATACTTAAAATCCTTCCTAGATTACTTACAATACTTAATAAAATATAAATGCTATGTAAATAGTTGTTATACTGTATTTTCTGTTTTTTATTGTTGCATTTCTATTCTCTATTAGAACTTTTTTTGAATGAATTTAATCTATGGATGGTTAAATCAGCAGATGAGGAACCCCCAAATAAGGAGGGCCAACTGTATTTTATTTCCCATACTGCAGTTGTTGAGATCAGCATTAGTTCTCAATTCTTATGTGATTGAGTCACAGTTGAGAGTCAGTTTAATATTTTAAATATCTGAATATAAATCATATATTTATCTAAAATAAGTCTACACTAGCTATCTCATATATCAAGTATTCTGTTCAAATTATATCAAATAATATTGATCAAACTTTCTAACAAAAAATAAGAAAAGGAATAAAATATTGCCTAATAGATTTATTTCAAATATTCATATTGGATTCATAGGGAGAATTACAATAAAATGCTAAAGGTTATGGTGAAATAAAATATTGCAATAATTTTTAATATGTAATACATTGTAACATGACAGATTTAAATGCCATTGACATCAACAAAAATTCTGTTTTTTCAACTCCAAAACATTTTTTAAATTTATTTTTTATTTTCAGTTTTTTTTTAGAGACAGAGCCTCGTTCTGTCATCCAGGCTGGAGTGCAATGGCATGATCATAGCTCACTGGAGCCTCAAATTCCTGGGCTCAAGTGATCTTCCTACCTCAGCCTCCCAGGTAGCTGAGACTATAGGCATGCACCAGAATGCCTGGCTTAGAAAACATTTCTGAGTTTTGTATTTTGGAAAAGCACTTCAGTGATCTTTATCCAATTTTAAGACACAAAGTTTTTATGAAAATTTTAACTCAGCAGATCTTTTATCTCCCTGTTGCACCATTATCAACATGTTATAATCTTTAGGACAACTATTCAAAAAGTATTGACTCCAGATTTAGTGACATAAAACAAAAATTAAACTTGGGGGAAAATGCAAAGAAAGTTACACTGAAAAGAAAGGTCAAATAGGAATTCTCTTAATTCTGTGGGCTTTGATAATAAGGTACTAAATGTACATTTTAAACAGACATCCCAAAACAGAGGCAGTAACACTTATTCACTGTGTACAGGTACCTGGTAGGTACTTTAAATACTTCACTTTTTAGTCCTCACAAAAAACCCTATGAGATGACCTGTAAATAGGGTGGTATTTCAAAGAAGTTACCTAGAAAAACTACATTTTCATTTTACTGTTTTCTGTAGTGGCTTCTATAGTTATGTAAATTTTAAGTAATTCTACACATAAAATACATCTTCAGAGACTCTCAACCCAAAAAAGCATATTAAAGGTTCCAAGAAGACTCTGTAGCAAGAAAACTTGTTAACTTTAACTCAGTGTTTCCCAAACTTATTTACTATCAGAGAACCTTTTTTTTTTCATTAAGCAGCTGTTAATACTTATGTTCCATGGAATACAGCTGGGGAAAAATGAATTTATTCCAATTATTTTAACACTGTTCAAAAGCATATTTGGAGTTTATCTTTCTGGGAAAGTCAGTTTATAAACCATATTAAAAATATTTATTACTTTCTGTACTGTTAGCTGTTAAGGCAGAATAGTATTTGTATTTCGATAGCCCATATTAATATTAACATTTCTCAAATTAGACTTGTTATTTACCAGACTTGACTCCTGGAAACTCTATATGGTTCCAGAATTTTTAATTTTTTTTGAGATGGGGTCTCCCTCTGCCACCCAGGCTAGAATGCAGTGGCACAATCATAGCTCACTGCAGCCTTGACCTCTCAGGTTCATGTGATAATCACTGCTTCGGTGTCCCGAGTAGCTGGGACTACAGGCATGCATCACCAGGCCCAGCTCATATTTTATTTTTTTATTTTTAGTAGAGATGAGGCCTCACTATGTAGCCCAGGCTGGTCTCAAACACCTGAGCTCAAGTGATGCTCCCACCTCAGGTTCCCAAAGTGCTGGGATTACAGGCATGAGCCACTGTGCCTGGCCAATCACACTGGATTATAATTTTATATTTCTTGTATATTATACTTGTCTATCTCTCCAACTAAACTATAAACTCCCTGAGGTCAAGGACTTTCTTATATATCTAACACATAAGCCAGTATCTGTTTAGATGGTCAAAGCTTGAGAAATGTGTGAATAAATGAATGTTTAATTATATGTAGTAAAAGAGTTAGCAGATATCAAAATTTTCAGCTTAAGAGGCTGTGTAGATGACAATGTTGTTATTCACAATGAATACAGATGGCAGGACTGCTTTGCTTATCAGGAGAGGATGTTACCAATATTGAGTACCCTTTGGATGCGAGAATGATAAACTACCAGGTACTAAGTACCTCTGTGTATTGGGAACTATTACAGGCAATTTAAATCCATTAGTACTTACAACAATTCTACAAGGTAGGAGGTCTTTTTATTTTAATATTAACGTTACGGGCATTTTTTAGGTACCTCATTGTATCCTAGGGAGGTTAAGTAACTTTTTCCAAGGTCCTGCAGCTTAGTAAGTAGCAAAAGGTAATTAAAATTAGGGCTATTTGATTTACAATGCTCTTTAGGCTACAACATGCTATGCCCCTTTAGGTAGGTGGAAGGTATCCAAGAGGCAGTTAGCAACAAATGCCTAGGGCTCAAGATAGGGGTTATGAAGATTAAATAGTTAGCATATAGTTGGTAGCTGAACTCATGGAAATAGATGTGGTTTCCCAAGTAGGGTAAATAAGGTAAGATTAGAAAAGAACCAAGAATAGTCCTAGGAACCTCTGATGCTTACAGTGTGTTAATAGAGAAGGAAGTTCTGATATGTTTGTTAAGTTTCTTAGGAATCACAACCTGACAAGTTAATAAAATTGTTCTCATTATATTCTACCTATATACTGATTTGGGGTCAACAGCTTCCATGGAAAATAGGTTATCTTGTAAATTTATCTCAAAACTTAGTGTTTTCTACGTTATTTCAACATTTGCAAAAAAAAAAACAACTCAAAGATGCATCTTTTCTGAATATGTGAAATATTGTTATCTACGGTAAACACTGAAAGGATACGTGTTTCCTTGATTATGACGTCTCTTGTGGCTTGGTGGAAAACCATCTGGTAGAAGACATAAATTATCTGACACACAAATTCATCATCTTCTTGTTGAGCTGTAAATAAACAAAAAATTCAAATAAAGAATACTATGTTTATATACCAAATTTAAAATAATTGAGGGGAATAATATAGAACGAGAAAAACTAAAAGTGATAAGGAGACAAGCAAGCAGAAATGGATTTAACTTCTATGTTCCTAATGTAAAATAGTAACAGTTATCACCACTTGTTTTATTCATCATAAGAATTCTTTAAAGAATTCTAATTTGTAAAATAAACCTGGTTCTATTTTGTCTTTATAATGTTGACTTCTCAGGAGAAAAATAATTCTTAAAAATTATTATACCTTCTAAACTCTAAGTTTTTGGTGGAAATTGAACTATCATAAAAAGGTATTTCCTTTTGTTGAATAATGTTAAACTTTACAGATTGCATGAAATAATAAGTAATTTAGTTTCCATCTAATTAATTATAATAGTAAAAAAGTTACATAATCATAAAGGCTAATTAATAAACCTTTAATATCATACAAAGTAATTTACATAACAGCTGATGTCCACTGATTAATATGTAATGGAAAAAGCATAATTGCTTATAGAAATCTAACCTTAGGTAATGATTATGAAATTAGATTTAATAGTATAGTTTGCTATCAACTCTTGGTAAAAGTTCAATGACATTTTAGAAACAGAGTTTCAGGTCAACAGAGTATCAAACCAGTTGTGTAGAATAAATTGTGGGTCCCTTAAAGTTCAATTTGTCCCAAATGATCTCCCTCACTAACTTGCCAAAGTACTACTCTCCCAAACAAATTGGGCTAAATTTCTCACTATTAATTACTATCTTGGTATACAGTATTCCCTCACTTAATACCAATGGTTTTAATCTTGAAAATCTGTATATTTCTTAAAAAGAGTATTATAAAGCCTCTGCCTGTGATAATCTCATGTCAGAGAACACCAAAACATAGTAAAACACTCTGAGCTGGCTGTGTCAGATCACTTTATGAATATCTTAGCTCTCTTGATTATAATCACTATGGGACAGCAATTCCAGGATGCAGGTCATTTTGCTTCAACTTTCTTCAGCTCTCCACAAAATCTTCATTCTCACTCTATCAACTACGTGTCTTTACTTTTACCTCCCAACTACTTAGTCTTTCTTTTAATTATTTCTGATCTGAAAACTGACTGTGAGAAGAGTGTACCAAAGTAAATACAAATATGCTAAAATTTTGGGAAGGAATACTTCAAATATGGGGCATTATCTCTAGATGACCTATTAAAATGAATTATATTAAGGAACTTACAAATTAAATTAAAAAAACTCAAAAGAGAAAAATGCACAAAAGGCTTAAATAGGCACATCTTTTTACTGGCTATCCCTAAATAATCAATAAACATAAACAGGTGATGAACTTCATTAGTCATTAGGGAAATACAAATTAAAATCACAATGAAATACCAGTATGATGGCTACAATTGAAAGGACTGACAATGCCCAGTATTGGAGGTGATGTGGAAAAATTGCAGCTCTCTTACACTACTGGTAAGAATGAAAACCAGCAGAACTACAGATTGGCATAGTTTACTAAGGCCAAACACATACAAACTCTGTGACCCAGCCATTCTACTCCTACGTGTGAACCTAATGGAAATGAGTACATATGTTCACCAAATGAAAGGTTTCAAAATATTCATAGGAGCATTATTTATAATAGTCCTCCCCCCCACAAAAACCTAACTCTACTATCCATCAGTAGTAGAAAGGATAAATGGTGGTATGTTTATATAATAAAATATTATACATAACAATGAAAATGAACAAACTTTTGTATACAACATAGATGAATGTCACAAATATAAGGTAGAACAAAATAAACTAGATTCCACTTATATATTAAAGTTCAAAACCAAGCAACACTAATCTAGTGGTGACAAAATAAACTATCTTTTGTTCAAACTAACCACTTTGAAGGAGGTGGTAATGACTGAGAGGAGGGAGAAGAGGCACTTCTAAGGTACTGGTAATGCTTTATTTTCTTACATGAGTGATAATAACATGGGTATGCTTACACTGAAAATACATTGAGCTATACTTACAATTTATGTATGTTATTACATATTTGAAAAGTCTATTAAAATTAACACAAAATGCACATATATTATGCCTAGTACAAGATGAACTGAGATGAGAGTATCTTCTTCAGGGATCTCATATTAGCATTTTTAACTTCTATACTATTCGCTAGTTATGATGTGTAAGATCCTAGAGAACTTGGCCCTAATAAGATTCAGATAAATTTTGTATGCAATATGGAGAAGAATGAGCCCTGCCCCTTAAGAGTAATATAAATGCAAGGGGAAAACTCTAGGCCTGCAATGTCAAATATTGTAGCCATAAACCACTGCAGCTAATTAAATTAATTCAAAAATTCAGGTTATCAGTTGTGACAGCCACATTTCAAGTGTTCTACAGCTACATGTGTTGGACACCACATATATAGAACATTTTCATCAACTAAGAAATTTCAGAGGACAATAAATTCGGATCTAGAAGGGAATATGATGTTTAGAATCAGCTTCCAAATGGACCTTCCAACTTAGAAATCAAGTTTTAAAAAATAAGATTTGCACAAGAGAAGAGATCCAATTCAAACCAACACAAATCTCAACAGAAAGAAGTGATATAGCCGGGCACAGTGGCTCACGCCTGTAATCTCAGCACTTTGGGAGGCCGAGGTGGGCGGATCACCTGAGGTCGGGAGTTCAAGACCAGCCTGACCAACATGGAGAAACCCCATTTCTACTAAAAATACAAAATTAGCTGGGTGTGGTGGCGCATGCCTGTAATCCCAGCTACTCAGGAGGCTGAGGCAGGAGAATCGCTTGAACCCGGGAGGCGGAGGTTGTGGTGAGCCGAGATCATGCCATTGCACTCCAGCCTGGGCAACAAGAGCAAAACTATGTCTCAAAAAGTCAAAACAAAAACAAACAAACAAACAAAAAGAAGTGATATAATACAGTGGTCCTCCCTTATCTGTGGTTTTTCTTTCCATGGTTTTAGTTAACTGCAGTCAACCATGGTCAAAAATATTAAATGAAAAATCCTAGAAATAATTCATAAGTTTTAAATTATGCACAATTCTGAATAGTGTGATGTAATTTCCCACTGTTCCACTCCATCCCATCCAAGACATGAATCATCCCTTTGTCCAGTGTATCCAGGATGTACATGCCACCTGCCCATTAGTCCCTTAGTAGCCATCTCAGTTATCAGGTCCACTAGCATAGTATTGCAATGCTTGTATTCAAGTAACCCTTATTTCATTTAATAATGGCTCCAAAGTATAAGAGTAGTGATGCTAAGCATACTGTTATAATTTTTCTGTTTTATTATTAATTATGGTTGTTAATCTCTTACTGTGCCTAATTTATAAATTAAACTTTATCATTGGTATGTTTAGAAAAAAAAAGTATATATAGGGTTTGATAGTATCTGTAGTTTCAGGCATCTGCTGGGGGTCTTGGAATGTATTCCCCTTGATTAAGTTGTGACTACTATATTGGTTGTTCAAGGTTGGTGAGGAGAGTACTTCTGTAAAATTGGTCCTGAACTGCTTTACAGCAACATTCTTAACTTTGAAAGCTAAAGATCTTTGATATTACTCTATCCAATCCCAGTTAGCAGTATATTTAATTCATTTTTCTTGATTATATAAGTTGCTATGAAACAATTAATGTAATGAGAAAAACAGATTACAGACTCTGCATTTTATATTTAAATATTTAAATCAATAAGCTGTTTAGACATTAACATAAAAATAAATTAAGGTTATTTACCATTTAGCAATTCAATGAGTGCAGGGATTATGCCAGATTTGGCTAGCAATGCAGCACAAGAGTCATCCATGGATACAGTTCCAATCATTATAACCACTTCTAAAACAAGATCATCTTCTGCAGCACCTAGTGAAGTCAAACCATAGAAAGTTTTCACTGAAATGTCCTGATCCAAATTCATTTAGAGTATCAAAATGTAAATACACAGAAAGGATACTGAAAGCTATTAAATCAAGTCATATGAATCCTTGATATGCTATAAATTTGTCCTTTTTCCAAATTTCCATGTTTGCTGATGACAGTTTGTGATAGTGGGGGCAGGGGGCAGTAGAAAAGTGGAAATGAGCCTTTGAGAGTACAACTGAATGACAACATAGACACAGAAAATAAAAGACTCATTTGAATGCCTCAAAGACCTTTGTGCGTGTTTATGTATATGCAGAGGGATGGTATTTGGTAATTTTAAAGAGACAGAATAAAAAAATACCAAAAGACCACAAGAAAGGTAGAATAGGAAATAGAAACTAACATAAGAAAACACACTTTTAGGAAAAAGAGAACATATATGTAAGAGGTGATCCAGTGACTACCTTTCTGGGAGAAGAGAGCTGTGAGAAGAAATGGCTTTTCCTAACATAATAATAGTCACACAATACTGCTCTAGCAGCCTTATCCATAACAGAAAGAAATAACTTAGTGATTATACAAAAGTGAAATACTTAGCACAAACCTGGTTTTAGTTTATCCTTGAGGTATGGAACCAACTTATATTCTTTAAGAACCAATTCCCAGTCTAAGTCTGGAATGGTCAAGTTTGCAAGAGTTCCCAAACATTCAATCACAAACTCCTCTTCTTCATCATTAGAGATCTGGGCTGCAAGGTCCCCAACATAATCCTGAATAAAACATAATTTTAATATAAATTTAAATTATTTTTTATTTAATCTAATAACCCACAGGAATCTAACAATTTAACTCATTGAAAGAAAAAGTAAATATCAAATGTGATTTTCTTGTTTTAATAATCTTGAGCTAAATTGCTAAAGAAGCCTATGGTGAACTGGTTTAAGGCAAGAAGACTGTAGTGGGGTGGAGGGATTAGGGGTAAGGGTCACAAAACAAAAACAACATTGAAACATAGGTTGAGATTTCTAGGTGCTAAACTAACAAAGTTGATAACATAAGAGCAATTTGGATTATAAATTAATATTTGACGAGACCTCAGTAAGAGCTGTATTTCCAAATGTAGCAATTTCAATTCCCAGTCTATTTGAATAGAAAGCCAAAATGATACTTACAATAAACAGATTTTTAGTTGGTCCATCATGCTGAGAAATGTTTCTAATCATTTTCATCAGCAATGGATCCTTAAACTTCAGAGCCCTCTTCATGAGCATCTTCAGCCCATTTCCTGAAACAGAAAAGTCCCCCAATAAAATTAAGGTTAGCTTAAGTTTAATAATTTTTTGTTTAGTTCTCAAAAAAGCCACAACAATTTACATCTAGTAAAATGCATAACTCTTAAGGGTACAATTTGATTAATTTAGATGCAACCCATACCATATATCAACATACAGAGTATTTTCATTCCCTCCAGAAAGTTCACTTGTGCCCCTTCCCAGTCAATCCTGTTTCCCAGATATAATCACTTTTCCTCTTCCCTGTCTCATTTTTAAACATATATAAATTTTGCCTGATATAGAACTTCATATAAATAGAATCATACCATATGTGCTCTTTTGTGCCTACAATATCTACTACAAATGTTAAAAACAAAAATACTTTTGACTCAGAAAAATTGTACTTCTGGGAATTTATCCTAACAATATAAAAATGAAAATGTGTAAAGATTCAGAGAATGGGTAATTACTATAGCACTGTTTGTAACGGAAAATAAGTGGCAATGAACTATATCCATAATAGTGAAGTAAACTATGGCAAAATTCTTTAATAGACAATTTTGCAGTTATTAACAAATATGCTTTATAAAAACACTTAATCACATAAAATATTATTTCAAGATATTACTAATTTTAAAAGAATGTATCATGATATATAGACAATCACATTTTTATTTAAAAATATGCAGAAGTATTACACTAAAATCTTACCTATGATTATCTGTGGATGGTAGGAAATAAAGATTTAAATCTTTTCCTTTTTGCTCATTTGTGCTTTTTATAACAAACACATACTACTTTTCAAATAAGGCAAAAACTATCGGGCAGACTCTGAAACATCATAATGTATGACAGGCTATTCTACAAAGATATTACAGAAATAATCTAATACATTTGTATTTTATTACCTTATATTGTAATAGACTGCTTTGCAAAGAAAAAGTTTCATTTTATCTAGAAAATGTTTTAAAAATCAAATTTCAATTAAGGCTAACTCACCATGGTTTGTAAAATGTTATCAGAAGGTAAGTGTCTGCATTTATGACGTAAGAATATTCTATCTGACCTTTAAGGATTATAGCTATAATGAAGAAATTATTTGAAAACAGGACTTACATAATCATTATAATTCTTAATTCCTTATATCTATTTTCCATCATATACCAAATACCATATGCTAAAAAAGTTACCTACACTCAAAGGCACTGACCTTCACAGATAAGCTGTACATTTCTTTTGTTAGCAGCAAGATTAATGCAGAAAGAAATGAGTTCCAAGTCAATTCGTTCATCTGAACATTCAAACAGCATCTTCATTAACTAGCAAGAAGCACAGGGCACATTTTACTCAAGAAACAAAGACAAAAAACCAAACACAGAAGCAATATTTTTATCATAATGTGTTATCTTAGATTGTACATTGGGCATAATATAATTATTTACATTTCAACACATAAAACTGGCAGGCGTTCACTGTTCAACAACTGGATGAATAAACAGTTAATGAACTCTTAGATGCTCAGCATTAAATATAAACTTCTAAGTACAGTGGAGAATATAAGAGAAATATTAGATAAAACATCTGTCCTTAAATAATTAAACATATTGTTTGGAAGCAGAGCATTCCAAGCAAAGAAAATAGCTTATGCAAAGGTCACAATGCAGGAAAAAACAGTACTCTTTGAAGAATTAAAAGCAAGCAAGCATTGTTGGTGAAAGGGAAACAACAGTTTTAAGAGATAAGAAGGTAAAAACCAGATCATGCAGGGTCTTGAAGTACATGTTAAAGATTTTGGCCTTCGTGCTAAGAAGGATAATGGGAAGCTGCTAAAAGCTTCTAAATAGGAAAGTGTCAGGATAAAATTTGTGTCTCAAAAAGATTTACCCAGTGTAGAAAATAGAATAAAATTGCAAGAAAATATGGGGAACCAGGTAGGATGCTAGAGGAAAAGTCCAAGTGAGAAGATGGGTGTCTGAACTAGGTAGAGATAAAAGGATTGATTAGACATATATTTAGAAAACAGAACCAAAATGGAATGTAGTAACTGACTAGATGTTATGGTTAAAGGAGTGGAGGAGTCAAAGATGACTTCTGGATTTATGCACTGAGAAATGACATACATGGTGCTGCCAACATCTACCGAAAAGGAGAAACTAGGGTAGAAAAAAACTTTAAAGGAAAGATAGTAATTTTGGTTTTAGATATGTTGAGTTTAAGCTGCTTATGTGATAGTCTAGTGCAGGTATTCAGTAGGAAGTCATAAACACAGGCCTGAGTTTAGAAGAAATGTCTGGACTAGAGGTATAATTTTAGGAACTGGCATATATGGTTGAAAACTGAAGCTGCAGGCTAAATCCAATCACTTGGGCATGGGTATAAAATGAGAAAAAAACATTTTTAGTGATAAGAGAAAAAGAAAGAGGGTCTGAAAAACAACAGACAAAAAGGTAAGAAGGAAAAGGTAGGCTACCTATGCCATTTAGCAGTAATCTAGATTTGTCATGGTGAGAAACAGCTGCTATAATAAAGGACAAATGAACAAATTTTATGCTATGTTTTGGAGAAGCTAGTCTTCTATTATTGTCAAATCAGCAAATTAACTTAGTGTATAGTACATAAAGAGAGTTTTTTCTCAGCCCAAATTGTTAACAACAAATAGAAGTTATTCCTAAAATTTATAATATAAAAACTTACTATGTTTTATCTCAGGGCAATACCTTTTTAGAACATGTTGGATTCATGCCTTCATGAATCCAACACAGCGAATAATAAATATTTATTTATTTTAGACCTCTTTCTGTTAAATCTTGTTTTGATTACTGTTAGTTCAAGATGACTTCTGCATTTCAAAAATGATATGTGGTCAATATACAAAAATCAATCACATTTCTATGTGTTAGCAATGAACAGCTGAAAACCAAAATTAAATTTGGTTAAATTAAATTAAATAAAAAACACAATACCACTCAAATTGTTAGGTATAATTCTAAGCAAATACACTGATCTGTATGCTGAAAATTACAAAACACTGTAGCAGGTGAACGGCTGGCATGTATCATATGCTCCCCTTGAGGGCAGATCTTTAACCACAAATATTACCACTGATAGTATCTCTGGGTAAGAATCATTAATACTTAATAATGCCACAGAATAAAAAAAGATTCAAGGGCAAAAGTAAAATAATCTTAATTTACTGGATATATATTTAACAGATTTCACTACCTATCTGCCCAATAAAAATTAAATTACAAATAAAATTGCCAATAAAAATTAAATTACAAATTACCAAAAATGTAGGTGACAATCCTCTAATTAATTGCTATGTTTTCTAAACTGTAATTAAAAACCTACCATAGATTTTTTTCAATCTGAGAATCGGTTACATTGAAGCAATGTTTCAAGCAAAGTATTTATTGCTAACAAAAAGTATTTACTTCAAATCAACCTTTGTAGTATGAAAATTAGCCTTAAACACAGGGCTACAGGTCATTATTTTAGAAGGTAAATTTTCTCTAAAGTAATTTCCATATTAAATTCTACCTAGAAATAAACAATCAGAAACTAGATTTTTAGAAAATAATGCATGGCTCGAAAACTTACTCAACTCCCATTCCCCATATCGAGCTAAATTAGGACTAAATATAAATGGAATGCATAATGATATAGAATTAGTTTTTCATAATAAGAGAGATAAACATTTCAATTTTAATTAAAGCTTTCAAATTTAAAAAAGCAATGTTTAGTTCAAACTCCACATGAAAGAGTATGTCTTTAATTTGATTGCTATGATGGCACTTCAAAAGTAAGTGTAATTGCTGACAACTAGAAAATATTAAAACTAGATTTGTTCTGTTTTAACTATGTCCATTGTCATCTTTTACTAATTTACCAGAAAAGCACTAAAAGGGCTTCAGTCTGTGCGATGAAGAGGCAATAGTGTTCAATCAGACAAGTCCCATATTGAGTATCAGATACCAAAGACCCATGACTGAAATCACTGTGTCTAGACTCTCTGGCACCTGACTTCACTTATTTACCACTGACCAGAGGCCAACCCCCACAGCTCTCTGTATTCACATATAACTCTACCACCCCCATCCCCTACCCAAACATCTTTGAATGATTATACCAGAACTTTGCATGCCTCCGGAATCTCTTCTGACTGGCTACTCCCTAACTCTCCTGTTTGAAGTGATGCTCTGGTTTCTGAACTTCAGCAGATAATGGCAGGCAAGAGCAAAGGGGGCTGTCAGAAAGGACGTTTACCAGCATTCAGCTAAAAAGAAGCATGTAGATCAAAGGGGGCCATATAGGACAACTGTGGTGGAAAACATGTGGATCACTATGAAGATTCTTGCACACTGTTCTAGGATAAAATATTAAATAACACCATGACATCACTACCTAACCATGTACTTTCATTGGCCATTCTATTACCAATAAATACTTTTATAAGCATCTGGATGGCATTTGCACCCATTTAAACAAAACATGCATCTCAGAGGTCTAAATAACAATGAACTGTTAATGTGTACTTTTAACTATTATTAGAATACAACCATTAACTCCCGCTTATCCTCAAGTATGCCTACCTGAAACAATCTACCCACTGAGACCATTAAGATCATGTATAAAGACTTGACCTGGCCCCTAAATTTTACAGAACAGTGATACAATAGGGTAAGAAAATTAGAATACATTGGATAACTAGAGGTAATAAAGTACAAAGGAAGCAAAGCAATATAATATTGGGAGAGATTATGAGACATGTTGTATATATAATCACCCACTCCGGATGCTAAATATTTTCTAAAAGTGAATTCTAATCTAATTATAGGTTTATTCTATAAAACACATATGTGATAGGCAGTACTTAAAATGGACTATAAATGGGTCAAAATGGTGACAAAGATTTTACTAAGAATATCTTACTTTCATATAGTTTACAGTTTATAAAGCTCCTTTAATATATGTAATTAATGAAGATGACTATATTCAATTTTTTTCATCATTGAAATGAATATGAATTACTACTAAGCCACTGCTTTCCTACATTCAAAGTCATGTTATTTGCAATACATGAGGATTTTTACCAAGCAAAAATTAATATGCATAATTACAAACGAACAGAATATTATATTAACTCTAAGATATTCCAACCGGGGTTATGACTTTAGTAAGTAGGTTAATCAGTGGCTGATTAAACTCATGAATGAGTTTAAAGCCTTATTGATATTATATACATTACTTTGAGTAGCCAATACCTCTAAAGGAGTACCTTTTTAATTCCTGAAGGAAACTTGGAAATTTCATTTAATTTCTGACTTGTTTTCCATGATTCTTTTATTTTGCAATTAACTTGGCACTGGGTGGCAATAAAACCACGTCAACTTTTCTCTTTAAATATGTAAAATTTGGCACTATAAGTTAAAAGTTATAGGCTGGATACCACATTAGGAGCAAATATATTGTACAGTATCATTTGGTTTTCTCAAAATACCAGCTCATATAGAAGCTTTGGGATGTTTACAACATAATTGGGTAACATAACCTTATTCTGTTAAGGGCTGAAATTTCAAAAAGAAAAAAATGGGAAAAAGAAAACATCAAAAATCCTTGACCTCCTAAATTTGGGAAATATTGTTCACAAAATACAGATTACACATGTTCTGAAAACTTCATTGCATACATGTTTGATGTTAGAAAACTGTCTGGTAAGAAAATATGCACGGATATTGCTCCTGAAAAGGTATGGGAGCAATTTTCTGTATACACAGTTTTAAATTGCAATAATAACAGTATCTAAAAAGTAATCTAGACAGACTCTTATTTCTGATTCTTTCATTTAAAATAAAATTTTACATTTTATATTTGAGATTATACATTCTAGAAGAATAGGATAACTCCAAATTCAAAATTCTATAAGTAAGTTTCCTATCCTTCTTGGTTTGCATTTATTTATCTTTTATTTAATGCTATTCTCTTTAAAATCTAAATCTGGATAAAGACAGTCAATCTCGGTAAGAATATTATGTTTTTGGCTGCTTTCCAGTTCATATCCTGTGGTCAATGAAGTTCTGACTCTAAATGGAATCGGAAAAGGAACACCCTTTGAAACTGCAAAGCAGAAACCTTTAGAACATATGGAGTGAGACTGTAGTAAATCACCTGTAATCTCACTTTGACTTGGCTACTCTTTTATTGAAAACTTGTTTGACAAAGAGTTTGATTACACTTTGCATTGAGTATAGTCTGACATGCATTATCTCTATAAGACACCTGCCTTGCTAGATAAGATATGCTGTATATTCTTTCAGGGATGTCTATTTCCTATAAACAAGCGTAATTAGTTTATCCCCTGATATAAAAGTCTAAGAAATTACCCTTGAGAGTTTATCAATTTTTTAAATACATGTAAGTGAAATGTTAAAATTCTTGAATAGCAAATCACTTTTAGTACTGTTTTATTTAATTTGGAATGAATGAAAGAACAGTCAATTAGAATTAATAAAAAGTTATGGTCTATTTTTTACTATATATTATTTTTCAAGTAACATGCATTTAATAATTCTTTTTAGACAAGGAATTATGTAGTAGGAGTCAAGAGGAATTACCTTCATAAGTACGATTTGTTCATATTCTTCTAACAAAATTATGGAATTATGCTTTGTTATCATAGTGACTCAGGTTTTGTTTTGTCCATTAATTTCAGACATGAACCTCCAAGGAAAATAGAGCGATTTACTCTTCTCCAATCAGTGCATATTTACAAGAAGCACAGAGTTCAGTATGAAATGAGAACACTTTACAGATGTTTAGAGGTGAGTGTATTTGAGAAATTCTGGCATTTTTGAAATACCAAAAATTCACACTAGCATATAACTTTACTTTAACATTGACTAGATTGACTTCTTTCAGCAAGCCCATGTCTGTTGGTTGTACAGAAGGTAAATATCTTTTAGTGTTTATGGAAGTGTCATGGTAGGAAAAGTAAATGCAAATAAAGCAATCCTTTAGAGTAGTGCATACCTTAACTCAGGAATGCAGATTATGCAAAGATAGCATTGGAATAATTTTGCTCATATTTCAAAAATTCTAGTGAAGTTTTTACACAGAGTATGTTTATTGTATATCATACATCCTACAATTTTTGTTTTAGAAAACTATTTTATAAAAAATAATGTAATATTAAAAATCAGCCCAAATAGTGTTACAATAATCATAATTCAAATTAGTGGAAGGTAGTTTAATAAAGAGTAATGACATAATAGTGATCCTATGAATGTTAATTCCCTAAGAGTAAAATTGTTATGATGTACAGAATCTCTACCCTTATAACATACAGTCCATGTTACAAAAAAAATCAATAAACTCCTTCAAGACATTTAGGACAGATATTTATTTAGGTCTATTTAGACCTAACATATAATACATATCTAGCCACTGAATCATAGCAAAAATCTTTCTTGAGAGCAGTTGTATAAAAATGAAAGAATTTTGATGAAACATTTTCCCATCAGAGAATGCAAAGCAATTAAAACTATTAATATTAACCATAAACAAAATTAAAAGACATGTGACAAACTTAAGCAATATTTGTAACATAAAATTAAAATAGTTATTATATACATTGATCTTATTTGTTAATAATAAAAATATTAACAAATCAGTTAAAAAATTGGGAAGGCCCATTTTGGTGGCTCATACTTGCAATCCCAGCACTTTGGGAGGACAAGCGGGGGAAGATTACTTGAAGCCAGGAGTTTGAGACTATCCTGGGCAAGAAAGCCAGACCCTGTCTGTATAAAAAATAAAAAATAAAAAAATTAACCAGTCATGGTGGTGCACACCTGTAGTCCTAGCTACCCAGGAGGCTGAGGCAGGAGGATTGCTTGAGCCTAGGTATGAAGGCTCCAGTGAGCTATGACTGTACCACTGAACTTTAGCCTGGGCAACAGAGCAAGATCCTGTCTCAAAAAAAAAAAAGGAAGGAAGGAAGGAAAGACTGGCAAGAGATATGAATGATCTGTAACAGAATATGGATAATAAACACAGGAAAAAATGTTCAACCTCACCAATATTCATGGAAATGCAAATAAAAAGAAATAACGAACCACTGCATATTTAGAAGAACAATAATATCCAGTGTTGCTAAAAATTAAATGCTAGCTGGAAATAAAAACTTATGTTTTCTTAGAAGATATTTTGGCCAAAACAAAGACACAAGTGTTTATTATCTTTTGACTTAGCTATCCTACTTTTAAGAATTTAAACTAAAGAAAAATTCAGAGACGTGGGGAAGCATTTACAAATATGATATCTCACATTATTTTCATTTGCTTACATTCATTTTTATGTGATAAATGGGAAAAAATCTAAACATACAATTTAACAATATTTAAATTATGTTACATCCATGTAATAGAATATTATACAATTAAAAATAATTTTTGAAGAATGTTCAGTGACATGAGAGTATAATTATGATATATTAATAAAGCAATATGTAAATATTACATATACCATGTAATCTCAATATATTATTTTTTAAGTATGTAGAGAGAAGTGTACCAAAGTGTTAAATAGTTATCTCTAAGTTTGGGATAATGGAAAGTTATTTTCATTTTTATACAGTTCTGTACTTCCTCAATTTTCTATAATAAATTTGTAGTATTATTAAGAAGAGAACTTTTTTAGAGAGAAAATCTTGACAAATCAAGAGAAAAGAGTAAAAAATATATATATTTGTTAAATGTTTTTCATAAAACACTTAAACCACTTACCTGTGGTATACAGTCAGTGTATGCAAACATTGATTTAAAGCGGTCATCCATGCTTATGTGGTAAAGAACACACATTGCTATTTGTTTGTAGTTGTCATTGCCTAGGAATAAAACATCATGGTGATGATGCTATAAATATATATTTTTTATATAGCACACTCATGTTAATGTACTACAACTTAAACTACTGAATAAAATCTTTATATAAACTTAATCTGAAAAATATTTTGAGCTATCTATTTCAAATCCAAAATTTAGAGCAAGCATATTCATGTTATATGTGAAACATCACTAATTTCCAAGAAAGAATGTCTATTTCCCAAGGTATAGTTTTGAAAAAGAAAATTAACCATAGGAATTAATTATTTTCATGAGTCCAATATAAAAACAATTGGGTCATTAGCCTCCCCATCTTTACTGTTTTATCAAAATATGTGATTAATACATTCATTGACAGTGGTGATGTTTAGATATAGTAAATAAAAAAGCATCTTTCTACAAATCAGAAACTGAAAATATCATCCAAATGATGAAAGAAGTAAAGTAGTAGTTATAACAAAAAAATAAAATATATGACTATAAAATGCTATAGGCTATAACACAGCCGAAATATAGTATGAAGAATGTCTCAGAACTTCTAAGGTAAGATTATTCTGGTTTTATATGCTTTGAAACTGAAAAAAAGTGAATACATATCAAGATTTGAAAAACAAAATGGGACTTTAATATATTATTTAATCCTACCTGCTTTCAGACAGAACATATTTTAAGGACCTACTTACAATCTCAAAGTCAGTGATAAAACTAGAGCCAGAAAAGTTGCCTAACTAAAAATTTTATCCAAAAAACAATATCCTTTTTGAAAATTCTAGGCCATGAGAAATTCTGAAGATATTCCCAAGGTAGTTAGAAATTCTTTAGAGGAAATAAACTGGTATTTTCTTTTCTGTCCTTTTTTTTTTTTTTTTTCAGAGACAGAGTCTCACTCTGTCGCCCAGGCCAGAGTGCAGTGGCACAATCTTGGCTCACTGCAACCTCCACCTCCCAGGTTCAAGGGATTCTCCTGCCTCAACCTCCTGAGTAGCTGGGATTCAGGCGCCCACTACCACACCTGGCTAATTTTTTATTTTTATTTTTAGTAGAGACAGGGTTTCACCATATTGGCCAGGCTGGTCTCGAACTCTTGACCTCATGATCTGCCCACCTTGGCCTCCCTAAGTGCTGGGATTACAGGCGTGAGCCACCGCGCCTGGCCCTAAACTGGTATTTTCACAAGGCCTAGTGTAGAACATGGAAGTTGTTCAGTAAGTATCTGCTGATTGATTCTGTTTTTAATATTTAAATATAAAAGCTGAAGAAATAAACTCATTTAATCAAAGATAGAAATTACTAGTTCTAAAAGGGGTTCAGAATTAGAGACAAAGATTTGAGACAGAAGTATTCAGTTTCCCAGGGTCTAGCAAGCTTCAGGCAGGTGATTTGCTTGTACCCAGAAGGTGAGGCTTGCAGTGAGCCCAGATTGTGCCACTGAACGCCAGCCTGGCCAACATGGAAACCCTGTCTCTACTAAAAATATAAAAATTAGCTGGATGTGGTGGTGTGCACCTGTAATCCCAGGTACTAGGAAGGTTGAGGCAGGAGAATTGCTTGTACCCAGGAGGTGGAGGTTGCAGTGAGCCCAGATCATGCCACTGCACGCCAGCCTGGGCAACAGAGCAAGACTGTCTCAAAAAAAAAGTAAGCAAAAAATACAGTGATCTTCTATCTCTCAAATTTACTTTGAACTTCCTTACCATTTGATATATTTATCTAACATATAACCTCCATGAAAGCAAGGACTTTATTCACTGCATTATCCCCAGATGCAAGAATAGTACCTAGCACAGAGTAGGTATTTAATAATTGTTGATTGGTTAATAATAATTTATTAAACATTTACTATATATCAAGAGCCATGCTAAACAGACTGTATGGCATTGAATCTCAAAACAATCTGTCAAATAGGTCTTATCATCCCTATGTTTCAGATGAGAAATCTACAGTTTAGAGAAAAATAAATACTTGCCACACAGCCTTGTCAGTGGTTGAGTGGGGATTTAACCACAGGTCTCTCTGATTCCCAAATCTTTACCAGGTTATGTTACAATACTACTCTCAAACATTTTTCTTCCTCATTTGATGCCTTTGGTATTCAACATTTTTATATCACAAGGTAAAACTGTTTTCTAAGTAAGACATTATCAGGTATAAAAGACTGATAAACACTGATATATGAGGGAATTAAACATGTTTTAAAAATATACTGCTTTTTAAATCCAGGTTTTAGATTTTGCATCTTGCAAAACTGTTTGGCTAATTCTATTTCCTACTGCTTACAATAGCAGTAAGAACAACTCCTTGGGATAAGATAAAAACAATATATGTTTTTCAGATGAATGGACACTAGTAAGCATTTTCACCTTAAATAAAATCTATAAATTCACTAATTCAACTATTTGGAATACAACATATACAGGAAATACATTTTATTTATATGAAATAATATTTATTTATTTCATCTATTTTTAATTTTTCCCTATGGTATTATTTATAGAAAAATTAAATTTATAGAAAATTTACAGAATAGAGAGTCAAATCATTTAAGGTAAATTTCACATTTCTTCTATTGTTTGAAGAGCTTTACTACAAAATTTATAAAGAAGAGAGAAGCTGAATTAGAGTCAGAGATAGGCTCTAAGGATAATGATTATTGACTAAGGTTAAAATAAAGCTAAGATAAAGTAATGTGGGAGAAAATAATATTTAAAGTTTTTGTTTAGGGGTAAGAATTTTATTTGGCGGGCAGTAGGTAAAAATTGTGAAATCGCTCCAAGTAAGAGAAAAGTGCAGACAAATAAATGTTCTTAACCCCAACAATTTTGTCCTTGAGTTTGGAGCAATCTAAATATGTAAGATTTATCAATTTTAATGTTAGATTTTAACAGACCACATTTTTATACTGTTGAAGGCACCAATTTATACTTATTCTAGTATAAAGCACATTTGCCATAGCAAAACTTAACGTTTGAACAGGTTCTCGTGATACGTAGGTTAAACATGAAAAATTCCAACTTTATTCCCCAAGAAGGTAGGAATCCCTTAGTCTTGGTCTGACTGTATTTTACATTATTTTTTTTCCCCCGGAAATTGAGATATTTGAAAATCTTTTCAAACAGAGTTTTAAAGCAAACTCATATTCTGAAGGAAAGTTTCTCTTTCCCTGTGATTCTAGTTATTTTCTATCTGTCATTCAGCTGTGGATAAGTCCTAGTCTTACTTAATTTTTAAAAAATATTTGAAGATATTTTCTCTAGTAATGGATTCACTGAAAAGTAGGATTCCAAGTAATACAACTTATTAAATGGTAAAAGAAACAAAGAGAAATCAATAACCAATATAAAAGATTCTTCAACAACAAAGTAAATAATCAAACATTAAAATTCAATGTGAGGCTAGGAATGAAACAGGAAGCTATTCTATACTCTAGGAGAATCTGTCTGCTGCTCATGTCAATGAAAAAATTCTAAAAAGCAATGTCCTGAGGTGGCACATCATTCAGGTAAGGTGAGAGGAAGGAAAGACTCACCTTTAAAACATAGGTACTACATTAAAAGAACAAGAAATTCCTGAACATTGGGAGAAGCTAAAAAAATTAAAATAAATAAAAGAATAACAAGGGAAATTCTCTAATTAATTTTATATACATGTATGTATACATATAGCTTGTGTGTGTGTGTGTAGCTTCCAAAGGCAAACTCAGGATAAAGGGTATCTGTTAGAACAGAAAGTACAGAGAAGAGTCCAAAAATTATAATAATTTCTACTGGCAGATGAATAATATAGATAAGAAGCAGTTCTCAGATATAACAATTTATATTAATTTTATATAGTGAAACTAAACGTCTAATTTCCAAAAGTAGGATGATTCATTTTGCAGCCAGTCCTAATTCTGCTCTTATGTACTTTCTCATTTTCCTTTTCTCTTCACACTTATGGTCAAAGGTGAAAGTTCCTTGCAGTTCTCCCACACCTTCCTGCTTTAACAGAGGATCTGTGATCCTCTATTAAAAAAACTCTGAATACGTTTCCAATTTCCTATAATATTCATCTAAAATGATCATCATATCCAAAAGTTTGCTAAAAACTAAAGGACTGAAGTTAAGAGAAGCTCTAGGGACACAAGGCTATGGACAACTAATCTTTCTTATACCACAATTCTCTGAGAGAAGGTTAAAGAGAATGGGTTAAACAAACAATGGTATTGTTCCTATTGCATGTTCAACATAGTTTTTCTCATTTAGACCTTACAGTAATTAAAGGGGTAGGTATTATCTTTGATTCAGAGATGAGGCAATGACATTCACTAAGGCTATGACCCTTTCAAAAGGAAACACAGATGTGAATCTGGGATTCAAACCTAGGTCTGACTATAAAGCTCATGCATGTACTTTTAACCAAGCCTTCCAGGAGGCAGCAGAGGGAGTGAAATCAATAATGCCAAATAAATGTAAGTTATCATCATCATTCCTTAGGGCGAAGTACAGGAAGGAGATGCATCTAGAGGGACTCTGTACGATCTGCTGGACCTGGGACTCATGGGGAAAAGGGTGAGAAGATTGGCAGTGGTGAAGAGAAGACATGAAATGGAGAAATGCAATCAGATATTTCTCAGAGGACCTGTGCCCAGATATAGCAGGTTCCAATGGATGAAAGAATTTCCTGATGGGGCAAACTGCATTATCCCCCAAGCAGTTTTGAGGACTAGACCTACAGCAGCCTAAGTTCTGAAACTCATTCTCACTAAATTGGACAATAACTGCATCGATCTGTGATTTTATGAGAAAAACAAGGTGCTAGAAGCTTAAAACATAGGTAGACTGATAAAAGCAATACTCTAACATTGGCTGACAGCTCAGGCTCTGGAGGCAGAATGCTCGGGTTCAATCTGTGGCTCTTCCACTCATTAGCTATACAGTCTTGTGAATGTTATTTAAATTCTGTGTTTCAGTTTCATCATCTGTAAAAATGGGATAATAACTGTACCTACCTGAAAAGGTTGTTGTGTGAGGATGAGATGAGAGAATCCTGGTAAAGCAATTAGCACTAAGTTTGACATACAATAAATCAATTCAATAAATATCATTTCTTATTATTATGTTGACAATAACATTTTTTCTGTTTTACTAATACAACAGTACTATCATGTGTTCCTAATATATATGATGCTTTGTGTTTTTTATCCTCAAGACTTGAACTGTAGTTAGAAGTAAAGTAAGTTGGAGAGGCAGCCGAGATTTCTGAGATAAGCTAGACACAGTTCAGAGGTATACTCTGAGCCTATGGCCGAGCCACTTACCTTTCTACCTAGTCATTTTCCTATAAAGCTCTGCTGTTTGGCCGGACACAGAGGTTCATGCCTGTAATCTTAGCACTTTGGGAGGCTGAGGCATGTGGATTACCTGAGGTCAGGAGTTCAAGACCAGCCTGGCCACCATGATGAAACCCTGTCTCTACTAAAACATAAAAATTTGCCAGGCATGATGGCAGGTGCCTATAATCCCAGCTACTCAGGAAGCTGAGATGTGAGAATCACTTGAATCTGGGAGATGGTGGTTGCAGTGAGCCGAGATCGTACCACTCCACTCCAGCCTGGGCAGCTGAGTGAGACGTCTCAAAAAAAAAAAAAAAAGAAAAAAAAAAGGATAAAAAAAAAAAAACTCTGCTGTTCATAAAATTTAGGCTTAGGAGAATCATCTTATACCTGAGGCTCTACTCAGTGACCCATATGTAATAAGAACCCATCATCATTCTCTCACTCTCATAGAGTTATAAATCCCTTAATGGAAAAAAAAAAAAACTTTAGTAAAGAAAATGATCCCCTCTCAATACCCCCCTCCACACACATTCAGAAATCTCTTATCCTTTCAGGTTTCCTTCTTTTAACAGAACTTACTTTCACTCTTAAAGTGGGGAACAGTCATGGAGATGATGGGCTATCAAGCAGACGAAAGAACAGACAGAAGTCTGAGGACACTGAAGAGAAACCTCACAATTAGCTACCCTGTTTCATTTACCTTTAAACAGCATGTCCCAGGCAAATAAAACCTATATGACAGAGGTGTTTTCCCCATGTTTTAGCTGAACACAACTGAACAAAAGAAATCGGACTACAACTAGTGCTTCACCAGATATATATATATATATATACACACACACACACACACACACACACACACACACACACCACACACACTTTTTTTTTTTCTTGAGGAAACAGTGTGAAAGGAGGTGATGACAGAGCTAAGGGACTATAATATTCTAACCCAAGTTGCTAATGTGTCTTCTGGATTTTATGTGAGTAAAGTTTCCCCTAGAATTTAAACAACTGATTTACAAATAACTATAAATTTAATTCCCCCCCTTTTTGTAATTAGGGAATGAAAAAGATATAAACTGGCATTTGGCCTTTTATTCAGAAAAATACGTAAATATTTTATAAACGGTCTTGTTACCCACATATTATCTTGATGATTCTAGTTCTATCCTACAGTTACAAATCACATATTTTCTTTCTCTTCTAAATAATTTCAATATATGAAGACTACAGTATATAAACCATATGTATCTTATTCACTGAATCATAAATGATTACATAAATAATCAATACTTAATAAAAATGCAGCCTATAACTTCACGGCATCTAGCAGATATCTGGAACCTACAACAAAAAGACAAGGCATTTTAGAACAAAATTGAGTACGTGGAGGGGGAAGATGTCTGGCAATAACCTGAATTCATCTATTCAAACACAGGTCTGCAAAGAAAGTAAAGACTCTTTGGCAGCCAACATTTAATATTACGACTTAAAGGCTAATTTGCAGATCACATAGCAATAAACAGCTATTAGAGAGATTAAATGGTCTAAGTAAAATAAAGAGCTTATCTTTTATTGTAAACTAATAGTCTTCTTCATTCACTGAAAGAAAGAACATCTGAGTTCTTACAAAATAAAGCTCAAGAAAAAAAATCTTATATACCCTAAGTGAATTCCTACAAGAAATGAGGATTGGAGGGTATGATTTTCTCGTAAGAATTCATGACTAGAAGCCATAAACTGTAGCTAACCGGCTATGATTCCTCTACATCCTACAAATGGTAGACATTTCAAAAAGGCTCCTTTAAGACATAAAGACATCAATTATTCCCTAACGGCATCCCAAGTAAAAACAGGCTGCCAACAGTCAGCATGCTGGCACAGCACCAAAGACTGTGAATTTTAAGCAAGGGCAGTGAAAAGACTGAGTATCTTGAGAACTAGGTTCTTAATGACTGGAGGTGGATTAGTTAAATCTGTTCAAGTAATAAGGGCAGGGTAGAAAAAAAATGGCCTAGTCATTATGATTCCTTTGGTATTTATGGTAATAAACATGAATCATGATGAACTCACTGGCTATTAAACGCAGAGGTCATAAGTACTTCGATAGGATTTCCACAGGAATTCACCGTTAATTAGCTGGATCATTATTTGAAAGTGTTACTGAATTATCTTAGCATTTGTGCAGCCATTCCCCTCAAATTGGTCATTCCCAGCTGAGGGCAGTTAATGCCTTAACAAACTGGTCATTAACTCCAGTAACTGATTTTGTGGGAATTATTGCACTTATAAAGTACATTCAAGAGTTTATAAGAAACATTGCATCTTTTTTTCTTTTTAAAGAAATTTACAGCTGTAGTTCAGCTGGAGCAGCTGAAGGAGAAAAAACTATCAGCTCTCTGGGCTGCTCTCACAATCGATTTTCTGCCAATTAAAGGGCAAAACACATGCTGATGGGTTTTGAATTTTAAAATGTCTTCAGTTTTTTCATCTGTGAAGTGATCAGTAAAAACACCATTCAATTACTAATTTTGTAAGACACTTGGGATTTTTCATTCACAGTTCAGTCAAGCAGAAATACGAGTTCTGAACATGAGAACTCAAAAGCCAAATTTCCGCTTCTGCAGTAGATCCAGCCCAACACTGTGAAAACAAAGTGAGAACACAAGTTATGGGCCACATTATTAGCCAGATTCTCATTCCCTTCTATACTCTATGTCTTCTTCTTTCAAAGTGGAACACTCCCTTTGATGTCACAGAGGCTCCATGAAAAGATAATAGAAGTGGGAATATAAGCACACCTATATTAGGATAGAATAGCATTAAGGTGATATATTACCCCTGGAAAGTCTATATGAATACAACGTGCTTCAAAATTTGCAGGTGTCTTTACATTTATTACGGAGTGAGAGCCCCTAAAGTTCTATCAATACAGTGAAAATGCCACAGGTGAAAACCACCACTTAAAAGATAATTGCAACAATTATTGAACATGTTAACTACACACTGACATAGACTAAAAACACATTGAAGCTATATCAGAACATCTTTGATACATGTTTCCATATAATTTTATGCTTAACTTATTAGAGCATATACTGCAGATATATACTCAATATAAACAGATAGCCTTAGTTTAAACTTGAATTTGCACAGACCAATGTTTAAGACTGTAACTACATTGGATGATCTCTTTTATAATATATTTGTCTATAGTCGAGATTTGAGATGAACAGATAAAAACCAACAGTTGTTAACCAACAGTTAAGGGGAAAAAATAACATAATTTATAGGTTACAAAGATCAGTATGAAAACATTAAGTACAACAATAGTTTCTGAGGTACAGTGGTTCACGGATAAGTAATTTTTTATGTCCAATTATTTAATTTTAAAAGTATGAGAAACTAACATTGCAGATCTACCAGTAAGCTAAACATTGTTTTTAGAGATAGTCACTAAATGAGTACTCTTATATAGAACATTTTTGATAGATTTTCATTTGTTTTAGTATGTACAACTGTACATTTTGCCACACAGCTTATTTTTCATCATATCTTCAATTATTTTATTATGTCTTCTGTAGAATTTTTATTACATCCATAGAATACAAGTTATTTGCAATAAGATCTAAAGAATACACATACTTGTGGTACAAATGATAAGGATCAAAATAAAGCCCTTAACAATGACTGCTTTCTAGCCTGTATGTCCAAATCATTGACTTAATATGCTTTGGCCAAATTTTACCATCTAGAAATGGAGACACCCTAGGCAATATTCACACACACACAGTATTGGAACCAGCTGGTGACAGAAGAATCTTAAGAAAAAAGGCTTCTTGATTTAATTGGGAAAACAGGAGGAAGCATAAATTTTACTGCCATTAATAACTTCAAGCAATCTTGATATGAGTCTACCTCACCCTGACGGCGAGACATGTGCTTTCTGTTAAACTGTTTGCCACTTCTGACCCCTATTGTTTGCTCACTTGATCAGGTAAGAAAATGTAGGTTTATTTATAGGATAAATGAGGCCTATTAAAATTGAGAAACAGTGTAGTAGTCTATGAGGAGTTGTGTTCTGAAACAGATGTGTGAAATTCCATAACAGTTCGGTAATAAACAGAACAACCAAACCAATTTATTTTTTAAAAAATCTACTTTAAGTTTCTTAAAGAAACTATCATAAAGGCAACCTAGTTTCAAAAAAATGGAAAACACTTCATTTTGCTTGGAAATCATTATTCTGACCATTTCCAAACAGTTTTTAATAAGTCAGAAAAGGCAAAATGTTGCTTTCTTCACAAAATAAAGTTTCATTTTTTCATTCTTTATGATGCTGTTGGTAAATTAAAAGTTAGATCATATTAATATAAAGTAAATAAGTGAATTTAAAATTGTGGAAAAATTTCAAAGGTGTTCAGAAGTTAACTTTGTCAATTTTCTTTTAAAGACATATGACAGAATGGTCAAAGGAAATAACCCTTAGTTTTTATATGATCAAAGTTTAGAGTTCAACAGTATCTGCTCTGGTGATCTCCAAAAATAAGGGAAATCAGACTTGTCTAAACCGGAAGAAATCAAACATTTGTCACTTAACTCTTGACCTGGTCTGACTCCTTACATGCTGATGAAACTGTTCTACAGCTCTGTAAAATGCCCCAAACCCATATTACCTAAATGTAATCTAGACAAAAATGAATCAGGTGCCATTCTTACTCTCAAAATCAATTTTGGGTCTACTCACAGAATAGAGAAACATTTATATCAATATGGAACACCTTAGAAACTCTAATTTGTCTTCCAATGAAGACAATATGGTCTAACATTACTGACTAAAAATTAGACCTTTTGAAATTATTCACATAAAATTGTGAAACAGGCCTGATGTGCTATTGAATTTAGGAGTCCCAATTTTCCTGTCATAACCAATAACATTAGTTTCTGCACAAGCCAGCCATGCAAACTGGCACAGATTTAAAACTCTTAAAGTTAGAAGAATCAAAATTTACACAGGTAGAACTCAGAATCAAAATTTAAATGATGGCTCAAACCTTCATACTAGTAGCTTTCAGTGCCATACGTTTATCACTGACCAGGGTGGCTCTGCTGATTAAAAGATAACTTTAAGAAATATGTCAGAGCTATTAACTTTTTTAGTTAATTTGCATAGGTTTATAAATTATATATGAAAATGCTTAACACAAGTACACCAGATGAATATTCACTTATTCTAAGTATAGAAAAGCTTAGCAACATCTATTGGTAACACTACTAATTCCTCAGTTTTTAAGGATGAGAAACATTCTCATCTCTGCTTATAAATGAGCTAAGGAGGTATCCCAAGGCAGGGTAATTCTGTGATACTGGGTTCTAATTATATGGACTTCTGAATACGTTTAAAGAACAGTTTACTAACCTAGGATTAAGACTGCCATTTCATCTATTTGAACAGTGGTTCTCAAACTATCTGTGGTGGTGAGCCAGGTTTTTTCATTTCTTCCCCTAACATTTTTATTAAAGTACAATAAAAATGAAATTAAACAAAAGATATATAAAATAGAAGATGCAAATTTTTATTATTACATTCAGCAGACAAAATCTTATTCAGTCAAACTGCTATATGTGTCTAAGTGCTTACTTTCAATTTTTGGACTTACTCATTATAGACCAGTAACAACCAATAACAAATAGACCAAGTATTGCTCTGTGGACCATACTTTGAGTATCACTGTATTAGAAGATTCCTGCCCTGAATTCACTGATACATGAGAAAGCTATAAAATATAAGTGAAATTAAGGTGCTATTTCAATGTTTAAAACAAACCCTCTATAACAAATCCTCCCGGCCGTGTGAGGTGTCAGTCCACACCTACTGGGGGGTGCCTCCCAGTTAGGCTACTCGGGAGTCAGGGACGCACTTGAGGAGGCAGTCTGCCCGTTCTCAGATCTCAAGCTGCCTGCTGGGAGAACCACTAATCTCTTCAAAGCTGTCAGACAGGGACATCTAAGTCTGCAGAGGTTACTGCTGCCTTTTGTCTGTTTGTGCCCTGCCCCCAGAGGTGGAGCCTACAGAGGCAGGCAGGCAGGCTTCCTTCAGCTGTGGTGGGCTCCACCCAGTTCGAGCTTGATGGGACGTATTCAAAATAATAAGAGCTATCTATGACAAAACCACAGCCAATATCATACTGAATGGACAAAAACTGGAAGCATTCCCTTTGAAAACTGGCACAAGACAGGGATGCCCTCTCTTACCACTCCAATTCAATGTAGTGTTGGAAGTTCTGGCCAGGGCAATCAGGCAGGAGAAGGAAATAAAGGGCATTCAATTAGGAAAAGAGGAAGTCAAATTGTCCCTGTTTGCAGATGACATGATTGTATATCTAGAAAACCCCATTGTCTCAGCCCAAAATCTCCTTAAGCTGATAAGCAACTTCAGCAAAGTCTCAGGATACAAAATCAATGTGCAAAAATCACAAGCATTCTTATACACCAATAACAGACAGAGAGCCAAATCATGAGTGAACTCCCATTCACAATTGCTTCAAAGAGAATAAAATACCTAGGAATGCAATTTACAAGGGATGTGAAGGACCTCTTCAAGGAGAACTACAAACCACTGCTCAGTGAAATAAAAGAGGATACAAACAAATGGAAGAACATTCCATGCTCATGGGTAGGAAGAATAAATATTGTGAAAATGGCCATACTGCCCAAGGTAATTTATAGATTCAATGCCATCGCCATCAAGCTACCAATGACTTTCTTCACAGAATTGGAAAAAACTACTTTAAAGTTCATATGGAGCCAAAAAAGACCCCGCATTGCCAAGTCAATCCTAAGCCAAAAGAACAACGCTGGAGGCATCATGCTACCTGACTTCAAACTATACTACAAGGCTACAGTAACGAAAACAGCATGGTACTGGTACCAAAACAGAGATATAGACCAATGGAACAGAACAGAGCTCTCAGAAATAATGCCGCATATCTACAACTATCTGATCTTTGACAAACCTGAGAAAAACAAGCAATGGGGAAAGGATTCCCTATTTAATAAATGGTGCTGGGAAAACTGGTTAGCCATATGTAGAAAGCTGAAACTGGATCCCTTCCTTACACCTTATACAAAAATTAATTCAAGATGGATTAAAGACTTAAATGTTAGACCTAAAACCATAAAAACCCTAGAAGAAAACCTAGGCAATACCATTCAGGACATAGGCATGGGCAAGGACTTCATGTCTAAAACACCAAAAGCAATGGCAACAAAAGCCAAAATTGACAAATGGGATCTAATTAAACTAAAGAACTTCTGCACAGCAAAAGAAACTACCATCAGAGTGAACAGGCAACCTACAGAATGGGAGAAAATTTTCGCAACCTACTCATCTGACAAAGGGCTAATATCCAGAATCTACAATGAACCCAAACAAATTTACAAGAAAAAAACAAACAACCCCATCAAAAAGTGGGCAAAGGATATGAACAGACACTTCTCAAAAGAAGACATTTATGCAGCCAAAAAACACATGAAAAAATGCTCATCATCACTGGCCATCAGAGAAATGCAAATCAAAACCACAATGAGATACCATCTCACACCAGTTAGAATGGCGATCATTAAAAAGTCAGGAAACAACAGGTGCTGGAGAGGATGTGGAGAAATAGGAACACTTTACACTGTTGGTGGGACTGTAAACTAGTTCAACCATTGTGGAAGACAGTCTGGTGATTCCTCAGGGATCTAGAACTAGAAATACCATTTGACCCAGCCATCCCATTACAGGGTATATACCCAAAGGATTATAAATCATGCTGCTATAAAGACACATGCACATGTATGTTTATTGCGGCACTATTCACAATAGCAAAGACTTGGAACCAACCCAGATGTCCAACAATGATAGACTGGATTAAGAAAATGTGGCACATATACACCATGGAACACTATGCAGCCATAAAAAATGATGAGTTCATGTCCTTTGCAGGGACATGGATGAAGCTGGAAACCATCATTCTCACCAAACTATCGCAAGTACAAAAAACCAAAGACTGCATGTTCTCACTCATAGGTGGGAATTGAACAATGAGAACACATGGACACAGGAAGGGGAACATCACACACCGGGAACTGTTGTGGGGTGGGGGGAGGGGGGAGGGATAGCATTAGGAGATATACCTAATGCTAAATGACGAGTTAATGGGTGCAGCACACCAACATGGCACATGTATACATATGTAACAAACCTGCACGTTGTGCACATGTACCCTAAAACTTAAAGTACAATAATAATAAAATTAAAAAAAAAACCCTGTATACCCAGGTCTAGAAATACTCAAAACTGTGAAGAAAACTGTTTTCTGTGTCCCTGATCTCTCATTTGGCAACCATTAGCCCCCTCGAGTCTTTCCCTTCCTTTTCTCCCTCCTTATCATGACTAACATTTGTATACGACTTTCTAGTTATCAAGAAAATATATGTTTATTCTCTCATCTGATTCTCAGAACAAACCTATTTTATCAGAATAGGACCTATTTTATCCCCTAACTTTCTAAATAAGACGAAAGGTTCAGTGAAGATCAACTGACTTGCCTAAAGTCACTCAGGTAATAAAGGGCAAAGGGAAGACTCAAGCTCAGCTCCTTTGATGTTCCTTCCTTTCATGTGTTCCTTTCATCCTTTCATGCATTCATCCCTCTAACCACCCACCAAATATTTATTGAGAACATACAATGTGCTAGACATTGTTCTAGGTATTAGGAGTAAAGAAGTGAAGTAAAGAAGTGCCATGCTAATGGTGGTTCAATATTATTCATCTGCCTCTTCCTACACATTGGCTGAGACTGATGGAACTCCATATTGTCATAGAGCTTATGTTGCTGGGGCCTGGAGGGTGGATAGGGGAGGTGGGTGGTGCACAGGTAGTAAACAAGATGATTACATGGAATTTATATCCAATGATGATTAAGTACTATGGGGTAGCAGCTATATTTTGAAGATAGAGCTGACTGGATTCCTAAGAGTTTGGATAAAGCACAGGAGGGAAAGAGAAGGGCTGAGGATAACTCTGCCAGTTTTGGTCCAGTTAACTAAAAGATGAAGTTACCATTTACTGACATGAGAAAGACAGTGAAAATAGTAAATTGAGGTGAGGGTAGGGCAGAGATCGGGAGCTTAATTTTGAACCTGTTAAATCTCAGATGCTAATAAGGCATCCAAGGAGTAATATCTGGACCAACAAAATCAGGGAGGAGGCTGAGATTATTTCTATTGCTATTTAGAAGACATCCGTATAGGCAGAGTATTTAAATGGAATGAATGAAGTCAGCAAAGTAGTAAGCATAGATAAAGTCCAAGGACTAAGCCCTGGGGGCATTCTAATGCTTAGAAATTGTAAAGAAGAGGTGGAAGCAGAAAAGGAGACTGAGAACGACTGGATATTTAGGAGGAAAGCTATTAAGAGTACTGAGTCCTGGAAAACCAATGGAAAAAGTTAAAGAAGGAGGGAACTGTAACAAATACTGCTCATAGGTTGAGTAATATGAGTACTAGGAATTGACCATTGGCTTTGGCAATGTGCAGGTCACTGGAACTTGACCAGAGTAGTGTGATGGGGTGTTTGTGTGGGAGGTGAAGGGTGGGAGTGACAGCCTGATTGGAAAAGATTCAGTAGTGTGTAAAACAATGAGGGGAGGGGACAGAAAGAGGAGAGAATAGAAGGAAGTGGGAAGAGGGAGACAGAGAGGGAGATGGGCAGATAGGGAAAGAGAAACAGAAAGAGATAAAGAATAGGGAGAGAGGGCATATTAATATATATGAAAGGGAAGAGGGAAAATGAAGACAGGAAATGAAGATAACTCTTTTGAGGAGAGTTGAAATGGGAAGAAAAGAAATAACATGGTAACTAGAAGGTAAAAGAAGTGACAGTGAAAAATAATCTATTTTACAATTGCTACGAAGAGAATAAGACATCTAGGTATACAACTTAAAAGGGATGTGAAGGACCTCTTCAAGGAGAACTACAAACCACTGCTCAACGAAATAAGAGAGGGCACAAACAAATGGAAAAACATTCCACGCTCATGGATAGAAGAATCAATATTGTGAAAATGGCCATACTACCCAAAGTAATTTATAGATTCAATGCTACCCCATCAAGCTACCAATGAGTTTCTTCACAGAATTAGAAAAAAACTACATTAAATTTCATATGGAACCAAAAAAGAGCCCATATAGCCAAGACAATCCTAAGCAAAAAGAACAAAGCTAGAGGCATCACACTACCTGACTTCAAACTATACTACAAGGCTACAGTAACCAAAACAGCATGGTACTCGTACCAAAACAGATATATAGACCAATGGAAGAGAACAGAGGCCTCAGAAATAATGCCAAACATCTACAACCATCTGATCTTTGACAAACCTGACAAAAACATACAATGGGGAAAGGATTCCCTATTTAATAAATGGTGTTGGGAAAACTGGCTAGCCATATGCAGAAAACTACAACTGGACCCCTTCCTTACACCTTATACAAATATTAACTCAAGATGGATTAAAGACTTAAACGTAAGACCTAAAACCATAAAAACTCTAGAACAATACCTAGGCAATACCGTTCAGGACATAGACATGGGCAAAGACTTTATGACTAAAACACCAAAAGCAACGGCAACAAAAGCCAAAATTGACAAACGGGATCTAATTAAACTAAAGAGCTTCTGTACAGCAAAAGAAACTATCATCAGAGTGAACAGGCAACCTACAGAATGGGAGAAAATTTTTGCAATCTATCCATCTGACAAAGGGCTAATATCCAGAATCTACAAGGAACTTCAACAAATTTACAAGAAAAAAACAAACAACCCCATCAAAAAGTGGGAGAAAGATATGAATAGACACTTCTCAAAAGAAGACATTTATGCAGCCAACAAACATATGAAAAAAAGCTCATCATCACTGGTCATTAGAGAAATGCAAATCAAAACCACAATGAGATATCATCTTATGCCAGTTAGAATGATGATCATTAAAAAGTCAGGAAACAACAGATGCTGGAGAGGATGTGGAGAAATAGGAACGCTTTTACACTGTTGGTGGAAGTGTAAATTAGTTCAACCATTGTGGAAGACAGTGTGGCGATTCCTCAAAGATCCAGAACCAGAAATAGCATTTGAACCAGCAATCCCATTACTGGGTATACCCAAAGGATTATAAATCATGCTAGTATAAAGACACATGCACACATATGTTTACTGCAGCACCATTCACAATAGCAAAGACATGGAACCAACCCAAATGCCCATCAATGATAGACTGGATAAAGAAAATGTGGTGCATATACAACATGGAATACTATGCAGCCATAAAAAAGGATGAGATCATGTCCTTTGCAGGGACATGGATGAAGCTGGAAACCATCATTCTCAGCAAACTAACACAGGAACAGAAAATCAAACACCGCATGTTCTCACTCATAAGTGGGAGGTGAACACTGAGAACACATGGACATCACACACCAGGACCTGTCGGGTGGTGGGGGGAAGGGGCAGGAATAGCATTAGGAGAAATACCTAATGTAGATGATGGGTTGATGGGTGCAGCAAACCACCATGGCACATGTATACCTATGTAACAAACCTGCACATTCTGCATATGTATCCCAGAACTTACACTATAATTAAAAAAACTTTAGTTAATATTTTAAAAGCTGACATAAAAATTTGGAACATTACTTAATTTAAAATGTACAATAATATCACACACAACAGAAAAAAAAGTGTGAATAAACTCAAAAATTCAGAATTGTCCAAAAGAGTTCACCAGTGAAATGCCACTTTTATTATTATTATTATTATGTATGCACTCTGTAAAACACTGCCATCTGTCACTATGTGATGTTTAACTTTTATCCAAGAATGAAGGCCCTTCCAAAGAACACATTTCAATTGCGTATTTTATGCTTGCTCTTGTGCTAAAACCATCCTCAAGCATATCAAACAATCCTCAGCTTATGAAATCTCTAAACCAAAGCAAATGAGAGGTGCAACAAAATATATGCATGATGCATCAGACAAAAAGCTAGGAAAATTTAACTTTTCAAGTTACTTTTGAAACACTATCAGTACATATTCTAGGGTACTGAAGAATACACTATGACAAGGAATTTCCTTGCCATCTTCCAACCCAGGATAGTCTGACGTAAGGAAGCACCCTTGAGACATATCAATGTCAAATGGCTTAATAAGTTTTGACAAGGAAAAAAATTTTTTTGAAGATCTGATTCTTGGATAAGCCAAAAAAATCTTTAAACACTTTTAAAAACGTAACACTATAAAAATCCCCAAAAAGACTGCATCTAACAATTAAGTAAAGCCAAGTTTTGTAAGTCCAATTCAATTTGCAGATAATCACATTTGCTGAAGCCAATGGCTATGATAGATCTCCCAGATGGTAGCATTAAGTTACCAGACATAAGAAACTATCTGTCAAAGTATAGGAATGATAGAACTGAAATGATTTATAACTGATACTGAACTAAGCAGAAATAAATTTAGTATCCTTATGAAATCTCAGGAAAATAACATTAAAAAATAAGAAACGAATAAATTTGGCAATATTTAAGAGAAGGAAAACAAAGGAATATTCATATATAAGGTTTTCCATGGAACCAATTAAAATTTTAGATTTTCTGCACTCTTAGGGAAAGATCAAAACTACTCAAACAATTTCAGCATGAGATAGAAAATTTAAAATAATTATTTATAATATTCTTTACAAATCCCTTTTTGTGTCTCTGGTGTTAATAGAAAAAGCTAAAATCAAAATTCTTAAATGAAATGCTTTATGTGACAAAACAATATTAAAATAATTTTTGGTTCTATTGAATTACAGTTTCCCTTAGAGCCTTCCATGGAAAAAGGGCTGAGCTATAACACAATTTCTCCTTTGCCTTTAATTATTCAAATCACAGAACCTTAATTTTATATATTTTTTTCAGTTTGTTTTCCAAGTAAACTTTGAGTGAAGTTATTCAGTCATTAACACCAATCTCACAACAGCAGGGGTCGCAATGTACTAGTTAAATGTTTCAGGAAACTGAGAAGCAGATTAACTGTTCATATTGCATAGATTTATTAGAGCATGAAAGATTCACAACTCATTGTACTCTAGTGAAAATAATCTATCATTAAATATAAAAAAGATTTTTCTGTTGTGGGGGTCCCCAAATTATAATAAAGAAAACCTGCTTAAAAGCTGATAGCATTTCTAGTTGAAACAGCATAAAAATCACTTATGCTAAGTTCTACCATGTGCATTAGCTCCACAGAGAGGCTTCTACACCTCTTAAAAAATAAGTAATTTCTATATATGAAATAGGTAATTCTTTAATTCAGTCAACTGTCAACTTGAACATATATCAAACAGTGAGTTTATTTCTGAAGAAAAAAGCAAACTGACCATTCATGTCTACTGCATACTTTTAAATTCTTTTCTCCACAGTGAAGAAAATGTACCCCAAATACTTTAAATATTTGATTTACAGAAGGTTTCTGCCATTGAATTTCTTTAAATTTTAATTCCATGTAAATCACTCCAGTTATTTGCCAAAAAATAATCTAAAATAATTTAGATTGTCTACTATTTAACACATTAAAAATCAACTAAAAATAAAACTTAAAAAAATCCATCAGAAACAGTGATATTTCTGAAGGTTTGAAGGAAAACAAGTCTAACCACCTCCTCTAGTTCACTATCTTTCATCAAACCAACCAGGAAGATCAAATCAATGAGTAGCTAATAACTAGCATAAAAAAGGGAATACAGTAAAATACAAAGTGTCCATTGCAAATAGAAAAGGTAAATACTGTTTTGTGAACATTTTTGTTTAATTACATATATTAAACAAATGTTTAAATATATATCAAATATAATATGTAATATATAGACATATATTGACATGTGAATATACATGTATATAAACATATACACATTACATACACATGTGAGGGTTGGGCTACACTGTAAAATACATATTTAAAATAATATACTTTTTAACCTTAGGAAAAATATATCTTACTACGGATTGAGGTAAAACAAGTGTGAAAGTCAGTGCTCTAAATAAATTTTTCTTGTCCTTTTCAAATTCATGTCCTTTATAACACAGTTTCCTTACTATATCTTTTGTATAAGCATTGTAGCCAAAGACCACATATGTTAAATGTATCACTGAATTACTCAATTGAGAAGTTTAGCTTACTGTGTTAGGAGTTAATGATTTAATTGTCTACACATGTAACATATATATTAACAAATGTAAAAATGACCATTCTAGTAATATCATGAAATCAATTATACACTAAATGCAATTTCTTTGAACACAGCAGAGAGATACAATTAAGCAAAATCAGTTTCTTCAGAGTCAAAAGAAATGTTACAAGGTCCACACAATAAAACTCAAGAACATTACTAGGAATAGAACCCTTGGGGAACTCATTTGTAATTCATTTTTTAAAAAATATACAATTCAAATAAGTTCAGTTGTCAGTTTCCAAGACCACAAGAGAATAGAAATAGATTATTATAGAAAAGAAAAATTGCTGCTATAGAAATGCTGCTGGTACAGAAGAAATGTGAAGTGACAGCCAAGGCCAGGGGAAAAACAGAAAAATTGTATATAAAAATGAAAAATACATGGCGTTCTGGGGCCATTTAGCAAGGAGAAATCCTTGGGCATGGTAATAATATTTATGGCCCTGTATAATAAATTATCTTCAGACTTGCAAACTTTAATAAATGATAGTAAGAACAATAACAGCTACACACATTATAGCCTTTGAACCTAGGGACTCTGGCTCCAAATCCCATGCTTTTAACCACTACACTATACTGCTTCTCACTAAAATTTAAAATTACGTTCAAGATATTAAAGTAAATTTAAGAAAATACTTTAGAAAACAAAGATGTAATTGATTTTTAAAAGACATTCTGCTATAAACTGAATGTCTATGTTCCCCCAAAATTCTTATGTTGAAACATAATCTTGAATGTGATAATATTTGGGGCTGGGTCCTTTGAGAGGTGGTTACGTCATGAAAGCAGAGCCATCATGTACGGGATTGGTGCCTGTGACAGTCTGTTGGCATGCTGCTAATACAGACATACCCAAGACGGGGTAATTTATAAAGAAAAAAAGACTGGGGAGGCCTCACAATCATGACCGAAGGCAAATGAGGAGCAAAATTACATCTTACATGGTGGCAGACAAGAAGAGCTTGTGTAGGGGAACTCCCATTTATAAAAACATCAGATCTGGTGAGACTTATTCACTACCATGAGAACACTATGCGGAAAATGCCCCTATGATTCAATTATCACCACCTGGCCCGGCCCTTGAAACGTGGGGATTATTACAATTCAAGGTAAGATTTGGGTGGGGACACAGCCAAACCATACAGTGCCTTTAGAAAAGACACCTCAAAGGCTCCATTTCCCCTTCTGCCATGTGAGGACATGGTGAGAAGACAGCTGTCTATGAACCGGGAAGCAGGCCATCCCCAGAGCCTGCATCTGTTGGCACCTTGATCTTGAACTTTACAGCTTCCAGAACTGTGAGTAATAAATTTCTGTTGTTTATAAGTCACCCAGTCTATTCCCTTATAGAAACCTGAACGACCTAAGATAACTGTGTATGAAATGATTAAACACCCTTAATAATATAAGCCTGGAGAACTTATCAAAAAAGATCCTTTCTAGATATCTAGTGTTTTGGGATTCTATGTATATTTCTTTTGATGATAATTTCACATATTTGTAATTTTGTAATATTGCATTATCTCATTTAACTTTTCCCTATTCATATATACTATTATTATCTACATACTGAAGATGAGAAAACTGACATACATATATATATATATATATAAAATACATATATATATGTATATTTTAGGTAATTGCATAATACCACATAACTGGTATCTGATGAAGCCAATATTCAAAGGCATATAGCCTGGCTCCACAATCCTAGCTCTAATCAATGTGCTCTGGAATACCACAGTTGCCAGATGGACTACGTCCTGTAGGATTTGCTACGATGTGTCAGGACGTGATATTTAAGAGATTCTGGTAATCCTGAAAACCCAAAAATAACTTTCAGGATCAATTTTCTTGCTCATCAATGTTCCAGTTCTACTCATTCCAAGCATTTGTCCACTCCCTTGAAGTTAGGCATGGCGATGTGATTTGCTTTTATCAACAGAATGTAGCAATATGAATTTGTCACTTCAAAAGTGGAAGCCTTTAAGAAAAGCATGCAATTCTCCATATCCCTGTTCCGTCACACTTCTCTATTTCTGTTCCTGGTACTAGCATTCTAATAGTCATAGATTTTATGACATCTTTTTCTATCATCACCCACATCCAAACAGTAACTATAACATTCATTTCACCTACGATATATCCCTTCTGCCCTTTCCTTTTGCCTCATACTGGACATACTACATCTTCTCTAAACGAGGTTTTCTTTACTTCTTGTCTTGCCTATTACAGCAGGCTACTGATCTCATCTTCAGACTCTAATGTGAGTCCATCAAATAGAATACATCAGATTAATTTCCCTTGAGCAGATTTCTGATTATAACCTACCGAGCTCAAAAGTCTACAATGATCCCCACCATCAGTTGTAAGTACAAACTTCTTAGCAATGCTTTAAACTTCATAATACCACTTAAGAGCATAAATCCATTTTTCTAAATGTTATCTTTCACTTATTCTTAGTCATATTCTATGCTCAAGTTGAAATGGCAACTTATTGTTCCTCCTACTGGCCTAGCTCTAGCTATGCCTTAGGTAATGTTTATTGCTTTATCTGAATTACTTTCTATAGCCTCAACTCTTACTTTATAAATATCACCCTATGAAAATGACAACTTTTTCAATATCCATTTCAAATGAAATCTTATCTATAAAGTATCAATATAGGAACATCCTCTTTTGAATCCCTATATATCTGTAGGTTGAAAAACATTTCTCTATAGTGCTTAGCGCTGTGCTTTGCTATGGTAGAGTATCAACATTTTACTGAAATAAATTGAAATGCATATTCAAGAGAGTAAATTTTTTTTAAAAAAATTACCTGGTTTGTCAACAAAAATGTAACACGAGAAACGTATTTGTACTCAGAGTAACATAAGTCAGCAACATTTATAGAATGTCTACTTCATAACGATGATGATGTTGATTAGAAAAATAACAGTAGCCAATATTTACTAAGAAAATGTGTCAGGTACTTTGCAGGCAATTCTTCATTTGATCTTCAAAAACTCTAAGTTGAATATAGTTATTACCCTCATTTAAGAGATGAGGAAACTGAGTAACAAAGAGTTTGCATAACTTGCCCAAGGTCACATGGTTAGATGTAAACAGTCACAGTTCTAATAAAACAGTCTCGCTCAAGAAACTGGGCTCCAAAGGAGATAAAACATTAATTTATACATTGGATATTATGTCTTATATCCCAAAATTTTCCACTTGTTAACAAATTATGAAGTGGGTATCACATGAGTGATT
The DNA here is from genome assembly GCF_000001405.40 of Homo sapiens. Lineage (NCBI taxonomy): Eukaryota > Metazoa > Chordata > Mammalia > Primates > Hominidae > Homo > Homo sapiens. Next base: position 170,015,144 of record NC_000001.11, read on the forward strand.
TCTTAAAAATCTCTTTTAAATCATACATTTTATCATATGTTACAAGGCAATTATTTAATAAAAGTACATGACTAGAAACTGAACAAACCAAATAGACTATGAATTCCTTCAGGCCAATGGCTGTAAATTGTTTATCTTCATACATTGAGAAGCTGACCTAATAGGTGACACATAATTATGTCAGATTTATAATAAGTGAAAGGTCACATGATTTAAATTCAAGACCAATCAACTTTACTCTTAAAGTTTTCCTTATTCCTCCTCAAATGTCTACATTGCTTTGGTTCTCCAAAACCAATTTTTGAAAGTGCTCCTTAATAGAGTAACTTCTAAAATGTATAATAACATTGTTGTGCAGTATTGAATATATGGAGAAAGCTGTTAAAAAGAATGAAACTGCAGTACTGAAACAAAGGAACAAAGAGTTAAGACATAAGTAACAATTTACTTTCTGGTTAAGAAAGGCAATGCATTGCAGGTAGAGGAAAAAAGCAGGTAAAACAGGTAGACAGGCACTTAGGCATAAAAGAGCTTATTTAGGAAACTGCAAGTGTTTCAGTATGGTCATGGTGTAAAGTATATGCTGGGAACTGGCAGGAGCCCATAAAGATGGAAATTGAATAGATTGTAAAGAGATTTAACGCCCTACTAAGAAAGTTAGCATTATGTTGACTGCACAATGTTAACTCTTCAACTCACCTTGTCATAGACAGGTATCTTGCTGGCAGCTAAAACAAAATAACTTATAAACTGAATTCTCCAATACAGTACTTTCTAAGTCATGCTATAAAAAATACCCTTTTTAGAGGCTGAGGTGGGAGGATCACTGGAGCCCAGGAGTTCAAGACCAGCCTGGGTGATATGGTGAGACTATCTCTATTAAAAAAAATATACCCTTTTTAACTTAGTAACAAAAAGTTTCCACAAATTAGCTCATTTTTAAGTAGTATTTTGAAAGTATAGCAGAATATAAGAACTTAAACGATACCTGCGTTGTTTTTTTTAAGAAAAATCCTGAAGATAAAATATTTTTTTCCTTCTTGCTTCCTTATTTTTCCTTGCATCATTACTTTTTGGCTTAGTATGGATAAATGAAGTCAAAGGGTTAAAAGTTGCTATTTTATTTCATTCCATAGCACCATGGAAATCCTGGTACAGGTCATTTTTTACTTACTCTGCTTATTTTTATTATTTAGTTTCCAGTCAAAGAATATAGACAGAATGCTTTTTGTTCAGGAGGCTTTTCAACACAGAGCTCAATTTTCCAGCGATGTTGGAAATTCCAGACAACACTGTCATTAATTTCTAAAAAGCATACCTAGGAGTGCAGTGAGCTTGGGAAGCAGTCCAACTTGTACCATCTTATTCCTCAGTCCTGTGTCAAAGGATAGGTTTAGTAAAAGTCGGAGGGTGATATTCAGCAGGTCTTCATGCTCACAAGGTATCATTTTCACCAGTTTTTCAACAATATCCATTTCCACCTAAGTAAAATAATAATACAAATACAGTGAAGTTCTGTTGCAAAATAGGACAAAAAGAATATAATTATTTTTTCTTTGTTTTTACCCTAATGTATATCTGTTTTATAATTATATGTTAATCTTATACTCCATTTCATTCTGTAAACTTTCCTGAAATCAAACTTTTGAGGAGAAAATATATATGCCACATCATCCCCTCCTTCCCTCATTTAATTGCATCAACTGGAAGACAAATTACATTTGATCCTTGAAAACACTCTGCATTATTGAACACCACCTACTAAGTACCAGGCCCTATGCAAAGAAGATCTCACCTTGGCCTTCAAGGATTCCTCAGTATAAAAGGAGATGAGGCTGGGCACAGTGGCTCACGCCTGTAATCCCAACACTTTGGGAGGCCGAGGCGGGCAGATCACGAGGTCAAGAGATTGAGGCCATCCTGGCCAGCGTGGTGAAACCCCATCTCGACTAAAAATACAAAACTTAGCTGGCTGTGGTGGCATGCACCTGTAGTCCCAGCTACTTGGGAGGCTAAGGCAGAAGAATGACCTGAACCCGGGAAACAGAGGTTGCAGTGAGCCGAGATCATGCTACTGCATTCCAGCCTGGTGGCAGAGAGAGAGACTGTCTCAAAAAAAAAAAAAAAAAAAAAAGAGTAGACAAATAGAATGAATAATGAAAATACAATGTGATAAAAACTGAATGAATACAATGCTCTGAAAACAGCATTGAGAGAACTACTAACCCACCTGGAAGAACAGAAGACTTCAAATTAGGAATAAAGTAAAAAAAAAAAATGACTAAGAATTTGTTCTCTGGTTCAGAAAGGCAATGGCAATACAAGTTGAGGAAAAAGCCAGTGGATCGGCATTTAGGAATAAAAGAGCCTGTTAGGGAATTGCAAGTGATTTAGTATAATCATAGTATAAAGTACATGTTGAAGACTGGCAGAAGGCTATAAGACAGATCTACATAAAATCATAAAGGCTTTTAATGCTGTACTAAGAAGTTTAACTTTATTACACAGGCAGTGAAGTGTTCTGAAAGATTTTAAGTCCAGGAGGTGATGTGGTCAGATGCGTTCCTAGACCAGGAATACTCCTAAAATCCAAAGTCCTTGACACTAACTAAACACCAACTTGTAAAAGGCCTATTTAAAAACAGCAGTCTCAGAGTCCTTTTCTGTATGGTCAATAAGGTAGATGTATTTTCTGTTAACTGACAAATGGAAAAAGAGGTTTAGGGCAATGAAGGCAAAAAATTATTTTAATTTTTGTCATTTAATTTGAGATGGTACTCAGTGAATATTTAAAAATCATATACAACTCAGGAGAGAAGCTAGACTAAAAGCAATAGTTGAAACTTTAAGACAGGGATCAGCAAACTATGGCTAGTGGGCCTATCTGGCCTGCTATCTGTTTTCATTCAACCTATGAGCTAAGAATGGCTTTTGACTTTTACAATTTTAAATGGTTGGAAACGAAAATCAAATGAAGAATGATATTTCATGACCTACAATAATCATATGAAATTCCAATTTCAGTTTGATAAATATTTACTGGAACAAAGCCATGCTCATTTTTTTTACCAGCTGTCAATGGCTGCTTTCACGCTACAACTAGAGCAGAGTTAGTAGTTGCAAGACAGATCATATGGCCTGCAAAACCTACAATATTGACTATCTGGCCCTTTGAAGAAAAGGTTTGCAAACCCCTGCTCTAGAAGATTATAAAATTGCATTAAGAGAACTTACTTTATAGTAACAGAGGACACAACTTATTTAGTAAGAGAAGCTCTGCATTCAGATTTTTTAAGGTAGCAATCGGAAAACTTTGGTTGTAAAAACATCTCACGTCTTTTAGTTACAAAGCAATGGCAAAAAAAGAAATTTGAAAAAAATTTATGATTTTTCAATCAAAGGATTATTTTAATTTAATCCTTTAAATTTAATTTAATCAAAGGATTATTAATCCTTTGATTATTTAATCAAAGGATTTATGATTAATCTTGCTCTACTTTTTCTTTTATTGGAGATCTAAAATATTTATTTATACCACCCATTTCATATTTTTGTTCCAATCTTTCACTGACCTCATAAAAATCACATTAATAACTGAGCCCTTGATATACTTTTTTCCTTTCACTCTATGCAAGGAATAAACACAAATTGTTTTAAATTGCTAAAGTGACAAATTAACACCTGATTTTTCCTTCAGACTTCTATCTACACTCCACAGCCACACTGTAGTCATACCCTAGAGCTGTTCATTATAGAGTATAATTCTATTGCCAAAGACTTCCAAAAATCAAACACAAAATAAGAGCTGATTCTTTGAAAATACCAAAGCAACTGATAAACCACTAATCTAGAAAAAAATGACCAATATCAGAAATAAAACAGAGAAAATCACTTCAGCCCTTCAGACAGAGATAAAAAGGAAACAGTACCAAAAATTTTATGCTCCTACATCTGCTAACATACAAATGAATTAAATTCCTTGAAAGACAAACTACAGAGCTACCACTCAAGAAGAAACAACCTAAACAGTCCTGTATCTATTAAACCAATTTACAGAAAGAAAATTCCAGGCCTACATGACTTTTTACTGGTGAATTCTATTAAACATTTATGTAGAAATAATACCAATTCTACACAAATCCTTCCAGAAAAATTAAAGAAGAAGGGATGCTTCCCAGTTCATTATAGAGGACACAGTTACTCTAATAATAAAACCAGACCAAGACATTAGGAGAAAAGAAAACTATAGAATAATGCCTCATAAACATAAAAATTCTCAAAAATAATTAGCTAATAAAACTTAGCAATATATATAAAAGAGCAATATATCATGACCAAGTAATGTTTATCCCCTCAATACAAGACTGGTAAACATTCAAAAGTCAATCAATGTAACTCACTATATCAACAGTCTTTAGACTGTTGCGAATATGCGAAAAACCCATATGATTATCTCAGTAATAGATACAGGAAAGGCATTTCACAAAATTTAACATCCATTCATGATAAAAAGTCTCAGCAAGCAAGAAATAGAAGAACTTCCTTAAACTGATAGCAAGTATCTAAAAAACCCCACTGTTAACATCATGCTCAATAGTGAAAGACATTGTTTTCCTCATAAGATCAGTAACAAGGCAGGGATAGCCGCTCACACGATTCCTCCTCAACATCATACTAGAGGGCATACCCAGTGCAATAAGGCAAGAAAAAGAAATAAAAATCATACAGATTAGAAAGGAAGAAACAAAACTTTCTATTTGCAGATAACACAGTTGTCTACTTAGAAAATCTCCAAAATCTGTGAGAGAGTCAGTACAACTAAAAAGTGTGTTTAGAAAGTCACAGGACATAAGGTCAATATGCAAAATCAATTATATTTCTATATAATATCAACCAAAACCAGGAAACTGGTAATTTTTTAAACTGCCACTTATAATGGTAAAATACTTAGGTATAAATCTAACAAAATACATATGCTAAACTATAAATGATGGAAGAAATAAAAAAAGACCCACATAAATAGAAAGCTATACTATATTCATGGATTGGAAAAATCCAATATGGTCAATATATTGATCCCCTCAACAGATTCAATGCAACCCCAATGATTTTAAAATGTACATGGAAAAATACAGAATAGAATAACTCTGAAAAAGAATACCAACATTGGCAGCCTCTTACTGCTTGATTTCAATACTTACTAAGAGGCTATAGTAATCAAGAGAAAGAGGTATCAATGAAAGCACAGACACACAGATTAATGGAACAGAAACCAGAGTCTAGAAATAGAGGCAAACATATATGGCCAAATTTTCTTTTTTATTTTTTTGAGACGGAGTCTTGCTCTGTCGCCCAGGCTGGAGCGACGATCTTGGCTCACTGCAAGCTCTGCCTCCAGGGTTCACGCCATTCTCCTGCCTCAGCCTCCCGAGTAGCTGGGACTACAGGTGCCCACCACCATGCCAGGATAATTTTTTGTATTTTTTAGTAGAGATGGGGTTTCACTGTATTAGTCACGATGGTCTCTATCTCCTGACCTCGTGATCCATGCAAAGGCAATTTCAATAAGGTGCAAAGGCAATTTCAATAAGGTACAAAAGCAATTCAATGCATCTTTTCAACAAATAGTGCTGGAACAACTAGACATCCATATTAAAAAACATAAATCTTGGTCCATATCTTGTACCATATACAAAATTAACTCATGTATCATATACTAAAACGACAATGACAAAAACCTCTATAAAACTTGAAGAAAACATAGGAAAAAATCTTTGTGAACTTGGGTTAGACAAAGATTTCTTAAATATGACACCCAAATACAGTCCACTAAATTTTTTTTATATGCTGACTTCATGAAAATTAAAGACTTCTGCTTTTCATAGGAGAATGAAAAGAAGGCACAGAAAAGTGAAAATACTTGCAAAACATATAACTGATAAACAACTTGTATCCAAATACAGGAAGAACTCTCAAAAGTTAGCAGTAAGAAAATTAAGCAAACTACGCAACATATATCCTCTCTGTTGTTCCTCTAAAAAACTGTCTAAAAGCCAGGCTGATATTAGTTCACATCAAGAGTAAAATAAACACTTTATTTAAATAAATAATACTACCTCACAAATAGCTCAGCCATCTCCTTATTCCTTTTATAAATAAAACTGCCACAAGCTTCAATTGTTGCTAATTATATCAGGTAGTATTTTCCTTTTGGAAAAAAAACAGTGTATGCATACACTGGTTGTTACAGCAAAACTTAATAAAAAAAAACTTGGAGAGTTTGTTATTAAGTTTTTTTTTTTTTTTTTTTTTTTGAGATGAGGTCTCACTCTGTCACCCAGGCTGGAGTGCAGTGACATGATCTCCGCTCAATGCAACCTCCACCTCCTGGGTTCAAGCAATTCTCCTGCCTCAGCCTCCTAAGTAGCTGGTATTACAGGTGTGTGCTACCACACCTGGCTAGTTTTTGTATTTTTAGTAGAGATGGTGTTTCACCATATTGGCCAGGCTGGTCTTGAACTGCTGACTTCAACTGATCCACCTGCCTTAGCCTCCCAAAGTGCTGGAATTACAGATGTGAGCCACCACACCCAGCCCGTTATTAATTTGTATTTCTATTGCACAGAATAGAATGTGAAATATGTGCAATTAGTCAATCAGATGTTTAAACACTAGACTAGTATTTAACACAGCCTTCTAGTCATGTCTTTTTGGTTGATAAAAACCCAAACCTGAGAGCTAAATTTAGTAATTGCCTCAACATGCAATGCCTTCAGGTCTATTTCTTTCTTTTCTTTCTTTTTTTTTTTTTTTTTTTTTTTTTTGAGACAGAGGCTTGCTCTGTCGCCCAGGCTGGAGTGCAGTGGCATGATCTCAGTTCACTGCAACTTCCACCTCCTGGGTTCAAGTGATTCTCCTGCCTCAGCCTCCCAAAAAGCTGGGATAGCCAGCATGTGCCACCATGCCCAGCTAATTTTTGTATTTTTAGTAGAGACGGGGTTTCACCATGTTGGCAGGCTGGTCTCGAACTCCTGACCTCAGATGATCGATCTGCCTTGGCCTCCCAAAGTTCTGGGATTACAGGCATTAGTCATCCTGCCCAGCCCTCCTCAAGTCTATTTCTATAACACACAACTTATTAGTATTTTTATTAAACAGTCAATGTAAAGTGAGGTTTTACCAACAATCTATCAGCAAGTTTGTTTCAGCCTTTAGTTGCACCTTTCTCAGTGTTTCTGGAAATTAACATTTAAAAATTGCTTATTGTTAATCTTACTAAAAATGTCTTTAAAAAAAAAAGACCTAAGATATTTTTCCCAGGAGGCAAAGAAGAAGAGTAGGAAGTTGAGTATCTCTCTAGATACTCTAATTTGCTTCCTTAAGCAAATTAATGTCTCTGGTCCTCTCCTACTTCATCTGTGAAATTGGGAGGCTAGATTCACTAAGTCTGGCCTTGGATTTAAGGTCCAGTCAAATTCTAAAAATCTTGATTCTACAGATGTCCTTAAATAAAGTGTATTTCTTTCACAATAAAAGGTAAAATCCATATCATCTCTAGTAAAAATCTGGCTAATCAAATACTTCTCTTAATCTTAGAATAACAAACTTTTCTGAACCTCAGTTTTTCCTCAATAAAAAATGAGGTTTAATGAGATAATTTATATCATATATTCCAATTCTATGATCTTACCAGAAAATAACTTTTAATAATAGTCAAGATCTTTTTGATAGAATAAACACATAATTGTATTAGTTAAATCTAACTCTAATACATACATAATAGATATATGCTGATACAAATCACTTTGAATTTTGAAAACTTACTACAAGTGAACTTACTTTGACCACATAAATGGAAGAACATACCTTAACTTATAGCAAGGGGAAGCAATTATTTAGCCATACTCTAACTACTCAGGACTGTTTATATACTACCATCTTATCATATTCTTCTTAGATATAAGTGAAAACAAAAAACATGTTTGATTAATCTAAGAATATTCAATCCCAAAATAATATCAGGCACATCATGAACATAAATATATACTGATAATGAAAATGACAGATACTAAATATATAGGGGAAAAATAAAATTTCATAAATTCAATAATTATAATTCAAGGTACTTATTAAATCTGATAAATAAGTCTCAGGTTTTCAAAGGGCCTGCCATATCATTCACTATAGTATTAGCTACTTCCTAGTTCATTTGATTTTAAAATAAAATAGAGTAGGTAGACATACTATACATTCAGACTATCTAAAGGAGAAGCCACTTTTGCCAGTACTACACAGCCACATAATGATACATAGTTCTAAAAATTATCCTCAATGGAGTTAAGGTCAATAATCCAATAACTTCATTTATAGGAAACTGCTCCAAGAAAATAAGCAGAAATATAGACAAATATGTATGTACAAATATGTGCAGTGAAGAATTATTTGTAATAGATAAAATTGTAAACAGCTCAGTTATCTGAAAACAAGGTAGGTTAATATATGATATATTGACTACATTATTGTACATAACAAAGACTTTTTAATGACATGGTAAAAAGCAGATGAGAATTTATATTTTATCTTTATATATTTCTATACTATGTATATTCTACACAGGTGAAAATGATATATGCTCAACTTGTATTTTCCAAGGATCATTGTATCAACACAGTAAAAGATGGCAAATGAAAGCCTAGTATAATAATTCAAGCAAGAAATAAAGAAGGTATGAATAAAGAGGGTATCAATTAATACAATGGCACTAGAATGAAAAGAAGAAATATTACAGTTTCAAGAGATTTTTAAGAAACAATCAACAGGTTGTGGCTGCCAAGTAGAACAGCAGGTAACAAAGAAGAATTGTAGGTAACAAAGTGGAAGTGTAGGTAACAATGAAGAGATCTGGCTAAATTTTAATTCCACAAACTAAAGTCAGAGATGCAGAAGGCAAAATAGCTTAGGGTAAAACAACAAGACCAGGTGACTCTGAAGTAAAATTTTAAATTTAAACAAACTTTCTATATATTATGTTTAATATGGCAAGATCCATTCTATATATTAGAAATGATTTTTATTCAGAAAGCTTCAATCACCTGGAATATTAACTAATATGGAATACATTTCTTAATGAAGCAATATCAGTGAGTTATTGCTATTATAAAATCTTTATTCAGAATTATCTCGGTAGGGGAATAAAGTGTTTAATTTTTTTCAAAATATTCTAACTTGAAAATGGCAAAAATGAACTATTTCAAGAAAAAGCTTTGTAAGTTACCATATCATTTTTATTCTCCATAAAAATGCTGAGTTTCTTCAAGAATGACACAACTAAAATTAGCAGCTCAAAATTGTCCCGATCAAGGGCTTTCACCAACATGTGAACTATGTTCTTGTTCCTCATTTTCAGTTCGGTACGAGTATCCTCAGCAAGATTCAGAAGCAAATAAAGAGCAACTAGAAAAGTAAAATATATGAGAGATAAAGAATTAGTATACTGAATTAATAATTTAGAAAATCATTTCTACTCACCAAGGCAACAGAGATAGCCCTAAAAAGGTAATATATTATTTTGAAAATTTTAACTGGTTAATAATTGGTTAATTAAAAAACATTTATTGTTACTGAATGGGATATGTGTTTGTGTGTGTGTGTTATCTAAAACAAAACACACATATAAAATAATTCATACAATGCTGAGAAGGACACAATAACCAAAATAAAACAACGATTCCTGCCCTCTTGGAGCTTAGAGTTTAATAGAAATCAAATGGCAATTAAAGGTAGATAAGTCAGGAAAAAATAAAGCAGACAGAGGAAAATAGTTTTTACACATATAGAAAACAAGATAACATATCATAAAACTTTAATAACTAAAGTCTGCTGTGTTAAAAAGTGCAATAATCCAAAATATACAGTATAGCTACAGCTAAATTTGAGCCTACTAAAATCAACTTTTCATATGCAAACTGATTTTCTGTTAGTCACTATAAGAAAAGACCTTATGAAATTCAGTAATACAATTATTGCACTAGACAGAGTTGAAGCCATTGTTTGCTAGTTTTAAGTAAAATTTCTTTCAGATTTGTGTAATAAAAATGCTTAGGTTCTCAAAAGAAACATTTGCTTTTTATAGTGAAAATGATATTAATAGATAATGCTTTCCATTTTTCCTTGATTGACAGTGAGCTTCAGAGTTCAATTTCTGTAAGAATTATATAGGCTTTTATGGTCAATATAGTCTTTTTGCTCTCTTGTGGCCTCATTGTTTTAGTATTTCACTTCATGTATTCTTGCAAACTACCTCTCAACACTTATGAAAAGAAGAAATACATGCATATGTATATACATAAGTAGATAAATATAAAATTTATTTATTTAACAAATATTAGAGATGGAAAGTTAAATCACACTTATTAAGTACCTATTGTATGCCAGGCCTGTTGATGTATAAAGGCTGTTTAAATTCTAAAACAGTTTTATGAGGAAAGAAGTATTATAAAAATTTTACAGATTGGAAACCCCTGATTCAAAGAAATTAAACAACTTTCCCTACCATACAGCTAGAAAGTGGTAGTGCTAAATTAAAATTCAAGTCTATCAGAATCCAAAGCTCATATATTTACACTATTACATTATGCTGACTTTCTATGCAAGGCACTGTCAAAAGGTTTTAGAATTACATTGAAAAAACAAACAGACTTCTCTTTACAGCCAAGATAGAGGTAGCCGGTTGAATACTGTCCTTCTAAAATTTATGTTCACCCAGAACCTCAGGATGTGCCTTATTTGGAAATAGGGTCTTTGCAGATGTAATTGGTTATGGTGAGGTAATAATGGATTAAGGTGGACCGTGAATCCAATGAGTGGTGTCTTAAGAAGAGGAGGAGGTGACATAACAGAGACCGACAGAGTGGGAAGAAGGCCATATGAAGACAAAGGCAGAGACTGGAGTGATGTAGCTAAAAGCCAAGAAGCACCAAGAATTGCTGGGACCCACCAAAAGCTAGAAAGAGACGAGAGAAGATTCTTTTCCAGAGCCTTCAGAGAGAACGTGGGCCTGATGATACCTTGACTTTGGCCTTCCCCCATCCAGAGCTATGACAGAATAAATTTCTGTTGTTTTAAGCCACCCGGTTTACGGTAATTTGTTATAGCACCCCAGAAAATTAATAGGATGGGGTTTTAAACCTTTGCCTGACAACACCACAAAAAAATCTAACTGAAATACACAAAACAAAGATTTTCACAATAGTGGACACCAGACAATGAAGGACAGTAATCCCTGAGAGATAAGAAATAAATGAGATAGTCCTATGTTTGCCCTAGAATATTGCCTTGAGAGTTTCCAGGTCACAAAACAGTGAAGGAGAATCCAGGCAGAACCTGATAGAATCCCTGAGTTAAGGAGATGAAGCCAAGAATCCAGAGACGCCAAAGAGTTCACAGAAAAGAGTACTGAAGAAGAAAGAGCTGAGCAGAGAGAAACTCTGGAGTTCTAACAGAGGTCTCCCTCAAATACTGAGTTGAGTATTGATTGGAGCATAGGAATTTAAGTGAGGCTGGGACAGAAAAAAATGAGAGGAGTAGAAGAACAAAGCTGAAAATAATGCCTGCTTCTACCAACCATACTGGCAATCCCATAATTCATGCATTAGTGGGTAGAGCCCTGAGAAGGGTCTTACCTCCGTAGTGGGAAATAACTAGCTTTATACTAAATGCTGCTTCTGTCCAGACTAACAAATTATAAGATTAAGATCCAAAAGGATCAAACTGTTTCCAAGTAATTTAACTATGTCCCCAAATAAAACTCAAAGATATTTTTAGGAATAAAAAAGTCCACCTACAACAATGTAAATTTCACTGTCTTGCTTCTTTTTTTTTTTTTTTTTTTTTTTGAGACAGAGTTTTGCTCTTGTTGCCCAGGCTGGAATGCAATGCGTGACCTTGGCTCACTGCAACCTCCACCTCCTGGGTTCAAACAATTCTCCTGCCTCAGCCTCCTGAGTAGCTGGGATTATAGGCATCCACCACCAACGCCTGGCTAATTTTGTATTTTTAGTAGAGATGGGGTTTCACCATGTTGGTCAGGCTGGTCTCGAACTCCTGACCCCAGGTGATCTGCCTGCCTTGGCCTCCCAAAGTGCTGGGATTACAGGCATGAACCACCGCGCCTGACCCTGTCTTGCTTCTAATCAAAGATTTTCAGTCATACAAGAAGCAGGGAATATAACTCACAAGGAAGAGAAAAATGAACCAATTGCAACTGTCCAAGAATTGACCTAGAGTTTAATTATAAAAACGGAACATTATGTCATATAACTGTATTCCAGATCTTCTAAAAGTTAAGTAGAGACAAGGGAGATATAATAAAAAATATTCAAACTTCTATCACTGAAAACTACAATGCTTGAGACTATAAACTAGATGAAATTAACAGCAGTTTAGAGATAGAAGAAAAAAAGATTAGTGAAACTGAAGACATAATCACAGAAACTATCCAAAATTAAACAGACAGAAAAACATGACAAAAATGTAGAGTATCAGAGAACTGTGGAACAACTTCGAGTGGCCTAATATATGTTTAACTGAAGTCCCTGAAAAAATAATAACAGAAACATTTCCAAATTTAGTGAAAATTATAAACCCAGAGTTTCAATAAGCTCACTAAACTCTAAAAACAAGAAACAGAAAAAAAAATTACACCAAGGCCCGGTATAATAAATTGCTCAAAACGAATGATGAAGAGACAATCTTAAAAGCAGTCCAAGAAAAAGAGACCTTATATTAATATATAGACAAAGATAGCATGACAGCAGACTTCTCATCAAAAACAATGCAAACAAGGCAACAGTGGAGCAACATCCTTACAGTATTAAAAAAAGTTGTCAACCTAGAGTTCTAAACCCAGTGAAAATATTTCAAAAAGATAAAAATATTTTTAAAATGAGACTTTTTTAGACACACAAAAGATAATTAACCACTGGTAAATATGTCCTACAAGAAACGTTAAAGTAAATTGCTCAGGCAAAAAGAAAATGACAGCACACAGAAATATGGATCTACACAAAGGAATAATATCAATGGAAATGGTAACTCTACAAGGAAATATATAAGATTATTTTCTTATTAAATATATCTTTAAAATAAAATTATGTATATAAAATGATAATGTGTTATACAGTTTTTTGTTTGTTTGTTTTTGGCTTTTTTTTCTGAGACGGAGTCTCGCTCTGTCACCTGACTGGAGTGCAATGGTGCGATCTTGGCTCATTGCAACCTCCGCTCCCAGGTTCAAGTGATTCTCCTGCCTCAGCCTCCTGAGTAGCTGGGGACTACAGGCGTGTGCCACCACACCCAGCTAATTTTTGTTTTTTGGTGGAGACAGGGTTTCCCCATGTTGCCCAGGCTGGTCTCAAACTCCTGACCTCAAGTGATCTGCCCACCTAGGCCTCCCAGAATGCTGGGATTACAGGTGTGAGCCACGACATCTGGCCTTATTATAGGGTTTATAACATATGTATAAGTATAATAAATGTTAGTAATAGCATAGAGTTGGGAGAGGGAAGAAATGATTGCAACACTAAGCATGAAATGGCACAAAATACTTGACAGCAGAGTTAACTTATGATAAGTTAAGCATGTATCACTTGTAGGTAGACAACTATGATTAAAGATGTATAATATAAACCTTAAAGCAATCAATAAAATAACAAAAGACTTATAGCTAAGCTAACAATGGAAATAAAATAGAATTTAAAAAATCTCAAATACGTAAGAAGGCAGACAAGAAGGAAAAAGGAGGAAGAAGACACATACTCACACAAACATGCAAAGCCAATCTAAATGCTGTTCATAAAAAAACACACTTAATATAGACATAAATATATTAAAAATAAAAGGATAGACAAATATATCCCATACTAACACTAGTCACAAGAAGAAGTAGATTAACATAAGAAAAGGTAGATTTCAGACCAAAAAATGTTACCAGCCATGATGAAGAACACTTCATACTGATAACAAGGACAATTCATCAATAGCACATCTACATCCTATATCTTTATGTCCCCAAGAATACAGAGCTTCAAAAATACATGTACTGAAAACTGATAGATGTGCAGGAGCAATAAATAAATCACAATTATAGTCAGAGATTTCAATATTACTCTCTCAATAATAGAAAAAGTACAGAAAAGCATCAACACATGTAAAGCCTTGAACATCAATTATTTGGGAAAAAAATAACTCCCTTCTAAATAACCCAAGGGCCAAAAAAGAAACCAAAAGAGAAACTGGAAAGTATTTAAACTGAATGAAAATGAAAACAGGACATATGAAAATCTGTGGGATGCCATCAAAGAAGTGCTTAATGGGAAATTTATAGCACTAAATATCTGTATTTGAGAAGAAAGGTCTTGAGTAAATGACCTCAGCTTCCACTTAAACAACAACAACAACAACAACAACAACAAAAAATAAGAGTATATTAAACCCAAAGTAAGCTGAAGAAAAAAAATTATAAAGATCAAAGTAGAAATCAATGGAATAAAAAATTGGTAGGGCTAAAAGCACCCAATATCAACATTTTCCATAAGCTATGGTAATGAAGACACTGTGCTATTGGCATCAAAAACACACAAAAGTGATGGATAGAACAAAATAGAAACCCAAAAATAGGCATGACACATTGGACAAATGGTTCTGACAAAGATATAAATCAATTCAGTAGATAAAAGATAGTGTTTTCAAAAGTAGTACTTAAATAATTAGCTATTTATATGCAAAAAGAATGAAGAACTTTGATCCATTCCTCACCCCATATACAAAAATTAACTCAAAATATATTATAGCCTTAACTAAACTCTGAGACTATACAACTTCTAGAAGAAAACATATTAGAAAATAATTGTAACCTTTAGTTAGGAAAGGATTTCTTAGACACAATACCAAAACCATGATCCAAAAAACACTAAGTTGGAATTCATAAAAATGTAAAATTCTGCTCTTAAAAAGATACTTTAGGAGAACAAAAATTTCTGCAAATCATGTATCTGATAAATGCTTATATCCAAAACATATAAAGAATGGATACAAAACTATCCAATTTAATAATAAGGCAAAAGTTATGAAGGCACACTTCAATAAACATAAAGAGATGGCAGATAAGCACATCAGGAGATGCTCAACATTAATCAGTCACTAGGGAAATTCAAATCAAAACCACATACATTCATGGTGAGAATATAAAAACAACTATTATAGAAAAACATTTGGCAGTTTCTTACAAAGTTAAACATACACCTATCCTATGACTCAGCCATTCCATCATTAGGTATTTAACTAAGAGAAAAGAAAGCGTATGTCCATACAAAGACTTGTAGAAAAATGTTCACAGCAGCATTAAAATTGCCAAAAACTGGAAATATTCTAATGATCATCAACAGGTGAATATAAGGAAATACTATTCAATAACAAAAAGGAATAAACTATTGATAAATGCAATAATATGGATGAATCTTTAATTATGCTGAGTAAAAGACAAAAATGCATACATACTATATGATTTCATTTATATAAAACTCTAGAAAATGCAAACTAAGCTAAAGTGACAGAAAGCAGATCAGTGATGACTTGGGAATGAGGAAGAAGGCAGAAGGAAGAAGGAAAGGGAGAGATTGTAAAGATGCATGAGGAAATTTTGGGAGTGATGGATATGTACCTTATCTTGATTATGGTCATTATTTCATGGGTATTTACATATGTTAAAATTTATCAAATTATATACTTTAAAACTATACAGTTTATTGTCTATCAGTTATACCTCAATAAAGCTGTTAAGAGAGTATACAATATTTGCATAAATATTTGGTTAGAAACAGAGCTTAAAGTTTTGCATGTTAAAAAAGTCAAATTAGTTCTTTGAAACTTTTACATGAAAACAATTGCTTTCTTGAGATCTGATGCATTTTGGATTATATGCTAACACAGATAATACCTATTATTTTCTAGCATATTTTAAAATGAACCTTTGAAAATCTGACATTTTCTCCAACAGGTTGAACTAAATTACTTGGCTTCAAATATTTAAAAAACTCAGTGTAGTTAAAATTGCTACTAATCTTCACAGGATGAAAATATTTTGGGAGTTAACAAGTATTTCCATGTACAAAGTTAGTCAAACACCAATAAACTACATGAATCATCAAATAGTCAAGTATAAATCCGGACTTAAATTCACACTTAAAAGCCCCATGTCATTATCACTAACCACCATAAGATTTTACATCTTATCAGTAACCAAGAAACCATACTATTGAAGTTTTAAATATCTTAATAAAGCTAGAGACAAGGAATTCTTTTCTATTAAACAAGAGAAATATTTTAAAATGTTTATATCAATTTCCTAGGAAAGCAACAAAATAATTCACTTTATAAAACAAGTAAGTTAGGGCTGAAGAGACAAAGATTGATATTATTGAAAAGGTCACACACTGGATTAAAAAATCCTTTCTTAGGAAATAAATAATAAGTATACAAACATTTAGGAACTAAATGGGGAAAAATAGTAGAGTGAAATTTAAAACATTACCCATGCTAAAGACAGACGAACTTGTAGCATATTAACATTTATAGAACTTTCAGCTATTCTCACATTAGCTTTACAGGTATGATAAAAAGTGAACAAAACAAATGTATTTGGAGTAAGTACTTTGTTGCTTTCCTCATTGCTTAGGAATTCATACCTCGTAATAGCTGTTCCTGTTTTACCACAAGCCCCTGGTACTTTTTAAAGGTTTTTTCATAATCCTTTCTCAAGGTTTGGTTTTCAGGGTCTTCATCAAGTAAACAACTTGTTAAGGATCATCCATACTCATTGAAGCAAAAAAAATCTACTGATAAATTCTATGAACAATGGCACTATTAAATTTTATGTGCAACTTTATCCAGTTATTTTTCTCACCAAAAGTTTAACTAAAATGTTATCTGCATAATAACTGTGCTGTAACAGCACTTCTTATTTAAGTGCTCATGGATTCCCTGGGAGTCTTTGGGTGAACAAACTTTTTTATGTAGCCCACAGCTAACATCATATAGATATTTGAACCTCACCAAATACTTGAATTCCCAGAAACTATATGTGAATATTTTATATAGGTGCACAAGTCTATAACTTTCAACAGATTATCAAGTGGGTCCACGAACCAAAAAAATTACTGCCTCAGAAAGTGATTTAGTTACTAAGAACACTGGATTTTACTTCAGACAGATGCCCAGAATATTCAAAGGATATAGATTAAATCTAAAGCTTTTGTAGCAGCCTTTTCAGACTAGAGATGCCAAGAAAGAACTAACCCAAACTTAAAGGTAAACAAATTTTAAAAATCACATCTTCTGGTCCCAAATCGTCCTCTGGACTTCTTGCAAAAATAATCAGTTACTTCAGTATCCCCAAGCATATGAGTCAAGCATATGACCCCAGAATATGAGTCAATGCAGCTGACCTTGTTGAATACCACTTGTATCAAAATACAAAGAAATTTAGGACATAATAAAATAGCAACATGTCAGGAGAAATGACCAGAATTCTGATGTCATTTTTATATCCCTTCAATTACCATAATCTGTTGAGTCTAAGATACATTTTCCTCACATCTTAACATCTCCAAAACTGGATGTGTCTTATAATCCCTGATGTGTCATAGTTTAATTGAAAGCATATGTTCCTCTCCTCGCACTTAAACAATAGTGAATCTTAAAATTAATGGTGTCTGATACAGAAATACAATATGTCCTAAGATATCAGTTCTTGTCACCAAACAATAACAAAATGCAAATTCATGATTGCTAAAGAGTTCCACTAGTGGTTCCCTCCATACTTCTCCAGTTTAAATAAATTTTGGGTACCACTGAAGCATTCAGGAGTCTTGTGACTCCAGAACTGATGTAAAGTCTCTAGGATTCTTGGGTTGTTGATGTAGTTGAGTCACTATCAATCTAGATGCCAGAAGTTTATGGTATGCATAGAAAATTTATAAACCTGAAAAGATTCTAATTAAGAAAAGTCAAAGCTTGTGTGTGGGTGTGGATTTTATAGTGTCTTGGAGTTCCATGTGACAACAGTAAAAGCCTGAGAGATTTTGTACACAATAACCTGAATTAACCTGTTACAACATAGATTAAATTGAAGCCTCAGGGTTTCCAGAGGCCAAAATTAATATAAAAGTAAGGTCCACTTTTGCACAAAGCAGAGTTAAAAATGTATGATATTCTGCAAAATAGGAATAAAGTTTTCACTTTTTAAAAGACATAATAAACACTTGATTCAAAGGAAAGTTACCAGCATGCCTAGTTGATCTGCAAAACATATCATGGTTGAACAGATATGAATAAACCAGGGGCCTTTGATCTAGAAGCATTGAGTTTAGAGGCTAAAATATGATAAATATCTTCAAATATGAGAAGAATTATGATGTTGAAGAGAATAGCCTTATTCCATATTGCTTTAGTATACAATACTAGAACCAATGGATAGAAGTTATTGGGGAATGGACTTCAGTGCACTAAGCAAAAGACTATTATAATAAACAGAATGCTAAACCACAGAATGGGTGAAATAAATAAACACTGACATTGTTAAAGAGGAGCCTATGTAATAGCATTTGCCAGGGAAGTTGCAGAAATATTTTTATATTTGTAAGATAGGTTAAAACAGATACCTAAGTTTCCTTTCACAGGTTCTATTATTCTATAGGCCTTTCAAATTTTTATTTATTAACAACAGTATTTTTGCACTTTCCTAGAAAAATAGAACCTTTAACTAGGTTCATCACCAAATTTACACCCATTCTAATCAAAGTCACCTTAGTACTCACACAGAAGTATATAAGCAGCAGTGGTGGGCCAGGCTTCAACTAACCAAAGGATCTTAGTGGATGTAATGATGTAACCACTTAGAGGCTCACCTACTAAGTTACCCGACACAACTATTACCTGCTCCTTCTACCTCATTAACTAATAAAGGTTGTGAAGAGACAAAAAGTGAATATCAAACTGTATTCATTTTGATAGTTTCAATCTACTTCTTAACCTTCAATAACACACTCCTGCATTGTTTCCAAGTAATGTAATTAACAATTTTTAAAAAAGAAAAAAGAACAAAACCATCCCACCCATCCAAAACTTAAAGCAAAAGACAACAGACGGTTCAAATGCCACTCTAAAAGGATATCAGCTTTCTTCTTCTTTGAGAGTTCTTCTTGCCAAAGCTCATGTCTTTTTAACTCATGATCAATAATATTCATACACAGAGCTCCAATTTTATAGTGAGTAATAAGTCCATGAAATTGAGAAAAGCTTTAAAGAAGACATTTTAATATATATTTAAAAGAATACATTTTATGGGTACAGGAAATTTGTTTTTGGTGATCACTGGTACGAACCATGTAGAAAATAAATTTGATATACATATTTTAATAAATGAATATATCCACAATACACTAGGAAGACTTGCGATTATAAAATTACTTTAAATATATCACACTACTCTTACCTAAAATAGTTATTTTTAAGAAGTTAGAAAGTAGACATTTTTTGTAACTAACCACCATATTAACTACTCAGATATTCAGAATAGATTTTTAGATTATTGTCTAACAAAACTAATAATGTAGCAATACTAGACATACATTTTATTTATTGTATAAAACTGACATCAGAGAATTCGTAAAGTACTAGTAATCAGGTTTTACATATGTTTTCTAGACAATACATTAATCCAAGTATTTATTCAATAAATATTTATTTGCTAATACTAGCACATTTTTAGAACAGAAGCAGCAATTATCTAGGAATTGGGTAGAAACTTTTCATAATGTCTTAATAAGTATCTTCTTTCTTAAGGATATATGTGTATAAATAATAAATACAATACATAACAGGTATGTGTTTGTACATACATGCATATATATAACAATAACATTTACTGAGCACTTACTCTGGGTCAGGCTTTATTCTAAGTATTTTAATTTTTAATTCATTTAATCCAAAAAACTATCCAAAGAGGGTGCCACTATTACTATCCAAATTTTACTCATAAGGAAACTGAGGCATGAGTGGGTATAGACTAAATGAAAGATAGAATAACAGATAGCAAGACAGACAATGGAAAACAGGAATAAGAATTCAGCAGTAGAGCATAGGCAGACACACAGAAAAACTGAGAGAACAAGTGATCTACAAATTGAATCAATGACACAGACAAAGAGCAATAGAGATACAGTAGCCTTTTTATTTAATAATTTTTATACTTACCTGGAGAAACAAAAAAAGATGTAAATTATGTTTGTAGCTAACTCGACACTTTGCTTCCAGTCTTCTCTCAGGACCCTTGCTAATGCACCAAGGGCAGTTTCTAAAGAAAAAGGAGAGGTACCGAAACGATCATTCTCCTTGCTCTGGTATAAAGGGTGATTGGTTTTAAATGTCTAGTTATTAATGAATAATAAAGCTAAGATAGAACTGGGACAAAAAGTAGGATGCTTCTTTCCAATACAGACAGCTACTTTTAAAACTAAAATGTAATTTTACTTAAAGATACGTAACATGCTGCTTCAAGTATATACTATACACAGAAGTAATCAAATATGATTTAGATAAAGTGACATATGTTATGGTGACAATAAAATAATTAAAAAGCCTTTCATTTCTTAATTTAATAACCTTAAATTAAGAACTGTAATCTTCCTACTTCAGTACTGATTTTTTTCTTTTTAACATCTGATTTAATGTATTTGATAATATGAAAAAAACTTGAATAAGTCTAGAAAAAAATGAGCAGGTTAGTAGACTAACACTCGTTCCATTAAAGCAAATTAAAAACCAAATAAAATCTATACACAGAAAAATAAATTTAATATTTCAGTATCACACTGAATTTATGCTAGTAGCCACAAATAAAACAAAAAGCTTTCACAAAATTAACTTTCAGGTAGGTTAATAAGCATTTCTGCTAAAATTTTCTCTTGAGGAAATGAAAATTATAAAGTAATGACACTAGTTTCAAATCAGGTTGGTACATGGCATACTAATTCTTAAAATAATTAAAATATCTGTATGTTAAAATATAGAAATCATAATTCCACTGTTCTTAATAGATACTCAGGATTTACAATAGTACTTTATGGACTGCATTATGAGTATTTATTATGGTAATGAAAATGTCCCATATTTGAGCTTTCTGGCTATTCAGACTATGAACAAAAATTGATTGTATTAGTTATGAATCCACGTAGTGACAAATTTTTTAGCAAATTAAAAATCATCCTATGATAGCATTTCACAGTATTATTCACATTCACAATGCAGAGAACTTGAATAGTACATGCTTTGAAAAAAATTATTTTGGAGTCACATAAATAGGTTGACAATGCATATTAACAGCAAAGCCTCCAAAAAGTCCTATTTAATAAATAATCTGGTGTAGCTTTGTTCAATCTAGTAATTCCCAAAGGTATTTGACCATTATAATCCAGATAAAATAGTATTTCTTTAAATACTAGCCTATACAGAACTGTTCTATAATGTCATAAATTTAGGCATAGGTTTAGTGGCCTATTTGCAAAATTTTATTTCATTTTTCTCCTTAAAACAGAATAGAGAAACATCTCAATTAAAATATAGTTACAGGAGTTGTACACAGTTTACTGAGAAACAGCTAAAAGAAAATATAGTTTACAAGAGGTCAAAAGACAACACAAAATTAATTTCTACATTGAATGCAATCATAATCAAAATCCCATTACGTCTTTTCACAGATTATGATGAAGTAATCTCAAAATATATAAGACAAATGTGCAAGACCAGTAAAGCCAATTTTGGGGCAAAAGAAAGCAATTTGGAACATTTTTCCTACATATTCTAAAGTTCAAATCAAAATACAAAACAACACAGCAATAGTGTGGTATTGGTATGTATATCATCAAATAAACCAATGGAACAGAAGGAAAGGGAACACTAAAACAATTCCATGAAAATATGGAACAGTACCTGCCACAGAATAAGTTTTCAAGAATTATCTACTTCATAAAAGAATGGCAAGCATATAGCAGAAAAGACATTTGAAATACTTATTTGAAAGTACTGATCGACAAAACTATTGATTTGAATTATCTTATCCAGGTATTTGGCAACAACCAGAAAGGCATTCTCTCTCATGTAATGCAAACCAGATAATAAATACATCTTTCCTATTTTGTTTTTGGCAAATGTATAATCAGAAAACTATGCATTTAAAATGATTCTATAGGCAGGGCGCCTGGTGGCTCACACCTGTAATCCTAGCACTTTGGGAGGCTGAGGTGGGTGGATCCCCTGAGGTCAGGAGTTTCAGATCAGCCTGACCAATACGGTGAAACCCTGTCTCTACTAAAAAAAAAAAAACAAACCACACACAAGGAGTGGTGGCACGTGCCTATAATCCCAGCTACTCAGGAGGCTGAGGTGGGAGAATTATATGAACCCGGGAGGCGGAGGTTGCAGTGAGCTGAAGGTTGCAGTGAGCCAAAGGTTGCAGTGAGCGGAGATCGCGCCACTGCACTCCAGCCTGGGCAACAGAGGGAGACCCTGTCTCAAAAACAAAAACAAAACAAAACAAAAATGATTCTATAGTGGTGTTATTGAGAAAAGGGTGTTAAAAACATTCTATCTCCTTTTCTTGTTACTACCAAGTACTTTTAGTGAAAGGAAAGCAAACACTTGATGTGAAATTCAATCTCAATGAAACTGCAAAGATTAATAGCTTTCCCTGTGCTACTGAGAAAAAATGAATATTGGAACTTTAATTTAATAAAACATGATATATATATTTATGCAAATGTCTAAAGTTTGATCTTATATCCTACTTGAAACAATAAAAAAGCTTCCCAGAGTAGAAGAAAGAAAAGGTATAGTACCATTAATGCTTAATTTTCCTTGTTTACATTAAATGGTTTGTGAATTCTCTGGAGAATATTTAAATGCTACACTCTCAATTTAAGAAATCTGAGTAAGAAAGAAATAAAGAGCTGGAAAATATATGAAGTCTTAAGTTTTGTATAAATAACTGTAACTTATTCCTCTATTATAATTAAACATGTTTTATAGTAATCACCATTCAATAGTAGTTCTTCCAAGTTATCAGGATTTCGAGCAAGCTGCAGGATCAAAGCAGAACCCCGAACTTTGTCAGGAATATCTTCATATAATAACTCAATATATTCATCCATGTCATTAATGTTAGCAACTTCATCAATCTGAAACAAAGAGGCAGAAAGTACTCATCAACAATGCTCAACAGATCCACTGTCAAAGAAATGTTATTTTGTGATCAATATACTGGCCTTTATAACAACACACAAATTTCCAAAGAACTCATAGTAGCCATCTTTTTGGATATGGAAATTTTAGACCTTTAGACCTAGGACTCTAATACAAAACCCCATGATAAAATGAGATTTATATAAACTTTAAAAATTGTCTATCAATATAAAGTATCTTAAATGTAATAGAAAATATTTGTATCTACTACAGTAGATTAAACAATATTTCAAAACGTATTACAATAAGAATATGTAAACATTTTTACCCATCATTTATCAAAATTAATTGTCTAGAAAGCACACCTAGCCAGGCACGGTGGCTCACAGCTACAATCCCAGCACTTTGGGAGGCTGAGATGGGCAGATCACGAGGTCAGGAGTTTGAGACAAGCCTGACCAACATGGTGAAACCCCATCACTACTAAAAATACAAAAATTAGCTGGGCGTGGTGGCACATGCCTGTAATCCCAGCTACTCAGGAGGCTGAGGCAGGAAAATCGCTTGAACCCGGGAGGCGGAGGTTGTGGTGAGATGAGATAGAGCAAAAAAAGCAGAACCAATACTTTTTCTCTTTTTCAATTAAATAATGATTTTCTACCTTTTCAGGTACCTCTGAGTTCAGTCATTTTTTAAAAATACCACATGTGCTTAATGTGATTGTGTGTATTATTGATGGAAAAAGGCAATATCTTATAATCCAGTCCTCTATTAGATCAGAATGCATGCAGTCTTACCTCCATTCCTTCAAAAGGAGGTGGATCTTTAGGCTTGCTTGATTTTTCTTTTTTCTCTGTAAAAAGATTTTTTTTTAATAAGGAGACTTAGGTTTTTAGGGTTTCTAGGTAATTTTTATTTTCAGCAGCTGAGTTTAACTCTAGGTAAACTGGGGATATTAAAACTAAATAGTTTATGAAATAATCTCTTCTCAATGCATAAAAATGTTCATATATAATCCACTTGATCTAATGAGGATATCAAGGAGAGTATAAATTAATAAAATCTATAACTAATCACCAACTTCCTCCTTGGTTAACTTTTTGGGTATATAAGGTATACAGTCAGACTTGGCAACAAGAAGCAAAATAGTCTGTTCTAAGTATCCTCTCTTTCCCTTCCTAATTCAAATTTAAGGTAGGAATAGGAAAATCAATAAGGCAAAGAAAAAAGTACGACTTGAGTAATATAAAAACTAAAATGAAAATTAACAAAGCAGAAAGAAAAAAAAATTGGTAAATTTAAAACCTAAGATATAGAATAGTTGCTAACTGGTTCTTTTTTAACAAGTAAAATTAAGATAATAAATTAAAAGGCAAACATTTATTACGTGTGTTAATTAAATCCTCACTTATTCCCAAATAAAGAGGTATCCAAAGGTGTTGAACACAAGTTTGAGCCATTCGTTTATATTGAATTATCTGATTAATGGCATAATTTCATTTTTTAACAAAAAAACTATCAAATATACTTTATGGATCTGGATCATAAGTCTAAGTAATGTATGTAAATTAAAGTAAGTTAGAATGTTATCAAAATTTTTGATTCCACAATTAGCAAATAAATATATGATAGAATTAGTCATTATTTTCAGAGGACAGCACCCATTCTGTATAAGCTCATACATTCTCAACAGCTTAATTCTGCTTCAAACAGATAATTTACTAAGACAGTGGTTTTAATTATGCAAAAAAAATCACTGAATGTAATGAATCAAATAAGTATTATTATTTTGTTTCAATCACTTTTAAGATAAGGTTTCTGGCTTTGGAATACCGCTTACCAAGTAAAAGAGTTTTAACAAAGAAAACCAATAGTTTTCTAAAAAGTGTATATTTAATATACATTTCCTAAAGCATTTCCTATATCTTCAATTATTAATAATACTCTACCTGGGTAGAGAAAATATTGATTTGAATTATTTTATCCATGTATGATGACATAGAAATTTTTTCATATTCCTCTAATTTCTGGGGAGCAAGATAAAACCACTGATTTGCCCCAAAAACTCAGTGAAAGAGTTTTTACTAGTTCAAAGATATTTTATTCTAAATGCCTTCAGAATTATATTAATGTGGCACTAGGAAAGATCAACTATACTATACAACCTACAATAAGTAGACGCAGATCTTAAAAGACTACCAGATTTGCTTTTCTACTTGGATTTATTGGACTATGCGATCTCTCACCATTTACAGACATCTTAACAAGAATATTCTACCAACAAAATATTTGTTTAATAAAAATCTCCCTTGATAATATTTTCCTTATCTACGTAGTACTTAACTGAATGCCAACTATGTGATTAGAAGCAATCATGTTCAAAATGTCTATTTTTGCTTTTTTTTTTTTTGAGATGGAGTCTCGCTCTGTGCCAGGATGGAGTACAGTGGCATGGTCTTGGCTCACTGAAACCTCTGCCTCCTGGATTCAAGCAATTCTCCTGCCTCAGCCTCCTGAGTAGCTGGGATCACAGGCGCACACCACAACGCCCAGCTATTTTTGTATTTTTACTAGAGATGGGGTTTCACCATGTTGGCCAGGATGGTCTCGATCTCTTGACCTCGTGATCCGCCCGCCTCGGCCTCCCAAAGTGCTGACATTATAGGCGTGAGCCACCACACCCAGCCCTTTTTGCTTGTAAATAAATTTACAACCATTTAATTCATTCAACAAATATATTTTGATCATCTATGTTAGATACTGTATTCACAGCTAAAAAAAGTATATATTAAGTACAAGGCATTTTATTAGCTGTGGATGAAGAGAGACTGACTAATTTGAAAAAATTCCAAACAAAATTTTCTTTTTTTTTCCTACTTAGTCCAATCAAAACTTGAGCATTGATACATTATTTTAAGAGCACCAGCTGGGCACAGTGGCTCATGCCTGCAATCCCAGCACTTTGGGAGGCCAAGGCAGGAGGATCGCTTGAGCCCAGGAGTTTGAGACTAGCCTAGGCAACATAGTGAGACCCCGTCTCTACAAAAAATGTAAAAAATTAGCCAGGTATGGTTACAATTTAGTGGTGAACTCATAAAGGGATACCCCTCGTAGGCATCTGCCTGTGGCTCGGTGACCTCTTAGCATTTCAGAGGCCCGGAGATGAGTCCAAGTGGCTGCCTGGCTTCTTTAAGCCAGGGGCTGTCTCTGGTGCCTCCCTTGCCAGCAAGGCATTACCGACCTTCACATAAGCTTGCTTGGAGTACAGAAACAGTTTCTGAATCTGAAAGACTTCTCCGGTAAGTGTTGCCAAGGGCAATCGACATCCCTTTTGCCTTCTCCTGATCTGTTGGCCTCCTTAAAGGTCGTGTTCCCTCTTCAGAAGTCCTGCTGACCCTTCCCAATCTGTAAAAAGGGCCCTGTTTAAGGGGAATTTCCCCAACTGGAAGGAGAATAAAGGGCAACATTTGGGGGAAGTACTCCTGGGCGATTTCGTTTCAGTTATGAAACCTGGTTTTAGAGTTCTGACTTATCAGGGTCTCATGTCTGTTCTTATCTTGTCCTGTTTGTGTGTGGGGAACCCAGAAGGAAACATTAGCAGAAGTTCAATGTGCCTAACGGGTGGAAAGGGGGGTCTGTTTTATCTGTTTTGCTAGGTTAAAACTTGGATATTGAGCCAAGTAACTGGTGTTTGTCTTTGTTATGCGTATATTGTAATTTTGTCTTGGTCGATACGGGAAATACTAACTTAATCCCTCCTACATCAAGCAGCCCCTTGGATTGTATCTTGCAAAACTGGGCAGCT
The DNA here is from genome assembly GCF_000001405.40 of Homo sapiens. Classification (NCBI taxonomy): domain Eukaryota; kingdom Metazoa; phylum Chordata; class Mammalia; order Primates; family Hominidae; genus Homo; species Homo sapiens. The sequence goes on from NC_000001.11 coordinate 170,042,241, forward strand.
TTCACCTATGAACCCATGAAAACAAAGAAAATGGTTTTCTTTCATAATCAGCAAGCAGGGTGATCAAAGCTCTGCTCTTTTGGAAGCCACAGTTTAAGAGAATCCAGGAACCTGACAAGCTGGCAACAGGGTAGTAAGAATCATTTACCAGTCAGGTTCCTGATCTCTCTGTGTGAAATCTGGCTGAGCAAAAGGTAAAAAATCACTGTCTCCTGCAAGGTTTTGATTAATAGGAGAAAAAGATGTGTATGACTAGTCTTGGGAAATATTGACTGCAGTGTACTTTTTGGTTTATGAATATTCATATTGTTCCCTTTCTTTCCAGAAATAATCTTTTCTTTGTCTTTCTGTGTTCTTCATAAAGGGGAGGTACTAACTGAGGGTTCCTCTCATCTTGTTTTATGTCCTTGAAAACTTGACCTGTGACTGAGTGGGAGCTCTATGAAACAGAACAATTCCTTTATACTATATACTCTGGTTTCAACAGTTACTTCATTTTGTTCTTCTTCTACATTGGCTACCTTCTTGGAGACCACAGGTTGCGGAGGCATTTTATATTGCCCTGACATAATTTTCCGCTTTTGTGGGTAGCTTCGAGGCTAGTGACCTGAGCTCACACAGACCCACATCTGAGCTTTCTCTAGCCTTAAGGTCCAACCCAGCAATCCCTTTTACTTTCATTTTAGCCATTATAGGTAACAATAACCAAGGAATTGAATATTACGCTTTTTTCATATTAGTTTGCATTTCCTTATGCATCCAGTGAACCAGCTCCCCAGAAGTTGTATCCATCTCCAAATTCACTGTAACTTTTACGTTTAGTAACTGGGCATAGCCTAGCTGCAGTTCCATGCCATGGATGACCACATGGTCACCCAGGAATCAAAGGTTCCTTATCCTCCATCCTTTTATTTTATAGATTAATATCATCAGCTCCCTAAAGAACCTGTATTGAAATGGATTATAAGAGTAACTAATCTGGGAGCAGTGTCTTTGGTTTCAAAATGCTGCAGAGTGAAAGAACATGTTTGGGTTCGTACGGTACCCACTGCTCACTATTAAACAATTGCAAATGGTTATACATGATCCAGAAAAACAGGACATTATTAGTGAGGAAAGACTTAGCCTAATGAACTGGATAAAAGCCACTGTAAGGTCTCTTTACCCTGAGAAAAGGGACTGTGCGACTCCACCTATAACTGCCAAGTGGAGTACCCCAGATGAAGCAGCTAATGTGGTTTGTATGCAAGCCATATGGGACTGGCATTATGATGACAGGGATATTCACCCCTTGAATATGCCCATTACCCAGGTCATGGTCAGCTTCTCCTCATGGTTCTTACAGATGCTAACAGAAAATATTAGGTTAGTTAACAAGGGAATGGTGAAGGGTAGAGGGGAGGATCAAAGGACTTATCCCAGGACGATGGGAAGTTTTAACAGTTATCAAGAAATATAATGAATGAAGAAAACATTGATAGGAGTAAAAATAAGGGGAAAAGAAAAGGGGAGAGTCATGGGTCTCATCCCAGCAGAGTGAAAATCTTTAGACAGTTATTAAGAAATTGAATGAATAAAATGGAAATTGATGGGGTTGAAATAAAGGCCTTAATTGCTGGTTCCCCCAATATTAAAGGGTACCAAATCAGTTTTCTGTACTTACCCCAATTGGAGACATCTTTTAAAAAATCAGAAGACAAAGATCAGAATGAGAAAACTGACCAAAAACTGCCTGGGGATGATGTTGAGGTGATTAATCAACACAAAGATTGACTAAAAAGCCTTGGTCCCTTAGCTAAACCCTCTGCTGGGAACCCAAATCCCTTTTCACAGGAGAGGGTAAAATGGTCTGGGAGTGAAGAGAAATTCCCAGGACCAGAACATAAAATGTAAGGGTGGATAGGATTATCAAAGTTGAAATGTTTATATAGGATTTTTGTAAAGTAATTGTGTATTCTTTACCTAAATGTCTTATGAAAATGGATATTGTATCTGACTAGGGGATGTTTCCTCTACCTAGTACTATAAAACTGAAGGCACACAAATCTGCCCTTCAAGCTATAATTAACTGGACATACTAAAATGGGAACCAGTAAGACTGCCTGAGCCCACAGAATACAGAATAGAAGCTGGAGTGCTGGTAGGAACAAATTCTCCATGTGATAGCCTTTTGTGGAATGCAAAAGTCTGTGAGCACATCCCAGTGATGACTACTGTGACTCTGAACTAGAGAATTTTCACTTAAGAGGCATTTACTGCCTTGTTATAGGACATTAACTGAAGACATTCTATGATGGAAGGACATAAAATGATCATGACATCTGAAATACCCATGCTCTTTGGGGCAATGTCAGAAACAGTCTAATTGGGGTCAGCAGTGCCCAGAAGAGTTCCACAATAAAATGGAGATACTTTGTATATGATCATGCTACTTGGGAAATTCAAGGAGGAGACACTCATGAGCAGGGAGCCTCTTTTTCCCCAGGACTGACTCTGAAACTGTGTGAGAAGCTGCAGGATTCTACAGTGCCCATTAAACAGCTCTTACCTGACTGACAAAGAGCTGCCTGGTTTATGAATGGCAATTCCAAGGTGAACAGACAACAATCTGTTTGGAAGTCTGCTACTCTGACTGAAGAGGAGTCAAGAAAACTTTTTTTTCTTTTGAGCTATTTATAGCTTATGACAAGTAAAGTATATCTTTATGAGCAAAATTTGCCTTTCTACCTGAGTTCTCACAATTGTGGAAACTTCCTTCATAAGTATTCTTATTTTATGGCAATATAGTTATTTGCATACATTCAATAAGAATCTGCTTTCTTTGGTAGCAGGACACAATTGGAGATGCTAGCTACTTTACCAAGGCTTTGACTGGATTGGCATATTTTTAGATATGACCAGACTGCTTTGAGGAGTTGACATTGACTTTACAGAGCCAATAAAAGCACCTCGGAAAGACTAGCCTTCCATCTTGTCTATGTAGTTTCTTTATAGTGTTCCTCACCTGCGATAAGTAAAAAATGTTACTTTCAACAGATCCAGAAACCTCAAGTTATTCTGGGACCTCCACAAGAGATGAGTGGAGGTCCCAAAATAACCCAATTCATATAGGTATCTGTAGGCATGGATAAATCCTTGGTTTAGCTAACCTTAAGGCTTTTAAAAAGTCTAAACTAAGATTCCTTATGGAAAAGTTTCTGCAAAGTCAACTTAAAAGAGCCTATATGGCCAACGAATATTCTTGCCATACTTTATGCAAATAGTCAGGCAAAGTATAACACTTATTTTGCAAATAAATTGGTCCTACTATAATTTGTCTTTGGTAGAAATGGAATACTAGAGATAAAAATTTTGTTTCAAAAGAAACTATAGTATACCTGTTACTAGATTCTAGTCTTAGTCTTGTCTATTACTTTTGAGTTTTTATTGTTTTCTACAATTTGAACTAAACCTGAATTCTTCCCTGGCTACAAGTCTTCAAACTAAGATTTTCAAAAATTTCTTCCATTTTTCTGACTTGAACTCTGTTCCAGACAGAAATATAGTTATAACTAAGCATTAATAGGCTATACTTTGGCCCATTTCCTTGTTGCTAAAGTCACATAGCACTACATGCTGACCATTTACATCCCCACTGTTCTTACAGACAGGATCTCTGACATTAGAATCATAAGGATTTTGCTTAAGGATCATTGAAAATGTTTTTCAGACCCTGAGTTGCAGTGAAACAGCTGATGCCAACCAGTCAGAAGACCCTCATAGAGGAATGAAATCAGCATGAGAATACAGCTTCTTCATCATCCTGTCCCATTACTTCACCTTACACTCTGACCAATCAACAATCTCCACACTTCAGCCCAGTCCAAAACCCTTAAAAACTCTAGGCCCAAACTTCTCAGGGAGATGGATTTGAGGTTTTCTCTCATCTCCTAGTTTGGTGACCCCCAGATTAAACCTTTTTCTCTGCTGCAAAAAAAAAAAAAAAAAAAGGAAACAGAGAAAATAAAGATTCATGAAAGTTATATCTTTAGGATAGTCTAAGGCATATGATATATATTTTAACACTTACATAATCCATCCAAATGATAAACAAATATAAAAAAGAAGTTTATAAAACATCAGTCTAGTTGGGGCAGTGAAAATAGGTTTTCTGCCCCAAAGTCTCTCCTTTGATTATTCTAGAATCAATATGACAGACATTTCCTTTTTTATTCTTACTTCAGTGTATGTGTACACACACAAAACATGAAAAAGAATTAGACCATTTTATGTGGAAGCATCTAATATAAAGCCTACCATGAAAGCAATTAATGTTTATTCTTTGTTGTTTACTCATTCATAACACTGGTGAAAAAAACCTACCCAACATCAAATATCAATAGTTTGATAAACTTTTTTTTATAGTTGCTTGATGAACTATAATCAAACAACTTTGGATTTGCATTAGGAAGCCAGGAATTCTACTACTTACCTTTTCCTGACAATGAATCACGGCGGTTCTGTAGATAGTACAACAGCTGTTCTACCTCATTTAGTTTTGAAGGATGAATGAGTTTACATTCTTCAACCACCTTCCTTGCCAGGGAAGTTATATCTGTGTTGGCATTGAGACTCTTAAGTCGAATGCTGTAAGTATAACAGAATTTTTCAACTCACGTATTATAAAAGTAATAACTTCAATACTACTACTTTAAAATAATTTATAGATTATAAATTATTATAGAGAACCTGGCCATAGACTCTTAGTAAAATAAACTATTAGATATAATTAGGCTTAGAAAAATACAAGGCAGTGATTTTCTGTGAACTAGACAAACAAAATAACAAAAGGAACATAAAATCTTTTTCAGACTCTCTAGGCAAGACAGCATATTCAGAGATTCTGTTTTAAAACAGTATTTCTGATATAAAATATATAAAGTCTTTAGCATTATTAAATGTAAGAATCCATACCATCATAAATAAATCATTTTCTTGACCATACCCACAAATGCTAACTTTTTTTCAGCTAGGGACAAGACACAATATTGATATGTTCAGATTCAGTTGTTCTGGTGGTAACTATATAGAAGGTAAAAGCAAAAAAAAAGTGAGATCTGGCCGGGCACGGTGGTTCACGCCTGTAATTCCAGCACTTTGGGAGGCCGAGGCAAGGGGGATCACGAGGTCAGGAGTTTGAGACCAGCCTGGCCAATATGGTGAAACCCTGTCTCTACTAAAGATACAAAAAATTTGCCAGGTGTGGTGGTGCGCGCCTGTAATCCCAGCTACTCGGGAGGTTGAGGCAGCAGAATTGTTTGAACTTGGGAGGCAGAGGTTGCAGTGAGCTGAGATCGCACCATTGTACTCCAGCCTGTGTGACAGGGCGAGGCTCTGTCTCAAAAAAAAAAAAAAAAAAAAAAAAGTGAGATCCACTTTAAGATCTATATGAGGAATTTTGAGGAACAAATGAATACATTTTATACTTAAGTTAGTGCACTAAAAAACAATAATTAGCCAACACCTCCCTCCTTTTAAAGTTAGCCCAGGAGATTCACTGGGAACCCATTAAGAAACCATTATTAAGAGTTTGGAAACAATTACCTAGTTACACGGATTCAGGGTACCAGGAAGAGATATAAAGACATAAAATTAGGTTCAAAGTGAAGAGTCAACCTAGTGTCAAAAGACTGTCAAGCAAATGCTCCCATGCAAGGTTCTTTTGAAAAAGAGAAAGATGAACAAGCAGCCACTGTGTAGAATTATTTTGTGTTAAAGATGGCTAATTTTTGTTGGAAGACATCAAGGAATTAGAAGGGCAGGAGTGGGGATCTCAGAGCAATGTCCTGTAAGCTTATTATCCATATGTAGATGATTTCTCCCGAAACCATTCCAGCAGAATGACTTAGATATTATTCCCAGCTATATATTCAACCCCAAATCTGGTTCTCCTGGGGTTCTACAAGCTATGTAATAGCTTTTAATAAATTCCTTTTCTGTTTAAATTTGCTAGAGTGCCTTCTAATGTTTACAAGAAGAACTCTAGCAGTATTCTGTCCCTTTATTTCTTCCTTATTTGGGTTTTTTTTTTTTTGGTTCCTACCTTTTAAGTCCTTTAATTTTATTATATTTTTATATAGTTTTAGCTGCACATCAGAAGGCATAGAGAGAAAGGTCAATACAGAGAAAAACTCTAAAAAGACCTCTAGTTTGCTTCCAATTATTTGCAATTATGAGTAAAACTGCTATAAACATTCAAGTGCAGCTTTTTGTGTGAACATGTTTTCAACTCATTTGGGTAGATATCTAGAGGCATAAGGAGGGGCCAAGATGGCTGAACAGAAACAGCCTCAGTCTGCAGCTCCCAGTGAGACCAACGCAAAAGGTGGGTGATTTCTGCACTTCCAACTGAGGTACCCAGTTCATCTCACTGGGACTGGTTAGGCAGTGGGTACAACCCATGGAGAGCAAGCAGAAGCGGGGTGGCGGGGGCGTCGCTACACCCAGGAAGTGCAAGGAGCTGGGGGACCTCCCTCACTCAGCCAAGGGAAGCTGTGAGGGACTGTGCTACCTGGCCCGGGTACTATGCTTTTCCCACAGTTTTTGCAGTCCGCAGATCAGGAGAATCCTTGGTGAGCCTATAACACCTGGGCCCTGGATTTCAAGCACAAAACTGGGTGGCTGTTTGGGCAGGCACCGAGCTAGCTGCAGAAGTGTTTTTCTTACCCCAGGTGCCTGGAATCCCAGTGAGACAGAACTGTTCACTGCCCTGGAAAGGGGGCGGAAGCCAAGGAGCCAAGTGGTCTCACTCAGTGAGTCCCACTCTTATGGAGCCCAGCAAGCTATGAACCACTGGCTTGAAATTCTCACTGCCAGCACAGCAGTCTGGAGTTGATCTGGGATGATCGAGCTTGGTTGGGGGAGGTGGGTCTGCCATCAGTGAGGCTGTAGTAGGTAGTTTTCCCCGGACAGTGCTAAGGAGACTGGGAGGTTTGGACTGGGTAGAATTCACCACAGTGTGGCAAAGTGGCTGAGGCCAGACTGCTTCTCTATATGCCTCCTCACTGGGCAGGGCATCTAAGAAGGAAATGCAGCAGCCTTAGGGGCTTACAGATAAAACTCTCATCTCCCTGGGATAGAGAACCTGGCAGGAGGGGTGGCTGTGGGCACAGCTTCAGCAGACTTAATCTTTCCTGCCTGCTGGCTTTGATGAGAGCAGCTGATCCTGACAAGGGAAATTCTCCCAGCACAGCACACCAGCTCTGCTAAGGGATAGACTGCCTCCTCAAGTGGGTCCCTGACCCCCATGCCTCCTGACTGGGAGAGACCTCCCAACAGGGGTTGATAGACACCTCATAAAGGAGATCTCTGGCTGGCATCAGGCCAGTGCTCCCTCTGGGACGAAGCTTCCAGGGGAAGGAGCAGGCAGTAATCTTTGCTGTTCAGCAGCTTCCACTGGTAATACCCAGGAGGACGGGGTCTGGAGTGGAATTGCAGCACACTGCAGCAGACCTGCAGAAGAGGTGCCTGGCTGTTGATACAAAAACTAACACACAGAGAGCAACAACAACAACATCAACAAAAAACACCACCCCCCCCCAAAAAAAACCCATACAAGGGTCATCAGCCTCAAAGATCAAAGGATAAATCCATGAAAATGAGAAAAAAACCAGCGCAAAAATGCTGAAAATCCCAAAACCCAGAATACCTCTTCTCCTCCAAATGATCGCAAGTCCTCTCCAGCAAGGGCACAAAACTGGATGGAGAATGAGATTGACGAAATGCCAGAAGTAGGCATCAGAAGGTGGGTAATAACAAACTCCTCTGAGTTAAAGGAGCATGTTCTAACCCAATGCAAGGAAGCTAAGAACCTTGATAAAAGGTTACAGGAACTGATAACTAGAATAACCAGTTTAGAGAGAAACATAAATGACTTGATGGAGCTGAAAAACACAGCATGAAAACTTCGTGAAGCACATACACAAGTATCAATAGCCAAATCGATCAAGCAGAATAAAGATTAGAGATTGAAGATCACCTTGCTGAAATAAGGCGTGAAGACAAGATTAGAGAAAAAAGAATGAAAAGGAACAAACAAAGCCTCCAAGAAATATGGGACTATGTGAAAAGATCAAACCTATGATTGACTGGTGTACCTGAAAGTGACAGGGAGAATGGAACCAAGTTGGAAAACACACTTCAGGATATTATCCAGGAGAGCCTCCCCAGCCTAGCAAGACAGGCCAACATTCAAATTCAGGAAATACAGAGAACACCACTAAGATACTCCTCGAGAAGATAAATCCCAAGACACATAATCATCAGATTCTCCAAGGTTGAAACAAAGGAAAAAATGTTAAGAGCAGCCAGAGAGAAAGGTCAGGTCAACTACAAAGGGAAGCCCGTCAGACTAACAGCGGATCTCTCTGCAGAAATTCTACAAGCCAGAAGAGAGTGGGGACCAATATTCAACAATTTTAAGGAAAATAATTTTCAACACAGAATTTAATATCCAGCCAAACTAAGCTTCATAAGCAAAGGAGAGATAAAAACCTTTCCAGACAAGCAAATGCTGAGGGATTCTGTCACAACCAAGCCTGCCTTAAAAGAGCTCCTGAAGGAAGCATTAAATATGGAAAGGAAAACCCAGTACCAGCCACTGCAAAAACACACCAAAATATAACGACCAATGACACTGAAGAAACTACATCAACTAATGTGCAAAATAACCAGCTACCAGCATGATGACAGGATCAAATTCACATATAACAATATTAACCTTAAATGTGAATGGGCTAAATGCCTCAATTGAAAGACACAGACTGGCAAATTGGATAAAGAGTCAAGACCCATTGGTGTGCTGTATTCAGGAGACCTATCTCACATGCAAAGACACAGGCTCAAAATAAAGGAATGGAGGAATATTTACCAAGCAAATGGAAAAAAAAAAAAAAGCAGGGATTGCAATTCTAGTCTCTGATAAAACAGACTTTAAACCAACAAAGATCAAAAAAGACAAAGAAGGGCATTACATAATGGTAAAGGGTTCAATGCAACAAAAAGACCTAACTCTCCTAAATATATATGCACCCAATACAGGACCACCCAGATTCACAAAACAAGTTCTTAGAGACCTACACTACAAAGAGACTTAGATTCCCACACAATAATAGTGGGAGACTTTAATACCCCACTGTCAATATTAGGCAGATCAATGAGACAGAAAATTAACAAGGATATTCAGGACTTGAACTCAGCTCTGGATCAAGTGTACCTAATAGACATCCACAGAACTCTCTACTCCAAATAAACAGAATATACATTTTTCTAAGTGCCACATGGCACTTATTCTAAAATCGACCACATAATTGGGAGTAAAACAATCCTCAGCAAATGCAGAAGAATGGAAATCATAACAAACAGTCTCTCAGACCACAGTGCAATCAAATTAGAACTCAGGACTAAGAAACTCACTCAAAACCACATAACTACATGGAAACTGAACAACCTGGTCCTGAATGACTGCTGGGTAAATAAAAAAATTAAGGCAGAAGTAAAGAAGTTCTTTGAAACCAATGAGAACAAAGAGACAACATACCAGAATCTCTGGGACACAGCTTAAGCAGTGTGTAGAGGGAAATTTATAGCACTAAATGCCCACATCAGAAAGGTGGAAAGATCTGAAACTGACACCCTAACATCAAAATTAAAAGAACTAGAGAAGCAAGAGCAAACAAAGTCAAGAGCCAGCAGAAGACAAGAAATAACTAAGATCAGAGCAGAAATGAAGGAGATAAAGACACAAAAAACTCTTCCAAAAATCAATGAATCTAGGAGCTGTTTTTTCAAAAAAATTAACAAAATAGACTGCTAGCTAGATTAATAAAGAAGACAGAAAAATCAAATTGACACAATAAAATATAATAAAGGGGATACCACCACTGATCCCACAGAAATACAAACTACCATCAGAGAATACTACAAACACCTCGAAGCAAATAAACCAGAAAATCTATAAGAAATGAATAAATTCCAGGACACATACACCCTCCCAAGACTAAACCAGGAAGAAGTAAAATGGCTGAATAGACCAATAACAAGTTCTGAAATTTAGGCAGTAATTAATAGCTTACCAACCAAAAAAAGAAAAAGGCCAGGAACAGATGGATTCACTGCAGAATTCTACCAGAGGTACAAAGAGGAGTGGGTACCATTATTTCTGAAACTATTCCAAGCAAGAGAAAAAGAGGGACTCCTTCCTAACTCATTTTATTAGGCCAGCATCATCCTGATACCAAACCTGGCAGAGACACAACAAAAAAAAGAAAATTTCAGGCCAATTTCCCTGATGAACATCAATGTGAAAATCATCAATAAAATACTGGCAAGCTGAATCCAGCAGCATATCAAAAAACTTATCCACCACAACCAAGTCGGCTTCATCCCTGGGACGCAAGGCTGGTTCAACATATGCAAATCAATTAATGTAATCCATCACATAAACAGAACCAAGGACAAAAACTACATGATTATCTCAATAGATGCAGAAAAGGCCTTCGAAAAAATTCAACATCTTTTTATGTTAAAAACTCTCAATAAACTAGGTACTGATGGAACATATCTCAAAATAATAAGAGCTATTTATGACAAACCCATAGCCAATACCATATTGAATGGGCAAAAGCTGGAAGGATTCCCTTTGAAAACCATCACAAGACAAGGATGCCCTCTCTCACCACTCCTATTCAACATAGTATTGGAAGTTCTGGCCAAGGCAATCAGGCAAGAGAAAGAAGTAAAGGGTATTCAAATAGAAAGTGAAGAAGTCAAATTGTCTCTGTTTGCAGATGACATGATTGTATATTTAGAAAACCCCATCGTGTCAGCCTAAAAACTCCTTAAGCTGATAAGCAACTTCAGCAAAATTCTCAGTATACAAAATCCATGTACAAAAATCACAAGCATTCCTATACACCAACAACAGATAAGCAGAGAGCCAAATCATGAGCGAACTTCCATTCACAATTGCTACAAAGAAAATGAAACACCTAGGAATACAACTTACAAGGTATGTGAAGGACCTCTTCGAGGAGAACTACAAACTGCTTCTCAAGAAAATAAGAGAGGACACAAACAAATGGAAAAACATCCCATCCTCATGGATAGGAAGAAAAAAATGGCCATACTGCTCAAGGTTTATAAATTCGATGCTATTCCCATCAAGCTAGCATTGATTTTTTTCACAGAACTAGGAAAAATACTTTAAATTTCATATGGAACAAAAAAAGAGCCCATATAGCCAAGACAGTTCTAAGCAAAAAACAAAACAAAACAAAAAAAAACCCAAAGCATCATGCTACCTGACTTCAAACTATACTACAAGGCTACAGTAACCAAAATAGCATGGTACTGGTATCAAAACAGGGATAAAGACCAATGGAACAGAACAGAGACTCAGAAATAACACCACACATCTACAACCAACTAACCTTCGACAAATCTGACAAAAACAAGAAATGGGGAAAGGATTTCCTATTTAATAAATGGTGCTGGGAAAACTGGTTAGCCATTTGTAGAAAACAGAAACTGGACCCCTTCCTTACACCTTATCCAAATGTTAACCCAAGATGGATTAAAGACTTAAATGTAAAACCCAAAGCCATAAAAACCCTAGAAGAAAACCTAGGCAATACCATTCAGGACATAGGCATGGACAAGGACTTCATGACTAAAACACCAAAAGCAATGGAAACAAAAGCTAAAATTGACAAATGGGATCTAATTAAACTAAAGAGCCTCTGCACAGCAAAAGAAACTAACATCAGAGTGAACAGGAAACCTACAGAATGGGAGAAAATTTTTTGCAATCTACCCATCTGACTAAGGTCTAATATCCAGAATCCACAAGGAACTTAAACAAATTTACAAGAGAAAAAACAAACAACCCCTTCAAATAGTGGGCAAAGGATATGAACAGACACTTCTCAAAAGAAGACATTTATGCGGCCAAGAAACACATGAAAAGAAGCTCATCATCGGTCATTAGAAAAATGCAAATCAAAATCACAATGAGATACCATCTCACGCCAGTTAGAATGGTGATTATTAAAAAGTTTTGGCAGATGCTGCTCAGGCTGTGGAAAAATTGGAATTGGTTTAACTATTGTGGAAGACGGTGTGGCGATTCCTCAAGGATCTAGAACCAGAAATACCATTTGATCCAGCAATCCCATTACTGGGCATATACCCAAAATATTATAAATCATTCTACTATAAAGACACATTAACACATAGGTTTATTACAGCACTATTTACAATAGCAAAGACTTGGAACCAACCCAAATGCCCATCAGTGATAGATTGGATAAAGAAAATGTGGCACATATACATCACGGAATAATATGTAGCCATAAAAAAGAATGAGTTCATGTCCTTTGCAGTGATATGAATGAAGCTAGAAGCCATCATTCTCAACAAACTAACACAGGAACAGAAAACCAAACACCACATGTTCTCACTCATAAATGGGGACTGAACAATGAGAACACACGGACACAGGGGAGGGAACATCACACATCAGGGCCTGTCAGGGGGTGGGGGACAAGGGGAGGGAGAGCATTAGGACAAATATCTAATGCATGTAGGGCTTAAAACCTAAATGAGGGGTTGATAGGTGCAGCAAACCACCATGGCACATGTATATCTATGTAACAAACCTGCACTTTCTGCACATGTATCACAGAACTTAAAGTAAAATTAAACAAACAGACAAACCCAGAAACACATCTTTTATGGTTGATTTCACAAGTTAGTAGTTCATAATCTATTATATTCATTTTCTAAATGGGATAAATTAGAATATGTATGTTACAACAGGTTCCTATTAAGCTTACAAAAATCTCATTTTTTCCTAGGATTAATATACTCCATACTTACAGTTTAATATAATCTCTCCTTCACTAAGATGAAGTATGCCTGGAAGAATGCCATAATTAATCACCTATGCTGATCAAAATAATATCAGATTTGTATAAAGTTTATATAATGTTCACTACTTTCAAAATGTGCACAAATAAAGAACTTACATTTTTTGACATTCTTTTCGTTCTCCCAACATGGGGTCCCCCATTTCTCCAAGAATGGTAGCTTCCACTTCATAGTGAACAATGAGTGCTTTTTCTGATGGATGTACATCTATATTCCCTCCTTTAACTTTCCTATAATACAAAATTGAAATGATATAACCAGATTAAAATTCTCAAAGTGGCCATGGTTTTTATCTATTTTTAGGTCTATAACGTGGGTTGGATTAACATGTGCATTTGAATCAGATTACTCTTGACTTGGGATTAGAGATAACTCTTTTTCTCTGTTTTATATACATATATATGTATATATGTGTGTATATATACACATATAAATGTATACATATAACTTTGTCATGCATAAAGTATCTTTATAAATAGTTCTACCTAAGAAAAAAAATACATTTACCAAAGAATCATGCATAAGAGCAAGTGAATGAAACATAAACAAGTAAGACAGCTTTGGAGAGAATGACCTCAACTAAAAGTCAGTTATTCAAAACCAAAGGCAACTGCCTTAAAATTTATATTAAAAGAAAAAGTCAGGCCAGACATGATGGCTCACACCTGTAATCCCAGTGACTTGGGAGACCAACATGGGAGAAACACTTTAGGTCAGAAGTTTGAGACCAGCCCAGGTAACATAGCGAGACTCTGTTTCTACAAAAAATTTAAAAACTAGCCGGGCATGGTGGCAGGTGTCTGTAGTCCTAGCTAATTGCAGGCTGAGGCGGGAGGATCACTTGAGCCCTCTGATGGTGCCACTGCACTACAGCCTGGGCAATAGAACGAAACTCTGTCTCCATTAAAAAAAAAAAATCAACCTGCCCGTTAATTACCCCATTAACTGGACCAAAAGACACGAAGAAATTGTCTATATTACAATATATGTCATGTATCATCTAACATAATGGTACAAGTTGTAGAATTAGTACCTAAATAAAATCACTGAATCACACCCAAATTACATAACAAAAAAGCATTTACAGGTTAGGTACGCTGTATAGTCACATATCTCAAATTATAGTGTCAATAGTAGGTTCTATGGAAAGGTTGTATATACTCTTTCTTCAAGCCAATAAAGTCGCAAAATGAATTCTTAATTGCAGTAAACCAATGATGAATTAATCACTATTTGCCACTTGGCCATTTTAGAAGGCGATAAAGTTGGTTGTGCTGGAAGAGATTAAGCAACAGAAACAAGCAAAATCTCTCATTCTTAGTCCTAGCTAGCAGTTAGCTGACCAGTGGGGTCTTTTAGCCTGATAAGAAAAACAAAAATATGACAACACCTTAAATTTAATTCCAATAATTAGAAACTCAAAGCTTTTCTTTCAGTTGGAAATAATACTTTGACTAATTATGCATATTTTTAAAGTAATTTTTTACGGATCTGTCCACCAGAATTCCATATGAAAAGGAGATGCATCTGGAGTGAGTATTAGGGTTATGATTAACAGTCAAGTATAGTGATAGGGTAGGAAATTAAGTACACTAAAGCATAGATTCTAGGTAGGTCAGAAACTAAACTGATAGTAAGACATATAGGACAAGTAAAGAATGAAAACAGAAGCCAGGGAGGCCAGCAAAAATCGAGGAATTAGGAAATGAGATATAAATATATATTTAAAAGAATGGTACAGATTCCAAAAGGTAAGATAAACAGATAATATGTACAAAAGCTATAGAAGTCACAGGAAACAAAAGATCTAAGGAAAGCTGAAAACAGATATAATGTAGCATCACTATAAGAAACATAAGAAACTATCTTAATTACATAAGGCAAACTAGTTACTTCCTTCCTGATAACATGAAAAGCAATTCCAGTACTGGACTTTTTATAACTGTATACAGTTAAGGGAAGAAAAGAGTAAGGATATATAAATGCAGATCCTTAGACTAGCCTCCTATTACCACTTTAAAATGGGTCTTTCACATATTGGCAGCTGGGGGAATTGCATAATTCTTGTCCTCTGTTGTCTCATATCTTGCCTTTCCTTAAAGGAATCAAATAATTAAAAAGGAAAAAAATGAAATGCCTCACCACTCCTTTTTAGTTTTTGTTTGCCTTTTTTTTGCTGTGTATGTGTGTTTTAGAGGAGTAAGTTAATTACAATTTATCACAAAATCAACTTATGTTTATTATAGAAAAACTAAAACAGAAATGAGCAAAGAAAAAATAAATTCAAAAACTTACAAGAAGTAGTCACTTGTTATTTTACCACATATACATTCAGATATTTTTCTATCTATACTAAATAATATACAAAGAGAGAATGACAGCTATAGTTTTTTTTTTTTAACAGAAGAGGCTTAAGGGTAGTATTCTAGCAGGGGTGAAACTATCATTTTATCTTAAATGCTGAACTTTCAAGCTGAGTAGCATTCACAATGATGTCAGATATTTAACTACTGGGAGGATTAATTTCCAAACGTTCTACTTGAATTCCATTAATTAGATGAAAAAAATTTGAGCCATTATTAGAAATTAATGAATTTCTATTTGAAGCATACTATGACACTGATATTAAATTGATATCTTTTAGCTGGTTGCAAATTTCTTCTACTAATAGAGCCTTCTCAATAACAGCTCTGCTTCACTTTGTTTTCATACATGTGTAAGAAAACTAGAACCAAAAGTGTGCTAAATTGACTTAGAAAAATCATTTTCTTTTAATCTCAATGAGAAGTTATGCTTCACAGAGTAATATGAAACATACCTTCTATAACTGCATGTGATAAACTGTCACCTTTTGGGACAGTGTTCTTAATTATTAACTTCTGAAGTACATCCTTATGTTCCTAGATTTCATGTGGTTAGAGATATTATTGTGACCCTTAAGAAAGATAATAAATGCTGATGAACCTTGTGTTGCCACCCATTCATTATCAATTTTCTTGAGAAACCAAAAATGCAGTCCTTAACTTTTCATTAAATAAGAACTTTTAAAAAATTATTCTTTTCAAAAGGATTTACTGCAAAATAAAATTGTATCAAATAATAAAATAAAAAACAGTTGTAGATTTACGCCATAGAGCAAATAACAGAGCCGTTTTAGGAAGTGTTTGGTCTACTCTCCATATGCTCTCTGGCAGGACTGCTATGCATCTATTTCCTCCATCTACTTGAAAAATACCCAATATATCAGTGTCCACAATTCCAAATGACCTTACCAACTGTCAGAGCATATGAATTCATTTCCACAGTTTACAGCATGGGTATGGCACAATAGGCTGCTTAATGGGGAACTCTATTCACTGCTCATATGTCTCATACACTACTAGACAAGACACTAGCAGAAGCTTGAAGTACAAAATGGAAATCTACCAAATCCTCCATCCCAGCTTGTTTTAATGTAATTACTAATGATACCTCCATAACATTTTTTTTTAAACTGGGACAAATGCTAAATCAGATGGGCTGAGGCGGGTGTAGGGGAGGAACAGCTGAAAACCAGAACTGTCTAGGGCAAAGAAGCAAAAAATGATGACCCTAACCAAATCTAATCTTTCCTTGCCTACTCAAAGGTGCTCTTCAGTAATTATTTAGTAGTCCATTCCCATCTGCAAATAAACATATGAAAACGTCTCAGGTTAACTGCTCCTGAATGACTACTGGGTACATAACAAAATGAAGGCAGAAATAAAGATGTTCTTTAAAACCAATGAGAACAAAGACACAAAGAACCAGAATCTCTGGGACACATTTAAAGCAGCATGTAGAGGGAAATTTATAGCACTAAATGCCCACAAGAGTAAGCAGGAAAGATCTAAAATTGGCATCCTAACATCACAATTAAAAGAACTAGAGAAGCAAAAGCAAACACATTTAAAAGCTAGCAGAAGGCAAGAAATAACTAAGATCAGAGCAAAACTGAAGGAGATAGAGACACAAAAAAAATCAATGAACCCAGGAGATGGTTTTTTGAAAAGATCAACAAAACTGATAGACTGCTAGCAACACTAATAAAGGAGAAAAGAGAGAAGAATCAAACAGATGCAATAAAAAATGATAAAGGGGATATCACCACTGATCCCACAGAAATACAAACTATCATCAGAGAATACTATAAACACCTCTATGCAAATAAACTAGAAAATCTAGAAGAAATGGATAAATTCCTGGACACACATACACCCTCCCAAGACTAAACCAGGAAGAAGGTGAATCCCTGAACAGACCAATAACCAATAGGCTCTGAAATTGAGGCAATAATTAATAGCCTACCAACCAAAAAAAGTCCAGGACCAGATGGATTCACAGCCGAATTCTACCAGAGGTACAAGGAGGAACTGGTACCATTCCTTCTGAAACTATTCCAATCAACAGAAAAAGAGGGAATCCTCCCTAACTCATTTTATGAGGCCTGCATCATCCTGATACCAAAGCCTGGCAGAGACACAACAAAAAAAAAGAATTTTAAACCAATATCCCTGATGAACATCGATGCAAAAATCCTCAATAAAATACTGGCAAACTGAATCCAGCAGCACATCAAAAAGCTTATCCACCATGATCAAGTGGGCTTCACCATTGGAATGCAACGCTGGTTCAATATATGCAAATCAATAAACGTAATCCATCATATAAACATAACCAATGACAAAAACCACATGATTATCTCAACAGATGCAGAAAAGGCCTTTGACAAAATTCAACAGCCCTTCATGCTAAAAACTCTCAATAAATTAGGTATTGATGGGACGTATATCAAAATAGTCAGAGCTATTTATGACAAACCCACAGCCAATATCATAATGAATGGGCAAAAACTGGAAGCATTCCCTTTGAAAACTGGCACAAGACAGGGATGCCCTCTCTCACCACTCCTATTCAACATAGTGTTGGAAGTTCTGGCCAGGGCAATCAGGAAGGAGAAAAAAAGGGTATTCAATTAGGAAAAGAGGAAGTCAAATTGTCCCTGTTTGCAGATGACATGATTGTGTATTTAGAAAACCCCATCGTCTCAGCCAAAAAATCTCAAGCTGATAAGCAACTTCAGCAAAGTCTCAGGACACAAAATCAATGTGCAAAAATCACAGGCGTTCCTATACACCAATAACAGACAAACAGAGAGCCAAATCATGAGTGAAATTCCATTCACTATTGCTTCAAAGAGAATAAAATACCTAGGAATCCAACTTACAAGGGATGTGAAGGACCTCTTCAAGGAGAACTACAAACCACTGCTCAACGAAATAAAAGAGGACACAAACAAATGGAAGAACATTCCATGCTCATGGATAGGAAGAATCAATATCGTGAAAATGGCCATACCGCCTAGGTAATTTATAGATTCAATGACATCCCCATCAAGCTATCAATGACTTTCTTCACAGAATTGGAAAAAATTACTTTAAAGTTCACATGGAACCAAAAAACAGCCCGCATCACCAAGTCAATCCTAAGCCAAAAGAACAAAGCTGGAGGCATCACACTACCTGATTTTAAACTATACTACAAGGCTACAGTAACCAAAACAGCATGTTACTGGTACCAAAACTGAGATATAGACCAATGGAACAGAACAGAGCCCTCAGAAATAATACCACACATCTACAACAATCTCATCTTTGACAAATCTGACAAAAACAAGCAATGGGGAAAGGATTCCCTATTTAATAAATGGTGCTGGGAAAACTGGCTAGCCATATGTAGAAAGCTGAAAACTGGATCCCTTCCTTACACCTTATACAAAAATTAATTCAAGGTGGATTAAAGACTTAAATGTTAGACCTAAAACCATAAAAACCCTAGAAGAAAACCTAGGCAATACCATTCAGGACTCAGGCATGGGCAAGGACTTCATGTTTAAAACACCAAAAGCAATGGCAACAAAAGCCAAAATTGACAAATGGGATCTAATTAAACTAAAGAGCTTCTGCACAGCAAAAGAAACTACCATCAGAGTGAACAGGCAACCTACAGAATGGGAGAAAATTTTTGCAATCTACCCATCTGACAAAGGGCTAATATCCAGAATCTACAATGAACTTAAACAAATTTACAAGAAAAAATCAAACAACCCCATCAAAAAGTGGGTGAAGGATATGAACAGGCACTTCTCAAAAGAAGACATTTATGCAGCCAAAAGACACATGAAAAAATGCTCATCATCACTGGCCATTAGAGAAATGCAAATCAAAACCACAATGAGATACCATCTCACACTAGTTAGAATGGTGATCATTAAAAAGTCAGGAAACAACAGGTGCTGGAGAGGATGTGGAGAAATAGGAACAGTTTTACACTGTTGGTGGGACTGTAAACTAGTTCAACCATTGTGGAAGACAGTGTGGCGATTCCTCAAGGATCTAGAACTAGAAATACCATTTGACCCAGCCATCCCATTACTGGGTATATACACAAAGGATTATAAATCATGCTGCTATAAAGACACACACACACATATATTTATTGTGGCACTATTCACAATAGCAAAGACTTGGAACCAACCCAAATGTCTATCAATGATAGACTGGATTAAGAAAATGTGGCACATATACACCATGGAATACTATGCAGCCATAAAAAAGGATGAGGTCATGTCCTTTGTAGGGACATGGATGAAGCTGGAAACCATCATTCTGAGCAAACTGTCGCAAGGACAGAAAGCCAAATACCGCATGTTCTCACTCATAGGTGGGAATTGAACAATGAGAACACTTGGACACAGAATGGGGAACATCACACACTGGGGCCTGTCACGTGGTGGGGAGAGGGGGGAGGGATAGCATTAGGAGATATGCCTAATGTAAATGACGAGTTAATGGGTGCAGCACACCAACATGGCATATGTATACCTATGTAACAAACCTGCACGTTGTGCACATGTACCCTAGAACTTAAAGTATAATTTAAAAAAAGAGTAAAATAAATAAATAAAATAAAACCACAATGAGATACCATCAAAAAAAAAAAAAAGAAAAAGAAAATGTGTCAGGTTAAAGGGCAAAAAAAAAAACCCACCACCCCCAAACCCTACATTGCTTAATGCCACTGTTGCTTAACACCTTGATATTCATCCTATTAACACTGCTTTTCATTGTTACAAAACTCTTTTTGTGTTTGGTTTTTTCATTTTTTAAAAAAAACAGACCCAAAGCTTACAAAACTTCTTTTGTTTTGATATTCACTCTAATTAGTCTACTCACATGTGAACCCATTCCAGTTAGACTTTGGCTCTAAACTCTACTCCTACCTTACCAAAAAAGCTCTGGTCAAGGTCATCAATTTCTTCCATGTTCTAAATATTTAAAGTTTTTACATTTTTGTCTTTGATTTATCTGTATATTATTTTTGTATTTTTGTGGGGATAAATTTTAACTTTTTTCCATAGAAACAACCAATTGTATGAGCAGGTTTTGCTGTGTCTTTTACACTTTTTTTTTGGTAGAAGTCATAGTCAAGCACATTTTGCATCTGGAACCAGTATGTACCTACTACACACATAAATGAAACAAAAAATTCATGAAATCATGCCTATTCTTATCATGTGAAAAGCACTCTATCCTATTCACAACCCACTGATACATTGTGACCCTACTGCTTAGAAATAAACATTTATTTATAGTCTTTTTTTTTTAATCACTGGTTGGCAATGTTACCTCTTTGCAAAAATGGGAATGAAACCACCTTTGCAAAAATTATAACAGTGAGAGAAATCTAACCTTACTCCATCTTGCTTCCAACCTCACATGCTACCTGCCTCTATCGACTCTAAAACAAAAATGATAACAATCCCTTCCCAAAACTAGCCTTGAAACCACCTTTGTAAGACTAATGAAAGGCCCCAATATTAGAATTACGGGAGGGACCTAAATTCTGCTAAGCCAGTAGATGCAGTTAAACGATAACCAGCCATTGTTCCCTAGTTTGCCTTTCTATAATAATCTACTGCTCCAGAGGTCACAAGATTTGTATCTTCCCTAATTGCTCTGATAGATAACAACACTATTGTCAAAACCTAAGATTAGTCTTTGAGATATTTTTCAGACTTTTGTATTCTGGACACTGACTGACTCCACCTGGACCTGTGACTCACACCACTGAACTAATTCAACTGGTTCTGTGATCCCCACCCAGGAACTGACTCAGCACAAGAAGATAGCTAAACCTGCTATAATATCATCCCCAAGTCAATCAATCAGTGTCTCCCATTTCCTAGCCCTCTGCCCTCCAAACTGTCCTTGAAAAACCCTAACTTCCAACTTTTGGGGGAGGCTTGTATGAGTAACACTCCCACCCTGCTGCTTGGCTAGCCCTGCAATTATTAAACTCTTACTCTACTGCAATACCGCTGTCACAGTGAGTTGTTTTTTTCTCTGTAGTGGGCAAGAATAACCCATAGACACACCCATGTGTGTCTATTTCTAGGCTTTTCATTTTATTCAGTTGGTTTACTGAGCTATTTTTACATCGATACCTGAGGGAAGTGTTCCCAACCTGGCTCTTCCATATTTTTCTCAGTATTGCGGGACCTTTCCCTGTCCACTTAAAAATTTAAAATTGTGTTTCAAATTCAGTAAAATACCTTTTGGGATAATGACTGACATAATGAATTTTCAGATTAAGGCATCTATCCATGAAAATGATAAATCTACTTTTAAGATTTAATTTTCTTTTAATGAAATGATATAAATTTCTTTAGAAAGGTGATGCCCATCATTTATTATTAGATTTATTCCCAAGTACCTTATATTGTTATTTGCATTTGTAAATAACTTTTTTGCTAACAATATTTAACCAACTATATCAAAATTCAATTTGGGAGTGGGAGGTATATAGATGTTACATCCAGCAACTGTTGCTTAATACCTTGATATTAATGCCAATAGCTTGAACATTATTTTAGGTTTTCTCTACAAACTAATATATAATTTGTGAATAATATCAGTTTCATTTCTTCTCTTCCTATCTTTATACCTTTTCTATTTCTTATCTTACTACCTGTTTAGGACTCCTGGTGAAATGTTGAGGTGGTTACATAGGTATCCTTGGATCATCCTTAATGTTAAGGGAAATGTTTCTAAAGTTTCCTCATTTACTGATGTTACTTTATTTTTTGAGAAAGGGTCTCACTCTTGTCACCTAGGCTGAAGTGCAGTGGTGTGATCACAGCTCACTGCAGCCTTGCCTCCCAGGCTCAGGCAATCCTCCCACCTCCACCTTCCAAGTAGCTGGGACTACAGGCATGCACCACCATGCCCAGCTAAGTTTTGTATTTTTTATAGAGATGGGGTTTCAACATATTGCCCAGGCTAGTCTTGAACTCCTGGGCTCAAGCGATCCACCAGCCTCAGCCTCCCAAAGTGCTGGGATGACAGGCATGAGCCAACACACCTGGCTAGTTTCCTCATTTAATATGTTTATATCATAATTCCCTTTTATTTATGGCTTTAGTTTTTTCCTTAAATCATGAATGTGTAGTGAATGTCATCAAATGTTTTTCTGCATCCATTGGAGGATCATGTATTGTTCTTCTTTAATTCATAAATATACTACATCAAATTCATTAAATACATAAAACCATACTCATATTCTTAGAATAAGCACAACTTGTTAATGCTGTCTTAAAGCACTGTTAGATTAAATTTGCATCCTTGCTCATTCAGCCTGCAATTTTCCTTTCTAATGTCCTTTTTCTGACTTTCATATGGAGATTATTCTAAAATCTTAATATAAATTAGTTGAGGAGTATCCTTTTTTTTCTAGACTTCTTGGAAGAGTTGTACATAATTGGAAGCATCTGTTTCCCAAAAATTTTGTTAGAATTTGACTTTAAAACTGTCTGGATGTAGCAGATTTTATCAGTATGAAATACTCCTCTGTAGTTTTTACAGTATACGTTTTCTTAAAGCCTATTTTATCTGACATTAATATGGTCATTTTAGCATTCTTATGCTTACTGTTTGATTGCACCCATTTACCATTAACTTACCATGTCCATACTTAAAAGTATATTTTTTGGGGATGACAGATAGTTGGGTCTTGCTTTTCTTTTTTCTTTATAAAAGAAATATTGGTGGCCGGGCGCAGTGGCTCACGCCTGTAATCCCAGCATTTTGGGAAGCCGAGGTGGGTGGATCATGAGGTCAGGAGATCGAGACCATCCTGGCTAACATGGTGAAACCCTGTCTCTACTAAAAAATACAAAAAATTAGCTGGGCATGGTGGCGGGCACCTGTAGTCCCAGCTACTTGGGAGGCTGAGGCAGGAGAATGGCGTGAACCCGGGAGGCGGAGCTTGCAGTGAGCCAAGATCATGCCACTGCCCTCCAGCCTGGGCGACAGAGCAAGACTCCACCTCAAAAAAAAAAAAAAAAAAAAAAAAAAGAAATATTGGTAATCTCTGCCTTTCCATTGGAACATTAAAACCTATGCTGTCTGATACAATAGTCACTAGCTACATGGGTCTATTTAAAATTAAATTTAAATACATTACATTTTAAAAATAATTAAAAATGCAATTCCTTAGCTGTACTAACCACGTTCAAAGTGTTCATTAGCCATACAGCCAGTGGCTATGTATTTGATGATGCAGCTGTAAGTCATTTCCATCAGGGAAGAAAGTTCTATTGGACATTATTGTTTTGGATCATTTAATGCAATGACTGACATACTTAGATTCAGATCTATCACTTCATTTTTATTTCCTGTTTGGCCCAACTATACTTTGATTATTTTCCTAACAGCCTTGTGAATTATTATTTTTTAAATTCCATTTTGTGTAGATGTTTTCACTATACTTTTAAAAACTGTTTTTGGTGGTTGCTTTAGGAAAAACAATGTTTTAGTTACCTTTTTTTTTTCACAAGGTATTTAAGAATTAATGCTGTGCTACTTCACAAATTGCAGGTCTATTGCCTACACCCCCCCCCCCATTCTTTATGTTATAGCTGTCATATGCATTATGTGTACATACCTTATAAACTCACACAAAAATTTCATAATTTTTGCTTTCAAGTCATATGTATTTTTAAAAAATTAAGAGGGAAATAATCTCTTATATGTACTCAAATATTTATAATTCCTGATGCTTTTCATATTGGTAAAACCAAAACAAGTTTTATATTTCTATTACTAACATTAGACTTGGTAATAGAGAAACAGAGGATTAAGGTAATTCAAACCAATGCACCTTCTAAGAAAATCTTAAAAGCTGGGGGCAAAAACACGTATGTGTGTATCTGTTTGAGGCCATAAGAGAACTAAAAAGGCACAAAAAATTACAGTGCCAAGATCCAGGAGAAAAAGAAAATGAAGAGAGGTAAATCTTGAATTTGAGGCTACTTTTCCCTAGAGGTATCTGCTAACTGAAAAGAGAGGGCTGAGAGGTTGAGAATCTTTTAATAATCACATGAGGCTAGAGACACAAAAACTGGATTCTAGAGTGCACCAAACAACAGTGGCTCTGGTAAAGCTCCAAGCTTTAAGCTTGAAACAGGAGGACTACCTCCTAGGAGTAACTGTGAAACAGATGCAGATCGGTCACCAACAAGACTAAAAAGCCCAGTTTAATGTAATTGAATCTCTGAGAACTAATTAAGGTGACCCTAAATTTTCAGTAATCCTTACTAACATAAATAAAATATAATCTTCTCTGGAAAAAGAGAACATCATCCTGAGCCTCAAATGATTATTTATACATTTATATTCCTATATATGATACTCAAAGAATAGTCATCTTCAGAAAAAACTAGATAATTTTTTTAAATTTCTAGAATTAAAAATACAATAACCAAAATTAAGAATAATAATAAATAAATAGGTTTAATAGCAGATTAGATACGGGTAAGGAGATAATTTATGGCATAAAATATAAGTCAGAAGAAAACACCCAGAATAAAACATAGAGACAAAAAGATGTAAAACACAAGCAAAAGTATAATTCAGCAATGCATACTGAGTAGGTCTAGCATATGTACTTGAAGTCCCAGAAAAAAGGTGAGAGAGAATGGGTACAGAGCAATATATGAAAAGATAATGGCTAAGTGACATCAGTGAAAACGGCAGAGTAGGGACCTCTAGAGGCTGGCACTCCCCAGAAGCACTAAAAACTTGGCAAAAAAAACCTATCACAATCAACCTCATCAGAACTCTGGAAGACAGTCAAAGGTTTACAGCAACCAAGTGAATGTTTAATCAGAAGAAAGGTTACAGAAACAAGGTAGGCGATCATTATGGTCTTTTCACTTACCCTAGACATCCACCCCACTCTCAAGCACAGTGGCAGTCTTCAAGATGGCAGCCCACGTTCCCACTGTTAATACTTGGTTCTAGAGGAGTCAAGTGGACCTTGCTCCCAAGGAATTTTGTCTGATTGTTTTGCAACTGACTGAAGTTTCCTTTGAGGTCAGCTGCAAGGGGCTTTCCTTTGTTTTGACTAATTTTAAACTCTTATCAGGATAGTGCAGCTATGCAGTCACTGAAATCAGTGAAAGCCAAGCATACAAGCTGCTGGCCCCTGGGATAAATAGTAATAGCTGGGTCAAACAAAACACAAGCTGAAAGCCCAAGAGGAAAGTCCAGGGAGTCAGACATTTTGGGGGAATAGATGCTTTGAAAAGCTATTGCATATAAAGAGAAATCTAGAAATCCATGAGCATGCTCAGGGCAGAATACATACCCAGAAAAAACCTGGGAAGATCATAAGCTTTTACCTCTGGCTGGTCTTCAGGCTCTGTGCAAGCAGCAAATGAAGGCTAAGGTAAAATTGTAAATTGCCTGGCTAAGTGTTGAAGCCATATCCAAACACTGAGTCAACCTACAAAGATCTGAAGAGTATTTTTTTCTTTTCTTTTTTTCCTTTGGATACCATAATATTCAAAATACCCAGTTTTCAACAAAACAAAATATGAAACATGCAAAGAAACAAGAAACTCATTCTCATTCTCACAATAAAAAAAATTAACAGAAACTGTCCATGCTACAGCACAAACACTGGACTTATCAAAGACTTTAAATCAACTGTCTTAAATATGTCCAAAGAGCAAAAAGAAACCAGTGCAAATAACTAAGAAAAAGGAGAAACACAATGTCTCAACACATAAATAGTTTAAAAATATATTATCATAAGGATCCAAACAAAAACACTAGATCTGAAAAGTACAATAACTGAAATAAAAAAATCACTACAGGGTTTTTAACAGCAGATCTGAGCAGAGAGAGAAAAGAATCAGCAAACTTGAAGATATGTCAAATGAAACTGTCCATTTTGAGGCACAGAAAGAAAACAGAATGAAGAAAAATAAACAGAACCTAAGAGACTTATGGAACACCATCTAGTATACCAACATATGCATAATGAGGGTATGAAAGGAGAGGAAGAAAGAAACATAGAGAATACTGGGAGAAAAAACAGTCAAAAACTTCCCAAATTAGACCAAAGACAAACTTACACATCCAAGAAGCTCAATGAAATTCAAAGATAAACTCAAACAGATCCACAATAAGACACTCTATACTGACGCTCTATTTAAAAAAATAAATAAAAGATTTTGAATTAATAACCTAATTTTACACCTTAAGGGGCTAGAAAAAGAAGAGCAAACAAAACCCCAAGCTAGCAGAAGGAAATAATAAAAAGCAGCAACAGAGACTAGAAAAAGAATAGAGAAAATGAAACCAAAGGTTAGTTCTTTGAAAAGATCAACAAACATTTTTGGAAAACTTTTAGTTAGACTGACTAAAAAAGAAAAGAAGAGACTCAAATTACTAAAATCAGAAATGAAAGTGGGACATTACTGCTGCTCTTTTGATGATTAAAAAATTACAAGAGAATAATATGAACACCAACAAATTGGATAACCTACATGAAAAAGAATAATTCCTAGAAACACACAAACTACCAAAACTGACTCAAAAGACACAGAAAATCTGAACAGAATTAGAAGTAAGGTGATTGAATCAGTAATCATAAACCTTTCAACAAGTCCAGTACCAGATGGCTTCACTGGTGAATTCTACCAAGCATTTAAAGACAAATTAACATAAATACCCCTCAAACTCTTCCAAAAGATATAACAGTAGAGGAAACACTTCCTAATTCATTCCATGAGGCCACCATTACCCTGATACCAAAGCAAGACAAAGACACTACAGGAAAACCTTTAGACCAATACCCTTTATGAATGTCGATGTGAAAATCCTCAAAATACTAGCAAACAGAATACAGGAGTATATTAAAAGGACCACGCAACATGGCCACATGGGCATTTCAATACAATACACCACATTAATGGAATGAAGAAAAAAAGTACATGATTATCTCAATCGATGCAGAAAAAAGCATCTGACAAAACCCAACATCTTTTCATGATAAAAGTACTTGATAAATTAGGAATAGAAGAAAAGTCCCTTAACATAATAAAGGGCATATATGAAAAATCTACAGCCAATATCATACTCAATGGTGAAAGAATGAAAGCTTTCCCCCTAAGATCAGGAACAAGACAAGAATGTTTATCCACTTTCCTGACTTCTATTCAACATAGTACTGGAAATTCTAGCCAGAGCAATGAGGCATGGGAAAAAAAAATAAAAAGGCATCCAGATTGAAAAAGAAGAAGTAAAATTATTTCTATCTGCAGAAGACATAATCTTATATATAGAAAATTCTAAAAATGGCACAAAAAACTGGCTAGAGCTAATAAATTCAGCAAAGTTGGAGAATAGATCAGAACACACCAAAAAAATCCACTGTTTTTCTACATATTGGAGCTGAAAAATATGAAAAGGAAATTTAGAAAACTTCATTTCCAATAGCATCAAAAAGAATAAAATACTCAGGAGTAAACGTAACCAAGGAACAACTGTATACTGAAAACAAAAAGTTGCTGAAAGAAATTAATATGAACTAAATGAAAAGAAATCACATGTTCATGGACTGAAGGACTTAATATTGTTAAGATGGCAATATTCCCCAAAGTGATCTATAGATTCATTATATTCCCAAAGTTTCAATAGCTTTTTTTGCAGAAATGAAAAAGCCAACCCTAAAATTCAAATGGAAATATAAGGAACCCTAAATAGCTGAAACAACCTTGAAAAAGAACAACAAAGTTGGAGGACTCACACTTCTGGATTTCAAAACTCACTACAAAGCTTCAGTAATCAAAACAGTGAGGTACTAGCACACGGACAGATAGATCAATGAAATATAATTGAGAGTGCAGGAATAAACCCCAACATTTTTGGTCATTTAATTTTCAAAAAAATTGCCCAAACCATTCATGGAGGAAAAGAACAGTCAATTGTTCTTTTCTGACATTTGTTCTGACAAATGATGTCAGAACAACTAGATAGTCACATATAAAAGAATGAAGATGGACCCTTGCCATATACCATAGACAATAACTAACTCGAGATGGATCAAGGATATTAAATGTAAAAGCTAAAACTGTAAAACTCTTAGAAGAAAACAGAGGGACAAACCTTCATGACCTTGGATTTAGCAGTGGTTTCTTAAATAACGATGCCAAAAGCATGAGCAACAAAAGAATAAATTAGACTTCACCAAAATTAAAAATGTTTGCATATGAAAGTTTTACATACCAAGATAGTGCAAAGAAAACCCACAGAATGGGACAAAGTATCTGTAAATCATGTATCTGACAAGGTTCTATTACAAAGAACTCCTTTTCCCAAAGAATAAAGACAAATGGCCAAGAAGCACATGAAAAGCTCAATGTCATTAGTAATTAGGGAAAGGCAAATCAATACCAAAATAAGATACCATTTGATATCCACTAGTATAGTAATAATTACAGAACAGAAAATAACAGGTGTTAGTGAGGATACGGAAAACTGAATTCTTATACATTGCTGGTGGGAATGTAAAATGGTGCAGTCACTAGGGAAAACACTTTAGTGGTTCCTCAATGAATTAAACATAGAATTACCATATGGTCTGGCAATTCCAGGCCTAGGTATACACCAAAAGATACAAAACAAGTGTTCAAACAAAAACTTGTACAGTAATGTTCACAGCAGCTTTATTCCCAATAGCCAATAGGTAGAAACAACCCAAATGTCCACCACCAGATGAGCAATAAACAAACAAAATGTGGTATATCCATAAAATGGAATACTGAATTAGTCAATTTTATGTTGCTATAACACAATACCTGAGACTAGGTAATTTATAAGGAAAAGGGGTTTATTTAGCTTACAGTTCCGCAGGCTGGGAAGTTCAAGGGCATGACTCTGGCTTCCAGTGAGGGCTTTTGTGCTTCATTATAACACAGTGGACAAGATCAAAGGGGAAGTGAGAAAAGAGAATACCCAAGGGTCTTCCTGGCTTTATAACAACCAACTCTAGAGGGAACTAATCCATTCCCAAGAGAGCTAATCCAGTCTCACTAGAGCAAGAATTCACTCACTCCAGCAAGAACAGCACCAAGCCATTCATGAGGGATCCACCCCCAAAACTGAAACACCTCCCAGGCTCCAGCTCCCAACACTGCCACAATGGGGGACCAAGTTTTAACATGAGCTTTGGTGGAAACGAACTATATCCAAACCACAGCAAATATTATGCAGCTATATAAAGGAATGAAGTACTGATACATGCTACCACACAGATGGACCTTGATATACCATGTGAGAAATGCTTGACACAAAAGCCACACACTTTTTTCATATAGCACTCATAAATACAATAAATATCAGTATATTTTAAAGTCTGTATTACTTGCTAGAGTGTAAATGCCATGAAGGCAGGGAATATATTTATGTTTCATTTACCAAATATGTTTTATCACTTGGCTTAATGACTTTTACACAGTAGAATCTCAACTATTAAATGAATGAACAAATGTTGTTCACTTTTAAT
Organism: Homo sapiens; assembly: GCF_000001405.40. Taxonomy (NCBI): domain Eukaryota; kingdom Metazoa; phylum Chordata; class Mammalia; order Primates; family Hominidae; genus Homo; species Homo sapiens. The sequence goes on from NC_000001.11 coordinate 170,072,139, forward strand.
ATCCTTCAATAGTTCACCAATGCACTCAAAATAAAGTCTCAACTCTTTACTAAAGCGCTTAAGTCCCATATGATTTGGCTCATATTTCTTTCTAGTCTTATTCTGACTTTACTTAATAATCTATGTTTCAGGCACCTTGCTGAGTGCTGGGAATACAATGGGAAGTAAGATAGACACATAGCACCTACCTTTATGAACTTTATAAACCAGAAGGAAATATAAAGTAGTAAGTTTAGGGAAAAACAAGGTATTAAGTATCATGAGACCCTAACAGGTATACCTGACCTGGATTGTGAGGTGGGAAAGGGAAGTTCAGGAAAGCTTTCTGGAAAAAGTGGTATTTATGTCAAAACAGGAAAGATGAGGAATTAGCGGGGCAAAGAACAGGGCAAGTTCCAGATAAAGGAAGGGCATGTAAGAATCAAACACCAAAACACATAGAGATTCAAAAAAAATTATTTTTGTAAAACCAAAATATGGAATTACTCAGGTAGGAAGGGACTGAAAATATACTGCTATCTGCTGTCTTGTTAAAAACAAAATATAAAAGTAAAAATATTGTTAAAGAATATATGTAATCATGGTCAAAAAACAATAATTAAAATTGAAGGTTCTATCAGACATCACAAATGTTTTCCATCAGGCCTGTATAAATACATGTCTCCTGTATGCTTCTAGTCTGAAAACAGACAATTCAAACTTTTTATTATTTATAGTAAAAATTAGATGAAATTGAGAAATGTATTTTTCAACCTTTTCAGACTCTAATCTCATTTTACTTCAAACATTACATTGACTGGCTTGGTTTTAATTTTGGAACTCTAGATAGTATGTATTTAAAAGCAAACAATAGGTTGAGAATTATAAGTCACAGTATGCCTCAGTGTCCATACTGGTACGATAATGTTAAGAAAAACTACCTCTGACACAAATATATTACATGAAAATCAGCTAATGGTATAACAGCGGCTCTTTGTTCCAGAACAATTTTGAATTTAAAGTTAAAAGGCAATTTATTTTCTTCTGTCACAAAATTTTTAACCAAGGTATTTTAAAAACCAACGTTAAGTAAAATTCAGTGAGGAAATAAACACTGATGTAGGCTTATATATTCATTTAAAAATTTTTACTGACAAAGTCTGGCTATTTGCCAGTTTCAGATATATTTACATAAAATAAAAAAGACAGTCAATATATGCCTGTCTTGCCAGGACAATAGAGTTGATTTATTTATTATACAATTGTTTGAATCCCTTCTATGAGTCTACTAACACTTGGAAGATCTTTCTGTGATGATGAGAGCTCAGCCAAGCCAGAATAAAAATATTCACTGCAAGTGTATTATGACTTGAAATAATACCACCACCTTACATTCATGTTTCATTTTTTAAAAGTATTTCATCTTTCGTCCTTGTATCTCTCAGAAGGTAACGCCTGTCCCATTTTCAGATGAGGAAACCGTGCCCAAAGGAATACATGCGACTTTTCCAGGGTATTTACTGAATCAGTACTGAATTAAAATTTTTTTCTATTGGATCACTGCTTACTCTTGGTTCAGTGGGAGGTATCTTTTTTTTTTTCCAAATCAGGAATGATCTGAGTATTTGCCAGCACCCAAATAATCCCAACAGACTACAATTTTTTTGAGTAACTGATACTATATTTAAAAGAAATTATGGCCTATTTTATTGTCATCAAACTTCTGAACAAACCTCTTAATAATTACTAAATGTCCTACAAAAATTATGTTGTATACATGGGAGTCAAATGGATGACATGGATGCGGAAAGCAGAAAGAGACTGGAAATCAACATCTCAATTCAGCCTTCCAAAAAGTAGAATCCACCACTTCTTTCCCCTTCATCATTTCAAAAGCCCATGGCAATGAACCCCAAACTGAGGCCTGAGGGCGGATGCACCAGACTTTATTCCCAGGCTCTCATGGGATTTATCTATTATGGGAAAATGGAGAGTCTGGGAAGAGGCGAAAAAAAAAACAAAAGACGCGGTTTACCTTGCCCTACCTCCCTCTCCCCCTGGAATAAGGTGATGTAGCGAAGAAACCATCTTTCAATGCTGTCAGGGCTCCGCCGAGTCAGGTCAAAGGACTTTGAAACCCCCCCAGAGCTCTCCTTTTTTCTCCACTTCACCTTTTCCCTCTCCTTTCGGTGACTTCTCTCCCTGCTTCCCATCCCGTCTGCTAAACTAGCGTTGCCCAGTGACATCTCACAGCCAACCCAAGAACATCTTCAGGGCCCTGGCAAGGAGGGTAGGACAGAGCCTTGGGGAGTCGTCACCTTTTGAGGTATCTGGCGTCCTCCCCTTGCATGGCGGCAGCGGCAGCGGCGTGGAGAGGATGGGGTATCTTGAGAGGCAGGCGCGGTTATTTCCGGGGACGGTGGCCAAAGTACCCTCACACCCAGAGGCGATGACAGTCCTGAGGCCTGCAAGGCGGGGCAGCAGCGGCGCTGTGGTTACCACGGTGAAGCCTCCAGCTCCTCCCACAGCTTCTGTGCCCCAAAACACTGGAGCGGCCCAGACCCGCCCAGAGTCGCCTAAGCCGGGCCGTCACGACGCATGCGCTTGCTCTGCACCTCTTGTATGCGCAGGCTCAGTCTGAGGCGGTGGCCTCAGAGTTTGACGCACCGGGGAGCCGAGCAGGGAAGTTTTGGTGCAGTTTTGAGCGTCCGTGTATAAGGAGTGGCTCCGTAGTCACCGCCCCCTTGAGGATGGGAATAGAAAGGGCTGTCAGGTCAGCTTGAAAGGAGAGAGGGGAATCCGATAACCTTTTAGTTAGCGAATGCTATACAGCAGTCCAGCTAATAAGGGAGGTTTCTATTTGGGGGCCTGAATGGCCCTGATTGCACTTACAAGCTCTAACTTATGGAGATAATCTGACCGTTGTACAAAATGGATATAACTTTGAAGGCGGCAAGTCTGTCACTTTGATGTCTTAAATCTAGAATACACCTCCCCCAACCAAAACAAACAAACAAACAAACAAACAACAGCAACAAAAAACAGTTCCTGAAATTCCAACTCCACCAATTATCCTGAACTCAAGGTATGTTTAGAATTGCTTCTTCTGAGGCAGGCAATTGTTAGCAGTGCAGGGCATAGGAAAGAAGGGTTCTTTTTTAACTGCATGTTCTCTGGTTTAAGATCTATTCCCATGGGTTCAGCTATTATGTCTATGCAAATGATATAGGTTCATTTATTTGGTAAATGTGAATTGAGGGCTGGCTGTGTGCCAAACACCAAACCAGGCTCTAGGGATGCAAAGAAAGCACCTCTACTCCCCCTGCTCACCTATAATCTTGTCACTTATTCACTGTCTTCTAGTCCTGTTTTCCCAGTTGCTTTGAGACGTGCACGTAGTTGCTCTGCTGCTTTTTTCAAATGTAGTACATTGATGCAATTATTGATTATCCGTTATGTGTAAAACACCATGTTAAGGCACTGCATGGTATATTAAATATAGAAATACAGTCCTTACCCAACAAAATATATTTTTATCTTCCCACCCATTCACACCAGCTACACTATTTCTGTAGATGTTATAGTCATTCTTTCATTCTGAAAGGGAAGAAAATTTGCAGCTAATTTTGACTCCTTCCTCTGTATCATGCCCTCTTACTAAAGTGTTACAAAATTCTATCTTTTCTTCCTTCAAGATATTCAGGTAGTCCAGTTTTTTTCTACATTCTTACTTCTACCAATAGTCTAATCACTTTATACCTAGAGTACTGCAATTCCTTCCTCATTGGACTTCCTATTTTTTGTTTTTCTAAATATTAATTCTGCAAACTAATGTAAAATTTTACAAATTATCATTTATAACACCTTTAATGGTAATATAGCAGGCTAGATTACTTTAAAATCTTCACAATACGTAAAATTGGAAGACCAAAATATACATTAAAATGCATAGATAATATAACAAGGATTTTTGGAATGTAAGTTAGCTCCTTGAGCTCAGAGAACTTATTTCGTTCACTTTTGCATTCAGCCCATAGTTGTCACTGAATAAAAATTTTGGTGTTGAAAAAATGCAAACCTGAGCTTGAAAAAACAATAGCAACAACAACAACAAAAAAACCTAAAGAAAATGCCCAGAGGCCAGAAAGAAAGAGAGAGCTGGAAACCAGAGCAATAAATAGATAGCTGAAACTGGGACTGAACTAGATAAACTGTCTGTCTGTGGCAGGAAAAGTACAAGATGAGCCTGGAACATTTTATGCTTGACAGTAAGGACATAGTCAGAGACTAAGAAGATAAGATTATGTAAAAAGGACACTGGTGAATTTGAGGCAATTTGGGAATCAAATGGAATTACTGGGATTGATTTAAGACATTAAATAAATAAAAAAAAGAAATCCATAATGATACTCAACAACATAGAAAAACAGGGAAAAAAGAACCCCACTTCCACTGGAGGCAACTACTGCATCAGATCTTTACTCTGAAAGCTGGTAATTAAAAGAAAGAAGGATTTAATCTAATGCTTTTGGAAATAAACCAGATTTCACCTCCTTTTAACAAGGAAAAGCTCTTCTTAACAGAAAATACCTGGTAGGAATGGAGAAAAATAATGATAGTTACTATTTTGCAAGCACCAATAAACAATGGATTCAAATAAGCCCTATTAATTTACTTTAAAATAATTTAAAGTGAGGCAAAGTTTTACCCCGCATATTTCTTTATAATTCTAAAGGAAAAGAAATGTTACTTTACAATGAGGAGATCTAGCTGTCAGCATTTTAAACAGACAAGCAAACAGCATCATTAGTGAGAGGTGAACCCAGCTGGACTTCTGGGTCGGGTGGGGACTTGGAGAACTTTTCTGTCTAGCTAGAGGGTTGTAAATGCACCAATCAGCACTCTGGGTCTAGCTAAAGGATTGTAAATGCACCAATCAGCACTCTGTACAAACGCACCAATTAGTGCTCTGTGTCTAGCTAAAGGATTGTAAACGCACCAATCAGCACTCTGTAAAAATGCACCAATCAACGCCCTGTGTCTAGCTAAAGGATTGTAAATGCACCAATCAGCACTCTGTAACACCAATCAGCAGGATGTGGGCGGGGCCAAACAAGGGAATAAAATGTCAGATTATTTTGTAAAGTTGAATAGGCACATACTCTAAATCTCAGCAATTCTACTCCTAGTTCTATACTTCATAAAATTGTTCCAAAATCATTGGAGAAGTATTGAGCTTAGTAGAAAATGAAAAACAGAAAGACAATAACAAAATACTTTTGCAGGAGAATGAATGAATACATTTGAAATATTCACACAATACAATAATATGCAGCAGAGAAAGTTGATGAACTAGAACTTTACATATGACATGGATGAATATTAGAAACATGATACTGAGTGAAAAATTGTGGCAGATTAAATACAGCATGATGCTTTATTTAAATTGCACTATAATTTAAAAACAATAACATGCATTCTTCTTGGCCTACAGTTCTCTAAGTTTTGAAAAACTCTTAAGTCATATAATTACCTGCACAATCATAGAGCAGTTCTGTCATCCTCTAAAATTCCTTTGTATCCTTTGGAGTCGCCTTATCCCCACAACCCCAGGCTCTGGTAAATACTGATCTGTTTTCTGTTCCTATAATTTTGCCTTTTCCAGAACGTCATCTGAATGTAATGATAGGCGCTGTAGCCTTTTGAATCTGGTTTCTTTCATTTAGCACAATGCATTTGAAGACAATCCATTTTGTTTTTCGGTCCTGTTTTTTTTTTTATTGTTAAGTACTATTCCATGGTATGAATGTACCATAGTTTATTCATTCACCAGTTGAAAGACATTTGAGTTGCTTCTAGCTTTTGGCAACTATGAATAAAGCTACTAAAAATATTTACATACAGATTTTTGTGTTAGTTAGTATTCTTTACTCCTGTTCAGTTATCTAAGAATAGGTTTACTTAGTTGTATGGTAAATATATGAATGACTGTACAAAACCACCAAACTGTTTTCCAAAATGAATGCCGTTCTGCATTTCTACCAACAATGTATGAGTTCAGATTTAGTCACATCCTTTCCAGCACTTGGTATTTTGTTTTTTTTTTAAATTTGTCTGTTTACTCTCATCATTCTAATAAGTGTGCAGGGCTATCTCACTTGATTTTAATTGAATTTCCCTGATTATTAATGGTATGAGCATATTTTCATATGTTTAATTACCATTTCTATACCATTTTTGAATTCTCTTCAAATTTTTTGTCCATTTTTAATTTATATTTTTGCCAGACTGATAAACTGAGCACAGAGATATCAACAGTTAAGTAGATAAAGAGGACAAATTACTAATATCTGAAATGAAAGAAGGGACATCATTCAGATTCTACAGGTATAAAAATGATAATTTGAAAATTATGAACAACTTTATACTAATAAATTTAATGACTTAAATGAAATAAGCAAATACCTTGAATGATATTTATTAAGATGGTGACAAGAACAAAGAGAAAATGTTAAAGCTCTTTATCTCTTAAAGACATTGAATACCTAATGACAATATTTCCCACAAAATACACTTCAGACACAAATAGCTTCACTTATGCATTCTACCAAGCAAGTAATTAAGATAATGTCAATTTAGATACTTTCTGAAAATATAAAATGAAAGCATATCTACCAATTAATTTTAAAAGGTCAGCATTATCCTGATATCAAAATTAGAAAATGGTATTACAAAATAAGAGCTACAAATATCCTTAGTGAACATATGTGCAAAACTCTTTAACAAAATATTAGCAAATCAAACCAGCATACATAAAAAGAATGCTATGACCAAATGGGGTTTATCCCAGGAATGCAAGGTTGGTTTAATACATGAAAATCCAATAATTAATTTGCCATATTGCTATATAGTTTGCATACTTGACCCTCCAAACCTTATGTTAAAGTTTGATCTCCAATGTTGGAGACAGGGCCTAATGGGAGATGTTTGGGTGATGCAGACAGATCCCTCATGGATGACTTTATACTGTCCTTGTGGTAATTAGTGAGTTCTTGCTCTATTAGTTCCTGTGAGAGCTGGTTGACAAAAAGAGCCTAGCACCTCCCCCACCTCTTGCCTCCTATCTTGCCATGTGATCACTGCACATGCTGGCTCCCTTTCCCCGTCCATCTTGAATGGAAGCAGCCTGAAGCCCTCACCAGAAGCAGATACTGGCCCCCTACTTCTTGTACAGCCTGAAGAACAATGAACCAAATAAACTTTCTTTATAAATTACATAATCTCAGGTATTCCTTTATAGCAACACATATGAACAAAGACACATATTAACAATATAAAGGTAAAAAATCATATGGTCATCTCAACAGAAGCAGAAAATTAATATAATGGAATTCATGATTTTAAAAAACTATTAGCAATCTAAGAATAGAAAGTGACTTCTTCACCCTAATAAAGCATACTTATATGGGTTTACTTCTGGGTTCTCTATTCTGTTTCATTGATCTATCTGTCTTTTTCATGCCAGTATAATACTGTTTTAATTACCATAGCTTTGTAATATATTTTGAAATCAGGAAATGTAATGCCTCAATCTTTCTTCTTTTTCTCAAGATCATTTTGGCTTTTTGGAGTTCTTTGTGGTTCCATATGGACTTCAGGGTTTTTTTTTTAATATTTCTATTAAAAGAATGTCAATGTATTTTGATAGAGATAGCATTGAATATGTAAATTGCTTTGGCTAGTATGGATTTTTTTTTAACAATATGAAGTCTTCCAATCTATAAACAAGGGATGTCTTTCCATTTATTTGAATAATTTTGGTAGAATTATCCCTACGTATTTATTGTTTTCAGGTGATATTATCAGTGGTGTTTGAAAAACCATATAGATTGGAAAGGAAAAGTAAAACTATTTTGATTTACAAATAAAAAGCTACTAGACCTAATAATTAGTAATATCATAGAATATAAAGTTACTACAAAAATCAATTGCATTGACTTATACTAGCAATGAAAAATTGAAAAATAAAATTTATAAACACCATTGATAATACCACCAGAGAGCAATAAATATGTAGGGATAAATCTACCAAAATTTGTTCAAGACCTATGCACTGAAAACCATGAAACAGCACTAAGAGAAATTAAAGATGCCCTAGGAAAATGGAAAAGTGTGTCATGTCTATAGATTGAATGATTCAATATTATTAGAACATCAATTTTACTCAAATTTATCTATAGATTCTATATAACTCCAATCAAATACTAGCAATTTTTTTTTACAAATTGACAGGTTGATTATTTTATATGAAAATGCAAAGGACCTCTAAGAGTTTACACAATTTTGAAGAACAAATTTGAAAGGCTTCATGATTAAAAGACCTACTATAACTTCATTAGTCAATTCAATGTGTATTGGCATAAGGATATACATATACATAGATTAATGGAAGAGAATAAAAAATAAAGAATAGAAAGAGAATGACTCACTTATGGTTCAGTTAACTTTTCAGATAATTTCTTAAAACTTTTTAAAATTCACAGAAAGTTGCAGAAACGGTGCAGAGATATCTAGGTACCTTCACCTAGTTTCACCCAGTAGTTACATCTTCCATAAATGTATTGTAATCAGAAACCCAAAAACTGATATCAGTACAATGTATGTATATAATTCTATGCCATTTTATCATGTGTGTAAATTCCTGTAACCACTACCTCAATCAGTATCTAGAATTATTCTGTCACCACAAAGATCTACTGAAATTTACATTTCATTGGATTGAATGAAGTGTAGAAACTGCATCTCCCTTTGTCAGTTTACTCTCTTCCATTTTTAATAAAATTATCTTTAACATTTCCTTTATGTACATTTAGAACTATATCAGTGTTATCATTTTGCTTTAATCATAAAACAATTTAGAAAACTTAAGAGAAGGAAGGTCTATCACCAAAATTTAAAACTTCCCTTTGAAAGACACCATTAAGAAATGAAATGGTAAGTCACAGACTGAAAGTATTTGCCATAAATCTATATGACAAAATAATTGTATTCATGATATAAAGAGAACTATTACAAGTCAACAAAAAATCTAAATGACCTAACTAAAAATGAGCAATTAATTTACAAAAATGTCATAAAAGGAGATACATCTCTAGCTAATAAGCACATAGTGACTCAACTTTATTAGTTATCATGGAACTGGAAATTTAACCACAGTGAAATACACTATTATACACCTATATTAGTTTTCTATTGCTGCAGTAACAAATGGTAACAAACTTAGTGGCCTAAAACTTAAATTTATTGTCTTACAGTTCTGTAGATCAGAAGTCTGCAATGAATCCCACTGAGTTAAAAATCAAGATACCAAGAGGGCTTTACTTTTTTCTGGATGCTTTAGAATAGAATCAGTTTCCTTGCCATTTTCAGCTGTTACAGGCCATCCACACTCCTTCACTGATGGCCTCTTTCCTCCATCTTCAAAGCCAGCAACAGTGGCCCAAGTTCTTTTCATTATTGCCATCTCACAGGTCCTTCTTCTCTTATCACATCTCTCTATGACCACAGCCAGGAAAGGTTTTCCACTTTTAGGGATGCATGTGGGCCCCACTGGATAATTCAGGATAATCTCCCCATGTTAAAGTAGGTCCTTAACTTTAATCACATCTATCAAGTTCCTTTTGCCATGTAGGTAATATATTTACAGGTTCCAGAGATGGGATGTGAGCACCTTTTTTTGTGGGGGTGGGTGAGAAGGGTGGGAGCATTATTTTACCTGCCACAATACCTACCACCATAATGATTAATATTAAATTGTCAGACAATACCAATTGGTGGTAAGAATGTGGAGCTACTGGAGTTCTAATACTTGTGAGAATGCAAAATGGTACAACCTTTTGGAAGACAGTTTTATAGTTTCTTCAACAGTTAAATGCATATTTACAATACAACCAGCAATTCCACTCCTATGTGTCTACCCAAGAAAAATGAAAACATATGTCCACAACAATTGCTCACAAATGTTCATGGTAGCTTTATTAATAATGACAGAAAACTTGAAACAACCCAAATGTCTATTAACATGTCAATTGATACAAATTGTGGGATATTCACACAATGGATACTACTTAGCATCAAGAAAAATCAAAACTACTGATATATGCAACATAAATAAATCTTTAAAAACCTCATTATGACGAAAGAACCATATGGTTTGATTCCATTTATAAGAAACTCTTGAATAGAAAAAAAGCACACCCCGATCTATTATGACAGAAAGTAGATAAGTGGTTGCCTTGTGCTAGTGATAGAGGGTGGATAGACTGCAGCCAGGCTGGAGGAAACTTTAGGGTAATGGTCACCCATGTGAATACAATTATTAAAACTCATCAAGCTGTATACTTGCATTCATTTTATTGCATGTAAATTTTAAAAATTTTGTATAAAAATAAATTATACTTTCTCTTTGTTGTATATAAATTATTTCCTAATGTGATTGTTTTAAAAGATATAATGAGCAAGGAAAAAAGTAGTAAGCCAAATGGGTGGATTAAATAGCATATTAAACACAGTTGGCCGGGCATGGTGGTTTATACCTGTAATCCCAGCACTTTGGGGGGCCAAGGTGGGAGGATCAGTTGAGGTCAGGAGTTCGAGACTAGCCTGGCCAACATAGTGAAACCCCATCTCTATCAAAAATACAAAAATTAGCCAGGTGTGGTGGGGCATGCATTTAATCCCAGCTACTTGGGAGGCTGAGGCATGAGAATCGCCTGAACCCAGGAGGCAGAGGTTGCAGTGAGCTGAGATCATGCCACTGCACTCCAGCCTGGGCAACAGAGCAAGACTCTGTCTCAAAAAATAATAATAAAATAAACACAGTTGAAGAGAAAATTTGTAAATATTAAGAGGAAATAATACAACACAGTGTGATAGAGAAAACCAGTTCTTAAAAAGGGGTTAAGGGATGGGAAGGATAACATGTAAAGATCCATAAGCTTTTAATATGACTGCTGGAAAAAAAGAATAGAGAGGCTAGAGACAAGCCAATATTTAAGACTGGAAAACATCCTGAGTTAATCAAAGACGTGAATCCCAAGCAGGATAAATAAAACAAATTCATTACTGAAATTAGAGAATTCCAAAGATAGAGATCTCAGAAGCCATCATCAGTTAGTAATTTTTTGTGTGCTAATTTTTCATTTCTATTTCGTTCTCATCTCCCAAACGGGTTATAAATTGTTGAGTGAAGAAACCAATCTCATTCAGCACTTGGACTTGCATTATTCTGTGGTGTAGTGGCTAAGAACCTGAATTCTTCTGGAGTAAGAACTTGGTTAGTGTGCCTGTTCTACCGCTTATTTACTTTTGACCTTGGGCAAGTTAAACTCTGTAATGTTCAATTTTCTCATCTGTAAAATAGGGGTAATAGTCTTTATGTCCTAGAGTTATTGTAAAGTTAAATGAGATAGCATACATAAATTTGTACCAGTGTATTTATCACATTAAGGGCAGCAATTGATATTAGCTGGACCAGGTGTTTGCAAACTTAGTTAATTTATTACCTACCTACCATTTATTAATTACCACCTGCCATTTATTAATCATATGACTACTCACCCACATATCCCTTATTAATTATATGACTCTAGACAAGTCACTTAAGCACTCTGTGTGTACTTCATTTAGAAAAATTGGGGGAAATACCCATATTGCCAAAGATTATTGCAAGGATACGAAGAGTTGATATTTTGTTAGAATCTTATAAATTTTAAAGTTACATGAAAATGATGATGTTATTATTATTTCAACTTTATTCTTAAATTTGTCAACTGTATTTTGAATACTAGCCACAGCGGGGTGTTTAAAAGTACTGAGAAAAGTGATTGCTGCCTCACAATTTTATAATTTGACAGGAGAGAAAGAGTACAAAGATGCCTAACACCAATGACAGAATCATTTAAAGACGAATAATCCCAATGATACACCAACATGGCTAAAGATGGTTTCTGAGGGCTTTAGAGATATAGGAGTCAGTCTGGGTTGCATTGGGAAGCCTTTTGTTAATACCACAGTTTGTTCCATCAAGCAAAACTCTTTTTCCTAGAAGCCTTTTGTAAGCTTCAGATGCAGTACAGTGCCTTCTCTGTTCTACTGCATATACTGTACTTTATGTGCATTATTTGTTTATACCTCTATCCTCTCCAATAAGAGGGATTAAAAAGGCATAAAATCATGGATGTCCAATCACAGTGCATGGCACGTAGTACTAACACAATAAATGGCAACTGCTGCTATATCAAATACAGTTACTGCCTTCAAGGAGCACATGAACTAGTCACTAGGTATATAAACAAATAATTATTGACTATATTAATGCTTTCATAATAGCAGCATGACACAAGTAGGATGCTGGCACAAAAGGGAATAATCCACTTATCTTGGAGGATAGAGACTCACAGTAGGACTCACAAAAGCTGAATAAAATTTTGCTTAGCAGAGAGCATAACAGGGATATTATAGAGAAAGGCAATAGTACATACAAGGACACAAAAGTATGAAATATCATGGTACAGTTAAGTAACTGTATGTAGTTTGAGACAGAATTAGTTTTGGGTGGAATGGCATGCAAAATAAGTTGGGAAAAGACAGCAGGGGCAAGATCATGGAGAACCTGGTATACGAGAACATGGTATTTGAATATTTCCTGCAGGCATGAGGACCCATTGAAGAATTTTAATATAGGAAAGTTGTATGCTAAGATTTATTACTTTCAGCAATATTCGTTTCTCTATATTTTATCCACACAGCAACGGAAAACAGAGGGGTTAGAATTACATTTTAAAAATACTCCAAATGTGTTGTTTATACATTTCAATCCTGATTTGCTTCAACAGTACATAGAAAATCTTTCTTACCTTGTGATTGCCTTTGGGATGCCATCAAATGGCCAGTGGGGCCCAAGGAGCCCATATCCACTGGCTATCAATGCCATTATCCTGCCACCTTTCCAATTAGTTTGAGCTCATGTAGCACATCTTAATACAAAGGAGATTTCAGTTAAAAGGACCCTTTAAAATAATTCTCTTCCTGGTGGTGGTAACCACTGTTTCAACTAGTATGACGTAAGACAATAACTATGACATCACTGGGTTGCTCCTAGGATCAGGAATGGGGCGTGGCCCACTAGGATAATGAATAATGAATTCCTGTGCTTTTTTCTTTCACCAGATTCTCTTATAGTCTGAATAATACTTTGAGAAAATAGTCATGCAATATGCCAAACTGATGAACCTTAAAGACACAGTCAAATGAATGTGTTATTCAGTATGAATAATAGAGGTGTATTTAGTCACTTAACACCCATATGTGCACACACACACACATCTGTATTTGTGAATTCGTATATGTGGATTTATACATGTATGTTCAAGTGGAAGTTCCTTGCAGGAGAGCATAGCTACTGTTATGCTTTCATGTGTATTCCTTTGCAGAGATGCACATAGCATGGTGAGGAAGGACTATCATCTGAGTGTATCCAGCCATATCAGCTGTATTTATTAATTTAAACAAAATTTATGAGCAGGTATTGCTTTAGATTTGGGTATGGAAAAATGAATAGACACAGTTTTTGACTTGAATAGTTGTACCCAAATTCAGTAGGGATATACACAAAGTGAGCAGATAAATGAAATTTAAAGTCATATATTCTGTGGTAGAGCTATAATGTGTCTCTATAGAAATCAAGGAGATGACTGTGGAATTGTTAGATACTTAATGCCGATTAGCAACAAGGCACTCTCCTAATTACTGAAGCTATAAGAAGCATAAGGTACAGATCTTATCCTACAGGAGTTACAGATCTAAGAATAGGCAATCAGGGAACATGTAATTGATGTCTCAGCCATATTTCCCACACACAGATAATCCCTAGTCAAGTTTATTTTCTTCCTGGACTCTGCTATTTTCAACTGTTCCTATCTATTAATTTTGTTCTTATAAAGAAGATGGTATATCATCTCTTTTCAATTTATAAACTCACAACTCATAAACTCGCAGTGATAGAAATTACATTTGAGTTACAGATATGAAGGGGATCAGATCTCTCATTCAATATACATGTGTTTGGTGCATATTAAGCATTTCAGGCACAATTTGGAGCTAAAGTAGTAGCCCCAAAGATCATTTGACAGGATGGGATAAATTCAGGCAATGGCTTTATATTAGCATCCAGGGTTTCCTGCAAAATCTTAGGAGCTCCTTCTTCACCTCTTTAAGAAGAGGTATTGCCATAACAAAAGTGTTTGTGACATATCCTCAGAACCAGAGCTGCCGGTTCATTCCAGATTAGTTCCTGGTAACCGCCAACTGGCAATAATAACTTTGAAGTTGGATACAAAATATGATCTATGCTTCCAGGGTTGAAATATATTTTGTTTTAATGGGTGACATAATTTCAGCTTTTTAAGTATGGGGCCAAAATTAAATCATGCCATTTAAAAAATTTGACTTTAAAAATTTTACCTTTTGTATTCCTTTTCTTCCCTCCCTCCCTCCTTCCTCCCTCTCTCCTTCCCTTTTTTATTCCTTCCTTCCTTCCTTCCTTCCTTCCTTCCTTCCTTCCTTCCTTCCTCCCTCCCCCCCTCCCTCCCTTTCTTCCTTCCTTTCCTTCCAATAGCACATGTGTTATAGAAATAACTGCATATTGGAAATAGAATTGTTTCCAATTTTGGAAATTTTCTCCCAAACCCATGTCTCTTAAATATTGTCATCACTATATCAGGAAAGGAAGCAGATATATATCAAGGATCATGAGAAATGGTGGAAATAAATCAGAATTTTTCCTGTGTTTGTTAGTGATGAAACATTTAAAAGTCATTTTTAGTTCACACCTCATTACCTTGTTCACATTGCCTATTTTATTTTATTTTTTAAAGGGAGAGGTAGAAAATAAAATGCTGGTGCTTGCAACTCAGTCCTCTTCCTGCCTATCCTTCTCATTGGTGTACGAATTTTTTTTTCCAAATGAGTCAGACATTTGAGAGGACGTCAACATTGCTCTGAATAAAAGATGCTAGTATGCTATCAAAAAAACCCAAAACAAAATAAACAAAATGTTGCTTGTCCTCTTTACATTTGAAGACATTTATTCACATAGCTCTCCTCAGGACATGGTGATGTGTGTTTCTCTTTAAATGGTCTCTTGACTGAAACTTATCATAAAATTTCCACAGTAACCAAGTGGATATAGTGATGAAAATTATTTCTTATGAACGAAGGAAGCATTCACAGCATAAACATTTTTAGCAAGGTTGGTTTTATTTTACCTTATTAAAATATTCTCATAGGTTCCAGAATACTTTTTGTTTTCAGACCTTGAGATATTGGGTTAGGATCGATTCCAAGGTGATTTTGCTGCCAGTTCATTTGCATTTATAATACCATAAAATTGAACAAATAAGAAAAGTCTGAACTAGAAAGTCAGTTACAAACTAAAGGAACACATTCTATTCTATTTTGCTGGCCAATTTATTCAAAGCAAAGAAAAACAAAACAAAGAAGTTTATAAAAAGTGCTCATTAAATAAGTTTTGAATGGACATTTATAGAGAAGAGAAATAACCAAATAAATGGAAATTTTCTGGTATTTTGTTATATAGTAGTAGGCCTGCATTTAAATTGTTGCATGTAGGCCAATAGAGTGAAGATTATACAAAAATTGGGGCTTTTGCATTTTTTCTCTTAAATGATAGTATTCCTCATAGATATAGTAGTTGACAAGAGGAAAGATTGGATGATGGCATTTTATTTACTTCTAAAATATTTTGTTTCTATTCTATTGGTTTCTGCTGGCTCAAGAATAATATGCTTTATCGCATTAAAAAACTATGTACTTGTGTGGAGGGAAGGGGGAGAAATATTTTTTGATAGCATACTATGGGATAGGCACTAACAGAAACAAAAGTGTAAGAGGTAAAATTATCCATATTTTACTGACGAGAAAACAGAGATAGTTTGTACAAGTTATTAGTGCTTAGTTTATTTTTTATAAAATTTTATTTTACTTTTACCTTTCTATTATAAAGTAAAACACCAATACAGAAAACCACACAAGTCAGAGGCAAAGTTAGTGAATTTTTATAAGGCAAACACCCTAGTAACCAGATCAAGACACAGAACTGTATCAGCCACCCCAGAAACACCTTCATGTGCCCCTCCCAATGTTAACCCCTTTCATCTCTTCAAAAGTAATCACTATCCTGACTTTGATACCAGTGACATCTCTGTTTTCCTTTAGGTTAAAACCCATGTGTGTAGCTCTAGAAATTACAGTTTAATTTTGCTCCTTTTAATCTTGATATGTCTGTTAAGTCTCTTTTAATTTAAATATTTCTCCTCTATCCTTTTGTTTTCCTTAGAATAAATCTGATTAAGAACCAACTCTATTTGACCTATAATGTTTCCAAATTCTGGATGTGCTGATTGCATGCTTATGATGGAGTTTATTATATTTTTCTTGCAAATATGTGTTTTATGCTAATCATCAGCTGAATCCGACGGCTCAATTAGACTCACGTATGATGATTTGGGTAACATAAAAAGTGGTGTTGTATTATTTACTCAGGGAACGCAGAGTAACTGATGTTTACTTCTTTTTGGCGTCAGCAACCACTAATGGTCAAGGCCACCAGTATTTATGCAATGTTTCTGTGGTCATTTTGGTTGTCTGAAGCTCATTCTCTAGTTTATTCCTTAGGAAGTACTCAGAGGAATAATATTTCTTGAGGTCTTTCATGTGGATAATAGTTGTCTGTGCTTTTTATATTTGAAGATCAGCATTAACTGTATATAAAATCCATGGCTCACATTTTCTTTCCTTAAGTACCTTAAATATGCTACTCTATTTTTTTTTTTCTGGCAGAAAGTGTTGCTGTTTAACAGTCTTGATAATTTAATTTCCTTTCCCTTATAATCATATATTTTTTTTTGCCTAGAAGACCAAAGATTTCTTTTTTACTCCTTAAAAAAGTTCAGTAATTTTACTAGAATAAGTTCTTTTATTATTATTATTATACTTTAAGTTTTAGGGTACATATGCACATTGTGCAGGTTAGTTACATATGTATACATGAGCCATGCTGGTGCGCTGCACCCACTAACTCGTCATCTAGCATTAGGTATCTCTCCCAAAGCTATCCCTCCCCCCTCCCCCCACCCCACAACAGTCCCCAGAGTGTGATGTTCCCCTTCCTGTGTCCATGTGATCTCATTGTTCAATTCCCACCTATGAGTGAGAATATGCGGTGTTTGGTTTTTTGCTCTTGCGATAGTTTACTGAGAATGATGATTTCCAATTTCATCCATGTCCCTACAAAGGACATGAACTCATCATTTTTTATGGCTGCATAGTATTCCATGGTGTATATGTGCCACATTTTCTTAATCCAGTCTATCATTGTTGGACATTTGGGTTGGTTCCAAGTCTTTGCTATTGTGAATAATGCCGCAATAAACATACGTGTGCATGTGTCTTTATAGCAGCATGATTTATAGTCCTTTGGGTATATACCCAGTAATGGGATGGCTGGGTCAAATGGTATTTCTACTTCCAGATCCCTGAGGAATCACCACACTGACTTCCACAATGGTTGAACTAGTTTACAGTCCCACCAACAGTGTCAAAGTGTTCCTATTTCTCCACATCCTCTCCAGCACCTGTTGTTTCCTGACTTTTTAATGATCGCCATTCTAACTGGTGTGAGATGGTATCTCATTGTGGGTTTGATTTGCATTTCTCTGATGGCCAGTGATGATGAGCATTTTTTCATGTGTTTTTTGGCTGCATAAATGTCTTCTTTTGAGAAATGTCTGTTCACGTCCTTTGCCCACTTTTTGATGGGGTTGTTTGTTTTTTTCTTGTAAATTTGTTTAAGTTCGTTGTAGATTCTGGATATTAGCCCTTTGTCAGATGAGTAGGTTGTGAAAATTTTCTCCCATTTTGTAGGTTGCCTGTTCACTCTGATGGTAGTTTCTTTTGCTGTACAGAAGCTCTTTAGTTTAATTAGATCCCATTTGTCAATTTTAGCTTTTGTTGCCATTGCTTTTGGTGTTTTAGACATGAAGTCCTTGCCCATGCCTATGTCCTGAATGGTATTGCCTAGGTTTTCTTCTAGGGTTTTTATGGTTTTAGGTCTAACGTTTAAGTCTTTAATCCATCTTGAATTGATTTTTGTATAAGGTGTAAGGAAGGGATCCAGTTTCAGCTTTCTACATATGCCTAGCCAGTTTTCCCAGCACCATTTATTACATAGGGAATCCTTTCCCCATTGCTTGTTTTTGTCAGGTTTGTCAAAGATCAGATAGTTGTAGATATGCGGTGTTATTTCTGAGGGCTCTGTTCTGTTCCATTGATCTATATCTCTGTTTTGGTACCAGTACCATGCTGTTTTGGTTACTGTAGCCTTGTAGTATAGTTTGAAGTCAGGTAGTGTGATGCCTCCAGCTTTGTTCTTTTGGCTTAGGATTGACTTGGCAATGCGGGCTCTTTTTTGGTTCCATATGAACTTTAAAATAGTTTTTTCCAATTCTGTAAAGAAAGGCATTGGTAGCTTGATGGGGATGGCATTGAATCTGTAAATTACCTTGGGCAGTATGGCCATTTTCACGATATTGATTCTTCCTACCCATAAGCATGGAATGTTCTTCCATTTGTTTGTGTCCTCTTTTATTTCCTTGAGCAGTGGTTTGTAGTTCTCCTTGAAGAGGTCCTTCACATCCCTTGTAAGTTGGATTCCTAGGTATTTTATTCTCTTTGAAGCAATTGTGAATGGGAGTTCACTCATCATTTGGCTCCCTGTTTGTCTGTTATTGGTGTATAAGAATGCTTGTGATTTTTGTACATTGATTTTGTATCCTGAGACTTTGCTGAAGTTGCTTATCAGCTTAAGGAGATTTTGGGCTGAGACAATGGGGTTTTCTAGATATACAATCATGTCGTCTGCAAACAGGGACAATTTGACTTCCTCTTTTCCTAATTGAGTACCCTTTATTTCCTTCTCCTGCCTAATTGCCCTGGCCAGAAATTCCAACACTATGTTGAATAGGAGTGGTGAGAGAGGGCATCCCTGTCTTGTGCCAGTTTTCAAAGGGAATGCTTCCAGTTTTGGCCCATTCAGTATGATATTGGCTGTGGGTTTGTCATAGATAGCTCTTATTATTTTGAAATATGTCCCATCAATACCTAATTTATTGAGAGTTTTTAGCATGAAGCGTTGTTGAATTTTGTCCAAGGCCTTTTCTGCATCTATTGAGATAATCATGTGGTTTTTGTCTTTGGCTCTGTTTATATGCTGGATTACATTTATTGATTTGTGTATATTGAACCAGCCTTGCATCCCAGGGATGAAGCCCACTTGATCATGGTGGATAGGCTTTTTGATGTGCTGCTGGATTCATTTTGCCAGTATTTTATTGAGGATTTTTGCATCAATGTTCATCAAGGATATTGGTCTAAAATTCTCTTTTTTTGTTGTGTCTCTGCCTGGCTTTGGTATCAGAATGATGCTGGCCTCATAAAATGAGTTAGGGAGGATTCCCTCTTTTTCTATTGATTGGAATAGTTTCAGAAGGAATGGTACCAGTTCCTCCTTGTACCTCTGGGAGAATTCGGCTGTGAATCCATCTGGTCCTGGACTCTTTTGGTTGGTAAGCTATTGATTCTTGCCACAATTTCAGATCCTGTTGTTGGTCTATTCAGAGATTCAACTTCTTCCTGGTTTAGTCTTGGGAGGGTGTATGTGTTGAGAAGTTTATCCATTTCTTTTAGATTTTCTAGTTTATTTGCGTAGAGGTGTTTGTAGTATTCTCTGATGGTAGTTTGTATTTCTGTGGGATCGGTGGTGATATCCCCTTTACCATTTTTTATTGCATCTATTTGATTCTTCTCTCTTTTTTTCTTTATT
This sequence comes from Homo sapiens, assembly GCF_000001405.40. Taxonomy (NCBI): domain Eukaryota; kingdom Metazoa; phylum Chordata; class Mammalia; order Primates; family Hominidae; genus Homo; species Homo sapiens. The sequence goes on from NC_000001.11 coordinate 170,092,078, forward strand.
AGTCTTGCTAGCAGTCTATCTATTTTGTTGATCCTTTCAAAAAACCAGCTCCTGGATTTGTTAATTTTTTGAAGGGTTTTTTGTGTCTCTATTTCCTTCAGTTCTGCTCTGATTATAGTTATTTCTTGCCTTCTGCTAGCTTTTGAATGTGTTTGCTCTTGCTTTTCTAGTTCTTTTAATTGTGATGTTAGGGTGTCAATTTTGGATCTTTCCTGCTTTCTTTTGTGGGCATTTAGTGCTATAAATTTCCCTCTACACACTGCTTTGAATGCGTCCCGGAGATTCTGGTATGTTGTGTCTTTGTTCTCGTTGGTTTCAAAGAACATCTTTATTTCTGCCTTCATTTCATTATGTACCCAGTAGTCATTCAGGAGCAGGTTGTTCAGTTTCCATGTAGTTGAGCAGCTTTGAGTGAGATTCTTAATCCTGAGTTCTAGTTTGATTGCACTGTGGTCTGAGAGATAGTTTGTTATAATTTCTGTTCTTTTACATTTGCTGAGGAGAGCTTTACTTCCAACTATGTGGTCAATTTTGGAATAGGTGTGGTGTGGTGCTGAAAAAAAATGTATATTCTGTTGATTTGGGGTGGAGTGTTCTGTAGATGTCTATTAGGTTTGCTTGGTGCAGAGCTGAGTTCAATTCCTGGGTATCCTTGTTGACTTTCTGTCTCGTTGATCTGTCTAATGTTGACAGTGGGGTGTTAAAGTCTCCCATTATTATTGTGTGGGAGTCTAAGTCTCTTTGTAGGTCACTCAGGACTTGCTTTATGAATCTGGGTGCTCCTGTATTGGGTGCATATATATTTAGGATAGTTAGCTCTTCTTGTTGAATTGATCCCTTTACCATTATGTAATGGCCTTCTTTGTCTCTTTTGATCTTTGTTGGTTTAAAGTCTGTTTTATCAGAGACTAGGATTGCAACCTCTGCCTTTTTTTGTTTTCCATTTGCTTGGTAGATCTTCCTCCATCCTTTTATTTTGAGCCTATGTGTGTCTCTGCACGTAAGATGGGTTTCTTGAATACAGCACACTGATGGGTCTTGACTCTTTATCCAATTTGCCAGTCTGTGTCTTTTAACTGGAGCATTTAGTCCATTTACATTTAAAGTTAATATTGTTATGTATTTGATCCTGTCATGATGATGTTAGGTGGTTATTTTGCTCGTTAGTTGATGCAGTTTCTTCCTAGTCTCGATGGTCTTTACATTTTGGCATGATTTTGCAGCGGCTGGTACCGGTTGTTCCTTTCCATGTTTAGTGCTTCCTTCAGGAGCTCTTTTAGGGCAGGCCTGGTGTTGACAAAATCTCTCAGCATTTGCTTGTCTGTAAAGGATTTTATTTCTCCTTCGCTTATGAAGCTAAATTTGGCTGGATATGAAATTCTGGGTTGAAAATTCTTTTCTTTAAGAATGTTGAATATTGGCCCCCACTCTCTTCTGGCTTGTAGGGTTTCTGCCGAGAGATCCGCTGTTAGTCTGATGGGCTTCCCTTTGAGGGTAACCCGACCTTTCCTTCTGGCTGCCCTTAACATTTTTTCCTTCATTTCAACTTTGGTGAATCTGACAATTATGTGTCTTGGAGTTGCTCTTCTTGAGGAGTATCTTTGTGGCATTCTCTGTATTTCCTGAATTTGAATGTTGGCCTGCCTTTCTAGGTTGGGGAAGTTCTCCTGGATAATATCCTGCAGAGTGTTTTCCAACTTGGTTCCATTCTCCCCGTCACTTTCAGGTGCACCAATCAGATGTAGATTTGGTCTTTTCACATAGTTCCATATTTCTTGGAGGCTTTGCTCATTTCTTTTTATTCTTTTTTCTCTAAACTTCCCTTCTCGCTTCATTTCATTCATTTCATTTTCCATTGCTGATACCCTTTCTTCCAGTTGATTGCATCAGCTCCTGAGGCTTCTGCATTCTTCACGTAGTTCTCGAGCCTTGGTTTTCAGCTCCATCAGCTCCTTTAAGCACTTCTCTGTATTGGTTATTCTAGTTATACATTCTTCTAAATTTTTTTTCAAAGTTTTCAACTTCTTTGCCTTTGGTTTGAATGTCCTCCCGTAGCTCAGAGTAATTTGATCGTCTGAAGCCTTCTTCTCTCAGCTCATCAAAGTCATTCTCCATCCAGCTTTGTTCCGTTGCTGGTGAGGAACTGCGTTCCTTTGGAGGAGGAGAGTCGCTCTGCTTTTTAGAGTTTCCTGTTTTTCTGTTCTGTTTTTTCCCCATCTTTGTGGTTTTATCTACTTTTGGTCTTTGATGATGGTGATGTACAGATGGGTTTTTGGTGTGGATGTCCTTTCTGTTTGTTAGTTTTCCTTCTAACAGACAGGACCTTCAGCTGCAGGTCTGTTGGAATACCCTGCCGTGTGAGGTGTCAGTGTGCCCCTGCTGGGGGGTGCCTCCCAGTTAGGCTGCTTGGGGGTCAGGGGTCAGGGACCCACTTGAGGAGGCAGTCTGCCCATTTTCAAATCTCCAGCTGCGTGCTGGGAGAACCACTGCTCTCTTCAAAGCTGTCAGACAGGGACATTTAAGTCTGCAGAGGTTACTGCTGTCTTTTTGTTTGTCTGTGCCCTGCCCCCAGAGGTGGAGCCTACAGAGGCAGGCAGGCCTCCTTGAGCTGTGGTGGGCTCCACCCAGTTCGAGCTTCCACGCTGCTTTGTTTACCTAAGCAAGCCTGGGCAATGGCGGGCGCCCCTCCCCCAGCCTCGCTGCTGCCTTGCAGTTTGATCTCAGACTGCTGTGCTAGCAATCAGCGAGACTACGTGGGCGTAGAACCCTCCGAGCCAGGTGAGGGATATAATCTCGTGGTGCGCCGTTTTTTAAGCCGGTCGGAAAAGCGCAGTATTAGGGTGGGAGTGACCCGATTTTCCAGGTGCCGTCTGTCACCCCTTTCTTTGACTAGGAAAGGGAACTCCCTGACCCCTTGCGCTTCCCGAGTGAGGCAATGCCTCATCCTGCTTCAGCTCGCGCCCGATGTGCGCACCTACTGACCTGCGCCCACTGTCTGGCACTCCCTAGGGAGATGAACCCGGTGCCTCAGATGGGAATGCAGAAATCACCCATCTTCTGCATCGCTCACGCTGGGAGCTGTAGACCGGAGCTGTTCCTATTCGGCCATCTTGGCTCCTCCCCCTTAGAATATGTTTTAATGTCCGTTATTCTGCATGGATGATTCAGTTACATGGTGCGTTCTTTCAATACATAGATTCACATCCTTTTTTTATTTCAGGAAAATTTTCTTGAAATATAGTTTTTAGTATTCTGTTTTCTTGCTTGAGTTTTCATCACAGACAGAATTATTGATATGTTGGGTTTTCTTTGTCTATCTTCAATATTTGTCATTTTCTCTTAAATTATTTTTAATTCTTCATTTCTTTATGATTTAATTTTTTCTTCTTTTGACTTTCTGTTTTTAATAGTTTTTTTGACATTGATTTACTCATGTTGTAATATAGGTTACATTTTTAAATGATTTTAAATTTCTAATTCTTTCTTGAGTTGTATCAGCTTACTTCTGAGTTTTCTATACCATTTCATGTTGTATATCATTTTATATAGTTTGGCTTCTTTTGAGATAATATTTTGCATTTTTGGTGTTTCTTTCTCTCCTTTTATGTCCTTCTGGTGTGATTTCATTGTGATTGTATGAGATTTGACCTTGATATACTTACTTGTTTATTTTTTATGAAATTAATTTTCCTGAATGTTTAGAAAATAGCAGCTTTTCTAACTTCACAGACCCTCCTCTTCTGCTGTTTGTGTTTCATCTTAAAAAATATAGCATCTTGCTTTGTGAAATTTCCTAGCTTTGTTCCCGTTCGCCACTTTTATCTGTATTTTTTTTTCCTTTAAAAGAAAGAAAGAAAATATTGTCTATTATCTCTTTGCTGCTAAATGATGCTTCTAGTCTGAGGATTTTCTCTTCAATATGGAGCCCTGTCCTGGAAGGAAACTCTGGTGGATCAGGTTTGAGAGCTCCTAGAGAATAGACTGCTGCAGAGCTGCTGTAAATCAGCAGATAATTTACACTCAGTGAAAATTTGTTGAATGAACAAGCTCTGCTCAGTTTCAGCCATTCTTCTCAGATTCCAAGGATTGGAACTTGTACTTTCCAAGGATTATCTGTTGGATGTTTTGGTTCTTTTGTTCTCAGGACCATCAAATGCCTTGTTACTTCTCCTTGTGGTTGTTAGTAGTTTGTCTCTATCCATTTGTATTTTGAGGTTTGCATGGTATCCTGTTACACAGATTTGTTGGAATTTTGGTTTTGCTGTCTAGTTGCTTGCTCTTTTTAATGTGGTGATCTGGGAAGAAACAAAAAACTGTGCTGCCACTGCCATCTTCCCAGGATACTACAATAGTTAATCTTTTTATAGATGAGAAACCTGAAGCCCAGGGAATTAAAGTTATTTGCCCAAGATTCCACAGCTAGCAGCAGGAGATAACTGTAAGTAAAGCAGCTTAATTAGTGTCTGTTGCAGAGAAACTGATTAATGCATGCTCTTTTCTTTCTCCTTTCTTCCCTCATTCTTCCCAATCCTTCTTCTCTTCCTTCCTTGCTTTCAATTCTCCTTCCCTTTCTCCAGAGCCCATATTTAAACCCAGTTATTTCTGACTTCAAAGCCTCTGCAAATTCATTAAATGTGCTATACTTCTACCCCATACTGTGAAATCACTGGAGTTTTTAATTCAACAGAACTATTGAAACAAAATTAGTTTCACTAAAACTTACACCCGTCTTGCTCTAAGAATGTTTTCTTCTTTGCTGTTAAGCTTATATACTTTTCTAATAAAATCCACAAATGTCAAATTCTTTGACACATGCCTCATCAAAACGTGGCACGTTAGAAATAAATTGATGCCCCTAGTTCAGTGAATCCACTTATAGGCATTATATATAATCCTTTAATTGCCTTCTTTCTTTTTAAAATATCTTCTACCATCACCCAGGAAACCACATTTGACAAAATGTAAATGAAATCTGAACCCGAAAAGGCTTGACTTCACTTCTGAATTTAAAAACCACAGAATTTAAAGATATTTTAAAGTTTGGACGAAGTCAAATGCCCTGCTTTTGAAAAATCTTATAAAACTGCCAGTTAACTATTCAGCTTTGAGACACAAGTCCACAAAATACTAAGCTGCATTAGTTAGGAAGCTTGGCTCCTGATAATACTTGACTGAAACTGATTCATTCAAAAGTTGAATGCACTTTGAAGGCTCCCAAATAATTTATACTGTATACCCTGTAATGTAAAAACTATAATTTACTAATTCTCCACAATCTTCTACAAAAGATTAATTAGAAATTAGATCTTGGGGAGCAGAGTTTTGCTTAAGGTATGAAATCACCACACAAAACCTAAGGGATTCTATTTCCAGCCAATCCCTTTATAAAATCCTGTTCCAGCTTTTGGCTCTGTAATGGATTTCCCAGGTTGGTGATATACCACACAGAAAATGCCATTTCCTTATTTTTTTCCCCCTTGAACTTCCTGCACTAACTGTGCAGGCTTAGTCCACACTGTTTGAATTTACTTATTGTGGTTTGCATAAAATTATCCTTCACTCATCTACACGTAGTAGATAATGGTTATTTGCCTATAAATCTAACAGGTACTAAGTTTTATTTACCCTCCTGCACTGTGGGCATTCTCTGAACAAACGGGCAGTTGTTCTTGAAACATTTTCCATTTTTATGAGTTTTGGAACTGTTGGAACTGTTTGAAACTGCTTGTTGCTTTGTGTGCTTTTTAGCAGCTCGAGGCTCCTTCTTTCACGGTGTTTACTCTGGAGCTGGGGTGAACAGAGGATCTTGGAAATGACAGAGTGTTAATATCCTGGAGTGTGTCTTGCTACATGTAAAAGATTGCTTCTCTAGGCTGCTAAGAGCTGCAGCAGAAGCAGACTTTTCAGGAGACACACAGACAAACACATTTAGTCATGAATGGTTGCACACCTACTCTCACTCTCTCTGATTTTGCATGTGCACGAGCAGGCCAGGAAACCTGACCCCATGTTGATTGGAACGTTGCTTTGCATTTATTTCCAGAATATTTGGAATGGCACATATGTTTCCCATTAACGCTCATGTTTGATTGTTCTAAGTAATTTTTTAAAAATTAAATAAACCTGTATCAAAAATTGTCACTTTGTGTTGAAGAAGCACAATTAGGTCCCTTTGGGGGAGTAAACTGAAAAGAAAGAATGAGATGAAATATTTTGGCTTCTTTATATGTATTTCTGTAAATGAGAGTGGCATTAAGATCTAGTCATACATTTGAGGTTCAAGGGATTTTAAATAGCTTTTGAACAAATCAAGCACAAAGTAGCATTACTTACACAAAGAAACTCATTTAAAATAGCCCATTAATGAAATGTGATTTTAAACCATGTCTGTTTTAAATATATGTTCAAAATTAAAAGTTACTGGGCCAGAAATGGAAAGTTAATGCCTGAATATAATGACTGTAATTGTTTCAACCCATAAGGGCATGATTTGGTAAATTATCAGACCTGGTATAATATACTTAGACCAAGAAGACTTCATAAATTTCTAAAAGTGCAGTTATTTGAATCTGTCTTTATTTTACCTAACAACCTAAGGGTTGTCTCCAAACTCAACCTGGTAATGCTGTGGCCCTGTTAAGACAAAAAGGAAAAAAGCTTATGTATGTATATATGTATGTATGTATGCATGTATGTATCTGTCTATATCTATCTATCATCTATCTAACTATCTATCTATCTATCTATCTATCTATCTATCTATCTATCTTCTATCATCATTTGGCTATCTAGCTATCATCTATATAGCTATCTATCATTATCTATCTCTATATCTGAATCTAAGTGGCTAAGTCAAATATTTTGAGACCCAGGTATCAGGCTGATATTGCCTCCCGGCTCCTTACCTATCCTTTTATTTCACTCTTTCATTCTATACATTTTGGATAGCACTTTGTGTATTAATCCTGTTTTTTATTTCTCATAGTTTATAATGCTTTGACATATTGGGAGGTCATGGGGACTTAGGGAGGGACTTCCCCTCCCAGGGTTTGCTAATTCCTAGACATTGCAAGCAACTTGCCTGTGAGCATGCTTTTGATATGCAAGCCAACCAACTAGAGCTCAGACTCTCACTAACCTCCTTTCTCAAATTCTCATACACCAAGCCAATACTTCCCTGCCTTAAATTACCCAAGGACTGGGTACCAGACAACTAAGTACCACCCTAGATGCCAGAGCCCTTTGAAATTATTCAAATTGTCCAATCGTAAGCTTGCTCGGTGTACCTACCCTACCTCACCCATTCCTTCCCACAGAAACCTAATACAGGCCCTGGTCCATATTTTCCCCTTCTTTCCTTCTGCCTCCCAACTGACTGGGTACTTCCCCATGTGGCCCTGTGTTGTATGGCATGTTCCTTCCTCTTGGGAACTGTAAGTAATAAACTATTTTTTCAATGGAATAATTTCCTGATCTATTGGCCTCATCATGCCTTATTAAAACGAATCCTAGGTATATTTAAGCACACTTTGGCACTCTTCTCTATCATAGACTCCTGGCCTCTCTCTACCCACCTTCATTTCTATTCTTAAAGACCTTTGTGACTCTATTAACAGACATGCTGAGACAGCCCTTTTTGGTGAGGTATACTCCTGTAAAACTCCAATCCCAGAGGAGTCGTTTGGCCTAGAGGTAGTTAAGCACCATCATAGCTCCTGGCCTTTATGTGAAGATATTCCATCCTGACAGGCCCAACCCAGTCTCCACTGCTGCCTCAGGAGATGAGTTCAACCGTGAGATACTTTTCCTGGAGCTGCTCCAGGCTCTGCTACCATTTCAAGCCCATGACTAGGCTTACCTTACTAATCATTCTTCAGATCCCAATTCCCCCATAAAATGTAAGACCCCTTTGCCCACTCTTCCAAGCTCACTTCTGTCCTTTCTTGTATATTTTCTCCACTATCTCCACCCAACCATCTCCTTACCATCCATCCAAAGTCCTACCAATCCTTAAGTCCTCTATAAAATCTTCTTCAATAATAAATCCTCTCTCTGAATTTGATTATATTTAATTGAATATTTTCTCATTTGTTGTCATTTTCTCTACATTTCACATACATTTTTCTTATATAACTGGATCCCTAGATTTTAAAATACTTGGCACTGTAAGGAAAGCTTGGAATTTGAAGTCAGAAGACTTGAACACATATCCTGATTCAATTACTTAAAAGTTTTATTAGTCTGCTCAGGCTGCTCTACAAAATACCACATTGTGATAGACTTAAAGGATGGAGATTTATTTCTCATAGTATGGGAGGCAAAAAGTCCCAGATCAAGGTCTGGCAGGGTCTGTTCCTGGTGAGGGCTCTCTTCCTCGTTTGTAGATGGCTTCCTTTTCACTGTGTCCTCACATCTTTTTCTTGGTGTATGAGCATGAAGAGAAAGAACAAGAGGGAGCTCTCCAATGTTTCTGATAGGGACACTAATCTCATAGGATCAGGACCCCACCTAACTTTAATCACTTCCCTAGAGGTCCCATCTCTAAAAACACCCACATGGGGGGTGAGAGCTTTAACATACAAATTTTTGGAGGGCATAAACATTCCAAATGACTACAACAATATTTTTACGTTTGAAAATGAGGAAAATACTACCCAGCATTTCTTCCCAAACTCTACCAAAGGGCTGAATCATGTTAAGTGCTGAAAAATAATTATTGCATTGAATTTTAAGTAAACAATTTTATTATTTGTATTTATGAAATTGATATTGCAGAATGAGAAGTAAATTTATGTCACCTGAAATCCTGATGTTAACTTTTCAGGTTTCAAGAGTTGAATCTCAGCTTTTAGAAAGGCTTTTGCAGCTGATTCTTTCCATTGCACATTAGGGCAAAAGGGCCTCTGGTGTCAAATTTTCTTTATCTCTAAAAATAAATGTTTTTAATCTTTCCAAATAAATTATCTTATTCCTCACACTGTCAGCCTAGCTTCACACTCTAGTATGAAAATCTCAGAATTCTAGCTGAAATATGGAGAGGCATTTTACAAATACACATATTTTTTAGAGGACAGTTTTATTCCACTTGGTATTTTTTTTTTTTACGATAAATTCTATTCTCTCCATCTACATCCGTTAGACTGTCTCTTAGATTCTTTTCTCAGATGGCTTGCCAGAGGTTGGGAAAGGTAGTGGGGATCCAGGGGAGGTGTGGGGGTGGTTAATTGGGACAAAAATATAGAATGAATAAGACCTACTATTTGACAACACAATAGAGTGACTATAGTCAATAATAACTTAATTGTATATATTAAAATAACTTAAGAGTATAATTGGGTTGTTTGTAACTCAAAGGATAAATGCTTGAGGGGATGGATACCCCATTCTCTATGATGTACTTATTTCACATTGCATGCCTGTATCAAAACATCTCATGTGCCCCATAAATATATACACCTACTGGGTACCCACAAAGAATTAAAAAATAACTTAAAAAATTTTATAAAACTAAAACCAAAACAAACAAACTCCTTTTTGGTGAGTATTAGGTAAAAAAAAATTCAATTCAAGTTAAAATTGCCTTCCCATGCTAATCACTAGAACTTCAAGCTAGTCATCTGGTCCTTCTAGATTCTTACACTATGGATCTTTTGAAATAATATTTCCTAGATGCTGCCACCAGTTATTACCAGCTCCTCCTTTGATTTACTCCCAAATTTCTCTTTGTTTTCACTTTCTTTCTGCTCCACTCATAACACCTCTAATTTCATTTATTCATCCAAAAAGCATTAATTGAGAACTTTTTATATGCCAGGCACTAGGAATTTGATGGTGAATAAGATTGGCCCCGACCCTGCTCTCATTAGTTTTATAGTCTAATGGACAATAAATTTTCTTTGACTGGGGAAGCACTAGGTGCTCTGAGCTCATGGTCTTGAAGGGAATGTCAGGGCAAAGGGAGTAAAGGGAGAACCATAGGTGCAAAGTCACAGGAAAGAAGAAACAATGCCTGCTAGTGAGCTGTAACCAACCTCAATAATTTCAACTACCTTCTACATGATTCCTCCACCTCTCTCTCCTGGAACTCTGTCTGTTGACAAGCATCTTCTGTCTGTTGACAAGCATTTCTTTCTACAACGCAAACTTGGCTATTACACTCCTGTTTCAGAACTCTTAATGGATTCCTGTTACCTACAGAATGAAGTCCAAACTCAGTATGTCAGATCACCTCATCTGCCATAACCCTGTGTGGGATACCTTTAGTCACTCCACATTACTTGCTGTTTCCCAAATAAAATGCACTTTATACTTCTGTGAATTTGCCTCTTCCTCCTAAATTTGTTTACTCGATGAACTCATTTTAAACTCAGCTTTTAATGTCATTACTATGAAAATATTCTTAACCTTTCAGTTTCTCAAATAAAATTAATTGCTTTTTTCTTTGTAGCTTGTCACAACTCATGTTGTTTACGTAACTGCCTCCCTAGATAGACTATGTATTTCTCAAGCCCTTTGATATTTTATACCGGTATTCAGTAGATACATACTAAATTAACTTGAATTCAGCCTTTCACAAGTATCTTTTCTCTTCTCGCTGAGATCAATGCACTTGACCCCTTTTATTTGATTATTCTTCTTCTGATGTTTGGATGCCATTTATCCATTAAACTTAGGCCTTACATTTAACCAAGAAAGCTGTTTAATAAAGATACAACTGCTTATGGAGCGCATTTATCACAGTGATTCACAATTTACAGAATCACTTTTCACATATTTAGTTAATAAAAGAATGATCAATCTTTAATAAAGCTGGGCTTAAAATGACATATTTTTCTTTTTTTATTTTTATTTTTATTATACATTAAGTTCTGGGGTACATGTGCAGAACGTGCAGTTTTGTTACACAGGTATACATGTGACATGGTGGTTTGCTGCACCCATCCACCTGTCACCTACGTTAGGTATTTCTCCTAATGTTATTCTTCCCCTAGCCCCCCCACCTTCTGACAGGCCCCAGTGTGTGAAGGTTCCCTCCCTATGTCCATGTGTTCTCATTGTTCAACTCCCACTTATAAGTGAGAACATGTGGTGTTCGGTTTTCTGTTCTTGTGATAGTTTGCTGAGAATTATGGTTTCCAGCTTCATCCATGTCCCTGCAAAGGACAGGAACTGATCCGTTTTTATGGCTGCATACTATTCCATGGTGTATATGTCCCACATTTTCTTTATCCAGTCTATTATTGATGGACATTGGGGTTGGTTCCAAGCCTTTGCTATTGTGAATAGTGCCACAATAAACACATGTGTGCATGTGTCTTTATAGTAGAATGATTTATAATCCTTTGGGTATATACCCAGTAATGGGATTGCTTGGTCCAATGGTATTTCTAGTTCTAGATCCTTGAGGAATCGCCACACTGTCTTCCACAATGGTTGAACTAATTTACACTCTCACCAACAGTGTAAAAGCGTTCCTATCTCTCCACATCCTCTCCAGCATCTGTTGTTTCCTGACTTTTTAAAGACTGCCCCTGGCATAAGTTGGTATCTCATTGTGGTTTTGATTTGCATTTATCTAATGACCAGTGACGATGAGCATTTTTTCATATGTCTGTTGGCTGCATAAATGTCTTCTTTTGTGAAGTTTCTGTTCATACCCTTTGCCCACTTTTTGATGGTGTTGTTTTTTTTCTTGTAAATTTGTTGACGTTCCTTGTAGATTCTGGATATTAGTCCTTTGTCAGATGGATAGATGGCAAAATTTATCTCCCATTCTTTAGGTTACCTGTTCACTCTGATGATAATTTCTTTTGCTGTGCTGCTCTTTAGTTTAATTGGATCCCGTTTGCCAATTTTGGTTTTTGTTGCCATTGCTATTGGTGCTTTAGACATGAAGTCTTTGCCCATGCCTATGTCCTGAATGGTATTGCTCAGGTATTTCTCAGGTTTTCTTCTAGGATTTTTATGGTCCTAGGTCTTACATTTAAGCCTTTGATCCATCTTGAGTTGATTTTTGTATAAGGTGTAAGGAAGGGTTCCAGTTTCAGTTTTCTGCATATGACTAGCCAGTTTTCCCAATAACATTTATTAAATAGGGAATTTTTCCCCATTGCTTGTTCATGTCAGGTTTGTCAAAGATCAGATGGTAGTAGATGTGTGGTGTTATTTCTGAGGCCTCTGTTACCAGTACCATGCTGTTTTGGTTACCGTAGACTTGTAGTATAGTTTGAAGTCAGGTAGTGTGATTCCTTCAGATTTGTTCTTGCCCAGGATTGTCTTGGCTATGAGGGCTCTTTTTTGGTTCCATATGATGTTTAAAGTATTTTTTCCAATATTGTGAAGAAAGTCAGTTGTAGCTTGATGGGGTTGGCATTGAATCTATAAATTACTTGGGGCAGTATGGACATTTTCATGATATTGATTCTTCCTATCCATGAGCATGGAATGTTTTTCCATTTGTTTGTGCCCTCTCTTAAATCCTTGAGTAGTGGTTTGTAGTTCTCATTGAAGAGGCCCTTCACATCCCTTGTAAGTTGTATTCCTAGGTATTTTATTCTCTTAGTAGCAATTGTGAATGGGAGTTCACTCGTGATTTGGCTCTCTGTTTGTGTGTTATTGGTGTATAGGAATGCTTTTGATTTTTGCACACTGATCTTGCATCCTGAGACTTTGCTGAAGTTGCTTATCAGCTTAAGGAGATTTTTAGCTGAGAAGACGGGGTTATCTAAATATACGATCATGTCATCTGCAAACAGAGACAATTTGACTTCCTGTCTTCCTATTTGAATACCTTTATTTCTTTCTTTTGCCTGATTGCCGTGGCCAGAACTTCCAATACTATGTTGAACAGGAGTGGTGAGAGAGGCCATCCTTGTTTTGTGTTGGTTTTCAAAGAGAATGCTTCCAGTTTTTGCCCATTCAGTATGATATTGGCTGTGCGTTTTTCATAAATAGCTCTTATTATTTTGAGATACGTTCCATCAATACCCAGTTTATTGAGAGTTTTTAGCATGAAGGGGTGTTGAATTTTGTCGAAGGCCTTTTCTGCATCTATTGATTTAATCATGTGGTTTTTGTGATTGGTTCTGTTTATGTGATAGATTACATTTATTGATTTGTGTATGTTGAACCAGCCTTGCATCCCAGATATGAAGTCGACTTGATCGTGGTGGATAAGCTTTTTGATGTGCTGCTGTTCAGTTTGCCAGTATTTTATTGAGGATTTTCTCATCGATGTTCATCAGGGATATTGGCCTGAAATTTTCTTTTTTGTTGTTGTTGTGTCTCTTCCAGGTTTTATTATCAGGATGATGCTGGCCTCATAAAATGAGTTAGGGAGGAGACCCTCTTTTTCTGTTGATTGGAATAGTTTCAGAAGGAATGGTACCAGCTCCTCTTTGTATCTCTGTTAGAATTCGGCTGTGAATCTGTCTGGTCCTCGGCTTTTATTGGTTGGTAGGCTATTAATTACTGCCTCAATTTCAGAACTTGTTATTGGCTTATTCAGGTATTCAACTTCTTCCTGGTTTAGTCTTGGGAGGGTGTATGTGTCCAGGAATGTATCCATTTCTTCTAGATTTTCTAGTTTATTTTTGTAGAGTTGTTTATAGTATTCTCTGATGGTAGTTTGTATTTCTGTGGGATCAGGGGTGATATCCCCTATATCATTTTTTATTGCATCTATTTGATTCTTCTCTCTTTTCTTCTTTATTAGTCTTGCTAGTGGTCTATTTTGTTGATCTTTTCTAAAAACTAGCTCCTGGATTCATTAATTTTCTAGAGGATTTTTCATGTCTTGCCTTCAGTTCTGCTCTGATCTTAGTTATTGTCTTCTGCTAGATTTTGAATTTGTCTGCTGTTGCTTCTCTTGTTCTTTTAATTTTGATATTAGGTGTCAATTTTAGATCTTTCCTGCTTTCTCTTGTGGGCATTTAATGCTATAAATTTCCCTCTACACACTGCTTTAAATGTGTCCCAGAGATTCTGGTTCTTTGTGTCCTTGTTCTCATTGGTTTCAAAGAACATCTTTATTTCTGCCTTCATTTCATTATTTACCCTGCAGTCATTTAGGAGCAAGTTGTTCAGTTTCCATGTGGTTGTGCGGTTTTGAGTGAATTTCTTATTCCTGAGTTCTAGTTTGATTGCACTGTGGTCTGACAGACTGTTATGATTTCCATTCTTTTACATTTGCTGAGGAGTGTTTTACTTCCAATTATGTGGTCAATTTTAGAATAAGTGCCATGTGGCACTTAGAAAAATGTATATTCTGTTGATTTGGGGTGGAGAGTTCTGTAGATGTCTATTAGGTCTGCTTGGTCCAGAGCTGAGTTCAATTCCTGGATATCCTTGTTAATTTTCTCTCTTGTTGATCTGTCTAATATTGACAGTGGGGTGTTAAAATCTCCTATTATTGTGTGGTAGTCTAAGTCTCTTTGTAGGTCTCTAAGAACTTGCTTTATGAATCTGGGTGCTTCTTTATTGGGTGCATATATATTTAGGAGAGTTAGCTCTTCTTGCTGCATTGATCCCTTTACCATTATGTAATGCCGTACTTTGTCTCTTTTGATCTTTGTTGGTTTTATCTAAGTCTGTTTTAACAGAGATTAGGATAGCAACTCCTGCCTTTTTTTGCTTTCCATTTGCTTGGTAAATATTCCTCCATCCCTTTATTTTGAGCCTATGTGTGTCTTTGCATGTGAAATGGGTCTCCTGAATATAGCACACTGATGGGTCTTGACTCTTTATACAATTTGCCAGTCTGTGTCTTTTAATTGGGGCATTTAGCCCATTTACATTTAAGGTTAATATTGTTATATGTGAATTTGATCCTCTCATTATGATGCTATGTGGTTTTTTTTGCCTGTTAGTGGAATAACATATATTTTTCTATACAGATACTGACATCTTGCCATTCTTGAAATCTAAAATAGTTTTGTAACTTGATATTTCCAATTGCTGCTTTCTCTGGATTTTTTTTCTAGTAGCTAGCTTAATAAATACTTATTGAAATAATTAAATCAATAAATGTGGTGTTAAGTTTGATTTAGAAATGTTTCCCAACAAATTTTCAAGCTAAAATTTCTAGATCACTGTACCAAAGCAATTATTATTGGCAAGAAAACAGTATCCTGAATTTCTTCATGTTTCATGATGCCCCACATTTAAACCATGTATCTAGAAATATTTTTATGTGTATGTTCCCGCACATTGTTCTCCATATGAAAGATGCTATTTTACAACTTTGTGCATTTGCTTATGCTGTTTTCTTTGCCTAGACTATACTTTCCTCTTTATTCTCCTTTAAAAACCACCCTAAAAATTAGCTTTACTATTTTCTCCTCCATGAAGCATTCCTCAAGCCTCCTGACAGTTGAAGTATCCACAGAATTCTTTTTTTTAATTTTATTATTATTATAATACTTTAAGTTTTAGGGTACATGTGCACAATGTGCAGGTTAGTTACATAGGTATGCATGTGCCATGCTGGTGTGCTACACCCATTAACTCGTCATTTAGCGTTAGGTATATCTCCTAATGCTATCCCTCTCCCCTCCCCCCACCCCACAACTGTCCCCAGAGTGTGATGTTCCCCTTCCTGTGTCCACGTGTTCTCATTGTTCAGTTCCCACCTATGATTGAGAATATGCGGTGTTTGGTTTTTTGTTCTTGTGATAGTTTACTGAGAATGATGATTTCCAATTTCATCCATGTCCCTACAAAGGACATGAACTCATCATTTTTTATGGCTGCATAGTATTCCATGGTGTATATGTGCCACATTTTCTTAACCCAGTTATCATTGTTGGACATTTGGGTTGGTTCCAAGTCTTTGCTATTGTGAATAGTGCCGCAATAAACATACGTGTGCATGTGTCTTTATAGCGGCATGATTTATAGTCCTTTGGGTATATACCCAGTAATGGGATGGCTGGGTCAAATGGTATTTCTAGTTCTAGATCCCTGAGGAATCACCAGACTGACTTCCACAATGGTTGAACTAGTTTACAGTTCCACCAACAGTGTAAAAGTGTTCCTACTTCTCCACATCCTCTCCAGCACCTGTTGTTTCCTGACTTTTTAATGATTGCCATTCTAACTGGTGTGAGATGGTATCTCATTGTGGTTTTGATTTGCATTTCTCTGATGGCCAGTGATGGTGAGCATTTTTTCATGTGTTTTTTGGCTGCATAAATGTCTTCTTTTGAGAAGTGTCTGTTCATGTCCTTCGCCCACTTTTTGATGGGATTGTTTGTTTTTTTCTTGTAAATTTGTTTGAGTTCGTTGTAGATTCTGGATATTAGCCCTTTGTCAGATGAGTAGGTTGCGAAAATTTTCTCCCATTCTGTAGGTTGCCTGTTCACTCTGATGGTAGTTTCTTTTGCTGTGCAGAAGCTCTTCAGTTTAATTAGATCCCATTTGTCAATTTTAGCTTTTGTTGCCATTGCTTTTGGTGTTTTAGACATGAAGTCCTTGCCCATGCCTATGTCCTGAATGGTAATGCCTAGGTTTTCTTCTAGGGTTTTTATGGTTTTAGGTCTAACATTTAAGTCTTTAATCCATCTTGAATTAATTTTTGTATAAGGTGTAAGGAAGGGATCCAGTTTCAGCTTTCTACATATGGCTAGCCAGTTTTCCCAGCACCATTTATTAAATAGGGAATCCTTTCCCCATTGCTTGTTTTTCTCAGGTTTGTCAAAGATCAGATGGTTGTAGATATGCGGCGTTATTTCTGAGGGCTCTGTTCTGTTCCATTGATCTATATCTCTGTTTTGGTACCAGTACCATGCTGTTTTTGTTACTGTAGCCTTGTAGTATAGTTTGAAGTCAGGTAGCGTGATGCCTCCAGCTTTGTTCTTTTGGCTTAGGATTGACTTGGCAATGCGGGCTCTTTTTTGGTTCCATATGAACTTTAAAGTAGTTTTTTCCAATTCTGTGAAGAAAGTCATTGGTAGCTTGATGGCGATGGCATTGAATCTATAAATTACCTTGGGCAGTATGGCCATTTTCTCAATATTCATTCTTCCTACCCATGAGCATGGAATGTTCTTCCATTTGTTTGTATCCTCTTTTATTTCACTGAGCAGTGGTTTGTGCTTCTCCTTGAAGAGGTCCTTCACGTCCCTTGTAAGTTGGATTCCTAGGTATTTTATTCTCTTTGAAGCAATTGTGAATGGGAGTTCACTCATCATTTGGCTCCCTGTTTGTCTGTTATTGGTGTATAAGAATGCTTGTGATTTTTGTACATTGATTTTGTATCCTGAGACTTTGCTGAAGTTGCTTATCAGCTTAAGGAGATTTTGGGCTGAGACAATGGGGTTTTCTAGACATACAATCATGTCATCTGCAAACAGGGACAATTTGACTTCTTCTTTTCCTAATTGAATACCCTTTATTTCCTTCCCCTGCCTAATTGCCCTGGCCAGAACTTCCAACACTATGTTGAATAGGAGTGGTGAGAGAGGGCATCCCTGTCTTGTGCCAGTTTTCAAAGGGAATGTTTCCAGTTTTGGCCCATTCAGTATGATATTGGCTGTGGGTTTGTCATAGATAGCTCTTATTGTTTTGAGATATGTCCCATCAATACCTAATTTATTGAGAGTTTTTAGTATGAAGCGCTGTTGAATTTTGTCAAAGGCCTTTTCTGCATCTATTGAGATGGTCATGTGGTTTTTGTCTTTGCTTCTGTTTATATGCTGGACTACATTTATTGATTTGCGTATATTGAACCAGCCTTGCATCCCAGGGATGAAGCCCACTTGATCATGGTGGATAGGCTGTTTGATGAGCTGCTGGATTCAGTTTGCCAGTATTTTATTGAGGATTTTTGCATCAATGTTCATCAGGGATATTGGTCTAACATTCTGTTTTTTGGTTATGTCTCTGCCAGGCTTTGGTATCAGGATGATGCTGGCCTCATAAAATGAGTTAGGGAGGATTCCCTCTTTTTCTATTGATTGGAATAGTTTCAGAAGGAATGGTACCAGTTCCTCCTTGTACCTCTGGTAGAATTCGGCTGTGAATCCATCTTGTCCTGGACTCTTTTTGGTTGGTAAGCTATTGATTATTGCCACAATTTCAGAGCCTGTTATTGGTCTATTCAGAGATTCAACTTCTTCCTGGTTTAGTCTTGGGAGGGTGTATGTGTCGAGGAATTTATCCATTTCTTCTAGATTTTCTAGTTTATTTGCGTAGAGGTGTTTGTAGTATTCTCTGATGGCAGTTTGTATTTCTGTGGGATCGGTGGTGATATCCCCTTTATCATTTTTTATTGCGTCTGTTTGATTCTTCTCTGTTTTCTTCTTTATTAGTCTTGCTAGCGGTCTATCAATTTTGTTGATCCTTTCAAAAAACCAGCTCCTGGATTCATTAATTTTTTGAAGGGTTTTTTGTCTCTATTTCCTTCAGTTCTGCTCTGATTTTAGTTATTTCTTGCCTTCTGCTAGCTTTTGAATGTGTTTGCTCTTGCTTTTCTAGTTCTTTTAATTGTGATGTTAGGATGTCAATTTTGGATCTTTACTGCTTTCTCTTGTGGGCATTTAGCGCTATAAATTTCCCTCTACACACTGCTTTGAATGCGTCCCGGAGATTCTGGTATGTTGTGTCTTTGTTCTCATTGGTTTCAAAGAACATCTTTATTTCTGCCTTCATTTCATTATGTATCCAGTAGTCATTCAGGAGCAGGTTGTTCAGTTTCCATGTAGTTGAGCAGTTTTGAGTTAGTTTCTTAATCCTGAGTTCTAGTTTGATTGCACTGTGGTCTGAGAGACAGTTGGTTATAATTTCTGTTCTTTTACGTTTGCTGAGGAGAGCTTTACTTCCAACTATGTGGTCAATTTTGGAATAGGTGTGATGTGGTGCTGGAAAAAATGTATATTCTGTTGATTTGGGGTGGAGAGTTCTGTAGATGTCTATTAGGTTTGCTTGGTGCAGAGCTGAGTTCAATTCCTGGGTATCCTTGTTAACGTTCTGTCTTGTTTATCTGTCTAATGTTGACAGTGGGGTGTTAAAGTCTCCCATTATTATTGTGTGGGAGTCTAAGTCTCTTTGTAGGTCACTCAGGACTTGCTTTATGAATCTGGGTGCTCCTGTATTGGGTGCATATATATTTAGGATAGTTAGCTCTTCTTGTTGAATTGATCCTTTTACCATTATGTAATGGCCTTCTTTGTCTCTTTTGATCTTTGTTGGTTTAAAGTCTGTTTTGTCAGAGACTAGGATTGCAACCCCTGCCTTTTTTTGTTTTCCATTTGCTTGGTAGATCTTCCTCCATCCTTTTATTTTGAGCCTATGTGAGTCTCTGCACGTGCGATGGGTTTCCTGAATACAGCACACTGATGGGTCTTGACTCTTTATCCAATTTGCCAGTCTATGTCTTTTAATTGGAGCATTTAGTCCATTTACATTTAAAGTTAATATTGTTATGTGTGAATTTGATCCTGTCCTGATGATGTTAGGTGGTTATTTTGCTTGTTAGTTGATGCAGTTTCTTCCTAGTCTCGATGGTCTTTACAATTTGGCATGATTTTGCAGTGGCTGGTACTGGTTGTTCCTTTCCATGTTTAGTGCTTCCCTCAGGAGCTCTTTTAGGGCAGGCCTGGTGGTGACAAAATCTCTCAGCATTTGCTTGTCTGTAAAGGATTTTATTTCTCCTTCACTTGTGAAGCTTAGTTTGGCTGGATATGAAATTCTGGGTTGAAAATTCTTTTCTTTAAGAAAGTTGAATATTGGCCCCCACTCTCTTCTGGCTTGTAGAGTTTCTGCCGAGAGATCCGCTGTTAGTTTGATGGGCTTCCCTTTGTGGGTAACCCGACCTTTCCTTCTGGCTGCCCTTAACATTTTTTCCTTCATTTCAACTTTGGTGAATCTGACAATTATGTGTCTTGGAGTTGCTCTTCTCAAGGAGTATCTTTGTGGCGTTCTCTGTATTTCCTGAATCTGAATGTTGGCCTGCCTTTCTAGGTTGGGGAAGTTCTCCTGGATAATATCCTGCAGAGTGTTTTCCAACTTGGTTCCATTCTCCCCGTCACTTTCAGGTACACCAATCAGATTTAGAGTTGGTCTTTTCACATAGTCCCATATTTCTTGGAGGCTTTGTTCGTTTCTTTTTATCTTTTTTTCTAAACTTCCCTTCTCACTTCATTTCATTCATTTGATCTTCCATCACTGATACCCTTTCTTCCAGTTGATTGCATCAGCTCCTGAGGCTTCTGCATTCTTCACGTAGTTCTCAAGCCTTGGCTTTCAGCTCCGTCAGCTGCTTTTTCTTTTTTTTTTTATTATACTTTAAGTTTTAGGGTACATGTGCACATTGTGCAGGTTAGTTACAAATGTATACATGTGCCATGCTGGCGCGCTGCACCCACTAACTCGTCATCTAGCATTAGGTATATCTCCCAATGCTATCCCTCCCCCCTCCCCCCACCCCACAACAGTCCGTTATTCTAGTTTTACATTCGTCTAATTTTTTTTCGAAGTTTTAAACTTCTTTGCCTTTGGTTTGAATTTCCTCCTGTAGCTCTGTGTAGTTTGATCATCTGAAGCCTTCTTCTCTCAACTCGTCAAAGTCATTCTCCGTCCAGCTTTGTTCCGTTGCTGGTGAGGATCTGCGTTCCTTTGGAGGAGGAGAGGCACTCTGATTTTTAGAGTTTCCAGTTTTTCTGTTCTGTTTTTTCCCCATCTTTGCGGTTTTATCTATCTTTGGTCTTTGATGATGGTGACGTACAGATGGGGTTTTGGCGTGGATGTCCTTTCTGTTTGTTAGTTTTCCTTCTAACCGTCAGGACCCTCAGCTGCAGGTCTGTTGGAGTTTGCCGGAGGTCCACTCCAGACCCTGTTTGCCTGGGTATCAGCAACAGTGGCTGCAGAACAGCAAATATTGGTGAACAGCAAATGTTGCTGCCTGATCGTTCCTCTGGAAGTTTTGTCTCAGAGGAGTACCCGGCCGTGTGAGGTGTCAGTCTGCCCCTACTGGGGGGTGCCTCCCAGTTAGGCTGCTCGGGGGTCAGGGGTCAGGGACCCACTTGAGGAGGCAGTCTGCCCGTTTTCAGATCTCTAGCTGTGTGCTGGGAGAACCACTGCTCTCTTCAAAGCTGTCAGACAGGGACATTTAAGTCTGCAGAGGTTACTGCTGTCTTTTTGTTTGTCTATGCCCTGCCGCCAGAGGTGGAGCCTACAGAGGCAGGCAGGCCTCCTGGAGCTGTGGTGGGCTCCACCCAGTTCGAGCTTCCTGGCTGCTTTGTTTACCTAAGCAAACCTGGGCAATGGTGGGTGCCCCTCCCCCAGCCTTGCTGCCGCCTTGCAGTTTGATCTCAGACTGCTGTGCTAGCAATCAGCGAGACTATGTGGGCGTAGGATCCTCTGAGCCAGGTGCGGGATATAATCTCCTGGTGCACTGTTTTTTAAGCCTGTCGGAAAAGTGCAGTATTAGGGTGGGAGTGACCCGATTTTCCAGGTGCCATCTGTCACCCCTTTCTTTGACTAGCAAAGGGAACTCCCTGACTCCTTGTGCTTCCTGAGTGAGGCAATGCCTCACCCTGCTTCCGCTCGTGCACGGTGTGCTGCACCCACTGTCCTGTGCCCACTGTCTGGCACTCCCTAGTGAGATGAACCCGGTACCTCAGATGGAAATGCAGAAATCACCCGTCTTCTGCATCGCTCACACTGGGAGCTATAGACCGGAGCTGTTCCTATTCGGCCATCTTGGCTGCCAGCCTACAGAATTCTTTTTAAAATCTTTATCAGAGCACACGCCACACTATATTGAAATTATATTTTTACCATCTATTTTTCCCAGTTGAGTGTAGCTCTTCAAGGAAAGAATATGTGTTTCATTCATTTATTTTATTGGAGAATTTCTGACACAGTGTGTACCCAATAAATGTTTATTGACTACTGGATTTTGATGCTTAATGTATTTTATATGCCAAATGTATATTTAGGGTTTGCAACTAGGCAGAAATATGAAGTGTGTCTCTTGTACTCTTTTGCAGCAATCTCCTTTCCTAACTTGCAGTACCTATTCCATGATTCTCATGCTTTTATAGCAGTCTTCTCTCATGGTTAAGAATATGTCTGGTTCAGTCATTAACACTAAGATGTTATTAGGGCTATATTAAAGGAATGAATTTGTAATTTTAGACACAAAAACACCTGAGTAGAAAAGATATATTTTGAAGGGCATAGGACTTTCCAGTTCTTGTTAAATCACTTTAAGTATGCCACTACCTTCTATTAATTTTTGCTGCTACTACTAAGCATCTTGGGAACTCCACAGATGTATTCACTGTGAGTTCTTTGACAATCCCATATGACAAAATTCAAAACACTATGTATTTTCGCTATTCTGTGACTTGGTCCATATAGTTTACTCTCTCTGGTTTTCTTCTGTTGCTCATCTCCCTTCAAAATGTTGACTTATTTTTCAGTGTCACCTCTCCCAGTAATTGCCACTCAAAAGATAATTAATTGCTTCTTCTGTGCTGTCCCAGCACATTTGTCTAGATTGTAGACTTTATTGTGATATTATAAGTTGTCATATTCTTGTCTCTATCTCCTACTTAAGTATGAATTCTTTGAGATAAAGGATTTTGTCTTCCTTATGTTTGATTCTCACCTCATTTCAGTTCCTAGAAAAAGTTTGCGTTACACTCAATGAAGGGTTGTTGTAGTAAATAAAGTCAGTAAACCAAATGAACATATACTGGATGCTAAAATAAAGTTCTATATCTGGAATAAACATTTTATCTGGAATAAACAATTTATTTATAATAAACATTTCTTTCTGAGCTATAGGGCTGCTTTAGCCTCAGTGTTTCATTCATGTAAATGGCATTAATCAAATGAACTATACATGTTACTGTAACCATAAGATGATGCTGACCACCGAAGGCAGAGTCTGGATGGCAGTAGAGAAAAATGCAGGAATTCAATGGGTGGTGGATTGGTTGACTTAAAGGCTCCTTAATCTCCAAAATCCAGTGAAACATGATATTCATGACTGGCCTGTTCTGAAACTTAGGGACAAAGTAGATGCTGACCATGGTGCTGAAGGTTTGAATTGCATGTAATGAGCTCTTAGACACATGGTCTTTCACATCACAAAAATCAATCAGTGCCAGACTAGCACAAGTATAATTTACTTGATAGGTTATATTTTGATGTGCGCTTCTACATACTGCTATCAAAGCCCACAACTTTTATGATCAGTTCTAACTGGTGTATCTCAATGTAGAGTACATTGAAATACAAGATACAAGTACCCATAAACATTCATGAGAGCCAGGTCCATTCATTGAGAAAAATCAGATTTACTGCATAGACATTTATCCTCAAGTTTTCTTATTGGATACATTTTTGCTTCCAGTGCCAGAGGGGGCTCTGGAAGGACGAGCTCAACAAGCCCAAGATCAGGCTGGGTCCCAGGAGAGCCGAGAGGACAAATGGGCAAGGCCCCAGGGCTCAGCTCCTGCCTTCAGCTTCCACTTCTGCCTCCAGATTCCTGAGTCACTCACAGCACAGCCAGGGAATAGGCCTGTCTCAGGCATGTCGCTGTGCCTCCTATGCTGTTGCTGCTGTCTTTGCTGCTGGGCAGGTCTCAGGCTCTGGATGGGAGATTCTGGCTGCAAGTGCAAGAGTCAGTGATAACACAGGAGGGACTGTGTGTCTCTGTGATGTGCTCCTTCTCCTACCTACTGAGGAGCTGGACGAGTCTACCTCAGCCTGTGGCTACTGGTTCAAAGAAGGGACCAACATAAACATGAGTGCTCTAGTGGCAACAAACAGCTCAAAACAAGTAGTGCAGATAAGCACCTAGGGCCGATTCCAGCTCATTGGGGATCCCCACTACCAGAACTGCTCCTTGGTGATCAGAGATGTGCAGATGGAGGATACGGCAGTGTACTTCTTTCGGGTGAAGAGAGGAAGCTTTGTGAGATACAATTTCATGAATACATTCTTTCTGGAACTGACAGCCCTGACTCAGAAGCCTGATGTCTACATCCCCAAGGCCCTAGAGCATGGGAAGCCAGTGACAGTCATCTATGTGTTTAACTGGGCTTTTGAGGAATGTCCACCCCCATCTTTCTCCTGAATGGGGGAGGCCTTCTCCTCCCAAGGAACTGGAACAACAACCTCCCATTTCTCAGTGCTCAACCTCATACTTAGACCCCAGGACCATGACACCTACCACACTTGCTGCATAGACTTCTCCAGAACGGGTGTGAGTGCATGGTGGACCATCCAACTCTTCGTGGCTTATACCTCTAGGTACCTTGTTATCAGCATTTCCTATGACAATGCACCAACTGAATTGGCCTCATCCCATATTTCCTCCAAGAAATCAGGGCCCATGGAGGCGGTGGTTCTGGTGGCCGTCAGGGAGGGGGCTGTGAAGATCCTGCTTCTCTGCATCTGCTTCACCTTCCTCAGTGTCAGTTTTTACAGGAGGAAGGTGATGAGGGCAGCAGTGGGTGTGGAGGCTGCAAACACTGTCACAGGCTAATCCCTCAGGCCTCCAGACTGTGTTTCCAGATGCCTACTTGTCCAGTTCCTCCACAATCTGAATGGCCATGTTTCCTCTCCATTACTGGAGGATGAGGGGCAAATGCCACAGACTGGACTGAAGGCCTTGCAGGGTCGGTCCCCTGCTAGACTCTGCTCCTGATCCCTCTTCTCCCTGCATCATCCAATGTCTTCCCACATCCACTGGACCAAGCCTCTGTGACTCTGAGACTTTGCATGTGTAGTTCCTTCTCCTGAAATGCCCTTCTCTCCCCATCCCTGCCTATCCAGGTCTTGAAAATTATTCAGGCTCAGTCTTACATGTCACCCTGGGCTGTGTGTATTCATTGTATGGTCTTGATGGAAGAAGGATATTGAATTATGTATTATGTATTCATAGACTCACTCAGCAAGTATTAATGAACATCTGCTATGTGCCAGGATTATCATAAACACCAGAGCAGCATCCATGGAAACAACCTCAAAAGTCTCTGTCATCCAAAGGTCTTGAGTAGATATTTCCTACAATATCTAAAAGTGCATTTAGGTTGATATACTGGGTAAAGAAAATGTGGTACATATACACCATGGAATACTATGCAGCCATAAAAAAAGGACGAGATCATGTCCTTTGCAGGAACATGGATGGAGATGGAGGCCATTATTCTCAGCAAACTAATGCAGAAACAGAAAACCAAATACTGCACATTCTCACTCGTAAGTGGGAGCTAAATTATGAGAACACATGGACACATAGAGGGGAACAACCCACACTAGGGCATTTCAGAGGGTGGGAAGAGGGAGAGGATCAGGAAAAATAACTAATGGGTACTAGGCTTAATACATGTGTGAGGAAATAGTCTGTACAACAAAACCCCATGACACAAGTTTACCTATGTAGCAAACTTGCATATCCTGCACATGTACCCCTGAACCTAAAATAAATGTTAAAATTTTTTTTTTGCTTCCAGACATAGTTGTAATACTTATAGTAAGAGGTGAAGAAAGATGTTTGGAACAGGGAAGTTCTAAATTAGGCAGACATGATGACACTAATCTGGAGATAGATTAAGCATTTGCCTTTAAATTTCATTTAAAATTAATGCTAACATAATGGGGGCAAAAATATTTATGGCTTCAAACAAAGGGATAATTTTAAATATTAATGTGATATTCAGGAAAGGATTGCTTTTGGATAATAAATGCACTTGCAAATTAAATTTCACTTCTTTGTTTTCAACAAAATTGAGGGAAACAATCAAGTTGTTAGCTCATATAGCATTACAAATAATTTTTGATGATCAATCATATAGAACTTTGGCATGCACATTAATAAATATAAGTACATGTCTAGGTATACTGTCATAAAATTTCCATTTCCCATAGTATAAGAAATGTTTATCACTATCTACATATTAAAACAAATTATAATAGAATTTATGGTGAACCCTGTCTCATTATAGTAGTAAGTTATTTATCCACAAATACATTGCTAATCAAAAATATAAAGCCCCATCTATCTTATTAAAAATGCATTTCCAGGAACATACCCCAAAATAATAAGCGCTATCTATGAGAAACCTACAGGCAACATTATACTGAATGGGCAGAAGCTGGAAGCATTCCCCTTGAAAACTGGCACAAGACAAGGATGCCCTCTCTCACAACTATTGAGCATGGGACTGGAAGTCCTAGCCAGAGCAATCAGGCAAAAGAAACAAATAAAGCGCATCCAAATAGGAAGAAAGCGAGTCAAACTATCCCTGTTTGTAGATGACATGTTTCTATATCTAGAAAACCCTATAGTCTATGCCCAAAAGCCCCTTCAGCTGACAAACAACTCCTGCAAGATTTCAGATACAAAATCAATATACAAAAATCACTAGCATTCCTATACACCAACAACAGTCAAGTCAAAAGCCAAACCAGGAAGACAATCCCATTCACAATTGCCACAAATATAATAAAATACCAAGGAATAGAGCTAACCAAGGAGGTGAAAGATCTGTACAATGAGAACTACAAAACATTGCTCAAAGAAATCACAGATGACATAAACAAATGGAAAAACATCCTATGCTCATGAATAGGAAGAATCAATATCATCAAAATGGCCATACTGCCCAAAGCAATTTATAGATTCAATGCTATTCCTGCCAAACTACCAACAACATTCTTCACAGAACTAGAACAAATTATTTTAAAATTCATATGGAAGCAAAAAAAAAGAACCCAAATAACCAAGGCAATTCAAGCAAAAAGAACAAAGCTGGAGGCATCATGCCACTCGACTTCAAACTACACTGCAGGGCCACAGTAACCAAAACAGTATGGTACTGGTACAAAAACAGGCACATAAACCAATGGAATAGAATAAGAGCCCAAAAATGAGGACACACACCTATGTCCATCTAATCTTCAACAAAGCTGACAAAAACAAGCAATGAGGAAAAGACTCCCTACTGAGTAAATGGTGCTGGGATAACTGGCTAGCCATATGCAGAAGATTGAAACTGGACGTGTTATACCACAGACAAAAATCAACTCAAGATGGATTAAATGTAAAACCCAAAACTAAAAATCCTGGAAGACAACCTAGGCAATACCATTCTGAACATAGGAATGAGCACAGATTTCATGATGAATACACCAAAAGCAATTGCAACCAAAGCAAAAATTGACAAGTTGAATCGAATTTAAAGAGTTCCTACACAGCAAAAGAAACTCAATAGAGTGAACAAGAAACCTACAGAATGGGAGAAAATTTTTGCAAACTATGCATCCAACAGAGATCTAATATCCAGCATTTATAAAGAACTTAAACAAATAAACAAATTTACAGGAAAAAAACCCATTAAAAAAACACCCCATGGCAAAGGACACAAATAGATACTTTTCAAAAGAAGACATACATGTGGCCAACAAGGATATGAAGAAAAGCTCAACATCACTGATCATTAGATAAATCCAAATCAAACCACAATGAGATACCATCTCACATTAGTCAGAACGGCTATTAATAAACAGTCAAAAAATAACAGATACTGGTTAGTTTTCAGAGAAAAGGAAATGCTTATGCACTGCTGGTGAGAGTGTAAATTAGTTCAAACATTGTGGAAAGCAGTGTTGAGATTCCTCAAAGAGCTAAAAACAGCACTGCCATTCAACCCAGCAATCCCATTACTAGGTGTATACTCAAAGGAATATAAATCATTCTTAAAGACACATAAAGACACATGTATGTGTATGTTCATTGCAGCACTATTCACAAGAGCAAAAACATGGAATCAACCTAAATGCCCATTAATGATAGCCTGTATAAAGAAAATGTGGTACACATACACCATGGAGCCATAAAAAAGAATGAGATCCTGTTCTTTGCAAGTACATGGATGAAGCTGCTGGCCATTATTCTTAACAAACTAACTCAGGAACAGAAAACCAAATACTGCATGTTCTCATTTATAAGAGAACTAAATGATGAAAACACAAGGACACAAAAAGACATCAACAGACAGTGGGGTCTAACTCAGAATGGAGGGTGTGAGGAGGAAGAGGATCAGAAAAAATAACGAATGGGTACTAGGCTTAACGTCTGAGTGATGAAATCATCTGTGCAACAAACTCCCGTGACATGAATTTACCCATAAAACACATGCACATGTACCCCTGAACTTAAAAGAAAAAAAATGCATTTCCAATAAAAATTTAATTTTATTAAAATTATTTATCAAATCTGAAAAATATTGATATTTTGACTTCTTAATTTTGGAGTGATCAGGGTCCTTGGTTATTTGATTATTTTTCTCTATCTAAATTCAGTTCTTTAAATTTCAAACAGTCTTGGGGATTTAAATTCCATTAGTATGCTACTAACTCCTAAATTTATATCTCTAAGCTTCCTCTAAACTCCAGAATTATGAAGCCAATTGCTTCCTCAACATCTCCTCTTCTTTTTCAAAAAATTTCAAATTTTTATTTTTTGTGAGTACAAAGTAGATACACACACACACACACACACACATATGTACCATATATATGAGTTACATGAGATATTTTGATGCAGGTATGCAATGAGTAATAATCACATCAGGGTACATAGGGTATCCATCACCTTAAGCATTTATCCTTTTGGTTTACAACAATCCAATTATACTCTTTTAGTTATTTTTAATTGAACAATTAAATTAATTTTTAATATAGTCACCCTGTTATGCTAGCAAATACTCAGCCTTATTTATTCTTTCTGGCTATTTTTTGCACCCATTAACCATCGCCTCTTCCCCAGCAACCTTCCACCCCAACTCTGTCTACCCTTCCCAGCCTCTGGTAACCATCCTTCTCCTCTCTATCTCTGTGAGTTCAATTATTTTAATTCTTAGCTCCCACAGATAAGTGAGAATATGTGATATTTGTCTTTCTGTACCTGGCTTATTTCACTTAACATCTCCATTTGTATGTCTGACATCTTAAACTCCTGAGGTTTCCTCAAAACCTGCTCTACCAACAGCTTTTTATGTTAGTTGAGGGAAATTCAGCTTTCCCAGTGGTTTGGTCCCTGAGCCTTGACACTGTTCTTGATTATTTTCTTTTCTTTCTTCTTCTTTTTTTTTAATATCCCACATTCACACTGTTAAGAAATCCCACGAGTTTTACCTTCAAACTATATCTGGAATCTAATGAACTCTCACTACCCCACTGCTAAAAATGCTAAAAATGGTTCAAGCCTCCATTCTCTTTTATATGAATTAATGCAGTAGTCTCTTCTCTGGTGTCCCTGAGTCTACAATTCTCACCATATAGTCTATTTTCAATCAATAACCAGAATCATCTTGATAAAATACATTATATAATGTCACTCTTTCATAATCCTGCACAGTTAACTGTGATGCTTAATTTTATGTGTCAATTTGGCTGCGCCATGGTGCCCAGATAGATGGTCCAACATTATTCTGGAGGTTTCTGTCAGAGTGTTTTTCGATGAGATTAACATTTAAATTGGTGGACTTGAGTAAAGCAGATTATCTCTGTAATGTGAGTGAGCCTTGTCCAAACAGTGAAAGGCCTGAATAGAATGAAAGACCAACCTGACCAAGAGGGAGTTCTGCCGACAGCCTTCAGAACTGAACTGTAGCACTGGCTCTTCGTTGGGTCTCCAGCCTGCTGGCCTGCCTTCCAGATTTTGGACTTGCCAGTCTCCATAATCATGTGAGTCAATTCATTAAAATCACCTCTTTTTACTTACACACACACACAAACACACACACACACACACACACATCTATTCATTCTGTTTTTCTGGAGAATCCCAACAGCACCACTTAAAAAGCTTTCCCTTTTAAAATACCAGGATATCTCTTATCAAAACATCTGTTCATTTATCCGGTAAGACAAGAAAAAAGATCAGTTAAAATGAATATTTAGGTTTTCTGTTTTTTCTTTATTTTTTGTGTTTATTTTTCTAATATGTCCCTTTGTCTAAGTTTTCAAAATTATTGACACAAAATATAAATTTTAGATTCTCTATTGCCTCTGTGGTCTTGCCCCATTTTTTATTCTTGATATACTATTTGCAACTTCTGTTTTTTCTTTATCAGTATTTCCAGAAATTTGACAGTTTTATTAATCTTTTAAAAGTATCAGTTGTTAATTTTTAGGTTCTTTCTATTGTTTCTTTGTTTTTTATTATATTAATTTCTGTTTTTATCTTTATATTTTCCGCTGTTATATGTAGAATGTTTAGTTCATTATTTTTCAACCATTTTTAGCAACGTATTTAATTAAGATTATTCATTACATGGATCACAATCCATCATCCAAAACCCTTGGTGTCAAATGTGTTTCAGAATTCACTGATTTTAGATTTTAGAGTGGCAATATGGTTTATAAACTCTATATTATAAAAATCTCCCATGGTATCTGTGCCAATACTCTGGTCATATCTTGGGTTGGTGCAAAAGTTATTGCGGTTTTTGCCATTACAAAGTAATTACAAAGTAACGGCAAAAACGCAATAACTTTTGCACCAATCCGTACATTAAGCTAATAAAGACTATAGTTTGTCTCATATCAGATTGAGTCAGGGTTTCATGTCAAATTTTCTAAAAATTGTTTTTCAGAGCTTTCGGTAATTCAGAATTACAAATGAGGGATTGCACGCTGTATTGCTTTAGGTTTGTCTCAAAAGTGACTCTGTTGTTGCTTAATCCTAAAATGTTCTAATTTTCAAAATGACTTACTGGTGAACCCATAATGTGGTTAGAAATAAGCTATTTAGTTTCCAATGTATGGAGATTTGGGGGTGATCTTTTAATTTTTTGAGGTATAATACAGATATATGCTCCAATCTTAAGTGTACCATTCAACCAGTTTTGATTAATTGTTTCAGTTGTATAAGTCACACCTGCATCAAGACAGAACAGTTTCATCATCACCTCAGAAAGTTCCTTTGTGCACCTTCCCAATCAGTTTCCTCCCTATAATCTGATCTGATTTCTACCACCATAAATTCATTTTGTCTATCCTAGACTTTCTTATAAGTAGGATCAAACAGTATGTAGTTTTTGTATGAGGGATTCTTTCACACAGAAAAATGTGAGAATTATCCATGTTGTTGCATGTATCATTACTTTGTCCCTTTTTATTGCTGAATAATATTCCTTTCAATATACCATATTCATTTTGTGCCTATTAGAAACTGAATTTCTATAAACAAGGGTTTTTTGGACATATGCTTTCATTTTTCTTAGTTAAGTACCCATGAATTGAATTGATGTGTTACATGGTAGATACATATTTAACCTTTTAAGAAACACCAGTTTTCTGAAGAAATTGTATCATTTTGCATTCTCAACAATAATGTATTAGATTCTAGTTGCTACTAATCTTCTCTAATATTTGATGTAAATTGTTTTTATTTTTGCCATTCTTGTATAAGAACCACAATCTTATTGTTGTTGTAATTTGCATTTCTCTAATCACTAATGATGTTGAAGACTTTCTTATGTGCTATATACCACTTGTATATCTTCAGTTAAGCGTTTGCTCAAGTCTTTTAATCATTTTTTTTGTTGTTTTTGTTTTGTTATAGAGTTGTGTTTTCATATATTTTATATGTAATTCTCTTGCAGATATATATGAATATTTTCTTCAGTCTATGGCTTGCCTTTTCATTTACTTACTGGAATTTTTCAATGAGCAGAAGGTTTTAAAAATTTGATGAATCCCAATTTATTATTTCTTCTCTTTGTAATTCATGCTTTCTTTGTCCACTCTAAGCAATCTTTGCCTACAAAAGTCATAAAGATACTTTCTTCTGCTGTTTTTTCTAGAAACTTCATGGTTTTAGCTTTTCTATTTAGTTCTATGATGAATCTCATTAATTTTTGTGCATTGAGGGAACGGGGGAGTCCAGGTTTTTTGCTCATATGATTATCCAGTTATTCTAGCTCCATTTGTTGAAGACATTTTTCACTCCCAGTTGAATTATTTCAGTGCGTTTGTAAAAATAACTTGACCGTACATGTGTGGATCCATTTCAGGACTCTCTCTTCTGTTCTATTTTCTATCTATCCTTTCACCAGTGGCACACTCTTTTGATTACTGTAGCTTTAAAAAAGTTTTCAAATAAGGTAGTATGAGTTCTCCAATGTTATTCTTTGTTTTGAAGATTGTTTTGGCTATTTTAGATCCTTTGTGATTTTCATATATATGTTCTCATCACTTTGTCAATGTATATTTAAAAGCATGCTGGGAGCTGGGATTTTGATTGAGATTGTGTTGAATCTGAATCGATATGGTAGGGAGGAGGGAATTGATTGATAGCTTTGTTTTATTTAATACTGCTTCATTTATTTAAGTCTACTTTAATTTCTTTCAGCAATGTTTTATACTTTTTAGTTAAGAGGTATTACAACATCTTTTAATAAATTGTTAAATTTATCCCCAAGAATTTATGTTTCTTCATGCTATTGTAAATCGTATTTTAACTCTTTTTTTCTAATTGCTACAAACACTGGCCATCAGAGAAATGCAAATCAAAACCACAATGAGATACCATCTCACACCAGTTAGAATGGCAATCATTAAAAAGTCAGGAAACAACAGGTGCTGGAGAGGATGTGGAGAAATAGGAACACTTTTACACTGTTGGTGGGACTATAAACTAGTTCAACCATTGTGGAAGTGTGGCGATTCCTCAGGGATCTAGAACTAGAAATACCATTTGACCCAGCCATCCCATTACTGGGTATATACCCAAAGGACTATAAATCATGCTGCTATAAAGACACATGCACACGTATGTTTATTGCGGCATTATTCACAATAGCAAAGACTTGGAACCAACCCAAATGTCCAACAATGATAGACTGGATTAAGAAAATGTGGCACATATACACCATGGAATACTATGCAGCCATAAAAATGATGAGTTCATGTCCTTTGTAGGGACATGGATGAAATTGGAAATCATCATTCTCAGTAAACTATCACAAGAATAAAAAACCAAACACCGCATATTCTCACTCATAGGTGGGAATTGAACAATGAGATCACATGGACACAGGAAGGGGAATATCACACTCTGGGGACTGTTGTGGGGTGGGGGGAGGGGGGAGGGATAGCATTGGGAGGTATACCTAATGCTAGATGATGAGTTAGTGTGTGCAGCGCACCAGCATGGCACATATATACATATGTGACTAACCTGCACAATGTGCACATGTACCCTAAAACTTAAAGTATAATAAAAAAAAAAGAAATGCTATTTATTTTTGTATATTGATTTTATAGCATACATTGTTAAAATCATATATTAAGTCTAGTAGTTTTCTTATAGATACCTTAGGAGGTTTTACATAAAGAATCATGTCATTTGCAAATAAAGATGACATCACTTTTTCCCAATTTCTATGATTTTTTCTCTTTTGTACAAGCTAGGATCTCTAGTATAAATTTCAGTGAAAATGATTGGAGTGGACATTTTTGTTTTTTCTTAGAAAGCACTCACTATTAAATATACTATTAACTGTAAATATTTTGTAGATGCATTACAAATATTTTGCAGGAGTTTCCTTCTAGCATTTGTTTGCTATAAGTCTCTATCATAAATATGTGGGATATGTTTTCTATATCTATTGAAATGATTATAAGATTTTTCTTCTTTAATTATATAATGTGGTGAGTTATTTTGAGTAACTTTCAAATGTTAAGTAAACTTTGTATTTTGGTGCCAAATTCAATTAGTTACGGTTTGGTATGCTTTTTATGTATTACTGGATTTAATTTGCTAACATTTTGTTAAGGATTTTTGCATCTATATTCATAAAGTATATTCATCTGCAGTTTTCTTTTTTTTTTCTTTGTCTGGCTTTAGTATCAGGAGAATGCTAACCTCATAAAAAATAGCTGTTAAGTATTTCTTTATTACTTATTATAACGGTATTCCTCAGACCGTTAAGCATTTCCTCTATTTTTGAAATATTTATAAAATCTTAGTGTTATTTCTTCTTTAAATATTTGGTAGAATTCACCAGTACGTCCTTCTGGGTTTGTTCAATGACTCTTTCCTCTGCTGTGTCCAATTTACTGATAAACTTATTGAACACATTATCTATAATCCAATATCATGAGTTTTTTATTTTTAGATTGTTCATTTTACTTTTATACAATATTCATCTCTGTTAAAATTCCCCATCTTTTCATGTAGATTGTCCATTTTTTCATTATATTTAAAAACATTTGAAAATTATAATTACTTTAAAGTCCCTGTCTGATAATTCTAACATTTAGGCCATCTCTGAATTTATTCCATTTTCTCATTTCATGATGGGTCATATTTTCTTATTTTTTTGAATGGATCTCATAATTATTGATTGAATGCAGGATACTTTAAGTAAGTATAGTAGGTAAGGAGGTAAATAATATTTACTTTATGAAAAATATACTTCTGTGAAGTCATTAGTTACATGATTAAATTAAACTGGTTTGTGATTGAATTGGGTTGGGTTTTGTGATGGCTTAAATTATGTCCATGCCTCCACAGACTGGCTTCATGTATTTCAAGTGGTGCATTGTTGCTGTATTGTACTTCCCGTAAGGCCTGGAGTGCCAGACATATATCTCAGTTTGCTTGCTCTGGACTCATAATTAGTAAGGTATTCCTCTGTCTCTCTCTCAGTGCTCATTCACTTTCCTCTGCATCAGGCTGCTGTTACGTCGTGCTTGGTGGAATGTATGCGGGATAAAGAAGAGGGAGGGGAATTCCATTGGGTTTTCTGTCTTTGCCCTCAGACTTAAGCAACCCTTGCTTTCATAAGCCTCAGAAGGAATCGCTCTTAGCAATCCTCTTCCTCCCCCAGTGGCAGACAGCTGCTGTCTTAGTCACTGCAGGGTCTAGAGCACAGAGGAGTTCCTCTCAGTTCTCCTTGCTCTGTCCTAAGGCTTAGGCATGCCCCATATACCTGTGATTTACTAGGTGTCTCTCTCAGTGGTTTTGCCCTGCTTTCAATCTTTTTCATGAGCTCTCATTTAAGGACCATGAAAGAGCTGATGAATGCTACAGACTCTTCTGTATCCAAGTCTCTCAGGATTCTGATACTGTCATGCCATTCTACATGCAGCATTTAGAAGTTTATTAAAACTTCAGCTGTTTTTCTTCTTTCTCATGGCTGGGGTAGCTGCCTTTCTCTCTGGCTATTCTGTCAAAGATAAAACAGTCATATGTACTGTTTCTCGAGAGAAGCTTGTCACTCTTCAATATTAGTTCATTGAGTTACCTTGTGACATCAGAATTAAGCCCTTACCTTGTTAACTCATACTTACCATTTAAATTTTACCTCAAATTTTATTTCCTAGGTAAGGGCTCCCCTGAGTTTTAGATCATAAGATGCTTTTGCTTTTGCCTTCCACAGCATTTTGCTTCCATTTCCTGTGTATAAGTTATCATACTTTTACTTTTAAAATGTCTGCAGCTTTCTTGAAGCCAAGCATTATGCCTGTCTCCACTCACTGTTATATATCCCAAATCCTAGTGCAGAGCCTGGTATTAATAGGCACTCAAGAAAATATTTGTTGAATTGAATTGAAATTCTCACTTTATTTCCTGGGAGGCATTTTGAGGTCCCAGCTGAAGGATAAAGGGAGGAGATAATTTCTTTTTTTGATGTGAATGATACAATTTAAATCCTGTGTCCACTAGCAGTGTAAAATAATTATCATCTCCTTCCATTTCCAGTATTGCTGGGAAGGCTACATGTCTTTGAAGTTAGGACCATGTTCTCTGCCATTGCATAGGCTTTGTTTTGTGTCCCATCTTCTCAACTAGTAGCTGATGACCTTGGACAAATTGCTTAATCCCTCAGAATCTCACTTTCCTCACTCATCAAATGAGATAATACCATCCATCTCATTGGGTTGGTATAAGAATGAATTGAATTAATATGTACAAAGACCTACTGGATATTTAATAAGTACTTACTATTGTGTTTACTCCTTTTTGGTAACTTCTCTGTTTTCTCAAGAAGGAATGAGAAGGGCTGTCTAAAGAGGAACAGGCAATTATGCATGTCTCCTTCCCCTGCATCCAGTATATTATTAAATGCTTCTTTTCACACTTCTTTACTTTTCTTGATCTTTCTTAACTCATTTGCTTAAAGGTTATTGAACAAAATGGGGCAGAGACAGCCAACAAAGGATGCTTTTTTTTTTTTTTTTTTTTTTTGAGATGGAGTCTGGCTCTGTCGCCCAGGCTGGAGTGCAATGGCGCAATCTCGGCTCACTGCAAGCTCCGCCTCCTGGGTTCACGCCATTCTCCTGCTTCAGCCTCCCAAGTAGCTGGGATTACAGGCGCCCGCCACCACACCCGGCTATTTTTTTTGTATTTTTAGTAGAGACAGGGTTTCACCATGTTAGCCAGGACGGTCTCGATCTCCTGACCTCGTGATCCACCTGCCTCAGCCTCCCAAAGTGCATCACGCCCGGCCAAATGATCCTTAAAGTAAAATATGAGTATATCAATATTAATCTACTGAAATTTGATCAGACAAGAACGATTTCATCCACTTTGTGATGGTGCTGATATATAAAGAGGCTGTGAAACTACCCAGAGGCCTGAATATTCTTTGTTTCTAAAATTCCAACATGAAGTTAGGTTTACAGGCACAGAGGGAGTTCTGAGGGTTATGCTTTCTAACTCTAAGGCAAACTCAGAAAACTCCTCTGCGAGCTGAAGTCTCTATATGACCTTTCCAACCCTTCCTTTGGACTCCTTTTCTTCTCTGAAAATCTTTTTATTGACTGTGGAGTAAGGGTGTCAGGAATCGAGGAGGGGCTCTGTTTGGGTCTAAGGGTATTCAACTGTGATTTTCTTATGCCAAGAGCATATGTTAATTCCTTAATCACCAATGCCTGATCTAATTGGTCCAGTCTCATAGTTTAGCTGCATAAACACAGTTTGGCTACTACCACTTTTAAGCAGTAACTCGCCAATACTGGCAAAGTGACACTACCGTCAGGAGAAAAGATTGACCATACGGCAGCATCAATCAGAAGTAGTATCATGAGCTCTAAACCAAACCCTCAATCAAACGGGGCAACCAAAGATCAAGGTTAGGTTACCAGGCTGGCCTGCGATATAGGTAGCAGATGCAGCAAACTGGAAGAAAATCAAGAATGCAGAGAATCAGATCAAATTTCCAGGACAAAGTTAGGAACATTAAAGATAAGAGTCAAGTTGCTAAGGCAAGGAGAAGACCACAGAAAATCAGAGCACCGGACAACTGAGGTGAATTATTTAGCTGAGATCAGGAACTCCATAGGTCAACATCAAGGAGAATGAAAAAGTCTGTTGATTCAGGTTTCAGCCAAGGACTGTGTAGAGTCAAAGAGGTAGGTCACCAGTAAGACTAAGAATGCCTTGGAGCCCAAAATAGTTGGCTACACCTGGAAGTAGCATTGCCTGCTCCTTACCCTGCCTTGCTTCCAACTTGCCTGTTTCCATGAAGCTTCATGGAAAAGGAATAGAAGTAAGGCCTTTAAGTACCTGCCTGTCCTACTATACTAATTTCCTTTCCAGTACTATTTTTGTTACAATGGCGAAATGTATAGTGGCCTCCGTACAGCCCTTATTTTGCTTCTACTGTCTTACACCCTGAGATCAGACAGATTCCAATGGTAGAGAAAATGGTGATGAAAAGTTCATTGGTTCTCTGCCATACCCCACCCATCCCATTTCTGATTCCTGCTCTCCCCAGGCAACTCTTTTAGCTGTTTTATTTTTCTGCATTTACCTGCTTATTTCTAAATAATAGGCTTCTATGGCTATTTCTGGATATTTTTCAGTTTTAAGTTCTATTGACATTCTTGTCAGCAGGTGTTGACAAGACATAGTTTTAGGTTCTTTTGACATCTTGGTAGGAATAATGAAGATTTAGATTTCTTACACCCCTGCCTGCTATCCCCACATCACTTCTCCCATTTTTTCAAGATGTTATATCACAATTTTTGTTAAATTCATATTATTTGTAATATTATGATTATATGAACAGTATTTATAGCTGTGCCATGTAGTTATAAAAATTACATTTTTTATTCTTTATAGCTTTTGGTTTTTCCAGGAATCAATGAATACCTCCTTTTTGGTTCCTTAATTTTCTACTTATCTATCATAAATACATTCCTCCACTCTGCTAATCTCTACCTGCTATATTCAAAATATCAGGTTATCTATATGGCCCTTCTTAGAGACCACCATCCTTTTGCTGGATTGGTGATTTTCTAGAAATGCTGCATGCTGCCATTATGGAGATTTCTTTTCACTAACATCCTGGGGATTTTAAATATTTTTAAGATGCATTCCCTATTTTCCTGGATCCTGTAGATTCAAAATACTACATGTGCCATAGTCCATTTTTAATCGCATTCCACCCTTTAATTTTCATAGTATAAGCTTTGGGCTTCAGGGGTCTGCTATTTTTTTTCTCGGTGCTAATGGAATTCCAATTCTCAGCCTTAAACATTTCAGGCCTTCCTAAGAGCTGGAGAAAGAAATCTGAGAAAAATCAAGAGGGAAAATATTTTGTCATTTCTTGCATAAAGCAGATAGTCTTCTGCATCATAAAACTTTCTGAAAAGTGATTTGAAAATATTTAGAAAAGTATCAATTTTATTCTCCTGTCCAGGCTTAAGATTTGTTTAAAGATATATTTACCTAATATGTTCTTTGTTTAAAAGTGTTCTTAGAAGTATTATCTGTGCAAAGAAATATTTTGGACACCTAAACATTAGAATTTGTTGCTATGACCTATGAAATATAATAGGTTACTTCATAAAATTTGCAAATCAGACTGGTTGTCATAATAATTTGTTGCACTGACAATCAAATTCAAATGGACGTATTTTTCTGAGGTTGGTTTGTAGAGCTAGAAAAGTATTATGAATGAAAAACAATCCATGACCCTGTTGTGTACTTTACTCAAACAAAATTATAGGTATTTTGTCTTATTTGGAATTTATACTGTCATTAATCTTCCTCTTGTTTTACACCCTCTTTCCCGTGTAGCACATTCTTCAGAATTTTCCTCTGAAATGGTGCACAGGAGGTAATTTTTCGGGCCTTCCTCATGTTGAAAAATGCCATTATTCTCATACTCTACAATCGATCGTTTGGCTGAGTGTTAGCATTTTAGTATTGAAATCATTTTTTTCTCAGAATTTTGAAAATTTTTCTCTATTGTCTTCTAGCTGCCACTGCTGTCATTTAAGTGCTGATGATCTGAATTGTCATTCTCACATGCATTACTGCAGAAACCTCCTAATTCCCTGCTGCCACTCTTGCCTTACTATTGGCCATTCTTAACACAGCAGCAGGGTGAGCTTTTTGAAAAAGAAATCAGATCATGCCACTTCTCCACTCCCAACTTCGCAATGACTCCCCACCTTGATTATGGTACCTCTCATGCCCTTATAATGGCCTTAAAGACCTCACATGCTGTGAGCCCTGTTACTTCTGTGGTCTCATCTCTAGTTTCCTCCCCCATGTTTACTGTGCTCTAGGCACACTGGCTTCCCAGCTGTTCCGTGAACATGTGCGATATGTTACCACCTTTGACACTTGGCACTGGCTGCTCCTCGGTCAGAAGGCTCCTCACCCAGACATCTGGAAGACGAACACCTTCACTTCTTTTAAGTCTTTGCTTAAAACATACTTTCTCAAGAGGACTATTTTGATTATCCTGTTTAAAATGACATGCCATCTTCTCTTCTCGCTTCAATTTCCCCTTATCCTGATTTGTTTTTTCTTTTTATGTAGCACTTAGCTTTTAACTAACTGTATTGTTTATGTTTATACCTTGTCTATTATGTAAACTCTAGAAGGGCAGAGATCTTTGTCTATTTTTGTCATGAATATTGTCCCAGTGCCCAAAGCAGAACACAGTGCACAATAAATGTTTGAATGAATAAACTGAAAAGTGATTATTATATTATTCTTCCATGTAATATGACAGAGAAACTTTATTTTAGTAATATTTCTGGGGCAAAGGTTACTTGCACAATCAAACTTTTCATCGTTTTACTGCCTCCATCTGTTTTTCACAATGTAGATAGAACAATACTTCCAAGATGTTAACCTGGTGATGTCAGCCCCCTCTCCACCCCTCCTCCACTCTGCTTAAGATACCCTAAGTGGCTTTCTATGTTTTTAGGATTAAGACAGAATTCTTTGATATGGCCTATAAAGCCCTGTGTGGATTGCTTCTTGCCTGAGCCATAGAGTTTTCACATAAGCTATTGTCTCTTCTTGGAATGCTCTTTTCTCTCTCTCTCTCTCTCTCTTCATTAACTACAGGAGCAAAGCCACATTCTAAAAGGGGAGAGAATACAAGTGGAAATAGAGTCTGCCAAGAAGCTTGAGCCAGGCCCTTTGATTTCTTGGGGAGCAAAGATGAAAAGAAAAAGGCATTGTCCATTCATACTGCTTTCTTTAGCATCTTTTCATCCTAGTATTAACAGCCATTAAGTCAATGAATTACCTCTTTAAAAAACAGCAACACTATCATATGTAATGGAGGAGTAGCCTTTTTTCACTTCAGTTATGTTTCTAGTTAACTCCTACATATTTCTCAGATCTCAGCTGAAGGGTCAATTTCTAAGGGCAGTTTTCTCCAACTTAATTCTGTCCACCTTTGATAGGCTCTCTCAGCATTATGCACCTCCACTCCTTAGTACTTACTGTAGAGACACATACTTACACATACATGTGTTATCTGGCTAATTTGTATTGCTCCCACTAGACTGTAAGCTTCATGAGGATAAGGGAATGAGACTAGCTTTTTTTCTCGATTTCGTCTCTGTTGTCTAGTGCAGTGTCTGGATCATGGGTGATTTTTAAATAAATTCATAGGTATAAAGTAGTCTGTTTAGGCATCAACTTTTATTATATATTAGATCTAATTCAAGCATAATTGCATAATTCCCCTTGTAATTGCACTAAGCTTTAGGGTTGGCCCTCTCTCCCTCAGATGCTATGCACTAAATTCTCTGAAGTCATAGCTGATTTGCATGCCCACTCTTCTATTGGTCTTCTTCTTGTTCTTAACAACTGCCTTATGTGGTTCTTCAAATATAGAATTTTTATTTCTATCATCAAAGCAGAATATTAATCTCATATTATTCTGGTGTCGTATTGGTTAATGCTGACTTGAAATGTAGTTTTAGAGTTTTACAACTCTAAGAACCAGCAGTTTTCACTGTTTTCTAAAAATGTGTCTGTCGTTTTACATTCCATATACATTCTAAAAATGTATATAAACTTTTGTAAAATTTCATAAAACTTCTCCGAGTGTACAGAACTTTCATACAACTCAAGAACTGACTATGACTTTCAGGCCTCAATAAAAACTTACACGGTCTAGGTAAAAGAAGTGTAGGAGATGAGGATGGGAATAAGAAATGAGTGATGGCAAAACGAAAAGCAGGATGAGGCCACAGTGGATGAGCAAAGTGAAGCCAGGAATTTTTTTCACACTAGACTTCTTGTCTTTATTCCAGAGAATATGTAGAGGTGTAAAAAAATTTATTGTCTTCTGATATTTGGCTTATGACACTTGGTTTCAAGATTCATTTTAGTTTTGAGAGGAATGAATTCTCTGTATAATGATCATCCTGCTGGCCTAGTCAGTAAATCTAGTTGTTTTTCTATCAGAGATGATGGATTTGCTGTGATCCAGCTACAATCTGTTACCCAGTCCAGCTACTGGCAGGTTTCATGGATTTGTAAAAGAGATGAGTCAATTAGGAATCCAGCCTATAGTTATGAAGTGGAACAAAAGTTAGTAGGCTTCATTTGGCTTCAAATGTAAGTCTGTCATGCTTATTCTCCTGACACCCTGAATAGATGTGTATAAATGCAAATATAGAGATGAGCTATTTTAAATTATGTCCCCTAAACCAGCCAATGTTCATAACTGCACAAAACACACATGCCTGCCAAAGTACTATTAAAATCAGCCTGAAAAAATGACCCAAGGGAGTCAAGTAGTTTATGAGTTTGGCTGTCACTAGATATTTAATTCATTTGAAGCACCCTTTATAACTGGAATGATAGGAGATGTCATAATGATCCAGAGATCTTGATAGATGCACCAAGAGTAAACGAGGGATAGCTTTTCAGCCTCACTTCATTATTGTCTGGCTTTCATCAGTGAGCCAGAGCCTGAGAGCCAGAGCTTGAGTGGCCCATTGAGTCTCTGCAGAGAAGGATGAGTCGGTGAAGTTCCAGATGTTACCCTTGCCTAAAGTTGGCATTTCCTAGTAATGTTTCTGTGCTATGTGTGCAACTTAGTTGCTGATGTCACCAGTGACAAAAATTTATATAATCATTCATTTGGACATGGTTGAACAGGAAAAATAAAAACACACTAAAACAAATATGCTCAACCCTAACATCAATCGAAAGACAACTGCGGTTAAAAACAAAAGGAAACACAAAACATACTTGGCCTGATAAGTCGTTCTGTGTGAAAAAAGAGGATTGTCCAAGACATAAATCATGGCAACTTCCCTCTGCAGTAAGCACTTTTTTCCCCTCAGAATTATCATTTTATAATCGGAAAAGCCCTAGAGTTTAAAGTATGCCTCGTACAAATGTCACTTCCAAGCTTCAGTGCTAATCCAGAGGAAATATTATCCTAGTGGTCTCCAAGGCCCAATGTCTAAGTGTTGGATACATGATAAACTTACGTGGAGCTTTCTTAGTGAGATATAGTCCTCCAGAGGATTGAATTTTTCAAGGCCTAGTACAACCCAACCCTTTAAAATAAGATTTAAGCTTCCCTTGTCAGGTTCTTTTAAGAGCTTTTTAAATTTTTTTTATTTGCTGCTTTGACCAGGTTCTAATCCCTAGTCCCCAGTGACAACCTTTGGCCATCTCAACCATTTCATGTCTGGTTTCCCATGCCTGGGGCAGCTTGCACAATTAAAGGTATTTTTTTCCCGCTCCCACAGAAGAGCCTCATGGAAATAATTTAAGATAGAAAATCTAACTCTTTTTTTAAACTAAAATAAGACTTTCTTGCTACTTTATGGGTAGTATTACAGATTTTTAATCATTTTTTCCATTCTATAGGCAGCTTTCTTGAATACAATAAATAATGACAGAATAGCAGGTATTGGAAATAAGAAGTGGATCTACCAATTTGAACTCTCCAAAGCACAGCTACAATATAAGTTTACTGCGCATAGACAAATGGCTTCCAAAGGTTTCCAAGAGGTCTAGGAGGGGGTTACGGTATGTCGCTTGATTGAGTGTCTGCTTTTAAAAAAAAAATAGGTAAAGAAACAGGCAAACACTCCCTATGCAGTTGGACCCACGTAGGGTGAAGCGAGGCCTGGTGGTCTGTATGAGCCTGTCGGTAAAGCCTGTTTGCACTATTTTTCATACTGCTCTTTCATTCTAAGCTGAAAGTCTACTTAAATGCCCACTTTGTCACAAATGCACATTAAGTTTATTAAGCAAGAATTACCCATTTGTATTCTTGACAATGATTTTTACCAAAACCTACACATGGGAATATACTTTGTTTTTTATTTTTACTTTATTTTTTCTTTTTGAGATGAAGTGTCGCTCTGTCACCCAAGCTGGAGTGC
Source organism: Homo sapiens (assembly GCF_000001405.40). Lineage (NCBI taxonomy): Eukaryota > Metazoa > Chordata > Mammalia > Primates > Hominidae > Homo > Homo sapiens. The sequence continues at coordinate 170,135,722 of NC_000001.11, forward strand.
AGTGGCACGATCTCGGCTCACTGCAACCTCTGCCTTCTGGGTTCAAGTGATTCTCCTGACTCACCCACCCGAGTAGCTGGGACTACAGGTGCCTGCCACCATGCCCAGTTAATTTTTGTATTTTTAGTAGAGACGGGACTTCACTATGTTGGCCAGGCTGGTCTCGAATTCCTGACCTTGTGATCCACCCTCCTCGGCCTCCGAAAGTGCTGGGATTATAGGCATAAGCCACCACGCTCGGTCCAGGAATGTATTTTGATGATTTTATCTTAAATTTAATTTTGCTAAGTTTGGCCTATTATTTTAGCCTTCTAAATCTATCATCCTGGGTAGTAGGTTGGGGTCATCCTGATTCAACTATCAACATATTACTTTTGTTTCAGCCTTGTTTTAGCTACCAATTATAGAAACCTTTGGTCTATATCTTCTTAAGGTCATTAATAAAAATGTCAGTAGTTTTTAGCCAAGGCAGAAGTTTATCCCTGAAGATCCTGGAGATAAACTACTGTCAAAGAAAAATCAGAGCCTACAGTATTAAAGTGGTAAAACCGGATTTTGGTTCAAGACTATTGCAATAGGGAAAAAGAGACTGGAGTATAGAACTGGGCTCAACTCCAAATACAGCTGGGCAAGTGGGAATTTATAGCTAAGAAGCAGGGTGTGAGGCAGTGGATAGAAAATTACTCTGAAGGAAGCATCAAGGGTAAGAGGAGATTCTGGCTCAACTGACTTGACAGGATTCTTGCTGGAGACAGGCCACTGTGATAAGATCCTGAAGGTGGAGGATGCAAAATTTGGTCAGATATTGAAGGTGACCAGATACTGAGGGTAAGGATTCTCTCTACACTAACTTAACAAAATTTTTGCTGAAACTGGACTCTACAGAGACAGAGAGAGAAGCCAAAATTTGGACCTCATTGATTAGAAGACTCAGAGGTGCCTATTAAAGTTTGGTAAAGTGGGATGGTGTCTTGTCAGTCCCTCCTCTTGTTCAAGTAAAGAAAAGGCATTCTTTTATCCTCTCAAAAATCTACATCTGCTTCTGGAGGCTCTCGGTAGAACCTCAGTTTGAGGTCTCCAGTTGGAATACTTTTCTAGTCTAAATAGCTTTTCTATTTCTTTAGTTGTGAAACATGAACCCAATGTTGAATACCATATATTTGATAGCAGTGTTAGCAATGAGTAAAACAGTATAAGGTCACTTCCTTCTGGGCTCAAGATTAGTTTTCTGATGCTAGTGTTTTTAGAATACCAGATTGCTTACTTGTAAATCAGGAAGGACAATCAGGAAGTTATAAGGGGAGGGAAGCCTTGAATTGTTGGTTATAGGATTGAGTATATAGTTTTTATTGATCCTTGATGTATCTAAAGATGCCAGATTAAGTCAAGTTAGAGCCCCACACTAGCTGAGATGCATAAGGCATCCTCATGGATCTTCCCATGATAATTTCAAAAGTGAACACCTTATGTGGAGGTGAAGGTGTAAGAGTCATAAGATCAATGGAAAGCACTTGTGGTCATGGAAAGTCCAATTTTTCAGATGGTTTAGCCAATTTGGTCTTGAGAATGCTGTTGGCTTTTTCTATGGTTCCTAATGACTGAGGGCGGTAAGAGCAGTGTAGTCTTTGACAAATGTGTGTTTCTTTTCCAATTTTTTGTATAATTTTACCAATAAATTGTGATCTCTATCTCTAGAGATGGGAGAGGGGATACTCCAGATGGGGAAAATTTATCCTAGGAAAACTCCACTGAGTCAACAAAGAAACAATGGATTTAAATATATCCAACAACTGCAGAATATACGTTCTATTCATCAGCTCATGGAACATTCTCCAAGATAGACCATATAATAGAAGCAAAAAAGAGTCCACATAGCCAAAGCAAAACTAAGCAAAAATAACAAATCTGAAGGCATCACACAAGGCCATAATCACCAAAACAACATGGTACTGGTATAAAAATAGGCACATGGACCAAGGGAACAGAATAAAGAACCCAGAAATAAACCCAAATACTTGCAGCCAACTGATCTTTGACAAAGCAAATAAAAACATAAAATAGGGAAAGGACACCCCTCTCAACAAATGGTGCTGGGATAATTGGCAAGTTAGTGTCATTGTCTCAGCAAGAAAATAACATTTTATTTTTCATTGAGTCTAACGGAACTCTACCATGTATGAGAGTGGCTCAATCATTTGCTGAGTTAGAAAGCAGGCACACCACAATTCCTTAAAAGAAAAGTGTTCTCTAGGAAAGAAAAAAAAATGCTTGGATAATGCAAGTTATAGATAAATATAGCCTTGGCTGGAAATCTTATCTCACTTTCCAGTCTTGAATGACTCCTGCCAGAATTTTTATCTGAGCCTAATCTTTAGTAAGTGAATTAGAGAAGCGGAAGACTTCAACCTCCCTTCCTTCCTTCCGTCCTTCCTTCCTTCTTTCCTTCCTTCCTTCCTTCTTTCCTTCCTTTCTCCCTCTTTTCTTCTCTTTTCTGTCTTCCCTCCTTCCTCTTTCTCTCTCTTTTCTTTCTTTCTTTCTTTTTCTTTTGTTTATTATTCTTTCTTTTCTTTTTTCTTCTTTCTTTTTTGCCTTTTCCAAGATCTTTGCAAATACAAGCTCTCTATAATAGGGTAATAATTATTACCCTAGTATATAAGTTGTGATGGTGGAAGGGCAGAAAAGGATGAGAAAACTGTTGTGTCACATATTTGATATGCAATGTGAAATCATTGAAGGGTTTTAAACAGGTGAGTAAAAAATTTCTGATTTGTAGGTATTACAACAAGATCATAGTTTGCAGCTTACAAAATATTAATTTTTATATTATTGTGAGTTATTTCTAGATGTAAAGATTAGCTTTCTTAAGGCATCTTCTAAAGGCTGACACCCAGAAAAGGAATTGAATTCTTAAAAGTTCCATGTACACTACTATGGTGCAGTTTTTAAGGCAGTCAATTCTAGCCAACCATAAGCTTGAACCCCGGTCTTCAGGCATGCACAGGGTAGGGCTGTGTCTTCCCAATTATGAACAATGATCAGGCAAATCCTGCAGCAAACTTACTACATCATACAGCTGCAACCACCTAACTAAGACCACAGCTTTCAGATTATGGCAGAGGAAGAGCTGGTGTTATCTCCAAGTCAAAAAATTAAGCTGAAATCAAGGTTCTGCAATGTCATATAGTCATTTTGTCCTGGTCCTTCATCAAGCCAGAACATGAGCAGCTGCTTCCCTAATCATGCAGCTTAAGATATCCCCAACCCAAGGGTCAGGGTGTCTCTCCCAGTATATAACATCCAGCTCTGACAGGTGGCTGTGCCCTGCTCTAGAATGAATGGATAATGGGAAATTGTATGCCTGCTACTGACTCTGTTTCTGTGCATTTTATTTAATGAGCACTGCTCTAGGAGGTCTCGTATAAATGACATTTGGCCATTTGCCTTCGCTTGCATGACTATTTCATACAAACAACTATCTTAATATACAAAAAGCTAATAAGGTGAATATATTTGCACCCACAGCTTAGCTGAAGATTTAAACATTGCCAGTACTATCAAAGTTTCCTGGCATTCCATTCCAGATGTATCCTCTCCTTATCTCTCAGGATTGATCCCTGTACTGATCATTGTATTTACTCTTCCCCTAAAATCATACTGCTTAGTTTAGTGTGTGTTTGAAGTTTATATGCCTAGAAATATACAGTAAATATATTTTTGCAATTTGCTTTTCACACAACATTGTGTTTATGAGATTCATCCATATTTATGGGGAAGAGTAGTAGCAGATATTTTCAAGCACACAAGATAAGGACAAAGCTAAGGTCTGATTCAGCCAGTTAAGACACAATGAGTTATTTTTAGATTCAGGCAGTTTGTTATTTCCATGGAGAGTGAAATAAAGAGTAGCCAAAGATGCCAGGTAGATGCATCCCTGTCCTATGCACCCAAAATTATGCTAGTAAAACAAAAGGGGCTGAATGGCTGCCCATAGGAGTTGCAGGATACTCCATTACTAAGATGCAATTCTAGACTGGAGCTAAGTGGTTTTGTAGCCTGATGCCATACCTTGCAGAAAGCCTCATATTTCATCAGTATCTGGGAAGTGGTAAGAAACTGTCCCATGCAAGACAAATGCACACTTATGTTTATTGCAGCACTGTTCACAATAACAAAGACTTGGAAGCAACCCAAATGCCCATCAATGATAGACTGGATAAAGAAAATGTGGCACATATATACCATGGAATACTATGCAGCCATAAAAATGGATGAGTTCATGTCCTTTGCAGGAACATGGATGAAGCTGGAAACCATAATTCTCAGCAAGCTAACACAGGAACAGGAAACCAAACACCGCATGTTCTCACTCACAAGTGGGAGTTGAATCAATGAGAACACATGGACACAGGGAGGGGAACATCACACACTAGGGTCTGTCAGGGGGTGGGGGGCTAGGGGAGGGATAGCGTTAGGAGAAATACCTAATGTAGGTGATGGGTTGATGAGTGCAGCAAACCACCATGGCACATGCATACCTATGTAACAAACCTGCACATTCTGCATGTGTATCCCAGACCTTAAAGTTAAAAAAAAAAAAAGAAAGAAAAAGAAACTGTGCCATGCAAGTCTCTTAGGGGATACAGGGAAGTGAGTGGGAGATAGCTTCACAAACCACTTATCATCTTGTGTTTCAGGAGGATCACAAGGCATTCTGCCAAGACTCAGATTAGTTGTGGTTCAGTCCTGTGTGGCACGTGTGGATACCTGCAAGGGTGCCAGTGCATAATAGCAGAACATTCCCCAATAGTCATTGCTGTGTTTTGGTTTCTTACTGTATAAATATATGTTATTTGCCAATTTTGATGTTTTTGAACATCTGGGTTGCTATAGTGTTTTTGTTTGTTTATTTGGTATTGTAAAGAACACTATTTAAAAAATTCTTAAACATATCTCCTGGTGCAGATGTGTAGGAGTTATTTTAGGGTATGTGCCTAAGATGGAATTGTTTGATCAAGGATACGCACATCATTAACTCTACAAGATAATGTCAAATTGTTTTGCAAAATGTTTGTGTCTATTTTCACTAAAACACAGCTTATAATGATTTCTTCTGTTCCATATCCTCACCAGGCCTTAATTTTCACAAATCTCACTCTGCACCTGTTTTGATTAAAATTTGTATATTCTAGGTGATTAATGGGTTAGCCTTTTTTTAATGTTTCATTTGTATTTTTATTTACTTCTCTGTGAACTACCTGTTAATGTCTTTTTTCAATTTTTCTATAGAATTGTTTGTATTATTCTTATTTATTCATAGAAACTCTTCATATATTTAGTATACTAATTTCTGATTAATTATTGGTGGTACAAGTATTTCTTACCCATTTGTTCAATGGTTTCTTTTGATAAACAAAAGTTCACCATTCTAATTTCAATGTAGTCTAATTAATTATACTTTTTCTTTAGTTTTTGCTTTTTGAATCTTAAAAAAGTTATCCTTCTTTTACTCTGTTATCATAAAGATGTTTTCCCATAAGACGTTCAAAGAATTTTGGAGTTTTGCTTTTCACATTTAAATCTTCAATCTGCCTGGGTTAGATTTGTGCATGATGTGAGATGGGGACCCAATTATGCCAGCACCAGGACCAATGTTGAAAATATCTTTTCTCTACTGCAATACTATCTCTGTCTTATGTCAACTTACCATATATGAATAGATTTGTTTTGTAGTTCTATGTGTATTCTGTTTTATTAATCTTTTTACCTATTCCTGTGCTAATAACACCCTGTATTAATTCCTTCTTCCTGAAGTAGATTTTTTTTTAGTTGTGCTTCCAGTTAGCACCTATGAGTGGTAAATTCTCTCTTTGTCTGAAAATATCCTTATTTCATCCTCTATGCTGAATTTCCCTTTAAAGTATTATGATATTTTAATTTGATAGGTATTTTATTTTGAGTGGATGTTCCCAAACATTTAGCTTGTTGTACTACTGAATGAGTATGTTTTTTATATGGCATTTTTTCTTTCTTTGTTTTCCTTACTTCTGACTCTCTCTTCATGATAATTTACTTTTTAACAGTAGTTACCCCCCGCCCACCAAGGGATCCCCTGTGAGATGGAAAACCAAAATGGATAAATTCAGAGTTTCTACCTTCTCTTGCTGGAGTCATATTTCTTTCTTCTGCATTCATTGTTTTTCTTTCCTGCCTGGAAATTGATGACTGGTAGACTTGAGATCTATATCATAACCTCATTTACTGAGTATGAACATAGCCAAGAATGGTGTGAGGTGGTAGCAAATAGAGCATTGCAGCTCTGAGAGAAAAAATATTGGCATAAGGAAACAAACGCAATGAGCCAGAAATTGGTTCGAGCTATACCAGTATGAGAAACAGTCACAAAATCCAATGTGACCTACAGAGATAAACAAAACTTGACAAAGGCATTTTGTAGAAACCAATCAGTCTTTCACCCCACTCAAGAATTATGGGTATGAAATATAGAATCTTAGAACACTTAATAATCCTCATTCAAACACAAATAATTAATGTTCATTTTATAGTGGAAGAAAATTAGTTCTGTAAAAACTGAGAAACTTGCTAATATCAATTGCCAAATAAGCAATACTGAGCGTCTTGAGCCAGTGATTGCCAGTCTCTCTCCCAGCACCAAACATCCTGACCTTTTAAGCATAGGAGGGGTCATCAAAACATCACTGAGATGGGGTTAAGAACACACCTCTTGTTAAACGTATTGATGAATATAAGTAACAAAAGAGAATCCCTTCATGTTTTTCTTCTTTTACTTAATTTATTTTACTACAGCAACAAAAAATTCCAAAGGATGGATGAATGAGCTCTAACAACACATTTCATTTGGATTTCTTTTCAATTCTTAAATGCATTAAGTACAAATAATCTGGATATGTGTTAGAATTACTTAAATACAACAGAAGAAGAACCAGATAGACATCATGTATTTTGAGGACCTATAACTTATTATTAGCTTACTCCAAAGGATTGTAATGATAATAGTTAACTGATGATAATAACTGAACATGTACTGTGTATTAGGCACTGTGGTATTTTACATGGATTATTTCATCTTGCCCTCACAATAATAAAGTAAGACATATACTATTATCATCATTTTTATATTAAAGAAGATTAAAGTGAGGCTCAGAGAGACTAAGAAATCAGTTAGTTGAGGTAACCCCATATATAAGTGGTGGCAATGAATTCCTAACTCAGTCATATCTGCTTAATTCCAGGTAAGACCCTTCCTTCTTAATACCATGAAATAATCACACCAGAAGTTTCTTTGGTCTGTTTGATGTCATCTACTCTATCTTCATCTTCATGAGAATTCATTGAGTAAAAATGATTCAGGATGGTATTTGTATTAGACAAAACTCCATGTTGCTAGTACAGAAAACTCAACTCAAGCTGGCATTAACAATAACAGACTTAGATAATGTGCCCACTCAAAAAGGAAAACTGGAACCAGGGTAACATTATGTACTGACCAGCTCAGGCGTGGATGATATACCCATCTGTGTACCACAAACTGTGGGAGGGGCAAAATGGATAACTTGAACTGCAGTTTGGGCAATTACTGAAGCCAAGGATGGGGACAATTCCACCAAAATTGAATGGCTGTCCCTTTACCTGGAGAGGGAGAAAATGGCAAAACAGAAGCACAAGAAGATGAGGGAAAATAAATCAGAGTCAAATAATTGGAATCCTTACTTCCTCTCTCAGTAAAAGATTGACACACAAATAAAACTTAAAAAAAGATTATGGCTACATTGTTTATCTTCAAAAAATTCTGGCTGGGCTTACTGGCTCATGCCTATAATCTCAGCACTTTGGAAGACTTAGACGGGAAGATTGCTTGAGGCTAGGGGTTTGAGACAAGCCTGGGCAACATAACGAGACCCCGTCTCTACAGATAAAAAAAAAAATTAAAAAAAAATCCAGATGTGCTGATGCATGCCCATAGTCCTAGCTACTCTGGAGAATCAGGTGGGAGGATTGCTTGAGACTTGGGAGATTGAGGCTGCAGTGAGCCATGATCACACCCCTGCACTCCAGCCTGGGTGACAGAGCGTGACCCTGTCTCAAAAAAAAAAAAAAAAAATTCATGGACAATGTATGAATTCATTGTATCTTGTGGCATTGTAACAAATAATCCCCAAACTTAGTTGCTTAAAATAATAAACACATTTCTGTGGATTAGTAACCTGGGTATGACATAACTGACTTAGGGTCTCCCATCAAGTTGCAGCCAAACCGTTAATTGGGGAAGGATTCGCTTCCAAGCTCACTTACACTGTTGTTAGTGGATTTCAGTGTCTTCTGGGCTGTTTGACCTAGGACTTCAGCTCCTTGACATGCAGGCCTCTCCACATGGCCACTCACAATAGGCAGCAGTCTTCCCACATGGCAAACAAGCAAGTGAGAGAAAGAAGACACCTAAGACAATCTTTTAATAACCTCTTCTTAAAAGTGACATCTCATCACTTTCACCATATTTTATTCTTCAGCGGTGAGTCCTTAAGTCCAGCCTATACTCAAAAAAAGAGGATTACAGGAAGAGGTGAATACCAGGAAGAAAGAAGATGGGGATTCTTATGGACTGCTGTGGACTGAATGTTTGTGTTCCATCAAAATTTTTATGTTGAAATTCTGAGCCCTAATGTGTTGGGATTTGGAGATGGGGGCCTTTGGGAGATAATTAGGTCATGAGGGTGGAGCCCTTATGAAGGGGATAAGTGCCCTTATAAGAAAAGACACAAGAGCTTGATTTAACTCTCTGCCATGTGAGCACACAATGAGAAGAGGGCAATCTGCAAACCAGACAGAGGGCCCTCACTAGACATGGGATCTGCCAGCACCTTGATCTTTGACTTCACAGCTTCCAGAACTGTGAGAAATAAATGTTTGTTGTTTAAGCCACATAGTCTTTGGTAATACGTTAGAGCAGCCTGAACTAAGACAGGGGTCACATTAGAAGTTGCCTACCATAATGTGTGCATTTGTGTATATTAGCATGTGTATATGTACAGGCAGGGGGTCTGTGGGTGCACATGGCATAGGGCCAATAGTGTATTGAGATCTTACACATTTTCCTGTTAGGAACATAAGGGGAGGAAAACAGTAGTCATGGTCCCTGTAGGGAACAGATGGAATTCACAAATTGGGAATTCGAACTGGTTTAATAAAGGGACTATTTACAAATATGTGGGCAAGTATAGGAAAATTACAAGGAATTGGGCTTGTCACCTGATACATCACTCCCCCTGGGCCTCAAGCAGTCAGGTGAAGGAGAAATGAACAGAACCAGGAGAGGATATTTGTATGAGAAGACCCTGGTCAGACGTATGACCTTTTGTTAAAGGATATGGTCAGCTCATGGCATTTCCACAGAGAAGGTGCCAAGGGAATAAATACCTTGACCTCACTTTCCTCCTGTCTCCTCCTGGCACTATCCATTGGCTAAAGCCAACTAGAAGCTAGAGGGCAATGGAGTCCACTGATGTAGGTCAGCCTCCTGGGGAACACATAGTAATGTATGAAGAGTGGAGAGTGTATCCGGAGGGACAATCAGAAGATACCCGGTACAGAAAACAAATGTACTTAAGAGGAAAATTATATTCAGAGTAGGCAGAGAGGAAGAAACAGGCTTACATGAATAGTTGTTGTTTACAGCAAGCTAGATGGAAGAGTTTGCTGACAGAGAAGGATATTTAACGTCAAAACAAGCTTTCAAATAATTGCTTCTCTTGAAGATCCTTCAAAATAGGAAACACATACACATTTCTATGAAATTATTTGGGAGAAATTGTACTGATGAAAGGAGCATGAGTGGCTAAGATGACTTTGAAGGGTCCTTGTAATTTGAGGATTCAGTGTTCTACGAGGAGTGATGGAAATCAGGGAACAAGATCTCTTGCAAAATATTCACAACTCTTTGAAATGGAAATTAGGCTATTCCAATTTAGAAATCAAATTAAGGCAAATATTCAGGGTGTTAGCAGGCTGTGCTCTTGCCTGTTTGAAGTGGTGGCTAAAGGAGAGAGGCGTGCTTTTTCCTGGATGAAGCAGGATCTCTCTCAGCCAGTTTTCATCCTTACTTAGCACCTGCTGGCTTGGAGTGGTGTCACCCAAGCAATCAGACGGAGGGACGTGCCAAGAGCCTGCCCTCCCCTCCCACTGTGTGCTGCCCCTCCTCCCCACACCCATGACAGCCTGTCCTGATATAGATGGAGAGGGGACTGGTTTAAAATGACAGTCTCAAGTTCATTTAGAAAGAGAAGGCTAATTCAAAGAAACAGCAAGGCAAGCTTCCTTTCTCTGTAGGAATCATTATTATCCCCCTTTGTCATGGCCCACCGGGGAGCCCATTTTGCCTTTAGATCCCGCTGGCAGAAGACCGACGATGAACTCTGTAGACATAGCATGTCTTTTATCCTTCACAAAGCCATTCGCAATGACTTCTTTCAGAGCTATCTCTACCTGCTGGAAAAAATTCCCCTGGGTAAGTGAGTCAGAGCTACTAGATAAGAAACAAGAAATGACTGATGGGATTGCATGAGGTCATGGGGCTTCTAGAAGAGAATTTAAAACAAGGACACTTTTCAGACAAAAAAAACTCCACAACCAATGTCACTGGGCTGAAATGTTTCAGTGGAATTCTTTATGGAGAATACAAAGATTAAGTGCCTAAAATAGAGTCAGGACTTTATTTTGGGATTTCCATGCACCCTCAGGCACTGTGATTTGCTTCTCTGGGTGTCTGTTGCATGAGTATCAGGCTTGTAGAAACTCAGACATGTTTAATATTTACAAAAAATTGTAATTGGGCAAATTTGATAATTCAAAGATGAGAGTATTAATGCATTAATACATTGAGTAAGAGTTAAAAAGAAAGACTAAATAATGATAGATCAAAATGTGCTTGGGTTATGTATGTATGTTTCTGTGTCTGTGCTTGTGTACACACTTACAATCCTCTGCGGTCTTCTTGAATCACAAGAATAGTCAGAGAGCCTAAAAAAAGGAGATTTTAGCTTGGTTTTTGAATATTAAGAAGTCAGTGGTCTGTCTCCATTTTTGTTATCTCCTCTAGTTTTCAGAGAATTGGACAATAGAGCAATAAAAAGCTTATCTGTTTTGCCTACTCTACTTTTTTCAGCCTCTGTGAAAGCAGTTACTTCAGGGCACCCTAAACAGCACTGAAGAGGAAATAACTTACCATTAAAGAGTAAAATACCCTTCTCCCTTTGATTTGTATTTTCCCCCAGTGAAAGCAAGAAGGCTGTGTATCAGCCTAGTCTGTTTTCTTAAGGTCGTTTGAAAGCCCCATTGTGCACTTGATGTGGTCAGGGTTTCCAGCTGTCGAAGCAGCTACATAATTCTTTGTATTGCATTCAAGCAACCGAATGTTAGCAGCCTACCAAAACCTTTTTGTAAATCCATTTATGAGGGATCTTTAATTCTAAACATACAAATACCTTCATCTCATATTTATATAACTTCTTTCTAAAACTTTTTATCGTCTATGACTTTATTTGATTCTCATAGTCACACTATGAAATAGATAGGGTAAGTTATCATTTTTTTTTCTACCTATCTTCCCTCCTTCTTCCTTTCATTTTACTTTTTCAAAGGAGGGAAGTAAAATTCAGAGATGATGATATTTAATCTAGATAGAGTAATATGAAAGCAAAGACCAAAGTCCAGGGCTTTTTTTTGGTAGATCACACTGCCCATGAGTAATTCTTTTAGGACGTATAATACATCTCATCTATATCCAAAAGGAAAAAAAAATACAGCAGTTTAAATGGAAGGTGATGATGTTCTAGTCACTTCATATACTGGCAAAGCATTGCTTTTCTGGAGACACTCTTCAGGCCATACCTCAATAAGAGTAGGTTGGTAGCTTTGGTTTTATTAGACTGGAGAAAGATATCAATTACAACAGCTGAGAAGAGAGTCACTAACAGGCAGATGACTGTCAAACTTTAAAAATATTTACTAGAGAGAAAAAGAAGTCACCTTTGAAGGCAGCTGAAGATGAGTTAAAAAGTTGAATACAATAGTCTCTTCTGAAAAGCAGATGAAAATTAATTTGGCACAAATGGACTATAATTTATATTTAGTCTCAATCCCTTTTTTTGTTCAATAAAATCATTTTGATTTTGTGTTTTTCTCCTTTGTAAATATGCTAATGTTTTACCAATGAGTTTTGACCTTTTAAAAAAACATTATTATCAAAAGGCAAAGTTTTTGACAAAATATTCCACTGACGCCCAATGTAAAATACAGGAAAAAGGGAAACTTTTCTGCATAGGATTGGGGGCAGGACCCTTTCCTTGGTCTATTCTCTTAGACTTACCACTGTCTCCTGAGGCACTCCTTTTTTTTTTTTTTTTTTTTTTTTGAGATGGAGTCTCACTGTGTCGCCCAGGCTGGAGTGCAGTGGTGCAATCTCGGCTCACTGAAAGCTCCACCTCCCAGGTTCACTCCATTCTCCTGCCTCAGCCTCCTGAGTAGCTGGGACTACAGTCCCCCGCTACCATGCCCGGCTATTTTTTTTTTTTATTTTTAGTAGAGACGGGGTTTCACCGTATTAGCCAGGATGGTCTTGATCTCCTGACCTCGTGATCCGCCCGTCCAGAGGCACTTCTCTAATACCTGTGGGGTTCCATAAACACAGTTTGAAAACCATTAGTCTATCCCAAGCCAACATTGCCTTCATTTTACTTATTTGCAGCTTTCCATAAATGGGCATTGCTTATTTTCTCTGACCCTGATGATTTGACCTGGACATTAGTTTGCCTGAGAGTCACAGAGCTAGCCTCATCCACAGTACCTCTTTGATGATAGAAATTTAGGGCTATGTTAGTCAATATGGACTGGGATAGGCTGCAGTAACAAATTAACTCTGGAATCTTAATAGCTGAATACATAAAAAATATTTTTTTCTCTTGCTACATCATTTTCAACATGCATTATTGGAGTTGTGGAGGGGAGGCTATATTCCACACAGGCATTCAGGGATCCAGGATGATAGAGGCTTTGCCAGCTGGAACATCACTAGTCACCAGGCAAGCAAATAGAGCAGCCAAAGTTTTGTCTACTAGCTCTTAAAAACTTCAGCCCCAAAGGACATCTATTACATCTGCTTAGAATTCATTGTCCAGAACTACAAGAATTCTGGGCAATATGAAGGGAGCACATATATATTTGTTCACTAGAAAATGTTTCTGCTACAGGGAAAAATATTGTATTTTGGAGATAAAAATACCAGACAATGCTTAGTTCTGATCAATTCAGTCATATTCAATGTAAGAGACATTTATGGAATTTCATTATTGTCAAAGTATTGTGCATTAGAAAGGATTCAAATATTAATAAGACAGTTTCCATTCTTCAGGATTTTATAATGTGACAATGGATGCAAATCTACAAATAACTGTGTATTAATCCTTTTAAACTAAGGGTGCAGGGAAATCAGGCTACCAGTTCTGTGAATACTCAGATTTTTTTGTAGCTTTTTCCTCTAATGGCAGAAGCCAAATGTTCAGAAAGGAATCTGCATGTAAGTCTTATCTGCCAGTGTGACTTTTATTCAATTAGAAGGCTTCCCTTAATCCTTGATTCACTCATTTAAACTTTGGTTTTTGTCCCAGGAGGTTATAACTTATATTTATGGAATGCAATTGCGTGTATTAGTTTCCCTATTGGACTCTCATTCCCATGAGAGTAAAGACTCGCCTATTTTTTCCTCTTTTGTATCTATTCAGCATTTACCATGGTTCCCGGCACATAGGAAAAACACAAAAAATATTTGTTAAATGAATTAAATGGCCTCTTACTAATAATTAATTGCAGATCAGCAAAGTTCTGAGTTTAAATTTTTGCACTGCTACTACTAGAAAACTAACCTCTGCAAGTTACTAAAGCCTCTGAGTATAATTTTTCTTAAAACTACAGCAGAGTTGATTGAAGGATTAAATGTTGGTATATATGTGAAATAGTCCTCCTCAGTAAATATTAGTTTCTTTATTTCCTTCCTCTGAGCCAGGCCTCTTTTAAAGTCACCATGTAGCTTTCTCTAGAACAGGCATTACCAAAAACGATAAACTTAATTCAAAATATGAGAGTTTTCAGGCTGCAGTGAGTATTAATTATGTTTTTCAGTTTGGAAATAAAACTTAGCCAGAAGAGATGCTTCCTCTCCAGCTCTGCTGAGGTGTTTTAGAGTCAGCTTCCTCTACTCTTGATAATTTCAAGACTTCATAGAAATGAAAATAAAGTCCTTCTTTCAAAAAGGCTAGGAACTTCTCCTGTAGGGTCTGCACAGAGAGTTTGTTGTTTGGGGTAATTATATGGAAAGAACGGTGGCTAACCAGACTCTTTGATTCCTTCTTTCCTTCCTTCCTCCCTCCAACTGCCTAGATTAGGCAGCAGTCTCACTCCAGCACGATATGTGGTGACATTCAGTCATGGGGAAATTTGCTGAAACATCCCTGGCAAGCTTCAGAGATTCATGGAATAGCAAAGACATACATACTAAAAATCTCCAATGGAAGACTCAGCTATGCTGTTGAACATAACTGATCTTCAGAAAGAAGTGAGAACAAGCCTATCATTGTTCTCAGTGTTTTGCATATATTATCTCAGTTCATTTTTATAACATCTCTATTAGGTGTGCTGTTATTTTCCCCATATTATATTTGAAGAACTGACACCTAGATGAGTTAAGTAACTTGCCAAAGATCTTGTGGTGGTGAGTGGAGTAGCAGGATTAGAACCCAGGTGATCTAACTCCATGATCTTTTTTAAACCACTACATAATACAATGTAAATGAAAACTTAACTAATGTGGGCAGCAATATAAGTTTTACCATATTTTATGATTTAACAGGAATAGGGAACAAACATAGCCTATGAAGAGCATTCGCTTTCTGTTGAGATAATCAAGATAGGCAGGCCAGTAAATAGGTTTAAATAATCTAGTTATGCCAACCAAATTTCTGTTAGAAGCTTGGTGTGAACAAATTTTCAAAAAATGGCTATTCATGAACAAATAGGAAATAGAATGGGAAAACAAGTCAGTGGAAATCTCCAGTGTGTATACCAGTGCTCAAAGGGCTCAACTGGAGATGTTGGGACAACATCTCCATGTTTAGTAACAATCATTGAGGAATAACTTAACACTCAATGATTCTTCCAGTGCTATCCACATTTCTGAACACATAGAAGTCAATGAATATTCATTAATTATATTATTGAGCAAAAGTCTATTACTCCTAGACATTGTTAAAGGCTTAGCCCAACTTCATGTGTAGAACAATGGTTCTGTGTGGTTTAACAGAAAGACCAGAAGCTTTGCATTTGAATAGGCATGTGCTAGGACCTGGTTATGACGTTTCTTTTCTATGTGATATTAAGTTACCAAGTCTCTCTGATTCTCTTACTCATCTATAAAATGACGATTATAATTCTAGTCTTATATAATCATTGTGATAGTTAAAAGAGACAATGTGAAGAGGTGACTTGAAAGTACCTAGCATAATACCTGGCACATAGGAGGTATCCTCTCTTGCGTTGATCCCTTTTCAGAAGAATCAGTCTCTGAGGAGGAAATTAACTATGGCTTTTAACTTTGATGGCAAAGACATAGATTGTTTAGCTACCCCTTTGCCATCAAAGTTAAAAGCCAGAGTTAATAACAACATTTCCTAAAAAGCACTTGGAACTTCCAGAATAAAACTCACCATACAGCTATTGGTATTTTAAAAATTTATTTCATTCCTGTGGTAGGCATTGCTGCACAACTCATTGTACAATGATACATTTTCAAATGTTTATCATTACCTGTGCAATACAAATGCTGCAAGACCATTTTTCTCTTTCAAGCAATGAAGAAAATATAATTTTCTTTTTTATTTAGCAGACATATTTTTAGGTGCAGAGTATGAGAGGGATGATCTATAGGTTTTCTACTTAAATAGACCTAGGTTCAAGTCCCAGATCTATCACTCTCTAGCTGCTTAACCTTGGGAAATTTAGTTAATCTCTTAATGCCTTGGTTTCTTCTTCTGTAGAATGGATATATAATGTTTATCTCACATAGTCAGTTCGATATAAATGTTTTGCATAAGTATTACATATAAACATGTTTGATCATCTATAGTTACTATTTTTTAATTATTTGAGTATGCCTAATTGGGAGGACAGGTATTTCATAAATGATACCAAAGGTATGACTTATGTGTGCTTATGTCGGTTAATCCCTATAACCATTCAGCTCTTTCTTGTACCCATATATTATTTAAAGAACAAAAAGCTAGCTTTTATTCAATGAACATTCAAAGAAGGCCCATCAAGAAGTTAGCATAACATTAAGTGCTAGGATTACAAAAAAATAAAATATAGCCTTATCCTGAAGAGTTTAGTGTAGGAGAGAGACGTACACAAATACTTTTTAAAAATGTGGTATTAAAGTGGTAGAGACCACTATAAAATTCTACAGAGGTGCAAAGGAAGCATGGGGACTGCTGAGTCAAATCTCATCATGAAAAATCTGTCTTCAGTATCTCCCCTTGACTTCTGGCCTTCTCAGATTTGATAGTAGGTCAGATAGAGAGTTCAAGAAAGAAGAGAGTTAGGAAGACACTCAGCGAGTAGGTAGGGGATAGATCTCTTGCTGAATTTGAGAAAGTAGATTGTCTTTCCCCAATTTAGAAGTCAGGAAACACTAAACTAGCCCTCAGTTGAAAAGAAAAAAGCCCCACACAACTTTCAGAATAGGCAGCGCCCTATTTTAGAGATAAGAAACATCAGACACCTAAAGCCTATAGGGAGCAAATAAAACCTAGAGGGTTCCTCTGGGCAATCCAGAGACTTGGTAATGACAGCTTTCTAGTATCCTGGCACATTTAAACCTTGGATTTCACCAGAAACACTGATAAATCCCCCCCCCACCACCATTGTTGATGAAAAATATAATGAGGAGGGTAACATTTATTGAGCTTCTACTCTAAACCAAACACCATACTAGGTGTTTTCACATGCATTATCTCATTTAATAATCTCAACAAGTTGTATGATAGGTTTTGATATATTTGGGATATTTGTCTCATCCAAATCTCATGTTGAAATGTAATCCCCAGTGTTGGAGGTGGGGCCAGGTAGGAGGTGTTTGGGTCATGAAGATGGATCCCTCATGCCTTGGTGTTGTCCTTAAAATAATGAGTGAGTTCTCATGAGAGCTGGTTGTTTAAAATTGTGTGGCACTTCACCCCACCTTTTACTCCCACTCTTGCCATGTGATGTGCTTTTTCCTGCTTCACTTTTAGCTATGAGTAAAAGCTCCCTAAGGCCTCCCCAGAAGCTGAGCAGATGCCAGTGCCATGCTTCTTTTACAGCGTACAGAACTATTAGTCAATTAAATCTCTTTGTTTTATAAATTAAGCAGTCTCAGGTATTTCTTTATAGCAATGCAAGAATGGCCTAACATAGACAATTGGTACTGATGAGTAGAGCGTTGCTCCTGAAATGCCTGACATGTGGAAGCATCTGATACTTGAAAATGTGGAATTGACTTTGGAACTGGGTAATGGGAAGAGGTTGGAAGAATTTGGAGGGCTCAGAAGACAAGATGATGAGGAAAAGTTTGGAACTTCTAAGAGCTGTTAAATCATTGTGACCAAAATGCTGATAGTGACAAGGACAGTGAGGCCAGAATGCTGAGATCTCAGATGGAAATAAGAAACTTATTGGGAGGTGGAGCAAAGATCACCCTTGTTATGCTTTAGCAAAGAGCTTAGTTGCATTGTATCCATGTCCTAGGGATCTCTGGAAGATTGAACTTAAGAGTGATGACTTAGCATATCTGGTGGAATAAATTTCTAAACAGCAAAACATGCAAGATGTGGCCTGGCTGCTTCTAACAGCTTAACCAGGATTTGGAAGCGAGAAATGACTTAAAGTTGGAAGTTATATTTAAAGGTGAAGCACAGCATAAAAGTTGAAAATTTGCAGCCTAGCCATGTGGCAAAGAAAGCTTTTTCAGAGTAAGAATTAAAGTAGATTGTGAAACAACCACTTGCTAGAGAGATTTGCATGACTAAAAGTGAGCCAGGTGCTAATAGCCAAGATGATGGGGAAAAGGTCTGGAAGGCATTTCAGAGATCTAAGAGACAGCCCCTCTCATCACAGACCCAGTAGTGTAGGAAAACTGGTTTCAGGGGACCAGGCCCAGGGCCCTGCTACCCTGTGTAGCCTCAGAGCACTGTTCTCCATATCCCACTCCAGCTCTAGCTGTGGCTCAAAGGGACCCAGGTACAGCTGAGGCATCTGCTCTGAAGGGCAGAAGTTGTAAGTCTGTTGGCTTCCACATGGTGTTAAGCCTGTGGGTTCACAGAGTGCAAGAGTAGTGGAGGCTGCCAAGCATCTGGATTTCAGAGAATGTATGGGCAATCCTGGGCACCCAAGCAGAAGCCTGTTGCAAAGGTGGAGCCCCCCACACTGAGATAACCTTTACTAGTGTGGAGGAGAAATGTGGGGTGAAGTCCCACACAGAGTCCCCACTGGGGGCACTGCCTAGTGGAGCTATCAGAAGGGGGTCAACTGCCTCCAGACCTGGGAATGGCAGACCCACCTGCAGTTTACAACCTCAGTATGGACTAGCCCAGGAGGGGAGCTGCCCAAGACCTTGGAAGTCCACACCTCAGTGTGCCCAAATGCGGGGCATGGAGTCAAGGATTATTTTGGAGCTTTAAGACTTAAGGACTGCCCTGCTGGCTGGGGTTCAAGCTTGTGAGGGACCTTTAACCCCTTTCCTTTGGCCTATTTCTCCCTTTTGGAATGGGAATGTTTACCCAATACCTGTATCCCCATTGTATCATGGAAATAAATAACTTGTTTTGATTTTATGGGGTTGTAGGTGGAGGAACTCATCTCCAGATGAGACTTGTGACTTGAGACTTGGGACTTCTGAGTTAATGCTGGAATGAGTTAAGACTTTGGGGGACTATTGAGAAGGGAATTTGAAATGTGAGAAGGACAAGAGATTTGGAGGGCCAGGGCAGAATCATATGGTTTGGATATTTGTCCCATCCAAATCTCATGTTAAAATATAATCCCCAATGTTAGAAGTGGGGCCTGGTGGGAGGTGTTTGGGTCATAGGGACAGGTCCCTCATGGCTTGGTGCTGTCCTCTTTGTGACTGAGTTCTTATGAGATCTGGTTGTTTAAAAGTGTGTGACACCCCACCCCTCCCCTTGCTCCTGCTCTGCCATGTGACATGCCTGCTCTGGCTTCACTTTCTGCCATGGTAAAAACTCCC
This sequence comes from Homo sapiens, assembly GCF_000001405.40. Lineage (NCBI taxonomy): Eukaryota > Metazoa > Chordata > Mammalia > Primates > Hominidae > Homo > Homo sapiens. The sequence continues at coordinate 170,155,085 of NC_000001.11, forward strand.
TAAGACCTCCTCAGAAGCTTAGCAGATGCCAGCGCCATGCTTCTTGTACAGTCTGCAGAACTGTAAGCCAATTAAATACCTCTTTTCTTTATAAATTACTCAGTCTCAGGTGTTTCTTTATAGTAACACAAGAACAGCCTAACACAGGTATCATTACCTCTTTATAGAGGAAGAAGCTGAGGCTAACATGAGTTATGTAACCTATTCAAGATCATAAAACTAATTAGTGTCAGAGCTGGCAAACAAATCCAGGAATGTCTTACTCCAACTTTTTCCTTCCTCTCTCTTTTTTCCTTTCCTTTCTTCCCTCTCTTCCCTCCTCTCTTCCTTCCTTTTTTCCTATTTTACCATTACTTCTTTAATGGCTAAATTGAGAAGTACTTATCTGCAAATCTCTTTTATGGAAGGTCTTACCTTTCATAGGGGCATCTCCTAATTGGGCTTTTTTTTTCTGTTACAAAGGGCTAACTTGATCAAATATTATCAGACTCAACTCATTTAAAAATTACTGTCTAAACCTAGCTTACTTGTCTTCTGAAGAATTTTAGATCATTTTTTAATTGACAAACAGGTCTAATAGCTGGAATAAAGAGGCATTTTAAAATAGGTATATTCAACCACTTGAAAAAAGAAGAAAGAAAAGAGGATACTCAGCAGAGGTAAGCACTTAGCTATCAACAAAACTTCCTGTTTGTCAGAAAGTCTTCATTTTATTGCCAACTTGGATAATATTGTCTCGACTTGTTGTCCCTGTCTCTGATACTAGATCAATATTTCCTTTCAGGTCCAGATTAAGATTTTGAGTGAGTATTCTGTTTTTCTCCAAATTTTTATATTGAAAGACAGCAAAAGTCATCAAATGGTGCATTGCCTCAAGGTAAACTGACTTATTTGCTTCTTAGAGTCAGAAGTTGAGACCTTAAGCCACAAAATTCTTTTGCTACCTGCAAAAGAGTTTCTCAAGGAGGCATTTGAAAATTCTGAGTTTTATCCAGATAATTCATGCCATGTGACATTTCTTTCCTGCTCATTTTTTTGCTAACCCAAATAAAAAGTATCCTTCATGGTTAAGGTCTTATGGAGTCTTCTTGCTGCTACTTGCAGGCATCTGCTGCATGCCCAGCGCATTTTTTTGTACTATTCTTTGGACATGCAGCCATATGACTTAACTCCTCCATGCTAGAGTGTAATCTCCATGAGAGAGATTGAGCTTTATGTTTATTTCCTGAATGTTGTACTGGGGCTTAATAACTGAATCATGAATGAACTGTCTTTTGATGTAAATTCTCTTGGATATTAACCTTTCCTAGAAATTTCATCTTTATTCTCCTTCAGAGTAAACAAACTTGTACTCTATTTTTCTTTTCACCACAAGTAAACAGTGGAAGGTCCTTGGGAATTCAACTAATAATGTAGATCAATAAATAAATATTACATTAAATAAAAAACAAATAGTGTCTAGTTTTTGTCTTGAACTACCCCAAGTTTCACAGAGACATTGCAATTCTTTAATTTGCCAGTATATATATTTCTATAGTAAAAAGCCATGTGCTGGTGACTGGTTTACTTATCTGAGTCAATATGCACAATTGCAGAAGCTTTCAGGAGGGGAGAACCTGGGGCCGAACATGACACCTCATATATCTTTTTTTTTTTTAGTGAAATGCTGCTGTCAATTAGGTGAAAATGAGAACTCAAGCCTATAACCATAAAAGCCCACCTATTGAGTCTGACGCCTGCTGAGATTGGCATTCACTTGTGGTCTAAATGTTGCTGGCATAATGGACCATTCCTATTTCTAGATTAAGGGTTTTAATAGACTGCACAAACCAGTTGACTTAAGCAGGTGATGATGAGTGTGGCTGCTTTGCTGCTTTGGTTGGATCAAGAGAGCCCTGGGCTATGGCTTGCCAATAATCCCAGAGTAGCATCCAACCCTGGGCAGCCTGTGAGCTGTGAGTTCCTAGCCTGATTTTCTGAGACATCGAAAGAATTTGGAACAGTCATATTATTGGTGATGGCTGGTTTCTGTCATCCCTGTTGAATTTATAAGCACTTATTAAGTCACTTGCTGCGTATACCCTTTACCAAGTGCTAGGGAAGGGAGATTGGTGTTGATCCATGGTTCTCAATGTTTTTGAACATAAGGACCATCCTTTTAATGTTGTATTTTCTCAATCAGTAGCTAATTTGTATGTAAAATAGCAAAAAAGCTTCTATGTATTTATTTAAACTTTTAAAAGATTTATATTTTTAAAATAACAATCTATGTATAATAGTTAACATGTATGGAGGATATAAATAATATTGGTGGCCTCCAGAAAATGATGTGCTACATAGAAACTGATTCTTGTTCTCATTATCCCTTTCAGCAAATTCATGGTGATTCAGGGTACAAACACTGGCTCCAATGTCTCCAAGTTGGAAAATGCTGATGTAACTCCATAGATGGAACATAGTCATAGTAATACAAGTTGTATTTTTTGGATTTTTAACTCTCAGAATCAAAATTTGGAATTATGTAATTGTTCATTTCTGAATACTATCCAATGTCTCAGTCTTGGGGTTATCTGAAGAAAAATGCTCTTAGTTAAAGTGAAATAGGTATTTTTCTCTTTGATTTCTTCTGCTCAAATTTATGTCATATTTTGGCTTGCTTCATGCCCTGATCATAACATTTTTGAATCACTGTATATTTTTCTTGGAGCTTTCAATTATGTTTTATTTTTGGTGGTTTAGATTAAAAGTATGTCCTCCTTAGAATATTTCTAATATCTCCTTGCTTCTTGACTACTCTATTGCCTTGGATCTAGCTTATTCTACTTAAAGATATTATTTTTGAAGTCTATGTTTTGTCTTGTAATATAAACTGATTTCTTTCCAGATCTGATACATATCTGTCATTTTGGGATTTCTTTTCATTGGATTCCTGGTTAATTACGTCATCTTTCATCGTGCATCTTCTCTTGATTGTAACCCTCATTGGGCTGGAATATAGCTTCAAGAAACTTCTGAAGAATGAATCTATAGGAGGTAAATATTCTATAATAATTTGACTGGATATGAAGTTTAGTTTCCAAAAATTTGATCTCAGAATATTGGTGGCACTGTGCCATTGTTTTCTAGTGTTTCTGATGAGATCTGTGATAGAAGCCTGATTCTAGTCTTTTGAACATAGAGTTGCCAAATAAAATATATGATGCCAGCTAAGTTTAATTTTAACATAATTGACAAATAATTTTTAGTGTAAGTATTTACCCTGGAATGTGCAATATTTCAGGCATACTCATACCAATAAATTATTCATTATTTGTCTGAAGTTCAAATATGTGTGTTGTGTATTTTTTTTCCCTAAATCTGGCAATCCTATTTGAAGGTCAACCACTCTTCCTTCTCTAAATGACTTTTAGATCTTCTTACTACTCTTTCTGTTTTGAAATTTCTTACAGATGTGCTCAAATGTGGCTTTAAAAAAAAATCTATGCATCTCAGCACTGTTAGATCTTACAGTCTCTTTCAGCTCCAGGGAATTTTCTTCTATTACTTTCTTTAATAATTTTCTTCCCTTCATTTTATTAGTTTTCTAGAATTCTAATTAGCTTGATCTTGGGCCTTCTGAATTGCTTATATAAGTCTAGTCTTCTTATTTCTGTTTTGCATATCTATCTTTTTGTTTTATGTCCTGGAAATTTACTCAACTTTGTATCTTAAAGATTTGGTCATCAAAACTTTAATTTATAAGAATTCTTTATTGTTCTTTTAATTATAATTTTCTTGGAATCTTATCTTTAATTTATGGATGTGCCTGTTCTCATATCTCTTCAAAGATTTATGAGTTTTTCGTTTGTTTTGGCTTAAATTCTCATCCATTTCCTGAATTATTTTTGTTTTCTTTGAGGTCAGTTCTGATTATTTATCTCAGTCTTTGTTTTTCAGGCTTCTTATGTGTTTGGAGATCATTTATCCACATTTAGGAATAAAAAACAAGGTAAATAATTCTAGGCAATAGATAAGGTTTCCTTTGTTTTGTACTTGTCCCCTAAATAGAAAGGAAGACAAGAAGCCCTACATGTGCAGGTAGATTTTACCAGATTCTGATGAGTGGGAGTAAGTGACAGTACTTGGAGTCTTATATATGTGAAAATGAGTAGTGTTCTAACATTTTAATGCTAACTGGTCTAGCTCTTCCTAGGCAATTTGTCTATTTATTCTTTTTTAAGACAACAGACACATTTTCCCTTTCTAGGATTACAGCTGTGCTGTCTGCTGCTTTTAGGAGGGTGCACTTGCCCTCTTACCTGGTTGTTCTCTGGACAGAGTTTTGATTTATGCTCTGGTTTTTTTTTTTTTTTTTTTTTTTTGGTTTCCATTCTCATTCGTACATTTGCCTTCCTGCTGATTCTAAGTCTGGAATGTAATTTACTCTTGCAAATATTTTGGCCTGCAAATTCTTTAGCTTTGTTCCGTCTGCTTTTTGTTGTCCAGAAATTTATTGGAATCATGAATCTGTCAGTGATACCCTCTCATTTTCCTCACTATTATGGGTTTAGTGTTTTAAGATAATTCTCAGGGAATATTGGGAGGGAGAGAAGACAAATGCATGTACTCAGCCTACAATCTTGAACCAGAAGTTCCATCCTTTAATCTACTGTCTATCATTTTATCATGAATGTCTTATGATGAAAATATTTTATATCTGCATGGGTGAATTTTAGCTGCAAAACACACTTACGTGTACTCTCATTTATTCCTCAGAAGTTGGAACACATATTTTTCTTATACATTTTTGAAAATAATGAAATGACAAAGTATATGTGAATGTGCCTGGCACACTACCTAGGACAGAATGGCTGCACAATAAATATTATGTTTCCTTTATTATTTTATTTTCACAATGTAGAGTTCAAGCACATTTCTGTAATATTGATATGAAGACATATTTGGATATGTGTTGCTTGAAAAAGATATAAAAACAGTTACCCCTACCTTGCGATTAGAAGTAATTTTTTCATTAAACTTTATTATAAGCTTAATGAGAAAATTCTCAGAAAACATTTGGAGTTCAGAGATAGAACTCACTGCAAAATTGATGACATTCTTTACATTATTGTAGCTAACACTGTTAAAAATTTTAATACAGTGATATAGCTATGGGTTTATTCAACTATAGAGTTATTAAGTCATGAAAATGCCACGATTATTATAATCCATAGATGCGATCTCTGAAGATCAGAGGAGTTAAGATGTTTTCCCAGCATTACATAGTGCATAAGTCATGGAGCCAAAACTCAAACCCAAATCTTTTGACTTCAAACCAGTGCTCTTTTTGCCACAGCACAGATTCACAGGCTTTTAAAAGGAAATGCAATGCATAAAGCTGAGATTTTTTTATCTTATAAATATTAATACCTATTAATAATGTTTCATTTGCAGTGAAATTGTACGCTTTAACAAGCCAAGTCATCAATGGTGAGATGCAGTTCTATGCCAGAGCTAAACTTTTCTACCAAGAAGTACCAGCCACAGAAGAGGGTATGATGGGAAATTTCATTGAACTGTCCAGCCCAGACATCCAGGCCTCTCAGAAATTTCTTAGGAAATTTGTTGGGGTGAGTTATTCAACTGCAGCTTGATGAGAAGGCAAAGTCCTTGCAAACATTGAGCTCGCATGCCTCTGTGTTGTTATTTAAGTCACGACTAAGCCATATGACCCAGCCAAGAGTTCTGCCGCCTGCAAGCCGGTTTTAAGATGTTCAGAAAGGATGAACCATTTTTGATATGATAAATATAATAACACTGTCTTACCCTCCCACTTGGCATTTCACTGTCCTATCACCAACTAATCTTACATGCTTCAGAGGAAGGTGAATTAGCAGTGTTGATATAAAATTTGGGAATAAAGAAGACATCTCTTTTAGAGTCTCATAAACGTTTCATACCCAAATGATTGATGACAGATCATGCCTTTTGGGATCTTGGGTTGACTTATTGATTCCCTGTAATAAAAATGAGATGTTGGCCTGGCTAACACAGTCAAACCCTGTCTCTACTAAAAATACAAAAAATTAGCTGGGCGTGGTGGCGGGCGCCTGTAGTCCCAGCTACTTGGGAGGCTGAGGCAGGAGAATGGCGTGAACCTGGGAGGCAGAGCTTGCAGTGAGCCGAGATCACGCCACTGCACTCCAGCCTGGGTGACAGGTGAGACTCCGTCTAAAAAAAAAAAAAAAGTTAGAAGGAAATACATGATTATGTTCAGTTTAAAAACAATGAAGGTAGAATATTTTTATACTATTTTATACATAGTTTTGATTTTACCTTGAAAGAATGGTATCCTTTTGTAGTCCTGCATTGGGTCAACCCCTATTACTTCCTTACTGTCATGTCATATGAAGACAGACAGTATATTGTAGGGGTCAAAATTTTGGCCTTTATGTCTATCGTGGTTCTTCTGCTTAATGTATAAGCAACTTTGAGCTTGTTACTTAAATGCACCAAGTGTCAGTTTTCTCTCTTGTGACTAGGGCATGACAATAGAAGCTACTTCACAGGATAATGTGGAGATCTAATGAGATAATACATGTCAGGTACCTGCTTTAGTGCACAAAATTAGTACCCAATAAATCTAATTTATTGCTATTACTACTACTAACAGGCTTTCATATAATGTATTCATTGTATTTTAAGGAACTTCATTTAGTTGTTAGAAAAGACTTAATCCCCAAGAAAGGCTGGGTATGGTGGCTCATGCCTGTAATCCCAGCACTTTATGAGGCTGAGGTGGGTGAATCACGAGGTCAGAGTTTGAGACCAGCCTGGCCAATATGGTGAAACCCTGTCTCTACTAAAAATACAAAAATTAGCCGGGCGTGGTGTTGCGCGCCTGTAGTCCCAGCTACTGGGGAGGCTGAGGCAGAAGAATCGCTTGAACCCAGGAGGCGGAGATTGCAGTGAGCTGAGACCGTGCCAGTGCATTCCAGCCTGGGTGGCACAGCGAGACTCCATCTCAAACAAACGAACACACAAACAAACAAACAAAGCAAAGCAAAGCAACAACAGAAAAGACTTAAACCCCAAGATAAAGCTGCTGTTAGTTCTATTAAAGATGAAAAGTTCTAATTGGTAACAGGTTTTGTTCCAATACATTACAAAGTCATTGGTTTGAGATTTGGTGCCCATTTTATTCTGATAAAGGAAACATAAACATTAGGCCGTGGGGTTAGGCCATCAACCGATTTAGTAGCAAAACATTAATATCTCTAGTATTGAGGTGAGGTTCACTTCAAATCCAATCTTCCTGGAGCACCCAGTGTGTGAGTCCAGAGAGTGACAGTAGATAAAAATGTGATCAGGATGATGTATTTACTGGGGCCAAAGTGTCTGGACATCAGCTTCAGCCATAAAGGACTAGAGAGTCTAGGAATGAAGACTGTGGATATTTATAGGTTAGGTTAACTTGGAGTATTTCTAAATCAGTGCTGCTGACTGGTTTCACTGAATGCTGGTTCTGAGAGAGTCAATCTGCTAAGCGCTTTAGAAGCGTTGTCTCATTTACTCTTCATGCCAATTCTTGGAGGTAAGTGCTATTATTAGCTCTGTTTCTATAGTTGTGGAAACTGAGGCTTGAAGAGGTTAAATAAGTTGTCAAGATTACACAGCTGGTAAGAGACAGAACAGTGAATTAAGCCCAGCCAGGTCTGCCTGACACCAAACTCTCTGCTCTTAACCATGACATATTTTTTCCATTTGTCTCATGAAACTGAAAAAATCCCTGCTTTATTTATTTATTTATTTATTTATTTATTTATTTACTTTTTTGGTGGACCATAGACCTCGACTCTCCTCCAGTCTGGCTGAAAGCAATCCCTCCTGCTTGCCTCGTGGTGAGGCCGACTTTGATCCCAAAGTATTTCAGAAGCTTAGTTAGTAATCCAGCTGTCTTGTCACTCCGTGTGGAATGCCAAGCTGACCACAGGGATGCTGGTCAGACAGAGCCCATAAGCACGCCCACAGACCTGGGAAAGGAAACAGCCTTGCGCTAGCATATTTATGTTGGAAAAGAGGCAGCCTGCTCCTTTGAAACAAATATAAGGAGTCCTTCTTAGTACACAAGGCTCATTGTAAAGCTGTGACTTCTAAGTACAAATGCAGTCCTTTTTAAGGACTGATATTTTGGTACTTTGACCTTCATACTGTAATCTACTAGATTAGTATTCAGGTCAAGATACAAAGAGTTAGGGAATACGAGTATCTGACATGACTTATTCTTGTGTCAACTGCGAAAAGAAGATTGTTTAATTTAAAGTTTTGTTTTCCTTTCAACACTTAATGACATGAGACAGTGGGAAAAGGTGTTTAAACTAGTTGCAAATGTATTTACTTTAGCAAATAAACAAATGATACCAAGATGATGTCAATGCCATAGTTGATAACTTTCCTGTTTTAGCTTTCTAGTGGGAGAAAGTAGTAATTCATAAAAACCCCTCAGTATTTTTTTGACAGTATTTATTTTTTGACATTTCTCAAAGATTGGATAGCTAAAAAATCTGGGTCTACTAACTTGTTATATTTTATAGTTTTTACACAGTGACATGAGGTCCTTTCATTTTAGTTTTTTAACTCCACTGGATAAACCTAAAATAATGTTCTTCAAAACAAAATACATAGGCAGAATCAAAACTAAACTGAAATTCCTAATAGTGTTTTACTAGTTTATATGGATTCATAAGTATAAACATGGCATAATAAATGAAAATCAAAATAACCAAATGGGTTCACACCTGTAATCCCATCACTTTGGGACGCTGAGGCGGGTGGCTCACCTGAGGTCAGGAGTTCCAGACCAGGCTGGCCAACATGGTAAAACCCCATTTCTACTAAAAATACAAAAATCAGTGGTGTGTGATAGTGCACACCTGTAATCTGAGCTACTCGGGATGCTGAGGCAGGAGAATCACTTGAACCCGGGAGGTGGAGGTTGCAGTGAGCTGAGATCGTGCCACTGCACTCCAGGCTGGGTGACAGAATGAGACTCTATCTCAAAAAAAAAAAAAAAAAAAAAAGACCGTCTTGTTTTGAAATCACACATCGCATGTAGTTCTAGTCATATTCATTCAAGGGCATCAGATTTTAATAAAATCACAGTTTCAGGCAGCCATGGTGTCCAATAAAGTTCATGGTGCTTTATTGTTCCAGGATTCTACTTCTGAAACCACTTACTACACTAATGAGAGCAGCATGACCAATAGAGGCTTTTAAGGCCAAGTAATAAAAAGAAAAATTTGAAATGAGACGCTCTTATTGAGCATACACATTTTAGTAGTCATTTCTAATAATGACATAATTTCTCCATATACTGCTCATCTTTTTGTTATGAATTTACTTAGAAGATGCTTCTTTCACAGCATTCATGCCTAGGCCTTTTTCTGAATTAGTTTAGTCTAAATTATATTTGAATGTGACATGTGGCATAGTGTAAGTAAAAATGGCAAACACATGGCAGTATATTACCACTTCCCCTTCTCATGCTTGAGGCAGACATCACTAATCAATCATAGATCTCTTTTCTGCTGAGTCTAAATGAAGCCTTATAATTCTTTTTAACATAGCATTAGACAGATATTACCAAGGGAATCAGAGGTGACATCCCTAATGGAGAACTGGCTTTGGATTCAGACCGTTCCTGTTCAAATTCTAATTCTGCCATTAGCTATGAAATATTAGAAATCTGAGTTTTCTCATCTCCAAAATGAGGATAATAATCTATATTGTGGAGTTTTCTTATTATAATTACTATAGCTAAGAGCTTGCTGTGTATAAATAATAATTGTGGCTATTATTATTCCATTTGGAAAGAAGTTACAATTCCTTCACTTTTTGTTCTTCATTGTACTTTTCTAGCATAACGAAGGCCATTTGGGTGGACTGGAAAGCTGCTTTTCTGATGTTTCCCTCTGTTTGTATTTTACCTTTGATCCTTAGCCAATTTTTTTTTTATTCTTAGTTCCTGAGAAATCAAGAGTAGGCTTTTCCCTTAAGATCTTGATTGGCAACTTCAAGTATCTTGTTACTGTAATTTCTAGCACAAAACCGCTTCAGCAGCCATCCCAATTATGACCAAATAATTTAGACCATCTGAATCTTCATAAATCAGAAAAGTTTTTTAAATTTTATGGAAGCAAGTTTGAGAAAGTTTGCGTAGGCTGATTTCTCCCTACCTCCACCACCTTGCCATCCCCTCACTCCCAGTTAATTTAATGCACAGACCTACTTAAAAAAACAGTTTTAGAGTTTTATGCCCAATAAATCATGTAGTTTCTGGTACCAAAAAAACCCAGAAAACAATGTTTAGCATTAAAAGACACAAGGAAACTTTGCCAAAACTACCCTTTATCCATGTGAACTTGCTGTGTGCCATCAGGGCTGTATTTGAAATAAAATTCTGGCCTGAGAATGGAACAGTTAGCATTGTTCACCTCAGGTTCCCAAACTTACCATCCACCTAAGAGGAGTAGATAATTCAGAGCCTTCAAAATTTGCCTAGAAAAGATAAAATTCAAGTATTCCAAACTGAAATGTTTCCATTGAATGAATCTTTAATTTTAAAACTCAGAAAGGTTCTCACTGTTTGGTTCTTTTTTGCTTTTCTGTAGTGTAATAATCTGTAGGCAACAATCTGTAGTGTAGAACCATTTACCTGTGGATTTGTCTCAAATTTAGTCATTAAAGTTTTATCTTCATAGGGCTAGCAATGGCTCATTTTTTTTTTTTTTGGAGAAAATTACCAAGTGTTTAAACCTAAGATATTATTTTTTTAAATCTCATTTATAATTCTTTTTTTGGATAAATAAAGAAAGCAGGACTAGAAATGTTTAGCTGTTTTTTGAAAAGATAATTGTATATCTTGATTGTGGTAGTAGGTGCATGGCTATTCACATTTGTCCAAAATCATCAAATTGTACACAAGAAATGGTACATTTCATTTCATAAAATTTACCTAATAAAGTTGATTTAAAGAGGTAACTAGGGTGTGCAATTTTCTTTCTTTTTTTTTTTTTTCTTTTTTTTTTTTTTTTTGAGACGGAGTCTCGCTCTGTGGCCCAGGCGGGAGTGCAGTGGCGCAATCTCGGCTCACTGCAAGCTCCGCTTCCAGGGTTCACGCCATTCTCCTGCCTCAGCCTCCCGAGTAGCTGGGACTACAGGCGCCCACCATCACGCCCGGCTAATTTTTTTTGTATTTTTAGTAGAGACGGGGTTTCACCGTGTTAGCCAGGATGGTCTCGATCTCTTGACCTCGTGATCCGCCCGCCTCGGCCTCCCAAAGTGCTGGGATTACAAGCGTGAGCCACCGCGCCCGGCCTGGGTGTGCAATTTTCAAGGATGGGTCTCTGTACTTGAAATATCAAGGTGCCTTTCTGCAGGGGCCTGGGAGAGCTGGAACAGACTGCGCCTTGGACTGCGGCTCCGGGATAGGAAGGGTCAGCAAACACGTCTTATTGCCTGTTTTCAACAGTGTGGAGCTGGTGGATATGATGGAATCCTTTCTCCTTGAAGCCCAGAACTACCTGCAGGTCAAAGGTGACAAAGTAGAAAGCTACCACTGCTACAGCCTGCAGGAATTCACACCCCCCTTCAGGAGATATGATGTCATCTGGATTCAGTGGGTCTCTGGTTAGTCCTGCATGACTTTCCCTCTGCTTTTCTCCCCTTCTCAGCCAGAGAAGACAGTCCTTGGGGCTAATGAGGGCACCAGGGAAGAGTTAGCTGTAGTACTTCAAGCAGTTAGCTAGCCTTAGGTGTCATGTGAACTCCCACAAAACTCTGATCCTCCAGATTTCTCCCTTGACATTTTCTGTACAATAAATTTACATTTCTTGGAGGATTTACGTTGGTTCTCGAACCAACTTAAATGGAGCAAGTGCCTTTGGACCAACCTAAATCCTCGAAGAAATGTAAATACTTGAAAAAATTTCAAAAGTGCAGTCAAAAAGGTTAATCCCCATTTATTGGCAGAACTAGACATTCTTAGATTTAAATCCCCAGGAAATGAGACAGCAGTGAATTTGATTTTGGGGTGTGTGTGTGAGACACAAAGAAGTGGTAATAGAGGGGGTTCTCCAGGGGACATGGAGGGACTTGTGGGGTAGACAATAACTTATCTCATGCCTATGAGGTCGACAGGCTAGGTAGGATAATACATTTTATAGACGGGGACAGAGGCTTCTCTAAGAGGATATGTGTCCTCTTATCTAAATTTTCAAAGCCTCCTGTAACTAAATGAGGCTATTAAATCATGAATGAGTGAACAAATGGTCTCCTGATTCTTAGCCATGTTCTTCCCTACTCACCTTCCATCCTCCCCACCATTTCTTCCTGTTCCCCCATCCACTTGGTCTCCCTTGTAGGGCACCTGACTGATAAGGACCTTCTTGCATTTCTTTCCCGGTGCCGAGATGGCCTGAAAGAAAATGGCATCATCATATTGAAGGACAATGTGGCCCGGGAGGGCTGTATCCTTGATCTCTCTGACAGCAGTGTGACTCGGGACATGGACATCCTCCGGAGCCTAATAAGGAAGAGTGGGCTGGTGGTGCTGGGCCAGGAGAAGCAGGATGGCTTCCCAGAGCAGTGCATCCCCGTGTGGATGTTCGCACTGCACAGCGACAGACACTCCTGAAAAAGCAGTGGGAATGAACGACTGGACTGGGCAGTGGTGCTTTGGGATGGGGTTGCTATCCTTCCAGGTGCCCCTTGTAATGCAGATAGGGATGGCAAGAAAAGGGATACAACATATGTCTGCAAATTATTTGTGATATAATATGTACATGTTTTCAGTGATTATATAATGCACACACTCTGATGAGACATGCACAAATTCTGTGGATTTTCTGAAAAAAAAATGGAGTGAAATATCAGGAAACGTGCTTTAAATCCGTTTGTATGTATCTAAACTGTGCAAGCGTGCATGAAAACAGAAGGCATAAAGGACAGCTGGCCTGCATCAGTATTTGTAAAAATTGTCTTTCACAACATCCTAGACAAAAATGGTGGTTTTTTTTTTGTTTTTCCATCACAAGATGAAATCAGCATTCTGTGCATCAAGGAAAACAAATAATTTAGCTTTGGGGGTTGTTCAGATAAAGCATTTGTCTACTCAAACAAAAAAAAAAAAAAGAAAAAGAAACAATGCCCACATATTCCAAACTGTCTTGTTCCCTGATAATTAGTATTATAGAGTATTCTGGTGGGGGTGGGGGTAGGAGAAAATCTACACTCCTTTCCCCGCCTTCATGTCAGCTACATTATACTTCCTCTTTGGTACTACTACTTCTCTTGAACAAACATCTCCCTCTAATTAAGAAGACACTAGTCAAAATAATCTTGTGAAAACAAGTCCATTATTTAATTTTCTCTTTAGCCTTTCTCTTGGCAGAAAAGGTATTTGGTTTCACTTTCTATTTTGGGTCAGTTTTACTACCCAATGATGTAATATGGATGTAATTTGATAACAGAAGTCTGCATTACAGTGATGGGAAGTATCTCCTTTCAGGAGAAAATGTTGTGCCCTGAAATTTCAACCTTTAACATATAAGTAAATGTCATTGATAATCTAATTTTAGTCTTTGCTTTTCAACATGGCTTGGTTCATTGCAGCTGCTCCTGGGGTCTTGATTGATATGAATGTATATTGGAAAGAGAAGCAGCAAAAGAAATGGACAAGGAAATGATAACCCTGAAAATTGACTAGCTGGACATTGGTTTAATTAAAAATAATCTAAAATCATTCAAAAAATGTAATTCAATTTTTATTAGCAGAATGCTAAATATAACTGCTGTTGTCTTTAAAACACTTCAACATCCTTCACAGGGAAGCACATTTGTGCTTGATATGTATTGAGTCTTCCATGAAATGCAAATAATCAATTTAAGTAAAGAAGACAGACTACATGGATATGCTATCATCATAAAATAGTATTTTCAGGTCACAGCTCTCATTTCAGAGGAAAACAATTTTGATAAAACATTTAATACATTGTTGTAGCTTTACCTTGGTAGTTTCATTTAGCGTGCTGGAAAATTATTTCACCTATTCTGCTCTTGGCATCTTACAGCTGTTGTATGTTACTCGCCATGCTCTAGGGTAGCGTGCCACTCAGAATCCGTGACAAGCAAGCCAGGGACCAGAGCTAAATCAAATGGTAAACCATTACCAAACAGTCTAAGTGCAGCAAAACAATGGTACTTATGTTTTAGGCCTTTGTAATTCTTAGAGCAAATTAGCAGAATCTTCTTTTTAGGCTCATCCTGGGAATTTTCTGTTTCTTTCACCAGTATCCTTAATTCTCTTAACCCTTGACTTTCTGCTTTGCCAATATTCACAAGCTGATTGACACAGTTGTCAATATTCTCTGCTATGGGCTTCTGAGCTTATGGAGGGAATGACATAATTTTCCTGTAGATACTGATATATGATTTTCAACTCAGCTGGGTCATTGAGGTTGATCATCATTCCCCTTTCTCATCCTAAATCACATATTATTCTCCTTAGAAATTTTTCAGATTTTTATTGCTCTATACAATTTCCCAATTCCATATCTATGCTTAACTTAACTGAGAAAGTAGACATTGGGAGTAAATAGTATCATCACCCCCTCTCCCCTGACCTGGCTTTATATTGTTAATAACGGGTACAAGGCAAAGGGTGGCTTGAGAGAAGTTGGAGCCAGATCCTGCACACTATAGGTCATGTTAAGGTTTGGACATGTTACTCAAAGAACAAGTGGAAGTTCTTGAAGGGTGCAAGTAAAGGACTGATTTTTCTGCCTTTGGGAGTAGAGTCGTAGAAACTGTGGAAAGAAGACATTTAGAGTGAGACCTACTCCAGTCCTCTTTAATCTAATTGAGTAAGCCAAACACACTGCTCATGTTTATCAACACATCTGAAAGCTAGTGATGCAAATGACAACCTATATTATTTCCCAAATACTGGTCCATAGTCCAGCTGCCTCAGAATCACTTGGAGGTGACTTATAAATAGAGATTCTCAAACTTGATCCCCGTGATATATGGTTCTGTTAAGTTGGTCACTGAATCTGATCACTAGTTTTGTTTGAGGACACTGATGGGAAAGAGGTGTGGAGCTGGGCTCCTCAGAACCACAGAAAGTAAGGCAAGGGAAGCAAAAGTACGGGCCAGGTTCAAGGGAAATCGCTGGATGATGAAATCCATTCTCCACATTGATGCCAGTCCTTCTAAAATATGAATCTGACTGTCTCATGTATAAACTTCCTTTTTCAAAACTTTTATTTTAGGTTTGGGGGTACACGTGAAGGTTTGTTACATAGGTAAACACATGTCACAGGGGTTTGTTGTACATATTGTTTCATCACTCAGGTATTAAGCCCAGTACCCAACAGTTACTTTTTCTGCTCCTCTCCGTCTTCCACCCTTGCTGCTCAAGTAGACCCCAGTGACTGTCGTTTCCTTCTTTGTGTTCATAAATTTTTATCATTTAGCTCCTACTTACAAGTGAGAACATGCAGTATTTGGTTTTCTGTTCCTGAGTTAGTTTGGTAAGGATAATAGCCTCCAACTCCATCTGTGTTCCTGGAAAATACATGATCTCATTCTTTTTTATGGCTGCATAGTATTCCACGGTGTATATGTACCACATTTTCTTTATTCAATCTGTCATTGATGGACATTTATGCTGATTCTACGTCTTTGCTATTGTGAATAGTGCTGCAGTGAACATTTTCATGCATGTTTCTTTATGTGACAGTGATTTATATTTCTCTTGGTGTGTACCCAGTAATGGGATTGCTGGGTGGAATGGTAGTTCTGCTTTTAGCTCTTTGAGGAATCGTCATACTGCTTTCCACAATGGTTGAATTAATTTACACTCCCATTAACAGTGTATAAATGTTCCTTTTTCTTTGCAACCTCACCAGCATCTGTTATTTTCTGACTTTTTAGTAATAGCCATTTTGACTGGTGTGAGATGGTATCTCATTGTGGTTTTGATTTGCATTTCTCTAATAATCAGTGATATGGAGCTTTTTTTCATGTGGTTCTTGGCCACATGTATGTCTCCTTTGAGAAGTGCCTGTTCATATCCGTTTGCCCATTTTTTTAATGGGGTTGTTTTTCTCTTGCAAATTTAAGTTCCTTACAGATGCCAGATATCAGATGTTTATCAGATGCATAGTTTGTAAATATTTTCTCCCATTCCGTAGGTTGTCTGTTTACTCTGTTGATAGTTTCTTTTGCTGTACAGAAGCTCTTAAGTTTAATTAGATCCCACTTGTCAATTTTTGCTTTTGTTGTGATTGCTTTTGGTGTGCTTTTCATGAAATCTTTGCTTGTTTCTATGTCCAGAATGGTATTACCTTGGTTGTCTTCCAGGATTTTTATAGTTTTGGGTTTTACATTTAAGTCTTTAATTCCTCTTGAGTTCATTTTTGTGTATGGTATAAGAAAGCAGTCCAGCTTCCATTTTTTGCTAATGGCTAACCAGTTATCCCAGCACCATTTATTAAATAGGGAGTCTTTTCCCCATTGCTCATTTTTGTTAGCTTTATTGAAGATCAGATGGTCATAGATATGAGGCCTTATTCCTGGGCTCTCTATTCTGCTCCATTGGTCTACGTGCCTGTTTTTGTACCAGTAACATGCTGTTTTGGTTACTCTAGCCTTGTAGTATAGTTTGAATTCGGGTAACATGATACCTCCAGCTTTGTTCTTTTTGCTTAGGATTGCCTTGGCAATTCAGGCTCTTTTTTGATTCCATATGAATTTTAAAATAGTTTCTTCTAGTTCTCCGAAGAATGTCTTTGGTAGCTTGATAGGAATAGCATTGAATCTGTTAATTATTTTGGGCAGTATAGCCATTTTAATGATATTGATTTTTTCTTTACATGAGCATGGAGTGTTTTTCCATTTGTTTGTGTCTTCTCTGATTTCTTTGAGCAGTATTTTGTAATTCTCATTGTAGAGATCTTTTACCTCCCTTGTTAGCTGTATTCCTAGGTATTTTATTCTTTTTGTGACATTTTTGAGTACGATTGCCTTCTGATTTGGATCTTGGTTTGGCTGTTGTTGGTGTATAGGAATGCTAGTGATTTTTATACATTGATTTTGTATCCTGAAACTTTGCTGAAGTTATTTATCAGCTGAAGGAGCTTCTGGGCTGAGACTATGGGGTTTTCTAGATATAGGAAATTCATAGCAATTCTAATTTCAGACAAAACGGATTTCAAACCAACAACGATAAAAAAAGACAAAGAAGGGCATTACATAATGGTAAAGAGTCCAATTCAGCAAAAGACCTAACTATCCTAAATATATATGCACCCAACACAGGAGCACCCAGATTCATAAAGCAAGTTCTTAGAGACCCACAAACAGATATAGATTCCCACACAATAATGGTGGGAGACTTCAACACTCCACTGACAATGTGAGATGATGAAGCCTGAAAATTAACAAAGGTACTCGGCACCTAAACTCAACATTGGGTCAAATAGGTTTGATAGACCTTTACAGAACTCTCCACCCAAAACCAACAAAATATACAGTCTTCTCATTGCCAGATGGCACATACTCTAAAATCAACCACATAGTTGGACATAAAACAATTCTCAACAAATGTAAAAGAACTGAAATCATACCAAACACACTCTCAGACCACAGCACAATAAAAATAGAAGACTGAAAATTGCTCAAAACCATGCAATTACATGGAAATTAAACAACATACTCCTGAATGACTATTGGGTAAATAATGAAATTAAGACCGAAATCATGACGTTCTTTGAAAATAATGAGAACAAAGATACAATATGTCAGAATCTCTGGGACACAGCTACGACAATGTTAAGAGGGAAATTCATAGCACTAAATGTCCACATCAGAAAGTTAGAAAGATCTAAAATTAACAACCTAACTTCACAATGGAAAGAACTAGAGAAGTAAGAACAAATCAACCCCAATGGTAGCAGAAGATGAGAAATAACAAAAATAAGAGCTGAAATGAAGGAAATCAAAACATGAAAAAACATTCAAAGGATCAATGACTCCAAGAGTTGCTTTTTGTTTTGTTTTTCTGTTTTTGTTTTTTTTTTTTGTTTTTTGGAAAAAAATAAGAAAGGCCGGGCACAGTGCCTCATGCCTGTAATACCAGCACTTTGAGAGGCCGAGACAGGCGGATCACGAGGTCAGGAGATCGAGACCATCCTGGGTAACATGGTGAAACCCCGTCTCTACTAAAAATACAAAAAAATTAGCCGGGCGCGGTGGCGGGCGCCTGTAGTCCCAGCTACTCAGGAGGCTGAGGCAGGAGAATGGCATGAACCCGGGAGGCAGAGCTTGCAGTGAGCTGAGATTTGCAGTGAGCCAAAATTGTGCCACTGCACTCCAGCCTGGGCGACAGAGCAAGACTCCATCTCAAAAAAAACCAACAACAACAACAACAACAACAACAACAAAAAGACCACTAGCTAGACTAATAAAGAAGAAAAGAGAGAAGATCCAAATAAACACAATTAGAAATGATAAAGGAAATGTTACTACTGACCTCACAGATAAAAAAACAACCACCAGAGACTACTATGACCACATCTACACATACAGACTAGAAAACCTAAAACAGATGAATAAATTCCTGGACACATACACCCTCCCAAGACTGAGCAAGGAAGAAATTGATTCCCTGAACAGACCAATAATGAGCTCCGAAATTCAATCAGTAATAAATAGCCTACCAACCAAAAAAGGCCAGGACCTGAAGGACTCACAGCTGAATTCTATTAGATGTGCAAAGAAGAGCTGGTACCATTCCTACAGAAACTATTCTAAAAAATTGAGCAGAAAGGACTCCTTCCCAACTCATTCTATGAGGCTAGCATCATCTTAATGGTAAACTTTCAATGACTCTCCACCACCAAGAGGATGAATTTCTATCTCCTTAGAATGGCATATAAAGCCATTTGTGATTTGGCCCTGGCTTCCCTCTCCACTCCAGCAGCTGTACTTAAGTACTTGTAGGTCCCTTAGGGAGCCATAATTTGTGGCATTTTTACATGTTACTTCCTTGGCATATATATTTTATTTTATTTTTGTCAGGCCCACACCACTTAGATGTTGCTGACTCTAGTAAAGCTTCCCTTACTCCCCAGGTGCTGGGCTAAGTACCCCTATTCTGGGAACCCTTCTGCTTACCATATCACAGCACTTCCGTGACTTCATAATCGTCTGTTTACTTGCCATTTCCTCTATTAAATTCTGAGCTCCCTGATGGGAGTATTCATGGTTAGAGTCTCAGTCTCTATTACGGGCCCTAGTACACTTCAGGAACTCAAAAGCTTTGCTGATATAATGCAAGGTGATAAAAAAGTAGAAAGACTTGGGATAATCTTGATTTCTGAAGGCATCAAACGGGAATTAGAGAAAGCAGCAGGAAAAACGAAGGCCTTTTTAAGTTCCATGAGAACTACGGTTTGCAAGACTGGTCAAAACAGTACAATGCAAGCGGCAAGAATCAGGAAGTGCACAGAAACAAGAAGCTCGGTGCACACTGGGATCAGGCAAGCATCTGGGAGAAGACTGTAGCAAGACTGGATCCTGAGGTAAAATCCTGTCTAGTTATGAAATCTCATTCTCTCTCTCTCTCTCTTTTTTTTTTTTTTTTTTTGAGACGGAGTTTCACTCTTGTTGCCCAGGCTGGAGTGCAATGGCGCGATCTCGACTCACCCACCGCAACCTCCGCCTCCTGGGTTCAAGTGATTCTCCCGCCTCAGCTTCCCGAGTAGCTGGGATTACAGGCATGTGCCACCACGTCTGGCTAATTTTGTATTTTTAGTAGAGACACTGTTTCTCCATGTTGGTCAGGCTGGTCTCAAACTCCCAATCTAGGGTGATCTGCCCACCTCGGCCTCCCAAAGTGCTGGGATTACAGGTCTGAGCCACCGTGCCCGGCCCTCTCTTTTTTTTAAGAGGAGACAATCCGAGGATATGAGCAATCTGAAGTCCACAGTTTCATTAGGTGAGTGTGTAGACTTGATAAGAGAGATATGTTGAAATTGTGAGTAGGTTATATTAGTAACAAAATCCTCACTCATTTCCTGCTATGCAAGAGGTCAGAAGAAACTAACTAGGTTATAGATGACGTTAATCCTTCTGTGAATGTTGATTAGAAGGTGCTCACCTGATGTCACAGATGAGCTAATTGCAAACATGCCTGCAATCCTAGATGAACTTTGGAGGACCTCTTGATTTATATAGTGATTCATGAATGGGTGCACTCTTCATCTACCTCTCTTTTCGAGAACCTGAGCCACCACTCCTAAGCACTGGCATAGAAGCATGCAAAGTCTTAAAGCATCAGCAGTTTTATAGATTTGAGCCCATCATAAAAATATAAAACAAAGTGAATAAGGTCATCCATGTGAAAGATGATCTGCTTTGTATTATGGACACATTTTGGCCCCATCTTTATTTTTTTTTTCTCTCCACTATTTCCTGTAACTGGCCTGTTTTGAGTGATGTATTGGAGAGAAGGCCTGTGTCAGATATCTTCAGCTGCCTGTCATGAGTAATTAAAACCAGTCGTGTTATTGCTTTCCTTAGTTCCAGCTGACTCTTTGATGCTTTGGTGTCCATGCCAAAAAACTACCTCTTATAATCATCAGAGGCCAGTGTTTTTGCAGAGGTCACTGCAAGCTAATTAAGCAAATATGTGAAAAATAGTTTTAAAGTATCTCTATTAGTGGAGTGTGAGCATACATGTATTTAGAGTGGGGGTTGAAGAGAGACTTTTAAAACAATAGCTGACTTCCAGAACTAGTAATTTGGTGTCGGAGAACTACGTGTATATGGCACCTTTGTACATTCATTAAGTTGGCACAATTTGACCTTTTGTTGCATGACAGACACTGTATTAGTTTCAGCAAATAAACATATAGAAAATGTCTTAAAAGATCATGGGTCAGTAATGGGACATATAGATACATAAATGATAGTAATAATTCAGGATAAAATGGACTAAATGAGTGGTATGTACAAAAAGTTAAAAAAAATAGGTAAAAGAGTAACTCCATCTCTGGGATTTGAGGGAGGTTACAGAGATTCATTCATTCAACACATTTTTTGGTTTTGTTTTGTTTTGTTTTTTTGAGACAGAGTCTTGCTCTGTCGCCCAGGCTGGAGTGCAGTGACATGATCTTGGCTCACTGCAACATCCGCCTCCCATGTTCAAGTGATTCTCGTGCCCCAGCCTCCCAAGTAGCTGGGATTACAGGCATGTGGCTAATTTTTTGTATTTTTAGTAGAGACGGGGTTTCGCCATGTTGCCCAGGCTGGTGTCAAACTCCTGAGCTCAAGTGATCCACCTGCCTTGGCTTCCCAAAGTGCTGGGATTACAGGCATGAGCTATCGTGCCCAGACTCAACACATTTTTTAATGCCTACTATGTGCCAGGCACTGCTCAAGGATCTCAGGCTACATCAAGGAATAAAACCAAGGTCCCTGGCCTTGTAGAGCTTATACTCTAGGAGAGGTGGAGAGGTCATAAATATAAACAAGTAAATTATTTTTATGTTAGAAAGTGGTGTTGGGGGGAATAGAGTAGAAGAGGGGGATTGAAATTCATGGGGGGTTGTTTGTAACTTCAAAGAGTTGTTGGTATTGGCTTCATTGAAGAGGTGGCATTTGAGAAAAAAAATGCAAAGATGAGGGCATAAGCCATGTTGATATCTGGGGAAAAAGGGAACAGCTAGTGCAATGCCCTAAGTCTTAAGTGTACCTGGCCCATTTGAGAGACAGCAAGAGGTCAGTGCAGCTGCAACAGTGAATGAGGGAAAGAGTGTAGTCATATATGAGGTTCAAGGATATGACTCGGGCAAGATTATGTAGGATCTTGTAGGTCATTGAAACGACTTTCACTTTTATTCTGAGAAGGGGAGCATTGCAGAGAAGTGACATATGACTTGTGTCTTAAAAAGATTCCTCGCTTCTGTGTCAAGAAATGATAACTGGGGTAAGAATAGAAGCAAGGAGACCAGTTAGACCAGGACTTGGTAAACTGTGGTTCATGATCCAAATCTGGCTTATTGCTTTTTGTGAATAAACTTTTATTGGGACATAGCCAGGCCCATTTGCATTACCATAATAGAGGTGAGTAGTTGCCACAAGGACTGTATGGCCCATGAAACGAAGAAATACTTACTGTATCACTCCCTATGAAAAACGTTGCTGTCCCCTATGTTAGAATATTGCTGCATTTCAGGAGAGAGGTGATGGTGGCTCAGACCAGGGTGTACCACCGAAAGTAGTGAGAAGTGTTTGGGTTCTGCATATATACAAAATTAAAACCAACTAGATTTGCTGAATGATTGGGTGGGAGGGTGTAATAAAGGAAAAGTCAAAGATGAGTGTCAAATGTTTGGCCTGAACTACCAGGAGAACATAGTTTCTATCATTTGAGATGGGGGAAGTTGGTGGTAAAACAGTTTTCATGGTGAAAGAAGATCAAGAATTAGAGCAGCTTAAACTCAACCTTGGTGAGTGTTGGGATGACACCAAGTGAAAATGTTGAGGAGCCAATTGAATATGCAAATCTAAGTTCAGAAGAGACTACTAGGCTGAAGATGGAATATTGGGAGCCATCAGCATAGAGTTGATATTTAAGGTCATGATTCTGGATGAGATTACCAAAGGAATGAGTAAACACAGAGAAAAGAACAAAGGATGAATCCTAGAACTCATAATCATGAAGTTTGGGAAGAAAAGGAAAAACCATTAAAGGATACTAAGGAGGAATGACCAATAAAGTAGACCAGTAAATTAAATCAAGAGTAGGGTGTTCTGGAAGCCAAATGAAGAAAGTTTATCCAGGAGGACAGAGGAATCAAATATATCAAATATTTCTGATAAGTCAAATAAGAAGAGAACTGATAATTGACTATTGCAATTTTGGTAGACTAGGTAGGACCAAAAATTGGATTGGAATAGATATAATTAAGTTTGGAAAGAGAAGAATTAGAGAGAAGGAGTACAGAAAACTCTTTCAAGGAGTTTTTGCTGGAAAGGGAGACAAATTTGCAAAAGAATAAGGCAATTTCAGGCAAGGGAAGTAGGATTAAGAGAAAGATTCTTGTTTTTAAGATGGAAGAAATAATTTTTCATATAATTTCAACTTTTATTTTAGAGTCAGGGGTATATGTGCAGGTTTGTTATATGGATATATTGGGTGATGCTGACGTTTGGGGTATGATTGATTCTGTCACCCAGGTAGTGAGCATAGTACTCAATAGGTTTTTGACCCTTGCCTACCTCTCTTCTTTCCACCCTAGGAGTCCCCAGTGTCTACTGTTGCCATCTTTATGTCTATGACCACCCAATGCATAGCTTTCACTTACAAGTGAGAACATGTGGTATTTGTTTTTCTGTTCCTGAATTAATTCACTTAGGATGATGGCCTCCAGCTGCATCCATGTTGCAGCAAAGGACATAAGTTCATTCTTTTTTATGACCATGTATTATTTGATGGTGTATATGTACCACATTTTATTTATCCAATCCACTATTGATGGACACCTAGGTTGATTCCATGTCTTTGCTATTGTGAATATTGCTGCAATGAACATACACATGCATGTGTGTTTTTGGTAGAATGATTTATTTTCCTTTGGGTATATAGCCAGTAATGGGATTATTGGGTGGAACGGTTGTTTCATTTTAAGTTCTTTGAGAAATTTCCAAACTTCTTTCCACAGTGGCTGAACTAATTTACATTATTTCCAGCAGTGTATAAGCATTCCTTTTTCTCTGCAGCCTCATTAGTGTCTGTCGTTTTTTGACTTTTTAATAACAGCCATTCTATCTGGTGTCAGATGGTATCTCATTGTGGCATTGACTTGCGTTTCTCTGATGATTAGTGATGTTGAGCATTTTTTCATGTTTGTTGGTTTGTTTTCTTTTGAGAAGTGTCTGTTCATGTCTTTTGCCCACTTTTTAATGAGGTTATTTATTTTTTGCTTATTGAATTGTTTAAGTTCCTTGTAGATCCTGGATATTAGAACTTCATCATATGCATATTGTGAATGTTTTCACTCATTCTGTAGGTTGTCTGTTTATTTTGTTAATGGTTTCTTTGGCTATGCAGAAGCTCTTTAGTTTAATTAGGTCCCACTTGTCAAATTTTGTTTTTGTTGCAATTGCTTTTGAGGACTTAGTCATAAATTATTTCCAAGGCCAATGTCCAGAGTGGTATTTCCTAGGTTTTCTTCTAGGGTTCTTATAGTTTGAGGTGAAGGTGGAAGAAATAATTTAATCGTGTGTATGTATTTTGATGGGAAAGATTTGATAGAGATGGAGAAATTAATGATTTAAGAAAGGAATTGCTAGAGTAATGTCATTGAGTAGTTAAGAGAAGATAGAATCTGGTTTGCAAATGGGAGGATTGAATTTTAAATAGGAACATGGATAAATAAATCCTCCCTAGAAGCAGGTGGGAGTTTATGTGTGCAGATTCTGGAGGGGGTGGTGGGAGTCTATGGAAATCTTTTTTTACTGCTTTAATTTTCTAAGTGAAGTAGAAAAAAAAGATCATTATCTGAGAGTAAAGATTGAGATGGTGTATTGTGGGTTTGAGAAGAGAGGAGAAAGAACAAAATAGCCATCAAGTATACGGTAGAATGAATGGATTGGAAAAGTATAGTATGATCATCAAGCAACAGACAGGCTAACTTAAGGTTCATAATCTTGTGCATTTGTCTTCAGCTCATTCTTTTGCATGGTTGTAGGCACAATGATAAATTTAAGCAGGGTTGTGATTTTTTCAAGTGCGTATAGCAGGGACAAGGAATTGAGAGTGTATACAAATGAGTGAATATGTTAATTAACCATGGAATTTAAGATGAGTAAGTATGAAAGAGAGGATATTAATGAGGTTACAGACAGTGAAAAGACAGGAAGAGGAATGGATTGGAGATCCTGGTGAAATTGGAATTGAGGAATTAGAGGGAATAAAGTGATAGATGGAAGTTATGGTCAGAGAATGGGATAAACTAAATTGAGATTATACAGGGATTATTGGTGATGAGAAGGTCTAGGGTTCTAAACATATAAACATATGGCTGAGGTAGTATGAGGGTTGGATCACTGAAAAAGAGGAGTTTAGCAAACTGAGAGGCTAGAGTGTTAGACGGAATCTCTAATGGGTGTATTGCAATCATCCAAGAATCAAGACATAAGTGGTATTGGATAGGGTGAAAGTGAACCAAGCATTAAAATCAGTGGGAAATAAAGGGGTATTACCTGGGGGCTGGTTGGTGACATAAACAATGAGGGATAATGGGTAATATGATTTATATGAGATTAACCCCTAGAGTACTTAGTGAGGAGAGAAAGAAAGAGAATAGTTTGGAAATAGCAATGAGGAGCAAATGTGAACCTACTGCACATATGATTTAAATTTTTACATGGGACTCCAAGGATAAGTGGATAAGGGAGGTAGAGTCTGGGGAAAGAATATTTCAGGCATAGGGAAATCATTGGGCATTTAATTGCATGTGAAAAGACATGTAATTTAAGATATGGTGAATATATCCACATGGCTGCATTATCAAGTGGAAGCATGGTGGTTACAGATGTAGAGAGATCTGGACATGGTAAAGCAAGATGGAAGAAAACGAAGTTGCTGAGACTAGCTAGGTTGGGGCAGATTGTGCAAAGAGACTATCTAAGGTTTTTAGTCAGGGCACTGATCTCATCAGATTATTTCACAAAAATAAATCTTGCTACAGTGTAGAAAGAGAGGTAGAGGCAAAGAAGGCAACTAGAAAGCTACAGCAATAATGAAAACTACAGGTAGAAGGGTTTGAACTTAGGCTGTTCAAGGGATAGAGGAAACATTGGGAAGGGAAAATCAACAGGAGCTGGTGATTGTTTGAATGTGGTTAGTGAGGCAAAGAAGGGAATCAAGGAAGATTTGAAGGTTTTTGACTATAGCCACTGGGTAAAATATATTACCTTTTACTAGTTTAGGGAATAAAGGAGAACAACTAAGATGGACTGACAGATTATACATCTTTTAATAGGCAATAACATCGCAGAGCCCTAAGGCATACACCTTATTCTCTAGATAGATGTTTATTTATTTCACGCAACTAGACATTCCTTAAAGTATCTTCAACACTGGTGAGGATTCCAAGAGATATTTTCAACACTGGTGAGGATTCCAAGAGACCAATCGTATTCTTTTATCTAAATGATTTAGTCAATTTAGAAATAGACTTGAGGACCAAGGATCACATATTACTTTACTATATATAAAGCAAAGTTGGAGAATGCATCTTGGATCGGCATTCCAAACTTTCTTCCTCCCACATCCTACCTCTTCCTACCTCACAAGTCTAGATCTTGGGATATGATTACCCCTGCCTGTCTGCTGCACCCCATCCCCTCTCCAAAACAAAATAGTCTAGTGTGATGGGTTAATATTTGCCAAGACAGATACAAAGAGATCTGCAATCTCCCTTGATCCAGGGAGAATGGATGGCCCTGACAGGAAAGGAGAAAATGATTGCCACATCTTTATGCCTTCTTTCCACAGTGAAACAGGAGCAAGCAAAAAGACCACAGCTTGCTTTGTGAGTCTAATCACTTTTCCAAATCCTAATGAGAGGAGCACTACTTTGACTGTGGGAAGGAATGAGTAAGATATAGAAAAGGGACAGAAATGTCCCCTCTTCCCTTACTGATCTCTCCTGGAAGTGGAATGGAAATCTTTGCCTCTCTATGGAAATTGAGGAGTGGGGTAATAAGCACTTCCCTAGAAAGGAAAGAGTCCATGTTAGATGTAAGCAAACTGGCAATATAAGTGCAGGTAAGGTAGTCTAGTCATATGTGGCCCCTAAGTAGGGAAACATACCTCCCTGTGTACAAAATGTAGGGCCAGAGCACTCTAAGGGAAACAGAAGATAGAAGAGTCAGATAATACATTCAGAACAACAACAACAAAAAAAATCAAGGTCCTGGGAAAAGATGACTGAAGCTCAGTATATCAATTACATCAATGATTGGATCGCAGGTTGAGCTAGGTGAAAAGGGGAATGTTTATTATATGGATGCAAGGGTGATATAAAACTCAGTGGCAAGAATGCAGCCAGACCTTGGGATGCGACCAGAGATGAGAAAGCTGCTGGAAACCAGGAAATAGACTCTTCTATTCAAGCTTTGCTTTGCTCTGAACATATGCTTGAGTTTTCTCTTTCCTTGTGGGTGGCATTCTCTGCTCCCTAGTCCACATAACAGAAAACATGGGCACCCTCAGCTTCCCAGTTTGCATGTTCTGTATTCAGCCACAGGGAACGAATGATGGAGTGATGGACTATCTCTGTCTTGGTAGCCCTTGCCCTTGCTTTCAATTCCCATTTCACTGAGAATGGTCACCAACTGTTCTGGCAGAGTCTCACTTCTTCTCCTATCAATCAACTGTGGCCAGGGAGTAAGGTCACATTGTGCAATATGGTTGTGTCTCTCTCTTTCTGTCCACCCCCCACTCTCAGAGGCCTTTGAACCAAAGCAACTCCATCTTGAATAGGAGCTGGGCAAAATATTGCTGAGATCTACTGGCTGCATTCCCAAGCAGTTAAGGCATTCCCAGTCACAGGATGAAATAGGAGGTCAGCACAAAATACAGGTCATAAAGACGTTGCTGATAAAACAGGTTGCAGTAAGGAAGCTGGCTAAAACCCACCAAAAATCAAGATGGCAATGAGAGTGACCTCTGGTTTTCCTCACTGCTATGCTCCCACCAGCACCATGACAGTTTACAAATGCCATGGCAGCGTCAAGAAGTCACCCTCTATGGTGAGGCATGAAAAAGGGGAGGCATGAAAAATCCACCCCTTATTTAGCATATAATAAAGAAATAATCATAAAAATGGGCAACCAGCAGCCCTTGGGGGCTGCTCTGCCTATGGAATAGCCATGCTTTATTGCTTTGCTTTTTTAATAAACTCATTTTCAACTTACTCTATGGACTCTCCTTGAATTCTTTTTTTTTTTTTGAGATCCAAGAACCCTCTGTTGGGGTCTGGATTGAGACCCCTTTCTGGTAACACAGCTATGAGCTATAGGTGAGGAGCACATTTAAAGGAGGAGGCAAGCTGGGAAGGCACTCCAAAATTATCTTCAGTGCCTGAGTGTCTTCATAGTCTTCGTTGTCTTCAGTGACTAAGATCAGAAAACAATAAGAAAATTTAAATACATGTAATATGTCCATGCTATGCCCTAGAGATATACTTAAGCAGTCTCTTGAGAGGAATTCTTTAGAAGACTTTCTTGGGAAGTCAGTTCACACCTGCATTTGGAACCTTAGCAAGAATAAGAAGGCTGCAATTTTCCTGCACCTTTGGGTTAAATACGTGTACAGAAAGGATTTGGGTTATTGCAAGAAGAACGAAAGGATGTCCTGGAAGAATGTCTGATTCTCACCGCCTCTAGGAATATTTGTCAAGAAGGAAAAAGTAATGTGGCAGACAGGCCCTCTGTATCTACCAGATGTTCTTTGACAATATGTATTGTTAGAATGGAAATTTAAATTATGAGAACCAGGCCCATCAAACAATGAAATATCTAGTGACGTTTTGAGTCCTATTCTGTAGGCCTTTCTGAGTATTGCTCTGAGTCTATCCACTATTTATTTCTTTTTAAAAATCGTATGATTTAAGTTGAACACCATGCTATTTTGGTGTACATAGTGAAATTACTACAATGGGTGAGCAAATTAACATATCTGTTTATTGAAATGAAGTGTAAGTTTATCTCCGAGATACTGTTTGGCCTTTCCTTGGATCAGAAAGTACATGAGGAGAACTTTTCTCTGTCTCTTCCTCACTTCAGCCCTTTGGAATTTCCTTTCAAATGGTGGGAAAATAATAGTAATAAGCACTCAGTGAATGCTAAGTTCTTTACATCTGTGATTTTACTTAATTCTTTCAACAGCCCTGTGAGATAGGTGTTTGCACTTTATAAGTATAGAAACTGAGCCTTAGAGAGTTTAAGGAAATAGCCCAAGGTCATGTGACTGGTTAAAGGACCAATCACAAATTGGATCCCAGTGCTGCTGATATAAAAGTCTGTACTCTCAAAATAAACACCACAAATATGATGATGTCTGGGAAACATGAAAAGACTATATTTATAATAATTTATTTATATGACTCTGTTGTAAGAAGAGATGGATTGAAACATTTGATTGTATATGAGAAAAACTTGGAAGTAGATGAGCAAGTAGAGCTTCATAAACTTGATTTAGTAATTTTCCTGAGTGTACCTGAGTGAGGGTAATGGCTTTCCCCTTCACTCCCAACAAGATTCTTGTCCCACTCACTTATAATGTCAGAAGATTCTTCAGATTATTTTTTCTTTTCTTAAATTTTGATTATCTTTTATTAATACATAATATTTGTACATGTTTATGTGGTACATGTGATATTTTGTTACATGTATACAATGTGTAATGATCAATAATGGTATTTAGGATATCCATCACCTCTGTCATTTATCATTTCTTTATGTTGGGAACATTTTAAATCTTTCATTCTAGCTATTTTGAAATATACAATGTATTGTCATTAACTATAGTCACTGTCCTGTGCTATTGAACACTAGAATTTATTCCTTCAATTTAACTTTATGTTTGTACTCATTAACCAACCTCCCTTCATCACTCCCTCCCCAGCCTCTGGTAACTCTCATTCTACTCTCTACCTCTATGAAATCAGCTTTTTTTCTTTTATTTGCTCCCATATACAGGTGAGAACATGCAATATCTGTCTTTCTGTACTTGGCTTATGTCACTTAACATAATGACCTCCAGTTCCATCCAGGTTGCTGCAAATTACAGCATTTCATTCTTTAATATGGATAAATAGTATTCCATTGTGTACATACCACATTTTCTTTAACCATTTATTCACTGATGTACTATTAGGTTGATTACATATCTCGGCTATTGTTAATAATGCTGCAAAAAACATAGGGGTACAGGTATCCCTTTGGTATACTGCTTTTCTTTCCTTTGGATAAATATCTAGCAGCTGGAGTGCTGGATCTTATGGTATTTGTATTTTTAGGTGTTTTTTTTTTTAAGTTCAGGGGTACATGTGCAGGATGTGCAGGTTTGTTATATAGGTAAACGTGTGCCATGGTGGTTTGCTGCACCTAAGTGGTGTCGCATCACCTAGGTATTAAGTCCAACATCCATTAGCTATTATTCCTGATGCTCTCCCTCCTGGCTTCACACCCTCTGACAGGCCCTGGCGTGTATTGTTCCCTGTCATGTGTCCATGTGTTCTCATCATTCAGCTCCCACTTAGAAGTGAGAGCATGTAGTATTTGGTTTTCTGTTCCTGAGTTAGTTTGCTGAGGATAATGGTGTCTAATTCCATCCATGTCCCTGCAAAGGACATGATCTTGTTTCTTTTTATGGCTGCATAGTATTCCATGGTGTATATGTACCACATTTTCTTTATCAAGTCTATCATTGATGGACACTTAGGTTGATTCCATATCTTTGCTATTGTGAATAGTGCTGCAACGAACATACACGTGCATGCATCTTTGTAATAGAATGATTTATATTCCTTTGGGTATATACCCAGTAATGGGATTGCTGGGTTAAATAGTATTTCTGCCTCTAGGTCTTTGAGGAATCATCACACTGTCTTCCACAATGGTTGAACTAGTTTACAATCCCACCAACAATGTATAATTATTCCCTTTTTTCTGCAACCTCACCACCAGCATCTGTTGCTTTTTGACATTTTTTTTTGAGACAGGGTCTCACTCTGTCACTCAGGCTGGGGTGCAGTGGCATGATCTTGGCTCGTTGCAACCTCTGCCCCCTGGTCTCAAGTGATCCTCCTGCCTTAGCCTCCCAAGTAGTTGGGACCATAGACATGTGCCACCATATCTGGCTAATTTTTGTATTTTTTGTAGAGATAGAGTTTCAACATGTTTCCCAGGCTGGTCTTGAACTTCTGAGCTCAAGCAATCTGCCCACCTCATCCTCCCAAAGTGCTGGGACTACAAGTGTGAGCCACCGTATCCGGCCTTGACTTTTTAATAATAGTCATTCTGACTGGCATGAGATGGTATCTCATTGTGGTTTTGATTTGCATTTCTGTAATGATCAGTGATGTTGAGCTTTTTTTCATGTTTGTTTGTCCCACGTATGTCTTCTTTTGAGAAGTGTTTGTCCATGTCCTTTGCCCACTTTTTAATGGGGTTATTTGTTTTTTTCTCATAAATTTGTTTCAGTTCCTTGTAGATGCTAGATATTAGGATTTTGTCAGACGGATAGATTGCAAAAATTTTCTTCCATTCTGTAGGTTGTCTCTTCACCCTGATGATAGTTTCTTTTGCTGTGCTGAAGCTCTTTAGTTTCATTAGATTCCATTTGTCAATTTTTGCTTTTGTTGCAACTGCTTTTGGCATTTTCACCATGAAATCTTTGACTGTGTCTGTGTCCTAAATGGCATTGCCTAGATTTTCATCTAGGATTTTTATAGTTTTGCATTTTACCTTTAAGTCTTTAATCCATCTTGAGTTGATTTTTGTATATGATGTAAGGAAGGGGTCCTGTTTTAATTTTCTGCATATGGCTAGCCAGTTCTCCCAGCACCAATTATTAAATATTAAATCCTTTCCCTATTGCTTGTTTTTGTCAGGTTTGTTGAAGATCAGATGGTTGCAGCTGTGTGGTCTTATTTTTGGGTTCTCTGTTTTGTTCTAGTGTTCTATGTGTCTGTTCTTGTACCAGTTCCATGCTGTTTTGGTTACTGTAGTCCTGTAGTATAGTTTGAAGTCAGATATTGTGATGCCTCCAGCTTTGTTGTTTTTGCTTGGGATTGTCTTGGCTATTCAAGCTCTTTTTCATTTTCATATGAATTTTAAAATAGTTTTTCCTAATTCTGTGAAGAATGTCAACAGTAGTTTAATGGGAATAACATTGAATTTATAAATTGCTTTGGGCAGTATGGCTGTTTTCACAATACTGATTTTTCCTATCCATGAGCATGGAATGTTTTTCCATTTGTTTGTGTCACCTCTGATTTCTTTGAGCAGTGGTTTGTAGTTCTCCTTGAAGAGGTCCTTCGTTTCCCTTGTCAGTTTTACTCCTAGGCATCTTATTCTTTTTGTGGCAATTGTGAATGGGAGTTCATTCATGATTTGGCACTCTGCTTGCCTGTTGTTGGTGTATAGGAATGCTTGTAATTTCTGCACATTGCTTTTGTATCCTCAGACTTTGTTGAAGCATCAGAAGCTTTTAGGCTGAGACAATGGGGTTTTCTAGATATGGGATCATGTCATCTGCAAACAAAGATAGTTCGACTTCCTCCCTTCCTGTATGAATACACTTTATTTCTTTCTCTTGCCTGATTGCCCTGGCCAGAACTTTCAATACTATGTTGAATAGGAATGGTGAGAGAGGGCATCCTTGTTCTGTGCCAGTTTTCAAGAGGACTGCTTCCAGCTTTTGCCCATTCAGTGTGATATTGGTTATGGATTGGTCTTATTATTTTGAGCTATGTTCCTTCAATACCTAGTTCATTGAGAGGTTTTTTGTTTTGTTTTGTTTTGTTTTGCCAGAGTCTTTCTTTGTTGCCCAGGTTGGAGTGCAGTGGCATGATCACAGCTCACTGTGAGCTCCATCTCCAAAGTTTAAAAGATTATCCTGCCTCAGCCTCCCAAGTAGCTGGAACTACAGGTGTGCGCCACTACACCTGGCTAATTTTTGTATATTTAGTAGAGATGGGGTATCACCATGTTGGCCAGGCTGGTATCAAACTCCTGACCTCAAGTGATCTGCCTGCCTCGGCCTCCCAAAGTGCTGGGATTACAGGTGTAAGCCAATGCACCCAGCCAGTCACTATGCCTGGCTGAAAGTTTTTAACATGAAGGAATGTTGAATTTTATTGAAAGCCTTTTCTGCATCTATTGAAATAATCACGTGGTTTTTGTCTTTAGATCTATTTATGTGATGAATCACATTTATTGGTTCGCATATGTTGAACCAACCTTGCATCCCAGGGATGAAGCCTACTTGATTGTGGTGGATTAGCTTTTCGATGTACTGCTGAATTCAGTTTATAGAGGGTTTTTGCATCAATGTTCATTATGATTGGCCTGAGTTTTCTATTTTTGTTGTATCTCTACCAGGTTTTGGTATCAGTATGATGCTGGCCTCATACAATGAGTTAGGGAGGAGTCCCTCCTTTTCAATTTTTTGGGGATAGTTTTAGTAGAAATAGTACCAGCTCTTCTTTGTACCTTCAGTAGAATTCAACTGTGAATCCATCTGGTCCTGGGCTTTTTTTGGTTGGTAGGCTATTACTGCCTCAATTTCAGAACTCATTATTTGTCTATTTGGGGAATCAGTTTCTTCCTGGTTCAGTTTTGGGAGGGTGTATGTGTCCAGGAATTTATCCATTTCTTTTAGATTTTCTAGTTTATGTGCATGGAGGTGCTTACAGTATTCTCTTGTGGTTGTTTGTATTTCTGTGGTGTCAGTAGTGATGTCCCTTTTATCATTTCTGATTGTGTTTATTTGAGTCTTCTCTTTTTTTCTTTATTAGTCTAGCTAGCAGTCTATTTTATTATTTTTTTCAATAAATCAACTCCTGGATTCATTGATTTTTTGAAGGCTTTTTTGTGTTCTGTCTCCTTCAGTTCAGCTGATATTTTTTTTTCTTGTCTTCTGCTAGCTTTGGGGTTTGTTTGTTCTTAGTTCTCTAGTTCTTTTAGTTGTAAGATTAGGTTGTTAAATTGAGATCTTTCTAGCTTTTTTGATGTGGTCATTAGTGCTATAAATTTCCCTCTTAACAATGCTTTAGTTGTGCCCCAGAGATTCTGGTACATTGTATTTTTGTTCTCATTGGTTCAATGAACTTCCTGGTATTTGCCTTAATTTCATTATTTACCTAAGAGTCATTCAGGAGCAGGTTGTTCACTTTCTATGTAATTGTATGGTTTTGAGTGAATTTCTTAATTTTGAATTCTAATTTGATTGTGCTGTGGTCTGAGAGACTGTTTATTATGATTTCGCTTTTTTTGCACTTGCTAAGGAGTGTTTTACTTCTGGGTATGATCAATTTTAGAGTAAGTGCTGTGTGGCAATGAGAAGAAAGTATACTTTGTTGTTTTTGGGTGGAGAGTTCTATATATATCTGACAGGTCCACTTGATCCAGAACTGAGTTCAAGTCCTGAATGTCTTTGTTAATTTTCTTTCTCAATGATCTGTCTAATATTGTCAGTGGGATATTAAAGTCTCCCACTATTATTGTGTGGGAGTCTAAGTTACTTTGAAAATCTCTAAGAAATTGCTTTACAAATCTGGGTGCTCCTGTATTGGGTGCATATATATTTAGGATAGCTAGATCTTCTTGTTGAATTGAACCCTTTACCATCATGTAATACCCTTTGTTTTTGATCTTTGTTGGTTTAAAGTCTGTTTTGCCAGAAACTAGGATTGCAACCCCTGCTTTTTCCTGTTTTCCATTTGCTTGGTAAATTTTCCTTCATCCCTTCGTTTTGAGCCTGTGTGTGTCATTATGTGTGAGATGGATCTCTTGACAACAGCATACTGATGGTCTTGCTTCTTCATCCAGCTTACCACTCTGTGTCTCTTATCTGAGGCCTTTAGCCCATTTACATTTAAGGTTAGTGTTGTTACGTGTGGATTTGATCCTGTCATCATGTTGCTAGCTGGTTATTTTGCAGACTTGTTTATGTGGTTGCTACATAGTGTCACTGGTCTGTGTATTTTAGTGTATTTTTGTATTGGCTGGTAATGATTTTTACTTTCCATATTTAGTGCTCCTTCAGGAGCTCTTGCAAGGCAGGCCTATTGGTAACAAATTCTCTTCACATTTGCTTGTCTGAAAATAATCTCATTTCTCCTTTGCTTATGAAGCTCAGTTTGGCTGGATATGAAATTCTGGGTTGGAAATTCTTTTCTTTAAGAATGTTGAATTCTTAAAGAATTGGCCCCCCATTTCTTCTAGCTGGTAGGGTTTCTGTGGGGAGGTCCACTGTTAGTCTCATAGGCTTGCCTTTGTAGATGATATGGCTTTTCTCTTTGGCTGCACTTAACATTTTTTCTTCCATTTTGACCTTGGAGAATCTGATGATTATGTCTCTTGTGCATGATATTCTCATGAAGTATCTTACTGTGGTTCTCTGCATTTCCTGAATTTTAATGTTGGCCTGTCTTGCTAGGTTGGGGAAGTTCTCCTGGATGATATCCTAAAGTATGTTTTCCCACTTGCTTCCATTCTCTCTGTCTCTTTCAGGTACCCCAATCAGTCATAGATTTGGTCTCTACATAATCTCATATTTCTCAGAGGTTTTGTTCATTCCTTTTCATTTTTTTTCTCTATTCTTGTCTGCCTATCTTATTTCAGAATGATGGTCTTCATGTTCTGAGTTTTTTTCCTGCACTTGGTCTATTCTGCTATTAATACTTGTGATTGCATTGTGAAGTTCTTGTAGTGTGTTTTTCAGCTCTAACATGCTGGTTATGTTCTTCTTTAAACTGCCTGTTTTGGCTGTCAGCTCCTGTGTTGTTTTATCATGATTCTTAGCTTCTTTGCATTGTGTTACAACATGTTCCTTTAGCTCAGCAAAATTCATTATTACCCACCTTCTGAAGCCTAATTCTGTCATTTCAGCCATCAGCCTCAGCCCAAAGGCTCAGCCTCAGCCCTTGCTGGAGAGGTGTTGTGATCATTTGGAGGAAAATGGGGACTTTTTGAGTTTACAGCATTTTTGTGTTGATTCTTTCTCATCTTGGCGGGCTTATCTACCTTTGATCTTTGAGGTTGCTGATCTTTAGATGGGGTTTTTGTGGGGTTTTGTTGTTGTTGTTTTCTCTTTGTTTGTTTTTCTTTTAACAGCCTGCTGACTCTTCCATAGGGCTGCTGCAGTTTGCTGGGTGTCTGCTCCAAACCCTAGTTGCCTCAGTTTTTCCCATACCTGGAGGCATCATCAGTGAAGGCTGCAATACATCAAAGATGGCAGCCTGCCCTTCCTCTGGAAGCTCCTTCCCAGGGAAGTACTGACCTATCGCCAGCTGGAACACACCTGTAGGAGGTGGCTGGAGACCCTGGTTGGGAGGTTTCACCCAGTCAGGAGGAACAGGATCATGGACCAGCTTAAAGAAGTAGTCTGGCTGCTTTTTGGTAGAGCAGCTTTGTGGTGTCGGAGATCCCTTCAGTGTCTGATGGGTTTGGGGTCTACCAAGGCCCTCAGGCTGGACCAGCTAAGAAGCTCGAATAACCACAGTGGTGGCCTGCCCTGCCTCTCAGGCACTCTGTCCCAGGGAGAACATGGGCAGGGGTGTCTGAAGGCCCTGGATGGGAGGACACACCCTATGAGGAGGAGTGGATTGGGGGTCCTGCTTAAAGAAGCAGTCTGGCCATGCCTCCACAAAACAGCTGTGTTGTGGTGGGGAACTGCCTTTTCCCCTGTCAGATTGGACTCTTTAAAGCCCACAGGCTGGAATGGCTGTCATCCAACCAACCCAGGTGGCAGCCTTCCCCATCCCCAGGCACTCTATCCCAGGGAGAGATCAGCACTCTTTCCCTAATACCTGCTGGCAGGCATGGCTGTAGGGTCCAACTGGGAGATCCTGCCCATTGAGAAGTGGGTCAGGTCCCTGCTTAAAGAAGCAGTCTGCCAATGATCTGGCAAAGCCGCTATGTTGTGCTGGTGGGGAGACCCTTCCTCGTTCAGACTGTCTGGACTCTCCAAAGCCCAAAGGCTGGAACTGCTGAGTTGACCAAACAGCAGAGATGGTGCCTGCCCTTCACCCCCAACCCCCGACCGGGGCTCTGTCCCATCTCAGACCTATTCCATTCTGTTGCTGGTAGCTACCAAGCTGGGATTCCAAGCCAGTAGGTCTTATCTGCTCAGCTCCCTGGATTCTCAGCTCCCTGGATTCTGCCCCTTCCTAGCGTGCATGCAGTTGTCCCACCTTGCCTGAGTTGCAGACATGTTTGTTGGGGTTCCTGAGGCCAGAGTATCTAAAGCTCCTGGGTCTCTCTGCGTGCCTGAGCAGCTGCTCTGCCAAGACTCCACACAGCTCTGTGGGTCAGAACCAAGATTCTGATAGCGTGGGCCACAGGGGGATCTCCTGATCTGCAGGTTGCCAAGATCAATGGGAGAAGCATGGTTTCCCAGCGTCGCACAGTCACTCACCACTCCCTTTGGGTGTGGTTGGGGGTTCCCTTGGCTCCATGTTGTTCCCAAGTGGGCCATCATCCCACCCTGCTTTTCTTTGTTCTCTGTGTGTTGAATTGTTTCCCTAATCAGTCCCTATGTGAGAACTTGGATATTTTAGTTGAAGGTGCTGTATTCACTAGCCCCTTTCATTTCTCTCTGTGTTGCTGTAGACTGCAGCTCCTCCTAATTGGCTATGTTGGCCAGAAGTTCTCCTATTTTTACTTTTTTGAGAAACTTTCATGCTGTTGTTTATAATGGCTGTACCAATTTACATTCCCACCAATAGTGTATAAAAGTTCCTTTTTTCTCTACATCCTCTCCAGAATTTATTGTCTTTTTGATAATAGCCATCCTAACTAGGGTAAGATGGTATCACATTGTGGTTTTGATTTTCATTTCCCTGATGATTAATAGTGTTGAGCATTTTTTCATATACTGCTTGGCCATTTGTATGTTTTCTTTTGAGATATGTCTTCTCAGATTCTTTGCCCATTTTAATGAGATTATTTGTTTTTTGCTGTTGAGTTGTTTGAGCTTCTTGTATATTCTGGATGTTAGCCCCCTGTCAGAAGAATAGTTTGCAAATATTTTCTCCTATTCAACAGGCTATTTGTTCACTCTGTTGATTGTTTTCTCTGCCGTGCAGAAGAGTTTTAATTTAATATAGTCTAATTTGTCATTTTTTTTCCCACTGCCTGTGCTTTTGAGATCTTAGCCCTCCCTAAGATCTTTGTCTAGATCAATGTCCCAGAGCATTTCCCCTATATCTTCTTCTAGTGGTTTTATAGTTTCAAGTCTTACATTTAAGCCTGTAATCCATTTTGAGTTGATTCTTTGTATACAGTGTGAGTTTGGGGTCTAGTTTCATTCTTCTGTATATGTATTTCCAGTTTTCTCAGCATCATTTATTGAAGAGGGTGTTCTTTCCCCAGGGTATGTTCTTGGCACCTTTGTCAGAAATCAATTGGCTGTAAACATGTGGACTTATTTGGGGGTTCTTTATTCCGTTCAGTTTTATCTACATGTCTGTTTTTATACAAATGTCATGCTCTTTTGGTTACTATAGCTCTGCAGTATATCTGGAAGTCAGGTAGTACGACACCTCCAGCTTTCTTCTTTTTGCTCAGTATTGCTTTGGCTGTTTGAGCTATTCTGTGGTTCTATACAAATTTTTGGATTGTTTCTCTACATCTGTGAATAATTTCATTCATATTTTGATAGAGATTGCATTGAATCTGTAGGTTGCTTTGGGCAGTATGGTCATTTTAATGATATTAAATCTTCCAATCTTCAAATTCTTCCAAAAAACGTGGGATGTCTTTTCATTTGTTTTTGTTCTCTTCAATTTCTTTCATCAGTGTTTTGTAGTTTTTCTTGTAGAGGTCTTTCACCTCCTTGGTTAAATGTATTCCTAGGTACATTTGTTTGTAGGTATTATAAATGGGATTGCTTTCTTGATTTCTTTCTCAGCTAGTTTGTTATTGGTGTATAGAAATGCTACTTATTTTTACATGTTAATTTTGTATTCTGCATCTTTACTGAACTTGTTATCAATTCTGACAGTTTTATAGTATAGTCTTTAGGGCTTTTCTATATACAATATTATGTCATTATGTCACCTGCAAAGAGGGACAATTCAACTTTCTCTTTTCTAATTTGAATGCATTTTATTTCTTTCTCTTGCCTGATTGCTCTGATGAGGACTTACATTGCTACATTGAATAGAAGTGGGGAAAGGGAGCATTCTTGTCTTGATCCAGTTATTAAAGGAAAGGATTTCAGCTTTTCCGCATTCAATATGTTGAGCTATGTTCCTTCTATGCCTAGTTTGTTGAGAATTTTTATAATGAAGGATGTCAAATTTTGTTAAATCCTTTTTGTGTATCAATTTAGATGATCATAAAGTTTTTGTCCTTCATTCTGTTGATGTGATGTATCATGTTTATTGATCTGCATACGTTGAACTATCCTTACATCCCTGGGATAAATCCCACTTGATCATAGTGTATTATCTTTTCTTGATGTGCTGTTGGTTTAAGTTTGCTAACATTTTATTGAGGATTTCTGCATCTATTTTCATCAGGAATATTCGCCTGTGGTTTCCTTTTTTTTGGTGTATGTCTTGGCCTGATTTTGGTAATGGGTGATGCTGACCTGCTAGAATGAATTAGAGAGAATTCCCTCCTCTGCAATTTTTTGGAATCCTTTGAAGATAATTGGTGCTATTTTTTCTTTGTAAGTTTGATAGAATTTGGCAGTAGAGCCATCCAGTCCTGGGCTTTTCTCTACTGGGAGATTTTTTATTACTGATTCACTTTCATTACTCATTATTTGCCTGTTTGGGTTTTCTACTTCTTTCTGGTTCAATGTTGTACATGTCCTATAATTTATTCATTTTCTCTGGGTTTTCCAGTTTGTTAGCATGTAGTTGTTCATATTACATATAATATGTAGTTGTTCTTATTACATGTAATTTTTCATATTATATATAACTACCTGTTAGCATGTAGTTGTTCTCTGATAGTCCTTCGTATTTAAGTGGGATCAGTTGTAATGTCTCCTTTTTTGTTTCTAATTTTATTTGGACCATCTCTCTCTCTTTTTATTATTAGTCTAGCTAGCAGTTTATCAATTTTATTTATCTTCTTAAAAAAACAACTTCCCATTGACCCTTTGTATTTTTTTAAATCTCTGTTTAGTTCTGCTCTGATCTTTATTATTTTTTTCCTTCTGCTAATTTTGAATATGATTTGTTCTTGCTTTTCTATTTCCTTGATGTGCATCGAGAGGTTCAGATTATCTTTAAGAGGAATGGCCATTCTGAAGAGGGCTGGGGCTGGTGCTAGATCTTGAGATGATCCCACTGGCAGCAGACCTCTGGTTGAGAGAGCTAGACCTCTACTGGAAAGACTAATCCTGTGGCCAGGCCTGAGGCAAATGCTCACCATACAAGAAGATTATCCAGAAAGACATTCTGAGCCTTTTCTGATCAAATCCTGGACCTGTCCTTTCTTGGTCTTTCACTCTCTTTACTTGTCTTAAAGAGATTTATCATCTCTTCTTCATTAACATAGTGTATTATTAAATCACTCCTCTCAATATGCACTAAGGAGGTATTTAATAAACTTTTATCTTCATTTGAGTATTTATAATCCATTTATTTAGATTTAAGACATTTCAAAAATTGTGTAAACGTAATTTTTGTTTGTTTGTTTATTTAAAGAAAATATGTGTGGTAATTAACTTAACCACACAGGTAACCTGAACTTTAAATTGTTTGGTTTTTGGTCTATTCACTCTGTCTCAGAGAATACTACAGAAGAGTTGACTTTTCTTTTTGTCATTTGAAATTTGATGAAAGTATAGGCCCCTTTTCTGGATAAACACACACATACACACACACACACACACACACACACACAAATAATTTTATATATCGATTTAAGATAATTGCTATAGTACAAATCATTACAGTGGTAAAAATATCATTTATATTGAGTTTCTTTTGCAAGCTTATAAAATTCCCTAATTTTATAAATAGTATGTATATTAGAAGATATCTGTAATCTTGAAACTTAGAGATGGAGCTGACTTTAGAAAGTTCTAATTCAACATCTAACTCAGACTTTTGATGTTAAGTAATAATCGTACATATGTATTGCTATTTGCTAGGCACTTCCGTAAATGCTTTAAATATACTAAATTCTCATAATATTCCTAAGAGATAGGTACCATTTTCATCTTGTTTCACAGAACAGTAAATTGAAGCATAAAAAAATGTAAGTAACTTACCAGAAGTTACATAGCTAGAGTTGAACCTTGGCAGTGTGAGTCTCTGAGATCCTCATCACCATGCTACATTGTAAAAGAACTATACCAAGACCTCCTGGAAGAGGTTACTTCTGCCCCCTCTAAGCATCTGAGGCCTGATGCTGTCTCTGAGTACTTTCTGGGATTTCCATATTTTGCTCTAGGCAACTCTTCTCACTTCCATATTCGAAACCTGCCATATGAGGTTCTAAAAGTAAGGACAAATTGTCACAGAATGGGTCCTATCTAGACCCTGCTCTTTTATTTTAATTCTGAGAAAAGAGTATCAATTCAGCTATACAGAACCCAAGTACCTTTTCTTTCTCAACTCCAGGAGTCTGCTCTCTGTTGGTGCTAAATATGGGCAAAAAATGTCAAGTTATGTAGAAAGGACTCTTGTATAAACCTTTTGGAGTGATGGATGGCTGCTTGGTAGTGACAGTGCAATAATGGCTTCCCTGAGTCATTGTGCTATGCCTGGGAGAAGTGAGAAGTCAGGGACAACTGGTCTCAGAGAGGGAGCAGTTCTTCAGCTTAACTTTGTATGGATCAAGTTCTTCATTCCCCATGACAGGGATTATATTTCAGTGGTCGCTAATTTGAGGACAGGATCCAGACAGAGATTAATGAGAAACCCTAACCCTCTCTGGAATGTGAGCAGAGCCTGGGACTGCAGAGCTTGGTTCCAGAAAAACTGGTTTAAGAAGCCAGAAGCCCAAATTGTCTAAAGTAGGATATTAGACCCTTGGCTAATGAAAGATGAGCACCCTGAACATAGGCCCTGGTCTGGGGCTTGGTGTGCAATGTTCAGATCATGCTCTTACCTTGTAAGTTCAATCCTGTGATGATCAGCAAGAAGGTGACTCAGTATACAAACAGGCATATTTAAATTTTAAATTTCCCTGAAACATCAGGATTATTTAAAATCTAAAGCGTGATGATCATGGCCCCTCCTTCAGAGAAGCATGTAAGAAGATTAGTTTCAATTTTTGGTGTCCTCTTTCAAGCTGATAACAGGAAGGACTTGATTCATTTGTTCAATTTTTCATTCAACCATAAACTGACAAGTATTTTTTTGGTACCTATGCCAGGCATTATGCTAGGCACTGGGGACACAAGTAACAAAGTGATTTAAGTAACTTGAAAATTTGGTAAAGGGTGGACATGAAATAAACATGCACTCAAATAAATGTATAATTTTATTTATTTATTTATTTTTAGACAGAGTTTCTCTCTGTCACCCAGGCTGGAGTGCAGTGGCACAATCTCGGCTCATCGCAACCTCCATCTCCCAGGTTCAAGCGATTCTCCTCCCAAGTAGCTGGGACTACAGGCACATGCCACCACTCCCGGCTAATTTTTGTATTTTTAGTAGAGATGGGCTTTCACTGTATTGGCCAGGCTGATCTCAGACTCCTGACCTTGTGATTTGCCTGCCTCGGCCTCCCAAAGTACTGGGATTACAGGCATGAGCCACTGTGCCTGGCCCATAAATGTATAGTTTTAATTGTGTTAAATGCCAAGAAAGATAATAATGGGAGTAGGAGCATCTAATTTATGTTTGAGGCTCTAGGAAGATCTTTCTCCTTAGTAAATCTTGAATCCTTTGGGGATCCCACTTAGGGAAGGTTTATGAAATGAGGACTGCTGGGATCTGATGGGATCTCCATAAATATCAGAGGATATAAGTGGATTTGGAAGCGGAATAATTTTCCTTTCTGGTCTGCACATTCTCTCACACCATACATTAGCCAGGTATGTGTTATTCCCAGTTTCATTCCGAGCACCTAGACACAATGGCTAGCATGTAGTAGGTATTCATTAATGTTAATTGAATAAATGAATAACTTAAAAGCCGACATTCTTTTACTTGTCTGTTTTTGTTTAAGTTGTTCAGGGCAGAGCTGAAAGTAGGAGATGGAATCATATCATAAGTCCCAAACCGGGAGATGACCTACAGAATATGTGAAAAGCTTGTGAACAATACCAGAGAGAAAAGGATAGTGAAGTCAAAGTCCAGTTGGAAGGAAAAGAAATTATCTCATATTGAGACTTACAGATCAGGATGAGGCAACAGGTTCCTGCCAGTAAAACTTTTCATTCCAGCCTTAGTGACTATCATCTAGGCCTTCATGCCAGGATGGCAGAGAAATGCTGTCTCTGCTCTTCAGTGCCTTTCAACAGACTTTCAGTTATGAGATGAACAAATTCTGGGAATCTAATATATTGCATGGGTGGTGAGGGATGTATTAATGAATTTGGTTGTGGTGATACACAGTGTTTACAAATATCAAGTCATCATGTTCTACACTTTGAATATATACAATCTATTTGTCACTTAAATATTTTTATCAAGAAATAAAGAAAATGAGAAGGAACCTCTTCAACTCTGGAGATACCAATGAATCAGGTAATGGCAGAATGAGGAGGAAGGAGAAGTATGGAGAGTTTGAAACAGAGAACAATGAATAAAATGTCTTTTCCTTTTTTTGTCCTTAATAACAAACTTTCTAAGATAAAGTTTATTTTGGTTTAACTTTAGATAACCCTATTGATATAGCCAAGTTTCCACAGTAATGTCAACAGTAGAATTGTGCAGGCTCTGAAATGAGG
Organism: Homo sapiens; assembly: GCF_000001405.40. Classification (NCBI taxonomy): domain Eukaryota; kingdom Metazoa; phylum Chordata; class Mammalia; order Primates; family Hominidae; genus Homo; species Homo sapiens. Next base: position 170,198,796 of record NC_000001.11, read on the forward strand.
GATAATGTGGAAATGATCACTGGCTGGGATAGGACATTGTAATCCTTGCCTAGTCTTCCATCTAAAAGTAGTTAACTTACTTAGCTTCAGTGGGCAAAGATCTCTCCTTTCTTTCCTCACTCTTTAAGTCCTTGCTAGCCATATTCCATCCTCTGTGATCAGTTGCTTGGGGATGCCAGAAGCAGGTTGTCTCTCTACCTCAACTTCAACTTTCCAATAAGTAAGAGTACCCAAGTTCTACCCCACGCCACTTCTCTCCCTCATCTTTAACTTTAGGAAGGCTTGAGTAAAGCTAGAGGCTCACAAGGACGTGTGCTCTCTGGGCCCTTCCCTCTTTACTGTTCCAGGAATGGCCAAGCACACCCTGGTCTCCAGGGCTTTGCCTTTGCTGTTACCTCTGCTTGGTACACACATAGTATACACCTTTCACTTCCTTAGGGTCTCTGCTATAAAACTACTTTCTCAAAGAGACCTTCCCTGATTCTCCCCTTTCCTCCTCACTTGCTGTATTTTTGTATGGGTAGCCTCGGGGGGAATGGATATATCTGTTTATCTATCTACTCTAGAATGTGGGCTCTGGAAGGTGTTGTGTCCAAAGAAAAACTTCCCCTTCACTCTCTAAAGGTTTGCTGAAACTCACTGACACGAGGCAGATTAATAGGCGAAAAGGCATACAAATTTATTTGATCATAGTTTCATGTAGTGTAGATATCCTCAGAATGAAGATCCAAAGATATAAAGGAAATTGTTTATTTTTATGCTTAAGTTCATGAGACAGAACCATAGATAGTAGTGTAGAAATATGATTGGGCCAAAAAAGGCATGACCTAATGCTAGCAGACTGAATGGGGAGACCCAGCAAAGCTTGTCTGGATTCTTCTTGGCCTCCTGAGCATGTGTTCCTTCCTCCTGGATATGGGGCAAAGCCCTCTCTGGAATGGGGACCTATGACCTATAGTCAAACAACGTAGATTAAATAATTTCTTTATGGGCAGTTTTTACACAGAAAGATGAGGGGAAAGTTACAATAATAGTTTAAGGTTTTATGGCTGGCTTTGACGAAAAGGGGTTCTCCTTTCCATGAACTGCCTTGGGGAAGAGGGATTTTAGTTTCTATGGGTAGCCTCATGGGAAAATGGGACTGAGAGACAGGAAGGAAGAAAGGTCAGAGAAAAACTTTTGCTTCTGAGGCTGCCTTCATTTTGGGGTATTGCTTTTGAGTCCCAACATGACATTGCCTTTGCATTTTTATTGCTATTCAGCAGAATGCTGTCACATAGATGGTCAATACATTTTTGCTGAATGAATTACAACCATCAAGGAGGTATGAAACCAAATCAAACCAAACCAAATAACCAAAATCTTACCTGTGAAAGCAAAGATATTAGCACTAATACTGAACAAATTCCTACATATTTACTTATATTTTATGTCCCAGTTATCAGGCTTCCTCATGGATTCCTTTATTCTCACAGTACTAAAGCTCAACCAGCCTTCTTGCATTTCCACATATACTCCCAGCCCCTGAAAGCCTTCCCTACTCTTACAATTCCAGGAAGGACTAACAAAACAATACATCTGGTGACCCACTTAAAATAGGCCACATTTAAAGCTGTCCTGTGTTAAAGGGGACTCTCTTAAATGGACCACCCTGAATGTTACATGAGATGGTGTCTTTCTGCCAATAAGCTTAGTAGTGTTTTATAAATAAAAAGATGATGTTAGGGAGAAGGGTTCTTCCCCCCTCTTTCTCTTTGTCTCTGCCTCTGTATGTCTGTCTTTTAATTCACATAGAGAATTTTATTATATAAATCTTCTGCTAATCTATGCAATGACAAAGCAATTTCAACCCAGGAAAATGATTCCACTCCCTTGCCTCTTACGTGAAATAAGACTGTTTCAGTTTTGTGAAAAACTAGGGCAAACTAGATTCTACAGAAGCAGCTTTTCTAAGTGAGAGTAGATCCTCTAATCACTTCTTGGTTCCTACAGGACTTCTGCTGGGTCCCTGAAAGAAACCTCACATTCAGGACGGAAAACGAAACATAGGCTAGTTGACAGCTGCTTCAAGAATGCAGTTGCTGGCTATCTCCTGACAGGGGGTTCTGTTGTGCTTTGAAGAATAATATGAAAATTCAAGCTCAGAATAAGCTACTGTAATTTGAAAATTAAAACTCCACCCTAAACCTTCATCAGCATCTGAAGCCAAATCCTTTTAGATGTGCAGGAGGGATCTGTTTACTTTGTATGAAAAATCATTTTCTTCTTATTAGCAAGCTCCAGGGTTTCCTGATGATCTGAAGGGCTCTTGCCTCTCCGAGGGCAGTCCTGGGGCACTCTTGGCACAAACAGAGGCCAGAGAGATTGGAAATATTATTTTGCAACATTTTCTGCCTGGTTTTAAAGTCAAGGAAGACAAATGGTTCTGATAATTTCAGCAATACCTTTGAATGTGAATTGCCTCATTGTCCTGAGCTGACCTAGTGAGGTTAAAATCAAACCAAACCCAAACAAATAAAAAAAAAAAAGAAAAATTGAAACCAACATACCATGAACAACTCTTCCCTTCCTCAGCCAGCCTGTTTGATCCAGAAAAAGGTAGCTATCTTGTTCCTATTATCATCAAAACCAACATAAGAATCTGCTCATTGCTTTTTGGACTCATGGTGGGGAAGGGCAGGGTGGGGTGGAGGTGTATGGGTGGGTGGCAGGGGGTTTCAGTAATTGTCTTAGTTTTTTTTTTTTTCTGCTATAACAGCATATCACAGACTGGGCAACTTATAAACAATAGTAGTTTGTTTGGCTCACAGTTCTGGAGGCTGAGAAGTCCAAGATCAAGGGGCCATATCTAGCGAGGGCCTTCTTGCTGCATTACAACATAGCAGAAGGCATCACATGGTGAGAGAACATGACATTGAACACAAGATTGAATTCACAGCCTCAAGTCCTTCTATAATTGGCATTAATCCATTTATGAGCGCAGGAGTCCTCTTGGGAGTCCTCATTATTTAAACACATCCCGTTAAGCTCCACCTCCCACCACTGTTGCACTTGGGATTAAGTTTCCAACACATGCCTTTTGGGGGACACATTTAAACCATTGCAGTTGCCTTTAAATCTTTTCCTTGATGTCACCATGCTCACTTGTGTCTTCTTCCTGTTGTTGAATTGTTTACCTCTAACAAGCAGGCCATCCTGATTTCTTCTCATCTCACTGTAAATTCCACCAAGAGACCTCCTTTATCAGATTCCTCTTGAACATTCCAGCCCACAATGATCTCCTCATCTCTCACCTATAGCAGAAATATTATTCAGGGCCCCAAGCACTCTACTGCTGGAATCCAGGTATTTTTTCCACCCCCTTGCCTCTTACATGAAATAAGACTCTTTCTAGCAATCTTCTAACTTTCCTGAGCTGTAAGATCATCCCTGGATTTCCTACCCAGAGACTAAAACTCTTGAATTTCAGTAGGCTTTAGGCTTCTTGGTTCAACCACAGCTCCACCAGTGACTCCACTGTCAGCTCCCTCTGCCAAGCTCCCTCTGCCTTTTCAATGCTCTGCAACCCACGCACCCCTTTTCTCTCTACTTTAACATCCATTCACCGACATAAGATCTGCCTTTTGTTCATGTTTCTCAGCCTCCAGCTTTTCTACTGCCAATGTGCTCCACTTTTTGAGTAATCCTGTCCATCAGCTGTGGTACATTATAAAATGAGTATGCCCTAACCTGCACTTCCAGATGGCCTCATGATATTCTTGTAATTACATTCCCTGACTACCATGGGCAAAATGAAACACATGCTATGAAAGTAGGTATGTGTTATGCTGGTTCACAAGACAAACTTTAAAAGAAAACGAGTGAGGTCTCCTTAGGACCTTTTCCACTGATTGGCCCCTTCTTTGAATGGGGGTTCCTAATAGTCACTGTTTCTCAACCAATAGCATGAAATGCTTGCTTCCAGATCTTGTTTTTAAGTCTTTAGAACAGAGAGGTGATGATAAGTGGGGACTGTAATAAAGCCTCACTAGTGTACTTGATACACTTCCTTTTTTTTTTATTTTTATTTTTTATTTTTTGAGATGGAGTCTCGCTCTGTTGCCCGGGCTGGAGTGCAGTGGCGTGATCTTGGCTCACTGCAACCTCTGCCTCCCAGGTTCAAGCGATTCTCCTGTCTCAGCCTCCCAAGTAGCTGGGATTACAGGCACACACCACCCCTCCCAGCTAGCTTTTTGTATTTTTAGTAGAGACGGGGTTTCACCATGTTGGCCAGGCTGGTTTCGAACTTCTGACCTCAGGTGATCCACTTGCCTTGGCCTCCCAAAGTGCTGGGACTACAGGCGTGAGCCACCGTGCCGGGCCTATTGTACATGATAATCTTATGTGCACTATGAAGTTTGAGAAAAGATAAGAGGCAGGGAATGGGTAGAGATGGTTTCACTAAAGAACTACCTTGGGCCAGGTACTAAATAGTTACTTTTTATATGTTCCTTATTTAAATGTGGCAAAAAACTTTCATTTCAGACTTATCAATGGCTCAGACTTTTTAGAGTTTATTTCCTAGCTGCTAATTTTCTGGATTTGTTATTTAGAGCCTGAACTTAAGAAGCTGAGAAATATGAGTTCAAATCATTCTTGTTTTCTGTGGGTAAGCATTTTAGTGCTTAAAATAGGAGGATTATCAATTTCTCTTCTGTAAAATATAGGAATGGCAACACCTACTTAATGGGATTGATGTGACAAATAACTGAGATATTTTAATCAAGGTGTGAATTACAGTGACTCTTCTATAGTAGATACTCAGTGAGTGAGAGCAGTGGTTATAATCTTTACCTAGACATATGCTTCTGGCCAGGGAGGAGACACCCAGAATCAATCCTGTTGGTATTAAAATTTTTTCTTTAAGATTTTGCAGATAAAAAATAAGGCCATGGTTCATAAAGATTCTGAGCTCAGAGTAATGGACTCATGGGTTCTCACAGAACTAGTGAGGAAAAAATGAAAGGGAAAGTCAGCATACACACACACATGCACACACACCCCACCCCTCAGTCTTTCAGATAGGGTCTGTAACAGTAAGCCAAGGTTCACTTACAGAGTTCCCATAACAAATGAGCATATGGTGAGCATTTGACTGAGGGAAATACACATCCTTTAAGGAAGCTCTTAAGTTCTCACAAATTCAATAAGAATAGAAGAATGTCTTAAAAATCAGAAGACATCAGAGACATAGAGAAACTCTCAGTAGTTTATTCTTTTTTAAAACTTGCAACTTAGAGGTGTATGTCTACATGTAGCCCTCTGAGTTAGGATGCATTCCTCCACACTACAGCCTGGAGAAAACAGATCTGCGTGTCCTTTAATCCATGATCATTGTAGATCAAGTTACCTCTTTGAAAGAACTTTTCTTTCTCTAGCCAACTAAATGAAAAGAAAATGATGTACTTAATTGTTTTCTAAATTGCAATTTTTCTCCCACAGATGTTTTTTATCAGTGTTGAGCCCAATGGGCTTTGTCAGTCACACGGGGAGATGAAATCATGTGGTAATAAAAGAGACGGGGTTGGGGGAGGAAGGGAAATACCATACAGTATATTGTCTAATTGAAAAATGTGCCACATAAATGCTGAACTTGAAATCTTTCCCTCCCCAAGGGCTACTCACAACAAACAATGCACACATCTTCTGCACTGGAAAGATTAGACTTCTCCCCTTTCTCCATTATTAATTCAGGCCAATGCAAGAGTTTCCTTTTTTTTTTTTTTTTTTGCCTTTTTTGGGTTAAGTCGTTCTACTGGAATTGTGATGCAAGGTAACAAGATTCCAAAGTGAAATCTTAAATGCAAAGGTAATGGCATCTGAGCTAGAGGGTGAAGGTTACAGTGATGATGATAAAGGGATAGCATTAGATTAAACTCTAACTTTGTAGAAGGAAGATGAGAACTAGCAACAATATCTATGAATGTATCTGAGAAATGGTTGCTAGTGATAATGCAACCTAAAATGTAGGGGAGGCTAGTAGAATTATGGCACTTGGAAAATTCAGAAAGTCTCAGGCTTCAGTGCATGTTAATGAAAGCTGGAACCATAAGTAGAGTGGATCAGGAAGTACAGACAGAAGGAAAGGCTGCATGTGTTTTTCATAGCAAGAAGGAGAATGCTACAGATGCAGGACCCATGTCAGCATCAGAGAGATTAGAAGACAAAGAGAGACTCATGCTCACAAGCAAACCTAAAGAAGTAAAAGGTTTTCACTTCCCCCTCCCCCAATACTCCATTATGGAAAACAAATGAGAATTGACTGCAGTACAAAAGCGTTGGCCTAGAAAGTCCTCTGAGAGATCTTTCTAGTTCTCCACCTGTATTCATTTGCACTGCCCTTTACCCACACTTGACTGTGCTTTAAATTTTCTGTAGGAAGTGACTTGTAACCAGTGGGATGGTAACTAAGGGGCTTTTATCAGCCCTCACTGTCAAGAGGGCCTCTCTCTTATGTCAGGAAAAAAAGGGGGCTCTTTCCTCTTGTTCTGCCATTATTGAAGAAGGAGAGCATCTAGTGATTATATAAGAAACTCAATGAATCACTTATTTTATTTTTTACTCATTTAATTTAGCTGTGTCTCATATTTGACTAAAACTAACTCCAGGGATTTCTCCAGGTTCTTTGATTGCACTGGAATCTTAATGAGTCATCCATTTCTTTGAAATATGAGGATTATTACCCAAGTGTTATATTCCTTAACTAAATAGTAATTTTTTTGTAGTAATATTTGGAATAGCCAGATTCAAACTGCATAAGAGAGAGTCACCATGTGTAATACCAAAGCTTTCTGGGGAAAAATCACATTGCATTAAGTTGCAGATGATTAGGGTTTTGTCTGGGCTTTAAAACACACTTCAACCTTTCTGTTTCTCAGTGTTCATCCCTGTATTAAAATAAACATCCTCCTCCTCATCATAATTGTCATTGTCATCATCAGCATCATCATCATTTTTCTCTTCCTCTTACTTTCTTGTTCTTCTTACTCTTTTTTCCCTATTCTGTTTTGTCCTTTCTTTCTGTCCCCTACCTCCTTCTCCTCCTTCTTCTTTTTGTTGTCTCTTCTTCCACTTCTTTTCCCCTTTTTTCTTTTGCCTATCCTTCTCCTTCTCTTCATGTTTTCTTTTGTTCTCTTTCGCTTTTCTCCTCCTCTTCCTCACTTCCTTCTTTCCATTTTCTCTATATTTTTTGAGTTTTCACTCTGTGTCAAGGTTTAGTGAAGCCTCTTACTTATGTCATCTCAACACATCTTGGTAATGGACCTAGATATTATTTTCAGAAAAGCAAATGAAGTATCAGAAAGGAATAAGTAATTTATCCATTTACATGCCAAGTAAATATGACTTTGGGTATCTCTAACTCCAAATCCATGCTTTTAGCCAAAACCTCTCTAGGAGAGATGAAAAATATTGGGGGAGAAAGGTTGAAATAATCAAAGTTGTAATTAAACTTTAAATTTATAATTTAAGAGTATGAAACATAACTTTGCATTTGTGAAAATTTGGAAGTTAATTGAGATAAGATAATTAAAATGCTTATGTGATAATATGGTTTGGCTGTGTCCCCATGCAAATCTCATCTTGAATTGTAGTTCCCATAATCCCCACATGTGGTTGGAGGGATCTGGTGGGAGATAATTGAATCATGGGGGTGGTTTCCCCCATGCTATCCTTGTAATAGTGAGTAAGTTCTCACAAGATCTGATGGTTTTATAAGGGGCTTCCCCCTTCGCTGAATTCTCATTCTTCTCCTTCCTGCCTTCTTGTGAAGAAGGATGTCTTTGCTTCCCCTTCTGCCATGTTTGTAAGTTTTCTGAGGCCTCCCCAGCCATGCTGAACTGTGAGTCAGTTAAACATCTTTCCTTTATATAATAAGTTACCCAGTCTCAGTTATGTCCTTATAGCAGCATGAGAGTGCTGCTGTATATATACTAATACAGTAAATTGGTACTGCACAGAGTGGGGTGCTGCTGTAAAAATACCTGAAAATGTAGAAGTGATTTTGGAACTGGGTAACAGGCAGAGGTTGGAATGTTTGGAGGGCTCAGAATAAGACAGGAAAATGTGGGAAAGTTTGAAACTTCCTAGAGACTTGGAGGGCTCAGAAGACAGGAAGATGTGGAAAAGTTTGGAACATCCTAGAGACTTGTTGAATGGCTTCGACAAAAATGCTGATAGTGATATGGACAATGAAGTCCAGGCTGAGGTGGTCTCACATGGAGATGATGAACTTGCTGGGAACTACAGTAAAGGTCACTTTTGCTGTGCAAAGAGACTGGCAGTATTTTGCTCCTGCCTAAAGATCGGTGGGCTTTGAACTTGAGAGAGATGACTTAGGGTACCTGGCAGAAGAAATTTCTAAGTGGCAAAGCATTCAAGAGGAAGCAGAGCATTAAAGTTTGGGAAATTTGCAGCCTAACAATGCAATAGAAAAGGAACCTCATTTTCTGGGGAGAAATTGAAGCTGGCTGCAGAAATTTGCATAAGTTATGAGGAGCTGAATATTAATTACCAAGACAATGGGGAAAATGTCTGCAGGGCATGTCAGAGACCTTCATGGCAGCCCCTCCCATCACAGACCCAGAGGTCTAGGAGGAAAAAATGGTTTTGTGGGCTAGGCCCAGGGCCCACCTGCTCCATGCAGCCTCAGGACTTGGTACCCAGTGTCCCAGCTGCTTCAGCTCCAGCTGTGGCTAAAAGGGGCCAACCTACATCTCAGGCCATTGCTTCAGAGGGTGTAAGCCCCAAGCATTGGCAGTTTACATGTGGTGTTGGGTCTGCAGGTGCATAGAAATCAAGAATTGAGGTTTGGGAACCTCTGTCTATATTTCAGAGGATGTTTGGAAATGCCGGGATGTCCATGCAGAATTTTGCTGCAGGGGTGGAGCTCTTGTAAAGAACCTCTGCTAGAGCAGTGTGGAAGGAAACTGTGGGGTCAGATCCCCCACACAGAGTCCCCACTGGGGCACTACCTAGTGGAGCTGTGAGAAGAAGGCCACCATCCTCCAGACCCCAAAATGATGGATCCACTGACAGCTTGCACCATGCATCTGGAAAAGCTGCAGGTGCTCAATGCCAGCCCATGAAAGCAGCCAGGCTGTAGCCTGCAAAGCTACAGAAGTGGAGCTGCCCAAGGCTATGGGAACCCACCTCTTGCATCAGTGTGACCTGGATTTGAGACATGGTTTCAAAGGAGATCATTTTGGAACTTTAAGGTTTAATGACTGTCTCATTGGAGTTTGGACTTGCATAGGGCCTATAAACCCTTTGTTTTGGCCAATTTCTCCCACTTGGAATGGGTGTATTTACTCAATGCCTGTACCCCCATTGTATCTAAGAAGCAACTAGCTTGCTTTTGTCTTTATAGGCTCATAGGCAGAAGGGACTTGCCTTGTCCCAGATGAGACATTGGACTTGGACTTTTGGGTTAATGCCAGGATGAGCTAAGATTTTGGGGGACTGTTGGAAAGCCATGATTGTGTTTTGAAATGTGAGGACATGAAATTTGGGAAGGTCCAGAGTGGAATTATATGGTTTGGCTGTGTCCCCACACAAATCTCATCTTGAATTATAGTTCCCATAATCCCCACATGTGGTGGGAGGGACCCAGTGGGAGTTAATTGAATTATGGGGGTGGTTTCCCTCATGCTATTCTTGTGATAGTGAGGAAGTTCTCACAAGATCTGATGGTTTTGTAAGTGGCTTCCCCCTTCACTTGATTCTCATTCTTCTCCTTCCTGCCACCCTGTGAAAAAGGATGTGTTCACTTCCCCTTCTGCCATGATTGTAAGTTTCCCTGCCTCCCCAGACATGCTGAACTGTGAGTCGATTAAACCTCTTTCCATTATAAATTACCCAGTTTTGGGTACATCTTTGTAGCAGCATGAAAACAGACAAATACATATAATAAATCATTTTTTTTTTGAGACAGTGTCTTGCTTTGTTGCCAGACTGGAGTGTAGTGGTATGGTCTTGGCTTACTGCAACCTCCACCTCCTGGGTTCAAGCAATTCTCCTGCCTCAGCCTCCCAAGTAGCAGAGACTCTAGGTGTGTGCCACCATGACCTGGCTAATTTTTGTTTTTTTTTTTTTTAGTAGAGATGAGGTTTCACCATGTTGGCCAGGCTGGTCTTGAACTCCTGACCTCAAGTAATTTGCCCACCTTGGCCTCCTAAAATGCTGGGATTACAGGCATGAGCCACTGTGCTTGGCCAATAGTTTTTAATAGAATAATCTGTAAAGAAGAAATGAAACAGGAATGTGATAGTACTTTGAAATATAGAAAGTTCTTTATATTAAATAATTATTTATTAAATGTATTTATTAAAACTCACAGCAGATGCTCAAGGATGAATGCATGTGCTATTACAAAGGACTCAGCAGTCCTTGGAAAATGCACATTTGTATTTGTTAGAATCAGCTATCAAGTAACAAAGACCAAATTACCATAGCTTTACACTTTACAAAAAGAAGTCTGGAGATGGATTCTTCCAAGGCAGTCACAGTGGCTTGTTGATGTCATCCAGGTCCTCCATTCTTTGGAGGACCATTTTAAGTATGTTGGCTTTTGTTCCTTAGACTTGTACCTCATTATGCTAAGAGATCTGTCATAGCTCCTAGGATCACATCTCACCTAATTACATTATTACATTTGGGGACAGAGGGAAAAAGTTTTTTTTCTTTTGAGGATCTTTTTTTTTTTTCCTTTTTTTAAAGAAAGGAAATAGTTTCCAGAAGCTGCTTCCACTCAACTCCCTAGCACACTTTCTCTTATGTTTCATTAGCCAGGTCTGGGTTACATTCCCACTTCTGATCACTGGCAGAGGAAATGGAGTGGCAAGTAGGGCCAGAGAAGGAGCTAAGCTTCTTCAAAAATATAAGATGTCTGCTTGCTACCTGAATATGTTTGGAGTTTAATTAGCAAGTAAGAGGGCAAAATGGATGTTGCGTAAACAATGAACACTGTCTGCTATATCACTTATCCATTTCACAGGCAAAAAATATCTTCCTTAATTTCCCTCAACTGAGAGCAAACCTGTGTGGAATATTTTGCCTTGAGGAAGCAAAGATGGGGAAGAAGACAGCATCCTGTGGAAAGTTACAGTTGGTTTGCCTCTTTCTTTCAAACTTTCATATATTCTGTTAGTATTCTAATCTAAATACCAGGAGAATTTTGAGCAGGAAAGTAGAGGAGAATGACTGAAAATTAAAGAACAAGACAAGCTTTATTTTTTTGAGAGGAGGAGATATGGACAAGTGAGGGATAGGCATGTAAATAAGTAAACATGTCACTGAAGATGGATGGAGCATTACATGTGGCACAGCACAAGGAGAAACAGAGTTCACTGCAGTCATGCCAAAGGGATGAGACAGGGACTCTGGAAAGGTCTGAAAGATTCAAAAGTAGCCTTATCACGCTTTTTAAGAAGCCAGCACAGTGTGTCAATGGCCATATGAATAATCTAATATTCCAGATCGCTAATGATGATGATGATGATGATGATGATGATGATGATGATGACGATGATGATGTTAATATATAGTGTTTACAACATGTCAGCTGCTGTTCTTAGGACTTTCTCCATGGTCATTTAACTGTTATGACTGCTCTACAAAGTAGGGTCTATTATCATCCCATTTTTTCCATGAGGAAACTGGTACAGGTAGGTGAAGAACTTCCCCAAGCTTACACAGCTAATAAATGGCAGACCTATGATTTTTTTTGTTGTTGTTGGTTTCTTACATTCTCCCAATAATGTTATTTATGCACAATGATTGGCCCTTTCAAATAATCATATTGAGAATTTTAATAACATCTCTTTCATTACAAATTGATTTGGGAAAATTTGAATATTTATATACTTCACTCTTAAATATAAGCACTCTTTGGAAATCATTACCAATTCATCAAGAAGCTGTCTTAGCCACAGTTACATAATTCACAATAAATATCAATTAAGTTAAGGCTGTATGAGGAAGCTAAAAAAACCAAAGAACTCTGAACAAGTAATGTATGTAATTAAGTTGTATTAGAGCAACAATTTGAACAGCAAAATATTGTGCATATCCATAGCTCTTTAATGATAGCATAAGAGACTTTTTAACATCTAAGGTGATTACACTGAGAGTAGGTAAACAACTGACTTTATCCAATGGAATTTTATCTATTGGCTCATTTCTTCTCTGCCTCTCCTTTCTTAGAATTCTTTTTCAGTTTGCAGTCTATTAGGGCCACTGTGATTGCATCTTCAGTTAGCATGGAGCAGTGCAGCTTCATGGGAGAAAGGCATAGTTCCTTTTCAATATCTCTGCTTTTGATGGTCATGGCTTCTTCAACCACTTTTCCTTAACCTATTCAATGGTTAATAAACTTGGATCAATTTCAGAACCACAGCCAAGTATTTAAAACCTGGAAGCCATAAGTTTTTCCTTTTCATTCACTTGAAACAATTTCATTAAATTACTACCAACTAGAGCCTTCACCAATCTAGCTCATTTCTGGATATTTTATCAAGGAGCCTTTCATCGTTTGAATTCTCTAAATGATCAACAACCTTCTTGTGACAGAGCAGAGCCTGGTCCAACAGCTCTTGGTTGGGGACATACAGGCTCATGAGCCGCAGGTTCAAAGCTACTGGTCACCAGTGATCTACTCTAGCTGCCATATTGTCAAGGCCAGAGCTGGAATTCAACCTGGATATTCTAGCTCCACAGTTCATGTTCTTAACCCCTGGACTATATTATCTGTCTAGTGTCTGTGTTTTACCTAGCGTCTTAGAATACTGAAGCCATGGCAAGGTTATAAATGGTAAAAATATAGCTAATAAAGAAGACCAATCAAGACTGTGTTATAAGGTTGAGGAGAAAAGGACACACATGGCAATGATAAATTGCAATGTTTGGGGAAAGAAATGAGAATCAGTTATATTTTGAATGGAAACATGTTGGAGGGGAAGAAATTTGCAAAATAATAATCAGACATGTTTCAGGTTGGCTGCTTACCCACTGAGTTCTTAGGTCATCGCCTCTGAGAATAGCATGGGTTAATGGGCACTACTGTCCTGGCAGTTCTTTTTTTCTCTTTCTCACCATGTCACTGGGCTTTCTGGTGCACCTGGACCATAATAGCACTACTAGGCTGCTCTACCAGAGTACATTGTCTTTCACTGACATAGAAGAAATACCTTCTGATATTCCAGACACCTGAAATGGGATGGAGAATGGGAAGAGGGACCTTCATTTTGGTGGCATTTCTTGTCTAAGCAGGGATGTATCACTCAGTGGCAAGCTCTGCCTCTCAGATAATGAATGGAGCAGTGGGCCATCCATTCCAAGGTCTTGGGGCAATATCAGGATACCTCTGAATGTAGTAGTTCTTATAATGTAGTAGTTTCTTCTGTTTGTCATATGGCAAGGCAGAATGGACTTTCAGAATCTTGTTTTTGTGGTCTAGTGGTGAAGTCTTATCTTTGGGACAGCAGCCCAATTATTCATAATTATTAATTCAGAAGGTATTTTCATATATGCGTCTGCCTAATGGTCAGATGGAACTGTGGAACTCCATGACAAGCCTGCAGAATGTTCCATTCTCCATCTGCATGCAGCCTAATAACTGTATTTTCATAGAATTAGAGACTTATAATATTTAAGGCATTTTAAGGTAATGTATCTCATTCAAATCTTTCTCTTTACAGATGAGGAAACTGAAGCCCAGAGAGATGAAATGATTTTCCATGTTAATACAGAGACAGAGTAGTACCATATGCTATTTTACCTAGGAGTCAATGCTCTTTCCTATACATCTCCCTGGCTTGGATAAATAACATTGTCTGGAAATGGGAAAGATAATTATAACTGGGACAATAGTAGAGAGAAGAAACTTTAGAAACTCTGACTAGAGCAGAAGGGCAAGCAAACCAGTTTGACTCAGCACTTTGTTTGAAACTGAGGCTTATTGGATATTAAATTATAGGAGCCGCTATCCCATTGACTGATTTTTTTTTGTGGGGGGAGTAATCTTCTCACCCACATGAAAGTAAGGAATTCTTCCAAAAGCACTTAAGTACTACTATTAAGGGAACTCAAAGAGGTCATTTACAAAATAGCTTATTTACCCTTCCCACCAAGAATTTGTTGCTTTAATTGAGGGGAGAGGTTTTTTGAGAATTGGCTGGCCTGGCATTAAGCTAAAATTATTTGCTTTCCATCTTACTCCTCCTTTCCCTTTACCTTATCTGGGGTTTTACTTTATTAATTAAATTGAAAATTGTAGCATGAGTTTTTGGTTAAAAAAAAGTTCGAAAAATACCCCCCAAAATGTAGTGAGAAGAAAATCATTTGAATTCCTATCCCCCCAGGCTTCTAGTTCTCTTTTCTAAAGACAGACTCTCAAACAAGCTCTTTCTGTTTTCCTAAGTTATGTCTAATTAAGTATATTTTACTATCTAGCTGCCTCTTTTTATACACATGGCACCATATTATTCTGTGTCGTACCCTTTCTTTTTCACTTAATATTTCTTAAAGATGATTACCTATCTGTGTAGAGATTTACTTCATTCCATTTACATTTTAAAATATTGATAAAACATATTTCTAGTGCCTGACATGTGGCCAGATCCCAGAAGATGAGTTTAGCAAAGAAGACCACATGAACCATCCCAAAAGTCCTGTTGCTTCTAGGCTCAGGAATCCAGGGACCCCTTCCTATTATGTGAGCTTCCTGGGTGAGTGTTTTATAGTGAAATCATATGTCAAATTGTGATTCTCAGATGACCTTCCCAGTCTGGCTTAGAGGAGAGGGTTGTCGGGGGAGGTCCTGGGAAAGCCGACTTGCCTTGAGATTGTCTTCTTGGCTGCTGGGTGAAGCTGCACTCCTACTCTGAGATTTCTCCAAGGAGACATTGGGTTTTCCTGGCAGGCAGGGCTTCAGGCTACTCAGCGGAATGTCTATGGTTCTGTAGCTTCAAGAGGAGCCAGGAGGCTGAGCTTCCAAGCCAAGGGAAACACTGCTTCAGACTCAAGACCACGATTTGGCCGAGACCACGGGGCCTGCTGAATTTAGGAGAGGACTCTCTCATACCCCTTCCTTACTCAAACCACTCTTTGATGGAAGTGACATAAGAAATCTACTTTATTCACCAGCACACAGCAGTTGCTTGGGTGAAATGGACTCCGGTCCCATTTTGGTACAATAGGAAAGGCAAGTGCCTCCCTCTCTATCTGGGAAGAAAGGAGAAGGAAGCCAGAGTGGAAATCAGACATCTCAAGTCTTAGCAGCAGTCTTGGTCTGTGCTTAGACAAATAATCTCAAGGCGACCCAAATCCCCTGTTCATTGTGAAAACAGACAGTGCCAGAGTGAAACAGAATTAAATTGTTTCTCTTTCATGGCAGCTGACGTGTAAAAACCATTCTATTCCGACCTTGTGGTCAGAATATCCTGACACCTCATAAATTATCTTAAGGGGTCAGGGCTCAGGGAGGTTTGGGAAGGCTGCGAGTCCACACTGCAGTCAGCGTTCTGCACCGCACAGCAGCAGCGGGAGCACCTCCTTCCTGGTCTTTCCGATAGGCAGATACCAATGTGTAGGATGTGGAGGAATGTAGTGTCCTCAGAGCCAGTTTTTATGAGTTGGGACAAGCATTTTTCCCTCCTTTTATGTTTGTAGGACTTGTATGGCCACAGCAACTACTCTCATGAAGGTTTTTAAGGAAGTGAGAAAAGCACAGTGATAGCCTCCATATCAGACAGAGATTCTAGGGTGGTTTTGTCTTAGCAGAAAAAAAGACAGGGGAGGGATGGAAACAATAGAGACATATACTTACACAAGATGAAGAACTAGAGAGAAAAAAATGAACCAAGGAGACAAGAGAAAGGAAGGTGGAAAGGGGAAACGTGGGTGGCAGGAAGAAAATTTTTCTTGATTCAGATATACACCCCAAAGCGTGCACACACACACACACACACTTTCTCACACACTCTCACACACACACACAGTCTCTCTGTCACACACACACACACACATGCCTCCTCAGCAGAGTGGAACTCTTGGACTTCTCTGCCTCCTGGTGAGTTTCTTTTAGCCCACACATTCATCTGTGCCTTACACACAGTAGGTGCTCCATAAATGTTTGCCTAGTGGTAACATCCACAGATTGGTCCCCAGAGAGGGAAACAGATTTATTTTGGAAAATTCCAAGTATGTAAAGCAAAGTCCTTTGGAGCAAACAGTATTCCTATAGCCTGAACCACCATAAGGTTGAAAGAATCTGGGTATTTGTGGGTGTGTCTGGACATATTGTGTGTGGGAGTGTGAGTGGGTGGTCTGGATGGGTGGGTAATAAGTGACAGGAGGGCCCTTGAAAATATAAAGGGCTCCATAACTACTGTAAAAATAAAACTGGGAATAGCATGCCCAGACCTCCAGTCATGCGGTGACCAAACCTGACCTTGGCAGAGATGAATAAATTTTGGAGATGGATTCAAAAATTATTAGCCAATGTTTTTGGTCCCTGTGGGCTTTTATTGTTTCTTTTTTAAAGAACAGCTGGGCGGGTTTTTGGCAAGGCAA
The DNA here is from genome assembly GCF_000001405.40 of Homo sapiens. NCBI lineage: Eukaryota > Metazoa > Chordata > Mammalia > Primates > Hominidae > Homo > Homo sapiens. The sequence continues at coordinate 170,215,404 of NC_000001.11, forward strand.
ATGACTGCCACAGCCTGTAGAATTCCAGAGCCCTTCCAAGCTTTTTCTAGATTCTTTTGTATTAATGCTTTTTTATTTCTGGTTCATTATTTTCCTAATGGGATATGTCTTCTGGCTCACCCCTTGGACAAAGGATATGCTTTCTCACTGTCTCTGCTCTTAATTTCTTCCTTTATGGAAATTTTGTCTTGAGGACATAATTATGATCAGAAATACATTAGAAGTGTATTGTTTTTCCTAATTGTGTCATCCCATTCCTGATATCAGCATCTCTTAAGCATCACTGACTAGTAAAGAGATGAAGTTATTAAAACAAGCCACGTCATGGATTGACGATCCTTCTCCCAATTCCTCTGGCCTGGAGAAACAGAAAAGAAGATTCAAGGCAGAAGACAGTTAAAACCATGTTCACATCAGGCTTCTAAATAGGTTGCAGTATATGATTTTCTTTTCTTTTCTTTTCTTTTTTTTTGAGATGGAGTCTCGCTCTGTTGCCCAGGCTGGAGTGCAGTGGCGCGATCTTGGCTCACTGCAAGCTCCGCCTCCCGGGTTCAAGCAATCCTCCTGCCTCAGCCTCCCGAGTAGCTGGGACTACAGGCGCCCGCCACCACGCCCAGCTGATTTTTTTTTTTTTTTTTTTTTTTTTTGTATTTTTAGTGGAGACGGTGTTTCACCGTGTTAGCCAGGATGGTCTCGATCTCCTGACCTCGTGATCTGCCCGCCTCAGCCTCCCAAAGTGCTGGGATTACAGGCGTGAGCTACCGCGCCCGGCCGCAGTATATGATTTTCTGCAGCTGTCCCAGTGCGCAAACGCATGCTCATTGGAATGTTCATTGTAATGGTAAAGGGAGGCAGGGCAAAAGGAAGAATTGATGGGATACAGAGGGAAATCCTATACTATCCATACCACAACTGCTGATACCTGGCAAGTCTGAGTTGGTATATGTATGTCTTCATACATATATCTACTAATATACCATAGCAAGCTCTGTGATATGTAATTTAGATTTTTTTTTTAATTAGAGAAATAGCAGTTCATGAGGTTGGTAACATATCTTTAAACGTTGTGGTTATTTGGGGGTATTAGGTGGTAAGTCTTAGAAATAAACTTTCTTAGATGTTGGAGATTACATGCTACAGGTTTAGACATTAAGGAGTGTCATAAAACTAAAATTTTCTCTAAAAGTACATTGATAACAACCTTCATACTATATCCCTATTTCCTTTATACATCTTTTGAGGTTTACCTAACCATTCCCCAACTAATCAGCCTAATTCTTGATTCCATACAGTCACCTCCTTCTTGTAATTGCTGTGTACATTTGTGTGTATTTGTGTTGATTTTGTATGTTTTATTTCTTTCCCATTAGACCATAATCTCATTGGGGATAGGAATCAGTACATTTTTTTTTTTTGACCCAGGGTCTCACTCTATTACTCTGGGCTAGAGTGCAGCATCGGGATCTCAGCTCACTGCAGCCTTGCCCTCTGGGGCTCCGGCAGGAATCAGTAATCTTTATTCTGTATCCCCAAGTGCCTGGGATTATTTTGTAAATCCTATGCATAGTCAATAAATGAAGAACATATTCTACTCTCAGAGGAGCAATTTAATGCTAGGTTGGCTTGTTTTACTAACTTCCATCTCTTTTCTAGTCAGTGATGCTCAACAAATGCTGATATCAGCGATGGGATGACACAATTAAGAAAAAAATACACTTTTAAAATTATATAATTCTCTTCCAAGTCAAGAGTAAATTGCCTATTAATTTTCCATGGCTTTGTAGGTAGCAAAATGGCATTTAGACTGCAGGTATACATTTCTGATTATAAGCAATTATCCATCTTTTAATCAAATATAAACTATCTAGTTAGTAAAGATTTTAAAGTCAGTTTCTCTTGAGGTGTTCTTGTTAATTCCTCTTGGAACATTCTATTGGACCGCCCACTATCATCATCTCCTAAATTTTAAGCCTGGTCCCATAGTCCAAAGGACCACACATGGACAATCAACTGAATATATTTGACCTATTTCTGAACAAGGTTCTATGTACTCCGACACCATTAACCAAAACGACTGACTCTAAGTTCTAGTCCTTATAAAATGCAAAATCGCTGCCCTAGCTCGTTACTTCAGTCCTCTCCTCAAAATCTTTTGCTGGATTGCAGACTGATTCATGCTTCAGCTCCTTTTCTCCCACTGTAATATTTGGCTATGTGGGTCCTAGACACACTGCAAAATGCATTCTACAGCTTTCCTCCTCTTCTCTCTGGAGATCCAGCATGTCTCCCTTGGCATATCACCAAACTGCTTCTGTGTGCTGTTCTCTCTCTCTGCATTACTACCATCCATCCTGAGCTTAGTTCTCTTAAGAGACTCCCTTTATTCAGCTGTCTTTGTGGAAAGAACTACTGAATGAATTTAGAATGAATTGCCAATTAATTGGTAATGATATATTTTGGAAATATGTGCTCCTCATTCTATCTCTTGGAATATAAGATCTTCATCCCAGTGCTTCAAATTCATTCATCTATCTGTTAGCCTGGGAGAAAACTATAATTTGTTTTATAAGGAATTCAACCAGATAGATAGGAATTAGTCAGATTCTAACATACAAGATAGATTTTGAACAAAACAATAGGCTTGAGAGGCAGCCAGGCATTGTTGAGAAAGTTTGTTCCAAATAAATTATTTGCTCCTTTGGTATATGAACAACTTAGCTTGAAGTGCTCGTTCTCTGAGAACACCCCTCTAGCATAGAGAAGATGACTCTTCTGCTACAATCCCCAGGCGAGCTCCATGGCCGCAGAGGGTAGTAAAAGAAAAGCCCGCCCCTCTTTTGGCTCTAGGGATTGTGAGATAAAGCGGGTGGGAGAGTAAATCAGTGAAGCAATCGAACATCTCTCTCCCCATTTACTATAAGGTAAATAGTAAGCTCCAAGAAGCCGGTTAGGACTTGGGAGGTGGCCAGCTTACAGGCTGCCCTAAACTAACCTGGGTCACAGTCAAATCAACCAGAGAATGTAGTGAGCTCAGGCAGAAGAAACTCTGAGGTCATCCTTTCCTGAGGCATGCTTGGTTCCCTTGTGCACAGACAAATTCCAGAAAGAACTGGAAATCTGGTTAGGAAACTTGGCAAAGTGGGTGTCACTGTATTGGGGAGGGTGAAACAATTCTGTAGCAGGAGTTGCAAGGCAGAACCCTCGAACTAGGGCCTAATGATAGTCACAGCCAAACCTCATAAGGGTCTCTAACACCAATAGGAGCTGAGGTGAGGCAGAGCCAGCCAAGGGTCACTGCTGAGCCCTGCCAAGCCCAAGCTAAGACCTACTAGATGGAAAGTTAAACTGACCACAGACCTCAGCTGTTGTATGCCAGTGAGGCAGGCAGCACCTGTATTGACAAAGATGGTACCCCAGAGACACAGGGAGGGGGACGTTGCTCCTGAGAACCCTGACTCTTCCTTTATGGACTTTGAGGTCCCACCAGTCATACTCCTCTTCCTTGTTCATTCATGTATCACTGCCTTTAACCCAAGGCTGAAAGGCTTTCAAAGAAATTAGAATTTTTTTAACAAAAAATATGTTAAATACTTCTTAAAATAGACTGTTTATATTATGGATCAAACTGAATTCCTAAGTTTAACTATATTTTTGGTAATTTTTTCTCACCTACCTTTTGAGAAACCAGATTGTTTACTGATAAAATAGTAAACCTTACATTTTTTGGTCTTCTCATTTGCTCTTCTCATTTAGTGACTCATGCCACATAATGACTGGCAGTAGCTGAATAGTTAGCCTTTCCTAGCCTATGAATATTTTAATAGGTCATTCTGAGGGGTCCAACTTTGTATACTGAAGGACTTAATTTTAAGGTTTAGAAAAGTTGTTGGCAAACTATAGCCCACCGGCCAAATCCAGCCTACCGTCTGTTTTTGTAAATAAAGTTTTATTGGAACACAGTCATGATCATTTGTTTACATATTGTCTCTGGCTGCTTCAGGGTTATCATGACAGAGTTGAGTAGTTGTGTTAGAGACCATATGGCTTGCAAAGCTGAAAGTGTTTATTATCTGGCTTTTTATAGGATGTTTGTCAACCCCTGACGTAGAATAATGCATGGTTTTATTGAGCATCTTGTCCAGTGCCCTTTCTGAACAGATGAGGCCGCTGAGGCCTAAGAATTTAAGGTACACATCCAAGATCACACAAAATGTAAGGGGAGAGATCAGGATAACAAACGGTGGAGTTTTAAACATGGTGAAAAGCAAGTGGGGGAAATCTGTACAGAGTTGAGGTCTTTTGAACAGTCTCATCTTAAATAATGCTCCTGAGATTGCATGATTAATATGAAAAAGCATACTAACAAACCCAAGAGGAAAATAAAAATAATAAATGAAAATCCCCTTCAACCTGTGAAATCACCTGGATTTTATGACAGTGGAAAAGACTCAGTTCAATTAGTGGCTCTGTGCCCCCAATACCCATAAAACCTGCATTTTGGGACATTCATATGTTCTTGTTATATATTAGATAAATGAGTCCCCAAAGAGGCTCTAGTGTATCAAGTTACTCAGTTTAGAGATTTGGGAAAGAACCTAAAAAATTGATTACCAGACTCCAAAAGGAGACTGCAACAACTAGGGGCTGGGGGTTGTCTATAACACTGATCTTTTCTAAAAGGCTGTCAGAGAAACAAGGGCTACATGATTTAGTGCCACCTCCCAGGCTCTTGGAGAAACACTGAGGAACAGAACACAGACTGGTTGCCACGTTGCTATCTCTGTCTTTCATTCCACTGAAGAGTCCTCTCTACCTGCTTTCATTTTACTTCCTAACCTCATGTTCACTTTTTACCCCCTGTAGTTAGGAGGTGGCCCTGCCACTCCATTGAAATAGGGAGGGTTTTTCAGCCCTCACCTCATTTGACCCCTCTGAGATAGCTGACATTTTTGCCCACGCCCTTTTGAATAATGTTCTTTCCTCCCTTGGCGTCTCTAATGCCGTGTTCATGTGATTCTCCTGACTTGTTGCCACTCACCAGCCTCATCTTTCATCTGTCCTCCATTCTCAGAGGTGGGCTATTCCTCAGGGTTATGATTTCTATCTTATTTCCATCTCATATATTCATCTAGGAAATTTATTTATGCTCAGAGCTTTAACTACTAGCTAACTGGGGTTGTCTCCCAAATCTGTTTTCAGTCCACGTGTCTCTTCTGAACGATAGCATTTATTTCCATGTGTCCACAGAACACCTGTAGTCAATGTGCTACGAGTATCTCAAACTCATAAAGTCCAAAGTTGAAACTATAATCTTTCCCCTACACCTGATACCTTCTCTGGTATTCTAAATTTACTAACCATCTACTCAGCTCTCTCCAGTGACTCCCTGGATCTATAAAGAATGAAGTTTCTAAATTCCACAAAGCCTTCCATGACCTGACTCAGGCTAGCCTTCTTGTATACTTGGTCTCCATTCTGCAGACCCTTGCTTTCCTCATTACCTTATTTCTGTCCCTTTATTCTCCTTGGAATCACTTCCCTGTTGTTAGTTCAATAAGCATCTATTCAACTTCCAAGATTCAGTTCAAGCACTGCTTTCTCTGTAATCACCCCACAAGATACCGGGCACTAGAACAGGAAGGCCAGAATCCTTACTTCCTCACCTTTGCACTTTGAAGAGCTCTGGAATTCATCATCCTGACAGAGCAACTATGTGGCAGCAACCTGCTCCTTTTGGGCAAGGCTCTAGCTGACTGCACAGTTTGTTGTGGAATTTTCCAGTTCTCCCACCCATCTGGGATTATCTTACTAGCCTTGCTTTAATAACTGCGGGCCAAGTGAGTGGTAATTCTTGGAGTAATTTTGACAGAGTGTTGTCAGTGAACATTCTTCTGGAGAAAACAACGCAATAACTGGAATGGGGACAGCCTGGTTAGGAGCAGAGTATAGCACATTATTCAGCACTTAGTACATTACAAAGAGGTAGCATAGTGGGGTTAAAGAGCATGGAGTCTGGAGTCAGAAGGCCTGAGTTTGAATTATGGCTCAGCTACTTACTAGCTTTGTGACTCTGGACAAGTTTGTTAGCCTCTTAGTGCCTCAGTTTCTTCATCTGTAAAACAGAGATGGTGATAATAGTACCCCCCCCCCGATAGGATTGTGGTGAAGGGTGTGTGTGTGTGTGTGTGTGAATATGTATATGTATATATGTGCACACTCATATGTTTCTTGGAATAATGCATACTATTTAATGTGTTACCTCTTACTATTTTTAGCTTGTTAGGTGACGAAGGGGAAAACCAAATTCAGTAGCCTTGAGAAAGATCATTTTCAAACAGAGGGTTGAGTAGTCTCCCTCTTTCACACCAGTAAAAACAACCAAACTCTCAACTCTCCAATTAAACTGCACACTGAATATCAAGCCTATATACCTTGTGTTTGTTTAGTCCTTTATACTAGGCAAATAACTTTCATTTACTGGTATATTGGGTTGCAGTAAAAGCAAGAAAAGAATAAACAGACTTTTGAACATACAATTCTTTTTTTTATGTGCCAATACTTTGATGAATATCTCCTTAAATAGTTTGAAAAGCAATTATAGGAACTTCAAACACTAGGGAGTTTCGAACACTATTAACATGAACCACTGTGGACCTCAGTATACATGATCTCTATGGCATTTGCTCCTCACAACCACCAAATCCCAAGAGATAGCATATACAGGTTTATTGCCCTCATTTTCAGTACAGGAAAACAATAAAAAATTAACATACAAGTTCTATTTTCTGACTCCCTGTCTGATGTGCATTCCATTGTTCTTTTAAAAAATTTTAACTTTGTTTTACCTGTATAATATTTTTTTAAAAAGTCGGGCTGTGCTGAATCAATTCGTACCCTAGAGAGTCTATCTAGAGGCCCTCAGTGCCCTTCTGATAACTTTTTCCAGATTTCAGAAATTTTTATCATAATTTTTATATCTTCACTGTTACTGATGGTGACCAAGAACCCTAGTGGTGCAAAAGAAACTAAGGAGAGCTAGGGGATAACAAGAAGTAGAAAATAGTGCAACAAAGAAAACAGATGTATTATCTATTTGCCTGTTGCTGCTTAGCCAATGCTTTGTTGTATGGCGTTACTACGTCTGTGTATCTACTTCTCTCTATTTCTAGCACCACCAACTACTCTGTTCCATGCTACCATGATGTCTTGCCTGAATTGCCATGATATCTTCCCAACTGATCTCCCTAAGACCACTCTGACACACTTATAATATATTCTCCAATTTGTTGCCAGATTTACCTTTTCAAAATACAAATCTGAGCATGCCCCTCTTCTTTATTTAAATCCCTTCAGTGGATTTCTTTTGGTCTTGGATAAAAGCAAAATTCCTCAATGAGGGCTATAAGACACTGCATCATCTGGCCCCACCTGCTTATGGTAGAGATTGCAAGCTGTTCAGTAATGCCTATTCCTCTTGTTCCTGTGACAGATAGTTTACAGTTTCCAGATTCCCTTATTGTTAGTACCTAGCCCATAAATACCTTCAGTGTGCATTACTCATGATCTTGCCAGGTGACTTCAATGGCAATACTCATGATGAAAGCCGCATCTTGAAGATAAAGAGTAGTATCAGCATGAATCTCTGAAGTGGATCCCCAAGGATCTTTCATTACCATCCTTGACCTGTGGTTTCTTGGAAGGTTATGTGCGAAAGAAATGCATACTTATTATAAGCTATTATGGGGTCTATTTGTTGCTGCAGGCAAGTCTACCATAATTAATATGTCGTATCTTCTGTCTCATCTATCCACAATACTGCCCATGCCTCATTTCTCCACATCAGCTGAATAAATCTTTCAGTTCCTCATCCTTGCCATGCTCCTTTATCCCAGGGGATCTTTGCATATGCTATTAACCCTCCCATTAATACTTTCTGGTTAAATCCTTCTCATCGTTCAGGTCTCAGCTCAGGTATAACCACTTCCTGGAAGCCCTCTCTGAACTCAAGTCCCACTATTAGGCTCATCTCTTCATGTACTTTTCCATAGATCTTGTGATGGTTGTGACTATGCATTTGTGTTTGTGCTTATTTAATTATCTTATGCTCCTTCACTAGAGTGTAAATCCATGAGGGCAAGGATGGTGTTTGTTTGGCTTATTTAGCATCTATATAGTGCCTTGACATAGAGACAATCAGTAATATTTGTTGAATGAGTGAGTAAGATTGTGGATTTTTATCATTGAGAAAAAAATTTTAAAATACTTTAAAGTAAAATTTATAGCTGTAAGTTGTGATGCAAAAATATTTTTTCCCAACATATAATATTATTTGGATACTTTGTGTTTAAAGGCTTTTAGTAATTGCTGACATGTCCTAAGATCATAATTTCAGGAAAACAAAGAGATTTGATGTGACAGCTCTTGAAGTGGCAGCGCTTTAGCCAGCTGCAATGGTTTATCTTACTTGGCCTCAGCATTTTACTTTCCCTGATAGTTGATAACCAAATGCAATTTATGAACAATATATTTCTTCCTGAAGAAACTTCTTGTTTGGGAAAAAATACTAGGTATATTAGTCCATTTTCATGCTGCTGATAAAGACATACCCAAGATTGGGTAATTTATAAAGAAAAGAGGTTTAATGGACTCACAGTTCCACGTGGCTGGAGAGGCCTCACAATCATGGTGGAAGGCAAAAGTCACATCTTACATGGTGGCAGGCAAGAGAAAATGAGAGCCAAGAAAAAGGGGAAACCCCTTATAAAACCATCAGATCTTGTGAGACTTATTCACTACCACGAGAACAGTATGGGGGAAACCGTCCCCATGATTCAGTTATCTCCCATCAGGTTCCTTCCACAACACGTGGGAATTATGGGGGATATTATTCAAAATGAGACTTGGGTGGGGACACAGCCAAACCATGTCACTAAAGAAAGAAATATACAAAGAATAAGTTATATTCTGCCTGTAGTTTAGTGTAGTGAGGGTAGAAAGAGGATGGGCTTTGGATGAAATAGATCTGGGATCTTGGTCTCTAGTTAGGGTTGTAAGATATGTAACTCTATCCCTTGCGACCCTTCAGACATGCTTATTCTAAAGAAATATTTATTGTTTGAAATACATATTTAACTAGTTATCTTGTATTTTTATTTGCTAAATCTGGCAACCCTATTTCTAGTTCTCCACTTACCAGAGGTTGGATAGGAATTTTACCTTGAGAGGATTAAGCGGGATACACTATTTGAAATGCTTAGCATAGTGTCAGACACTATGTGCTGACACTTAGTGTTCCAAAAATATTTATTCTTTTTTAGATTCCACATGTAAGTGAGCTCATGTAGTATTTGTTTTTCTGTGTCTGGCTTATTTCACTTAGCATAATGTCCTCCAGGTTCATCCATGTTGTCACAAAAAAGTCAAACTCAAAGAAATAGAGAGTAGAATGGTGGTTACCGGAGGCTGGTGGGGATGGGAGGGGTGATGGAGAAAGGGGAGATGTTGGTCAAAGGGTATAAAGTTTGAGTTAGACAGAAGGAATAAGTTTTAGTAACCTATTGTACAGCATGATGACTACAGGTTGCATATTTCAAAACTGCAAAAAGAGTAGATTTTAAATGTTCTTACCACACAAAAATGATAAGTACATGAGGTAATGGATATGCTAAATAGGTAGATTTAGTCATTCTACAATGCATGTATATATGAAAACATCACATTGCACCTCATATTTATATAGTTATTTGTCAACTAAAAATGAAATGAAATAAAAACATTTCAAATGAAAGAATAAAAGGCAGAATTAACAATATTTAAAAATTTTATGCTTATTACTAATATATGTAAAAAATGAAAGTTACTTTTGTTACAATAATGGATCCCATTATTTGTAAACATCGGAGCTACCATTGTGTGCCATATTCTATACCATGTGTTGTTCTAAGAAGCCGTTTACATGTATTATTTTATTCATTTTTTTTCAATGATCCCATAAAACAGATATGACATTATCTCCACCATGCAGATGAGACACAGAGAGTTTGGGTCACGGCCGACATCACACTGCTTACGGTGGTGCAGCCTCAGATCCCACTGTCAGACTCCGGAGTCTGCTTCTTCACCACCAAGCCATAATTTCTGCCTGTGACAAGCAAGGCCGGGTCCATTATGGATGAGCATCCTTTCATATTTGACAGGACCACTTCCCCTTAGCCCCTTTGTAACCCCGGGGCATTGGTGATGCTGTCCACCTGGTAAATCAACCATCCCTTTTGCACCCAGAGCTGATTTTATAGAAATCTAAATACACTTCACTAGGTTTACATGTTAACACTAAAAGAAAAAGAATGTTCTCTGTTTGCCTTTTAGTTGAGGCAACATTTTGGTTTTATAGGCTTGTTTTAGTAAGTAATTATTCTGGTAATGCCAAGGCCTCCTTTATTGAGTCATAAATGCATCCTGGACAACTCAAAATAACAAGCAGGCCTTTTCCTTTGGGCCTAGCAGGCACACACTGTTTAGCTAGATGTGAGTTGGCTTGCCTGCCTCTGCAGGTTTCTCTTTCTCTCTGGAAAGCTCCTATGAAACCATGTGAAGGGGGGAAAGAGGATCAGATAATTGGGATCTTTAAGATGGTTATTATGAAAAATGTTCTGGAACCAATTCAAATACCAATCAGAAACCACATTGTTCTACTAAATCACTTTCAGATGCCATATAAGACACAAAATACAATTATTTCCAGTTTAAAAATATAATGTTCCTTTAAAAAAAAAACACAACATTTTATTTTATTATTTAAAAAAAAAATCTACCTTGGCTGGATTTCAGGCCCATCACAGATGATGTACAGACAGACTTTGTGCCTTTCCCTTTGGATTCGGAGCCTGTAGACCTCACTGTAATGTATTTAAAAGTTCCTTAAAATGGATGTGACAGCTGTTTTCTTTGTGTATTACAGAAATATACAGAGTTCAGAGGCTCCATGGCTACACTTTGGGCATGTATGTCATTACAGGAATGAAAAAAAGATGATGGCCAAATGCTGTATTAAAATCCCATTAGAAATGCCGGGAGAAATTTATGGCCCCAATCTCTTTTATCTGACAGGTATCAGTTTGGTGAAAGTTTTCTTTCTTGCCCTTTTCTCTCCCTCCCTTCCTCCCTCCCTCCCTCCCTGCCTTCCTTCTCTCCTTCCCTCCTTCCCTCCCTTCCTCTCTCCTTCTTTCCATTTCTTCTTCCTTTCCTCCTTCTTTTATTACCTTCCAATTCCCTACTTGACCACAGAATATCTGAGTGTTGTCTTTACCACTGAAAAGGCAATATTTTCAGATTTCTGTCAATATTTGCTTCTCCTCCTTGTTTTATACGTTAGACACCTTGAGGTCCCTTTCCCAGATATTTTCTCCAGCTGAGGATTCATTGAGTCCATGATAGTTTGTCTGAGCCATCATTACTGTGATGAGGAGTAAGGAGTTAACACACCATGTGACCTCAGGAATAATTTCTGTTACAGCAGTTCCCATGTGATCCATCAGGCTCTGAACATGAATTTTAATGGGCTCAGAACCACTTCTCTACCCTGAGGTCACAGGCTGTCAGAGTGAATCTTCCACAAACTGATTGGAACCTGAAGAATTTGCTCTGTCAAGAGAGGTATGGATTTTTGCCTTCAGACCTCTAGGACATGCTGTCACCCTCTGTGGAACAAGAGGGAAATACCAAACCATTACTTTGTTAAGTATAGAGTTACTTATGGATTAACATGGGACACCTCAGCTCACAAAGTTGCTACAAGATCTGACAATAGGAGCAATAGGAGCCTGGAGGTCTCATTCTGGTCTGGCTTTGCCACTTACAAGCCATGTGGTCATGGACAAGTTGCTTTATCTGTAGGTTCAGTTCATTTAATGGTAAAAGGAGGACTGGCTTTGAAAATCTCTGATTTTGTGGAACTAACCCAATGGGGGCAGATAGGAAGATGAAATATTGCGGTGAGATAGTGTCACCAAGGATACACAACAGGTTTTTTCCCCAAATGTTAGTAGGGAAAAAAGAATAAATAACTCTATACTTCAGGGAACTCAGAGTCACTGATAACACCTCTGTTCACTTATCTAACATTTTGTTCATCTCTATTTACCAGCCTAAAAGCCATTTAAGGCCAAGGATGGGCCACTCACCTCTGTATCCTCACCTTTATGCCTGTTTGTCATGTGTAGGAAAAAAGGCATAAACCTTAGGTGGTATGGAGAATGAGGAAAGGGGAGGAGAAGGAGAAATCCAAAAGATAGGTGGAAAACCATGGGAGCAAATCAAGGCAGGAAATCAGAGAAATCAAAGCCAGAGAGCATCTCAGGAAGAGCTGATGGCTACCAGCACTGAATACCACAGGTAGGCAAAAACATGCTGCAGAAAGGCTGAGCAAAAGGCCCTGCAGCTGGGGAATATCAGTGGTCAGGCTATGGAGACTAGAATAGTTCCTCTGTTGTTACTTCACCTTGCAACTTAAAAAAATATATACAGGCTGGGCACAGTGGCTCACACCTGTAATCCCAACACTTTGGGAGGCTGAAGCAGGAAGACTGTTTGGGCCCAGGAGCTTGAGACCAGCCTAGACAACATGGTGAAACCCTGTCTCTACAAGAAATACAAAAAAATTAGCTGGGGGTGCTGGAGCATGCCTGTATTCCCAGCTATTAGGGGGGCTGAGGTGGTAGAATCACCGGAGTCTGGTGGGTTGAGGCCGTAGTGAGCCGTGATCACACCACTGCACGGCAGCCTGGGAGACAGAGTGAGACCCTGTTTCAAAAAACTTAATCTACGTATATATACAGAAATGGGCTTTTATGTTTTCATTTTTATAAATTGGGAAATTTTATACATATATTTCTCTATATCTTGCTTTTTTACTTTTCAAATGCTGTGAAATTCCTCCAGGTCATTTGGGAGAGATCTAAACTCTCTAACTCAATATTTTTTAAAGCAATATTTGACAAAATTTGTATATATTCAAGATGTATAACATGATAGTGTGTTATACATAAACATTGTGTAATGATTACCACAATCAAATTAAAGAGCACATCCATCATCACCCATAGTTACCATTTGTATGTGTGTGTGTGTGTGTGTGTGTGTGTGTGTGGTGTGCATAATAAGGACACTTAAAATCTGATCTTTTATCTAATTTCAAATAAATAATCAAAAAGTAAAAGCATTATTATCTCTAGAAAACAGGAAGACAGCACTGTCACTTAAGGTTGAATAAACGAAATATTGAAGAAGTTAATTTCACCAAACATTACACAGTAATAGAAGATAAATGTCGTGAACTCAAAATATCTGAGAGAGGTCTCAGTCAAGTTAGAAAGTTTATTTTGCCAAGGTTAAGGATGCACCTGTGACACAATCTCAGGAGGTCCTGACAACATGTGCCCAGGATGATTGGGGTACAGCTTGCTTTTATACATTTTAGGGAGACGTGAGACATCAGTCAATATGTGTAAGATGTATATTGGTTCGGTTGGGTAAGGCAGGACAACTTGAGATGGGGACTTCCAGGTCATAAGTAGACAAGAGACAAAGGTAGCATTCTTTTGAGTCCTTGATCAGTCTTCCACTGAATACACAGCTGAGTCTGGCTCCATGAATCTGCATTTTTACATAAGCAATAGGGCAGAGGAAGTAATCAGATATGTATTTGTCTCAGGTGAGCCTCAGAAGGATGACTTTGATTTCTTTCTGACCTTTGTCCACAAGGAATTTCCTTGCTGACAAATTGTGAGGGAGATATGTAGCTTTTTATCTTTGTAGCTATCTTATTTAGAAATAAAATGGGAGGCAGGTTTGCCTGACATATTTCCTAGCTTGACTTTTCCCCTGGCTTAGTGACTTTGGGGTCTTGAGATTTATTTTCCTTTCACAGTGTCAAATCTATACTCCTGATGTGTCTTTTAGTTCCCACTCCCTTTAGACTATATTACACACTTCTTACTGATGTGACATGGGCTACTTAGTGAACAGGGGCAGAATGGTCCAGTAATTGGCTAAGAGTACGTCAAGATCCAGCAGATTGATGTACACAGCACCATAGGCTTACTTCCCACAACATCCTTGAATGAAATAAAAGGAAAAATCCAAACTACTTGGTAGTAAAGAATTGGAAAAAATAGCAGAAGATTAGAATAAGTAGTAAATGACAAATGGGAAAAATGAATACTTGATGAACATTATGTTCAAATGACTATCTCAGCAGAACATTCTTTATCTACAGAAAGGATTGGCTTAAGTAAAGCTATTATGATGGTATTAAATGCTAACTTCAAATTAGAGACCAACTCCAAAACAGAAAAAGAAAATGTTTTTAAGCAGTACCCTTTATATAATCTGGTATCGGTTTTGAGGAATAACAGAGTACATTCTGAGAAAAAAAAATTGGAAACACCTAAAGGGTAAGGAAATCATGAACCAGAAGTATGGATTTCTGCATTACAAATTGTATCAGATTCTTTTTTTGGATAATAGTTAATAACACTCGTGAGAAAAAAGTAGAGTAGATGTTATTTATTAGAGTTTTTATAGACTATCTGGTTTAGAAATTGCAAAATTATATTTTTAATTTATTTTGAGTGTTAGTTCCAATTGGCAGAGACTAAAATATGTTGCAAAGACTGCTTGTAGAAGAACCAAGAAAGGAAGAATTCAAGGTGTTAGAGTTTAAGAAGCAATATGTTTTACATCTCTTTCTTATAAACATTTTCATTGCTTCTCTGAAAGAAAAATAAATTGGAACATTAATGAAATTGGCATTTAAGTCCTTAGTTTGAGAATGTTAGTGAACACTAAAAAATTGGCAGAATTGAGAGATGAAATTATTTCTCTTCTTTCTCTGGATTTTAGGAGAGATCAGAAGGAGAAAAATTATTTATTCATTTATTCACTCAAACATTTCTTTCTCCATGGTCACATTGGTGCCATAATAAATGCAACACAAAGATGTAAAAAGAAAATAGCTATTCTTTATTATTTAAATTATCCTCATCTTAATTTTCTTATCTGTAAAATGGAGATTATAACCACTAATTCTGAGAGTTATTGTGAGCATTAAATGTGATGACCTATGTAAAACAGCACAATGCTTAGTGTACAGGAATGGTGTTAATAACAAACCTTATTGAGCACTTACTATGTGCTAGGTACTCTGTTAAATTTTTTGTATACATTTATTCATCTGATGCTCGTAACAACCTTATGGTGGATGGAATCATCTTAATCCCATTTTATGGTTGAAGAAACTGTTGTTTAGAGAGTTTAAGTAACTCGTCCAAGTTTGTAAGTAGTTTGGCTGAGGTTCAAACTTAGAGAGTTTGACTCCATTGCTTGTACCTGGGAGCTATTATGGTTATTACTTTAACTACTAGGCTAAGCTGAAATTGCAGCAATAGGAATTTAAATTCAGACATAACGTTCTTAACTATAGAGATTATGGGAAAAATGGAATGGAAGTTTTTAAAGTATGAAAATCCTGAGAGACTTTTAAGCACATCCCAGACATCAGTTGGGGTCCTACTATCCCTTGGAGACTTAGGTCAATTTGGTTTAAAATTTCAGTTTGGTACCAATACAAGTTTAGAGCTACTTCTACAATTTCTGTGAATTCTCAGTGGCGTCCTTCTTCAAGTTTTCTTTGTCTTAGATTCATCCTGCATCATCCAGACACAATTTCTACTTTCCCCAAGTATGTCATTAGTTTAGTGTTTTTACTGAAGATCTGAGAGGTTATGGGAGAAGTAACATCACACACAATATTGCTAACTTCCTGGCCTTATCTCCATTCTTCCTCATTTTACACAAGAGGAAATATGCTTGATAAACATGCTGATTTCAACCACCTTGTAACCGGGACCCCAGGCAGGATTCTTCCTATTGGCAGATAGGCTGATCATGCCACTGCAGGTGAGGAGACAAACCTCTTTTTCATCCATCTAGGTATTCTTCTTAAGCCTTGAATTTTCTTTCCATTAACAAAAGAAAAATAAAACCAGAATCATCAAAGCTAATGTAAGTCAATCCTCCAAGTAAAGTCCTCTTGAGAGGCCAAGAGGTCAAAACTAGAAACAGTAAGATTACATTAAAAGTTAGAAATGTTAGCCAGGCCTGGTAGCGAACCTGTAATCCCAGCTACTCTGGAGGCTGAGGCGGAGAATTGCTTGGACCCGGGAGGTGGAGGTTGCAGTGAGCCAAGATCGCGACACTGCACTCCAGCCTGGGCAACAAGAGGAAGACTCCATCTCAAAAAAAAAAAAAAAAAAAAAAGACAGAAATGTTTGTAAAGCATTCATTTGTATGGACCACAGTGAGGAGATTCTTTGCCACCTGATTTCCAGTTGGGTTGGGCCAAAGGGAAGCCCTGGCAGGAGATTGGAAAGAAGGAAGAGAACGGGGTCAGGTTGTTTATTTACTTCAGTCTCCTTTTTGGACACTAAGTGATCATTAACCTGAGGCCAGAAGGCCAGTCAGTCAACTCCAGGGAGAAAATTGGCAGAAGAGAGAACTTTGCAATGCTTTATGCTCCTGTGGATATATAAGCACATGTCAGTATAGCCAACTAAATATATAGCTTCCCTTAGTCTTGACACATGCAAAACTTTTTTTTTAATTCATGTTGAAAGGAATGTTAGAATGTTTCTTCTAACATTGTTAGAAGAATGTTAGAAACTAGTTTCTTCCTTACAAGGGAATTATCTTTATAATAGGCCCTCTTGCCTGCAGGCGATCTGTATGCAAGCAGATTGGTACAGAGAGATCTGTGTTCCAATTCAGGCTTGGTATCTACTAATTTAATGAAAGGAAGGTTTACAATAGTCAAATCATGTATTTACCAGTGCAATTCATCATTTAACATATAATTACTGAGTATATAGTTGTATCAGGCCCTGTGCTAGGCACTGAGAAAACAGCAGTGAACGACAAGCTCCCTACTTTCAGGGTGCTTACATTTCAGTGGCAACAAAAAAATCTGTAATATTCTAAGAGAAAAATAAGGCAGGGCAAGAGAACAAAGCATTATAGGGGAGGGGCTCCGAGATAAGGTGACATGTGAACAGAGATCTAAATAGAATAAGGGAGGGAGCCATGTGGAAATTTAGGGGAAGAGTGTCTTAGGCAGAGGGAACCGCCAGTTCAAAGGCTTTGAGACTGGAGTGTGCTTGGTGTGTTTCAGGAACAGAGCAGAAGCCAGAATGGTGGCTGGAGCTGACTGAGGCAGAAATGGGTAAAAGATGAGATCAGAGAAGTAACCTTTCCTTTCTAGCAAATTCACCTAATTTTCCTTTCTCTACTGGACTGTTGTGAAGTCTTAAAGTTTGAGGGCAGTGTTTATAAAAAGTGACTAATGGAATATTCCTCGTGTGAGAAGTCCTGATGGTTCTGACATGGGGTAGGGTTCACACCTTGTTTCCACATTTCTCTAGATTCCTTTCCCATCCTAGTAATAGGCCCAGCAAAAATTCATATTGTTCAAAAAGACTGAGAAATACTTTATTTTTAAGTCATAGCCTGATTTCTAATCAAGTGAATTTTTTTTGGCATGATTAGAAGTGAATTTCTTTAGCTCCAAATTAGTTTCCAGCCTTTATTTATTCCATTATGATTTATGTGGCCACGCATGCTTTCTGTAACCTTCCATTATTTCTTTGGATCCATGTTTTGGCCAGGGCAGTCAGTCCTACCCACCATAATATAAAGAACTCTTACAGATTTTTAAGGAAGTTTTTCACTTATAGAAAGTAATAAAAGTATTAATTTCCTTTTCAGATTATTTAAATGGCTCATAAAACAGCCTCATTTACTGAGCCTACATTTCCTTGTGTCCCAAATAACCAAGAGAGGGTGTATGGTCTAGGGCACTAAAGCATTTATGCACACTGGTGGTCTGAAAGGTTTAATGTCTCTTCCTGGAGTGATTAATTTAAAGCAGGGCAAGACTGGCTCAACATTATTATTTCATCTTAACTGCATCTGGAAATCCAGAGTGAGCCATTATTTAACTCTGTTGAAGAAAAAGAAATGCATGTTCATAATTCTTACCTATTATTAAAGCAATTCCTCCATTGTTCCTCATACCTAGGAGGCAAAGCTCATATCACCTTGAACAGGAGACAGGAAGTGGCAGAGTCATTTCTGTCTATTCATGAGGCAGGGACTTAGGGAGCAGAGTAATTGGAGTTTAGTTGAGGCATGAGGCTTCTATAATTTTATAAATTGAGCAAAAAGCTGATAATTTATTTCTAAAGAAAAAATAAATCCCAAGAATTAACAACTAAAAAAATTCGCCAATATTATAAACATCACAAAATGAAGAAAAATAGCATAATATTTTAAATTAATTAACTCTCTCACTTACCACTATGCATTCTTTTTACGTTTTTGACTGCATACTCTTTGATGAAACTTTCTTACTAATAAGATTCTGTAATATTTTATACAGAGAATATAAAGATATCTTAGTCTTTCCTTTAGCACAGTTGATTGAAATTTACTTTTTATTACTCATAGTTTAGATGACCAAAACTGTGGCTTACTATGGAGACTTATTTGCTGTTTTTCTCTACTGCTCCACGTTTGTGGTCTATCAAATAGGAATTTTGATAGTTCTAGTATTTCTTAGCAATGGTTTAGGTTCAGAAACACATGCTGAGAAAATGAGTTGTTGATTGTATGTATGGATAGAGAAAAACCTGGGATAGGAAAACCTGGGATAGTTCTTGATTGTATGTATGGATAGAGAAAAACCTGGGATAGGAAAACCTGGGATAGTTCTTGATTGTATGTATTGATAAAGCAAAACCTGGGTAGATTAGGGTACTGCGTTTTGGGGCATGCTGTACTTTCAGGAATCCTTCACTGTAGAGATTAATGTAGGTAAGCAGTACAGGGGAAAAAGTGCCCCTGACACACACACACACACACACACACACACACACACGTGCACACACAGCTGGGTCTGAGTCCTTTCCTTCCGTGAGTACCCTTTCAATGATATTCTGTATTTTTCCCCCTATTCAAGCCTGTCTGTGATGTATATTTTAACTTGATCTCATTTAGATAGGATGTTGGCACCCTGTGCTTATGTGTAGTATTTTGTTGGCTACTGGCACTTGGTTGAACATATGGCAAGTACAAGGTTAATCCACTCACTTGGAAATAGTAGCAACTCTTCTTGACATAACTGCATCCTATAGAGTCCATTTATATTTTGCTGCGATTTGAGAAATTTGGCTCTACTTATACCAGAAACAAAATAGGCCACTTCAAACTTTTTTTTCTTCAGCGAGAGCTTCCAATTAAAAGGAAGAAGGAAGAACAGGACATATTTTCTGTAAGAACAAAAAATGCCACATGGTGCTTACCCTACCTGGCTGATTTCTCTGTTAGGAATATAATCTTCACAAGGCAGAGAGTATTTTTCTTATCAGGTATCTTCTTTGTTGCTCTCATGCTCCTTAAGAGAATTTTTACAGACTTTTTTCTCCCTTCCACATTTTTAAGTTGACAACTAAAATATTTAACATAAGTTTATATAGTTTCAAAGGATATAATTTCCTGAACATTTAAATGGAAATTTTTAAAGTAAAACTGTCACCTCACTTTTAAATGAGCACTTTTTACAGGAATTTTATATCTGCTATCATCTATTTTAAAGGCATACAAATATCTTCTTTAAAAATTAGATATTTTTTCTGAATGGGCAAAAACTGGAAGCATTCCCTTTGAAAACTGGCTCAAGACAGGGATGCCCTGTCTCACCACTCCTATTCAACATACTGTTGGAAGTTCTGGCCAGGGCAATTAGGCAGGGGAAGGAAATAAAGGGTATTCAATTAGGAAAAGAGGAAGTCAAATTGTCCCTGTTTGCAGACGACATGATCGTATATCTAGAAAACCCCATTGTCTCAGCCCAAAATCTCCTTAAGCTGATAAGCAACTTCAGCAAAGTCTCAGGATACAAAATCAATGTACAAAAATCACAAGCATTCTTATACACCAATAACATACAAACAGAGAGCCAAATCATGAGTGAACTCCCATTCACAATTGCTTCAAAGAGAATAAAATACCTGGGAATCCACCTTACAAGGGACGTGAAGGACCTCTTCAAGGAGAACTACAAACCACTGCTCAATGAAATTAAAGAGGATACAAACAAATGGAAGAACATTCCATGCTCATGGGTAGGAAGAATCAATATCATGAAAATGGCCATACTGCCCAAGGTAATTTATAGATTCAATGCCATCCCCATCAAGCTACCAATGACTTTCTTCACAGAGTTGGAAAAAACTACTTTAAAGTTCATATGGAACAAAAAAAGAGCCCGCATCACCAAGTTAATCCTAAGCCAAAAGAACAAAGCTGGAGGCATCACACTACCTGACTTCAAACTATACTACAAGGCTACAGTAACCAAAACAGCATGATACTGGTACCAAAACAGAGATATAGATCAGTGGAACAGAACAGAGCCCTCAGAAATAATGCCGCATATCTACAACTATCTGATCTTTGACAAACCTGACAAAAACAAGCAATGGGGAAAGGATTCCCTATGTAATAAATGGTGCTGGGAAAACTGGCTAGCCATATGTAGAAAGCTGAAACTGGATCCCTTCCTTACACCTTATACAAAAATTAATTCAAGATGGATTAAAGACTTAAAGCTTAGACCTAAAACCATAAAAACCCTAGAAGAAAACCTAGGCATTACCATTCAGGACATAGGCATGGGCAAGGACTTCATGTCTAAAACACCAAAAGCAATGGCAACAAAAGCCAAAATTGACAAATGGGATCTAATTAAACTAAAGAGCTTCTGCACAGCAAAAGAAACTACCATCAGAGTGAACAGGCAACCCACAAAATGGGAGAAAATTTTCGCAACCTACTCATCTGAAAAAGGGCTAATATCCAGAATCTACAATGAACTCAAACAAATTTACAAGAAAAAAACAAACAACCCCATCAAAAAGTGGGCAAAGGACATGAACAGACACTTCTGAAAAGAAGACATTTATGCAGCCAAAAAACACATGAAAAAATGCTCACCATCACTGGCCATCAGAGAAATGCAAATCAAAACCACAATGAGATATCATCTCACACCAGTTAGAATGGCGATCATTAAAAAGTCAGGAAACAACAGGTGCTGGAGAGGATGTGGAGAAATAGGAACACTTTGACACTGTTGGTGGGACTCTAAATTAGTTCAACCATTGTGGAAGTCAGTGTGGCGATTCCTCAGGGATCTAGAACTAGAAATACCATTTGACCCAGCCATCCCATTACTGGGTATATACCCAAAGGACTATAAATCATGCTGCTATAAAGACACATGCACACGTATGTTTATTGCGGCATTATTCACAATAGCAAAGACTTGGAACCAACCCAAATGTCCAACAATGATAGACTGGATAAGAAAATGTGGCACATATACACCATGGAATACTATGCAGCCATAAAAAATGATGAGTTCATGTCCTTTGTAGGGACATGGATGAAACTGGAAATCATCATTCTCAGTAAACTATCGCAAGAACAAAAAACCAAACACCGCATATTCTCACTCATAGGCGGGAATTGAACAATGAGAACACATGGACACAGGAAGGGGAACATCACACTCTGGGGACTGTTGTGGGGTGGGGGAAGGGGGGAGGGATAGCATTGGGAGATATACCTAATGCTAGATGAGGAGTTAGTGGGTGCAGCGCACCAGCATATCACATGTATACACAGGTAACTAACCTGCACAATGTGCACATGTACCCTAAAACTTAAAGTATAATAATAAAAAAATTAGACATTTTTGTAATTCTTTTTTCTCTTTGATATTTTATTTCCATTCCACTTCCTCTTAGACTTTTACACCAATGCAATATAATTTTAAAAGTGAATATCTGTTATTGGTTACCCTTTTATATGCCTATACAACAAAAATTTTAAAATTTCCATTCTGTGTTTTTTTCACTACCTCCATAGTCAGAACTTTATGTCTAAATTTAGATTCCTTTTGCTACATTTTTAGCTCTGCCTACTAGTTGCAATAAAAATTTTCTATGGTCCTAGAGTTTGAAGACCTATAATTTTCTTCTGTATTATCATAACAGTTATTTTTCATATGGAAGTGATCAAAAATACACACAAATTATAATTTTTAAATATCAAAAATAATATTGTATTGGAGATGCTTTTCTTAGCATGATCGGTGGTCAGGTTTTATGGTGCTTTGATTAAATGAGGTGACACAAATATTTCAAATTATTCCTTTGTTTGACATCCCAGAGATTATTACATCGCAAGACAATGCATCGCTCCAGCAAGGATAACAAAGCGAATGGGAAGGAAAGGGTTATGAAGAGTTCATGGAAGGCACCTTAGGCAGACTACTTTTAGGAAAGAGTGGATGTGGAAGCTAAGTATCTGGAAATTGATTTCCTTAGAACAGTTTGTGTTTGCATGTCTTCTGAAAGGTTTTATGTACTCCCAAGAGTAAGTATACCTGTTTGAAGAAGCTGCTCAATATAGTTCTTAAAATAGTCTACAAACATGTTACCCCAGCATAGTAAGAAATAGGAGTACAGCCAGAAATGAGAGTGGGAATGATTAGAGAGACCTCTTTGAGGCCTTGGTCGTGGGCAGGAGCACAGTGGGCCGGGCTCTTTCTAGATGTGCTTTAATCATCAGGAATTCTGATACAATTATATTTTGACTATGATATATAAGCTTCATTTGATTACTGTTGCCAAATATTTTTTGCTCTTCACGAAGTAAACCTCTTTTTAAAACTTTTTAACTGGCAAATAATAATTGCATCTATTTAGGGAGTACATTGTGATGTTTTGATACATGATTACATTGTGGAATGATTTAATCAATCTACTTAAATTTAGTGAAAATAACTTAAGCTATTAATCTCAGCCTTGGTGGCTTCTCCTAATTTATGCTTACACAAGAGGCTATCTTCATTGTGAAATGTCACAGACTCTCACAAGCAAGAGAAGAAAATGTAGAGAAGCCCCTCAAATAAAATGCATTAGGTTAATTCATACCGACAAATGTGACACACTTAAAATTGTTCCTAACATCAGTTCATGATTTATTTCAAAAGTTCTTAATATTCAAAAATGCTCAATAATTTAAAGTATTTCAATGTATATAGCAAATAAACCCTGCTATTAAAACAAAAGAATCAGGTTCATTTCAGAAGAGTGAAAACTAGCAAGATCTTACTGTAAATCAACTGTTTGTTTTCAATTATTTGGCATGAGATCTTACATATTTTTAACCCATGTTTTAATTCTCGTAGATACCCTGTTGCAAAAGTTCTGAAACATTGTGAGAAAAAGTGTTTTTGTAGCACTTTGGCAATGGGAGCCTCACTTCACTCTGTTATGTAATGTCCCATCCAGTTTTTAGTTAAACCTGGAAACACCTTTGTCCTTAGGTGAAGCAGCAAGTCTTGCTTAAGCAAAGCTGGTGAAATCAGAGCCTGGTCCAAGGCTCAGAAGCGTTTGCGGGGAAAAGCAAACACTTTTTGTGGGAGAAGGAAACAAAGGAGAAGAGAGGAGGAGGAAGAAATTGAAAAAGAAGGGGAAGAGAAGAGGAAAAGAAAAAGAGACGTTGAGAGAAAGAAAAACAGAGAGCTGTGTGTGATTGGATGCCATGACTCCTCAGTCTTAGTGCTAATGCCGTTGTTACCTAACTCTATTTAGGGAACTTTCCAGAACAAAGCGAAGCTTTGTGGGCCTGGCTTTCAGAACTTATGCAACAATTGTTTTGGGAGCAGACTGAAAATTTTACAAGAGAACTGAGTTTTCAAGAGACTGACGGTGTGACCAAAAGATCAAAGGTTTGGTGCAGTGGGACTAAGTTTCAGGCAGCCTTTCAAATTGTGAAGACTTTCCTCCCTGTTATGGCAGTTAAGACATGTGAAAATGGTAGTTCGAGACACTTATAAGCAACTTTCTTCTTAGTTCACAATGTTCCATGAATGTCAGTGCCCTCCAAACTCACGAGAACAAAGCAGGCAACCAGGATGATTACTCCCAAATCATTGATAAAAGGAGAGAGAAGTACAGAGATACACAGTGATTTGTGTGGGTTGCCAAAAAGTTGCACGGTCAGTTTGACAACTGTTATTGCCTTCAGGTTGACAAATTGCAAAAGCAGCATTGCTGTGTATGGGTGGGGAGGGAGGAGGAATTGCATGAGTAAGAATGAGATGAGCAATAGTTAGGTGGGGTGGAAATGAAATCTCAACAGTTATTGGGGATTCTGATGTATTTATCAAACCAAAAGACGATCTAAAAGCCATACAATCAGACTTAGATTAGGGCAGTCTGTGATAAGCAAAAGTTAATATAGTGTGTTGTTTTTGAAAATATGGCATGATAATTAATAGCAACTCTTTTTGTATACTTGCTTGGTTAACAGGAGGAAACACAGATAAATTAAATACTGGTTAGCAATCTTTAATAACCAGGAGATGCTTAACATTTATTTAGAAATCTGCAACATTTTATAAATCATTGTTTTGGCTTCTGGGACAAACTCAGAATCTGGAACCCACGGAAACCCTTCAGTTACACAAAGGCTTTCCAGTTCATTGCTACTGCACTGAAGAACAGTCTTCACAACTATACCTGGAACTTACTAGGCCAAGAAGGCAAGGCGTTGGTATGTGTTTTTATTGTAGTTAAACTTATCTGGATTTAAAAGGCATTAACTATCTTCTGATTTCTTCCTTTTTCTTCAATTGTACAAGAGTGTTTCAATTGAATATTGCAACTGAAGACATTCACTCTGCGTTGATCACCTATGGAGTGATCAAATTTCAACCCTTTGAAGTTTCCTAAATGTAAGCCTTCTTCTTAAATATCCTTAAAGCAGCATTTTTAAGCCTGTAAAGATCCATGAGCCCAAGAATCCCTGCCTGAAGTGCTTTTGGCTTCAGTCATCCAGTTTCAGTCTTCCCATTGTTCAGTTACCCAGATAACAGTTAACCAGATCCTGGTTTTCTCTCATGCCTTGTGGCTAAAGTCATGTTTACCCCAATTGATAAAAATGAAAATGAAAATTATTTATGCAGAAATTCATTCTGGTACTACAACTCTCCTTTCCGTCACAATTTTAGAAGCTTAACCATGATATGCAAAGTGCATTCTGAGGATGACTAACTAGTCATAGTTGAAGGGTTTGGATAACAAAATAGCAGAATAGGACAGGGCCAGGTAATAGTCCTCATCTAAATTTGACTCCAAGGAGCACCAGCACTATTATCAACTCCCACTGCAGTTAAATTAAGATGCTTTTTCCAGAAGGAGTGAACATTCAGACGTAGTAAATTTACAGGGGCAGCTTCCAAAAGTGACGTGTTTCTCCTGGATTATTCCACTCAGAATTCTAGTTAGGAACAACACTGATTAACCCCAGAACACAGTTTCTTGGAGAATCTTCTATTAACCTGACTAGTTTCATGAACTTAGAGAAAACTTAGAGAAGCTTATAATTAATTATGGCCAATTATGCAAAGCTAAACCTCTGACAAGCTGTATCTATAAAAAGATATGAGACTGACTTTATTTTTTCTTTTCTGAAAGGAAAGAGGCACTCTGAATTCAAAGGCTGTTTGAATGAACTGACTGCTTCAGCACTGTCTTGTAGATATAGTCCATTCAAATAAAAGACAAATATCTGACTGAATTTTGTTAGCACGTTAAGACATGTATTATAAAAAGGTTTAAGAAGAAAATAATGGCCACAATTCTTCAGAAAACATGTGAACTAATGTGACAAAACACTGTGGTGTTGCAAACTCAAGGTAAAATGAAGTGAATGAGAAAACAAATTTCCCCACAGTTAAGTTGTATCACAATGTTTATTTATCTTTAATTCACCCATCTTTATCCCATTTCTACCAGTGCTGCTCTGGCCAAGTCACCTCGCTGAAATCTCCACTTCCACTTGTGCAACCTACCAAGCCACTCTCTACACAGCTGCCAGAGTGATTACAAAAACAACGCGGGATTATGCTACCCCTGCTTATCTAAAATTTGTCAAAATGCCCGTTACACTTTGAATAAAATACAGATTCCTCTCAGATCTCATTTCTTATCATGTCTTTCTCAATCATTATGTTCCAGCCTCACTGACCTTCTTTCTGTTCCTGTAAAATATTCCTGCCTCAAGGGCGCAGGCCTACGACCTGCAGTTCTCTTTTTCCCACATGTGACCAGGCTCTCTCTTAGCCATCAGGTCTCAAATAAGCTCTTTCCGTTCTGTCTAGGCATCTTATCAAAATCAACCTGTGTATTATTATTCATTTATCACATAATCTTGTTTTATTTTCCTCATAGCACTCTCACTTTCTGAAATTATCTTTGTTTATATGTTTAATGCCCTTCTTTTCCACTAGAATGGAAACTCAAAGATCAAGAAACTTATCTGGCCTTTTCACTGTTGAATTGCCAAAATTTTGAACAGTGCCTAACATACAGTAAAGGCTCAATAAATAAATAAATAAATGTTCAGCTCTCTTGGCTGTCTCTGCAGTGATCAAGAATATTTTGATGTCTCTCAAAAGAACTATATGCTTATAGTAGCCTCTGTAGTTCTTGGGTTTGAGTTGTGGAATTACGTGTAGGTGAAACAAAATTATAATGAAAACCTTCGTTTTTAAACCCTTTTGGGCAGAGTCTCATAGAATCTCATTTTATAGACAAGTAGGGTCAGGGATTTGGGAAATGGGGAATTAAATTAGTATTTTTGAATGCTTATGTTTTAGACACTGTGATAGGCATTTGATATATGTAAAGGCAATGTGCAGTCTTCTAAATTGAATTCCATATGACTTAGACTGTTTAGGGGGATGGGCTTGTGATCAAGACTGTATGAAGTCAGGGATAGCTAGATAGAATTAGGGATAGCAAAGGGACAGATGCTAAGATTATGGACAGTATGATATTGTAGGATATTGTAGAAAAAGTGTGAGCTTCAAATCAGGTCTGAGCTCAAATCCTAATCTGCCACTTTTACTAGTTGTGTGACCTTGTGTAAGGTACTTACAATTTTAGTGTGGCTCATTTTTCTTATTTATAAGGAATAGAGAACAAACAGCATTTACAAATGATTAATTCACAGTGTTGTGAAGATTTAGTGACATAATATTTTAATATGTAAAATAACTAGGCCTATTGCCTTTCACATAATAGATGCTTAATAACTGGCAAGTTATTATGACATACATTATTAGTTACCTACCCAATAACTATACTTCCTTTTCTCTTGACAATGGAGCCCTAATTTTGTTCAGAGTAGTAATATCTAGTCCAAATGATGGGTCATGTTTGATGTAAGACAATCATAAGCAACCTGTTTCCCACTTTCGCAGCTTCCTTTGCAACTATAGGTGGTCATGTGATCCAATTCCGGATGACAAAACTAATGGGAAATCCACTGTGTGTGTGTGTGGGGAGGGGGGGGGCGGTATGTTCATGTGTGTGCATGCACCTAAGTGAGGGGAGGAGCGTCTGGAGAAGTTTTTCTTTTGTTAAAAAGCAAAATATTTTAATAATAAAATTTAGCACTTGAGCTACATTTATTTTTGAATGGTTTTTAAATTAATATTATTATTTTGAGACTGGGTTTTCTTCTGTCACCCATCTGCAGTGCAGAGGCATGATCACAGTTCACTGCAGCCTCCACCTTCCTGGCTGAGGTTCCCACCTCAGCCTCCCAAGTAGCTGGGACTATAGGCATGCACCACCATGCCTGGCTAATTTTTCTGTTTTTTGTAGAGATGGGGTCTCACTATGTTGACCAGGCTGGTCTTGAACTCCTGGGCTCAAGCAATCCTCCCTCCTTGGCCTCCCAGCGTTGGGATTACAGGCATGAGACACCACACCCAGAAAATCATTATTATTTTTAACTGACTAGTAATAATTGTACATATTTAGAAGCACAGAGTGATATTTTGATACATGTATACAATATGTAATGAACAAATCAGGGTAATTAGCATATCTATCATCTCAAATATTTATCATTTTTGTTTTGTATTGGGAACATTCAAGATCTCTTTTAGCTATTTGAAAATATACAATAAATATATTGTATACAGGGCTATAGAACACTAGAACTTGTTCCTCCCATCTAGCTGTAATTTTGTATCCATTAACTATCCTCTCCCTGTCCTCCACTCCCCACTACCTTGCCAGTCTTTTAGTAACCATAATTCTACTCTTCTATGAGCTTAAGGTTTTTAGTTCCCACATATGAGTGAGAACATGTGGTATATCTCTTTCTGTATGTGACTTATTTCACTTAACATAATGTCTGGGCTTATCCATGTTGCCACAAATGACAGGATTTCATTTTTTTTTTTGGTGGCTGAATAGTATTCCATTTTGTATATACCACATTTCTGTATCCATTTATCTGTTGATGGATGCGTGTTGATTCCATACTTTGGCTGTTGTGAACAGTGCTGCCATAAACACAAGGTATCTCTTTAATGTATTAATTTCTTTTCCTTTGGATAAATACCAGTAGTGGGATTGCTGGATCATACGGTAGCTCTGTCTTTAGTTTTTTGAGGAACCGCCATACTGTTTTCCATAATGGCTATACTAATTTACATTCTCACCAACAATGAATGAGCATTCTCCTTTCTTCCCATCCTTGCCAGCAAGACTGTTTGTCTTTTTAATAATAGGTATTCTGACTTCTAGGGAAGCTTTTGTATTTCTGATATTAAGACAGAAATTGGTGGTCCTGTTTATTATCCCTTTCCTGCTGACGTGAATGTGGAAGCAATGGTTTGTGATCAAGGAGTTATCTTGCAACCTTGAGAGAAAGCTTTGCAGTTTTTGAGCCACTGAAGCAATGCCAGGAGAAGCCATTTATTTGCAGACATCCCATGTTTACTTAAGCTGTTAGGTTGCTGTTAAACTGTTACGTTGCTGACTACTGAAAGCATTTCTAACTGATGTAGGTGTGTGTTTATTAGTTTGAATGTGTGTGTGCTCACATGTATGTAGGTGGGTAGAGAATTTAAATATAGTGGCAGTGAGATATACATTACTTGCACCAAAATTACCTGGAGTTGCCGTTTATTTAAGGTCACTTCACACATGACAGAGGTTAAGGATCTGGATTTTGAATTTCATGAATGAAATCTGATGCTCGGGATACCAGTGCCTCCAACATACTTGCTATACTTTATTGTGGAAAAGAATAGCATGTGTATTTATCGAAAGCGAAGTTTAAAAAGAAATTTGCTTTTCATTTTTGATGTTAATCTCATTTTATTTCCTTTTATAAAAACAAAATATATTCTGTGCATATTTTTGGACATTGAGTGAAAAGCAAACAATATATTTAAAAAGCCACGTTAAAAAATCTTGTTTTAGATTTTTACAATTTAAAGTGTATATGAGAAAATGGCTTAAAATAAAACATACTTCAATTAAAATGTTTTACTCTGTCATGTACTATATAAAACATATTATGGTGTATAAAACATATTCTTAGAAGCTGGAATTCTAAAATAATACTATAATCAAATAGTTTTCAAAAGTTTATATGGAACTACAAAAGACCCTGAATAGAAAAGCAATTTTGAGCAAAAAGAACAAACCTGGAGGCATCACATGTCCTGACTCTAGAATATACTACCAAGCCATAGTAACCAAAACAGCAAGATTCTGGCATAAAAACAGACACACAGACTAATGAAATTGAATGAAGGACCCAGATATAAAATCACACATTTATAGCCACTGATTTTCAACAAAGGGGCCAAGAACACACAATAGGGGAAAGGACAGTCTCTTCAAAAAATGGTGCTGGGAAATCTGGATATCCACATGTAGAAGAATGAAATCACACCCCTCTCTCTCACCATATAAAAAATCAACTCAAAATAGATTAAAGACTTAAATGTAAGACCTGAAACTATGAAACTATTAGGAGAAAACAAAGGGGAAAAGCTCCATGGCATTGGTGTGGGCAATGATCTTTTTTGGATATGACCCCCAAAACACTGGCAACAAAAGTAAAAATAGACAAATGAGATTACCTCAAACTAAAAAGCTTCTGCACAGCAATGAAAACAATCAGCAGAGTGAAGAAACAACCTACAGAATAGAATAAAATACTTGTAAACTATACATCCAATAAGGGGTTAATAACTAAAATATATAAGGAACTCAAGCTACTAACTAAGCAAGAAAATGAATAATCTGATTTAAAAATGGGCAAAGGACCTGAATACACACCTCTCAAAATAAGACATACAAATGGCTGTCAGGTATATGAAAAAACACTCAACATCGCTAATCATCAGGGTAATGCAAATTTAAACACAATAAGATATCACTTCACCCGTGTGAGAATGGCTATCAAAATGATAAAAGATAACAAGTTTTTCCAAGGATGTAGAGAAAAGAGATCACTCACATACCATTGGTGGGAATGTATGAAAAACGGTATAGAGGTTCCTCAAAAAATAAAAAAAAAAAATAGAACTACCATATGATCTAGCAATCCCACTACTGAATACACATCTAAAGGAAATGAAATCAGCGTGTTGCTGATTTCTGCGCTCCCATGTTCACTGCAGCTTATTCACAATAGCCAAGATATAGGATCAACCTGAATATCCATCAACAAATAAATGGATAAAGAAAATGTGGTATATATTCACAAATGGAATACGATTCAGCCATAAAAAATGAATTCCTGTCATTTGCAACAAGATAGAAGGACCTGGAGGAAACTATGTTGAGTGAAATAAGCAAGGCACAGAAAGATAAATACCACATAATCTCACTCATATGGAATCTAAAAAAGTGGAGCTCATAAAAGTAGAGAGTGGAATGGTAGTTACCAGGGGCTGGGGTGGTTGGAGGGTGGTGGGAAAATGTTGGTCAAAGGATACAAAATTTCAGTTAGGTAGGAGGAATAACTTTAAGAGATATGTTGTACAACAGGGTGACTATAGTTAACAATATATTGTTTTCTTGAAAAATGCTACGAGAGCAGATATAAAATGTTCTCACCACAAAAATGATAGCTGTGTGAGGTAATGTATATGTTAATTAGCTAAACTTAGTCATTCCACTATGTATATATAGTTCAAAAGTCATATTGTACATGATAAATACAGTCATGTTCCACAAAATGATGTTTCAGCCAAAGACAGACCACATAGATGATGGTCCCACAAGATTATAATACTTTACCTTTTCCATGTTTAGATATGTTTAGATACACAAATACCATTGTGTTATAATTTTCTACAGTATTCAGTACAGTAACATGCTGTTCAGGTTTGTAGCTTAGGAGCAATAGGCTTCCTCCAATAGCCCAGGTGTGTAGTAGGCTATACCATTTAGGTTTGTGTAAATACACGCTATGATGTTGACACAATCACAAAATTGCCTAAAAACACATTTCTTAGACCTGTTAAGTGACACATGACTGTACATACAGTTGTATCTGTCAATTAAAAAAAAAAAAACAAAACTAATTTCAGGTGCTTAGTTAACTTGCATAATAATAAATGACATTTACATAGTATTACAATGTGCCAGATATTGTCCTAAAATCTTAAGTCATTTAGTGTTATTAACTCTATGGGTTTGGTGTTATTATTACTGTCATCTCCACTTTATGACTGTGGGTCCTGATTTACAGAGACATTGAATAATAAGCTCCAGGAGAGGTAAAATTTGAACCAAGGGAGTCTGGCTCCAGCATGGGCCCTCTCATTCACTGTGCTCTGCGGCCTCCCAACTTATATCACTCATTGTATTTCATGTGAGTTATAGTACTTATATAATGTGTGGTGAGCTACATTTCTTAACACATTTACTGTTTGTTCTTTTATCTGAGTATTTGAAGATATCTTTCTGCTTATTATCTCATACAGGTTGGAAAAAATGGGCTTACCAACCACCCTTACCCTCTTCCTCCCAGTAAGCTAACAAATTGGGAGGTGGATCACTAGTACCGTGTGCACTCCAACAACAATTAGAACAAAACTCCCCCTGAAGCAAATCCTAAACCAAAATTCTTATCTGCCTTAAGAATCAAGAGTCAGGACTAATAACCTCCATTTTGTAAATGGAACAAAAGTTTCATAAAAGATGTGGAACAGAGTACTCCTTTATTTGTGCCATGATTAGGCCAACTCTGAAGTGAAGAAGAGGAATAGAAAAAAGCAAAAGTTAGAAGCATTTAATGAAATAAAGCAGAGAAGTATGAGAATAAAATGTGGAAAAGGAGCAGGAGATTCAGAGATGAACAAGAAAGTTGAGGAGCTTGGGTCTAGTGGGTGGAACACATATTTGAAGAGTGTTGGAAAATTGAAAAGTGTGCTTCACCCAGTCTCTTGTAGAAACTACAGTTTTAAAGGAAGCTGCCCAGAACTGCCTCTCTGCTTGGATGCTGCTTAGGCATCTAGGAAATAAACAATTAAGCCCAGCTCTGGCCACATCCTTTTTCTCCTGGCATTTGTAGCCTCCTTCTATTCTCCAAACCTTTGATATTATTCCTTAAGTTAATCACTCGTTTTCTCTGGGCAGTGTCCCATCTCTGCCTCTGTAATTCTCTCTGTTGTGAACAGCTCTCCATTATGCATTTATTCTGGACCAGACCATACCCAGGAAGCCACATTTCGAGCTATAGGGAAACCACAAGAAAGCTCCAAAAATGGAAGTCCCAGCTTGCTCTCCACAATTATGTCATTTTTCTCTCCCTCTTACTTTCAAGTTTTTGTTTTAGTTTTGTACGTGGAATTGGGCTAACAGGAAGACCAGATTACTAGCACTAACTCTGGGGAAAGTTTCGTAAAGGAGTTGCTGTGAAATCTCACTAGCCCGTTATGTAGCCTGACTGTTGCCACTTCATCTTCTTGTCACTCCTGAGTGTCTCACAAATTGGCTCCTTCCCCCACTACTCTACTAAGTCTGATCCCACAAGAGTTTCTAATAACCTCCCAGATCATGACTCAAATGGAAGCTGTTCAGTCCTTTTCAAAAATGAATACTGTTTGACAACATTTTTTTTGACAACATTTTTTTTTCTTCCATCTGCAAACCTTCGATGCATGTCTCCCTCTCCGATTGTTCCAATTTTTTCCCAGTGGTCCCTTTTTCTCTGTCTCATCCTTACATTATGGCATCCCCAGAGTTTTGGTTCTGTCCACTCCTTTCCTTTCTTATCCTCCCCTTTTTTAATTGGTTGATTGTGCCATCCCCCCAACTCCCCACACCCACCACCCAAAATGTTGAAGGCCTCATCTCTGGTACCTCACAATATGACCCTGTTGGAAATAGGGTCACTGCAGCTGTAATTAGCTAAGTTAACATGAGATCATACTGGAGTAAGGTGAGCCCTAAATCCGATATGACTGGTGTCCTTAAAAGACAAGGAAAATATAGACATAGACACATACAGAGAGAAGTCAGCCATGTGAAGACAGAGACAGACACTGGAGTTATGCTGCCACACACCAAGGAACACCTGGGGCTACCAGAAGCTGGAAGAGGCAAGGAGGTTTCCTCTACTAGAGGCTTTGGAGGGACCATGGCCCTGCCAACATCTTGTTTTCAGCCTTCTAGGCTCCAGAACTGTGAAACAATATATTTCTGTTGTTTTAATCCCAGTTTGTGGTAGTTTGTTTTAGCAGCACTAGAAAACTTACAGGCCTCTCCTCTCTCCCCCTCATTCCTTCCTCTTCCTTCTCCACTCCTTCCCTCCCTTGATTTTCCTTCTCTTTCCTTCTAGTCCTTCTTTTCTCTTTCCTTCTCTATTCTCTAGATAACCATAACATCTACTCCCATGACTTCCATTACCATAGATATCCCAATAGCTCTCAAATCTCCTAAACTCCAAAGCCAAATTTATTATTTTCCATTTATCTTCTTCATCTGAGTGTCCTGCCAGCATTTGAAATACAACACACCCAAAACAGAACTCAAACGTGCTTTTCCATCTATGTGCTCTGGCAGATTGTGTTTTCCTATGATGACTGCCACAATATATGGCTCATCCTTTTTGCAGTTTACCTTTCTAACTCCTCCCACTGAGAGCTAGGAGTATGTGTCCACTCCATGGACCTGGGTGGACCTTTGTGACTATCCTCACCAGTAAAGTAGCTGGAATCACAAATGAATAATTTATGTAATTTCCAAGCTTAGGTCATAAAATTTCCGTTCACTTCCACCTGGTTCTCTTGGCACACTTGCTATTGGAATCCAGCCACCATGCTATGAGAAAGCCTAGACCAACAAGGAGAAGCCACGTGTAGGTGCAATGGTCATCAGTTCTAGGTAAAGCCCCAGTTGAAAGCCAATATGAACATCCAGGCATATGCGTGAGGAAGCCTGGAGATGACTCCAGCTTCAGCCGCCATGTGACTGCAACACATGAGAGATTCCAAGCAAAACAGATATAGCTAAGTGTGTCCGGAATTGGTGGGTTCTTCGTCTCGCTGACTTCAAGAATGAAGCTGTGGACCCTCGTGGTGAGTGTTACAGTTCTTAAAGATGGTGTGTCCAGAGTTTCTTCTTACTGGTGGGTTCGTGGTCTCGCTGACTTCAAGAGTGAAGCTGCAGACCTTCACAGTGAGTGTTACAGCTCTTAAAGACGGCGTGTCTGGAGTTGTTTATTCCTTCAGGTGGGTTCGGGGTCTCATTGGCCTCAGGAGTGAGGCTGCAGACCTTCGTGGTGAGTGTTACAGCTCATAAAGGCGGTGTGGACCCAAAGAGTGAGGAGCAGCAAGATTTATTGCAAAGAGCGAAAGAACAAAGCTTCCACAACGTGGAAGGGAACCGGAGTAGGTTGCTGCTGCTGGCTTGGGCAGCCTGCTTTTATTCCCTTATCTGACCCCACCCACATCCTGCTGATTGGTCCATTTTACAGAGAGCTGATTGGTCCGTTTTGACAGGGTGCTGATTGGTGCATTTACAATCCCTGAGCTAGACACAAAGTGCTGATTGGTGCATTTACAATCCTCCAGCTAGATATAAAAGTTCTCCAAGTCTCCACCAGATTAGCTACATACAGAGTGCTGATTGGTGCATCCACAAACCCTGAGCTAAACACTGAGTGCTGACTGGTGCATATACAATACTCTAGCTAGACATAAAAGTTCTCCAAGTCCCCACTCTGGAGCCCAGCTGGCTTCACCTAGTGGATCCCACGCAGGGGCCCCAGGCGGAGCTGCCTGCCAGTCCCGTGCTGCGCACCCGCACCTCTCAGCCCTTGGGCAGGATGGGACCTGGTGCCATGGAGCAGGGGACAGAGCCCGTAGGGGAGGCTTGGGCATGCGGAGACCAATGGGAAGGGGGGGCTGGAGGGGGAACTCAAGGGGGATCTCCGGCATAGTGGGCTGCAGGTCCCGACCCCTGCTCTGCAGGGAGGTGGCTGAGGACGGGCGAGAATTTGAGCATGGCGTGGGCCAGCTGGCAGTGCTTGGGGATCTGGCACACCCTCTGCAGCTGCTGGCCTGGGTGCTAAGTCCCTCTCTGCAGGGGGCTGGCAGGCTGGCTGGCTGCTCCAAGTGCAGGGCCGCGGGGCCCACGCCCACCTGGAACTTGCACTGGCCCATGAGCGCCACCTGCAGCCCCAGTTCACGGCCACGCCTCTCCCTCCACACCTCCCCGCAAGCAGAGGGAGCCGTCTCCGGCCACCTCGGCCAGCCCAGAGAGGGGCTCCCACAGTGCGGCAGCAGGCTGAAGGGCTCCTCAAGCGTGGCCAGAGTGGATGCCGAGGCCGAGGAGGCGCCAAGAGCAATCGAGGGCTGCTAGCACGTTGTCACCTCTCATAAGCACAATCAATTTTCAAACCATAAGAGATGATAATAAAATGATTGTGTTATTTTAAGCCGCTAAGTTTTGGGGTAAATCATTATGCAGCCATAAATAACTGGAGCTGTCTTCTATTTTGGTTAATGAAAGATTTACCAAGTCACATATGTTTGTATTCTTAGTCATCTGTGACTCTTCCTTCTTACTCCACAAATTCAGTCAATTCTCAAATTCCTACCAATTCTATCTCATAATTTTATGTTGAATATATCCCCTTTCTTATATTCTCTGTTTCCCTGCCTTTTGGAAACCATTAAGATATGCATATAAAAGAGGATAATAAATTAAACTGACTGTCCAGGGTTTAATCTCTTCCTGCTCGAATCCATCCTCAAGCTTATGTGGAGTGATCTTTTAAAAATACACATCTGAACTGTGCCCCTTCCCTGCCTGCCACCTTCTGTGTTAATGATGTATGAAAAGATACTCTTCATATGAAGTTCTCTGTAGTCTAGTTCCCCAAACTACTTTTCCAGCCTTGTCACCTGGCTTATACCCCATGCCCCCTCCTCATTTTGTCCCAGGTAAGTACCTTCCAGGCTCCTCTACCTTTGCCCATGTTCTTTCTTCTTCATAAAATGCATTTATCCACATTTGCTGTCCAATAAACTCTTACATATTCATCAAGATGTAGATTACATATCACTGCTTTGAAGAACTTTCTCGGATTATTCCCTTGCTTCCCAGAAGTTACCTTTTTTTCTCTCCTATAATAAAACCTTGCAATACTTCTCTCATTTTATTAGAATTATTTCTGTCTAGGCGTCTTTCCCATTAGACTGAGAAATTTATAGCACTAGGACCACTGAATCTAGATCCAGTACTCAATATTGGTGATTTTAAGAACAATGTACTATAGTCACCATCATCCATCCATTATCTATCCACCCATTCTTTGTTCTATCCTTCTATACATTCAGCTATTTATTTATTCATTTATTTCCCTATCAAATATTACCTACCAGTGATACTTTACTCCGAGGAAAGAGTGAGAATATCATCTTTCTTATTTTGGTTTAGAGAGTCTGAAAACTAAAGCCTTGCCTTTGCCTAGACAGTGCATAGGAAATTTTGTGAACAACATTTTTTCTTTTGAGACAGAGTCTCGCTCTTTTGCCCAGGCTGGAGTGCAGTGGCGCTATCTCAAATCACTGCAAGCTCTGCCTCCTGGGTTCATGCCATTCTCCTGCCTCAGCCCCCCGAGTAGCTGGGACTACAGGTGCCTGCCACCACGTCTGGCTAAGTTTTTGTATTTTTAGTAGAGATGGGTTTCACCTTGTTAGCCAGGATAGTCTCGATCTCCTGACCTCGTGATTCACCTGCCTTGGCCTCCCAAAGTGCTGGGATTACAGGCGTGAGCCACCGCGCCTGGCCGTGAACAACTTTAATAACAAAAATAAAACATGTTTATGAAGCTAAACACTGCAAGAGCCACATTATGCATATCATTACATTTAACTCTGACAAGAATACTGGAAAGTAGATTTTATTGTTGTGTAAATTGATACTCAGAGATTAAATATAATAACTTGCTCAAGTTTACACTTAGTAAACAGCATTGCTAGATTTGAATCTGAATCTGTTTGATTCTAAAGTTCATTTTATTTCCACAGTAGGTCATACTTTATTTCTCTGTTTAGTGTTAGTGATCATCTCCTTAGTAACTACTGCATTGTCACTATTTCCAGATCATCCAGATGTTCGTCTACTGGAAATCTAAGTGGGGCACTATTAGTCCTGACAACCCTTCCACCTAGCTTCCCAAAGTTTAGTTCCCCAGCTTAGTGAGCAGTGTCTTATTTCTCTTTCACTCAGTTATTTTGAGCAATTCAGAAATTGAGTTTTCATGATGCTGCATAGACTGAAGTTCAGTTAGTCAAAGATGGATTTGGGAAATTCTAATTAGAGACAGTTTTGTGTTCAAATAAGGCATGCAGGGGAAAGTCATAGCTGAGTAAGTAAGGGTTGTGGGTGTGGCTGTGGCATCTGTGTATGGGTCTTTGTGTCTGTGTAGGTGTGAGAATGCAAGCACATGTGGTGTCTGCAGAATGAGGCATCTGTAGCTTCAGTGATTTTGCTGCAACTGGGCGTTTTTATTGTCTGCCTGTCCATGTGTTCTTAGGTGCACATGTGGCTTCTCTGTGGGTGTGCCATCATGTCTGGGTATGGGTTTCTCTGTGTGCATGTGGGAGTGCTGGAGGAAGAGCTAACGTCTAAATAGCTTTTCCAGACTTCCATCCAGGACCCAAGATTCTAAGCAAAAATGATGCCAGAAGCATAAGTGAAATTTGCTGCTGATATCTTAAATGGGAGGCATGAAAGAGCCAGGAAATGAAATGAAGAATCCATTATATACCTGTTTCCTCTTCTCTTCTTAGTCTTAAAAAATCTTCTCCCCATTTCTACCTCATCTCTTACCTGTCCAGGTGAATTATTTTTCACTCAGCCTGTGTGTCATCAAACTAAATGATTATTTCAGTGTTTCTGCCTCTAAACACATCTGTCTCTGCCATTGCCAAGGAGGGAGAGCTGTGAGACCTGGAGAAGACTGGCAGGAAGTGTCCAGCCAGAGGGCACAGGAAGCCAATGCTTCTCCCGCCATATTGAATCATCAGGTTGACTACATGCCAGATGTGTTCTAACACAGTCCCACCCCTCCTAAATGCTCAAGTGATAGGCTAACACTGTGAGAGAGGGGATAAAAGGTAAAATAGCAGCTGGAATTATTATAGAACATGAAACAAGTCAGTCAGCTGTGTGAATTGTGAAACATAAATTCGATTTGTGCTGTATCAAAGTAATATTTGCAAAATAAGGGGAAAATCTATGAAAGCGTCTAGTAGAGAGCTCCAACTAATACCCATATCAGACTTTGCCCCTCTCCAAACATTTTAACTAGTATCTGCTTTGACTGGTGACCCTGATACATACAAATGAATATCTTTATTTTTACATTTCCACGACTTTAGGGTAACGAGAAGTGTAGATTTGAGACAAAATGAGAGTGGGGAGATTAATTCAACATGCCTAAGAGATATTAATAGATTTTTGTTCTTCTGTTGAATGGCAGCAATGCAATGGGGACAGCAGTGAGATGTTTCCTCTTACATTGGAAATGGCGGAAATAAAGTTCGCCATCTGTGGGAGTAAGTCTGGAGACTGTAAATATGTGGCTGAAGTGTTTTGGAACATACAAAACTCCAGTAAGGGTCACCTGGGTGTAATTTCAAGCAGGCAGTTCCAGAATGTGATTTTAATTTAGTAATTGGAACCCAATTGTATTGTACTTTACATGGAGAAAAAGTTGAGGACACAGAAGACAGTCAGTCTGGATAAACAGAAGAGGGAACTACAATTGAGCAGCCTGGAGACTGGGAAGTAGGGCACACAAAGACTCCACTCGCTTCAGGGTATTGTGGGGCAGTGATCCTCCACCTACAGCACCACCTGTAGCATAAATATGAAATTTTACTTAAGATCATATGTATTTCCATTTGTTTTTATTCTCTGCTTGCCAAATAGCATTTTTTTCTTTTCTGTTCTTTTTTTTTTTTTTTTTGAGACGGAGTGTCGCTCTGTCACCTCGGCTGGAGTGCAGTGGCGCGATCTTGGCAAGCTCCGCCTCCCGGGTTCACGCCATTCTCCTGCCTCAGGCTCCAAGTGGCTGGGACTACAGGCACCCGCCACCATGCACGGCTAATTTTTGGTATTTTTAGTAGAGACAGGGTTTCATCGTGTTGGCCAAGATGGCCTTGATCTTTTTTTTTTTTTTTTTTTTTTTGAGGCGGAGTCTCGCTCTGTCGCCCAGGCTGGAGTGCAGTGGTGCAATCTCGGCTCACTGCAGTCTCCGCCTCCCGGGTTCACGCCATTCTCCTGCCTCATCCTCCCGAGTAGCTGGGACTACAGGCGCCCGCCACCATGCCCGGCTAATTTTTTGTATTTTTAGTAGAGAGGGGGTTTCACTGTGTTAGCTTGGATGGTCTCCATCTCCTGACCTCGTGATCCGCCCTCCTCGGCCTTCCAAAGTGCTAGGATTACAGGCGTGAGCCACCGCGCCCGGCTGCCAAATAGCATTTTTTAAAAAAGGTCTCACTCTGTCACCTGGGCTGGAGTACAGCAGCATGATCATAGCTCACTGCAGCCTCAAATGCCCGGGTCAGGCAATCCTTCCACCTCAGCCTCCCGAATACCTAGGACTATAGGTGTATGCCATCATACCTGGCTTATTCATTTTAAAAATATTTTGTAGAGACAGGATTTTGCTATGTTGCCCAGGCTGGTCAAAAACTCCAGGCCTCAAGCAATCCTCTCTCTTTGGCCCCCCAATGTGCTGAGATTATAGGCATGAGCCACTGCACCCGGCCAGTCAGTAGCATTTTTATTATGAACTGTTCTGCTAATGAGAAGGTGGTACCCTGAATGAGGAAACATCATTATTCAATACCCTGGAAGGAGTATCTCTCAAGATGGGTGGGAGGAGAAGCAGTCTAATTGGATTGTTAAACTTCAGTCTCCTGTTAGTTTGAGACAGGCTTCTCAGGACAGATGACAATGGAGATACATTGACAAGGTAAAGGCCAAATTTAGAATTGTATCACCTGTGAGGCCTGTTGGTGGACAGGAAGCTGGATCTCTTTTGGAAAGCACTTTTCTATGAACCACATTGAATGCTTAATAGTGCTGGGACATTATTTAGAAATAATGCATATAGAATGAGATTTTTGTCCCTAACACTAAAAAGGACTCAAGCTTGGCTGACTTCTGGCTATTTCTTTCCCCACTCTGCAACTATAGTCCTGATTTGCTTGAATAATTTTTGGTATTTTGTGATGGAGGGTTGAGAAAAAAGTGGTGGGTGGGGGGCAGTGGGGAGGTGGTGTGGGGGGAAACAAGAGGTACAAGATAAAAACTGGATGAGTTTTATAGGGATGTTTAAGGAGATTAGCTGTAATCTGTGAAAAATATGGATTGGGTTGAAAAATAAGTAATTATTCTTAAAGGAATATGTGTCAACTTCATGGAATTTTTGAAAACACAAGTAAAATACTTGTTATTCTGAAATTATTGTGGTTGGATGAAATGTATTATTTTAAATTCAGCACCTGTATGGATCAAGACTACATGGAACATAGCTCTAGGAAGGTTCTGCATATGTTTTATTGCTTATTATTCTAAATTATTTGCCCTAGAAGTTTTAAAATTGATATTTTGCTTGTCTAGCTCAGAGAAGCTTCAGTCATTAACTATTAACCCAACCTTTCCTGTTGGTTAGGATATCACATGTCAAATCAGACTGTTCTCTAGAGCCCCAGAGAATATACCCAGCTATTAATGGGTCATTTCTTGTGGACGTTCCTTCAGCATTTCAGACTCACGTGTTCTTAGCATTGTACTTTCCAACCCTTTCTCTCCTTTAGTGTTCCCAATCTCAGTGAATGGTACTATTTTATGCTCAGGTTTCTAAATCAAAACCATGGTGACTTCTTTTTTTTTTTTTTTTTTTTTTGAGACGGAGTCTCGCTGTGTCGCCCAGGCTGGAGTACAGTGGCACAATCTCGGCTCACTGCAAGCTCGCCTAACCATGGTGACTTCTTAACACTTCCTTCTCTGATATCGACCTCCCAATTTGCCTAAATATTTCTAAAATCTGCCCACTTATCTCTATCCCACTGCCATGACCTTGGATCAGACCACCATTACCTCTCACTTGGTAACTGATACAGCTTCATAACTGGCTTCCCTATCTCCAGATCTTCCCTGACCCATACCTCCAGATGAAAATCATGCCTCTATTTGGTTGCATTTCTTTTCTTTTTTTTTTTGTTTTGAGACAGAGTCTTGCTCTGTCGCCCAGGCTGGAGTGCAGTGGCGTGATCTCAGCTCACTGCAAGCTCGACCTCCCGGGTTCACGCCATTCTCCTGCCTCAGCCTCCCAAAGAGCTGGGACTACAGGCGCCCCCCACTACGCCTGGGGAATTTTGTGTATTTTTAGTAGAGACTGGGTTTCACCGTGCTAGTAAGGATGGTCTGGATCTCCTGACCTCGTGATCCACCCATCTCGGCCTCCCAAAGTGCTGGGATTACAGGCATGAACCACCGCACCCGGCCTTGGTTGCATTTCTATTTGGATTATGCCTTTCTTATATAGTTCTCATTTAACATTTATTTTGAAGTTTCTTATTTGCTTTGTATGTATGTGTTTTATATTGATCATAGTCTTAAGGTTTTCTGAGACTTACATTTTAATATTTATTCTATTTAATTTTCGTCACCTTTTTTTTTTTTTAAAGCTATCAATCAATGCTTCTTACTACCCGCCATGCCCCTCTTCGACCAGAAACCTTCCCCAGGGAATTCTTGTTTAATTGGCTGGACTAGTTACATTGCTATCTCACAGGGCTCCCTTTTATGTCTTCCTGCGTTGGATACACAGTTGGTTGGATCCCATGTCTTCCTCTTTCTTGGTTTATTCCAGTAAGTGACGATCTAGGAAAGGGTGAATGTGAGATCCAATTTTGGAGTCTTTTCCTTTCTTAAAATATATTTATTCTGCTCCTCATACTGATACATAATTTGGCTAGCTATGAGATTCTATATTTAAAAATTTGATCCTTGAACTCGAAGAGCTTGTTCTCTAGTACTATATAGTTTTACTGACAAGATGTCTGTATTTCTCTCTGGAGACTTTTATGATCTGCTTTTTATTTTTTATGTTTTAAATTTTTAGAATGATTTTCCTAAGTTTGGGTCTTTGTTCATTTATATTACTTTGCATTTTATAGAACCATCCATTTTGTATTTGTTCTTTGGTATGGGCAAAGTGTATTGTTTTATTGGTCTGATTATTTTTCTGCTTCTTCTATTCTCTCTTCCCAAATCTATTATTTGTTGGATGTTGGATCTTCTGAATTGATCTTTTAAATCTCTTATTTTTCCATATTTTCCATTTCTCTTTCTTTTTATTCCAATTTCCAGGAAACAAACTAGATGATATCTTCCTGTCCTTCTATTGAAATGTTGGTAATTTGGTTTTTCACTCAGTCTGCTACTCTCTCGCATCATATGTCGATGAAACCAAAGGCCCTGCTACAACCTTGGACTTCGTTCCAAACTTCTCCTGATCTACATTTTCTATTTGACCCCTGCTCTCTTGGTTTTCTCTTCAATTTGCAGTCCTTTTTATCACCTTTGTTTTTGTCACAGGAAATTCCTGAAAATTTTGTAAGCTACTATAAGACGACTCTTTAGCTCCAACAGGGACTTGGAACCATATGTATTTTTATAAGCACTGCTACTATCATACACATTTGTTGTCAGCAGAAATAATCCTCTGTAAAGTTACTGCTATTGATCTTTGTGTTAAAGTGACTCCTTTTACAGAATGAAGAAACTTTTAGTAAATCAAATCAGGTTTCCTAATTTTTCTATTGCTATGGGAACAGATTTTCTTAAGTAGTGTTTGGAGAAATAAGTGGGTACCTCTATTATGTGAAGTAAAAAGAGTAAGAGAAAATACTGGAAATTTTCATGGCCACTTTCTTTCTGACCCTGGGTTAATAATATGTAGCCTACAAAGTACACAGTTTTTCACTCTGTACTAAGCTCTGACAGAGCAGAGATCCTGTCTCTGAGCATGACGTTGGGTAATTCATTTCCATTCAAGGCTGTGTCAGAATAGTTATAATGAAATTGACTATATTAGCTTCATTGAGAGAAAAAGTCCACATCTTGTGATGTAGACACATTGTATAGATGAGAAAACAGACTCAGAGAAGTCTTTGCCGGAAGTTGCACGTCTAGTAAATGTCATTGCCTTGCACACTCCTGTCTCTCTACCTCTCATAATCTTTATGCTCCCTGAAATAATCTCCCTTCCTTTTGCCATTTGAAGGCCCTAGCAGTAGGGCATAGTGATTAAAAGTCTGGGCTCTAAAGTCAGACAAC
The DNA here is from genome assembly GCF_000001405.40 of Homo sapiens. Lineage (NCBI taxonomy): Eukaryota > Metazoa > Chordata > Mammalia > Primates > Hominidae > Homo > Homo sapiens. The sequence goes on from NC_000001.11 coordinate 170,259,284, forward strand.
CATGGATTCGAACTTTTGCCCCATTACTTAGCGACTTTGATCCAGTTAGTGACCCAATCCATCACTGTGACCTTGCAAAGTGATTGTAACCATCTAGATCCATTCTCCACTCTTTCCACCTTGCTCTCTGTCCCAGTAGTCTGACCTCTGTGCATTTTATCCACATGCTCCCTTGATCTGGGGCTTCTGGTTGATTTTAGCTAATAGGAAGGCTCAGCAGGAAATTAGAGCATGGGAAGAGAATGAGAATGGAGATGCTTATTCCTCCACTCTTCCCTTCCATTCTTTGTAGGCTGCCTGCATCCGTCTACAAAGAGGGATCCTGCCAGGTGCCCTCCCGACTTAGCTCTCTTTCTGGCTTCCGGTAATTATTCCTTTCCTTCTTCCAGGTTTGGGGATGACAATGGCCTCAACAAAATAAGAAGGAATAATGAAGCACCCTTTTATAAGCATTGCTACTATCATATATTTGTTGTCAGCAGGCCATAGAATGAGCAGTGCTTATAAAAACGTACTGCACTATTTCTTATGATTTAGTTACACCCTGCCGACATTTTGGTAAATAGTCATTTTAATAAACTTCCCTCTAATTAACCTACTTTTAGGAAGCCATCTATTTCCTTTTGGAACCCCACAAATATATCATTATAAGTCTCAATTTTCTTTTCTATAAAGTGGGCATAAGAATATTATTTACCTCATAGATTTGTTGTGAAGATTAAATGGGATAATGGACCTAAAGCATTAGGCATAGTACGTAGAAAGCACTCGATAAGTTTCAGCTGTTACTGTTAATAGTTGCAACATCAGTTTTCTCCCATTCTGTAGGTTGCCTGTTCACTCTGATGGTAGTTTCTTTTGCTGTGCAGAAGCTCTTTAGTTTAATTAGATCCCATTTGTCAATTTTGGCTTTTGTTGCCATTGCTTTTTGTGTTGTAGTCATGAAGTCCTTGCCCATGACAATCTACTCACCTGATAAAGGTCTAATATCCAGAATCTAGAAAGAACTTAAACAAATTTACAAGAAAAAATCAAACAACCCCATCAAAAAGTGGGCAAAAGATATGAACAGACACTTCTCAAAAGAAGACATTTATGCAGCCAACAGACACATGAAAAAATGCTCATCATCACTGTTAATCAGAGAAATGCAAATCAAAACCACAATGAGATACCATGCCACACCAGTTAGAATGGCAATCATTAAAAAGTCAGGAAACAACAGGTGCTGGAGAGGATGTGGAGAAATAGAAACACTTTTACACTGTTGGTGGGACTGTAAACTAGCTCAACCATTGTGGAAGACAGTGTGGCGATTCCTCAAGGAACTAGAAATACCATTTGACCCAGCCATCACATTATAGGGTATATACCCAAAGGATTATAAATCATGCTGCTGTAAAGACACATGCACACGTATGTTTACTGTGACACTGTTCACAATAGCAAAGGCTTGGAACCAACCCAAATGTCCATCAGTGATAGACTGGATAAAGAAAATGTGGCACATATACACCATGGAATACTATGCAGCCATAAAAAAGGATGAGTTCATGTCTTTTGTAGGGACATGGATGAAGCTGGAAACCATCATTCTGAGCAAACTATCGCAAGGACAGAAAACTAAGCACCACATGTTCTCACTCATAGGTGGGAACTGAAGAATGAGAACACTTGGACACAGGATGGGGAACATCACACACGGGGGCCAGTTGTGGGGTGGCGGGGAGGGGGGAGGGATAGCATTAGTAGATATACCTAATGTAAGTAACGAGTTAATGGGTGTAGCACACCAACATGGCACATGTATACATATGTAACAAACCTGCACATTGTGCACACATACCCTAGAACTTAAAGTATAACAAAAAAATTAATAAATAAATAGTTGCAACATCATTCATCTTAAGGTCAGAATTAATCTACTATTGATTCTGATTACTTCAGAATTCTGTTTTTCCAACATTTATGCACTTTGATTTTTTCCTGAATTGGCCTGTGGTAAGAAATGTTTATTTCTCATTTTTTTGTCTTTTTCATGTCTTGACCTTTTAACTAATCAATACTTTTCTTGAAAGATCACTAGTAGGTAATAATAGAGGAGCATTTATTAATAGGCAGGCTGAGAGAGATTATGGATTACATAGATATTGAGTTCCTATTGCTAATGTAACAGTCACACACACACACACACACACACACACACACACACACACACACTGATATCGTAATCCATCCATGGAGATAAGAACGGAAAATATATTTACAATAGAATAAATCCAAACTTGCTTAGAAGTGTGAAGTTCTGGCAGGAGTTAGTAAGATTAGCTAGTTGACTTTAGCTTTCCTAATCTAATCCTATGATTGATTTTGATAGAAAAAGAAAGTAACAGACAGGATACCCAGGAGCAGGCTCAAAGTCACCAGTACCTAACACCGTGAAGTTTTAGTCTGTGTTGACGTAACTTCAGAGCACAGTTTTGTACACGGAAGAGTTTAAAACATCTCGGGAACAGATGTAAAGGAACTCTTCATTTTTAGCAAGAAATGTGGTTACTGTTGGCCACCACAGTCAGAACCAGAGGACACCATGCTGGCTAATGGAAACCAGATGCTCTGGTAAAGAAAGCCATGGATAAATATGAATTATTTTCAGCTGAATGACCTTCAATTATCTCCTTTAACGTTTAGACCTGGTTCTCTGCCATAATCTTTCTTTGAGTACTTAGAGAAGAGACCAACATAGGGGCACCATTATAGAGTGATTTATGGAGGACATGGACAAGGGTCATCTATGGAATGTGAGAGAAAACAGGAGGGGGAGGAGAAAAGAGGGAGAGGGTGCATGCAAGAGAGATTGAGAATAAACTCAAGATAAAAAATAAAAACATGGGAAATATAGTTATGTGGGTAGAGTCCTGGCTAGGAGCCAGGAATCCTGGGTGCCAGTCCTTCTTTTGGTATTAACTCATTGCAACAGGCTGAACCAATTCAAAATACATTTAGTGTGAATCCAGTCTCTTAGCTTCATTATGCCAAGATTCTCCCGCCATCAAACAATGGGGCTAGTTTTTGTAGATTTTCTAATTTCCAGGAATCCTATATGATTTTATAGTAAGATGATCTGTGTTTCTTCACCCCAGCTCTTTAATCCCAGTGTTGATAACTTTATCTCTATGTCATCCTAAGCCCATAGTGAAATGTCTTGAAGATGCTGAGACTGAATAGTCATTTTTGTCTCCCCATCCCTTTTCCTGGAAATTCTTCTTGACCACCTTTCCATTTATTAAACCACTGTTTTTCAGCTTAATGACTTTATTTTGATAACTACTGCATGCCCTTAGGAAAAGTCAGCAGTGGTGGTGCCAGCAGGAACTATTTATAGTAAGCAAACTGTTTATGAAAAATGTAATCTTTAAGAGAAGACTTGCTTGTAGACTTACTTCATCTCTTTCATTTCATTTTGCTAAATTTTTCTCAACAGTTTCAACACCCACAAGAACATCTCTCTCTAGCTGTCTTATCGAACTCAGACTACTCATTGAGAAAGTGAAATTCATCTCATTTCTTTTTTCCTGTCTCCTTGATTCTCCTTTACTTAAAAGCAATTTCTCTTTTTCTGATCCATTCATCTTAAAGGATCCACAAGTCTTCTAGAAATCCAGATTTGGTAGAATCTCTTCTTCTTCCTTATTAAGTTTACTGATTCTACTACAATATCTGTTTAAAAATCTGGGAAGATTTATTTTAGAGTTTGACTGAGGCCTCAGGCTAAGAGGAGCTCTGAAAAAATGAATAGTTGAGACAGATCCCAGCCATTTTCTCCTTCTCAACAAACATTTTTTCCATTAGTTCTCTCCTCTCTCTTCTAAATTATAATTTTCCCTCTGGTTTCTTTTTCCTAAACACACACACACACACACACACACAAACACACACACACATGCTTTTATTTCTTCTATCTGAAAAAAAAGACTATGTGAGTTTACTTGGACTGCCAAAGCAAAATGTCACAGACTGGATGGCTTAAACAACAAAAATTTATTACTTACAGTTCTGGAGGCTAGAAGTCCTAGATCAAAGAGTTGACAGGTTCAGTTTCCCCTGAGGTCTGTCTCCTTGGCTTGTAGATGGCTGTCTTCTTACTGTGTTTTAGTCTTTCCTCTCTATGTGTACATCTCTGTATGCCCTAATCTCCTCTTCTAATAAGGACACCAGTCAGATTGGATTAGGCCCACCCTAAGAACCTCATTTTAACTTAATTTCCCCTTTAAAGGCCATATCTCTAAATACAGTCATATTCCTAGTTACTAGGTTGCCATATGTACCTCCTGTGAATTTTGAGGGAAGACAATTCAGTCCATAATACAAAGCAACAACAACAAAAAAATCTAAAATTCACTTTTTACTCGACTTTTCTCTCCTACTGCCATGTAATTTCCTGCTCCCCTTTACAAAAACAACTTCTCAAAAGAGTTGTATATGCTTGCTGTCTCTAGTATTTTCCCTCTCATTCTGTCATAATTTCACTCCATTCAGCTTTTTATTTTCACAACTCCATGAAAACTACTCCAGTGGCCAAAGTCACTGATGACCTTGCTGATAAATCCAATGGTCATTCTCAGTGCTCATTTTATTTGATATAGCAACAACATTTGACACAGTTGATTATCCTTCTTCCTCAATACCTCCTGCTCCCTTGGCTTCCAGAACAACATACTCAGTTGATCCTCCTTTTGCCTTCCTGGTTACACTCAGTCTCTTTTGCTGGTTCCTCCTTTTTTTCCAGAACTATTAATATTGTAACAATCTGGATTCTCTTTTCTATCCACATTCGTTCCCTTGGTGAACTTATCCAGTCTCATAATTTTAACTATTATGGATATACTAGACTCCAAAATTTGTCTCACTAGCTTTCTCTCTTAAATTTTAAATGTCTGTGTATTATTTCCATATGCTCATAATATGTATAAAATTGAATTCCTAATCACCCTCCCCAAACCTGCCCCATTTGTAATCTTCTCCACCTGAATTTTTGGCAGCTCTATCTTTCTGGTTGCTTAGACTAACAATATTGAGTCATCCTTGACTCCTCTCTTCTTTCATTCCACATCTTATTCACCATGAAATCCTGTTGACTCTAGGGTCAGAACTGATTTGGAATCAGATCACTTCTCACTATCTCTGTTACTACTAATTTGAGCCAAGACAGTATCTTCCCTCACTTGGATTACTACACTTGACTCCAAAATCTCTGTGATTTCATATTTAGCAACCAGAGTGATGCTCTTAAAATACAAGTCAGATCATGTTACTTTTTGACCTGGAATCCTCCAGTCGCTTCACATACTACTCAATGAAAAAGTCTGTCTTTACAATGGCCAAAAGACCCTTCATGATCCCACTCTTTGATCTCATCTTCTAATATTATCCCCCTCATTTACTTCATTAGCCATATTGGTCTCATTTTTTTTCTACAATAGAGCAAGAGCATTCTACCTTAAGGCCTTTGGACTAGCGTTTTCATCTGACGCATTTGTTTCTCAAATACCCACATGGATAGCTAGTCCTGTCTCTCAAGCCTTTGCTCAAATTACACCTTTTCAACCAGGCCTACTCTGATCTCCTTTTTAAAATTGTAAATTGCCTCAAACCGAACTCCATTTATGTGGTCCCTCTGACCTATTTTATCTATTAAATAGAACTTATTACCTTCTAATATAAGATACAATGTGCTTAAGTGTATAATACAGGCATACAATGTGTAATGATTACATCAGGGTAAATGGGATGTCTATCACCTTAAGCACTTATCATCTTTTCATGTTACAGTCCAATTATACTCAATTATACTCTTTTAGTTATTTAAAAATGTACAATAATTATTGTTGACTGTAGTCACCCTTTTGTGCTATCAAATACTAGATCTTATTCATTCTATCTAACTATATTTTTATAGCCACTAACCTTCTCTATTCCACTGACCCCCTGTATTAGTCTCTTCTCATGCTGTCAAGGCTTGGGGCTTGTACCCTCTGAGAACATGGACTGAGCTGTACCTTGGCCGTTTTAGACATGGCTGGAGTGCCCAGGATGAAGGGCACCATGTCCCCAGGCTGCATATAGCAGGGGGGCCCTGGAGCCAGCCCAGGAAATCATTTTTCCTCCTAGGTCTCCAGGCCTGTGATGGGAGGGGCTGCTGCAAAGTTCTCTGAAATGCCCTGAAGGCATTTTTTCCCATTGTCTTGGCATTAGCATTTGGCTTTTCATTACTTATGTAAATTTCTGCTGCTGGCTTCAATTTCTTTCCAGAAAAATGGGTTTTTCTTTTCAACTGCATTGTCAGGCTGCAAATTTTTCAAACTTTTATGCTCTGCTTTCTCTTGAATGCTTTGCCACTTAGAAATTTCTTCCATCAGATACCCTGAATCATCTCTCTCAAGTTCAATGTTCCACAGATCTCTAGGGCAGGGGCAAAATCTTGACAAACTCTTTGCATAACAATTGTGACCTTTACTCCAGTTCCCAAGAAGTCCCTCATCTCCATCTGAGACCACCTCAGCCTGGACTTCCTTGTCAGCATTTTGTTCAAAGCCATTCAAAAAGTCCCTAGGAACATCCAAACTTTTCCACATCTTCCTGTCTTCTGAGCCCTCCAAGTCTCTAGGAAGTTTTCAACTTCCCCACATTTTGCTGTCTTCTTCAAAGCCCTACAAATTGTTTCAACCTCTGCTCATTAGCCAGTTCCAAAGTCGCTTCCACATATTTGGGTATCTTTAGAGCAGCACCCCATTACCTGGTATCAATTTAATGTATTAGTCCATTGTCACACTGCTATGAAGAAATACCTGACACTGGATAATTTAATGAGGAAGGTGGTTTAATTGACCCACAGTTCCACAGGGCTGGGGAGGCCTCAGGAAACTTACAATCATGGCAGAAGGGGAAGTAAACACCTCCTTCGTCACATTGTGGCAGCAAGGAGAAGTGCCAAGCAAAAGAGGAAAAGCCCCTTGTAAAACCATGAGATCTCATGATAACTCACTCACTAACACAAGAAAAGCATGGAGGTAACTGGCCCCATGATTCAATTACCTCTCAGTGGGTCCCTCCCACCACATATGGGGATTATGGGAACCACAATTCAAGATGAGATTTTGGTGAGGACACAGCCAAACCCTATCACCCCCTAACTACCCTTCCCAGTGTCTGTAACCATCCTTCTACTCTCTATCTCCATAAGTTCAATTGTTTTAATTTTTAGATCCCACAAATCAGTGAGAACATGCACATTTTGTCTTTCTGTACCTGGCTTTTACAAAATATCCTCCAGTTCCATCCATATTGTTGTAAATGACAGGATCTCATTTTTTTGGATGGCTGAAATGTATTCCTTTGTGTGTGTATATATATATATAAAATATATAATATATATAATAATATATATACCACATTTTCTTTATCCATTCATCTGTTGGTGGCCATTTAAGTTGCTTCCAAATCTTGGCTATTGTGAATAGTGCTGCAATAAATATGTGACTGCAGATATCTCTTTGACTCATTGATTTCATTTCCTTTGGATAAATAGTAGTGAAATTGCTGGGTCACATGGTAGTTCTATTTTTAGTTTTTTAAGGAACCTCCGTACTGTTTTCCATATTGGCTCTATTAAGTTACATTCCCACCATTGGTGTATGAGGGTTCCCCTTTCTTCAGATACTCACCAGTATTTGTTATTGCTTGTCTTTTGGATAAAAGCCATTTTAACTTGAATGAAATAATATCTCATTATAGTTTTGATTTGCATTTCTCTGATGATCAGTGATGTTGAGCACCTTTTTATATGCCTGTTTGCCATTTGTATGTTTTCTTTTGAAAAAGTCTATTCAGATCTTTTGCTCATTTTTTTATCGCATTATTACATTTTTTCCTATTGAGTTGTTTGAGGTCCTTATATATTCTGGTTATTAATTCCTTGTCAGATGAGTAGTTTATAAATATTTTCTCCCATTCTGTAGGTTGTTTCTTCACTTTGTTGATTGTACCCTTGCTATGCAGAAACTTTTTAACTTGATGTGATCCTATTTGCCCATTTTTGCTTTTATTGCCATGCTTTGGAGATATTACTCAAGAAAATTTTTCCCCAGACCAATGTGCTGAACAGCTTCCCCAGTGTTTCCTTGTAGTAGTACTCCTCTATTTAAGCAGAGAGAAGGAGCTCCCCCTGGAGCTGCAAGCTGTGCTGCCTGGGGTTGGGAAGGGGTGATGCAAGAAAACTCTTAGCCATCTTGGCTGGTGTCTCAGTAGGACTGCATGCATCCTAAGTCCACTGGTTCTAAGCCCAGCACAGCACAAGGACTTACCCAGGAATTGCAGTACTTGTGGCCCAGGCAGCCTTTTAAGTCTATTTAAAACCCCAGCACAGTTTAGCCCTCAGTGGTGGGGCTTGCCAGAAATCAGGTTCCCACTGCTGGGATGGGTGATTCCCCTCTGGCTAAGGTTGGTCTAAATGCTCTCTTCATGAGTGCTGGCTGAATTCTGCCCAATGTTGCTTTCTGTGACAGGACAGCACTGAGTTCCAATGCAAAGTACAACAATCACTGCACTCTCCCTCCTGCAAGCACACAGATTCTCAATCTGTCCCACAGGTCTGCTGCAGGAGAATGGGAGAGGGGTGGTGTCAGCAGTTCAAGACTCTTGCCTACCCTCTTCAGTGTCTCCTTGCTTGCTATGATGTTAAAATCAGGTACAACGATCACTCGCCTGATTTTTCGTTCTTATGAAGGAGCTTTCTTGTGTGGACAGTTATTCAATTTTGTGTTCCCACGGGAAGGATGATTGCTGAAGGCTTCTATTTGACCATCTTGTTTCACCTCCCTCCTTCCTAATTCTGTCATGAGACCCTACGTATGACTTAAGCATGCAAGCATCTTGCTCCTATGCTGTTTGTTCATACCTGACACTAAATTCCTTCAGGTGTCATTCCTCACCTCAGTCCCAATTCAAACCAGCCTCCCTTCTAATCTTTCATGGCTCATTCCTACATTGACTAAACAAGACAGCAGTATTTGTCACATTTAATGTTATTGCTGTGGTCTGGATATTCATGTCCCCTCAAAATTTCTATGTTGAAATCTTAACCCCCAAGGTGATGGTAGTAGGAGGTTGGCCTAACTGGGGGATGATTAGGCTCTGCCCTCATGAACGAGATTAGTGCCCTCATAAAAGAGGTTCTAGAGAGCTGCCTTGTACCTTCCATCATGTGAAGACACAGTGAGAAGGCACTATCTATGAACCAGAAGGCAGGCCTCACTAGACACCAAATCTGACAGCACCTTGATCTTGAACATGTCAGCCTTCAGATCTGTGAGAAATACATTTACCTTGTTTGTATGTCACTCAGTTTATGGTATTTTGTTACAGCAGCCTGAGTAGGTCATGGCAAATATCAGAACATTATAGCAGTCACCTCCTTTTTGAAGATGTTTATTAAGTTTTGAACTGGTATTTATAATGACATCTAAATTTATCTCCCACTTCCAATCTTTTTTTCACCTTACTTTTATTGTGTCTAGATTAAGCTTCAAAAATACAGCTATGATCCTATCATACCTTGAGTAGCTCCCAAAAATGGCTGAATAAAGCCCAAATACTTTGGCTTAGTATTCCAGGCTGCTGTCTATAATCTAGCCACAGTCTACTCTTCAGCGTCATTTCTCACAATGTCCTCATGCATACCTTGAACTTTAGATGAAATGGAGTACTTGATGCTTATTAAACATAGCTAGTAAGTTTCCTACCTCTATGCTTTTCTTACAGTGTTAATTCCAAATGTAGTGTTCTTCATCCTTTATCTATCTCTTGAATTTCTTCTATCTCAGACTGAGCTTATATAACATCCCTTCTATGAAATTACCCTGAAGCATCCTTTAATGAAGACACATTTTCTTTCTTTAAATTACAACAGCACTCTATCTGAACTTCTCTTCCGGCTATAATTACTTCTCCCTTCTGATGTATTTGTATACATACTTGTCTTTTTTTCCCTTCCCGCACCCACCACCCCACCACCCCAACCCGCAGACTGTAAGCTTTCTTTCACAAGGCTGAATTTTATTCATCTTGATGTGCTTCGCAGCTCTTAGCTTCATGCCTGGGACCTCAGAGACACTCAGTGATACTCAGTTAAAGTCTGTTTAATAGATGTTGAATCAGTTTCTAATTTTCTCTGTTGGGCTGTATAATTCTGTACTAAGTCCTTTCCTCTTACAATATTCTACTCTTCTGTCACCTACTTCCTCTTCTTCTCTGGTCCTTTTTAGTTCTGACTTTACAATAGATCTTGTGCTTTAAGTTACTAATAAAAAAGGAGTATAAGTGAATTAGGAAATGTCTCAAATCACTATTTCTTCATGTGTGCACTTACCAAATTGGTCCATGTATTTTTAATGCAGAAATACAGGTTCTATTTATAGCACTTATCTTTTCATTGTGTGTCATACAGTTTTAAAGTGTTTTTATATTTATTTTCTCACATAATTGTCAAGGTCTAACTGGAAATTCTTGAGGCATATTAGAGACCAAAAGTACTAAGAACCAAACACCTTGGTTGATCCAGAATGGTTCTATTTTAAAACATCCTCTCCTGGACTGGGCGCAGTGGCTCACACCTGTAATCCCAGCACTTTGGGAGGCCAAGGCAGGCGGATCACCTGAGGTCAAGAGTTCGAGACCAGCCTGACAAACATGGAGAAACCTCATCTCTACTAAAAATAAAAAATTAGCTGGGCTTGATGGCACATGCCTGTAATCCCAGCTACTTGGGAGGCTGAGGCAGGAGAATGAGGCAGGAGAATTGCTTGAACCCGGGAGGCGGAGTTTGCAGCTAGCCAAGATCATGCCTGGGCAACAACAGAGAAACTCCGTCTCAAAAAGAAAAAAAAAAAAATCCTCTACTGGTGCAAGACTATGTGTCTCAGTTTTGGCTTCAGATATTGTGTTTGGTATGATAAACAACCCCTATGCTTTGTTTCTTTCTTGTTCATTAGTACTTGGGGTCCTGAGTGAAGCAAGGAAAGGTGTTGATATTTCAAAATAAAACAGTAACTGGCTTTGCTGGTATATATTCATTTTGGTAGTCTTGTCTTTCCATCTGAAGAAAAATAACTGAGAATTGACTAACCAACCAGCACTTACTGAGCATCTACTCTGTACCTAGCCATGTGCTAACTTAGAAAGACCTTAAGGGATAAAACTAAATCTTATTTGTCCTTGTAATCACTCTCTCCCCTCCAATGGGCCAAGTTTAATCTACTCGTTAAAACATGTATTGACCCTGTGCTATGAACCAGGCACAGTGTTTAGACACTGGTATGGGAAGATAAATATGTCTGGTATCTGCTTTCAAGGAACCTATAATAAAGGAGGAGAAACAGTCAATGAAGCAAAATGATTACAATATAGCATGGCAGGTTCTGCATCAAATATTTCTTAAGGATGTGATAGAAGCACTTAGAATGGCCAGCTCAAGTATCACTCCTGTTTAGAAGCTTTTTCTAGGTCTTAAAAAGGTTTAACAGAGACCCAATTTATGTTCGTTTAACAAAAGAATGATTATGAAAATTTAACCACAATAAAAGGCCAAAAGTAATAAAATGGCCAGTGAATAGTAGAGGCAGTGAGTGTAGGACTTTGCAGGAAGATCATTTGGGATGGGTGGTTTGTGGGGAGTAGCACTGAATTCCCCAAACCTAATCTAAATGATGGCCCCAAGTCTATTGAGAGTAAATTCTTGGTCTGATTGCCCTATACAGAATTATAGGTCAACTTCTGATGAAGAATGTTCTAATACATTCTTTAGAGTTAAAACCTTGATAATTGCCTGGATTGATTTTTGAGTATGTGATACGTTGATCCTCTGAACAGAAATTATATTAATATTCTATGCAGCTATGAAGCTTCCCTTGCTACTCTTTGTGGGAATTTGGGAAAGAAATCCTGAATGAGTGCAGAAGAAATTCTGTAAAATGACCTACTTATGCTTATTAAAAGGTAGTGAAATCTCTCTAACCAAAAGAGGAGTTCTTCACAGATAAGAAAGAAAGAGTTGGATTCTATTCTGTGTCATCTATCATAATCTGCTAGCTGTGGTCCAGCAGTTGAATATTTATTACCAGCAATGATGGGAGAGGTGAGAAGAGCCTAGTTTGATTCTCCAGATCTAAGGCTGTGTTTCAAACTGCCACTTCGACAAATGCTTTGACTTAAAAGCACTGAGCCAGCTTGATTTGGAACTGTCACCACCAAGAGAGAAAATGTCTGGAATACTGCAGTGTCATTTCTGGGCAGTCTGTCTTTTATGACTTGTCATGCACTACTAAAGGGAGACAAGTGAATACTGTGTACATGAAATCATTAGTGCTGTCATAGCAGGCAGAAGAAAGACCACCAGGCAGAACACAAGACCACCCAACACAAAAAACATGAGCTCCCATCAGCAACATGGTTGAGACTATGTGCCCTTGACATTTGCCTTTCAGAATGTTGAGCCACCAAGCATGCTGTTGGATAATTATTGCTTTGTGATGATATTCAGCAACTCTCACAATGTGGACCACCAGTTCTGGTTTGGGTTTCTTCTTTTTATTAGGACCATCTGAGAATGTCTGTGGTAGAGACTTTGGTGAATTTCATCCGTCCTGTGGCCAAAGGAATGAAAGGAAGAGCAACTTAGTTTGTTAATATGGAAGAATTCAGCAACAAAAAACCCATGACACATGTCTGGAAGAGGCTTCATTGAGGGATTTTTTTATTTTTCGAACAAAGCATTCTAAAATGTTTTACTAATGCTTATTAAAGTGCACTCTCTATGCAAATAGCCTTATAGTAATTAGCCTTATACTAATTTCAGAGCTGTAGTGATATATTTTTAATCCAACAAATGCTTCTTGCTGGTATTTCTATTTCACACAGACTGGGCTATCTCCTCGTTGAAAAACAAGCCAAAACAAAATAAAGCATTATTTTTCCTAAAATAAGCTAATATGGTTTTAAACAATCATAAGGTGTTGTATTTTTAAAATATTTTTGTAAAGCAAAAATTAGTTCAATCTCTTTCCTTTATTTCCCTTTGCCTCAGACTTTTTTTCCTTGCCTTTATTTCATTTTATTTGACTTCTACTTCTTATATTGAATGTGTTGGTCAAATTTTTAAACTTGAATTTACCAATACTGCTTCTCATCTGACTTATTTATTTCCTGGTGACAAATTTTTTGTTCAAGTTGTTTTTTTTTTTTTGCTTTGCCATTGTTGTTGATACTTGCTTCTCTTGTACTCTTGTTCTTTCAGTAAACATTTTATTGAAGTTATTTACAGATTTTCTCAGGCATGTAAAATCTATTAACCAACTACATATCTGTTTCACCTTTATGATTTCAATGCCTTTTAAATTTAACTATTTTTTGAGGAGTTTCTATTCTCTCTGAAAATTTTGAATTCCGAAGAGAATGGATAATTAATCCTTAAATAAGTAACACATTATCTTAGTTTTCTTAAAGAAACTTCAGATTGCAGATCTTTAAATTGACTTAGTATGTTATGTTGTCACTGCTTATAAAATCTACCTTTAGTGGAAGCAAACAAGAATTACTTTAAAAACATATATAGAGAGGTTAGATTTTATACCTAGAGCACAAATCTCTTGATTCAAAACATTTGGCAAAAATACCATATGTTGAAATTGAGTTATCTTCTGCTGAAGCCAGTTCTCCAGCAGTGTCAGTAGTAGAAGTGGGGTTCTTTACTATTCCAGTCTGTTGCTCTAGTAAGCAACATGGGTGTGTACAGGTGAGATTTTCATCCAGCTAACATTCATTCAGAGGGCTATATCTTCTAAAGCTTTCTAACTCAACAAGAGCATAGTATGTAAGCATCCTACACAGTGCGCAACTACAAATATTTGATGAATAAATGGCAGGAGCTAAATATAACTAGAAAAAGCTGTAGAACAAAAAAGAGACAAAATCGTATAAGGGCTAGATCTGGAAAAAAGCATTCATGAAGATCATGGATTTTAAAGCTTAGACTCCTGAATCATCTTTACTTATGCATAATCTGTTTTGGAACCCATTGTATATGCCACTATTTCCAGTAACTGATCCAAAATTGAGTTCCATCCTGGAATGTTGTGGTTTCCAAATACTAAATTGTTTACCAGATATAGAACAATACAGATTTTTCATCAACTTACCCGGGCCTCTTCTGACCACCATTTCCTTAGTATCCTGAAAAGAAATTCTGAGTTTCTCCTACTGGTATATAGGCTCTCAGGCTTCTGTGAATTTGTCTTCTTTCTCACTCAGGAGATTTCTCTGCTTTCCCATGCCCTGCATCATTCTTTCATCCCTAGGGGCTGATGTGTCCATTTCCTGTGGGGTAGATGTTTGGCCCAAACGTGTGTAATTATGAAGTTTCCCTTGGGATCTGGGGTGGTGGGATGGGGATAGTTCTTGGTGCCTGGTGCACACAGTTTGTGTCTCGGGAGAAGAATCATAGAAAACAATTAACTGAGCATTTGTCAAAAATACTGGCACGTGCACATGTCTTTTAGCTCCCCAAAGATTTGCCTTCTGCTTTGCTAACCTCAGGATACTGGCCAGCCAGATGGAAAGACTGCCAAGCACATCCAGCTCATGTAGCCAGAAGGCCACTCCATTTGAGTATCTGGAAATCATTTTTTCGCTCACTTGGGAGGTTCTGGGGCCTCTTTATTTCCTCAGAAACAAGGCCCACCCCAATGATTTCAAGAGCACATTGCAGCCTAGTCTCCACAAGTGAACAAGCTGTGAGAGCTGGAAATCTGCAGCTCCTCTCCTGCTCTCTTTATTGCAGTACATTCTTTTCCCAGCAACATAGGTTTATGGCCTCCCAAGACCCTTCTCACGAAAGGCACTAGAACGCAGTGTCAAGTTAAGATGAGTGATTAGGGAAATCTGTAGCTACTGAGAATGAGGTTCCCGGCTGAGTATCAGAAGCGACCACAGAAGGTGAAGGTTTGCCTCTTTTCTGTCTGTTGTCAGGAATAATGATGAGAAGCAGAAGGCATTGGTTTGCTTCTCAAATTCCCAGCTCTGCTTCTCACTGTTGCCAGTAATGATGCACTGGGTAGGAGACGAAACTTCCTTCTCATATCTCCTTCCTTGCTTTGGTGGTGGACTGGCCACATCTAGAAGGGAAAGAGAAGTGAAATTCCCTGAATGCAGATCGGTGGCCAAGGTCCTACCAAGGTCAGTCTTTGAGCAGGAGAGCTCCTTTACCTGCAGCCCCTCACCATAATGTCTGCAAGGCAATGACACCGATGTGAAAATAAACCCCATCTTTCACTCTGCACTTCTCTTCTTCTTATCTCAGATTAAAATGTCCCCCCTTTTTTAAAAAATCAAGCAAATACAATAAAGATGAAAAAAGTGACTGACAGAAAGAAATTTAGAGGAAATAAATTTATACATGACTGTTCCTCCTCCCCACCCATTCCATTCCTTCAATTGGAAACAATACTTCAGTAATGGTCTTTCTAATACATAAATGTAACCATATCTCTTTCTTGCTTTAAAATCTTCAACTGTTACTTAGAGTCAAGTTAATGGTCTTTAGTATAATACTTCCCCACAACCACCCCAAACTCAAGCCATGCTGAATTATTGCAGTTCCTTAAATCATCAGGTCCTTTAGAGTTTCCACACCTGGACACAAGCCACTCCCCATACTTGAGATGCCTTTATTTCCCTGGTCTTTCAAAACTGCTGATTTAAAATGCCATTCAGATGTCCCTCTCATTTGCAAATCTTCTCCAACTCTACCAAGAATAGCACTTGCTGTCTTTGCACCACGGAATTGTGTGTGTATCTCTTTTATAACATTATATTATACTGGTTTTGTTGCTGTTGTTCACTTGCATGTCTGTCCTTGTGGACTGATTTCTTTGGGGACAGGGATTTTGTGTTATTGTCGCATTAACCCCAAGTTTTCTGAATGACTGCAGTGTAGTAGATTCATTACACTGTTGCAGAATGAGTGGACAAGACTGGAAAATGTAACTAAAGTTTATATATATTTCCCCATTTTCTAAATTCCCACACCTTAAGAAAGATGCTTGTTCCTCGTTTTTCACATTTTGTTGAAGTAGTACAGTCTTTCATCTCTTCCCCTTATTCCCATCTTTATTTCTTAATTTTATCTTTTTTTGGAAAAGAAGGCATTTGGCACAGCATCCTTCTCTCTACTGTCACCATCATGGTTGCATTCTCCTATCAGACACCCAGAGACCTCAGCTCTTGTCAAGAAGCCCTCTCTCATGGCTGCAGTGCTCACTGGGGTCTGTGCTCCCTCTCATTCATTGCCCTCGAGGCCCACGAGTAAAGACCACTTCCCACTATGAGCAGTCCCTTGGTTATTCTCCCTCCCTCCAAATGTGTAAATAGTCCCTTCATTAAATGCTCTTTACCCTTTGAGTGAGCCATCTCTTTCCTGCCTCAATCCTGACTGACAGTCTGGTCAACAAATAATAATTGACTTACTATTATTAATTAATCTCTTAATTTATAAACAAGAATGGGGATTTCTTCCACTTAGTTACATCATATCTACAATGATATCTGTAGGAGTCAGGAGCCAAAGTCTTGAAAATGTTTAGGGACCCCAGAGAAATATTCTCCATTGAAGTTGAAATTTGTATTTTCAGTCTTTCCTTTTACATATCTCTGTCCCACTCATGCAACAAACGTTTATTAATCACTGCTTTCTCTTCATTCTTATCTTTGATTTTTTATCTTTCCCCTTTTCTATGTGAGAATATTTTTAGAGCGTAAGTCAGAGAACTTCAACTACTGGCTATGTAATTGGGCAAGTCTCTGCATCTTGGTTTCCTTATCTATGAAATAGGGAGGATAATACCTCCTTACAGAACCCACAGAGCTGGTGAGTAAATCAAATAAAACAATTGTATGTACAATCCATAATCACATTTACTACTTTTATTGTTTTTGCTGTTTTCATGTTTTTAGTTATTGATGTATTTCCTCCATAGTGCTTCTTTTTTTTTAATAAAAGTTTTTTCTTTCTGCTGTTTTAGGTTTTCTTTCCTTTCCGTGATATTCCTTTCATGCTCCTCTTCCACAAATGCCACCTTCTTGACTAGTCTTTTGAAAATACCCTGCAAGATCCATTGGTCTATACCTCAGCTCCTTTGGGACTGTCCTATTCCTTTTTCTCTCTTGCCTTAGTGGCTTTCTTAAAAGCATGTTTAAAAAAAAAATTCCCCCTGTGGTAAAAGGATAAAAATTCTAGAGAAATGTAAACTTGTACCTAGACTGAGACAGATGTATAATTCTCCTTTGTTGAAATGGTTTGGCTTTGTGTCCCCATCCAAATCTCATCTTGAATTATAATCCCATAATCCTCATGTGTCAAGGACAAGACCTGGTGGGAGGCGACTGGATCACAGGGGCAGTTTCCCCAAGCTGTTCTTGTGATAGTGAGTGAATTCTCACAAGATCTGATAGTTCTGTAAGTGTTTAACATTTCCTCCTACACACACTTTTTCTCTCTCCTGCCGCCTTGTAAAGAAGGTATCTGCTTCTCTTTTCGCCACGATTAAGTTTCCTGAGGCCTCCCAGCCAGGCGGAACTGTGAATCAATTAAACCTCCTCTGTTGATAAATTATCCAGACTTGGGTAGTATCTTTATAGCAGTGTGAGAATGGACTAATACATTTTTTTGTGTGATTTTTGAGAATAAGGTTCATAGTGAATACCAGAAAGGTTTCTAGGGTTCAATTGATCACAGCCTGAATAGTCTCTTCATATGCTACTGTTGTAATTAGTGGTCCAATAACACCACCAAGGTATTGTCCCATTCCTCTTTCTATGTATTCTCATTTCTTATTCTTAATTGTATTTACTTAGTATTTATTGAGCAGCTATTTTGTGCCAGACATTTGCTCAGTGCTGCGTTTTTAAGAAAGGCATTGTCTTCACTCCTGGCAAGTGTACAATCCAGTGGGGATAAAAATGAGCATGCTGGTAATTACAAGGCATGTTAGGAGAAAACACGAATGTGTTCTGGGTTGTTTTGTTCCCTGGTATATCCACAACATCAAGAGCAGTTTCTTGGACATAGCAGGTCCTCAATAAATATTGTTGAATTTATGAATGGATCTCGAGATTCAAAATGTTGAATAGGAGTTCATCAGTTAAAAAGAGTGGGATGAGGCATTGGAACAGGCAGAAGGGATGGCTCAGAGGCAAAATAAAGCATGATAGTTATGGGAAAGTGCAGGTTTCTATTTAGCACGAGCTTTGTGTGGGAATGAGATTTGATGAGAATTGAGCTCAATAAATCAACATATCCCTTGATAATGACTACCACCTACTGTGTGTCTCCCACATATCAAGTACTTTATATACATTATCTTAAACCTTAAAGCTATGAAAAAAAGTATTATTTAGCCTCCTTTGCTCATTCAACTCAATTTCACCTAGACACAAGTGATGGCAGTATTCAAGAATAGCCATATACTTGATCCTGGCCCTACATTTCTTTGATGACTGATAAGATGATCAAACCCTGAAAGTTGAGTTCAACTGCCTCCAGGAAGAACAATACAGATTTTAGAAATGTTCTTTCAGCTGATATCACACTCTTATTATGTGGGAATAAATTTAAGAAGATGCTAGGTAGTAAATAATCTGGAGCTTTCAACTGTGGTGCAATGAGTTTTATTAAACAGTTGGATGCCAAATTTTAATACAATGTGGAATAAGTAAATCAGAGGAAGTAGAACTGGAGCATAACTCTACTCAGAACAAAGAACTCTGAGAAAACACTATGCTGTCTGGTTAACCCATCAAAAGGTGTGAGTTTCGGAGTGGACTAGAGCAGAACCACAGAGATTATGACTATTTTAAATTCTAAGAACTTTCCAAATTAATGATTGGAAATTTATACTGAAGGCTTTTGCTAAGTGGTCCTGAGAATCCTAGGCGTTTTGTGCTAGAGAAGATCTTACAGATATTTTACTGTAACTTCCTTGTTTTGTAGAGGTGGAAACTGAGGTCCAAGAAGTTCAAGGTCTCACAGCTGGCACTGAAGTCAGTGCTCTCTCCACTGCAGTACATTGTCTCTGCAGAAGTTTTCAGTGTTGCTCTTCTATGAGATGGTCTCTTTAATTAAATCATAGGATACACAGAATTTGCATCACTCTTGCTTAATATCTACTTTCCAGTCACTTTGTTGTTTATTTTTTAAAAGTTACTCTAACCTCCTTAAGGATGTGGAAAAACTCCGTGAAGGAAGCAGTGAATTCAGCACTAAAATAACAACTTTTTTCAATCATGACTTTATTGCCATTTCTGTTATTTTTATTAAAGAATCCCAAATCAAAATGATTTGTCCATATATGTGCTTTATTTATTTTGCAGCATGTGGCAAGTATTCATAAAGTATTAGTTTAAGAAACCAAATATGAGATAAATTGAGTTGCTGGCTTACCTTCAGGTCACATAGGAATCACGAGGATCCAGTTCTTAAGAATCTTAGTTGACACCAAAGATCATCATTACCCAGGGTCTCTCCTTGGAGGGGACTTGGTGCACTGAAAAGGGAGATCATGAAGGCCTCAAAGAATACTTGGAGAATCCCCCAAGAAGCGTTGCAATAGTACTTTTCTTATAAAGTGTGAGCCTTTATAAGAGAACTTCATGAAACGACTGTTATGGTGCTTTATTCAGGGCTCTTTGCCATCATCATTGACAGTGAAGCTTTAATAGGAAAACAAAACAAACCAAAAACACCTGGGCTGATGAAAACAAATATGGAAGCATCTGGTACAGTATCTACCAGAGAGAAGATACTTATTACATCTTTATTGATGGAAAGAAGGAAGGAAAAAGGGGTAGGAGAGAAAGAAAAAATGGGCAGGACTTTTAAAAACAGATGATAGATACTAGAGGCTGAGAAGGGTGGGTGGGTGAAGCAGGGATGAAGAGAGGTAGGTTAACAGGTACAAACATACAGTTAGATAAAAGGTACAACTTCTATTGTTCAACAGCAGAGTAGAGTGACTATAGTTACAACAGTGTATTATGTATTTCAAAATAGCTAGAAAAGAGTAGCTTGAATTATTCCCAACACATAGAAATAATAAATAATCAAAGTGATAAATACCTCAACTATCCCGACTTGATCATTATACAACCTATGCATGTAACAAAATATCACATCCACCTCCCTTAAAATATAAAATATTATGTATCAGTAAAAAGTAAAAATACAAAATTTAAAGCAGCTTTTAACACATGAAATAACCAGCTAGCGTCATAATGACAGGATCAAATTCACAGATAACAATATTAACCTTAAATGTAAATGGGCTAAATGCCTCAATTAAAAGACACAGACTGGCAAATTGGATAAGGTGTCAAGACCCATCAGTGTGCTATATTCAGGAGACCCATCTCACATGCAAAGACACATTTAGGCTCAAAACAAAGGGATGGAGGAATATTTACCAAGAAAATGGAAAGCAAAAAAAGCAGGGGTTGTAATCCTAGTCTCTGACAAAACAGACTTTAAACCAACAAAGATCAAAAGAGACAAAGAAGGGCATTACATAATGGTAAAGGGATCAATGCAACAAGAAGAGCTAACTATCCTAAATATATATGCATCCAATACAGGAGCACCCAGATTCATAAAGCAAGTCCTGAGTGACCTACAAAGAGACTTAGACTCCCACGCATTAATAATGGGAGACTTTAACACCCCACTGTCAACATTAGACAGATCAACGAGAGAGAAAATCAGCAAGGATACCCAGGAATTGAACTCAGCTCTGCACCAAGCAAACCTAATAGACATCTACAGAACTCTCCACCCCAAATCAACAGAATATACATTTTTTTCAGCACCACACCACACCTATTCCAAAATTGACCACATAGTTGGAAGTAAAGCTCTCCTCAGCAAATGTAAAAGAACAGAAATTATAACAAACTATCTCTCAGACCACAGTGCAATCAAACTAGAACTCAGGATTAAGAAACTCACTCAAAACCACTCCACTACATGGAAACTGAACAACCTGCTCCTGAATGACTACTGGGTACATAACGAAATGAAGGCAGAAATAAAGATGTTCTTTGAAACCAATGAGAACAAAGACACAACATACCAGAATCTCTGGGACACATTCAAAGCAGTGTGTAGAGGGAAATTTATAGCACTAAATGCCCACAAGAGAAAGCAGGAAAGATCCAAAATTGACACCCTAACATCACAATTAAAAGAACTAGAAAAGCAAGAGCAAACACATTCAAAAGCTAGCACAAGGCAAGAAATAACTAAAATTAGAGCAGAACTGAAGGAAATAGAGACACAAAAAACCCTCCAAAAAATTAATGAATCCAGGAGCTGGTTTTTTGAAAGGATCAACAAAATAGACCGCTAGCAAGACTAATAAAGAAAAAAAGAGAGAAGAATCAAATAGACACAATAAAAAATGATAAAGGGGATATCACCACCGATCCCACAGAAATACAAACTACCATCAGAGAATACTACAAACACCTCTACGCAAATAAACTAGAAAATCTAGAATAAATGGAAAAATTCCTCAACACATACACTCTCCCAAGACTAAACCAGGAAGAAGTTGAATCTCTGAATAGACCAATAACAGGATCTGAAATTGTGGCAAGAATCAATAGCTTACCAACCAAAAAGAGTCCAGGCCCAGATGGATTCACAGCCGAATTCTACCAGAGGTACAAGGAGGAACTGGTACCATTCCTTCTGAAACTATTCCAATCAATAGAAAAAGAGAGAATCCTCCCTAACTCATTTTATGAGGCCAGCATCATTCTGATACCAAAGCCGGGCAGAGACACAACCAAAAGAAGAGAATTTTAGACCAATATCCTTGATGAACATTGATGCAAAAATCCTCAATAAAATACTGGCAAAACGAATCCAGCAGCACATCAAAAAGCTTATCCACCATGATCAAGTGGGCTTCATCCCTGGCATGCAAGGCTGGCTCAATATACGCAAATCAATAAATGTAATCCAGCATATAAACAGAGCCAAAGACAAAATCCACATGATTCTCTCAATAGATGCAGAAAAGGCCTTTGACAAAATTCAACAGCCCTTCATGCTAAAAACTCTCAATAAATTAGGTATTGATGGGACGTATTTCAAAATAATAAGAGCTATCTATGACAAACCCACAGCCAATATCATACTGAATGGGCAAAAACTGGAAACATTCCCTTTGAAAACTGGCACAAGACAGGGATGCCCTCTCTCACCACTCCTATTCAACATAGTGTTGGAAGTTCTGGCCAGGGCAATCAGGCAGGAGAAGGAAATAAAGGGCATTCAATTAGGAAAAGAGGAAGTCAAATTGTCCCTGTTTGCAGATGACATGATTGTATATCTAGAAAACCCCATTGTCTCAGCCCAAAATCTCCTTAAGCTGATAAGCAACTTCAGCAAAGTCTCAGGATACAAAATCAATGTACAAAAGTCACAAGCATTCTTATACACCAACAACAGACAAACAGAGAGCCAAATCATGAGTGAACTCCCATTCACAATTGCTTCAAAGAGAATAAAATACCTAGGAATCCAACTTACAAGGGATGTGAAGGACCTCTTCAAGGAGAACTACAAACCACTGCTCAAGGAAATAAAAGAGGACACAAACAAATGGAAGAACATTCCATGCTCATGGGTAGGAAGAATGAATATTGTGAAAATGGCCATACTGCCCAAGGTAATTTACAGATTCAATGCCATCCCCATCAAGCTATCAATGTCTTTCTTCACAGAATTGGAAAAAACTACTTTAAGTTCATATGGAACCAAAAAAGAGCCCACATCGCCAAGTCAATCCTAAGCCAAAAGAACAAAGCTGGAGGCATCACACTACCTGACTCCAAACTATACTACAAGGCTACAGTAACCAAAACAGCATGGTACTGGTACCAAAACAGAGATATAGATCAATGGAACAGAACAGAGCCCTCAGAAATAACGCCACATATCTACAACCATCTGATCTTTGACAAACCTGAGAAAAACAAGCAATGGGGAAAGTATTCCCTATTTAATAAATGGTGCTGGGAAAACTGGCTAGCCATATATAGAAAGCTGAAATTGGATCCCTTGCTTATACCTTATACAAAAATCAATTCAAGATGGATTAAAGACTTAAATGTTAGACCTAAAACCATAAAAACCCTAGAAGAAAACTAGGCAATACCATTCAGGACATAGGCATGGGCAAGGACTTCATGTCTAAAATGCCAAAAGCAATGGCAACAAAAGCCAAAATTGACAAATGGGATCTAATTAAACTGAAGACCTTCTGCACAGCAAAAGAAACTACCATCAAAGTGAACAGGCAACCTACAGAATGGGAGAAAATTTTTGCAACCTACTCATCTGACAAAGGGCTAATATCCAGAATCTACAATGAACTCCAACAAATTTATAAGAAAAAAACAAACAACCCCATCAAAAAGTGGGTGAAGGACATGAACAGACACTTCTCAAAAGAAGACATTTATGCAGCCAAAAGACACATGAAAAAATGCTCATCATCACTGGCCATCAGAGAAATGCAAATCAAAACCACAATGAGATACCATCTCACATCAGTTAGAATGGCAATCATTAAAAAGTCAGGAAACAACAGGTGCTGGAGAGGATGTGGAGAAATAGGAACACTTTTACACTGTTGGTGGGACTGTAAACTAGTTCAACCATTGTGGAAGTCAGTGTCGCAATTCCTCAGGGATCTAGAATTAGAAATACCATTTGACCCAGCCATCCCATTACTGGGTATATACCCAAAGGACTATAAATCATGCTGCTATAAAGACACATGCACACGTATGTTTATTGTGGCATTATTCACAATAGCAAAGACTTGGAACCAACCCAAATGTCCAACAATGATAGACTGGATTAAGAAAATGTGGCACATATACACCATGGAATACTATGCAGCCATAAAAAATGATGAGTTCTTGTCCTTTGTAGGGACATGGATGAAATTGGAAATCATCATTCTCAGTAAACTATCGCAAGAACAAAAAACCAAACACTGCATATTCTCACTCATAGGTGGGAATTGAACAATGAGAACACATGGACACAGGAAGGGGAACATCACACTCTAGGGATTGTTGTGGGGTGGGGGGAGGGGGGAGAGATAGCATTGGGAGATATACCTAATGCTAGATGATGAGTTAGTGGGTGCAGCGCACCAGCATAGCACATGTATACATATGTAACTAACCTGCACAATGTGCACATGTACCCTAAAACTTAAAGTATAATAATGAAAAAAAAAAGAGACCAAAAAAAAAGAAATTTTGTTAAATTACCGAGATGTTTTAATTTTTAATACTTATATGCTGGACACAATAATAAATGATAGGAATATCTTTCTGTGTTATATGGGGAAGAGCTAGAGATAAAGCAGGATATTTTATCAGGGTCAGTTTCTAGAGTATACCTCTAATTCAAAACCCACAGCACCACCAGTTTCTTCCTCACGAGGCCCTTTTCTTTTCTTTTTTTTTTTTTTGAGATGGAATCTCACTCTGTTGCCCAGGCTACATAAAAATGTAAACTTCTTCAGCCAAGTCCATTCAAGGCTCATCAAGGACTACCCTTTCTACCTTTGTGGACTTCTCTCTATGAAAAACCCCTTGTGTAAGCCCAGGATTTGGATACCACCCTCCTATCCTGAAAATAACGATAGCAGTTGACATTTATTGAGGACTTACCATGTGCCAAGCAGTATTCTAAGTACTTCTCACATGTTATTTCCAGGACAGCCTGTGACGTAGGTATTACCATTACTTTCATTTTACTGATAGGGAGCTTAGGCAGAGAGGTTAGAATTTGCTTACGTTGTACAGAATGGTAACTTGTACAGAATAGTAACTTAAAGGGCCAGGATTAAAACCCAGGCAGTCTGTCTCCAGAGCCCTCACTCTTAATTTCTTTATAAACATCTGCCCCTTTCAGCCTTGCCCTAAGTCTCCCAAATAAATGAAGTCTCATGTGGGCACCTTCTTTCCCAGTTAATGAAAATATTCATGTCCTCTCTTTAAAAGACCACGTGTTGCAGTTACTAGCAATGAGTGAGTCTTTGGCCATCCTCAAAGAGAGCCACAGTGTCTGCTTGATAAAAGCCACAATTTTCCTGACCTGCTCTGGGGCTGGCCCCCTCAAAGAAAATGCAGGCAGACACTTGGCAACTGGACTCTCCCAGACTCTCAAGCACAGAGCTGTGTTAGTGTTGGCAGTGGGGGACGGTTTGCTTCCTCCCCGTTTCATGAACTGTCACATCAGCCTCTTTGATCCTCCCAGGGTCTCAAGTGTGCCAAGATCATTACTCCACGTTATTGCTCTGTTTCAGATAATTGCCAGAGAAAACGCTAAGGTCGGTAATGACCAAGGTAAGGAAATATCGCTCCCTGCACGGTATACCATTTATATATTGCATACTCAGAAAGGCTCCAGAGTGGAGGCATTGCTTATTTTTATTGTCCCAAAGCCATGAGGGGGGAAAAAAGGGAATGAACAGAAATTGATACATCTGGAACAAGAGCCAGGCATGATTTACTCACATTTTTACCTGACCTGAAATTGCTTATTTAGAAAAAAGAAACATTATAAAGTCTCAGGAAAATGTCATGAATCAGAGCCAGCATGATTTCACATTGGGGCTTCATAAACTGTGTGTGTGTGTATGTTTTTTTTTTTTTTTTAAAGCAAAGAAACTGTCCAGGAAAATCAAATGAGCCAAAGGTAGCCCTGCCACCATGACCATCACCATAGCAACCGCGTAAGAGCATGATAGGACAGCACGGGAGCCCCACCGCTCAGGACTGCAAACGGATGGAAAACTGCTGGTTCATTAGAGGCCATTCTTACTATGAAAAGAGGATGGGCACTGACTTGGCAATGTAACAAACAAGAGACAGCAGACTTTCACTATTACGCTATTGCCTCAAAAATGAACTAATCATACACTACATCACTGAAACACACAACTACAGGAAGTCGGAAGAGAGAGGGAGGAAAAAGTTGATTAAAGCCTTGCATTCTACTTTAATAGTTCCCTTACTTCATGTGCTCTTAGCACTTTGTAAGCAATATGAACACAGTTTTGAAGCAATTAGATAATAAATGCTATTATTATAGCTATCAGCTGGAAGAGACTTTAGAGACCATCAATTTTTTTTAATTAACTGAATTCCAGGCTTTATTTGGTTTTCATCTGTTTTTTCATTAATGTCCTCTTTCTAGTCCGGGATTTTACCCAAGGTAGCACAATGCATTTAGTTGTCATCTCTCCCCAGTCTCCTCTGGTTTGTGACAGTTTCTCAGTCTTTCCTCTTTTTTCTCAGTCTTTCCTTTTTTTAAAAAAAAAAAATGACCTTGGAAGTCCTGAGGAGTGCTGGCAGGGTATCCTGTAGAATGTTCTCCAATCTGAGTTTGTCTGATGTCTTTCTCATAATTAGACTGGGACTGGGATTATGGGTTTCTGGGAAGAAGACCATAGAGGTGAAATGCCCTTCTCATCATATTCTATTGAGGGTATATGATAACCACATGACATCTCTGGGGATGTTAACCCTCATCACTTGGTTAATGTCATGTTGGCCATCTTTCTCCTGTAAAGGAGAAAAGTGTAAAGTTACTATTTTTCCCTTTCCCTATTCTATTGCTTGGGGTGGAGTCGTTAAGCCTAGTCTACTCTCAGGGTATGTGTAGAGGGGTGTCAAGTTTCACCTTTTTTTAGTGGGGGGAGTAGTTACATATATTATTTGAAATTCTTCTGTAAGAAAGATTTAACTTTTCATTTTTTAAATTTAGTCATTTATTTATATTGGTATGCACTTATGTAGAGTCACAGATTGATTATCCCTAATCCGAAAATCCAAAACCCGAAATGCTCCAAAATCCCAAACTTTTGGAGCACTGACATGATGCCACAAGTAGAGAAGTCTACACCTGACTTCATGTGATGGGTTGCAGTCAAAATGCAGTCAAAACTTTGTTTCATGCACAAAATTATTTAAAATATTGTATAAAATTACCTTTAGGCTATGTATATAAAAATCATAAATGCATTTCATGTTTACACTTGGGTCCCATCCCTAAAATATCTCATTATATATATGCAAATTTCCAAAAATCTGAGAAAGTCTGAAATTAGAAGAACTTCTGGTCTCAAGCATTTCAGATAAGGATAGCCAACTAGTATTTCATATTTTGGGTTATAATCTAATGCTATGTTATTTATTTTGTTGAACAAGTTACTTCAACTTTGGCCATTGGCAGTGCCTTTGGGTTGGCTTCTGATTTCCTTTGACATGCTCCCATCCATTTGTGTGTTGAGCACTTCCTTCCTTTTGGCACTACAAGATCCTCCAGTTTCTTCTATTTTACCTGCCTCAGCCCTCACATTAGGTATTTCTCCAAGGAACCCTGGTTCCTTTTATTCAAGAATGGTATTTAAAAACCAAAGAAACCATCAATTTTTAACTGCTTCATTGGTCAAATAAAGAAGCTGAGGTGCAGATGACAAAGCAAATTGCCTGATGCATCATCTGATATTGAGTTAATGGCAGGCAGGGATTAGAAATCTGGGCCTGACCCCTAGTTTGATATTGTTTTCAATACTCCAGTCTTTGCTATATATCTTTGCTTTTCCAGCCAGCTTGTGAGCTCCTTTGAGGTAGGAAGTATATTCTCTGCTCTTTGTAGAGTCTCCATTGTGCCTTATATAAAGCTGGGCACGGTGCATATAGTAAATGCATGAAGAGACTCTCTGCTGCATCCTATTTAGTCTCACTCTTCTCTGCTCAGGTCAGACCCTCATTCACTCTTGCTCTAGACCATTGCAGTTTCTACAAATACAGCGGTTTTCTTCTTTTCTGATCTATCCTACTCATTGTTGCAACATAAAAGATGAAATTGCAGAGTTCTGAAAATCTCTTTCTCAACACCCATTTCATAAAGTTAAACTCACAACTCAAATTCATTCCCTTTTTCTGTTTATCTGAAATTATGTGTGGTTTCCTATGACTGTATTAGCAAACACTGCTTCATCATATATTGCCCAGAGAAGAGGGACCCTCAGATATAACCTCCCTCAGCTTTCTCGTTTTCTATCACTAGTTCTATCTCTGTCTTCCACCAACCTTACATTTTTCATTTCTATTCCAGAATAAGTGTCCCTACTTCTTTCACAGGTTTTAACCAGTGTTAAACCTGACTTCTCTGAGATAGGGCTCCAGTGGTTATTATTTCTGAACCTTAAATTCCTACTCTTTCGTTTTCTATTGGTGCATTCTGTTGAACACGTTTATAGGCTGAAGTTTTCCTCATCCTAAATAAATAGACACATGAAAAATCTTCCCTAGCCCTTTCTTCTTTACATCATGCCATTTCTCCTTCCATTCATTTTTACATTACTCAAGAGAAGTCTCTACTCACAGCCTCTACTTTCCCACTAATTGCTAACTGACTTATCCTACCTGAATTTAGATTCCCCCACCTAATTAAGCCTTTACAGTATCCCTAAAGTGTTATGAATGATCTCTTAAAAGATTTTAATGACTCCATCAGTCATGATCTAGTAGGAAATGGCACATTCAAAGGGTTTAATTTTATAAAGTGAATTTTGGTGAGGTGAAATAACGCGGTGGGAGGTTAAAGAATCCAAGCAGGGTGATGAGGTATCCAGAGATCAACAAGAGCGGGAAGGCAAGTGGAGAAAGAAGTGTTACCAGAAATAAGCAAGAGCTGTAGCTGCCTGATATGAGCTGTGGTCTTAGTAGAGGAAAATCGGCTTCTGTCAAAACTATAGACCATCAGGGAGCGGGAGCAGAAGAAATTCCCTTACTTATCTTTGCTTTTACCCATGATGTTCTGTTGGTGTCTCCCATTGGTTAACCCAATCTAAAGACAGAGGGCAGGAAGCTCAAGTAACACAGTTTGTAGAGGTCAGCCCTCTAGGGGGTTCAGGAGACAGATAAAGGATTGCGAGGGGCAAAGAGAATAACCAGCATAATAACTTATCTGATTTAACAACTGGGAAGATTTTTCTGCTCACTTTTTAAAGTTTTTCCTCCCTAATGCTATCTCCTGACATCTTTCAATAATGCATGGATTTAAAAGATAAATGAGCACCTGCTCTGTTGAGAGGGCTGTGTTAGACACTGAAGATTCAGTGGTGCAAAGAAAAGTGCTCTCCCTTCCTTCAGAAACCTTATGTTCTGAAAATTCCTTTTCAGTCTGCTCTACCAGCTCTTTCTCTGCCTTCTTGGTTTACTGTTGCCATTCTTCAAAATTCTCTCCTCATTTTATCCCCAGATATTTTTGTTCTCTGGGATAAATAAACCCAATTTATGCCCAGAGATTTTTGTTCTCACATGTATGCGAGGATTTCCAAATCCACATTCTAAACTCAGCTTCCTTAGCTTATTAGAAAATAATTTAAGGTGCTCAATATGATGGCCTCAATCTTTTTCCTCTTATCTTATGGTCTCTTACATTCTCTGTACTCCTCCTTCCCATAAGAGGATCCAAGTCAGGGTTTCTGTTTTGTTATGTTTTAATCTGTTTTTGTTCATTGATGTATCATAAGTGCCTATAATAGTATCTGGCACATAATAGGTGCTCAATAAATATTTATCGAATAATGAATGAATTCCTTCCAGTGAAATCAGATTATTCTCTACTCCCTAACCATATGACCTTGCTTATTTCTGCACTTTTGCTCACATAAATTTTCTTACATCATTCTAGCATCTGTAATCCAATCTTCCTCCAAAATGCAACTTAAATATCTTTCCTATGAGCCCTTTAAGATACTGCCCAAATAGAATTAATCCATTCCCCTTCTGTATTGCCATTATATCTTGTTTATATTTCTGCTTCAGCACTACTATTATTTCATATATTATAGTTAAATGTATGTATTGCTTATCTCATCCTACAACATCACTAAAATTATCTAGGCTAAGTCATTGTCATTCCTTCTTCACATTTCCAAAGAGCCTGGAAAAGTGTTTTGTTGAATTTAAGAAGCTAAACATTAAGTCTCAGCCCAAATATATAAATTAACCTCTCTCGGTCATTTAAAATGTTTAGTATCTGTCTCTATACATAATTAATGTGTGTCAGGAAAGTGAGGGCATATTGCACCTTTATTTTTGTAGTTCTGGAGAGATGTCAGGAGGTATAGCTGAAAAAACAATGTCAGATAGCACCAATTGGATACACCTTTAGTCTCTATAGTCAATGAGTCCTCAATTAGGGTGACTTTTTGAATCTTCAATACTGCAATGTCATACCAACCTATCTGGGCTCTGAAATTTATATGATCCAGGCTCAATTAACTCAATTATATTGACAGGAAGTCACATTGATCCAGCTCCATACCCTCTGAAAACTGACTTTTGCAGAAAAAAAATTGTCCTAGAGTAGATATTTACAGAGATCCAGAATAAGTTTCTGCTAATTTGTAAATATTAGAAGTGTTCATCTAAGTCTATATGGAGATAATTGAGGTTTGTTTGTATTGATTCAATTGGACCTATTTTTGAATCTATTTATCATACCCATGGGTGGAAGATCAACAGCCAAGTCCATGTTGGACTTTAGCAATCCTGGTCTGCGTCCCTTCTTTATTCCTCCCTAACATGTGGTGAAGATCGTGCTTCCATGTCCCTCTTTATATTTTTTGGTCTTGGCTCCTCCTGATCCACAGCAAGTGACTGTAAAGACTAGAACACATATGGAGTTTAAGAACTACTGCATGCAAATTAACTCCTCTGACTTCTATAATATGAAAATTTCTCACTTCCCCCAGGTTGCAATTAGTTAGAAATTAGTAGAACTGTAGCTTCCCAAGGAAAACTGTAAACTTTCAACTAAAAAAAAAAATTAGACTGTTGAAGAAACAAAGAGACTGTGATTTATTACTGGCCAGCTCTTTGCCAAACCCACTTATGTTCCTTCCTGGGCATGTAGTAAGAATATATTTTCCAGTCTCTATTAAATCCATGTCATGTGACTAGCTTTAACCAGTGTAATCTGAGCAGAAGCAATATGTACTACTGAAATATCTACCCTATAAAAATGTCCTATGCTTCAAACTCCGTGATTTTTCCCTTGAACAGTTTGATGCAAATGAACATGGTAACTTGAAGCCACATGTTGAGGATGACAACATCTTGGGTCCTTAAATCACCATGTAGAGGAGAACTGGCCAGTGATTAGGAAGACTTACTGTAGACTTTATGTAGTATATTTCTATTACTTTTGGCATTACAGCAGCTGGTGTTAACAAAACAGAGGAAGAGTCAATGGAAGTGTTAAGAAAGAGAAGGATAGAATAAATTATGCAAAGATTTTAATATAGGGTCATATATATTAGAGATTTGACGTAGTTGGAATGGCTGCTCATACTAAGTTCCTATGGAAGGCAAGACAGCTTACAAGTAATAAAGTGCAAACTGAACCTATATTAACTTTCTCTAGGCCTGATCGCTCATGGCCAGCAATGTGGGAGGGACAGTTTAGCATCACAAACAGACATACGTGAGTCGAAGATTAAGCAGTGTAATCTAAATATGTACCTAGGAAAGAAATATTCCTCTAAAGGAAACAATTTCCTGAAATACATTGTCATC
The DNA here is from genome assembly GCF_000001405.40 of Homo sapiens. Lineage (NCBI taxonomy): Eukaryota > Metazoa > Chordata > Mammalia > Primates > Hominidae > Homo > Homo sapiens. The sequence goes on from NC_000001.11 coordinate 170,291,069, forward strand.
TCTTAATTCTAACCCTTTACATTATTGTGAAAAGCAGTTTAATTCATTCCAGTCACAGTGACTCAAACTTCCCTATTCGTCTGCTTAAGGAAATCCTCACTGGGAAGGTTATTCCAGCTCAAAGTGATGCACTGCCTCAGACTTTATGTCAAATCTCTACTTCCCAGGGGGCAGAAACAATATGTTTTTGGTAACAGATTTATCCAGACTCTATGCAAGGATTCCAAAACATTTTGTGGTTGGATCTGGGTTCCATACTCTATACAACTTTCTTTTATCCCAACATAGTTTTTCAAAAGTGATGAGATTTAATTTTGGACATGACACTCATGTAAATTTTCATTATTCCCTTCACAAATGTACCTAGAGATCACTATTGCAAAAAAAAAAAAAAAAAAAATTGGCAGAGAGACACTCTAGTTTTACCAGATATGTAAGTGGAAACTTTACAAAGTATTTTGAGATAAAACATACTGAAATCAATATCATCCATGAGATAAAATGTAAAATCAACATAGATTATTGACCACGATTTTTGGCCTTGTCTTCTAGAAAAGTAGGTACTTTTGCTTTTTGCTTAGTTACGCTGAGTAGCCTCGCATGGACAATCCTGGTTTATAATTCTTCCAATGTCAGAATCAGTTCCAGGCTAATGAAAAAAGCTACTAGCCAAGTCTTTCATGTGAACAATCTCCAAGCGTGCTGTATGTAGCATGGCCAAGAAAATGTGGTGACCATTTTCTGGAAAATCAGCATAATTTCTTTATGTGATCAAATAACTCATAGTGATTACTTTTGAATAGCTTGAATTTATTTATAAACTTCCTTCTGTACACTTAATTTAAGACATAGACCAGTGCAGGAATGCTAGTTAACAAATGCTGAAATTTGATTAACTGGAAGGGGAGTGGGAGCGGGGGTATTCAAGGAAGTTTTCATTTACATATTCAATAAACAGTCATCCAGCAATCTTGACACTGACGTGGCAGACATTTCTCAAGCCTTGGCATTCCATTCTTTTCTTCTAGATTTGTGGCAAGACATGAAATAATAATGATAGGAAGAAAACTGACATATGCCCACAAAGCACCAGGTGCCATGTTCAGTGTTTATCCCTTACATTAATTAATTTAAACACTTAAAGAATTCCAGAGTTACATACATAATGATAAAATTTAGTGTTTCAGCCTAGCCTTAGAAAGGATGCCAAAGCATAGAGTTTGATCTTCTTAAACCTCACAATGACAGCTGGGATGTGTAGATAATTAGATGCCACAAAAGATCTGTTTTGAACCAAATGTGGTTGGTGCTTCAGGGTCATCTGGAATTTGGTGACCAAATACAATTATTATTGTCATCATTTATTTATAATATAACTCAGCATAGTGCCTACTATGACCAGGCACTGAAATAAGTATATTACTTTCTTATTTCATTTATCCCTTTCAACAACTATTTGGGGTAGATATGATATTTATTCCTATATTAAATTACTGGTTTAAGATTACATAACTAGTAACAGGCCGGTCTTAACTTAGGCAGCCTTAGGGTATCAACATAGAGTAATATTCAGTGACTGTATTCTAGAAAGTGTCTTTACATTGGTAAATTCAAAGCTTTGGAAATTCTTTTAACAGTAGGAAATGAAATAACTTAGCTATGTCTGTGTAAATTTTATGAAAGATAAATATGGTCAGAAATAAGTAGGCCAGGGAAGCTTTACCCTTTTGCTTTATTTTTAGAATAAACACAAAATGAAATTCATGCACATTTCTCCTTTTTCTCAACTTAAAATATATATCTTTTAAATGGTTGGATAATATACTTACAGTTCTAGTAAACTGATATACTGTATAGTCTGTATACCTTTCTAATACAAAAATCTAGAAATGCTGGATAAAATATAGCAAACATTCTTTTGTAGTCATAGCTGAGAATGGGCAAGTGTCAGGTTCCAGACTCAAAAAGGAGACTGAAAACAAGTGGGGAAGGAAAAAATGGTGGAATGCGTGTATATGAGGTGTGTTTGTCATTAAACTACCGACATAGTTACTTTCGGCCTTATAGACACAGACGGTGATGCCTTGAGAGTATGGAAGGCAGAGAGTTAGAACAAAGACCATCTACACAGATCCAGGATCTGAAAAGGTTGTATCTTTAATTAAAGTGTGAGATGGAAAAAAAAAAACCTACCTACCAATGATATATAGACATGGCAAGGAAGCTTGTATACCACTATCTGGGTTTTTAGAGGAGAATGAAAAGGATATCTCCTGATAATTTATAAATATGGTACTCTCTTTGGCAAGTGTTTGAGATTTAAAGCTGCATGGCCTACTTGATCTAGAAAACCCTAAGCTTAGAAAATAACAGTAAAATTGGCCTGTGTCTGGTAATACTCCTGGGTCATTGGGAGATGCAAACATTAAACTAATTTGGAATTTCACCCATAGGTACAAAAAATTGTCAGAGAAAAAAAATCTACCCCATTTAAAGGAAAGTTTCTGTTAAAAATTACAAAACATTCAGAAAAATAATCTGTCATGAGTGAAATTTAGCAAATATGATAAAAAGCAAGGTAGGGATCTCCAAGAATTTGAGATAATTTGTTAACAATATGAATTTAAAATGATTATGCTAAAAGCATACAAAATGAAGTCAAATAAGTGAATAAGACATGAAAAGGAAATATTTTTTAAAAATAGTTTACTTCAAGAATTTTAAAAAAGTTATTATAATTAAATATTCAGTAAATAGTTTAAATACTAGATCAGAAGTATCTGAAGAGAAACGAGTAAACATTAGAAATAAGAAAATTTCAAAAGAATTTGACACAGAGTGAAAAATAATGAGACAAAAATTATGTATAAAAAATAAGTCAAGAAGAGTCATTTACTTGGTTGGAGTCTAGAAGTACAGAGTAAGGAAATGGTGAAGAGAAAATATAAAAGAGATGGTGTTTTTAAATTTTCTAGAATTAATTTAAAAATGAATCCTTTTATGTAAGATTCACAAAAATTTTAACAGGGGAATAAAAATAAATCTACACTTGTGAATGTTGTAGTGAATTTGCAGAACACCAAAGACCAAACCTTTGAAGCAACCAGATTGCGAAGATAGATTACCTATAAAGTAACAGCCATGGAAATGAGAAAAAACTATTTCATAACAACAATTGAGGTCAAAAAACAATGCAACAATATTTTAAAGCACTGATGGAAAACAACTGTCTATCTAAAATTCTATATACTAGCTAAATTATCCATTTAAGAGTGAAAGCAAAATAAAAATATTTTCAGTCAAAAACAGAGAGAATTTATCATTCAGAGACTTCCACTAAAAAAAAAGTCTAAGACAGTGAGGTAATGGTGCAGGATTGACAAATAGACAAAGTAGTGGGGGAAAAAGTTCAGCTGTTTCATAAATAGAGCTTATAAAATTAGTCATCTATGTATAAAAATAAAATAAAACTAGTCTTACTTTGTATTACACACAAAAATATATTCCAAAACATGAAAAATTTAAAAATGTTAGATTAAAATATGTCTTTGAATGGAAAAGAATTTACAAAACAAGACATTAAAGGCAAAAATTATAAAAGATTGATAAATGTAATTACATTAAAATAAAAGATAAAGTGTAAAACCAATGGACAGAAGTTATTTGCAACACATATAACCAATTGTATTCATCAGGATAGGCTAGGTTATGACATAACACCAAAATTTCAGCAGCTTAAAACAATAAAAGTTTATATCTTGGTCATGCTACGTGCCCACTGAGTCAGCAGTGGGCACTTTAATTTACACCGAGACCCAGGCTGATGGAGCACCCACATCTTGGTCATTGCTAAGACCATAAAAGAGGAAAATAAAAATGTCAAGGATTAACACTGGCAGTTAAATGTTCTAACCTAGAATTGACCTGCGTCACTTCTATTCATAATTCATTTGGCAGAATTAGTCAGATGGATCCATCTATTCCCAAGGGAACCAGGACATTAAATCTTTATGTGCCAAAAAAGAAAGGAGAACTGGGTATCAGTAAGTAGCACTACTGACTGTCACACTGACAAAGTATTTGTATTCAGAATATATAATTAACTAATATAGATTAAAAAGAAAAAATTAAGATTAAAGAGAAAAATGAGTGAATGGCTTAAAAAAACAATTCACGGAAGCAAGAAGCCAAAATGGCCATTAAACGTATTAAGAAAAGTTCAACCTGATTACAAACCAGGGAAATTACAATTACAAATAAGTAGATAATATTAAATGACCATCATACTGACCAAATTAATGTATGATAACACCAAATGATGGTGAAGATGTAGAGAAATAGAAACCCCAGGACATGACTGTAGAACTCTACATTGTTACAATGACCTTGAGAAGAAACTGCAACATTCATTTAAGTTGAACACATCAATATTCAGAAAGACTACGACTTGTGTCTCTCCTAGAGAGGCTCTCACACATATGTGCAAGGAGACAAGCTCTAGGATGATTGTTTTAGCTCAGTTTATAACATCAACAAAGCAAAACAACCTAACTATTCTGCATTAGGGAAATGTGAACTGTGTATACAATTGAGTAATGTATTGCAGTAATATAAACTATCTAATTAGATAAATGTCAACATAAATGAACCTGACATATGATACTGAAAACTCAAGTCACAATAAGATAGATTTTTACATTTACATCAAATACGTTTTCTTGCAAATTTTTTAAACATGGGAAAACACCACTACATCTTTGTTAAACACACAGGGACATGTATGTGTACATATAGGAATGTATGTTTCATTATGTATATTAAGTACACAAGAATTATAAATATCATGTATAAAATAACGATTACCTTTGGGAAAACAAAGGAAAAGAACAAGTGGATTTCAGAATCATTTGAAATAGTTTGCTTTTCAAAAAATAAAAGAAAGATCTAAAGCAAACATGGCCAAAAGTTAACATCTGTTTTATCTTGGTGGTGGTATACTGGGGAATACAATATTTTCTGAACTTTTATGTATTTTTAAAATTTCATGATTACAAACTAAAAATGAAAGAAAAATAATAAATGCACTTATAATCAGGATGGAGCTTTGAAGTCACACTTTAAATTTCTTCTCTACTCCAAAGACTTAGCAGTGAAAGGTTTGTATTTGTGTATATTTAAAAGACATAGACGTGGTTAAAACAATAAAACAATGTTAAATATATCTGCTGATCTGATAAGGAATAAGGAGCAAAACAATAAGCAAGGGAAGAAGACAAGGGCCTGCCAGTCTTTGGAACTAGAAACGGTCTGAAAGAAATTGAACTCCTATGAGGTAATGGGGAACATAATATGTTCCACGGATGGCAAAGCATGAGAGCCAGGCTCACTGTGAGAAATAGGAGGCTGCACAAATCTTGTGGCAGACTAAAAACAAACCAAAATGCCCACAAGAAACAAAACAAATTCAAACTTTTATTCAAGGTAAACTCACAAACTAAAATTCTAAAACACATGAAAAAACTCATATTTGCAGCCAACATATTCAGTAATCAAATGATGAATTATCTCTCAACTGCAGACAGAGTCTGACTTACAATGGTTTGACTTACAATTTTTTGACTTCATGATGATGTGAAAGCAATACACATTCAGTAGAAATCATACTTTGAATCTTGAATTTTGATCTTTCCCTGGGCTAGCAATATGCAGTACAATACTCTCTTGTGTTGCTGGGCAGTGACAGTGAGTCACAGCTTCCAGGCAGCCACAACATCACAAGGGTAAACAACCAATACTTACAGTGTACCGTGTTGGCAGCACGTTTTGATATTGTGTTTTGTATTTTTGCATCCCATTGTGTCTACAAAATGCCCATCTATGTAAAGTGTTCAACATTTTATTACAAAATAGGCTTTGTGTTAGATGATGTTGCCCAACTGTAGGCTAATGTAAGTGTTCTGAGCACATTTAAGGTAGGATAGGCTGAGCTATGATGTTCAGTAGGTTAGGTGTATTAAATGTATTTTTGACCTAGGTTATTTTAAATTTATGATGAGTTTATTTGGGATGTAACCCTATCATAAGTCTAGAAACATCTGTAAATGAATATAATAGAGCAATCTAAAAATGATTTTTAAATAATATGTTTAAGATTCTCATATATCAAAAGACATAATAACCTTATAGTATAGAAAAATTAATCATGAAATAAAAACCTAGAGACATTACTGAAAGACAGCTGGGTAGAAAAAATAAGAAAATTGAATTATTGGAATTGAAAATATAATAATTAGACCAAAAATATCAAAAAGATGAGTAAATATCTCATATAAGGGTACAAGAGAAAATTAGTGAATTGGAAGATACTACTCAGGAAATTTTCTCAATGTGGCACAGGAATAAATAAAGGATAAAATTAGATGCCTCATTATTAAAACTTCTAAAGGTAGAAAATAACGAAAAGATGGAAAACAATGTTCAAAGGAATTCATATTCATAGAAAACTTTTTAGCCTTAAACAAGAGTCCCCAGATTTAAAGTGAATACCAAATGCTATGCAAGATAACTAGAAATAAATTCACTTTCTAAACATATTGTAGTAAAACTTCAGACCATCAAAATATAAAGAAAAAAAATTGAGCAGAATGGACAGTTTATTTACCAAGGAATGACAGACTATCTAACAATAAGTTTCTCATTTGCAACAATATACGCAGAACACAAAGGAGTACAAACTTTGAGGTACTGTATTAACATCCCCTTCCAATTTTATATATATATATATATATATATATATATATATATATATATATATATATACACATATATGTATATATGAACTATTTTTCTTGAATGAGGAGGAAAATAAAAATAGTTTAGATATATAAAATAAAGTATGTTTGGCCACCCATAGATGTTTATTGAAAGAATTGTAAAGGGTAAACTTTATTAAAAGAAAATGTGAACCCAAAAGGGAAAAAAGGAAATGCATGCTTATTGCATAAAACTTGAAAATTAGAAAAAAGTCGAATAAAATAAGTTATCTATTAACTGTAACATCTGGAGATGTTCACATTTTATTTTCTTTCACTTTTAAAAATTTATCATTAGCTTTTGCATTTTTGTATATAATTATAGTAATCTTGCATATTAAAATTTGTGTACTGCTTTTTAAACCTCATATAACAATCATTTTCCTCTGTTATTATGCTAGTCTTGTAAATATAATTTTTGAAACATTCATAATCTTTCAAATTGCTTTTCTGGACATACACTTTTAAATATGTAACTTACTTTGAAACAAGAATAAAAATTTCAAAAATAGTACAAAAAACTTTGATATATAAATATATCAACATTTGATATATATATATCCTATATATTTAATCACTACTATATATTTATTCAAGGCATAAGCACCCAAGCATGGTAAGTAGCTAATCTTGATTAAGAAAACATCAGTATACTCAAGATAAAAATCCAGAGCAAAGATTAAGCCTGGTTGAAAGTCCTAAAGATAAAGGGAGAAATAAAGAAAGTCTAATATTTTCTGCATAATTCTCACTTATTTGTGTATTTTTCTTCCCTGAGGTTTATTCACAACAATAAATAAAAGCCCAGAACTAAGAGAAACACTAGATACCATTTAGTGCATCCCTTCCCTACATCTGACGGATGGGTAAACTGTTCTGAAAGTGGGGTAGACAGTGAGATACTCCGCTTCTATGAACAGGGTTTTTCCCCAAAGAAAGCTGCCACGGCAGTTGACAGCCCAGTGACTTTGGTACTGGATCTTCCAAGATCAAAGCCCAACAAAGTCTCTTACCAGCTGTGTGACCTTGGACAGAGGCTCTAACTCTGAAGAGCTTTAGTTTCTTTGATTGTAAATGAAGCAAAGAATATATAACTAATGAGCTTAGTGAGAGAATTAAATATGATAATATATATATGTGTTCCTTTTGTCTACCTAAGTATTTTATTCTTTTGCACCTATTATAAATGACATTGCTTTCTTAATTTTATTTTCAGAGTGTTCATTGGTAGTGTACAGAAATAAAATTGATTTTTGATATCAATCTTGTATCCTGCCACATTGCTGAACTTGCTTATTTGTTCAAATAATTTTTTGTGGATTCCTTATGATTTTCTATATACAAGATTATGTCATCTGCAAATAAAGGTAGTTTTACTTCTTTTTCTAATCTGATTGTCTTTCATTTCTTTTCTTGCATAATTGCCTTGGCTAGAACCTCCAACACAATGTTGAGTTAAAATAGTGAGAATAGATACCCTATTCTTCCTGATCTTAGAAGGAAAAGCATTCGGTCTCTCACCATTAGGTATGAGGATAGCTATAGTTTCTTTTTAAATACCTTTTATCCAGTTAACAAAAATTACCTTCTATTCCTAGTTTGTTGGGTGAATTTATCATAATGTTTTCTTGAATTTTGTCAGATGCTTTTTCTGAGTCTACTGAAATGAACATGAAGTGTTTGTCCTTTATGACTATGGTGTTTTATACTATTTCCAGCTATTAAGTCAACCTTGCATGCCTAGCATGTATATGTACTTTAAAAATTTAAATAACACTGTGTAACACCTTTGTGCATATAATACTTTTGGTATTGTGGACTATATCCTTAAGAAAGAGACTCTCAAGTGGAATTCCTGAATTATAATTAATTTATAAACATTTTAAAACATATATATATATATATATTCATCAGGATAAATACCAGCAATATTTATATTGTTGCCTCAGGAGGTAACAAGTTTACCCTTTTTTACCCAAGTGTTCAAATATATGTTAATAATATAGGGGCTCTTAAAGTTTTTTTTTGTTTGTTTGAGACAGGCTGGAATACAGGCTGGAATACAGTAGCGTGATCTTGGCTCACAGCAACCTCTGCTTCCCAGGCTCAAGTGATTCTCCTGCCTCAGACTCCCAAGTAGCTGGGATTACAGGTGCACACCGCTACCGCCTGACTAATTTTTGTATTTCTAGTACAGAGGGGGTTTCACCACATTGGCCAGGCTTTTCCTGAACTCCTGACCTCAAATGATCCACCTGCCTCGGCCTCCCAAAGTGCTGGCATTACAGGCGTGAGCCACTGCACCTGGCTAAAGTTTTTTAAAATATAAGTTTTGCTGACCTCTGTTAATTAACATATTTTACACACCTCAAATACTAAGAAGGATTCTGATGTAACAGTGGAAAATTCTGGAAGCCAGAAGATCACAACTGAAATAAATTTACTTACAGAATTGTTGCTTGGGTAGACAGCATGCTTTGGAAGCAGACACAACTGTGTTCAAATCTGAATTCTACCACTTATCAGGCATGAAAACTTCGTCAGTTTCTGTAACCACAATAAAACTCCATTTTATCGCCTTCATAACGGAAATTGTAACATTTTCTTATAGGGTCATTTTAAATGTGTATAGAGCACAGTATGGTGTCAGACATTAAAACTGCACAACATATGGTAGTTATTTTCATTATTTCTTGAGGTAGTAGCTACATTTTTGCTTGGTAAAATTTTTAAATACTATCACAATTTTAAGAACAATAGGAAAATGACCATGTTTAAATTTTGTTTCCCTGACCATAAAAGGCACTGTTAACTCTCAAGAGAATCAGTGCAAAGATTTGATACCCTGGCTCCTCCAATATAAGTTCTCAGTTGAATGACAAATCCCTGGGTAGTTTGATAGCAACTTTGCAAATCTTATTGTTCCAACAATGTACATATTTTGGGCAAAATTTTGTGTTAGTAGGAATCAGTTTCTTTAAAGCACATAGAAACCTCGAGACATTAGTGAAAACAAGCAGTGGAATAGTAATAATAGTATATGTGTGTATATATGAAACTACATAAATATTTATAATACTATACATAATGATATATCTACATATACATAATTTCATTTACTCTTCACTCTGTGAGTTATTGTTATGAATTTCATTTTATGAATGAGGAAAATAAAGTTCAGAAACATTGAAGAAGTTGCCTAATATCACAGGAAAACTAGGAGGTAGTGCTGGGCTTGGTATCAGACTATGCTGCCCTCAGAGCCCACTGTACTACAATATCACTACATAATAATACTTCCCTTAAAACACATATTTCTTAGCTTCCTGGGAAGAACCAGAGGAAACAATTCTTTGGGAATAGTTGGGTCTTCTAGATGACAGCTTAAACAAAGAAAAACAAGAAAGAAAATAAACTCATTAGCAAAAATCATTGCCATTTAAACTTTTAAAATGTTAGTCTATTTTATAGAATTGGATAGAATTTTAAACATAAGTGGACTTGAACATCTTTAAAATTGTCTTTAATGACTGAATTTAGTTACACTTATAACTGCAGGTAGGCACTTTCTGTTTCATGATGCTTCATCTTGAATATTTAGAGAGCTGCCCAGGGACTTGGAGAACATCCAAAGTATTGATTATTTAGTGACATTAAATGTTTTGGAAGTCTTTCCCTTACATGTCAATATTACCCTTCTGTGGTTTTTATTAAACAGTATGTCTTAAAAGACCTTCAATCTGGCTAGAATACAGTTTACATTAAGTTGATTGCATAATAAAACAATCACTGCTGATTGCTTGTGTATGCCAAATGCTTTGCTTACATTATCTCATTAATCTTCACAACAATACTTAGAAGTAAGTACTACTGTCATGTACATTTTATATATGCGGCAAAGGAAGGGAGATAATTTGCCAGGAAGCATTAACTAAAAGGGATAGAACTTGAAGTTGAAACCAAATTTGGTTTGATTCCAAAGCCCTTGTTTTTAACTACTAGTTAATACTACCTCTTATAAGCATATAACATGACCTCGAGATATATACGACCTAATTGTTGCTTTCTCTGGATTTCCTTCAAGAAGCAAAAATTGGGTAGGTGAAGTTAGAATCTTTGAGGAGTCCCCATCTCTGCCAGAAATCTGAACCAATTGAGAAATAAAACAAAGTGGCAGATCAAATGGGGGCCAAACTATCACCTCCATTAATGGTAAAGCCAATATTAAAGTAGTAACTTAAATTGATGGGCAAGTGAACTTCCTAGTATTGAAACATAGACAGAGTTGGCTTTGTGGACATGCCTTCAGGTGGCATGGGGCCCCATGCTAAAAGTCCCACAGTTGGGATTAAATGTTCTGTGGTCACATTGTTAAAATTCTTAACAATTTTATCTTTGAATTTGTGTTTTGCAAGTGAAGTTCAATGTGACAAAGAACCATGCTCTGGGGCTTGGAGCCTTGTCTCATACCCAGCCTTTACTCCTGCCTCCTTGCCAGAATGAGTTCTCAGCTGACTGCTCCCAAGCCCCCGCCCACCTGTCTTCTCCTTCCTCACTCTATAACCACTGCCACCCTCTACCCAGGCAGGGGCCTAGATGTGAGCTTGGGAAGAATCAAGAGTGAGTGCCTATATCCATGGCATCTTTTGAAGAGGCTTGGCAGTGGCTGTTCCCACCCTGAGCTGGCAGCAGCTTGGGTGCATGGTGGGTGACCAGCAGGAGGCCACATTTCAGGAGGGGCGAACCTCTCAAATCCCTCTCCATCATTCCACCACTCCAATCAAAACACTGAACATGACCCATTGTGGAGGTTTAAAGATTTTTGGGAGTAACCCATCTGCTGTGAGATAGGGCTGTGGGTTTGTAGAAAGGGGAGATTCTTGGATCAATTTTCTCAGGCTTCACCCCCGTCTAAGGCCTCGTGTATCAATCCAGTGACTGGTGAGAAGGGGAGACATTAGACCTAAGCTGTTGCTGTTTTCCTACTTACTCTATCTCCAAGTTATTTCAACCATGCTTTATAGTTTTCCATGTACAGTGTACAAGTCATGCACTTTGTTGTTAAATTTATTCTTAAATATTTTATTCTTTTGTATCCTATTGCAAAGATAATGTTATCTTAATTTCATATCCATTTGTTCATTGCTACTGAATAGAAATATGATTGTTTTGTATATCCTGAAACCGTGCTGAACTCATTTATTAGTTCTAATTGTTTTTTGGTGAATTCCTTAGGATTGTCTACATACAAGGCCATGTAATCTGCAAATAGAGATGTTTTTACTTCTTTCTTTCCAGTCTGGTTGGCTTTTATTTTGTTTTATTGCCCAATTCTCTTGGCTAAAACCCCCATTACAATGTTGAAAGGAGTGGTGAGAGAAGCCATTCTTTGCTTATTTTCTGATCTTAAGGGCAAAACATTAAGTCTTTCACCACTGAGAATGATGTTAGTTGTGTTGTTGTTTTTTTAATAGATGACCTTTATCAGGTTGAGAAAATGTCCTTTATTTCTAGTTTGCTAGCATTCTCTATTGCTAGTTGGAATGTTTAGCTCACCTGGCCAGCTTGAGGCACCCTCTAAGAAAAAGCCAATAAAAACAAATTGAGAATTTTTGTGGTTTTGCATAGGAGTTAAATGCTCTGATATTTTTGCTTAAAACTATTATTGCAGAATATGAAGATGAATGAAAAAATCATAGTAGTAATTATTTAAAATTTTCAGTTTACTTAGAATGACAATGAGTAGCAAACAAAAAGCACCAAGACAAGTTGAGAGTGAAAGTGGAAAAAAGGAAAAGCTTCATGTCTTCCTTTAATGGCATATTTTTCCTGATCTTTAAACAAAGGAAGTCACATTTTCACCTTTCACTGGAGCTCTGAAAATTAGATAGTTGGTCTTGACCCTAAAACTGTACCAACATATTCATTTGCAGCACTGGACTGGGACCAGTTTTCCTATTCTGCAGGAACAAAGCCAGTTCCCAGAGATAAAGAGATGAATACATGTACCCTGTGAACATTGCTCTTCTGAGAAGGAGAAAGGAAGAGACAGGGCTAAGCATCTCCAATTCTTCTCAAGAGCACCAATCAACTGAGTTACTACTTCCTGCCCTCTCTACCGCCACCCTTCCAGGAGTGAGCCAAAAGATGGAGAGAGGCCACAAGTGTTGCATTAATGCATACCCTTTACGTAAGAGGAAACACCAGGAGCAGGAAATATGCATTTCCCCCAAATGGGGGAATTCTCACGGGATGAGATATGGGTCACAGATAAATATATATTGCGTCAAATGGAACCTCTTCAAATGAACCATCCTTGATTTAGCTGACTTTGGTGGAAGTAGCAAAAAGGTTCAGAGCCAAGTTAAGATATACAAATGAATATTTCCTTGTTTATAAAATAAATTTATCATTATTTTACTCACATTCAGTTGGCCCACCAAACTAATAAAAGACAAAAATGAATAATATCTGAGATTCAATTAGGTCACTGGAATATTCATTCTCCAATTTAAGTCTGCTTATCGATACTGAAATCAATAAGCATAACTTGCTTCAAGCTAGGAAGGAAACTCAATACCATCTAATTTTTGCAGAATATCATATTATAACAGGCAAAGTCATCACCAAATCTTTACAAGTAAAGCTATCATCAATGCAACTTTTCTAAAAGGAGGTTGAGTAGATAGTTCTTTGTTTAGATGTCTTTTGTCTCTCTCTGAAGCTCTCATGGTGAAAAGAAGAGAGGTTCTTGAACCATTTCCTAGACCTAAGATTTAACTCTTGTCATCTTCTGCAATGTTTGACCTATTGCCTTTAAACTTGAAATGGTCCTATTTTCATTTATTTAAGGTATAAAATGCTACTTGGTTTTTATTCACTACTTCATTTGAATTTGTGGCAATCAAATGGTTTTCAATGATAATCACAATGCTTATGTTTTATACTAGGCTTTTTTTAAAATTAATGTGTTTTCCTACTGAAAAGTATTTTTATTTTCATTTTTAGTGAGTTACACCCTAATGCAAAATTAAAATGATGTGATAAATGCAAACTTCATTTTTGGGGTGTTTTTAAAAATTTTTATTGTTATGTATATAATAGTTGTACTTCTGTATGTACATAATAGTTGTACATATTTATGGGGTATATGTGAATCATTGATACAAGCATACCATATGTAATGATCAAATCAGGGTAACTGATCCATCACCTCAGGCATTTACATTTTTTGTGTGTTAGGACCATTCCAATTCCACTTTTCTAGTTATTTTGAAATATACAAATAATTTGTTTTTAACTATAGTCACCTTATTATGCTACCAAACACTAGATCTTATTTCTTCTATTTAAAAAATAAAAATTATCTAAATGAATAACAATTGATAAAAGAAAACCAAAGGACTCCTTCTTCCTCTTACACTCCCATTAGCCTTGGGATATCCTTGCTGAAAACATACCTAAAGGAAACTTGAGCCTAAATGTCAACGTCTCAAGCCCCAGGAATCTAGATCTTAAATGAAAGGGCCTGCACCCAGCACCCTTATGGCAACTGGAACCTTCAGGCCTGAAGTCAGCAGAAAAATGGAGAATGAACTCACCTCTAAAGGCAACATGTACTGGGGCAAGCTGGGGTGTGGTCCTTATTCCATTTTCTCACTGGCTTGGGCAAGGCATTGATTCGTTATCTATAAAATGGTAAGAGAATCACTTAACTTTTAGGATTCTAGTTATTATTAAATGACATAATTTAAAAGTGTGCAATATTATAGTTAGCCTATGTTCAGTAATCAATAAATAATCGTTATTTTTATTTCCTCTGGAATAGAAGCAGAGAAAATAGAAGAGGAGAAAAGAGAAAAAAAGAAGAAAACAATGAAAATAAAGAAGGAAAGCAATAGCAACAGAAAGGCTAGTGCTCAGGTGGAGGCTGCTGAGGAATTTCTTATATGGACATTGCTACAGTGTGAATATGATGTGTCCTCACCAAATGTCATGTTGAGGCTTGGCCCCCAATGTCATGGTGTTGGGAGGTGATGCCTTTAAGAGGTAATTAGGTCCTTAAGTTGGATTAATGTCTTTATTTTGAGACCGGGTTAGTTCTCATGGGAATGGAGTAGCTCCCTTGAGAATGGGCTGTTATTTGGCCAGGCTGCCTCTCCTGTTTGTTCTCTTTCACATGCTTGTTTCCCCTTTCACTTCTCCACCATGCTATGATGCAGCATGAGGCTCTCATTAGAAGCCACCAGATGTAGCTGATCAGTCTTGAACTTGCCAGCCTGCAGAACAGGGAGCTAAATAGACCTCTTTTCCTTACAAATTATCCAATCTCAGATATTCTATTATAGCAAAACAAAATAGACTAATACAGAAGTGAACAATGCTACAGATAGAGATTAGAAATAACACTCTCCTTTCCAAAGTGCATTATCTTCCACTGGCTTCCCACCCTACTGCTAATCTGGAACACACAATATCGAGTGAGCAAAAAACAGAGGGTGTAGAAAGTGAAAGATATGAGTCAGTGAGCAAGGGAAAATATGAAACAAGGGAAGAAAGAGACAACATAAATAAAATTTAAAAGTGTAGAGGAAAATGTAGCATAATAAAATAATAAAGAAAAGGTTAACTATTTTGGGTAGTAATACAGGTTAGCAGGCAAAGAACCACCAACTCTTTTTATTAATTCAAAAAAACAGGCAGATCTTAGTTCTGTTAGTTTTGACCTTTAAGTTTTGGGATTTTTTAAAGGTTTATGAGTAGGCTAAATCATGACAAATGCCTAATTTAAAATTGATTTAGCTGCCAATCCCCTCTCCTGTGAGAACCAGCTGCCAACTCTGCTCTAAGACAAATAAAAATACTTGGATTAATCCATTCAGCAACAGAAAAACATATCTCTTTTCTGGTACATTGGAAACAAAATAAATAAGCTCTGCTAAGAAGAGAGACCCATATAAAGGGAGAAGCCTTTTTAGGAAATTATTGGGTCAGGGTCTCCACTGTTGAAAGCCAGGAGGTACTGAAGGTAGCAATTCTTGATTGAAAACATGGTTCAAGCACTGGTCCAAGTGGGCTTTTTAGGGATCACATGTCATGGACACTATTCCATATCAAATATTTTCTTTCCAGAACACAGTTACTGGAAAGGTTTCTCATTCCAACCAATGTGTAAAAAAAAAAAAAAAAAAGAAAGCAACCCCCTCCCCCCCCAAAAAAAACACACGGTATACCCCTCTGATCCCATGCTAGCAGCCCTCCTGGGAACAGCTTACAAGATAAGACAGCTTTGCAACAGAGCACTATTAACTCTCTCCCTTTTGTCGCTCTTCTCAGTGAGGCTCTTTACTGGGGTGCAAATGCCCTATTTTGTAGAAGAGAATTGACACTGTGCATAGCAAATACAAACAGCAAAGTTATTCTGACAAACTATGTAAGCCAATGTCCTCCTCTTTGATCCATTTTTTTGTGTGTGTGTGTGCCTAATTGTTGGCAGGCCAATAAAGCTCAGAGTCTGTGGCACTGGAAGAAAGAGGTGCAAGAAGCCTGCAAGTTTATGCTGTCAGGGGAGGATTTCTGGATTCCCAGCATTAAAGGATTTGAATCCCCTGGCTGCTTTGGGAAAGTGTCCTGTTTGTGTTGGGGGAGTCCCAGGGCAGACTTCCATTACAGAAATTGAGAGATGTTGTTGCCTTAGGCTCCAGCACCTTTCCCAGGCTTGTTACATGCCATTCACTCATTCCTTCATTCAACAGATATTGATGAAACACCCCTGACTCAGAGCTGGGGAACATGTGAGGCCAGGGAAGGCAGTATGCTAGGAGTTGTCTTAGGAGATGAAAAGGTCACTGACCCTGACCTTGAATAAGCAGAACTGTGTCATGGACATAAGTAATGCAGATATTAAAGTCAATGTTAGGACGATAAATTAGAGTCACTGTTAGGACAACATAATAATAAAGACAAGGTTAACTATTTGGGGAAATAATACAGACTAGCAGGCAAAGGCCCACCAACTGTCAGAAAGTTTTGAGTCCATGTCCTAGACCCTCCATTTTCTAATACCACCTTGGGCATGCCATTAACTTCCATGAGGTTCAGATACAGAGAACAATGCTCACCTCATAGGGTTATTATGAGCCTTAAATAAGGTAATGCTTTACTTAGCACATTATTGTCTGTGTCACAGTAACTATTATTAGTATTTTGATAGTCTAATGTTAAAGCACATCTCTTTTCTTTCTTCAGACCCCTAAATCAAAATAAAGAAGTATAGCTGTTATTGCAGGGGATAATCCCATATTTAGTAAATATCTCCAGAAATCATTCTAAATAATGGAGTTGAGCCCAAGGCAACTTTGCCAAAGGGTCTTGATCTTTTAATGCCTGAAAGTGACTTATGTTCATTAAAAACTGCTTGTTGGCCGGGTGTGGTGGCTCATGCCTGTAATCCCAGAACTTTGAGAGGCTGAGGTGGGTGGATCACCTGAAGTCAGGAGTTCAAGACTAGCGTGGTCAACATGGTGAAACCCCGTCTCTATTAAAAATACAAAAAATAGCCAGGTGTGGTGGCGTGTGCCTGTAATCCCAGCTACTCTGGAGGCCGAGGTAGGAGAATTGCTTGAGCCCTGGAGGCAGAGGTTGCAATGAGCCGAGATTGTGCCATTGCACTCCAGCCTGGACAACAAGAGCAAAACTCATCTCAAAAAAAAAACAAAAACAAAAAAAACTGTCTTGTTTCCACCGTATTGCTTGGTGCTTTGTTAATATAAACTGATCTCCGGAGAGACTGATGCCCATTGTCTCTGAGAGAAGCCATGTGCCTCCACCCCAGCCCACTCTACCATGTCCAAGACTTTCCTTTCCAGACTATTTGAGAGCTGAGCATTAGTGAACCTCTTTAAGCTGAGAGGAGATTTGAAGGTTATCAACTTAAGCCCTACTCCATTGCATGAGCCAAACCATGTAGCAAGTAAGAGACTCAGGTTGGCTGATAACATTTCCTCTGAAAGTCTCATATTTTTTCTTCTTCAAATTTTAGCTCAGAGTTTCAGGACCCCAGATTTTCACGGAATAGGCCGAGTGACATTGGAGAGACTACCTGTGAATGACCATTTAGTAAATGGGAAAAACAGTGATGCCATTTGGGGGCTTCTTGTGTTGATGATGGCTGAGCATCAGAGACTCTGGGATTGGTGAAGGGGATGATTGGCCAGCCTGCTGGCTTTTGGAATGAACTATGAAATGGTATGAAAGTGTCAAGAACCCCATTGCTTTCACCATCTGTACAGTATTACGATATATGCATTTGCTTTGTGTGTACTATTTGGAAATATATTTCTACATATGCATTTATGTAAGAGTGTTAGCAGTAACAGCCACAAAAAGGGTCCAAGAAGTAGTGATTGGAAGGCAAGGAGAGGCCACCAAACCATCTCCAAAGCCAAGATGTAGAAAGAGGATGAAGTACTTTTTCAAAATAATGAATAATAATAATAAGGGTAATAATAACCAGCTACTACACTACGAAGCAAAGGGTTAAGTGGTGTTGTTCATTGTCACATGATTCTGGGAAAGAGCTGAGCAGGAACCTCAGGGATCCAGGGATCGGGAGGAGGCACATCTTGCTTGCACATGTGGCCTCTACCACAAACACTTCAAAGTGCCTCCTCAGACCGACATAACATTCTGACGCCGACTGTAAATGCCCTTGACACGCAGAGTGGAAAATATCAAACACTCCAACAGTCCCCCAAATGCAGTGTCTCTGCACTGGGAAAGGCCTTAATGAGCCTGCAGTGAAGGGAGGGAGGGGGTTTTGAGGGTAGGGCTCAGAGCCAGAGAGAGAGGAGGAGGTGTAACGGGTGGTTCTGATTTAAAGCTTGTACTGATACATGCCGGCGTGTGCAACTGGGCTCAGGCCGCTGTGAATCTAAATGCCCTAGGACCTTGCAGAACAGCCCAAGCATCAATTCCAGGCCTTGCTGAGTCAAGACCCTACTGAGACTGTTTCCCCTTGCACATTCCAGAGCATATGACTCTTAAGTGGAAGAATTTCCCAGCCCATAGAGCTGTACTTTTTCTGCAAAGGAAACTTTGCACCCAATTTTCTCTTGCATGGTCCCCCTCTATTCTTACTGATAGCACTTTTTGATGCTGCCCTCTCTTTGGTAAATTTTAATGACAGAAAACTTAAGAAGCTCTTTCATCCTATGAAGGCCCCCTTGCATTTCTGTAAGCAGGGAGTCTTTCCATGGGGGTCTGTTTGTATCATCTCCCAGAAAACTCTCACAAACTGAGTCAGTAGGTTAGTCCAGACAATGTGGAAGCAAAGGGTGGGTCCCTGCTTAATATCTCATCTTCTTTCCCATCTATCATTGGACCCATGTGCTGGGTTGGTTCATTCATTCATTCTTTAATTCACTCACTACTTTTGAAACACTGGGGCACATGAAATTCATAAAACATGTTTCTTATCCTTTGAAAATATCACGATATAATAGGGGAGAGGGACAAATAAAAATTAATTGCAAACTAGTGTGTACTGTGCTGCAGTAGAGGCCTGTTACAAAGTGCCAGGATCACAGGGGAGAAAGTGACTATGTCAGTTTTAGGCACTGGGAATCCTTCCCTTAGGAGACTATATTTAAGCTGGGCTTTGACTAATGGGTGCGATTTCACCAGGCAAAAGAAGCAGCCAACACAAAGATGTTGGAGAGAGCAAATCATGGTGAATTTGGGGAAGGATGAGTTTTGCGTGTTTGAAGTGGAGGATATGACAGCGACGGTGATAGACAAAGCTGGAAAGGCACAAAGTTAAGGGCATATGTGCCAGGCTAGTGCCTTCATTACAAAGTCTAAAGAGTTTAATGTAGAGCTCTTATTCAAACATAGCTGTGTTTTAGAAGGGCACATTTAGTTTTTGAGTGAGAGATGATCAGGAAAGGGGAAAGGCAGGAGGCTTGCTGTGTGTGACAGGCTCTGTAAGTCTGAAGAACATCATTTGCACACCGAAAGAGGAATTAACTTCTATTTGTTCCCAGGTCTGCTAAACTCTCCTGATACTGCTTCTCCCAACTCCTTAAAGACATAGCATCTAAATTAATAGTGTTCTCAAGGCATTCCTTTGGCCTCTGTTTTAGTCTTTCCAGATCATGTGTTCTAGGAGAGAGAACTTCGGGAAGTCATCAAAACCACTGGTTCATTATAGAGCTACACCCCAGGGGGAGTATGGAGGATGAAGTCCAGCCCCAGGAGAGCATGAACACATTCTTACATAAATATGGAACCAATGGGTAATTTTAGCCAGAAAAATGTACTGACTTAAAATGCATTCTGTTACTAAGCTTATATCAAATAGGCCCAAGGGGACCTGTCAGAAAATTTCTTGCAAATTATGTTTATGTGTTTTTAGATGGTGTTTGGGTGGTTACAGTTCTTCTAGTATAGTAACATGGGAACAGTAGATAAATGACTAATAAAAAATGGTAATGGAATCCCTTGTGTTAGTTTCTAAAGTTTTTACCTCTTCAGGGAATAAAGAGGAATTAACCCATGAGCAGGAAGGGTTCTGGAAGAAAAGAAGCAGTTGTCAGTGTTGTTGTTTTGTTTGTTTGTTTGTTAGTTTTACAAAATTTTAACTGTCACTGCTGGAGAAAAGACCCCAGAATGAAAGGATTAATTTGCTTGATGAACCCCAGCAGATTTTACATAATTTAAAACTAACTAGTGGGACCTGCTCTAAAAATATTACATCTTGTTTCTCCCCACAGAAAGACTGTAGGTAGTCAAAAGTGATTGCTTCATCTGGAATATTGGCTCTGATTAAAAATCTTTAGACAGGACTTGGTTATTTGTTACTGGAAACTTACATAGCTTGGCCTGCATGCACTGACCATATTGAACATACACTTTTGATCTATCCATCTATCTAACCATGTCTACCATTTATAGAATACCAAGCAGTGTGCTGAGATCTTCATATGCATTGTGTTATATTAGCCAGTCTTACAACAACCCCGTTAGATCAGTCCTACTATTAGCCCCATTTTACATGTGAAGGAATTGAAGGCTCAGAAGGATTAAGTTAACTTGCACTAAGTTAACTTGAAGCAACCAAGGAGTACAAATGAGATCCCAATCCAGATCTGACTCCATTACTCTATATAACACACTGATATTTCTAAAGAAGGACACTAAAAGCTGTTACCTGAGTATGAGGGCAGAGAAAGGGGATTGGATTTGGTTTAACATAATCAAGTAGCTTGGGTGATTGAGGAGTAGAACCAAAAACTCATCTCCCTTGTCTTTGGTCTGGGCTTTGCTTTTGACCCTCTAGAGTGTAGGAAGCAGGGGACTGTTATCCCTGTGCCTGGAGTTGAGTCTCCAGGTCATCTTGCAGAGCTGGACAAAATCACCACTGCAGCAAGCCCGAGGTCTGAAAGCAATTATGCTAGGCCTAAAAATAAATGAGCTGCAAGTAAAACACAATTTAATAATGTCTAATTTATAAATTCCCCCTGCTTTTACAAAGACACCCAGCTCTTACATGTGGAAGTTCTGTGTTTTAGTGAAGGGAAGTGAATTACAAGGATTTTATTCCTCAAAGAAGCTGCCCCTGCCAGACAACCTTTCTGTGAGCTCATTGCACAGGCAGTCTGCCCTTGTGCACTTGGCATCTTGCTCGTCTCTTAATTTAAATGGTCCAGGTGGGCAAGCAGAGCTCCTTGAGGCCCTCCTTGCTCTCTGCCACTGAGGCAAGAGAACAGCCTTACTGCAGTTCCCCTCTCTCAGCTCCCACTCCTGACAAGATAAGCGGAAAAAATAAAAGCATAAATTTGGTTTTGGTGAGCATCTTCATGTGGCAACCAGCCTTGCAAGGAGCCTGAGTAAATGTTCTGCTTCCTCCTGCACATGAGCTAACAGGCTTGAAAGCCTGGAAGAAATAATTCCCAGGTTGCAAGAGAACAGTAGGATGACAGGTGATCTTGTTCCTCATTTGGTTCTAACAGAGATCGTGAGTCCAGCCAAAGCATTTGAAGTCTTTGTCACCCTTTGAATGGAAGCAGCAGGTCCCTTGAAATGGTGTAATATCAATGTTTTGGATTGGAATAGAAAATTGAGATGCAAGAGGACATGATTATCTGGATGTGCTAAAGGCACCTCATCATTTCCCTACAAAAACATTCCCTTGCCCACATCTTTTATCAGTGAATGGGTCCATCACATACCTAGGCACCCACGTTGGCACCCTACATTCTTCTTTTCAACCTCATCTTCCAGTAAGTCTTGTTGTTTTTCTCCTGAATGTCTCTTTTCTCTATCTTCTTCTTTTCACGTTGTCAACTGTCCAAATCCTCTTAATTAATCTCCCCGTCCCGCACCCATCCTCCGCACTGCTACCAGAGTGATGCTTGTAATCAAGGAATAATAATTATCATTACAGCTAACATTTTATCTGGGCTTACTAGGTGCCAGGCGCCATGCTAATAACTTTGCCTCTATCCTTTTATTTACTTTGATAACATCACATCCTGCTCTGCAGTTTTTAATGATTCCTTTTACCAGAAGAATAAAATTGTAATTCTTTAATACAGTATCATGATCTGGCCCACTCCTTACTGTGATTCATCTGCTGCCACTGTCACCCTTTCACTTGGCATCTGCTTGATCAGGCGCTACTCACAGCTCCCTTCACACGCTCTCATTTTCTGTGTTTTTAGACTTGCTGGCTCTTGTCCTCTACCTGCACACCCCCCTACCCCAACTTTTAACCTTTTTTACAGGATCACTTTCTTAGATGAGACAGTTTCACCACTGAACACCTTGGAGAATAGTAAGATCTATATTCTGGAACTTTACTACTAAACTTCATTGCCACAAATTAGCACCCTCAACAGACTATGAATTCTACATTCAAACAATCTATGTCAAAAGGAAGGCTTTAGATCACCATTACAAAACCCAAATCACAATTTTTGCCAACAATCAATATTTAACCAGCCAATCTGGTGGTTGGGCTTATGAAAACACAGTCCTTAAGTGGCAAATTTTGCAACCATATTCTCTTGAGGACAGGGCTCTTTGCCTGTTTTGTTTCATGCTTTCTTCCCACTTTCTAGGACTAAACCTGGCACATTTTAGGCACTTGAATATTTGTTTTGTTGATATGAAGAGACACGTTTTTGGCTATAACAAACATTTGGATATGTACACTTAATTTTTCCCCATGTTTTATTTTTCATTTTTGATGATGATGAGAGTGTAAACATTTCTAAAAAAAAGCAATTTAGCAATATGTATCAAGACCCTAAAATAATGTGTATCCTTTGTGGCAGAGACTGCAAACTGCCTACCCAATATCTATTTCCCTTTTCTTTACTAAGAGAAAGAAGTACTTCTTTACTACAGAAAACCTTTATTTATTGAGATGAAAAGGTGTCCAGCTAAACTTCTACATTTCCCAGCCTCCTTGCACCTAGGTGTGGCCATGTAACTAAGTTTCTATGGCTAGCAAGATGTAAGTGAAATTCTGTGGGAGGCTTCCAGGAAGTCTCCTTAGAAGGTGGACAGAACACTGATGAAATCCCCTTTGCTTCCCTGTCCTTCCTGAAGTCTAAAACTAAGGTTAGACTGCAGAATCTTCTACAGCCATCTTAGACTCATTGAGTCAAACAGGGTTTATTAGAGGCTGTTGGAAATATACAGAATTTCTAAATGGTCCATGGAACTTACCAAGCTGGGGAGTACTGGCCAAGGACAGCATCCAGGGGAAATGATGTTCTGAGGCACATCCCTCTGTCATGGCCTGGTTGCTCACCACTTGGCACTTGTGACAGGAGAATGTCAGCTCCTCTTAAAGAATCCAGGCTCCTCCTCCTTGACACCATCCTTTCCAGAGAATCTCGCCTTTCTCTACTTGACCACCCCCTCCCTGTGCTCTCTTCTGCCTCCAAGTCTTGCAGCAGTGTGTGTGCATGGAGGAAATCAAATCCCCCTAGAAACTGGAGCTACCAGGAGACCTGGAAAGCATCATTCTCCTTTCTGCTTTTCCAGTCTCTGAAGTACAGGAAGACACATGCAAAGGGGACTGGAGCAGGTGTTGAAGAGCCAGTATGAGGTACTTCCCACTCTCTCAACTCAACATCATCTGCAGTTCTTTGTGTCAGGGCTGTCATTGTTCAGAATCAGCAGGGATATCCAGCAGCAGGAATAAATAGTGAGGTTTGTTTCATGCATGTTATGCCGAGGGAGAAAAAGTTATAGAGCCCAGGAAAGAGACGCTATAGAATCACACTTGGCATTTAGAAGACCTCAAAAATGACAGGAAATACCAACTACCAGCTAGGCATAATCAATTCAATAATTCTGGGGAATAACAATGGCCTCCTAGCTGGGCTCCTGCTCTGACCATTGTTCCCTTCTCTGCACAATAATCAAAGTGATTGTGATAAAACTCAAGGCACATCACATTTCTCTTCTGCTCAAAACTCCCCACAGTCATCCCCTCTCAGGTAGAGAGAAGCCACAATCTGCACTCTCCTTGCTCCCTTCTGGACCTCATCTCTCACTTCCTCCCAGTGTGCTTCCTCTTGGTCACTCCAGCCTTTGTTTCTCTACCATTCCAAGTACACTCCTACTCCGGCCTTTGCTTTGCCGCTTTGCCTGGAATACTCTCGCCAGGTATCTGTGTGGGCTTTTCCTAGGTGACACTTTTTAGGGAGGCCTTCACTGGCTACCCATCCCTTGTTTAGCCTCCCCTGTCCACCAACTTTCTACCTCTGTTCCTCTTTATTTTTTTCTTTGCACTCATTGCCTCCAATGTACCATATTTTTCAGACATTTGTCTTATTTACAGATCATCTCTTTCCATCTCCTAGAATATAAGCCCAATGCAGGTAGAGATTGCTGTCTCCTTTCTTCATCATTGTCTCCAAAGAAACTAGAGCAGTGCCTGGCACACAACAAGTGCTTCACAGATACTTGTTGAATGGATGAATAAATGAAGGTACTGGTTAAATTAAAAAGCCATCAGACTGAAGACAAAATCAAAGAAATTTTTCCATAGAGGGATCTAATGTAAGTGGGGTTTCTAAAGAGACAGAAAAGGAAATTTTCTAACTCCCTCTTCCTTCCAGAGCTCCTTGGGGTCAGGACTGTGGAGGGGCTGTCTGCCAGCCACCCTCTGTAGAGAAACCCTGGAGCCGACATAGTTGTGGCTGGGAAAGAACATTGGCCGGGGAGCCAGGAGAGCAGACTGCAGCCTCGCCTTTACCCTTCCCACTCATGTGGCCCCTGATTTTACTGATGGAGAAACTGAGCTTCTGTGGGTTCCTACTTTCTTCCATGGTGTATTGGCACTGAAGGAATGATTCACTGATAAGTGACTTATACTCCATGGGTGTAACTCCAGTGCTCAGGGGCTACGTTTTTAGCCTTTGAATTTCCTCCAGAAAGGCTCATGGCAGTAAAATTCCTTCTTTCCACCCCATGGAGTGGGGCCACATCCCCCAGGCTGTGACCTTCTGCAGGCTTACACTGACACTCAGCGCCCATGGGGCTGGCCATGGCCTGCCTCTTTAGGATACCGCATCCGGTCTGCTGCCGCAATCTTGCTGTCCAGCCTCTGTTTCTTCCCTAAATACACAAGCTTTCCCTGCACCTTTCACATGAGTGTCTTGAAGGAATCCAGAAACATTTTTCTTTAACCTGCCTGAAATTTGTTTTGGCAGAAGTTCTGAAGGCTGAAGTCTTGAAAGATTTGGGCTCTGTTAAATTACAGACATAAGTTCGGTGAGGTAAATAGCTCAGGCAAAAATTGGAGTACCCTCACTGTTATTTCTGTGCTTGAAACTCTACCCATTCTGCAAACCCGACTCTAGAGCTGTCTCATCCACGAAGCCTTCCCAGGTCACCAGAAGGCAGGGCATCCTACTCTGCCAGTGGCTGAGTGGCAGCACGGCATGGAAGAGGAGCCAGGCTGATCAGATCCCAGGTCCTGTTAGCGGGTAACTTCAACCAAGTTCTCCAACTTCCCTGAGCCTCAGATTTCTCAATTGTAAGTAATGATAATGACAATATATTGCATACTTGAAAACTGCTAAGTTCAACCAATTTCTCAAACTTCCCTGAGCCTCAAATTTTTCAACTTTAAGTAATGATAATGACAATATATTGCATACTTGAAAATTGCTAAGACTGTAGATTTTAAATGTTCTCACCCCCCAAAATAAGTATGTGAGTTCATGGATATGTTAATTAGCTTGATCTAACCATTCTACAATGTGTACATATATCAAAACATCATATTGTGCACCATAAATAGACACAAATTTTGTCAATTAAAAACAATTTAAAAATAGTAATAGTGAAAATAATAGTACCTAACATTTATCAAGAGCTTAAGCCAAGCACTGTGCTAGATACATTACATTATCTGTTTTAATCAATCATCTTTAACAACCCTGTGAGATAAGATATTTTATTATCCCCTCTTTACATATGAGGAAACTGAAGGTAAATGGGATGATAATTTATACCTCACTGGGTGTTTAAAAATACATGCATCCTATCATGCAGTAAGCACTCAATAAATGTAAGTTCCTTCTCCATCATACCCACTAAACCAACTTGTAGGTGTTATTCTCAACACTTACCATATATTGTCTTATATAGCAATGTCCAGTACTGTACTGTCCTGGTTAGAGCATATAGGACAGGAGACAAGGGTTAGAGACTATTGAGAGTAAGCGAGGCCTGGGCTCCTGCGCTTGGACATGTTACTTAATCTTTATGCACCTTAGTCTCTTTCACTGTAAAATGAGAGTAAGACTGTTAACTCTAAGGATTCATTGAAATAATATATGAGTATAATCTAGAATAATGCCTGGCATATAGTAGCTATTATTACCGCTATTATTTATCATCAATGTTAAAATACATATCACTATTTGTTCAAAGTTTTCTGAACAATAAGACAAGTCTGTTCCATGTTTGTAAATCTGTTTGAGTCTTCATCCTATGCCTGAGATGCTATAAAATTGCTTCTCAAAGTGCATCCAAAGGGCCATCTGCATCAGAATGTCCTGAAAGCTTGTTAAAAGGAAATGTCTTGAGTGTCTCCCCAAAGCAAATGGATCATGATCTCTGGCAGTGACCCAAAATTTTGTATTTGAACAATTTCTTCAGGTAAGTCCCATGGGTACTGAAGTGTGAAGACCATTCTACTAGGAGCACCAAATATCTGTGAATGAAATAAGCAAATGGGCATATTATTAAGCTAGTGCTAATAACTTCAGGTTACAATGACCCTGGTTTTGCTCCTGACATAGAATTTTTTACTTCAATTCCTCATTTGGCTTTTCCTTGTCCCAAATCCTACTTCACTCTATTTCCTTGAATAGGTGGAATAGCTTTCTATTTAGGCACAGGTCTTCCTTAGGCTCTGAAAAATTCCTGAGAGTTGTTATACCCCAGCTGATTCATCAACAACATGTGCACAGACGTATGCACACTCTGGGTTCTGGCCTCTGATTATCATCCTGAAGCTCTATTAAGACAAGTTATATTGATGAAGGCTATAAGAAAACAAATACCTCAAAACTTTCAAAATACTATAATAATAATTTTTAATTGACATATAAATCTTTTTGACCTGAACATTTTAGCAAAGGGAGGAACAAAAACCTGAGTCACATGAAACATATGAATTAAATACATAGGTATTTGGGATTTATTTTTACACCAACTAGATGTTTTTAAAGGACATTTTTTAAAGCATCACTAAAGTAAAAGATTATTGTTCTATAAAGACATGTCATACCAACGTTTCAGTAGAACACTACCCCTTTAAAAATAAAAGGGAGGAAAGACAGAATAGTGATGTGGTCAGCAGAGTAATAAATTAAACTCACCTGGCAGAGTTCATTCTTCAGGTCTGAGGAATGTAAAAAAACACATTTCTAGTGAATGAAAAAATATCCACAGAAAAAGAGAACAGTTTCAAAACATGAAAGGAGAGGTTACAGTCTCAAAACCCTGACTCCAGCACAAACAGCATGTCCAGGTTAAGAGTCATACTCCCTGGGTAATTTCTATACCAAATATGCAACATTTTATATAAGCCAAACAAAAGCTCTCAAGCCCAACAAAACCCAAGCTTGCTTAATTTCTCCCACAAAAGGAAGACAGTAACAACCTAGAACTGAGCACTGCTTTTTTATTAATGGTGCCTATATTTTAAGTTTTTAGTTGATTTGGATAGTAAAAAACTACACACTAAAATGACTTATTTCAGAAGGTAGTAATTGTCATATGCTAAAAAGCTGAGCCTAAAGTTCTATAGCATTTGCATGGTCTCAGCTCTAGCAAATTTCTCACCCATTTCTGCTTCAATTTCTTCATCTGCAAAATTATAAAAAGAATTGTGCCTATTTCAAATGGTGGTTGTGAGGATTCTATGTTATAATGCCTGTAAAGCTCTTAACACAGTTCATTGCATATTGTAAGACCTTAATCAAAGCTAGTTTTTATAATCATACAAGATTTAGCTTGGAGATAAAGATGTCCACCTGTATTGGAATTAATAATCCATGTTTATTACCCTAAAAATAATAATGAGATATGATGTTGTGTAGCCCTAGGAGGGGAGCTAAAGCTCACATGGAAACTGAAGAACATCAGGTAAATCCAATTATCTGAGCACTGAGCAGCAGGAGGTGTTTGATATACATTAGTTGGACATAGCAAGCTGTAAAGGAGATGGTACTTTTAAACAGGACTCATGTCATCAAGAAGTTTCTATGCCAACAATAATTCATCATAAATTTAGGAAACAGTGCCAAATGCAACCCCAGATTATCTGAGTTGTAATTTCTAGGGATAATGGCTGTTAACTCCTTTTTCTCTGAGATATATAAAACCCTGAATATGAATTTGTATGTTTTCACAAGTTACACTGTAATAGTGAGGGAGTGGGTGATATTAATTTCTGTTTTCTGTTGGATAGGAAGAGGTCTAAGAAGATAAAACTGCTTTCATAAAGTCAGTCAATTGAAATAGAAACTCTATCTCTTAACACCAGATTTCAACTTCGATTCTGTAAAACTCACCGCCTTCACATGGGCCTAGAGTGCACAGTAGCTCTGATTTCCTTTGGTTTCATTTTTAAGAGTAATAACTTGTAAATTTAAACCAATTCCATGGTTTTTCCTATCACTGTCTTTCTGGATATGGTTTAGGGTGTTTTTCTTTGCAGCTTCTAAGTAAATGTGATGTAGGTGTGAGTCTCGTGCTGGGAAGGATTAGAAGGCAGTGCAGTCATGGAGTCTCTGGGGACCCACACCTTTGGTTTTTCATTACAAGCAGGTGCACCAAGCTGGGATCAAATACAAGATCTGAGAGAAAAGAGCCTGCATTCCAGGAAGCAGTGTCAGCTTCCAAGCAGGATGCAGCAAGGTAGTTGGGTGAAACTTGAGGATCAGAGAGATGGCTGTCCTGAAAGGAGCCCCCATCTATGGGGAAGTTTTATATACAGAAAATGGGTATCAGAATTTGAGATAATGACCAGTCAAGATAGGAGAGGTATGGTAGAAGAATCTGCTATAATAGAAGCTGAGAGGTCATTGACATCATGCCTATTATTTTAAGACAAATGGACAAAAAAGACAAATAGAACCTGTAAAGAAATGATGGTTCTATAACTCGCAAGCAGAAAGCAAATGAAATAAGAGAAAAATAAGTTTTTGGGCACCAGTGTTAGTTATCATTTGTTATTCTCAGAAATAACAAATACGTATGTCTAGAAATATATACCTTAGGAAAAACATCAGAAACAGCAAAGATTTCTGCTAGAAGATGTACATCACTGTGTTAGTCAGACTAATAAAATAATGGAAGCAGATTTCATGTTCAACCATGAGGGATTCTAAATAATTTAGCACATATTAATACAAGTAAATATTAGATGCCTATTAAATAAGCTCTTAAAGACTGTTTCATGGCACGAAAATGTTTACAATATTGTATTTAGTAAAAAAGCAAGACATAAAACATGTATACAATGTGATTTTCTGCAAAAGAAACACAAGAATGTAAAAGAAAAAAAAACTGGAGGTAAATGCCATAAAGGAAACAATGATACCCTATCATTAGGTGATGAATTTGTGAGAGATTTTTGTATTCTACAACTAGCTTTCAATAATAATATTATTTGAATAAAGGTTATGTAATAAACCAACACAGAAAGATGGCCAATGTGCCTGGAAACCATTTTTTTTTCCTACTAAAAGCTACTGTGCATATTAAACCTGGAGAAAGGCAATTCCAAATTAACCTTACGCAGCACTAACCCCATGGCTACCTTGGTTCAAACATAAAGGAATTCACCAAGACCACACTACTCAGCTGGCCTCAGGAATGCACATGTCTGAGCCATTTCCCTTCGGCCATGTGGGGAACATCATTCGCATATGTCCAGAGTTGTAAGCAGTCCAAGTTCTGTCATTTTCGGTGGGTAAAGGGAGGAAGAGGACTACGTGATGGCATGCATAGAATCGCATATCATCTCTTGTGCCATTATATCTTACCAGATTTCTTCAGGTGCAAACCCTGCAACATGCTGTTTATTTTTTTTCCACTCAAGAATTTGTCCAAAATTTGATATGTGAAAAGATGTCTGTTTGGCCTTCCTTCCTTCAGCGTTTTCACCATTCATTCAAATGTGTCATAGGAAAAGAAAACTATCTGATTAGCTTTAAAACTTTTATATTGTCTGCATTGAATTCTTTCTATTTATTTATTTATTTATTTTTTGAGGCGGAGTCTTGCTCTGCTGCCAAGGCTGGAATGCAGTGGCACAATCTGGGCTCACTGCAACCTCTGCCTCCGGGGTTCAAGCAATTCTCCTGCCTCAGCCTCCCGAGTATCTGGGACTACAGGTGTGTGCCACCACACCTGGCTAATTTTTTGTATTTTTAGTAGAGACCATGTATTTCACCATGTTAGCCAGGATGATCTCAATCTCCTGACCTCGTGATCTGCCCACCTCGGCCTCCCAAAGGTTTATTTGGTTTTTAAATGTTCTCCTCTTGGAAAATGAGCTTTTTCATATGCTGCAAGTAGGATACGAACTGGTACAACATTTTTTAAAGATCTTTTAGTGATTCAAAACATGTATACATGTATGTTCGTGTAAGTTTACCTACTTGAAAGTATGTATACCCTTTAACCCCAAATGCCACTTTGAGGGGTTTATTCTAGGTAAATAATCAGCAATATTTATAAACAAAGGTTTTGCTTTTGCTTTCTTTCCTACTTTTATTTTAGGTTCAAGTGGTACATGTGCAGGTTTATTACATGGGTAAATTGAGTGTTGCCAGGGTTTGGTGTACAGATAATTTTGTCACCTAGGTAATGCACGTAATACCTGATAGGGTAGTTTTTCAATTCTCATCCTCCTCCCACCTTCCACCCTCAAATAGGCCCAGTGTCTATTGTTCCCTTCTTTGTGTCTATGTGTATCTAATGTTTCACTCCCCCTTGAAAGTGAGAACAGTCAGTATTTGGTTTTCTGTTCCTGCATTAATTCGCTTAGGATAATGGCCTCTAGCTCCATCCATGTTGATGCAAAGGACATGATCTCATTTTTTTATAGCTGCACAGTATTCCATGGTGTATATGTACTACATTTTCTTTATCCACTTCACCATTGATGGGTATCTAGGTTGATTCTATGTCTTTGCTATTGTGAATAGTGTTGCAATGAATATACATGTGTGTGTCTTTATGGTAGAATGATTTATACTCCTTTGGGTAATATAACCAGTAATGAAATTGCTGGGTCTAGTGGTAGTTCCATTTTAAGTTCTTTGAGAAATATCTAGACTGTTTTTCACAGTAGCTGAACAAATTTACATTCCCACCAGCAGTGTATAAATGTTCCCCTTATTCCATCACCTTGCCAGCATCTATTATTTTTGGCTTTTTAATAATAGCCATTCTGACTGGTGTGAGATGGTATCTCATTATGGTTTTGATTTGCATTTCTCTAATGATTAGTGATATTGAGCATTTTTTTATGTTTGTTAGCCACATGTATGTCTTCTTTTAAGAAGTGTCTGTTTATGTCCTTAGCCCATTTT
This sequence comes from Homo sapiens, assembly GCF_000001405.40. Taxonomy (NCBI): domain Eukaryota; kingdom Metazoa; phylum Chordata; class Mammalia; order Primates; family Hominidae; genus Homo; species Homo sapiens. The sequence goes on from NC_000001.11 coordinate 170,323,020, forward strand.
TTAATGCAATTGTTTGGTTTTTGCTTGTTGATTTTTTTGAATTCCTTATAGATTCTGGGTATCAGACCTTTGTTGGATGCATAGTTTGCAAATGTTTTCTCCCATTCTGTGGGGTGTCTATTTACTCTGTTGATATCTTCTTTTACTGTGCAGAAGCTCTTTAGTTTAATTAGGTCTGACTTGTCAATTTTTGTATTTGTTTCAATTGCTTTTGTAGTCTTTGTCATGAAGCCTTTGCCAGGGCAAAGTCTTTGCCTATATCCAGAATGGTATGTCCTAGATTTTCTTCTAGGGTCTTTATAGTTTTATGTTTTGCTTTTAAGCCTTTAATATAACTTGAGTTGATTTTTGTGTATGGTGAAAGGTAGGGGACAGTTTCAATCTTCCATTTATGGCTAGTCAGTTTTCCCAGCACCATTTGTTGAATAGGGAATCCTTTTCCCATTGTATTTTTTTGTCAGCTTTGTCAAAAATCAGATGGTTGTACATGTGTGGCTTTATTTCTGGGCTCTCTATGCTTTTCCATTGGTCTATATGTCTGTTTTTGTATCAGTACCATGCTGTTTTAGTTACTGCAGCCTTGTAGTATAGTTTGAAGTCAGGCAGTGTGATGCCTCCAACTTTGTTCTTTTGTCTTAGGATTGCTTTGGCTATTTGGACTCTATTTGTTTCCATGTGAATTTTAGAATGGGTTTTTCTAATTCTGTGAAAAATGTCATTGGTAATTTGGTAGGAATAGCATTAAATCTGTAAATTGGGGCAGTATGGCCATTTTAATGATATTAATTCATACTATCCATGAGCATGGAATGTTTTTTCATTTGTTTGCATCATCTCTGACTTATTTCAGCCGTGTTTTGTAATTCTTGTTTTAGAGATCTTTCACCTCCCTGGCTGGCTGTATTCCTAGGCATTTTACTCTTTTTGTGGCTATTGTGAATGGGATTGCATTCTTGATTTGGCTCTCAGATTGGACATTATTGACGCATAGAAATGCTACCCGTTTTCGCTGGGCGTGGTAGCTCACACCTGTAATCCTAGCACTTTGGGAGGCCGAGGCACGCAGATCACCTGAGGTCAGGGGTTCGAGATCAGCCTGGCCAACATGTTGAAAGCCCATCTCTACTAAAAATACCAAAAATCAGCCGGGCATAGTGGCGGGTGCCTGTAATCCCAGCTACTCAGGAGGCTGAGACAGGAGAATCGCTTGAACCTGGGAGGCAGAGTTTCCAGTGAGCCGAGATCGTGCCGTTGCACTCCAGCTTGGGCAACAAGAGCGAAACTCCGTCTCAAAAAAGAAAGAAAGAAAGAAAGAAATGCTACTGGTTTTCATGCATTGATTTTTTTATCCTGAAACTTTGCTGAAGTTGTTTATCAGATTGAGAAGCGTGCAGAGACTCTGGAGTTTTCTAGATATAGTATCTTATCATCTTAAAAGAGAGATTGTTCGACTTCCTCTCTTTCTATTTAGATGTCTTTTCTGTCTTTCTCTTGCCTGATTGCTCTAGCTAGGACTTCCAGTACTATGGTGAGTAGGAGTGGTGAGAGTGGGCAAACTTATTTTATTATGAACAAAAGTTTCTTATCAGATTATTATTTATAATTGAGAAAAACTGAGAATTATCTAAATGTTTAAAAATAGGAGATAAATTAAATGAATAGTATATTCACAAAATAGTAAACTATGCCATTGTTTAAAAATAATAATATTTAATGGCATGAAAATATTTATGGTATATTGGTAAGTACAAAAAGCACAGTATAGAACACTGTGATGCTAATTTTGTTATTTTTTTTTAAGGATGACTAAAAGCCTGTACAACACAGTGTCAACTGTAGTATCTCTGGGTGACTTTTATGTACTTTTTCTATTTTCCTATGTTTTTCAAACATTATATATTGAACATACATTATATTACTTTACTAATAAGACAAAATAAGTTATAATATTTCAAATTTCTTTGCATTAAAAACCAGTGTTCACATATGAAATTTGGTTTAAACAACAACATTGACTATCACATGTCATTGGCAACTTTTGGATAAGACACAAAAGCTCATAGAAAAGGCTAAGCCAATAATATTTGTTGAGAATTTACTATGTGCCAGGTATTTTGCCAAGCTTATCTAATTTAATCCTCATATAAACCACCTGAGATAGATGGTGTACAGCCTTTCTTTAATTCCTCTTTATATACTGGAATATAATTCATCCAGAAGATTTTCTCACAAGGGTCTTGTTCAATGTCATTGAAACCACCCTGTATTTTTCAAAATGATGATGATGAGCTGATTCCTGAGGTTGGAACTGAAAATTGTTCTGTGATTGTGAGACATGGCTCTTTGAAAGCATCACAAGCACCATCACAGTGAGGAAACACAAAGACTTCTGGGAAGGAATTAGTTATTGGCACCAGGAATCGATGTCTAAGACAGATGTCCATGACTTCCGTCCAGTCTAGCCTTAAAAACTTGTAAACACATATCTCTATGAAGAACCAGAACCTCTCTGAGGGGAATGTGTATTCGTTCTCCTTCCTTTTGGATCTAATCATTTTACCAAATTACTTGAGAACATGCACCAAAAAACAAAAAGAAGTGTAACTTTTCCTTTAATGGATTAAATAACCAGAAAGTTTGTAAAGTGGAAAAAGTAAGTATGAATTCTATTTTCCCTAAGATCAGAAGTAAAACAATTTAATCTTTTTGAAGAGATCAGATAATTTGGTTTTGGCATTTAAAATTCTCTGTCTCTTTTCTGAGAAAGGATCACTTGATTTTATAAATTCTTTCCTCCATCAATTAAAAATACTCTGATTCTTCCTAGTGATTGAGGTAAAAAACAAGGTTTCATATAGATGTTTTTCTTCTAGTGGCCACAAAAGTAGGGTTTAACATTTAGGGAATGTGTATCTCATCTTTTCTGAAGTTTTATTTATTAACAATGTGTCATTTTTATATTTTATGAAGAATGCTTCCCAAGACAGTGTGGCTGAATATCTCAACTCCAGTTGGATGGGAGTAAAAAGGCCTTTATAATTACAGGGTGGAAAAGTAATGCAAGCTTCATTTAGACAAAGAGTTCTTTGCCCTAGACAACTTCAAAAAGTGACCGAGGGAGGGTCTGGAATTTCATTTAAATGAACATGGTGCCTGTCATTATACTTGACACCTGGGTTTAGTATCCAAATGCTGAATGAAAAAAAAAAAAAAAAAAAAAAAAGCACAGACCACAATAGGACAAGATAGATACCTCTGTATATTGCTCTTCACGCAACACTTTCCTCATTGCCAAGAAGAGTATTATAAATCACTCCCTGATTATTCTTCATATGTTCCCCAGATTGTAGTTCATTTTCCCAAACTTCAACTTATTGCTCTTTGCTGGACTGTAAGACCAGAGTGTGATATTGAAACCAGGCTCAACTTCTTCAGAACTCTACTATTCATATTACTCAGCCTTTGTGGTTGTGCTCAGTGCTAAATCTATGGTTGCTCCACTCCCATTAAAAGCTCCCTGGATTTTGTTTAAGCAGGGTGATATCCTTTGTTACCTCTGAATGGCCTGTGGACAATTTTGGCTAACCCTTGAGAAGTCCACACACTTTGCCTGGTTTGACGTACTTCAGAAGCCATCAAATATAGCACATGTAATGGCTCTGTGACAGGAAGATTCTGAAGCTGGGGACTAGGAATATATGTTGTCCTAATTACTGAGGGATGCTTTTACCTATCAGTATAAGCTCTGAAAGGAAATGGATGTGGCTAAGTGTACATGGATCATTAAGCTTTCTTCCTTCTATAAACTGTGATCTTTCTTCCAATTTTAACTTGAATGTCAGGCAATAGGATCACAGTTCCAAGAAGAAAAAAATGTTTAAGGCCTGGAGAAGGGAACGGTGGGGAAAAGAAGTAACATTTTTAAAAGTCTCTTGAGTTTTAAGTGGAGACACTGAAGGAGGCAGGATCAAAGACATCTTTTCATAATACTGGTAATAATTATTACTGATGATAATTTAAATACTTGATTGTTTCCACTATATTCAAAGGAGACTTGTGGTTTGGTTGTGCCTCCAGAAATTACAGAATATAAAACAAAGTTGGAAAGTTGCACATGGACCAGACTTTGTAAAGGAAAGAAATAGCATTTGAAATTTAAATAGAACTCATAGAAATTATTTTGCAAAGATAATTTATTAGGAGAAGCAGAAAGAACTCTAACCAAAAAAGAATAAGGTGTCACATGTGTTTTTTACGAAACAACATAAAAGGGAGCTTTAATGATGCCTTCCAGAATGCAGTAATAAATATTGGTGATATAATGTAGGGATTGGGCATGATGGGTGGAAGCAGGTAAATAATAAATATTCACTGGACCAGATTCTAGTATAGAGTTGAGTAGGGAGAAGCCAAGTTACAATTTTTGCACAAAGAATACCGTGTTCTCAAAACTCCTTGCCTCCTCCAAAACACTATATCCATTTGAAGAAGGGTTCCAGCCAGAACTCAGTTCTTCCATGCCCCTCATGTCTGACAAGAAGTTCTGCAAAAACATGTCTTGCCAACCTGCACATCACTCATGTCCTGAACTTTCTGGAAATTTAAGCCCTCATTGGGAGAATAGGATGTTTGTTTTAAGTTCCCTCTATAGGCCCATAGGAGTTTATAACTGCCTGTAGCTGGTGCCAGCTATACAGACTGAAGTGTGTAAAGATCAACTATAGATAATTGAGTTAGAGATTGCTAATAATCACTGATGGTTAACAAATCAACAAAAGAATTTATCAAATATCCTTGATATGTAAGGCCAGAGGAATATAAATAAATTTAAGACACAGCTGCATTCAAGAGACCTACAATCTTGTTGTAGGGAGGACATTAGATATTAGTTATTGCTAGGTATTGTTAGTTAATTTTTCATGAATATCAACATGAATTGGATGATCAATAAAAGCCATCAAGTTCAGATAAAGGAGAAATAGATCACCAGGAACTAGAGTGATGACAGTCTTCAGAAAATTTATGAGACCTGAGGAAGGAAGGGAGAGAACAAACATACCTTCACATGTTCTTTTACTTAATCCTCTCACTGAGTATCTGAGGTAGATTTTGTTCTTATTTTACATATGAGAACACGGAAGCCCAGAGATGCTTAGAAACTTGTGAAGGTCACAAAACCAGTAAACAGAAACATCAGGATTTGAACCCAGTTTCAGCTGCATTCATAATCTTATACTCTTTGCACTTTATCATGAAGGATGGATGGATGTGATGGGCTGAGAAGAGGCCAGAGAGCTGATTTAGAAAACATAGGTGCTGATTCACAAAACACAGCATTTGGCATGTGTTTTCTAAAGAAACACCTGCCAGATGATTGAAATTAGTCCAGAAGTTAGCAGCTGTCTCAGTGAAGGAAGAAGGAAAGAAACATGGCAGCCCAACACACGGAAGAAGATGCTATAATTGGAGAGTTTTTAGCTAATTATTTTCCTATTTGGGGTTTCTCCAGAAGCAGACTGAGAGACAAAGATTCAAATGCAAGCAGTATGTAAGGGTCAAACTGGAAAAATTGATAAAAAACTATAGGAGTGAGACAGAAGAGAAGGCAGCAAACACAAGGTCAGATATTAAGACAACGACCACTGTGGATAACAGAAACTTAATCTTACAGGGGAATCTTTGGAAAACGGTGTAGAAAACAAGCCTCAGACTCCTCCGCCCAAGTATTCAGCTCCTACCAGCCATTGGTTAAGAACTGCAGGTGGCAGAGGGTACAGTAGTTATTTCTCTGGTACTGCTTGTCTACCATGTATACAAAGAGACCTTTATCCAAGTCTTGGAGGAAAAGCCCAAGGAGAATGCATAAGATACTGACAGCTGAAGCTCGCTGCCTGAATGACATGGTTAAGGCCCAGGGATATGCACAGGGCATTGATAGCACCTGCTACAAACATCAGTATCTTTGGCGCAGGCTTTGTGATATTCTCTATTATTCTACCCTCTTTGAAGTGTATGAGTATGCAGATCATTGTCTCTCAAACTTCCGAGTGCATAAGGAGCACTTGGGAAGCTTGTTAGCAAACCAGATTCTGGAAACTTACCCATTGAAATTCTGACTCCTATTTCAGGAATGGAGTCCAGGAATTTGCATCATTAATAGGTATCCCAGATGATTCTGACACATAAGGTCTGCGGATCACACAATGAGAGACAATGCCCGGACTGTCCAAGTATTATACAAAAAATATACGAACAAGAGGGAAGCTCTGTTATTCGGTAAAGAGAATGGCTTTTGGATCAAGGTATCCTTGGATTTGAAAGCTGGCTCCATTACTTAGTGATCTTAGGAAAGTTAAATAATCTCTTTGCTTCTGTTTCTTTACCTATAAAATTGGGGTAAAAGCACCCATCTCAACTGTTTGTATGAGAATTAAATAATGTAATACAGAATAGTCCAGAGCAGTGTAAGGTACATGGTAAGTGCTCAGTGTTAATTCCCTCCTTTAATTTTTCTTAGGAGATTAAAATCTGTTGACTTCTTTGTACCAATGGCAATTGATTGTTAGTGCTGTTTGACAAATTATGCCTGTATAATTTATACAAATTATAGAAGAAAACTCAGTAATAAAACAATGCAGGCCTCAGCTCTAAATTTACCCCATACTTTGTCAGTGCACCTAAAACTTGGGCTATTTTTTGTCTTCCACTTGCAATCACATTACCTAATGATTATCCTGGGGCTATCAAAAGAAATGCTCACATGCCAAGGAACAGATCAGGTTGATCTGGCTTCTAGATCTTGCCCAAGGACTTGACTCTAGATTCTCATTCTTAGACACTGAATTTCTATACTGAGAAGCTACTACATTTGGTTTATTGGCTCTTTATGTTTCCAGGAATGACATTTCCAAGCATATATTGGGGAAAAAAAGGATGATACCAAGAAAAAGATTAGAGACAACGCATAGATCATGATTTTGGATAAATCATGCCTATTTATTGTTATCCCATCATACCCAAATTGATTGGCAATCAGAATGAATTTGAAATTATAATAGTATTACCATAATATGGACCTAAAAAGATGAATATTATAGCACAAAGCAAAATGCTTTGCACTTAGAAGATCCACAAATGCTTGTTGAGTTTATGATGTCATTCAGGGCACCCGGTCATCTTTATGCTTCCTCAACGTCTCTAGGTACAATCGTTTTCTCCCATGACTCATCTTTCTCTTAGTCTCCTAGTTTGGCCTAAGTGTTAACCAAATCTCTTTTGCCTTAGTTTAAGATAATTGACTTCTACTTTGTCCTTGGAATATGGAGAAAAATATAATAAAGAACGAAGCTTTGTTAACTTAATTGCATAAATAACATGTCTAGACTAATACTAGTGATTTAAAAGGAAAAAAAGCTTTCTATAAATATTGATCCCATTTCCCTGATATGGGTCTTTTGCCATAGCACAGTGCCACCCACAAACATGGAGCAAGGGCATTTGTTTTTTTAAACACAAACGTATGAGATATGCATTCCAGCATCTAAACATCACCAGAAAAACAGACACTGCTGGACATGAAGCCTGAAGCATGAGCCAAACAGGAAATCACTCTTTTATCTAACCCCATGAAACTGCACCTTCTAAAGCAGTCATTTTCCCCATGTCTACTCAGGAAAGCCAGTGTAGTCTAATCATATAAAGATGGCCTTGAGGGCTCTGTCTATTCTTGAGGCCTGAGATCAAGTCCCATCTTGACACCTCATTTTCTCTAATGTAAAATTATGGAGTTGGATGAAATGACAGATAAACCCTCCTGCATCCCTAAAGGTAATTTGTCTAAGGGAAACATTTAAGATAATCAATAATAACTACAGTTGACTCTCATTATTTGCAGAAAGTGTGTTCTATACAGTAGCCTCAAACACTAAATGAATAGCAAATACTGAACCATTGCTCCTAGAGGAAATACAGAGTTAGGTTTCTGCAAGCCTCTGAGCACATTTTTTTTTTTATCAACTGATCAATTGATCAATAAATAACCTTGTTTTATGTATGTTTTTGTTTAAAAATACCTTATTTAATATATGCTATTGATTTATTAACATTGAAATCATGGCCAAAAGCACTGCAAATCATGACTGGATGGAGCTTATCTAACAGGGATACTTTCTCTGCAAGGCACATTAGAGTCTTCTTGTGCTTTGGATCACTACACAGTACATTAGCACCGTAATTGGAGGCCATTCCAAATAGCAAAATCACCAACAAAGTACAAAAATGCAGAAAACATGGCATTAAATAGACCATGGAAAGAATACACAGAACATCATCTTATTCCACTTCAGGTGGGAACCTGTGGATCAGGAGACTCAGACTTTTGCCTATGTGTGTCTGTGAATGACCACAAAAGAGCCACAAATATTGATTTGGCAGTTACAAATTAGTTTTAGTGAATAGGTACAGAAGTACAGAATCTGCCAATAATCAGAATCAACTGTACATTAAAAATATAAATACATTTTGTTATTTTATAGTCTCTTGCTTCCGAAAATAGCAAATTTTCTCCAAAACCTTAACTTAAAAGCAGTGTAGTAAGCCCCTGAGCTCCCCTGTGAATTCGGTAAAATTACAACCCCATCTCACAGATGGTGAAATTTAGAAATGAAGCAGCTTCCTGCATGTCCCCAAGCAATGTGACAGCCAAGCCAAGATAGCTCAGGAGTGTGAAACTAATCCTGTGTTTGGCCCACTGGGCTGCCTTGTTCCTGCTCAGTTACCTGCTGTACGATGTTCTCCCTTCACTGCTTGTTAGCTACATCCTGCACTCAGGCTCCATGGTGGAAGTCTGCAAATCATTCTGGGACATGCCTACTATCAACCTGTAATTTTGTCCCGTAAGAGTGTTAGCTGAAGACTAACTGGCTGTTTTTTTACCATAATTTTTTCTTTCTGAGATGGCATTGCTGACATTTACTTCTATCCCCTGTGTACAGGCAAAAGTCTCAGCTTCACAGCCTCCTACTCAGGACACTCCAGTCTCATCTATCTCTACATATATGTACCTAGAAACCATACTGAGCTATTCACTGTTCCTTTTCTGGAGGGCAAGAATCAGTTTATATTAATTATTTTAATTCTCTTTTCCTTCTTACCATGTCTGTAGCAGTGCTTGGGGCACAGAACAGACTCTGAATATATTGATGAAATTGAATTCTGTTCTGCAGAGCACATTTCCCCAGCCTTTTCAGGACTTGTAATTGGGGGGAAACAGCACTATGGAGTATTTTCAGACTTGCTAAACACTTTATATAATTTATCTCACTTAATCCTTAACAACCCTGCAAATCATTATTTTTCCCATGTTATAAATGGAGAAACAGGTCTGAAAGAATTTACATAACTAGTCTAAAGTCACAAAGCTAGTAAATGCAGAGCTGTGATTGAAACTTAGAACCTGTTTTTCCTATGGGCTATGGCTTAATTTATTGGTGGCAATAATGCCTTATATTTCATCAGCTGCAGTTTTAACCAAACAGGTAATTTCAGTTTGAAAAAAGAAATAATTTTATTCTACTACTCGTTGCCTAGACTTTCATAGACAGACAAAAAGAGTTTTGGAAGAAAATAAGGATTGGAGTATTCAGGTTAAAACCATCTGCCATTTACCGGTTGCCCTGTAAGATTTACATAAAAGTTTCTCTGCCAAGAAATATGAATGTAGTCATACACTGGGAGGACCATTTTAAGATGTTTATCTTTCAAAGAAATGGAGATTAATAGAAGTAATATATCACAAGTTGAATACAAACAACAGTATTGGAAATCTCTAAACACAGTATACAAAATGGCTTTATTTTACAGCTACTCATCTTTCACCTAATTACACAGCTTCTATATTATCTCATAAGAAGATAAGTAACTGACATTCTTTTCTCTCCATTAGTAGCTGTTGGACATTGTTGGTCTGTCTAGAATTCAGCAGATATTACAATTCCCATTATATAGATGAGGTTCAGAAAGCTTAATTGTTCCAAAAGATTCTTTTGCATCAGTTGTGTGCCAAGCATTGCATCTGACAATAAACCCTGGATTTGGTGACATCCTAAGCTCCCTTTCAGTCAATAGTCTATTCTTTTCTGTGGCTACTCTAAAGATTATCAAATTCTTTCAATAACTATGAGCCCATTAAAAGTCTTTGGAAGAATGCGTAAACCCAGACAGAGATTTTTTCTTTTTCTTTTTCTTTTTTTTTTTTTTTTTTGACATTTGCTGAAATCATTCCAAGATTCTCAGGGCTGTGATTCTACACTTTTAAGATCTGCCTGTAACAATACATTGATTGAAAATCATGAAACCTTTAGAAAGATCCTTGGCATTTACCTTGCCCAGCTGTCATTCTCTCCATAACATCCATGTTCAGATTTAATATTTCCAGTGGTGATTTTTCCACTGCTTATGCCATTTTGGGAAACTCTTCATGATAGCTATTTAAAATTCATCTCTCAGTGACCTTTTTCTGTAAGTCGTAACTCTTCTTGAACCATAGAGAACAAATCCAAATAGTTTTAAAAGGACTCTGTGGTGTGATCGTAAGTCCCTGACAATACTAGTTTGTGAGTGTTGCCCTGGTTTCCTGTCTATTTTAGCATCTATCTCAGACTTTTCATTGTATAATGAAATGTTAGTGTAATTGTTGCTTTAGAACAAGCTGTAAATAGTTGGGTAGGCCTCCCCTTTCCTCTTGCAACTTCTGCCGTGGTCTCATCTAGTAGCATGTGCGACATGCATTCAGTACACAGCGTTCTCACCCTCATAAATGTCCGAATCTAAAAGATCACCAGTGGTAATTCATCCCTCTTTCCCTGCCCCTTTCCTAATCATTAACATTTCTTCTTCAAAAAGAGGTTGGTGACAAAATGAAGTGTGCTCAGACAAAAGTTGCTAGGGACAGCTAACTCTTTCCAGTTTCAGGTAGTTCTGGGAGATGTATTTGATAATCTATCACTGCTGGCCGCTTGGTATACCAATCAGTTATACTGTGATCAGTGGCAAGGCCTGCAAGATACATGAAGTTACCAACTCACAGTCAACCAGGAGACTGTGAATGACAAATGTAATAAATTATAGTTCAGGTACACGTGAAATAAGTGGAGGAAATAAAGACAGAGTCATCCCACCTGTGGAGCAAAAAGAGAACAGTTTAAACAGTTTTCGTATTGTTTTGTCATTTATTGTACAGTGTAAAATTACAACTATTTACTTATTTTTTTTGACAAAGCTTTTCAATTTTGCCATACATACTTCTAGCAACAATAAGCTGAAAGAAAAAAAGTAGATGTGTGTGATATGGCTTGACTATATTTAGGTTGGTGCAAAAGTAATTACGATTTTTGCTATTGGAAGTAATGGCAAAGACCACATTCACTTTTGTACCAACATAATATGCCCCCATCCAAATTTCATGTTGAATCGTAATCCCCAGTATTGGAGGTGAGGCCTTGTGGGAGGTGTTTGGATCATGGGGACATATCCCTCATGAGTGGTTTAGCCCATCCTCTTGGTGGTATATGAGTTCTCTGAGTTCTCAGGAGATCTGGTCATTTAAGTATGTGATCCCTCCCGTCTCACTCTGTTTCTTGCTCCTGCTTTTGCCATATGAAGTGCCTGCTCCCACTTCAGCTTCCACCATGAGTAAATGCTCCCTGAGGCATCCCCAGAAGCATATGTTGGTGTCATGCTTCCTGTACAGCCTGCAGAACTGTGAGCCAATTAAACCTCTTTTCTAATAAATTGCACAGTCTCAGATATTTCTTTATATTATATAATAGCAATGCAAGAATGGCCTAATAAAGTGTATTGAGTTGAAAAATAAGAAGCAAATTTTGCTTGCTCAAGAAAGTTAATAATAAGCATGTAATGTATATAAAATATTTGTTGGCATTTACCATTCATCATGGGTTATAGTGATATACTGACCACATAAAAACCAGAAGATACAAATCTGCTGGAGAAGCACCAGACATTACTGTAAAAGTGAGTAACTAGTTTGTAAAGACTGTGTCCCATTTGTAACCACAGAAGGTACCCTTCATAGCCGTCTGTGAAATATGACTTTTCATTTAGATCAAATAGCTATTTTAAATTACTTTCAGTCATTTTTCACTCTACGGGTTTCTGGTTTTTTTTGTTTGTTTGTTTGTTTGTTTTTTGTAAATGAATTAAGAGTAAAGCAATAGCTGTTAGTATATGGCTTAATGAGCAGAAGAAATTAACAGTTAAATAAGGACAGTTTTGTTTTTGTTTTTCTCTTTTTAGAGACAGTTTTTCTCTATATTGCCCAGGCTGGACTCCAACTACCGGGCTCAAGAGATCCTCCTGCCTCAGCCACCTGAGTAGCTGGTACTACAGGCATGTGCCACTTCTCCTGGCTTGACAGTTTTATGTCAGTGCCATCAAAATACCTCAAGTGAAAAATCAGTTCATTCCAATCTATGCATTTTTTTCATCAAATTTATGTAATCAAAGTCAGTCTTTTGCAAATTCATTCTCTTAACAGTGCAAAACATCTGACATTATTATGAATGCCATAGTAAATCCAATTAAAACATTTAACATTAAAGGTAAAATTATATGTTTTTGCAATGATAATACAGCACAGATTTTGGTGAAACAATGTTCTTAATACCTTCAGAAGCTTATGGAGCAGAGATGAACTTAGAATTGGATATGGTCATATATACTTCATAATTATGTCCAAATAAGCTATGATATTCAACCAATTGATATGGAAACCATGGTGGTCAAATTGTACAACTACATTTATTAATACACAGAGTAACTGAACTCCAAAATTTTGTAACAAAGCTGATATTAAATTTTAAGAGATTACTTCGGTATGTAGTATGTACATTTTCTGTTTGCTACTTGAAATCAGCTTTTAAAAATGTTTGTGCTTTTGAAGAACTACTTTGTAAAGCAACCCATGTGTCCTACAAAAAAAATAAACATTTTTGTAAGAGGTTTCTAACAATAGGATTTGAATTCTTAAAAAACTCCATTGGATATATTTAGTAAAAATATTTGATAAATGGAATAGTAAAAGTACTTTAGCCTTTGAAGTTTATAGATATTGTATATACTGAACTATGTTGAATATCTATGTGTGTGTCTCGATGTACACATACACACAATATATTAAAAACAAACTTGCAAAGAGAAAGACATTGAAATGTATCCCTACAAAAGCAATGAAGAAACTGATCAAATTAAATAATGAGAGTTTAAATGACATACTTGATAAACTTTTAACTCTAGCAGGCCTTAGTAATATTGACACTAATCAGTAAGGGTTAGCTTTGTGCCAGCAGCTAAGTAAACAAAGCATTTCATGACTTCTCTTAATGGTCTCAACTACAAAGGAGATACAGTTATTATCCCTGTGATTTTTTGTTTTGCTTTGTATTTTTGTTTTTCAGTTTAGTTTGTTTGTTTATATTAAGAATCTGTAGCTGAAAACAGTGAGATGGCTTACCAAGGTCACTGAGCAGGTGGTCATGACACTCAGTGCAGCATGGCTATCTATCCTGTAACTGCTCAACCTTGAAAACCTATGCCTTGCCACCAAAACAATGGTACCAAGCTTTATTTTGCATTAGACTTTTTTTTTTTTTTCAAATTAAAAGTACTAGCCTCTTCTGGGTAAAATAATAATTCACCCTTTAGGAGAGATGAAACTTTCTGATAACTTTAACTCCTTCATTTTATAAATGAGGAATCTAAAATTCCAAAGTATACTCAATGGTATCTTCAAAGATACAGTGCAACTGAAAGCAAAGCTGGTCCCAGAAGCCCTGAGGCTTAGCTCTCTCCTCTAATGCAAGTCCCTACCTCAGATAAACCTTTAAATCTCCCCATACATCTTAGTGTAGATCTGAATCTTCACTCTAACACCCAGAGAGCTTGATAGTGCTTCTGTACAGGTAGAAAGGCCCTATGGCCTAAGGGTGTTCAGCCAGAAAATTATAATGACGTTAAGAAGAGTTGGCCTAGTAAGAAAGAAAGATCTTGGGAGAGCATGGACTGAGGGAAAACATGCATCCTGAAGTTGCTTGTATTTTTATTAAGGCTCATTGTTTCTGTGAGAACACTTTATCTGCAGGATGAAAGGAGCATGTGTCTGAAAGTCCTGCCTTCCTTGACTCACTTCCAAAGAAATGAAGGACAGGACCACTGTGGCTCCTAGCCATCCACGCTCCTGAGGGTCCCCAAAAAGGCCTTTCCCTGGGTATTCAGATGATGCCATCAGCTTAAAGTGTCTTTGTGTAGGACTGGCTGCACCCAGAAATCTGGCAGCTGAGTGTTGGGAAGAAACTAAGAAATCCTTGAAAAATATGAAAGGATCAAAGGTGCTTATTCAAATATTTTCAAAAGAGCTCTGGTTTTAATAAGAAGCAAATGAGATCGGATAGAGAAGAATCCAGAGACTGATTCTGGTGTGGAAAACTCCTTGTGGCAAAGACCAGAAGAAAGGAGGATACCGATGGGAACATTGCTTATTTGGAAGCAAAGCATTAAACGGTGTGCAATTGAATTGCTCTGCCCTTGAACCTGGAGGAGTGCGCAGGAGTAAGCAATTACTTAAACAGACACATCTTTCCTAAGAGATATGATCCAAGAAAAATAATGAATTACAACAACAACAAAATTAAGGAAAAGAGAAGAAACCCTCAGCCTTCCCTCTTACCAGAAAAGCCGTTTTATGTTTCAGGAAGACTTTCAACATAGAGTACTGACTTTATTCATGCGTTAGTCAGTCATCAGCACTCTAGCAGTTTGGATAAAAGAATGTTCTAGAGAAATTTTGGATATTCTTCTCTTACCAAGCAACCAACCAACCAAACCAACCAAAACTACCCTCTACACACTTTTCTTTAGAGTAAAATATAATTTAAGTGTGTGTTATTACATAGAATAATTGTTTATAACAAAGAAGATCCATTCACTTAGCAAACTCCTAATCTTTAAATAGACGAGAAATAATCAATGTTCAGATCCACACACATATTGAGGCTTCAAAACTGGCATAGAAGGGTCTCTTTTATAGAACCCCATGAGACTTATTCCTGTATTCTTGGTGAAACTTTAAAAGGGGCTAATTTATATTTATCCCTAAGGGGTCAATGAAACTGATGGCAGCAATCTTCTTTTATAAATTGCAGATGAATAATTAATGAAATGTAATAAATTATAATACTAGAAATGAAAAACAGAGAAGTATAATACCTGGTGTTCACAGGGTATGAAGAAAGAGACACTTTGTACACAGGATGTATGAGTTTAAATCGGCATAACTGTTTCCGTCAAATTATAGTATTTGTCAGTAACTTTTGTAAAAGTTCATCCTCTTTGACCCAGCAATTCTAGTTGGAGAAATGTATCCAAAGAAATCATGTATGTTTACAAAGACTTAGCTACAAAGTTGTTCAGTATATATTTGTTTAAAAATGAAAATATATATTGTAAAATTTTTAAAGGCTATGGAATAAATTATAGTGCATTCATTTGGTAACCATTTTATAGCCATTAAATAACAGTATTTTAGTAAATATTTAGTGATGTGCAAACACATATAGAATACACTATGTAAAATTAGTGAAAAATATTCAGAGTATATATGCCTATGTTGAAATTGGAATGAAATGTATTCAATTATTCATGACAGTTATCTTTAGGTGGTGGGATTTTAAAATTACTTTCCTGTATACTTACATTTTCTAAGTATTTATATTTATGATTGACATATCTGGTGCAGTATCCAAACTTCCCTTCAAAATTAAACTGCCACACTCATAGCCTTGTTCAGCAGACAGCTGCTCTTTGGGCATGGGTGGTTCTGATTGATCCAGGGAAACTTGCCTGGCCCCACATGACCTCATCCCTTAGGTTGGCTGGTGAATCTTGGGATGGCACTACCTTTCACGGGTTGTGAGAGAGGGAAAGATGGGGATAAAGGGAGGCAGAGAGGGAAGGAGGGTGAGATGGTTGATCCCTAAAGCTGCCTCCATTTGAATCGTTTCCTAGTGGCAATTAAAGCAGATATGTACCTTGCAATAACTACCCCACTTCTCATCTGTTTCTTGTAAACAACTACAAAAGCACAATACCAAGAAGCCTAATCTATTATAATCAGGAAATAATGCTAAATTTTGTTTTCAAATAAAGCTGTATCAGGGTAATATCTTTTTATGCTTTCTGAATTATAAAAAGATAATTAGGCATATTTCATATTCTTGGCATTCTGTTGAGCAGCATGTACTTTTCTCAAGAGATTAAAGTTGTCTGCTCTGCTTCTCTATTTTAGTAATTCTGAGCAAATAACAATACTGTTTTATTTGAAGCTTGTATAAGACTTTCCCCCTACATGTGAGTCTTAATCTTACAGAAATTCATTTATCATACCTCCTCCAATGCAGTTTTCTTTATTTACTAGTGCATATTCTTCCAAATGCATTTCTGAGAGTGGCATTTTAGTAACATCATTGATCTCCAGCCCAGTGTGCTTTGGAAACTCTGAGAATCTACATGTGCTCTGCAAGCAGGAAATATTGTGTTAGAAGAAATAATGATTGAAGGGATGGATGACCAGAAGGAAGAGATATTAATATCCGTTATGTATGTTTCTTCCTGTCTGTCATATGCTTAACACTGTGCCAGCCTCTGAGAAGTCATGATGATAAGGATGATTTCTATTCTTAGGGAGCTTAAAATAATGTTATGTTGGACTGGAAGTCATCAGGTTCAGATCCTCCCTACGAGAAATCTATTTTCATGGGTGATCCTCTCCTGAAGGCTGGCCTGACCACCCTAGGATATGTGAAGCTCTGGAAAAATACATGGAGCCTTTGTCTATATAAACAATTTTAGTCACCTCAAATCACTGTTTCGGTCCCATTCTGGAGGCCCAACCTCATGCAGTCCTTCAAAAGACATTCCACACCAGTCAGTAAGAGTAATCAGCTTGCCAGGGCACCTGAAGCCCTGGAATAACCCCACAGACGGGAATCTTAGAGCTCCTCAGGGCATCTAATTGGTTCCACACATGGGATAGAGGTTTGATTGAGATCCACGAGGGTCCCTGTCTTGGCATGGAAAGCCCTGCCTGGGTGACACTGTGGGCCTCACCTGTCTCAGGCACTGAAAGGGGACTAGAAAGTTTTGAGGAAGATCCTCCAAAGCACAGTCCCCATAAGGTGTGGGACTTGGGGCAGGAGTTCTTGCTCACCTAGGTCTAATGGCAGTACTAAAGGTAGACATTTCTCTTCATTTCCATTTTTCAGATGCCTTTCCCTCTGACTCACTTTGTCACATATATACCCACAGCATCCAAGGCACTAAACGTAATAAGTAATGACCTTGGTAATGGAAAATTCCACCTCCCTCCCTAGAGTCTGACATGCCATCACTACATTTCCAGACAGCTTATCATTAATGACAGCAGTATGAGCACATACGCATTTAAATTTACATTCCAAAGCTCCAGACAGATAAGGGAACATGGATAAAAGCTCTTGCTCCTATATTCAGACCATATGACTCCAATATATATATAGACATATTTTATTCCACAACCACTTAACTGTGAGGTCATGATGCTGATGAGCCACATGGATTTCTTCTTATAAACCAAGAGCCATCCAGCAAATCAGGATCACTGAGATATTACTACCTGGACAGCACATGAACTTTCAGCCAAGTGCTAAAGACCATAGGCAGAAGTTCTGGCAGCTGGAGCCCCAGAGGATGAAAGTGGGAAACTGAAAGGAGATGGAGTCTAGTGCATCCTTTGTCCCAGATACAAAGACCCAAGTATGAGCCCTGTGGAAAGAAAGATCACTAGCGAAAGCTGAAGGAGCCTCTCTTCTTAGACATTCAGTGGCATAAGGCAACTCAGTGTAGCTTTAGAGCACAGGAGATGAGATGTGGTATATATTACATTAAAAGGTCACTGTTTTCCTTTTTGTGGTGCTTTTTCACAGAGTGGACCCCTGACCTACAGTTGCATCTTGAGGCTTGGTGACTTAGGGGGTACTAGGAGATGGTACTCTCAGCTCAGGTACCAGTGTCCTCATAATGAACAATGGCAGAGATGACAGTTGTCAGGTTTTCAAGAGTTCTGAGGATGTATGAATATCAGCTATTTATAAATGGGCATGAGAAAGGGAGAATAGAAGAGGTGCAGAATTGAACTGTGGCTGACAGACATCAGATCTTTTATTCATACTCCAAATTGACATAATATTTAATAGAGATCAAATTTCTTCTTCTGCTTCCCAGAAAAATATTTCTTAGAAAGATGAAAAGAACTTAGGATTTAGCCATAGAACTGAATTCAAATCCTGGCTTTTCAGACTATGAATTGCCTTTTTTTTTTTTTTTATTAAAACCCACCTCCTACACAAGAATTAATAGTCTTTGAACAAGCCATTTGATCCTTTGGAGACTTAGTTTCCTCATCTGTAACATGTGGAAAATATTGACTTCATAGAGGTAGTACAAGGATTAAATATGCCTTATAAGTCTGTTACAAAATCGTTTGTGTTACTAGTCATATGGTCACTATTTTCTAAGAGCCTATAGTTATTGTGTTATTCAAAGGGTACATGAGGATATACTATCCTTGTTCTTCAAAAACATGGACTTATTTGCTGGATCCTCCCCCTGGTTGCCAGTTACAGTGGTAAATAATTGGGTGCAAGTGCTTGTTTTCTACAAACAGTTGTTGGAGGAAGAAAACTCATTTCTTCAAGCCCTTTAAAAGCTACAAAACACTAATGCATGTCTGTGTGCCAGCAGTTTAGAAATGAGAGTTCCCACATTCCTTGCTCCTGGTTTCATTAGTTCACCCGCTTTGTTGGTGTTAAGGTTTTATAAATAATCAAGACAGGATTGATTTGTTCCATTTCAGCAAACTGTAAAAGAAAATAGTCAAGAAATTACTTCCATCATCATTTCCCCACCAATCACATTACTCTTTAAAATTGGGCATAAGCCTATGTAGCCTTTCTCAATTAGGTAAATGATGATTTCATTTCAGTAATCTTCAGGGAAGTTATTTCTGGTTTTGTACAAACATGCCAAAATAATGCAGCAGCCTTCATAAAGAGTTCAGTTTGATTTCTCTCTGGCTGAAGGGATACTTAAGATACAGAAAGACCTGACCACCAGTATTATTAGGATTTATGGTGTTTAGTTAGACCTACCTGGATGTGGCCTACAGTGATGGAAGGAACATCGAGGCAAGAATCAGAGCACGCAGGGTGCTTAAAGGTCTCTGGTACTGGGGTTTAAAAGCCTCTTAGGCAGAACGCTGGAAATTCCAGACTAGGGCTGCCTTTTAGATATGAATAGAGAAAGGGACAAGAATCTTTAACAAGAGTAGACCTACTTTTGTAGGTTCTACATACTAGATATCCATATACAATCAATCTCATCCACCAATATAGTCTATAAAACCTTCTGTTGTCCAGATTTTCTCTATAACTTCCTAACTGATAGATCCTTGTACCTATGCCTGAATAGCTTCAGTGGCAGTTCTCCCAAGGCAGCTGTCTTTGGACTGGTATCCCTTATATTCTCTTCTAGTTCTATTAATCTATGCCAATGCATGAATGTAAACAGGAAATACAATGGTGTGAAGACATAGATTAAAGGCACTTGCCTACAATCTATAGCATCCCACAAAGTTACTTTTTTGTCTGTAGCCAATGCACACACAAACAATTTTAAATTTGTTTTTGTAATGTATTTTTAAAACGTGAAACTACCCCCTTTCTTTGACACAGGGTGTTGCTTTTTCTCTTCAAGAGAGAAAACATTCACATCAGGATTGATTTAATTTTTCCCCTTTTAAATCATAAACAGTCCTCGTACAAGAAACAGTAGCTGTTATTGATTAAAAGTTCATTTGCCTTGCCTGGGCTGATGATTGATACTTGGAGTACAGGAGGGGTGTTGGATTTGGGCTGGGGGATTGGAAGTGGGGCAATTTTGTCACATTACCTGTTCTTTATAAGAGTGTTAGTGTTGGAGGAAATTTGGGTTTGGGGAGAGAGCTTTTTTCTCTGTGTAAATTTTAGTAGATGTTGGTCTACTTTTTTGTTTTGTTTTGTTTCTTGCCATTGCTGGGTTCACCAGCTTTAAGTACCTGTAGTGCACATGAGCTTGTGAGAGGTCCTCTAAGTGGGCTTTTAATGGTCTGTTGAATAAAGCAGCTACCAGTTCAGGAAATGCATGCATTTTATAGGTGCATATTTTCAAAGCTTCTATTTGTGAGTGCCAGTTGAGAAGTGCCTTTTTATGTGTTCTTCACAGACCCAGTATAGCAATAAAGACTGCCTCTGGAAGCATTAAAAAGCAAAGAAGAAATTTCCATGTTCCATTTATGCTTCTAATATAAAAAATAATAATTTTGTGGTTAAAAAAATCTTACCTTTGGAAAGTTATTTGAGCCCATCAGAAAATTACAATTTCACAGGCGTGGCAGTCAGATTCATTGAATACATTAGTCAGTGATATTTGTAATCAAGGCATGGGATCTTAAAGAAGGTAAGAAGTAATTAGTAGTTACAACAAAACTCTTAGTCTTCAGTTTTCTCATTTTTTTGTGTTGTGAACATTACCTCCCTTTTAGTTTTTAACTGTAGCAAACATGTACCACATACTAGAGATCCTTGAACTTGTCAGTTAGCAGAACATCTGGAAGTAATAGCAACCTTTGCACAACACCATTTAATATTGACATATTAAATTTAAAATAACAGAATATATAATATGACACCAGGTTTTATTAGATATTAATAAAGGCAATGGGTAACAGCACCAAATATTTAAGAAAAAAATGTGGTGGGAAACCTTAGATTTGAAAGATATTTTATTAAATTTATTTTTCTGAAAAATTAAAAAGATTGCTATTATTCATATTTAATGGCACAGCACCCTGACTAAAATTATGGGAAAATGGTCTTCCATAGAAGGTATAGCTTGGTAACAAGTATCATGAGTACAAACACATGAAAATTTTGAATAAGTTTGTAGAGAGCTTATGTATTATAAGTTTGACTTTTTCAAAGTTGCTTTAAAGTTCCTGGAATTGTCTAAGCCAAAAACCAAAGGGAAAATACAAATAAGCAAATGCTGATGGATTTGACTACACACAATGTAAAACCAGTTTGTTGCATAAAACACTATAAGTAAAATTAAAAGGGAAAAAAAGACAAATTGGAAAAAATATTTGCAACATTTATTATAAAGCATTACTATAAAATGAGAATTTTTATAAATCAATAAGTGAAAGACTAATACTCAGGTAAAAATTGGTGGGCAAAAAACATAATAAGCTATTTATAAAAGAAGAAATACAAGCAGGCAATGTACACAGTAAAAATTATTCAACATTATTGCAACGAAATGCAATGAAATAACATTTATTTCTACCAGCCTGCAGGTTTAGGGAAGTGGATGCAGTCATACACTGCTATGTATGTTGGCGCAATTTTCAGAAAAATAGTTTGGGATCGTCTATCAAAAGGCTTTAAAATGTTTATACCTTTAATGTAATAAATAGTTTCAATTCCAGACCTGTTGCTATCTCTCATTGTTTCCCTTACACCAACAGTTTTGCTGGCATTCATGGTATCACTATTTGCAACTGAAAAATTATAAACAAGTCTCATTGTCTAATCCTAAAGAACAGATTAAGTAAATTGTGATGCAGCACATGATATCATACTATGAGCTGTGTAATTATTATGCTATAGATCTTTCCTTATTGATATTAATTTGTATTCTTAATATTAAATTTAAAATGAGCTTCAAAGATGTATTATGCTATGATTCTATTTCTGTTAAATTATATATTCAGATTCAAAAGCTGGAAGCTTGTATATCAACTGTTTATGCCATTTTATCTGGGTGGGTTGAATTACACGTGTTTATTTTGTTTTTCAGCCTAAACCTTTTTTTTTTCCTGTATTGATTATTTGTGTTAGACTGAGAAAAAAATGTATTTTAAGTTCCATCCTGCAGAAGCTGTCTAAGGAGATCAAATGACATATCTAGCTCAAGATATATCATTACCACTAACAATCTTTTTTTCCTCTAAACACAACTTCTCTTACAGATTCTTCCTTTCTAGAATGTTTTTCACCCATTTTATTCATGGGTCATCTCAGCCAGTGATGACTTTCATATTCTCCCAAGGGATCATAAGGTTTGTTTCTATGCAATAAACTCTCCCAATCACTAGTAATGAAATCAAACCACGCTAAATTAAGGTCTTTGTTAGAGAAAGGCCAAGTCAATGGATAGTTTTGTAGGATTTGAATGAATTGATGAAGAAATAAGTCAGACTCTTGGCTTTCATCTTACTTCCAGCCTCTGGAATAAGAATGTTAACTCAGCCAATTTAATGTTTAGGAAAATCAAAAAAAGAAAAAGAGAACAAAATTTTAAAACTTCCGTGTCCAAGCATTAAGATACTAACTGATCAAGTCAAGATTGCACCACTGCACTCCAGCCGGGGTGACAGAGCGAGACTCTGTCTCAAAAAGAAAAAAAAAGATACTCACTGATCTTATTTTTGAGCACCTATCCAAAGGAGATTAGAATGCTCAAAATCTGCTTAAAATGAATAAACTTGAAAGAAAAACAACAGAAACAATATACAGGTTTTGGAACTGGTGAGACCTTGGGTGCTCCTAGATCAGCCATGCATCTTGCAAGGCTCTGAGCCCTGTACTCTTCCATCCTTGCATCTTGTAAGCTGTGAGAATAGATGAGGCATTTAATCCTTCTGAGGTGAAATAATGCCAAAGTAAGGTTGTTAGAAATATTAAATAAAATTACATACATCTTGCATTAGACTATTGATAAATATCAGTTTCCTTCATCCCAGAAGATAAATATGAGGGCAGAGGAGGAGAAAGCAGGAAATCTCCCTCTTCTCTAACCCCCATGTTCAGAATTTCAGTGTGGTGGGGGAAATATATATGTGTTTGGAGGGAGATAAATAGGTATATGTTTGGGGAAGGAGAGAACATTTTAAGATAATTTTAACATCCATCTGAAAATAAGAACTAAGAAAAATCCATGGTCATAAAGTATAGTAACTACTAAGATATTGTAGAGCCCAGGAAAGCTTTGGGCCTGCAACACATAGATCATTATTTTTGAGAGTCAGCAGGTTCTCCCCTTGCCCTGCCTGCCAGATGGTGCTGAGCAATCTTAGCTATGCCACTGAATGCCTACTTCAGTCTTGCTCTTTGCCAAATGAGAACACAATATTTTTTATCTCTTAGAATACACCAACAAAATATAATGATTTTAAAAAATGCTTTGGGTGCTAGAGAAGGTAGTATTTCCACCCAAATTATTGTAGTTTTTGTCATTTTTGGTGTGGCTGAAGGTATGAGTTTTATCTTGGAAGTCCAAAGCTGGAAAAAATTCCATCTCAGTTCCAGTTAAAGTGAGAAATGCTATGGAGGAGACCTGAAATTTTAGGAGCTCTTGAAGCATGATGAGTAAATAGGTAGGAAGTTTAATGAAAAATAAACATTTTGTGATGGTGGGGGCTAAGTTTGTGGGTTGGGAAAATAGGAATGAACATATGGTGTGTACCTCAAATGGATGTGGTTTGAGAGAGTTGCTGTGAATTAGGCATATCACAAATGTGAAACACATCTACCACAAGGTCTACTATTGTGGGTTTGAATTTGAAATACTGAAGTGTTTCTTTAGGATCAAAGCTTTGGCAAGGGAAGGTGGGCACAGGGACAGGTTCCAGACTGGCCAGAAGCAAAAACTTCAACTTTTCCTCAGGAGACACGTAGTCTGAGAAAATGCTGTTGGTTGCTCAAGTATATATGTTCACATTTACTTTGGAGCATTTTTTTTTCCTATTGCTTAAGTAAAAATGCCTCTTCTTTAGAAATGAGCAATAGCTGGTAGCTGTTGATTTTCTGTCTCGGTGTCTCTTCTCCCCAGTCCTTTTGAGGCCTATTAGCACTTCCTGCCTGAACCCTCTGGAGGAAAGACAGAGAATATGCCTAATGAGTCGCAGTCTTTTTCTTCTACCATAAGCCTGGTTTATGAAGTCAAAATGGCAAATAAAATATGAATGCTCATGTATTTAGAGGAGAAGAGGACCTGGATAGACAGGTCACTATCTCAAAGCAAAGAGAGCAGGACCACTCGATTCCATCACAGCAGGAGCACCCAGCTGGCAAGGACAGCCCTCAGCATTCACACCAGATGTCTACTGAATCTTACAACCTTCTTGGGAAGTTAATTTTAAAATAAAGGCAAAGCACACAACTGGCAAAGTTCCTGTGATGGAAATTGGAAATGTCAGGGAACAAAGAACACAGGAAATAAAAGTTCTCTTTAGGTGCAGCTCCCTGAGCTACATCCAAGAAGAGTAAGGCAAAATCCCATTCCCTGCCACAAACCCACCACTCATCCTGAAGGACTGAAACCCGGAGAGTAAGTTGGCCTTATTTTCTCTGCACCTCTTGACAATTCCCCATTCCTGCTCTCACAGCTTTCTTTTATTCCCTCCAAATGGAGGACTTTAAATAAAGTCCTTTCTCCTGTTAAGTGCAATAGAAGACTAACTCCTTGAGGCAGGGATTAGATGTTATTTATATTTGTATTCCTACTGCCCAGCAAAGAGACCTTCATATAGTAGGTGCTCAATAAATGTTTGTTTATTGTATGCATGAACAGATGCATTCAATAATAATTCAAAGTGTGTGTGTGTGTATGTGTGTGTGTGTGTGTGTGTGTGTGTGTGTGTGCATGTGTTTTGGGTGGCAGTGGTGGGAAGACGTGTTCGAAGACTCTCCCCTAGGTCAGGGTACCTGGCATAAGACTGTCCATTTTATATGAGCTATCTCACTCACTCCTTCCAATCCTACAAGGTAGGTCATCAGAACTTCTCAGGAGATGGAGGCATGTAGAGGTTAATGTCACATGTGGGCTATTGAGGGCTGATATTTAAATTGAGCACGTGCTCCTTCCCTACTATGATGATTAAGACTCTCATTGATTACACCCTCTCAGATAATGATCCAGGCAGTGCTATGCCTACAAGATATGAGACTGGGTAAACCCCTTTATTGTGTAATTTTAAGAAAGGACTCCCAAAACTCAAATTGTTCCCACCTAATGCCTGAGAGACCAAATTCATTCTACGTTCCTTTCTGAAGGAATCTCTGGACTCCAGAATTAGCAAAGATTACTGGCATTGAATCTTTGGGTGTATTTCCAGCATTTCCTCTAACTGGATATAATACTATGTGAATCACTTTGCCTTTCTGAGCTTCAGTTTGTTCAGGTCTCCAAAAGGAGTGTACAACATTGCCTATTCTCTCACCACAGAGGAATGATATTGA
This sequence comes from Homo sapiens, assembly GCF_000001405.40. Classification (NCBI taxonomy): domain Eukaryota; kingdom Metazoa; phylum Chordata; class Mammalia; order Primates; family Hominidae; genus Homo; species Homo sapiens. The sequence continues at coordinate 170,348,468 of NC_000001.11, forward strand.
ATAAAAAATCCAATTAGATGAACTTCATAAAAAGATTTGAAATTTGCTAGATTGTTAAGAGAAGAGACCTGTCTTTTATTTTTGTAAACTTCACAACACCTGGGAAAGTGTTCAATAAATTTGTGAAATGGAGGAGTTAGGATAACTTCATATTCAAATACAAAATTTTCATTTCTCTGGTTCAATTTAGAAAATTGTTAGTACAATCAGAAATAACAAAGATAGAAACAAAAATAGCCAGTCAATTTTATACTCTATTTCTCTTTCTACTAGATCAGGTGTTATCAACCTAATATAAGAATAAGCAAAAGATTTATTCAATTGTCCTCAGTGTTAGAACAAGATCGACAAGCTTAAGTGCAGGTGCCTGGCCTATCTGGTACAAGTTTACTAGTCCTGGTTTCTGTTTTACCATATTCTCCTGTATGTAGTCCTTCTCTTGTGATCAGTGCCATCCCAGATGAAGTCTTTGGTTCTTAGAAACAAGAATTCTTGGTTAAAACGAAATTGCCAACATCAGCCTATGTGAATAGCCACCCCACAAGTTATGAATAAAGAAGGTCTTCAGAGCCACTGTCATGTCCTTCAAACAATAACCAGCTTTTAGGAGACCATTTTTCTTTATTATGCCTCAACAATTGCCACTCTTCTTACCTAACTCAAGCTGTTTTCTTAGGCTTTTTCTTCAACATTCCCTATGTAACATAGTACAAGGCTTGTAATATAAACTGAAAATAGAAAGGAGAAAAAGATGATAATCACCTTGATGGCAGTAGAGCAGAATAAATAGATAAGTTAATTTTACCAGGTTTTTGAAACTGTAAGTAGTTTTCCCTTCACATTCCAAGGTAGCTAATATATTTTGTTTTCTTGATTGAGGGCTTTAGAATTTCAAGGAAGCAAGCAGAACCCAACAGATGCTCATAAGACAGCCATTGCGTTGATTGAGTTTTGGAGCTGAGCTCATTGAGGGGTGTAATAATAGATTGTTTCAAAGGGATAGAAGTGAGTTCTGGGAGGATTTGAAAGTATCTGGGTAGGGGAGAGATTTAGGGAGAGTCTCTCAGAAAGAAAATGGGAGTCTTGCAGGTCTAGGGAGCTTGGGAAGACAGTAGCCTGCCTGCTCTCTTTCAATGGCCTCTTCCTTTCCAGTGAACTGGGGAGGTGGCAATAACTTAGAGGACGCTGGTTTCCTGGTATATTTAAGAGGACAGTTTGGATATATGGAAGTTCCTAGCTTCAGCAAAAACACTAGAACCCAAGGCTGATATGGAAGTAGCAGGGCTGCCCACCTTCAAGGGCACAGGTGTGCTTGGACGACAAACATATCAATGGTGACCAATGCCAACCAAAGACGAAAAGGTTACTCTTAATGTTCTGAGCTGCCTAAGACTCTCACAGTTCTTGAATGATACCAGAGAGGTGAGATATTTCCTCTCTCACTATTCTCCAGGAATATCCTCTACCAATGTTACAAATGTCTGGGTTTTTATCTTCTAATATCCTAATTAAATTAGTTTTGGAAAAATAAATTTATTTGCCATTTATTGCACCCTGGAATTATAAATTAAAGTTCATACTTGTTACAAAATCAATATATAAGTTTAGGTCTAAGAATAGGTTATACAGCCCATGTAAAAATATGTGTAAGCAATTTACTAACATAAAAAAAACCTCCTGATTCATAAATGTGGCTATAAAAAGACCTTTGGGAAATCCTGGCAGGGACTTTCTTTAGGACTCAACATTCAGCATCTTATTTAATTCCTGCTTATATTGATTTTTTTTACTAAAATTGTTTATTTCCTAAGTTATTTATACACGTTAACTAACTTAGCCACCTAATAAGCCCATGAGGTAGCTAATATTATTATCATTTTACAGATCATGGAACATGAGTGGCAAAGACAAGACAAAACAATATAAGTCAAAAGACCCAGCACTTTTGAGTCCTCAACTGTAAGAGACCCCACTGTCTTTAAGAATGGTCCAGAAAAGCTGTGTGTGTTCCCACAGACTAGCAATTATTGATTCTAGCTCGTATGACAGGTGTCTTGGCAAACAGGAAATGGATGACAGAGCCTTATAACAACTGTAATTTTAAGAGACAAATCAAGAAGACATGAGTATTGGATGAGGAACAGATGGCTTTCATCTTCCATTACTACAGCACATAGGAGAATGCATCAAGTCCACGTGGGTGTCAGAAAACAAAAATCTCTTTGTGTATCTAGCACTTAACACTCTCTCTTCTGCTTCAGGAAAAAAAGTAAACATGCCACAATAATTGAACCTGCACACTTAAGGTTCTAATAATCAGATTCTCATGAAGAGGAGAGGGGAGAGAAAGAAGAAGAGGAATTAAAAAGGAGGAGGAGGAGGGAAGAAAGACAGAAAGAAAGACCAACAACATTATTTTGTTCTTTGTTTCCATTGCCTCTTCATGGCTGAATCACCAAGTGGCACACAAATATTAACTCTGAAAGATATGTGGAAGTGTGAAGCATAATCTTTATGATTCTGACAGCTGGTGATAAGCAGCAGCTGGGTTCATGAGTTCCATAGCCTTTGTGAGTATATTGTTAAAGCATTTCGAAGGAGGAGAATTAAAAAATTAACTCTCCCTTCAAGCCTTGCCTACCCTGAAATATTTGTTAATAAATTGGAGTAATGCATTCATTAAGTCATGTGCATTTATATGCTTTTCAATCAGATCCTCATTCCTCCCATCCATTCTCTACACTTTTCTTTTTCTTTCCTTGGTGGTCGCCAAAGCATCAGAACCACCCCACCTCTCCAATTCCTAAGCTGCTCTGCATACACAGCCTCCCTTAGATCAGCCCCTAGTGGGCCTAGGTATCTTGATTCCAACAATAATTGACTGAGCTCCCATGCTCCCATTTTCCTTCCAGCGATTCCTGTGGTTTAAGCCAAATACTATGTAGCTCTAACTACTTAAAACAGAGCCTCTGATTAGGACACAGAAAGTTATAACAATTGGATGCAAAGCTCCTGTTCTGAGAGTGACCAACATCCTGGCCTCTGACAAACAGCCAGTCCAAACATACTGGAGACCAAATGGAGCTTTAGTGGAAGGGTGGTTAATTGTGTGTTGGTTCCCATGGACAGAGTCCATGTTTCCTTGTGTCATTTGCAGAATATCCAAGAAGAATTATAGGAGAGGCTAGATGAAAGCCTTGGTATGAGTGATAAATAGGGATGAGAGAAGCAGAGAGTGGTTGGGTTAGATGAACTTGTCAGAAGGTTACTTGTGGACATTAAAGCTGGGCAATGTGCCTTGTGTGGCCTGAATATAGGCCCTTGCTTGGATTCTAGAAGCCCTATTTTCTTAGGCTCAACATTAGGATCCAATTACCTGCAACAGAGCTTTATTTGATCCACTTGAATTTCTATTTGTCTACAGATATTTGTTGAGTAGCTTCCATGTGCGAATCACCAAGTGCCAGAACTAAGCAATGAAAAAGACAGCCAAAGGTTTTTTTTTTCCTCCAACTTGGTTTGATTCCAGTTGGAAAAAAACAGAAAACTGATAATTAAACAAGGTTACTTTGGGTCATAATAAGTGTTATGAAGAAAAATAAAGGAGTTAAACTGGGAGACATGCTAGAGAGTACTGGGATGCTAGAAAACCACTTTAAGTTTGATGTTCAAGTGAAGCCTCCCGTACCGAAGAGAAATATACTTAAGACTTTAAAGATGCAAAGGAGCCAGACATAGTACAGGAAGACATGGGTGGGTGCGTGGGGGGATCACGGAGAGTATTTGAAAGGAAAAAAGTACTACACAAGACAGAGTTAAGGCATGACCTTCAAGATCTGTATGTTTGAAAGGAGGCCCTGTGGCTGGAGCCTCATGAAATAGGTAGAGAGGAGAACTAGATAAGGTTGGAGAAGCCAGCAAAAGCCACATCTTGTAGGTCTGTAGGCCATGGTAGAGTTAAGATTTTATTCTAAATGCAATGAGAAGCTTCTCAGCAGTGTGGCCACAAAAACCACATTCTTCTTTCTCCACTACAACTCAGTAGTCCTCTCATAAGTTTGCATTTGACAATCTGATAGCTACATTAAGGATATCAAAACCTAATCTTTGGCCAGTACTGAATTGTTCCTTTCTGCTTTGCTTTGTGTAGTTCTCACAATCTCTTAATGCTCATTCCAGATTTTACTTTGCTTCTGTTCTATATTAGTTTCTGTCCAATTAGCCATGGGCATGTTACCTGTGGGTGGAATCATGTTTTGCCCATATGCCCTGTTTAGAATTACAGTGAGTGTTTATTGTTCAAAATGGTACTACACTGATAAGAATCTATGCGAATGCATCATGGACTCTAAGAATATAGGATTACTGACTATTCACTCATGGCTCTTTACATCAAGCCCTCTATAGTAAGGATCAGTTGTCGTCTCATTTGGCACACCCAGCCTCGTAACTTCTTATAACTTATTATTCTCTTACCATTAATGCAAGAATATAGACATTAATTCAAATGAATGGCATCTGGAGATTGATTTTACCTTCAATAGTTATCCATGGTGGGAAGGCTATGAAGGATGTCTTGCTAAGAAATGGGCACATGATACCATTCTTTGTCTGCTGCTGGATTTAGATAAACAGTTTTATGTGAAAGGAACAAATTGGGATTTTAACCCACACCTTCCAGTGTTAATAAGAAACTATGTATTAAGTTTCATATTAACTGTGAGATAAGACAATGGACCTTCAGCTAAATACTGAGTAAAATCAGAGACTCAAGCCTGGAACTAGTTTTCCCGAAAACATACATCGAACAGTTTCTGCTACATAATTTCACAGAAGTATTGGCAATCTGACATTTCCTAGGCATCTGGGCTCATGAATATTTAGATAGATAGAATGCTGAATACTTGATTGAATGATGACATCTGGCACTCCTAGATTAAATGATGCTTCTAGTTCTAAGAGAAATAAAATAGGTTACTATGAAGGATATTAACTTTTATATAGGATTCACTTATTAATGAGAAAAATTTATTCTCTATCAGTCCAACAAGTTTTTTCTAGGTACTAACCTTGTGCAAGATAATGTGCTAAGGTCTAGGAAAACAGTATGAAGTTCCATATTTACGACTTTGTACCTGATATTTGCTGGTTTCTTAGGAGGTTGTTTTTAAAGCCATAGGTATCATTCAAAATGTGTCTACTGAGAAATTTCATGATCTTATCTGATACATTGCAAAAAATATATTTTAATTAAAATCAGAAGCCCAAGGATCTAGGGGTTAAATTGACCCTCAGGAAATTTCTGGAAACTTACAGGGCCAAGGTGAACTCATAGATCCCAGTTTAAGACAGTTTAGTTAAGGACCATCAAGTATTATTATTATGTGTGAAAAATTTTTATACATCTTGTCTTTCGATTTCTAAGGCACACAGTATAGATGTCAATTATAGGTAAAGCATATTTGCATTTCCTAAACCCTTGTTTCCTTCTCATTACAAACTATGTGTTTATGCCAGGTTGTTAGTGCCATACAGAATGCTTAGACTTTGACATTCCATACTTTAAAGTGTGAGCTATTGTATATTTCCCTAATATTTATATCTTACTGTTTTTTTTGAAACACAAATTCTCTGCCTTGATGCTTCATTTCTTCACTAGCACCTCCACACCCTTATCCTGAATCCAAGAACCACATCAGTTCAGGTCTTAATGACCGCAGTACCTACTATACATAAGTCTTTTCTCTAAAAATAACAAATCATCCAGAACTGATAGCTGCTCATGGAAAGTCCATTACTTTGTTACTTCTGGCAGGCGCATGTATTTTTCTTTGGCTGGCTAGCCTAGTGGTGTTTCCAGCAGCTCGGATAACTGGCAACCCTGCATAATTCCTTCTGTTAGGCCTGTCAAAGTCTTGTCTGACACAGGTAAACTGGACATGACTATACAAATCCAGAAGGGCATACAGTGCCACTCTGAACTGTCACACCCTGCCAGATAGTCTCCCTAGTGTATCAGTGACTGGTTAGAGCGTTCTGGGCCCAGCATAGTTCTTCTCCATGAGATAAGATTTCTGCAAGCAGGACTTTGCCCTCAAGGTTTACGTTTTATTTAAAACTTAAGGCTCCAAAAGCTTTGGGTCAAATTCCATTGCCATTTATTTTCCCTTGCCATTTCGGATTGGACTGTCCCCCAGGGTCCCTTTCTTGAGCCTTGGACCTATCACTCCCCAGTCGTGTTTCTGACCTTTTCACTCTTCAGCCCTAAGTGCGTTATTTTGATCCACATGCTGGCTTTCCCTTCCAGGGCAATTTTGAATAAACTTGTAAATAGAGATCCAAGTAACTTTTTCACTTTCATTTCATGGTATTAGTCACTTCTATAGTTCCAGAATCCCCTCCTTACCCTTGCATTGGACTGCCCTCAGAGGAGAAGTCACTGGCTTTCCCACATTCTTCTGAAGTTGATTGACCAAGCATGGGAAATCCAGAAATTTGCGCCATGAAATATTCCTACAGTTATGTGTTGTGTTCTCTCTAGTTTCTATCATGCTAAATGGCCCTTTAATACATCTTTGTTTTCTCCTAGACAAAAACTCTCTTAAAGAAGTAGTGCCTATAATTTTTACTCAGTACTGTGCTTCATGCATACAATAGACTCAACAAGTTATTTATTAAATTGAATTTAAAAATCAGCATCATAAACTCATTAGCTCTAATTTGAGTTTTTAACATAACCTGGTTCATTGATGGCTTTCTCTTTAAAGTTTCTATTTTAGAGAATTTGTATTTTTTCAAGCCTGAAAGCTTTAAAAATAGGAGGCTGAAGAATTCTATTGTTAGCCAAAGTGATTGCTGTGTTTTAATTTCAAGGTAAAAATGTACATTGCTTCATCTGTAGCCTGAGTGTAGATTTTATGTTTGGCTCTTTCAGATAAATTTACCTTATAAAAGGTCACCTAAGATAGCAGAGAAAAGCTGCCATTCATCCTTACTAAAAATAAAACTCTAGGCTTAATGGAGCACAAGATGTCTCCCTTGCATGAAATGTAATGTAGCTAGGATAGAATTCTCTGTTGGGTTTTTCTCAGAAAATGACCTATTTTCCTTCTCTTTCTCTGAAGCATTGGGTATCTGCCAATTCATTCAGATTCTGCAGGCATCTGGTAAAGCTCTGACTTGATTGCCTTGGTCAGATTGGATAGAAGCAGACCCAGGTGTTGCTCTTCTAGGCATGGTTTCCATACTACCTTGAAGTTGATCTACTCTGTAAGTTCAATCACCTTGAAAATTACCCTCTAGTTTTCCATCAATCACATTGCCTCAGTTAGTCAGTTTTTTAGCTACTTGGATTTTGCGTGAAATATTTATTAAATTAAATTACACCAATGGACTCTGAGATTCACAAATATGTTGTAGATACACTTATAGTTACTCATCTGACCGAATTTTTTCCTGAGGAAAAAAAAAATAGTCAAAGGACTACCTTCTATGAGTGGTCTTCTAGACTGCAAAAATCCAGATCTTGTCAGGATTCCATAATTTAATTAACAGAGTTCTGACTGACTTTGATTTGGGGTGAAGAGCCTTAAAGAGTAGTATTAGTCCTTGGTTGCCAAAATGTCAAGTGTAACTTCAGCATCTTTTTATTGTTAAGACTAAGCATAAACAGAGGTATTTTTGGAGTTAATCACATTTCAAACCATGTAGAGTTTTCAAGTCTGTGTTTGTATATACCATGGCAATACTTTGAAGGAATTCTTGACCATACCAATTATTATTGAAAGTTTCTACATGGGTAAGTGGACTGCCTCAGGTAGACCAAAGATTTATTTGAACCATTTTGTTTATTCACAAGAGAAAGGTTTCAAGTTTTCATATGTTTTATCTGTGAACAACTTTCAAATGTGTAAAATGGCCTGTGAACATGTCCAAAGTAACACCCTTCGACTCAAAAACTCCCAAAAATGTGAGAATTCACTGATGGTAACAAAGCCCAATAAGGAGTTTTAAAGTAAGCAAAGGGGCATAAAATTATGAAATCTTACCAATAGCTTACAAGCAGAAGTGTGGTTACCTAAATACCATCCATTTACACACACTCCTCATAGAAATTCCTGCAGGCTCTTGAAAAGGAAAAGAACAACTTTCATGCTGTAGAAACACAAGAGATGGAGGCAGTAGTAATGCTATAGGACATCAGGTGGAGGTCTAACAGGTGTACAAGCCTCAAAACTTCCTTGAAACAGAAGGCTTTCAGAAAAATAGAAACCTATGCAGTTTCTTTCTACCTCTACTGGCTCATATTGGATTGATTCTCACTTTCACAATTGCCTGATACTGGTTGCATGAGTAGGAGCCCTAGCCTAGGAAGGAATGTGGTAGAGGTAGAAAAGTATCACTTAGTTAGCAGTATGTTATATTCTGTTTTGTTTGTTTACAGTTTTCTGTGTTATTATGGTCTCACCAACTAGAATGTGTATCAGTGGGCAAGGATAGATGGCATATATTAATACTACCCTCTCTACAGCAAAAAGCAGAACACATTGTTCTATGTAACCACATTCTGGAGCCAGGAGTTTGAATTCTATCAGTCTGTGCCCCCTCTACTTTTTATTATCTCCCCTATCTTTGTCTCTTTTTAACTCTCCCTTTATTTGCATGCCAGTCCCATTCTCTCAGGCCAGCTTTAAACATGGCTGCCAGCAGAATACAAGTTCGCATCTCAGCTTTGACACAAAAATTAACAGAATCAAACAGTACTTTTTGTATTGTAGTAAAAATGCACCACCATGTTCCACAGTCTCCCTAAGAGCGATTACATCTTGAAGACCTTTCATCCGCAAGTGAAATGTCAACATAGAAATCTTAAGTATTTTAGAATATTTAAGAAAGAGACTTTTTCAGTTAACATTATTAAATAAAATATAACTTTTAGGAAAAATACAGTAAGATGGCAAATATAATGTTCATACACTGCTGGTGGGAACATAAAGTGGATAACCACTTTGAATAATAGTTTTTCAGTATCTTAAAAAATTATGTCTGGGCGTGGTGGCTCACACCTGTAATACCAGCACTTTGGGAGGCCGAGGCGGGCAGATCACCTGATGTCAGGGGTTCGAGACCAGCCTGGCCAACATGGTGAAACTCCATCTCTACTAAAAATACAAAAATTAGCCAGGTGTGGTGGCACATGCCTGTAATTCCAGCTGCTCAGGAGGCTGAGGCAGAAGAATCACTTGGGCCTGAGAGGCAGAGTTTGCAGTGAGCTGAGATAGAGCCACTGCATTTCAGCCTGGGCAACAGAGCAAGATCCTGTCTCAAAAAAAAATTATACATCTACAGTATAACTCAACCTTTCTACTCCTAGGTATTTACCCAAGATAAATAAAAGCGTATATTCAGAAAAGGTAAATACACAAATACTCATACCATGTTTATATGCAATGGCCTAACTCTAGTGACAAACCAAATGTCAAACAACTGGTGAATGGATAAAATTTGTGGTATGTTTATACAATGAAGTAGTCATTAGGCAATAAAAAGGAATGCACCACTGATATTTACTACAACATGGATGAACCTCAAAATAATTATGCTTTTGTACAGGTGGAATTATACAATATGTACTAATATGTATAAAAGTATGAAAAAGTATGAAAAGTATGGAAAAAGCAAAGTAATCTTTAGTGACAGAAAGCAAATCAATGATTGTCTGGGGGAATGGAGGCATGTGAGAAAGGGTAGGTGAGAGAGATTATAAGAGAGCATAAGGTAACATTTGAGTTGATGAATATGTTGAGGACATAAGGAAACATTTGAGTTGATGAGTATGTTCATTATCTTAACTGCACTGATGGTATATATAGCCATATATATATACATATATACATATATTTATATATATATACACACAGAAATTTATCAAATTATATGCTTCAAACATATTCTTTTTATTGTATGCAACTAAATCAAAATAAAACAGTTAAAACTTATGTGGGGCTCAACTAAAGCAATGCTTAGGGAAAAGATTCAATAATATATTACTGAATACTTATATTAGAAATGAAGGAAGGCCTGGTGCAGTGGTTTATGCCTTTAATCCCAGCATTTTGGGAGGCTGAGATGGGAGGATTGCTTGAGGCCAGGAGTTTGAGACCAGCTTAGGCAACAGAGCGAGATCCTGTCTCTGTAAAAAATAATTTTAAAAATTAGCTGGGTGTAGTGGTTCACACCTGTGGTCCCAGTTACTTGGGAGGCTGAGGCAAGAGGATTGTTGAACCCAGAAGTTTGTGGCTGCAGTGAGCTATGATTCTATGATTGTGCCTGGGCAAAATAGTGAGACCCTGTTTCTAAAAAAAAAAAAAAGGAAGAAAGAAAAGAGAGAAGAAATGAAGATACTGATGAGCAAATAAAACACAAAGCCAACAGAAGAAAGGAAAAAATAGAGAAGAACAAAACTAATGCAATTTAAAAGATAAAATCAATAAAGTCAATGAAACCATTGACTTTACTGGTTTGTTACTTGAAGAGATCAAAAAACTTAAACTTTTTTATTAGACTGATTAAGAAATAAAGAAGATACAAATTACCAACATTAGGATTGAAAGAAGAACATCATGTGACCTACAAAAATTAGGAGGTCAATAAAAGCATATTATGAACAACTTCATGCCTATACATTTGACAGCACATGTGGAAATGGACAAATTTCTTAAAAGACAGAAACTAATAAAACTTATTCAAGAAGAAATAATGTCAATAAATAGCTCATTAATTAGTAAAGTAATTGAACTAGAACCTAAAAGTGTGCACCCTAAAAATTCCAGGACCAGATGTCTTCACTGTTTAATTCTACCAAGAATCTATGAAAGACATAAATTTTACAAGAATTCTGCCAAAAAATAAAAAGGAAGGAACACTTTCCAATTCATTTTATGAATCAACATAGCCTTGACATAAAAACCAGACAAAGACATTACAATGTAAGAAAACTGTAGCCCAATATCCCTCATGATCATAGATGCAAAAGACCTTGACAAAATTTTAGCTAACTGAATCCATCACCATATAAAATTAATAATATATTATTATCAAGATGCTTCTCAGGAATTCAAGGTTGGCTTAATATTCAAAAATCAATCAATCCAATTAATAACTCAACAGACTAAAAATGCATAAAATTATCTTCCTTGATGCAGAAGAGCTTTTTTTCAAATTCAAAACCCTTATTGATAAAAATTCTCAGCAAACCAAGAGTGGAAGAGAGTGTTCTTAACATAATCAAGGACCGCTATGGAAAAATCACAGTTAACATGCTTAATGGTGAAAGCCCGAAGCCTTTCTCCCTAAGATCAGGAGCAGCACAAAGCTATCTGCTCTCATCATTTCTATTTAACACTATACTAGAGTTTTTAGACCAGAGTTTCTCAACATCAGTATATTGACATTTTGGGCCTGATAAATTTTTGTTGTTCTTGAGCTGGCACATGCATTGTCGTATGTTAGCAGTATCCCTATCCCTGGCTTCTCTGCACTAGATTCCAGTAGTACTTGTGTCAACAAAAACTTTTTCCAGATGTTGCCAAAGGACTCTTGAGGAGAGACAAAATGATTACCAGTTGAGAATCACAGTTCTAGAAAGTGTATAGTGAGAAAAACAGGAAGAGAAAAGAACCAAATCAGAGAGGAAGAAATAAAATTGTCTATTTTCAGTGCATTATTGTCAATGAAGAAAATTCTGAGAAATCTCAAAGAAAAGGCACAAGATCTAATACATGAGTTTAGTGAAGTTGAAAGATACAAAGAAATATACAGAAATCAGTAGTATTTCTATATCTGACAATAAACAATGAAAAGTTGAAATTTAAAATTACCATTACAAAAGCATAAAAAATATGGAAATACTTAGGATACCTTTAACAAGGTATTTGAAATACATGTACATTGAAAACTCAATATATTGTGAAGACAGATTTTTAAAAACCTAAATAAATGAAGAGATATACCATTTTAATAGAACAGAAAACTGAATATTGTTGAAATAGTAATTCTTCCTAAATTAATCTGTAGATTCAATGCAAATCTAATCAAAATACCAGCAAAATTATTTTATAGAAAGTAAAAAGCTAATTCTGAAATTTATATGGAAATTCAAGGACTTAAATATAGCATAAAAATGTACATATATATGTGTGTATATATAAATACACACACATAAATAAAAGGACCAAGTTAGAGAAATTGCACTATCTATTTTCAAGGCTTACTATAAAACCACATTAATCATGGTAGTGTGGCCAGGCACAGTGACTCACACCTATAATCTCAGTACTTTGGGAGGCCAAGGCAGGTGGATAGCGTGAGCCCAGGAGTTCAAGATTAGCCTGAGCAACATGATGAAACCTCATCTCTAAAAAAAATACAAAAAAATTAGGCGGGGGTGGTTGCATGCTCCTGTAGTCCCAGCTACTTGGGTAGCTGAGGGAGGAGGATCGCTTGAGCCCAGGAGTTGGAGGTTGCAGTGAGCTATGATTGTGCCACTGTGCTCCAGCCTGAGCAACAGAATGAGATCCTGTCTCAAAAAGAAATTATGGTAATGTGGTGTTGTAAAAATAATACACATATAGATCAATAAAACAGAATTGAGAGTACAGAAATAAACCAAGACACATTTGGCCAATGATTTTTATTTATTTATTTGTTTATTTTCTTGATATAAAATATTTTACATATTTATGGAGCACATGTGAGTATTTATTACATGCATAGAATGTGTAATGATCAAGTCAGAGTATTTGGGACATCTATCACTTTGAGTATTTATCTCTATGTGTTGGTAAAATTTCAAGTCCTCTCTTCTAGCTGCTTTGGAATATACACTATATTTCTGCTAACTTAGTCACCCTACTCTGCTATCAAATATTGGTGTTCTTTTTCTTCTATCTAACCACTAATCAATGTCTCTTTGTCCTCCCATCTCCACCCACACACCCTTCCCAGTCTCTGGTACCTATTATATCTATTCTCTACCTCCATGAGATCAACTTTTTTAGTTCCCACATACGAGTGAGAACATGCAATATTTGACTTTCTGTGCCTAGGTTATTTCACTTAATATAATGACTTTCAGTTCTATCCATGTTGCTTCAAATGACATAACTTCATTTTTTTATGGCTAATGGTATTCTATTGTGTATATATACCATTTTATTTATCCATGCATCTGACAGTGAACACTTAGGTTGTTTTCATATCTTTGCTATTGTGAATGGTTCTGCAATAAACATGCCAGCACAGGATCCCTCGATATACAGATTTGTTTCTTTCTTTTTTTATATATTCAGTAGTGGGATCACTGGATCACATGGCAGTTCTATCATTTTAGCTTTTCAAGAAATCTCTATATTTTTATAATGGTTTTGCAAATTTACATTTGTGCCAACAGTGTATAAGGCTTCTCTTTTCTCCACATCCTTACCAGCATTTTTTGTCTTTTTAATGATAGCCATTCTAACTGGGGCAAGATGTCATCTCATTGTGGTTTTGATTTTTGTTTCCCTGATGATTAGTAATGTTGAGTATTTTGTCATATACCTGTTGGTCATTTATGTCTTCACTTGAGAAATGTCTATTCAGGTCCTTAGCCCACTTTTTAATGGGGCTAATAGTTGAAAAACTATTTTTTTTTTTACTGTTGAACTGTTTGAATTCCTTGTATAATCTGGATGTTAGTCCCTTGTTGGATGAGTAATTTGCAAATATTTCCTCCCATCCAGCAGGTCATCTCTTCACTCTATTGACTGTGTCCTTTGCTGTGCAGAAGCTTTTAGGTTAATATAGTTTTATTTGTCTAATTTCATTATATTTGTCTGTGCTTTAGCCACGAAATCTTTCCCGAGACTGACATCTTGAAATATTTTTTAAGTTCTTTTTTTTCCTGGCAATTTTATAGTTTCAGGTTTTGTATTTAAGTCTTCAATCCATCTGATATAATTTTTGTATGTGGAGGAGATATAGGTCCAGTTTCATTCTTCTGCATATAGGTATTCAATTTTCCCAACCCCATTTAATGCAAAGGGTATCTTTTCTCAGTGTATGTTCTTGATGCCTTAACTGAAAATCAGATGGCTGTAAATACATATATTTATTTCTGAACTCTATTCCATTGGTCTAAATGTCTGTTTTTGTACCAATACCATGCTGTTTTGGTTACTATGGCCTTGTAATATATTTTGAAGTCACATAATATGATGCCTCTGACTTGGTTCTTTTGCTCAGAATTGCTTTGGCTATTCTGGCTCTTTTTTGGTGCCATATGAATTTTATGACTGTTTTTTCTATTTCTGTAAAAAATGATGTTTTGATAGAGATTTCATTAAATTTGTAGATTGCTTTGGGCAGTATGGTTATTTTAAGGGTATTAGTTTTTGTTTATCCGTGAAGATGGGATATCTTTTCATTTCTTTGCATCATCTTCAAATTTTTTTTTCATCAGCGTTTTGTAGTTTTACTTGTAGATGTCCTTCACCTCTGGGTAAAATTTATTTCTAGATATTTTACTTTATTGTGGCTATTGGCAATGAGATTGCCTTCCTGACTTGGTTCTCAGCTGAATTGTTGTTGGATTATAAAACGACTACTGATTTTTGTACATTGATTTAGTATCCTGCAACTTCCCTACATTTATCAAAACTATGAGTTTTAGTTGGAGACTTTAGGTTTTTTCAGATATAAGATCATATCATCAAAAAGAGTGTCAATTTGACTTCCTCTTTACAATTTTGTGTCTTTTATTTCTTTCTCTGGCCTGATTGCTCTGGCTAGGACTTCCAGTACTATGATGAATAGAAGTGGTGAAAGGGGGCATCCTTGTCTTGTTCTAGATCTTAGAGGAAAAGCTTCCAGGTTTTCCTCATTCAGTATGATGCTAACTGTGGGTTTGTTATATAAGCTCTTTATTATTTTGAGATATGTACCTTCTATTCATAGTTTATTGAGAGTTTTTTTTTATCATAAAGGGATATTAAATTTTATCAAATGCTTTTTATGCTTCTTTATTGATTTGTATATGTTGAGCCATCCTTGGCATCCCTGGGATAAATCCCACTTGATCGTGGTGTCTTCCTTTTGATCTGCTGTTGTATTCAATTTGCTAGTATGTTGTTGATTTTTGAGTCTAGGTTCATCAGGGGTATTGGCCTGTAAGTTTTCTTTTCTTTTCTTTTTTCTTTCTCTCTGTCTCTCTTTGTGTGTGTGTGTGTGTGTGTGTGTGTGTGTGTCCTTGTTTGGTTTTGGTATCAGATTAGTGCTGGCCTCATAGAATGAGTTAGGAAAAGTTTCCTTCACTTTGAGTTTTTGGAATAGTTTCAGGAGGATGGTATAGTTCTTTATATGTTTTGCACAATTCGACTGTGCATTCTTCCTGTCCTGTCTTTTTTATTATTATTATTGATTAAATCTTGCTACCCATAATTGGTGGATTCAGGTTTTCTATTTCTTTCTGATTCAATCTTGATAGTTTATAGGTTTCTATGAATTTACCCATTTCCTCTAGGTTTTCAGTTTGTTAGTATATATTTTTTCATAATAATCTCCATTGACCTTTAATATTTATGTGGTGTCTTTTGTAATGTCTCCCTTTCTTCATTTCTGATATTTTAAAATTTGGGTCTTCTCTGGTTAGTCTAGCTAGTGGTTTTTCAATTTCTTTTACCTTTTTGAAGAACCTAGTTTCTGTTTTTTAGTCTCTATTTCACTTAGTTCTGCTCTGATCTTTATTGTTTGATTGCTTCTGTTAATTTGGGTTTGGTTTGCTCTTGCTCCATTTAGTTCCTTGAGGTACATGTTTGGTTGTTTATTTGAAGTATTTTGACTTTTATATAGGTATTTTTATACAGGCATTTATTGCTTCCCTCTTAGCATTTGCTGTATCCCACAGGTTGGAGTATGTTTTGTTTCCATTTTCATTTATTTCAAGAACATTTTTTATTTCCATCTTAATTTCTTCATTCTTAATTCTTTGTTGACCCAAAGGAGGTTCAGGAGTATGTTGTTTACTTTCTATGTATCTGTATAGTTTTCAAAATTACTCTTAGTATTGATTTCCAGTTTTATTCATTGTGATGTGAGAAGATACTTTATATAATTTTGATTTTTTTTTAATTTGAGACATATTTTGTGGCCTAACATATGGTCTATCCTGGAGAATGTTCCATGTGCTGATGAGAATAATGTATCTTCTGTAGTTTTTGGACAAAATGTCCTGTAAATGTCTGTTAGGTCCATTTGGTCTAATGTCCAGTTTAAATCCTGTTTCTTTATTGATTTTCTGTCTAGATGATCTGTCTAACTCTTAAAGTAGAGTGTTGAAGTCCCCCACTATTATTGCATTGGAGTCTATTTTTCTCTTTAGATCTAGCTATATTTGCTTTGTAAATCTGGGTGCACCAGTGTTTGGTGCATACTTATTTAGAATTGTTATTTCTTCTTGTTGGATTGATCTCTTTGCCATTATTTAGTGACTTTTTTATTTCATTTTTTTACTGTTTTTCTCTTAAGGTTTGTTTTATCTGATTTAAGTATAGTTTTTCCTGCTTGCTTTGTCTTGCTTTGCATCTTTGTCTTCCATTTGTGTGAAATACTTTTTCCTTCTTTTTACTTGAGTCTATATGTGTTTTGCAGGTAAAGTATGTTTCTTGTAGGAAGCATATAATTGGATCATGCTTCTTTATCCATTTAGCCAGTCTACATATTTTTAAGTGGAGAATTTAATCATTTACATTCAGAGTTATGGCTGATATGTAAGGCTTTGTTCTTATCATATTGTTAATTTTTTTCTGGTTGTTTTGTATATTCTTAGTTCCTTTCCTTTTTTTCTATTGTCTTCGTGGTTTGGTGATTATGTATAATGGTACCATTTGAGTTATTTCTCTTTCTCATTTGTGTGTTTGCTTTACTGTTGAATTTATACTTTTATGTGTTTTCATGATGGCAAATGTTGTCCTTTCAGCTTCAAATTCCCCTGAGCATTTCCTGTAGACCAGCCTAGTGGTGATGAATACTCTCAGCATTTGCTTGTGTGGGAAAGACTTTATTTTTCTTTCATTCATGAAGGGTAATTTTGTTGACATAGTGTCATGCATATTTTTCTTTCAGTGCTTTGAATATGTCATTCCATTATCTCTTGACCTGTAAGGTTTCTGCCGAGAAATTCACTATTAGTCTGATGGGTGTTCTTTAAAAGGTATAGATGTGGGCTGGGTGTGGTGGTGCTCACGCCTATAACCCCAGCGCTTTGGGAGGTTGAGGCAGGTGGATCGCAGGGTCAGGAGTTCAAGACCAGCCTGGCAAACACAGTGAAACCCCATCTCTACTAAAAATACAATAAATTAGCCAGGTGTGGTGGTGTGCACTTGTAATCCCAGCTACTTGGGAGGCTGAGGCAGGAGAGTCACATGAGCCTAGGAAGTGGAGGTTGCAGTAAGCCGAGATCGCCCCATTGCACTTCAGCCCAGGCGACAGTGTAAGACTCCCATCTCAAAAAAAAAAAAAAAAGGTGTAGATGCTTTTCTGTTACATTTTAAAGACTCCTCTCTTTGTCTTTGGTTGTAGACAGTTTGCCCACAATGTACTATCAAGAAGAACTTTTTGCATTGTATTCATTTGAGGATCTTTGAGCTTCCTGTATCTGGTTATCTAAGTTTCTTGCTAGACTTGGGAAGTTTTCATCTAGCATTTTGTTAAATAGGTTTTCTAATCTTTCCTTTCTCTCTTTGCCCTCAGGGACACTGATAATTCAAATATTCCATTACTTTGTGTTGTCCCAAATGTCACAAAGGCTTTGCTCATTCTTTTTTATTTTATCTTTACCTTTTTCTGACTGGATTATTTCAAAAGACCAGTCTTCAAGTTCTGAGATTTTTTCTTCTGCTTGGTCTCATCTATTTTTGAAGCTTTCACACATATTTTGCATTTTAGTAAATGAATTATTCAGTTTCAGAATTTCTGTTCGATTCTTTTTTAAAATAGTTATCTTTCTGGCAATTTTTTTTTATGACCTGAATCATTTTTCTGATTCCTCTAAATTTTTTTTTCAGAATTCTCTTGTGTCTCATTGAGCTTCTTTAAAATCGGTATTTTGCATCTTTATTTGGGATTTTGTTTCTTTAATTGGGATCTGCTGCTGGAAAATTATTGAGTTCCTTTGGAGGTGTTGTATTTCCTTACTTGTTCATGTTTCCTGCATCCTTACATTGATATCTGCACATTTGGTGTAACAGACACTTCTTTCAAGTTTTTTAATTTGATTTCATGGGGCAGAACTTTTCCTGAAGATGTATATCTGTTTGCAGTTGAGTAGGTCACTCTGGCTTTGATATTGGGTGTATGCAGTAAGGTAGTCTCTGTGTGATTTCTTCATCTGTGAACAGGGTCAGTGGTATTTGTGATTTCCTTAGTGGCTTAGGGTGTAGTTGTTAGTGGAGGCTATGATGAAGTTTTTATGGGTTCTAAGATGCCTGGTGGGCCAGTCTTCAGGCCCCAGTGGTGGTAACAGTGGGTTGAGCATACCTGTCCTTGAGCCTCAGAGTGATGTATGCTGCCACTGGTATTAGCAGGTCCAGGTAGGCCAGTAGTGGCAGCTGTGGGCAAGGCATGCGGGTGGGTTCTTAGGTCTCCAGGCAGTGGTGTGATGTGGGTGACGGCAGGAGCAGTGGTGGAGCAACCCACTGGACCCCAGGTAGTCCATTCTGGTATTGGTGGTGGTTGTGATAAGTTGGGTGGGCCAGTCTGCTGACCTGCAGGTGGCTCATGTGGGTGACTGCCAGCTGTGGTGGTATCAACAGGTTGGGTCAGCCCAGCTTCAGACTCCAAGAGGAATGTTCAGGTACCATTGGTGATGAACTGGGCTGAGAGACCCCCAGGCCCCTAAATGGCATGCTAGAGTAGTAGGGAAATGGGACTGAGTTGATAACTTTGTCCTCAGGTTCCCTGGAAGTGTGTTCAGGCAGTGGCTGTGATAGGCAGGGGCAGATGGTTCCTAGGCTGCTGGCAGAATTGTCAGGTTTGGGCAGCAGTGGCTGCACTGCAGGCTGCCTCCAGGGAGGGCAAGGCCACTCTCAGTGGGAGCAGCTAAAGCAGTAAGCTGTGGAGCTTGCAGTTTGCTCACACCTTGGTCTCTTAGCAGCCTATAGCAGTGGCAGTGGTATTTGTCCTCGGGGCTTGTTAAAGTGCCCAGCTTTCTCTCTCCTTCTTTGGCCTGGTGGCCCCAGGGAAGATCACAGTGCTTTGGAGGCTGGGCTGTCAAAATGGCACTGGCTGTGGGCCTGCTACCAGGGAGGGCAGTGCCACTCTCAGTGGGAGCAGCACGGGCAGACAGCTGTGGTGTGTACAGTTTCTTCACATCTTGGCCCCACAATAGTCTGCAGTAGTGGTGGGATTTGTCCTCGGAAGAAAGTACCCATCCTCCTCTTGTTCTCCTTGGCCCAGTGGCAGCTATGGCAGTGATGGTCCCAGGGTAGGACAAAGTCCTCTGGGGGCTGAGCTCTCAGAATGATACAATGTTACAGTTGCACAAGGCTCAGAAGCCTGTGGGACTCAGCCTAAGTTCCCTTTCTGAAACAATGCCTTTGTACAATCTCTAGGCAGCTCCCTATGTTAGTCTTGATGCTCATGAGGGTTGAGGGGCTCTCCAGTGCCTAGAATTGAAGTTCATGACAAGAATTTGGAGCCCCGAAGGTCTCACTGACCATTTCCCTGCATCTGAGAGCTTCTCCCAACTCCCAGGCAATCTTGGCTGAGCAGGCTGCCTCACTTCCCTCTCCTTCTTTGTTTTCAGTGCTTCCTGTCACTTCTCTGTTGAATTCCAGTGTCCTTTCTTAGATTTGTGATTATCTGCTTCCTGGTAGAGAAGAAGGACCTATTTTGGTCCTTCTCTGTGGAAGGGGCTCATACTAGCTGCATCTGGTCAGCTATCTTGCCTCTGTCTCTCCTAGTGATTTTTGACAAAAGTGCCAAGGTATTTCAATGGGGAATGTATTCATTAATCAACAAATGGTATAATCAAAAAGTGAACATTGACCCTTTCTTTCACCATACAGAAAAATTAACTCAAAATGCATCATAGACCTAAATGTAAGTGTGAAAAACAAAACATTTCTGGAAGAATATGCAAGAAAAATCTTTGGGACCTCTAGCTAGACAAAGATATCTTAGATTGGACACATGCTCACAAACACACACACGATATAGAAATAATAGACACATTGAACTTTATCAAATATAAAACATTTGCCTTTTAAAAAACAACATTTAGAAAATAAAAAGGCAGGCCATGGACTGAAAGAAAATATTTTCAAAAGCTATATCTGATACTGAACTTATACAAAATACATAAAGAACGCTTAATTTCAATTGTAAAGACAACATTTTTAAAATAAACAAAACACTTTTTAAGATATAATATCATAACTTTATTCAGGAGATAATCAAATATACAGGGCTGACACAGACAAACAGCCATGCATAAAAATTATATAAATCTGCTTGCTAGATTTTCCAGAAGAGGCCCAGTCATTATAAACAAGAAAGAAAAACCAGGAGGGTGCCTAAACGACTGCAGTCTTTCAAGCAAGTGCAAACGTTCCCACACTCCCTTGTAGCGAAGGCAGCCCCAGGTGAACGTGGTCCTACTAGCAGGAAGATTAGGAGGCAGCAGCTGTGCAGAAGCCATGCTTCCTGGCCCTGCCAGAGATCAACAGTAGGCCTTGTTGAACTCCTGGAGGGCCCACCGCTTCTCAGTTGCCTGCTTGAGTAGGGTGGACTCTTTTCACCAGTCTGTCAAACTCCTCCCCAAGTATTTCATAGGAGTTCAGGACCTGTCTTGACTTCTCCATGTGCTGCTCCCGTAGGTGAATCGCTCCCTCCAAACGGTCCCTAATCGGACAATGAACTTCCACTTTCTCAGCAGTGTGTTGGACAAAATATTTAACTCTTCCATCCTCAGCTTAAGTATCATAGCACCACACTTGACTTCCAGGTACTGGGCATTGATGTGGTCTAACTCGGAGTGAGTCTTCAGCCGTTGTTCCTGAAGAAGCCTCTGCAGCAAAATGAGGCAGCAGAGAAGCACCTGGAAGTAGGTGGCACTCTTCTTCTCCAGCAGCACCATCTGCTCCTTTTGCTGGCTCTTGGCATCCTGGCACTGCTGCTTCCTAGCCACTAGGACCTCTGCAAGTTTCAACACGTTTGCTGCCTTTACGGTTTCACTGTCAGCATCTGAATTGGGATCATAGTACCAGAGCAGAGTGAAACATTTCTTCTTGAGCTACTCCTCCACTTCTTGCTGTAGCAGAGCCCTCATCCACACAAAATCGTCTGAGAGTGGCATGGATTCCAGAAGGTCCGCTTTCTCCAGCTCTAGCAGTGAAGGTATCTCCCTCTCCTGGCTAGGACCTAAGAGCCATGTCAGTTCAGTTATGAGTAGCCGCTGTTCAAGGGTCTCATGAAATTTTTGTCCTCAGAAGTTAAATTTGTGTCCTGTATCTTCACACAGTAGTCCACAAGCAACTCCTGAATAACTCCATGTAAAATCTCAGACCTCAACCACGTTGTCTTATGCAGTCGAACTTCCTTCCATGCCTTGTTGAAGTATTTCCATCCCTTCTCCAGGTGAGCAGAAATCCCCAAATACCTTTTGATTTTCTTGGGATTCTAATACTGGGGCAGGTGAAGCTCTCAAGGGGGTGCCAAGATCCTCGGCTGGGGCAGGCTGGACAGCAGCGTCTGTTTACACCCAGGACCCACCCCACCCCGGGGCTCCGGAACTCGCTCTGGAACCTCTCATTCGGGCCCACCACAGGGGCTAGGGGAAGCGAGGCCCAGGAGGACCGTGCTGGAAGGCCCTCCAGGAAGGGGAAGGGGCAGCAAAACATTTTAATAGACACTTCACCAAAGTAGATATGCAGATAGCAAATAAGCACATTTTTAAATATTCAAGATTATTAGTCATTAGAAAAATGCAAATACCCAACTAGAATGGTAAAATTTCTAAACGCTCACCATTCCAAGTTTTGGCAAGTTATATGGAGGAACGGGAGCTGATATAAATTGCTGGTGGGAATGTAAAATTGTATAGTCATTTCTGGATGTTTAAACACATAAATAGACTATAGAGTTAAACATATTCATACTTACCATACAGCCTAGAAAATCTGCTGTTTGTTTTTACTCGAGAGAAATAAAAGCATAAGTCAACTCAAGACACATACTTAACTGTTTATAGAAGTTTTACTTGTAGCTCCAAACTTGAAACAATTCAAATTTCTACCAATCAGGAATATTTTTAATTAGACATAATTTTATTTTATTTTATTTTTATTTATTTTTTATTATACTTTAAGTTTTAGGGCACATGTGCACAATGTGCAGGTTAGTTACATATGTATACATGTGCCATGTTGGTGTGCTGCACCCATTAACTCATCATTTAACATTAGGTATATCTCCAAATGCTATCCCTCCTCCCTCCCCCCACCCTGCAACAGGCCCCGGTGTGTGATGTTCCCCTTCCTGTGTCCATGTGTTCTCATTGTTCAATTCCCACCTATGAGTGAGAACATGCGGTGTTTGGTTTTTTGTCCTTGCCATAGTTTGCTGAGAATGATGGTTTCCAGCTTCATCCATGTCCCTACAAAGGACATGAACTCATTATTTTTTATGGCTGCATAGTATTGCATGGTGTATATGTGCCACATTTTCTTAATCCAGTCTATCATTGTTAGACATTTGGGTTGGTTCCAAGTCTTTGCTATTGTGAATAGTGCTGCAATAAACATACGTGTGCATGTGTCTTTATAGTAGCATGATTTATAATCTTTTGGGTATATACCCAGTAATGGGATTGCTGGGTCAAATGGTATTTCTAGTTCTAGATCTCTAAGGAATCTTCTGACTTCCACAATTGTTGAACTAGTTTACAGTCCCACCAACAGTGTAAAAGTGTTCCTATTTCTCCACATCCTCTCCAGCACCTGTTGTTTCCTGACTTTTTAATGATCGCCATTCTAACTGGTGTGAGATGGTATCTCATTGTGGTTTTGATTTGCATTTCTCTGATGGCCAGTGATGATGAGCATTTTTTAATGTGTCTTTTGGCTGCATAAATGTCTTCTTTTCAGAAGTGTCTGTTCATATCCTTCACCCACTTTTTGATGGGGTTGTTTGATTTTTTCTTGTAAATTTGTTTGAGTTCATTGTAGATTCTGGATATTAGCCCTTTGTCAGATGAGTAGATTGCAAAAATTTTCTCCCATTCTGTAGGTTGCCTGTTCACTCTGATGGTAGTTTCTTTTGCTGTGCAGAAGCTCTTTAGTTTAATTAGATCCCATTTGTCAATTTTGGTTTTTGTTGCCATTGCTTTTGGTGTTTTAGACATGAAGTCCTTGCCCATGCCTATGTCCTGAATGGTATTGCCTAGGTTTTCTTCTAGGGTTTTTATGGTTTTAGGTCTAACATTTAAGTCTTTAATCTGTCTTTAATTAATTTTTGTATAAGGTGTAAGGAAGGGATCCAGTTTCAGCTTTCTACATATGGCTAGCTAGTTTTCCCAGAACCATTTATTAAATAGGGAATCGTTTCCCCATTTCCTGTTTTTGTCAGGTTTGTCAAAGATCGGATGGTTGTAGATATGTGACATTATTTCTGCAGGCTGTGTTCTGTTCCATCAGTCTATATCTCTGTTTTGGTACCAGTACCATGCTGTTTTGGTTACTATAGCCTTGTAGTATAGTTTGAAGTCAGGTAGCATGATGCCTCCAGCTTTGTTCTTTTGGCTTAGGATTGACTGGCGATGCGGGCTTTTTTGGTTCCATATGAACTTTAAAGTAGTTTTTTCCAATTCTGTGAAGAAAGTCATTGGTAGCTTGATGGGGATGGCATTGAATCTATAACTTACCTTGGGCAGTATGGCCATTTTCACAATATTCATTCTTCCTACCCATGAGCATGGAATGTTCTTCCATTTGTTTCTATCTTCTTTTATTTCATTGAGTAGTGGTTTGTAGTTCCCTTGAAGAGGTCCTTCACATCCCTTGTAAGTTGGATTCCTAGGTATTTTATTCTCTTTGAAGCAATTGTGAATGGGATTTCACTCATGATTTGGCTCTCTGTTTGTTATTGGTGTATAAGAATGCTTGTGATTTTTGCACATTGATTTTGTATCCTGAGACTGCTGAAGTTGCTTATCAGCTTAAGGAGATTTTGGGCTGAGATGATGGGGTTTTCTAGATATACAATCATGTCATCTGCAAACAGGGACAATTTGACGTCCTCTTTTTGTAATTGAATGCCCTTTATTTCCTTCTCCTGCCTGATTGCCCTGGCCAGAACTTCCAACACTATGTTGAATAGGAGTGGTGAGAGAGGGCATCCCTATCTTGTGCCAGTTTTCAAAGGGAATGCTTCCAGTTTTTGCCTATTCAGTATGATATTAGCTGTGGGTTTGTCATAGATAGCTCTTATTGTTTTGAGATACATCCCATCAATACCTAATTTATTGAGAGTTTTTAGCATGAAGCATTGTTGAATTTTGTCAAAGGCCTTTTCTGCATCTATTGAGATAATCATATGGTTTTTGTCGTTGGTTCTGTTTATATGCTGGATTACATTTATTGATTTGCGTATATTGAGCCAGCCTTGCATCCCAGGGATGAAGCCCACTTGATCATGCTGGATAGGCTTCTTGATGTGCTGCTGGATTTGGTTTGCCAGTATTTTATTGAGGATTTTTGCATCGATGTTCATCAGGGATATTGGTCTAAAATTCTCTTTTTTTGTTGTGTCTTTGCCAGGCTTTGGTATCAGGATGATGCTGGCCTCATAAAATGAGTTAGGGAGGATTCCCTCTTTTTCTATTGATTGGAATTAGACATAATTTTAAAGAAAAAAGTTTAGACCTGACTAGAAATCCTGAAATCACATGTTTTTCTCTGACTTTATAGTCATAGCTAAATGTCATAATGGCCCATTAAAAAGTTTTAAATTTAAAAGGTACCTGTGTAGGGCCAATTATTACCAGTATTACAAAGGGAGGATAATGAGGCTGGAACCATGAGATTTACTCCTCGTCCTCCTCAGTAATTACTGTACACAAGGCACAATGTTAAAATCAATTTTAAGTTTATGGCCTCCAAATAAACGCAAACTCCATATCGTTTTTAGAGCAAGGCTTTCCTATGTTTCTCTCACATGTCTTGATAGGAAGGGATATTCCTTCTATCCAAGCAGACATCCATTTCTAGGTCTCTGTAGGAAAATCCTGGCTTATTCAACAAGGTTTGAATAACCAAGTGCCCCTGTTAGAGCTGGTTTCCTTATTTGTGTGCAACAGTTAAGCAGAATCTTCTGAATTATCTTGCAAAATCATGTATTAGGCTATTCTAGAATTGCTATAAAGAAATACCTGAGACTGGATAATTCATAGAGAAAATAGAGTAATTGGTTCATCATTCTGCAGGCTGTACAGGAAGCATGGTGCTATAATCTGCTTGGCTTCTAGTGAAGCCTCGGGGAGCTCACAATCATGACAGAAGGCAAAGGGGGAAAAGGCATGTCACACAGTGAAAGCAAGAACAAGCAAGAGAGAATGTGGTGTGTGTTGGGAATGCCACACACCTTTAACCATATCTCATGTGAACTCAGAGCAAAAGCTCACTTATCACCAAGGGAATAACCCAAATCATTCATGAGGGATCCACTTCCACGATCCAAATACCTCCCACCAGGCTGTATGTCCAACACTGGAAATTACAATTCAACATGAGATTTGGGTGGGAACAAATATCCAAACCATATTATTCCACCCCAGCCCCACCCAAATCCCATGTTCTTCTCACATTGCAAAATATAATTATGCCTTCCCAATAGTCCCCCAAAGCCTCCCCCTGCCCAAAGTCTTAATTCATTCCAGCATTAACTCAAAAGTCCCAAGTCCCAAGTTCAAAGTCTCATCTAGAACTGAGCTGAGTTCCTTAACATCTATAGAGCCTGTAAAATAAAGAAACAAGTTATTTACTCCCAAGATACAATGGGAGTATAGTCATTGTAAACATCCCCTTCCAAAAGGTAGAAATTGGCCAGAAGAAAGGAGCTACAGGCCTCATACAAGTTTAAAATGCCGAAGGGCAGTAATTAAATCTTAAATCTCCAAAATAATCTTCTTTGACTCCATATCCCACATTCAGGGCACACTGGTGCAAGGGGCCGGCGTCCAAAGCCTTAGATATTTCCACCTCTGGCTTTGAAGGTTTCAGAACTCCAGGCTGCTCTTACAGGTTGTTGAGTGCCTGTGGCTTTTCCAGGTGCTGGGTGCAAACTGCTGGTGGATCTACCATTCTAGGGTATGGAGGGCCATGGCCCCTTTCTCACAGACGCACTAGGCAGGGCTCTAGTGGGGATTTTGTGTGGGAGCTCCAACCCTGTATTTCCTCTTGGCACTGTCCAACAGAGGTTCTTCTGTGGGGGCTCTGCCCCTGAGGCAGGCTTCTACCTGGGCATCCAGACTTTTCCACACATTCTTTGAAATCTGATGGAGGGTGCCAAGCCTCATTTACTCTTGCACACTGTGCACCCACAGGCTTAACACCAGATGGAAGCTGCCAAGTCTTACAGCTTGCCACCTCTAAAGCCATGGCCCAAGCTGTACCTGGGCCCCTTTGAGCCACAGCTGGAGCTGGAGTGGCCAGAATGTGGGGAGCAGAGTTCTGATGCTGCACAGGACAGCAGAGCCCTGGACCTGGCCCATGAAACCATTTTTCCCTCCTAGGCCTTTGGGTCTCTGAAGCAAGGGCCTCCTGTGAAGGTCTCTGAAATGCCTTTGAGGCCTTGTCCCCATTGTCTTGGAAATTAGCACTCGGTTCTTTTTTAGTTACAGGAATATCTCTAGCAAGTGGTTGCTCCACTGCCTGCTTGAATTTCTTTTCTGAAAAATCTTCCTTTCTCTGTCACATGGCTCGGCTGCAAAGTTTTCAAATGTTTATGCTTTGCTTCCTGTTTAAATATAAGTTCCAACTGTAAGTCTGTTTTTTTTTGCTCCCACGGCTGAGCACAGGTTGTTAGAAAGAGCCAGGCCATTTCTTGAATGCTTTGCTGCTTAGAAATGTTTACCCCCAGATATCCTAAATCATCACTCTGAAGTTCAAACTTCCACATTTTCAGGTATCTTTATAGCAATGCCCCACTCCTCAGTACCAATTTTCTGTATTAGGCCATTCTTTTATCACCATTAAAAAATACGTGAGACTTGCGTAATTAATAAAGAAAAGAGGTTTAATTGGCTCATGGTTCTGCAGCTTTGCAGGAAGCTTGGTGCTGGCATCTGGTTGACTTGTGGTGCAGCTTCAGGGAGATCACAATCATGGCATAAGATGAAGAAGGAGCAGGCACATCACATGGCAAAAGCAGGAATGAGAGAGAATGTGTGTGTGGGGGGGGTGGGGGGATGGGGGGGTGGGAAGGGTGCCACACCCTTTTAAACAACTAGATCTCATGTAAACTCAGAGCAAGAGCTCGGTTATCACCCAGGGGATGGCCCAAGCCATTCATGAGAGATCTGCCCCATGATTCAAACACCTCCCACCAGGTCCCACCTTCAACATTGGATGTTACAATTCAACATGAAATTTAGGCAAGAACAAATATCCAAACCATATCAAACCAAGCAGCAGAAAACATGAGAACAAGTTAGGAAGCAGGGCTTTCTTTTGATGTGTTAGCATAAAAACCCAGTATCTAAAGTGGAGAAATCTCTATTTTCTGCCAAACACATCCCCACACACCACATGTGTGCATGTGCACAAACACACACACACACTTGCAGTGCCTTTAATACAAAGTTCTCCCTTGAGGCAAAATCTTTTGTCATTAGCTGATCCAATGATGAAAAGCTATGTGGTATCGACTTAATAAAACCTTCAAATGAAACCAGCAGAATAACTGTCAGAGTTTCTATATTGAATGTAACTTGAGGAGTTGCTCTGATTCTAGCATAGTCAACCTGCTTACATACAGAAGGCCAGTTAAAAAGTGGGAGAAGTGAGGCTAAATTGGGAATGCGGAAGGGGAAGCCAGTGCTTGTAAACATACCTTCACATTTTATTTTGGAATTCACCTTTCACATAGGTACACTCAAGATTGGGCTGCTGAGAGTCATAGTGGGTTTTTGAGACATCCAGAACTTGTACATTTTTCTGAAGTATTTTTAAGCTATTAAGAGGATGAAAACTAGTAACACATGAGAAAGTAATAGAGCGGTTTTAACTTTATCATTTGTAATAGCTAAATGTATCAGAAGTGTGAATAATTTAAATCCATTGACAATGAAAATTTTTCATTGTATTCAGTAAAATTCCTACCATTCTCTAGCTAGTATTTCAGAAGACAGTGATGTAAATATTTTCTCTTTTAGTTGAAAAGTGTCCAGCAGAAGAAAGGAAGAAAATACTAAATTTCTTGGAAAATCTACACACTTGGGAATTTGCTTTTGGACAATTGAGAACTGGATTCACTTTCATGTTTGTTTAAGATGAAACAAAAATATCAACTAATCCACTTGAATTGTTAAACCTAAATTTTTCTGTAAACAGTAACACACAACCTTTGATACTCTTTTTTTTTTTTCCTTATTCAGTCTAGAGAGAGAGCAATGTAGGCTACTTTGGGAAAGTTCTTTGCATTCCACAAAAACCTTGTTCCAATCTTCATTTGAAGAAGCAGAACATCACCAACTGAAGAGATCTTCGTCATAACCTCACCCCAAAGGATGAATGGTTTCCTAATAACCTATAAACCAGCAAGTATATGGCTCAGCCAATGCTTCAGAGTTATTTAGTGTCCTCAGAGATTGGCAGATACTCAGGAGAAGGCATCCAGAAAATAAGACTTCATATACTGCTATAATAGAGAGCAGAGGACTGAGTACATTACAGAGTGCCAAGGAAATAAGGCAAATAATACGTTAGGTCAGAGGAGAGAATTGGTTTTCTATTACCTAGTGAGAAATGGCTCACTAAAATGAAACAGAGGAAGGGTGCTCAAATCACACATACATTATAATTATCTACCAAGGTGATTTCATTGCCACTAAGGTCAAGTAGATATGATTAATAACTATGAGATATGCTTACTCAGAAGCAGAAATGAATTGAAATGGCCAAGGCATTTTTTGTTGCAGCACAGGTTAAAAAATGACTTATTGTTTCTGTTTCTTTGGCTACATCCTGTATCTCATCATTGCAGGGTTAGAAAATGGCTAGCAAAAATCTTATTTGTGGATTTCTGTACTTCCTTGAGTCCAAACAACTCTTGCTAGCTAGACTTTGGAGCACAGGAAAAATATAATGTGTGTTTTGTACCAATTTTTCCCAACTTTTTAACTGTGGTAAAATACACATAACATAAAATGTATGTGTATTTTAACCATTTCTAAGTGTCAGTTTAGTGGCAATAAATACATTCATATTGTTGCACAACCATCATCACTATCCATCTCCAAAACTCTTATCATCTTGCAAAACTGAAACTTTATACCCATTAAACAATAACTTTCCATTTCCCCTTTCCCCAGCCCCTGGCAAGAGTCATCTACTCTGTCTCTATAATTTTGGTGACTCTAAGTACTTTATCATATAATTGGAATCATACAGTGTTTGTCCTTTTGTGATTGGCTTATTTTACTTAGCATAATGTCTTCAAGTTTCATCTATGTTATAACAGATGTCAGAATTTCCTTCCTTTCTAAGGCTGAAAATATTTCATTGTATGTGTGTACCATTTTTTTTTATCTGTTTATCCATCCGTAGAATTCTGGGTTGCTTCCACATTTTAGCAATTGCAAATATTGTTGCTGTGAACATTAATGTACAAATACCTCTTTGAGACTCTGTTTTCAATTTGGGGGTGGCATATGTCCAAAAGTGAAATTTTTCAATCACATGGCAATTCTATTTTTAATTTTGTGAGAAATGGCCATGTTATTGTTTTTCACAACAGCTGTGCCATTTTACATTCCCACCAACAGTTCACAGGAGTTCCAATTTCTCCACAACCTTACCAATGCTTATTTTCTGTGTGTTTGGCTGACTGTGTGTGTGTGTGTGTGTGTGTGTGTGTGTTTACAGTAACTGTCCTAAAGGGTGTGATGGTATCTCATTAGAGTTTTGATGTGCATTTTCCTAATAATTAGATGTTCAGCATTTTTTAAGTGCTTATTGGCCAATTGTATATCTTATTTGGAGAAATGTATATTCTGATCCTTTGCCCATTTTTGAATTGAGTTGCTTATCTTCTTGTTCCTGTCTTTTAGGAGTTCTCTATATATTCGTGATATTAATCTCTTATCAGGTGTATACTTTGCAAATTTTTTTCTATTCTGGGTTGCGTTTTTACTCGATAGTTTTTTTTTTATTTTTTGTGGGTACATAGTAAGTGTATATATTTATTGGGTACATATTTTGATACTGTCATGTGATGTGAAATAAGCACATCATGGAGAATGAGGTATCTGTCCCCTCAAGCATTTATCCTTTGAGTTACAAACAATCCAATTACACTATTTATTTTAAAATATACAATTATTATTGATTATAATCACTCCGTTGTGCTGTCAAATTCATTCTTTCTATTTTTTGTAACCCATTAACCATCTTATTCATTCTTTCTATTTTTTGTAACCCATTAACCATCCTCAGCTTCCCCCAGGCCCCCACTACCCTTCTCAGCTGATGGTAACCGTCTTTCTACTCTCTGTTCATGAGTTCAATTGTTTTGATTTTTAGATCCCATAAATGAAAGAGAACTTATTTGTCTTTCTGTGCCTTGCTTATTTCAATTAACATAATTATCTCCAATTCCATTCATGTTGTTGCAAATGACAGGATGTCATTCTTTTTTGTGGCTAAATAGTACTCCATTGTGTATATGTACCACATTTTATCCATTCATCTGTTGATGGATACTTAGGTTGCTTCCAAATCTTGGCTATTGTAAACAGAGCTGCAGCAAACACAGGAGTGCAGATATCTCTGTGATATACTGATTTCCTTTCTTTGGGGTATATACGCAACAGAGAGTTTGCTGAATCATATGGTAGCTCAATTTATTTTTTTGCAGTTTTTGAGGAACCACCATACTGTTCTCCATGATGGTTGTACTAATTTACATTCCCACCAACGGTGTACAAGGGTTCGCTTTTCTCCACATCCTCGCCAGCATTTGTTCTTGCCTGTATTTTGGATATAAGCCACTTTAACTGGGTGAGATGATATCTCATTGTAGTTTGATTTGCTTTTCTCTGATGATGAATGAGGCTGAGCACTGTTTCATATGTCTCTCTGCCATTTGTATGTCTTTTTAAAAATGTCTATTCAAATCTTTTGCCCATTGATTAGATTATTAGATTTCTTCCTATAGAGTTGTTTCAGCTCCTTATATATTTGGCATATTAATCCCTTGTCAGATGGGTAGTTTGGAAATATTTTCTCCCATTTTGTGGGTTGTCTCTTCACTTTGTTGATTGTATCCTTGCTGTGCAGAAGCTTTTTAACTTGATGTGATCCCATTTGTTCATGTTTGACAAGGGTCCAGTTTCATTCTTCTGCATATGGATATCCAGTTTTCCCAGCACCATTTATTGAAGAGCTCATATGTTAGCTCAATTTGTTTGCAAGTATCCTTTTCTATTCTGGGTTGCCTTTTTACTCTGTTGATAGTGTCATTTTTATTTTTATTTTTGTGAGTACATAGTAAGTGTATATATTTATGGGGTACATGAGATGTTTTGATACAGGCATACAGTGTGAAATAAGCACATCATGGAGAATGGGGTATCCATTCCCTCAAGCACTGTCTCTGCCCCAGTGTAGGTTCTTGGCACCTTTGTGAAAAATGAGTTCACTGTAGGTATGTGCATTTGTTTCTGAGTTCTCTATTCTGCTCCATTTATCTATATATCTGTTTTTATGCCAATACCATGCTGTTATGGTTACGACAGCTCTGTAGTATACTTTGAAGTCTGGTAATGTGATTCCTCCAGTTTTGTTCTTTTTGCTCGGGATAGCTTTGGGTATTCTGGGTCTTTTGTGGTTCCATATAAATTTTATAATAGGATTGTTTTTTCATTTCTGTGAAGAATGTCACTCATATCTTGATAGGGATTGCATGAAATCTGTAGATTGCTTTGTGTAGTACAGACATTTTAACAATATTGATTCTTCCAATCCAGGAACATGGAATACTTTTCCATTTTTTGGTGTCCTCTTCAATTTCTTTCATTAATGTTTTATAGTTTTCATTATAGAGATCTTTCACTTCTTTGGCTATGTTAATTCCTAGGTATTTGATTTTATGTGTGGCTATTGTAAATGAGATTACCTTTTTCATTTCTTTTTTACATTGTTCACTGTTGGCAAATAGATGTATTACTATTTTTGTATGTTGATTTTGTATTCTGCAACTTTACTGAATTTGTCAGTTCTAATAGTCTTTGGTGGAGTCTTTAGGTTTTTTCAAATATAAGATCATATAATCTTCAAACAAGGATAATTTGATTTCTTCCTTTCCAATTTGGATGCCCTTTTTATCTTTATCTTGCCTAATTGATCTAACTATGAATTCAAATATTATATTGAATAACACTGGTGAAAGTGGACATCCTTGTCTTGTTCAGGATAGAGGAAAGGCTTTCCAATTTTCCCCACTCACTATAATACTAGCTGTAAGTCTGTCATATATGGCTTTTATTGTATCGAGGTGTGTTCCTTCTAGTCCCAGTTTTTGAGGGTTTTTATTATGAAGGGGTGTTGAATTTTATCAAATGCTTTTTCAACATCAATTGAAATTATCATATGGTTTTTGTCCTTAATTCTGTTGATGTGATGTATCACATCGATTGATTTACGTATGTTGAATCATCGTTGCATCCCAGGGATAAATCCCACTTGGTCATGATGAATAATCTTTCCCATGTATTGTTGAATTTAGTTTGCTAGTATTTCATTAAGGATTTTTCATTAATATTCATCAGAGATATTGGCCTATAGTTTTCTTTTTTTGGTGTGTCTTTGGTTTTGGTATCAGGGCAATACTGGCTTCTAGCCACATAGAATAAGTTTGAAAGTATTCCCTCATCCTTTATTTTTTTTAAATAGTTTGAGTAGGATTAGTATTAGATTTTCTTTAAATATTTGGTAGAATTCAGCAGAAAGGCCATCAGGTCCCAGGCTTTTCTTTATTGGAATACTTTTTATTATGGCTTTGATCCATTACCTGTTATTGGTCTGTTCAGGTTTTTTATTTCTTCATGGTTCAAACTTAGTAGGTTGTATCTATCTAGGAATTTGTCCATTTCTAGATTTTCCAATGTATTGCCATATAGTTGCTCATAGTAGTCACTAATGATCCTCTGAACTTCTGAACTATCAGTTGTAATGTCTCCATTTTCATTTTTGATTTACATGGATCTTTCTTTTTTTCTTAGTCTGGCTAAAGGTTTGTCAATTTTGTTCATCTTTTCAAAAAATCAACTTTTGTTTCAATGATCTTTTGTATGCTTTTATTTCAATTTCATTTATTTCTGTGCTGATCTTTATTATTTCTTCTCTTCTATTAATTTTGTGTCCAGTTTGCTCTTGCTTTTCTAGTTTTTTTCAATACATCATTAGGTTATTTAAAGGTTTTCCTTTTTATGATGTAGGTACTTATAGCTATAAACTTCCCTTTTAGTATTGTCTTTGCTGTATCCCATGGGTTTTGGCATGTTGTGTTTCCATTTTCATTTGCTTCAGAAAAATTTTCAACTTTCTTCTGAATTTCTTCATTGACCCACTGATCATTCAGGAGTGTATTGTCAAATTTCCATGTATTGGTAAAGTCTTCAAAATTCCTCTTGTTATTCATTTCTAGTTTGATTCCATTGTGTTCAGAGAAGACACTTGATATTATTTCAGTTTTTTTGAATGTCTTAAGACTGGCTTTGTGACCTAACATATGGTCTATCCTTGAGAATGATTCACGTGCTAAGAAAAAGAATCTATATTCTGCAGTTCTTGGATGAGATGTTCTGTAAATAGCTATTAGATCCATTTTGTTTATATTGCAGATTAAGTCTGATGTTTCTTTGTTGATTTCCTGTTTGAAATATCTGTCCATTGCTGAAAGTGAGATTTTAAAATCTCCACCTATTATAATATAGGGGCCTCTCTCTTTATTTCTAATATTTCCTTTGTATATCTAGGTGCTCCAGTGTTGGGTGCATATATATTTAAAATTGTTATATTTGCTTGCTGAATTGAACTCTTTATCATATAGTGATCGTCTTTGTCTCTTCTTATAGTTTTTGTCTTAAAATCTATTTTTTCTGATATAAGTATAGTGATTCTTTCTTTTTGGGTTCCACTGGCATGGAATATCATTTTCCATCCCTTTATTTTCAGTCTATGTGTGAAGTGTGCTTTCTGTAGTCAACAGATCAATGGGTATTGTTTTTTTCATTCATCCCTAGTCTATATCTTTTGATTGGAGAGTTTAGTCTAGTTATGCTTAATATTATTATTAATAAATAATGACTTACTTCTGCCATTTTGTTATTTGTTTTCTGGTTCTTTTGTGGTCTTCTCTCCCTTCTTTCTTTCATCTCTGTTTTCCTCTAGTGAAGATGATTTTATCAGATAATATAATTTAGTTTCTTGCTTTTTATTTTTTTGTGTATCCATTGTATATTTTTTGTTTGAGGTTACCATAAGGCTTGCAAATACTATCCTATAACCCATTATTTTAACCTGATAATAATTTAACACTATTTTCCTAAACAAATAAGCAAAAAGAAAATGAATACAAACTCTATGCCTTACCTTTTTCCCCCTGCTTTTTAACTTTTTCTTGTTTCTATTTATATCTTATCGTACTATGTCTTGAAAAGTTGTAGTTATTATTTTTGATTGGTTCATCACTTAATCTTTTCACGTAGGATAAGAGTAGTTTATACATCACAGTTACAATGTTATAATATTCTGTGTTTTTCTGTCTACTTATTATTACCAGTAAGTTTTGTACCTTCAGGTGATTATTTATTGCTCATAAATGTTCTTTACTTTCTGACTGAAGTACTCTCTTTAGCATTTCTTGTAGGACAGGTCTGGTGTTGATGAAATCCCTCAGCTTTTGTTTGGGAAAAATCTTTATTTGTCCTTCATGTTTGAAGGATATTTTTGCTGGCCATCCTATCTTAGGGTAAAAGTTTTTTTTCTTCCCTCAGCATTTTAAATATGTCATGCCACTTTCTCCTGGCCTGTAAGATTTCTACTGAAAAGTCTGCTGCCAGATGTATTGGAGCTCCATTGTGTGTGTGTGTGTTTTTTCTCTTGCTGCTTTTAGGATTCTTTTATTTAATCCTTAACCTTTGGGAGTTTGATTATTAAATGCCTTGAGGGGAGTCTTCTTTAGATTAAATCTGTTTGGTGTTCTATAACCTTTTTGTACTTGGATATTATTACCCCATTGAATTAACATTCTACCCCTATCTCTTTCTCTACCTCCTCCTTAAAGTTAATAACTCTTAGATTTACCCTTTTGAGGCTATTTTCTAGATCCTGTAATTGTGCTTCATTACTTTTTTTCTTTTGTCTCTTCTGACTGTATATTTTCAAATAGCCTGTCTTCAAGCTCACTTATTCTTTCCTCTGCTTGATCAATTCTGCTATTAAAAGACTATGATGCCTTCTTCAGTATGTCAAAGATATACTGAAGAAGAGCTGGATTTTTCAGCTCCAGAATCGCTTGATTCTTTTTAATTATTTCATTCTCTTTGGTAAGTTTATTTGATAGCATTCTGAATTCCTTCTCCACGTGATCTTGAAATTTTTTGTTTTCTCAAAACAGCTATTTTGAATTCTCTGTCTTAAAGGTCACAAAGCTCTACAGGTTTGGTCCCTCATGCCTTATTTAGTTCATTTGGTGGGTCATGTTTTCCCAGACGGTGTTAATGCTAGTCGATGTTCTTTGGTGTCTGGACATTGAAGAGTTAGGTATTTATGGTAGTCTTCACTGTCTGGGCTTATTTGTAGCTGTCCTTCTTGGGAAGTTTTTCCAGATATTTGAAAGGACTTGTGATCTAAGAGGTATCCGCTTTAAGGTGCACCCCAGGCCCAATAGTACTGTGGGTCTTGCAGATGTGTAGAGGCACTGCCTTGATGGTCTTGGACAAAATCCAGGATAATTTTCCGGGTTACCAGAGACTCTTGTTCTCTTACCCTACTTTCTCCCAAACATACAGAGTCTCTCTCTCCCTGTTCTGAGCCACCTAAAGCTTGGGGTGGAGTGACACAAGTACCCCTTTGGCCACCACTGTTATGACTGCCCTGGGTCAGACCTGAAGCCAGCACAGCACTTGGTCTCACCCAAGGCCTGCTGTAACCACTCCGTGGCTGTTGCCTATGTTTGCTTATGGCCCTGGGGCTCTACAATTAGCAGGTGGCAAAGCCAGCCAGGCCTGTGTTTTTCCCTTCAGGGTGGTGAGGTCCCCCAGGCCTCAGGTGGGTCCAGAGGTGCCATCTTGGAGTCAGGCACTACAGTCAAAAACCTTAGAAGTCTCCCTGGTGTTCTACTGTATTGTGGCTGAGTGGCACTCAAACCATAAGGTGCAGTTCTTCCCACTCTTCCCTTCCCTTTCCAAAAGCAGGGGAGCCTCATCCCATAGCCACTGGCACCCCAGGCCATGAAGAGTACTGCCAGACTACTGCCAAGGTTCTCCTAAGGCCTAAGGGCTCTTAAGTCAGCTTGTCGTGAATGCTGCCTGGACTGGGATTCACCCTTCAGGGCGATTGGCTCCCCTTTGGCCCAGGGGAGGTCCAGGCATACCATTCAAGTGTCAAGTTCTGGAATCGGGGACCCCAAGAGCCCACTTGGTGCTCTACCACTCTGTGACTGTGCTGGTACTTAAGGTGCAAGACAAAGTCCCCATTACTTTTTCCTCTGCTTTTCTCAATCAGAAGGAGTTTTGTCCCATAACCACCAGAGCTGGTAATATGCTGAGTCTCACTTGAAGCCAGCAAGTTTCAGAAGCTCACCCAAGGCCCTTGATGTAGTACCTGGGTATTGCTGCTGGTTATTCAGGGCCCAAAGGCTTTTGAATGAGCAGGTGGTGAATCCTGGCAGGACTGGGTTCTTTTCTTCAAGGCAGTGGGATCGCTCTGGCCCCAGGTGTACCTAGAAATGTCATCTGAGAGCTAAGGCCTGTAATGGGGTCCTCATGACTCTGACTGGTGCTCATCCTGCTGTGGCAGAGCTTGTATCCTAGATGCAAGACAAAGGGCTCCCAACTCTTCCCCTTCTTCTCCTCAAGTGGAAAGAAGGGGTGTCTTTTGCAGCCAGGAGTTGTGCAACCTGGAGTTAGGAAAGGGGTGATGCCAGCACTCCCTTGGCTGGCTTAGCTGATGTCTCAGCATATCACGTGTTCCCCCAGTCCACTGTCTCTGGGCCTAGCTCAGCACTAGGACTCACCTAAGAGTTGCAGTTCTTATGATCTAGACTGCCTTCCAAGTTATTTAAAGGCCAGGTGCAGCCCTCAGTGGTGACGTTCACAGGCACTCAAGTTTGGACTGCTGGGATTGGCAATTACCCTCTGGCTCAGGCTGGTTTAAATGCTCCCTCCATGTGCGGGCATCAGATGAGTTTGGTCTGGTTTTCCCTTCTGCTCTAACAGAATAGCACTGAGTTCAATGCCTCAAAATTGCTGGGTCCCCCTCCCACAGCACCCAGAGGTGCTCTCGGCACCACACTGCCACTGCCAGAGAGTGGGGGAGTGGTGGTGTCAGCGATTCAAGAGTGTTTTTTCTCTCTCTTCCATGCCTCTTTCAGCAATGTGAACTTAAAACCAGGTGCTCTAAATGCTCACCTGAATTTTGGTTCTTATGAAGGTGTTTTCTCTGTGTATAGTTGTTAACTGGGTGTCCTTCTGGGGGGAATGATTGGGAGAGCCTTCTACTCCACCATCTCACTCTGCCTCCTGCCCCCTGTTCATGGTGTCTTTTCATGCATAAAATTTTTAAGTTTTCAGGAAATCCAATGTATCTATCATTTCTTTTATTTATTAATTCATTCATTCATTTATTCATCTTTTAACTTTTATTTTAGGTTCAAGTATATATGTGCAGGTTTCTTATATAGGGAAACTGCATATCACAGGGGATTTAGTGTACGGATTATTTTGTCACCCAGGTAATAAGTATCGTACCTAGTAGGTAGTTTTTTGATCCCCCTCCTACACCCCTCAACCCTCAAGTAGGCCCTAGTGTCTGTTGTTTTCCTCTTTGTGTCTATGTGTTCTGTTGTTTAGCTTCCACTTGTAAGTGGGAATATGTGGTATTTAGTTTTCTGTCCCTGCAATGGACTTGAGATAATGGCCTTCAACTCCACCCACGTTTCTGCAAAGGGCATAGTCTCATTCTTTTTTTTTTTTTTTTTTTTTTTTTTTTGGCTGTGTAGTGTTCTTTAGTGTATATGTACCATATTTTCTTTATCCAGTCTACCGTTGATAGGCATTTAGGTTGGTTTCATGTCTGCTATTGTGAATAGTGCATGTGCCTTTACGGTAGAATGATTTATATACCTTTGGATATATACTCCAACAATGAGATTGCTGGGTCAAATGGTAATTCTGTTTTAAGTTTTTTGAGGAATTGCCACTCTGATTTCCACAATGGTTGAAAAAATTACATTCCCACTGGCAGCATGTAAGCATTCCCTTTTCTTCACAACTTCACCAGCATCTGTTGTTCAAGTGGTGAAGAAAAGAGAATGTTTATACACTGCTGTTGTTTTTGATTTTATGATAAGCCATTCTGATTAGTGTGAGACGGTATCTTATTGTGGTTTTGATTTGCATTTCTGTAATGATTACTGATACTACTGAGATTTTTTCATATGCTTTTTGGTTGTATGTATGTCTTGTTTTGAAACGTATCTGATCATGTCCTTTATCCACTCTTTAATGGGGTTATTTGATTTTTTTTCTTGTTGATTTCTTTAAATTCCTTATAGATTCTGGATATTAGATCTTTGTTGGATGCATAGTTTGCAAATATTTTCTTCCATTCTGTAGGTTGTCTGTT
This sequence comes from Homo sapiens, assembly GCF_000001405.40. Classification (NCBI taxonomy): domain Eukaryota; kingdom Metazoa; phylum Chordata; class Mammalia; order Primates; family Hominidae; genus Homo; species Homo sapiens. Next base: position 170,387,629 of record NC_000001.11, read on the forward strand.
TACTCTGTTCATAGTTTGTTTTGCTGTGCAAAGGATCTTTAGTTTAGTTAGGTCCTATTTGTCAAATTTTGTTTTTGTTGCAATTGCTTTTGGCATCTTTGTCATGAAATCTTTGCCAGGACCTATCTCCAGAATGGTAATTCTGAGATTACCTTCCAGAGTTTTCTTAGTTTTAGGTTTTACATTTAAGTCAGCCATTTTAGCCCAGTTAATAACTCTTGCTGGGCTGGGCATGGTGGCTCACACCTGTTATCCTAGCACTTTGGGAGGCCGAGGTAGGAGGATCACTTGAGCCCAGGAGTTCAAGACCAGCCCGGGCAACATGGCAAAACCCCTTCTCCACAAAAAAATACAAAAATTACCTGGGTGTGGTGGTGTATGCCTATAGTCCCAGCTGCTCAAGAGACTGAGGTGGGAGAATTACCTGAGCCCAGGAGGTTGAGGCTGCAGTGAGGCGAGATTGCACCACTGCATTCCAGCCTGGGTGTAGAGTGAGACCCTGTCTCAAAAAACGAAAAAAAAAGAAAAAGAGAAAAAAAAGAAAAAAAAGCCTCGCTGGGGAAATACTGCAGTAGTTGGGAGGAAGGAAGACACCCTGGCTTTGTGAGTTGCCAGAGTTCTTACATTGGTTCTTTCTCATCTGTGTGGGCCAATGTTCCTTTAAGTACAATGTATTATAATTTGGATACAGTCAGTAGACTTTTTTTCTGTATGTTTTCAGAAGGCTGGGGCTTTGTGCAGGGACTTTATTTGTATCTGAATTCTTGTCCTTGGTTTCACGGGAGGGTATATGAGCAAAGTATTTTTGGCATTGAAATTTGGGATCCAGTAGGTAGGCTCTTGCTCAGACACACGGCTCCTCTGTATTTCCTAATGATTGCAGCTGTGCTCCCTCTTGGTGCTCTAAAAATGTGCTCTCCTCTCCCACTCAAGTGCTGGCTTGCAGATCTTGTTCTGGCACTCCTGGGCTGCACACCACAGCTCTGTGGTGAGCTCGGGCTTTATGTTCCCTCCTCAGCCTGAGGGCAGCAGGGGAAGGGAACTTGGCAGTGGTTGTAGCAGACGACCTTTCACTTATCTCTTGGGGCTCCACCCCAAAGAGATGCAGAGCTGCTATCAATCTGTGTGATTGGCCCAGGGTGGGGAAGCTGCACTGTGGGCCCAGGCAGGGTCTTGGGGTTCTGCCTAGTGATGAGCAGGGAAAGTAAGGAGGCCACCTTGTGGAATGGGGGAGACAGACTGGTCTTTTCTTAGGGCAACTACAGCTTGCTGGAGGTGTGGTTAAAGAACTTAGGGTCTTTGCTCCTTCCTTAATCCAAGGGCAGCAAGGGCAGTACCACTGCAGTGGTTACCTCTGGAAGCTTCACCTCAGAGAAACACAGAACCACTGCTAAAGGGAATCTTCAGCCAAGGGGTAAGGTGGCTGCACTGCTGGGCCAAGCTGGGGCTCCACTTGATGATAAGCAGGGGATCAAGGGCTTACAAATTGGAGAGACTGCACTCCTTTCCATAAGGTTACATGGCACACTGGAAGCACAAGTGAAGCTCTCAGGCTCTTTGTTTCTTCTCCAGACCAAGCGCAGCAGGGTAGGATCTGGTGCCATGGCAATGGCAGAGGGGCTGTCAGTTGCCTTTGGGTGCTCCTCCCCAGGAAAACACAGAGCCACTACCAATGGGTATGCTCACCAAGCAGGGCTCCCAGATTGGGATTGCAGAATAACCTCCCTACACAATGGGTTTTGGTGTCATATCCAATACATCATTGCCAAATCCAATGTCATAAAGATTTTCCTATGTTTTCTTCTAAGAGTTTTATAGTTTTAGGTCTTACATTTAGGTTTTTGATCTATTTTGAGCTAATTTTTATAAAATGTTAGATAATAATCCAGTTTTTGTTTTTGTTTTTGTTTTTTTTTGCATGTTGATATCCTGTTTTCCTAGCAACATTTGTTGAAAAGACTGTCCTTTTTCCACTGAGTGGTCTTAGCACCTTTGTTAAAAAATCACTTGGCCACATATGTAAGGGCTTATTTTTGGGTTCTCTCTTTTATTCCATTGGTCTGTATTCTGTCTTTGTGCTAGTACTACATTGTTTTGATTACTGTAGCTTTGAAGTAAGTTTTGAAATCGGGAAATGTGAGCTTTGCTTTTCTTTTTCAAGACTGTTTCAGCTATCTTTAGTCCCTCAAGTGCCATATAAATTTTAGGATGGGTTTATCTAATTCTACAAAAAACATCATTGAGATTTTGATAGGGATCACTAAATCTAGGTACTTTGGGAAGTATTGACATCTTAACAATGCTAAATCTTCCAATCCATGACTATGTGATCTTTTCATTTATTTCTGTCTTTAATGTCTGTCAGTAATGTTTTATAGTTTTCATAGTGCAAGTCTTTCACCTCTTTAAGTTAATTCTAAATATATATTTTTTCTTTTTGATGCTATTGGAATTGAATTTTTTTTCATTTCCTCTTTGGACTGTTCATTGTTAATGTACAGAAATGCAACTGCTTTTTGTGTGTTTTGTATTCTGCTACTACTTTGCTGAATTCATTTATCAGTTCTAATAATTTGTTTTTGTGGAATCTTTAGGATTTTCTACATATAGGATCTCATTATCTGTGAGCAGAGATAATTTTACTTCTTCCTTTACAATTTGGATGTATTTTTTTAAATTTTTGCCTAATTTCTCTGGCTAGAACTTCTAGTACTATGTTGAATAGAAGTGGCAAAATAGACTTCTTTGATTTTTTCCTGATCTTAGAAGAGCATTTAGTCTTTCACCATTGAGAATAATGTTTACCGTGGGGTTTTTGTATGGCTTTAACTATGTTGAGGTAGTTTCCTTCTATTTCTAGGCTGTTGAGTGTTTTTATCATGTAAGTATGTCAGATTTTGAAAATTATTTTTTCTGTGTATATTGAGATGACTCTGTGTGTTTTATCCCCTTTATTCTATTCATGTAGTACATTACATTGATCAATTTTTATACATTAAATCACCTTCCATTCCAGGACTAAATCCCACTTGCTTATGGAGTATAACACTTTTAATATGCTGCTGAATTTGGTTTGCTAGTATTTCATTGAGGATTTTTGCGTCAATGTTCATAAAAGATATTGATCTGTAGTTTTCTTTTCTTCTCATGTCGTTGTCCAGTTTCGGTATGAGGTTGGTTCTGGCCTTTTAAAATGAGTTGGAAAGTGTTCCTTCCTCTTCCAATTTTTGAAAATTTTTAGAAATATTGGTGGTGTTTAAAATGTGTAGTAAAATTCACCAGGGAAACTATCAAGTCCAGGGCTTTTCCTTGTCAGGAGATTTTTGATTGCTGATTTAATTTCCTTACCAATTATAGGTATATTCATATTTTTTATTTCTTCATTATTTCATCTTGGTATATCTTGTTTCTAGGAATTCCTCAATTTCATCTAGGTTATCTAGTTTTTTAGTTTATAATTGTTCATAGTACTTTCTTATAATCCTTTTAATTCCTATAGAGTTGGTAATCACCATACTTTCATTTCTGCTTTTAGTAATTTGAATCTTCCCTCTTTTTTTCCTTAGTTCATCTAGCTAAAGATTTGTCAACTTTGTTGATCTTTACAAAGAACAAGCTTTTGGTTTTGTTGATTTTTCTCTATTTTTTGTACTATATTTTGTTTATCTGGCTGTAATCTTTAATATTTCCTTTCTTTTGCTGGCTTTAGGTCTAGTTTGTTCTTTTTTTTTTCTAGTCCCTTAAGTTGTAAAGTTAAATTGTTGATTTGAGATTGTTCTTGTTTTTTAATGTAAGTATAGTTATAAATTTTCCCCTTAGCACTGCTTTTGCTCTATCCCATACATTTTGCTATGCTGTGTTTTCATTTTTATTTATTTCTACTTACTTTCTTATTTCCCCTTTTACTCTTCTTTGATTCACTGATGGTTTAATTTTTACAAATTTATGAAATTTTTAGTTTGCTTCTGTTACTGATTTCTAACTGTATCCCGTTTTGGTTGGGGTAGTTACTTTGCACGATATCTACCTTTTAAAATCTACTGAGACTTAATTTCTGACCTAGTATGTGGTCTGATATGGTTTGGATGTTTATCTCCTTCAAATCTCATGTTAAAATATGATTCCCAATGTTGGATGAGGAGCCTGGTGGGAGGTGATTGGATTATGGGGGCAGACCTTCATGATTGGTTTAGCACCAACTCCTTGGTGATAGATGAGTTATTCTTAGTTAGCTCGCACATTATCTGATTATTTAAAAAACTCTGAGACTTCCTCCTTTTCTCTCTCTTGCTTTCTCCTGCTCCATGTGATGCACCTACTCCTCCTTTGCCTTCCGTCATGATTGTAAACTTCCTGAGGCTTGCACCAGGAGCAGATGCTGGAGGAGCAGATACATGTACAAACTGCAGAATCATGAGCCAATGAAAACCTCTTTTCTTTATAAATTACCCAGCCTTAGGTATTTATAGCAATGCAAGAATCGACTAACACATGTTCTAAACTGGAAAATGTCCTTGTGCACTTGAGAAGAATGTGCATTTTGTTGGTGTTGAGTACAGTGTTCTATGTGTATCTGTTAAATATAGTTGGTCCAATGTTCTGTTCAAGTCCTCTGTTTCCTTACTTATCTTGTGTTGGTTGCTCTAGCCATTATTGAGAGTGGGGTATTTAAGTCTCCAACTATTATTGTAGAACTGTTTACTTCTCCTTTCAATTCTGTCAATTTCTGCTTCATCTATTTTGATGGTCTATTATTAGATGTGTAAATGTTTATAATTATTTTATTGTCATACTGTATTGAACTTTGTATTGAAACATATGTTCTTCTTTGTCTCCTGTTACCTCTTTTTGATTTAAAATTTGTTTTTTTCATTAGAGTAGCCACCTCTATTGTCTTTTGGTTAGTATTTTCATGGAATTATTTGCAGTTCATTCATTTTCAATCCATTTGTGTCTTTAGAGCTAATGTGAGTCTCTTGCAGGCAGAAGATAGTTGGATCATGTTTTCATTTATTAATTCTGACAATCTCTGCCTTTTGATTGGAAAGGTTAATACATTAACGTTTAAAGTAACTACAGTTCTCTCTTGGTATCTCTGGAGAATCAGTTCCAAGACTTCCTATGTATACCAAAATTCACAGATGCTCAAATCCCTTATATAAAATGGCATAGCATTTGCATAAAATCTATGCTTATTCTCCTGTATACTTTAAATCATTTCTAAATCACTTATAATACCTAATAAAATGTTGGTGCTATCTAAGTAGTATTACATAGCATTTGTAAACTGTATTTTTATTTATATTGTATTGATTTTCATTGCTGTATTTTTTTCAAACGTTTTTGATCTGTAGTTAATTGAATCTGGGAATGCAGAGCCCACAAATACAGATGGATGATTGTACTTTAAAGAAGAGAGTTACTCCTGTAATTTTTCTCTATTTGTTTTCTATTTGCGTTATAGCTTTTTGTCCCTCATTTCCTGCATTACTGTCTTCTTTTGTGCTTGGCTAATTTTTTATGAACATTTTAATTTTTTCTCATTTCCTCTTGTTTATATTCTACAGCTCTTTTGTGGTTATTCTCCTATTACATTTAACACCCTAAATTTATAACACTCTAGTTTGAATTTATACCAGCTTAACTTTAATAACATACAAAAACCATACTCCTTGATAGCTCTATTTCCACTCCTTTCAGTAGTTAATATCACAAAATTACATCTTACATTGTATGTTCAAAACATAAACTAATTTTTTATTCTATTAGTCTTTTAATTACTTAGAAAACAAAATATGGAGTTCCAAACCAAAGTTCCAGTAATACTAGTTTTTTAAATGTATTAGTTTCACATCATGTAGGAAATAATTGCCCATGTAATAATTAACCTTTATTTCTTTATATGGCTTTTAGTTACTGTCTTGTGTCCTTTCATTTCAATCTGGAGAATTCCCTTTAGCATTTTTTGGAGAGAAGTTCTAGTAGTCATAAATATCCTTAGCTTTTTTTGCAACCTGGGAATGTGTTGATTTCTTTATTAATTTTGAAGGACAATTTTACTGGATATAGAATTCTTGATTAACTGTTTTTTGTTTTGTTTTGTTTTGTTGCTTTCAGCAATTTGGATATAGCTGCCCACTGCCTTTTGGCCTCCAGAGTGTCTGATATCTACTGATAATCTTATTGAGGATACCTTGTATGTAATAAGTTGCTTGTCTCCTGCAGCTTTCAAAATTCTTCTTTTCTTTGGCTTTTAACAGTTTGATCATAATGTGTTTTGATGTGAGTCTCTTTGAGTTCATCCAATTTAAAGTTTATTTGGCTTCTTGAATGTTTGGGAGGCTTTCTGACTATTTATTTATGTATTCTCTCCCCCACTTTTTCTCTCTTCTCTCCTTCTGGGTTCCCACAGTACATATCCTGGTCCACTTGATGGTGTCCTACAGGTCCTTTAGGCTTAGTTCAGTTTTCTTCAATCTCTTTTTCTCTCTGTTTCTAAGACTCAATAATTTCCATTGTCTTATCATCATGTCCACTGGTTCTTTCTTCTGCCTGTTCAAATCTGCCTTTGAATTCTTCTAATGAGTTTTTAATTTCAGATATGGTAATTTTCAGCTTCAGAATTTTTGTTTTGGTTTCTTTTTAGGTGTTTTATTTCTTTATTGATATTTCCATTTTGTTCATACATATTTCTCTTGACTTTCTCCATGTCTTCTTTTAGTTCTTTGAGGATCTTTAAGACAGTTGTTTTAAAGTCTTTGTTTAGTAGATCCATCATATTTTTTTCCAGGGACAGTTTCTGTGGATTTATTTTTCTTTTAAATGGGTTATACCTGTTTTTTTGTACAATTTGTGGATTTTTAAATTGAAACTCTAGATTTCAATCTAATAACACTGTAACTGTGGAAATCAGATTCTCCTTCTTCCCCAAGATTCACTGATTTTTTTCTTTTTGTTTTTTCTTTTATTGTTGTATGCTGTCTTTGTGCTGAGAATCTACCTGAGGTATAAATTTAAGGAGCTGTGCCTTTGCTTACGCATGCACAGTGACTTTCTAATTTTCCCCATGTATGCAATTGCCTTGAATGTTATAGTCTTTAAGGTCTTGCTTCCAAAAAGTGGGGGAATTGAAGATGGCAGGGATAGTCACTGGATTTTTTTTTTTTAGACGGAGTCTCTCTCTGTCGCCCAGGCTGGAGTGCAGTGGCGCAATCTCGGCTCACTGCAAGCTCCGCCTCCCGGGTTCATGCCATTCTCCTGCCTCAGCCTCCCGAGTAGCTGGGACTACAGGCACCCACCACTACGTCTGGCTAATTTTTTGTATTTTTTAGTAGAAACAGGATTTCACCGTGTTAGCCAGGATGGTCTCGATCTCCTTATCTTGGGATCCACCTGCCTTGGCCTCCCAAAGTGCTGGGATTACAGGTATGAGCCACTGTGCCCGGCCATCTCTGGTTCTTTAAATCTCTTGGAAGTCACTTCAACTAGAGGGAGACAGACTTGTTACAAATCAGGAGAGGTGCAACAATAATGACTGCCTGCCTCTTTGTCTGCACCTCTATAGTCATAAGCAGTAACCAGCAACCGAAGCACAGATCTCTGATATTTGAAGGGCAGGATTCTCTTTGCTTATCCTGGTTCCTTTGAGGTCTGTGCAAACTGTTTCAGAAACATATGCATGGCTGTCTGCCACAGAGATGGGGGAATGGATAGCTGCTACTGTGCTAAAAGCTGAAATTGACTGAAATCAACCACAATTTACTGTCCCTGCCTTCCCCTGGAAATTTCAAACCTTCAATAGGCTTCAAAATTCCAAAATAGTTACATCAGAAAGATTGTGCCAGTGCGGTTATTGCCTAGGTGGGGAAACAGATTCCTGGTGCTTCCTAAACTGCCATTTTCCAAGAGTCTTCTCCTGTTCCAGTTTTAATATGCACAGGAAAATAACATTAACTCTTCTTGGTAGGAAAGCATCTCTGAATTAGTAAAATATATGAATTAAATATGTTTAATGTGGAGTTTGATTATTTTTATACTTAAAATAATTAGAGGCTAACAATATGTTGTTTGCTAAAGTGGCATTCAGAGGACCCCTTTCGTGAATGCAAAATATTATTTTAATTATACATACCAAATATTTATATTTACATGTAGCTGTACATTTTTTGGAAAATGTTTTTTCTCTTAAGTTGCTTTAAAATCCTATTTACAATCATTTTAAAACCAAAATTTATTTAGCAAGCTCTTCTTTCTCACCCCATTGAACTTGTGCTATGTAAGTTCCTATCCAATGAATCATCAATATTAAATTAAGGCATTCTAAATTTTCCTAAAATAGTAGCTATCATGATTATGTTCCATATCTTCTACATTAACTGTATAAAGCTGGGATCTACATTAACTATCTCCTCAGTGAAGCCTTCCCCAGTCACTGCATCTAAAATTTAAAAACCTCCTTATTCTCAACACTTCTAATCTCCCTTCTCAAGTGTTGCTTTTCTTCTTAACATTTATTGTTATCTAACACATTATTATATAGCTTAGTTTTTCTTATTCATTTTTTGTCTCTCACATTTGACTATACACTTCATAAAGGCAGAATTCTCTGCTTGTTCACTGCTGTATCCCTGTCACCTGTCACCTATCACCTAGGAAGTTGGTGCTACCAATATATGTTTCTTCAAACTCAATACCTTGCTTAACACCTAGTGAGAAGGTGTTTGGCATGTGATGTGATACTTGGAGGTGGCCATAGTGGATTGAATTATTTCCAAATGTTCTAGCAGATAAAAAATTGTGATAGTGAGAATTACCCAATTTAAATAACCATATTTCACCCTTGTCTGAAGCCACCTGGAGAGGAGACAGTTTACCAAACATCTTACTTTTGGACCCGGCATTCATGTAACCCTCTTTGTACACAGTATTTGGACACACAGTGACTCTTTTGTTAGGATTTGAGAGAAAGAGTTAGAGGGAGAAAATGACATTTTCTTTTCTGCTGGATGTAAGTAAACCTGGGATCAAGTGGGCCTGGGGCTCCAAGAAACCACCTTGGCATTTCATAGAAACCTAAAAATAAAGCCACTGACCAAGAGGCAGAACTAAAACATGGGTAATTAGTTCTAGAGGCATTCGTTGAGTGTCTGGATACAGCTATGTCTGAAAATGGTTTTGCCCCAACACTTTTTAGTAAGGAGAGCCAATGAATCCACTTACTACCACCCCTGGCAATTTTGTTTTTTGGGGATTTTGTTTATTTGTTTGTTTTTGGCTTAAGCCAAATTTAATTAGGTTTTCCATCATTGCACAAGAAGGAGCTGATAAAGATAGTGAATAACTAAATTTATAAAATGTATTCCAAAATTAGAGTATTGGGGTTACATTAAAAACTGGGTATAGTATGTTTCACAAGTAAAATTGACTCTGAAAGAAAAATAATATAACATCAGTTAAATTTGAAGATAATTTTTTAAACTTAAAAAATTAGAACTATTTTTAAGATAGATGGAAGGGTAGATGGATGGGTGGATGGAGAGAGAAAGAGAAAGTTTTATTTGGAGGTCTATGGTGACCTTTCAGGGACAGTGTTGAAATCTGGTTCATGATTAAAGCAGGGTGTGGTTAAAAGGGGCAGGGATGGAAAATTGTTTTTTGGCAACTTGTTAGAGATGTGGGGTTAAACTGTTAAAGAAGCCACAAAAGTCTATTGCCAGAAGAGAAAAATAAAAACCTTACAGCAGCTTTACACTGGGCCAAGCACTGTTAACTGCTTTAGGCATGGTCTCATTGAGTTCTAAAACTGATGTAGATTTTATATTATTATGAACATGTTAGAGATGGGGAGATTAGACTGGAGAAGTTAAATAATCTGTCCAAGTTTTCACAATAACCAGTGAAGACTGGGTTTGAACCCAGGTCTGTAAAATTGCTGGCCTCATGCTTTTACCAACTAAACAGATGTTCAGCCCTGTTGCCGCTTCTAATTTAGAAAAGATTTTATTGACACTTCTTTGCTCCCTTTCATGTTGAGGACTTTTTTTCCTCTAATGATTCTTATATCAAAATCCTCTTGATTGAAAATCATCATGCATGAAATACTGACTCATAACCATGGAAAAGTGTTTTATTTTTCCGGGAAATTTTCCTCTTCTCTGTCCCTCAGTCTGGATTATCATAAGGAAAATGGTTTTTCTCACTTGTCTTTGAATTAAAGAAAAACATATTATTTAATTTTTTAAAGCATGAAATCTCAATGTTCTTTTTTAACTGTGTCAAGGAGGGTTTTGTTTTGTTTGTTTGGCTTGTGTGTTTTTGTTCATTTTTCTGCAGTGAAGATGTGCAAAGCCTTTAAAATCTAAAGGAGGTAAAAATGGGATCTGTTCTGGCTTAGCATGCATCTTTAGATATGTCTTGGAAATCACTGGTCTATTGGTCAAAGTTGCCTGATAGCAGCACTATTTTCAGGAAGTAACTTCCTAGAAGAAATTCACTTTCTTAGCTTCTCCAGGATGGGTTGAGTTCTACTTGATCCTTGCTGATGAATGGCAAATATGTATGTTTGTGAGAGTCTCATACAGGATATTCTGGGGTCTGCTTTTACCTCTAACGGGAACATATTCTCAGTCTAGGCAAATGCTGGTTAATATTGGGGTGTCTACAGAGAGGTGAGGATCTTGGCCAATTAGAATTGATCGAATTAAGATTTCCTACTAGCTGAGGCAGACTGATTTTTTTCCATTTGTTACATTTTAAAGCATCTTTAAAACTATTTTTTACATTAAAATGTGAGGACCTGAAAGTTTATATTCATCAGAAGTAAAAAGAAATTTAACAAAACCTATTAAGTGTGAAAAAGACACAGATTTTTTTTTGCTGACCACCCAGGTATCACACGCAAGTTACTTTTCCTTCCATACATACACCTTCTCAGTTTAGGCCAATAAGAATTTTCCTAAAACTAGTACAGTGTGTGCTTTGAACATAAGACTTTTGGAAATAAACTTCTTTCAGGCATCCAAATATCCTGGAAGGAAAGTAAGAGGCAGCTTTTAAAAACTTGAAAATGAAGGCGATTAGAAAGAACTTTGAGGAAGGGCAGCTCTTCTGTTGGGAAGGGGAAAATGAGGTTTTAGTATGGGAGCAGAATTCTCCTGGAACAGAGAAGAGAGAAGCCACTGCATGTGGTCCTTAGGCCAGCCATGTATCCTGAAGAGGGAACACAAAGTTGGAAAGCATCTTTCTGGTGATTTCCCACCAGGTCAATAACATGCAGTCTGCTTCTGAGAATATGTAACTAGAGAACGTTCCCTCTCTTAACTGCATAGCTGTGACATTGGTAAGCAAGAGTACTTACTTTATCATTCAACTGAGGTCATATTATATAAAATGATAACTATCACCATGCCTTGCATCAGGGCATTGGGAACTTTGGCATAGTTGCCATGGCATCCTCCCGGCAGAACAATTGGAATCCTGTCACTATTGTTAAATAATGCTGGGCCCTGGCTAGTCTCTACCCTCAGAAGTTATTCTCATGCTTATTTATAAAGGCTACATTCAAACTTATTTTTAAAAGTTGTTAGATTTAAGAAAGGAAATATGTGATAAGAGTATATTTAATGTGAGATTCATATTTTGATACATGACACAAAATTCAGCCTTTGAGGGAAAGGTATCACTAGAAATACATGGCATGGAAGAATCAAACACAACCTGAAGATGTTTTAAGTGCTGATAAAACAAAGACCAAACATTATTAGGCTCATCAGTCTATTTCTCTTAAAAAATTAAAAGAGAGAAAGGGGGATAGGGAAATGTGGTGCACATTGAGGCAGTAGCTGTATGCCATGAAATGGCCAGCTTTACAATTATAGATTATTTTATTCTAGGCAGCTTTCTCAGACACTAAGAACAACAGTATGTGACTCATGGTAGGCACTCAAATCGTTGGCCATCTATCTAAAGTGATTAATCTAGTTTTCAGTCAACAATGAATGAATTAGATAAATAATTCTATAATAGTATTTCAATAAATATTCAATAGATATTATTTATTGGTAGATCATTAATTACTATGCAAATATAATTTCTAGATGAAAAGTACAGACCTAAGTCATTAATTGAGGCTCTCATTAGGGGGAAGAATGATGAAAAAACAACAACAGAGAAATTAGATATCCTGCTAGATGATTTAAACATATTGATACATGTGCTAGTCAATGCATTTAACAAGAAAAGAAATAACAAAAGAAGAATCCACTTTAAAATTCTGTTCTTAGAAGTTCTAGCCAGAGCAATCAGGTAAGAGAAATAAATAAAAGGCATACTAACGGGAAAAAAGGCTAATTATTTCTGATATGATTTGCTGATATGATTCTATATCTAGAAAACCCTAAAGACTCTGCCAAAAGGCTTCTAGAACTGATAAACACCTTCAGTAAGGTTTCAGGATACAAAATCAACATACAAAAATCAGTAGCATTCTTATACACCAATAACATTCAAACTGAGAGTCACATCAAGAACACAATCCCGTTTATAATGGCACAGAAAAAAAAACCATAAAATGCTTAGGAATACATTGAACCAAGGAGGTGAAAGATATCTACAAGAATTACAAAACGCTGTGGAAAAAAGATCAAAGATGACACACACAAATGCAAAAATATTCTATGCTCATGGATTGGAAGGATTAATATCACTAAAATGGCCACACTGCCCAAAGAAATCTACAGATTCAATGCTATTACTATCAAACTACCAATGTCATTTTTTACAGAATTGGAAAAATCTATTCCAAAATTTATATGGAACCAAAAAAGAGCTAAATAGTCAAAGCAATCCTAAGCAAAAAAATAACAAAGCCAGAGACATCATGTCTCCTGACTTCAAACTATAGTATAAGGCTACAGTAATCAACACAACATGGTACTACTACAAAAACAGACACATAGACCAATGAAACAGATTAGAGAACCCAGAAATAAAGCTGCACATTTACAACCATCTGATCTTTGACAAAGTTAGTAAAAATAAGCAATTAAGAAAAGACTTTCTAATCAATAATTGGCACTGGGATAACTGGCCAGCCATATGCGGAAGAATGAAACTGGATCCCTATTTCCACCATGTAGTTTTATAGTTCGGATTCTTATATTTACATCTTTAATTAAAGATTTAATATTTAAAGATTTATATATAAGACCCCAAACTATAAAAATCTTAGAAGAAAACCTAGGAAATACCATTGTGGACATCAGCCTTAGCAAAGAATTTATGACTAAGTCCTCAAAAATAATTGAAACAAAAACAAAATTTGATAAGTGGGACCTAATTAAACTTAAAGAATTTTTGTGCAGCAAAATGAACTATCAACAGAATAAACAGACAACTTATAGAATGGGAGGAAATATTTGCAGACTATATGTTTGACAAAAGTCTAATATCCAGAATCTATAAGGAACTTAATTCAACAAGCAGAAAACAAAGAATCCTGTTTAAAAGTGGGCAAAGGACATTAACAGATAATTCTCAAAGAAAACATACAAGCAGCTAACAAACATAGAAAAAAATGCTCAACACCACAAATTAGCAGAGAAATGCAAACCAAAACCACAATGAAATATCATCTCACACCTGTAAGAATAATGACTATTACTAAAAAGATTTTTAAAAAAATAGCAGATTCAGGCAGGGCTGCAGAGAAAAGGGAATGCTTACACAGTGTTGGTGGGAGTGTAAATTAGTTCAGCCACTGTGAAAAGCAGTTTGGAGATTTCTCAAAAGAACTTAAAGCAGAGCTACTATTCAACCCAGCAATCTTATTACTGGACATATATCCAAAGGAAAATAAATCGTTCCAAAAAAAAAAGATACATGCACTTGTATATTCATAACAGGACTATTTACAATAGCAAAGACATGGAATCAACCTAGGTGCTCATCAGCAGTGGATTGGAAAAAGAAAATCTGATGCATATACACTGTGGAATACTGTGCAGCCATGAAACAGAATGCGATTATAGCCTTTGCAGAAACATGGATGCAACTGGAGGCCATTATTCTAGCTGAATTAATGCAAGAACAGACAACCAAATACCACAAACATGTTCTTGCTTATAAGTATGAGCTAAACACTGGGTACATATAGACATAAAGATGGAAACAATAGACACTGGAGACTACTGGGGGAGAAGGGGAGGGAGTCAAGGGCTGAAAAACTACCTATTGGGTACTATGGTCACTACCTGGATGATGGGATCATTCATATCTGAAACCTCAGCGTCACCTAATATACTCATGAACAAACCTGCACATGTACCCTCTGAATTTAACATAAAAGTTGAAATTATAAAAAATAAATAATTAAAATGTTAAAAAATTTTTTGAAGAATCCTGCTTTTGCATTCTAGAACTTTTCAGAAACCGCAGCAGAGGTTCATTTTGTCCAGGCTTGGTGTAAATTAGCATCAAATAGATGGACTGAATTGCTCCATTTTGGTGTGGACAGTTATCAAGAGCTTGGAAAAGAAGTCTGTGCACAAGAGCCTGCAATATGCCAAGAGTCAGTCAGCTGAGAAGATCTTTTGTAAATATATACTTCGCTATGCAGAATTTCTTTTAGAGATACCAGACTACTTGGAATAAAGGAGATGTATCTGGGCCTCCACTTCAAACTCAAAACAAGATCTCATTCAAACACTAAAAATATTTGGCCAAGCTTGTTCCTAATAATGCCTCTGGATTTTGAGATTTGGGCCTGTCAGATCATAAACAACAGTGATTAAGTATCCACTAGGTACAATGTGTAAGTGAGATTGGGGTTCTAGGGGGAGGTACAAGAAAAGCTTATGATATGGTCCTTCACCTCTGAGAGCTTATGGCCCAGTGGAAAAAGGACTACCACATAATTGCTTACAAGAAATGCTGGACTAGAGCATGCTTTTAGCCAAATTGCTAAAAAAAAAAATAAAAAACAATTTCCAAAGTTGTTTAATCATCATGCTTGTTGGCAGTCTTTCCTTTCAAGAGTCCCTCCCTGCTTGCTTTGTATCTTACACAAAATCTCATGTGGCCTACTCAGGAGCCATGTATTCCAGAACACCGCCCACGGAACATACCCAGGTGCCTGCAGCCAAGAGCCGATATGTTCTCTATTTAATATTTATGATCTTCCATACTGGTAAAAGTCATTATTGTATTGTCATTAGAAAACTTTTCTGGCTAAACAAAGCTGAGGGAAGTTGCTATTAACTTCTGAGACTAGAAACAAATGCAATATTGCTGATGGTTGTGCTTTCTAATTATTTGCAGATGACCTCAGCCATGTGAATGTACAGAGGGAATGCCAGACTTGAGCACTAGTTTTTCAGCATTAGGATTTTTTTTCTTTTTTCAAACCACCAAGTTTGTTTACTAGTCACTTTAATCAAGATAACTAGGACAAAACAGAATAGAAACAGCAGTGACTGTGCAAAAAAAAGAAAACTGATTCACTATGAAGTGTCATAATCTTAAGTTTGGGTGGGACACAGTAATCATTTGAAACATCCCTTCACCTTCAAGTAGGTCCATTCTTAGACTATCAAGACTTTCTCCCTCATTATATATATACATATCTTTATATATTTTATGTGTAAATATATGTGTATGTTCATTTCCACCGCTGTACAGTAGTCCATTGCATGAATTCACATACCACAGTTTATTTATCTATTCCACTCTAAATGGAAATTTGGGTTGTTTCTAAGAACAACTACTGTATGGACATGCTGCCATAAACATTTTTATACTTGCATTCTGGTGCATGTGTTTCTCTCTAGCAGGGTTCTTAAAGGGTGATCCTTGGGAGGACCTCAAGACACTTTCATGGGGTCTGTGAGTGCAAAACAATTTTCATGATAATACTAAGACTTTATTTTCCCTTTCCACTTTCAGTCTTTCATGAATGTAGAATGGAATTTTCCAGAGGCTACATCACGTGCAACACTGTGCCAGACCAAAAGCAGAAGCAGATAGGAAAATCCAGCTTTCTTCTAGTAAGTCAGATATTAAAGAGATTTGTAAAACTAAAACTATGCTGTTTTTCCCCTAAAATTTGTCTTGCTATGGAAATAATTATTTTGATTAAAATGCTATTTAGGTTAACATC
Source organism: Homo sapiens (assembly GCF_000001405.40). Taxonomy (NCBI): domain Eukaryota; kingdom Metazoa; phylum Chordata; class Mammalia; order Primates; family Hominidae; genus Homo; species Homo sapiens. The sequence continues at coordinate 170,403,782 of NC_000001.11, forward strand.
TAATTTTAATACTCTTATAACAACATTGTTATTTTAAATAAGTAGATATTTTAACTTTTTCTTATTTTTAGTGTCAAATACAGTAAATGTCTATAGGTATAACCAACATAAACACAGCTTGTAATAATTTTTGAGAAAATTATTAAGTTTGAGGACCACTGCACTGGATCGTAAGGTACATATCTCTTAAAATTTAATAGCTAATGCCAATCTGTTACTAAAGATGTTGGATGTTTCTTTCTCCCACCAGCAGCATATGAGAGTTTCCACTGCTTCATATACTCAACGTCACTTGGTTTTGTCAGATTTCTGTCTTCAAATCTGATAGAATATTAACATATGTCATTACAGATTGGCTTTACATTTTTCTGATTGCTAATAAGATTGCATCCCTTTGACTTTCTTTTTATAAATTGCCTGTTGAAGTTTTTTGTGCATTGTTTTCTATTTAAGTGTCTGTCTTAATTTTGGACAGGTAAAAACTTGATATATTCTGAAATATAATTTTTTGGTCAATTATACATGCTGCAGGTATGTGTTAAAACACAATACTGATTATTTTTATAGTGTTTCTATGATTTTCTTGATGAATGGAAGTATTTAATTTTACATAGTCAATTTATCAGTCTTTTACTTTATGGTTACTTGAAGAAATACTACCCTATCCAGCAATTATTCTTGTTTATTACTTCCTATAAGCTTTATATTTTTATTTTCAAATTTTGGCTTTAACCTTATCTGGAATTTACTTTTATGTGTGGTTTCATTTATAAGTCCATTTTTATTTATTTCCCACTTGTATCCTCGATTGTCCTAGTATCATTTGTTGAAAATTTCCCCACTAATTTCTCATGCCGCCTTTGTCATACATCAGGTGTCAATCTATGATTTGTCTTGTTTCTGGGCCTTTTTATTGAGTCTCATTGGTCTATTTGTTTGTCCCTGTGCAAAACCACATTGTCTTAATTACTATGTCTTTGTAATACATCTGAATATATGATAAAGCAAGTTCTCACATTCTTCTTCTTTAAAAGTATCTTGTGTTCCTGACCCCCTCTTGTATTTTAATCTTATGCTACTTCCCCCAACTAGTAATCACACAAAGTGTTGGACTAGTGCATTAAGCACAACAGTAGGAGAAATTTGTTGGTAGCAGATGAGTGCAGAAGTGAGCATTTAGGGCCCACAAAGGTTTTGTCTATTTCTAGTTTAAATGAAGAAATATGTCCATGAATTCTTTTAAGAATTAATTTTACCTATTAATAAACAAAATAAATTGGGATGGGAAATTCCATTTGTTAGTCTTACTTGATTTATTGAGATGAGTCTGATAAGCTAATGAAATGGAAGCAAAGAAAGTGACAAGAAGACTTTCATTCTTCTAAATCTGTGGCTAAATCCTTTATTTCCTCCAAGTTTTCATTACCATATGAGAGTCCAACTCAGCCAAAATGGCTGTGCCTTGAGGCATTTCTTCCTGGAGTGATTTGAGAAGAGAGAATAAGTAAATCACTTTTATATACCAGAACCTGCATCAGAGCTGGTGCACAGTAGGTCCCAATAAATAATGATTGTATTATTTTCTTAATTACTGAATGACTTTGTCATGACTTAATTAGTGAATGACTTTGTCATTGAGTCAGAACCTTGCATTTCAAAAAAAGCCTCTAAATGTGTGCTATGGTCTGATGTTGGTGCCCCCCAAAATGCATATGTTGGAACTTAGTAGCCAATGTGAGAGTACTAAGAGGTAGGGCCTTTGGGCAGTGATTAAGTAATGAGGGCTCCACCCTCAGGAAGCAAATTAGTGCCCATATAAAAGAGGCTCAAGAACGCTCCCTTACCCCTTCTGTCATGTGAGGACACAGCAACAAAGTGCCATCTATGAAGCAGAGAGCCTTCACCACACATTTTAACTGCTGGCACCTTGATCTTGGACTTCCCTGCCTCCAGAGCCGTGAGCAATAAATTTCTGTTGTTTTTAAATTACCCAGGCTAAAGTATTTTGTTATAGCAGCAGGAACAGACTCACAATATGCTTCTAAAAAATATATTCATTAAGATAAGATAAAATATTCAGGCCTCTCCCCATTTTAAAAAAAAATGGCTTTCCAATTCTACTATTAACCACACCAGGTTGGCATCTTCTTTTACAAATCTTCGTTTAGGAACTATTTCCTCACTAACTCTTCGTTCTTAATTCTGTGAAATTTGGCTTCCACCACTCTATTTCTCCAGTCACTGCTGGCTCAAAGGTTAATCTCCAAATTGTCAAATTCAAAGCTTTTATTTTTAAATCTGAGGATAGGATCCTTTTTCAAGGATAACTACTTATAATATAATTATATTGTGAACCCCTCTTTTCCATGAATATTTTGTCTTTGGTGAACAAAGATTGTAAGTAGCACTGCGTATAGCTCAAATGCCAACATCTACATGAGACTTTCTCTAAGCACCCTGTTGAAGAATTATCTCATCTTTCTTAGAAAACCTATGCGTTTGCCTGAACATATTTACCAAGTGTCATGGTTAATACTGTGTCAACTTGATTGGATTGAAGGATGTAATATTGATCCTGGGTGTGTCTGTGAGGATGTTACCAAAGGAGATTAACAGTTGAGTCCATGGGCTGGGGAAGGCAGATCCACCCTTAATCAGCTGCCAACGAATAAAAAGCAGGCAGAAAAACCTAAAAAGGCGAGATGGGCCTAGCCTCCCAGCCTACGTCTTTCTCCCATGCAGGATGCTTTGGGCCCTAGAACATTGGACTCCAAGTTCTTCAGTTTTGGGACTTGGACTGGCTCTCCTTGTTCCTCAGCTTGCAGACAGCCTATTGTGGGACCTTATAATCATGTAAGTTAATACTTAATAAACACCCATATAGATATATAGATATCCTATTAGTTCTGTTCCTCTAAGAGAACCCTAATACTCCAAGTGTGATGCGTATTATACTGGTGTACTGTTAAATTAGTCAGTTTGTGAAAATCTCTAGCACCAAGTGAGATGATGTACTATAATCCCTCATAATAAAGCATATTAGCATGTTAAAGGTTTCAATAAGCCTCACAAATAAAATTGTTTAAGTTTGGTTCAGCATTTACAAAATCTTTGGCATAAAATCATTTTTCATTTGTAACACCTATTAACATCTCGGGGTCATAAATAGTGTATGAAACATGATTTAGGAAATGCTACTCTACTATTCATTTGACTTTTATGATTTGTGACATTTTAGTTACTTGCACACACAACTTTTCTCCCTCTCTAGAAGTGCCCTCGAAGTGGGGACCATGTCATACATACTTGTTATCCCCATGAAACCATGCTTTTCTCCCAAGGGCCACTAAAAAACAATTCAGGCACAGACAAAGCTATAAGCCTGTAGTCCTGGACATTACGGAGGGATTACAATTCTGAATCTGAGGAATTTTATTTGTAATCCAGTAAGAATTACTGGCTTAAAGTCATAGTGAAAAGGTCAACTATTGTACTTGAGTTGAAACTGGAAATAACTGAGGGAGTCCAAACATGGTTTTAAGCTATGTCAAGATGGTTTAAGGAAAGAAAACATGAAATAGTAAAGTTACATTCCTGGGTGTATAGGATGTGGCTGTTAGTAATGTATCCAGATTAGTGTGTTGCAGAAAATTGCCCGTTGATCACATGCATCAGAATTCCTTGGGGGAAGCTTGTTGAAACACAGGTTCCTGAATGCCATTGCAGACCCACTGAATTATTTGAGATTTGGATCCCATAGTACCTGCAAATTTGTTTTAATACAATTCCTAAATGATTTTATACCCATTGAAGTTTGAGAACAAATGTTGAAAATGTATAAGGCTTGGCATTTTCAAAGGAAATACTTTTCCCTTTACATTTTAGGAAAGTCATTGCCTTAAGAGACAACATATTTATTCTAATGACATTGCTATTTCTCAATCCAAACTTTTTTTGGAAATACTCCTTTTGTGTTGCCATAACAGCTTCTAAAGCATTCTTTGGTATCTGCTTAGTGGTGCAAATCTGCACTTTTAAAGAGTGGATTTGAACGTTAGCAACTGCCACAGTCATGTAGGAGCATGTCTGGTGAGTGAGGTAAATGACCAAGCATATGCACATTTTCACAATCACTATATTTGTAATGAAAATTGTTAAAATGTTACATTTGTCTTGTTGAAACAAATATTTAAAATGTTATGTTTCTAAACAATCCTGAAAATACATTTATGCATTGCTGTTGTACCAGAAACATGCACACATAGACATCAATTCAAGATGAAGCCTCAAATTTCATCCATGTTGATGACTTTTAAGCACAGATGTTTTAGGATCAAGTTTGTATATAAAATAAAGAAAGCCAGAAGCCACAATGAAGGGGGTTCCTGGGGATTGTATCACCAATTTTTAAATAACACTTTCACTTGGTTATTGTTGCTTGATCTGATGAAAATCTATTGTTTTAAATATCTACTTTTTGTGTACTAATTTCTGTCTTGACCCCACGTTCTTTACTGGGTTCTTGGTTTCTGAGTCCTGGTGCCTCAAAGAAGTGCAGTTATTTGAACAACTCACTACAGATTCATATTCTCCTGGCACCAAGGAGAGAATAGTAGTGACAAGTCATGAGCAAATCAGCATGTAATTTGTTAGGTGTATGAATTAAATGCCATTGCAACTTTCAAGGCCTTCTAAGTTCTAAACAAGTTCACAAAAATAATTTCACCATTACAAAAACAATCCAAACATCTCAAAACAGCTTTCCCTCAGTTAAATTTATTGTCAAACATCTTACAGAATCACTTAAGTTTTCTAAGCCTTAGTCTTGTCATACAGCAAATATACATAATAGTGAAATTGACTTTAAGGAATTTTTGAAAGAATTAAATAAAATAATGCAAGTAAACAGCTTACCATAATGAGTAACACGCTAACTGATCAAATGTTAGCAATTGTTACTATCGGCATGTAAAGCAATTGGCACAGTACTTGGCTTATGTGGTTGAATAAATTATATCTATTACTGTTGTTAATTTTTTAAAAACTAACTGATGAAAAGTCAGATTCTCGTTTTATTGATATGTATTACATATACATATTTTGGGGGCACATATGATAATTTGACATATTCATATAATCAAATCAGGGTAATTGGGATATTTATCACCCTAAATATTTATATTTTCTTTATGCTAAGATATTCTAATTATTCTCTTCGATCTCTTTGAAATGTATAATCAATTAATGTTAACTATAGTCACCCTACTGTTGTACTGAACACAAGATCCTATTTCTTCTGGGTGCATGTTTATACTCATTAACCAATCTCTTTTCATACCCCCTCCTCACTACCCTTCCTGGCCTCTGATAACCATCAATCTACTCTCTATTTTTATGAGATCCACTTTTATAAGTCACACAGATGAGTGAGAACATGTGATATTTGTCTTTGTGTGCTTGGCTCGTTTCACTTAACATAATGACTTCCAGTTCCATCCATCTTGCTGCAAATTACAGAATTTCTTTTTTTATGGCTGAATAATATTTCATTGTAGATAGATAGATAGATCACATTGTATACCACATCTATATACATCTCACATTTTCTTTATCCATTCACCCATTGACGACCACATAGTTTGATTCCATATTTTGGCTATGGTGAATAGTGCTGCAATAAACACAGAAGTGCAGATATCTCTTTGATATATTGATTTTCTTTCTTTTGGAGATATACGCAATAGTGGAATTCCTGGATCATATGGTAGTTCTATTTTTAGTTTTCTGAGAAACCTCCATACTGTTCTCCACAGTGGCTGCACTCATGTACATTCCCAACAACAGTGGGAGGGTTCCCCTTTCTTTACATTGTTGCCGGTATCTGTTATTCTGTCTTTTGATAAAAGCCATTCTAACTGGGGTGAGATAATATCTCATTGTAGCTTTGATTGCATTTCCCTGATGATTAGTGATGTTGAGCATTTTTCATATACCTGTTGGTCATTTATATGTCTTCATTTGAGAAATGTCTATTCACATATTTTGCCCATTTTTAAATCGGATTATTTGTTTTTGTGCTATTGAGTTGTTTTAGCTCCTTATATATTCTGGTTTTGAATCCCTTGACAGATGGATAGTCTGCAAATATTTTCTTCCATTCTGTGGTTCTCTTCATTTTGCTGATTGTTTCCTTTGATGTGCAGAAGTGTTTTAGCTTGATATAATCTCATTTGCCTATTTTTGCTTTTGTTGCCTGTGCTTTTGAGGTCTTACACAAAAAATCTTTGCTCAGACCAATGTCCTGGAGCATTTTCCCAACATTTTCTTCTAGTGGTTTCATAGTGTTAGGTCTTAGATTTAAATATTTAATTCCTTTTTATTTGACTTTTGTATATCGTGAGAGATAGGGTCCTAGTTTTATTCTTCTGCATATGGATATACAGTTTTCCCAGCATCATTTATTTAAGAGGCTGTTCTTTCATCATTGTATGTTCTTGGCTCCTTCTTTGTTGAAAATGAGTTGTAAGGAAGATTCTTTAATCAATAATTTAATTAACTCAGCCATACATCCCCCTAGAGTAGGCACAATACCAAATTATTTAGTTTTTGGACACTCTCTAATGTATTTTCTATCCTAAATAGATATTGTTAAAAGCATAGATTCCTATATGGAGCCTTACTTTTTGGTTAGGATTTGTCCATACATTAAAAAAAAATCACTGCATTCTGAAATTAGCTAAGACTTTAGTCAAGTACTTTCCCACCAGGGAAAAGACAGGAATTAAACTGAGACCTTACGCATTCAAATAAATGTTCGCAAGAGCTAAGGAATGCTTGGTGTGTTCACAACTAGTAAAAATAACCTAGGGTGAAGAAAGATGACTGAGTCATCTCATATTCCAGACCCACTTTTTAAAAATCCTAACTTGAAGGTCAAAAAAGTTCAGTAAACTTCTCATTTCTATTTTTTTCTCCTCCTCTTTCTTCCTTTCTTTGTTGCTTTCTTTCTTTTCTTTTTCTTTTTTTTTTTTTTGTACTGTGCCCTCTGCCCTCTGCAATTCTTGGCTCTTACAAGAGTAGGGGAAAAACTGCCTAAATATCATGAGATAGGTGGCCCTCAGGGGTACTTCTTGTCAAGCAGGAAGTGCCAAAGATCTTGTAAAATGTCCAATACAAATTTTATTTTGCAGACTCTAGAGGTTTGCATCTGGATACACATCTGCATTTTCTGGGTGCTGGGCCAAACTGAAACATTCAGTTTATCCATTGCTAATAAACATGTCAGCAGTTTCTTTGCTCTCACATCTGTTGTGAAAAATGTTATCTTTCCTGAAGTATATTTATTTTGTCTTTAATACCAGCTTTCATGGATTACAAACTCAAGATATGCCTTCAGTTAACAAATTCAAAAGCATATGCTGGAAGGTGCCTCACTAGAGTGATGAGATAAATTAAAGATGTATATTATATCTTAGATTCTGAAGAGGAAATCAGTGTAAGGAATAACGATGACTCTCAGGAAGGTTATGTCAATTGAAACAAGTTGCCTGTTAATCAAGTTCATCTCAAAATCTATTCAAGGTACTCTATGCATCACAGCAATTCGACAAAATGTTTTAAAAATTTATCAGTTGTTTCATTATTAAGGCTGTCTTCAGTCAAGCAGATGACTTCCTTTCCTAAGGAAACCACCCCCAGGTACTTGCTTCTCCTTCTATATTCTCTAGAATACTTGCTTTACCCAACTCACTGATAGTGGGGCTATTAGAGAATCAAATGAGGTTTTGCTTATTCAGATGTCTGAAAAAGAAAACTGTAAGTTATTATGTGAATGAAAAATAATTGCCAATATTTCTTCCTCTTTTTATTTTTTCATTTTATCTCATAGTCAAGTGTATTCATTTCAAGAATTCATTCCATCCTCAGCAATTCTATCTCCTTGTCTTCCCTTATTAATCGCTCACCCTGTCAAAATATTTAATCGGTGGGAAATTGTTATCTCTCTCATATAGGTAAAAATTGCATTTTTGGAAATTCACCAGTATGTAGTTTAAACAAGCAAGTAAGAAAATCTTAGTATCAAATGTATGGTAATGTGATTAGGGCTGTCAAAGGCATATGTGTATCCTCTTCAGACTCTGATGTTATGGATATTCCTAATACCATATACCACCCTGTCGAACCCAAAGCTACTTTCTGCCCAACTGGGCAATAGCCAATCTCTGCTAAAGTCAGGGAGGGAATGGTGTGAAATTCCTTAACCTGTCACCTGTTCCTTCAGCAAACTGTGAACTCATTTATGAAGTTATTTGCTAAAGGATTAGAGCAATATCAGAAAGAAATGTACCATTGAAGGAATGGTGATGCGTTAATAAAAGAAAAATCAAAGATCCAATAGAGAGGATCAAAAAAGCCAAAAATGTATCTTCTAAAAGTCTAATAAAATTGATCCACTTTTGGTAAGATTAAAGGGAAAAAAAGGAGGCACAGATGAATAATATTATGAATACAAAAGAGGACACAACTGGAGAAGGAACTCCGTTTAAAAAGATAGCAAGAGACTATCATTAAAGCCTCTGTGCCAATAAATTTGAGGAATTAGGTGAGCTGCACACATTATTAGAAAAATGTAACTTAACCAAATGACAGAAGACATAAAAATCTTGAAGAACTTTTTATTATTAAAGGAATTCAATCCAATTAAATCTTCTCACAAATAGAGCACCTGGTAAAGACATTTTCAGATAAATTAGATCAAATATTTAAGAAACAGGTAATTTCAATCTTACACAAAACTTTTTCAAATAAGAGAAAAAGAGGAAAACTGCCCAACTCATTTTGTGAAGCTTGTTGTAGCCAAGATATTCTTAAAGAATTATATTGAAAGGACTCACCACACCAGAAATCTTTCCTTAATATAAAATTAATCTAATAAGTAAATATGCTATTGGTACAGATATAAACACATAGCCCAGTGGAATGAAATACAGAGCCCCAAATAAACTCAGCCAAATATGGAAACCTGATATATAACAGAGCTTTTGTTACAGATTAGTGAGGAAAGATTAGACTGTTCAATAAATAGTAGTGGTCCATTTGCCTATTCATAAGAAAAAGAAGATTATATCTCATACTACACAGTCATACAAAATCCATATAGCTCTAGAGAAAAATTTTACAGTTTTAGAAAGAACTAGCAGAATAATTCGTGAACCCAAGGCAGAGAAGGATTTCTTAAACAAAATTTTTAAAATGCTAATTATGAAGAAAAGTAAAGAAATTTGACTATATTAAAATTAGGAACTTTTGAACATCAAAAGGAAACCCCAAAAAAGTAAAAAAGTCACAAATTCATAGACAATATTTACAATACATTATGAACAAAAAGCCTAGAATCTAGAATATAAAAAGAACTCATATAAATAAACAACAGAAAGACAGACCATTCAATTTCTTAGAAGTAGGCAAAATGCATGAATATGCATGTTCATATATTAAAAGAGGAAACAGGAATGGCCTGTCTGAATGTAAAAATGTTCAACTGCATTAATAACTAGGGAAATGCATATTAATATTATGAATGAGATAAAATTTCACACACCCAAATTAGCAAAAAACAAAAACAAAAAACAGTTGGATAAATCCAAGTTTTGGAGAGATTGTGGAGTAATGGGAATATAAATGGTACAGTGACTTCAGGAAACAGTTTTACATTACCTAATAATGTTGAGGTATAATGTTGAAAATACTTATAGCCTATAATGTAAAAATAAATTTATTCTTTTATACTCTGGAGAAAATATTTAATGAATAAGCCAGGAGACATGAATAAACATGTTCATAACAGCAATTTCTGTAAAAACAAATAACTGAGAATACCCAAATATCTATCAGTCAAAAGTAGAAAGTATGAATAAGTTGTGAAATAGTCATATAATGGAATTCCTTACTGCAATGAAAACTAATTAAGTAACATGTATTGATAAGCAATAATTTAACAAAATAGTAAGCAGGAAAAGCAAGTCACAAAAAGCTATATATATATATATATGGTGCCATGTTTTTAAACCTCAACAAAAGCAAAACTAAACATCTCTTAGGGGCATATGCATAAATAGTAAAATTATAAAGAAAAGCAATGGAATAATAAATATTTGGAAGGGAGGCAGGTGCAATCAGGAGGAGCCTATAATGGCTTCAACAACATCAACAGTATTCTATTTCTTAAACTTGATGGTGTACACACAAGTGTTTGTATTATCATTTGTTAAAACTACACACATGCATATATGCAAGAGTTACAGGGATGAAGTTGATTGATGTATTATTTTGTGTGTATTTATTTCAAACGTAATAAATATAGAAAGTAAGAGAGAAGATAAAAGTGTCAAGAATTTAGGATGTATTAATAGAAAGAAGATGTTAAGCTCAGGAGAACTTAGCAGGGCACTTTGCACCAGGACCTGGATAGACAAAAACATGCCAATCAATGACTAAGGGCAGTAAAGAGGTGACAATGAGCATCAAGGTTATTTAGTCCTCTCGGAGAGCAATTTTGAACTGAAGCCAAAAAGGTGTTGAGTAAGGAGCTAAGACAGAAGTATCTAAAGAGAGGCTGAATTTGGCCGGGTGCAGTGGCTCACTCACGCCTGTAATCCCAGCACTTTGGGAGGCCAAGGTGGGCAGATCACAAGGTCAGGAGTTTGAGACCAGCCTGGCCAACATGGTGAAACCCCATCTCTAATAAAAATAAAAATTAAAAAATTAGCTGGGCATAGTGGTGTGCGCTTGTAATCCTAGCTACTCAGGAGGCTGAGGCAGGAGAATCGCTTGAACCCGGGAGGCGGAAGTTGCAGTGAGCCGAGATTGTGCCACTGCACTCCAGCGTGGGCGACAGAGCGAGACTCCATCTCAAAAAAAAAAAAAAAGAGGCTGAACTTAAACTGGAGGTATGGTGAATGGGCAAGAATGACAGTGAGGGTGAAATAAACAAAGTCTTAATTTCAAGAGAAATTGGCATCATCAACAGGAATTTGGGAATTCGGGAACTCTTTCCTGTGGGAAAGCTGCATCAGAACACTGTTGCCTTTTAAGAATCCACTACAAACATTTCTATTCATAAGGGATCAAATTTTATGTTTATGTGGACCTGGAGTGTATAAAACACATTCTCAAGATGGTCTTTTATAGAAATGAAGTAAATAGACTAAATAGTGATATGTGAGTTTTCTCCTCCAGAAGTAGTAAAATAATCTTTCTATAAGGTTTTAGAGGACAGCACAAAAACACTTATTAGACGACCAAAGAGGGAAAATGAGTAAATCACAATCAGAATACTTTCATTCAATGTTTATTTTCAGACAACTATGTGAGTGAGTTTGAAGCTTGGCCCAGATGCTGAATAGACTCATGACCTTGGCAAAGTCACAGCATTTCTCTGTGCTCCAATTTTCTCAACTGCAAAATACAGAGTTAGGCCTTTGCTTTCTTCAGTATTTTCTAGTTCTAACACTTCACAATGCTAAGATTCATAAATTTAATAATTCAATTCCAATTGTGGTTTCCCTATTCATACAGAGAAGCTAAAAGAGAAAGATGCCCAAAAAAACTTTTACTTCCCCAAATTTCCCGTCTTTCAGTTTGGCTTAAAGAGACCTCCTCTCTATAGAAGAAGCATGTGCTGGCAGCCCAAAGGGCGATCATCTGCTAGCCTTTAAGTCCTGTCCACCTCTACAACATCACTGGAAACTGGGTACTTTATTCCTAAAAAACATTTTTGGGACTGGTGCACTGCTGGCTCAGCCTACAGCAACTCTCCATCTAGAAAGTGCCCTTCCAAGTTAGCAATAGAGGGCTCTTTGGTTTCAGTAAAGAATGCTTGAAGCTGAGGGTGAGAGTAACATATTTTTTTTTCTCTTTTACCACATGAATTTTTGTTTTTATGGCCTTCAGAAATGAAGCAATTTTTAACTTAAAAGCAAATATTTTTACTGCTCTTAAAATGCTAGCATTTGAAAACCAATATATACTTGCTGGCAAATAACATGGGAAATAGACATGCAGAGCCTTAATAATGATTGAATACATAAAGTATTTTTCTTTTGTTTTTATGTGACAGCTGGATGAGTTTCAACTTCCTGCTCACAGCACAGGCTCTGAGCTTCTAAATCTGGGGGTTTTCCTTTTCCTATCCCCCGCCCCTCCCCATCTCCCCATCCCCTTCTTGCCTCCTCCTTCCTTTTTGGGAAAACACAAATGTTTTTGATTACATAATAGCTGCAAACTTTATATCTCCCACTTCAGTTGTTACACATCATAAACAGGGGAGTGAACTTCAGACTCCATTAAGACAAAGGTTGGTCTGGATTGTTGGGAGGCCTTTTATGTTGGTATGGTGCGGGGAAAACGTTTCTTTAGAAAAAGGAAATATAATAGGCCTGGCTAGAGACTGCACTGACTACTAACCACTAACCACTCAGCCTAGAGAATGACAAAAACCTCAATTATGGTCAAGGCAAAAGTGAAGCCCGGAGTTCAGAACCAATACAGCTCCTGCAGGATTCACTTAACCTAATGGGAACTTAATATGTGGGAACCAATAAACATCAAAATGTTAAGCAAGGATAGAAAGAACCTGCATAAAAACACTGAGCATTGTGCACACCATATTGATTCGAATTCTCTCTTCTTTAATCTGGAATTTTCTTTTACATTTTCATTTACAAATAAGCTTCTGTTATTGCCATAGTGCCCAAGTAAACAATTTGGAACCTGAAAGGGCAAGACAGCACTTCTCATTCAGCCATCTACAAGTATTTATTGAGCACCTACTAGGTACCAGGCACTGTTCTAAATTCTTTTGCTACTTCAGTGAAAAAAACGGACAAATGTCTTTACTGGAGAAGACAAAGGCAATTTTAAAAAGCAGCATGAATAAGTTTATTATAGAGTATTTTAGAAATGATAAGTGTTATGGAACAATAGAACAACAAAGAATTATGTGGGAATACTGGCTCAGGTAGAGAGATGTGATTTTAAATAGGGTGGTCAGTGGAGGCTATGTTAAAACAAAAGTGACGTGTGATCCAAGGCAACGTTGAGTCATGGGAGAAGGGAGGATAGTGGTGTTTCCATATTTGAAAAAAATAACTGTTGGATAACATCCTCGTTTTTATTGTTTCCTTGGTAAATTTTTATGCTATCTGTTTATGTGACTCCAAATGATTGTCTTTTTACCTTACTTGTGAGTACATTTAATTCAATGTAACACAGTCATTCTTTAGTGAGCCTCTACTATACACCCAGTACTGTTTTAGGTGTTGAGGGTGCATCATTAAGAAGAAAGGTGAGATCTTTGTGGTCCTGGAACTTCCATTCTAGATAGGAGAGGCAAACACATAAAAGAACAAGATGATTTCAGGGAGTGGTAAGGGTTATACAGAAATAAATAGACTAACAGCAGGTAGCTGGAGGGACATCCCTTGATAGAGTGGTCAGGGCCAGACTCTCTGGCTTGGCCCTCAGATCTAAAGAAGATTATAGTGGACAGGTAAAGAGTTTTCCAAGTATAAAGAATAGGAAGTACCAAATCCATGAGAGTGAGAAGGGCAATCCATTGATCTGTTCTAGGAACAGAAGAAGGCCAGTGTAACCAGGGAAGGGAAAGTGGCAAGAGATCACAGTAGACACTTATTATGAGTTGAATTTTGTCCTTCAAAAAGATGTTGAAGCCCTATCCCCTGTGAGTGTGATTTCATTTGGAAATAGAGTCTTTGCAGATGATCCAGTTAAGATGAGTTCATTAGGACATGCCCTAACCCAGTATGAGTGGTATCCTTATAAAAGGAAAAAGTTGGACTCAGACACATACACAGGGAGAATGCAGCGTGAAGATGAAGGAGGATATTGGGGTGATGCATCTATAAGCCAAGGAACTGCAAAGATTGCCAGCAACCACCAGAAGCTGCGGAGAGGCATGGAACAGATTCTCCCACATTGCCCTCAGAAGAAACTAACCCTACTGAAACCGTGATTTAGAACTTCTAGTCTCCATAACTGTAAGCTAGTCACTCAGTTTGTGGTACTGTGTTACAGCAGCCCTAGCAAATGAATGTGAACAAGGACAGATCCCTAGACATTTAGATTTTAGTATATGTTTAAATAGATCATACTGATGTTGCCATGTCGTCATGGCAGTGCAATCAAGGAGAGCCTGATGATTTCTCCCCGAAAGGTCAATAGAGCTTTACTCTTTATCCATTAAAGACCAACCATCATACATAGGAGAGCTGACTTGATTTTTGAGTGTTGTTAACATTAGTATTTTTTAAAGTACCTTTTTGGATAGAGGTTTTAAAAAAACTAACATGCAAATTATGTAATATATAATTTAACCCCTTTTATGATTCAGAAGTATCCATTTCAGCTCACAAAAAATTTAAGCTCTCCCTCTCCCTCTCCGTCTCCCTCTCCCCACGGTCTCCCTCTCTCTCTCTTTCCACGGTCTCCCTCTGATGCCGAGCTGAAGCTGGACTGTACTGCTGCCATCTCGGCTCACTGCAACCTCCCTGCCTGATTCTCCTGCCTCAGCCTGCCGAGTGCCTGCGATTGCAGGCGCGCGCCGCCACGCCTGACTGGTTTTCGTATTTTTTTTGGTGGAGACGGGGTTTCGCTGTGTTGGCCAGGCTGGTCTCCAGCTCCTAACCGCGAGTGATCCGCCAGCCTCGGCCTCCGGAGGTGCCGGGATTGCAGACGGTGTCTGGTTCACTCAGTGCTCAATGGTGCCCAGGCTGGAGTGCAGTGGCGTGATCTCGGCTCGCTACAACCTCCACCTCCCAGCCGCCTGCCTTGGCCTCCCAAAGTGCCCAGAGTGCAGCCTCTGCCCGGCCGCCACCCCGTCTGGGAAGTGAGGAGCGTCTCTGCCTGGCCGCCCATCGTCTGGGATGTGAGGAGCCCCTCTGCCTGGCTGCCCAGTCTGGAATGTAAGGAGCATCTCTGCCCGGCCGCCATCCCATCTAGGAAGTGAGGAGCGCCTCTTCCCGGCTGCCATCCCATCTAGGAAGTGAGGAGCGTCTCTGCCTGGCCGCCCATCGTCTGAGATGTGGGGAGCGCCTTTGCCCCGCCGCCCCGTCTGGGATGTGAGGAGCGCCTCTGCCCGGCCGCGACCCCGTCTGGGAGGTGAGGCGCGTCTCTGCCCAGCCACCCCGTCTGAGAAGGGAGGAGACCCTCCGCCTGGCAACCGCCCCGTCTGAGAAGTGAGGAGCCCCTCCTCCCGGCAGCCGCCCCGTCTGAGAAGTGAGGAGCCCCTCCGCCTGGCAGCCACCCCGTCTGGGAAGTGAGGAGCGTCTCCGCCCAGCAGCCGCCCCGTCCGGGAGGGAGGTGGGGGTCAGCCCCCCACCCGGCCAGCCACCCCGTCCGGGAGGGAGGTGGGGGGTCAGCCCCCCGCCCGGCCAGCCGCCCCGTCCGGGAGGGAGGTGGGGGGTCAGCCCCCCGCCCGGCCAGCCGCCCCGTCCAGGAGGTGAGGGGCGCCTCTGCCCGGCCACCCCTACTGGGAAGTGAGGAGCCCCTCTGCCCGGCCACCACCCCGTCTGGGAGGTGTGCCCAACAGCTCATTGAGAACGGGCCATGATGACAATGGTGGTTTTGTGGAATAGAAAGCGGGGAAAGGTTGGGAAAAGATTGAGAAATTGGATGGTTGCCGTGTCTGTGTGGAAAGAAGTAGACATGGGAGACTTTTCATTTTGTTCTGTACTAAGAAAAATTATTCTGCCTTGGGATCCTGTTGATCTGTGACCTTACCCCCAACCCTGTGCTCTCTGAAACATGTGCTGTGTCCACTCAGGGTTAAATGGATTAAGGGCAGTGCAAGATGTGCTTTGTTAAACAGATGCTTGAAGGCAGCATGCTCGTTAAGAGTCATCACCACTCCCTAATCTCAAGTACCCAGGGACACAAACACTGCGGAAGGCCGCAGGGTCCTCTGCCTAGGAAAACCAGAGACCTTTGTTCACTTGTTTATCTGCTGACCTTCCCTCCACTATTGTCCTATGACCCTGCCAAATCCCCCTCTGTGAGAAACACCCAAGAATGATCAATAAAAATAAAAATAAAAATAAAAATTAAATTTGAGTGTGATGGGATGTAGGAGGCATTGGAAGTATAAAAATAAACGAAGCTGTGCTCTTGATTATCTTAGAGTCTGATGGAGAAGACAGATACATAAGAAATAGTATCAATCTTTGGCAGGGAATAGTAAGTAGAGGTATATATGGGCTCTATAGGAGCACAAATGAAGGACTCAGTGGTGTTTTTGTGGTGGAGCTGATACCTGAGCCAAGGACTGAAAGTGAATAACCATCTGCCAAAGAAAGAAGAAGCATCACTCCAGAAAAAAGGGAGAGCCTAGCACACCCATAGATGCACAGTCAGTTTCTGTGACTGGCTCCCCTAGAAACAAAAATGGTGACAGAGACCTGATGGCGAGAAGAGGGGCCTGGTCCCGAAGGTCCTCAGATGGCCAGCCAAGGCCCTTTACTGCTCTGTAGGCAGTGGGGATCCACTGGAGAGACGTAAGATGAGACGCACATTTGTCCATGTATATCAATCAGAGCTCTTCGGTTGCAAACAGCTGAAATCAACCCCAACTAAAAAGGAATTTTTAGAATTGAAGGAAAAGATGAAGAAACAGGACTTGGGAAGGATAATTTAAAGCAGCCCCAAGACGGAGATGGCAGGATGGTAGTGGATAGCCTCATCAAGGATGCAGCAGTTACAACTGTGTTCCTTGACAAAAAAAGTTATTTTGCCAAAATAACACATGTATAATACATGTGTACAAAACATCAAATGATATTACAGCAATTATATTGTAATAATTAGGAAAAAATCCCATCCTGATTTCAACTCCAAAGAACTACTTTGAACCATTTTATCGACTTTTCTTTCTAAAATGTATTTCTGTATTTGTAAGTTTAAAAAATGCTTATTCTGCTAACCAGAATTAAGCATAAAAACATCATTTTGTCAGCCATATGGAGAATAAGTTAGGGAGAGTGGTGGAAATAGAAGTGGGAAGATTAGTTGGGAGGTTACTAGGGTAGTAGAGAAGCAATTGTGTCTTGCTTCTATGGCTCTGAATAACTCCAACATTTACACTATTTCCAAATAATGCACACTGTTTATTTTGAATATAAGCAAGATGGTTATGACAGGATGAAATGTTTATTTATCATAAATCAAGAAATTAGGTCTATATCCAAAATAGTTGTAATGCAGGCAAAGCATGAATATATATTTTAGGGTTGAAAGAAATCCCTTTAACAGCAAAAGAAGTTTGGAATATATGGTTTTCTATCTTGTTTACCAGCAGAAATGTGGGCTGAAAGCTTTCATTTATTGACTGGGTAAACTTTTCAAGAAAAATGAAAACAAGCCTTTAATTCATATATTTAAACATGTTTAAAACACACACAAATATAAATATATATGCATGAAATATAAATATGTGTATATATCTGTATATATACAAAATATATCTATTTGTGTATATATATTTCGTATATATACACGTATTTGTATTTCATGCATATATATTTGAGACTGGGTAATTTATAAAGGAAAGAGGTTTAAATGACTCACAGTTCCACATGGCTGGGGAAAACTCAGGAAACTTAAAATCATGGTGGAAGGTGATTGCCATGCCTTCTTCACATGGCAACAGAAAAGAGAAATGAAGTGTGAGCACAGGAGAATCTGCCACTTTTAACACCATCAGATCTTGTGAGACTCACTCACTTTCAGGAGAATAGCATGAGGGAAACCAGGTTCCTCCCTTGACACATGGCGATCACAATTCAAGATGAGATTTGGATGGGGACACAGAGCCAAATCATATCATCTGTATACAATGTATATATATTATTTTCATAATCTACACCTTTGCCTTGATATATTCCTGAATTTTGGATCCCCAAACAATGTTAACCATTTAGATTCTGAAAGTCAGCACCAATCTGGATGACCACCGAAATTAATTAACCATCTGCTTCTGTAGGGTTTTGCTAGTGACAAACGGGGAAAAAAAGGACAACTGTGGTCCTAAGTTAGCCATTTCCTTATCTATTCTGCTAGACTTTTTCTTCTGAAGTCTTGATTATTTAAAACCTTATAAAGTTTTTGGACAAAATCCAGAACATGAAAAATTCCATAGGACAAAACACCAGATTTCTTCAGTGAATAAATGGCAAAGAAAGAGAACAAGGAGAAACCCAAAGTTTACAAGAGATATGAAACATAATCACTGCATTCAATATGTGAACCTTGTTTGGATCCTGATTCAGACAAAACAATTGATCAACTATTAAAAAAATACATAAGATAATCAGAAAAACATAAAGAGGTTTGATTATATTGAGGAAATTTTCTTACTCTTCATGGATGTAAAAATATTTTACTTATGAATTTTGTTAATGATACTTACGTTTTAAAGATACTTAAGAAAACTTTTTTTTTTTTTTGAGACAGAGTCTCACTCTGTCACCCAGGCAGGAGTGCAATGG
Source organism: Homo sapiens (assembly GCF_000001405.40). Taxonomy (NCBI): domain Eukaryota; kingdom Metazoa; phylum Chordata; class Mammalia; order Primates; family Hominidae; genus Homo; species Homo sapiens. The sequence goes on from NC_000001.11 coordinate 170,422,339, forward strand.
TGTAATCTCGGCTCACTGCAACCTCCACCCCCCGGGTTCAAGTGATTCTCCTGCCTTAGCCTCCCAAGTAGCTGGGATTACAGGTGCCCGCCACCACTCCCAGCTAATATTTGTATTTTTAGTAGAGATGGGGTTTCACCAGGTTGGCCAGGCTGGTCTTGAACTCCTGACCTCAAGTGATCCACCCACCTCGGCCTCCCAAAGTGCTGGGATTACAGGTGTGAACCACTGCGCCCGGCCAAGAAAACTTTTTTTTAATGAGATGACATGATGTCTGGTTTGCTTCATGATAATTGGATGACAGGAGGTAAGAATACAGATGAAACAAAAGTAACTTGAGTTGATGATTAGTGAAGCTGGGGTAGGAGTGGGGAGGCTCATTGTGTTAGCCTCTCTACTTTTGTACATGTTAAAATTATTCATACTAAAACATTAAAAATGTTTTTTAACATACGAAAATCTCCCTTATCCATGGTTTCGCTTCCTGTGGTTTCATTTACCTGCAGTCAACCATAGTCAGAAAATATGAAATGAAAAATTCCAGGAATAAACAATACACAAGTTTTAAATAGCGGCCATTCTGACTAGCATGATGAAATAGTGTAGCATCCCACTTCATCCCTTCTTCATAACAGGAAAAAAGATGAGTATAGTACAATAAGATATTTTGAAAGAGACCACATTCATGTAACTTTTATTGTAGTATATTATTTTAATTTAGTATTTTGTTATCCATTATTGTTATTAATTTCTTATCCTGCCTAATTTATAAATTATACTTTATGATAATTTCCTATGTACAGGAAGGAACACAGTATATACAGGGTTTGATGACATCCATGGGTTCAGGCATCCATTAGGGGTCTTGGAACACAATCCTTATAGGGGTGATTACTTCCAATACTATGTTGAATAGGAGTGGTGAGAGAGGGCATCCTTGTCTTGTGCTGGTTTTCAAAGGGAATGCTTCCAGTTTTTGCACATTCAGTATGATATTGGCTGTGGGTTTGTCAAAAATAGCTCTTATTATTTTGAGATATGTTCCATCAATACCTAGTTTATTGAGAGTTTTTAGCATGAAGGGGTGTTGAATTTTGTCAAAGGCCTTTTCTGCATCTATTGAGATAATCAGTTGGTTTTTGTCATTGGTTCTGTTTATGTGATGGATTCCATTTATTGATTTGCGTATGTTGAACCAGCCTGGCATCCCAAGGATGAAGCCGACTTGATCATGGTGGATAAGCTTTTTGATGTGCTGCTGGATTCGGTTTGCCAGTATTTTACTGAGCATTTTCGCATCAATGTTCATCAGGGATATTGGCCTAAAATTTTCTTTTTTTGTTGTGTCTCTGCCAGATTTTGGTATCAGGATGATGCTGGCCTCATAAAATGAGTTAGGGAGGATTCTTTCTTCTTCTATTGTTTGGAATAGTTTCAGAAGGAATGGTACAAGCTCCTCTTTGCACCTCTGGTAGAATTCGGCTGTAAATCCCTCTGGACCTGGACTTTTTTTGGTTGATAGGCTATTAATTACTGCCTCAATTTCAGAACTTGTTACTGGTCTATTCAGGGATTCGACTTCTTCCTGATTTAGACTTGGGAGGGTGTATGTGTCCAGGAATGTATCCATTTCTTCTAGATTGTCTAGTTTATTTGTGTAGAGGTGTTTATAGTATTCTCTGATGGTAGTTTGTATTACTGTGGGATCAGTGATGATATCCCCTTTATCAATATGTATTGCGTCTATTTGATTCTTCTCTCTTTTCTGCTTTATTGGTCTGGCTAGCAAGGGGTGATTACTTATCTGAACATAGTACAAAGTTTTTGGAAAATAATTTAAAACATTAAACTCTATAACCTAAATTGCTATAGGGCATTGTTATAAATATATCTCCAGCTAAAGTGGTTATTTAAAAATCATGATGGTATTATTATTTATCTAATACTTTCTGCTCAGTTAATTCTAATGTACACATTATTTTGATATACCACTTAGTAATTGATGTGTATTACAATTGTAATCTTATTAAATTAGAACTTGTGATGTCTGTTGTTCTCCACCTCACATCTTTACAGCCTTACCCCAGATTTGAGCCCAGGAGGCTTCCACTTACTTGGGCTGACAGTGTCTCAACTCAAGTGTGCTCTCCTTTTTCTCTCTGCCTTGGGGCTTCTCTGATGTCCCAGCATAGGATGCCAGCATGATACAGTCAGCAGGCATCCACGGACAGCTGATCTTTAAACAATGGTGGATGAGAAACCATATGTAAATACTTCTTCAGTTGGCCTTTGGGTGAACAATTCTCAGGGACATTCTATGGCTTCTCAAAAGATCCTGGTGACATCAAGCCTTATTTACCCATAGAGTGACCAGCTTGGTGTGCACTTTTGTTTTGGCTTTGTGTCTTTTTTGTTTTACTTTCTTGGTTCTCACCCTCGCTCCCTAAGACTATATGCTAAATAAAATGTTTTACAGAAATTTTTACACACTCTGCTTTTGGAGGGGACATAGCCTAAAATAAGACAGTTTTTGAAAGTTGTATTACACTTGAAGTACAAATTTTTCTCAAAGACAATGTTATAAATTCTAAAACTTATAGCTAAGACACTGGCGTTTATCACTATTCATTTGTATTCCAATACCTTAGATATAAAATAGGCCTCCATTTAAAACTTCAGATAACTATATTCAGGACAGTGTTTTCCAAATCTGAGCGCACATTATAATGATCTAAGGTGATTTCACCATACTTCCCAAAGCAATTTACAGATTCAATGCTATTTCAAATTACCAATGACATTCTTCACAGAACTAGAAAAAAACTATTTCAAAATTTATGTGGAACTGAAAAAGAGCCCAAATAGCCAAGGCAATCCTAAGCAAAAAGAGCAAAGCAGGAGGCATCATGCTACATAACTTAAACTACAGGGCTACAATAGCTAAAACAGCATGGAACTGGTACAAAAACAGAAACATAGTCTGGGTGCAGTGGCTCATGCTTGTAATCGCAACATTTTGGGAGGTCAAGGGCAGGTGGATTGCTTGAGTTCAGGAGTTCGAGACCAGCCTGAACAATCTGGCAAGACCCCACCTGTACTACAAAAAAATAGCAGGGCATGGTGACACGTGCCTGTGGTCCCAGCTACTTGGGAGACTGAGGTGGGGGGATCACTTGAACCTGGTGGGGCAGAGGTTGCAGCAAACCCAGATCATGCCACTGCATTCCAGGCTGGGTGACAGAGGGAAACGCTGTCTCAAAATAAAATAAAACCAAAAGCAAGAACAAAAAAAAACCCAGACACATAGACCCATGGAACAGAATAGAAAGCCTAGACATAAGGCTGCACACCTACAACCGTCTGATCTTTGACAAAGCCAACAAAAACAAACAATAGGAAAAGAACTCCCTATTCAATAAATGATACTGGGATAACTGTCTAGCTACATGCAGAAGATTGAAACTGGATCCCTTCCTTACAGCATATACAAAAATCAACTCAAGACAGATTAAAGACCTAAATGTAAAACCTAAAACTATAAAAACCCTGGAAGACAGCCTAGGAAATACCATTCTAGACATAGGAGTGGGCAAAAATTTCATGACCAAGATGCCAAAAGCAGTTGCAACAAAACCAAAAATTGACAAATGGGCTCTAATTAAACTAAAGAGCTTCTGCACAGCAAAAGAAACTATCAACAGAGTAAACAGACAACAGAATGGGAGAAACTATTTGCAAACTATGCATCTGACAAAGATCTAATATCCAGCATCTATAAGGAACTTAAATTTCCAAGAAAAAAAAATCCCATTAAAAAGTGGGCAAAAAAGGAGAGGCGGGGCCAAGATGGCCGAATAGGAACAGCTCTGGTCTGCAGCTCCCAGTGAGACCAACGCAGAAGGCAGGTGATTTCTGCATTTCCAACTGAGGTACCAAGTTCATCTCACTGAGACTCGTTAGGCAGTGGGTCCAATCCACAATGGGTGAGCAGAAGCAGGGTGGGGCATCGCTTCACCCAGGAAGTGCAAGGAGCTGGGGGACATCCCTTCTCCAGCCAAGGGAAGCATGGAGGGACTGTGCTACCCAGCTGTGTTACTATGATTTTCTCATGGATTTTACATTCTGCAGATCAGGAGATTCCCTCATGTGCCTACACTACTAGGACCCTGGGTTTCAAGCACAAAACTAGGTGGCTGTTTGGGCAGACACCAAGCTAGCTGCAGGAGTTTTTTCCATAACCCAGTGGTGCCTGGAACCCCAGTGAGACAGAACCATTCAATCCCCTGGAAAAGGGGCTGAAGCAAGGGAGCCAAGTGGTCTCACTCAGCAGGTCCCACTCCCACGGAGCCCAGCAAGCTAAGAACCACTGGCTTGAAATTCTCACTGCCAGCACAGCAGTCTGAAGTCGACCAGGGACAATAAAGCTTGATGGGGGGAGGGGCGTCCACCATTACTGAGGCTTTAGTAGGCAGTTTGACAGTGCTAAGGAGGCTGGAAGGTCTGGACTGGGTGGAATTCATCACAGCACGGCAAAGTGGCTGTAGCCAGACTGCTTCTCTAGATTCCTCCTCACTGGGCAGGGCATATCTGAAGTAACGGTAATAGCACCAGTCAGGGGCTTACAGAGAAAACCCCCACCTTCCTGGGACAGAGCACCTGGGGGGTGATTTAATCTTTCCTGTTCTGCCAGCTCTGAAGAGAGCAGCTGATCCTGACAAAAGGGATTCTCCCAGCACAGGGTACCAGCTCTGCTAAGGGACAGATTGCCTCCTCAAGTGTGTCCCTGATCCCCGTGCCTCCTGACTGGGAGAGACCTCCCAGCAGGGGTTGACAGACACCTCATACAGGAGAGCTCTGGCTGGCATCAGGCCAGTGCTCCTCTGGGTTGAAGCTTCCAGAGGAAGGAGTGGGCAGCAATATTTGCTGTTCTGCAGCTTGCACTGGTGATAGCCAGGTGAAGAGGGTCTGGAGTGGACCTCCAGCAAACTGCAGCAGACCTGCAGAAAAGGGGCCTGACTGTTAGAAGAAAAACTAACAGAAAGCAACAACATCAACATCAACATAAAGGACCCCCACAAAAAAACCCCATTCAAAAATCATCAGCCTCAAAGATCAAAGGTAGATAAACCCATGAAGATGAGGAAAAACCACTGCAAAAACGCAGAAAATTCCGAAAACAAGAATGCATATTGTCTTCCAAATGATCACAACTCCTCTCCAGCATGGGCATAAAACTGGACAGAGAATGAGATTGATGAATTGACAGAAGTAGGCTTCAGAAGGTGGGTAATAACAAACTTCTCTGAGCTAAAGGATTGTGTTCTAACCCAATGCAAGGAAGCTAGGAACCTTGGTAAAAGGTTACAGGAACTGCTAACTAGAATAACTGGTTTAGAGAGGAACAAAAATGACCTGATGGAGCTAAAGAACACAGCATGAAAACTTTGTGAAGCTTACCCAGGTATCAGTAGCAGAATTGATCAAGCAGAAGAAAGGATATCAGAGATTGAAGATCAACTTACTGAAATAAGGCATGAAGACAAGATTAGAGAAAAAAGAATGAAAAGGAATGAACAAAGCCTCCAAGAAACATGGGACTATGTAAAAAGACTGAAACTACGTTTGTTGGTGTACCTGAAAGTGACAGAGAGAATGGAACCAAGTTGGAAAACACACTTCAGGATATTATGCAGGAGTACTTTCCCAACCTAGCAAGACAGGCCAACATTCAAATTCAGGAAATACAGAGAACACCACTAAGATACTCCTTGAGAAGAGCAATGCCAAGACATCTAATCATCAGATTCTCCAAGGCTGAAATGAAGGAAAAAATGTTAAAGGCAGCCAGAGAGAAAGGTCAGGTTACCCATAAAGGGAAGCATATCAGAATGACAGCAGATCTCTGCAGAAATGAGCCAGAAGAGAGTGGGGGCCAATATTCAACATTCTTAAAGAAAAGAATTTTCAACCCAGAATTTTATATCCTGCCAAACTAAGCTTCATAAGTGAAGGAGAAATAAAATCCTTTATAGACAACCAAATGCTGAGGGATTTTGTCACCACCAGGCCTGCCTTGCAAGAGATCCTGAAGGAAGCAATAAATATGAAAAGGAAAAACTGGTACCAGCCACTGCAAAAACACACAAAAATATAAAAACCAGTGACACTATGAAAAAACTGCATCAACTAATGTGCAAAATAACCAGCTAGTATCATGATGAAAGGATCAAATTCACACATAACAATATTAACCTTAAATATAAATAGGCTAAATTACCCCAATTAAAAGACACAGACTGGAAAGTTGGATAGAGTCAAGACCCATTGGTGTTCTATATTCAGGAGACCAATCTCACGTGCAAAGACACACATAGGCTCAAAATAAAGGGATGGAGGAATATTTACCAAGTAAATGGAAAGCAAAAAAAAAAATCATGGATTGCAATCTTAGTCTCTGATAAAACAGACTTTAAACCAACAAAGTTCAAAAAAGACAAAGAAGGGCATTACGTAATGGTAAAGGGATGAATTTAACAAGAAGAGCTAACTATCCTAAATATATATCCTCCCAAATACAGGAGCACCTAAATTCATAAAGCAAGTTCTTAGAGACCTACAAAGAGACTTAGACTTCCAAACCATAATAATGGGGGCTTTAACACTCCCCTATCAATATTGGACAGCTCAACAAGACAGAAAATTAACAAGGCTATTCAGGAATTGAATTCAGCTGTGGACCAAGTGGACCTAATAGACATCTACAGAACTCTCCACCTCAAATCAACAGAATATACATTCTTTTCAGCACCACATTGCACTTATTCTAAAATTGACCATATAATTGGAAGTAAAACACTGCTCAGCAAATGCAAAAGAACGGAAATCATAACAAACAGTCTCTCAGACCACACTGCAATCAAATTAGAACTCAAGATTAAGAAACTTACTCAAAACCACACAACTACATGGAAACTGAACAACCTGGTCCTGAATGACTACTGGGTAAATAATGAAATTAAGACAGAAACAAAGGAGTTCTTTGAAACCGATGATAACAAGGAGGCAACATAACAGAACATCTGGGACACAGCTACAGCAGTGTTAAGAGGTAAACTTAATAGCACTAAATGCCCACATCAGAAAGCTGGAAAGCTCTAAAATCGACACCCTAACATCACAATTAAAAGAACTAGAGAAACAAGAGCAAACAAATTCAAAAGCTACCAGAAGACAAGAAATAACTAAGATCAGAAAAGAAAGGAAGGAGATAGAGACATGAAAACCCTTTCAAAAAATCAACTAATCCAGGAGCTGGTTTTTTTAAAAGATTAACAAAATAGACTGCTAGGTAGACTAATAAGAAAAGAGAGAAGAATCAAATAGACACAATAAAAAATGATAAAGGGGATATCAGCACTGATTCTACAGTAACACAAACTACCATCAGAGAATACTATAAACACTGCCAAACAAATACACTAGAAAATCTAGGGGAAATGGATAAATTCCTGTACACACACACCCTCCCATGACTAAACCAGGAAGAAATCGAATGCCTGAATAGACCAATAGCAAGCATTGAAATTGAGGCAGTAATTAATAGCCTACCAACCAAAAAAAGCCCAGGACCAGATGGATTCACAGCCAAATTCTACCAGAGGTACAAAGAGGAGCTGATACCATTCCTTCTGAAACTATTCCAAACAATAGAAAAAGAGGACTCTTCCCTAACTCATTTTATGAGGCCAGCATCATCTTGATACTAAAACATGGCAGAGACACAACAAGAAAAGAAAATTTCAGGCCAATATCCCTGATGAACACTGATGCAAAAATCTGCAATAAAATACTGGCAAACTGAACCCAGCAGCACATCAAAAACTTATCCACCATGATCAAGTCAGCTTCATCCCTGGGATACAAGACAGGTTCAACATACACAAATCAATAAACAGAATCCATCACATAAACAGAACCAATGACAAAAACCACATAATTATCTCAATAGATGCAGAAAAGGTCTTGGATAAAATTCAACATCCCTTCATGCTAAAAATTCTCTATTAACTAGGTACTGATGGAACATATCTCAAAATAATATGAGCTATTTATGACAAACCATAGCCAATATCATATTGAATGGGCATAAGCTGGAAGCATTCCCCCTTGAAAACTGGCACAAGACAAAGATGCCATCTCTCACCACTCCTATTCAACATAGTATTGGAAGTTCTGGCCGGGGCAATCAGGCAAGAGAAAGAAATAAAGCATATTCAAATAGGAAGAGAGGAAGTCAAATTGTCTCTGTTTGCAGATGACATGATTGTATATTTAGAAAACCTCATTGTATCAGCCCAAAAACTCCTTAAGCTGATAAGCAGCTTCAGCAAAGTCTCAGGATACAAAACCAATGTGCAAAAAGCACAAGCATTCCTATACACCAATAATAGACAAACAGAGCCAAATCATGAGTGAACTCCCATTCACAATTGCTATAAAGAGAATGAAATACCTAGGAATACAACTTACAAGGGATGTGAAAGACCTCTTCAAGGAGCACTACAAACCACTGCTCAAGGAAATAAGAAAGGACACAAACAAATGGAAAAATATTCCATGCTCATGGATAGGAAGAATCAATATTGTGAAAATGGCCATACTGCCCAAAGTAATTTATAGACTCAATGCTATTCCCATCAAGCTACCATTGACTTTCTTCAGAGAATTTGAAAAAAATGTTTTAAATTTCATATGCAACCAAAAAAGAGCCTATATAGTCAAGACAATCCTAAGCAAAAAGAACAAAGATGGAGGCAACATACTACCTGACTTCAAACTATACTACAAGATTACAGTAACCAAAACAGCATGGTACTGATACTAAAACAAATATATAGACCAATGGAACAGAACAGAGACCTCAGAAATAACACCACACACACATCTACAACCATCTGATCTTTGACAAACCTGACAAAAACAAGCAATAGGGAAAGGATGCCCTATTTAACAAATGGTGCTGAGAAAACTGGCTAGCCATATGCAGAAAACAGAAACTGGATCCCTTCCTTGTGCCTTATACCAAAATTAACTCAAGATGGATTAAAGTCTTAAATGTAAAACCCCAAACCATGAAAACTCTAGAAGAACACCTAGGCAATACCATTCAGGATATAGGCATGGTCAAAGACTTCACGACTAAAACACCAAAAGCAATGGCAACGAAATCCAAAATTGACAAATGGGACCTAATCAAACTAAAGAACTCCTACATAGCAAAAGAAACTAAAATCAGAGTGAACAGGCAACCTACAAAATGGGAGAAAATTTCTGCAATCTACCCATCTGACAAAGGTCTAATTGCCACAATCTACAAGGAACTTCACCAAATTTAAAAGAAAAAATAACCCCATCAAAAAGTGGGCCAAGGACAGAACTTCTCAAAAGAAGACATTTATGTGGCCAACAAACATGAAAAAAAAAATCTCACCATCACTGGTCATTAGAGAAATGCAAATCAAAATTGCAATGAGGTACCATCTCACACCAGTTAGAATGGCGATTATTTAAAAGTCAGGAAACAGTTGCTGGAGAGGAAGCGGTGAAATAGGAAAGCTTTTACACTGTTGGTGGGAGTGTAAATTATTTCAACCATTGTGGAAGACAGTGTGGTGATTCCTCAAGGATCTAGAACCAGAAATACCATTAGACCCAGCAATCCCATTACTGGGTATATACCCAAAGGATTATAAGTCATTCTACTGTAAAGACACATGTACACATATGTTTATTGCAGCACTATTTACAATAGCAAAGACTTGGAACCAATCCAAATGCCCATCAATGATAGACTGGATAAAGAAAATGTGACACATATACACCATGGAATACTATGCAGCCATAAAAAAGAATAAGTTCATGTCCTTTGCAGGGACATGGATGAAGCTGGAAGCCATCATTCTCAACAAACTAACACAGGATCAAAGAACCAAACACTGCATGTTCTCACTCGTAAGTGGGATTTGAACAATGAGAACACATGGACACAGAGAGGGAATTTGGCACACTGGGGCCTGTTGGGGGGTGGGGGACAAGGGGAGGGAGAGCATTAAGACAGATACCTAATGCATGTGGGGCTTAAAATGAAGATGACGGGTTGATGGGTGCAGCAAACCACCATGGCACATGTATACCTATGCAACACACCTGCACATTGTTCCCACATATCCCAGAACTTAAAGTAAAATTTTTAAAAAGTGGGCAAAAGACATGAAAAGACACTTTTTAAAAGAAGACTTATATGCAGCCAGCAGGCATATGAAAAAAAGCTCAATATTACTGATTATTAGAGAAATGCACATCAAAAGCACAATGAGATACCATCTCACACCAGTCAGAATGGCTATTAAAAAGTCAAGGCTGGGTGCGGTGGCTCACACCTGTAATCCAAGCACTTTGGGAGGCCAAGGCGGGTGGATCATGAGGTCAAGAGATCAAGACCATCCTGGCCAACATGGTGAAACGGTCTACTAAAAATACAAAAATTAGCTGGGCCTGGTGGCGCATGCCTGTAGTCCCAGCTACTCAGGAGGGTGAGGCAGGAGAATCACTTGAACCTGGGATGCAGAGGTTGCCGTGAGCCAAGATCACGCCACTGCACTCCAACCGAGACAGACTCTGTCTAAAAAAAAACAAAAAAACAAAAAACAAGTCAAAAAATAACACATGCTGGTAAGCTTTTGGAGAAAAGGGCATATTTATACACTGTTGGTAGGAGTGTAAATTAATTCAACCATTGTGGAAGGCACTGTCGCAATTTCTCAAAGAGCTAAAAACAGAACTACCATTCAATCCAGCAATCCCATTACTGGGCATATACCTAAAGGAATATAAATCATTCTGCTCTAAAGACACATGCATGTCTATGTTCATTGCGGCACTATTCACAATAGCAAAGACATGGAGTTAACCTGAAGGTCCATCAATGGTGGACTGGACAAAGAAAATGTAGTGCATATACACCATGAAATACTACATAGCCATAAAAAATGAATGAGATCATGTCTTTTGCAGCAACATGGATAGAGCTGGAGAGCATTCGTCTAACCAAACTTACACAGGAACAGAAAACCAAATACCACGTATTCACATTTGTAAGTGGGAGTTAAACATTGAGTGTATATGGTCACAAAGAAGGGAACAACAGACACCAGAATCTACTTGAGGATGGAGGGTGAGAGGAGGGTGAGGATTGAAAAAGTACCTATCAGGTATTATGCTTCTTTCCTGCATGACAGAATAATCTGTACATCACACCCTCGTGACATGAGTTTACCTATATAACAAACCTGCACAGGTACCCCTGAACCTAAAATATAAGTTTAAAAAAAATAAAGAACACAGATTCTTTTTGAAAGTGTTGCCCAAGAATCACTATCAATAATAATAATCCAGGTGATTCTGATGCTCAGGCAAGTTTGAGAATCCTCCATCTAGAAGACTTGCTATACTAAGGAAGAATATCTCCTGAGATTCACAGGAATAATTCTCTTGCCTTCAGGTGAGATTATAATCCATTTTTTTCTGGGTTGGTTTAGATATTAAGGACACAGAATCTACTATGTCTTTTAAATATAGAAAATTCTTCCTTATAGCTATTTTGAATCCTGTATGTCACAGTTTAAGATTTTTCTTCTGTTTCATCCTGAAGGAAGGTGAAAAACAGTTTGGATGTTTCACATCAAAATATAAAGTCTATATGCTCTTAAATCTCCTTTGATTATTTTTCTAGGTTAGAAAGTCCCATCCTCTTTCATCTTTCCTCATGTCTCATTTTGCAACTTTTTACATCATCCTTATAGGTCCAAACCCTCTTTCATGTACTTACAAAATTGAACCCATTTTTCAAAGCCTAAAAAAAGTCTGAACAATACTTTAAAAAACTTTTCTAGTAAAATTTCAGGGTTAAGAGTCATGAATAGAAATTGTCATATGTCTTGAAACTGAACAATTCCATTTCATTTATACAGGATCATCAAGAGGTAACTAAGGCCCTTGGAACCAGATCCCTGCTCTGTGAAATACTTGTGATAGAACACAGCAGTAGTTCTCAAACTTTAGCATGCATCAGAATTGCCTGGGAGGACTTATTATATATGGATTGCTGGGACTGACCAACCTTCAGAGTTCCTAATTCAGCATACCTGGCTGGAGCCTAGACATTTATATTTCTAATCTGTTTCGAGGTGATTCTGCTGCTGCTGGTGGTCCAGAGACCACACGTGAGAACCACTGGACTAGGGAGATCTTGTACATCATAGACACATTGGTTTCTCTGGACACAGAATGGATCTCAGAAGTCAAGTGTAATTTTGCAGATTTGGACACTATGGTTTAAGGAAGCCAAGTGACATTGCTTGAGGCCATGAAGCAGAACTAAAAGCTCTCTGCTCCCATCTCAGAGCTTGCTGATTCTACATTACTCTGTTCAGCCAGTCTCTGTGCTCATGACTCCCATGGTCCCAACAACGTTTGAGGTCTATGAATGTTTCCAAAAGTTAAAGATAGGTCTTTAACTTCTCAAAAAATGATTTTAACCATTCTGCATAAAAATCTTTCTAAAATGTATTATATTCTTCTGGACCTCACATAGAGTATGTAGGACATACTTGAACCCAATTTTTTTCAATGAGTGCTCACTTCTATGGTGGGAAGAGTAGGTTTGGTAGGGAAAGGGCAGATACCAAGAGTTCATTCTAGACATATTAAGTTTGAGATGTATATTAGGTGTCCAAGTTAAAATACAAGCAGGGGCTAGAGAATATTGATCTGGAGCTCAGGGGAAAAGTCTAGACTAGAGATATTAATTTATAAGTCATTAGGATGTAAATATAATTTAAAGACCTTTGTTGTACTACATTATCTAAAGTCTGAGAAGAGGTAGAGAGGAGAAGAAATACAAGGACCAAGCCCTTAGGGCACTCCAATATTTAAAGATTGGAAAAATGAGGAAAAATCCACAAAGACCAAGAAGGTAAAGCCAGAGAAACCAATATAACCAAACCAATATGAGAGCAGGTTGGATTTATAGTACAGTGGCAGATAGTGTATAAATATATAATTGCCAGACTTTGGGGCTTCAATTCAGATTACATCTGTTTTCTCAGTGAAATAGGAAACAAGTCAATGAACAAGAATATAAATATGAAATGAGACCAGTCAATATGGCTATGTGTTTTTCTCCAGCCATATTCAGTTGTATGGGGGGCAGGCAGGGACGAGACAGTTATGTTCAACTTTCTAAGTTAAATCTGGGAAAATATAGGAAAGTAGTTGATAGACAAGGGTATTGAGGATGTTTGCCAGGGAATTATTAAAATTTAATGATGTAACTAAAGCTGGTTTAAGAGGGAAGTAAAGACAGAAAAGGTTAGGGGGAATGAAAAAGCGGTAGAATCAATGAGTATCAGATTACTATGTTTTAAGCCAGAAATGTCACTGGAGAATACCGAGTTAATAGAGTTGTTTCTAATTTTTTGGCAGTAGGTGAGGTATTACCTATAAAAACTCTGAAAATGCTATCCTTGCTTCTATTGGTTTTCAGCAGCATTTTTTCTCACTCACTGTTAAGCTTTCAGGTTTCTCTATTCTGCCACTGCTCTCCCTTTGTCTGCCCCTCTTCTCTCCACCTACCTCCTTCCCCAACCCTCAACACATACCTAGTCTTACTTTCTGCTTCCAGTGGGCCATTGAATGAGAAAATGAATTATTAGAATTGTGTGTAAGAGTAAATAGGATTCTGAGAAGTCGGAATCAGATTCACAAAGTGTTTGACAAACATTCAAATTTCTCATCAGAAGTCACTCGGAGCTGAGATGCTTCCTATCTTTTATGCAGCAATATTCCGAATAGTTACTTTACTAAATGAGTCATTTCTCTGAAATCAAATCTGTAGTTGGATCCAGGTTTTCTATTTGCTGAATGAAAAACCTTGGGTAAGCCACCTAACTACCCTCTGAGCCTCAGTTTTCTCATTTGCAAAATGAAGTTTCCTAAAACTACTTCTTCCTCTAGACCATAAGCCTACTAAAGGTTAGGGCCATGTTTTATATATTTTTGCATATCTATTGCCTAATGTAGTATTTGGATTATAAAAGATGTTCAATACTGTAAAAAAGTCAGTAAATGAATGAGAATCTCAGAAAAAATGTAAGCATTTTAATAAGTAGCAAAACTACATGCAAATGAAGTAAACAGTAAACAATGTCAAGCAACAAATGGTACTCCGAGCTCTATTTTTAGAGAGGGAATACAATTGATTCTGTGAGGCATTTGCTATAAGGTAAAAGAATGAGGTCATGTGGGAAAAGGCTAGAGTGCTACCTGAAGGTACATATTGAGCCAGCACACTCCTGAGTATATTTCCCATTTCTCCAAATACCGTGTGTGGTAAGCTGAACCATGGCCCCCCAAGATGCCTTCATCCTAATCTCTGGTGCCTGTGAATATTATCTTATATGGCAAAAGAGACTTTGCAGGTGTGATTAAATTAAATATCTTGAGATAAAGATGTTATGCTGGATTATCCAAGTGGGCCCAGTGTAATCATAGGGATTCTTTTAAGAGGGAGGCAGGAGATGAGGGAGACCGAAGGTGATATGATAACAGATGAAGAAAGATAGGGAGAAAGGGATTTGAAGATACTATGCAGCTGGCTTTGAAGACACAGGAACATGGCCATGAACCCAAGGATGTAAATGGCCTCTAGAAGGTGGAAGAGACCAAGAAATGAATTCTCCCCTAGAGTCTCCAGAAAGAACCAATCCTGCTGGCACCTTGACTTTAACCCAATTAAAATTTATTTCAAACTTCTGGCTTCCAGAACGATCATAAATCTTCATTGTGTTTGTGGTAATTTGTTACAATGGCAATAGGAAACTAACGTGCATGTTTTCACATAGAATTTAAAAGAGAAATCATGAAAATTTCATTAAAAATAAAGATAAATATATGTGACTCTCTTGCCAGCGTACTACAAATGCCAGTTGGTTTTAGCAAATGCAGTTATTTGACTGAGGATAATTTTGAGAGAGAAGACACTTTGGAAGTGGAATAAAAATTATTCTTCATATTTTAGGGTAGAGGAAACATAATTAGGTAATGGATAAAACTCGCCAGGGCACACTCAAATAGAAAGTTTCTTGCCTTTTTTCACTACCTCCTCATGGGATCAGGTGATTCTCTCCTACAGTGCACTTTGGGACAACAACCCTTTTCCTTTATCCTTCACACATTCTCTTATTCTCTAACAGGCCATCTCAAAACTGTTTAGGTGGCAAGGACATTAATGACCATTTTGTTATACAAATTATACCTTTGTAAGTAGACAGCATTTCACAACTTAGCATACTAATCAGGTTCTCCCAGCCCCCTCTAATTCAGTTCCACTCTGCTGGACTATGCCATTTTTAATCCTACCCCTCTGTACTGAACACTAGACAAATCCTTGAGTTGGTGGAAGATGAATGAAAGAAAACATGATGAACCAACCGAAGCAGAAAAAGTGATCAAAGAGCACCCCAGGCCTAAAAAATCAAGGTCCTCTCTATAGACCCAATTTAAAGTACGTGATTCAAAATTGTTGTTGCTCAAAATGACCGAGCTAGTCTCAAGAGCTTTGCTAATGACTTTGCCATCTGGGAAGGCAGAGAACTTAAAAGATAATTATTTTAGGGGTGAGGGACTAGCACAAGATTACAAGAATATCAAATGTAAATGAAAAGCTTTGGCCATAGCAAACACTGACAAACTGTCCACAGGAATAGCTTACCTAAAATCCAATTAAAACAGTAAGGCCCCTTATTTAATTGCCCTTAAATAGGAAGTCCAACCCCTAAAATGTATGCCTAAGGGCGACAGAACTCTTCACTGAAACTTCTCCTGTAAGGAACCGCAAATCACTCTACGGATCCCAGAGCAAGGACATCATCTAGTGTATGAGCTTCCCTCTAGAACTCACTTATACTGGGAAATGGATTGGGATGGTGAAGTAGCTTTGAAAACCCCTGCTTACTGTGGTAAACACTTAAGCTGGTTAGGATACAGTCAGGACTACTTACCCCTCACAAGGAGACAACCAGAGAGGTTTAAATAAGCTCTTTCAAATACATTAAGGACCCACAAGCCTCAATAGAAAGTAAAAAAGACAACATGCAGAATTTTTGCTATCTGTTCCTTGAAATGATAAAGTGAAAGTTACTCCTTTTATAATAATTTAGATGCAGGTCAACTCCATGGTATCAAGTCATGAACATTCTGTAATTCTGTAGAAACTACAAAAAATGAAGGAATATTGACCTGAACTTTTTTGGTGGGGAGCGGTGTTTCTTTAATTCTTCTTAGCACCTCTTTAAGAAATTTTCCTTCTCTATTCAATCTGTTTCATGGGTGAGGCTGGTGAATAAGAATCATTTGCTTCATTGCTCTAGTAAGCCTGTGTTTAAGGGATGATGTCTAATCTGGTGTATACGCTAGAGTAGTACAAATATTTGGAGTCATTATAAGTTGTTCAAACCCTCTCAGCATCTGCTATATTGCTTTTAAATATAATGTGTAACAACACTTGCACTTCCTACCTAGGCAGAATAATAAGGACAATATTTACCATTTTCTATGGAAAAACCAATATAACCAGTCAAAATATATGAAACAATATTTTTTAAGATACTGGATATTAAGGAACAGAGAAAAAGGGTCCCACAGATACAGAAAATGAGTAAGGTGAGCCCTACAATTACCTCAGATTTCTGCCTTGTGATGATTGCCAGTCCATAGCACATGAAGAGAAAATCCAGGTAGAGTTGAGGGGACTCCCTGAGTTGAAGAGACAAAGCTAAGAGTCCAGGGAGACCAACGTAGCTACAGTTCACAAGACAGAGAACCAGGAAGTACATAGCTGCACAAAGGAAGAAGTCCAAGGACTAGCAAAGTGTCCCCCTTGAGTATTCATTAGAGTACTGATCAGTGCATGCATGTAAAGAAACCAACCAAGCTAGGGAAACAACTACTGGAAAAGTTTAATGATAATAGTACGTGGCAATTACACAGGACCTGGAAGAGTATCTGCCCTTATCACCATAGGAAAATGTGAAAATTCACAATGAATTAAGAAGAGTACACAGGATAGTCTTACCTCTGTGGAATAATTAGTAATAGATCAAATAATACTCTGGTCCCATGTAACAAATCTTAAAAGTCGTATGCAAGAAGATAAACTGTTTCTAAGTAACATAACTGCATGCCAAAAGAAAGCTCAAATCTACTTAGAAGAATTCAAAAAATATCCAGTACCCAGAAAAGTAAAATTCACAATGTCTGGCACCCAATCAAAAATTATCAGGAATGCAAAGAAGCAGGAAAATTCAATCCATGGTAAGGAGAAAAAGCAGTATATTGAAATTGACACAGAACTGACACACATGTTTGAATTAGCAGACAAGGATATGAAAACATTTACTGTAACTGCATTCCATATGTTCAGAGAATTATGTAAAAACATAAAAGAAATTTCTAAAAACCTAATCAAACTTCTAGTGGTGAAAACAAAAATGTCTGATAATAAATACACTGGATGAAATTAGCAGCAGATAGGACCTTACAGAAAGAAATACAAGTGAATTTGAATACACATCAGTGAGCTATGGAGCAACTTCAATCAGCCTAATGTAGATGTATCTGAAAGAGAGAAAAGGAAATGCAAAAGAGATACTTGAAGAAATAATGGTCATTTAAAAAACTGATGAAAAATGTAAACCCAAATATCCAAGAAGCTCAATTAATTCCAAGTACAACAAATAAGAGGAAAAAAACTGTACCTACAAAGGCAAATCATAATCTTTGTGAAGATTTTTAACTACTAATTTAGTGATCTTATATCATAATATGATATAAGATCATATAGATATAAAGACTAGAACTATCTAAATTGTTTGTTTCTTCTGGAGGGAGTTTTAGTAATTTGTGTCTATCAAAAAATTGGTCCATTTTATTTAAGTTGTTGATCTGTTGAATTCTACCAAACATGAAAGGAAGAAGTAATACCAATTCTGTACAAACACTTTTAGAAAAATTGAAGAGGAAAGGATATTTCCCAATTTATTATTTGGTTTTAGTATTATTAGGATTCCAATCCAGAAAAAAATACATAAAGAAAGATAATGATAAATCTAATATTTATAAACAAAGATGCAAAAATTCTAAACAATGCTTTATCCAAACAAATGCAACAATACAACACAAGAAATAATATATCATGAACAAGTGAGGTCTGCTCCATGAATGCAAGGTTGGTTTAACATAAAAAATCAATTTATGTAGTTCACCATATTAAACTATAAAAACTAAACCCCATATATCACCTGAATAGATTCAGGAAAAGCACATGACAATATCCACATCCATTAATAATCAAAACTCTCAATAAACTAGGAACAGAAGGAAACTTTCTTTACTTGAAAAAGGGAATCTATGAAAGATATATTGCTAATATCATCCTTAATGGTGAAAAATTAAATGTCTTCCCCTCAAGTAACAGAAGATAATAAAAATGCCCACTCTACCACTTCTCTCTATTATTATACTGGAGGCTCTACCTAGTCCATGAAATCTGGTAAGAAAAATAAATGAAAGTTATCCAGATTGGAAAGGAAAAAATAAAACTGTATTTGTTCACAGATAATATGGCAGTCTATGAAGAAGTCATATGGAATTTATGAAAATCCTACTAGAACTAATAAGTGAGTTTAGCAAGATTATAGTATACAAGATTAATAAACAAAAATAAATGGTATTTCTATACACTAGAAACAAAAAATAAATTGAAATAAAAATATCATTTACAATCGCATCAGAAAATATGAACTATTGGAGGATAAAGCTGACAAAAGATTTACAAAACCTATACACTAAAAGCTATAAAATATTGCTGAAATTAAAGAAGACCACAGGAAATGGAGAGAGATATTGTATTTGTGAGTAGAGAAAATCAATATAGTTAAGACATCAAATCTCCCCAAATTGATCTATAGATTCAATAGATTCAAACTGCCAACAGGCCCTTTTAAAAAAATAGACAAGCTGAGTATAAAATTCACATGAAATTGCAAAGAACATAAAATAAACAAAACATCTTTGGAAGAGAATAAAGTTTTAAAGTCAGGACTTATTTACAGCTACATAAATCATGACAGTGTGGTATTCTCATAAAGATATAAAAATAAATGAATGAAAAATAATAGAGTTCAAAAATAGATACACACATATATAGACAACTGATTTTCTACAAAGATTTCCAAGGCAATTCTGCAGAGAAGGGATACTGTTCAACAACTGGTTCAGGAGCAGTTGAATATTCAAATGCAAAGTATGACTATTATCACACTTTTTATCATATGTATAAACTCAAAAATGATCACAGACCTAAATGTAAATACTAAAACTATAGAACTTTCTGAAGAAAAAAGTAGATGAAAATCTTTGTGACCTTGGATTACGCTAAGATTTGTTAGGTAGGAAACCAAAATCATGATCCATAAAACAGGCCCCCAAAAGTGATAGATTGTACTTCATGAGAATTAAATATTTCTGCTCTTTGAAAGACACTGTTAAGAACATGAAAAGACAAGCCACGGAATGGGAGAAAATATTTGCAAATCATACATCTAAAAAAGAATTAGTATCCAGTATCTATAAAGATCATGTAAAACTCGGTAGTAAGAAAACAAACAACGTAATTTTAAAAATGAGGAAAGATTTGAACAGACACTTCATCAAAGATATCTGTGTGGCAAATAAGAACACAAAAAGATACTCAATATCATTAGTCATTAAGGAAATCCAAGTTAAAACCACATCACTAGACACCTATTAGAATGTATAACATTAAATAGACTGACCATACCCAGGACTGGTGAGGATGTGGAGGAACTGGAATAGCTGATGGAAGTGCAAAATGATGCAACCATTTTAGAAGACAGTCTGGCAGTTCCTTAAAAAGTTAAATATACACCTACCATGTTATTTTTACTCCTTCATAGAAATGAGAGCACATATGCATACAGAGACTTGTACACAAATACTCATAGCAGGTTTATTCGTAATAACCAAAAACCAGGAAACAATCCAAACATCCGTCAACAGGAGAATGGACAAGCAATGTGCGTTATAGCCATACAATGGGCTACTACTCAGGAATAAAAGAAATGAAGTCTTGATAAATGCAAAAATAAGGATGTATCTCAAAATAATTATAATGACTGAAAGAAGCCAACAATAAGAGAACATGTACTGTATAATTATATTTATATAAAACTCAAGAAAATCCAAACTAATCTATAGTAAAAGATCAGTGGTTGCCAGGGGAAAAGGAAGAGGGAGGAGAGACTGCATGGGTGAGAGAACACTTGTGGGTGACTGACATACTCCACTCTCTTGATTATGTTGGTGGTTTCAAACATATATACATTTATCAAAGTCTATTAAATTGTGTACTTTAAATACTTGATGTTTATTGTGTGTCAATTAAACTTCAATACAGCTTTAAAAATGATCCATTTTTCTCAATTGTTTACCTGCCTTTTTCACTGCTGAAAATTGAACCTTAATTAAATATTTGCTTTCTGTCCCCTATTTCTCCCAGAAACTTACCTTTTGTTTAAAATTCTAAAAAAAAGAATGACTCCAGCTCACAAAGATCTTGGGGATGTTACCAGTGCCACTTAGCTGTTGATTAAGAGTATTTCCAACTCTCAGTTTTATGTTTCACTGACTTTTCATATCAAGCTAAGCAAAGAACTATAAGTTGATTATTACAGAAATTATGGTAGATATATATCTTCCTTGGGCATAAAGGCACCAAATTACACTAATTTTTCCTGGAAGACAAAAACTTTCTGTATATTATTTCCATTCACCCATTATTCATAAATTCAAACAAGAGATAATTATTGAATGCCTACTACATGCTAGACACTGTGGTATTGTTGAGTGCCTACTACATACTAGATAGGTACTATGCTCAATATTTAGTCCTTAAAACTCTTGCATGTAGGTATTTATTATTACCAATTTATTGATTAGCAAAGTGAGAATCACAGAGGTTAAAAACATGTCAAATTTTATACTACCTAGGACACAGGAAATCTTGGAACAGTGATTTTTTTAACAAAAAATATATAATTAAAAAATCTCTTCCTCCTAGTCATCCACAGGTATTTCTCTGGTTCTCTGGTTTGGTAGAGATGAGTATTTGTCAATTACATATTCACACACACACACACACACACACAAACACACACACTCACACTCAGTTTTTGTAAGGCGTTTGAAATATTTTTAGTTTTGTTACTTTATTCCCATTCACCAGGACTATTTTCATTCATTTGAGACTCTGTAGTTTTAAGGTTGTGTCTAGCTTCCAACCTTCCCCTGTGAAGTGAAGGTCCCAAAAATATAAAGGAGCCTGGTTAGCAAATGTCAGTAATGCACTTAAAAGGAATTGGGATATAAAAGGAAATTGAAAGTTGTTATTCTTCCTGTAATAGAAGAATTGGACTGAAATGTTGAATTTTCATTAAAACCTTTCATTGGTAAAATGGGTTACTGCCAAAGGGTCTAAACAACTAGTGGTTTAGTGTATGGTAAATAACACTATACACTAACATAACATCTGAACAGCATGAGGTGCAGGTATTTTTCAAAGTAAAATAAGATTGGAAGCAAAGGGGTCATGCACCTTGCAGTAAGGTGAGACATCAGTTTTGCCTCATGGGCTGTTCAAAGGGACACAGCAGCTATGAAGAAGGGGAAGCTGGACTGGAGCCACATAATATATGCCTTAATTTCATTTATGGAACAGACTGAGCACAGAGCAGATGGCCCTTTGATGAATGATCAGAAAGGAAGTCCATGGATGCCATAGAAAACAGGAAAATACAAAATGTTTTTAGGGTACCATGTGTCAAGAAGAGCTCCAGATGAGATGAGATGGTTAGTTCCTTCTTCTCACCCTTAGATCAAAATTCATCAAGACATTGCAATTGGAATGAGTGGTCAGTAAAGAGACAAATAAACAATGGTTAATGGATGGAGTGAATGTCCTCTTTATCAGGTTTCCTTCCTTGGCACACAGACCTACATTCTCTCTTTTTAGAGCCTTTGTCCCTACAATTTCTACTCTCTGAAAGCCTGTCCCTGCTTCTTCTGCACAATCTGAGCTTACCTGTCCTTCAGGACTCTGCTCAAATTCCATATTTCTTTAGTTTTCTCAGCCCATAATAATTGTTTCTTCTTTATTCCCAATTTGCTCATAGTTTGTGTCAACCATTGTTTTTTAACTAATAATAAATGCAGTAAATGATATTATTTTTATATAATCCTAGCAATCAGTAACTTGAGGTCTGAGCTATCTTTACTAAACACACTAAACTTCTCTTGCCTCACACAGTAGTTAGAATACAGCAGATGTGTGACTGTCTTCTTTATGCCAATTAAGGGCATAATGTAGATATCTTGTCATATGTGAGACTTTAAAAAAAATAGCAAATCCTTAGCCCCAGAGAACACACTGAAGTTTGAGAAGCACAGCTCTCAGAGAAAAGCTTTATGGTATGCCCCAGCTATTTGGAAATTATCACAAGATTCATGCCAGGTATTTAATATCCAATTACCAAAGGCATACAGAAAGAGGCCATTTGGATTCGATGGTGGAAATAAATACAGCAGTACCCCCTTATCTCCTGTGGCCCTTTTCACAGTTTCAGGACCCATGGTCAACTGAGGTCTGAAAATAGTAAAGGGAAAATTCCGGAAATAATTCATGAGGTTTAAATTACATGTCATTCTGTGTAACATGATGAAATCTCACATTGTTCCACTTTGTCCCACTCCAGATGTGAATCATCATTTTGCTCAGCATATCCACACCTACCCACCCATTAGTCACTTAATAACCATCTCGGTCAGCAGATGGAAAAAACAGTATCTACAATTAGCCCTGCATATCCACAGGTTCTGCATCCATGGATTTAACCAACAGCAGATTGAAAATATATATATTTTTATTATACTTTAAGTTCTAGGGTACATGTGCACAACGTGCAGGTTTGTTACATATGTATACATGTGCCATGTTGGTGTGCTGCACCCATTAACCCATCATTTACATTAGGTATATCTCCTAATGCTAAAATACAGTATGACAACTATTTATATAGCATTTATATTGTATCAGGTATTATAAGTAATCTAGAGAGGATTTAAAGTATATGGGAGGATGAGCATAGGCTATATGCAAATACTACACAACTTTACATAAGAAACTTGAGCATCTGTGGATTTTGTTATCCACAGGGGTCCTGAAAGCAATCCCTTGCAGATACTGAGGGACGACTGTATAGGGTTTGGTACCATCCCTGGCTTCAGACACCCATTGGAGGTCTTGGAATATCCTCCACAGATTAGAAGGGACTACAGTATCTCCAAACTAAAAGCCACTGACTTTGGCCTTCCTATTATTCTTGATAATGTTCTTTTATTCATTAGGACTTTCTTTAGTTGGTAGCAACAGAACCTCTAACTGGCTTGTGGAAAAAGAAAATTCCTTCATTCACAAAGCTCTGGAGCATACATGAGCAATTCACACAACTGAAATGAGAGATACAAGAATCAGAGCCTCAGGACTTTTAGCCAGACACTCAAAGCCACAAGATTTCTTCTGTCTCTAACAATTGTCTCCACTTGGCTTCACTCTGCAAGCAAATTCTCTCCACACTTCTGCTAGCAGCCCCAGGTTCCTATCCTCCTGTCTTGGAAATCTTAGAGAATATGTTTAGTTCCAAGGAAGGATTATGAGTGATTTTTCTTAGGTCATGTACCCATCCTGGATCCATTCACTGTAACTAATGAAATGGAATACTGTAGGTAGACTTGAGCTACCCACCTTTCCACCCTTTAGCCAGGGAACAATATTTGTAACAGGAAAGGAGGAATAGAAAGTTTATTATTCCAAGAAAAATAATAATTTTCACAGTTCGCTCTGAATGTGGCATGTGTTGTTGGATGATAGGTAAGAGAGTTCAAATTGAGACGGATTTGTGAAATCGCTGAAGTGAAGGAAGCACTTTTACTTATATAAGCCTTTATCAAAATGTTCTCCTTTGAGCCAGGCTGGGGACATTGCACTGCTCTCTTCCTGGATGTCACCTCCATGTTGAAGACAATAAAATTTCCCAGGATTCTGTGAGCCAGGTGAGTCTCTAAGTTATCCTGAAACCCCTAGAATCCAAACCTATTAAGGAACAAGGTGAAGTAATTTTGTTAGTGATGCCTGACAACAGGTTATCAGGATGATTCCAGCAAGAAATATATGTCACTACCTTGAAGGTGCTATAAGTCCTACAGAACCGACACGCAGGTCACATGAAGAGCACTAAGGAAACAAGCATCATAGGGGCACCATTCCCTTTGATTTGTCACACTGATTTCACATCTGCTGGAGAAAATATAAAGGTAAATCCAGGGAACAGTCTTATTTTTTGTTCTCATTTCCTGAAAAACTTGTTGCCACCATCACATTAAAAGATGGCAGAAATTCTAGAGTATAAATTTCTTCACAAAATACTAAGATAGTTCTGTTTTTCAAATTTCTTTTTGCAAAGATAAAATTCATTCCAAACTGATTGAATATCATTGCTGAGAACATTAATACATCTATAAGTTCATCTCTGTAATTTGTATCTGAAAAATGGGCATCTGATTATGTTTGTTTATAAGTATATACAAGAAAAAAGCAACTAGGAAATCCTGTCTTGCACTTCACTGGGGACCCACTCTGCTTTGAAGAAGCATCTTAGCTATACTATAGAGCCGCTGTATTGTCTGTTACTCTGCTTCTTGGTTTCCTGGATAGCATCTCTAGCTCATGCTAAATTATTACATTTTTAACTGTGCTATAAACATCTTTGTCAGTTGAGATAGTTTTCCAGCCTCTAGACACATGTTCAAAGTAAAAACAGGCTGGGGGGAATTATCTGTTATGGGTTTACTCTTACCTGAATGTGTCTCCCAGGAATGGATTACTTTGGTGTTTAGCATTCCTCTTTGGGGTCTACTTTCAGAGGTTTCCCAATCTGGCTCCCTTTATTATCTCAGTAACCCAGAGTTTTCAAAGTTTTCTATTCAGAGCTTTCAACTTTGTTAGTTTCTAAGAAAGTTTGATGCCTACCCACCACCTGCCTCTTTTCCCTCTGGGTCTTTGCACCAGGAGACAGATGCGGTGTTAAATAACTACTCCATATATCAAACAATGATCCATCCTTGGGACTCTCCAGTGCTCTAAATCACAGACTACACTGAGCAACATGTAAATGGCCACATTTTTCTTCATTAGTCAACATGAATAAAAGGAATGTCTCATTTAAGAAAAGTATTCAAGCCTAAAAGCCTCAAGAATCAGAAGTCATGATTGGAAACTAGATCTAGAAAGATTGAAAAGGGAAATAACTATTAGACATTGATTTTTAAAAATCTCCCATTTCCATGGAGTAGCCTCCAGATTATTAAAAATTCCTTTTAAGGGAGTCAAGCTCAAATGAACTATTTCCAAACTCCTTTCTCATCCCTTCACAGGAAAAAAAGTAGTTTTCCCATAATGTGAACAAAAGTCCCTTCAGAGTATTTTCCCCCTTCCTTTACTGAAGTATACATGTGCACTCATAGATCGTCTCATAAAAAAGAAAGAAGTATACATGAAGTATGATTGTACAACTTAAATGTTCTCAAAGTAAATGCATCCATGTCAATGGGGAAACAGATAAACAATGAGAACTCATCACAACTCCCAGAAGCTCCCTTGCATGTCTTTCTAGTTATTATGCTATACCCCACCTCCCAACAAAGGGTAACAACAATTCTGACCAAAGATAATTTAGGCTTGTTTTTGAAATGTATACTCCTGTTCAACATATACCCTTTTGTGACTTGCGTCTTTCGCTCAACATTTCGTTGAGTGAGATGCATCTATGTTGATGCATGCAACTGTAGTTTGATCGTCATTGCTATTTACTACTTCATTTTAGTACTTCATTGGTACAGCAAATTTAGAAAACTGATACTATGTATTAAAGATGAACATATATATTCTCTATGACCTAGCAATTCTACTCTTATATATCAACAGATGTATAACTAATTATGTATCTGTTGATATATATCTGTTTTTAAAAAGTACATCCCTATTCAATATATACCATTTTGTGTCTTGCTTCTTTTACTCAACATTACATTGAGTGATTTTTATCCATGGTGATTCATCTAACTGCAGTTTGATTACTGTCATTGTTATTTAGTACTCCATTATATACTGAAGGACTATTTATTTATTCATTCTGTTATTATGTACATTTGGCTTATTTTTTGTTGAACTGTAAGTGCTGTCACAACAAAGGGTTTATCTGAACTCAGTGGCAGCTCTGAAACTGAATGTTCCTTCAGAGTTTTACAAGTTGGAGCTAAGAGCAGGGCTTTTATAACCTCCATTCATTAGACAAAGGCTTCCTTGGAAAGGTGGTGTGACATCAATGAAGGAATTCCAAGAGAAGACAGACAAATAAGTGCTTTTATCTAGCAGCACTCCTAGCAGCTAGAGAAATAATTAGCCTTTCCACCTCAAAGTGGGGTATGAAAGTGAAGTCTGGCCATGTAGCACAGTATGCACTAAAAATCCTTTCCAAACACACAAAGATTTCCAAGAAAATTCTTAAGTCAACATTTGCCAAAATTATGAGGTCACATGTCTCCATCATATTATGGTGAAAAAAAAACTTACCAAAGGGACAACTAGAAACCTTTATAGAAAAAGTTTCTAATTGTAACCCAAATGATAGTAGGCATAAATGAAGTCATCGACATTTAAAAACTCAATTTTTGACTGGGCGTGGTGGCTCATGCCTGTAATCCCAACACCTTTGGGCATGGTGGCTCATGCCTGTAATCCCAACACCTTTGGGCATGGTGGCTCATGCCTGTAATCCCAATCCCTCATGCCTTTGCGAGGCCGAGGCAGGCGGATCACCTGAAGTCAGCATTTTGAGACCAGCCTGGCCTACATGGCGAGACCTCGTCTCTACTAAAAACACAAAAATTAGCTGGGTGTGGTGGCGGGTGTCTGCAATCCCAGCTACTCAGGAGGCTGAGACAGGAGAATCACTTGAAGCTGGGAGGTGGAGGCTTCAATGAGCCGAGATCACACCATTGCACTCCAGCCTGGGCAACAAGAGTGAAACTCCGTCTCCAAAAAAAAAAAAAAAAAAACCTCAATTTTTAAAGAACTTTTCTTTTTCTGCTCCTGGGTACTTTAAGCCTCACAATTTCTCTCAGTTATTTCTGTAAGATCCCAACAGAGGTTTTTCTGTGTGTGAGACATCAGTAGGTTCATACATTTCTTTGACAGTATCTTTGTCAAGGCACTCCACATTTGCGTGTTCTGACAGTGCCCTGTCCTACCAGGCAAACCAGTCTGTGCTGATGAACATTTTGTCCCTCAGACTGCTAGACCTACATTGTAATACGAAGCACAGAGAGAGGTCTTCTTTCCTATTCTATGTTGCCTTTTGTCACTGGGCCCCACAGCAGCTCTGCTTGTGTGCAGAGTCCCCAAAAGCCTTTCTGGGAAATAGATCCTGAAGTTTGGTCTATAGTATCTCTACAAAAAGGCTAAAAACTTAATTAGCCCAGAAGGAAAAGAAAACATCATGCCATTGTCCTGGCCATTGTTGTTCACCCTGACTTTTGCTCTCACTCCTAACTCCTCTCTCTGCCTCCTACACAAAAGCCTATACATATGGGCCCTCCATATTCATGGGTTCTGCATACCTGGATTCAAATAACCACAGATAAAATATATTGAGGAAAAACAATAAAAAATAACTATGATAATAAAAATAATACAAATTTTAAAATACAGTATGACAACTTTTATATAGCAGTTACCTTTTATTGGGTATAAGTAATCTAGACATGATTTAAAGTATAGAAGAGGATGTGCATAGGTTATAGTAAATACTATTCCATGTTATATAAGGGACTTGAGCATCTATGATTTTGGTATCTATAAGGGGTCCTGGAGCCAATTCCCCACAAATACTGAGGGACGACTATACTCACATCAGTTCATGCAAACAGATACTTGCAGAGATCACAGGTCCATCACAAGCCACTAGACTATGAATCTCGGTTTGCTCTCACCAGGGAACCCTGCCACACTATTAGCAGAATCTTTCAAAATGCTTACTGTTAAAACATTTGAGACACATATTTTTTAATTCCTCTATTTTAAAAATTTTATTTGTATAAATATGTAGGGGAAAAGCACATTTCTTTTACATGGATATATATTGTATAGTGGTAAAGTCAGAGCTTTTGTGTGTCTATCACCTGGTTAATGCACACTGTACCCATTAAGTAATTTCTCATCATCCAACCCGCTTCCATTCCCTACCCTTCCAGGTCTGCAGGGTCTATCATTCCACTCAACACCCATGTGTACACATAACTTAGATCCCACTTATAAAATTCATAAAAGCATGGAATCATAAAAATCACACTTATACATGGTTATAGGCAGAATTGTGCTCTGCCTCCTCCCACCCCCAAATTCACATGTTGAAATCCTGATCCCCAGTACCTCAGAGTATGACTATTTAGAGGCACAAGTCTTTTAGAAGTAATTGTGTTAAAAGGAGGCCATGATGGTGGGTCTTAATTCAATATAACTAGTGTTCTTATCAGATAGTAGAATATAGACACACATAGAAGGATAAGGACATGGAGATACAGGGAGGAGCAGATAGCCACTACAAACAAAAGACAGAAGCTTCAAAAAAAAGACAAACCTTGCTGAAACCTTGATCTGGAACTTCTAGCCTCCAGAAATCTGAGAAAATAAATTTCTGTTGTTCAAGCTTCCAGGTCTGTGATACTTTGGTATAACAGTACTAGCAAACTAATACATACTTTTTATTTTTTGTTGTTGTTGTTTTTCTTTTTTTAATGGAAGTACGTGTATTTTAGAAAGCTCTATATTGCTTGGTAAATAACTTGTATTTAAATATGGGGTTTGATTGTATTTCTTTAAAAGGTGGGCATTAGTGGGAGGCTGAGGAAGGACAATCGCTTGAACCCAGGAGGTGGAGGTTGCAGTGAGCCGAGATCGTGCCATTGCACTCCAACATGGGCAAAAAGAGTGAAACTCCATCTCAAAACAACAACAACAACAACAACAACAAAAGTGGGCATTATGACCTTGATGAATATTGTAACCATCTTTTTCTTTTTCTTTTCTTTTCTTTTCTTTTTTTCTTTTTACACTTTAAGTTCTGGGATACATGCGCGGAATGTGCGGGTTTGTTACATAGGTATACACGTGCCATGGTGGTTTGCTACACCCATCAACCCATCATATACATTAGGTATTTCTTCTAATGCTATCCCTCCCCTAGCCCCCCGCCCCCCAACAGGCCGCAGTGTGTGATGCTCCCCTCCCTGTGTCCATATGTTCTCATTGTTCAACTCCCACCTACGAGTGAGAACATGCGGTGTTTGGTTCTCTCTTCCTGTGTTAGTTTGCTGAGAATGATGGTTTCCAGCTTCATCCATGTCCCTGCAAAGGACATGAACTCATTCTTTTTTATGGCTGCATAGTATTCCATGGTGTATATGTGTCACATTTTCTTTATCCAGTCTATCATTGATGGGCATTTGGGTTGGTTCTAAGTCTTTGCTATTGTGAACAGTGCTGCAATAAATATACGTGTGTGTGTGTGTGTGTCTTTATAGTAGAATGATTTATAATCCTTTGGGTATATACCCAGTAAAAGGATTGCTGGGTCAAATGAAATTTCTAGATCTAAATCCTTGAGGAATTGCCACACTGTCTTCTACAATGGTTGAAATAATTTGCACTCCCACCAACAGTGTAAAACTCTTCCTATTTCACAACATCCTCTTCAGCATCTGTTGTTTCCTGACTTTTTAATAATCGCCATTCTAACTGGTG
This sequence comes from Homo sapiens, assembly GCF_000001405.40. Classification (NCBI taxonomy): domain Eukaryota; kingdom Metazoa; phylum Chordata; class Mammalia; order Primates; family Hominidae; genus Homo; species Homo sapiens. The sequence continues at coordinate 170,452,448 of NC_000001.11, forward strand.
TGAGATGGTATCTCATTGCAATTTTGATTTGCATTTCTCTAATGACCAGTGATGATGAGCTTTTATTCATATATTTGTTGGCTGCATAAATGTCTTCTTTTGAGAAGTTTCTGTTCATATCCTTCCCACATTTTTTCATGGGATTGCTTTTTTCTTGTAAATTTGTTGAAGTTGCTTGTAGATTCTGGACGTTAGCCCTTTGTCAGATGGATAGATTGCAAAAATTTTCTCCCATTCTGTAGGTTGCCTGTTCACTCTGATGACAGTTTTTTTTTTTTTGCTGTGCAGAAGCCCTTTAATTTAATTAGATCCCATTTGTCAATTTTGGCTTTTGTTGCCGTTGCTTTAAGTGTTTTAGTCATGAAGTCCTTGCCCATGCCTTTGTCCTGAATGGTGTTGCCAAGGTTTTCTTCTAGGGTTTTTATGGTTTTAGGTCTTACATTTAAGTATTTCATCCATCTTGAGTTAATTTTTGTATAAGGTGTAAGGAAGGGGTCCAGATTCAGTTTTCTGCATATGGCTAGCCAGTTTTCCCAATACCATTTATTAAATAGGGAATCCTTTCCCTATTGCTTGCTTTGTTCAGGTTTTTCAAAGATCAGATGGTTGTAGATGTGTAGTGTTATTTCTGAGGCCTCTGTTCTGTTCCACTGGTCTATATCTCTGTTTTAGTACCAGTACCATGCTGTTTTGGTTACGGTAGCCTTCTAGTATAGTTTGAAGTCAGGTGGTGTGATGCCTCCAGCTTTGTTCTTTTTGTTTAGGATTGTCTTGGCTATATGAGCTCTTTTTTGGTTCCATATGAAATTTAAGGTAGTTTTTTTCTAATTCTGTGAAGAAAGTCAATGGTAGCTTCATGGGAATAGCATTGAATCTATCAATTACATTGGGCTGCAGTATGGCCATTTTCACGAAACTGATTCTTCTTATCCATGAGCATGGAATGCTTTTCCATTTGTTTGTGTCTTCTCTTATTTCCTTGAGCAGTGGTTTGTAGTTCTCCTTGAAGAGGTCCTTCACATCCTTTGTAAGTTGTATTCCTAGATATTTTATTCTCTTTGTATCAGTTGTGAATGGGAGTTCACTCGTGATTTGGCTATTATTGGTGTATAGGAATGCCTGTGGTTTTTGCATATTGACTTTGTATCTTGAGACTTTGTCAAAGTTGCTTATCAACTTAAGGAGATTTTTGGCTGAGATGATGGGGTTTTCTAAATACACAATCATGTCATCTGCAAACAGAGACAATTTGACTTTCTCTCTTCCTATATGAATACCCTTTATTTCTTTCTCTTTCCTGATTGTCCAGGCCAAAACTTCCAATCCTATGTTGAATAGGAGTGGTGAGAGAGGCCATCCTTGTCTTGTGCCGGTTTTCAAAGGGAATGCTTCCAGCTTTTGCCCATTCAGTATGATGTTGGCTGTGGGTTTATCATAAATAGCTCTTATTATTTTGAGATACATTCTATCAATACCTAGTTTATTGAGATTTTTTAGCATGAAGAGATGTTGAATTTTGTCAAAGGCCTTTTCTGCATCTATTGAGATAATTATATGGTTTTTGTCATTGGTTCTGCTTATGTGATGAATTACATTTATTGATTTGCATATGTTGAACCAGCCTTGCATCCCAGAGATGAAGCCAGCTTGATCGTGGTGGATAAGCTTTTTGATGTGCTGCTGGGTTCAGTTTGCCAGTATTATATTGAGTATTTTTGCATCAATGTTCATCAGGCGTATTGGCCTGAAATTTTCTTTTATTGTTGTGTCTCTGCCATGATGATGCTGGCCTCATAAAATGAGTTAGGGAGGTGTCCCTCTTTTTCTATTGTTTGGAATAGTTTCAGAAGGAATGGTACCAGCTCCTCTTTGTGCCTCTGGTAGAATTTGGCTGGGAATCCGTCTGGGCCTGGGCTTTTTTTGGTTGGTAAGCTGTTAATTATTGCCTCAAATTCAGAAAGTGTTATTAGTCTATTCAGGCATTCAACTTCTTCCTGGTTTAGTCTTGGGAGGGTATGTGTGTCCGGTAATGTATCCATTTCTTCTAGATTGTCTAGTTTATTTGCATAGAAGTGTTTATAGTATTCTCTGATGGTAGTTTGTATTTCTGTGGGATCAGCGGTGATATCCCATTTATCATTTTTTATTGTGTCTATTTGATTCTTCTCTTTCTTATTTATTATTCTGGCTAGCAGTCTATTTTGTTAATCTTTTCAAAAATACAGCTCCTGAATTCAATGATTTTTGAAGAGTTTTTCGTGTCTCTATCTCCTTCAGTTCTGCTCTGATCTGAGTTATTTCTTGTCTTCTGCTAGCTTTTGAATGTGTTTGCTCTTGCTTCTCTAGTTCTTTTAATTTTAATGTTAGGAAGTCGATTTTAGATCTTTCCCACTTTCTCCTGTGGGCATTTAGTGCTATAAATTTACCTCTCAACACTGCTTTAGCTGGGTCCCAGAGATTCTGGTACGTTGTGTCTTTGTTTTCATTGGTTTCAAAGAACTTATTTTTTTCTGTCTTAATTTTGTTATTTACCCAGTAGTCATTCAGGAGCAAGTTGTTCAGTTTCCATGTTGTTCTGTGGTTTTGAGTGAGTTTCTTAATCCTGAGTTCTAATTTGATTGCACTGTGGTCTGAGAGACTGTTTGTTATGATTTCTGTTCTTTTGCATTTGCTGAGGAGTGTTTTACTTACAGTTATGTGGTTGATTTTGGAATAAGTGCTATGTGTTGCTGAGAAGAATGTATATTCTGTTGATTTGGGGTAGAGAGTTCTGCAGATGTCTATTAGGTCCACCTGGTCGAGAGCTGAGTTCAACTCCTGAATATCCTTGTTAATTTTCTCTCATTGATCTGTCTAATATTGACAGTGGGGTGTTAAAATCTCCCATTATTATTGTATGGGAGTCTAAGTCTCTTTGTAGGTCTCTAAGAACTTGCTTTATGAATCTGGGTGCTCCTGTATTGGGTGCACATATATTTAGGGTAGTTAGCTCTTCTTGTTTCATTGGCCCCTTTACCATTATGTAGTGCCCTTTTTTGTCTTTTTGGATCTTTGCTGGTTTAATGTCTGTTTTATCAGAGACTATGATTGCAACCCCTGCTTTTTTTTTTTTTGCTTTCCATTTGCTTGGTAAATATTCCTTCATCCCTTTATTTTGAGCCTATTTGTGTCTTTGCACATGAGATGGGTCTCCTGAATACAGCACAGTGATGGGTCTTGACTCTATCCAATTTGCCATTCTGGGTCTTTTAATTGGGGGGCATTTAGCCCGTTTACATTTAAGGTTAATATTATTATGTGTGAATTTGATCCTGTCATTGTGATGCTAGCTGGTTGTTTTGCCTATTAGTTGATGCAGTTTCTTCATAGTGTCGATGGTCTTTCTAATTTGGTATGTTTTTGCAGTGGCTGGTACCAGATTTTCCTTTCCATATTTCGTGCTTCCTGCAGGAGCTCTTGTAAGGTAGGTGTGATTGTTACAAAATCTCTCAGCATTTGCTTGTCTGTAAAGGATTTAATTTCTCCTTCACTTATGAAGCTTAGTTTGGCTGGACATGAAATTCTAGGTTGAAAATTCTTTTCTTTAAGAATGTTGAATATTGGCCAGGTGCAGTGGCTCACGCCTGTAATTCCAGCACTTTGGGAGGCCCAGGCAGGAGGATCACGAGGTCAGGAGATCGAGACCATCCTGGCTAACATGGTGAAACCCCGTCTCTACTAAAAATACAAAAAAAATTAGCCAGGCTTGGTGGTGGGTGCCTGTAGTCCCAGCTACTCAGGAGGCTGAGGCAGGAGAATGGCATGAACCCGGGAGGCGGAGCTTGCAGTGAGCCAAGATTGCACCACTGCACTCCAGCCTGGGTGACAGAGCGAGACTCCATCTCAAAAAAAAAAAAAAAAAGGAAGAAAGAAAAATGTTGAATATTGGCCCCCACTCTCTTCTGGCTTGTAGGGTTTCTGCTGAGAGATCTGCTGTTAGACCACAATGCAATCAAATCAGAACTCAGGATTAAGAAACTCACTCATTTTTTTCCTTCATTTCAACCTTGGTGAATCTGATGATGATGTGTCCTGTGGTTGCTCTTCTCAAGGAGTATCTTAGTGGTGTTCTTTGTATTTCCTGAATTTGGATGTTGGCCTGTCTTGCTAGGTTGAAGAAGTTCTCCTGAATAATATCCTGAAGAGTGTTTTCCAACTTGGTTCCATTCTCTCAGTCACTTTCAGGTACAACAATAATACGTAGGTTTGGTCTTTTTACATAATCCCATATTTCTTGGAGGCTTTGTTCATTCCTTTTCATTCTTTTTTCTCTAATCTTGTCTTCATGCTTTATTTCATTAAGTTGATCTTCAATCTCTGATATTCTTTCTTTTGCATGATCAATTTGGCTATTGATACTTGTGTATGCTTCACAAAGTTCTCATGCTAAGGTTTTCAGCTCCATCAAGTCATTTATGTTCTTCTCTAAACTGGTTATTCTGGTTAACAATTCCTCTAACCTTTTTTCAAGGTTCTTAGCTTCCTTGCATTTGGTTAGAACATGCTTCTTTAGCTTGGAGGAATTTCTTATTACTCACCTTCTGAAGCCTACTTCTGTCAGTTCGTCAAACTCATTCTCCATCCAGCTTTGCTCTCTTGCTGGCGAGGAGTTGTGATCCTTTGGAGGAGAAGAGGCATTCTGGTTTTTGGAATTTTCAACCTTTTTACACTGGTTTTTCTTCATCTTTGTGGATTTATCTAGCTTTGGTCTTTGATGTTGGTGACCTTCGGATGGGGTTTTTCTTTGGACGTCCTTTTTGTTGATGTTCATGCTATTCCTTTCTGTGTGTTAGTTTTCCTTCTAACAGTCAGGCCTCTGCTGCAGGTCTGCTGGAGTTTGCTGGAGGTCCACTCCATACCCTGTTTGCCTGGGTATCACCAGCAGAGGCTGCAGAACAGCAAAGACTGCTGTCTGTTCCTTCCTCTGGAAACTTCATCCTAGAGGGGTACCTGCCAGATGCCAGCCAGAGCTCTCCTGTATAAGGTGTCCGCTGACCCCTGCTGGTAGGTGTCTCCCAGTCAGGAGGCATGGGGATCAGGGACCCACTTAAGGATGCAGTCTATCTCTTAGCAGAGCTTGAGCACTGTGCTAAGACATCCACTTCTCTCTCTAGAGCTTGCAGGCAGGAATGTTTAAGTCTGCTGAAGCTGTGCCCATAGCCACCCCTTCCCCCAGGTGCTCTGTCCCAGGGAGATGGGAGTTTAACTATAAGCCCCTGAGTGGGGCTACTGCCTTTATTTCAGAGGTGCTCTGCCCAGAGAGGAGGAATCTAGAGAGGCAGTCTGGCTACAGCAGCTTTGACGAGCTGCTGAAATTTACTCAGCATTTCAAGTTGTTTGCAGTTCTAACTTCCAGGCAGCTTTGTTTACACTGTGAGGGGTAAACCGCCTACTCAAGCCTCAGTAATGTTCGACGCCCCTCCCCCCACCAAGCTTGAGCATCCCAGGTCTACTTCAGACTGCTGTGCTGGCAGCAAGAATTTCAAGCCAGTGGATCTTAGATTTCTGGGCTCCATGGGGGTGGGATATGCTGAGCTAGACCACCCATCTCCCTGGCTTCAGCCCCCTTTCCAGGAGAGTGAACAGTTCTGTCTAGCTGCTATTCCAGGCGCCACTGGGGCATTAAAAAAAAAAAAAAAAAAAAAAAACTCCTGCAGCTAGCTTGGTGTCTGCCCAAACGGCTGCACAGTTTTGTGCTTGAAACCCAGAGCCCTGGTGGCATAGGCACCCAAGGGAATCTCCTGTCTGCTGGTAACAAAGAGCATGGGAAAAGCACAGTATCTGGGCCAGAGTGCATCGTTCCTCATGACACAGTCCCTCATGGCTCCCTTGGCTAGGGGAGGGAGTTCTCCAACCCCTTGCACTTCCCGGGTGAGGTGACACCCCACCCTGCTTCATCTAACCCTCCATGGGCTGCACCCACTGTCTAATCAGTCCCAATGAGATAAGCTGGGTGCCTCCATTGGAAATGCAGAAATCACCCGCCTTCTGCATTGATCTCGCTGGGAGCTGCAGACTGGAGCTGTGCCTATTCAGCCATCTTGCCAGCCACCCTCTCTCTTTGTTTTTTAGGAGCTTTATTATGATGTTCCTTTATTATGGTGTGGTTTACTTCATAGTTTTCTATGTGGAATTCATAACTCTTCTTGAATCTATGTGTTGATGTTTTTCAGCAGTTTTGGAAAATTATCAGCCATTGTCTCTTCCAATATTGCTTCTTCCCCATTCTCTCTCTTTTTCTTCTTCTAAAATTGTGATTACACATTTGATAGATATTTTCATTATTTCCTATATGTCTCTTATCCTCTGTGCTTTCCTTTACTTTGTTTCTCTATACTTTTTTCTGAATATTTTCACTGACTTATCTTCTAATTTACTAATTCTATTTTTGGCTGTGTCTAATTGGCTCTTAAACCCACACACTGATTTTTAAATTGACTTTTAAATTCAGTTATTGCATTTCTACTCTAGAATTCCAATTTCATTGTTTTTCTAGATTCCAGTTCTATACAATTCTCTTCATGTTGTCCTTTTAGTTAGAATATTTATCAAAGTTATTTAAAGGTCCATGTCTGCTAACTCTAATAAATGTCTCTCCTATAGGTCTGTTTTATTTTATTTTTTCCTGTTTTTTTTTCTCTTAAGTTTTTAGCATTTGCCATTGCCTCCTAGAAGGTGTGGTAATATTTTATTAAATGCTAACATTGTATATGAAATATTTTAGCAATACCTTTATGCTTTTGATGATGTTATCTCCCTCCATAGAGTATTTATTTTGTTTTCAGTGTATTATTAGCCTAGGAAGATTGCTTTAATATAACAAGGGATTAAACTGATATGACAGTTTGTTTCAGTCACTGGAAGGACTTATTCTGTTCATTATTAATTCCAATTTGTATCCCTTTAGGGATCCCAACTGAAAACCTGGTTGTTTACCAGGTCCCTGACACATTCACAAATTCTAATATCTAATTTTTGTCCCCTCGGTCCCATGGAACTGCCAAAAGCAGCCCTCAGTTTCTCAATTTTGTTGACCTGGATAGGAAAGGTAGCACCAATTTTCAGGCTCCTCTCCTGGTTCTTTTGTCATCTTGACAATCTTGAACTCTCAATTTTTGACTGGCTTATACCTCTCCAATGTCATCAAAATGATTTTTAAAATGTATCCAGCATTTCAAGTTGTATTTCCTGAGTAGACTTCTAAAAGCATAATTTCTTGGTTAAAGTTACAGACATTTTAAAACTCTAAAATATTTTTGCCCTATTGTCTCCAGAAATATTTGGCTATCTATATTCTAATAATTAGGCTTAGTTTTAAGTGACTATCAATAACTTTCCATTTTTTTAATTTGAGAAAAACATGAAAATATTTTTATGTGGAAAAGATTTTTCTCCACCTATACAGCCATAAAATTTTATTAATGGAATTTTTACTTTATTCTTCACTCACAGCAAAAGATCTCTTTGGGCCTGATTCAAAATATATTAAACTTCACTCATAAAGATATTTTATTCCAAGGAACATGTTTCCATTTATATCGAACAGGGAGTTCCCATGAAATTCATGTTGTAACCTTAAATGCAATTGCTTCAATAATTGCTGAAATAAAGGTCTGGTAGGCAAAGCCTAGGAAGCAGAAAAGTAACTTAAAGTTTTGCACATGGTCTGACATTTCAAACATACATGGGTGGCATGACACTTTCCATGCATCTTCTGTTGCCACCCATTAGGAATGCACCTAATTGACCATGTTAATAAGGGTCCATATGTGGCTTGGTTCAGCTCATGAGAGGTAGAAAAACTCAAGTTCTACACTTTGTAATGACAGAAACAAATGCTGTGTGGCCTCTTAAGAAAGCTACAATAATACGAGGTGGTTTAGGGCACCTCAACCAGAGAGGCTAACTTCAAATTACCAGACACATCTATTATGAAGTGTTGAAAGGAAAAAGAAAAACAAATAATAAAGTTACAAAATAAAGTTTATTTTATCAAAATTAAAACGGCTTCCTTCCCTCCACTTCAGAGTAACCTTGAGATGGAACAGTCTGAGGATTACATTGCTATAATCCCTTAGCAGTTAGTTCCACAGCAGGAGGTGCCTGCTACAGACAAAATTATAGGGTTAGGAATGTTCACAATTCAGTGACCCGATTGGCTGACTATTCCTTAGAGCTTTACAATCAAATATTTATACATCTAAATGGGAGCAAAGAAAGGAAAGTGGTTCATAAAGAGAGTCCCAGAGCATGTATTATTGAAATAACAGATGGAAATATTATATTTTTGAAACATTCTTTCTATAAAGAAGTCTTTTGAAGTGTGTTTTGGTAGAATAAGCTGAGCCAAAAGTGGAGCAGAGTGAGAGAAAAAAATAAGGTTTTATATTCAAATGTTTGGTGTCAGCAGAGTATAAAGTTAGCACTTCCCAAAAAAGGCATGTCCCAAAGAGCACTGCAGCACAATGTGTTTGCTCTACTTCACATAACAGTCACAGAGGAGAAATATTTCAAAAATATATTTTACCATCACTGCTCAGTTTGTGTGTGGACTCTCCCAAAACTTGACTTCTGACATCTTTGCAGAGTGTGTATGATCTCCCACCATTGAATTTTTTATGTTTCCTAAAATGACTGAAACCTAAGCTAAGACTCAGTCATTATCTTGAAAAGGCTGTTGGCTACCTCATACTTGCTGAGAGTTTGGTAAGAAGTATAGTTAAATTGTAGGTTTTATGCCACATGGGCAATAGTGATTGGTCATCTAGGCAGGGCTTACAGACTAAAAATGGAGACATGCAGAAAGCAAGAAAGTAGGCAGAAGGCCAGATGAAAAATTCATCACACTTTCTTTATTTTCCTGTACATGGGAGCCTGTACCCATGACAGAACCAACAATTCAGAAGTATTCTGTTGTCTTTCCAGGAAAAATATCCCATTACTAAGCAATCAATTTGAAGTGCTCCATGGCCAGTCCAATTTCTCCATCATTTAGCTCTGAGTACACGGTTCAGTTATCCTGCCAGTCTCAGCTATTAGCTGGATCTGCCATATGATGATGTGATTTATTTCATGGCAACTGGTAGTTACTCTGGTTGAAAAAAGAAAAAGAATCCACAGGAACACAATTATTTTGACCTTGTATCCAGACAAGATTTATATCTGTGACAGGGATCAGAATGCAATTCCTAGTTGAGTCATTCTTAGGGGAAACAAAAGGAAGACTAGCCTGGGAGAAGGACTACTGGCTGGGATGTAAGAAATGAAGGAATTGCCGGTTCTCTTTCCTTCAATACCCTGTTAAGTCCAGGGTATTGATAGATTCACATCAGGTGATCTAGGTATTGATAAGAGTTTGGGGATGTCGTGTTTGTATGCAGGCCCAGCACCAAACAATAGTCAGTTGGCAAAGGGCATAAATGCAGTAACCTATGGCCTCTAAAATTCAGAATTGAGTAATCACATGGCAACTTCTGTCAAAAGAAAGAAACAAGAAAGAGAAAAAGAGACAGTAACTCACTTGCACCCACCAGTGAGGCCACCTCAGAGCAAAGCAAAAAAATGCTTTAGTGATGGTTCCTTGGGTGACAGCATCTGTTCAGAGAGTTGACTCAGAGAGCCTCAGAAGCTCAGGGTTCCAGCCAGGAGCAGAAAGGACTCTTGGCAGAGCTGTTTCCTGTACCTCTTTTGATCATAAAGCTCAGTTTTGGAAAGGTTCTCACCAGTCTTGTGGTTTCCTGGTTGTGCGTCAGTACATTCTGGCTGAAACACTTCCCTTCCTTCAGGCCAGCCTCTCCGCCAATGGCTCCCAGTTCCATGGTTCACTCTCTTCAGCTTTGAACTAGACTCCAAGGACACTGCTGGCTGCAGCATAAACCTTGAATGAGAGTTTGCAGCTGGGATGGTAGCCCTCCCCTCCTTGTGATGGGGATCCTAAAAGGAAAAAAATAAGGGTAAAACCAAAAGTCCATAGAAGCAGAGAATTTTAGAATCAATGAGTGGTTAGCATACAATCTCTTTCCCAATATAGTATGCAATAGAGTCACCTGGGCAACTGGTTAAAATACAGAGATTCCTAGTCCAAACTCAGATATTCTAAATGAGAATCTTTAAGTAGAAACTGGGAATCTGTGTTTTCAAGAATCTCCTTGGCAATTCTTACGTAGTCATTGTACAGTATAATTTACCAAATTTTATAAATTAGGAAACCTAGGCACAGAAACATTAATTAACTTTGTCAAGGTAAAACAGGTGGCCTAAATCTCACATTGTGCTCTTTCTATTGTACCACATTGTTCTTCACTCTTCTTTCTTGTGATTCTGTAATCAGGCTTGGGTCTCATGCTTCCTAACCATGCACTCTTCCTGTGTGCTTTGACCCTGTGTATTTCTCTGAAAATAACTCAGTCTGTTTATATAAGGTCACTTTCAAATCCCACTACCCTCAACTCAGGCATTATTAAGCAAATGTGTAAGTTCAGAACAGCTATTAGAAATGGTAATATTCGTATTCATCTGTTCCTGGCGAGAAGGTATATATGATGTGATCAGGGATACTGGCAGTTTGGATAGCTCACATATGCCGTCCCCACCCCACCAAAAAAAAGGAATTCTTCAGACACTTTAGCAAGTGATAATTATATACAGTCATTCAAAGTTTTCAGGGTTATTTACAGAACAAAGTTTCTGCAGGATGGCTTGAGTATGCTACAAAGTAGAAACGGTTAAGCAGAAGACCAAAAGATTCTCCAGTGAAAATGGCTTATTTTTCTCTAGAAACTTAATGGTATTAGAAACTGTAAATTTTGCAATGGATCAGAACCATCATAAACTGAAAGGAGCACTAAGGATGATATATGCTTCATCATTCCCATGCTTATAGACCAGAGTATGAACTGTTCCAGGAGTCACAGACTAGCTCAAAGAAGTCATAATACCATGTAATTAAGTACTTAATGGTATATGCATAGAGGAAACTTTTAAAATAATGCAAGAATAAAATTGTGGTTGAAGTGCAATTTTTGGAGTCAGATAGATCTGAATCAAAATCCCAGATCTACTACTTACCAGCTGTGTAGACTTGAGGAAGTTATTTAATTTCTTTAAGTCTTAATTTCCTCATCTATAAAATGAAACCTGAGAGGGTTCTCAAGAATATTAAATCATGAGAGTGGGAAGAATGAACTGGGGAGGGGGTGCTGGGTTTTTGAAGAAAACAACAGTAAAAGTGAGAAACATAGGTAAACCAAAGTTATCCAAGGAGAAATACAAAGTTATCCAAAGAGTAACAAACTAAAAATATTTGTATGATAATTAACCTAAAATATCAATGTGAGTTTTGTCACCAAATCCCATGAGTCCTGTGCCTACATTAGCATATGTAAAGATTGTCAGGGTCTAGCCAACATGGCCGATTAGGAACAGCTCCAGTATACAGCTCCCAGCGTGAGCGACGCAGAAGATGAATGATTTCTGCATTTCCAACTGAGGTACAGGGTTCATCTCATGGGGGATTGTTGGACAGTGGGTGCAGGACAGTGGGTGCAGCACACTGAGTGTGAGCTGAAGCAAGGTGAGGCATCGTCTCACCCAGGAAGCACAAGGGGTCAGGGAATTCCCTTTCCTAGCCAAAGAAAGGGATGACAGATGGCACCTGGAAAATCAGGTCACTCCCACCCTAATACTGCACTTTTCCAACAGTCTTAGAAACGGCACACCAGGAGATTAGATCCCACGCCTGGTTCAGAGGGTGCTACACTCACGGAGCCTCGCTCATTGCTAGCACAGCAATCTGAGCTCAAACTGCAAGGTGGCAGTGAGGCTGGGGGAGGGGCACCCACCATTGCTGAGGCTTGAGCAGGTAAACAAAGTGGCAAGGAAGCTCGAACTGGGTGGAACCCACCACATCTCAAGTAGTGCCTGCCTCTGTAGATTCCACCTCTGGGGACAGGGCATAGCCAAACAAAAGGCAGCAGAAACCTCTGCAGACTTAAATGTCCCTGTCTGACAGCTTTGAAGAGAGGAGTGGTTCTCCCAGCATGCAGCTTGACATCTGAGAATGGACAGACTGCCTCCTCAAGTGGGTCCCTGACCCCTGAGTAGCCTAACTGGGAGGCATCCCCTAATAGGGGCAGACTGACACCTCATATGGCCGGGTAGTCCTCTGAGACAAAAGTTCTAGAGGAACAATCAAGCAGCAACATTTGCTGTTCACCAATATTCGCTGTTCTGCAGCCACTGCTGCTGATACCCAGGCAAACAGGGTCTGGAGTGGACCTCCGGCAAACTCCAACAGACCTGCAGCTGAGGGTCCCGACTGTTAGAAGGAAAACTAACAAACAGAAAGGACATCCATGACAAAACCCCATCTGTACATCACCATCATCAAAGACCAAAGGTAGATAAAACCGCAAAGATGGGGAAAAAACAGAGCAGAAAAACTGAAAATTCTAAAAATCAGAGTGCCTCTCCTCCTCCAAAGGAATGCAGCTCCTCACCAGCAGTGGAACAAAGCTGGACGGAGAATGACTTTGACAAGTTGCAACAAGAAGGCTTCAGACGATCAAACTTCTCTGAGCTAAAGGAGGAAGTTCGAACTCATGGCAAAGAAGTTAAAAACGTTGAAAAAAGATTAGACGAATGGCTAACTAGAATAACCAATGCAGAGAAGTCCTTAAAGGACCTGAAGGAGCTGAAAACCACAACACGAGATCTACGTGATGAATGCACAAGCCTCAGTAGCCAATTCAATCAACTGGAAGAAACGGTATCAGTGATGGAAGATCAAATGAATGAAATGAAGTGAGAAGAGAAGTTTAGAGAAAAAAAGAATAAAAAGAAATGAACAAAGCCTCCAAGAAATATGGGACTATGTGAAAAGACCAAATCTATGTCTGATTGGTGTACCTGAAAGTGACGGGGAGAATGGAACCAAGTTGGAAAACACTCTGCAGAATATTATCCAGGAGAACTTCCCCAATCTAGCAAGGCAGGCCAACATTCAAATTCAGGAAATACAGAGAATGCCACAAAGATACTCCTCGAGAAGAGCAACTCCAAGACACATAACTGTCAGATTCACCAAAGTTGAAATGAAGGAAAAAATGTTAAGGGCAGCCAGAGAGAAAGGTCAGGTTACCCATAAAGGGAAGCCAATCAGACTAACAGCTGATCTCTCAGCAGAAACTCTACAAGCCAGAAGAGAGTGGGGGCCAATATTCAACATTCTTAAAGAAAAGAATTTTCAACTCAGAATTTCATATCCAGCCAAACTAAGCTTCATAAGTGAAGGAGAAATAAAATACTTTACAGACAAGCAAATGCTGAGAGATTTTTGTCACCACCAGGCCTGCCCTAAAAGAGCTCCTGAAGGAAGCGCTAAACATGGAAAGGAACAACCAGTACCAGCCACTGCAAAAACATGCCAAATTGTAAAGACCATCGAGGCTAGGAAGAAACTGCATCAACTAATGAGCAAAATAACCCGCTAACATCATAATGACATGATCAAATTCACACATAACAATATTAACCTTAAATGTAAATGGGCTAAATGCTCCAATTAAAAGACACAGACTGGCAAGTTGGATAAAGAGTCAAGACCCATCAGTGTGCTGTATTCAGGAAACCCATCTCACATGCAGAGACACACATAGACTCAAAATAAAGGGATGGAGGAAGATCAAGCAAGCAAATGGAAAACAAAAAAAGGCAGGGGTTGCAATCCTAGACTCTGATAAAACAGACTTTAAACAAACAAAGATCAAAAGAGACAAAGAAGGCCATTACATAATGGTAAAGGGATCAATTCAACAAGAAGAGCTAACTATCCTAAATATATATGCACCCAATACAGGAGCACCCAGATTCATAAAGCAAGTCCTTAGAGACCTACAAAGAGACTTAGACTCCCACACAAAAATAATGGGAGACTTTAACACCCCACTGCCAACATTAGACAGGTCAACAAGACATAAAGTTAACAAGGATATCCAGGAATTGAACTTAGCTCTGCACCAAGCAGACCTAATAGACATCTACAGAACTCTCCACCCCATATCAACAGAATATACATTCTTCTCAGCACCACATTGCACTTATTCCAAAATTGACCACATAGTTGGAAATAAAGCACTCCTCAGCAAATGTAAAAGAACAGAAATGATAACCAACTGTCTCTCAGACCACAGTGCAATCAAACTAGAATGGAGGATTAAGAAACTCACTCAAAACAGCTCAAGTACATGGAAACTGAACAACCTGCTCCTGAATGACTACTGGGTACATAACGAAATGAAGGCAGAAATAAAGATGTTCTTTGAAACCAATGAGAACAAAGACACAACATACCAGAATCTCTGGGACACATTCAAAGCAGTTTGTAGAGGGAAATTTATAGCACTAAATGCCCACAAAAGAAAGCAGGAAAGATCTAAAATTGACACCCTAACATCACGATTAAAAGAACTAGAGAAGCAAGAGCAAACACATTCAAAAGCTAGCAGAAGGCAAGAAATAACTAAGATCGGAGCAGAACTGAAGGAAATAGAGACACAAAAAACCCTTCAAAAAAATCAACGAATCCAGGAGCTGGTATTTTGAAAAGATCAACAAAATTGATAGACCACTAGCAAGACTAATAAAGAAGAAAAGAGAGAGAGAAGAATCAAATAGACACAATAAAAATTGAAAAAGGGGATATCACCACCGATCCCACAGAAATACAAACTACCATCAGAGAATACTATAAACACCTCTACACGAATAAACTAGAAAATCTAGAAGAAATGGATAAATTCCTCGACACATCCATCCTCCCAAGACTAAACCAGGAAGAAGTTGAATCTCTGAATAGAACAATAACAGGCTCTGAAATTGAGGCAATAAGTAATAGCTTACCAACCAAAAAAAGTCCAGGACCAGATGGATTGACAGCCAAATTCTACCAGAGGTACAAGGAGGAGCTGGTACCATTCCTTCTGAAACTATTCCAATCAACAGAAAAAGAGGGACTCCTCCCTAACTCATTTTATGAGGCCAGCATCATCCTGATACCAAAGCCTGGCAGAGACACAACAAAAAAAAGAGAATTTTAGACCAATATCCCTGATGAACATCGATGTAAAAATGTTCAATAAAATACTGGCAAACCAAATCCAGCAGCACATCAAAAAGCTTATCCACCACGATCAAGTGGACTTCATCCCTGGGATGCAAGGCTGGTTCAACATACTCAAATCAATAAACATAATCCAGCATATAAACAGAACCAAAGACAAAAACCACATGATTCTCTCAATAGATGCAGAAAAGGCCTTTGACAAAATTCAACAATGCTTCATGCTAAAGACTCTCAATAAATTAGGTATTGATGGGACGTATCTCAAAATAATAAGAGGTATCTATGACAAACCCACAGCTAATATGATACTGAATGGGCAAAAACTGGAAGCATTCCCTTTGAAAACTGGCACAAGACAGGGATGCCCTCTCTCACCACTCCTATTCAACATAGTGTTGGAAGTTCTGGCCAGGGCAATTAGGCAGGAGAAGGAAATAAAGGGTATTCAAGTAGGAAAAGAGGAAGTCAAATTGTCCCTGTTTGCAGATGACATGATTGTATATCTAGAAAACCCCATTGTCTCAGCCCAAAATCTCCTTAAGCTGATAAGCAACTTCAGCAAAGTCTCAGGATATAAAATCAATGTGCAAAAATCACAAACATTCTTATACACCAATAACAGACAAACAGAAAGCCAAATCATGAGTGAACTCCCATTCACAATTGCTTCAAAGAGAATAAAATACTTTGGAATCTGACTTACAAGGGATGTGAAGGACCTCTTCAAGGAGAACTACAAACCACTGCTCAAGGAAATAAAAGAGGATACAAACAAATGGAAGAACATTCCATGCTCATGGGTAGGAAGAATCAATATTGTGAAAATGGCCATACTGCCCAAGGTAATTTATAGATTCAATGCCATCCCCATCAAGCTACCAATGACTTTCTTCACAGAATTGGAAAAAACTACTTTAAAGTTCATATGGAACCAAAAAAGAGCCCGCATTGCCAAGTCAATCCTAAGCCAAAAGAACAAAGCTGGAGGCATCATGCTACCTGACTTCAAACTATACTACAAGGCTACAGTAACCAAAACAGCATGGTACTGGTACCAAAACAGAGATATAGACCGATGGAACAGAACAGAGCCCTCAGAAATAATGCCACATATCTACAACCATCTGATCTTTGACAAACCTGACAAAAACAGGAAATGGGGAAATGATTCCCTATTTAATAAATGGTGCTGGGAAAACTAGCTAGCTACATGTAGGAAGTTGAAACTGGATCCCGTCCTTACACCTTATACAAAATTAATTCAAGATGGATTAAAGACTTAAATGTTAGACCTAAAACCATAAAAACCCTAGAAGAAAACCTAGGCATTACCATTCAGGACATAGGCATAGGCAAGGACTTCATGTCTAAAACACCAAAAGCAATGGCAACAACAGCCAAAATTGACAAATGGGATCTAGTTAAACTAAAGAGCTTCTGCACAGCAAAAGAAACTACCATCAGAGTGAACAGGCAACCTACAGAACGGGAGAAAATATTTGCAATCAACTCATCTGACAAAGGGCTAATATCCAGAATCTACAAGGAACTCAAACAAATTTACAAGAAAAAAAACAAACAACCCCATCAAAAAGTGGGTGAAGCATATGAACAGACACTTCTCAAAAGAAGACATTTATGCAGCCAAAAGACACATGAAAAAATGCTCATCATCACTGGCCATCAGAGAAATGCAAATCAAAGCCACAATGAGATACCATCTCACACCAGTTAGAATGGCAATCATTAAAAAGTCAGGAAACAACAGGTGCTGGAGAGGATGTGGAGAAATAGGAACACTTTTACACTGTTGGTGGGACTGTAAACTAGTTCAACCATTGTGGAAGTCAGTGTGGCGATTCCTTAGAGATCTAGAACTAGAAATACCATTTGACCCAGCCATCCCATTACTTGGTATATAACCAAAGGATTATAAATTGTGCTGCTATAAAGACACATGCACATGTATGTATATTGAGGCACTATTCACAATAGCAGACTTGGAACCAACCCAAATGTCCAACAATGATAGACTGGATTAAGAAAATGTGGCACATATACACCATGGAATACTATGCAACCATAAAAAATGATAAGTTCCTGTCCTTTGTAGGGACATGGATGAAGGTGGAAACTATCATTCTCAGCAAACTACGGCAAGGACAAAAAACCAAACACCGCATGTTCTCACTCATAGGTGGGAATTGAACAATGAGAACACATGGACACAGGAAGGGGAACATCACACACCCGGGCCTGTTGTGGAGTGGGGGGAGGGGGGAGGGATAGTATTAGGAGATATACCTAAAGTTAAATGACGAGTTAATGGGTGCAGCACACCAACGTGGCACACGTATACATATGTAACAAACCTGCACATTGTGCACATGTACCCTAAAACTTAAAGTATAATTTTTAAAAAAAGAAAAAATTTGGGGAAAGGAAAAGGGCAATAAAAATGAGATTAAAAAGAAGAAGAAAAAGAAGATTGTCAAATATGGATAACATACACATATTGTATAAGCCCCATGAAATTAGGGAGTTTTATATGTTTGTTCACTCCCATGCCTTCTGCTTAGTTATGGAATCAATGAATAGGTTGGTAGGATCTAAAAAGAGCCAAAAGTCTTGATACCTCAACAAGAGAGGAGGCCAATTAATATGTAATGAATATATAAATATCTCTGAGCCATCTGGGTGACTGCCTATCCTGTGTGCAGTTGTGTGTGCCAAGTCTCTGCCCTACAGCCAAGAGATGAAGGTTAGGTTCTGTTGTAAGAGCAAAGCAGATTCCCTGTTGTGTTGCTAAAATGTCTTAAACTCTGCTTCAATACCAACGAACTTGGGGAACACCTGCTTAGATAAAAGTTATAATATTAGTAACCAATTGCCTAATACTTGAGATTATCTCAAATCAGATGCCATGTCAAGAAAGTCATGAGTTTGTCCTGAACATTTCCAAAATATTGCTACAATATAATGGAGACTTGGTGAAAAGGTGTTGGAAGTAAACCATAATTTAATAAATACTTCTTGTATTACAGATGAAGTCCAAAGCCATTAAATTGGCAGAAAAAAGTGAGGAGGGAAGAAGGGGAAGATAAGGAGAAAGAAGGAAGGAATGAAAGAAGGAAAAAGGAAGGAAGGAAGACCAGCAAAGAGAGTATAGGATCATATACTTAAACCAAAATATAAGTAAGCTAAAACTTACCGTTATTTTCTAACGTATAGTCTCTTAACATATCATTACCTTAATGAGTTAAATTAGTCACTATAAAATGAGTCAAACTGTCATAAGAACAAGAGTAGTTCCCTCTTCACAGCTCACTGCTGTGTACCTAGTGCCTTGGTAGTAGAAGTGGTACAGTATGCTGGTTATGAGCTCAAACTTGGGGTCATAGAGATGAAGATTGGCTCTGCCTCTCACTAGTTCTGTGACTTCAAAGAAGCCACTTATGCTGACTGAGCCTCAGTTGTTTTTGTTTTTTTGTAGAAGGGATATAAGAATATATACCTCACAGATTTGTATAAAGACAGTTTTGATAATAAATCCCAAAACATGGTACACAAGGCCCAACAATTTGTAACTACCATTTTCATCATCATCATCATCACTAATATTATTGACATCTTGAAATATCTCAATATCTGAGATCCTGAAATCTCTCAGTTTTATTATTTAAAAATGTATTATGTGAGTTGGTGTGGAAAATGGGGCTGCGATATGTATGTACTGCTGGAGCTCCTGGGAGAAAGATCTAAAATGCTATTCCCCTGTGGCAGTTGAGATGACTATACTTAGCTTTTATATGTATCCTATGTTCACAAACTGCATGCAACTTTTTCTATCCTTTGTATTCGACCTTCTGGTTACACACAATAGATTTTACCTTTTGCTGATGAAGCAACTAAAGCAAAGAAAAATGAAATACTTGGCCTGGGATCATAAGATGAGCCATAATTATCATAATTCCCCAAATCCCAGTCCTGAGTTTAGCCAAACAAACTGGAGTTACCATGGGGTTTAACAATGAGTCAACCACAGAGGTATCTGGGAGAATTTTAAGACAATCCAAATATACTTTGCATTTCTTAGTTTGTATTATACAAAAAAAAAAAAGTAAACTGAAACAGAGGAATGGAGAATACAAGGCTGTGTAGTAAAAATAGTAAGGAGTCTTTTAGATTCTACTGTAAAAACAAAGTAGATTTGATTCATAAGCTACAGGAAGATTATTCTGCCAAAAGAGAACCAAAAGAATGAGCTAAGTTTTAGAGAAAAATGATCAACATAGTCTGTGTGGTTACTAAGGTTGTTGCATGGAGACTTAAAATATTTAAATAAAATAAGAAATTCTGAGAGGTCAGAGAGTAGAATAGAAGAACATAGAAGTGGGAGTAGGGAGACCTGGCTCTGTTCATCATGAATTGAACTGCTTTATGGAGATCACATAGTTGCTAAAATGGGGATATCTATCCTAACCCTAAAGAATGATTATGAAGATACAAAAACAAAATGCTAGTTTTTTAAAAAATTAAAAACAATATGCACACTAGTTATTATTGAAACTTACTTATTAGGAAACATTGATTATTTCATATGACCACCCCTGTCTCCACCAGAAGAAACCCTGGAAAAAAATGTAGACTTGAATCCCATTCTCCTTTACCCACAAGTAGACGTGTATTAAATACTAGTTCCAGATATTGTAAAGGATTCAAAGACCTACAAAACATGAATTCTGCCCTTCAAAAATTTAGTTGGAGTATAAAACATAGAAAGTATATAATTACAGAAAGATAAATCATTTGATAAAGATAAATCATAGTTTAATAAATTGCTAAAACATTTCCACAAAAGACCACCATAAAAACTTATTAATGTTGATGAAAACTAGAATGGTTAAAGGGAGCAAAATAAAAGGAAGTTGAGTTTGTGATAAGACATGGAGGAATTAAATTGTTAAAATGAAAGTGTGGTTTTTTTTATATCATAATGAAAAGTTAAATTTTCATCCAATAGAAATTGAGGAAAGTCTAAAAAATATTTTAGTAAGAATGCATCTTTTGGAAGACTCATCTAGCAGTGGTGGTTTGGAAAAAGAATAAAAGCAAGGAGGCTCATTAGGAGACATTTGTGATCATTCAAATACAGGAACAAGAGCCTGAAATACAGTTATGGCTGTGGGAATTAAAATGAAACAAGCGTATGAGAAATTTTTAGGGAGATTTCTTAGGGAAAAAGTCTACAAAATCTGACAATTGATTCAGTGGATAAAGTAAAAATCAGGATAAAAATCAGACAAAAGAGACTACGGTTTTAAGCCTCAGTTCAGAAAAACATGGTCCTACCTACAGATATAGAATGTCACAAGAAGAATATTTTGCTATTATAACTTTTAAGAATAAAATTTTCAGCACAGTACTTGGGGAGTAGTAATAGCTCTAAAAATTACTACTGTCAGATATACTTAGAGATGTCTCAATAAATCAAGGGTAGGTTAGAGAAATTCAGAGACCTGGAAACAAAAGTTAGGGCTATATTTAGCAAATTCCAACAGTCTGCAAATATGCTATCTACCTTGTGGACTAGGCATTATCCACTGTGACATAAGCAGGCATATCAAGTTTACACGGCCTTAGAAAAGTGAATAGTTAAATTTGCTTAGGTGTTATCAAAGCCTAAGTGTTGTAGTGTCTTTCAGATCATGTGGGGTGTATATCAATAGATATCTCTTCTTACAGTACATTCTAAGAATGATGATGTATTCTCCCAATAATTCACAACAAAAACTTTAATAATTGTGGTCAGCAGAATAATGGTTCCCCAAAGATGTCTATTTCCTAGCCCCTGGGACCTTGAATATGCTACTTTACATTGTAAAAGGGTCTGCAAAGATGATAAATTTAAGGATCTTGTGATGGAAGATGACACTGGATTATCCAGTTGAGCTTACTATAATCACAGGTCCTTTTAAGTGAAAGACGACAAGAAAGTCAGAGTTAGAGATTTGAAGATGCTATGCCTCTTAATTTGAAGATTAAAAAAGTGGCTATGAGCCAAGGAATGCAGGCAACCTGTAAAAGCAAATAAACAGATTCTCCCCTAGGACCCCTAAAAGATATGCAGCCCATTCAACACCTTAATTTTAGTCCAGTAGGACTTTGCTGGACTTCTGACCTACAGAATTCTAAGGTAATAAATTTGTATTCTTCAAAGCTTCAATTGTTACAGAAAAAATAAGGAAATTCACACAATAATATTGTGTATATTTGTTGAATAATACATGTTAATTGTTGAAAATTAAAAGTCTATAAAAAAGTATCTTTTTAATAATATTATGACCAAATTTACTTTCCTGGCAGTGACAGAATAACATTTACCTGATTTGTCTTCTTATAAACAACTAGAAACTCGACAAAATATAAGAAACAACTCTTTTCAGATACATGACTATATTCTCTACAAGAGAGTAGGAAAATGAAGTGAGCTCTACAATTCCCCAGCTGTCTCCGTGAAAACACTTTTGAGACCACATTTGAAATTCCAGTCATCCAGAGGGAAGAGACTTTTTAGAACATCTGTACCATACAACAGAGACTCAAGAAATATTGCACCTTAGTTGTAGGACTAAACTAGCTCCAGAAGACAGGCAACTCTAGACCTGCACTGAGAAAGTTTAAAAATAAGCCTGAAAAAATTAAATGAAACCTCAATTTATCTAGCTGGCACTCAAAACAAGAGTTAACACTCTTCAAAAGGAAGTAAACAAAATACACAGACTCTTCAATGTAATATTCACATTGGTCAGCAACCAATCAAAAAATACTAAATATGCAATAGGCCAGGAATTATGACCATAACCAAAATAAAAATGAATTGATAGAAACAGATGCAGCAATGATAGAGATGGTAGAATTAGTATACAAGGATATTCAAGCAGCTATAATAAATAGGATCATGAAGTTAGTAAAGCATGAACATAAGAACAAGAGAAATCTAAACTAAAGAAGAGTGAAACTGAACTTCTAAAACTGAAGTTCATGTCCAGAACTTCACTAGACTGGAATAGCAGCCAATTAGACATTACAGAAGAAAAGATCAATGAATTTGAAGACATAGCAAGAGAAACTATCCAAACTATAGCACACAGAGAAAAAAAGCTAAAGAAAAAGATGAGACTCAGTGACTGTGGAACAATATCACATAGTTTAACATACATGTAAATGGATTCCCAGGAGAAAAACTATTTGAATACATAAAATCAGAAGTTTCCCAATTTGATGAAAACTATAACCCATATATCAAAAATGCCCATGCATTCAAGAAGCAAAATAAAAACAAAAAGAACCACAGGAAGTCCTATCATTATCAAATTACTGAAAATCTGTAATAAAAAGAAAATATTAAAAGCAGCCAGAAATAAAGAGACACATTAAATTCAGAGAAACAAATGTAAGAATGATTAATGACTTCTCAGAAATAAAAAAGCAAGAATACAATGAAACAGCGCCTTAAAAGTGCTGGATATAAAAAGTGTCAACCTAGAAGCTAATATACAGAAAAAATATCCATCAAACATGGACATGACCTAAAAGCATTTAAATACAAACAAAAGCTGAGAGAATTTGTCACTAGAAAACATGAATTAAAAGAAATGTGTTTGGAAGTTCTTTAGGACCAAAGGAATATCAGATGGAAACTTGGATTTATAACAAAAATGAAAAGCCCTGAAAATGCTATATGTGGATAAATATGAGAAATCTTTATTTAACTGTAATTTACTTTACTTTTTAAAATCTGTTTAGAACAGTAACAACAATGTATTGAAGGCTAATGTGTGTAAAAATATAATCTATGACAATATTAGCACAATTATGACATAATTTTATGCAAATAAAGTTGTATGGTAGTAAGAGTCTTACATTATACATGAAGTAGTATATTATTTGAAGGCAGACTTAAAGAAGTTAAAGATGCTTATTATAAAACTTGAGTAATCACTACAAAAAAAGACCACATTGATAATAAGCAAAAAAAAGGAAATAGAATATTTAAATATACTCAATTAAGACCCAAAAAGCCATGAAAATGGTAAAAATATATAAACAGGAAAAATGAAGAAATATTTAGGATAGTAAACAAATATGATGAAAGGATTAAACTTAACTGTATTGATAATTACACTCAATAATTATCAATTATCAATTGATAATTACACTGTTTAGATGACCTAAACATCTCAATTAAAAGGCAGAGATTGTCACATTGGATAAAAAAGCAAAACACAACTCTATGTTTTCTAAAAAAAAAAAAACACCTTAAATATAAGAATATACAGAGGTTAAGAGTGAAAGAATAGAAAAAGATACCACAGAAACACTAAAGAGAAAGCTTATATGGCTATATTAATATCAGGCAAAATGTAGTTCAGAACAAGGAATACTATCAGGAATAACAAGGCCATTTCATAATGACAAAAGAGCCAATTCATCGAAAAGATGTAACAATCCTAAATGTGTATGCACTTTATAATACAGCTTAAAAAATACGTAAAATAAAAACTAATAAAAATGACAGGAGAAATAGAAAAGCCCACAATTATAGTTGGATGTAATAACACATCTCTCCTAGTAATAAAACAGGTTGACAGAAAATCAGTCTAGAAAACTTGAACATTATCAACCAATGTGACACCTAATTGACATATACCAACAATGGCAGGATAGACTTTTTTCACATGCAAATTGGACATTTACCAAGATAGACCATATGCTGAGACATAAAACAAGTCTAAATAAGTTGAATGGATTCAAATCATATGTAGTATGCCCTCTGACCTCAACAAATTTAAATAAGAAACTAATAACACAAAGACATATGAAAAATCTCCATATTCTTAGAAATTAAACAATATACTTCTCAATAACCCATGAATGAAAGAAAAAAATCTAAAGGCAAATAAGATAATATTTCAAATTGTATGAAAACGAAAACACAACATATCAAAATTTATGGGATACAGCTAAGTGATTGCCTGAAGATAAATTTATAGTTTTAATGCTTGTATTAGAAAAGAATATGTAATATCAGTGATCTGAGTTTTCATTCTAAGAAGCTAGAAATCAATTATACTATTAAGCATAAAATAGAAAAAAAGAAAATAATAAAGGCAAGAGCAAAACTCAATGGAATAGAGAAGAAAAAAATCAGAGAAAAACCAAATATCTAAAAGATACTTATTTTTAAAAGATCAATAAAATATAGACATCTGGCTAGACTGACCAAGAAGACAAACTTTTTAAAACATAACAGGGAAAAAACAATACATTTGACTTTATCAAAAAATTTTTTTAACTCTCCAAAAGAGAAAATTAGGAAATTAAAATGCAAGCCATAGACAGGGATGTGGGGGGATATCTGTAATACATATATTTGATAAAAGGCTTGTATCCAAAATATATACATATAAAATTTTTGCAACTCTATAATAAGAAAAGAAGCAACCCAATTTTTTGAAAATGGGCAAAAGATTTGACCAATTGCTTGCAAAAGAAAATGTATAAATGGTAAATAAATAGGGGGAAAGATGGTCCATATAATCTGTAATCAAGGAAATACAAAAATCAAGCCCACAATGAGATATTACTAGACAGGCATTTAGAATGGCTTAAAGGTATTTAAACTGTCAGTATTCATTGTTGTTATGAATAAAAAGTAAGGGAAATTTTTATACATTGATGATGGAAGTGTAAAAGATGCATCATTTTGGAAAAGAGTTTAGCAATATGTGTCAAATTAAAGTATGCTTACCGTTTGGCCCAGTGATTTCATTTCTTGGTATTTACCCATGAAAACGGAAAACATATATTCACAAAAAAAATCTGTATACAAATGCTCATAACGGCTTTATTCATGATGGTTCCAACCTGGAAAAAACCTAAAGTTCCATTAACAGATAAAAGGCTAAACAAACTACGAATGCTACTTAGCCAAAGGAACAAAAAAAAAAAGAAAGAAAGAAATGAACTGCTGACATATGCAACAGCAAGGCTAAGGTTCAACAATATTATGTTGACTTAAGAAAGTTAAAAACAAAACAGTACATACTGTTATACTGTATGTGTATTCCATTATACTGTTACACATTGCATTATATGACATCTAGAATAGGCAAGACATACATAGTGACAGAAAGAAGGTCAGTAGATACTTCACTGAGTAAAGGAAGGGATGCTGACAGCAAATGGGCATAAGGGAAATTTTGGGGGTGATAAAAATATTCTTTATCAATTCAAGTGATTGTTATATGAGTTTATATGTTTGCCAATACTTATTAATTGTTCACCTAATATATGTGCATTTTATTGTATGTCATTTATATTCCAATGATGCTGATTTTAAAGAAAAATCTATTTAAAAGTCTATAAATCTGTCATCCAATTTTGTTATAATTACTCCTAATTTTATCAAATTTCTAATTCATATTCAAGATTTTTTCTATGTATTATTTGATGCCTGTTTCTCTACCTGTACCATTTATAAGCACTTGATGCATACCATCAGTAATTATTTGCAGAAATTTTCTAGCTTAATGATCCCTATGATCCTTTATTATTTTAATAAAAATTTGTCTTATAGTTTGGTATTTAGATTTTCAGTTTATCATTTTTAGAAATAACATTCCAGTCATCACCTCTACACATAAAGCTTTGTCCACACTTGTATCAGTTCCTTGTGAAAGATTTCTAGAAAGCAATATTGGCTTAGGTTACAGGATACAGGAAGAAGTTATTTATATGCGGCCCCTACTTTTCTAGAATTTTACTTATAAAAATTCTGCTTAAAAGATGAGCCACAAGGACAAACTAATACTATGATTCTTATTTCAAGATGATTTGCTTGGAAGTTATATTTTAATTAATTAGCCCATTAGAAATTGGGGCAAGATGTCTGGGCACAGTGGCTCACGCCTGTAATCCAAGCACTTTGCATCATTGTCAGATGCAAAGTTTGCAAATATTTTGTCCTATTCTGTAGGCTGTCTGTTTAGTCTGTTGATAGTGTCTTTTGCTGTACAGAAACTCTTTAGTTTAGTTAGGTCCCATTGTCAATTTTTGTTTTTGTTACAATAGTTTTTGTAGTTTTCATCATGAAATCTCTGCCAGGGCCTATGTCCAGAATAGTATTTCCTACATTTTCTTCCAGGGTTTGTGGTTTTAGGTTTTACATTTAAATCTTTAATCCATCTTGAGTGATTTCTGTACATAGTAAAAGGACAGGGTCTAGTTTCAATCTCCTGAAATGGCTAGCCAGTTATCCCAACACCCATTATTAAATAAGGAGTCCTTTCCCCATTTCTTGTTATTGTAACCTTTGTCAAAGATCAGATGGCTGTATTATAGATGTGCAGCTTTATTTCTGGGTTCTCTAAGCTGTTCCACTTGTCTGTGTGTCTGTTTTTGTACCAGTACCATGCTGTTTTTGTTACCATAGTCTTGTAGTTTAGTTTGAAGTCAGGCAATGTGATGCCTCCAGCTTTATTCTTTTCACTTAGGGTTGCTTTGGCTATTCAGGCTTTATTTTGATTCCATATGAATTTTTGAATAGTTTTTTCTAATTCGAGGCAAATGTTTTTGGTAGTTTGATAAGAATAGCATTAAATGTGTAGATTGCTTTGGGCAGTATGCCCATTTTAACAATAGTGACTCTTCCTATCTGTGAGTATAGAATGTTTTTCCATTTGTTTGTGTCATCTCTGACTTCTTTCAGCAGTTTTTAAATTCTCATTATGGAGATCTTTCATTTCCCTTGTTAACTGTATTCCAAGGTATTTCATTACTTTTGTGGCCATTGTGAATGGGATTGCATTCTTGATTTGGTTCTCAGCTTGGACATTGTTGATGTATAGAAATGCTACTGATTTTTGTACATTGATTTTGTATTCTGAAACATTGCCAAAGTTGTTTATCAGATATAGAAGCTTTTGGGCAGAAACTATCAAGTTTCCTAGGTATAAAATCATATCATCTGCAAAGACAGTTTGACTTGTCTTCCTATTTTGATGCCTTTTATTCATCTCTTGCCTGATCACTCTGGTTAGGATTTCCAGAACTATGTCAAGCAAGAGTGATGAGAGTGGGCATCTTTGTCTTCTTCAGGTTCTCAAAGGGAATGCTTCCAGCTTTTGCCCTATCAGTATGATATTGCTTGTAGGTTTGTCATAGATGGCTCTTATTATTTTGAGATATGTATCTTCAATGCCTAGTTTATTGAGGGTTTTTAACATAAAGGGATGTTGAATTTTATTGAAATTCAACATTCTATTGACATGATCATGTGGTTTTTGTTTTTAGCTGTTTATGTGATATATCACATTTATTGATTTACATATGTTGACCCAACCTTGCATCCCAGGAATAAAGTCTACTTGATCATGGTGGATTAGCTTTTTGATATGCTGCTGGATGTGGTTTGCTAGTATTTTGTTGAGAATTTTTGCATCTGCATTCATCAGGGATATTGGCCTGAAGTTTTCTTTTTTTGTTGTGTCTCTGCCAGGTTTTGGTATCAGAATGATGCTGGCTTCATAGAATGAGTTAGGGAGGAGTGTATCCTACTCCAATTTTTGAAATAGTTTCAGTGGGATTGGTATCAGCTCTTTATACATCTAACAGAATTCATCTATGAATCTATCTGGTTAGGGACTCTTTTTGGTTGATAGGTTTTTTTATTACTGATTTAATTTCTGAACTCTGTTGGTCTGTTCAGGGTTTCAATTTCTTCCTGGTTCAATCTTGGGAGGTTGTATGTGTCCAGGAATTCATCCATTTCTTCTAGGTTTTCTAGTTTGTGTGCACAGAGATGTTCATAGTACTCTCTGAGGGTTTTTTTTTTTTATTTCTGTAGGATCAGTAGGATTGTCCCCTTTGTCATTTCTGATTGTGTTTCTTTGGATCTTTTTCTTGAATTTTAATATCATTCTCTCTAGCAAGGCTGGGAAAATTTTCATGGAAAATATCCTCAAACATGCTTTCCAAGTTGCTTCCTCTGTATCCCTCTCTTTCAGGGATACCAATGAATCATAGGTTTGGTCTCTTTATATAATCCCATATTTCTCTGAGGTTTTGTTCATTTTTTAAATTATTTTTTCTTTATTTTTATATGACTGAGTTGATTGGAGGACCCAATCTTCAAGCTCTGAGATTCTTTCCTCAGCTTGCTGTATTCTACTATTAATACTTCCAATTGTATTATAAAATTATTGTGTGAGTTTTTCAGCTCTATTAGTTTGGTTCTTTCTTAAAATGGCTATTTTGTCTTTCAGTTCTTGAATAGTTTTACTGGATTCCTTAGATTCCTTGGATTGGGTTTCAACTTTCTCCTGAATCTCAACAAGCTTCAATGCCATCCAGATTCTGAATTCTATGTCAGTCTATTCAGCCATTTAAATCAGGTTAAGAACCATTGCTAGGGAGCTAGTGCAGTCATGTGGAGGTAAGAAGACATTCTGGCTTTTACAGTTACCAGAGCTTTTATGTTGATTCTTTCTCATCTCTGTGGGCTGATATTCCTTTAATCTTTGCATTGCTTTCTTTTCAATAGGGCTTTTTGCTTTTATATTCTCTGATGCCCTTGAGGGTTTGACTGTGGTTTTAAGCTGGGTTTAGTCAACTGGCTTCATTTCTGAATGATTTCAGGGGGCCAAGCCTCAGCTCAGCACTTCTGAGCTGCATGCTGTATACCTGGGGGCCTGGGATCAGGCCCACAGCTTTTTTTCTCAGACTCCTCAAAGTTAAGCACCTGCTCTGCTGGAGGGACTGAGGTACTCCCTGTCTACTGGCAATAGCACTCCGATGGGGAGTGTCAGACAAAGCACTTAGGGCAGTGGCACCAGGGTGCATGCCAGCAAAGCAGTCATGGGAGGCTACAGACAAGTGTGTTATGGCAAATCAGTGGAGTGCAGCTGCAGGCAGGTGCATGCTGGCAGGGGTACATCTTCAAAAGCTCTCTGATGATTAGGCAGGGTCATCTCACTATGTCAGTGGCCACCAAGAAGCACCCTGTTTGGGAATCTGAAGCTGCACTGCAAACAAGTTCAGCCAGGCAGGAACTCCGGGAGAGGCTGGTGGCAGACAGGAGAGTCATCAGATCAGATTGGCCCTGTCCCACAGGCAAAATATCCCTGCTCTGTCCAGGTACAGCAGTCAACAAAGACCAAAGCCTCCTAGAGGAACATGGCAAGCCTTAAGGCATGGGCATCTCTGGCCATGCTCCACTGCAGCCATTCCCATGCCAAACCCTGTGGGTTCCTTGCAGACTGTAATCCTGTCCCTGCTAACTCTCCAAGCCATTCTCTCTGCCAGCTTAAATGTCCATGGGGGTTGCTGGCAGGTCTCCTGCAGCCAGGATTCTGGAGGTCCATGGAGAGAGTGGTCCGCTGCACACCTATTTAGCTCATCCTCCCTCAGGAGCCACTTGGAAGCAGGAACAAATACTGGTGCTCACTATTTTTTATTTATATATGTTACAGGTATATTTATTGTACTCTCCAAAGTCACCCCAAGAGACATAAGGAAATAATGAAGTGTATCATGGCAAACAATAGAACAGAATAAATAACCAAAGAAATTGAAGCAGAGTGAAAACTTAAGGTCTTACAATTCATAAACCATTTAGATATTAAGTCCACAAATTCTTGAAAGCTATATTGTAAATAGTAGGTTAAATTTATGATTAATAAAAACTATTTAACATGATTATATTTTCTATGCTAAAGTTTTATATTAAAATCATCTTAGTGCCTCCTTCATCCTGAATAGGTAAGGCTGAGAACACCATAACATGAGTATCTCCAAAAGAAGGCATTTTCTGATCAGGATAACACTTTTCATAGATTCCCTGATTATGATAGTAGTAAAAATACTAGATGATTGTTTACTATTTTTTGTTTAATGAAATCAAAAGTTAACATACTTTCTTATTCTAAGATGTCATTGACTGTCATATGCACTATAAATAACAACTTTAGGCACAATAAATAAGCAAACATTAAACATTCACATTGAATTTAAGACTCATTCCAACTATGGAAGAATAAACTATGGGCAAAGTACATTTTATCATTGAGGATACCGTACTTTTAAAATAGCTGATCTGAATTCAGTGAGTTCACTAGTAATTTTGAGACAGTAAATATCAAAGTATTGGATCTTTTTTGCTCCCATTTGCTTGACTTTAAAATGAGATTATTCTCTGCCTTTCTGAAAGTAGAGAAAGAGAAGGGCTAAAGGAGGACAGGGCAGAAGAGATAATATTTGAAGAACAATTCTAGCTCTAAGGCTTTTAGGTTACAGTTCCATGTTTCTCAATAACAATAAAATTATTGAAAGGGAACAGATGCTCATTTGATTAATTCATACAAACACTTGTTTTAACTTACATTCTTTTCTGAATCTATTTGCAGTTCTCAGAGAATTTCTGTCTTTGTAACCCATGATTTTGAAAGAAACTTTAAAAGTTGATGATTTTAGGAGCTGATGAGTCATTCTTTCTTCATAAAATCTTTGACGACAAGCTCCAATAGCTAAAGTAGACACAGCTTCCAATGAGCAGGACAGCAGCTCCACTTCTAATAAGTTAATCCAATGGTTTTTGTCATGAGCAAAACAAGAAATCATGTTTTTAATAATACTAAAAGGTCGCTGCATCTTGTTAACATCTGGAGTTCAATCACTTCTGTGCTAAAAACCGGGGAATGCTTCAGCAGGGCATAAATCTTGCCCCTTATTGTACATACGATCCAGATGCCGGAGGAGAATTAATGTTTGTTTGTAACACATCTGGTGTCGGCAGCTTTGAGTAAGCTCTAATAGAAAGAGTGTGGAACTAACGCAGCATTACACCTTCACTCAGGCCAGGGGTTCTAGACTGAAGGTAAAAGCCTTCAGGTGTCCCTTGGGGTTTAGCAATAAACTGCACTAATCAGCTCTGGCATTGTGTTAAGTGCAGGGTGTTTTGAATTTTCCACATCAGTTTCGCAGCCCTGTAATTCTACATTCCAAGTGTCTGCTTTTGACAACTTTGTAGACTTGCCACCATCTTAAGCTCCAAATGAAAGAAAGGCCCAGATTCACTGTCAGAGTTCAGACTATCTCATAAAATGGGGGAGGACAGATGATCACTACCAGAGCAGTAGTGAGCAAATAATAACAAGACTAGCCTTATCTGTAGATATAAAAAGTGACTTGGTATCCTATCCATGAAAAGCAATAGAATGAAGTAGAAAGAGTGCAGAATTTCAGCTGGGACATCTAAACTCAAGCCCTATCTCTGGTACGAGTGCAGAAGTCCAAAATTAACTGGGTCATATTTTCTCACAAGGGATGTACAAGAACAAAACCAGAAGATGACTTTTTTGTAACAAGAGGATCAGGTCCAAATTTCCTGGAATAGTATTTTAATTCACTTTGTAATATAACCTTCCTTCCCAACCTTTGTTATCATCAGCATATTCTGGGTTTTAAACTATAACAAATATCTTGCACCTTAAAAACCTGCCACATAATTTGATGTTTTACAGTCTTTGTCCTTGTTATTCCTATTGGTTATAATGTTTTCTTCAATCCATTTGCCTACTTATTAATTTCTGGGCACTTTGCACTAAGATTCCTTCTTTATAAAGCACTTGTGCATGTCTCTAGCATAGTACTTTTTATGGAGTATTATATATTGCCCATTGTTTTCTGTGTCTTTCTCCTTGGCTAAACGGTGACCCTACTTCATGATATCTGTGAAAGAAAAGGTGGTAACCATTAGGGGCACTTAATAATAAAGTCTTATTTTTTTGAGCTAGTGTCTCGCTCTGTCACCCAGGTTGGAGCGCAGTGGCATCATCTCAGCTCACTGCAACCTCCCCCTCCCATGTTCAAGCGATTCTCCTGTCTCAGCCTCCTGAATAGTTGGGATTACAGGTGTGTGCCACAATGCCTGGCTAATTTATTTACTTGTTTTTTAGTAGAGATGAGGGTTCACCATGTTGGCCAAGCTGGTCTCGAACTCCTGACCTCAAGTGATCCACCCGCCTCAGCCTCCAAAAGTGCTCGGATTACAAGCATGAGCCACCACGCCCAGCCCATTTAATAATAAAGTCTTAAGGATACATTTCATGTTGTTGCAGATAGCCTCCAATTAAATCACACTTCTATGAGAAAATTATTTGTGATGGCCAAATGATATGGCAGCAAATGCTACTGGGTAATTGGGGGATTTTATAGTAGGATTTAAAAGAGTACCTACCTAACTGTAAATGTGTTTTTATGATGGTGTTGTGCTCTGTCGGGGGTCAGGCTCTGAAATCAGAGAGGTAAGATACTCACATCAGCAGAGGCATATAGGAACCAAGATCATCTGAACCAAGGACAGATTCATGTGTCCTAATTCACACTGTCTGGTTCATGTGTTCATTGAGGAAAATGGTGGGTAAAATCTTCCACCCTGTTCAAAGTGTTCTTCATTTTAAGTTGGTACAGCATGTATGGTTGACTGAGTTAAATATGCATATGACATGGTTCCACTAATCACATGTTTTAAATTTGGCTTTTGTAACTGTAACTAGAAACCCAGAAGAGGCTATTTTCCAATTTAGACTTGAAAACTGCCACAGCACCAAATGAATCATATAGAATAAAATTATAAGACAGGAACACTGGAAGAAAAAATGCAGAGTACAAAAGTAAGATTGAAAAAGGTATTAATGTCTCAAAGAGACTGATTTCTAGTACTAATATGATTCTAATAACTTCACTTTGTTTTTGGAGAATGCTTGTATATTCCTCAGTACTTTCATATGTCTTTGATTTGTTTCTCTTCCCTGCCTACCTGTGGAATAATGGGCAAGACCATGCTTAGGGTGGAAGGAAAAGCGAAGAATGGATACCTCAATCTGAAAATAGCCACATAAGTTATATTAGTTTTCCAGTAGAAAGTTTTCTAGCTTATAAAGACTTATTATGGAAAAGAGCTTAGATTGAAGAAGACATATTTAGTTCTAGTATGAAGAAAAAATAACTAATAGAAGATAAAACTAATGAAGTGCTGAAACACACACACACCCAAGGCTGACACAATTCACAACCAACAGATCTTCACTGCAAGAAATATAAAAGAACATGTTCTAGACTGAAAGAAAATAATAAAAGTTGAAAGTGCAAGAAGCAATGAACATCTTTGTGAAAGGTAAATATGTAGATAAATATAAAGTATTGACTGTTTAAAGCAAGAACAATTGCAGTATTTTATGGGGATTATCACATGTAGAAGCATATGACAATAGCAAAAATGGCAAAGGTGGAGTAGAGGGTAATAGATGTATACTGTTCTAGATGTTTTACATTGTTGGAAAAGCCAAAAAGGTATTAAGATAGACCATAATAAGTTAGCATGTGTCTTATAATTTTTAGCGTATCCACTAAAGCAATTATATTAAAAAACATAACACAAGCCTACCAGAGGAGAAAAAATGAAATATAAAAAGTATTTTATTATTACAAAGCAAGTATAATAAAGGAACAAAAACAAGGGAAAAATAGAAAACAAATAGCAATATGGGAGACTAAACCCAACTACATCAGTAATTGCATTTTACGTAAATGGATGAAACACTTCAGTTAACAAGACTTCCAGTTCACATTTTTAAAAAAATACAATTATGGCTGCTTATAAAAAGCACACCATAAATATAAAAATATATAGTATTTTAAAGAATGTAAAAAAGACATGCTAAGTGAACATTAGCCAAAAGAGAGCTGGTGTGACTAAAGTGATATCAAAGTAGAGTTTAAGATGAGAAAAATATAGAGCAATAAAGAGTGATATTTCATAATATTAAAAGAACCATATATTCACAAGAACACAAAGTCCTGAATAATCTGTACACCCTCCTTGTTTGGAGATTAAAGCTGACTTCATAAGACTAGGTTAGAATTATTGTAGGCACTTAAACTTTGCTTAAGTCCCTATCTCTACAAAAATAAAGGTTAAAAACACAATTAGCCAGGCATGATGGCACACATCTGTAGTCTCAGCTACTTAGGAGGCTGAGGCAGAAGGATCACTTGAGCCTGGGAGTTTGAGGCTACAGTGAGCTGACTGTGCCACTACACTCCAGCAAGACACTGTATATATGTATATATCATTATTTTATATATATATATCATTATTATATATATATATGTTGTTAAACAATAACCTGCCATTCCTTAGTTTACTTTTCTATAAGTTGCTTATGACCCCAGAGTCACATAACTGGAAGTCCAAAAATTTATAATGGCCGGGTGCGGTGACTTATGCCTGTAATCCCAGCACTTTGGGAGGCTGAAGTGGGTGGATCATGAGGTCAAGAGATTGAGACCATCCTGGCCAACATGGTGAAACCCCGTCTCTACCAAAAATACAAAAATTAGCTGGGCATGGTGGCATGCGCCTATAGTCCTAGCTACTCAGGAGGCTGGGAGGCGGAGGTTGCAGTGTGCTGAGATCGTGCCACTGCACTCCAGCCTGGCGACAGAGTGAGACTTCATCTCAAAAAAAAAAAAAAAAAAAAAAAGAAATGATAACTTCTCCAACTACTCTATAAATAACGTCATTATTGTGAAAACTAAAAAACTGGTCTTTGAGACATTTTTCAGATTTAGCATTTTGACAGACCAAGAGACAAAACTTGGTCCTGAGGCCCCTTTTTGGAAGTGACTCAGCCACACAAAGACAGTTTAGACACCGCTGTGATTTCATCCCTAGCCAGTCATTGTTTCAATTCCCCCAGCCCCCTGCTTGCTAAAATATCCTTAAAAACCCTAGCCTCTGAAGTTTTAGGGAGATGGATTTAAGAAATACCTCTCCTCCTCTGACTTGGCTGGCCCTGTGATTATTAAACTCTTTCCTTGCTGCAATACTGCTGTTCTCAGTGAATTGGCTTTTCTGGGCAGCAGGCAAGAACCCATCAGGTTGCTACACAACCAGATGATTGAGGCTTATGTACCATCTTAGGCTAACCAAAACAAAAGGTGTTTGGGGCTCTGTGCAGGGAAGGTGAGAGGAGGATATTATGGTAAATAAGGTTTGTCTTGTTATGCAGATAAGATCTCTCTGGTGATAACAGTTGTCTCCAGGATTAGCTTTCTTCCTGGTAGGGAGACATCTTTACAAATGGAAACTTCTTTTATAAATGTAAACATCCTTCACAAAAGGGGAGATTTATATTCTATTGTTAGGCATTTAGGGGAAGGTAAGAGCTCTTCCTATACCTGCAGGTTCTCAACTGTCTTTAGCTCAGAATATTCTATGTAACAGAGTCATATTTTGAGGTGGCATATTCTGGTATCTTTCAACAACATCTTTAAATAGGTTCTCACCCAACTCACCTAATAAAATAGCTTTGTAGGGATTCTAGCCAAGGTGGCCAACTAGATGCTGCCAGGAAGAGCGTCTACCATGGAATGACAAGACCATCAAGAAGACTGGCACACTCCAAGCAGATCTTTGGAGGGAAGGCATTTGGAGTGGACAGAGGGAGGACGCAGACCCTGGGTTGAAGTGGGAGGAAGCTGGGAACCCTGCATTGGGCTGCTGAGCACCATGACTCCTTTCTGGCCCCCAGCAGCTTCTGGGGCAGAAGTGAGTTGAACAGATGAGGAGTGACCCACTCTTGCCACAGACCTCTGGAATCCTAGCTGCAGAGACCCTGAGACCCCCATGGACATTTGAGCTGACAGGGAGAGCTGTTTGGAGAGATGGCAGGGACAGAACTCCAGCCTACAGGGAGCCCAGAGGGTTTGGTGTGGGAATAGCTGCAGTGGGACATGGCCAGGGAGGCCTATCCCCTAAGGCTCATCATACTCCTCTAGGTGGCTTTGGTCTTTGTTGACTGTCAGACTTCGACAGAAAAAGGCTTTCTTGCCTGTGGGATGGAGCCAGTCTGATCTGAGCACCCTCCTGTCTGTCACCCTCTCACAGAGTCCCTGCCTGGCCATGCCTACTTTCAGCACAGTCTCAGATGCCCAACTAGGGTGCTTCCTGGTGGCTGCCACTATAGTTCCTTTGTGTGGTGCCTCATGCCGGTAATCCCAGCACTTTGGAAGGCCGAGGCAGGCAGATCACTTGAGGTCAGGAGTTCAAGACCAGCCTGGCCAACATGGTGAAACCCCATCTCTACAAAAAATTAAAAAAAAAAAAAATAGCTAGTGAAACCGTCTCTACTAAAAAAAAAAAAATAAAATAAAAAAAAAAAATAGCTGGGCGCAGTGTCAGCCGCCTGTAGTCCCAGCTACTCAGGAGGCTGAGGCAGGAGAATGGTGTGAACCCGGGAGGCAGAGCTTGCAGTGAGCCAAGATAGCGCCACTGCAGTCCCGCCTGGGTGAAAGAGCAAGACTCTGTCTCAAAAAAAAAAAAAATTAGCTGGACGTGGTGGTGTGTGCCTCTAATTCCAGCTACTCGGGAGGGTGAGGGAGAAGAATTGCTTGAACCCGGGAGGTGGAGGTTGTGGTGAGCCGAGATCATGCCACTGCACTCCAGCCTCAGTGACAGAGGGAGACTCTGTCTCAAAAAAGAAAGAAAGAAAAAAGACGGGGGGAATAAAGGAGTGAAGAACATGAACAGACACTTCTAAACTTCTAAAAAGAAGACATAAGACTGAGCGCGGTGGCTCACGCCTATAATCCCAGCACTTTGGGAGGCCGAGGCAGGTGGATCACCTGAGGTCAGGAACTTGAAACCAGCCTGGCCAACATAGTGAAACCCCTTCTCTAATAAAAATAGAAAAAATGAGCTGGGCATGGTGGCAGGCACCTGTAATCCCAGCTACTCGGGAGGCTGAGACAGGAGAATCACTTGAACCCAGGAGGCAGAGGTTGCAGTGAGCTGAGATTGCACCATTGCACTCCAGCCTGGGCAACAGTGAAACTCCATCTCAAAGAAACAAACAAACAACAAAAAAAGAAGACATACACATGTCCAACAAGTATATGAAAAAATGTTCAACATCACTAATCAGTAGAGAAATAAATATCAAAAACAAATGAGATGCCATCTCATACCAGTCAGAATTATGGCTATTATTAAAAAAACAACAAATAATAGGTGCAGGCGAGGTTGCAGAGAAAAGGGAAAATTTATACACTGTTGGTGGGAATGTAAATTAGCTCAGCCACTGTGGAAAGCAGTCTGAAGATTTCTCAAAGAACTAAA
Source organism: Homo sapiens (assembly GCF_000001405.40). Lineage (NCBI taxonomy): Eukaryota > Metazoa > Chordata > Mammalia > Primates > Hominidae > Homo > Homo sapiens. Next base: position 170,489,851 of record NC_000001.11, read on the forward strand.
AACAGAACAACCATTTGACCCAGCCATCCCATTACTGGGTATATGCCCAAAGGAATATAAATCATTCTACCATAAAGACACATGCACATATACGTTCAACACTGCACTATTCACAATAGCAAAGACATGTAATCAACCTAGATGCCCATCAACAGAGAACTGGATAAAGAAAATGTGGTACCTATACACTATCAAATACTATACAACCATAAAAAAAGAAAGAGATCATGTCCTTTGCAGCAACATGGATGGAGCTAGAGGCCATTATCATAAGCAAATTAATGCAGGAACAGAAAACCAAATACTGCATGTTATCACTTGTAAGTGGGAGGTGAACACTGAGTAGACATGGGCGTAAAGAAAGGAACAATAGACACTGGAACCTACCTGAGTGTGGAGGGTGGGAGGTGGGTGAGGATCCAAAAACTACTTACCAGGTACTATGCTTATTATCTGAGTGACTAAATAACCTGTATACCAAACCTCCACAACACTCAATTTACCCGTATAACAAACCAGTACGTGTACCCCCGAACCTAAGATAAAAGTTGAAAAAAAATGCTTTCTAATTGTTATTTGTCATCAATAATAATGTATCCTTTGTATTAATTCAAAATATTAAAAGCAGCTCACCCTTTACCCCTACCAATATTTATTTTTTAATGGAATTTTGTGTTAATATTCCCAGGTACCTAAAGCTACTCTTAACCCACTATTTGCATCCTCCACCTTTCCTAAAAAGTCTTCTTCCAGGATTTCCTAAATGTAAACATAAACAGCTTACATAAACATAAGCATATTTTTATGCAGCATCCAGTCATTCTTGCATTTAATCAGCAAAGAGAAAGTAATGGTAAAAGCCCAATATTCCCATTTTGCTACAGGTTACGTTTTAGAAAATAAAGTTAAAAACCAGCAACACCAACACAGACTATTCTCATTTCAGTTTTCTTTACAGTTTTTTCCTACTGCTGTTTATTTGACAGAAACTCAATAGCTTACTGCAGGGTGACTGCATGAGAAGAAATTTTTAAAACATTAATAAAAATAATAGCCTAAAGTATTTGGCCCTTAATGCAACAGTAGCTTTCTTTTTATTAAACAAGTGTAAGACAGGGAGGGAGGACTTGAGACTTGATTTAAGCCTCTGAACATTAGGCCATTTAAACTCAAAGAGTTGTAGGGAAAAAAAATAACTTTTTTCTTCACCCCTCTAAGGTTCTTAGTTGAAACAGACCCCTTAACAAAAGACAGATGTACAAGAGAAAAATAAACTGAAGTTTATTAACATGTATACCTCATGTATAAATGGGAGCCACTCAGTGAATGAATAATTTTCCTAAGAAGTAGCTTTAAGTTCAGGCATCATCTTCAACTGAAACAAAGAAATAAGGGTATGGGGGAAGGCCTATTATGGGCAGATGCACAGAAAAAAAACTTGGTAAAACAAGGGTAAGGTTACTGTGCAGATTTAAGTTAGTGCCTTCTCCACTGATGAAGGTTTCTAGTGATTTCATCTTTCTCTTCCTGGTACAGAGAGGAGATGCTTTTACCAACGGGCATTTCCTTTATACATGTCAATTTCCCTAACAAAAGCTTACAGGTAAACTTCTGCTCTGTTTACAGAGCTCCTCCTGTGTGTAAGATTTCTTTAAAAAGCGAGGTGTGGTGGTTTACCCCTATAGTCCCTGCTACCTGGGAGGCTGAGGTGGAAGGATCCCTTGAGCCCAGGAGTTCAAAGCCACAGTGAACTGCCATGCCACTGCAGTTTAGCCTGGGGAACAGAGTGAGATACCATCTAATTCTTAAGAAACATTTTTTTAGGTGGCATATTCTGGTCTCCTGCAGTAGCTATCACAATATTGCCCTCCAGTGAGGTTTAACAACGTACCCACCTACTAATTATGTATAAGAATGCCTGTCACTTACCCTCATCGGCACAGTATGCTATTAAACTTTATGATCTTTGCCAATCTAGTGGGTGACCAGGGGTATTTTAGCATTACCCCTTTTCATGAGTATCAAATGTAATTTTTGTGTTTGTCTTGTATGGGTCTGTTTAAGTATCTTTCTACCTGTTTAAACTAGATTTGTTTCCTTCCTTTATTACAAACTATTCATTTCAACTCTACTAAGACACCTGTTTTATATGTAATTCCTGGGCATGAAGCTGTGTTCTTATTAGATCAAATCTGAAAACAACAAAAATTTAGGAAGACACTTAACCAGAAATAAATAAGAAGTGAAGAAAATTTTTAAATGCTCCTAAGAGTCACAAAATATGCACATATATTCACATATACACATAGCATAAACACACATGAACACATACACATTTAAACAACTGGGAAGGAATACCATGTATTTGCAAAGAAATACCCCCAAAATATGAAAGTGTCAATTTCACTTAATTTATAAATTTGATATATTTGTTTGAGAGGGTTGATAAGACTAAGCTAATCTCTAAAGATCATCAGAAAAATAAGCAAGTAAAAATTGCCAGAAAATTTCTGAAAAACTAAATCAAGAAAAGGAAGCTATTCTATCACATTTTAATACATATTATAAATATATTAAAAATTTAACAGATTTTTTTTAAAAAAGATGCTTGTACATGAATAGACAGATAAGCTTATGAGAGAGAAAAGAAATTCCAGAAATAGATTCAAATACATATAATTACATAGTAAAAGATACAGGAACATTTCAAAATAGCATTGAAAATATGGATTATATACTAACATTATGGGAAATCTGGGTAACTACCTGAAAAAAAAATAAATTTAGATTTATATTGTTTACCAGAATAAATCTAAAATTGATCAAATATTTAAGTATAAGAAATACAATCATAAAAGTAGTAGAAAAAAAGCCATGAAAAATATTTTATTCTTTCAAGTGAGAAAATTTAAGTAGAAACAAAATCCAGAGGTCACTGAAAAATTGATAAACTTGGTACAAAAAATTTAAAGAAAACATTCTACATGGCAACACTCACAATAAAATTGAAATCAAGAAAAAATGGTGAGAAAATATTTGCACAAGAAATAAAGATATAATTTCTCTAATACATAAAGAACTCCTATTTATCAATAAGAAAAAACCCAACCATTCAGTAAATTAATGAGCAGAGAATGTGAGCAAACTGATCATAGGAAAGAAAATATAAACAGCTCTTAAATATATTAAAATAAATTCAGATTTGAAGGAAACACTTTTATACATAGATTGTGAACATTTAAACAAATAAAATCTGTTTGCAGGGCATTCTGACCATGCCTATCAAAATTATAAGTGCACATACCCTTTAACCAGCAATTCCACGTTTAGAATATACTCTACAGATTTACTCATGCATATAAAAAATGAAATGTATACAAGATTATTTATTGCAACTTTGTTTATAAAAGCAAAATATAGTAGTCTTCTAAATATCCATCAACAGAATACTGCTTATAGAAATTATAATGTATACATATAATGGTATATTATGAATAGTAAATAAGAAATAAAAAAGATTTTCATATATAGATATGAGATGATCACCAAAATGTTTTTAAAAGAGAAAATGATGTAGAACATTGTGTACAATATACAAACATTTGAGTAAAAATTAACTGATAGAAAGATAGATAGAATACATATTTTAACTCCAGCCACTACATTTCAATATCAACAGACACCATGGTGTATTCCCCATATACACCTTTTTGTTAGTGCTATTATACTTTTGATTACATTATTCCCTACATAGATAGACTTTCATCTTGATTTTTGCTTGCTAAAATTCAACTCATCTTTGGATCCTGTAAATTAACCTTTCTCTTCTGTTCTTTTAATACAACTATCTGAATCTAGGTTCTTTTTCTAATAAAAACTAGTAAAATCCATTAATTCCAATAACACTAAAGGAAGAGAAGGAAGGGAAAAGGAACAACTACTAAATACATGTCTGCCAGACACTTTAATGTCCTATGACATTTAATTCTAGACAACTTTTTAATTCAGGTATTATTCCAGTAACAAGTGTTGTTACCAGTTTGAGAAGATTAGAGAATGTTCACAATGTCACACATCTGATAATAGGAGGTACAGAGGTTTAAACTCAAGTATCTAGGATTCTAAATCCTTTTCTGACTATACAGCCTTGTACTTGATGGAATTTCTGCTACATTTCTTTAGAATCCGAACCTTTGAGATCATCTAGTTTGACACTCTCGATTGACAAATGAGGGAAAGAAAGCAGGAGAGGTTAAGAGCTTTGCAAACTAGTTTGTTAGTGTCAATGGGGTTGGATAGGGGTCTATAAAAACATATGTATGTAATTAGGACTAGGATGTAAGGTCAACCCGGTACTTTACACTTTTATAATAGAATTTAAGATTAACAGGATAATTGATAGTCTTTAAAATTAAAAAATTGGCACATACCACAGACAGGAGGAGTTTCAGGAATGGAGAGCATAAACATCTGACAATGAATGCCTATCTGTGAAAATTAACACCCATCCATAACATTTGTAAGAATTCTTTAGTGTCATTAACTCTTTGCCAAGCATCTTCCTGTGCTAAAGACAAAATGAGTTTTTGACATTCTCATACAAAGTCCATGTGCCCTACAATAAAATCCTGAGGTCTCCAGCACTTACTTGCCTCCTCCCTCCAATATATCTGGCTCCCATCCCACAGCCTCTACCACACTGGCTCAGGAAGTAGGCAATTTCCTGCCTTGGCTGAGCCGGATATTAAGACCTCTTTGTTCCCTTATCTCTGAGAAATAACACCCCTCTGAAATACTCCAATAGCTGACTGATTCATGCTTAGACTTACCTAAAGGACTCTCTGCTGTTCTTTAATATTAGTGTTGGCTGAGGCAGAGCAATTCACCCACATTCTAATCGTAAAATGTCGTGGGGTGATATGGAGCACACTGGATAATTATAGTTCGTAGACTGTCTAATATTAGAATAAAGAAGATTTTTTAAAGAACTATTAAGCTAGGGGATCTTCCTCTCTGCTCCCACCTCCCCTCACTGACCCATCCACAAACAAACCCATTTATGTCCGTTTGCATTTATAAAAGCATCCTTTCTCATACAAGACATCTTAAATAGATTCATTCATATTGGTACAGACTAAACTGAAATTTCTAGGCTGTATAACACAGGCAATTTGATTATTCTCCTTGGAGGCAATACATACAGAAATAACAACTGCTGACAACTTCTTGGTACCTCCCAATGTATAGAGACACATGACATATCGATCTATACAAATAGCCTGTGTTCTCTATTTGACTGATGGTTAGTAATACCATCTGCACATCCACAGCTTGTCCAGTTTCCAGGTTTCTTCCATTTAGTGGAATGTTCTTAATACAATATTCCTATTCAACACTTCAAAGCCCTTTCAAAACATTTCACTTTTCATGTAATGCATGCCCTACATTCCAGCTTCTTCTGTTTGGAGTTCTGATACGAGGAAAAGCTAAAAACAATACATCATGATGACCAAGCACAGAAAATGCAATTTAGAAGTAAAAATGAAGGGAACAAAATCTTCCCTCTTCCTTCACTGGCAAGGTTAAATGAACCAAAGTATTCTAGAACTAAGAAATTTTAAAGACCATTTAGTCTCACCAGCTCATTTTACAAGTGGGGGAACTAGGCTCTGGGTGATGAACAACATTTTAGGTTGTGGAATGGAGTAAGCTCCAGGTAAAAGAAACAACATCTGCGTAGACGCCGGGATGCTGATTGTGCCACCAGAGGAAGACTTTGACTAGATGGGCTATCAGGAAGAATAGAACAAAAGATTAAATAAGTAGAGTTGAACACATTTACAAAGGATGTTGGAATTTCCATTTGCAATTTGTGGGTCAATGTTCTACTTTCATGAAAATGTAGACATTGAATCATATAGGTTAGATTTGGAAAAGAACTCAGGATCTCAGCTCTTATTTCTTTCCTTCATAATACTTTATTTAGTTGTAATTTTGTATTAATTTAACTTTAAAATCTTTGTCATTCACTAGTTTGTAATCTTCATAGCATCTGGCACAGTTGACAGGCATACAGTAAGTACTCCAAAACTATCTGTTGAATGAATGAGATCATCTGAGTTAGCTTTCTACATAGAGATGGCATCCTTTCTTATAGTTTCCTGAACAGTTGACTCTGTGGTCTCTCTGAAAATACTCAGTGATGAAGTCTGGCTATCACCAAGGCCCCTGTCAGGCCATCCTTACTGAGAAGGCGGTAACTTCTTTTGGAAGAGGGAGAACAGACTTTAAGTTACCCGGACAGTCTAGGTCCAAGAACATCAGAATATTGAATGTTTCTATGTTTCTGGTAGGCAATAGTGTTTAATTAAGATACAAGGAAATGAAATATGTGAGGACCTTTTTGTACTTATTCAAAAAGTTCTATAGAATTAGGCATTACTGGCCAGGCGCAGTGGCTCAGACCTGTAATTCCAGTACTTCGGGAGGCCAAGGCGGGCGGATAACCTGAGGTCAGGAGTTCGAGACCAGACTGCCCAACACGGTGAAACCCCACCTCTACTAAAAATACAAAAATAGCCAGGTATGGTGGCACATGCCTGTAATCCAAGCTACCTGGGAGGCTGAGGCAGGAGAATCGCTTGAACCCAGGAGGCGGAGGTTACAGTGAGCCGAGATTGTGCCACTGCACTCTAGCCTGGGTGACAGAGCAAGATTCCATTAAAAAAAAAAAAAGGCATTACTAGACACATTTCACATATGAGGTAACTGAGGCTAAGCTTTAAGTACTTTATTCAAGGCAACACAACACACCGCAGTGAAATTAATTTGAAATTGGGTTTGGCTTTGAGGATCAGGTTCTTCCTAACTGGCTACACTGCCTCTATTAAAAAATATAAACAGAATTGCTACCCTCAATGACACACAATCTAGCTGGAGAGATAGATTTGGAAACATCCTTTATAGTATTTATCACCGGTATATAAAACACACTAAGCACAGAGATGCAAGCTGTTAGTTCTTCCTGGAGTTTGGAAATGTCATGAAAGGTTTTACCAAAGAGGTGCCTCCTGACATGAGTTGTGAAGGTGATTGTCAGGTGGAATCAACCAGACTCAACCAAAAGAGTTTCTCAGAGGAAGGAGTCCAAGAACTCAATGCTGCCAGATTTCCTCATTGGGGCATAATATGTTCCAATTAGGCTGGGGACACACCTAAGTTGATATGCAATAATTTCAGTGGTATTTTTATCAGATTTTGCTTGCTTGCTATGTGAGTACCCCTTCAACTACACCCCCTCACCCTACATGCACACACACACACACATATAGAAAGAGAGAGAGAGCAACTATCACCACCATATACGTCCCATTGCCATGACTAAATAAATTGCCTCAATGCCTTTTCTACTACACTTGCTGTCTCTGACCATTAATAGATAAGGTACTCAGTTTATGTAAATATAAGAGTGTAGCTAAAGGAATTTTAAATTCCAGACATGGTCAATTTAGCTACCTTAAATGCTGCAGTGACTAGCCTGCACCAAACTTTTAGAATAGGGAGTAAATACAGACTAGGCAACAGTAGAGAAATTTCCTGGACTTCTCAAGTTCATGATGGAAATTGGTGAATGTCTTCGACAATTTGCTCTTAATGCAGATGGAATCAGTCTCTCATGGAAACAGATAACTTCCTTCACATTTATTGCATGTGAAAAAACTGTGTCTGGCTTTAAGGCAGTCATGGACCATCTTACTCTCTTCCTTAGCAGAAACTCAACAGAGAATTTAAAATTAAAACTCCAGCTTGTTCATCACACAGATAACCATACAATACAAACAAGCTAAAAATAAATCAAATTTGCTGTATTATAGTATTCAAATTTGAATATAGTATTTGAATATGGTATTCAAATACTACATGTCCTTGGAAGAAAACATTACATTTTAAATTTCTTCCATGCAACACAAAATGATACAGCAGCTGATAAAGCAGAAAGTAAATGTGTATCCAGGATGCACTGGATGTAACACCCACTTTTATAGCTCATCAAGGATACTGAGGCTGAGGGTGGAATGTGTCAGGGATTTTGGTACAATCCCCTGCCACCAGGTTAAGAAAAATATTGAAAAATGATGGTGGGAAGTGATATGGATAGTGTGTGGAAAAGAGTCTAATTTGAGAAAGGACATGATTTCCTTAGTCTTGAACTTGATAGGCCTCAAATTCCCAACACTCCATGGTTTATACAACTGGATAGTCTTAATGAGGTCATGGAAGATGATGTGGAAGTGGCATTAAATCTTTACAATGAGTCCTTAGACAGCAAGTGTTGCTGCTACTGAGGAGAGTCCAAAGGGTTTGCTAATACATAGAACTCTAACATGTACAAAGGGGCCAAATATAGTTTTGAAAAAGAGACCCTAAAAATGGGAACCATAGCAGTGAAGTCTTAAAGAAGATGCCAAAAGCACTGACCTACATAATTAAGTGATGTCAGGAAAAAGGATAAAGCAGATGCTTTTAGAAAAAAATCATTATTTCTCGATTCACAGAAAGACACAGAAGGGGATTAGCCCAGGATGAGAAAGTTGAGAAGACTATGCCTTAACAGCATGGTCTCTCTTTCAGGTTGTCACACTTCCTCTCTTAGGGAAAACAGTCTTGGAACATTAGAACCATAATGAATATTAGAAATAATCTATGCCAACCCCTTATAATATAGCTGGGGAAACTGAGGCACCACAGGTAGTGATTAATTCAAGGTTGCACAGCTAGTAACAGGACACCCAGAACTAGAGCCCACCTTCAGACTTTTTGTGTTCTCTGGTTTAGAAATTAGAAGACTGGATCTAGCCCTGGTTCCTAAACCAACGAGCTATGATACATTAAAAAGACTCTATAATCTCTCTATGCCCAGTTTTCTCATCTCCTCTGTTTCATGGTTAGAGTAAAATGAAGATGCGGCATGTAGCATTCATTATAAAAGACAAATAGTACTATTCAAAAATAAAATATTTTTACCAGATGGTATCTTCTTGAAGTTTAAGGATGGGTATTAACTTTGTATCTTTCCCAGGTTCTAGCACAGACATTACATAAATATCAGTGAAATGAACTGAACTATCTTCAATTTTTATGAACTCAAAATAACCCAATTGTGTACAACAGGGAAACAGTCCAGCAGAACGACTTCCAAGAAGGCTATATTGAATACTCAAAACAATAAATGTACTCTTTGGGGAAAAGCAATACCCATCTGCAATGTAGTCTTAGATCTGGTGATCACATCTAGTAAGAATTCAGTGATATAAAGCTGGGTGGGAAAAAAAAATTATTACATTTCCAGACTTTGGAACCCAACAAATAATTTCTAATTATTATGCAACTTCTTTTCCTTATTTCTCTATTTCAGTAGAGGAGACTTCTACTGAAACTAATCTTTCCTATATTAGCAAACCAAATAAATATAAAATATAGGACCACTCAATCGGGTAATGATTCAATATAATTGACATCTACTTAAAAATACTATCAGTCTTTATGAACCAACTCATTCATTAAATATCTCAAATAATAATTCAGTTTAAGCTAAGCATTTGAACTTTCTAAAAATAGAACCTACTCTGTTGATACAAGCTGACAATATTTAATTTGCTACCTAGTTTTAAGTGGGAGAACATACAAGTTATTTTAAATTCATAAAATGTTGGCTTTTGGTTTCTATTTGTCTCTGTACATTTTAAAATGTCTTTCCTGTAAACCAGGACATCAAATGTCTTATGCTAATGTCTATTCTGTTGCATCTTCTCAGAGAACATTTATCATTCGGTACATAAGAATGATACCTTCCTTCATTGTGAAATTGGCTGAATCTCAATATATTAATATTTTGTGAAATTCAACCAACTTGCCGCCAGTACTGTCAGGAAAGAAACTGGTCCAAATTAACAAACTTGATTTTACCTCTCAGCTCTGGAGCATAGCAACACTAGTTAATTTCATCATTAGAAATTTCCAGAACCAAATTCTACCAGATAAAATGGTACTACTGCAAAGGAAATGAGATACCTGAGAGAAACCAGATGATCTTCAAATTTGGTTTCCCTCACTGAAGAAATTCCTGATAGTGCATTTTAATATACACAGCTTCCCCTGCCATGATCAAAACTTTCTTGGGGTCTTACATTTCTGTCAACTGACATTTTTCAATTCTCAAAGGTGGAAAAATGCTCCCAGAGACATGGTCATCATCCCCATATCTTGTGACAGCAATGCTCTCTCTAGGTTGTTCTCACCCAAGAATTTTGATGTGTTAATTATGGTCATGGGTAAACTTTGTTTACACATAACAGATAGCAATATTTTAATGTCTATTAGCAGCTCCCTGAATATTTAAGTTTAGGGAAATCTTATTCTTATTTCACTCACAGAAGTTCCAGAGGAGAGAAACTGCTTCTACAGGATCAAAGAAGACATCCCAACATCCCACATAGTTTGGCCTGAGCAAACTATAACAGGGATTTTCTTAGCAATAGTCTCTACCTCAGGGTGATAAGAGGAAACGAGATGAATGAGAGCATCAACATGTGACCTGTGTATTGTTCAAGGGGGTGTGAACTATTTCTTTATCAAAAGTCAGACCAGATAGGCGAAATAAATTGATTGGCTCTAGAAGTAGTTCAGTGAGGATCCTCAGGATCCTGTAAGATAAAGGGTCTGATATTACTGCTGAAGGCTATATGGAGTCACATTGCAGACCAGACGCTTTCTAGTCAGACAGATCTGAGTTTGAATTCTGACTCCATCACTCACTAATTGAGTGACTTTGGACAAGTCACTTAACCTTTCTGAACCTGTTTCTGTATGTGGGAAGTGGGGATAACATTGACTGTACATGGGGATAACATTCTGTACGTGGGACAGTGGGCTACTATGGGAATTAAGTGGCAGGCGAATGTGAATGCTTAACCCAGTGCCTGGCACACAGCAAGAGTTGAGAAAACGTCTAATTCAGGGGATTGGAGATGTGACCAAAAGGTTTAACAAAAGGTTATATGTACTAAGCACAGAGGAGTAGTGTGCTATCGTTATAAGTGAGAGGGCATGACAAGTCCAGAAACTCCATTTAAATCTTCTCTTTTTCTAAGTAAATGATTGATTATTAGTAACCATGTAAATGGAGTTAGGACTAGAATTTAAAAAACAGATTTAAGTAATAACTGGGGATGATTTTAAGAACAATATGGGTAAAGATATCAAACTGTATTATCATCTGACAATGAAGAAGTTTATCAGCTAAAGAAGACAAAAAGAACAATGCACAACATAAACACTCAAGTGATTCCACTGATGTAAGCTCAAGTATCGCTGATAATTTTTAATATATGAATTGTTACTTGTAATCATGATCTTCCATTAATAAACTTTCCTGAAGCATTCAGAAATTTGGTAGCAAATGAGATACCAGGACTTTCCATTTATATAGTTGCTGTGCAAATCATCTCAAACCAGTTGTTACTGCCCAAAGTCTGTCTTCTGGCAATAAAGGTGAAAGTACAATAGCCTTCAGAATATTTCTAACTAATAGTTTCAATATACCCCTTAGGAATTCCTTCATGTGTACTTGGCTGGATAAGTGGAGAATGATACAATAGTCTTTTCATTGTCTTCTGAAGTCAGTTGTTGCCCATCTTATCTGAAAACTATTTGTTCAATAGATAAGAAACTAGGTTATAATTTTCACATATACATAAGCCAAATCCATATTTTTATCCCTGAAAGGGCTAAAAACATATCCTGGCCTCCCAAAATTTAGTTATTCCTAAACATTTGAGAAACTGCTATTTCCATTTTTCAGGACAAGCTGCATGTCCAGAGGGAGGCAATAGAACCTAAGAAGGAAATGTATACAGTTTGAATAAAACATGTTCAACATTCTATTTTTTTAATATTTAGAAACAAAAGAATGATAAAGGATTTTCCCAAAGGTACAGAAAGAAAAAGGCTCAGTTAATTTTCTCGACTGGTAAAGGAACCCAGAAAACAAATAGAGCAATGATCACTCCTTATCTCTTTTTGGTTTTCTCTTTTTGCAGGCAGAGCATAAGATAATTTCCAGAGAAATAGGAGATTTTTCTTTTTCCAAAAAGGGCAGAGGTTATAAAAAGGTCGAAAAACACCTATAGAAACATATCAGCTGGAGAACTATTTAAACATCACTAGGGACAACATATTCTCCCCATGAGGCATGTTGCAGGAAGGAGATGAATTGTAGTCTTTAATCTCCTCTGTGGTCAATGGAGCCCCAAAAATCAGATTGTAAACATTGGAATACTAGCTTGAGTGGTTCCACCAAAGACTTTATTGCAGTAACTGTATTAGACCTTTGTTGTTATTGGTTCTATTAGGAGCAATAGCTTTAGTTTGGATGAACGAGATCCCTGAAAGGGGATTCACTGCTTTACAGAACTGCTAATCCTACATTCATTTTAAAAGGAAAAATAAATATTGCCCTGATTATTGTCAATTTTATGTAAACTTAATACATATTACTATTTTTAAAATGACCTTTCACTTAAATAAGACTAGTATTGATATGCCCAATTTTACTATAAAAGCAGAGGGTTTTTTATTATATTAAAAGTATGGTTGCCTTGTGTTATGAAGTATATGACTTCAGCACCTTCTATTAGATTTTTATTTCTTTGCATCATTGTGACATCTGCTCAGGTGTTTTCAATCTCATTTCTTAGATGTGTTTCTCCATCAATGTTAGATTTTTAAATTAAAATAATACTTTACAGAAAAGAAAAAGTCACCTTTCTTTGGGCAAAATGACTAGTCCAAGATCATTTGTACAGATCTCAACAACTATATAATGGCAAGTCTGGATATCTCATCTGCTACGAAATTTCTGAATGACTCCGGAAAGTTTTTAGATAGATCATGGTTATAAGTGCAAATTCAAATTGTCAAAATTATCAGCTGATACTCGAGCTTACATCAATAGAACCACTGCAGTGTTTATATTATTTTTTTTTTATTTTATTCTATTTTTTGAGACGGAGTCTCACTCTGTCACTGGGCTGGAGTGCAGTGGCATGATCTCAGCTCACTGCAACCTCTGCCTCCTGGGTTCAAGTGATTCTCCTGCCTCAGCCTCCTGAGTATCTGGGACTACAGGGATGCACCACCACGCCCAGCTTATTTTTGTATTTTTAGTAGAGACGGGGTTTCACCATGTTGGCCAGGATGGTCTCGATCTCCTGACCTTGTGATCCACCCACCTCGGCCTCCCAAAGTGCTGGGATTACAGGTGTAAGCCACCGTGCCCAGCCTATATTATTAATATAATGGGAATGCAGAATGATTCAAATGAAACTGAATGGCATCGATGTTAGGCTCTGGGTTATTGTTGAGTGGGTTGTGACAAAAATTTGGGGTTTTGCTATTCTTGGGTCCTGGTTGATAAAATAGTTCAAATAAGGGTGACCTCGAGGCCAAGTAGGTGGCAAATAATCAGTTCAGAATCTCAAACAGCAGTGGAGGTTGTTTGTGGAGTTGTGTAGCAGAAATGCTTATGCAGCCCAGTTCAGTAAACATGTTACATCACCTTGCATGAGGGATATATAAAGACAGTGTTTACTGCCATTGATAAAGCCCAATATATATGTGCCAAAGCTAGGACTGACTGGCTGAAACTGCGGAGCAAGGCTGCTCTGCAGATAAAGTATTGAACGAGACAGCTGAGCTCATCCAGAGATAGGCTAAAATAAGACTATAAAATCTGTCATGGAAAACAGAGAGCTTTTGGATCATCTATAGCAGCTAGGACAGTCTTCCCCTCATGTCCAGCTGGGCAACTTTAAACTCCTTTTCTGTATGCAGATGTTTTATCCCGTGAACAGCTCATGACTAGACAACAACTGCATGAGGTGTACTTAACTGTTGAGATGCTGAATTCATTGGCACCAGGTCCCTACATCAAACTCAGAAGACCTCTTTAAAAATCAACTGTGTAACTGTTGGCTATTTAAATAAGTCATTGCATTTGTAAGACTGACCACTGGATGCTTTTGTCATTTCAATTGCCTTGCAAGCCAGGACAGGTTCCCATGTGCTTTTCTAGTAAATGAAGGAAGGAAAAAAAACATCAAATATTAGATGTCATTAGAGATTGCATACAGATTAAGGAAGAAATTATAATATGGATCCAAAGCACTAGAACTACTCTTAAATGGAGAAATAATTTGAAAGGACTCATATGGTTAGCTTGGTGAAGAAAATATAATAGGAGTAGCATCTTCTAAGGCTTTAGTCCAGACTTAATTATTTGCTTCAGGAGAGTGAATTCAGAGAATCACTCTTGAATTTAATGATAATTTCTAGATTTTCTTTTGAATCTAATGAATTATATCTGGCATTTAAGTCTTTACATAACATAAAAGGGACCCAACACTTTTTGAGATGGGTGAAACAAACATTCTACATATAGGTTTGCTCTCAATCAATATAGGCTAGAAAATTGCGAGACTATTTTCAGGATTTTGACGTCAATTTCTGTACCTATTGGCATAAAAGACTAATATCCCATTTTCTCATTTTGTATGATGTTTTGATTTCAGGAATGCAAGTTCTATTTAACATTTAAGTATCTACAATACTCAAAATACTGATATTTAGATATATTAGGAATGGTCTTTGTCCAAAAGACAGGCATCTCATAAAAATGTAACTTAACCTCAAAAAGAAATTGAGCTTGTCACCCAGGGTACAGTTTCCTTTTTTTTTATGGTTTTTTTAAATACTTTAATTTCTGGGATATAAGTGCAGAATGTGCAGTTTTGTTACATAGGTATACACATACCATGGTGGTTTGCTGCACCCATCAACCCGTCATATACATTAGGTATTTCTCCTAATGCTATCCCTCCCCTAGCCCACCACCTCCTGACAAGCCCCTATGTGTGATGTTCCCCTCCTTGTGTCCATGTGTTCTCACTGTTCAGCTCCCACTTATGAGTGAGAAATATGCAGTGTTTGGTTTTCTGTTCTTGTGTTCGCTTGCAGAGAATGATGGTTTGCAGCTCCATCCATGTCCCTGCAAAGGACATGAGCTCATCCTTTTTATGGCTGCATAGTATTCCATGGTGTATACATGTCATATTTTCTTTATCCAGTATATCATTGATGGGCATTTGGGTTGGTTCCAAGTCTTTGCTATTGTGAACAGTGCTGCAATAAACATACGTGTGCATGTATCTTTATAGCAGAATGATTTATAATCCTTTGGGTATAATACGTGTGCATGTGTCTTTATAGCAGAATGATTTATAATCCTTTGGGTATATACCCAGTAAAGGGATGGCTGGGTCAAATGGTATTTCTAGTTCTAGATCCTTAAGGAATTGTCACACTGTCTTCCACAATGGTTGAACTAATTTACACTCCCGCCAACAATGTAAAAGCATTCCTATTTCTCCACATCCTCTCCAGCATTTGTTGTTTCTGACTTTTTAATGATCGCCATTCTAACTGGCATGAGATGGTATCTCATTGTGGTTTTGATTTGCATTTCTCTAATGACCAGTGATGATGAGCTTTTATTCATATGTTTTTTGGCCGCATAAATGCTTTCTTTTGAAAAGTGTCTGTTCATATCCTTTGCACACTTTTTGATGGGGTTTTTTCTTCTAAATTTGTTTAAGTTGTTTGTAAATTCTGGATATTAGCCCTTTGTCAGATGGGTAGATTGCAAAAATTTCTCCCACTTTGTAGGTTGCCTGTTCACTCTGAAGATAGTTTCTTTTGCTGTGCAAAAGCTCTTTAGTTTAATTAGATCCCATTTGTCAATTTTGGCTTTTGTTGTCATTGCTTTTGGTGTTTTAGTCATGAAGTCTTCGCCCATGCCTACGTCCTGAATGGTATTGCCTAGGTTTTCTTCTAGGGTTTTTATGGTTTTAGGTCTTACATTTAAGTCTTTAATCCATCTTGAGCTAATTTTTGTATACAGTGTGAGGCAGGGATCCAGTTTCACCTTTCTGCATATGGCTAGCCAGCTTTCCCAGCACCATTTATTAAATAGGGAATCCTTTCCCTATTTCTTGTTTTTATCAGGTTTTTCAAAGATCAGATGATTGAAAATGTGTGGCATTATTTCTGAGGCCTCTATTCTGTTCCATTGGTCTGTATATCTGTTTTGGTTTTAGTACCATGCTGTTTTTGTTACTGTAGCATTGTAGTAGAGTTTGAAGTCAGGTAGCATGATGCCTCCAGCTTTGTTCTTTTTGCTTAGGATTGTCTTGGCTATGCAGGCTCTTTTTTGGTTCCACATGAAATTTAAAGTATTTTTTTTTCCAATTCTGTGAAGAGAATCAATGGTAGCTTGATGGGAACAGCATTGAATCAATAAATTACTTTGGGCAGTATGGCCATTTTCATGATATTGATTCTTCCTATCCATGAGCATGGAATGTTTTTCCATTTGTTTGTGTCCTCTCTTATTTCATTGAGCAGTGGTTTGTAATTCTCCTTGAAGAGGTCCTTAACATCCCTTGTAAGTTGTATTCCTAGATATTTTATTCTCTTTGTAGCAGTTGTGAATGGGAGTTCACTCATGATTTGGCTGTTAGTCTGTTATTGGTGTGTAGGAATGCTTGTGAATTTTGCATATTAATCTTGTATCCTGAGACTTTGCTGAAGTTGCTTATCAGCTTAAGGAGATTTTGGGCTGAGACGATTGGGTTTTCTAAATATACAATCATGTCATCTGCAAACAGAGACAATTTGACTTCCTCTTTTCCTATTTGAATACCCTTTATTTCTTTCTCTTTCCTGATTGCCCTGGCCAGAACTTCCAATACTATGTTGAATAGGAGTAGTAAGAGAGGGTATCCTTGTCTTGTGCCAGTTTTCAAAGGGAATGCTTCCAGTTTCTGCCCATTCAGTGTGATATTGACTGTGGGTTTATCATAAATAGCCCTTATTATTTTGAGATACATTCCATCAATAACTTGTTTATTGAGAGTTTTTAGCATGAGGGCTGTTGAATTTTGTCAAAGGCCTTTTCTGCATCTATTGAGATAATTATGTGGTTTTGTCATTGGTTCTGTTTATGTGACAGATTACGTTTACTGATTTGCATATGTTGAACTAGCCTTGCATCCCAGGGATGCAGCCAACTTGATCATGGTGGATAAGCTTTTTGATGTGCTGCTGGATTCAATTTGCCAGTATTTTATTGGGGATTTTCGCATCAACGTTCATCTAGGAGGTCGGCCTGAAATTTTCTTTTTTTGTTGTGTCTCTGCCAGGTTTTGGTATCAGCATGATGTTGGCCTCATAAAATGAGTTAGGGAGGGGTCCCTCTTTTTCTATTGTTTGGAATAGTTTCAGAAGGAATGGTACAAGCTCCTTTTTGTACCTTTCGTAGAATTCAATGTGAATCCATCTGGTCCTGGGCGTTTTTTTGTTGGTAGGCTATTAGTTACTGCCTCAATTTCAGAACTTGTTATTGGTCTATTCAGGGATTCGAATTCTTCCTGGTTTTGTCTTGGGAGGATGTATGTTTACAGGAATTTATCCATTTCTTCTAGATTTTCTAGTTTATTTGCGTAGAGGTGTTTATAGTATTCTGTGATGGTAGTTTGTATATCTGTGGGATTGGTGGTGATATCCCCTTTATCATTTTTTATTGCATCTATTTCATTCTTCTCTCTTTTCTTTTTTATTAGTCTGGCTAGTGGTCTATCTGTTTTGTTGATCTTTTCAAAATACCAGCTCCTGGATTTATTGATTTTTTGAAGGGTGTTTCCTGTCTCTATCCCTTTCAGTTCTGCTCTAATCTTAGTTATTTCTTGTCTTCTGCTAGCTTTAGAATTTGTTTGCTCTTGCTTCTCTAGTTCTTTTAATTTTGATGTTAGGTGTCAATTTTAGATCTTTCCTGCTTTCTCTGTGGGCATTTAGTGCTATAAATTTCCCTCTACACACTGCTTTAAATATGTCCCAGAGATTCTGGTACATTGTGTCTTTGTTCTCATTGGTTTCAAAGAACATCTTTATTTCTGCCTTCATTTTGTTACTTGCCCAGTAGTCATTCAGGAGCAGGTTGTTCAGTTTCCATGTAGTTGTGTGGTTTTGAGTGAGTTTCTCAATCCTGAGTTTTCATTTGATTGCACTGTGGTCTGAGAGACTAACACATACATAGTTGTTTGAGGATGAAGGTAAAAGTTGGCTTTAATGTGTATTTCTTTTCTGCAGAAAAGGAATCATCGCTTTTATCAGCCTAAAAATTGGCCAAGATCATTATTTTGGTGTTTGAGTTGTAGACTCTATTTATATATAGTACCAGATGTCTATTACTTCTGAAATAAGGAGGCTGACAGTTTGTTATAATTACAAACTGTATAGAGAGAATACTTGATAGATCTTAAGAAATATTCAACTATTTTAGTTGAAAAACTGCTTTTCTTGGAGTAACTGACCATAAATTTGTCATTCAGATAGATCTGGTTTACTGCTTGTGGAAAGGAGGGAAAGGAAAAGGGAAAGTCTTTGAACAATTTAAAAGTAATGTCTTAATATATTAAAAAATAATAATTAGGAATGTGAAAGTACTAGCGGGAAAATGTAATTTTTTTCTTTTAAAAAATTATTATTATTTTAATTGACAGATAACTGTATACATTTATGGGGTACAGTGTGATACTTCAACATATGTATACAATGTATAATGACCAAATTGAGGTAATTAGCATATCCATCATCTCAAACATGTATCATTTGTGTTGGGAACATCCAAAATCTTCTCTCTTACTATTTGAAAGTATAGAATAAGTTGTTGTTATGTCACCCTATAGCGCTGTGAACTATATTGCTCCTATTTAGTTTTTGTATGTTAACCAACCTCTTTCTATCTTCCCACCCCCTTACCCTTCTCCCCCTCTAAGTAATGACTATTCTACTCCATACTTCTTATCAACTTTTTAAGCCTCTACATATAAGTGAGAATGTACAGTATTTATCTTTCCATGCCTGGCTTATTTCACTTAACATAATGTCCTCCAAGCTCATTCACGTTGCTGCAAATGGCACAATTTTGTTCACTTTTATGGCTAAATGGGATTCCATTGTACATATGCCACATTTTCTTTATCCATTGATCTACTGATGGACACATAAGTTCATTTCATATTTTGGCTATCGTGAATAGTGCTGCAATAAACATGGGAAAGCAGATCTTTTTTGCACATTCAGATTTATTTTCCTTTGGATATATACCCAGTAGTGGGATTATTGGATCAGAAGACATATAAATGACCAACAGGTATATGAAAAAATGTTCAGCATCACTAATCATCAGGGAAATGCATATCAAAACCATTGGGAAATATCAACTTATCCCAGTTAGAATGGTTATTATCAAAGAGACAAAAAGAACAAACACTGGTAAGGATACAGAGAAAGGAGAACGGTTACACACAGTTGGCAGGAATTTAACTTAGTATAGCCATTATGAGAAAGTAAAATTAAAAAGTAAAAATAAAGCTACCATATGATCTAGCAAAATGTAATTCTTAACATAAACAGTTGAAATGAATTCTGAACTTAGGACCAATATTAATTATAAAATTGATTTTGGAACACATATACACACACACACGTATATATATACACACACAATCAGGAGTTGCTTAGCAATGGGGATACATTCTGAGAAATATGTCATTAGATGGCTTTGTTGTTTCGTGAACATCATAGAGTGGACTTAAACAGTGGTATAGCCTACTACACACCTAGGCTATATGGTATAGCCTATTGCTTTTAGGCTATAAATCTGTACAACATGTGACTGTATTGAATACTGTAGGCAACTGTAACACAATGGTAATTATTTGTATATCTAAATATTTCTAAACATAGAAAAAGGACCATAAAAATATGGCATTATAATCTCATGAGAGCACTATCATACATGTGGTCTGTAGTTGACTGCAACGTCGTGGCATGGTGCATGACTATATATACACGTATGTATCATGGATACCAAAGCACCTAAAATTCAAAGCCATAAGGTAACCTTATCATTTTACTAACAGTTTTTGAACAGCAGAATTGAGCAATCTTAATAACGTAAGTTTTAAAATATTGTGAACAATCTGAAGTAGTCAGAGTCACTATAAAATAAAATGCATCAGAGCAATAAAGGAAATTTAATGACAAAAAGGCTGCCTACTGACTTTCAAGCAACCCAGAATCCACTATTTGAAACATTAAGTATAATATCTGGGGCTCCTGGTACTGAAAAGCAGAGACTATCTTGCAGAATTTCATATCCCTGAAGTTCATGACACAGTAGGCACTTAATAAGTATATGTTGAATGAATTAAGTGAGTCTAAAGATTCCACAGGCTAGGAATACTTGGGTCAGTTGGTACTGACTCCACTGCCATCACAATCCTAGTGTTAATATCTGTTGTCTTAGATGAATCCACAGAGAAGGGAGCTCTTGGCAGCGTTAAAAATGTGGAGCTAGTTTTTCAGAGCTGAGTCAGAAGGTAAGCAATGAGCTGGGAGGAAAGGGAAGAGGTAAGGAAAGATATTATAAATGAAATATATACATCATGTTTGTGAGAACACAGGCTAGCTTATAACACAATCATTATCTGAGTAAAGGGGGTATTAGTTTATTCATTCTTATAAAGAACTACAGTGGTTCCCATCATACATCAGCATTGGTATGATTTGATAAATGTCTAAAGATGGATTTTTCTTACATATACATGGATACTGAGTAAGGTAAGACATACATAAATAAGAATCCGATACAAAATCCTACTCATAAATGATAAATTTCCAACAGTCTGACTTTAACTTTCAGTTAATAAAAGCACTTTTGTGTTTGAAATATACCTATTCAAAATATGCAATCTTGTTTATATGAATGGAATTGGCAGTAGGGGAAACAATGACAAATCTGTGTCCACTGAAAATAGAATCCTCCATCCTCCCCAATCCATCTTCTGTTCCCTTGGGTTCCAACAAAGAGGCTCTAGGAGAAGAAGCAGCATTAGGATGCCACTGGTGGTGGTGACTGCTGTTGGCTGCATCTTCACCCTAAGATGCATGTCTGTCTAGTGGTGGAAATAAGGGTCTCTGTAGCCCAACCAGCCAGTTCTATGCTGCCACTCAGTCTCCAGTGTTCATTATTGAGGCCACATGAGGGCAAAACCTTCCATTCCTCTCCTCATTCCCCTCCCCTAGCTGAGCATGGAATAGACATTAAGTAAGGCCTCCTTCGTGGAGAGCATTTCCCCCACTTGAACATTCTCTCACAGGCCCCCTTTGTTCCCTGCCCTCCGCCCCATCTACATGCTGCAGCAGCAGTCGCCCAGATGTTCTCTATCAAAGCCTGAGCCATGCCAGCAAACTTTGGCACGCATGAAAGTGCACTGAGTACTGGCCCTCCAGAAATACCTTTTCCCCCCTCTGATTTCTGCAAATATTTTTAAATTTTAATGGGTTCCACTCACCCACAACGTAGGGGGAGGTTGCAGAACAGGACTCTGTGTGTCCAGCAAATTGCAGCCTGAGGATACTGCTTGGCGCCTAGGTTCTGTCCCACCCTCGGGGCATTGGCTGGGGTTCTCCAACCTTGAACTGTAGAGGCCAGTTTGCCAGCACATAGCTTTCTAGTGACAGAGGTTAGATAGGTCATTGACAGGAAAGTTGCTTTAGGCTACTAAATAAATAAATAAATAAATAAATAAATAAATAATACCTAAGCTGTCTCAAAAGTTTCTGAAAGTAACAGAGATCCTTTAAGTACCACTGAAATAAGATTTTGAAATGTTTATTTTCTCCTCTTAACTCATCCTCTCTTCTCCTCCTCTTCTTTTTTCTTCTGTTTAAAAATATACAATTTTCCTGGTTTGGTACGTAGTCAAAAAATAATTTGACCTATGCTTTGGTACTTTGTACATCACATCCCTTTTAAGGCCCCTTCATAATAGAAAATGGTTCATTAACAAAAGCCTTGGTACAAATTTCAATAAAATATAAATTAGAATATTTTAGATGGAGGTGGGAAAGTGGTATGTATTTGGAGAGAAAAGGAAAAGGGTGGATGACATGTTTTTCCAGGAGAGACTTACTCGTCTCACTTCCATTGTGACAGTTGTTTTAGGGCCTGGCTAGAAGCCATCTAAAAGATAATGTAAGGCCACCTGCTATGGGCTGAATGTTTCAGTGCCCCCCACCCACCCCCCCACCACCAAAACTCATATGTTGTAACTCCAGTCCTCAGTGTGATAGGATTTGGAGAGGGGGCCTTTGGGAGTAATAAATCATGAGATTAGTGCCCTTATAAGAAGAGACAGGAGACAGGAGATTCTCTCTCTTTCTCTCTGCCATGTGAGTACACTAGGAGAAGACAGCCATCTGTAAACCAGGAAGAGGGCCCTTATTAAGATCCCAACCATACAGGCACCCTGATCTCAGTCTTCCAAACTTCAGAACTGTGAGAATAAATGTTAGTTATTTAAGCCACCCAGGCTATAGTATTTTGTTTCAGTAGCCCGAAGAGAATAAGATACTATCCTTAAAGAATTATTTGTTTTTAATTCTGTCCTAATGGGCTCACTCTGGAAACAAATTGCTTAGGTGTTATTGACCTCTCAGGCCTCTGAAGGTTTCTCCATAGCTAAAGCTCCATCTGTTGCTTACAAAGTTATAATGCTTGAGGTAGGTACCCCATATGTCTTGCCCCTGCCCATGCTTTGAACTTTGTTCAAAGAAGGATGGTCAGTAACTTTTTTGTGAAGTAAAAGTGAACCCTCAAAACTCAATAATAAGAAAATATACAATCCAGCATAAAAATGGGCAAAAAGATTTGAATAGACATGTCACCAAAGAAATGATACAGATGGCAAATAAACACATGAAAAGATGCTCAACATTAGATGCCATTAGGGAAATGCGAATTAAAATCACAATGAGATACAACTATACACCTATTAAATGCCTAAATTTCTTTTTAATGATAATACCAAGTGCTGACAAAGATGTGGAGCAACTAGAACTCTCATATATTCCTGGTGGGAGTTCAAAACTACAGCAACAATAATCAAATTAGTGGTTGCCAGAGGCTGGGATTGGGGAAAAATGTTAATAGTTGTTTATATCCTGTGTGCTGGCAATACAAGTTTATGTTTTATTTCCTGTACTTCTGTTTATTTTTTAAAATTTCCTCCAAATAAATTTTTTTAAGAAAATGAAGAAATGTATACATTGTGCTAGGTAATCTCCATTTGCCCATCCAGATAAATTCACAATCTTTCTTTTTTCTGTTTTGTGCCCTGCGAGGCTGACTTCTATGAGCTACCTCAATCAGGCACTTTGCCCTCTGACTTCCTGTTGGGTTAGGCTAGTGGGAGGCACCAGCAGGAGTAAGTAGGTAGGAAGAGAAAAAGGATGGGGTATTTATTCCTCCAGCTCCCTCCCTGGCAGGCCACAGGATAGCAGTGGCTGACTTTCTCTACAAAGGGCCACAACTCCTGTCAAGGTACCTTCTACAACTACAACTTCAGCAAGCAACAGCCACCAAGTTCTTGGATTCTGGTTACCACTTCCTTTCCTTGTTCCTGTGGCCTTGGTGGTCATGGTTCCTAGCAGTTGCTATCATTCCTTGTTAATTTCCTTTAACATAGCTCACACCTTTGTAAATGGTCCCTTCATTAAATTTTTCTCAAATTATCCAATTTGAGTTTGTTTCTTTTTACATTACATGCTAATACCTCGCTAACTCTAGGTGCTCCACAATTTTAATCAAAAAGATCTTTCTTTTGGAATCTTTAACAAAAGCCTGTCAGATTAAAAAGTAGAAATTAATTCCCAGACTAAAAGTATATGCCATCAAGTGTAGCACATAATTATCTGTCTACCCATCCATTTTAGCATTAGGTAGCCAGACAAAGCCATTGCTGCTTACATACCTGGACTGCAGTATTTGACCATTCTGTTTGGCCATAGAATTATGCTAATCAATCAGTCTATATATATATATTTTTAAATGGCAAAACATGCATTGTACTCTAAATATGTTGAGCGCATTGCTTACTAAATTTCATAATATAACTTTTATTATCACTTATGGGAGAAACTTCTACGCTTCTTTTAAGTACTTTTAATATATATATATACACATACATACATATATATACATATATGTATATATATGTATATATATGTATGTATGTGTATATATATGTATATATGTATGTATGTGTGTATATATATATATATATATATGACACTGCATATCATTTCCCCCCTCTGTTTTGGTTCTGAAAAGATTCAGGGCAAAAGTATGATCCAGCTCTAGAAAGTATATGATACCTAGAAACATAGTGTTTGTGTACTACCCTCATTCTCTGCCATGTTTTCTTTTTCCTAGTCTTATCTTCCCTTAAATTACATTTCTTTATTTTCATATATATAATATAGTTGCACACATATGTATATATATTTACATGTGTGTATATATACATATATATATACATATATATATGTATATATACATATATATATTTGTGCCTGTGTATTTTTAAGGCATCTTAAATTCTTTCTGGCCTAAGCAGCAATATAAAGAGTACAAATTTATAGTTTCTTGACAGATGATTTCTATTAACTAAAGGCAAGAGTATAGTTTAGCCACATTACTATTTAATCTCCATTTTGTTAATGTAATCTAAAGATTATCTGGCCCAGAACTATTCTAACCTTAAAATGTGTGCCCTTTACAAACTGTCTACCCCTCTGAATATGTCTCTTATCCACATATGTTGAAAGAATCTTACATAATTTCAATTACTGTAAAGAACATTAAAATATATGAAATCATTGGCTAACTATAGTAATGACTAGGTTTCTTTAAAAAAATATATTTGAGGCATAAGAGTGTATTGACTGGCCAGGTGCCGTGGCTCACGCCTGTAATCCCAGCACTTTGGGAGGCCGAGGTGGATGGATCACGAGGTCAGGAGATTGAGACCATCCTGGCTAACACAGTGAAACCCCATCTCTACGAAAAATACAAAAAAATTAGCCGGGCATGGTGGCAGGCGCCTGTAGTCCCAGCTACTCGGGAGGCTGAGGCAGAATGGCGTGAACCTGGGAGGCGGCAGAGCTTGCAGTGAGCAGAGATCGTGCCACTGCACTCCAGCCTGGGTGACAGAGCGAGACTCCATCTCAAAAAAAAAAAAAAAAAAGTGTATTGACTAACAGCACAAACCCTTGAGTCAGACTGTCTGGGTTAACCCAATTACTAGATGTGGAATTTAAGTTACTTAAATTATTTGTTCCTCAGTTTCC
The DNA here is from genome assembly GCF_000001405.40 of Homo sapiens. Lineage (NCBI taxonomy): Eukaryota > Metazoa > Chordata > Mammalia > Primates > Hominidae > Homo > Homo sapiens. The sequence continues at coordinate 170,515,222 of NC_000001.11, forward strand.
TCATCTGAAAAATGGGACAGATAATAAGAAAGTTGTTGTGCAGATTCAATGAGATAATACAGAAGAACAGAAACTGTCAAAATAAATATTATTTACAATTATTTTAATAAAATACTTTTCCTGGAAAACATCTTTCCCAGAACTATCATACAAATGATGATGATTTTCAAGGATCCAACTCAAACCTCATTCAGAGCAAAGCAATGGTAAAAATTCTTTATGAATAACAAGAAACATAAAGTTACCCCTTTAATTTTTTCTATTTCTATTCATTTTGTCAAGCCACTGATTCTACAGCTACTTAAGTTTATGACTAGGCATTTTTTCAAAATGCTCCATTTGATAAGGTGACTAAATCTTGTCAAAACTGTCTCAGAAGGTCTATGCCCAAAGTAATGGTATTAGTCCATCTTACTCAGTTAAACATTTTTTCCTGTTAAACTTGGGCCTTTATAACTGATTGCTCCCATATTGCATGTTTAACAAATATAAAGTCATTCCTCTTCAGTAGTCTCCTGGAGCTGGTTGATGCCACTGGCATCAGCTGGTAAGGGGTGATTGTACATATCTCTTCTTAACTCCACAATTCACGTTTACACTATGGAAACCAACAATCAAATTTTTTGTTTTCTTTCTGGAGAGGCTTTTATTAAACATTACCAGCACATCACTGCCCCTAGTCTAAAAGAACCAGCCTTCACAAAGTCTCAGAGTTAGAATGCCCACAATATCTTTTATAATCGTAGCCCATACCAACAGCTAGTATTAGAGGCTATCCTGATTTGCATATATCAAAGAAATGTGGTGTTTAAAAAAACGGCAAAACAATTGGGTTTCTATCTGGAATGTTCATATTTGTGAATCTAGCTTTTTGTTCTGGTTTAAAATGTGAGCATAAGTCTTTTCAGTTGCAACAGTAACTACTGTAATGATGCTGTTTGATGATTCCTTATATCAAATTAACTTGAAAATATTGATACATGATGTAAGTACCCTTAGAAATTCAGTCTAATTTATTCAAAGAAGTTTAACTACAGAACATTTTATTTTGTTCTGGAAATCTTATAAAGGCATTTTGCCAAAAGCATTAAATATTTGATTTTACTTGTTAAGATTTGTAGGAACTCCTTTAAATTTATTATAAAAAATAACAGCTACAGCAACACATTTTCCCCTTCATTAAGGTAGTGAAAAAAAGAACTTTAAGAGCTTTTCCATAAAAATGCTCTAAAATATTCCATTAAAATTAAAAGGCAACTGCCATATCACACGTGGTCAGATTTAACTATTCATAGTTATTTTAGGTATATCAGCCCCCAAAGACCAAACTACCTGAGAGTCCAGCTGTGTTCAAAGTAGATACGGATCTACAGAACTCAACCTCTACAGTGGGATAGGGCTGGCACAAACAGTTGTTAGACCAGAGAAGAAAAGAAGAATTCTGAGTTCGATATTAGCATTCGACTCCCTGAAAAGCCTCACTTGATTACAGGATTATTGTTAAGGAAACAATCATCCCGTGATGATCAGGGAGAAATCTATGATAGAGCAAGGAGCTTAGAACAAAAGCCCAATTCCAGCAGTATTAGCCATGTGATCCCATGCCAGCAATGGTGAATTGAGAATCTTAGTATCAAGTAATTTTCTAGGTTGTGGGAAATAATTGCATTTCAGTTGAAATCTTAAACTCTCATAATTACAAAAAGTATCTTTAAAATACTACAACCATATGCATATTTGTTGTTAACTATTATACTCCTTCTGGTATGGTTCTCCTTGCCTAGTTTTGTTTTATAACAATATTTATGCATTTTAAATATGGTTTAAACATTAGTGGCCACAAAGATACATAGCTCCATGCATAAGTAACTTATTAATGTATTTTGTAGGGTGGTCCATTATACATATATTTAATTAGCTTTGGAATCAGATGTTAAATATTTGTTTTAATGTCCCGAACATCAACAAATAAAAGTACCCTATATTTTTCAAGAATTTATTATTGATTTTGAACTTAAATCTTAATCTTTTACCAGTATCCTTGTTAGGGTCACCCAGAACCCCAACAAACTGACATAATGTACTTTCACCTGAGTACCAGATGCTGATGTCTTTGGAATCTTATTTTTTGGTATAAAAGGGAGTTATCAAAAAAAAAAAAAAGGTAAGCTAATGACCACAATTTTTTTTTAAATGTGGACACAGTAAGACAGTAACTAAGAAAAAAAAAAAAAAGACTTGCCAATAAATGTTAACATTTCACTTTTTGAACCAGTGTTAGACACAGGATGTACGAACAGGAATATTTTTGTTTTGTTTGCTTTGTTTGTTTACAGTCAAGTAAAAAGTACAGGGCTTGAAACTATACATACCTGGGGTATAATTCTGGCTCCTCCATTTACTTATTTGCTTGACCCTGAGAAAGTCACTCAGCTTCAAGTAACATCTGTTTCATCAGATTTTCATTCAGACCCATCAAATACTGAAAAAACAAAAATAATAGACAAGACTTTCCTGACCTTATTTACATAAAAACAGCGCCAATGATGAATAAAGGGCAATGGTAACATTGGATTAGGCCATTGCCTTTCCTTGGAATATCCCTGTTAAGAACCTCTCAACCTTTGCTTTAGAATGATTTCCTACCATTAAGTACGGCTATAATGTTAATCCTAAAAGTGAAGGATTTCTTCAAATTCACACACACCCCATCACTACTTGTTTGCAGGCCAGTGGCCATTGGCTTTTCTTTCACCTAAACGAAAGAAGGAGCCATTTCCAGTCTACTCGCCTACTCATTTACTGTGAGCTCAACTCTGTTATTTGGAAAGCTGCCATACATTTATGAGAGCCTAAGGGATATTAGATGATTGTCATCTTTCTCTTGTTCCCTCGCCCCCCTCCACCAAATGCCCTGGCAAGGTTGCCGCACCTGGACATGGAATTCCCTGGAGAGTCCCTTGTTACCAGAATTGTGGAAAACTTGGACCGAGTTCAGAGAAGAGCTACTAAAATGGTTAAATGACTGAGGGGGCCAATTTATAAGGAACTCAGAAATGTTTGGTTAAGTGGTAATTACCCTAAAAAAGGTGTGGTGACTGGCATTAAGTTTAAATTCCAAGCCATACTTGGCAAGAGGCCTTCTTTCAGGCAGCCTCCACATTCAGAAATAGTCTGAAGAAGGAGTAGAATCTTACTTTTGCTTGAGCCTCCAACCCCTGCACAGGCTGCTTGGGTGGTATCCACATGCCAAGTGTAGTAACCTCTATAAACAAGCACAGAAGGCAACACCACTAACGCAGAAAGCTCATTTAAGACGACTGAAGAATGCTTAAAGGAAAGTCTTCCCAGGAATCAGGAAGAATAAGCCTGGGTTGTGAAAAGCCAGTCCCTACATCCCAGTTAAGCACCTATCACACCCCACACAGCCAATATCTGCTTGATGGGTGGTATCATTTAATAAGAACTGCTGGCTGAGTCCAAAGTGTACAGGTCTGTCTCAAATACACTGCTGGGAATATGGATTCCATTACCTGACAAGAGTTTCTACTTGACCAAAGAGGAAAACCTAAGAACAGGTATAATCGTCAAGAAAGCAGAGTGAGAAAATTTCTTATAACAGCATTTTCCAAAATGTCTTCTAGGTGATGTCAGTATGTGTTATACAAATTAAAAAAGAAAAGAACCTAAAAACTGGAATAAATGAAGTTAAACCTTGTGTGTTTATGATGTGTTTGTTTTTATTAACAGTAAAACCCCTCAGAGCCATTAATATGCCGAAGCCTATAGTGTGTCACTAAGAAGGGTAGAGTGTACACTATTTCCTAAATTCAGATTGGGCATGGAGTGCTTTATTCCAGAAGCACGGACCTTTGTATTCACTGTATTCACAGCCACTTCCATAATACCTTTTACAATGCTGCATTCAGTAAATGAGCAATGAAAATGAATGAGTCAGCCTAGGCTAGAACACAGGTCTTAAATCCCAATCTACTCCTCTTTCCACCACATTCATATTCTAGTTACGCTTTACTTACAATGAATCTTTTCACTCTATATAAATGAAATTAAATTTGTTAACCAGAAGCAGACTGACCTGAAGCTACTAAAGCTCAAGCTTGTGGGCCTCTCATCAGGCTTCCTAGTCCCAATAACTCAGTGTATATTTACAGTGCTGCATTTACTTTTTACTTAAGGAGGCCTCACAAAACTGTATAGCCTTCATGTCCTGCACAACCTGCTGCTATCATATAAAATGAAAATGAGTTTTCACCAAATGTCTAAGTTGTCACTGAGATGACTGAACTGAAATTATTGATGATATTATGGATGAAAATATACTCTGGATTACTCAGGCTCATCTTTAAGAGATTTCATACTCCTGTGTAGCTGAAATGTAGATTCGAATAAGAAATAAATCTGAGTTCATTCTTTCTATACTCTTCATAATTATATTAGCTTCAACCATCTCTTTTTTTTTTTTTTTTGAGACAGGGTCTCACTCTGCCGCCCAGGCTAGAATGCAGTGGCACAATCTCGGCTCACTGCAACATCCACCTCCCAGTTCAAGCGATTCTCCTGCCTCAGCCTCCCAATTAGCTGGTACTACAGGCATGCGCTGCCATGCCCGGCTAATTTTAGTAGAGATGGGGTTTTGCCGTGTTGGCCAGGCTGGTATCGAACTCCTCACCTCAGTTGATTGCCTGCCTTGGCCTCCCAAAGTACTGGGATTACAGTCAAAAGCCACCGCACCTGGCCCATCTCACTTCTTATATGCCTCTTAAGATGTTTATCACTTCTACTATTCTGTTGTTTCTTAAATTAACACCTTACCCAAAATGGTCTTTCTTCCAATCTCCCCACCCTTCAAAATTTTAAGACTATAAATAGTCACTATGAAAACATCACATTGTAAATATTACTACAATTCCTTCTGAAGACCACCAGAAGCTTCTGAATCATTTTTTTCTATGTAGTAATGACTGACACTTATAAACCTGAATCTATAGTGCCGCGATTTGGTGTTCTACTTCAATTCTTTAAAAACTTCACTTATATTAGCCTTGTCTTTTGAAATTTCCTGTTGGCTGCCTGAGATAAAATAATTTCCAGCCTAATCTTCATCTTATCTCCTATCCATTTGACATTATGCCTTCAAAATAATATTTTATTATTTAATCTAAATGAAGAACACTTGATTCCAGAACATTAAATCAATAACATTAACAGACTGACCTTTGTAATTCATTTTTATCATGATTGATAAGCCAGTTTAAGCTTTCACTATAGCTACCCAAAGCTTTGCAGATTCCTTCTAGACTATTCAGAATTTAACAGGATATTCTAACAACCACACACAAAAACATCACTTCCAACCTGTTTGTGTCTTAGAGCAAATCAGGGTTTTACTCCCTCATTTTTTCACAGCAAAAATTACAAAATTAGAAAACTGAGCACAAATGCCAAAAGTTTTACCTGCCTCTCTTTCTTTCCCATCATCTTACTGAGTTGGTGACTATGAAAATATGCTGAGCCCAAAATAGCAGTTGTGTACTGCCAGGTCAGCCTTAGTCATTTCCAAGCCAAGGGGGAATTGACAGATACCCCCTTTACAAGTCTAGTGTTTGTAAATATCAAATGAAATGACTTCATTCAGTCAATTATTTCTGGAGAAAGCTGGCAGAATAATGTGGTAATTAAACTGAGGACTGATGGAAACTATTAAACAGGAGGGCTATTTTGCCTGGCAGTTCTAGTTAATGCTTTTTATGTGTTTTTGTTTTTTAAAAATGCTTGAAATACTAGTTCACTTAAATGGAATTGCCTCTTCATTGAAATACATATTTAAAATGTTCCAGTGAAGACAGCATAAGTAAAAGACAGGAGAAACTCAATTTTCTTGTATCTTCTGAGTCATCAGTATGATTTCCTTATTTTAGATGAAATCAAAATGCAACTGTATTCAAATGTAAGTAGAACATAACCATATCCCAAAGCCAGAACACAATATAGTCAAGACTCAATTGCCTGGGTGCTGGGTATTCACTTCAGTCTGAATATGCTGTCTACAGCGTATGTTTGCCCAGTCTAGTCTAGTCTCCCTTAGGCTCCTCTAGCTGGCCACCAGCTTGATTCATCCATCCATCCACTCATTCATTCAACAATATTCAGCCACCATCTCCAGCACTGTTTCTAGTTACCTGTAATGCAGCAGTAAAAAAAAAAAAAAAAAAAAAAGTACTTTCCCACATATCTCTCCTGCCTACCTAATAGTTATGCACTCAGGGACAGACAAAAGTTCTAACAAAAAAGAACAAATTGGAATCCGAAAGCTATTGGAAAAGATCTCTGAATGCTTCCCAAAGGAAAATGCAAGCTGTTAAATTACTTGTAGCTCTTCATTTTTAAGTGATTTACATACAAATAACCACCATTTTCCCAGTCTTTGATGAATGGATACAAAGGTTTAAAAAAGGGAAACTTTTAATCCATTGGTAATAGTCTGAGAATGGATTAAGAGAAATTGGCAAAAATTAAGAATAACTTAGGAAAACCAAGCCAGAAAATTCCAAGGTAGAGGGAAACTGGAAGAGTTAATAACTAAAAACAGCTTCTGCTACACTTCATAAATATTTCTCATTTTTCTTTGTTAGAATACATATTTCTATCATATATTTAATAGTATGTGATAAACAAGCATACTGAATAAATAAGCATATTCTTTTGAAAATGCAAATATCATGGGGATGTGGAGTTAAGGACCATTAGTCATCCACATTCTGCTCATATGAGCTACATAAACATTTAATGAAATGTTTGCCCAGTTCTTAGCAAGCTTAGAAGTAATATGAAAGTAGATAGTAGTAGTTAAAATTGTAAATTCTGAAGTTATACTGCTCAAGTATTCAAGAGCTAATATTTGAATTCTAGCTCTATGACTAACAAGCTGTGAAAGCTTGGACAACTAACTTAATCTCTTGGTGCCTCAGTTTCCTCATCTACAAAATGGAATAATAGTTGAAACTTTGCTGGGACTTGCCCTTTTGACAAAAACAGAGTAAGTAACAGGGACTTAATTTATGTTTCCTTCTAAACCCAAAATAAACAAATAAATAGAATAACAATAGTTTTCAAGAGACAGGATATCAGGCAACCAAGGACAGTGATCTCTAAGAGATGAGAAAAAAATTGAGGCAAGACCTATGATTTCCCCAGTTGACTGCCTTGAGAGTCCTCAGGCCACAGCATGTGGCAGGGGAGGGACTGGACAAATCCTAGAGGACTCCTACTTGAGGAGGTGAAGCTCAGACTGCAAGAAGAGCAAGGAAACTAGAATTTGTATGACGAGGTATCAGAAAGGAGTGAGCTGCATAGAAGAAGAATCATGGAGACCAGCAGACAGTCTCCCTCAAGGTGATCAGCACATATAAGTGAGGAAACTACATGAGCCAGAAGCTATGATTTGACTGTTTGTCCCTTCCAAAACACATGTTAAAATTTAATTGCCAACAAAATGGTTTTGGAAGGTACAGCCTTTAAGAGGCGATTATGTCACAAGGGCTCCATCTGCATGGGCGGGTTTAATGCCTTTATAAAAGGGCTTCCAGGAGTGGGTTCTCCCTTGCTTGGCCCTTCCACTCTTCTATCATGTGAGGAACAGTTTTTCTCCCCTTCAAAGGACGTCATGTTTAACAGCCATCTTGGAAGTGAACACCAGGCCATTACCAACACCAAACCTGTTGGCACCTTGACCTTATATTTCCCAGCCTCCAGAACTGTGAAATAAATTTCTATTATTTATAAATTACCCAGTCTGTAGTATTCTGATATGGCAGCACAAAATGGGATAAAACACCAGGGAAAGAACTATGCAAAAACACCAGACCAGGCATAGTGCCTGTTCCCATCAATCAGACTGGAAACCTTTACAATTCCCAGAGCATTTGGTAGAGTATTCAGAAGATTCTTGCATTAGTAGCAGGAAATAATTAGTCCCTGACTAATCATTGAATAATTAGTCCTTGACTAACCATTGCTTTGGTTATGTCACAAATTCCAAAATCAAGGCTCAAAAAGATAAGCCTATTTTCAAGTAACTTAAGTGTATCTCAGAACAAAGCTCAAAAATATTTATAGGAAAAGAAAAATAGCTAGCACCCAACAAGGTAAAACTGACAATGTCTTGAACCAAACAAAAGATTACCAGTCATGCAAAGAAGTAGGAAAATAAAAATAATGAGTAAAAAGATTAATCAATTGAAACTTACCTAGAACTAACATAGTTATTAGAATCAGCAGACATGGATATTAATATTTGTCATTCCTGTATTCCATATGTTGAAAAGATATAAAAATACCTTAAATAATCAAAGATATAAAAACTATCTAAATTGAATATCTTGAGATGAGAACTACAACGTCTGTAATAAAAAAATATACTAGATTCAATTAATAAAAGATTAGACATTAGAGAAAAAATTATTAAAAATATTAGTGAACTTAAAGATGTAGCAATAGAAACTATACAAAATGAAGTAAAGAGAGAGAAAAAGATGTTAAAAATGAAATGACCATCAGTGAGCTACAGGAAAACTTCAAGTAGCTAACATGTAATGGAAGCCCCAAAAGAAGAGGAAAAAGGAAGGGAGAACAATAATATATTTAAGGAAATAATGGTCAGAAAACTTTCAAATTTGATGAAAACTATAAACCCAGACATTCAAGTATCTCAAAGAACCCGAAGTACAAAAAGAAAGAATGAAAGAAAGAAGAGAAAAAGAAAGAAAGAAAGAGAAAAGGAAAGAAAGACAAAGAGAGAAAAAAAGGAAGACAGAAAGAGAAAGAAAAAGAAGAAAAAAAAAAAAGAAAGCAAGGAAGCTACACACTATACCATGGTACATCATATTCAAATTGATCAAAAACAGTGATAAAGTAAAAATCTTAAAAGACAGAGAAAAAACACCCATTATGTAAGGAGCAAAGGTGATGATACAAATTTCTCATCAGAAACAATGCAAACTAGAAGAGTGGAAGAGAATAAAGTAATTTTTTAAAAAAAGTTAAACTAGAATTTTATGTCTAGTGAAATGTCTTTCGAAAACTAAGGCAAAATAAAGACTTTTCCTACAGATGAAAGCTGAAAGAATTAATCAGCAGCAGACCTACACTGTAAGAAATACTAAAAAAGAAAAAAAAAAAAAAAGCCCATCAGGTAGAATGAAAATGATGCCTGGTGGAAATATGAATCTACACAAAGAAGTGAAGAACACAGGAAATTTTATCTACATGTGTAAATATATATTTTTATTTAAATCTGTTTAAAAGTTAACTTACTATTTTAGCAAAAATGATAACATTGCAGTGTGGATTTTAAGACATACGTATAAATGAAAGGTATGAAACAATAGCATAAAGGCCAGGAGAGAAAAAGCAGAGGTGTATATTTATAAGGTTCTTATAGTACATGTGGTATGATACTACCTGAAGATAGACTATGATAAGTTAAAAATACATACCAAACCCTAGAGCAATTACTAAAATAACAAAACAAAGAATATAGCTAATAAGTTTATAAAGGAAATAGATACAGTCATTAGAAAAAGGAAAGAGGAAAAAGATATACCAAGGCTAATATTTAGCAAAAGAAAGTTACAGTGGCTATATTAATATCAGATAAAGTAGATTTCAGACCAAAATTAGGGGGAAGAAAAAGATCATTTCATTATGATAAATGAGTCTAAGAATCAAGAAGACATACAAACACAAACATTTATTCACCTGTTATTATTATAACAGAGTTTCAAGATACATGAAACAAAACTGAGATAACTGCAAGGATTAATGAACAAATCTACAGTTATAATAGGATATTTCTCATCTCTCAATAAATAATAGTACAAGGAGTCAGAAAATGAGTAAGGCTATAGAGGACTTAAAAACCTAATCTTGGGAGGCTGAGGCAGGCAGATCACCTGAGGTCGGGGGTTCAAGACCAACCTCACCAACATGGAGAAACCCCGTCTCTACTAAAAATACAAAAATTAGCTGGGCGTGGTGGTGCATGCCTGTAATCCCAGCTACTCAGGAGGCTGAGGCAGGAGAATCACTTGAACCTGGGAGGCAGAGGTTGCAGTGAGCTGAGATCATGCCATTGCACTCCAGCCTGGGCAACAAGAGCGAAACTCCAAAAAAAAAAAAAAAATTAAAGGGAAACTATATTATGAGACATTTAAGAAGTCTTAATAAATTTAAAAGGATTTAAATTATACAAATTAAATTTTGATGACATGGAACTAAAAATAGGAACCAATAAGAGAAAGTTCTCCAGAAAAGCTCCAAAATATTTGGAAACCAAATAACAAAATCTCAAATAATCCATGAATCAAAAAATCAAGAGGAAATAAAAAGGAATTTTGAATTGAATGAAAATAAAGACACAGTATATCAAAATTCATGGGATGCTGCTACAGTGATAGTTAGGGAAAATTTTATTGTATTAAGCACTTATTTAGAAAGGAAGAAAAGTTTTAAATTAATGAACTCAGTTTCCACCCTAAGAAACTAGGAAAAGAAAAGCAAATGAAATCCAAAGAAAGCGGAAGAAATACAACAGTAAAGATTAGAACAGAAATCAATAAAATAGAAAGCCAATAAACAATAGAAAAGTTCAACAAAACCAAAAACTTTTTGGAGAAAAATTAATAAAACTGATAAACCTCTAATGACAGTGACAAAAAAAATTTTAAAGAGAGAAGACACAAATTACCAATATCAGTAGAGAAGCGAAATCACTACAAAGTCTACAGATATTAAAAGAATGATAAGTATATGAGAGGTCTCCATGCCACCCTCAGGTTTGATGATTTGCCAGAAAGACTCATAGAACTGAGAAAAGCAGTCGTACTCACAGTTACAGTTTATCACAATGAAAGGATTCAGATTAAAATCAGCAAAATTAAAAGACACGTAGGGAAGAGTCCAGGAGAAATCAGGTGTGAGCTTACAGCTGTCCTTTCCTAGTATATTTGTGTGGACAGCACTTAATTCTCCCAGCAATTATGTGTGACAATGCATACAAAGTATTGATTGCTAACCAGGAAGCTCACTTTGACGTGTAGGATTCTTATTGGGGGTCAATCACATAGGCAGAGAGCACTCATACAACTAACTTTAGCTACCCAATCTCCAGCCCCTCCAGGCATCAAACTGATACAGCATGGCGCAGGAAGACAAACAAACAAAAACAGCCATTTACTGAATCACGTTGTTAGCATAAACTATCTGGTAAGGCCAAAAGCCCCATGTACATAAAGATGATCTTATTAGGTGGGATATTCTAAAAGCTTGGAGCTTATCTCCTAGGAGCCAGTCAAAGGCTAGTCTTTTCTTGGGCAAGTGCAGGGTTTGAGCATCCCAAGTCCACTAAGTTAACTCTTTACTGAGCAATAAAAGAGTATTATAAACAACTTTATGCCAATACATTGAAAAACTTGGATAAAATGGACAAATATCTTGAGAGAAAAAACACCAAAGTCACTCAAGAAGATTATGTGAATAGCCCTGTATCTATTAAAGTTATTAAATTTGAAGTTAAAAACTTTCCCACAAAGGAAACTCCAAATGACTTCACTGGTAAATTCTATCAAGTATATAATGAATATCAGTAGCACAGTCAGCCAAAAAATTTGAGAGACTATTTCTCAACTCATTGTGTCAGAATATTACCCTGATCCCAAATCAGACAAAGACATTACAAGAAACAGAACTACAGACAGATATCCCTCATGAACATATGTAAAATTTCTAAATAAAATATATTAACAATTAAACCCAACATATAAAAAGGATAATATATCATACCTAAATGGAGTTTATCCCAGAAATACAAGATTAGTGTAACACTGGCCACTCAATGCAATTGACTATATTAACAATATGAAAGAGAAAAATCATATGATCATCTCAATAGACTCAGAAAAAGCATGCATCAAAATCCACTATCCATTCTGAGAAAGGTTCTCGGAAAACTAGAAACAGAAAGGAATTTCATAAGCTGTTAAAGGGCATTAATGAAAAACCTAAAGTTAACATCATGCTTAATGGTGAAAGGCTTTATGTTTTTCCCTTGTGATCAGAATCAAGTCAGGGTATACAATCTCGCTTTTTCTATTCAACATTGTACTGGTGGGTCTAGCCAGTGCAATAAGGCAAAAAAGGAAATAAAAAGCAACTAGATTAGAAAAAAAAAGATGTAAAACTGTTTATTTGCAGACATGATTGTCTTTGTAGACAATCCAATGAAATCTACCAAAAAATGCGATTACAACTAATATATTTGTTTATTGTGGTCAGAGGATACAAGATCAACAATGAGTCCATTTTATTTCTATATTGTCTTAGCTCATTTGGCTACTATAAAAAAAACCTTAGACTAGATAATTTACAAACAACAGAAATTTATTGTTCAGTTCTAGAGGCTGGGGAGTCCAAGACCAAGGTGTTGGCAGATTTGGTGTCTGGTAACGGCTTGCTCTCTGCTTCATAGATGGAATCTTGTTGCTCCATATTCACATGGAAGAGGCAATCCGACTCCCTCAAGCTTCTTTTATAAGGACACTAATCCCATACATGAGGGCCCTGACCTCGTGATCAAATTACCTCCTAAAGGCCCCACCTCTTAATACTGTCACATGAAGATTAAGTTCCAGAATATGAATTTTGTGAGGTATACCAAAATTAAGACTGTAGCAGGTATAAATAACAAACTAATTAAAAATTGAAATTAAAAATAACGCTACTTATAATAGCATCGTATTTTAAAGTAAATCTGACAGGTGTGCAAGACTTACTGTTTTGAGAGCCCAGAGCTAAACTGGGGTTGTAGTACCACAGCAACCCTGACCTTACAGGAAATGAAGGGGAACTAGATATGGGTGTTTACAGAGTGCCTTTCATGGGATACTTCTTTTACCTGGTAGACATCCTAGTTGTCTGACCCACAACCAGGGGGTCCCTCACAGGGTGATCTCTTTTATACTGGCAGACACCCTTGTGGCTCTTGTCTGACCCACATCCACTCAATGCCTTTCTGACCACTGCTCTGGCACTGGGAGTCCAACCTGTGTTTCTCCAGGGCAAAACTTGGTCTGGGGTAGCCCCATGTTCTCCAGATGGAAGGCACAAATTCAATACACAACCACAATAGGAAATAAGTTCAAAGATTTTTACTTACAGATCCTGAGTAAGGAAGGCATAAGGGTTAGAAAGGCAGTCCTATATCCCCAAGTCGTAGGTAGAAATGAAGAGTCAGGCAAAGGAGCAGGGACAGGAAAGGAAGAGAGGCAACTGGCAGTATAAAAAAGGGAATTGGATGGGTCACTTTACATTCGAGGATAAATGCTGGTAAAGCAAGGAGCTCAGTCTGTAGACAGAAGAGATGAGAACTTTTAATTAGTGCTGTAAAAAGTTATAAAAAACATAGAAGTGGGCGGGTGCTACTTAGATAGGGTGGTCATAGAACGTCTATGTGAATATTTAAGGCCAAAGCGTAAAGAAGCAGGAAGAACCAGCCAGACAAGGGAAAGATAATAATTAAAGGACAGCATTTGGGAAAGCTCTGGGTAGGTAGTAGAGGATAGTAGAAAAGAGAGTCTGGTGTATTCCAAAACCCCAACGAATGCCAATTTTGGCTGGATTATAGTGAGTGCAGAGTAAAGGGAAAGACAGCCTAATGATCACATAAGAGAGGTAGACAGGGGTGAGATCATGTAGGAACATGCAGGAACTGGGATTTTATTCAAAGTGTGCTGGGAAAGCATTTTACTGTTTTGACCAGGCTACAGACACAATTAGTCTTCATTTTTATATTCTAGGCGCTCTGATGGAGAATCAACCAGAGATATTGTCTAAATTGTCATAGGTGGTCCCCTTCTATAAACACATAAAGATGCTAAATACTGTATAACATGTTCTTATTTATGTAAACAAAAAATATATATCACAGAGCCTAAAAGAAAGCAAAGAAGATGTTGAAAGGGGGGGCCTCTACCTAGATATAGGTCCTGGGGATTGGGATTCCTACACATAATTTGAAGACAAGATTGCTGAAATAAAGCTGAGTCTAGAAAAGACAGACCATATGATCACAGAGGGTTAGAAAAACTCCAGGCACAGTGGCTCATGCCTGTGATCCCAGCAAGTGGGAGGCCCAGTTGGGCAGACCGCTTGAGCTCAGGAGTTGGAGAGCAGCCTGAGCAACATGGCAAACCTCGTCTCCACAAAAAAATATAAAAATTATCCATGCATGGTAGTGGGCACCTATAGCCCCAGCTACTCTGGAGACAAAGACATGGAAGGATCGCTTGAGTCCTGGAGACAGAGGTTGCAGTGAGCTAAGATCATGCCACTGCACTCCAGCCTACGTGACAGGGTGAGACCCTGTCTTTAAAAAAAAAACAAAAACACAAAAACTTAAGACTGTTGCTTTGGAAAAGCAGTAAGGAGGCTTGCTATCTGTGAGTAATATTATTATGTTTTTTGTTTACATAAAAACATATAACATGTTTTTATTTACATAATCAAAAAATACATCATAGAACTTAAAAGAAAGCTAAAGAGATATAGAAAGGGGGATTCTATGTAAATATAGATCCTAGGGATTGGGATTCCTTCACATATTTGAAGACAAGATTGTTGAAATAAAGTTGTGTATAATTTGTATACATATAAAGGCAATTAAAAAATACTGAGACCTGAGTCCTATATCATATATGGGGGTGGGACCCAAGAACCAAATTTACAGTAGAAGCTGAAAAAATTACCTTAAATCTGGATTAAAACAACTGAAACTTTAGGACCAATAAAACCAATCTGTAGAGACACTTTCTTAACTCAAGGAAGAGAAGACTTCTGCAGAACAAAGAACTTTGAAGATAAATTCCCACTTAAATATTACACAACATTTGAAGAAACTAGCCACCATGAGGGAGAGCCAACAGAAACAACAAACAGGAGATTTAGAACCTAGCAAACTGGAAATTATAACTTTTATACAGACGGATTTTATTATCTTTTACCACGTGTCACTTTCGCTTTGGTTCTCATTAAGGGCCAATGCAAAACCTTTTAAAATATCCTAATTTACATCTTTATTAAGATTACGGATAATTTTTGAAATTCCCCCAGAGTGAACTAAAGAACATTTATGTATAAAATTCAACATGGGGCACACAAGGTGGTTTACTGTTATTAGATGAACTAGATGGCGGTTGCCTGCAACTAGGAAACTGAATTAACTACCAGATTGCCACTGATCCCCATCTACTACTTTGGAGCTAGATAATCTATAACTTGAATATACGTAGTCTATATTCAGTCTATATTCAGAAACTGGTGGTAACTGTCTCCTCCAGGCATTTTGATTGTTTAATATTATAAAAAATGAGTACATATTTAAAATGACGCATCTGCAGCATCCCCAAATTTCAGAAACCACTTTAAGTTTTAAAAGCTCGGATTTACATGGGAAATTCCAAACATCCTTCACTTTTTATCACTTACTAAATCTGAAGTACTCATTTCAACTTTTCTTGACGTGTTTTATTTTGTACTTTACTCCTTTCTTTCATTTTGTTTAAAAATATCAACACACTAAAGCCAAAGTATTTTAAAATGTAAGCCAAGATGAGGTGTTTTGTTGTTCTTACTGCAAAAATAGTGAAAGAGAACCATGAAAAATAGTATAACTAGGTCTCTCTTGAATCATCCTTATCTATGTGTATTTTGACAACGCTTGCATCTTTTAATCTTTGCAACCATATTTCAAATGAGGAAATGGGATCTCAGGTTAGTGTTCAAGGCAGAACCCGAATTACGGTATTAGGATTCCAGGCAGGATCCTAAGAAATGCTTTCCCATCCCCCAGCACCGACGTTTTACAATGTCTTCTCTGAAAAACAGATTTAAAGGGGAGACTAAGAAATCCCGGCCGGGCGCAGTGGCTCACGCTTGTAATCCCAACACTTTGGAAGCCCGAGGCGGGCGGATACCCTAAGGTCAGGAGTTCGAGACCAGCCTGGCTAACATGGTGAAACCCCGTGTCTACTAAAAATACAGAAAATTAGCCGGGTGTGGTGGCCGGCGCCTGTAATCCCAGCTACTCGGGAGGCTGAGGCGGGAGAATCGCTTGAACCCGGGAGGCGGAGGTTGCAGTGAGCCGAGATCGTGCTATTGCACTCCAGCTTGTGCAACAAGAGCGAAACTATGTCTCAAAAAAAAAAAAAAAAAAAAGTAAGAAAAAAAGAAAAAGAAATCCCTTAAGAGGAAAGTTACATATTATAATTATTCACAAAGGAAACAACCCAAAGCAAAAGAAATCTGAGAGCCGCTCCGGCCTGCGAGAGACCTGGTTATGCCTGTTCCCTTTTCATCAATTATACCCCACCCCTTTTAAATGTTTCTTCATCATCAAAATCCTAAATCTGATCATTTCCTGAGTTAATCTGAAGGAGGCCTCCAGCGCTGTGCACACTCCCAGCAAAACACAAGGATTTTAGGGCACACTAAGAGCCACAGAGAGCACCGCTCCCGCCCCACAGGTACAGGACCCCAAAGGCACTTAGATCTCCCGTTTCCGCCACCGACTTGTTGCTCCTTCCCAAATACCTGTTTATCTCCACCCTTATCCCCATCGCCATTTCCCCCCTTAGCTCCTGAAGCGATTAACCAGCAACAGTGAGAAACAATGAGAGAGAGAGAGAGTAGAGGTAAGCCAGAGGAAACGAATGTCTGCGTGGCAAGGTTTCCTTAGGCAGTTTGTCAGGCACTGCTGAAGGCAGCCTGGAAGGAAGCCGGACCCTGAGGCCGGGGAGAGAGGGCCTTGTGTTTGGAGCCCGATGCACTGATTGGCCGCGGCCGGGGAAAAACCCGGATGAGCTGGGCAGCAGTGTTGGCAGTCGCGGCTGCGAGATTTGGGCACTTTTGGGGGTGCCGGTGGCCCGGGCCGATGGCGCAAGGTTGGGCAGGATTCTCTGAGGAGGAACTGAGGAGACTAAAGCAGACTAAAGGTTACAAGATGGGTTTACAGTGGTTTAATTCTTGGGTCTTAAGGGGAAGAGGCGGGGATGCAGCTTTGGCGGGGAAAGGGGGCGTGGAAGCGGCTACGTTTGTGTTAGCGGAAGGCGCTGTAAGTACGTGGACTGGATTAGGGGGTTTCAGAGGAGGACTTACTGGGAGTCACGACGGGAGGGGCAAGCCAGAGGACTGGGATCTTCTTTTAGAAAAAACGGTCCAGGAATCCACTGTAGGGATTTGACTCTTGTGAAAGGAATGGGACTTGGGAGAGGAAGTGAGCCTACAGCCGGGGTGTCTCCCTTAGGGAAGATTGCTGCAGGAATCAACGGTTGGAAGGTTAGGGTCAGGGTAAGGGAAGGAGGAGGGGCGCACACCGTATTAGAATTGTGATGAATTTATAGAAGCAGATGGTTGGAAAAAAGGAGCACAGGCGTCTGAATAAAGGCAAAAATTCGGTACTTTTCACAATTCATCTGGAGTGTTGCATTCACTTCTGGTTGCCAGATGATTTTTGCAGTACTTCCCAATTTTTGAGAATCAGCAAACCAAAAGGGTCTTTGAGAGGGTAGATGTGAAGACTTTATATGTTTATATACATACAGTCTTACTGACTTTGGAGTAAGCTAACCTTGTGCTTCTCTCTCTGGCTTTATAGAGTAATCATTGAATGGGCTTGTACAATTTTTTTGTTGTTGTGGAAGGAATTAAGTTTGCTGATTGTTGGTGGAAAACTTAGTAATATTAATTGCACTTTGCTTGTGGTTGAAATTTCGCAGTGATCTGTATGGTTATCGTGGTAGTACACACAATTTCTGTAAGAAGTGTACATCACTCTTGGTACCTTAATTCAAATACTTTATTTTGGTAGCAAATGAAGTAAACCTTTTGTTAGCGTTTGTGGGGAAATTGGATGTTGCTCTGGTAGCTTGTGCATTTTTAGCATAAATATGAGAATAATCTAGGGCAGACAAGTGGGAAAAGAAGTAAATTAGTAAGATAGGGCCAATGTAGATTATATCGACTGGGGACATTTTGACTGGTCCAGGGGACTTTAAAAACTCTATCATAAAGGTTAGGCTAAGCTATGTAGTTAACTGACTCTGTGTTGCTTGATATACTCAAATTCTTTTGCTTTGTGTTTTCAACATCCATTCACATACTTTGATATACAGGGTACAAGTGCCCTGGCCTCTGGTCTGACTCCAGTAGACTCATGAGGAGACAAACCACAAAGTTATGTGATAGTAGATATTGCAAGAACTTGCTTCAGAGACAAGAGGAACCTCACTCTGCCGGGGATTGGATGGAGCTTGGGAAGATTTCACAAAGTTTGTGTGTTAGCAGAGGCGCATTTTCCAGGGTAAAGATGACTTAATATAAAAATCTAAATTAAACAACATATTCATTATGTAGAAGTATATTTTGAAATATCTTTGCAACCGGGGGTAGATAGAGGATGGTGAGGACCTGAACTTCAAGGCCCACTGTAGTGTGGAAACCAAATCGCTAGTCCGTGACCACCTCGAGGACGGAAAATATCTTAACCTCCTTGTATACCCGTAGCTAAACACAGTGATTGGCATATAGAACTTCCAGCTCTTCCTCTAAATCTTTTCTCCTTGGATTCCTTATTTGTAAAATTAGAGGATTTGGCCCTTTAATTTTAAAGCCATTTCTAGCTGTTCTCTATCTTTAAAAATTTATTGAATAATTTAGGAAGATGGAGTTGGTTGCCAGGAAAAATAAGGACAGTAGTACTCTGGAGACCCCTGTATGGGCATTGAGGAACATAGTCAAGAAAGTTGTTAATAGTCTTGTTTATAATATTAAGAAGTTGGAAACAACCAAAGTGTCCATTAACAAGGGAATGGATAAATAAATTGTGGTATACTCATCTAGCGGGCTACTGTACAGCTGGTGGGAATATATTAGTATTAACTGTAGCCACATGCATTAAAATGTTTGTTAATACAGTATATGTAGTTACACTTGGCCCTTGAACAACACAAGTTTGAACTGTGATGGTTCACTTATACACAAATGTGCATTTAAAAAATACAGTATTTGGGGGATGCAAAACCTGAGTATATGGAGGGCCAACTTTTGGTGTATGTGGTCTTCACAGCGCCAACTGTGGGACTTGAGTATGCACAGATTTTGGTATACATGGGGATCCTGGAACCAATTATCCTCATATACCAAGGATCAGCTAGCTGTATATATAATATATACAGTCACGCACTCAATAACAGTATTTCAGTTAGCAGCGGACCACATATATGGTGATGGTCTGGTAATATTATAATACCCTGTTTTTACTATGCTTTTTCTATGTTTAGATACACAAATACCGTTGTTACAGTTGCCTACAGTCTTCAGTATAGTGACATACTGTACAGGTTTGGAGCTTAGGAGCAAAAGGCTGTACCATATAGCCTAAGTATATAGTAGGCTGTACCATCTAGGTTTGTGTAAATACACTCTCTGATGTTTGCGCAAGGACAAAATTGCCTTACAACACATTTCTTAGAATGTATCCCTTTGTTAAGTGACGTATGATTGTATATAGTGGGGAGGCGTGGGAATGTGATCAGGGAGAGGGAATTTCAGAGGTATTGGTATTTATGAAATCAGGTTAAGACAAGTTAAGCTAAAGTAACAAATAGCCCTAATAAGTCAATTGTTTAAAATAAAGATTTGGTTTTCACTCGTTTCATGTTTAATGTGGGTTTGGCAGGTGACTGTGTTGCACAGTCACTCCGTTTTTTGGTGCTGTCTTGTAGGAGTTTACCATAGTAGGAAGAAAAGAAGATTGAAAATTGAACATTGGCAATTAAATCCTTTCACCAGTAAATGACATGTGACACTCCTACTTTTATTTACCAAAAGCAAGTCATATAACTTGGGAGACAGGAAATAAATTCTCTCTTCTAAAAGGAGGATTATGTCTATCCTTAAAGAGTAGTTACTTCTACTACTGTCATATTTTATTTCTTAAACTTTCTTTTTAATCATATAGGTTGGAAGACTGAGTGTGTGTGTTTATGAGTGTAACACATGCATATATTTGATGTATGGTCTATTTCATAATGAAAAATTGGAAGAAAACAGTACAGCCACATGCTGTCAATTTTTAGTTAAATTATTTATTCAGAAGAGTTATTCTTCATACTGATTCTTTGCCAGTTACATTATGAATATCTTCTCCCAGTTTTTAAGTTATCTTTTCACTTTTATCTTTTTGATGAACAAAGTATTTTATTTTTTGAGACTGGCTTTCACTCTGTTGCCCAGGCTGAAGTGCAGTAGCACGATCATAGTTCACTATAACCTTGAACTCCTGGGCTCAAGCGATCCTCCTGCCTCAGACTTCCAAGTAGCTGGGATTACAGCTGTGTGCCATTACACCATGCTAGTTTTCTTCCTTTCTTTCTTCTTTTTTTTTCTGTAGGGATAGGATCTTGCTATTTTGCCTAGGTTGGTCTCAAACTCCTGGGTTCAAGAAATTCTTCCTCAGCCTCCCAAAGTGCTGAGATTACAGGCATGAGCCACCACTCCAGGCCTTAATTTTAATGTATTCAAATATGTCAACCTTTTTTTAATAGCCAACATTTCCATGTCTTAAGAAATTAGTTTCTTACTATACTTAGTATAGTAGTTACAGGTGTGAGCCACTGCACCCAGCCAGTATTCTTGACCTTCTATCTTTTCATATAAAAATTTTAATAATTTTACCAAATTTAATGGAAAACCCATTAGGAATTTTGATTGTAATTGCATTGAATCTTTAGATCAATTTCATCTTCATATTATTAACATTGCCACTAACGTGGTATATGTCTCCGTTTATTTAGTACTTGTTTAAATTCTCAATAAAATTTTAGAGTTTTCCCTATAGAGGTACTAAACATCTTTTTGTTAGATTTGTTCCTAGATAAGTAATAATTTCTGGTATTGAAATATATTCTCTTTAATTGTATTTTCTAATTGTTTTCTGCTGATATATAAAAAATACAAGACAAAAGAAAAGTCAACAAAAGACATGAATAGATATTTCCTAGAAAAGGAAATATGAAGAGATGCTCATCACCACCAAGGAGCAGAGAATTACAAATCAAGAATACAGTGAGGTACTATTTTACACCCATTTGATTGACAAAAATTAAAACATCTGACAGTATCGTGTATTGAAGAGAAAGTGCATCCACAGGATCTTATACATTACTAGAGGGAGCACACTTTGGAAAGCATTTTCACATTTCTTCTAAAGTTATATTTTGTGACTCAGTAGTTCTTAGATAATATCCAAAGCAAATTCTTGTACATGTAAAATAAGAGACACATTATTGAAATTTACAAAAGCAAAAACCTGTAACCAACCTAAATGTCTATCAGTGGAAGAAGATCAATAGACTCTGGTTTATTCACACAATGAAATGTTATACAACAAAATGAATGACTGCTGAAACATAGACAATATGAATGACTATTGACAGTGTAATATTAAGTAAAACAGATGTACAGCACAAAACCCTTTTTATAAAGTCAAACAACTAAGTAAATACTTTTTAGAAATATTTGTAGATGCAATATGACTATTAGAGAAGGAAGAGAATAATCAACATATGATTCAAATGATAGTTTTCTGAGGTGGAGGGAGCAGGGCTTAAATAAAGGATATGGAGTATATATCACAAACTGGTAGCCCATTAGCTTAATTTAACCCAAAAATGTATGTGGCTTTTCAGCTTTGCCTCCTTTCTTTCCCCTTCTTTCTTTTTTCCCTCCTTTCTTCCTGCCTGCCTTCCTTTCTTTCCCTTCTTCCCTCCCTCCCTCTTTCATTCCTTTCTTTCTTCTTTGTCTCTCTTTCTTTTATCCAATCTTTACATTTCTTTTAGTTAATAATGGTGATAATCATTGTGTTATTTGCTAAGCCAGCTATACCTGTTGCCTTTGTTTGGGGGTAGGTCCATGTACTAGGTTAGCCATTGCATTGTGAGCAGAAGTGTTATGTCACTACTGGGTCAGCAGTTAATTGCTATAGCAAGACCTTCCTGACCTCTCTCTTCTCCTTGTGTTGTGGTGGCCAGCAACACTGAATACTGACTGTACAGTCAGCCTAGAGCCTTGAGAGACTAATCAGCAGAACCTCTCTGTTAGCCTTTAGTTGGCACTTGGCATTAATGAAAAATAAACCTTTGTGGTTTAAAACCACTAAGATTTGCCCCTACAGCGTAATCTAGATTTTCCTGATTGAAACAGTTCCCTACATTTAAAAATCAAGATATTTTACATAAAAGTCTAAATTGTAATCATAAAAATCAAAATATCTGGCTATGGTGACCTAAATTTTTTAATGATAGCAATTGACTAAAGGTGACTCGGAATTTGCCCCCTTTACACTAGACTTACGCTTCTCAGTTCACCACAGTCTCCTTGATATTTGCAGCCCCTAATACAGAGTGTGGGAAGCAATATGTTCTGTGTTTAAGTGGCCTGATTTGCTTATTGTTTATTGTTTAAAATTAGCATTTTCAGTCTTATAGGTAGGTTCTGTAAAAATGCAAAATAAAATAGAAGTTACTACCTGAATTTCAGAGGAACTATTAATAATTCAGCTAATGAGTTCAACAGGGAGATAAGCAGGCTAAGTGACATTTTTTGATGGTGTGAATAAAGATCAGAGCCAAGAATGTGTTCCTGTTGCAAGATACAGGATACTTTGTGTTTCTGGCTAAAGTCAACAATAACATTTGCTTTTGATAGTACTTCAGTCTTTTAAAAAATATTTTCTGTACATATCTCATTTAATTCTTACACCAACTTCATGCATTAAGTAGAGCAGGTTAATTTTCAACCAGCTTGATAGATGAGGAAACTAAGGTATTGAATAAATAATTGACTTACCTGAGGTCACTGAGCTGGGCAGAAGCAAAGCTGGAATTGTGACTCTAGAGCTTTTAACTATACTTTGGGAAATTCAAATAATAAGCTTGTTTTGCTTCAAAAGTCAATATGCCAAATTTGAAAGTCCCATTTGAGTTGTTCATTTACAAGAACTGATAACTTCACTTCCCAGGCATTTAAGAGAGAATGCTATTTATAGATCTTATGAAATATAGTATGAATGTGGGTCAGATTCTCCAATTGTCTGCCCTAAGATGTTAACACTGGCATGGACAGTCCAAAAAGTATAATAGAAGTGTTATTATTTATAACTTTAAAGATATTTCCCCCCAGTTGTTTTATCTTCTATTGCTTTACTGAGGCTACTATTAAAATCAGTTTGAATGCATTGATTAGAGCCTGACTAGGCTTCGGGGAGTACAACCTTGGATTGTTCTGTAGGATGAAAGACAACAATTTAAGGTTAACTAGCATTCCTAGAAATAAGAGACTTCACTCAATTACATGCCTGTTATAGCATCTGAATATGTATCACATATGTACCAAATTGCCCTAAAAGCTGTTAAAATTTAAGAGAGGGTAATCCCATTTGAAAATGCAACCACCATTTTGTTTCAGTAGAGCAGACAGAACCATAAATCAAATTTAAAACCAGATAATTCAGTCACCTCCCTGATTTGGTCAAAATTAGTTGCTTTCTTTTGACAACTATGAAATCAAGTTGAAAAAGAAACTTCACTTTGTGACCTAAGGCCTAACTCACTGATGGACTTTCTCTGAAGATAAATTAAGAGATGGGGCAGTTTCTGTTAAATATTAACATTATGATCTGAAAACTATTGAAACTCTACAGGAAGATGGCTGTTTTTCCCCTAGACTTTCAAGATAGAGAATGGGGTAGGAGAACCACTAGAATTATCAACGTTTAATGTTAATTTTTTATTTTCTTAGAGGAATTATAATTATTTGCTGCCCACACAAAGGAATTTTCCTCTATTTTCTTTTACATAGATCCATTTGAACCACAGCGACGTCTCCCCGCGAAGAAAAGTCGACAACAACTTCAGCGAGAAAAAGCCCTTGTAGAGCAAAGCCAAAAACTTGGGCTTCAAGATGGATCAACCTCATTACTTCCAGAGCAGCTGCTTTCAGCACCAAAACAGAGAGTTAACGTTCAAAAACCACCTTTTTCTTCCCCTACTCTTCCGAGTCATTTCACTCTCACCTCCCCCGTTGGTGATGGACAACCACAGGGCATTGAAAGTCAGCCAAAGGAACTGGGACTTGAGAATTCCCATGATGGTCACAACAATGTTGAGATTCTACCTCCAAAGCCAGATTGCAAATTGGAGAAAAAGAAAGTGGAATTGTTAGTAAGTCTATGTGAAAAGTCCATGAGACTTTTCATTTAACCCGTTTTTTCCCAATGGGCTTTAAGGAAATATAATTTGTTTATTTTAACATTTTCTCTCCTTTATATTCATTCAATCATAGGAATGTGATGTATAAACTATTGAAAAATAGCTACTGCCTAAATATAAGCTGGACACAGGCATTCTGTATGTTTTATGTTCTTTAGTCTTCATAACAGCCTTACAATGCATGTTTATTATTTAAACTTTATACATGAGGTATCTGGGACTCAGAAAAGATGATACCTTTCTAAAGCTAATACACTGCTAGTAAATAGTAGAGATTTACAGATAAGTCTGTCTGGATCCAAAGTTTATGCCTTTTACACTGAGCAGAAGCAGTTCTTTTTTTCTTTCTTTTTTTTTTTTTTTTGAGATGGAGTCTCGCTCTGTTGCCCAGGCTGGAGTGCAATGGCGCAATCACAGCTCAGAAGCAGTTCTTATATGCATAGTGCCTCTGCCCAAATTGACCCCTTTTTTCAACTTCCAGACTATTTCCATTGGCCCAGAAATTGGAACTTGTGGAGAGACGTGAAGGGATGGTCAAAGGAGAGAGTGTAGGAAATTTAGGGGACTAATGATATAACTCAGTTCATCATTAGATTTCTTTTTATTTATTCTTTACTGTCTTTGTATTAGAAACAACCTTCATAATTTAGCTACACTGTTCTTGTGGAAGATGCCATTTTTTGATTTGCAAATTCTTAGAATTTTTTATTTGATAGCTTGTGTTTTAATATATACTCTTATTTCTTTGTTTGCTCCTGATTTATCTCTCACAGAGAAGGAATGACATTTTTCTGTTTTCTCTTTTCTGAGTTCTTTTCAAAGTATCTTTTTTTTTTTCTAATCTCTGACATCTTTTTAATCTCTGCTGATCCAGATTCTATCCTGTGAATTTAAAATGTTTCCTGTCCACTAGGGGTTTACAACTAAGAAATCATTTTGACAAGAGTTATAAAACCACATGAATTATGAAACCTATATTGAACAAGTGCATACATTAAAGTGTCTCTAAGTGTAGTTTACTAACAAAGGCCGGAGACAAATAGGAGGTAAGTTTACATTGAGCTGGACAATTTGGATTGGATGTTATAGGGAAACTTATTCTTTTTTTGGATACTTGGAAGAATTTTCATAAAAGACCTGTAACCTCAAACCATTCACGTAAAGGAGAAATTTTGAGGTTTTAAGGAGGAGAAAGGAAAGCTGTGTCCTAGAGAATGTTCAGAGATGATACCTCATTTCTCTGGGAGAGGTGGCAAAGGATAAGCCAGAGAACAGTAGAGAATTAAAGAAATGAGGAAGGAGGACAGGCGTGGTGGCCCACACCTATAATCCCAGCACTTTGGGAGGCTGAGGCAGGCACATCACTTGAGGCCAAGAGTTGAAACCAGCTTGGCCAACATGGGGAAACCCTGTCTCTACCAAAAATACAAAAAAATTAGCTGGGCGTGGTGGTGCATGCCTGTAGTCCCAGCTACTTGGGAGACTGAGGCACAAGAATTGCTTGAACCTGGGAGGTGGACGTTGCAGTGAGCCAAGATCATGCCACTGCATTCCAGCCTGGGCAACAGAGCAAGATTCTGTCCCAAAAAAAAAAAAAAAAAAAAAAAGCAGAACTGAGGAAGGATCAGAAGCAGAAGCAGGGGATGAATAAGTAGAGAATTAAAGAAATGAGAAAGGATCGGAAGCAGGGGATGCCTTCCTTCCTAGCAAGTTCACTAATGCAGCAAGTTACCATGAAGCTCTCTGAGGGCTAAAGGCCGCAATCAAAATAAAGGTTAGAGAAATCCCAGGTGTCAATATTGTAGATCATATGCAAGAGAGTGCATAGTGAGCTGTGGAACTAAGGCGCCTGGTGAGGAGATGCCTGCAGTAGTAAAAGTGAGAAATGACCAGTCCCAGCACTAAGGTGGAAGGTGTAGAAATGGAGAGAGAAGGACAATTTTGGAAGGGGCTACTAGATTTGGGAATAGAGGTATGTGATATAATGGCTGTAAGAAGTGACAGTAATAGGAATAAATAGCTTTGCCAATACCTTGTTTAATTTGAGTTGACATCAAGCTCATGACTTTATGGGAAATTTTAATGTATTTATTTTAGAATTGGACAGATTGTAAGACAATACATGTTTTCACATCTTTGAATTTTTTTCTTTAGCCCAGCATTCCAGTCTTAGCTCTTAGTGTTTTACTTTGTTTAAAAATGTCCAAGTTGGGCTGGGCACAGTGGCTCACACCTGTAATCCCAGCACTTAGGGAGGCAGAGGCGGGAGGATAGCTTGAGCCTAGGAGTTCGAGACCTGACTGGGTAATATAGCGACACCCTGTTCTCCACAAAAAGGAAAAAAGAAAGACAAAAAAAAGTCTTAAGAGTTGGGAAAAAGTGAGCAAATTGAAAGAAAATATTAATATATGAAATAAACATTGGTTATTGTCTGAAACATGTTAAGGTGGTGGAGACTTTATAGAAAACTCTAAAAGGTATAAATAATATGACATCAGCTACAAACCAATTTTTATTAATCTCCATTCTGCATATAATACATAATTAACTTACACAAATTTCTTTGTACTCCTAAACACATGCCACAGTATTCTGGCTTCCAGTTTGTGGATTCCTAGATTATATATATAATGGATTTCAGAGGTCCAATTTATGTAAGCCTCTTTACTTTAGATCGTAGTCTTTGTTCCCATTAGAGCAAAATAATGAACTGCAGATGGGTTTCTTTTAAGAGGACTTTTGAAAGAACATATACATAAATCTTCTTGATTAAATTTTATACTTAGAGGACTGAGACTGGTAAGGTGTTGGATAGGGTAGCAGTTTCTTTTTCTTTCATAAACTCATTTTTATGCTTTTTTTGCCCCCTAGGCAAGAAAAATCTCGTTGGGAAGTCCTCCAACAAGAACAACGGCTAATGGAAGAGAAAAATAAACGTAAAAAAGCTCTTTTGGCTAAAGCTATTGCAGAAAGGTGAGGCACCTGAACCAGGAGAGGCTGTTTGTAACCTGTAACCAGTTGTGTCATGTGTTATATTTGTTTTCCCATGTCTCTTTTAATAAACTGATATTTTTTCTTCAACCATTACTTTTAAGACTAACTAAACAAATTATGCTTTATAAGTGATACTGAAATACTAGTTATAATTTATTAAAGAGAACTTTTTAAGCATAGAGCATATTAAATTTGTAAATATAGTTGCAGTTTTAAAGACCTTCATTAGTGCTCCCAGTTTTAACCATCTACACATTCATAAGGGAAGCAGTAAATAGCTATCAGTATATGTAAATTAGCAACAAATGCAAGTTTTAATTTTTATGTGGGGAGGCCTTAATCATTTGATGTGTAGAGGAATAAGGTTTTCTACATAAGTGACATACTCCCATGAATCTTAATTGGATTTCCTATGGGCATTTTTCTTAAATAATTTGCCCCGCCTCCACAAGTAGAAGATACATGATATAGTTTAACTTTTTATTGATGACTCAGGGTCATTATTATGAGCACTGTGTGAGATTCAATTTTTCTTTCACCTTCCAGTGTCTATCAGCAGCCCCTTCACATTTACTGCATTGTACCAGCCGCACACAACAACATTCCCATTGGAATCATTCTTCCCATCCCCCACCACTCTTGCTGAGTTTGTAGTTTCTGTCTAATCTCCTGTGGCCTTAGGAAACTAAACTTAGTCAATATATCCATGGTTGTGAATAGTGAAAACTAAATGCAAGGAAGTACATTTTCTTTTTAGACTTCCAGAAAAGTCTGTCAAACTGTTACTGCTTGAAGCTAGAGTATGTGTAGGGGCAGGAGAAGAGGGAAGAAGGTGATGGGTATAAGAGTAGTTCAGAATTTTGTCTGCCAGAGGAGTGAGTGTAGTTGAGAAATGGTGATTTTTCTTTTTCTACTACTGGTACACCTTGATCTTTCTTGAAGCATAGGAAATAATGCAACTCACTGAGTTACTATGTTTCAAAGGAAAAAACCAGCAGATAAAAGAGTAGTGCCCTCTTTTTTTTTTTTTTTGGTAAGTGATTATTTAAAAATAATTAAAGCATTTTAGTAGTCTTCAATTTCTAAGAGATGGGAAGGCTGTTTTCTGTGGTTTTACAAAAAGATGTACAGGCTCAGCAGTTCTTCTCATAAGTGCTTTTGATTTTAGACAGCACCAGTATAAACAGAAGTGTAAGGAAATACAACGTTTGAACTATTAATAAATGGACAATGAAGTACTTGACGTAAAAGAATCATACTGTTAAGTGAAGTTTTGTAGGCAGAAAGGAAGGGTAAATGCCTAAGAGTAGAAATCAAGAGAATGTGCTATGTAACATGGTGGATTTATGTGGGGATTTTTCTTCTTCCTTCACAATGTGTGTGAAAATTTGAAATGAGTGAAATCATGATTAAAGGGTTGCTTTTTTATTTGTTTGTTCCCTTTCTTAAGTATATATTGTACTTGGGAGAGGGGATTGAGAAATTATGAGGTTGGATGTGCTTTTAAATAAGGAAAATGAGTGTTTTGATGTTCAGCTCCATAAAGAATTTTCGTAACTAGTAGTTTTCCTAGAGAACAAGAATCAAAGCAATAAAAGTTTGGGGAAATGGGTCCCAAGAAAGTTAAAACTAAGTGGATGTTCTCAGATATATAAAGAGGTGTGGTTTAGTATAGACATCTATCTGTTCTTAATGTCAGGTAAGTATCAGACAAATGAAAATGGGCTTAGCAAGAGGAAGAATTAAAGACTAGAAATTTGGAAAGCTCTGTTGAATGTTTCAATGTAAAGGGAACACAGATATATTCTTTTAGTGTTTGTTCTCTTTACAGAATGAATATCAATCTAAAATGAACTATTTGCTGAGTTTTTTTAGACTTATTTGTTACTTTATGAAACATGCAAATATAAAATTTCAAAAACTCAAATGTTAACCAGCTTTTACTTTATTTCAATTTTTCTGATTTTTTTCTAACTTTTAAAATATAAATTATAAATGTATATGCAGTATCTTGCTTTTTCACTTACATTGTATATGGACACATGGTTTTAAAATGTTCTTATTTTCCCACTCACATACCTGATTTTCTAGATCCAAAAGAACTCAGGCAGAGACCATGAAACTAAAGCGGATCCAGAAGGAGTTGCAGGCTTTAGATGACATGGTGTCAGCTGACATTGGAATTCTCAGGAACCGGATTGATCAGGCCAGCTTAGACTATTCATACGCTCGGTGAGTTGGGGAAATTGAATCTGAACAAGGAGTATGATTTAATTAATGTTTATTGCCAGCTGTTCCAGGGGCTTTTATGTATATCATCATTGAAGCCTCAAAACAACCCCATTCAGTGCTGTATTTATTCTTCTTTTGTGCTAATTCAAGTGTCTCCTCTTCAGTGAAGTCTTCCTTAACTCTGCCCTACTAGTTAACCTTGTTCGTGTGCCATTAGAGCAGTTCTTGCATTATTTATTTACGTTTTAGTCTTTGCTGCGAAACCCTCAGCTATTTAATGTTTGGAAGTGTTTTTGCTCATCTTTCAGCATCTAGCAAAGTAAATATCTGAGTGGTTTCGCCAAAACTGTTACTCTGACACCAAGTCTGTGTTCTTTCCATTAAAATTTTTGATATCTGATATAGTCCTATAGGATTGAAGTCTAGTCCTCACTTTAGCTTTCATCAGAGTAAGAGGATCTAGTTTAGTTTTTAAAAGCTTATGAATATTTTAAGCATATCCTCTGTCTTGGAAATTTGAAATATTTTCTCTTTTTTTTTCCTTTCAATTATACTCTGTATGAAATGGTTTAATATATGTTTCCTTGGTTTCAACCATTGGCATTTTTTAAAAGAGAAAAAATACCATGGAGTATTTTTAAAATGAACTAACACATGTAATGAATTACATGGACTTTGCAGACAGATAAAAGGGCAAAAAAATATGTCCAATTTCAGGGTTTTCAGCCCTTTCAACATTGCTTTAATCATCCTGGTTTGTCTTTTTTCACAAGGGAATGCTGTGTTAATGACTCAGTTTTCTATCTTACTCTGTTACACTAGAAATGAATCAGAATGCCTCATTAGGCCAGGGTAAACCACAACATCAGAATGTTTATATAACAATTTATTAAAGCGGAAATGCTTGATTGTGGTTTTTAATAAACTGTTGAGTGTTTAAGAAAGAGTCTTGTGGTTGTCCTTGTGACTTTTGTAATTGTTGTTGGACCATATGCTATTAGACTTAGAGTTGTCTTTATTAATTAACTACTTAAAAGAATGCCATCAGTAGCTGATAACCAGAGGTTCCAGGTTTCCATTAATAAGGTCATTAAGGGAGATAACAGAGATTTTATTTAAGATTAAACTAAGCCTTGATTTGTAGCACATTTTATTCTCTGTAACATAAGTTTGCCAGAGGAACATTTTTATGCCTTTGTAGCCTTTTATATGAATAATTCATATTATAAGGTAGAAGTACTAGGTACCTCAGTTGAAATTTGAGGCCGGGCACGGTGGCTCACGCCTGTAATCTCAGCATTTTGGGAGGCCAAGGCAGGTGGATCACGAGGTCAGGAGTTCAAGACCATCCTGGCTAACACGGTGAAACTTCATCTGTACTAAAAATACAAAAAATTAGCTGGGCGTGGTGGTGGGCGCCTATAGTCCCAGCTACTCAGGAGGCTGAAGCAGGAGAATGGCGTGAACCTGGGAGGCGGATCTTGCAGTGAGCCAAGATTGCGCCACTGCACTCCAGCCTGGGCAACAGAGCGAGACTCCGTCTCAAAAAAAAAAAAGAAAGAAAAGTAATTTGATTTTAATTTTGTCCTAGTGGAAACTGGAGAAAGACGCTTTTTCATATTCAGTATTATATAAGAAATGTCATAGTTTTAGCCTTCTAAGAACCACAACAAAGAAGGTGGGATTACTAAAGGAAAAAACATCCTATAGTCTATAAGTATCCTAAATGAAATTTTAGTAAATTTTTAAATCTTTAGTAAGTTACAGATGACAGTTTCTCATGGTACTAATATTGATGTAGTTGAATGTAAGTAGATGTTGTGTGCCACTATTTTTGTTTTTATTTTTAGGTTTTTGAGACGGAGTATCACTCTTATTGCCCAGGCTGGAGTGCAGTGGTGCGATTTTGGCTCACTGCAACCTCCGCCTCCCAGATTCAAGCGATCCTCCTGCCTCAGCCTCCTGAGTAGCCCAACTATAGGTGCCCACCACCACACCTGGCTAATTTTTTGTATTTTTAATAGAGATGGGGTTTCACCATGTTGGCCAGGCTGGTCTCCAACTCTTGACCTCAGGTGATCCGCCTGCCTCAGCCTCCCAAAGTTCTGGGATTACAGGTGTGAGCCACCACGCCTGGCCATGTGCTGCTATTTTCAAAAGCCGAAGCTCTTGCGTTGAGTCAAAGGGAAACAAAGACTTTGGTGACTAGAACCGTAGTGTGTCTTGTTCATGCGTAAGATTAAGGTATTATTTTCTAAACTTGCATTTGTGGTTATTGAGAAATTACAGATCGGTAAAATAATATTATGGTCCAGATTTGAAGTGAAAGATAATCCCTAGGACAGTCAGTTTTTATGGGAGATTTCCTTGTTTTTTCTTTTTTTAATAAAAATGATATCTTAGTTCTATAGTATTTGGTACAGTGCTATGTCCACAAAAGGTTCTTGGATAGTGAATAGGCCAGAACTTGCTTTAAAATTGGCTTCTGTAGAGCAGTGTTTGGATAGACACCTCTGAGAAGACTAGCACTTTGAGCCAATTTGAGAGAGTTGCTGCTGCTGCTGCTGCTACTGCTGCTACTGCTGCTACTGCTGCTACTGCTGCTACTGCTACTACTGCTACTGTTCACCACTGGGATTACAATGTTGCCATATGCTGTGCAGACCAGTTTATAAAATCCAGAGTGGCTGCATGTAGAACATTTTTTTAAATCACTATTGACCATCTAGGTTTCATAGACACCCTCATACATGCAAACATACACCCACAGACGAATATTTTTAAATCACTTTATGAGTAATTTTTAAAAGTAAGATTAAAAGGGATTGTGTAAAACAACTTTAAAATTTTAATAAGAATGTAAGCATGGTAACCATCTTTGTATCAAGTAATGTTTGACTCACAAACATAAAAAGCTGAGAGAGTATAGTTACATCCTTGTAGCAACACAAGATAGTCTAGATACTTGTAAAATATTGGGTGTATGTTCTCCCTGCTGAAATGATTAACTCTATGATAAAATCATTTTTCCTTTCTATGCTTAGAAATATATTT
The DNA here is from genome assembly GCF_000001405.40 of Homo sapiens. Taxonomy (NCBI): domain Eukaryota; kingdom Metazoa; phylum Chordata; class Mammalia; order Primates; family Hominidae; genus Homo; species Homo sapiens. The sequence continues at coordinate 170,547,900 of NC_000001.11, forward strand.
TTTACTGACTGATTCTTAAGTTTGAGAAAATTCACCTAGGATATGTTTTGCTGAAGACTCATCTGAGATTTCACATATGATCGATTTTATCATCTAGACTCTAGAATGTGTCTCTGCATTTGTATTAGTTTCCTAAGACTACCATAAGAAGTAATCCAAACTGGGTGACTTAAAACAACAGAAATTACTTCTCTTTCATTTCTGGAGGCCACATATCCAAAATCAAGGTGTCAGATTTGTGATTTCTTCAGAGACTCTAGGTATCCATTTCTTGCCTCTTCCAGCTTCTGGTGGCTGTGGGCATCCCTTGGCTTGTGGCCACGCCATGCCATTCTGTGCCTCCATAGTTATGTTGCTTTTTCTTCTCTCTCTAAACTTCCTCTGCCTTTCTCTTAAAAAGATGCATGTGATTACACTTAGGGTCCAGCTGGATAATCTGGAATAAACTCCTCAAAACCTTTATCTTAATCACATCTTTTTCCATATAAGATAATTTTCACTCATTTGTCATAGAAAGTAATATTCACAGGTCCCAGGAATTAGAAAGTGAATATCTTTGGGAGGCCATTTTTTAGCCTACCACACCATTCATCTTTTGATTTCTTTAACAGTGGCAAGATGTCTTCCTCTGTCAGTTGTCTCCACTTTGCAAATACTGGATAGGCAGAAAATGAAAACTAAAAACAGGTTACAAAAATGGTGTTTTCAGTCTTCTTTTATACTTTCTGGAGGTGACATGATACTTTGTACAGCACAGTAAAGAAGCTCAACAATGATAAGTTATTGCATCATCCTTTCAGATCATTTTCTTATTTTAATTTCTTTTTATTACAAAAGGGAATAATTGATAAGTAATGATGAAATAATTCCTAGGATGATGAAATGGCAAAATGTTTCAAGATACAGGAAATATAAAAATACTGCAATAATCCTATAATATATCTTAGATTTATGAAAGGGTTCTTTGGACCTCTCTGGTAATTGCAAAATATAATTTATTTTATTCTGTTTTTTTAAATAAGTAAATTTTCTCATTATTTGAAAGACTTAAGAAAAGATAAAAATTATGAAATGCTAATTTATACAAATAGTGAGAACTGCTCAGAAAAGGAACTGAAAAACTAAAAGTGGACCCGTGGAACCCAGTGGTATACTGAGGGTTAATGGTTGAGTTTTTAAACATTTCAGGGGATACCAAAACAAAGAGACAATTTCTAGAATCCTTTAAAAATAACATTCATTAATTCATTCCATCCCCCTTTAAAATAACAAAACAGTTCTATAATTACATTTCCAGTTCACTCTGTCTTACTGTGTTATGTATAATGCTCTTATTATTTTGTTCCAGAATGTCATCATACACTAATTTGGTATTACCCACCTGACCATAGGCTGGTAGTGCAGTTTGTGAAACTAATCAATATTTTAAACATTAAATCACTCTGTGGGAGAATATATATTCGTATTTCTGGCCAGAAGGACTTTAAATAAATAAACAAAATACAAAATCTTCAGTGATTTATCCAGGGTGATAGATCAATGGAAACCAAGGGACCTGTTCGCAAATGTTAATTTCAATTCAGTATTCATGAATCCAGACTGTAAATCTCTACTGATTGACTTTGACTGGCTGAAGGAGACCACAGACTTGCAGAAAAGGGAGGTTTGAGGCAGGGTCAGGGCAGGGTATTCATACACCTATAGAGAATGTCAGAACTCTTGTCTTGTTGCAAGAACATTACATGAACAGGGTATGTTATAAAGTATGGAGATAAGGGAACTAGGTATCCAGTAGAGTTCCTTTAGAACAATTCTTTTAACATAGAGGGTTATTGAAAGATAATGGGTGCTCTCATTTTTACATTTACTATATTTACAGTTAAAAAAGGAAATAGGATAAATTAACATTATGTAAATGAGTTTTCAAGTATAAATACCAGGTCCCTAAATTTTCCATAATCTTAATTTTAGATTCATGCTTACTAATATATTAACAGTACTTTTTGATTCTGGTGTTCTAAATGAGAAGTTCTGTTTCTTGAGCACCTACCAGGCACAAAACTGGAAGTTTGCCCCATTTATACTGTTTAATCTTCAAAACTCCTATGAGGTATTATTATCATCATTGTTTTACAGGTAGACCAAGACTCAGCTTAAGTAACTGCTCAGAGTCACTGTGCCGGAATTTTCAGTTATTGCATGCCTCTTCCCCAACCCCTTCCAGAGGAACCTGGCTGTGTTTTGGACTCAGGATGCTGACCTGGGGCATACCTAATTAGAATAGTGATGGGCTACCGACTCCAGTACATTTAATCCATAGGCTAAATAGTGGTTCACGGCATGGCCTGACACTAAGAGTTCTGTTTAAACTGAGATGAGCCGGGCAAACCTATGTTCTCCTCTGAGAGTGTGGAATTGGATCACTGAGAGATTGGGTGGAGTGAATTTGATACAGAGTGCAGGTGGTGGCCATATTGGCCTGTGAGTATGATAGGAAAGCTGAAATGAGAGAAAATGTGTCGCTTCTAAGCATTGAAAAGAATAGCCTTTGATTCTGATGACATGACTATGAAATTGCCTCGTGTATCCTACAATAAAACCCAATTTTTACCTGAGCTAGTTTGACTGGATATCTGTTCTTTGTATCCACAAGAAGCCTTGACCGAAATGGGTACACATGGTAAATGTCAGGAAGGTTTTGAACCCTGAGTTTTCTAAAATGAAAGCCATTTATTATTTTCACTGTATTTTCTTCCAAGACAGAGAATCCTAAATTAGGAGATATACCTGTTTCTTTTTTGCTATAACTCTTGTACTAGAAGCTACTTATTACACTAAGTTGATGTAGGCACTCATAACAGGTAAAGCAGCATGGCCTTCACAACTGCTAATGGTAATGAAATTAAAGAACTAGTTGGAAATCAATCTTTTTTCTTGCAAGAGAGGAAGGACCCTCTTGTTGCAAAAAGAAAAGCAACAAATTTTATAGAAAAGGCAAAAGACAATAAATTAAGACACGATAACTCTTCTTTTTGTACTGACCTAATGCAGAAGAAAAAAAGTGAGATTGCAAGGTGACTTCTCTAGTAGAATTGCCCTATTTCACATAAGACTTCACATAAGATTACCTGTCAACAGAGTTTATACATGTGTAACTATGTAAAATTTCCTAGTAAGAGTGTAAGAGGAGTAGTGGAGAGAATGAGAACAACTTAACCCAAGGATTCTCAACTGGGAGCATTTGTGTCCAATAAGGGACATTTGGCAATGCCTGGGGACATTTTTGGTTGTCATAAATTTTGGGAATTACTGGCAACTAATGGGTAGAAGCCAGTGATGCTGTTTAGCATCTTGCAGTGCAGGACAGCTTCTCACAACAAATAATTATATGGCCCAAATTGTCAGTAGCACCAAGGTTGAGAAATCCTGCATATAGCTATCCTGAGGTTTTCTACTTGATGTTTACTTCTTGCCCTCACCCAGTATCATTTTGCTGGGTGTGCTCTGTTCCATTTATATTCATCTCCCGACCACTGTCCGTATCTTTCTCCATCAGAATTTTTCTTTTTTTCTAATTTATTAATCAAGAGAACAATTTTCCACTTTCTCCATCTCTTGTCTGTCTTCTCATAAATTTAACCAGCTGTGTGCTGAAGCTAGCTTACCCTGGTTCATGTGGATTTTGTGTATCTCTTCCCAGTTCTGCATTCAGTAATATCACGTTGGTGGCTTGAAATTGGACAGGGTGGTAGTAATTATCCCATGGAAATGTAAACGCTACAAATCAGGGCTCCCCATCCTCCCACCCCAGAACTAGCATACCACTGAATTAACCTTTTAGCCTGCCTTCACTCAAAAACAGCTTTGTAAAGAAAACATTCGTGCAGAATAACATGTTTTCATTAGGTGAATTCAAGTAAGGATACTGTGAAAGTTTCAGCAGCCATAGCCTAGTCTGGCCAACATGTAGACAAGTGTTTGTAAAGTAGTAATATCCGTATCTTCATTATATATTTTTTCCCAATTTTGGAGTTGAGTTATTGTTTCTAGATCCTCTTTTGAATATCTTCTTCAATGGAAAACTGATGGACCTATCTTTATACACATCCTTACAGGAAGCGGTTTGACAGGGCTGAAGCAGAGTACATTGCAGCAAAGCTAGATATACAGCGCAAGACTGAGATAAAAGAGCAACTCACTGAACACCTTTGTACGATCATACAGCAAAATGAGCTCCGAAAGGCCAAGAAGTTGGAGGAGTTGATGCAACAACTAGATGTAGAAGCCGATGAAGAGACTTTGGAGCTTGAGGTGGAGGTCGAGAGATTGCTACACGAACAAGAAGTAGAATCAAGGAGACCAGTGGTTCGTTTAGAGAGGCCATTTCAGCCTGCGGAGGAGAGTGTGACATTAGAATTTGCTAAAGAGAACAGAAAGTGTCAAGAACAAGCTGTTTCCCCAAAGGTAGATGACCAGTGTGGAAATTCCAGTAGCATCCCCTTTCTTAGTCCAAACTGCCCAAATCAAGAAGGTAATGACATTTCAGCTGCTTTGGCCACATGAAGTTCTGGTATTCTTTTGAGCTAATATGGTATTGAGTAAAGTATACTTTTTGCAGTAGATCATGCCCTGACCTCCAATAAAAACCTCTTTAAAACAATGCTGATTTTTGAATTCATGATTAGTTTTAGTAAATTAATAGGTTTGGCCATTCTAAAATCCAAAATTATGATAACTGTATTTCTAGGGGTATGTTTCACCTTGATTTTGGCCCGGTTCTTTCAGTGTTCCGTTTACCCTTTTTACTGAAAGTAAGTGACTTAAAAGGATGGAAGAAAAACTACATGGTTGGAGTGTTTTTAGATCAGATAAATATAGAAAAGTAAAATGGAAAATGATACTCAATACCTAGTTAAACTCATTTCACTTCTCCTGGGAGACGTATTAAGACTGGAAGTCCTATTTTATTTAATCAGTATCAGTAAAAAGACAAAAATTACAGTGTGAACAAGAGAAAAACAGGAATAGAAGAAAAAAGTTGCAGGTTGAATTATCTATCTGGATATTACTAGAGTTGTAAAACACAACTTGGAAACTGGAATTTATGTGAAGAACCAAACAACTTAAACCAGCATCACTTTTGTCTTCAATTTGCCTTCCAGTGATTTTAGTTTACAACCTGCGTTTTGTTATTTGAAACACACACACTTATATATAAACACATGTAATTTTACTATTTTATTGTCTTTCCTTTAATCGATGAATTGATTAAATTTAGACAATTAAAACATTTCTAAAGTGAGACTGAAAATAATATAGAAAATCTCATTGCTACTTGTGATTATCAAAAAAAGTATGTATTTTCTTTCTAAAGTTATCTATAAATATGTTTTTGATATGTTGGACATGAATTACCCTGTCATGAAGCGTTTAAATTGTTAAAATGCTGATTTTCTTATTAGTTTGTTAATTGCCTGTTACTAGTACTTGACCAATACATTGTGCTATATGTAAATGTGTAAATAAATATTGTAATTTTCTCACAAAGTCTGTGAATATCACATTATGATTTATTTATCAGAAATTCCAAAAAGTAAAAATATTACCTTTGAGGACTTTTTTTTTTTAAAAAAAGAATTATTATCAGAGAACATAAGCACAAGTATAAGATTGTATCCATAAAAGTTTCTGAAAAACTTAGGGACATCCTGTTTTTAAATGGGTTTGTTTGAGGGTATTATCTTCTGGTAATATAGATGAGCTTTATATTTTTATATTATGTAATTTGAGTTGAAAGTATAACATTTTACTACTGACTTCTCTAAACAGAAGCATTTCTATAGATAGTTGTGCTTTTATTTATGAAATACATAAAAGCCAACAGTTTCATTGTCTAACACACTTCTTTTTCTAAGGAATAAACAAGTCTGATGTACTTATAGTGTCTTTCATTTACCTTAAAAAAATTTCAAACAGTTTAGTATGTATTAAGCATTGTGTGACAATAATGCATCTTGGATCTCCTTGTGGTACATACAGTTACTTACTTTTATTAAGCCTCTGTTAAGGAAAATTCATTATCAGTGAGGTTTTATAATATTGGTTAAATGCAGGCATGTGCAATCTTAATTCTCAGTGTAAACCCTTCAAAGATATATGAAGAAATGAGAACCGTGAAAAAAATATAAGTTAGATGAGACCTCAGAGATAATCTAATTTAATCTTTTATTTTTTTGAGATGGAGTCTCACTCTGCCACCCAGGTTGGAGTGCAGTGGCACGATCTCGGCTCACCGCAACTTCCACCTCCCAGGTTCAAGCAATTCTTCTGCCTCAGCCTCCCAAGTAACTGGGATTACAGGTGCCTGCCACCACACCTGGCTAATTTTTCTATTTTTAGTAGAGACGAGGCTTCACCATGTTGGCGAGGCTGGTCTCAAACTCCTGACCTCAGGTGATCCTCCTCAGCATCCCAAAATGCTGGGATTACAGGCGTGAGCCCCCTCGCCCAGCCTCGTTTTATTTTATAGTGAAGAATTTGAGAGCCAAAGATTTCAGTAGCAGCTTGGCCAGCTGGCTCATTTGAAATTTAAAGTGCTAGTAAAGTTGCAGTTCCATATTCCAGGTGTGTCACTTACATATTTCAGGCTGTGAAGTTCACTGCACTGCATCCCTCCACTTGCAAATTTTGCTCTATAACCCGTTGAGGAAGAGTGTGTGTGTGTGTGTGTGTGTGTGTGTGTGAGAGAGAGAGAGAGAGAGAGAGAGAGAGAGGGAGAGGGAGAGAAAAGTGCTTTCAAATGTGGCTGTAAAAGGTCCACTGAACCCATTATTTTGAAAAAATGTTATCTTGCTTGGCTTTCCCAGGGTGGTATCAGAGTGCTCAGGTGATGATATAAGTGACAAAATCATATTGCATCAGTTTTATACAAAGGCAGCTGTATCCCATCTGTGGGAGGAACAAGAGCAAATGAATGAGAAGTGAGGGTTCATTGGTATGAAGACCATATGCACTGGCTTTTCCGGGATCGCCCTGACACAGACATATTTAAAATAAAATACAGTACATTTGAAGGGCTTTGATATATAAATTCACAAATACACAATAATTGTTAATTTCTGTGAAGGAAATTACTGGCTCAAAATTACTGCCATGAGTTTATTGCAGCATTTTATAGAGCTGTCCCTCCTTGGGTTAAACTACTCTCCTTGCTTCCACTTCTCAAATTGTTAGAGCAAAGGTGTATCAGGATTCCTAATGATGTGAAAAGTAACCTAGGGGCCACCTCCTTTGTGTTATCTCACTTGTTCTATTTAAAAGACAATCTTTACCAAATTGTAGTAATTCTCACTTAAAGTATACATTTACTTGGGTAAACTTAAATTCCTGAATAGAGGGGTTTTTATACTTTGATTTTCTATTCCTTTCTTTAGGGCCATTTTTGGGGGGTTTCAGAGAAGCAAAATTTCTTAAAGCACAGTCCTCATTGCACTTAAATAAAAACTTGAGTTTTTCACCTCCGCATAGTTCTGCTGAATTACAGCACTTGCAGGTGGTAAATCTTTGTACTCACTGAGGACAGCTGGTTTCCAAGTCAGATGATAATCTCTTACTGGAATTCCTACAGCATATTTCATTGCTGGATTGGCATTTGAATTATAGAGTAAAAATTCAGCTATAAACTTCTCATTCTTTGCATTTAGCAACATAGTACTCTCAAGGAACTTATCTAAATATTCAGCAACTTCCTCTTCATGGCATTGGCACAAAATGAACTCAAGTTATTCTGACCCAGGCCATTCCCAGTGACCTTTATAAATGATGTTTTGAGTTTTATATTTCTAAGGAACCAAGTCAGCCTTTTAAAAGGCCCTGATAGATGTAACTCAGTCTGCCAGGCAAGACCTGGGGCCACTCTGGATCAGGGTAATTATACCCTTTCTCAACATAGATCTATCCTAGGCCTGATTTGAACTATTCTCTGGTGGGATGAAGCAGGACACTGTTCTCCAATCTGGCTTTATCTTAATGTCAGGCTATTTGTGCAAGCTTCTAAAGCCAAACAGCTGTCTTGAAAATACGATATCATTTATTTATGCAATTGATCAAACAACTGAGTATAGCTATCTATAGGGACAGAGCTATGTAAGAGGCATATGATCTCTGCCTTTTGTTCTTCAGAAGCTTATACTTTAATTGAAGCAATAGAATTTACACTCATAAAACAGGTTGATATGAAACAATGTCTTAATGGAAAGCAAACTAAGTGATTGGAACATTGAACATGGATGTATCCTCCAGAAGTCCCAAATTTGTAAAACACTCTTAATTTTATTCTATCTAGTTTTGCAATCTATGCATGTGCCTAGGACCTACCATATCTTTCAGTTTGCCTTTAGTACTATGGAGCAACACATATACAACCAAAACAAAAAACAAAAATATCTATGTTAACACAGTGTATGTAATCCCAGTGCTTTGGGAGGCTGAAGTGGGCGAATGACTTGAGCTCAGGAGGTCAAGACCAGCCTGGACAATGTGGCAAAAAAAACCCCATCTCTACCAAAAATACAAAAAATTAGCCAAACATGATGGTGTGCACTTGTGGTCCAGGCTACTTGGGAGGCTGGGGTAGAGGATCAATTGAGCCTGGGAGGCAGAGGTTGCAGTGAGCCAAAATCATGCCACTGCACTCCAGCCTGGGCAACACAGTGAGACCCTGTCAAAAAAAGAAAAAAAAAAGACAATATATGCAGATTTTGAGTTTGAAAAGTACAGTCCCCAGGACAAGAGTGAATTGGAAAGAGGGAAGGTTTTTGACTGTCACTGATTTAAAATAGGGGACCCATTGGGATTCATCAGTGCAAAACTCCATCAAGTATTGGGAAAAATTACTTTAAGAACAGACCTTTCTGACTGAGGGTTGATGGTATCTCGTTAGATGAAAAACAGCATAAATGTTAGCACTCATTACAATTTTTCAGGGTGTTGTGGAACCAAGGGTCAGTAAGTATTGCCTAAGTCAGAACAAGATGTAAATGGAACAGACAATGTGAGCTCAAGGATAACTCAACATGGAGGCTTGTTCAAAGATCACATATAAGGGAGGTCTTTCCAAGCCAAATGATTCCATGAGCCTAAAATAGAACCATAATTAAGCAATAAGATGTGACAGGGATAACATTTCTTAGTGATTATAGCATGCCTCAAGGGATAAGTCAGTAGGCCAAAGGTTCAGCTGAGGAGTGAAACAACCCTGCAATGTATAGTGTCACTGCTGTTAGAGGGAGAATGAGAAGGAAATGAACAATTGGAGTTAGAAGAGTCATTTCATGAGCCATTATTTCAGTTGTTGGGTAATATTACCATGTGTATAGTACATGTGGCCATTAGTTGTATCCAGCATTCTGAAGCTGTGTATTTATGCCAGAGCTTTCACTAAATTTAAAACTGCAGAATTAACTATCTCATATCTGTAACCAAGCAAAAACCAGGCAGTTCAGACACAAACTTGAAAATCAGTAGCCATAAATATGGAAGTACAGTCTGGTAGAATTATGATTACAGTTGCTTAGCCCTGAAGCATGTTGGGTCATTTCCCATACTGTGGTTCATTCACCTCATGTGCATTTCCCTCAGAAATTACCAGTAGGCATGGCTCCAGTGTCACAGCCAGAAGCATCTCGAACTTTTTAGTCTGAGCTTTTCCTTCCCTACCACTATGCTGTTGGTGGAAGAGAGGGAGGACCCTAGAACTAGTGATCAACTAAACTGCACACTATGGTGGTGCCAGGTGTTTCAACAGGATGAAAAATGAGATGCCCAGTAGCCATAAGATGGGACAAGAAGTACCCAACTCTGACAGAGACACTGGAAAGCCCGGCAGATAGAAGCAGGTGTCTTATTGCTGTATTCCTCTCCATGTGTCTGTCTGACCACTTCAGAAGATACGAAATGAAGAGGGCAAGGTCTCCTGTGGTCCTACTAGTCTCCCATGGCACAAGACAGGTCTGTATTCTAGACAAAAGTCTAGGCAAACAATGGCTTCTCTTAGCCTAAGCCCTCTTTCAGGGCGCCAGTGCTCTTTCTTTCAAAATATGCTCTTTGGAGAAGATCTGAAGACAGTTACTTGAATCTTGGGGAAATTTTAAGTTAGTAGATCACTTCTCCCAAGAGTGTTTGCATTTTAATGTAGTGGAATATTTTAAAGTAATGTATTTTAATTTGTGTAGTATAACTTTTAGCCCCTAGCTAAAGAAATGCCAAGCATCAGAGACCAGGTGAGAGAACTGGGGAATGGTGTGCCTGGAGAGGACTTGAGGACATCCTGAAATCATATCCTAGTGCATGAGCTGAGAAATGAGTTCCTGAAGCCTTTGCCTATACTATGATAATCTCCATTTGAGGAAAATTACCCCAACCTGTCCTGTTCCTATTGCTGGTGCAACATGCTGTTAGAGAAGGGAAACCAACTATGCCATTCTAGCCACATATATCTGTTGTTTATGGCTGCATAACAAACCACCGCATAACTTAGTGTCTTGACACAATAACCACTTTTATTTGCTCATGGTTCTGTGGGTCAGCAATTTGGTCTAGATTCAGCTGGAAAGTTCTGCTGATCTTGCTGGGGATCACTCATGTGATTGCAGTAGTCAGGTGGCTTTCCTAGGGCTGGATGATCCAAGGCAGCCTCATTCACATTCTGGCTGTTGGTGATGCCTGTCACCTAGATCTTTTTTTCCATTTAGTCTCTCAGTCTCAAGGAGCTAGCTCAGGCTTCTATTCATGGAGGTCCCAGGGTTCCAAGATGGCAACAGTAGGAGATGCAGGGCTTCTTGAAGTCATATCACATTACTTGCTGCAGTCCACTGATGAAAGCAAGTCATAGGACTGGCCAAGATTCAAGTGGTGAACAAACAGTCTTGACAACTTGATGGGAGGAGTAGGAAAGTCACATTGCAAAGGGGCATTCATATAGGAATGAGAGGGATTGTTGTGATCTTTGCAAACAATTTACCACAGTCGGCTGGCTGCCTTGTTACAATCATTTACATCCATTACAAATACAAAAATGTATTCACCGCCTCCCCAAAAAGCCTCATCCATCCCATTCTGGTTTCAGATGTGGAGTCCAGGATTTCGTCATCTAATCAAGTCCAGATGTGAATGAGGCACCTCAGGTTTCGAACTGCCAACGTGACTCCTCTTAGTCTAAAAACTTGTGAACTAAAATGAAAATTTACCTGTCCTCACCACACTTCAATATACAGTGGTGAGGGGAATAGGATAGCTTCAGGAGACAGTCCCTTTTTAAAAGGAAAGGTAGTTGGGCATAGTGGCTCTCACTTGTATTACTTGCACTTTGGGAGGCTGAGGCAGAAGAATTACTTGGGGCCATGAATTTGCCTGGGCAACATAGTGAGAACTCATCTCTACAGAAAGTTTTTAAAATAATAAAACTATCCGGGCATAGTGGCACACACGTAGTCCTAGATATTCAAGAGGCTGAAGCAAGAGTATTGCTTGAGCCCATAATTTAAGGTTGCAGTGAGCTATGATTGCACCACTGCACTCCAGCCTGGGCAACAGACTAAGATGCAGTCTGAAAAAAATAAAATAGCAACAACAAAAAGAAGAAGAGGAACAGGAAGCAAATGGGAAGCATCCTGAAATCTAGCCTGGGACATATTGTCAGGACTCTCTTTTCTGGAGACAGTGAGTGTAATTTGGGTTTAATTCTGCTTTCTGGGAGTGGTTACCTAGTTCTAGGTTTTCCACAATTCTTGGCTCTGCACTCTGAGATATCTGTTTTTTGTTTTTGTTTTTGTTTTTTCCTCAAGGAATGATCCGTGTTTGCAACTTAGTAACTTTCTCAGCCAGCTTCCTGACCATAAAAACTTTTGATGGTCCTGAGGCCTTTTTTCATTTTGTAAAGTCTCCTCTTTTAGTTCAAGCAGGTGGTGCTTTGTCAATACAACTCTTTTAAAATTTGGTAGATTGTCTTTGAATCTGATATGGTTAGGCATTATGTCTCCATCCAAATCTCATCTTGAATTATAATCCTTATTTTCCCCATGTGTCAAGGGAGAGACCAGTTGGCAGTAATTGGATCACGGGGGCAGTTCCTCCCATACTGTTCTTGTGACAATGAGTGAGTTCTCATGAGATCTGATGGTTTTATAAGGGGCTCTTCCCCTTTCGCTTGGCACATCTCCTTCCTGCTGCCTTGTGAAGAAGGTGCCTTGCTTCCCCTTTACCTTCTGCCATGATTGTCAGTTTCCTGAGGCCTCCCCAACTATGCTGAATTGTGAGTCAATTAAACCTCTTTCTTTTATAAATTACCCAGTCTTAGTCAGTTCTTTATAGTAGTATGTGAACAGACTATGGCTGGGCACGGTGGCTCACACCTGTAATCCCAGCACTTTGGGAGGCCAAGGCAGGCGGATCACGAGGTCAGGAGTTCGAGACTAGCCTGACCAAGATGATGAAACCCCATCTCTACTAAAAATACAAAAATTAGTTGGGCGTGGTGGCACATGCCTGTAATCCCAGCTACTCAGGAGGCTGAGGCAAGGGAATCACTTGAACCCAGGAGACGGAGTTTGCAGTGAACCGAGATCGCGCCACTGCACTCCAACCTGGGCGACAGAGTAAGACTTCATCTTAAACAAAAAAGAAAAGAAAAGAAAATGGACTAATACAGAGTCTTGGTGGGGTTCATTCATAACCCCAAAGACATATTTATTTTAGGCAGCTGTGAAACAATACCTCCACTGTGGACTGAGCTGTGTTCCACCAAAATTCACATGTTGAATCCCTAATCCCCAATGTGACTATATTTGGAGATAGGGCCTGTAAGGAGGTAATTAAGTTTAAATGCGGTCATAAGGGCTGGGCGTTGATCTATAGGATTAGTATCCTTATAAAAAGAGACACCAGAGAGCTCACACACACCTCCCCACATGAGGACATAGTGAAAGGGTGGCCATCTGCAAGCCAGGAAGAGGGCGCTCAACAGAAATCAAATTGGCCAGAACCTTGATCTTAGATTTTTCTAGCCTCCAGCACTGTGAGAAATAAATTTTTGTTGTTTAAGCCACCCAGCCTGTGGTATTTTATTATGGTAGCCTAAGCTGACTAATATAGTCACTAAGCTTCTTAGAAGCCCTTTTGTCTGGCTGAGAAGTTCAAGGCATCACCACCTTAAATATTTTTGAGGCCTTAACAAAAGATCTTATAGTCACGCCCTTGGTGTAATTTACCCTCAGCCTGTTTCTTACTTTCACAATCTTCTAGCAGCTGGCAAGGCTAAGGATGAGAAACAGTTTTATTTTCCAACCCAGTAAGTCTTAGCCCTCTCTATTTTCTTTAAATTCTGCTTGCAAACTGAAACATTTTTGTCTGTTTTTGTAGTATCTCTCTCATGGTACCTTACGATATGCATCTAGAAGCACTCAAATGATCACTATTCCGTCTAGAAATCTCCTTTGCCAGAAATTCATTAGGCACATTTTCTATTTTCTGAGTTATCATGGGCGTTATTTTTTGCCAGTTGTTCCACCATTGGATAATATGGGCTGCCCACTTTCCATCTTTCTGCAAGCGGTTTCCCCACAGCTTTTGCAGCCTCTATCTGCTACCTGGTCCCAAAGCCAAAGACATATGTTTTAGATTTTTGTTACAACAGCATCTCAGTTCTAGGTACCAATTCTTCCCCAAAACTCAACGGCTTACATAAAACTATACACCTAAAAAGCATGACTTCACTCTATAAAAACCATGTCTCAGCATGACTTTGAGGAAAAAGAGTTGCTTAAAACAACAACCATTTTATTTTCTCACCATTCTGTGCGTCAGCGAATTGGGCTAGGATCAAATGGGCAGTTCTTCTGTTCTATCCCCACGATCAGAAGCAAATAAAATGGTTGTTGTTTAAAGACATTAAGTGTTGGGTGTTTTTTAATGCAGCAATAAATAACTGACATGCTGGGCGGTCACAGTTGTTCATGCCTATAGTCCCAGCACTTTGGGAGGCCGAGGCAGGTGGATCACCTGAGGTCAGGAGTTCGAGACCAGCCTGGCCAACATGGTGAAACCCTGTCTCTACTAAAAACACAAAAAATTTAGCCAAGTGTGGTGGTGTGCCTCTGTAATCCCAGCTACTCAGAAGGCTGAGACACAAGAATTGCTTGAACCCTACAGGCGGAGGTTGCAGTAAACCCAGATCATGCCACTGCACTCCAGCCTGGGTGACAGACAGAGACTCTGACTCAAAAAAAAAATTAAAAGAAAAAAAAAAACTGATATGCCATAGTGGGTTGAATCAGGAACTCCAGCAAGTTCTTTCAGGCAGTGAAATATAGGCTGACCCAAAAGGGAGGCCAGCCATCCTTAGAGTGATTAGCAGGAACTCTGCCCCATAGAGGTGTATGCCATATCTAAATGATGTCTAAACTATCTAATCAGAGTCTCCATTTGGGGAAGTATTCAGTGCAAAGAGTAGAGAGCTGTGGGTCTAACATGCTCAGATTGCTACCCGGAGGGTATCCAAGCTGCTTTCCCAGAATGACTCAAGGTCCTTGGTGTGTCTCAGGTTTGGTTGTTGGTTGTTATCTTTCCAGGCTTGCATCCTTTAAGCTGTAGATAGTACCACTGGTACCCAGTACTCAGTCCATTCCCATGTGGATTACATCTTCATTATCCCTTAGACCAGACTGCAGGATTCCTCTAGGTCTGGGTCTCTCTCAGCCACTTCTACACTCATCTCAAGGTCCCAGAAAATAATAGGCTCACCTCCCTTACCACTCTGAGATTACAGAAAACTCTCTGAGGAAACCCTAGACGCTTCTGCTCTAGATGTACCAGGCAGCTCCTCTGATCCAATGCTGAGTATAGAGGATTTCTCTGAGGTTTGCCATCTCCTAGATTCCAACAAGGAAATAAGCCACAGGTCTCCTGATTCTCAGAACCTGAAAAACCCACACACAGGCCAGGGCTCAGCAAGGGGAGGGGCAGCAGAAGAGTGCAGGAGCCCCTTCCCAGGAACTCAGCGGCATCTAACCATCTTGCTTTGCCTTAGAATCGCCTCTTGTATCCCAGCCAGGGGAATTTTTATCATACGAGGGCAGGGGAAAAAATTGGCTCAAATTAATCAAATCTTCTTCTTCCAAATATTTTTTGTCTGAAGCCTGAAGCTCAGCTTTTTAAACTTGAAAGCCAAGAATTTGTCTCTTTTGTTCTCTGGTTCTGCTGTGACAACCCTCCCTTGAGGCAAGGAATGACTCATGGTCTAGCTGCCGGGATGGGGGAGGGTCAAGGGTAACAGGAAATCACGGGGAAAACACATTGGTTAATACATCAAAATATTATCCTGTTACACTAGGATTTCTATTCTCTTTTTTATTCTCTGTAAAATTGAAATGAACTCGTCTTCCTCCTTTCTTACAAAGCCTTCCACATTAGATAGGGTTCTTTGGGATGTGAGTAATAGAAATCAACTCATTTTTGCCCACCACTTCCCTCAGAGAAAATATAATGCAGGTGCTAGAAGGAGCGGGAAGGACTGGAGTCTAAGACAGAAATGTGATCATGCTTCATGAAAGCACCAAAGCTGTGGATTTCTATCAGAACCATGCTTCCTCTGGTTTCTGTTCTTTGCGTGGTGGCTTTGTTCATTCTCTTCATGGCTTTTCTCTTCCCCTCTGTAGACAGGGCCTAAATTTATGCTCCTCGTCCTGCCATGCTGAGACTGAAATCTCTTGTTCTGATATTTGGATTCTAATGGATCTTCTGATTGGGCCAACAGGGTCAATAATCAATTAACTGTAGCTGAGAGACCCCTTGTAGGGAAGGATAGGATCCCATTTTATAAAATGGCTATGAAGTACCCACCACTGATGGAGGAAAGAAAAAGTGGAGGCTGGGCAGACAATCCCTTCAATATTCAGCTTTCCATTGCCTGGGTAGAAGTGATTTCATATTTATTGAACTATCCTGGCAGCTTATCTATACATACCACATTTTATACTGCTTTTTATACTGCTTATTTTGTAGCCATTTATGGATATATCTCTACCTTGTAGCAGACCACCAGTAAATAGTGTGCAAGGACTTAGTTCCCTTTCTCCACAAAGGCAAACACAGTGCCCTGCACACAATAGGCATTCAAAAGTGTGCATTGAATGATCAAATGAATCAATGAATGGGAAGGAAGAGTTAACAAACCCAAAAAACTGATGGGCACTATGAAAGGGGAAACACAAGGCATTTTCATGACAGGTGTAATTTTGAAAAAAAAAAAAATCCAAATAAGTTCGATTATGCAGCGTACAAGGCTTTTCTCTTGGCAAGGAAACAGTTAAGAGGTTTTGCACTGTGTTCATGGACTTCTGACATGATATAAAACACTACAATTTTGGCTTTCCCATTTTAGCTGACATAGTTTAAGTTGATGAATATTTTGATTTGTGCCAGTCTCAGGCAGTTTTAAATGCTATCCCTGCAGGAGTCAAGAAGTCCAGTCATAATCATAACAATATGCTTGTCAGTCAAAAGCACCGGAAGACTGTTTAGGTGCAAAGAGAGCGTTTTCCCCTGAAAGGAAACAGGGCAATTGAAATCACCTACTTTTCAAGGTATTGAAGTCAAAACTGTTACCAGCTTCATGGTGTGAAAATCCAGGTCTGTGCACCCCCTTGGTCAGACTCCAGTATGTCCTTAGGCTATCCAGTCAAAAAAAGTTACAGTCTGAAGTTCAGAAGAAATTAGACTAAAGGAAAAGTCCAGCGATCAAGGTTGATTCCCCATCATTATTTGCAGGTCACTATTTCAGCAAGGAATGTATAATGAATTCTCTTCCATCTTTGCAGTCAAAGCACCTTGGGATAAATTTGCAGAGCCAACTAAATCAGAGCATTCATGCAATTACATAGGATCTGGGCAGAAGAAAGTGATTTTATTTTTCCTGAACAGACCAAGCAAATAATACTTGAAGAATTGACCTAAAGGTTATACCACAGGAACTGTTTGCACTATAGCAGGCGAAATTTAAAAATCCACATAGAATTGGGTTCATTAGAAAAAGGAGAAAAGCCAGAAACCAAATCAGTGTGGGAGAGAGATGAAAGAAAGAAAGAAAGAAAGAAAGAAAGAAAGAAAGAAAGAAAGAAAGAAAGAAAGAGAAGGGAATAAGGAAGGAAGGAAGGAAGGAAAGAAGAGAGAGAGAGAAAGAAAAGAAAGAAGGAGAAGAAAGAGAGAAAGAAAGAAAGAAAAAGAAAAAGAAAAGAGAGAGAAAGAAAGAAAATATAAGAAAGGAAGAAAGAGAGAGAGAAAAAGAAAGAAAAGGTAGAGAAAGAAAAAGAAAGGAAGGAAGAAAGAAGGAAAGGAAGGAAGGAACAAGTCAGAGCAAAGGATTTCAAAACTGGAGTCTGACCAAAATTATTCAGATCTTCGAGTATGTTGATGTCAGGACCTTCTTTTTTCAATGTTAGTGTGACTTTAATAATTCCAGCTGCTCAACAAATTTACTCAGCAACTTTACCCCACCAGAATAAAATTAAAACACAGATCCGGTGTGTCCCTTCAAATTTTATTGCATTGATAGCAGTTTTTTTTTGTTGTTGTTTTTTGTTTTTGCATGGAAATGCACTAGTTAAATTGAAAGTTACTATAATAGAAAGTACACCTTTCACCCCCAAAGAATTCCATATACCCCATGCTGATATCAAAAGAATCTCCTCATGGGAAAGTACAATGTGGAAAGCAGAGAGTAACAAAAATCTGGTGTTCAGAGTCCACTGGGAGCCTCAGAAAAATATGAAACAATGACTTCATGTAGTAGATAAATTTCTCACATTCTTCAACCCGTTTTATTGGCTTAATACTCATGTATCCAGTTGTATGAACAGTAAGCCTGCCCAAAAAAGAATCTGATCGATATTAAAAAATATATCCAGCATGAAAATTTAATAATATGCTGGTCCTTTGTCCATCAATTTACAAATGTTTTTATTAGTTATTTTTGAAGTCACCTAAAAATATGTCCAAGATTATCCTCTTTCACAAATAAGTAAATGATAACTTTGAAAGAGGAACATCTTTTAGTAGTAATAAAGCAGTAGGACATTTACTGTCGTAATGTCTAAGTCCCATCTTCCACATTCTCTACTGCCCCAGGATGCCGTACAAACCCTAGTGTTTAAGACACACCACAATTTGTCCCAGACCCTTCTCTCTGTCTCCCTATTCTCCCCTGTGAGACCATGTCTTTTCATTTAAGCTATTTCTACTCATTGTTCCTAAATGAGCCATGGACATACCTGTCTGTGCACCTTTGTATGCCCTGTTTTATCTCTTCTCTTGCCAAAGCTCCATCTATCCTTCAGACTCAGGGCCTCCAAGAAATTCTCCTGGGCTGCCTCAGCCCTTTGCCAGGCATCACTCATCTGGATTCTTCTCAACTGGCAATTACCCTACTCTGTCTTGCCCTATAGGTATCTCTTAGGATTTCATTAATCTCTAACGACCATGTGGTGTAATAGAAAGCATGTAGGCTTTAAAGTCAGGCAGATTTAGCTTGAAATCCAGGCTCTCTCCCTAACAAACTGGTAATTTAACCTATCTGTAGTTTTGTTTTCTCATGTTTAAACTGAGAATAATAATAACTAGTTTAGAGAGTTCTTGGGAGTATCAAATAAAGTTACATAAAAAAATGCCTAGGGTTTATACTACAAAGTAAGTCGGTCAGGTTTTGTCTGTTGTGTTCACTGCTGTATCTTTGGCACCTAGAAGAGTTCCTAGCACATAGTAGATACTCAATGTATGCTTACTGAAAGGATTAGTGACTATTTGATACTCAATAAACATTGGTTCTCTTCTGTTTTTACCCCATCCACTAGCTTGTAATTCTTTGCAGGACAGGCCTTACGCATACATCTCTTGGCATTTCACTGTGAGAAGATTTGATGAATGGGTTTCTCATGAGTCCTTGGTCTTCCTACTTACTAGATAATTCTCAATGGCATAGAAAGATCCATTTATCATACATATGAGCTGACCCATTTGTCTATGAACCTCAATTGCTACTCCCCACTGATATAAGTAGTAGCAGAGTAAAAATAATAATAATCTTAGGAAAAACAAGGAGTGAAATAAGGCATTTTAAAAATATGAAATATTTATTAACTTTTCCACTGGGCTAGCATGCTGAATATACTATAAAACCCAAAAAGAAAAGTCAAAAGATCAATAATAAAGGTATTGAAGAAGAAGAAAAAAAGACGGTAAGGAGGGAGGGAGGAATAGAAGAAGGAAAGAAGGAAGAGGGAGGCAGAGAGGGAAGGACAGAAAAAGGGAAAGAGAGAAAAAATAAGAAAAAAAGAGAAGGAAACAAAGTCATAAACATATTGCTGTTGCCTCAGGTTGCATGTCATGTTTGTTCCCAGGCCTCTCGTGACCATTCTGGCTCAGGCTGTGAACAGCCTCAGAGGAGTCTGAAATCCCAAAAGGATAGTGATATTTAAAGTCAGTAATCCTCTAACAGAATCTCTCTCAGAGACTATGCCAAGCCTCCATACCATCAGCATTTTCTCTCTGTATATATACAAATAAGAAACTAGATCTGAGAGCCTAAAAGATCCCTTTTTGATTTGAATCCAAGAACTTCTCCAGATTTTTAAAAATCGAGTTCTCCAAAGAAGAGGCTGTGATGTCGTGCACCAGAGAGACAGTCGAGAGCAGCTAGGACAGGCTTTCCGTTGGCATAATGGAAACCATGTGTCCTGTACCATTATGGATTTCTAATGCTCCGTTGAGGTGGGTACCTGTTGCTTTGAAGAAAAAAAAGCCATTTCCACCCCCATTTCTCCTGATTTATGCTCCAGCCACAGAAGGCCCAGACAAGTTGGAAAAGATTTGGTAACTGGAGAAGTGACAGGGGGTGAGAAAGTATATTTTGTCAAAGACTGCACACTTGACTCTCACTTTAAATCCTTGCCTTGGGCAATGTGTGAGTTACAGAGTTTAAATCGTGTTTTTAGTTTAAGTCAGATTGAGGGTGAAAGACTACACAGCTCTATGAATTAGGACTGGATTGTTTTGGTAAAAACATTTTCTAGGTTGGTCAAACATAAATCAGTCCTAATGAGGCACCTGTGATTATAGGCAGGTCTAATGCTCCTCACTGCTCTCCGCCCATTCTCATTCCTCTCCTATTTGCCTTTATTTTTTCCTAAACAGAAAATCAGAAAGCAATGAGAATTAAAAAAAAAAAAAAAAAAAGCATGTTGTACTCAGCCCAAAAGAGATTAGAAGAGTCCAGAATGACATAAGGGCAGAGCACAGGACATAGGTGACTGAATGAGTCTTAACAAAGAAGCCAGGTCCAGGAAGAATCAGATGGTGGACACAGAAGAGCTTTTCATCAAACAACAGTGAATGGAAGTCCTAGATTTCAGTGTAATGTCCAAGAATTTGCATCATCTGTCACCTGGCAGCTGGCATTCCACCCCTCCCTCCAGGGGGCCTCCTTGACTACACACACAGGCTGCTTACCTGGAAGAGTCTCATCTTTCTTACTCTTTGGCCTACAAATCTTTGTTCAGGAGGTTCTAGTCTCTCATTTTTCAGGTGACTCTTGTCTATCTGTGGAAAAACTTCATAGTTGTTTTCTTATTAAGCCTTGGGTTTTAATGTTATTTCTTCAGCGTTATATTATTCTTTATTGCTATGTCATGAAAAATGGTTTTAACTTTGAATCACTGCTCTATTTCCATTAGCAAATGCCTTCCTTCTTCAAGTCCTATTAGAAACAGAGCAACACTGAAAAAGACACCAGGATTATTTTGCCCCTTTGCATACCTTGTTAACTGCTCAAATAGACTTGAAACCTTTTGTCCACCAAATCCCATGGCCTTGGGAAAAAGCAGTGTGTATGGCTCTTTCTAGTCTTTTATCTACATTTTAAAACTAGATTGGTAGGGGCAAGATGGCTGAATATGAACAGCTCTGGTCTGCAGCTCCCAGCGAGACCAACGCAGAAGGCGGGTGATTTCTGCATTTCCAACTGAGGTACCCGGTTCATCTCACAGGGACTGGTTAGAGAGTAGGTGCAGCCCATGGAGGGCGAGCAGAAGCAGGGTGGGGCATCACCTCACCTGGGAAGTGCAAGGGGTCAGGGAAATCCCTCCCCTGGCCAAGGGAAGCCATGAGGGACTGCGCCTTGAGGGACTGTGCTATCCTGCCCAGATACTACGCTTTTCCCAAGGTCTTTGCAACCCACAGACCAGGAGATTCCCTCAGGTGCCTACACCACAAGGGCCCTGGATTTCAAGCACAAAACTGGGCAACTGTTTGGGCAGACACCGAGTTAGTTGCAGGAATATTTTTTTGTATTCCAGTGGTGCCTGGAACGCCAGCAAGATAGAAACATTCACTCCCCTGGAAAGGGGGCTGAAGCCAGGGAGCCAAGCGGTCTTGCTCAGTGGATACCAACCCCATGGAGCCCAGCAAGCTAAGATCCACTGGCTTGAAATTCTCGCTGCCAGCACAGCAGTCTAAAGTTGACCTGGGATGCTTGAGCTTGGTGGGGGCAGGGGCGTCCGCCATTACTGAGGCTTAAGTATGAGGGTTTTCCACTCACAGTGTAAACAAAGCCACCAGGAAGTTAGGACCAGGTGGAGTCCACCACAGTGCTGCAAAGCTGCTGTAGCCAGACTGCCTCTCTAGATTCCTCCTCTCTGGGCAGGGTGTCTCTGAAAGGCAACAGACCCAGTCAGAGGAATGTGGATAAAACTCCCATCTCCTTGGGACAGAGCACCAGGGGGAAGGGGCGGCTGTGGGCGCAGCTTCAGCAGACTTAAATGTTCCTGACTGCTGGCTCTGAAGAGAGCATCACAGATCTCCCAGCACAGCGCTCGAGCTCTGATAAGGTACAGACTGCCTCCTCAAGTTGGTCCCTGACCCGCATGCCTCCTGACTGGGAGACAACTCCTGGAAGGGGTTGACAGACACTTCATATAGGAGAGCTCCAGCTGGCATTTGGCAGGTGCCCCTCTGGGATGAAGCTTCTAGAGGAAGGAGCAGGCAGCAATATTTGCTGTTCTGCAGCTTCCAGTGGTGATACCCAGGCAAACGGGGTCAGGAGTGGACCCCCAGCAAACTCCAGCAGAACTGCAGAAGAGGGGCCTGACTGTTAGAAGGAAAACTAACAAACAGAAAGCAATAGTATCAACATCAACAAAAAGGATGACCATGCAAAAACTCCATCCGAAGGTAACCAACAGCAAAGGACAAAGGTAGATAAATCCACGAAGATGAGAAATAAGCAGCGCAAAAAGGCTGAAAATCCCAAAAACCAGTGCCTCTTCCCCTCCAAAGGATCAAAACTCCTCACCAGCAAGGGAACAAAACTGGACGGAAAATGAATTTGACAAATGGACAGAAGTAGTCTTCAGAAGGTGGGTAATAACAAATTCCACCGAGTTAAAGGAGCATGTTCTAACCCAATGCAAGGAAGCTAAGAACCTTGATAAAAGGCTAGAGGAATTGCTAACTAGAATAACCAGTTTAGAGAAGAACATAAATGACCTGATGGACCTGAAAAACACAGCATGAGAACTTCATGAAGCATACACAAGTATCAATAGCTGAACTGATCAGGTGGAAGAAAGGATATCAGAGATTGAAGATCAATTTAATAAATAAAGCATGAAGACAAGGATAGAGAAAAAAGAAATAAAGGAATAAGCAAAGCCTGAAAGAAATATAAGACTATTTGAAAAGACCAAACCTACCTTTGATTGGTGTACCTGAAAGGAAAGGGGAGAATAGAACCAAGTTGGAAAACACGCTTCAGGATATTATCCAGGAGAACTTCCCCAACATACCAAGACAGGCCAAAATTGAAATTCAGGAAATACAGAGAACACCACAAGATACTCCTTGAGAAGAGCAACACCAAGACACATAATCAGATTCAACAAGGTTGAAATGAAAAAAAAAATGTTAAGGATAGCCACATACAAAGGTCGGGTTGCCCACAAAGGGAAGCCCATCAGACTAACAGCAGATCTCTCTGCAGAAACCCTGCAAGACAGATGAGAGTGGAGGCCAATAGTCAACATTCTTAAAGAAAAGAATTTTCAACCAAGAATTTCATATGCAGCCAAACTAAGCTTCATAAGGGAAGGACAAATATAATCCTTTACAGACAAGCAAATGCAAATGCTGAGGGATTTTCTCACCACCAGGCCTACCTCACAAGAGCTCCTGAAGGAAGCACTAAATATGGAAAGGAAAAACTGGTACCAGCCACTGCAAAAACAAACCAAAATGTAAAGACCATCGACACTATGAAGAAACTGCATCAACTAATGGGCAAAATAACCAGCTAGCATCATAATGACAGGATCAAATTCACACATAACAATATTAACCTTAAATGTAAATGAGCTAAATGCCCAAATTAAAAGACACAGACTGGCAAATTGGATAAACAGCCAACACCCATCAGTGTGCTGTATTCAGGAGACCAATCTCATGTGCAAAGACACACATAGGCTCAAAATAAAGAGATGGAAGAATATTTACCAAGCAAATGGAAAGCAAAAAAAAAAGCAGGGGTTGCAATCCTAATCTCTGATAAATAGACTTTAAACCAACAAAGATCAAAAAACACGAAGAAAGGCATTACATTATGGTAAAGGGATCAGTGCAACAAGAAGCGCTAACCATCCTAAATATATATGCACCCAATACGGGAGCACCAAGATTCATAAAGCAAGTTCTTAAGAGACCTACAAAGAGACTTAGACTCCCACACAATAATAGTGGGAGACTTTAACACCTCACTGTCAATATTAGACAGATCAAGAAGACAGAAAATTAACAAGGATATTCAGGAGTTGAACTCAGCTCTCAAACAAGTAGACCTAATAGACATCTACATAACTCTCTACCCCAAATAAACAAAATATACACTCTTCTCAGCACAACATACCACTTATTCCAACATTGACCACATAATTGGAAGTAAAACACTCCTCAGCAAATGCAAAAAACAAACAAACAAACAAAAAACAACAGAAAACAGAAATCATAACAAACAGTCTCTCAGACCACAGTGCCATCAAATTAGAACTCAGGATTAAGAATCTCACTCAAAACCACACAACTACATGGAAACTGAACAACCTGCTCCTGAATGACTACTGGGTAAATAACGAAATTAAGGCAGAAAGAAATAAGTTCTTTGACACCAATGAAAACAAAGACACAACATACCAGAATCTCTGGGACACAGCTAAAGCAGTGTTTAGAGGGAAATTTATAGCACTAAATGCCCGCAGGAGAAAGTGGGAAAGATCTAAAATTGACTCCCTAACATCACAATTAAAAGAACTAGAGAAGCAAGAGCAAACACATTCAAAAGCTAACATAAGACAAGAAATAACTAAGATCAGAGCAGAACTGAAGGAGATAGAGACACGAAAAACCCTTCAAAAAAATCAATGAATCCAGGAGCTGGTTTTTTGAAAAGATTAACAAAATAGATAGACCACTTGCCAGACTAATAAAGAGAAAAGAAAGAGGAATCAAATAGACACAATAAAAAATGATAAAGGGGATATCACCACTGATCCCACAGAAATACAAACTACCCTCAGAGAATACCATAAACACCTCTATGCAAATAAACTAGAAAATCTAGAAGAAATGGATAAATTCCTGGACTTATAGACCCTCCCAAGACTAAACCAGGAAGAAGTCGAATCCCCGAATAGACCAATAACAAGTTCTGAAATTGAGGCAGTAATTATTTATGGTTGGTTGGCCTACCAACAAAAACAACCCCAGGACCAGATGGATTCACAACCAAATTCTACCATAGGTACAAAGAGGAGCTAGTACCATTCCTTCTGAAACTACTCCAAACAATAGAAAAAGAGGGAATCCTCCCTAACTTATTTTATGAGGCCAGCATCATCCTGATATCAAAGCCTGGCAGAGACACAACAAAAAAAGAAAATTTCAGGTCAATATCCCTGATGAACATTGATGTGAAAATCCTCAATAAAATACTGGCAAGCCGAATCCAGCAGCCTATTATAAAGCTTATCCACCATGATCAAGTCAGCTTCATCCCTGGGATGCAAGGCTGGTTCAACATATGCAAATCAATAAATGTAATCCATCACATAAATCGAACAAATGACAAAAACCACATGATTATCTCAATAGATGCAGAAAAGGCCTCAATAAAAGTCAACACTCGTTCATGCTAAAAACACGCCATAAACTAGGTACAGATGGAACATATCTCAAAATAATAAGAGCTTTTTATGACAAACTCACACCCAATATTATACTGAGTGGGCAAAAGCTGGAAGCATTCCCTTTGACAACTGGCACAAGACAAGGATGCCCTCTCTCACCACTCCTATTCAACATAGTATTGGAAGTTCTGGCCAGGGCCATCAGGCAAGAGAAAGAACTAAAGAGTATTCAGATAGGAAGAAAGGAAGTCAAATTATCTCTGTTTGCAGGTGACATGATTATATATTTAGAAAACCCCATCTTCTCAGCCCAAAAGCTCCTTAAGCTGATAAGCAACTTCAGCAAAGTCTCAGGACACAAAATCATTGTACAAAAATCACAAGCATTCCTGTACACCAACAGTAGACAAACAGTCATATCATGAGCAAACTCCCACTCACAATTGCTACAAAGAGAATAACATACCTAGAAATACAACTTACAAGGGATATGAAGGATTCCTTCGAAGAGAACTACAAACCACTGCTCAATGAAATAAGAGGGGACACAAACAAATGGAAAAACATTCCATGCTTATGGATAGGAAAGATCAATATTGTGAAAATGGCCATACTGCCCAAAGTAATTTATAGATTCAATGCTATCCCCATCAAGCTACCATTGACTTTATTCCCAAAATTAGAAAAAACTACTTTAAATTTTATACGGAACAAAATACAGCCCGTATAGCCAAGGCAATCCTAACCAAAAAGAACAAAGCTGGGGGCATCATGCTACCTGACTTCAAACTATGCTACAAGGCTACAGTAACCAAAACAGCATGTTACTGGCACCAAAACAGATATACAGACCAATGGAACAGAACAGAAACCTCAGAAATAACACCACACATCTACAGCCATCTGATCTTTGACAAACCTGACAAAAACAAGCAATGGGGAAAGGATTCGCTATTTAACAAATGGTGTTGGGAAAACTGGCTAGCCATATGCAGAAAACTGAAACTGGACCCCTTGCTCACACCTTATACAAAAATTAACTCAAGATGGATTAAAGATTTAAATATAAGACCTAAAAGCATAAAAACCCTAGAAGAAAATCTAGGCAATACCATTCAGGACATAGGCATGGGCAAAGACTTCATGACTGAAACACCAAAAGCAGTGGCAACAAAAGCCAAAAATGACAAATGGGATCCAATTAAACTAAAGAGCTTCTGCACAGCAAAAGAAACTATCATCAGAGTGAACAGGCAACCTACAGAATGGGAGAAAATTTTTGCAATCTATCCATCTGACAAAGGGCTAATATCCAGAATCTGCAAAGAACTTCAACAAATTTACAAGAAAAAAACAAACAACCCCATCAAAAAGTGGGTGAAGGATTTGGACAGACGATTTTCAAAAGAAGACATTTATGCAGCCAACAAACATTTGAAAAAATGCTCATCACTTTTCATTAGAGAAATGTAAATCAAAACAGCAATGAGATACCATCTCATGCCAGTTAGAATGGTGATCATTAAAAAGTCAGGAAACAACAGATGCTGGAGAGGATGTGGAGTAACAGGAACACTTTTACACTGTTGGTAGGATTGTAAATTAGTTCAACCATTGTGGAAGACAGTGTGGCAATTCCTCAAGGATCTAGAACAAGAAATACCATTTGACCCTGCAATCCCTTTACTGGGTGTATACCAAAAGTATTATAAATCATTCTACCATAAAGACACATGCACATGTATGTTTATTGCAGCATTATTCACAATAGCAAAGACTTGGAACCAACCCAAATGCCCATCAGTGTTAGACTGAATAAAGAAAATGTGGCACATATATACCATGGAATACTATGCAGCCATAAAATGAGTTCATGTTCTTTGCAGGGACATGGATGAAGCTGGAAACAATCATTCTCAGCAAACTAACACAGGAACAGAAAACCAAACACTGCATATTCTCACTGATAAGTGGGAGTTGAACAATGAGAACATATGGGCACAGGGAGGGGAATATCATACACTGGGGCCTGTTGGGGGTGGGGGGCAAAGGGAGGGATAACATTAGGAGAAATGCCTAATGTAGATGATGGGTTGATGGGTGCAGCAAACCACCATGGCACATGTATATCCATATAACAAACCTGCACGTTCTGCACATGTATCACAGAACTTAAAGTACAATAATAAAAAAAAAAACTAGATTTAAATTGTCTGCTTTTATTATGTTCTCTGCCATTTGTAAACATGCTTTTTCTGTCTTCTTTTTTTTTTTTTTTAAACCAGTATTACCTTCTTACTTTTATTGTTTATCACTCACCACAGGTAATTCCCTTCTTCAGTTGACTTACACTATTTTAATATCCCATATCAACTATTGCTTGGGTTAGTTACTGAATTCCAGGGTCTGATGGAAAACAATGATCTTGTTTGGGAGCATCATGTGATCAGGGTACTGCTAATTGTTTGAAAATGTTTGGGTTCTCCTGGGTCTCATCACAGTTGGAAAAGATGAGATTATGTCCTCATCTTTAGGGAGTTGATTTAGTTTGCACTGTGTATTTTATATAATGCATCAAAGTGTCCATTTCTTTTAGTAAATAAATGACACATTTGAGCTGAAATCTTTCACAAATATCTATTTAAAATAACATTTAAAACCAAACTTGTATAAAGTATTCAAATGCTGTATCTGGCAACACTGTGACATCAACCCTAACAGGCAGAATTGGCTATATTTTAAAATGAAGAACAGAGGTTCAGAAAGATGAAGTAACCTGTCAAAGTTCATATAAGTCTTATGTTGGGTACTCAGGAATTGGGCCATTTTTTGTCTGGTTCTAATGCCTAGTTACCTCCTAAATAGATTGTTAAGTGAGTAATAATAACACAGGCCCAGTGCAGTGGCTTATGCCTCTAAATCTCAATGCTTTGAGAGCCCAAGTCAGAAGGATTGCTTGAGCCCAGGAGTTCAAGGCTGCAATGAGCTATGATCACACCACTGCACTCCAGCCTCAGCAACAGAGAAAGACCCCATCTCTAAAATAACAACAATAACAACAACAGCAAATGATTGCCGTATAAAACTTCCAAGTTCTCAAGTTCTGATTTCACTGAATATTCCTGAACACCAGTCAAGTCTGGCAAAGAATTATTATTATTTCCATTTTATAGTTGAAGAGATGGAAGATCAAAAGGTTCAGAAATTTGTGAAAGACTCTAGTCTTCTGATTCCTACTTCAGCACTTTTCTTCTAGTACATCCTATCATCTCCTGAGGCTTTCTTCTCAGCACTACCTTTGCATCTTTCCCTACTTCTGACTGTGGTGTTTGTTAGCCACCCAGAATGGAAGATGAAGATGGTTCCGGAACAATCACATGGATGATGACAGAAATAATGCCCCGTTATACACACAAGAAGGCTGTGTGTATTTGTAAAATTCAAACTAAATTTTAGTTTTTCTGTGACAAAAATTATATATATTTATTGTGTACACCATTTGTTTTGAAATAGGCATACATTGCGGAATGGCTAAGTAGAGCTAATGAACATGTGCAATACTTCACATAATTTTTGTGTGGTAAAAACACTTAAAATCTACTCTGTTAGTAACTTTCAAGAATATATTTGTTATTTAATCACCAAGTAGTACAAAAGGTCTCTCGAAATTATTTCTCTTATTTAACAAAAATTTTGTATCCTCTGATCAACAGCAACAACTCCATCATACCAACTCAACCCCAGCCCCTAGTAATCGCTATCTATCCTCTGCTTCTATGAGTTCAACTTTTTAAAATTCCACAAATAAATGAGCTCATATGGCATTCGTCTTTCTGTGCCTAGCTTATCACTTAACATAATGTCCTCTAGGTTCATCCATGTTGTTGCAAATCACAGGATTTCCTTCTGTTTTTTAAGGTTTTCTATTATGTATAACTACCACATGTTTATATCCATCCATCCACTGATAGATACTTAGGTTGATTCCCCTATCTTGGCTATTTTGAATAATGCTGAGTACAGATATTTCATCAACATACTGATTTCATTTTCTTTGGCTAAATACCTAGTAGTGGGATTGGTGGATCATACGGTAGTTCTATTTTTAATTTTTGAGAAACCTCTGTACTGTTTTCCATAATCGCTGTACTAGTTTACATTCCCACCAACAATGATCAAGGGTTCTGTTTTCTCCACATCCTCACAAGCATTTGTTGTCTTTCATCTTTTTTATAATAGCTATTCTAACAGGAGTGAGATATCTTATTGTGGTTTTAATTTCCATTTCCCTGATGATCAGTGATGTTGAGCATTTTTTTTTTTAATTTTTTTGAGATGGCGTCTCACTCTGTCACCCAGGTTGGAGTGCAGTGGCATGATCTCGGCTCGCTGCAAGCTCTGTATCCTGGGTTCACACCATTCTCCTGCCTCAGTCTCCCAAGTAGCTGGGACTACAGGTGCCTGCCACCACGCCTGGCTAATTTTTTGCATTTTTAATAGAGATGGGGTTTCACTGTGTTAGCCAGGATGGTCTTGATCTCCTGACCTCGTGATCCACCCACCTTGGCCTCCCAAAGTGCCGAGATTACAGGCATGAGCCACCGCAGCTGGCCAAGCATTTAAAAAAATATACCTGTTGGACATTTTATGTCTTCTTTTGAGAAACGTCTATTCATTTCATTTGCCCATTTTTTAAATCAGGTTATTTGTTTTCTTGATTTTAAGTTGTTTGAGTTCCTTATGTATACTGGATGTTCACCCCTTATGAATATATGGTTTTCACATATTTTCTTCCATTCCTCATTACTTTCATGATGATGAATTGTGTTCACATGATGATACATTGTTTCTACTGCATGATAATACACATGGCCTCTACTTTGCCTGATTAACTGAGATGTACTCTTTGGGGTAAATAAACAACAAGAAATAAACATTAGGCCTCAAAAGTATGTGCTTCACATAGCTTAGTGTGTAGTCTTAGAATAAAGCCTATTTAGGATTTTTCATAATAGGAGATTGTTTCAAGAGATTTAATCCTCTAGAGTGAACTCTTTTGACAAATTTCATTCTTCAAACAATCATTTCTTGAATATCTACCATGTGTCAAGTACTATGATATTGGAGACACATCAATGAAAATCAACAAATTGTGATCCTTTTGTTGAATTAAAAGAAGATATATTGACAGGTGGGAAGAGAGTTGGTGAAGGGAAAGGCAGTAAATGAACAGCAATGCACAATATCCATGTGCCACTTTTATGTATGCATAATATATATATGAATATGCATCACAGTTGAATACCAACTAGAATAAAACAGTGGTAATACATTTACTGACAACGGGATTGATGATGATCTTTAAATCATGTGTCATGCAAGAGCATAGAGCAAATAGTTACCACAATGTGGCTAGCTCATATATAATGTTGTTAGTCATTCTAACAACAACTGCATGATAAAAGTTGGCTTTTTGTTTAGTTCATATTTCAGAATGTCTAACCTTCCTGAATCCTCTCCTTTCCCAAATTTCCAATTAGTTCTAAAACTCCTAAGAGATGCCTCACTAATTCTTCAGAATAAGTTCTCAAACTACCATGTACCACCTGCCATACTCCCTTCTCTGTCTGTTTCCCTTTAGTGATTTTCCTGTGAATACAAGTGAAGGTTCTTTATTGCAGCCACTGAGGTTGGACTACTTCCTGCTGCTGGTGTTGCCACCCAATGGTCCCTCTGGGCCACCCTGTGCTCCTGCTGTCCTGCAGAGGAGCTGCACTGCTCTGAGGAAGTAGAGAGACCCCTTCCCCCCTTTCCCTGAAAGAAGTGTATTTATGCCACTCTCTGCTACCAGGATCTTAAAGGAGGTTTGTCTTGCATTCCTAACTCCTCGGGGTGATTTCTTACTTGTACGCCACTTTTTTAAGATTCAGTCGTTTATGCAGGTTGTTGAAAATACCAGTTTTCCAAAAGACTTCATGCTTTCCTCCTGTCTTACTTGTCCCGAGTAAGACATTATATATGAGCTAGCCACAATGTGATAATTATTTGATGTATAGTTATCAGCAGGCAAGGATTAACTGCTGATGCTTTACTTGGGGAATCGGTTAGGGTGAGGAAGAAGGAAGGGAAGAAGAGAAGAAACAGGAAGCAATGTTGTGCTGGCCACGGCTTTGCAGTGATGGTAAAGAGACATGGCTGGGTATGCAGGAGCTATATCCAGTGGGAAGTTCTACAGATAGGCAGAAGTTTCATATTAAAAATTTCATATTAATAAATGATGCTTCAGAGCAGCCTGTGGGTGTGAGGAAGAAGAAGGAATTTATCTGGCCAGGTCTCAACCATTTCCTCTTTCCCATTGCCTTGTAGGGTATTAACTCCTCCCCCTTCTGGATTACATTAACACAATGGCTGCTGGGTGTCAGATGCTTGCATGTATCCTATGCCTGTGATGTACTGTTTATCCAAGTTTAAAAGTGGTGGGAAGAGACAGAAACTCTGGGCACATGAAAGTCAGCTGAGGGGGAGAACTTGGCATCGGCAAATAAAGAGGCTGCTCATCCCAGCAGGCGAGCCACAGGCCAAGTGGAGTTGGTAGGCTGTGGCAAAGCAAGGCAAAACAAAGAGTGAGGGCCTGGAAAGTGAAGATTCCAGGGTAATATTGGGAGATGCTTAGGATTTGTCAATTCACATTCAAGTCCCACCACTCACCCCTCCATCCCACTCTTTCCCCACAGTCTTGTGATCATTCAGAGTCCCCCAGCACTCTATAACTCAGCACAAGACTTGGTTTACTTTGAGATTTGTGCTACATAAATATGTCCCATTTAATTTTGATGAAGTGTCAAGTCTGAATCAGTTATGAAGCCATTGACCATAACTTTTTTGTAAAACTAGAGTGCTAAAGTGAACAGAATAATATTTTTCAGGGACTTGTTATATATTTTCTTTAAAGATTGAAAAATGAATTATTTGACATCTCATATAATAATCAAGATGGTACAATGAAAACTGGTAATATAAATAACCTGGAAAAACTCACTTTCATTCCTGAACACCTCAGACTCCTTTAAAGAGAGGCAAAATGGATGGCTAAATGTAAATAAACTAAAATAAAAACCACACATTTGGGGGGATGGGATTGTTTAGCTCACACAGTGGAATGAAAAGTGGTTTTTGTTTGTTTGGGTCATTTTGGTCTGTTTTATTGTTATGGTTTTAAGTTCTCCATGGTTAGAGCTCAAGTAATTTTCTTCTTTTCTATTATAAGTTGCTGGCAGGCTGGTAAAGATGTGATTTCATCCCAACGTTTGGAGAAAAAGATCTTCTTGTTCCATATTCAAATTAAAAATATCTGCCCACTTAAGAGATTGTCAGTGCCAGGGACAGGTTCCTTTTCAAGAATTTCCTTCCTAGACTTGGCCCTTCAACTTCCAAAATAACAATTGTTTTTCAGCTTTTCAAAAATCAAAATATTTACCAACAGTGTTTGGTTTTATGATATTGCACCCCCTTCTTTAGCCTGTTGTAGTAGTTACATCAGACTGGCTGACACTGAGCTTGGGAAAAGCCAGAAGAAAACCTCTGTGGGCAAAGGAGAGAAGGAGAGAATATGTAAGAATGAGGAACAAGCCTTGACCATTTGACATACACATGCACATCAGAATTTCAAAAGAGGCTGCAAACCCTGAGTATCCAAACAGAGAGGAAATGTTGTCAGTTGAAACACCCACACTTGGGTCTTTCTTAGAATATAATTCCTTTTAGCAAAAACTCTTTGTCACTGCCTATTACGAAAAGTAACTTCTTGTTGCCATTCAATAAGGAGAAAACAACAATAAACACCTTCCAACGGAAAAGCAGCTTATTGGGAACAGTGCATACTATTTGTTTTTGGCTAGGGTTCACTTTAAAAAAAACCAACAGGGTTTGACTTTTTAAATCCCTTAGTGTTGGCTGCTAATGGCTCACTGGTGATTCTCTCTCCAGGAGTTTCTCTAGGCTAAAGAGAATGGCCTTGCCAAAGGTTGTTCCCCTTGGGAGGGTGGAAGGCAGCACAGCCAAAGATGAATAATTATGTGGATAGAAAGGACTAACCCCCTTGCCTCAGTTGGGCTGAGCTGGGGGGCAGGACTCCCCATGGGATCTGCTGAGGTCTTTGTTATGACTGCATCACATCTGAACCTCTTGCTGTGCCCAGTCCTGCTTTCTTGGTTCTCTTACAGTTGTTTGTCCTCAAACATATTCCCCAATAAACTATTATATGCATCTCCATTTTAGGGTTTTTTTCCTGGTAATCCTGACCTATGAAAGCCTTCTGGGTCTGGAATGCACATTAAAGCAAACACAAACCAACCAACCAACCAAAAACAAACAAAAAACGAACAACGACAACAACAAAAACCCAACAATCTAAAAGCCAGGACACAGAAAACAATTAAAAACTAAAAAAACCCATTAATCTGCCCCATCATTTTAACACAGTAGCTCTAGTATTCTACAGAGAGATATCCAAAAGTGACACTCAGTACAAAATGGAACCCCATACACCCTAGGATTTTACTTTTAGAACCAAAATGAAGGTTGAGGAATCTTTTCACCGGCTGGGCATGGTGGCTTATGCCTGTAATCCCAGCACTTTGGGAGACTGAGGCGGGCAGATCACAAGGTCAAGAGATTGAAACCATCCTGGCCAAAATGGTGAAACCCCATCTCTACTAAAAATACAAAAATTAGCTGGGCGTGGTGGCATGCGCCTGTAGTCCCAGCTACTTGGGAGGCTGAGACAGGAGAATCACTTGAACCCGGGAGGCGGAGGTTGCAGTGAGCCGAGATTGCACCATTGCACTCTAGCATGGTGACAGAGTGAGACTCCATCTCAAAAAAAAAAAAAAGAATCTTTTCACCAATCCCACCTTCATCCACCTCCATGTTACAGTTTAAAAGATAAATGAAGCTTAGAAAAAGTAAATAACTTAGTCATAGTCACCCAGCTATTTGAAAGATTAGGACTGAGTGCTGAATCCAAAACATCACTATAAAACATAGCACAGGTCATATCAAACTTTTGTTAAATTAAAAATGCTTTTATGATGCATACTATGTGCAATAAAGTGCTTAAGCCAGAAATGCTAGGTTCTCCCATCCCAATTTTAGAGTTAGTAATATATAACTACTACCTTTAAAAATATAATAAAAGAAATCTTGACTGGTTGCAGCCAACACTTTTGGAGGCCGAGGCGGTGGATCACCTGAAGTCAGGAGTTCGAGACCAGACTGGCCAACGTTGCAAAACCCCATCTCTACTAAAAAAATACAAAAATTAGCCAGGCATGGTGGCACGCACCTGTAGTCCCAGCTTCTCGGGAGGCTGAGGCAGGAGGATTGCTTGAACCCGGAAGGTGGAGGTGCAGTGAGCCAAGATCACACCAGTGTACTCCAGCCTGTGTGACAGAGCAAGACTCTGTCTCACAAAAAAAAAAAAAAAGAAAAAAAAAGAACTCTTAAATATCATACATAGAAACAAATATTATACTCTGCGTGAACTGAATCATGCTTGACTTCACTTATTTTAACCAAGTAGTGGCTTTTATACATTCACTTGAAACTGTTCACACAGTTTTAGGCAACACATCTTCTCTCTTTCTGCCATCCTGTCCTAATTTTAATTTAAATTTAACCACATTACATAATAAATTGTTTATTTTATTTAAAAGGAACCATTTCAAGTATGCCTTACAGAGCCCTGAGAGCTCTTTTTCCCTCCAATCCAATTAGCTTGGTTTAGAAATGGGGATCTCAAAAACTGAAAGATAATTCAGTCACAAAAGGGAAAACCTTCCCCTCCATGATTCTGATCCACTACTCCCCACCCCGTCCACCCCCAAAACCCCTGTCCTCCATCAAGAGGTTAAAGGACCATGGCCTTCTGTTTCATGAGATGGATTAACATTGCTGGGCTGCTCAGAAGGAGAAAGGACTTTCCAAGCTGTAACATGCTGGACGTGTTGAGAGTGCATGGTAATGTAACACCATATTTTTTAATACAACTGACAGTCTGTCTTGAGATTTAAGTGTTTTTTGACAGTTTTTATGCACCTGTTAATTCAAAGCTCTTAACATATGCCAGTTAAAAAGAGCCAGGCACTAAAACATCTAGCTTTAGAGGCTAAATATGGCTCAGCTGCAATTCCAGGCAGGCAGGCAGGTGGAGGCAGGCAGGCAGGTGGAGGCAGGCACGCAGAGGCAGGCAGGCTGACGGAAACAATTCCTTCCTCCAAGATGGAAATCAGTTGTAGCTGCCTCTCTGTAACCTGAACAAACCATTTCTAGGTGGGGTGGTTGGAAACACCATTTTATTTCTCAAGGAACAGTTATCAGAACCAACTCGGGTCTTCAATGTGTTTGGTTACTCTGGATAGTGTTCTGTTGTGTTCAGATGGAGAATCGGGATTTGGAAAGACATTTATGTTCATCATGGATGCTCAAGGTGGTACTTGAGCCTCCTTGGGCCTTAAGTCTGTTTAATATAGCTATCTATCTGTCCTCTGCTCCACATCACTCCTCCACACCCACCCACACCCAGAAAAAGTGGGGGCAAATGCCCAAATTTTTCCAAAGCTGACTCCATGGTTTTTAAGGAATAAGGCCATGCATTTGCCTATAACACAAAGCAATATTTCTGGTATAAAAGAAATAATTCTTATGAACCTTAAATTAGGATGATTAAGGGATATTCATTTTAGCACTAGCCTCTGGCCAAAGGATAAATATCTCTCCATGCGTTCTAAGGACCTTGTAGTCAAAGCGTTAAAGCAGGATAGGATGGAAGCTGAATAAGCATTTGCTTTTATTGTTCTCTGAGACTATCTGGAGCAAGGTGTGGATTTGATAGATTTCAAACATCTGGTACATTCCACTTTTGAGGTTCCAGAACAATGCTGTTCAACAGAAATACAATGCAAGTTGCAAATGTAAACTATATATGTAATGTAAAAATTTCTAGTAGCCACATTTTAAAAAGTGAAAAGAAACAGGTGAAGATAATTTTAACATGTGTTTATTTAACTCATATCCAAATATTATCATTTAAATGTGTAATCAACTAATGAGGTATCTCACATTTTTTTTTTGTGCTAAGTCTTTGAAATCCAAGGTCTATTTTGCACTTACGCACATCTCAGTGTGAACTAGCCACATTTCAATTTCTTGATAGCCACATATGGCAAGGGCGGTTCTAAAATGTCAGCCATGAAAATATTCAAACAAATGAAAAATAATACTTAACGACCCTGAGCAATATTACTACAAGCCAGATAATGGCTAGGAGACTTGTAGAGAATTCAGCAGCTTTTTCTTTTCTTTTACCACCTATGATAGCACATTTTTGCCCCTTGTTTAAATGTTCTTCCTGGCTTTACAGTGATGATCATCAGATTCAAAGTAAAGACCTATAGAAAAACAGAGTTATCAAAAAGTGACATGAGTCACCTCACAGATGGAAAAATGAGTATTTGAGCAGAGTCTAAATGAAGATCTATAGAGTTGCTATGATGGATTCTGTACTATGTGATTCAGTAGCATAAGGCAGTATACACACAGCAGTTAAGAGCTTGGGATTTAGCCAAGAGGACCCGGGTTTGAATCTCATCTCCATTATTTGTGTAGTGGAATTTTTTTTTTTTTTTTTTTTTTTTACCATTTTGAATCTTCATTCCCTCATCTGTAGAACAGAAATAAGTACTTCATAACATTGTAATGAGAAATAAATGAAATAATTTATCTATGGCTCACACCACAATGCTAAAAAAATCATGGTATGATGATTATTATTACAGCGCAAAAACCTGTTTATGGATATTTGGTACTAAAGGTAAATTTCAGAGTAAGACATTTTTCATCATGTCTCCTATAACTTCTACAATTACACGACTCTCTCGTGATCTAATATAATAGCTATGGCATAGCAAGACCACCAATTATCAAAGACAGCTGAAAACCGGACATTAGAATGATTTGCAACAAAATTGTTCACTGCAAAAATTGTTGTTTTGTTTTTAGGGTGGAAGAAACAATTAGCTTTTATTGAGTGTCAAGTTTTGTTTTGTTTTAATATTACCAAGCACTTTCTGTATCTTATCTTAAAACTTCCTTGATGTGGTGCTCATTTTAAAGGTAAGAAAATTGAAGTTCAGGGAAGTCAAGGAACACACAGCTAATATATCATGTAGTTAATTTGTGAATCCCAATCTGTCTCACTTTAATGCCCCTGCTATTTCCAATACATAGGAGGGGCCAGATTTGACTTTCCCTTATCCAGAACTTTCAATCAGTAGTAGAAATTGATAGAAATGGTATTTCAGTCAATATTACACTACAAACATTATGGTGGACTGTGTTTAAGATGCATGTCCTTCAGCTATCACTGTCTATCCTGGAAAAGGGATTAGTGCTGTACCCCTGGATCATCGCTGTTGTCCACATCACAGCTGCTTTGACTTTGTCTTCTAACTGCACCACTCAGAGTTTTAGCCCTTTGAGGAGCTCACTTCTTATGTAAAAAAAAAAAAAAAAAAAAAAAAAAAACTGGAAATGGGAACACAAATAGAACACGTATTTCAAGAGACTTCTCTCAAAGGCACAGAGAACTCAGACACTACACAAATGTTCTCAGGGGAAGAATGGCAGTTACCCTAGAGGTGGGAGCCATCAACTTTCCAGGTGTGTCTATCCTAACACAACTTGGTTAAGGTTGACACATGGAGGCAGGAGGAGGAGTGGAGTGTCAAGGGAGAAGCACAGAAAATAGATGCTTGAATGCTACCCTTTTGTATAGTCATTACTGTCATGATTAAACAGTATCAATGCCTTTACAACACATCTATCACAGAAGAAAACAAAAGTCTCTGGCAACTGTTCCGAGCATCTTTGCTTCATCAAATCTAGTTTCTGTAGAGTTGCAGGAAGGGGTCTAAATAAGAATGTTCACACTGTTGCCTTAACTTTCAGAGCAGTTAAAATCTGCCAGTGCTTTGATGATAGGGCAGAGGGAAATAATTAAGTTCAGACTACCTTTGTATTTCTTACCCTGAAGGTATTCAATGAGTTTAAGCAAACTTCCCTGTTTCCCTTGTGTTTATTCATTCCAGAAGAACTGTTTCTACAAATTATATATAATTACTCACTCCTGGTCAAAGGTGAGAGGGAAATTAGCATCACAATGGCAAGTTTTCTCTCTGGGTGTCGCCAGCTCACTAACTTCCATGGATGATTTGAGTGTGTTAAGCCCCTGCTTACTAGCAGGAAAGTTCAGCAGAGCCCATGAGGACAGCATTAACAATTCCTAATCATAGACAAGCATTTCAGACATTCATTACCACACAAGCCATCAGTGGATTAGATCTAATAAGCCAAATGCTTGCAGACCTCAGCCTGGAGGCTGCTTAGACTACTCAAAGTAATGCAGAATCAAAATTGGCCCGCAGTGCGCTCCGCCTTCTTTTGAAACAACTGCTCTGCTTTTGTTGAAATGGACTGAATGAAACAAGCAGAATGGTCCCTATCTCCTTATAAGGGGGTGTTAGGAACTGAGTTGAACAACAATAGACTGACACATTTGGGGTTTAGTATTCTTTTTGGTTAGAGACCATAGGAAATGATGTAGTGTTTCAACTCAATAAAACATCTTAAAACTGAAAACTGCGTTGTTAGAGGAGGCAGACTTTGCGGGGGTGGAGGGGGGAAGTGGGGGAATAGGGATGATTTCTTCATGATTTAAAAGAAGGAAAATAACTCATCTTTTTCAGTAAGAAGAATTTGCAAAATATTCTTCCAGAAAAAAAATAAAAAACTACACACACACACACACACACACACACACACACACGAATCTCTGAGATAGTTGCCAAGTACTTCTCTGAAACCACGTGAATTTTTCTCTCGTGCATTTGTCAGCCTGACTCCAAACCATTTTATTCTTTCCTCATTTCTCGTCTCTGTTCAGTCTGTTTTTGGTTAGTTGCTTCTTGGCATAGCTTCCGTTGGAGCTGAGAGTGCCTGTTCTTTTTTCTTCTTTTTTTCCTTTTCCTTTTCTTTTCTTTTTAAAAAACTTCTCTTTTGGTGTTCTTTCTTCTGGGCTCTATAGTGACTCTGCAAAAATTACCAAGATCAGAGCAAATAGAGTCTCTGGAGCCCACGCTGTCTGACTCCATCAAACCTGTATACAGCGTAGAAGGAGCCAGGCTCCAAAGAGTGGCACCGAGACATGTTTGGGAATAGAAATGCATGCCGCCTTTGACCACTTCTCTGTGAGAGTCTGCAGCTTTCCCAAAACCTTCTTTGTGAACAGACTTACTCAACACTGCCATGTTGTGTGGAGGACTTCCCTCAGAAGAATCCTTTGAGTTACTTTTTAAGAATTAGTTTTTAGACACCCATAGAATAGAAGTTTCTATATTCATTTATTTACTGAACTATGTTATGTTTTATTGGAACTCTTTTTAACTGGCCTTGTCACAGTATGTTTTGACTTGTGGAAAAACGAAAAGTACAGTCACACTAGCTATGTAACCACATATAGCCCTAAAAAAATGCTTGCTTTTTCTAAATCTAAGCAAACAATTTTGCATCTATACCTTTGTATATATATGGAGTAAGTTTTAAAGGGCATCATGAATATTATTCTGTACTATAAAGTGAAACACACTGTCAGGGTACATCTTTGTCCTCATCCTTCTTGTTTGGGGAACTTGAATGGATTTAAGGTGGTGTTATTATTTTCACTAATGTGTGATTAGACTTCAGAATGACTAACACCAGAAAATACTCATAAGTGTGCTTCAAATTAGCATGTAAGAAAAATAAGGCAAAGTCAATTTCTCTAACAAATTGAGAGTTAGTTAAACTTGAATTAGCCCTGTAGTCTAATAGGACAGTAGAAACTGAACTATTTCTTCCTGTCTAGACCTGCTCAAGTTCATGGACAGTCTGTATTTTTGAAAAACTTACCCGTGCAGCAGGAAGCTCACTCTATCTTCAGGTCACACTTAAAATGAAGAGATTCTTTTCCTGTATCAGAAAATTATTTTCAGAGATGTGAAACACAGGGCTATTTGCTGATGATGTGCATGGGATTTATGAACAAAATCAAAATTCTATAGAATTATGTATAGAGTTTTTAAAAATAGCATGTTAGTTTCAGGAACCAAAAATAAAGAAATTAACACACACAAGTGCAAAGACTGATGTGGGAGAAAATTACCTCAAGATATAAGAAAAGAGATGTGAACTGGAATGACTTGGTTTGGCTACCTGTAAGGAAAAATGTCCAAACTTTCCTGTCTTTAGTTATGCAGCCTGGAGAATGTCATTTCAATCACTTCTGCAGTTGCTCCACTGAGGACTTTTGAAATGCTCCTTGTCTACAGATGACAGGCTCCCTCAGCAGAGAGGGAACAGAGCTTGTGGCTGTATCTACATGATTCCAAACATCTGGATTAAAAACTGAAAACATGAGGCCTGTGCCTCGATGATTTTCAAACACCTTGCTTTTGGCATTGTAAAGGGAAACAATCCAGATAGCTGGCTAGATGTTTCAGTTTTCATTCTGATATTTGTCATTGTGAAATTATAGTCGATGACTAGATAAATGTATGTTCTCTCCACCAAAAGAAGAAAAAAGTTATACATGTATACAATAGCTGGTCCAAGAGAAGTAAATTATAAAAAAAACCTTACAGCTAAATCACGGTGCCATGGTCACCTATGTGTCCTTATACACAAACACATAAACACACACGTATGTACACACATGCTTAAACGCCGACAAAAAAAATCCAGCTAGACCAGACTTCCTTCTCTATTTTCAGTTATTTGATGAGATATTTCAAGTTTACATATTTACAAAGAGAAATCATGTATTTCTGCAGTTTTATTCTCAGAGGAGCTTCAACCAGATAGCGCCTATGAGAATAAAGTGGCAAATACATGATTTCTCTTTGTAAATCAGCAAACCATTTTTCCTTCTATTACTTGTATTGCTGTGGTTTTAGTTATGTGCAGAATATATTTTAAAGGAACTGCTCAAGTTCATAATGCTCTGAATCTCTGTTATCTTAGTGATCATGTGGATGCTGAAATACAGTAAATCAATGTGCAAAAAAAATTCTAGCTTTAGTTTCTAAAATATTCTTAACTTTTTACAGTTAAGTAAAAATACAGATCCAAAAATATGTGATTCATAATCTTAAATTAATGGATCCAAAATCAAGATGATGAGAATATCTTTTGTTTTGGTAGCATGATATATTTGCCAAGTGACTTACCTTGATTTTTATTAATTAGGAAATGGAGAAATGAGGGAATGCATTGAAAGTGAAGAACTACATTACAGTTGACTTTTTAAAAATGGATTTTAATGATTTCTAAAATAAACGGAAAAGGAAATATTTAAACTGTTTGAGAAAAGCTGCTTTCAAGAGGCACATAGTATATACTACGGACTTTTTCCATGAGACCGGCATTCTCAGAAATTCTCCTGGCTATAAGCATATTCATAAAGCTCAGATCAGTAGAGACATATTTGTCACATCCTATCTTGTTATCATCTCAGTCATTCATTTTTCAGCAATAATTCCTCCTCCTATTTCCTCAGTTTTTAAGGGCAACTGCCTCTAGATTATACATATATAAATGGTATTCATTTCCAAGATATTTAATGTCATAAATAACGTCATTTTAAGATTAGAAAGAACTGGCATTTTCAAGACAATGCCCTTGAATTATCAATGCAAAGACATATGTGCTTAAGTAAAATTGTAATTATATGGGGTTATCTATGAAGTTATAAATTACAGTGTTTGAGAAAACATTTGAAATGAGTGCTGAGAAACTGTACAATTAAATACAAATGGAAGGCCTTTGAACATGTTCAGATTAGTGTAAATGGCTTCACAGATATAGATTTCATGTTTTTGTTTTAATAGCAATAAAATATTTTGTTTGTGTACATTCATTTTAAAACCGTTTTAAAAGCATAGCATATATAACATTTATGCACATGTTTACCATACATTTAAAGAGAGATTTTAATGAGGCATGGCTGGAAATCCATAAAGGTTTGCATGTCAACACTAGTTCCATTATAGAAAATATTTTCCTTCCCCTATTTCATTTCTAAAAATATAAAATGTCTGGTGAGTATGGAGGGCAAGAGAGAAGAAGTGCTTTGAATAAATATATACAGATTTTGAAGGTGGATTGACTTTCTTTCTCTCCTTTTTCCTTATTCTTTCTACCGAGAAAAGAATAAATGCATTTGTGGCAAAATTACACAGAAAAGATGTAGGATGCAACGTCACAACAGTGATAATGTAGGGATGCTGTTAGCAGCTCAGCACTCCTCTAACACTTGGGGACCTTTAGCACATCTTCGGCATATTTGCTAAGTTGGATAAATTTTTGAAAATGTACTTGTTAAAACTTCAGAATGTAGAGTTTTGTAATTTTGCACAAGGAAAATTAAATTGGTTGCAAACTAAATATTGTTATAGAAGACAAATGTATAAAAACCAAAAGCCAGGAAGGCGGGAAGGGGAAAGGAAGGAAGGAAGGAAGGAAGGAAGGGAGGGAGGGAGGGAGGGAGGGAGGGAGGAAGGAAGGAAGGAAGGAAGAGGAGAAGGAAGACAGGGAGGGAAGCGGGGAAGGAAGAATATATACAATGGGAATAGTATGGAAATAGAGGGAGAAATAACTTGGGGGAAGGTCAAAGAGCACAAAGTGAAAATCAGGATCAAAAGGGTCTGATAAAAGAATCGGACATAAACTGTAAAATATGGAAACTGAGTA
This sequence comes from Homo sapiens, assembly GCF_000001405.40. NCBI lineage: Eukaryota > Metazoa > Chordata > Mammalia > Primates > Hominidae > Homo > Homo sapiens. The sequence goes on from NC_000001.11 coordinate 170,591,015, forward strand.
AACATCGCAAATATGCCCTTAACAAACCCCAGTTCTGCAGGCTCTTCTGCTGCCACACAAAAGTGTATTTTTCAAGAAAATTGGTTACAGCAGTTACCGAGCCTTCCAACAGCAGCATGTAGAAATAAGGCAGTGAATTTAAAGGGGCTCTTCGCAGAGCTACATTCTATACCTTTCCAGTTCCTGCCCCTTTCTCCTAACCATATGGAATCCATCTCGTTCAAGGACTTAGACTAGGAGAGGGGCTTGAGGAAACTAGGGCTGCTGCTGGCTCTTTTAACGGCATGCCGTAGGAAAGTTTTATTTCCAATTGATTGGTTACAAATCAGATAAATATCGCGTCTAATGAAAGCAGCTTTGAACTGCTGGAAATGTTATCTATAGGAGTCTGGGGTTTATCAAAAGTCAAACGTAGCTTTAATCACATCAACATGCTAATTACAGGCAAACAATAAAAGCTTTAAGAAATGATTGTGTGGGTTTTATTACTATTGACAGTCACTGAGGTATATTTATTTCGGGAGGTAATTGTCAGAAGACTTTCTCCAGAAAGACTTGTTTGTATAATTAAGTGCGTGTTATGCAAGCTTATCTGCTGATCGGCTCCTGCTAGTTATGTAGTTCCCCCAATGCCTCAGAACACAGGAGCAATTAAGAGAAAGGCTCAGGAAGATGGTTTTTCAGTAGTTCATTTGTAAGGGATAAAAAATAAATAAATAAATGAGTGAATATGCCCTGAAAAACAGAGTGTACTAGAATAGGAAATGTCACTAAAAATTAATGAATAAGAACAATAAAGAAAAGTAGAAAACTCTTCATAATCAGTGAGGCAAAAATAGAAAAAAAAATAGAATGGAGCTAATATAGTTTAATTTAGAGTGCAAATTGGGGGATGGGAGGGCAGGAATTTTCTATTTTGTGTACAAAAGATCATTCAATGGGATGGGGCAATCCAATCTAAAAATATATATGATGAAAATGAGGCAAAGTGGAAAATAACAATAAATGGCTACATATGCTCCAGTACCACTGATTTTATTATTTTATTGTGGATTTATGACATAATTCTCCGAGGTGCCTAATTTAAAAATAAGAGTCTTTAGTTCTAAAAGTTCGGTAACATAATTCCAAATCTATACAGCCACAGATGGTTTTCTATCCAAATAAACAACAAAGGCAAATTTACTGTTGCTGCCCTGAACAGTTTTTTTCTTCCAGGCCAGGATGCTTGAAACATACATTTAAAATATTTTTCCATCTTATTTTTAATGACAGACTGACTGCATTGTGACTGAACTAGAGAGGGAAAAATAAACTTTTCTAACTATAAACTATTTTTGTGCCATAAAGAATCATTCAACTCTAAAAGGGAAAAACCCCAATTTAAAAAATATCATTATTATTTTGAAAGGTGTTGGACTGGATTTAATTCTTTTCATTCCCAAATATTGGCATCAGTTCAGTTTTCATTTCACTGAATGCAATTAAAAATGTGGCAAATCCTTGATCAATTTTTTACCCTTAAACAGGGTCAGTTCTGAAGTTGTTGTCACATTTTAATGGGTTCAGACTCAGTTTATGCAAGAGACAATCAAATGTTTGCTTTTAAAAGCCCTATAAAAACTAAGAGCTTTTAACCTTTTGAATGCGTTAATAAAATGCTAATGACATCATGGCCAAGACCACATTTGGAGGTCCCAAAAAATTCCAAATGACTGTTGTGAAAAGAAAACAGAATTTTAATCAAATGATCTGTTATTTTAATGGCCACTTACAAAACAGGAGATTTATTGAGAAGCATAAAGTTTGTTTGCATGAGTGAAGGCAAAGCTTTTAAGAATTACCTTCTGGTTTTCCCCCTCAGTTTCTTGCAACATAATACTACCAAATATTTGTGAATTGTGACTCAAGTCTGCAGTCTTATTTCTCACAGAAAATAAAAGGGAGGCTGGAGGAAAAAAAAAAAAAAAGTGGTGCCAATTTGTCTGCCCAGGCTCTGATTATTGGATGCAGAATTTTTTTTTTTCTTTCAGGAGAGAAGGATTTGGTGGGAATGTTTCTCCCTTCAGGGTGAGATATCTGATATCCATCCCGAGACCAGTCATAAGGCCAAACTTTCATGCAAAACTGCACGAGGGGAAAAAAATTAAGCTTTGGGTAAAATTCTCATCTGAATTTGCAGCAGATCTCTAGTTTCCGCTGGGCAATTATGGCTCTTTTTACCATTTCTGATTGCAAAACACATTGATTATTTTTAAAAGTTATTTCAGATAACTTGAGAACCTTCTATTCTTATCCCCTTCCCCCAACTCTTCCTCCTCTTTGAGTCTCTGTTCCTCATTTCTTTCTCTCCTGTCTAGAAGTGCTATCCAGTGACCCCTGGTGCTGATTAAAGTTTCTCGGGTGACCCCTGAATGCATTTTATTACACTGGCTGATCATAAAACCTGCTTAAACTGCTGGCTTATCCAAACCCCTTCTTCTGTGGAAAGCCCCATAGTCAGTCTAACCTCAGACTGGGAAAACACGAACAAGCAAACCAAGGAAGGGCAGAGAAGGCTTGGAGACAATCTTTGTCAATATCAGGGAGCACCCTGGCAGATGGGAAGAAAAAACTTAGACAGACACTTGGCAAACGTCCTGGAAGAAGTCAATTTAGTACTAATGTAGGTGTAGGTGGGACATGACATGGAAAAGTAGAAACACAGGGAAATAGGTGTTCTGTTCTTTTCGTAAAATGGATATCACAACATTGAAATAGCTCACAAAGTGAAAGTAAGGCATAACTAACACAGATTAGCATAAGGCATCTTTGGAAACAATGTACTCCTAAGATGAATACCAGAAAAACATTTGCTTGGCTTCTGGAAGCAACATGAGGTGACTAAAAGCCTTAGTATATTTATGTATTTACTATATCTTGGTAAAAAAAATGCATTATTTTATTTCTATGGCTTAAAGGAAATCAACTTAAGTTAGCTTCAATTTAGCTGTTTGTTTCCTAGGCTGCCAGGTGTTAAAGGGAGACAGAAATCTGTAATATTCACCATCGTCCATGGATGGAATTTCTGTGGCAGGGATAACGCATAGTAATGCTTGTAGGGGAGGCCAAAGAAGTCAGCATTTGGAAGGAGAATGGAGCTACTGGGAACCCCAAGTTCCAAGGCCCTGGAATTTCCCTGGTCCTAAAACTGAATGTATACATGTGTGTCAAATCCCATTTGGCATTTGGACGTAAAAACTGTTTTAAATTCCATTCCCACTGGCAAAGTCTTAAAATAAATCAGCAGGGTTGATTCTGATCCCTGAGCCAGAGTAGAATACGGTCTGGTTGTTTGCTGAGAGATGTCCATCTGTTTGGTTGTTAGCAAAGTGCTGCCTTTACCTCACAGGCCACAGGATGAAGATCTGAAGCACATCGTTAGCCCCTGGCAGCTGTCTGGCCAACGTCAGCAGAGATTCACAGAGGCAAAAGGAAGACACACCTTTCCCACATTTCCTTGGTCAGGCCCCCACTGAAATGTGACTGCAAGGCTAAAACAGGTCCAAACTCTGCCAGAGCCCCTGGCATCCATAATCCCCATGATGACAGAGTCCCAAAGAGCTGGGTATTTTTTCCAGTAGTGCCGTGGTCTACAGCCTCAATCATTCTCATACTAGCTAGAATCCTGACTTAGGCAAAATCAAGGGCCCAAAGTGAATCATTGACTTTTTCATTGGCATCTGATAATTAAAAAGTGATTTGTGATAGTTAATCTTGTAATGGTTTCCTTTGTTTTTTCAAGTCCTTAGAAAATTTACTGCATCAATCACCCTTTTATTCAAACAAATAAATACAAAATAATCATGAATTTAACAATTAGAGACTAGGAGTACCCCCCTTTACCTGTTTATCTTTTTCATGTAGTAACTAAGCAAAACTCAAGCATTCCTTCAAAGACACTGTTAGGAGAAACTGGTGTGTTTGTCAATACCTATAATGAACTTGGTGAGTTATGCTTTATTTATTTCGGTCTTGACCCAATTTAATTAATTTAGAGATATTTTCATAGTGGATGATAAATCTGATAGCCACTGATTTAACAAGAATTTTTAGATTTTTCATATGCAACTACTTTCTATGGTTAGAGTATATTTTATAGACAGGAATGCTAGGAAGAGTCCGTTAAACACATTATGCCTGAAGAAGCCTACGTCACACTGGGTACAAGACTTTACTAGGTTGCTGTTGCTGCTGTTGATTAAGATCTACTGACCTAGGCACTTTACAGATGTGAACAGTTCTTACTATAACCCTATGAAATCTACATACTTATTCCCTATTTATAGATGAGGAAACTAGGGCTTAGAGAAATTAGATAATTGCCTGAGTTCCCATAGCTAGTAAGTGGTAGAGTCAGGAATTTAACCCTGGACAGTCTGATCCTGTGCACTGCCTTTGGTTCCAAGTCACTCCATACTCAACATCCTTAATCAAGTTTGCTGAGTCCCAAACAGAGTTCATATAAGGAAAAGATCTCAGGTGATAAACAAATATACATTTTATTGATTATTTTATTTTTTCAACATGTTAGGTCTAGTATCTATTTTAAACCACAACACCAGGTAATTTCCTTTATGAAAACTTCCTGAGTAAACTACCTTATACTCCACTAGATAATTGTATTTATCACCACTTCTTTTCTCAGTGTAATTTTTTTCAACTTTTAAGTTCTATGTATTTTAGTTGATTATATGTGGAATGTCTTCTTAAAGGAAATAATACATTTTTCTTTAAATAAGTTTGTTCTGTGCCTTTAGACAGAAGCTCTAAGATAGAAAGCAGGTGCCATAAGTTCCAGAACTCCAGACAGGTTGGAGTTCAAGTAGAAGCAGGCAAACAGAAAGGATGGTAGGCCAGAACCAGTAGTTAGTCTTCTATGCATTTGATCCAAAAAGAAAAATAGTGAGTAAAGTGGTGGGAGTGACAGAGGCAAGCAAGGTAAGATATAAAATGACCAAGTAAACACATTTCTTAGAATCTAGGCTAGAAAAAGATGTAATGAGGGAAAAGTTATATGTAGGAAAATATTCACAATAGAAAAACTTTAAAAACATTGAAAATGTTCCAAATTGGGAAAATGAGTAACTAAACAATGACTCATAATATGAAATATTATACAATTACTAAAGTGATAATATACTATAAAGTGAATAAATTGTAGCAAATGTCTTTACACTATTATTACTCTAGGTGAAAGGTATATGCAAATGGACAAAGACTGGAAAAGAATGTATAGAACCTTTCAAAGCTGCTCTAACAGGGATATTGGTTAGAAATCCTTTTTCACAATTGTTCAATATTTCCATAGTATTGCTATAAAGCTTTAATTATACAATACAATATATACAATATAGTAAACAATAATATATTTACTATGCATATGCAGGTCTGTGAAGACCAAATACTTTCTTTGTCTAGCTGAGGATATCTTTACTTTGGCTTCCTTTTTGAAGAACAATTTTGCTGGATATAGAATTCTTGGTTAATAGTTATTTTTCTCTTTCAGCACTTTGTTTTTTATTGTTATTATTTTATTTGTATTTTATTTTTGGAGACAGGATCTCATTCTGTTGCCCAGGCAGGAGTGCAGTGATGCAATCTTGGCTCACTGCAGCCTCAACCTCCCGAGCTCAAGTGATCCTCCCACCTCAGCCCCCCAAGTAGCTGGGACTACAGGTGCCCGCCACCATGCCCATCTAATTTTTGCATTTTTTTGTAGAGACAGGGTTTTGCTATGTTGCTCAGACTGGTCTCGAACTCCTCTTTCAGCACTTTGAATATGACATTTCACTGCCTTCAGGCCTCCAATGTTTCTACTGAGAAATGAGTCTTCACTCGTATTGACGCTGCTCTGTACATAATGAGTCACTTTTGCTACTTTCAAGATTTCCTGTTTGTCTTTCAATAGCTTGTATCTATATGGATTTTTAAAATTTATGCTACTTGGAGTTTAATAAGCTTCAATGTTTTTCATCAAATTTGGGAATTTTCTGGCCATTAATTCCTTAAATATATTTTCGGTATCATTATCTCTCTACTGTCCTGCAGGAAATCTTACTGCATATATGTTGGTATGCTTGATCATGCCTCATGTGTTTTTGAGATTGAATATTTTCCTTTAATCATTTTCTTTCTGTTGTTATGGGATAAATTTTATTGATTAATTTTTAGATTCATCAATTTATTTCTTCTGCTATCTCAACTCTGCTGTTAAACCCCTCTAGTGGATTTTTAAATTTTTTCAGTTATACTCTTTAACTCAAAATTTCTCATTTGGTCTTTTTTTTAAGCTTATTGAAAATCTTCATTTGTCAATTCATTGTTGACATACTTTGCTTTAGTTCTTTAAAGATAGTTTACTTAAGTACTCTGAACATATTTATAGCATATTATTTGAAGCATTTGCTTCCTAAATTCAAATTCTGGAGACAGGGCATTCTGAGATAGTTTCTGTTGGTTGCTTATATTTTTCCTGAATGGGTCACACTTTTGTATTTCTTTGTACATATTATCATTGTTTGTAGCAACTCTAGATGCTGATATTTTTGCCCTGAAGGTTGTTGCTGTTGTTCCCTTTTGTTTGTTTATTCTTTGTTTAATAAATTACCCAGGCTAAATTTGTGAAATCTGACTCCCCTATAGTGTGTGGTCACAAATATCTCTGGCCAGTTTAGTTTTTTTGTTTGTTTGTGTGTTTTCTTTTAGTTCTTATTTTGACTTTCAAGACCGAACTCCTAGGGGTTGTCCCTGCACTTGTGTAGCCTCAGGCAATGATTAGACAGAAGTCATGCTCAAATACCTCAAGCCAGTAAGTCTTCTGACCTCTGCAAATTAATCTGTTGGTAAGGGAGCACCTTTAAAATTCAGTATATTTTGAAGTCTGTCCCAGGTTTTACTTTTCACCAAGTCCTTTCTGGCCTCCTAAATGCAGGTACACATTGTCAGGGTCAGCCAGGAGCACATAAATAATTTGGCCCCTCTCCAGTCTTCACGGCACATGTGTAAAGCTAGGAAAAATATTGTGCCAATTATGACTGAAATCTCAAGCCTGTGGAGCCAAGTTATTGGCCCTCCCCTACTGTCCCACATCCCTGAAGTCACTTATTCTGACAATGCCATTGGGGTAGGTACCACCCACTTCTCCAGGCTGCCAGAAAGAGTGCTAGTTCCATGGCTTGCCCATCCCTGGCAGAGCCTTCATGCTCACTGAGCTGGGGGAACAGGATAGGAGGAGCCCCACGCCAGAGTGCTATGAATTCCCACTTTCTTTACCTGAAATTCAGCTTTTTCAAGACTGAACACTTCTCAGATTGTTATATGCCTTTGGCCAATTTCCATAAACCAAAATGGTTGTTTTTGTCAATTTTCTCCAGCTTAGGTTGCTTCTCTCAGAGAGGATTTGTCACTCTCCTCACTTGGCCGTAACTAGAAGTCAATCATATTTACTTTACAAAAAGTCTTAACATTTATTCACATAATTTCCATTATTGATGCTCTTCATCCCTTTATTTAGATCCAGATTTCCATCTGGACTAGTTTCTTGTAATGTGGGTCTGATGGTGATAAATTCTTTCAGATTTTGTGTCTGAAAATGTCTTTATTTCACTTTTGATTTTGAAAGATATTTTGACTGAATAAAGAATTCTGTGTTTGACAGGTTTATTTTTTCCTTTCAGTACAGTCATGCACTGCATAACAATGTTTCAGTCAACAACAGACTGCATATAAGATGGTGGTCCCATAGATTATAATGAAGCTGAAAAACTATCATCTAGTGATGATGTCATAGTGAAACACATTACTCGTGTTTGTGGTGCTGCTGGTGTAAGCAAATCTGCTTTATAAACTTTATAAAGTAAAAAGATTATAGAAAGCTAAGGCTAATTTATTATTGAAGAAAGATAAGTATTTTAAAATACTCACCCAGAGAAACTTCCAGTCCTGCAAGCTTCATTTATGGTAAGTGCTCTCTACAGATGTGCTATTTTAAAAATCTTTTCTCCTGTATTTTTACTGTATCTTTATCTTTTCTCAGTTTGAATATGTTTAGATGCACAAATACTTATCATTGCATTACAGTTGTCTATGGTGTTCAGTACAGTAACATACTGCACAGGTTTGTAGTCTAGGAGCAGTAAGTTATGCCATATAGCCTATGTGTGTAATAGACTATACCATCTAGGTTTGTATAAGTGCACTCTGTGATGTTCACACAATGACAAAACCCCCTAAAAATGCATTTCTCAGATTGTGTCACCATTGTTGAATGATGCATTATTGTAATTTAAAGATGTTGCTCCACTGCCTTTTCACTTTCATTACTTTGATGAAAATGTACTATCATCCTTATGGTTGTTCCTTTGTAGGTAATATGCCTTCTTTGGCTGCTTTAAGATTTTTTTCTATTATTATTTTGAAGAAATTTAAGTATGATAGTTCTTGGTGTAATTTTCTTCATTTGTTTAGCTTTTTGGATCTGTAAGCTTATAGTTTTCATTCAATTTGGAACTGTTTTGGTCATTATTTTGGCATCACAGTGTCCCTCCATATCTGCTGGTTCTACATCTAAGTGTTCAATCAACTGAAGATAAAAAGAACAATAAAAATAATAATACAACAATAAAAAAGAATACAAATGAAAAACAATACAGTATAACAACTATTTGCATAGTATTTACATTGTATTATATTATATATCTAATATATATTGTATTATATTAGTTAATATAATGTAAATTACTTATAATATGGAGATGACTTAAGTGTATGGGAGAATGTGCATAGGTTATATGCAAATACTATGACATTTTATATAAGATACTTGAGAATTCTTAGATTTTTGGTATCTTAGTAGGGATTTCTGAATAGAGAAATCTCCTCGGATACAGAGGGATGACTGTATTCCTTCAGTTTTTTTCTGTCCTCCCTGCCCTTAATACTTTGGGGACTGGAATTATGTGTATATTAGCCTGCTTGAAGTTGTTACACAATTCATTAAAGCTCTGTTTGTCTTTTTTGTTTTAGTATTTTATTTTTCTCTGTGATTTATTTTGGATAGTTTCTATTGCTGTATCTTTAAGTTCACTACCAATCTTTTCCTCTGCAATGTTTAATCTGCCATTAATCCTGTCCATTGTATTTTTCATTTGGGTCATTGTTTTCATCTTTAGAAGTTTAATTTGGTTCTCTTTTATATCTTTCATGTTTCTAATTAACATGTTTAATTTTTCTTCTAGCTTTTTAAACATCTGGAATTCTGTTATAATTGTGTTAATGACCTTGTCTACTAACGCTATTATCTGTGTCATTTATGTGTTAGTTTTGACTAATTGGGTTTTTCAAATACCATATTATCAATCATATGAGTTGCAAGACTGATAATATTTTTTATTGGATGCCAGATATTATGAATTTTACCTCTCTCAGAGCTGAGATTTTTTATTCCTATAAATATTTTTGAGTCTTATTTTAGGACATTGTTAAATTATTTAGAAACAGTTTAACCCTTGAGCTTTATTTTAGGACATTGTTAAATTATTATTATTATTGTTATTGTTATTTTCAAGATAGGGTCTTACTCTGTCACCCAGGCTGGAGTGCAGTGGAGTGATCTTGGCTCACTTCAACCTCCACCTCCTGGGTTCAACTGATTCTCTGCCTCAGCCTCCTGAGTAGCTGGGACTACAGGTGCATGCCACCACTCCTGCCTAATTTTTGTATTTTTAGTAGAGATGGGTGTATTAGTCCGTTTTACACTGCTGATAAAGACATACCAGAGACTTGGCAATTTACAAAAGAAAGAAATTTAATGGACTTTCAGTTCCATGTGGCTGGGGAAGCCTCACACTCATGGTGGGAGGTGAAAAGCCCTGTCTCACACAGCAGCAGATAAGAGAAGTGTTGTGCAGGGAAATTCTCATTTTCAAAATCATTAGATCTCATGAGACTCATTCACCATCACAAGAACAGCACAGGAAAGACCCTCCCCCATAATTCAATCACCTCCCACTGGGTTCCTCTCACGACATGTAGGAATTGTGGGAGTTACAATTCAAGATGAGATTAGGGACACAGTCAAACCATATTGTTTCATCCCTGACCCCTCCCAAATCTCACGTCCTCACATTTCAAAACCAATCATACTTCCCCAACAGTCCCCCAAAGTCTTAACCCAAATTCCACAGTCCAAAGTCTCATCTGAAATAAGGCAAGTCCCTTCCGCCTATGAGCCTGTAAAATCAAAAGCAAGCTAATTACTTCCTAGATACAATGGGGGTACATTGGTTTTGGGTAAATACAGGTATTACAGGTATTGGGTAAATACAGCCATTCCAAATGGGGGAAATTGGCCAAAACAAAGGGGTTACAGGGCCTATGCAAGTCTGAAATCCAGCGGGGCAGTCAAATTTTAAAGCTCCAAAATGATTTCCTTTGACTCCAGGTCTCACATCCAGGTCATGCTGATGCAAGAGGTGGGTTCCCATGGTCTTGGGCAGCTCTGCCTCTGTGGCTTTGCAGGGTACCGCCTCCCTCATAGCTGCTTTCAGGGGCTGGCATTGAGTGCTTGTGGCTTTTCCAGGTGCATGGTGCAAGCTGTCAGTGGATCTACCATTCTGGGGTCTGGAGGATGGTGGCCTTCTTCTCACAGCTCCACTGGGTGGTACTCCAGTAGGGACTGTGCTTGGGGGTTCCAACCCCACATTTCCCTTCTGTGCTGCCCTAGCAGAGGTTCTCCATGAGGAACCTGCTCCTGCAGCAAGCTTCTGCCTGGTCATCCAGGTGTTTCCATACATCTTCTGAACTCTATGAAAAGGTTACCAAACCCCAGTTCTTGACTTGTGTGTACTCACAGGCTCAACACCACATGGAAGCTGCCATGGTTTGGGGCTTGCACCCTCTGAAGCCACAGCCAGAGCTCTATGTTGGACCCTTCAGCCATAGCTGGAGCAGCTTAGATGCAGGACACCAAGTCCCTAGGCTGCACACAGCATGGGGACCCTGGGTCCAACCTGTGAAACCATTTTTTCCTCCTAGGCCTCTGGGCCTGTGTTGGGAGGGGCTGCCATGAAGGTCTCTGACATGGCCTGGAGACATTTCACCATTGTCTTGGGGATTAACATTCGGCTCCTTATTACTTATGCAAATTTCTGCAACTGGCTTGAATTTCTTCTTAGAAAATGCTATTTTATTTTCTATGGCATTGTCAGGCTGCAAATTTTCTGAACTTTTATGGTCTGTTTCCCTTATAAAACTGAATGCCTTTAACAGCACACGAGTAACCTCTTGAATGCATTGCTGCTTAGAAATTTCTTCCACCAGGTACCCCAAATCATCCCGCTCAAGTCCAAAGTCCCACAAATCTCTAGGGAAGGGACAAAATGCCACCAGTCTCTTTGCTAAAACATAACAAGAGTCACCTTTGCTCCAGTTCCCAACAAGTTCCTCATCTCCATCTGAGACCATCTCAGACTGGATTTCATTGTCCATATCATTATCAGCATTTTGATCAAAGCCATTTAACAAGTCTCTAGGGAGTTCCAAACTTTCCCACATTTTCCTGTCTTCTTCTGAGCCATCCAAACTGTTCCAACCTCTGCCTGTTACCCAGTTCCAAAGTTGCTTTCACATTTTCAGTTATCTTTTCAACAACGCCCTACTCTACTGGTACCAATTTACTGTCTTAGTCCATTTTCATGCTGCTGATAAAGACATACCTGAGACTGGGCAATTTACAAAAGAAGGAGATTTAATGGACTTACAGTTCTATATGGCTGGGGAGGCCTCACTATCATGGTAGAAGGTAAAAGGCACATCTCACATGGCAGCAGACAAGAGAAGATCTTGTGCAGGAAAACTCCTGTTTCTAAAACCATTAGATCTCGTGAGACTCGTTCACTATCACAAGAACAGCACAGGAAAGACCCACCCCCATAATCCCATCATCCCCCACCAGGTTCCTCCCACAACACATGGGAATTGTGGGAGTTACAATTCAAGATGAGATTTGGGTGGGGATACAGCCAAACTATGCTATGTTTGCCAGGCTCATCTCAAATTCCTAGGCTCAAGTGATTCACTGGCCTAAGCCTCCCAAAGTGCTGGGATTACATATGTGAGCCATCGTGCCTGGCGAACTATTTAGAAACAGTTTGTTGTTAAGTTTTGTTAGGCTGGAATATAGCAGCATGTAGTCAGAAGGTAATTTTTTCTTATCTTGAGACAAAATCCTTCTGAGTACTCTAACTAAAGCTCCATGATTATTAGGTTTTCCACTCTAGCTTGTGGGACTGCTCCATCTAATCCTTTCCAGTGGGTTTTTCCCTGTCTTGGTTACTTCATCACGTGCATGTGCTGATTAACGTTCAGATTAATACTTGAGAAGAACACTACCCAGACATCTAGAATTCTCGCTGTGTTCAGCTCTTTTCTCTCTGGTTACCCTGCCCTCAAAATCTAGCCATGTTGTTCTCCCTCCAACTCCTAGCTCTGTCTCCTCAACTCAGGAAGACTGCCATACTCCACCTGAATTTCCCCATTTTTGCCCTGGCTGAGCATGTTCTCTGGGCTGTAAGCTAGGATAATTGTAGGGCTCACCTTGTTTGTCTCCCATCTCTCGAGCATCATTTTCCTTCATTGCTTCATATCTGATGTCTCATGAAGCAATGTTTCATGTATTTTCTTTGACTTCTTAGTTGTTTTATGTAGGATGGAAATCTACTTTGACGGGAAGTAGAAGCCTCCATGTCTTTTTTTTTTATTTTTATTTTTTTTATTCGGGATGGAGTCTCGTTCTGTCACCCAAGCTGGAGTGCAGTGGCATGATCTCAGCTCACTGCAAGCTCCACCTCCCGGGTTCATGCCATTCTCCTGCCTCAACTTCCCGAGTAGCTGGGACTACAGGTGCCCACCACCACACTTCGCTATTTTTTTTTTTTTTTTGCATTTTTAGTAGAGACAGGGTTTTGCCATGTTAGCCAGGATGGTCTTGATCTCCTGACCTCGTGATCTGCCCGCCTTGGCCTCCCAAGGTGCTGGGATTACAGGTGTGAGCCACTGCGCCCGGCCAGAAGCCTCCATGTCTTGAACAGCCAAATGTCACAGTGGTCTAAGCTAATAGTTTATTTAACAATGTAGTTAAAAATCTTGCTAGGCTTAATACTTTAAAAATGCAGTAGGCTTCTTATCTGTTTGCTCAGTTCCATGTGCCAGTGACCACATCCTAAATATTTTTGAGGCATAGTTTTCAGATTCGCTTTATTTATTTGCTTTTTCATCCTTTGTCCTTCAGCTTAATAGTAGTTGTCTTGAGGATTTCAGACTTGACAGTGAGAATCTGAATGTGATGACTTTTGCCAACAACGAGGTTTATGGGGCACTTTTCTTTAAAATCTTTTGTTGTTGTTACTATCTCATACTCTTTGAGGTTGACAAGTATTTGCTCCCAAACCTGCATGGCCTCAAATATCTGTTTTCTGTCTGTTCCTTTTCATTTCTGCTTGCAAATCAGCGAATTTTTTCTGAGTTTATAATTTTCTTATAATATTTTGACAAAGCTTGAGCAATAGCTGATATTCACTTCTAATTATTGTCTCTTCTAATCTCTTCTGCTAAGCATATGATCTGTTCTGCTGCCCAAGTTACCACAAGTGACGATTTCACTTTTTTCCCTCACTGAATAACATCAATTTCTTTCTTTCATCTCATGTCAATTTTCTCACTGCCTGTTTCCCACTAATACACAGCATACATTTTAAGCTTTTAGTTTTAGCAACACCTCATTTCAAAAATTAATAGCTGAAGTAGGATAATGTAAGTTCCACAAGAGGAAGATGCTAAAATCTGAAAGACTTAACAAAATAAATTTAATTTTCCTTTGCTAAATTTGATGTGGATCGGCAGTCTTCCTCAAGCTTGTAGCTATGCCATCTGGAATATGTGCCTTTCAGATTGGCCAACGCAGGGGAAGATAGAGATGCAGAAGCACATCATTTCATAACTACATCAGTCATTTTTACTCACAGTCCATTGGCCAGAATTTGTCACATGGCCCCAGTCTAACTACAGAGCTATACCACACTAATAACTTAGTATGGAGCCACTCGCATTTTTCTCTGTGGTCACATCCTTCCGTATATAAATAATATATTCATAAATATATATTTAGAAATATAGCATTTTACCATTGTTTATTTTATAATAATGGAATGAGATTTATACTTTTCTGCTTTCTTTATACCAAACATCTACTGAAAATCTCTCCAAAACAACTGCTAGACTTCTAATTCATTCTTTTTAATGGCTCCACAGTATCCCATTATGTAGTTGTATCATAATTCACTCTATCATTCCTATCCTGAGGTACATTTACTTAACTATTTTATATTATTGCCAGTATCAACAATGCTCCAATATATCTGTTCATACAAAATTCATTTTTTAAAAATTGATGGCTTTCACTTCATGGCACAGATGTCCAGGAGTGGGATTTATTGAGTTAAAATGCGCATGTTTTATAAATTTCTATATTTTGTTAGATTGGTATCCATCTGAAACTATTCACATTTTCACCAGCAATTTATAAAAGAACTCTTGTCTCAATGAACCTGACAACAATTGATGTTTCAACACTTTCTAATTTTTCAGTCTAATGAGGAGTAAAAAGACGTCAGGGAAATGCAAATTAAAGTAAGAACATTTCATATGTTGGTTGCCCATTTGTTTGCCTCTTCACATTCTTTGTTATTGGGCTTCACATCCCATTTTTGCCATTTAGTAAGAGCTTTTGATTATTATAGTTAGTAAATATCTGTTGATCTGCATTGTAAATATATTTCCCAAATCAATTTTGTAAATTATTGGATTTTTTCTTATATATGAAATTTATTTATTATGTAACATACCTAACATTATAATACATAATATAATATATGATTATCTTGCCATTCAAAAAGTTTAAGTTTCATTTGTTCAAAAAAGTCTTTTATGAAGACAAAAATGTTTTTCCTGCCCCTGGATTGTACTTGATTGTATACTAGATTTTCTTGCCATATTTTATTTCTTAAACTTATTTAATGTTTTAATCTGTATGAAAACGATTTTGTATAAAATAGGGTTTAATTTTATTTTTATTCTGATAGGTAGATTTCTATGGCAGCACTATTTACTAAATAATTCATTATTTTCCCTCTTATTTAAATATCAAATTAAGTATTTTCTGGACTTCTCTATTCTGTTCTACTGATCCATTTGTTTCTTCTTATGCCTATGACCATATTAATTTGATTTCCATTTTTAATAGTATACTCACTATCTATCAAAATTTGTTTGACTATTCTCAGAAATGTTTGCTTTCTTATAGACTTTGAAGTCTTTTTATCTGCTTCCTCCAAACCCCTGTAAGGATTGAAATGGAGATTACATTTAAGTAATAGTTTTTGGCAAATTAACATTTTCATTATTTCAGATCTTTCCATAAAAGAACATTGAAAGGCTTTCCGTTTATTACATTTATTTTATATCTAGCAACAGATTTTACATTTTCTTCATATAGAACCTGTTCCTTTAAAAAAATTATCTCCAAGTATTCTATAGTTTCCTCTATGTGTCTTACTTGCTAAAATCTAGCACCGCAATAATGTTCAATGATAACAGAATTTGCACTTACCCCTATCTTGTTCCTAAATTTTATTGAAATTGATTTAGTGTTTTGCCATTTGGGACGACCTTAGATGTTGGGTTTAATAAATTATCTTTTAAAAATTATAAATTACAGCTGTATTATAAAATAACTTTTTAGCAGCTAGTGATATAATTACATGGGTTTTTACTTTCAAATATTTGATATAATGGATTATCTTGATAGATAACAAAATAGTCTTTCATTCCTGCAATGAGACATACCTTTAAAAATATATGTTTGTTCTTTTCATGTATCACAAATTGTATTTGGTAATACTTAATGTTTTTTTTATAGCTACCTGCTGGTGCAATTGGCCTTATTTTTCCTCCCTTTGCAATATTATTGTTAGGCTTTGATATCAAAACTATGCAGGTTTTGTTAAAAAAATTAAAGAATTTTAAAACCTTTTCCTATGACCTGAAATAGTAACACTATCATCGAACTTAACTATTTTTAAATGGTTAGATAAAACTTAGTTATGAATTCATCTGCTCCTGGTACTGTTTGTAATGGTAAATCTTTAATCATTTGACAATCTCATTTATGGTAATTGATCCATGGATGTTTTCCATTTCTTCCTGTGTCATCATTGGTAATTTTATTTTTCTAGGAAATTATTCTTGCTTTGACTTTTTCAAATTTGTTGTTTAGAGTTGTGGGAAATATTATTTTGTAATTATTTTCAGCTTTAATTAGTCTATGATGTCTCCTTTTTAACTTCTGATCATTATCCCTTCTTGCTTTACCTTTTTTGCCCTTAAGCAGTTAGTGAGATAATTTAATTATATTACTATCTTTTTCTTTTTTTAAAATTTATTTTTTGGGGTTCTTATCATTCTTCAAACAATTTTTATTTCTAGAAACAGGGTCTTGCTCTGTTACCCAGACTATAGTTGTGCAGTGGCACAATCTTAGCCTACTGCAGCCTTGAACCCTGCCTCAGCCTCTAGAATAGCTGGGACCATACGTTCCATCGCACCCAGCTAATTTAAGCTTTTTTTATGTGTGTGTGTAGAGATGGGATCTCACAAAAAATTTTGCCCAGGCTAGTCTCAAACTCCTGACATCAAATGATCCTCCCATCTCAGCCTCCCAAGTAGCTGGAATTACAGATGTGCACCATCATGTTTGTCCTCATCTGTTCTTTTAATTTGCAAATTAGGTGTTTATTTAAACAAGGAAAGTCTATTATTTTCCTCTTAATGCTTCATTTCCTTTTGTACCTCCTTCTTCTAGAAGTTCCATAATTCACATTTGGGGTTCCTGCTCTATCCTCTAAGTGTTTTGTATTTGTGTGTGTGTGTTTGTGCATGTGTGTACATGTATAATTCCCATGTCTTTGAGATATTGTGGGGTACGCTGAGATATTACTTTACTTGATATTCTACATCACTAATTTTAGTCTCAGTGGTAACCATCCAATTCATCAACTAATTTACTAAATTACTCAGTTCAGAAATTATGGTTTTAGACACAAGAAGTACTTTGGGCTGCATTTAAATCTTTTTATTTTATTATTATACTTTAAGTTCTGGGATACATGGGCAGAACGTGCAGGTTTGTTACACAGGTATACATGTGCCATGGTGGATTGCTGCAGCTATCAACCCATCATCTACGTTAGGTATTTCTCTTAATGCTATCCCTCCCCTTGCCCCAAACCCCCTGACAGGCCCCAGTGTGTGATGTTCCCCTCTCTGTGCCCATATATTCTCATTGTTCAACTCCCACTTATGAGTCAGGACATGTGGTGTTTGGTTTTCTGCTCCTGTGTTAGGTGCTGAGAATGATGGTTTCCAGCTTCATTCATGTCCCTGAAAAGGACATGAACTCATTCTTTTTTATGGTTGCATAGTATCCCATGGTGTATATGTGCCCATTTTCTTTATCCAGCCTATCATTGATGGGCATTTGGGTTGGTTACAAGTCTTTGCTATTGTGAATAGTGCTGCAATAAACATACGTGTGGATGTGCCTTTATAGTAGAATGATTTATACCTTTGGGTATATACCCAGTAATGGGATTGCTGGGTCAAATGGTATTTCTGGTTCTAGATCCTTGAGGAATTGACACACTGTCTTCCACAATGCTTGAACTAATTTACACTACCACTAACAGTGTAAAAGCGTTCCTATTTCTTCAAATCCTCTCCAGCATCTGTTGTTTCCTGGCTTTTTAATGATCGCCATTGTAACTGGCATGAGATGGTATCTCATTGTGGTTTTGATTTGCATTTCTCTAATGACCAGTGATGATGAACTTTTTTTCATATGTTTGTTGGCCACATAAATGTCTTCTTTTGAGAAGTGTCTGTTCATATCCTTTGCCCGCTTTTTGATGGGGTTGTTTTTTTCTTGTAAATTTGTTGAAGTTCCTGGTAGATTCTGGATGTTGGCCCTTTGTCAGATGGATTGATTGCAAAAATTTTCTCCCGTTCTGTAGGTTGCCTGTTCACTCTGATGATCATTTCTTTTGCTGTGCAAAAGTTCTTTAGTGTAATTAGATCCCATTTGTCAATATTGGCTTTTGTTGCCATTGCCTTTGGTGTTTTAGTCATGAAGTATTTGCCCATGCCTATGTTGTGAATGGTATTATCTAGGTTTTCTTCTAGGGTTTTTATGGTTTTAGGTCTTACATTTAAGTCTTTAATCCACCTTGAGTTAATTTTTGTGTAAGGTGTAAGGAAGGGGTCCAATTTCAGTTTTCAGCGTATGGCTAGCCAGTTTTCCCAGCACCATTTATTAAATAAGGAATTCTTTCCCCCTTGCTTGTTTTTGTCAAATCTGTCAAAGATCTGATGGTTGTAGATGTGTGGCATTATTTCTGAGGCCTCTGTTCTGTTCCATTGGTCTATATATCTGTTTTGGTACCAGTAACATGCTGTTTTGGTTACTGTGGCCTTGCAGTATAGTTTGATGTCAGGTAGCGTGATGCCTCCAGCTTTGTTCTTTTTGCTTAGGATTGTCTTGGCTATACAGGCTCTTTTTTGCTTCCATATGAAATTTAAAGTAGATTTTTCTAATTCTGTGAAGAAAGTGAATGGTAGTTTGATGGGAATAACATGAATCTATAAATTACTTTGGGCATTATGGCCATTTTCATGATATTGATTCTTCCTATCCATGAGCCTGGAATGTTTTTCCATTTGTTTGTGTCCTCTCTTATTTTCTTGAGTAGTGGTTTGTAGTTCTTCTTGAAGAGGTCCTTCACATCCCTTGTGGGTCGTATTCCTAGGTATTTCATTTTCTTTGTAGTGATTATAAATGGGAAGTCAGTCATGATTTGGTGCTCTGTTTGTCTATTACTGGTATATAGGAATGCTTGTGATTTTTGCATATTGACTTTATATCCTGAGAGTAGGGAGTTTTGGGGCTGAGGTGATAGGGTTTCCTAAATATACAATCATGTCATCTGCAAACAGAGACAATTTGACTTCCTCTCTTCCTATTTGAATACCCTCCATTTCCTTCTCTTACCTGATTGCCCTGGCCAGAAATTCTAATACTATGTTGAATAGGAGTGCTGAGAGAGGGCATCCTTGTCTTGTGCCAGTTTTCAAAGGAAATGCTTCCAGCTTTTGCCCATTCAGTATGATATTGGCTGTGGGTTTGTCATAAACAGCTCTTATTATTTTGAGATATGTTCCAGCAATACCTAGTTTATTGAGTGTTTTTAGCATGAAAGGGTGTTGAATTTTATCAAAGGGCTCTCCTGCACCTATTGAATAATCATGTGGTTTCTGTCATTGGTTCTGTTTATGTGATGGATTACATTTGTTGATTTGCTTATATTGAACCAGCCTTGCATTCACAAGATGAAGCTGACTTGATGGTGCAGGATAAGCTTTTTGATGTGCTGCTAGATTCAGTTTGCCAGTATTTTATTGAGGATTTTTGCATCGATGTTCATCAGGGATATTGGCCTGAAATTTTCTTTGTTTGTTGTGTCTTTGCCAGGTTTTGGTATCAGGATGATGCTGGCCTCATAAAATGAGTTAGAGAGGAGTCCCTCTTTTTCTATTGTTTGGAATAGTTTCAAAAGGAATGGTACCAGCTCCTCATTGTACCTCTGGTAGAATTCAGTTGTGAATCCATCTGTACCTAAGCGTATTTTCGTTGATAGGCTATCAATTACTGCCTCAATTTCAGAACTTGTTATTGGTCTATTCAGGGATTCATCTTCTTCCTGATTTAGTCTTTGGAGGGTAGATGTGTCCAGGAAATTATCCATTTCTTCTGCATTTTCTAGTTTATTTGTGTAGAAGTATTTATAGTATTCTCTGATGGTAGTTTGTATTTCTGTGGGATCAGTGGTGATATCCCCTTTATCATTTTTTACTGTGTCTATTTGATTATTCTGTCTTTTCTTCCTTATTGGTCTGGCTAGCAGTCTGTCTATTTTGTTAGTCTTGTCAAAAAACCAGCTCCTGGAATCATTGATTTTTGGAAGGGTTTTTCGTGTCTCTATCTCCTTCAGTTCTGCTCTGATCTTAGTTATTTCTTGTCTTCTGCTATCTTTTGAATTTGTTAGCTCTTGCTTCCGTAGTTCTTATAATTGTCATGTTAGGGTGTCGAGTTTAGATCTTTCTCACTTTCTCCCATGAGAATTTAGTTCTATAAATTTGCCTTTAAACACTGCTTTAGCTGTGTTTCAGAGATTCTGGTATGTTGTGTCTTTGTTCTCATTGGTTTCAAAGAACGTATTTATTTCTGCCTTAATTTCTTTATTTACCCAATAGTCATTCGGGAGCAGGTTGTTCAGTTTCCATGTCGTTGTGCGGTTTTGAGTGAGTTTCTTAATCCTGATTTCTAATTTGATGGCACTGTGGTCTGAGAGACTGTTATGATTTCTGTTCTTTTGCATTTGCTGAGGAGTGTTTTACTTCCAATTATGTGGTCGATTTTGGAATAAGTGGTATCTGGTGTTGAGAGGAATGTATATTCTGCTGATTTGGGGTGGAGAGTTCTGTAGATGTCTATTTGTCCACTTGGTCCAGAGCTGAGTTCAAGTCCTGAATATCCTTGTTAATTTTCTGTCTCATTGATCTGTCTAGTATAGACAGTGGGGTGTTAAAGTCTCCCACTTTTATTGTGTTGGAGTTTTTATAGGTGTCTAAGAACTTGCTTTATGGATCTGGGTGCTCCTGTATTGGGTGCACATATATTTAGGATAGTTAGCTCTTCTTTTTACATTGATCCCTTTACCATTATGTAATGCCCTTCTTTGTCTTTTTTGATCTTTGTTGGTTTAAAGTCTGTTTTATCAGAGACTAGGATTGCAACCCTTGCTTTTTTTTTATTTTTTGCTTTCTCTTTGCTTGGTAAATATTCCTCCATCCCTTTATTCCGAGCCTATGTGTGTCTTTGCACGTGAGATGGGTCTCCGGAATACAGAACACTGATGGGTCTTGACTGTTTATCCAATTTGTCAGTCTGTGTTTTTTTTTATTTTGTTATTGTTGTTTTGTTTTGTTTTTTGAGATGAAGTCTTGCTCTGTCACCCAGGCTGGAGTGCAGTGGCACGATCTTGGCTCACTGCAACCTCCACCACCTGGGTTCAAGCAATTATCCAGTCTCAGCCTCCTGAGTAGCTCGGATTATAGGCGCCAACCACCACCCCTGGCTAATTTTTTGTGCTTTTACTAGATATGGGGTTTTGCCATGTTGGGCAGGCTGGTATCGAACTCCTGACCTCCGATGATCCACCCACCTTGGCCTCCCAAAGTACTGGGATTACAGGTATGAGCCACTGCACCCGGCCCAGTCTGTGTCTTAATTGGGGCATTTACATTTAAGGTTAATATTGTTATGTGTGAATTTGATCCTGTCATTATGATGCTAGCTGGTTATTTTGCTCATTAGTTGATGCAGTTTCTTCATTTTGTCAATGGTCCCTACATTTTGATATGTTTTTGCAATGGCTGGTAACAGTTTTTACTTTCCATATTTAGTGCTTCCTTTAGGAGCTCTTGTAAGGCAGGCCTGGTAGGTTACAAAATCTCTCAGCATTTGCTCATCTCTAAGGATTTTATTTCTCCTTCCCTTATGAAGCTTAGTTTGGCTGGATATGAAATTCTTGGTTGAAAATTCTTTTCTTTAAGAATGTTGAATATTGGCCCCCCTCTCTTCTGGCTTGTAGGGTTTCTGCAGATTGATCTGCTGTTAGTCTGATGAGCTTCCCTTTGTGGGTAACCCGACTTTTCTCTCTGGCTGCCCTTAATATTTTTTCCTTCATTTCAACCTTGGTGAATCTGACCACTATGTGTCTTGGTGTTGCTCTTCTTGAGGAGTATCTTAGTGGTGTTCTCTGTATTTGCTGAATTTGAATGTTGGCCTGTCTTGCTATGTTGGGGAAGTTCTCCTGGATAATATCCTGAAGTGTGTTTTCCAACTTGGTTCCATTCTCCCCTTCACTTTCAAGTACACCAATCAAACAAAAGTTTGGTCCTTTCACATACTCCCATATTTCTTGGAGGCTTTGTTCCTTCCTTTTCATTCTTTTTTCTCTAATCTTGTCCTCACAATTTATTTCATTAAGTTGATCTTCAATCTCTGATATCCTTTCTTCTGCCTGATCATTTCAGGTATTGATAGTTGTATATGCTTCCCGAAGTTCTCACGCTGTGTTTTTCATCTCTATCAGGTAATTTATGTTCTTCTCTAAACTGGTTATTCTAGTTAGCAGTTCCTGTAACCTTATATCCAGGTTCTTAGCTTTCTTGCATTGGGTTAGAACATGCTTTATTAGCTCAGAAGAGTGTGTTATTACCCACCTTCTGAAGCCCACTTCTGTCATTTCATCAAACTCATTCTCGGTCCAGTTTTGTTCCTTTGCTGGCAAGAAGTTGTGATTCTTTGAAGGAGAAGAGGCATTCTGGTTTTTGGAATTTTGAGCCTTTTTGTGCTGGATTTTCCTCATCTTCATGGATTTATCTACCTTTGGTCTTTGATGTTGCTGACTTTTGGATGGGGTTTTTGTGTGGGCATCCTTTTTGTTGATGTTGGTGCTATTGCTTTCTGTTTGTTAGTTTTCCTTCTAACAGGTCCCTCTTCTGCAGGTCTGCTGGAGTTTGCTGGAGGTCCACTCCAGACCCTGTTTCACTTGGTATCACCAGCAGAGGCTGCAAAACAGCAAAGATTGCTGCCTTCTCCTTCCTCTGGAAGCTTCATCCCAGAGGGTCACCCACCAGATGCCAGCCAGTGCTCCTCTGTATGAAGTGTTTGTCAACCCCTGCTGAGAGTCATCTCCCAGTCAGGAGGCATGGGGGTCAGGGACCCACTTGAGGAGGCAGTCTATCTCTTAGCAGAGCTCAAGGGCTGTTTTGGGAGATCCACTGCTCTCTTCAGAGCTGGAAGTCGGGAACGTTTAAGTCTGCTGAAGCTGCACCCACAGCCACCCCTTCTCCCATGTGCTCTGTCCCAAGGAAATGGGAGTTTTATGTATAATGCCCTGACTAGGGCTGCTGCCTTTCTTTTGGAGATGCTCTGCCCAGAGAAGAGGAATCTAGAGAGGCAGTGTGGTTACAGTGGCTTTGCTTAGCTGCAGTGGGTTCTACACCCAGTTTGAATTTCCTGGTGGCTTTGTTTACACTATTAGGGGAAAACCACCTACTCAAGCCTCAGTAATGATGGACGACCCTCCCCCCACCAAGCTTGAGCATCCCAGGTCAATTTCAGATTGCTGTGCTGGCAGCGAGAATTTCAAGCCAGTGGATCTTAGCTTACTGGGCTCCATGGGGTTGGGATCTGCTGAGCAAGACCACTTGGCTCCCTGGCTTCAGCCCCCTTTCCAGGGGAGTGAACGGTTCTGTCTCACTGGTGTTCCAGGCACCACTGGGGTATGAAAAAACTCCTGCAGCCATCTCAGTGTCTGTCCAAACGGCCACCCAGCTTTGTGCTTGAAACCCAGGGCGCTGGTGGTATAGACACCCAAGGGAATCTTCTGGTCTATGGGTTGTGAAGACTGTGGGAAAAGAGTAGTATCTGGGCAAGATAGCACCATCCTTCACTGCACAGTCCCTCACAGCTTCCCTTGGCTAGGGGAAGGAGTTCCCCAACCCCTTGCACTTCCCCGGTGAGGCGACGCCCCACCCTGCTTCTGCTTGCCCTCTGTGGGATGCATCCACTGTCTAACCAGTCCCAATGAGATGAACTGGGTATCTCAGTTGGAAATGCAGAAATCACCCACCTTCTCTATTAGTCTTGCTGGGATCTGTAGACTGGAGCTGTTCCTATTCAGCCATCTTTGATAAAGAGGGGGCTGCATTTAAATCTATGTGTCTCCTTCAGCAGCTATGTGGAGTGTGCTATGCATTATGACCTGTCTTCTTCTCATGAGCTGATAGGCTCTCCTCAATTGATTATTTTTCATCACAAGTAAACTAGTTATTTAAATATTTCAATTTACTATAAGCCTACCCTATAGTAGAAGGTGAAGCAACCTTTACAAATAAAGGGCTGGCCCTTGTTGAAGTACCATGTGAAAACCCTCCTGCTGTGAGCTATTCTTTTCCAGTCCTGGGGACAATGAAAGTTCAACCTGCTTTGGTCCTCAGTTCTTTAAGGTCAGAAAACCAGGCACCTTCAATGGAATGAATGCCAATCTTCTTCCAAGGATCTATGCTGTTTTAGAAACAGAAACTCTTTTTCAAGATCCGCAGTCTTATAATCTTCACCTTGAGGATCTCTGTTTGATCTCCAGGTTCTCCCAGACTACACAGAGAAAAAAAAATCCCTATATAAGTTTTCTCCTTTGAGTCCAAAGTCCAAAACTCCTTTGAGTTTTGCCAGCATGAGAGTGTATCAATCAGCTTTAGTGGTCTTGAAGCTCAGAAAGCAGAATAGACCACGGTTGAAAGAAGAGGGAAAACAAGCTACATTCAAGTTACCAGTTTGCTAGAAACTTCCTACTATATTTGTAGAAATTATTGAAATTGAGAGGACACAGTAAGAGAGTGATGGGCACTGTGACATAGTGGGGCACTCCATCCAATTATTGCCAAGTGGGAAGGAAGACCTTGTGTTGCTACATCTCTCCATTTTTTTCAAGAAAAATCATAAATCTGGAATTTTATTTAATATCTTTTCTTTTCAAAATATTGAAGATTTGTGGAATTGTTTTTGCAAATACTGTGTGAACCAAACCAAACTTGTCTTTAGATTGGATTCAGCCTGCAGCATCCTAGGTTAGGATCTCTAGAGTAGATGGTATTTTGGATAATAGATGGACATCTCTAACTTTTAAATTCTGTATTGATATGGTTTGGCTCTGTATCCCCGCCCAGACCTCATCTTGTAGCTCCCATAATTCCCACATGTTGTGGGCAGGACCTGGTGGAAGATGATTGAATCATGGGGGTGGGTCTTTCCCATGCTGTTCTCACGATAGTGAATGGGTCTCATGAGATCTCATGGTTTTAAAAATGGGAGTTTCTCTGCACCAGCTCTATTTTGCCTGCTGCCATCTACGTAAGATGAGACTTGCTCCTCCTTGCCTTCCACCATGATTGTGAGGCCTCCCCAGCCATGTGGAACTGTAAGTCCAATAACCTTTTTTTTTTTTTCTAAATTGCCCAGTCTTGAGTATGTCTTTATCAGCAGCATTAAAATGAACTAATACACATATGATGGAAGGCAACTGTCATGCTTTCTCCTTAGGCAAGTTCCTTGGAAACAGAGGCATGTCCTCTACTTAGTTTTTTATTGCCAAATGTTCCAAGTATAGCAGAAAGTAGACACAGGACGTTTCGTAGGTGTTTGTGGAATGAAGAAAGGCAATGCTTGGTGCCAGTGTCAGAGACTAATAGGTGACTGGTCTGACTTTTGTGAATATAAACAGTACTGCAGTAAAGGAAGCTACTAATGTGGCAACTGAAAGTGTGAAGAGAGATGAGATATAGTGTCATGAACAAAAAAATTCCCTGAAATTGATTTCAATTAAGGTAAGCAGAATATGAAAGTATGTGCCTTCTGCAAAACCAGAATATTTTCAAAACTTTCAGCTGTCCAACTTACCTGTGGCACGGAGCTAGCTGAACGATGAATCCTGCTTAATGAGGAATACAAGAAGTTTTGTCCCAACCATGAGGATTTGAAGATTTTATAGTATGACAACCACCTGTATGCAAAGCTTTGTCTCCTGTGGTATAACCTGAAGATGAACTCAAAACCATGAATTTTCATTTTTTTCCTATTTGCCATGCTTCTCAAAGAGTCTCTTGTAGGGAAAGGAAAACAATGAAATCATTATCCTATATTTTGCAAGCACAGAGTCTGAATACTATAATAGTGAAGAAATGATTGCCTGGAATAACAACTCAAATGTGATTTCAAAATATGAGAGAGAAAGGCCAAAAACAGAATTTGAATTGCAAGCCTACTTAATTGTTGATTGGGCTCTAATGGTCTGTTCACTGTACTACTGCCTATATGAACATGAGCCCTATTCCTAATTACAACCCATTTTTGTTGTTGTTATCTAGATGACATCAAGATGTGTGGGATTAAACAGACAGTGCCATGCATACTGTGTAATGATTGTAGCAAAATGCCATGTTTTCTCAAGACCGTGGAGAGAGAGTGATTTCCTCAGTCAAAATATCAATGGCTAGACTTTCAAGGCTGCTACCATTATACTGTTGTCATTCTGGAAACAACAACAACAACAAAATATCACTCTATTGAGTCAACAGACTGTCTTGAGCTTATCTTCAAACTCATATTATTTTACTCTGTAATTTCAAAATTTTTATTAAGTTTCTCTCTGGGAGAGTTTGAAACATGAGTTTTAAAACAGATTATTATTAACATCAGACTACTGAGTTCACTTATAGGAATATAGAGAAATAACACTACACATTTATATATAATCTGTCTACTTTCAAAGAAAGGATTTGAAGTAGGCTCTTCAGAGTAAATGAGCTAAATACAATCAGCTTTTTCTGTCTGGAAATTCAAGAATCTAACGAGTGCACCCAAAGAATGGCAAACATAGCATTTTCTTCAGGACTGTCACAGTGCCCTGCTTCCAAAGGATACGA
The DNA here is from genome assembly GCF_000001405.40 of Homo sapiens. Taxonomy (NCBI): domain Eukaryota; kingdom Metazoa; phylum Chordata; class Mammalia; order Primates; family Hominidae; genus Homo; species Homo sapiens. The sequence goes on from NC_000001.11 coordinate 170,617,775, forward strand.
CACGCAAAGAGTTCACAGCTGTGCTGTCATCGCAAGTTTAAATTTAACACTGGTGATATCATAACCATGGAATATAATTTTTTAAAAATATCACAGCTGAATTTTTAGATTACTTAGTATCATTAAGAAGTGAGCTCCACCAGGCTTGATAGAGACTACTGACATTTAAGAGCATACAATGAAGGAAATTTATTTAAAAATCAGCTGTGTCACATACTGTGTTAAGACTTTCATACCTATGATCTCACTTAGCCTCACAACAACCCCGTGAGCTAAGTAGCATTATTCTTATTCTGTACACTAGCAACTTAAGATTTGAAGAGGTTAAATACCTTCTCCAGGATCACACAGATGGTAAATGACTGAACAAGGAGACTCACCCAAGTCTTCCTGATTCCAAAGCATGTGCTCTTTCCATTACACACGGAATGTTGGGAATTCAGATTATATTTCGTTTTGGCCTAGGTTAGAGACCTGCTCTGGACATTTCTCAGGAGTCAAATAAAATAGAGGCTAATGAAAACAGCAAATTCATCTCCTAACAAAGGCTAACACACCTCAGTAGCAAAGGACAGGGTCTCACTAATGGAATAAAAATTATGACATGACCAAATACTCTGTTCTCAGCCATTCCTTCTCATAGATGCAGTGATCTCTTAAAGTCCACCGCAAGTGTTCCTTCCTATGTCCTTTTTTTAAAAATAAAATTATTTCTCTGGGAGACAGGAAAGAATCATATATGAGATAAATTCACACTCAAGTGCTTAGTGACTAATCTTTCTTTCTAAGAAGAAAGGCAGTCAACACATTTTTGGTGTGTGAAGATGATGTGGCTGAAAGCAGAATGGAAATCTGGAAAGGAAATGAAAGAACACTCTGTCTTTTTCACTTTCTGCTTAGGTCAAGTCCTAGACACAGTACTTGGAAAAAGAAGAGAAAAGGAGATTCTGGTGTTGTTTTTTTCTTGAGTAGTCTGGAAACTTGCAATGGGTCAAATTTGCAGTCATGTTCTTGATTTGAAAGATATCTACCTGAAGATAATCGTAGTTTTAAACATTTTATTTTAAATGTTTTAATTTAAATGTTATTTTAATGTTAAAGCATTGGCATCAAGGTTTTTTCTAAATCCTTTGCTTTTACAATTTTAGTGGTACTATACATGAAAGAAACACTTTGAAAACTTAGGAGATTTCGTCCTTTCATACTTGCGAATTTGACTTTTGAACTATCATTAAGTCTGAAGTCCAAATTATGGAGTTGACTAAGACTGATACTAGATAAAAAAGTGTGCAAAACCATGGGATTAAAAAACCTAGTGAGTTTTTCTGTGTCATTGACGTTCCTGCTTAACTGAGTATTGGAGAGTATTACATAATTAAACATAGGATGTACCACAGATCTTAAAAGTCAATAACAAGATTCCAAGCACTGTCCATAGTTGGTAAAACACAAAGTTCCACTTTAAAACAACATTTTTCAAAGCCTCTCAGAAATTAGTCTGCTCTCAGGAAGTCCTGCCGAGGGCCGTCACAATGAGACAAGCTTATGGAGCTGGCAGCCATCTTGTGCAGTGAGAGACGAAGTGTCTGGCTCTGAGCCAAGGAAAGCCAAAGTGATCAATATTACATCCTGAAAGCACCAATGGATCCTTTGTCCCAGAACTAGCGCTTCTGGGAGATGTGCCAGAAGATTCACATGTGCACATATGTGCACACACAGTAACATGATGATTCAGGAAATTCAGTCATATGGGAAGATCAAAAGCACAGCAGGATATTCCTGTGACTCTGGCATTGGTCAGCAATACTTCAACCTCCACATCCAAATATGAAGGCAGCTTAAAGAGCCTGCAGATGGAAGACAAACAGAAACTTGAAAAAATGTACTAAGACGGCTTATTTTTCTCCTGTTGTCCTTACACCTACCGTGAATACTCTGGTGCCTTGCCAGTCACTCCTGCACCACTTTGAAGTTTGAGTCTGTCCCTGAATCCTACAGAGTGGATGCCAGCCTGGCCTGATCTCACCTCTTTAAGCCTTCTGCCTCCAGCATGCTCACAAGTGTTTGGAACATGTATTGGGGATAGAGGGGAATATGATCCCAGACCCAGGTCCAGAGGGCTACTAGAACATGTCATGTGTCTGGCATTGAACAAGATCACATTGCCAATTTAAAACCATCGAAGTGATCTCAGTTTTCTTGGGAAAGAAAAAAGAAAGACCATGTGCCTGATGAAAGAACAATGAAAATATAACTTACACACATAAATATCATCTGCCTGAAAATCCAGGCCATATTTGGGATCAGAAAAATATATTTTAAGTGGATAGTATTAACAGAAGGGCTTAATCAGGCACTCTTGCTACTGTTGTCTTTATGGATAAATTTTAAGGACAGGTGGAGTCAGGCAGGAAGTAAATATTCAATTTAGAACATTTTCCTACATTTAATATCTGCCTCTCTCATCATGTTTGCAATTTTTACAGTCTTTGTTATGAATAGCTTCTCATCACATTTCTAAGAGGGAGATCATCATAATTACAACCTTATGTTATGGCAGAGCAGAAAGAAGTGACTTGGCAAAGGTCATGTGGCAATACAATGTCCTAGACAGGAAGGGAACTGATATATCTGGAAACTATTGTGAGTTGTGCATTCCAGTGTGCATGGCAGAAAGCAAGGCTCAAGTTGCTGCAGCCAAAGCTTAGAGCTTTTTCTGAAGCATGAGTGCTTGGTATAGGTATCACCAAAAAGAAAAAGAAATTAAACTTTAGTAGTATTAACTTGAGCAAAATCCCACTGGAGAAATTTCCAAATTACTGTTACTATTATGGGTATTAGGAGTAAGACAGAGAAAGGATAAACTGCCCTTTAATAATAGAATATTTGATTTGGCATTTAAATGGTTACAAAATCTACTCTTTGGCAACAATTTACCCTGTGCAAAAGTGTTATATTAATTCAGGTAAGGATGGTACCTCCTTCATGAGACTCTCCAGGGGTTCTCTGTGTTCTTGTATGGTCCACGTGGCTATATAATCAGCCAACACATATCCTAGGATGCTGCTTTGCAGTAGGAATTAGATGCTTAAATAATTTTAGAAATGAAATATCATGAAGTCTATAATTTCTACACAATGAATGAGTCATTTGCAGATCCTTATAGTTATTCTTTTCCCACCAAAAAGTTCAAGAATAAAAATCCCCTATCTCCCACCATAACATCAACAAGAATAAGATTGAAAACTCAGAAGAGAGAAACAAAGAGATTCATAGTTAGTATTTTTTCAGAAAATACATGTTTCCCAGTAAGCAAATCTCCTTATAAATATAATTGATTAAAAATGAAAAAAAAAACTCTGAATTTACTGTATGAACTTTGGAATATTTAAAATGGAGAAACCAAGAATTTTCTGTAATCAGTATTAAAATTCTGACATATAGAAGTAAAAATTTAAATAACAAGGTATAGGACAAGACTTTTATTTGATACAGGAAAGGTCTTACTGGAGGAGAATATGACCCAAACTGGATAAGGACAGACACATCTTCCTTGGCCAGATCTGACAAGTGGCTTTTCCCAGTTGTCTCACAAAAAAGAATTACATATTAATAACCCATATGCTTTATGTTTCTAATATTTAAAAAAGAGGTGATTGTAAAATATTTCAAACAACAGAAAATAGTACACTATCACCAGCCATATTTTACATGGTTTAGTATCTTATCATATTCGCTTTAGATCTAATTTTTTGTTGCTGGGCGCGGTGGCTCACACCTGTAATCCCAGCACTTTGGGAGGCCAAGGCAGGCGGATCACTTGATGTCAGGAGTTTGAGACCAGCCTGGCCAACATGGTGAAACCCCATCTCCACTAAAAACACAAAAATTAGCGGGGCCTGGTGGCAGGCGCCTGTAATCCCAGCTACTTGGGAGGCTGAAGCAGGAGAATCGCTTGAACCTGGAGTGTGGAGGTTGCAGTGAGCCAAGATCACACCACTGCCCTTCAGCCTAGGTGGCAGAGTGAAACTCCATCTGACACACACACAAAAAAAGACCTTCTTTGTAAGAAAGAAGACATAGCAGATATATTAATATTTGAAGGGTACAATAGAAGACAATCCTCTCCTGCAATTCCATTTCCTTTTTTCTCTCCATGTTAGTACCTGAAATTGGTGTGTATTTTGTTGTTGTTTTTATACCTTACTACCTGTAGATGTATCAGCAATCATTATGTAGTATCGTTTGCACATTTTAAAATTTTACTTAGATAATATTATGTTGTTTTACATTTTTGTATGATTTTACCCTACCATAGTTATTAACATTTATCCAAGATAGTATATACATATATATATATCTTCTAATTATTGTAACCACTAAAACTAGTCTACATATGTATATGTGTGGGATGCCATTTAATGATAGTTCACTATTATTACTTTTCATTGTTGTACTTTTTATTTTGCATTTCCTTGATTATAGGGAGATTGATTTCCTTTACTGTGATTTCTCTTTTCATATCTTTTGCCCATTTTTCCCACTGGATTGTTTGACTTTGTGAAATTAATTTCTAGCAGTTTATAATATATTCTAAATGTCATTTCTTTGACAATTATATGCCTTGCAAATAACTTCTCTCTACTATGTCTCTTTAATGATTTATAGACTGCTGTATATAATGGCACATCTCACCTCAATTCCTTAAATCAGCCTCATCCACTATACATAGTTGATGCCAAAAAGGAAATATTACAGCAACTTCACTGTGCTTTTCTATCAACCTCATTCTTGTTCAACTTCAGTTATACCTTGCTTCTAGCCCTTGGCTCTGTTTTTCTTTGGCCTCAAATCCAATCTTTTGTATGACATTTGAACTTGCATATCCAAGTTTTTATATTCTGTGCTTCCTGAAAATGTTGTTCAGCACTCAACCTTTGTCATCTCATCTTTTTCCTTCTTGTGTAGATTCTCTGGATCTTATATAATTTATATCCCATGCTTTCATGATTGTGATAAGCTAGATCCTTTGGTCTAGCATTGAAATTTCTCTTAAATGCTAAATCTTTAATAAATGAATTTGTTTTCTTCAGACATATATTTCTATCATAGATCATCTTATTAATGTATTTTATGACTTCTTTATTATCTGTTTCCCTCCATTCCATCCTCCTACAAGAATGTAAACTTTATGAGAGCAAGAACTTTGTCTTTTCACCACAGTATTTTCAATAATTTTTGAATGCAAAAATGAATCCAGATAATGTTCTTTGCATGATTTCTTATTTTTGGAAACCCAGCACAAGTCTTTCTAACTAAGGTTCTATACCGTTCTCACATCATAATATGTAGCTAGTCAATCTTCATTAATTATTTTTGTTGTAATTTCGTTATCAGAGCACCTTTGATAAGTATGGCAGTTTTAAAACATGACTGTAAATTATTTGTCATTTCTCCCATAAAGAGGTCCGATTTGTGTACTCATTCTTGATTTGGGTGAGTTTGTGGTGCCACAGGATTTTTGAGACTGAGTCATAAAAAGTCATGCAATTTGCACCGTGTTTGCTGGAACACTTGCTCATGGAATCCTGAGTCATGATGTGATAAGTCCAACAGCATATCCTGAGGCCACCATACTGTGAGGAAACCCAAGCCATATGGAGAGGTCACATGGCAACATGCAGATCACATAGTCACATGTAGGAGTTCTAGGTGACAGTCCCTGCTTAGCCCAGGCTCTGATTTATTCCTGACCAGTTCCCAGACATGGAAGAAGCCTCTAAATGATTCTGTCTCTCAATTGTTCAAGTCACTCCCAGTCATTTAAGTCTCTTTAGCTGAGTCCACATATACTATGAAGCAAAGACAGAACATGTCCACTGTGCTCTGCCTGAATGCTAAATGCTACCCTATACAAAAAGGATGCCAAATTAATTTTGAGGCCAAAATTCTATTATGGTAGAGTGAAAAGACCAGATAAACCACGTTTTAAATTAAAATGTATAACCAAGCTGACAATAATTTGGATTTGTTGCAAACTAAAACTCCACCTTAATAGATCAACTATCCAAAGAAAAAAATCTTGTTTTCTATACTTTTTGGCTATTATCACAACTCAAAGTGATAGAAGAAAAATAAAAAATTGAAGACTCCAGCAAATATGTTTCTAAGATATCTGATTTGAACAAATCATCCTGGAAGAATACTTTATAAATTTAACCATCATTACAATACCCTCAAGCCCAAAAGCAGTCTAGAGCTTGGGTAATGTTGGCCCAAGAGTTCATTATAATGATGGAATCTATTGCGTCAATACCAAAATCCCCAGCAAAGACTCTTAATATATAAATGGATGAAGGTCAGTACAAATGAACCCATATTCAGGACACTGTCAGCTCATGCTTTACATATCACTCAGGGGCATTTTATTCTACTCATTACTGTCTTCTTAAAGCTCTCCTCTCCTTGGGAATCTGTGACACTATTCTAGTGGTTTTCCTGCTCCCTATCCAGGTTTTTCTTCTAAGTCTTCTGTGGACACCTGTTCCTAATGCTACTGCAAGCACTGTCTTCAGCTGTCGGTTCTTATCAAAGTCATTCACATGAGTGGCCTAATCTACCATATACATGCTGACGACCTTCACATGTCTACCTCCAATTCAGATTTCTCTTGAAGCTAAACACATAATCTGCCCCCTTGGACATATTCCCTTAAAGATAGAATCTTCTTTCTCCCAAGGCTGGCTTGCTGCAGGTGTACTGGTCAAAGCCTAGGAGCCACCCTACCTCTGGCTATGTGTGTTGACTTCAGACCAGAGTGAATGTGCATGGAATCTAAGACACATTTCAGGGCCTGATCCTGGACTGGACATGGCTGTGGGTCCAGGAAAAGGCTGGGTCTCCAGTAAATTTTAGAGGATCAACAGGAATTTTGAAAGCTATCTACAAGGCTTCTTGTAGAAATGCCTAGCTTGATGGCCTATGGAAGCTTTAATGTTTTCAGAAATTGACTTTGTTCTTAGACTGCAGGCTATATGACAATTTTGTCTATTTTGCTTAACATTGTATATCCAACACTTAACAGATTGCCTAATCTAGGATAGGCAGACAATATTGACTGAAGAGATGAATGTATGAATCAATGAGTGAATGAAATATTCTCAGAACTGTTTTCCTCCCAATATTCCCTGTTTTTGGAACGGTGACATCATCTCTTTCCATTTTCCCAAGCCAAGAACCTCAAAGTCATCCTAGATCTTCCTCTCCTAGCCCTCACACGACTGTTTGATCATCAATTCTGTCAATTCTACTTTCTGACTATCTGCCCCTCCTCCCCATCCCCATGACCATTGCCTGAGTTTATCACCAACCTCTTCATCTTTTACATGGCTATCAGAAAGGTAATTCTAAACACAAGTGCCACTACGTCACATCCTACCCAGCTCTGCCACTGAGCTGAATGACTTTGGACAAGTTACTTAACCATGCTGAGTCTTGCAGCAGATTGTGAGGCTTAAACAAATTAATAAAGGTAAGCTATTTAGAACAGAGCCTGGAATAAGGTAACAGTCAATAAATGTTACCTAGTGCTTTTGTTATTATAATCCACTATTCTTCAATAAACCTGATTTGTCTACAGAAAAACAAAAACAAAGGCCAGGCACGGTGGCTCACGCCTGTAATCCCAGCACTTTGGGAGGCCAAGACAGGCGGATCCCCTGAGGTCGGGAGTTCAAGAGCAGCCTGGCCCACATGGTGAAACTCCATCATTACTAAAAATACAAAAATTAGCTAGGCATGTTGGCGCATGCCTGTAATCCCAACTACTCAGGAAGCTGAGATGGGAGAATCACTTGAACCTGTGAGGCAGAGGTTGCAGTGAGCTGAGATCACGCCACTGCACTCCAGCCTGGGCTTCAGAGTGAGACTCTGTCTCAAAAAAACAAAAACAAAAACAAATAAACAAAAGTCAATCCCTTTGCCAAGCATGTAAGACTTTTCTTACCTGACTTCCACTGGTCCAGCCTCATTCCCCACTCTTTTTCTCTAAATGTGGGTGATACCGAATCACTTTGCATTTTCTTTTCTTTTTTTTTTTTTTGACTCTGTCCGCCAGGCTGGAGTGCAGTGGCATGATCTTGGGTCACTGTAGCCTCGGACTCACAAGTTCAGGAGACCCTCCCACCTCAGCCTCCTGAATAGCTGGGACTACAGGCCTGTGCCACCACACCTGGCTTTTTTTTTGGGTAGAGACAGGGTTGCACCATGTTGCTCAGGCTGGTCTGTAAGTGATCTATCTGCCTCGGTCTCCCAAATTACTGGGATTACAGGTATGACACCACCCCTGGCCACTTTGCATTTTTGATACATGTCATGCTTCTTTATACCTTTGCATACACAGTTATCATCCCTTTGTAAACTCCTCTCACATTTAAATTTCAGTTTTAATGCTGTGTCCTCTAATGAACTTTGCCTGACATCTTTAAAGTCAGATGCTTCCCTGAAAGTGACACTTAACTTGTGTATATGACACTCATGTATTTCAGCTCACTGTATTAGTAAATTTTCAAGCAGCATTTCTCTAGCTTTATTAAATTGTATACTTCTTTTGGGGAGAAATAATTCTTTTTAACTTTGTTCCTTTTTTCTATTAATAGTAATAGAGTCTAACATTTAGCATACATTCAATAATTGTTTGTTGAACAAATAAAGCACCCTATTATTAAACCATTAGAAATGACATATTATTGATAGGAAAATAATGTATTGAGTAAATAAAAAAATCCTTTAGAATTTATGATTCTCTTCTGAGAAAAACTTTAGTTCTGTATATTTAATGATTTAAGTAGGTAAGCTCATCTTTTGAAGACGATCCATAGTTAATGGTATTTTACTGTCATATGTTTCTTCTCTAACACTCTGCCTTTCTTTTTCTTTTTTTTTTGATGGAGTTTCACTCTTGTTGCCCAGGTTGGAGTGTGCAATGGCGTGATCTTGGCTCACTGCAACCTCTGCCTCCCGGGTTCAAGCGATTCTCCTGCCTTAGCCTCCTGAGTAGCTAGGATTACAGGTGCCCGCCACCATGCTCGGCTAATTTTTTTGTATCTTTAGTAGAAACGGGGTTTCACTATATTGGCCAGGCTGGTCTCGAACTCCCGACCTCGTGATCCACCCACCTTGGCCTCCCAAAGTGCTGGTATTACAGGCGTGAGCCATTGCACCCGGCCCTGCCTTTCTTTATGTAGATCCAAGTATCTATCATGTCATGTTTCTTCCTTCTGAAAAAATTCTTTTAACATTTCCTGCAAGGCAGATCTGCTAGTGACAAATTCCTCAGTTTTTACTTGTTGGAGAAAATCTTTCTCTTTTAGTTTAGAAGAATGAAGAATTCTAGACTGGTGGTTTTTTTCTTTTAATACATTAAATATTTCACCTTACTCTCTTCTTGTTTGCATGCATTCTGAAAATAAGCCCAATGTAGTTCTTTTTTTGTTTGTTTTTCTTTATTTCTTCTAAAAAAAAAACAAAATGGGATACATGTGCAGAATGTGGAGGTTTGTTACATAGGTATATGTGTGCCATGGTGGTTTGCTGCACCTATTGACCCATCCTCTAAGTTCCCTCCCCTCATCCCCCACCACCAAAAGGGCCCTGGTGTGTGTTGTTCCCCTCCCCATGTCCACGTGTTCTCAGTGTTCAACTCCCACTTATGAGTGAGAACATGTGGTGTTTGGTTTTCTGTTCCTGTGTTAAGTTGCTGAGGATAATGGCTTCCAGCTTCATCCATGTCCCTGCAAAGGACATGACCTCATTCCTTTTTATGGCTGCATGGTATTCCATGGTGTATATGTGCCACATTTTCTTTATCCAGTCTATCATTGATGGGGGTTTGGGTTGGTTCCATGTCTTTACTATTGTAAATAGTGCTGCAATAAACATATGTGTGCATGTGTCTTTATAGTAGAATGATTTATATTCCTTTGGGTATATACCCAGTAATGGGATTGCTGGGTCAAATGGTATTTCTGGTCCTAGATCCTTGAGGAGTCACCATACTGTCTTCCACAATGGTTGAACTAATTTACACTCCCACCAACAGTGTAAAAGCGTTCCTATTTCTCTACAGCCTTGCCGGTGTCTATTCTATTGTTTTCTGACTTTTAAATAATTGCCATTCTGACTGGCGTGAGATGGTATCTCATTGTGGTTTTGATTTGCATTTCTCTGATGATTAGTGATGTTGAGCTTTTCTTCATATGTTTGTAGGCTGCATAAATGCCTTCTTTTGAGAAGTCTCTGCTCATATCCTTTGCCCAATTTTTGATTTTTTTTTTCTTGTAACTGTAAGCTCCTTGTAGATTCTAGATATTAGAACTTTGTCAGATGGGGAGATTGCAAAAACTTCTCCCATTCTGTAGATTTTCTGTTCACTCTGATGATAGTTTCTTTCACTTGCAGAAGCTCTTTAGTTTAATTAGATCCCATTTGTCAATTTTGGCTTTTGTTGCCATTGCTTTTGGCACTTTTTTCATGGAGTCTTTGCCCATGCCTATGTCCTGAATGGTATTGCCTAGATTTTCTTCTAGGGTTTTTATGGTTTGGGGCTTTACATTTAAGTCTTTAGTCCATCTTGAGTTAATTTTTGTATAAGGTGTAAAGACAGCGTCCAGTTTCAGTTTTCTGCATATGGCTAGCCAGTTTTCCCAGTACCATTTTCTGAATAGGAGATCCTTTCCCCATTGCTTGTTTTTGGCAAGTTTGTTGAAGATCAGATGGTTATAGATCTGTGGTGTTATTTCTGAGGTCTCTGTTCTGCTTCATTGGTCTACATGTCTGTTTTGGTACCAGTACCATGCTGCTTTGGTGACTGTAGCCTTGTAGTATAGTTTGAAGTCAGGTAGCGTGATGCCTCCAGCTTTGTTCTTTTTGCTTAGGATTGTCTTGGCTATATCGGGGGGTGGGTCTTCTTTGATTCCATATGAAATTTAAAATTGTTTTTTCTAATTCTGTGAAGAATGTCAATGGTAGTTTGATGGGAATAACATTGACTCTATAAATTACTTTGGGTGGTATGGCCATTTTCACGATATTGATTCTTCCTATCCATGAGCATGGAATGTTTTTCCATTTGTTTGTGTCCTCTCTTATTTTCTTGAGCAGTGAAGAAGTCCTTCACATCCCTTGTTATCTGTATTCACATCCCCTGTTAGCTGTATTCTTAGGTATTTTATTCTCTTTGTGGCGATTGTGAAGGGGAGTTCATTCATGATTCGGCTCTCTGCTTGCCTATTGTTGGTGTAAAGGAATGTTTGTTATTTCTGCACATTGATTTTGTATCCTGATTCTTTGCTGAAGTTGCTTATCAGTTCAAGAAGTTTCTGGGCTGAGATGATGGGGTTTTCTAAATATACAATCATGTTATCTGCAAGCAGAGACAATTTGACTTCCTCTCTTCTTATTCGAATACGCTTTATTTATTTCTCTTGCCTGATTGCCCTGGCCAGAACTTCTAATACTATGTTGAATAGGAGTGGTGAGAGAGGGCATCCTTGTCTTGTGCTGGTTTTCAAAGGGAATGCTTACCACTTTTGCCCATTCATTATGATATTGGCTGTGGGTTTGTCGTAAATAGCTCTTATTGTTTACATGTATGTTCCATCAATATATGTTTATTTAGTTTATTTATATGGTTTATTGAGAGTTTTTAGCATGAAGGGATGTTGAATTTTATCAAAGGCCTTTTCTGCATTTATTGAGATAATCATGTGGTCTTTGGTTCTGTTTATGTGATGGATTACATTTATTGATTTGCATACGTTGAACCAATCTTGCATTCCAGGGATGCAGCTGAGTTGATTGTGGTGCATAAGTTTTTTAATGTGCTGCTGGATTTAGTTTGCCAGTATTTTATTGAGGATTTTCGCATCAATGTTCATCAGGGATATTGGCCTGAAGTTTGTTGTTGTTGTCGTTGTGTCTCTTCCCAGTTTTGTATCAGGATGATGCTGGCTTCATAAAATGAGTTAGAGAGTAGTCCCTCCTTTTCAATTGTTTGGAATAGTTTCAGAAGGAATGGTACCAGCTCATCTTTGTATTTTTGGTAGTATTCACCTGTGAATCTGTCTGGTCCTGTTTGTTTGTTTGTTTGTTTGTTTGGGAGGCTATTAATTACTCCCTCAATTTCAGAGCTTATTATTGTTCTATTCAGGGATTCAATTTCTTCCTGGTTTAGTCTTGGTAGAATGTATGCATCCAGGAATTTATCCATTTCTTCTAGATTTTCTAGTTTATTTGTGCAGAGGTGTTTATAGTATTCTCTGATGCTAGTTTGTGTTTCTGTGGGGTCAGTAGCGATATCCCCTTTATTATTTTTTATTGTGTCTATTTGATTCTTCTCTCTCTTCTTCTTTATTAGTCTAGCTAGCGGTCAATCTATTTGTTAATTTTTTCAGGAAACCACCTCCTGGATTAGTTGATTATTTGGAGGGTTTTTCGTTTCTCTATCTCCTTCAATTCGTCTCTGATCTTAGTTATTTCTTATCTTCTGCTAGCTTTTGTGTTAGTGTGCTCTTGACTCTCTAGCTCTTTTAATTGTGATGTTAGGGTGTCAATTTGAGATCTTTCTAGCTTTCTGATGTGGGCATTTAGTACTATAAATTTCTCTCTTTTGGGTTTTCAACATTGTATTGTTGATTCTTTCTCATCTTCGTGAGTTTGTCTAGTTTCGGTCTTTGAGGCTGCTGATCCTTGGATGGGGTTTTTGTGGGGGCTTTTTGTTGTTGTTGATGATGCTGTTGTTGTTGCTTTCTGCTTGTTTTCCTTTCAATGGTGAAGTCCCTCTTCTATAGGGCTGCTGAAGTTTCTGGGGGTTCACTTCAGGCCTTATTTATCTGATTCACTCCCATGTCTAGAGATGTCACTCAAGGAGCCTGGAGAACAGCAAAGATGGGTGCCTGCTCCTTCCTCTGGAACCTCTGATCTCAAGGGGCACCAACCTGTTGTCAGTAGAATTGCTCTTGTATAGGGTGTCTGACAACCCCTGTTGGAGGGTCTCACCCAGTTGGGTTAACAGGGAGCAGGACCTATTTAACAGAGCACTTTGTCCCTTGGCGGAGAGGGTGTGTTTCACTGGTGGGGGGAACTGACTCATCTGGGCTGCCCGAATTCCTCAGAACTACCAGGAGGAGAGGCTAAGTCGGCTGGTCTGTAGAGACTGAAGCCACCCCTCCTTCTAGGGGCTCAGGCCCAGGGAGATCCAAATTCTGTCCCTGAGGCTCTGGCTGGAGTTATTGGAGATCCTGCAGGAAAGCCCCGCCCACTGAGGAAGGATGGGTCAGAATTAGGCCTGAAGATGCACTCTGACCGCAGGCCAGCTGGTGTGTTGGGCTGTGGGGACAAGTGTTGGGACTGAGCCGTCCAGCCTCCCTGGCTCCAGCAGGGGAAAAGCGCAGCCTGGAGCTATAGAAATGGTTGCTGCCCTTCCGCCACCCAAAGAGCTTAGTGTGTTAGGCAGCTGTGAGTCCCAGTGCTGGTTGCTGCCCCTCCCTAAAGGAGCTCAAACAACTTAGACAGCAGGCAGCCACAGCCGGTGCTGGTCGCCCCTCCTGCTGGGAGTTCGATAGGCTTGATCAGATTCTAGCTGAGAAGCTGTAAGAATCTGTGCATTCTGGGGTGGGGGTGCTAGGCCCTGGTGGACTGGGTTCGCAAGTGGGATCTTCCGATCCGTGGGTTGCACAGTTCCGTGGAAAAAGCAGTTTCCCCGGCTGAGTAGCGTGCTCACTCACTGCCTCCCTTGGCTGGGGGGCGGCGATTCCCCTTCCCCATATGGCTCTCAGGTGGGCCGCAGCACCACACTGTTCTTCCTTGTCTCCATGGGTCATGCCAGCCCTCGAGTCCATTTTGATGACAGAACCTGGATACTTTGGTTGCCGGTAAAGGATTCACAAGCCTATTATGTTTTATTTTTCAATGAGAGCCTCCTAATGCTGTTGCTTCTTGTCAGCCATCTTGGCCCTTCCCCCAGCCCCCGTCCCCGTCCCCCATCCCCGTCGTCCCCAGTCCCCACCCCCGTACCCCGGACCCCCACCCCCGTCCCCCCCCACCAATGTACCACCCCCACACCACCAGTGTAATTCTTATTCTTACTTCTTTATAGGTAAGGTGTTTTTTCCTCTGATTTCTTTCAAGATGTTCCCTTTGTTTTTAACTTTCTGCAGTTTGAAAATTATATGCCTAGATGTAAATTTTGGTTTTTTATCCTACTTGTTCTCTGAGCTTTCTGTATCTGTGGTTTGGTGTCTATCATTAACTTTAGGAAATTCTCAGTTAGCATTGCTTCAAATATTTCTTCTGTTCTGTTTTCTCCTTATTGTCCTTCTGGTATTCCTATTATGTGTATGTTATACATTTTGTAATTGTTCCACAATTCTTGGATATTCTGTTGTCTTTTCTTCTCTTTGTATTTCAGTTTTAGAAGTTTCTATTGACATTTCTTTAAGCTCACTGATTCTTTCTTCAGTTGTGTTCAGTTCATTGAAGTGCCCCTTAAAGGTATTCTTCATTCTTGCTACAGTGTTTTTGATTTCTAATATTTCCTCTTGATTCTTTTAAAAAATTTTCTCCTTTCTGCCTACATCACTCATCTGTTCTCACGTTGTCCATTTTCTCCACTAGAGCTCTCAGCATATTAATCATAGTTGTTTTAAATTCCCAATCTAATAATTCCAACATCCTTGCCATGTCTGACTCTGGATCTGATGCTTGCTCTATCTCTTCAAAAAAATTTTTTTTTGTCTTTCATTGTGCCTTACAATTTTATATTGGAAGCTAGACATGAAATACTGGGTAAGTGGAACAGAGGTAGATAGGGTCTTTTTTGTGAGGCTTTACGTTTATCTGACTAGGAGTTAGGCTGTAGCTGTAGGTGTCAGAGGTTAACATTTCCTCTTGTGTTTTTCTATTTGTGTTTCTGGTTGTCTCTGAGTTTCCTTAGAGATTTCTTCTTAAATAAAGTCTGACACATCCAGTTCTTTTAGTTGTATTCCCCAATTATTATACAAGAGCCCTATTGGTGTGATGGTAAGGTGTGTGGCAAGAGTAAGTGTTCCACAGTCCTTTGATGCAGTCTTAGGCTTTTAGTTAGCCTGTGCTCCTGAGCTGTGAGCTTCATGAGTGCTTCTCAATTTTTCCTCCTCTTTGGTGAGTAAGACTGGCTAGAGGTAGCTGAAGTAGAGTATTTCTCTCAGGTCAGTTAGGTTCTGATAAGACCTCCAATTGATTAAACTCTGGTAAAATAGTTTTTCATGAGAGTAGGCCTGTTTGAGAAGAACAAAATAATCTGGGCAAATTTTAAATGGAAACTTTCCCCATACCCTTCAGGAAACAGAAGGGTTTTTTTTTTTGTTTGTTTTCTTTTTTTTTTTTTTTTTTGTTACCAGATATTCACTGTGAAAACCTGGTAGGGCTTCTAGATGTAAAACTCACAAAAGAATAGGGGCTCCCCTAAGATTAGGCCCCCTAGAGTTTTTAACTCTCAAATTTGTCCACACTGAGCTGCCAACAACTTGTCAATTACAGTTGAAATCTTCATATCTTGATACTGGTTCTTGCAGAAGATTTTTGCTTCTGGTCTGGTAATTGTGATTTTCTGTATTAACCTATTTCTCTATTTTGAGTTTGCCCTGTGACCTCAGTTTTCTGAAGGATATAAGAAGAGTGTTTATTTTCAGTTTGTTCAGCTTTTTTTGTTGTTGCTTTGTTTTGAGGATGAGAATGACAATTTCCAAGTAGCTTACATACTGGAACAGAGACTAGAAGTCTAGTTTGTGATATAAAAATTTATAAATACATGCTATTGCATTTGGCTAATTGCTCATCCCCTAAGAAAAGAGTGAGCATTCATTTGTCTATCTGTGCTTAGATGACATTGATTTTAGTTTCTTTATTTTTTTCTTTCTTTCTTTCTTTTTTATTTTTTGAGACGTGGTATGGCTCTTTCACCCAGGCTGGAGTACAGTAGTATTCTCATGGCTCACTGCAACCTCAAACTTCTGGGCTCAAGTAATCCTCTTGCCTCAGCCTCTTGAGTAATTGGAACTACATGCATGTGCCACCATGCTCAGCTAATTTGTTTTTATTTTGATTGTAGAGATGGGGTTTTGCTGTGTTGCCCAGGCTGGTCTCAAACTCCTGGCCTTAAGAGATCCTCCTATTTCAGCCTCCCAAAGTGTGGGGATTACAGGAATTAGCCATGCCATCTGCCTAGATGACACTGTTTCTGAGAAGTGAATAATAATATTCTGATGTTTTCTATAATTTTGTGCTTAATTTCAATTTCACTATGTCAGATGAGTATTGGCTTTTAGCAATACTGCTTATATTCAGTGTAATGTGAGAACTGTTAAGTAGTCAGTAGCTGCTTAACAATCTAAAAAGAATTCTCATTCTGGTAAGCCAAATGCCATCAGATAACTTTTTCTGGTAGATGATAATGCCACTCTGAAATGTCTACTTTTTGTGGAAAAAAAGTATGAAATAAATTGAGTGGTCCTTAGAAAGCTGGCATTTGTTTCTAAAAACAATTATTTTTGATTTGGCACATCTTACATGCGTGACTACAATGTAGACTAAGGCATGCAGGCCCTGGGAAGGCAACTGCAACTTCCAATTTACTTTTTCTCTTTTTACCACAAAATCTACTGCTTTGATAGAATGGAGAGTCTTTCATTGAGTCATCCTTTACTAATGCTATTAATGAGATGTCAGTGATGTACAAGCAGCATATGGACTCTAGAAAGCAGACTCTCAATGAAGCATTGGGAAATTCCAGAGGCATTATATTCTAAACTGAAGAGGTTTAAGTCATATTGTTTTCAGAAGATGAAAATAGCTATGGATAAATTTTAATTGGGTAAAGTTTCACTGAGTCTT
Source organism: Homo sapiens (assembly GCF_000001405.40). Lineage (NCBI taxonomy): Eukaryota > Metazoa > Chordata > Mammalia > Primates > Hominidae > Homo > Homo sapiens. The sequence continues at coordinate 170,634,704 of NC_000001.11, forward strand.
TTCCCCAGCAAAACAATAAAAAAGCCATTGGCTAACTCTGGTGGTCTCCCTTTATGCTATTAGCCATGATATTAGTCTTGCTTGTTACTGACTGTGTGTAAAGATGTAACTGGTTTGAGAACACTTGTACCTTAATTGTGCTCCTGGAAACATATTTTGTGATATTAACATACCCTTTTTCTATTTTCCACCTTCCCTTCTCCACATTGAAGGTTGCTAGTCCTCCTGTCATTACTCAGGAATGATGATACAGGGCAAGGAAGGAAGCAAACACAGATCAAAGTCATTCTGTCCATTGTTTCTAAAAGCCCAAGCTTCAGAGGAAATGATTGGTTGTGGAGTATGCTGAGGAGGCAAAAAGAAGGAAATTCTATAGCATGAACAAATGGAAAATTATTTCCATTAGGGTGAAAATCACCCTGCCCCTTTTGAGCTAGTGGGTTGAAAGAAAAGAAAGAGATTTGTGAGCTGTTAGAGTAGAAGAGATCAACATCCTGCTTCTCAGGGCACCACAGGAAATGTTCTGAGACCTCCAAGAGGACCTGGCTGAGCAGTTCTTAGGCAGAAGAACACACAAGCAATCTCATCAAGAAAGGGTCTGTGCTGGAAACATTCCAGAAGTAGTAGGAATCTGTTGGTCCTGAAAGGGTCATGTGGGCAGAAGACATTTCCATGGCTATCAATGTGGCAGAAAGACTGAAGACAAGGTGCCTCACCCCTAGTCTTCACCCTGTATAAAATCTAAAATCTGTACTATAACCCAGAATGGAGAAGTCCAAGAAATATTAACGTTTATGTTTTTTGTCTCATGTGTTGCAGTCTTAAAATAGGAATTAAATTGATTTGACAGGGAGGTTGCAACATTTCTTTCTGACCTGAATTTGTAGAATGGCAACACTTTTATTAGATTCTTATGCTCTTTTTAAAAAATTTATTTTCCCCCTTAAAGAGTGCAAACTTAGCATTCAAGTTGTTTTGAAGAATTGTTTCTCTAGCTCTCTTTTAATAGAATTCACCATCTTCAGAAACTTAATAGACATGGAACATGGAAGTCTTTAGCAAAATAGACTTTATTGCTGCAAAAACTACTTGGAATTAAACCCAATCTAAATTACTTCAATATAAAACGAAAGGAAAGAAAAACCAAAATGAGAATAAATAAGGAGTTCAGAAGGGTCAAAGATGGTAATATTAAATAATATTATAGTCCCCTGATTATGGACAGTGTCACAACTTGGCCTCGTTTTACACCATTGCTACCGCAGCTCTCCTCTTGTTCAAATGTTTTTTCTTTTTTTTCCCTTTTTTTTTTTTTTGAGACAGAGTCTCTGTTGCCCAGGCTTGAGTGCAGTGGCACTATCTTGGCTCACTGCAACCAACCTCTGCCTCCCAGTTTCAAGCGATTCTCATGCCTCAGCCTCCCAAGTAGCTGGGACTACAGGAAAATGCCACCATGCCCAGCTATTTTTTTTTTTTTTTGGTATTTTTAGTAGAGACGAGGTTTCACCATGTTGCCCAGGCTGGTCTCAAACCCCTGAACTCAGGCAATCTGCCCGTCTTGGCTTCCCAGAGTGCTAGGATTATAGGTGTGAGCCATGGTGTCTGGCCTCTTGTTTCAGTTTTTGGTTGTTTTTTTTTTTTTCCTTCTTTAAAATCTCCTGACCCAAACATCATTATTGTTAGGGACATCACATAAAAAATTACTGCAATTATTGGCATTTCAGCTTAGGAATTATTCCAAGTTTCTGATCGCTCTGGGCTCTTTGAACCCCATCATGAATGGGTTCTCTTAAATCTCCAGTCTCCCTTGCTTTTGGATCTTGGCTTTCTCATCTGTTGGTTGCCCAACCTCAGACCATCCTTATTGTTTTGGGTTGAATTGTATCTCACCCTCCCTCCTCAAAAGATATGTTGTAGTCTTATCCAGTGCCTCAGAATATGACATTCGTAAAGGCCTAAAGATGGAGTATTCATGGAGATAATGAAGGAAAAATCACTGGTACCCAATATGACTGGTGCCTTGCAAAAAGGAGACAGAAATACATAGAGGGAAGACGATGTGAAGAGACACAGAGAAAATACAGCCATCTATAAGCCAAGAAGAGAGGCCTGGAACAGATCCTTCCCTCACAATACTCAGAAGGAATGACTGCCGTGGACATATTGATTTCAGACTTCTGGTATTCATCGCTGTGAGACAATTAATGTCTGTTGTTTAAGCCACTCAGTTCCTGGTACTTTGTTATGGCAGCCCTAGCAAATGACTACACTGATCCTCACCTGACACTACCTTCTGTTAATTGTTCTTTGGCTTCAAGCACTGAAGCCAAAGGCAGGATGCCGCTACCCTATGGAAACACAGCAGAAAAACAACACACGCTCCTTACCCTTCACTTTTCAGGAGAAGTAAACTGGATAGCCACCCCGTGGGCTTCAGAAATATTTTTGCTATATAACTATATCTATTTAATAGTAATGATTAGGATTAGTCTCTTTCAAACACATAATTCACTATTGCATTAACTCATAAACATTGTCAAGGGTATTGTTCACAGTATCACCCATATATCTAAATAAAATCCTACGTAAGAAACATCTTCTGAAATTCAGTGTTTCACAATTTGGTGATACCTATAAAACTTTCAAATGTAATGATAATCCATGACCGAGCAATTCTACATGGCTCTTAGGTAGGCAAAAGCTTGGAGTGTTTGTGGAATATGAAAAAGGCCAGCCTTAGTCTTTAGGTGCTTCAAGATATGGATCTTGGCCAGGCAGCGTAGCTCATGCCTGTAATTCAGCACTTTCGGAGGCCGAAGCGGGTGAACTGCTTGAGCCTAGGAATTTGAGGACGGCCTGAACAACATGGCAAAACCCCATCTCTATCAAAAAATACAAAAATTAGCCAGGCGTGATGGCACCTGCCTGTAGTCCCAGCTACTGAGGGGGCCGGACACTGAGATGGGAGAATCACTTGAACTCAGGGTGGGGCAGAGGTTGAAGTGAGCCCTGGTTGCACCACTGCACTCCAGCCTGGGTGATAGAGGAAGACGCTGTCTCAAAAAAAAATAATAATAAAATAAATTTTAAAAAGGATATTTCTGGAATAGTCTGTTCTTCATCTTAGCGAACAATCAAGGTTACAGCAAAGTGAAAAATATTCCTAAAACATAAAATGCACTCCTGTAATCCCAGCACTTTGGGAGGTTGAGGCGGGTGAATCACCTGAGGTCAGGAGTTTGAGACCAGCTTGGCCAGCATGGTGAAACCCTGTCTCTACTAAAAATACAAAAATTAGCCAGGCTCAGTGGTGGGCCCCTGTAATCCCAGCCACTTGGGAGGCTGAGGCAGGAAAATCGCTTGAGCCTGGGAGGTGGAGGTTGCAGTGGGCCAAGATTGTTCCATTGTACTCCAGCCTGGGTAACAGAGTGAGACTCCATCTCAAAACAAAACAAAAAAACAAAAAACAAAACATAAAATATTTTCTGTTTGGCCCTTTTGACTCCTTGGAATTTACAATGTTTAGACTGAGGGTTTCAGTTTAATGTAGACCTCATCTATACCATATATGTGTGACCCTTCACGTTATGGGTCCTCAAATATGAGATTAAGGCTAATGATGCTGATATGATCAAGTTAATAGGGCAGAGGCAAACATCAGGTATGTCTTTTCAAAGAGTTCTACAGCATAGCTGAGATAGCCCTCACCCCATATATATGGCCATGATGATGGGCTGTTTGTGAATTATTTTTTGTGTTGTCATTTTTTCAACTGACAGGTAAAGATTGTATACATTTATGATGTACAGCATGATGTTTTAATATATGTATAACTTGTGAGATGGCTAAATTGAACTATTTAACATATGCATTACCTTACTTTTTTTCTTTTTTTTGAGATAGAGTCTCCCTCTGTAACCCAGGCTGGAGTGCAGTGGCACAATCTTGGCTTACTGCAAGCTCCACCTCCAGGGTTCACACCATTCTCCTGTCTCAGCCTCCCAAGTAGCTGGGACTACGGGCGCCTGCCACCACGCCCAGCTAATTTTTTGTATTTTTAGTAGAGATTAGGTTTCACCGTGTTAGCCAAGATGGTCTCGATCTCCTGACTTCGTGATCCACCCGCCTTGGCCTCCCAAAGTGCTGGGATTACAGGCGTGAGCCACCGTGCCTGGCCTACATACCATTTTTTATGAGAACCTGTAAAATCTCTCCTAGAAATTTTTAAGTATAAAACATATTGTTCTTAACTGTAGTCACCATGATATACAGTAGATCTCTTAAAGTTATCCCTGTTGTTTAACTGAAATTTTGTGTTATTTGACCAATATCTCCCCCAATAAGCATCATTTTACTCTCTGTTTCTAGGAGTTAGACTTTTTGTTTGTTTGTTTGTTTGTTTTAGATGGAGTCTCTCTTTGTCACCAGGCTGGAGTACAGTGGCACAATCTTGGCTCACTGCAACCTCTGCCTCCCGGTGAGATGTAAAGCCAGCTGGACTTCCTGGGTCGAGTGGGGACTTGGAGAACTTTTCTTACAAGAGGATTGTAAAATGCACCAATCTGCAGTCTGTAGCTAAGATTGTAAAACGCACCAATCAGTGCTCTGTAGCTAGCAAGAGGTTGTAAAATGCACCAATCACTGCTCTGTAAAAACGCACCAGTGTTCTGTAGCTAGCAAGAGGTTTGTAAAATGGACCAATCAGCACTCTGTAAAATGGACCAATGAGCAGGAGTCTAAAAGTAACCAATCACGGGGAGGATTGAGAAAAGGGCATTCTGATAGGACAGAAACAGGAAATGGGGGGATACAAATAAGGGAATAAAAGCTGGCCACCCCAGCCCGCTGCAGCAACCCACTTGGGTCCCCTTCCATGCTGTGGAAGCTTTGTTCTTTCGCTGTTCACAATAAATCTTGCTGCTGCTCACTCTTTGGGTCCATGCCATCTTTAAGAGCTGAAACACTCACTGCGATGGTCCACGGCTCCATTCTTGAAGTCAGCAAGACCACGAACCCACTGGAAGAAACCAACTCCAGACACACCAGGTTCAACTGATTATCCTGCCTCAGCCTCTTGAGTAGCTGGGACTACAGGTACATGCCACCACGCCCAGCTAATTTTTGTATTTTTAGTAGAGACGGGGTTTCACCATGTTGGCCAGGATTATCTCGATCTCTTGACCTTGTGATCCACCTGCCTTGGCCTCCCAAAGTGCTAGGATTACAAGGCATGAGCCACCATGCCCGGCCAGTTAGACATACTTACACTCATGTGTGAATGAGGACATTTGGTACTTATCTTTCTGTGCTTGGCTTATTTCACTTAACATAATGTCCTCCAGATTAATTCATGTTGTCGAAAATTACAGTATTTTCTTCCTTTTTTAAGGCTGAATAGTATATATTTTGATTTGTAGTTGTATATATGTTTGATTTGTAACTGACTACATTATTGTGGCTATATACTATATTTTCTTTCTTCATTCATCTGCTGATGGCCACTTAGATCGATTCCACATCTTGGCTATTGTGAGCAGTGCTGTAATGAACAGAGGAATGCAGTTATCCTTCAAGAGTCTGATTTCATATATGCCCAGTAGTGGGATTGCTATATCATATGGTACTTCTATTTCTAATTTTTTGAGGAACCTCCATACTGTTTTCCATAATAGCTGTACTAATTTACATTCCTACCAACAGTGTGTGAGGGTTCCCTTTTCTCCAGTCTCACTGGAATAAGCCAGTTTCCTGAGGCTTGGTTGCACCAGGGCCAAGAGTACTTACAGTTCAGAGGGGGTGAGCAGAGATTAAGTTGGTGCAAGTTTTTTAAAATGAAATATAAATTAACAAATATGAATTATTAATATGAAAACTGATGCCTTATTTTACACCAAGAAGAAACAAACACTGTGCACCTGCTTCTGTAATCCTTATGTAAGTGAAGGAAGTGCTGTGCTTTAGACTTTATTGTGGTTTCTTTGGCTTCTATCTGCCCCCAAAGAAAACAAATACACACACAGCTGTTACAGCACTTGCTTTCTGCTCCAGAAAAGGGTAAGTGTGGAATAGAAATATTGGGTGCCTTCAGACATTGCCTAATAACTAAAAAGTGTCAAGCAGCAGGACTCTCCTAGTTCCCAGTAAGGAGGCACTAATTCATTATAAAAGCAACCCTGCACCTGCAGTGATAGCTGTTTTATGCTCATCTGTGTACTGGAGGCTGTCCTTGCATAACTGTGAGTCTGAGGCTAAGGAAATAACATCACCACTGTGAGCCTGGAGAAAGAATGCACAATGGTGATTCCAAAACCAAAGGAGACAGATTTTCAGTCCCACTGGGATAGACCAGTTTCCAAGGCTTGGTCCCATCAAAGCTAGAAGTGCCTTCAGTTCAGCGGTGGTAAGCAGAGATAAAGTCAGTGCCGTTTTTTTTTTGTTTTTTTTTTGTTTTGTTTTGTTTTGTTTTTTAATGAAGTGTAAACCAAAGACTTGAGAATTCTAGGCCATGCCTATTTAAAATTCTTTCAAAGGTCCAGGCAGCTGCAATACAATAGGTGCTTGGCTGAAGTTGACAATGCCAGTGAATTTAACCTTTCTTTCAACTGTTTTCTCTCATTGTCATTATTGGTGGTTTTGATGAAGGATTAGGTGATATATGGAGAATATCTTTTGGGCTTTATTTTAACACATCCCATTGGTAAAAGAGAGATGGACTGTCCTTTGACATTTCCTCTAGAAAGCTCTTGTCTTTTCTTTCTACTATAAATCAAGTAGTCTTGTAATGATTTTAAATATGAATTATTTGACATAAAATGAAGATACTAATTACAAATTCTATGAAGCATTTTACAGAAACATATTTACTGGTTCATCCAACCAACTTTGATTGATCCCTGAGAGCCAACTACAGATTGTGCCAAACACTGGGAGAACAGAGATAATAAAAACACTCCATACCCAGAAGAAACATACATTTTAACAGGGGAAAATAGACATGTGAACTAATAAAAGCAATAGAATGTGATATATTCTATGATATGAGGGTAAACTATGATTCAACAGGGCCCAAAGATGAGAGTGATCAAAAAAGATTTCTAGAGGAAGTAAAGTTTGAGTCAATTTCCTGAAACAGGACCAAATACAGGTTTTCAGGAGAAGGACAGATTCTCCAAGCAGGTAAAACTAAAAATGTGAAAGTAGAGTCTGAAATAGCCTGACACATTTATACAGCTGAAGATAGATTTGATCAGAATAAGGGTGCAACTCTTTATTTATTAAATAAGTTCCTTTTAGTAGTGAACAAGATATGTTCAGTCCATGCCCACAGGAAGACTATGTTACAGTAATGAAGGCAGATTTTAAAAATTACTACGTGAATAGATAAATAATATAATTACAAAGTATAAGTGCATATAAAGAAAAAGAAAAGTGGGGGCTGAGATAGAGAATTGGGCAAAGAAGATGAGAAGGGACAGAAGTATTCCTTAAAGTTCAGGAAGTGTTTTTGTGAGAGGTGGCTTTGAAACTGACACCTGAAGCATGAGCAAAAGCTAATCTTTAGCAAAGCAGGTGAGATAACCATTACAGACAAGTAAAGGGCACAAGCTAAGTCCCTGATACATGAAAAGGAAGGTAGGAGGTAATGCTAATCTAGTCAATGTAAGGAAGTGCATGCCATCACTATACTAAGATATTTATGCTCTCTTTTACTGGCAATAAGGAACCACTGGATAATATTAAAAGAGACAAATATGATAATATTCTTTTTAAGAAATCCACTTTGTTGGCATGGTGGAGAGATATTAATCATAATGAAACCAGTTAGCAAATTACTGCAGCAGCCCAGTCAGTGGAGACAGAATTGAGGCAAACAATATTAAGGAAAGAGAATTGAAAGGACTTAATTTCTTTTTGGATATAGTATTTTTTTTTTTTTTTTTGAGACAAGGTCTCATTCTGCCACACAGGCTGAAGTGCAGTGGTGTGATCACAGCTCACTGCAGCCTCTACCTCCTGGGTTCAGGTGATCCTCCCACTTCAGCCTCCTGGGTAGCTGCTACTACAGGCATGCACCACTATGCCTGGCTTTTTTTTTTTTTTTTTTTTGCATTTTTTGTAGAGATGAGATCTCACTATTTGTCCAGCCTGGTCTTGAGCACCTGGGTTCAAGCAACCTGCCCGTGTAGGCCTCTCGAAGTGCTGAGATTACAGGTGTGAGCCACTGATCCCAGCCCTGGGTAATTCCTTTCTATTTGCTTTATTTTGCTTTTACTTATTGCTTATAATACAAGAAATGAATGTAAATTTGGAAGAAATAAATAACCACCAAACAAAAAATTATACAATTAAATCATGAAAAATTCCAACACGTGCACTTTCTTCCAGTCTCATTTCTATGCAAATATATAATTTATAAACATGCTTGCCTAATTTTTTCACGTAACACCTGTACTGTGAATATCTTTCCAAATCAGCAACTCCATTGACTTCATTATTTTAATAGCTACACAATATTTAATTGCATTTATAATGTATTTAATCACCCCATTATTAGACTATTTGGTTCTTTCCATATTTTCTATTATAAAAATGCTGTAAGGAATATTACTTTATATAGATCATTGTCTTCTTGTTTGATTATGTTCTAAGCATTTATTCCTAAAAGCCAGATTATTATGCCATAGCAATTTTTTAATGCTTTTAATACAATTTACCAAAATACTCTCCAGAAAATCAGACACTTTCCTTCTATCTGAACTCAAAAACCATTTTCTCACAGGGTCTCGCTATGTTGCCCAGGCTGGTCTTGAACTACTGAGCTTAAGCAATCCACCTGCCTAGGCCTACCAAAGTACTGGGATTACAGGTGTGAACCACAGTGCCTAGCCAAAACAAGTAACTTTTATTGGGACTGCGTTACATTTACTGATTAATTTGGAGATAATTGGCATTTTTAATATATTGAGTATTTTCAACTGGGTAGGAAATGCCCATCCATGTCAAGTCATATCTTCTTTTATGTCCTTCAGTAGTGCTTTCTTAGTCTTCTTTTGTATGCCTTACACATTTGTTTTTCATTTTGCACTTAAGATATTTGAAATTTTATTATCCTTATGATTGGGGTATTTCATTTAACATCATGTATTCCGACTGACTATATTTGATATCTAGAAAAACTTTGGAATTTTAAATGTTTGATTTGTAACTGACTACATTATTGAATTCATTAGTTTTAAGGAACTTTTTTTTGTTGATTTTTTATTTTATGGTATTTGGTAAATTTACTTTCTCTTTCCAGTATTATTACATTATTACATAGTTTCCCTATCTAATCGTGTTAGTTGGCATTTTCTGTATAGTCTTATATAACCATTGCAATTATAGACTCCTTTCATTAGTCTTGACTTTAATGAGAATTTCTGTAGGATTACATCATGATGAATGATATTGTTCAATCATTTTAAGGTATGCATTTTTATCATGTTAAAAAGTCACTCTCTAATTCTATTTTTTAAAGTTTTATTGAGAATATATGCTCAATTTTATTAAACACCATCCAAGTATCGCTTCTGATACTTTTTATTTGATGAATAATGGTAATACATATTTTGCTATCAAACCATCCATTTCTTTTGCTTAGTCATTGTGGCTTGGCATTTTAATAAATAGTTTAGGTTGTTTAGTTAACATCTTGTTTAGGAAATTGATGAGTCTTTTGATTTTTGTGCTCTAAGATTTTGGTATCTAGATTGTGCTAGCTATATTTTTAAAAATTAGAAACAGCCAATTCTAGCAATTTAATTAATCCTTTCTCTAGTTTTATATACAGCTATATGTTCCTTCTTGGTGTTTCCATTGTAATTTATACATTTAGAATGGGATAATATATTTTTTAATAATATATAAGAGCATATAGTATGTTATAAAACTATAGAAGTGTAATATATTTTAATGTCATAAGATATAAATATATCATAATATATAATGCATATTAAATGTATACCTATCTTTTATATTTCCATACTTGTAACTTTCTAGTTATTCAGAAATATTAATCTACCTGAAGGTGGTAAATAGGAATGAAAAAGAAAAAAGCAAGAAAATAGTTGACATTCAACTTCTGACTACCAAAAATGGGACTTTTTAGTCATTTTTGTGACAATATTCTCAGAAGGCTGGCATTGTGGAGAGAGTAAACAAATTTCTGTTTTTAAACTTTCTTTATCATATCAAGAATTAGGACAGGCTGACCTCAATATCAAGCTCTCAAGGGTAGAGAGAATTCATAGGCATAATTCCTTCCCATACGGGGAAGGGAGAATAATATGGCCTAATATTGGTCTAATAGATTATGAGAAGGAAAGGAGAAAAAGAGGTAGGAGGAGGTAAAGGTCAGACCTTGTCCCTCAGACGTTCTCTCCATGGGGGCCCCATCTTCCCCATCTTTCACTAACTCCAAGAGCTTGTCTCCCTACTTCCCAAAGACCCGAGTTTTGGAACTCTGGAAAGAGATGGCCTCACGGGGTACAATCCTGTATCAAAATAAAATGGTGGAGAGACTTGGCTTGCTTGTAAGGCCTGAGTTAGCTATTAAAAGACTCCCTCATCTCCTCTAGTAGATGGAAGGGATCCAGAAGTTTACATGCCTCATGGTGTGGAGCAGGGCGAGAGTGAGAAAGGTAATTGAGTTGACCCATTGGACCTGTAAGAGACTGCTGCAGTAAACAGTGAGGGGACCTACTCAATATACTAGTGCTGGGAAGCTGAACCCAGCCGGCTCAGATTGAGAGGAATGTTCAATCCTGGAGAGAGTTGAACTGGAGCTTAGTGAGTTGGGGAAGACTAAAATGAACTGATGAGCTAAGTAGAAAAACACCTGTATTAATAATAACTGCAAAAGGGAGCCCAAGGATTGATCCCCACCAAACACTTTGTCACAGAGAAACTAAAAGTCAACATAGAACTTTTATTCATGGAAGTTAGACTCTCTCTTCCCAGCTTGTAGTAGACTTCAGACCCCTCCTTGATATACAGTAAGTTCTAACTTAATGTTGTCCATAGGTTCTTGAAAACTGTGACTTTAAGCAAAACAGCATATAACAAAACCAATTTTACCATAGGCTAATTGATATAAACAAGATTTAAGTTCCTATGGCATACTTCTGGTCACATACACACAAAAATCACCAAGCTTCTAAAAAAAAAGAACACCAAATACTTCTAATATGAAACATTGAAATAAAAGTGAGCTCTATATACATTAAAGAAAGATTAATAAACGCAAGTAAGACACGTATTTATCCAATTTTTGGCGAATCATTGAGTGACAGTGGTCATAGTGGTGGTGGGTTAAATCAAAGAATAATGTTTGCAAAGCAAGAATTGTAATGAGCTCTTCCTACCCACACGCCATTAGAAAATAATAACAAATGTGGTGGGCTTGCCAAGTGCTTTTGTACTGCATCATTTATTGCCATGCATTGTATGATTATTGTACACTTTACTGATTTTTATTTGACAATAATTTGTGTCCATTCATTCATTTCCCAAACCATTTATTCCAGTTCAGGGTCATGGATGGCCTCCCATGACCCTATCCCAGCAGCTCAGGATGCAAGGCGAGAATTAACGTGAACAGGACGCCATTCCATCTCAGGGTCATTCACCCACACACACACACTCACTTAGACTGGGACCAGTGAGACACAACTGTTCACCTAATGTGCACAGCTTTGGGATATGGGAGGAAACTGGAGTATCCAAGAAACCCCATGAAGGCATGGGGAGAACATGCAAATTTCGCACAGACAGTGACCCTGGTCAGAAATCAAATTTTTTCTTCATCAATTTCATAGCAAAACGATATTGAGTAAAATGACATTATCTGAAGACCTGCTGTACTACGATGCCATTGTAGAAGAAACTCAGAGGAAGGGAAAGCAAACTGAAAGACTGAGCATTGACATCCCCAAAGAGATGAAGTTATCTTTGAGAGACTATTATACACTCCCCAGGGGTCTGAGATGCTGTTAATTACTTAATTTAGGCTTTTCCTTTGGCCCTGATGGATGAGGGGCTAGGATAAATAGATGTTATAAAAATTTTTAAAAATACTTCTCTTAAGATTTGAGAAATAGAGTGTTCAATCATTGACTCTACCACACAGATGTTTTTACAAATATCAATTTGTTTCTCTTCCCTCTTAGATAGTGAGCACACTGTAGGCAGATCTGATTTTTTTTTTTTTTTACCCCTCAGAATTGGTAGGCACTAGACACCTTTTTAGTAAGTGAATAAATGTGTGTCTAATTCAGAAAGGCCTGAAGGATTGTTTTAAAAATACACATTTGGCTGGTTAGGCTTTGAGATAAACAGACATGAAAAGTGCAATGAAGACACACATCTTGTTGAGAAATAAAGTTTTAGGTGAAAAGGTGAATAGTTAAGAATCTGCAAATATAGAAAAATCAAGACGTACAAGGGTTATTGTGTTGAATTATATTGGACCTTGAATCTCAAATGCCATTAACAACAATATGGGCAATAAGAATGTTTTAATCCTCACTTCTTGTGCTGTCTGACTCAGTATTTATACTTTTTATTTGATCTTCAATAAAGCTCCCTTTGTTCTCATTCATGAGTAATGGGTCCAAGGTTTTTATTATTATTCTCACTGCAGTAGGGTGCAGTAGCTGAAAATTTTCTTCAACTTATGGAAGTTCAGATTTTTTTCAGTTGAAGCTGTTATCTCCAGAAAGAACATACTTCACCAACACAATCCAGAGGCAGAGCCATGACAAATCTTCCCTTCTGTCCAAAAAGAGGAGCCTGATTCCTAGCACCTGAGAAACATACTGATAACAATATGCATCCCGATGTGACATGGCAAATGAGTTTTTCATTGCAAAGAACGAATACCTTTCAAAAATAGGGTGGGTGTAAAGATAAGGAGAAAAAATAATCTAAGTACAAGTATTCTCTGATTTATAGGCTAAGTATTCATTTTGTAATTCCCTCTTTTCCATTGTTTTACCAAGAAAAACAGCAAGTCTGGATGCTGACTATATAACCTCCCTCTTTACTCCATCTTCAGGAAAAGCATTCAAAAACTAGACAGATTCTAAAACAATCCGTGTTAACTCTATTTTGGGATATGAACCCTTTAATAAGATAAGCAAAGGTATCACTGTTTTCCTCTTCCTTGTGATATTTTTATGTTTTCAATTGCCAGTGTAGTGCAAAGTAACTCAAGGGGGTCAAGTGAGGGTGAAGTAGAGGCTAAGGGAGGGAAACAGAGGGATATGGGGGAATAAATTTACTCTAAATCTTAACTATACAGTTTCAGACCATTGAATTGGTCTGAATTTACATCATTAATGCATTCCGGCATGATATACCATCTAGCAAGGTGGTTAAGAGTCCAAGCCTGGTCATCAGAGGGAACCAGATTCTAATCATGCCGGGGTGATCCCCTGGGAAAACTACTTGTTTGATTTTCTTATCTGTAAAAGAAAATAGTAAAACTTACCTTATGGGGTTATTGTGAAGATTAAATAAGATAAAGAATATACACTTAGCACAGTGTTTAACATATAGCGAATACTCATTAAGCCATTATTACTACTACTACAATTCCTTGGTTATAAAATTGAGGTCAGTGTGAACAACTGGATAGCTGGGAGAGAATTATCATGGCCTTATATATTTCAGATGCCTGTGTGCAATGCTATATACTTAGTATATAATTTCATCAGACACAAAAAAGCATAGTTAAAATCCTGCTAAATATTAGAAGGCAATTTGTGAAAACATTTTACGTTTTTTAGAGCAATTAACATTCTGTTTTAAGCATTTTATTCACATTTCCTACTCATTCTTACAGAAATCCTCTGTGGTAGATAAATACCAAAAACTGAGCCTCTGATTTCTTGCTTGAACTATAGTTTCTGTGAGAAATGTAATAATATGAGATGTTTTCAGCTTGGGAAGTAGAATATGGAGAGAACCATTTTTTTTCTTAAATAAATGAAATGTACAAACTGTACTCTGTGCCTGTCATTTTTTAATCAACATTATATTTGTGAGATTTAACCATGTTGGTGCATGTAGCAGCAGACAGTATTCAACTATATAAATATATTAATTTTTTTTACCCATAATACTGATATTTGGGTTATTTGCAGTTTGGGTCTGGTACAAATAGTGCATTACTGTTTGTGTGTGTGTGTGTGTGAGTGTGTGTGTATTTCTTTGGGTACATGTATGAAAGCATTTCTGTTGGATTGTTACCTATGACCCAGAATAAAATGTCTGGGTCATGGCATATATTTGACTTTAGTAGGTGCTGCTGGTTTTCAAAAGTTGTACCAATTTACATTCCCCGAAGCAGTGTATCGGAGTTTCAGTTGCTTGTACAAAGTTACCGGCAGTATATGAGTATTTCAGCATATGAGAGTGGTGTTCTAACTATTCTAAATTCTTAAAAGCACTGTCTATTTCATTTAACTATTCTGGTGAATGTATGATGGTATCTTAATTTGGCTTTAGACTAGATATATCACTATGTCATTTTCACATAAAAAGAGTTTTATTTCTTTCTTTCCAATTTTTTAATGAGTTTTTCTTCTTTTTTATTGTACTGCCTAGGGCCTTAAAAGAATGTAAATAGAAATGACATTAGTAGGCATCCTTTTCTCATTCTAAATCTCGGGGGGAAAGCTTTGAATATTTTACCAGCAAGTATTATTTTTTCAGTAGGCTTTTCATAAGTGTTATTTATCAGATTGAGGGACTTGTTTTGTATCCCCAGTTTGTTAAGGTTTTTAAAAATTATTATGAATGTGTAATTTTATCAAATACTATTTCTTCATGAGTTTAGATAAACATAAAATTTTTCTCTTCTATTCTCTTAAAGTGGTGAATGACATTGATTGACTTTTTAATATTAAACCAGCTTTGCATTCCTGGAATAAACTCAACTTGATTGTGAAGTATTATGATTTTTGTGTATTACTCAATTTGATTTGTCAGTATTTCATATAATAGTTTTGTTTGTTTACTTATTGACCTGTAATTTTCATTTTTTTGTTATTTTCTTTTCTTATAATGTCTCATTTTGGTTTTGTTTTCAGAAGTATGCTGGCCTCATAAAACAAGTTGAGACATGTGTCTTTTTTTTTTTTTTTTTTTTTTTTTTTTTGAGACGAAGTCTCGCTCTGTCGCCCAGGCTGGAGTGCAGTGGCGCAACCTCGGCTCACTGCAAGCTCCGCCCCCCGGGGTTCACGCCATTCTCCTGCCTCAGCCTCCCGAGTAGCTGGGACTACAGGCGCCCGCCACTACACCCGGCTAATTTTTTGTATTTTTAGTAGAGACGGGGTTTTACCGTGTTAGCCAGGATGGTCTCGATCTCCTGACCTCGTGATCCGCCCGCCTCGGCCTCCCATAGTGCTGGGATTACAGGCGTGAGCCACCGCGCCTGCAGACATGTGTCCTCTTTATTCATTCTTCAGAAGAGTATTTATAATATTGCTATTATTTCTTCTTTAAGTTAGTGAAAAAATTGATCCTTCATGCATTCTGAGTCTGTCTGAAGATCTCTGAGTGGAAAAGATTAATTCGATTTCTTTAAAATGTGCAAGATTACTCATAATTATTTTTGTGTTAATCTTGTTAAATTCTATTCTCTTTTGTTTGTTTGTTTGTTTGAGACGGAGTCTCACTCTGTCGCCAGGCTGGAGTGCAGTGGCGAGATCTTGGCTCACTACAACCTCTGACTCCCGGGTTCAAGCGATTCTCCTGCCTCAGCCTCCGGAACAGCTGGGACTACAGGCGCGCCACCACGCCCAGCTAATTTTTGTATTTTTAGTAGAGACCGGTTTTCACCATGTTAGCCAGGATGGTCTCCATCTTCTGACCTCACGATCCACCTGCCTCGGCCTCCCAAAGTGCTGGGATTACAGGTGTGATACACCAAGCCCGGCTTTTTTTTTTTTTTTTTTTTTGAGGAGTCTCACTCTGTCGCCCAGGCTGGAGTGCAATGACGCCATTTCAGCTCACTTCAACCTCCACCTCCCGGGTTCAAGCGAGTCTCCTGCCTCAGCCTCCCAAGTAACTGGGATTACAGGTGCCTGACACCACACCTGGCTATTTTGTGTGTGTGTGTATTTTTAGTAGAGACAGGTTTTCACCATGTTGGCCAGGCTGGTCTCGAACTCCTGACCTCAGGTGATCCGCCCGCCTCGGCTTCCCAAAGTGCTGGGATTACAGGCGTGAGCTACCGTGCCCGGCCATTAAATTCTGTTTTTAAAGAATCTGTACATTTCTTCTGAATTTTCAAATTTATTTGAATGAAAACATAATTACTCTCTTAAGATGTATTTAATACATAGAGATCTGTGTTGATTCCCCTTTTTTTACCCCAATATTGATAATTCATTTTTTTTCTCTTTTGTTCTTTCTTAGACTGGCAAAGAACTTACTGATTTTCTTGGTCTATTCGAAGTATCTGCTTTTAGCTTTGTGGACTTTCTCCATTGTACCTCCTTTTTTTTCTATCTTATTAGTTTCAGTTCATCTTTATTGTTTCTTTTATTCTACTTTATTAGTGTTTAATCTTCAGTTTTTTATGTTTTTGAGATAGATACTTGAATCACAAGTTTTCAGTCCTTTTTTCTCTAATATAGCTTAAGACTATAACACTATAAAATCTCCATCAGAAATATCCTTAGATGCATTCTATATGTTGGATATGTAGGATTTTCACTGTGTAGTCCAAAATGTTTCTAGCTTCCATTTAAATTTCTTCTTTGATAAATAGTTTATGGAATAAAATAGCTTAATTTCCAAGCATACTGGAATCTTCTGGTTATCTCATCTGATTATGTCTTTATTTTACACTTGAGTTCTAGCTTGAGCATTTAATTGACTAGTTTCAATGCCTTGAATAATTTTGAGACTCATTTAATGGCTCTGCATATATTTTTCTGCCTTAGTCCATTTTCTGTTGCTACAACTGAATACCTGAGATTGGGTAATTTATAACGAAAATAAATTTATTTTTCATAGTTCTGGTGACTGGGAAGTCCAAGTTCTTGGAGCCACATCTGGCGAGAGCCCTATTACTGGTAGAGACTTTCTTTAGAGCCCCCAAGGTGGCATCACATGGCAAGGGAGCTTATTAGAGACAGCCAAACTGGCTTTAATAACAGACCCCCTCTCATGATAACTAACCCATTCCTGCAAACCTATTAATGCATTGATGAGGACAGAGCCCTCATAACCTTTCTAAAGGCCCCATCACATTTTAAAGTTCTCATCTCTTAATACTGTTACACTGGGGACTGAGTTTCCACATGAGTTTTGAAAGAGACAAACATTCAAACCACAGTGCATATAGTCATTAACATTTTGGTCAATGTTATCTATGCATTTGGAAAAAATATACATAGTTCGTCATAGTTGACTTCAGTGTTCCATATGTGTCAACTAGGCCAAGTATTTTTCAGACCTCCCCTCTTTTTAATAATTTTTTTTTGTGTTATGGAGAAAGATATATTAAATATTCTCTATAATTATGGTTTTGTATATTTCTCCTCTTGGTTCATCTAATTTTTAATATTTATTTTTGGAAGCCACACTAATAGATGCATACAAAGTTTAATTGTAATGTTTTCCTATAACATTCACTTTATTTGTTGTTATTAAATGTCCTTTTTCATGTCTAAAATTGTTTCTTCCTTTTAAGCTTATCTTTTCTGGTACTCATATTCTTTGTTTTGCTGATCTTTTCACAAAATGTTCTCATTCTTTTGCTTTTAACTTCTCTTTTTCTTTATATTTAAGGAGTAGCTCTTGTAGCAATCTGTAGCAGCATGATGTTTCTTGTTTTTTAATTAGTGTATTTAGACCATAAGACATTATTGTTATCATTATTTTTACAGTCAATATTCATTCAGACTTACTGACATATTTGCCATTTATTTTGCACTTTATTTCTTCCTGAATTTCTATGTTTCTAGGTAAAATCATTTAGAAACTGTGTTTAGTGTGAGTTTGCTGGTAGCAAATTGATCTCAAGTTTTACTTTGTCTGAAACTATCTTCATTTTGTTTTAACAAAGATACTTTCACTAGGCATAGAACTTCAGGAGGGCAGTTATTTGTTTCCAGTACTTAAAAAATGTCATCCCATTGTCTCTGGCTTTCATTGTTTCTGTTGAGCAGTCAGCCTAAAGTTTTGCTTTTGCTACTTTGGGGCCAAAATATCTTTATTTCTCTGGCCATTTAAAAATTTTTCCTTTTTGTTGTTTGTGTTTTGTTTGTATCTCACCAGTCTTATTATGATGTATGTAGGTATCATTTTCTTTTATTTGTATTTATTCATCTTGTTGTTTAAAGAGCTTCTTGAATCAGTGACTTGATGTCTTCCATCAACTTTGGACAAATTTTAATCAAACCCAATTTATTTAAATTTCCCCCATCCTCTCTTTATTCTTCTTCTGAAATTCAACTACGTGGATGCTAGATATTATCCATATGTCTATATCTTATCATATATATCTCTTCTGTTTTTTCTATACTTCTCATTATTTTTGCTCTCTGCTTCAGTCTTTTCTCCTGACCTATTTATTTTCCAGCTCACTAATTCCCTCTTGAGCTGTGTCACATATCCTGATAAACTCATCTCTTGAATTAAGTTCAGTTTTTGCATTTTTTAGTTCTAGAACATTTCATTTGATTCTTATAGTTGCATGTTTTCTTGTGAAATTCTCATCTTATCATTTATTACTTTGATTATGTTAATTAGTCCATGTGTGTTGTGTATTGCTTGTCTTGGTCTAATTTTTTAATACACTAGATTTTTTGGTGCCTTTTTTTTGTTATTTTTATCAAATGTTGGACATTTTGTGTAAACATTAAAATGATTCTAGGCCAGATTTGGTGGCTCATGCCTGTAATCCCAGCACTTTGGGAGGCTGAGGTGGGTGGATCACTTTAGGTCAGGAGTTCAAGACCAGCCTTGCCAACAGAGTGAAACCCTGTCTCTACTAACAATATGAAAATTAGCTGGGTGTGGTGGCAGGCACCTGTAATCCCAGCTACTTGGGAGGCTGAGACAGTAGAATCGCTTGAACTTGGGAGGCAGAGGTTGCAGTGAGCTGAGATCGCACCACTGCCCTCCAGCCTGGGCGACAGAGCAAGACTTTGTCTCAAAAAAAAAAAAAAAAAAAAAAAAAAAAAAAAAGACTCTAGTGCTATATTTCTCCAGAGAGGATTCAACCTATCTTGAAAGGCAACAGAGAGGCAGATTAGCTCAATCCAACCTGGGACTAAACTCAGTCTTTCTAAGGCTCGGTCTACATGCAATTTTTTTGCATTCATAGGGTGTAGCTTTCCAGGACTTCTAACAGAGAGCCTGGAGTGTTTCTTACGGATTCTTCTCTTTGACATGAACTTCAGTTTTTGTCTCCTTAGTATTGTCAAGTTGCAAAAATCTCTGATTTGCCATTATTCACATTATGTTCTGCTTCTTAGCCTTTTGCTTACGCAGCTTAATTGGCTAATACCTTGTGGGGAAGACTGATGTGAATGTTGGTCTCATTTGTCTCAGCCTCCCTTCTCTATAAAATCTCATCAATACCAAACTCCAATTTCTCTTCCTCCAAGGCCATACAGTTGCATAAATCTCTACTGTTCTCCTTTTTTAAACAAATACTATCTCTTTTTTCAGTCTCTTGTTTTATTCCAAAGTGCTGCCGATAACCCAAGGATAAAAATGGAATGAAACAAGTCTGACTTACCTCAGAGCATCCTTGTCTGGAATATACAGTTGCTCAAGTCTTGATCGCCTTGGCAGGTGTCTGATATTTGAAGTGAGGAAGATATAAATATTTTTAGGTTCTTAAGTTGCTTTTGCAGGGAGCACTACTCTTCTGCTATAAGCTACTACATCATTGCCAAAAGAATTTCTGAACTAAATTTTAGTGAGTATTTATTACTTGCCAGGCACTATGTTAGGTCTTACTTGTTATCTTACTTTTTTTTTTTTTTGAGATGGAGTCTCGCTCTGTCACCCAGGCTGGAGTGCAGTGGCACAATCTCGGCTCATGGCAAGCTCTGCCTCCCGGGTTCACGCCATTCTCCTGCCTCAACCTCCCGAGTAGCTGGGACTACAGGCGCCCGCCACCACGCCCGGCTAATTTTTTGTATTTTTAGTAGAGACGGGGTTTCGCCATGTTAGCCAGGATGGTCTTGATCTCCTGACCTCGTGATCCGCCCCTGTCAGCCTCCTAAAGTGCTGGGATTACAGGCTTGAGCCACCGCTCCCGGCCTTACTTTTCTTTCAGATGTACTTTGAGCTTCTGAGACTCAAAGTGTGAGACTCAGAGGAACTAAGTTACTTGCTCAAAATTTCTTTAAAGAGTTAGAAACAAAGAATAAACTTTCAAAGCCTCTAAAGCCTCTAGTCTTTACACCACATTAGGGACAAAGTAGGATGTAACACAGTGTCTGGTAATGGTTAAAGATTAATGGTGAACTACTACTTTATGTCATTTGGTCCAAAATAGAATATAAATGTTGATATCTTTGATCCTGTGTAATAATTTTTAATGGAGACTGAGACACACAATAGTAATGAGTATTAGAGAGGTCACTAAATCTCTTTTCATATTTTGAAGGAAATAATTCTGACTTTTCATTTAAAGGAGCAGATGATGCTCAAAAGAACAAATCAGGAAAGAGGAAAGAATAAAAGGGTAAGTAGCAAAAGGAAGTGTTTTTTTTCTCCAGTATGTATTTCGGAGATAGGTAGTTTTGGTGCTTTAAATGCAGAGCTGGGTACCAGGTTCATGAAAGACAAAGGTATGTATTGTATAAAGAGGTGAATGGTGACTTAACAAAATGTGGAATTAATAGGTTTGTGATCTGCAAAGTGCTGATATAACACAGTATTTTAGACTTTTTAATAAAAGTTAGTTTTCTTATTTCCACCATATAAATCCTTACTTCTTTTCTGTAGTGATAAAGGCAAGAAAAGAATGTCAGGAAAGAATGACAACTGTAATTGTAATGACAAATGTAACTGGTCCTATATACACTCATACCTTTTACACTGAGTTCCTCACATACACATTATCTCAAAGCATCACTTTGAGGCAGGAAAGAAAAAAAAGTCTCTGAAATTTTGTGAAATTACTGTGGAGAAAAACTTGAAATAAGGCAGATCCGGGTGTCTTTAACAAGATAAAAACAAGAAAAATTAGGGTAAAATATATACCTAACCTAACAGGTATAAAGGGACAAAAGAAGTTGTAACCAGTTTGGATGTTTACCTGTGAGCTAGCATTATAGAAAAAGTGGAGATCTGGGAGAAAAGAGAGAGACAAGCTCAGAAATTTAGAGATTTGTAGAAGGGGAGGAAAGCAAGCAGAGAAGTGGGCTGTACTTGGTTCCAGATTTATGGGAGCAGCAAGCCAAGGAAGGTTATCTAAAGTGGCACACCTACCAGGTATGCTATAAATAAGCCCCAAAGTCAGCTGAAGGACCTTATGCATTTCAAATCAGCCTAACTTACCCAGGTCCAGAGAATTTTGTATTTGTACTGTTGGATTCCATCTCACGTCTGCCTGGCCTGGAAACAGAGCTTCAGGGCCCAAAAGTTGAAGAGCTTGCAGAGGCACCAACCTAGTCTGGGATCTCAGTTTAGATGTCTTATTCAGGGCCAATAGTCTGGTGAGTATGCAGGTTCTCAAATTCTCAGAGTGAGACACAAAAAAACCTACCAGGCATGAATTTTTCCTGCAAAGGAATGAGGGGTTGGCATTGGTTTATCTTACAGCTCTGTGTGCTGCTGCTTGCCTAGAGCCATTCCCATTTTTAAGCATCTAAGTTACATGCATATGCCCAACCTTAAAGGATTTTTCTAAAATAGGAAGATAGCAAGAATTAAGCTTCCTATTATCCTGTGAAGCCCAGAAGAATCTGAGCATAAGGTAAAGAGTGGAGGAAGGGAACTAACATTTGTTGAGTATTGATTATGATAAGGCATTTTTCCTTTATTCTCTTTCTTAATCCTCTCAATAGCCATTTGTGGTACATCTGAATCAGCCTGGTGAATAAGATTTGGGTTCCTCAAGACAGAGAAGGTATGGCACCTGCATACTCATATTTCCTCTGAAAGCATCTGGCAAGACACCTGGACTACTAACTGTTGTTATGTTTATATAATATGAACACACTGTAAATATAATACATACATATTCACATATAGTGTTGCCTATTCACCTCCTTCAGTATTACTTTATTTTCAGTTCCAATTCCATAAGGATTTATTGGCTATTTTGCATCAGGATTGATGCTAGCTAGATAATATAGGCAGACCTGGAGGTGGTATCAAAGAGGAAGGAATTTGGGATAATTCCTAGGTTTACTACTGGGGCAAGAGTTTAAATTTATGTTTCTTCAATAAATGTGCAGATCCAGCAAGGAGATAGCTATCTTTTTTTTCTTCAGAGCTTACTATATGCTAAGCACTGTGATAAATTGATTGCCTGCATTCTTACTTAATTTTCACAAATATATATGGTAGGTGCCATAATTAGCATTATTTGAGAGATGGGTAAGCTGAGGCTTGGAGTGGTAACTTGCTCAGTTTGCACAAGATGACAGTAAGTAGATGGACAAGCTTAAGGTTTACATTTTGGACTCATTGACAAACAGGTGGTAGTTAACTGCTGTGGTTTGGATATGGTTTGTTTGTTACCACCAAAGCTCATGTTGAAATTTGATCCCTAGTGAGGGCGAGTTGGGGGTGGGGCCTAGTGGGGGGTGTTTGGGTTATGGCAGTGGATCCCTCATGAATGGCTCAGTGCTGTTCTAGCATTAGTAAAAACATTCTTGTTCTCACAAGAGTGAATCAGTTCTCAGGAGAATGGATTCTCATGAGAGCGGGTTGTTATAAGCTGGGATGCCCCTAAGGTTTCCCTCCCTTCACACATGTCCACTTCCCCTTTTACCCTCTCTGCCATATTGTGATGCAGCAGAATAGGTCTCACCAGAAGCCAGGACTTGAACTTGAACTTATCCTTGAACTTCTCAGCCTGCAGAACCGTGAGCTAAACAAACGTCTTTTCTTTATAAATGACCCAGTCTCAGGTATTCTTTTTTTTTTTGAGACAGAGTCTCGCTCTGTTGCCCAGGCTGGAGTGCAGTGGCGAGATCTCGGCTCACTGCAAGCTCCACCTCTTGCGTTCATGCCATTCTCCTGCCTCAGCCTCCCAAGTAGCTGGGACTACAGACGTCTGCTACCACGCCTGGCTAATTTTTTGTATTTTTAGTAGAGACAGGGTTTCACTGTGTTAGCCAGGATGGTCTCGATCTCCTGACCTTGTGATCTGCCCACCTCAGCCTCCCAATCAGATATTCTTTTATAGCAACATAAAACAGACCAAGACATAACCCATAAAAAGTATGATATCTTCTAAGAACAACCTATTTATTTTGAAAGACAGTAAAATGAAGACCAGAATTCTAGAGAATATAAATATTTAAGGAGTGAGCAGAGAAAAAGGAATACACTATGAAAACCAAAATAAGTGGTCAGAGAAATAGAGGACCAGGAGAAAAATATTCAAAAAAAAAAAAAAAAAAAAGGATGCTCAACACTATCAATTATAGCAGAAGCATTTAGCAAAATAAGGCATGAGGAATACTTACGGCATTTGTAAATGTGCATGTCACTGATGTCTTTAGCTAAAGCTGCCTCAGTGATATATGCAAAGTCAGTGTCCAGCCAGTGATTTGAGGAGCAGATGGGCTTAATGAAACTATTCTAGGTCCCACCTGAATATATTGGGCTTCCCAGACTATAACAGAGCAGATCAATTACCAGCTCATTACTTGGAAATGTATTTTTAGTCTGACTTCCTTTGATTATTATAAAATTTCAAAATAATTCAATGGGGCTATTGGATAAAGAATAGAGCATAGGAGAAATGCTCCTGAAATAACACTTATTATTACAAGAATCAGAATTGGAAGGATAAAGGAGAGTTCCTTTCAAGCCTGACATAAAGACTCCTAAAAACATTAAAATATGGGAACCCTGCAGAATCCATTTTGCATTTGTCTTTTCCCCTGTATCATTGCTAATGAATATGTCCTAGATTGTCAACCATGAGAAGGAAAACATTTTAATTCCCACAGCATGTTATTTGCCTGAGAGTGGTGTTGTCTTCTTTATGTGTCATGGAACCTGTGACCTGTCACCTAATTATCATGTTAGTTTATTAACATGTCAGGGAGTGCAACCCCTGGTTTCCACCTCAGAGAGGAAATTGCTTAGGGTGGGAGACATTCTGCTAGCCAGATAAGGCAGAGTTCTGCCAACTTTCAGTGCCAGGGAAACCCTAGGCAGTAATCAGTACCAAACCTGACTATTAATAAGACCACCCAAAGGCACATGGCTGGGAACCAAACCTCTCTCCTACCTTGGTCTGATCTATTGGCAAGTTTCCTTGCTAGATCCAGCTTTGCTCCCACTTACATAGGGATGAATTCAAAAACAGGAGTTATTGTAAAGGAGGCAGGGCAGAAGGAATGGTTGGAAAGTGGGTCTCAGATGCTGGAAGGGTCATAAGGGAGAAGTTTCTGGTTAGTTACATCATGCAGGGCTTCAAACTTCAAAAAATAATAATTGATGGATGGAAGTCAAAGCTAAAGCCAAAGAAAGGCCTACACATGTTCAGAGATTTTGAGTTAGAAATTCTCTTTTTCCAGCTCTCTCTCCCACCCCCAAAAGTCACATGGGGAAAGCAAAGTAGTGATTAAGGAACTACAGGGGCAACAGCAGGCTATTCTCCCGGGCCTTCTAAATGCCAGGCCAAGCCTGCCGCCTGCTTGGGAGATGAGTATGTGCTGTCCACCAAAGCTTCCTCAAGTCTCCTCTCCTGACATCTTTCTGCCAGATGGTCGTTCAAATTCTCAGGGTGCTTTGCCCTTCTGGTTCCTACAACGTGAGCCAAGCCCAGAGAACTTTGGTCCTTCAATTTCCCCCTTGCTCCACCCCTCTTGTGAGCAGGACCTGGAGCCTGGAGGTCAAGGAGAGGCTAGGAGCAGCGACCTATGGCGCTCTGGGAAGGAGCTCCCGGCTTGCCTATGGGTGCCCTGGGGAGAGCATCACTTCTGGCTCGGAGGGTTTCGGGAGCGCCTTCTCCAGCTCAAGCACTCCTTTTGTCGTTTATGAGGTGAACGCATTATCAGCTCTGTCTTGAATTTCCCTGAAGGGTTATCCCGATTTTTAAAATTGCAATCCAGACTCTCAACAAATTACAAATGTGTGTAAACATAATCAGAGTGTGGATCCAATCCACTTGTAATTGCTAATAGAAAAAAAGGAAAAGAAAAAACCCACAAAGACTTAAACAAGCAAGAAAAGCCGGGGGGCGGTGGGGGGGATCAGTTCTGCAGGGTGTTTGCCTTTGTGATTTGCTTCCTAGGAGACTGTCCCAACGCGTCCCGCAGCCCACCCTGCCTCGAAACTCCCTGCGGTGATGTCGGGGCTAGAGGAATCCAGGGCTTGGTCCCTGCAGCTGAGGCCTACGGGATATCCCAGGAAAGAGCAGCCTCTCCGTAGTGGTGAAGAGTCTCTCAAGCCTTAGCGCTCTGGTGACCTCCGCGGGATTCTGAGAAAAGCACTGCGGAACGGCGGGAGCGGGCCCTGCTGCTTGCTTCGCGCCCCCCACCCGCCCGGGGACCGCGACTAAGTCCCCGACGCAGCTCTTCCCTTTTCCTGAATACCCTGGGACTCTGCTCCCGAGTTCCAGCTCCGAGGACTCAAAGACAGTCTCCGTTCCTCACTCTTCAAAGACCACCTCCTTTTCTAGAGGTGGGCTCCCCGACCTTGCGCTTCTAGAGCTGCAGGAGCGGCGCTGCACAGGTCTGACAAGCCCAGCTCATTGGCGGGTATCTGAGCCATCAGTCTGAAAGACATTTGGGGAAAATTCATAGAACATAGAAATTCATATTATACATATTCATATTATACATTCATATTATACATTGTGTATATTATATAATATATATATAGTCCATAAATTAGTAAATGTGTGCGGTGTTTTTCTTGAAACCGTTAGCATCCTAGTTGGTATTGGTGGTACTGGTTGATATTAACACGAATGACAAGTGGGTGATTTTCAAGAAGCGCCCGGTCCCTCTAGAGAATGCGTCCGAATATCAGCGGAGCCGACTGCGTATGCCTCCGGATGCCCATCTATAAACTCTCTTGCTTGTAGCTATTCCTCGCTCCCCAACCATATTGACCATTCACCCGGATAAGGCAATTTCCTCGAAAGGGCGATCTGAGGACGCTGACCCCCTAAATGACTGAGGACGCTGGATCTTTAGGGGGAACATCGTGTCTTGGGGGTGCCAAAAGTCCCCAGCCCTTACCCACACCTTTGTCACGACGGGCAATTGGGTATGTGTAGGGGAAAAACAGCAACGTTAAAACGCAACTGTGTAAATGAGGATAGAGAGTGCGAAAGGAGGGAGAGGCGAGGAGCTGCTCTATTTCTAGGGAGGTTTTGGGGAGACTGATCAGCTCCAAGGACAGACCGCTGGGAAGGGAAAAACGGCCCACATCGAACTGGATGCCGGATGGAAACCTCTCTGCGCTATTAGACTGCGTCCAGTACAGCAGATGGCACGAGCACGTGCGGCGCTCAGCTTAGGCTCTCGGAGGCAGCTGAGTTGGAAATCCCGACGGAAAGCACCCACAAGCTCCCACTCTGCGCTGGCCCACCCGCGTGCACGCCCACCCCCCACGCGCGTCCCTGGCTCAGAAGCGCACAGATGTTTACTGCTTAGAGCCGGTACCGCTGGGGAGATCGAGCGACTTGCGCGGCGCACAGTGCGGCGCTGGCAGGGCTCTGGGCTCCCGGTCGGGGGTTCGAGCGGCCAAGGGATGGGGGTGGGGGCGGGGAGAGTGGGGGGAGGGCGAAAGACCGCCGAGAGGAGGGGGGAGTGGGTGGACTAATGATGAAAAAGTCTCCTCCATCCCAGTTCCTTAATTAAATGCATGGAAAGAACCGAGGCGAGCACATCTGGTTTCAATCTACAGCCCTTTGATGGCATCAAATGTTCTTTTCCCAGATCAGGGCTGGAAGTTCTGGGCTAACTATGGCCGTTTGGAGCCCAGAAACCATTTACACACACTCGTACCCTTCTTTCTCTCCAGTCGAGCCTCTTGACTATAGGACGAAAAAAAAAAAAAGTCTAGCAATCAAGGGAGTGCGGGAGTACGGATGCGTGTGTGTGTGTGTGAGTGCGCGTTTAAAGAACATAAAACGCCACAAATAAGCACTTAATATTTTACTGAGTCGTCATACAGTAACTCATTTCTAATGAGACTGTTAAAGCTGTTACCAAATTCCAACAGGTCATGAAAAAACTGCTCAGCACCTCTCTGTCTTCTGTCAGGTTAGGGCTCCGCAGACGGACGACAGAGGATTATCCGTAGACTTAGATGGGGGTTCCTCCGCCCCTCTCTGTCCTCCTGCCACCACAGCCAGGCTGGACGCAGAACCGCACGGAAGCCTCCCCAACTCCTGCCTCTGGGAGTGCTCCTGCCTGCTTCAAGGAATCTGGGCAGCGGGACCCTCTGGGTTTAGCGTCCTCGCCTGGGGAAGCAACTTTGGCCTTACCGTAGAAGTTACAAAATTGGCGGGGGTAGGGAGAAAGATTATAATATATATTTGGAGTCCTTTCTTCCAGTTTAATAAACACGTACTTTTCTCATTGCCCTAGTCCTGGTATGCCTAATGGCGGGGAAAGCCTCAAATAAACTCGGTGCCCTCTGGATCTCCCCAACCTGCCTTTAGTCCTTGCGAGAGGCGTGAGAGAACTTCCTATTATCATCCCTTTTGTTATTTTTATTACATTATTTAATAGGCTCCCTCTACGGAACCAAAAATAGCCTTAATATGCTTACTTTCTCCCTGTACTCCGCCCCAAACTGTTAGAACAGCAGAAAATTTTTTTTTGGGGGGGGGCGGTTTGGGGGAAGGCAGAAGGAGAAGAAAATTTGATTGTGATGGTGGTGGATTTTTTCCAAATTTCCCCACAGCTGTTATCAAAACATGCAAATGAGATTTTCCAACAGGATCTTAAACAAATCTGGAGGAGTTAATGCCGAAGCAAAATAATCAGCACGTTTGAAGTGACTGTGAGTTTCAGTTTGTCTTTTCTCCCCGTGATATTATTGCAGGGGAATGATAATTAGACCTTTAGAAATCCAAAGGGGCTCTCTTGCTCTCTTCCCTCTCTCATTTCTCTTCTCTCTTTCTCTCTCTCTCTCTCTCCCTTCCTCCCTCCCTCCCTCCCTCTCTCCCTCCCTCTCTCTTGTTCCCTCCCTCTCCCTTTCTCTCTAACTCTGATGTTGGCAAAGGGGGTTTTCTTAATCAGACTGTTTTTTGGTCCCAGGGAAAGGAGGAAGAAGGAGATTGTGATGGAGAAAGGGGGTCTGTGAAACGTCAGGCACAGCACAAAGGCTTTGCCACGTAATTACAGGCTCCTATTAAGTCGAGATCTGCCCTCCCAGGGGTCTCCAATTTTCTTGTATTCCCTACAAAGCCTCCTCTGCATGCCAGTTTGTGCCTTTTGAAGTGCCAGAGAGCTTCTTGATCCAACTGAGAAGGAAAAAGGAGCCCAGCAAGAAGAGGGGGAGAGAGAGAAGGGGAAAGGGGGGAACCCACCAGCACCCTCCGTCGGACTCTTGAAGCCTTTTTTTTTTAATTCTTAATTTTTTTTTTTACTCTTTACAAAAAGTAAAGTGAGAATCCTGCTCTCTAATACATCTGCAAGACATCACCCTCTCCTCCTGAAACTTTAGTCACTCCTGAGAATCCACAGGAGTGCAGAGAGGGGGGAACACGTTTTCTTGAAGATGTTTTAAAGCTGGAACAAGCCTTCTTCTGTTGGTGCTTGAACTCTTGCCTGGGAATAACTTTTTTAACCTTTAAAAAAACCATTCACTTTGATTCTTCTCTCCCACCCCTTCTTCTCTCTTCTTCTGTTTGCCTAACTCCCCCGCCCTGCTGGCCTCCGCTTTCCTCTCTCCCCCTTGTTATTATTTTTAGTCTGTGCGTGTGGACACTTTTGGAGAGTTGGAAGGGATTTTTTTCTCCTGACTTGAACATAGGGTGACTTTTTAATATTGTATTTTACTGTGGATTATCTCTTTGGACCGCGCCGGACTTGGCCTCAGGAAATCAACCAATGCTGCGGAAGGCGGCTGGTGCACAACGCTCTGCTCTACAGAAGGGGGTCCCCCACCCTCTTTTCCAATTTTTTTTTTTTGGCCTTCCTCTCCTTCCCTCCCTCTTCCTCCCTCTCTCTCTCTCTCTCTCCACTACCCCCCTCTTTCTTCCCCACTCGGCTCCTCTCCCCCCTCGCGCCCACAGCGTTTGGTGTTGATTCGAGCGGGAAGAGGGGGGTGGGTGGGATCGGTGGGGGAGACCATGACCTCCAGCTACGGGCACGTTCTGGAGCGGCAACCGGCGCTGGGCGGCCGCTTGGACAGCCCGGGCAACCTCGACACCCTGCAGGCGAAAAAGAACTTCTCCGTCAGTCACCTGCTAGACCTGGAGGAAGCCGGGGACATGGTGGCGGCACAGGCGGATGAGAACGTGGGCGAGGCTGGCCGGAGCCTGCTGGAGTCGCCGGGACTCACCAGCGGCAGCGACACCCCGCAGCAGGACAGTGAGTGAGGGGCGCATGCCCACGGGGGTGTGTGCCCGGGACAGAGGGCGGGGACCCGTGTAGGGCAGCTAGAGCCCGTCCGCGGCCAGAAAGACAAGGTCCTGGGACCAGGAGAGGTGATGGCAGACTTCAAAGGAAGGGCCAGTCACAGGGGAAACCAGATGAGAAAAGCGGGTCTCGGCCGAGGGCATAGCCAAGGAGGACGCTGGAGAGAGGCTCCAAGGTCCGGGGACACTCCGAGGCCCTGCGGTCTCAGGCAGGGACTCTGTCCGCGGCGGACTCTCTTTACTTCGGCTAGGCACCGGCTCGGTTCATCCCGCACGCGGGGCGGCGGGGCTGGGCTGGGAAAAGGTCTTAGCGGGGTGCAAACTCAGAGAGCCAGCGCTGTTTGGGAAAGCAGCAGGTTAAAGATGCTGAGTCGGGTTGGAAGGGCTTCTCTCGGGCAGCGTATGACGGCTTGAGGGAGGGCACCAGGCACAGGGAGCAGGACTTGGCGCTGCTCAGGCTGCACTCTCCACGCGGGCACCGTAAGGCCGGGCGCGACCGGGAGGCCCCGAGAGAACGCCCGGCCCCAGACGCTGGAGCTGCTCTCTGCCCCCTGCTGTTGCCTCTACCGCAAATGGGTTTGAGACTGGCAGAGTCAAAAGCCCGGCTGGCTTGGGAAAACTCGGGCCAAGCAAAGGGAATGTCCTTTAAGGGTGAAACCTGAAATCCAGCCCCGCATGATCCCGCACAGGCGAGCTGCATCCGGGAGGCGCGAGCTTCAGTGCGGAGGCCAGTGTCACCTTAGAGGAGCTCTCCCTATTGGCTCTTAAACGCCCAGAAAAGTCCAGTTTCCCTTCCCCATCCTCACCGACCAACCTCGCGACCCATGAAAATCTCGCTTCGCTAGTGCCTTAAAAAGAGACTGCAATTGTATCCCCATGCCCCCAAGTCTGTAACAGACCGGTCACCCTGTTCATCCCAGGTGACATGTGGCCAGATATGTACAGATACTCCCTCTTCTCCTCGAGGTTGCAAGAGTCTGAACTTAGCTGTAAGTTCTCAAATGAGGCTGGTTGCTTTCTATGTCAGTAGTTGCTGGTTACCATTTTTGTCTTCAAATTTGGAAATCGTGGAACCGGGGGGCCCTCCAGCATTCTATGATTTTCACAAAACGTTGCCTATTTCAGACTCTCAAAGAATAGACATACAAATCAAACTGCACATAGAAACAATTGGAAACAGGGTCCGGGCACAGTGGTGGCCCCGCGGGCCACGCTACAGCAAGCCGCAGAGAGAGCCTCTGGTGTGCTCAAGACGCCTGGTCTTCACCCTGCTTCCTTAGTTCCGGCCTGGGCGCCCCTGGGTGTTTTTAGCCAAAAGCGGCCTAGGGCCGATCCACCCAATGCATTAGCAGACTGCTACAGGAACTGAATGAGGAAGTCTGGCCTGGACACCAGAGAAAGGTGGCCAACTCTGAGGAATGAAGAACCAGGTGTCCTCAAGTTCCGCATAAAGGGCTAGGCGCAGAGACAGAGACGTTCTCTTTAGGGTTTGGGTGCTTGAGAGGCTGCACCCGCAGCATTACTTAAGTGTTTGCATAGGCACTCTTAGTTCTAACAAAATGCACTGAGAAATACTATGATTGTTTTTAAACGTTTTACCAGGGAAAATGAAAAACGAAAAATGTAGGGAGAGTCCAGGCGCGGTGGCTCACGCCTGTAATCCTAGCACTTTGGGAGGCCGAGGCGGGCAGATCACGAGGTCAGGAGTTCGAGACCAGCCTAACCAACGTGGTGAAACCCCTCTCTCCTAAAAATACAAAAATTAGCCGGGCGTAGTGCCGAGCGCCTGTAATCCCGGTTACTCAGCAGGCTGAGGCAGGAGAATCGCTTAAACCCGGGAAGCAGAGGTTGCAGTGAGCCCAGATAGTGCCACTGCACTCCAGTCTGGATGACAGAGTGAGACTCCGTCTCAAAAAAAAAAAAAAAAAAAAAAAGTAGGGAGAACAGCATTTGGTGTAGACCCCAGCTTCACCAATTCTGCACGTCCAGTCGTTTCTGTTTTGCCAGGACGACTTATTAATTGCAACATTTACCACTGTTCGGATACTAGAGGCTGGACCCACAACAGAAAACAGGACCACGAAGAAACTTCTGCTTAGAAGACCAGAGTGGGGCAGGAGAGACTAGATGCTGCTTTGCCCTATGAGGAGGCTGGAGGATGAGAAAACCAGGGCCAAGGCCAGCGGCCTCGGCCAGCCTAGGGAACAAGCCAGCCGTGGTGGCCCTCAGATACTGCAGGGGAAGAGGGATGAAAATTGTACCGGTTGTTTGGCTCTGAGTGGACGCCACTCCCAAGAAGGGAGCTCGGGATTCGTCGTGGCCTTAGAGTGGGTATGGAGCCGGGCTGGCCAGAGGAAGCTAGCTATGGAGCGCCCCCGAGCAGATTCGGAGGCGACGCGCGGTGGCTGGGAGGCTGCCCTGGACTGGGGACAGGCTTCTGTGAGACCTGAGCCTGGCGCCTCAGAGGCCCTGTGGAGCACGTGGAGTCCTCAGGAGCGCTCGAGGACAAGCTCAGCATCCCGGGCGGAATTGGGGACTGTATGTCCCGGGAGAAGGGGAGAAGACTCTAGAAACTCGCCCACGTGATACTCGGGCTCATCTCAGAGTTACAATGACTAGAGAGGCCTTGTGGGGAGAAGACCCAGAAAGGAAACTGAGGCTCAGAAAGAGGATGCTCTGCGGAAGCATGATCAAGAGACAGCTTCCGGAGGAGGCCGCAGAAGGCAGAGTGAGGTGATGGGGACGAAGTGACAGGCACCTGGAGCTAGGAAAGTAGCCGAGAAACACACACGCGCGCGCGCGCGCACACACACACACACACACACACACACTCCAGGCCTTGCTTCCTAGAGAGATGAGGGTAGCGTTCTAACGAATAGTTTGTTGCTTTTATAAGCACTTTTCTCAACCTCTCTTTTCTCCGCTGGCATGAGAATGGGAGGGCCTGACGAGTCTTATGGTAGCAAGCGTCCAGGGGAACCCGCAATCCTAGTTTTTGGGCTCCCATCAAGAGTTGCCAAGAAAGCTGTTGTGAGCTACTTGGAAGTCAGGACAGCTGGGCCTCCAGCCTGCAGTGACAATGAGGCTCAGACTGTGAATCAGGGAAGAGGGGAGTGTCTCGGGAAAGGATGGCTAGAGCAGACTCTCCCCCACCCCCAAAGGGACTCAGGGATGAAACCAGGAGTCTGGCGCTCTTTGTATCCCGCTGGAAGTCTACTCGAGTGGGAAACGATTGTCTCCTGCGGAGAGATGGGGAATATTAAAAAGAAGCCTTTGGCTCTTTTAGCTATATAGAAACAGTCCTCGTCCTTTCTAAATTTTCTCTTCAGCTGAAATTAGCAAAACAAACTCCACTTACACCTTCAATATTAGATTCTTAATTTTGCAAAATTCCTAACTATAACCTGGGCCGAATATAGTTAGAAGGAGTAGGTATTCTCTAAAGTGAGGGCTTCTCCCAGACCCTCCCCACCCCACTCACCATCAGCAATTCTGTCCCCACCCCCACCTTGGTTGATATTCACTACACTGTCCTCTCTGTAGAATGCTTTCTTTCACTTTTTACTGAGTCTCCCAGACTAGTAAATTCTCAACTTCTGTGCTCAAATACATTAAGTGTTCAAAGAAATAGTTCTTTAACATTGTTTGGGATCCAGTGGCTAATGGGAGAGTGTGGAGTGTGAATGGGGGTGGTGGCAGAACATGGGTAATCAGGGAGAGGAAAGAGGAACAGGTCATAAAAATAGGCAGACCTACTTCAATGAGGACAGTGCATCCCGCTGTCATTTCTTAATCTGAACTTCTGCAAACTCTTTGAAAAAAAATGCGCCTGCCTTCCACGTTTCCAACCTCTAAATTAGCGAAACCAGATTGTCCTAATAAGACCTTTTGTTGGAAACACATGTAGTCATAAAAAGGTAGACGGAAAGTCAATTAGACACGCGCGCACACACGCACACATTCACAAGCCGGTGCTAAGTGTGCACCCGGCGCAGCTGGCTCCCGGGCCGCGGCGGGATGCAAATACAAAACAGCGACGCGGGAAATCGATTTGTCACAAAGGGAGAGGTGTAAACGCAGCGCAAAGGAATTGCTTGCCCAATCTACCAGCCACACTCTCTCGGGACCTTGCCCCGCCAACTTCTCTTCGCCAGAGAAACGCCCAGGAGAGCGGGAACATTTTCTAGGGCGCTCCCAAGTTGGAATTCTCATCACAGTAATATCAGCTTCTAGAGTCTCAGCTTTTGCAACAACCCTGGCGCCAGAAATTTTCTTATGCAGCACCATCCTGGGACTCTGGGGCCCACTGGCAGTCTAAATTTGAGCTTCAATTATCTCGTTGAAGAGGGGAGCCAATGAAATATAAAGCTTTAAGGGTAGCTTGGAAACTTTTCTCTTTAGAGGAGGTGAAATACAGGATTAAGTGCCTCACTGAGTCCCCAGAGCTGAATGTCAAGGCCAGCCAAGAGGTGGTGATTTCGGTTTATTTTACATGCAGAAGTAGGGGCCCGGGTTACCTCCTTCTCTTAGAATTTTGGGGAAATTGATAGTCCAGTGACTCCTACCCACTTTTGGGTGAAGGACGATTTGGAATTTGAAGTGTGGGGAGACAGGCCTGTGAAGTCCGAAGGACTCACTGGGTCTCCAGATCCCCCAACTCTGGAATGCAGTGAATACCCACCCCCATGTTTCAGAGCATCTCTCCCATGTGTTAGACGTCGTGCAGTCCTGCATTTTGGCTGAGACACCTAACCCCGGTGCACTCAGGTCAGAGCGCCAGGGCTTCAGGCAGACAGCAATGGGTCACACGGGTCCTTATAGTTCCTTCCTCTTCCCAGGAGTGTCATTTTAGATTTTACAACACGAGCGAATAAATCATCTCCAAACCAACAAGATGTCACCTTCAGGCTCCCCACTGCAAAAAAAAAAAAAAAAAAAAAAAAAAAAATTCAGAAGCAGTGATGCGTTTCTATTCCACCGACCCAGCTTTGAATGTCTCTCCCAGCCAGGCCCCTTTTCCAAGAAATAACAACTGTAGATTTTCAACCACGACAATCCCTAGACCAGTCTGATTTTTTATTTTAAAAGGCATGTTTCTTTTACAATCCCTCTCCTACACACTGTTTCCCGCTCCATCCATCAGCCTACCACACCACCATCGCAGACCCCTAACTCCTGGAAAACCCTCCTTGGCGGAAGCACTAGGGCCCTCAGGTACCGGATTGTTGCAAAGGTCTGTACGTGCCTGTGCCTGCATTGCGACCCCCGGCGCGCCTCCAGTTCCAAGGCCGAGCTCACTTTCAACAGCTCTGGAAATATGAATGTATTTTTCCCCCCTTTAGAAGAAGCTATACGAGGAACAACTTTTTGAAATCGGGAGTGTGTTTGTAGAGAAGGAGATAAGGATTGCATTTCGCTTATTTTTCTACAGGTGATAGAAGTGTTTTGGGGGTCAGAGTATCCTCTCAAGGAAAATGTAAAACGTGGGGGCTCGCATTCTCTATCTAAGCCTTTGTAAGTTTAATTAACAGGACCCTTAAAGTATTCCTTATAGCTACAGATAAAAAATTACAGGCAATGTTTGGATAAGGGGCCAACTCTCCGTGTCCAAACATTTAGAGAACTGCCTGTGAGTGTACACCGTTGTAATCTTATTGGGAGCCCTTTGTCGAATTCTGTATTTTACTTTGATGCTTTTTGAGTACCATTCCCATTGTTTGGGTGTCCTTTAACTCCGTTTACAGCAATATATTAATAAAGAGGATGCATATGTCAGCGTTATGTATCCACAAGAATTTGGATTCCTTTAAAATCAAACGGCTTGGTGAGCAGGCAAGCACTCAAAACCCAACAGTCTCAAACAGCAATAATAATGTCAGCAAACGGCTGCCATGCCTCCTTTTCTCCAAATGCTGTTTATTCTAAAATCAATAAGTTAGGAGATACATTGCAGAGAAACAGTCATTAGTGGTTCAGGGTTGGCAGGTTTGTTTTTCAGGTGTAGATGTTCTTGAGTAATACCTCTCCACTGTGGACTAAATATTAGTAGATTGTCGTTGTCATTTTTCTAATTTAATGCGGCAGCCTCAGGGAAGTACTCATCCAGACAATTATGGGGTATCGATTTTTAACTTTAAGATTAAAAAAATACCATATTTCACTTGCCTTGGGACTACTTTTCTTGATAAAAATATATCTGGGAAGATGATTTTAGGGCCATGTTAGCGTAGGGGAGGGGAATTAAGGCACAAATGGTGGTTGGTTAAGGAAATTTTATGAAAGAAAATAAAGAAAACATGTCAGAATAAATCAATCAGAGGCACAAGTGAGTTAGAGGAATCTGAGGACAACCAGCATCTTGGGGATTCTTCTGTTCCCGCGGTTCTCAGATATAGGAATAAGGGTCTGAGTTATGCCCAGAATACATTCGTCTGGTACTGGATGTCCCAGTCCCTTAGCTGTTCCACGTAATGAAGAAGCTCTAATTCCCGAGAACTTTGGGGCTTATTTTTACCATCATTGAGTCTGCCCAGGCTCAGCTCTCTTACAAAGGTATAAATCTGAAATTCATGTATTAATTTGAATCCCCAAGATCCGAGTTATGAGAAAGGGCAAGGGCAGGCTCTACTCCTATTTTGTTTACTTTCACCGAGTTACTGTGAAGTGATTGGAAACTTTCTTAACGGGCAGAGAGAGAATACACGGAAACTCGGATGCAGTAATAAAGTTGACATAGGAGTCGGAACAGGGGGCTCTTTTTGGATCTCACCTTTACTGGGGCTTGAGGTTGTGGAATGGGTGGAAGAGTAATTAACTGAATGAAGAATTTTAACGTTGAAAACAGAGCCCACAGTATTTTTGGTTATAGTGGTGTGGTCTCTGCCTCGGCAAAGAAACAAACACCCCCACCCCATCTTCGCAGTTCTCCTCTCTGCTGTAGCGACGCCAGGCGCTGCTTTCCGCCGGGTAAATTAGCGGCGAGCCTCGCCAGACGCTTTCCTCCTTGCCTTCTTTCGCCGAAAGGGGGCGCGCTCCTCCCAGGCTGCGCTGGTACCTATCCTGCCTTCAAAAATTTCTGGGTTCCTGCAGGACAGACAGTAACAAAACGTGGGAAATAATAGTTTGATGACACTTCAGGGACTATAGGAATATAAGGTGCACACACATGCATCTTAATGGAAACATGTAGACACCTGGCAGGAGCATTGGCTGCCTGCCTCTCCTCCTTTCAAATGAGGGTGGTCGGGGTTCCAGGGTGGCAGGAGGGGAGTGGGGCCAGATGACCGTGGATGGAATTGGTGGGTGCTAGGACTGACGCCTGGGTTCCATGGCGGAGGAGAGGGTTTGTCCCCATGGAGCTGTGTGGACTTTTCTGCATATGTACTTGAGGTCTTCAAAGAAAGAAGGGCAGATCTGAGAAATGGAGAAGTGGCTGGTATTAGTGAGATGTTGAAAAACTGCCACAGAAGCCCTCACAGTGCCTGGAGTGTTAAGACAGAAGAGAAAACCTGGCACCATAGAGTTTTAGGCCCTGGGATCAGGGTAACCTTTCCTCCTCACGAAAGAACAATAACTGCCCCAAATCTTGTGTGAGCCTGCAACTTGGGTACCTAAAGCCATTTCCAATCTGCAAATCTGACTCCTGGCCTCCACTGATCCTCCATTTTTGGGCAAGAGTTTCAAGAGACTCACAGGACAGATGAGGATAAATTTTTAACCCCTTCTGTAAATTTAGGGATTTTCGACTTCTTACCACTCCCTGACAATGGGGGTCAACAAATCAAGGCACGGTGAGAGTAACAAACTGGAATAATATATATTTTGTCTTCATAGCATAGATGATGGTTAATACATACTTTCCAAGATAATCTGAGCTGGAGTGTTCACTAGAAACAGGAGCACAAGGCCAGAACTGTAAGGCAAATTGCTTTCCCACAAACGTTTGTCTGAGAATAAGAACATTCACCCCATTCACTTAATTTCTCATCATCAGTCATGTCATTATATTTTCAAGGACCTCACAGTGCTGGAAAGTGGTGTAGTTATAAATAAGCATAAAAACAGATGGGTGATCCCAGTCCTCTAAATATAATCGGGGATGCCAAATCTTTTCAAAGAGAATTCATATATACAACTTAAAGGCCAAGGAGCCCAATTCAATCAAAATTTGAGCCAGGATATGCTAAGTTCAATCAGCTTGAATATGGGCAAAGTGTAAGACCTAGCCAGCACTTCAGATATATACAGAGAACCACATTTTCTCAAGTTTCCATTGTTATTTTCCACACAAATTTAGTGTTAGTCTTCAAAGGGATTGTTAGATTTGGTTTGGGCCGGGAGGGTGGTGAGAGTCAGTGCCCCAGGCTCCTGTCCTTGTCTACTCCCCTTTCTTTGGTACTCTCTCTGCTTCAGCAGTTTGCCGAAAATCTGTGTTGCAGAGAAAATTGACACCTAGAGGCCACAGAGGTCTCCTAAATGCTGTTTTCTAGGATCCTCAGAAAACAAGAGGACCGCTGAGCTCAATTATATGTAATATACCTGGTATCTTTATGTATTTTTCTTTTCTGCTAATTCATTTTATAATAGCTAAGTTAGAGACTTCTTGGAGATTTAGGTTTTGGGGACTGGATATCATTCTGTTTTATTTTCAGCTAACTCATAAATATATGAATTTGAAAGTTCCCATTGAAGTAGGTATTCAATGTAAACTTTTATACCTGGGCATTTTCACATATCACCATTAATTCAAACTGGGAGGTAACATTAAATAATTATGTACATTGTGACTTTCCATTTTCTACCAGTGCTGCTTCCCTAAATACTGGTCTAGACTCCAGCAGTAGTATACTACTGGGACAGTTGCTAAATTGTTGCCTGTGTTCAGTTAATGCTTACCAAGTGAGAGAATGAGCTCTCCATCCTTGGTGGAACACCTTTCTAATCTAGCCTAAGTACTAGCCACTTTACCCTCCCCTTCCCATTTCATACCTTTTGCCTAGGAGTTATCTTCTAGGCCCACC
Source organism: Homo sapiens (assembly GCF_000001405.40). Taxonomy (NCBI): domain Eukaryota; kingdom Metazoa; phylum Chordata; class Mammalia; order Primates; family Hominidae; genus Homo; species Homo sapiens. Next base: position 170,673,527 of record NC_000001.11, read on the forward strand.
ATTTTAATAACCATCTATATACTAACCACTCCCAGTTTACAGCTTCAAGACTCTCCATTGGAGCTGCAATCCATATCTGCAGCCACTTATTTGACATTTCCATTTGAATATCACAAACGTGCTTCGACCTCAAAATCAACAAAACATGGAACTAACGAACTTTCTTTCCCCAGTCTGATCCTCCTACAGCTTTCCCTGTTTTCCTATATGGTAACATGTGGATGCAAGACTTATGCACTTCAGACTCATCCTTGACTCTCCTTCCTTTATGTTTCTGTTCCATCCATCCCCAAATCCTATCAAGTTTACCTTCTAAAATAATTTGAATTCATCTACTGTTTAAGTCTCTATCCTGGCTCACCTGCACTGCTGTACCACCCTCCTAGCCTGTGGAAACTCTCTGTATCCATGCTTGTCCTTAATGTGTTGGTTACAAAGACTGGATATAATAGATCCCTAAAGAATATTTGTTGAATTTCCAAATGACAAATGCTAGTGTATTTTTCTACAAGTACATGTAAAAAATCATGTCATGTTCTTTCTTTAGAACTCACAATCACTTTTCATTCTTTACATCAAAATTGAATTATCTTGATTTTAAAAATCACTCTTGATAGTCTACCTTCCCATCCCTGCTCTAGCAGCCTGCCTGATACCTCTCTCTCTCTCTCTCTCTGTCACACACACACACGTGTGCGCGCTTGCGCACGCACGCACACACACACACACAGATTGTAACTGTTTTCCTATTGTTCCCTAGTATGCTAGCTAGGCTAGTATACTAACTCCCTGTGTTCTAGTCTCCTTTCATGTGCTCTGGTCTCATTTTGGCTTCTCTGACTTCTGATGTGAAGTGTCCTTGCTCTGTGCCTCGTTTTTGCAAATCTTCCCATGCTTTCTTCCAAGATTCTGCTCCCATCACACCTCCTTGCGAAACCTTCTCTGACTACTTTATTCCAGACCACACAAATCTCTTTTCTCAAGACTTACTATGGGAAATAACAATCAGTGGCTCCACAAGTAGTGCTCAATTGTTTTCTAAATATTTTATGATTATCTAGATTTTTTTAAGATTTAGAGACTTTTGGGGAAAAGGTGTATTCTGCAGTGTACAACACCGCTGCAGTAAGCAAATTTTTTTTTTTTTGTACGGAGTACTTCTACTGTTTTTGTAATCCTTTTTTTTCTCCCCTCCTCCCCATCTCTGTTTTTGTAATCTTTAGCTGCAAGTAATTTTGTAAATTATAGGAGTAATACCAAAGTGTAATACATGTTCATTTTTGAAAATGTATTATTGTACATTTCAAAATTGAAACGGGACTATCAAGACACCAATTTTTCACCAGTCTGAGCTAGATACAATTAATATTTTGGTGTTAAAATATTTTCTCTTACACTTTTTACACAATTGGCATCATATTGCATTAACATTCTTCATTATTGATTTTTCTTTACTCAGTGGAAAAAGTTTTAACCCCATTTTCAAAGACTGTGTTTCTCTAAAATTAAAAAACTGTGTAAGCATTTAACCCACTTGCTCTGATCAGAAAAATTAAACAAACATGCACCACACTAACAACAGTTCTCCAAGGATTGTGAAAGCTGTGGCATCAGTTAATTCCCAGCTTTCTGAAGTTCCAGTGGGTACATTTTCAGCAGTAAAGTCCTTCAGAGTAAACAGCTTCTTTTCCTTTTCTGCTTGTTCTAGCTGGGAAACTTCCCTAGATATGAGCACATGTCTTCTTTTGAAATGGGAAAAGCCTGCGTAATACCTAAAGGATGTTCTTAGACCACAGTTAGAGAACTACTGCTCCAAAAATCAATTTTTACATGATTTGGTGAGGAAGAGCTCACAAAATTAGTCGGGGAAAAATTTTGTAGCAAACTAGAAATTTTCTACTACTCTTGGTCCCTGAATCTTGAATTTTTAAAATTAAATATCTTAAGGCTCATGCATGCTTTTTGAAAGAAAGAAGGAGGAAAATGATTTACTATATAAAGGTATTTCTTTATACCTTTTAGAGGTATACGTAAGATAGTGACATCTTCCAGGACATGATAGTGTGGTTTGACAGAGGAAGAAGCAATTATTAAAAATTAAAGATAGTGCATTTACCCAGACATGAGCATCTACAGCATTTCAGCTTTTTTAATGTGATAATTTCAGGGAAACAACATATTTTATTATTATGAAGTCTATGTAAAAATTTTTCCCAAGCAAGTGGAGATTAAAACATTTGCCTGATGAATACAAATATTTTATTTAGGGAAAGTATTAACAAGTGATATAAAATCCCGTAGAACAGAAATTTTAAATTATGAATGACATATATGTTAATAATTAATCTTTCTCCTCATGAGAAAGGGAGAAGAGAGAGAGTAAACACCATTTTTGAAAACTAAAAACCACACTTGCCTAATAAAAGTTTCTGAAGTTCCCCCACATTGCCTATTTCTAAGAGAGGAAAGAAAGAGAACCACCCAGAGAGCTCTTGGCCTATAACCAGATGTGCTGTTCAACAGCTCTAATCCTCAAGATCAGGGGAAGACCACAGGCTGAATCCTCAACACATTTAAGAAATAAAATATAATTTAGTTAATTAATCATGGAACCAAAATCTGCAGTTTTGCTAGCCATATTTCAAAGACTGAATCCCTTCTGACAAGGGAAATAGAAAATAATATCACTCCACATTTGACTGTTACAGTCTGTTCTTAGCTTTCCTCAGGGAAGAAATTTTTCCTGGTATGATCGTTCTTACTCAGAATATACGGACTGCTATTTAAATTTATATCTCCCCTCTCTTTTTTTTTTCTTTACTTCACATTCTTTTTTTTTCTGGGTGGTGAGAATATCTGTTTTCTGAACTGTTTTGGGCTTTTTGATTTGGAGAATCAGAGCTACCTTGAAGGCCAGGAAATCCAATCTATGCAGTCCTTGAAATATAATCATTTCAGCTGAATTAATATACTCAGACTGCTGGTTTATTTAGATGACTTACTTTGTCATAAAGAATTAATAAAATTCTTAATATGAAAGATAAGTTGGGATAAAACATAAAACTGCTTCACAAACTTTAAGAAAATGTGCAGATGCTGCTATGTTCTATAAAGCCAATTTTAAGAAGATAGGGCTAATTATTTTCATTTTACAGATAGGAAAACTGTGGCTTGGAGCTGCTCTGACCCCATTTTATTTATTTTTCATTATATTGTATGATCTTTGATGTCAACCAAATTCCTCTAGATGCATTATTATCTGGTGAAATCATACTGAGTTAGGAATGAAGAGTCTGGCATGCCATTTCATAACATATTGCCATGCTGCACAGACCTTTTTAAATTCCTCTGGTTCATGTTCTTCATTATAAAATTGGCATGTGACTGCTGCACCTATCTTCTTCATGCTAACACAGCAGGTTGGAAAGAGATTGTGTTTGTGAAAATATTTGAGAAATAAAGGGCTAAATGCATGTGAGTTGTCATACTATAAGGGAGTGAATGGCGAATTTTCTAAATTAAGTTGTCAAGTAACAATAAAAAAAACAAGAATGCATTTTGTTGGATTTACAGCAAGGTCTCAAAATGTGAAATATTTTAAATTTAGATTTAGACACGTTAGGAGTCTTCATGTGTTTTATGTTGGATTCAGAAAATTCTGTGTTAAATTATGGTTCCACCATTCATTAATACTTGCCAACTGATTTTAGACAAATCTCTGTGTCTCAATTTCCTCATCTATAAAACTGGCACATTAATATTTATCACGCAGATTTGTTATTTGGAATAATAAAATGATGTAAGCAAAATGCCTAGTACCCTACTCAAATAAATGCTTTATTATAAATTGTTATAAATGCCCTTTAGGGCAAGCATTTATTTGAGTGCCTTCAGTGGGAATGGTAGTAGGGTACTGGGCATTTTGCTTACATTATTTCCACCCCACAGCATCTCTGACTAGTATGACTTATTTCAGGCATGGATATATGTCCACTGTGGCTTCCCAAACAATGTTGGAGGCCATTTAGTGCCATTGAAATTAGGAATATTTGCATATTCCAAAAGCCATACTCTTACAGCATGTCACTTATTGAGTCTATTTGTTTTCTATCTACAATTAGAAACTGATGCCTCATAACTTTCAGTGATACTTATACCGCCACACCATGAGTATCTGGAAGAGCCAGGAGTTTGGCTCAGAAGTTGCTGACTATGGTTATCACCTTTAGGTCACCCTTCCTCTCTCAGCGTGAAACAATAACACAGATCATTTTATATTTTTGGATGGCACCAATATTAAAGATTTTACAGGGATTTAAGATGTTACAGTGATTGAAGAAGACAAATCCCCTTTCCTCTAGTTTCTGAATTTTATAGAGACTCTATGACATATGCTTGGGACACAAGGTGTTAAGGTTTCTTATTCCAGACCTGACATAGCTAGTAAATTTCTGGAGGCCAACCACGTTAATTTCTCTCTGTCCTATAGTGCCTCTAACATAGCACTGCCTTACTGCTCCACTGAGATTTCTGTGGGTTTACTTAACTTTTTGTACATGAATAATGCTCACCATGTTAACTATAATTATACATAAAGTTGCCATTCTTTTGCCAACTTAGATTTCCTAAACCAGTTGAGTAAGATACACATTCTGTCCTCCATTTGATATGTGACCTGTTTTCATACATATTTTCCTTTGAAATCTGATAAGCCTGGAAGACATACAGATGGCACTTCTATATCATGAAACATCCAGGACTCTATTTTTTTGCCAAGCAATCAACAATTAAATCTCTCTGGCATATGTGAGCAATAGATCAGCATGGCTAGCAGTTGTCGTACATGTGGAGAAAACTGGTCACCATGGGTGAGGCACTTTGACAAGTTTATTGCAAGGCTAGTGTGCTTGTGGTCTAGGAAAGTAGCTTAACATGTGCCTTATGCAAGAGAGAAGGGGCAGGTCAGCCCCAACATGCTAAGTGAGTGTTAGGCGAAGATTAGGAGCACAGCTCTCTTGGCAATAGCATTCTGATATACGGAAAAGTGTTTGTGTGTGTGTTTGCTAAAAATGCTGTCAATATTTTATCATATTGTGTAGGATCTCTAACTGGGGATGTAGATAACTCTGGGTCTCTGTTCTTTGGAGCACATGAAGCCCTTCCTCATCTAGGAAGATTTTCTTTTGGCCGTTGTTTTTCTTCTTCTGTCTATGTCTCTCCCATATGTGCAGTTCATGTCTAATAATTTAGAGAATAGGGATAAGAGAAATAACAGATTATGAGATTCTTTCTCTAGTGTCCTTATACTCTAATCCTGCATATCTTCAATGTGATGCCTGGTTCACTTGCATCAGAATGAACTGAGGTTTCTCAAAATGCAGATTCCAGGGCCCCACTCATACCCAGTGACTCAGAATCTCCAAAGTATATGCATATTAAATATCCCAGATGATTTTTATATCCCACAAAGTCTGAAAACACTGATCCAGACCACTTTCTCCCATAGCAATTGGTATTGAATAATATTTTCCTCGTGACATCCACTGTATCCTGTGTGTTCCATTGTTATTTAACTCTCCTTAAGTGTCAGTCTCATCTCTTCAAAGGAGTACATACAGCTTTAAAGACAAGGGCAGAGGCAAACAGTTTAAGCCTCAGAGCACTTATCATGGTGCTTTTTATATTATAGGAGGCTTAACAAACGGTTGCTGAATAAACGAATATGTGAACAAACAAGTGAGAAAGAGCACACATATAGCACTTATTAGGCATCTGGCATTTTGTTAAGCACTCCACATAAAACCAAGAAAAACAATGTGAGGCAACCATCAGGGGATGTCAAAATTCTAAGTAAGACTAACTGTTTTATTTTATTTTATTTTATTTTATTTGAGACGGAGTCTGGCTCTGTTGCCCAGGCTGGAGTGCAGTGGCACAATTTCGGCTCACTGCAAGCTCCACCTCCCAGGTTCATGCCATTCTCCTGCCTTAGCCTCCCTAGTAGCTGGGACTACAGGTGCCTGCCACCACACCTGGCTAATTTTTTGTATTTTCAGTAGAGACGGGGCTTCACCGTGTTAGCCAGGATGGTCTCGATCTCCTGACCTTGTGATCCGCCCACCTCGGCCTCCCAAAGTGCTGGGATTACAGGCATTTTATTTTTTGTCATATATTGATAAATTGTGGTTGTACATATTAAAACTAGTTTTAGGTGGTTGTTAGCACTTATTCTAGAAGAAAAAACATGTGTCAAAGAAGTGGCAACTTACCCCATGGATGATGTTTGCAATTTAATTTTAGTTTTAAGTATGTTTTTAAATGAAAGTTTATCTTTATCTTCTTTTCTTACAAAGTCCTTCCTTACTTTCAGACAGTTGATAAAGCACAATATTTCTATTTTGAAATTTTGTTTACTTATCTTTTTTATGGTCTGATAAAGCCAAGTTTTAATTTTCCCTTTTTTCTGATGCTGATTTTTGAAAAGGTTGTGTACGAAATTTCAACATAACCTATCCAAATGTATCATTTAAAGACAACTGCATTTATTCCACTAGTAGTTTTGACATATGCTAAAGTTATATCTCAAATATCCCCTTTTAAGGTACGTTTCAGGGCTCTTGTCCTAAATGGATTTTCTATTAAATATCAGGCTTTTTTTTTCTAATGAAGTATATATAATTATGAATCGTTGTCCAAAGGATGTATTTGTTCATCTGCCCTGAATGATAGACCAATGAATGAATTAAAAGGAACTACATTTAGAAAAGCAGGATAAGTATGATTTTAGAAAACTTGAAGGAAGAAAACAAGAAAGAAGGGCACTTGTAGAGATGTGAAGGGGCAGAAAACAGAGGTGAAAGGGTTTCCTGGACCCACGTCTGTAGTAGAGACCACTACTGAGTTACAGTTCTCTAAGCCCATCTGGGATCCTTTGGTGACATGAATTTTGCTCTAGTGGTTTATGACATCACTGGAACCCCGTTGGTGGAATTACAACTTCATAATTCACAGTTAGCTCTTGTTTATTTTATATTTAATCATTTGTGGAGCATACTGGCAGCATACTCAGGGGAACTATGTGGTTATGCTCCTGCAAATCTTGTTGTTGCATAATTAAGTACGTCAGAAGTAATTCACCAAGTGTCATAACATCCCATAGTTCACGCCTTGCAGATGCTGGCATTGGTTATGATTGTCCTGAAAGTTATCCTGGCTGCATCACCTTCTCAATGAGTTTTCCTTTTGGAGGAACAGTTACCAAAGACAGCTGGGCTTCCTGGTTTAAATAAAATACAATTTTCTGAGTAGCAAGCATATTGCTTCCATAGAAAGACAACTCCAGAACCATGTAGGAGTGACTTCTATAATGTGACTGTAAAATGTGGTTCTATTCCTGTTAACCCATGGGTATGTAAAATGTATCAATGAAACAACAAAGGCAGTTTTTAGGTGAGCGAGGAGACTTCGGATTTGTCTCCATATTTATTTGTGTTTAACCTTGAGACTCAGAAATGATTCCACTTAACTTGTGCCTTTGGGTCTCTTAATGGAAGAAGGGAACTAAAGGGAAGAAATTAAGGTGTATTGAGTACCATAATGGATCAGGTACTGTGCTGGGTAATGTATACTAATTATGTTGTTTAAATTTTCACAATAGTGCTGAGTGATAGATATTGCCACCCCCACCTTACCAATAGGGCTTTGAGACTCAGAGGAGTTGGAGCAATGTGCCTGAAGCCTCAAAGTTAGTTATTGACAAACCAGAACTTGTCTTGACCCCTCTGTTCTACTGTATTCCAGTATTTTCTAACTCCAGTGGCTAGAAAATTGGAAGGAAGTGGTTGAGTTCAATGGTTTTTCAGTGGCATTTATTCAGTGGAACATAGAACTCTTGTAACTGTGGTACCTGACTGTGCTAGAATTACAAATTAAAACTGCAGATAATCCTGCAGAAAATGTTATCTTTGCAAAAAAAAAAACCCTCTTAATAGCACTAGACATTTAGATGTCAGATAAGCAGCAAATCTGAAGTCAATTACAGGGCTCAGTGAACATAAATGAAGAAGTGAGTTGGAAGATAGTACTAGAGAAGAAACAGGTGAGCCAGAGAGCTTTCCTGAAGGTGAGGAGTTGATTTTGACCATGGTCCTTCCAAAAGTATGGCCTTGAACATGCCACCCAGCCCTTATGAGCTCTAATCACAGGAAAAATAGAAATATCTTCTTGACAAGTCTATTGAAGATTAAATCAGATATTTATGTAACAACCTTAACTCACAGGTGGAACCAAGCTCCTAATTTGCATCACCTAATATTGAATTGTAAAACACTGACAAAAAGGGGACAGGTTCAACATTTCTGATTATGTTCTCTGTTGCTATGGAAATGAATATTTATAGCCAAGAATATAATCTTATTTAAAAGATTCAGACAGTTGTTTCTAATTTGGCTGTTTGGAACTGGAAATTCATTTGTCCAAATGCAATGTTTTAATTTGTGATTAGGTTCCTAGGAAACCTCCAAAAGATTGGTGGATGGGTGATACAGTTGAACTGTAGTGTAAATGGAAGCAGCTAGTATGTTGCATCCTGGAAGAAATAGATTTGTGGCTCAGAATGAGGAAGAAAGGGATGGCCCTTCTCTCTTTACTGGTATAGGACCAAAATTTAGGCAAAATTTAGAACTAGATGAATTTAATCTCTAGGCAGCCTTCTCCAAACCCCTTCTCCCCTGACCTCTAAGGTCTGAATTCAATGTTCCTTCTGTGTGCTCCCATGTTCTCAGTCACCCTTGATAGTATTATCACACTGCATGGCTTAAGAATGCCAGTAAGGTTTTGGTGCCTCAGTCACATCCTGCTCACTCCTCTAGAGTTCCCCGTAAGGAAGATAAACACATAGAACAGTAGCTGAAGAGGAAATAAGGTACTGAATTATCATCATCTAGGCAAACACTCCATAAACTCTGGGCACCCCATGCCCCCATCTCCTGGGATTTGTTAGTATAACAAAGTTGGAGGCCTAGGTTTAAATGTTATGTTTGTAGAACAGACTTCCATGCCCATCTCTTTTTCTTTCTCTCACTCATTTTTTTTTCATACATATTTGGCAAATGTGTCTTGAGTACCTACTATGTGCCAGTCATTATGCTAGGTTCTGGGATGCAGCAGTGAATAAAATAAACACGTTGCTTTTTCTCCTGAACCTTATATTCTCCTGGGGAAAAAAGGCAATAAACAAATAAATGAACACACACCTAGATAAGTAATTCAATTGTGATTAGTAAGTTTTATGAAAGAAATGAAACAGCCTATTTGAGCAGGAATATGAAAGAAAAGAAGGAGAGCTAACTATGTAGAGAGCAGGGTGAAAAGCCTTCCAGGCAGAGGAAGTGAACAGCAAGTGCAAAGGCCCTGAGGCAGGAACAAGCTTTATAGCCAAGGAACAGAAAGAAGGTCAATGTGACTGGAAGATAGTAAGTGATGGGACTTTGAGAGATGACAAAGTCAGAGAGATATGTAGGGGCTAGGTGACAGGGACTTGTAGGTCACACTGAGGAACTGGGCTTATATTCAAAGTGTGATGACAATGGGAAGCCAGGGAGACATTGAAACCGGAGAGTTTTGTAATGTGATTTATGTCTTTAAAAGAACAACCCAACTGCTTTATGGAGAATGGATATTAGAGGAAGAAGGAGAAGCAGTTAGGAGGTTATTGCAACAGGCCAGATGAGAGATGATGGTGTCTTGAACTGGCTGTATGGGTGAGGATAGAGCAGCAGTGGTCGGCACCCAGAGTGTGACTCCTACAGGGGCTCAGGAGGCTGACGGAGCCAGCGGAGTTTAGCAAATGAAAGAGGAAAAGAGAGGACAATGTCAATGAGGCTGTGCAGCCTGCCCTGGAGGACTGACCTAGGACATTCATCTTTCTTAGTCTCATCTTTTCTCAGTCTCATCTTTTCTCTGTTTCTGTACCTGGGTTTTCTCTCAAACTTCCAAGCCTTACCATGGTGGGCTCCCTAGAAGCAGCTGCTTCCAGGAGAAGGAGTGGTTGGTTGTGTGCAGTGGGGTATGAAATAGGAGCAATTTATTTTGATTTTGTTATTTGAAATGTTAGAGTCTATAATTCAGGTACTGCCTTTAATTTTCCCAGAAAGGAAGGGTTCTGCTTTAAATTCTGCAAAAGCAGCTCTTTGTAATTTAGCAAAACATCAGAAGGCAGCATTGCTAAAGACTGCAATTCAGATATGTGAAGACTTGTGTAACTGAAATGTCTTCAGAAGTTTTTAGTGTTTCCTAGGTCTTAGTCTCTTCTTTTTAGTGTGTATGCATTAATGGAGCCAAAAGTCAGAAATCAGTTAGGTCTTTTCTCCAAGCAAACAATGAAACAGTAACCAAAATTCAGGGGAGCTAAAATCAGAAAATTATACCCACCACCAGTTTTTTGATTAACAAGTATGCATTGTATTCAGCATCATGCCAAGCACTTTGGAGGATATTAAAGAAGTGAATGGCATGACCTCTTGCCAATCATCCAGCTGGCGAGATGGATCTAAAATTGTGCCTCACATAGTTCATATTCAGCATGATTTTAACATATCTGCTCCTGGGGTCATAGATCCTGTTCCTCCTCTTTTCCCTATCACTCAATGGTCCCTCGTGCTCTCAGGTGGCACCTGCTCAAAATGTTAATAGCAACCTCAACTTCTTCCAGTCTTTTATTCTCTATGCCTATTTCTCAGGCTTGTCCTCTCTTTTCCAAGACAGACATTTTATCTCAGAAACTTAATCAGATCTTTTCTTGTAGTTTCTTACAGATGGAACTTTGTATGACCCCGAAGTGATTCCAGGCTATGAGAATTTTAAACCCATAAGAAACAGCTAGTTGGAATACTATCAGAATAAACTATTTGTATAGATACATCTTGCTTTTAAAGATTTGGAATCGGCTGGGCGGGATGGCTCATGCCTGTAATCCCAGCATTTTGGGAGGCCAAGGCAAGTAGATCACTAGAGGTTAGGAGTTCAAGACTAGCCTGGCCAACATGGTGAAACCTCATCTGT